>NC_000001.11:170684587-173184587 GCF_000001405.40 Homo sapiens
ACTAAAAATACAAAAATTAGCTGGGTGTGGTGGTACACGCCTGTAATCCCAGCTACTCAGGAGGCTGAGGCAGGAGAATCACTTGAATCCAGGAGGCGGAGGTTGCAGTGAGCCAAGATCATGCCACTGCATTCCAGCCTGGACAACAGAGTGAGACTCCATCTCACACACACAAAAAAAGATTTGGAACTCAGATACTTTAAGCATTCTGCAGTTTGTAGCACCATGAAGAAAGTTAAGAAATGCTTCACTATCTCATTTTTCTCAGCATCTTGAGCTTTCCAACATTTTTCATGATTTTAAAAATAATTTGGCAAAGGATAAGTTATAATCAGTATAAACCTAGAGTTATGCCATTGATTAGGTAGACCATGCAGAGAAGTTTAGTACTTGAAAAGAAAAACTAGACTTCATGTAAACTGAAGCTTGGAACAAGAAAGGCAGTCATCTGACTTCCAAATTACAATTTAGAACCTACCAGTTTTTTAATTTCTTGGCACAGGAAATTTAATCAATATTTTTCCTGATGCTGAAATATTGGTTTTGGACCAAGGCTTATTTGAGGTTTATCTCTTCTTTGAGCTTTCACTAATGTCTTTATTAATGATCTGAAATAAGGAACGGAGAAGAAAATTGGGTCAGAGTAAGCCAGTTGACACCATTTGTGACTGGACCCATTATCCTTGCTCACCTCCTGACGCAGGAGGACACCAAGGACTGTGTGAGGTGGGTGAGGCCACAGCCTGGGAAGTCTTGTCAAAGGGTGATTCAAGTGTGGGCTAGCAGCTGACTCAGGAACAACCCGGCAGTGCTCTGAAGGCTGACTCGAGCTAGGGGATTTGTTAGGCCATCTGCAAGACACATTTAGAGGGAAAATGATTTGAGAATGAAAGTGCTGTCATCCAAACTTGAAAGTTTAAAAAGTATTCATTTTGATAGATGGAGACTAAAAGATTTTGGAATTTGGAGTCAGAAAATCTAGATTTCAATCCTGCCTCTATTTCTGCCACTCTTGGCTTGTATTACCTACCTGTAAAATGAAAACGGTAATGCCTGCTTGATTTCTTTCTTTCTTTCTTTCTTTTTTTTTAATCATGGAGATCTGAAGAGGGCACAATGTGGAGGAAAAGTTATACATGGTTTGAAGTCTAATGAATACCTCTATGAAGCTCTAATATAATAAGAGGGTAACAAGCTGCTAGGGATTCAGAGGGTGGATTTTTCATATCTAGCAAGGGTATATAAGGACAGGCCTTGAGTGCACAAGGCAGCATGTGAATGCAACTTGAGTGTAATTGATTTTTTTTTTACAAGTCAGACTATTGAGAGTTAAGAACAATATAAACACTAAACAAGCAAATTCAATTGGACATATACCTGTTCATTCCCACAAGAGACTGAACTGAAGGGTGAGGCTTGTGAATTTCATTGGCTGTAGTCAATATTGCTTCACTCTGTTATAGTTAAAATGTAGACCGTCTGCCTCCAAGGCTGTCAATCCGGCACCTTTCACCAGCATTAAGCTCACTTAAAAATGATTTAAAACAACATTACATTAAAAAAAAGCCTGATAGATCCTTAGTTAAGGGTACAAAAAAAAAAAAAAAACAAGTTGCTATTTACGTTTCAGATATTTTTTAAAAATACTGTCTGGTGAGTGGAAAATGGCAGCTCGGAAAAAATGCTAGCTTAGAGGACTAAAAACCTAAGAGGGCAAGAGCAAGCAGCTCTGTGCTTCATAAGCGAGCTTTTCTTTAAAAGGAGCTACAGCAGCACTGGGGCGTAGGGGAAGCAGAAGGGAAGGAAGAGACGTGGGGAATAGAATTTCTTGTTCCAATAATCCCATAGTTTTCAGCAAGGTCAAAAGTCTGAGAGTTGTGTAGAGCCTTGGGGAGTGGGTCTAAGAAAAATGTGACCTGCCAAGGTCAGCAATTCTGACACTGATTCAAATTCTAGCCTTAGGGGGTAGCTGTTTGATGAGAACAGAGAAGGAGGTGGCATGAATAGATGACATTTCGCATTGGTAGGAGACGGGCGGCTGCAGCGGCTTGTGCAGTCGATTCCATGAGAGATATTTCCAGAACAAACAGAGTCACCTTTTAATTGCCTGCATATGGATTTACCACTTGGTGTATTCTTTTAAAATCTATAGTTGACACCTCTCTCTAACTTGCACACTCCAGAGTTTCTTTATTTCCTTATCAGAGAATCTACACTTTGAGGGTTCAAAATCATTTGGAAATGAAACAAAAATGAGGAAACTATGTAATGTGGGAGACAGAACTATAATAACATTGGTTGAGTGCCTTATAAATGGTTATGCCTTGCCTCTCTCCATTAGTTAGAATAAACAAGAATTGACTGGACGCTTCTCCAGTCCCATCCCAAATGCACGTCATTCAAGTTTTCTTACTAATTAAGCATCCTCCCCCAGCCCCCCACCCTCAGAGTACCACAAGGTTAAACAAAAAGCAAAATTTCTATGATAAGAAGAGCTTTTTACAAAAAGGTCATCTTGACCATTTAGGATTTCTCTCTCTCTCTCTTTTTTTTTTAACTTTACAAGTCAGAATGTTGTGAGTGAAGAACAAAATAAACACGAAACAGGCAATTTCCAAAACCCCATTTGTGAAGGCTGGTTTTTAAACGATGAGAAAATGTCTGCATTGCACATTTACAGTCTGTTGAAAGCATATTTGGTGAACAAGCCCATTGGAGGCATTTATTGAAACTAAACAAGAACTCTTGGCCTACAAGTCTCCTTCTCTAGCCTCTTAAAGGCAATCTGTTTGGATGCTCAGGGATGCTCCCCAACTTTTGTGAATTCTGTCTTTTCTTTCCTGCCTTAAGCTAACAGTAGATGACGTTTGCTTCGACAGAGCAGCAGGACACAAGGGCTAAGAACATGGACTTGATATAGCGCCCTTCTCCCGTCACTTAATTGTTCTATGAAGTCGCCCTCTGAGCCTCACTTTCCTTTTCTCTAAAATGAGGATTATAATACATCCTTTATAGGGTTTTTGTAAGCATTAAGTAAGATAATGTATAGGATATGGTTAGCATTGTGCCTCGTGTGTAGCAAGTCCCTGCTTCATGGAAGTTATTTTATAGCATGTGCTTGATTCTTATTTTACAATTGAACAGACATTGTGGAGTCCGTTATCACTCAGCCATAAAAACTGTGTGGATATATCCTTGAAATATTTGTAAACATCTGGAAACAATTTAGTCTGAGGACACTTTAGGTAACTAAAAGGACTCATTCTCAAAATGAATATATAGTCTCAGGAGACACCGGGGTCAAAGAGCAAGTGGCCAAATACTTCTACTCAATTCAAAAAGCTCTGTGGTGAGAAAAAGGGGAAAAAGAAAGGAGAAAGAGAAGGACCGGGAAAGAGAAATAGCTAATCATCAAGAATATTTTGATTGAGAAGCAATGTGTTGCTTACTCTATAATTTAGAAGTCAAGCATGTAGGCATACATTTATTCACTTGCTATGTGACCTCTAAATTCATTGTCATACTTCTCAAAAGTTGCTATTATTATTATTTTTCTATTACCCTAAAGATCTTGAGAGATGAAATAAATCCTGGAGCTCATTGTTGACTTTGGACCCAGAAAGCAGTATAAAATAAGAATGTAAGGAAAACTAACACTCCAAGTACAAAGTGGGTCCAAAAACTGTAATGTTATATAGTGTTAATATATATTTCTGAAACTGGACTGTACTGAGGCAGAAAATTAAGGTATCTATTTTTTTTCTATTTTTCTTAAAAATTGCTTTTATTTAACCAATCCATTTGAAAAAGTAATAGAATTTTTAAAAATTTACTCTTAAAGATAGCTTTGTCCGGTATGTTTCAACAGTTTCTAACTTTTAATATCCTTGAAAATTAATTTCAGGTGAATGTTCAGGGTTATACAGATTTATGAAATTTATTTACCAATAAAATTTTATGTTTAAAAGGTATGAATATTGACTTATTTAAATAAAAACATTTAAATAAACCTCCTATAGTCTGCTGACTATATCGTTTCATAGACGAAACATTATAAGACCAAAATAATAAAACTGCTATGCTTGCAAAGTAAAATAAATGGGCATATTTAACATATAAAACTTTACTATGTTGTACTGATTTTTGCACCCATTTAATTGTGACACTTGAAGAGTTTGTCTTTGTTCTGGGAACTGTTTACAGGAAATTCCTGACTGACATTTTTTTCTTCCCATATCTTAACTATATACTTGCTAATTTCAGTACTGAAACTTATTTGATAATTTTGTGCTGACTCAAGTTCAAGTGAAATTCATATTATTCTTTAGCTATGCATCTTTTGGTTTTTAGTTCTGTGACAATATAATTGTTATCAATATACATTAGAAATCAATAGCATATTGATAATGAGATGAAAGATTAACTGAGCTAAACATAGATATTTGAGACTTTTTCTTCAGGAATTATTGATCTGAAGTTGTATTTAATCTATCAGAATATGCTCTTTTCTAATCCATTGGTTCCCCATCTCAGATTCCCTAACTTCTTTGGGCAGTAATAGAGGACCTTTATTTTTTTTTCTGTTATTTCAAAAAGATTAATAAAAATGTATGTTTACTCTCTATAAGCAAAAGAAGAACTTAAGATTTTTGACAGGATTGATAATAATTTAGTGAGACTCTTTCTGTGGAGCTGTGTACTGTTCTTAGAACAAAGTAGGGACTCATTAAAGAGCTGAATAAGTCAATGAATGAACAATATTCCTGGCTATCTCAGGCTAAATGATATCATAGTCTGACAATTTTGAATTTACTTAATGCAAATGACAAAATATAGTTGATTTAGTAGAAAAGGTTTTAAATCATGGAATCTATGTGGGAAGGTAGTCCATGGGGCTGCAACAATTGAGAACATTCATAAAGATGTGAGTGGAAACAAGGGTGAGTTTTGAGGAAGATTTGTGTGTTTAATCTTTATATGCCTGTGACCAGATGTCTATGCCAAGAAGCACATGTTTTTGTTTTTGTTTTAAACTTTCAGTTTATGGTTCCAAGGTCCTGATACTTATCAGCTTTAAAAAAATCGTTTTCATTTTTTAGGTAGTTTTCTTGCTTTTGGGCACCAGGTGGCGATATGGAGTGAGGTGGGGAGTGCATGGGATACACAGGTTGGGTTGTCATAAAGACCAAGCATCTGTAGAGCCGAACTGATGAGATTTAATATTCCGTCTCTCTCTCTCTCTCTCTCTCTCCCTCTCTCTCTCTCTCTCTCTCTCTCTCTCTCTCTCTGTGGGTGTGTGTGTGTGCGTGTGTGTGTGTGTGTGAGAGGGAGAGAGATCCAAAAAGAGAAAACTTTGTAAAGATTTGGTTCCATTTTGTCTGAGAAAGACTGGATTGGCATTCCTCATCTGTATGAAACACTTCTCAACAGATTCCATACAATATATCGCTTGGAAAATTCAAGAGCTGCCAGGTCTCTAGCTCTTGCTAGCATTTGGTTAGCATTTCACTGTATATAAGATCCTTACTCCTCCCCTCCCCCCCCATTTTTTCAACATTTACTGAGCACCTATAATGTCCCACGCACTGTAATAAGTATTAGAAATATTGCATCAGATAAGGTCTGGTCCGTGCCCCCTATGAGCTTATAGTTTAGCAGAGATAGACATATGAACCCTAAATCAGCTGCATGTTATGGCTTCTGCGATGGAGTCAGGATCAAGGCAGGATATAGAAGGGTCACAAGGATGAACTTGTCAGCTCAGTGGGTAAAGAAAAACATCATGGGAGATATGAACTATAAGCTGAATAGTGGCAGATGAGTAGATATTCATCACTTAGAATAGACTTGGAGAGAGAAGTTATAATAATCAATTTTGCTCCTTTGAACCCTTCAGGTGTGTGTGGTGCGTATGAGAAAGTCAGTTGGATCTTAGCATTTATTTATAATAATATTCATAAGCACAATCTATAGCTAACATTACCAGCCTAGTTTTTGAATTTGAAAATGTGAGAAAATAAGTGTTTGGTAAAATTCAACTTCCCTGCTTCCTCCTATATATGAGAATTTGTGTGATAAGAATAATTATAATATAAATTAGACTTTAAGTATTCAAATGTTTTTATTGGGTCAGGGCAGATTAAATATGTGCCACCTGAATTATGTACCAGAGAGGCCCTGGAACTGTGACTCTGGGAAAGGTATCAGTAAAATTAAATTTAGAAGATATTCAGAGAGATGGATATTTCAGAAAATGTAAGAGACTACAGAGAGAACAGCAAGTTAGCTCGATGCAGTCTTTGCTGTGAGCATCAAAATAAGGAAATGCATGAACTGGTCAGACATAGTCCATCAGAAAAGGCTTGATTCCAAAGAGAAGGTACTCGTGGTTTTATCTAGACAGACAAAAAGAGGCTTGAGAGGATAATGTAATGAAAAGATGCTTGACAAAATTTAGGGATGGATAATACACTAATTTGTGTTTTTGAAAGCTATCGAGAGAGCAAGGTAATGTAGCCTTTCAAGTGAGGGCCATATTTTATTCACCACTGTTTTTCCAGTGCCAATCATAGACCTGGAAAATGGTTGTGCAAAAGGTATTTGTTGAATGAATAAATGAAAGAAATAAAGCAGATGGGTTGCATGTTTGCAACCAAAGAGTGGATTAAAAAATGTTTATTAGCCAACCAGAGAGTGAAATATAAAGTAATGTCTTTTAGAAACTGTTGATGGATTTAATCAGATCAAACTTACATAAATAATGAGAAACAGCTTGCTTTTATAGAGTTGCCACTCAAATGGATTCTGACATCCCTAAGAAGAAATTTATTCCCTTTTCCTTCCCTTTCCTTCCATTTCCTTTCCTTTCCTTTCCTTTCCTTTCCTTTCCTTTCCTTTCCTTTCCTTTCCTTTCCTTTCCTTTCCTTCCTTCTTCCCTCCCTCCCTCTCTTCCTTCCTTCCTCCCTCCCTCCTTGCCTGCCTCTCTTCCCCCACCTTTTTTAGTTCTTTTTAATATTTTTGTTTTTATTTCAGATATATTGTTGTGTCAATTGCTTTCTTTAATTTCACTCTTTCCTCTTCTCTCTTTCTTTCTTTTCCCTTCTCTTTTCACCTTTTCTCCCCTCCTCTCCTTCCCGCTTTCTCTTCTACTCTTATGTGTTGTGACAAAGATAGTATTGAAAATAAACAAAATGAAGCATAGTCCAAATGGTTTAACGTAAAGGATGAAAATATTAACCCTGTGCTCTGGGTTGTGGTCAACAGAGTTCCAGCAGCAAGTTTCAGAGCACTATGGGGCCTTCTGTTAGGGTGAGGGGAAGCAGTGTTCTCTAAGCCTGCCTTATCAGCACATTTATTCAAGAAATATTTAATGCACAGTTATTGTGTGCTTGGTACTGTGTTAAGTGCTATGAGGAATACAAAGCTCCCTGTCCTTTAGGAAACTTAAGAGGTCATATATGGGTCTAGAATCTAGACTCTAGATATACACATAAATATAATATCAAATGGAAAGTCATGCCATGAGAGAGGAGCCAATTCCATAATAAAGTTGTTTTTATCCTGGCAGACCAAAATTGAAGTTGGATCTATTCAGGTTTACATTTCCAGGAAAAATATACATTTGTATTATTAATAACAATTGTCCAGGATCAGGAAGCCCTTTCTAATAACTGACATAAATCCTTATGGGGTAAGAACCCAATTTATTTTCCATTGTTTCAATACTTTTGATTAAATTCTTAATTTGAAGGGTTTAACTCAAAATAACAGCCTACAAAATTCCAATAAATAGAATTGGTGAGCCTGTCGGGATATCTTTCCTTAATTCACTCTTGACATATTTTACAATGTAGCTAACTTTCTAGAATGTAGTTAAGGGATCACCTTACATTATTCTTAAATTGTTGTGTGTATTTGATGAAAAGTTAAAGCTGTTTTTTTTTTTTAAATTCAGGCCACTAGAGTTCTACTATTTTTTAAGAACCAGGTCTGTTCTAGTTGAATCTTTTTTTTTTTTTTCAAGATAGGAAGTAATCATCTACAACAAGTATTGGGGATTAAAATGGGTCAAATAGAGAATCTTCATGGAAATAAGTGGAAGAAACCCCTTAACGAACTAACAAATCCTCTCTCTCTCTCTCTCTCTCTCTCTCTCACACACACACACACACACACAGACACACGTGCACACGCACATGCATCTCTCACATTTTTCTGCAACTGAGACTTCTAGAATTTTTATATCATCAAAAGGCTTACCTTCTGCAGAAAGCCCTTGACCCTGAGGTGTCTTGGGAAATTTTAGGACTTGGCCTAATCCTATATATATGCCAGACAAATTTTGACAGCCTTATTGCTTTTCATCATGAAGTGATCCTGGAACTTTTCCTAAATATTCAGGCATGTTAACACCAGCATCTTGATTCACTTCCAACCCAACCTTCAATTTATTCCACTTAGGCTAGTCACAGCATTTTTCCCCAGTCCTTCTGTGACCCAAGCAATTCTGGGAGACTGCAATGTGTGCTGTTAATATTTGTAGCATTCTCAGGAGACAGAAGCTATAGAAAAGCTAAATACCATGGTTTTGTTATTACTACTAATTACAGGGCTCTACCTCAAAGGAATCAGGGTGAGAAGAGATGAATTAGCATTGATAAATGACTCGCAAAATAGAAAATGCTGTAGAAAGGTTCTAAATATACTATAAAGAGTGGAGACAGCATGCAAGTGTGATTAGGGAGGTGGGGTCAAAGAGAGAAACACTGGAATACGGGTGTACTTAGGGTCAGTATGACCAAATTCTAGTATGATGTAATTTCCTGCACATACCAATCTCAGAGGCAGGCTCTCAGGAAAGAGGATATTTGATATGGCAGTACAGCCTTTCTTATGAAGGGTACCAGGAAAGAACAACAGTTGACTTTTTTGCTGGGCTGTGATCTTCCACTTTCCCTATCCACCAGCCCCCACTAAAATCAATAATCACTGTTGTAAATAATTTGGAAATGTATGTTGTTAGATAAAACTTACTCAGCTAGACTCTTAAAAGAAAAACTATTAGAAATAAGAAATTTGATAGTGTGGATAGTATGATGGAAGCTGACAATTTATTATTTAAAATTTCTTTGGAAGTTGGATCGAAAAGATGAGAAGCTCAGACCTTGAATCAGACTAAATTTACAAGAGGAGACACAAGATCGAGGGACATTTATTCTCTAAGAAATCTGATCCGAATGGGGAAAATGAGATGTAGCGGCAAGGCAATGGGTCTGCATAGTATACAACTCAGGCAAGGTTTGTGCCCACAAAGAAAAATGGTTGGGAGCAATAATTCCATCTTATTTATACATATTTTATTACTAGTTTTTTTTTCATGTTTTCACCACACAGAGATTCCATGAAGCAAAGAGAGGCTTAGTTTTGTAAAGAACTTTGCAATTTTCCTGGAGGAAAGTTGTCGCCACGAAGGACTTTATTACCACATACTTTGGTTTCCAGGTGCAAGTGAGTCCAAACCCCAGGTGCAAATATATCCAAATTTCAGCACCATAAGGTTTCAGTTTCTCACTTGTGTTTTTTTTATAGTACCTGCCAACACATGAAACACGGTAGAAAGGTTTGATCAATTTTTTAAAATGAATTTAGGAAAAAATAGTAACTTACAGAAACTTTGAATTCAGAGTTGAAAGAGAGCTTATAAATGATCAAACCAAACCTATTCTGGGAGCCGAAATTCCTTCTCCAGTATTCCTGGCAGACAGGATCCAGCCTTGCTTCAAGATTTTCACACAGAACAGCTGTTTTCGTTGTAGAGTGGAAATGATTCTTATGAAATTTATATGAAAATTCTGTGAATGTCTATGTGTATGTGCATGCAAAATTTATATTTCCATCTAGGAGAGGCATATTCCCTATATAATTGCATTTGCTTATTCAAAAGCTAGTCACACGGGTTGAGAAGTATGAGGGTACTTATGGGGAAAATAAGACAGAATTAGGATAGTACTTTAAATCTGGGAAATGTGCCCACAGTATTTACCGCTGTTTTAAGAAAGCATATTTATGCTTTTAGTACCAAGCAGATCTTCTTGTTGATTCAGGACTTCTGCTATTTTACAATGAAAGCAGATTGTAAATGAAACTTTACTGATTTCCCTTTTTCCTTTTCCTGTAGTAATCAAATGCTCTCAGCCACTGGATCTAATGAGTAACAGCTGTGCTTGAAGTGGCCTTATAGATAAAAATTAAAAGTATGATAACATCTAAGGATTTTGTTGTTTTTAAAATAACGGTAGACTTAAGAATTAAGAGGAGGCTAAAGGCATCAATGCTTCTAATATGTCAGTCAGCCTCTTCATGTAGTAAGTTGGAGAAACTGACATAGTCTAACAATCCGATGCATTGGGAGATATGCTGTGGTGATCTGACCTTACTTGTAGTTGCAAAGACTTGCACTGGAAGAGTCTATCTCCTCAGTGATGGTGGAGATGGTTTGCTAAATGTCCGTGAAGGCCTGATTTGCAAGATATCCGATGTTGTTATGATTAAATGCAACAACCATACCCCATGAACTATTAGAGACAGAAGGAGCTAGAGAGGGTGCCCTTCCAAATCTCTTACTGGCAAAATGAGGAAACTGAAGTGATTTGCACAAGATCAGCCAGCTAGCTGCACAACTGTGACTGGAAACTGAGCCCCTACATAATGCTTATTATGTCCCACCAATGGCTTTCCCATAGCTGCATTATGGTTGTAGACACTCTAAACGAGATGCTATTTTAATACTACATACCTAAGGTTCAATCAGTTGGATGTTTTTCTCTTTTTACCAAAACCTTTTTAGAACATATTTGACACTAGTGTCATTTGTCTGTTGACATACGCTTGGTGGAAGGAGTAATTGTCCAGGGGTAGAAAGGCTATTCTTCTCTGCTGGGGATGTGTGGGATCCTCAGTCACAGTTGAATAGAAGAGAGTATTTTCTTCTTCAGAATCAAGACCACAATTTTTTATGTGGCCAGGCTTGAGTTTTTGCAACTTAATTAAACATATCAATTCCAATCAATTATATTTCCTATTAGTTCAAACACTTCTCCAGTCAACAACAAATCTGTAAAGAGTCCCTGAGTGCCTGCCCTCACTCTCACACACTTTTCTTTGTGTGATCAGTATGAACGTGCATCTTTTCCTTCAAATATCGTGATCCCCATCCTTCTTTTCTCTTTTCTCTTCTTTTCCTGGGTATGCTTTTTTTCCCCCCCTCTCTATTCTCTGAGACCTTTGATGGAACCTTTATTGAATGCATAGCACATGCTTGGAGCAATTTAGGATGACTTTTCTAGGATCATCCAGATGTCCAGTGTGGAGAAATAAAATAAAACATGCTTTTCTCTACATTTCAACATAAAGGCTTTGTTTGGCCTTTTAGTTTTCTCTATCTTTAGCAGTAGACATGTCCAAAGACCAGTACAGAAAAAGAGACAGAAGGGATCAGCATGTGCCTCACACCTGCACTGGTCACTCATTCAAGGTGCAAGGTAGGCAGGAGCAAAGGAGAGAGTGACACATGAAAAGTATCCGGGCCATATGGCAGTAGGACAAGCCAGGCATGCTTGTCTAGGTCTATTTGTAAACCCTGTGGGTGTTATCCCCACACTGCAAGAATAGTGATAAATACGTCATTAACCATGACCAGCAGAGATATGTCTATATTAGAGAAAAAGAGGCAACCCTGAATCTTAACATTATATTTTACGTCCTACATTGCCTATTCTCTAGTGTGCGGTTCTCAGAGAGGAATGTGCCACAGTATTCCAATAGTTATGAAAAGATAACATAAGGTGCAGCCAGCAGTCCAGAAGAGATGTGGTCAAGATTTGTCAAACTATTTGAAGTCGTTTATAAGTAAAAATACCTCACTCAATGATTCTTACGAATTCAATTTTCCAGTTAAAAAAAGGGCAAAGAACACATTTTGCCATTTGTGCTAGAGATTAATATCCCTTTATTTACATGCAAATTACTTTAAAAGGTAGGAAAACCTATAAAATTTTAAAGGTTCCACACTGGGGGCTTACACTAAGAGTCTTTGTCAAATAAAATGAATTCTCACAAATCTGCTTTGAGCTACTTTCTTTGCTTCTAAGCACAGCCTCTCTTAGAGGAAGGAAACAGTAAAGTTCTCACAGAGAAAGAAAACGTTTACCACTCAGTAAAAATCCCTGGGCCTCACTGTATGAAAGCTTTAATTTAGCTCGGCTCATTCCTCCATGAGTTAATTTAGAACACCAATGAAAGGAGATTATTTTTGGACTGAGAATCTGCCTGGCACATTTTTTGAACTTAATAGAGCTAAATAAAACTATCCAAACTCCTGTGATTTTTGGAGGAGGTCATCTACAAGCGATAGCCCTGTGATAGTTTTCATGAACATAGCAGACCAAACGTGAAGGAACATTCTCTAATCTGGAGAGATTAGGGGCCTCATACATGAATAGAGCCACTTCTTAAATACACATTAACTGGAAAAGATATGGAATGTGAACATGCATGCACACGCTCTCCAGGCAGGAGACAGCCAGGAGAAATGGAAAGCGCAGAGGCCTAGGAGTAAGATAAGCCATGTCTTTCTTAGCTTTGGCTGTGCTGGGGAACTAATTTCCATTGGGAAAACAGCTTCATCTCTTTGAGCATTAGTTACTTTTGTAAAATGGGAACAATGATCTCCCTTGAAGGGTTATAATATTGCATGTGTAAAAGTTTTATAAATACATAATCTTCCAAGTGTGATATTTTTGTTTTGATTTATTGACTTGCCTGTATTTTCTATTTTCTTATAATAATACATGTAAGACAAGCTTATCTTAAAGAATTAGAGAACTATATAGAAAGGAAGATAAGGGAAAAAGTCTTCATTATTGCATCATTCAGAGGTTTTTCTTCTAATCTTTGCATTATTCAAAGGCACTTTCTTCCAATCTTTTGCTGAACATTTTCTTATATAGTTAAGAATACACCATATTTGCAGCTGGAATCCTTAAAAAAAGATATATTTTATGTATCTGTAAATATACATATATTTATATATGCATATATATACATATACAAATATCTATACACATATATAGATATATAAATATATACATATATAAATATATATACATATATAGATATATAAATATATACATATAAAGATATATAAATATGTATATATAAATATGTAGAAATATATCTCTGTATAAATATATAGATATACAAATATGTATATCTATATATACATATATAAATAGATCTAGATCTATATATAAATCACTGTGTTCTTTTGTATTATTAAAAGGCCTTTATATAACATAATTTTTAATACTGCATATTCCACCTCCCCATCATCATCATCTTTATCTTTGTTAGTATCATCTCCAAGATCAGTATCATCATCATTTGTTAAACACTATGAGCCAAATCTTATGTAAGTGGTTTACACATATTACGCTATTTTACTTTATTCTCAAGAATTATTCACATTTGTAAATGGAGACAAATATAGCCAACAAAAACAAAAATATTGAAGAGAAAAATAATCATCTGTAAGCTTTGTGCCTCTGAGAGAAACTCCAGGACCATTTCAAACCAACTTAACTGGCAACAAGGTGACAGAAACACTGATTATTACCTTGTACTTTTTTGGAAAGTTAAAGCTAAATAAGGCTATATACTTATATATGTTTCTTGAAAGAGATTTCTTATCATTATATAACCACTTGAGAAAAACACTTTTTAAAAAAATTAAAAACTGAAAAACAAAGCGTCTCTTTATTTTTCGGATCCTAAAGAATGGAATCATTTAAAGATGGGGAAATGCTTCAGCTCAATGCAAAAAGGCTTCTTCCAAGAATACATAGGCACTATTCAGGGTTTAGAAAGTTGTTTTAGAATCACAGTAGAGGCCTTTTGCGTATTAAAATAGACTATTTTTTTTCCTGACCATTTAGCCTTGCAAAGCAGCTGAGAGGAGTAACACCGTATTATTTCTTCAGCTTTCAGATATCTATCTAGTAATTTCCATTTTCATCCACAGAACACATTCAGAGCAGAATTGGCGTAAAGTTGTTGCTGATTTGATTTGGCCAATGATTCTTAAGAAATGACGGTGGCACAACTGTCACATCTTTCTGCCAAAACCTTGTCAGTCCAGCAGTCTCCACTAGATGAGGTGAAGGGAGACGAGGGCTGGAGATAGGAGAGTCAGTCCTGAGAGGGGAGGAGGGTGGCTAAGGAAGTGTCAAGGGGGTCTCTGGAGAAGGGGCCCCGGGCTATTAGCTAGCTGTCTAATCCTCCCCTCAGCAAGGCCTTTTGGCTGCCAAGACTGTTATCCTGTGTGCAGTGTTGATGGTCTGTGATCCTTTGTCAGAGTAATTGACGGTGAAGTCTGCACTTTTGCAGCTAATGATAAATAGGGCTTTTAAAGGTTGTAATTTCTTGTTTAACTGATGCCAGTTGCAAATACTTTGTGCTGAGGAATAATTCCTCTCTGCCAAATAAAATACAGTGGAAGTCTGTGGTGTGTTTTTCAGCTTATTGTTAGTCACAGCTTTCCTGACAGAGCACTTTCTATGCAGGAGATAAATGCTCAGGCCGTCCGGCTGCCAATTTCAGCACATAAAGGACTTTTCTGTGGAAAAGACTTTTCTGTTTCTCTAGTGAACATTAATAAGGATTTTTATTTATTTTACTTTTTATTTTATTATTTTACAAAACCCTTTCAGAGGGGCAAATGTTTACTTCCTTGGAATGAGAATTATTTGAGTTTTTAAATGGGTCTCATTTCTTTCTCTGTCCCATTCATGAGCTCTAGTTTGCACACAGCTCCTCTAGATAAATGGCAAGAAGATGGCTCTCTAGTCTGTTCACAGAAAACTGTATTATGGGCAATGGGATTGGGGAAAGGCTTCCCCAAGGGTCTGTGCACCACAAGACTGAAGGGAAAATTATAGTAAAAGGGGCCAGAGGATGGCAAAAATGAGAGAAATCAGGTTCCTATGGGCTCAAAGAAAGATTGGCTTGCTTGGATGTAAACTGAGATTCATACCTTTCACAATGAAACAAAGCAACACAAAAGTGCACCGAGAAATACCAGTGTGCCTCAAAAGTGCAAGTGAATGGATTTGAGAAGGAGTCTCGCTCTGTCACCTAGGCTGGAGTGTGGTGGCGTGATCTAGGCTCACTGCAACCTCCCCCTCCTGGGTTCAAGTGATTCCCCTGCCTCAGCCTGCCAAGTAGCTGGGATTACAGACGCCTGCCACCACGCTCGGGTAATTTCTGTATTTTTAGTAGAGATGGGGCGAGGCTGGTCTTGAACTCCTGACCTCAGGTGATCTGCCAGCCTCAACCTCTCAAAGTACTGGAATTACAAGTGTGAGCCACTGAGCCCAGCCAAGCGGATGGATTTCAAGGGTTTTCATATATATGCTTATAATCATATTTAAATGTATTGATGGGGTTACAAACTTAAAAATGTCCTATGGCCTCCTATGGCCATTTTTTTTAAGCAAATGAAACACCATATTCAATTTTATGCATTTGGAAGTTATTTTTTTGTGTGAATGAGTTGGTTCAAGCCAAATTCATTCATAGGAAATAATTCCTGAGCCCAGGAAGTCCAGTAGGTCTCAGGTGAAATGTTGGCAGGTGGAGGTGTTTCTAGCTAGTATAGAACCGCTGATGAGTGTGTTACTGCAGGTTCTACTATAGGGTGGAGAACCTTTAGGATATATATTCAGACCATTTGGAAAGTCCGTCAGAGCTCTTCCATACATTAAAAAATGACATGTCCTTGTGTCTTGAATTCCTGCTTTACTTATCTAGTAATTTAGATACACGTGTGTGTCATAGATTGAAAGAAAGATGACCAGGAGAATTGAAAACAGACCTATACAGGGGAGAAAGTGGGAGATGATGGACAGAGATATTGTGGTCAAAGTTTAGCAGTCAGAGAGGCCTTGAGCATCCTATCCATTAAAAGTAGCAGACAGGCTGTATTATTAGTACTGTCCTTCTGAATCTGTAAAGCATTAATGTTTGTCTCATGCCCAGCCAAAACCAAACTCCAAGTTACCAGGATGCTACCTGGAGACAAAACTGCCCTTATCACCCACTTTGCTGCTGAAAACCCGTTACTGACTGTCCTACCCTGGAGGATGCAGTTCAAAGAGTCTTAGCATGTTGGGAAAGGTCCTCTACCATCTGGCCCTACTTTCCCACTACGGCTTCATCTTCTCTTCTTAAAGCTCCCAAATGCTGGGCTGAGACAACATAGGGAAATCATGATCATATCACTTACCAGCACTGCATTCCTGAGAAGTCTATTTTTCTGAACTCTTGAAATTAGGACAGTGACATAGTTTTTCATAGGGCTGTTATGAGGAATAAATGAGGTAAAAATCCACTTTTAGGAATGAGTAATACTGCCTTTATCACCCTGCTCTGTCCATTACAAACAGTATTTTTCCACTGGTCAAAATGTGTATTTTTCCATCAAAATCTAGTGCAATTAGTTCCTCTTCTTTATGACTCATCTATTATCTCATCTATTAAGTTACAGTTGATCCTTCCTTTGCATCACAGCTTTACAATATATATCCTCCATTATCTTACATAACTCATTTTTGAAGTTACTTGCTTATATATCTGTTTTTCTTCACTAAATTTTGAGCTCCTTGTGGGAAAGATTGACCTTTCATACTTACCAGCCAGTACTCATCACCAGTAGTAAGCATATATTACATTAAATAGAAAGAAAACACAACATAGGAACTCTGAATTGTGATTTGTCATTGCAACTTAATTTGAATTCCATGGTTTAAAGGCTCATATAATCCTTGGGCATGAAATCAGTTTAACTTGTGGGCATCTGATCATTCCATTTCTACTCAGGCCAAATGTTTTGCTTGTTTTGTTCAAGAATTACAAATTTAGAGTTTATGAAATTTTATTTCCAAAAACTATTAAGAAGTAGAAGAATTTTTTTAAGGAAAGATTTTATTCGAAAGGGTTATTGCAACAGGGAGAATGCTTCAACTACAAGTTTTACAAATGTCCTAAAGTCAGACAGAAAATATATTTTATTATATTATTATTTTTAATTGACACATTGTAATTGTACTTGTTTATACAGTACAGCATGATATTCTGATACATGCATGCAATGTCATGATCAAATCAGAGTAATTATTAATAGCATATCCATCATCTGAAACATTTATCTTTTTTTGTGTTGGGAACACTCAAAATCCTCTTTTCTATTTGAAGATATACATAAATTATTTTATAGTCACCCGATAGCACTATAGAACAACAGTCCCCAACCTTTTTGACACCAGGGACCGGTTTCATGGAAGTCAATTTTTCCATGGATGGGGGAAGGCGGGGGGAGGGGGCGAGAATGGTTTTGGAATGAAACTTCCTCCTCGGCTCATCAGGCATTAATTTAAATTATCATAAGGAACCTGCAACCTAGATCCCGCGCATGCGCAGTTCACAATAGGGTTTCTACTCGTATAAGAATCTAATGCTACCGCTGATTTGACAGGAGGCGGAGCTCAGGCAGTAATGCTCACTCACCTGCCTCACACCTCCTGCTGTGTGGCCCTGTTCCTATCAGGCCACGGACTGTTACCGGTCCATGGCTCTGGGGGTTGGAGACTAGAACACTAGTTGGAACTAGAACACTAGAATTACTCCTCTTATCTAGCTGTAATTTTGTATCTGTTATTAACCAACCTCTCCCTGTCCTCCCCTCCCCTCACCCTTTCAAGCCTCTAATAACCACAATTGTACTCTCTACTTGGAAGAACTTTTAAGAAGTGGGTTTGTCGGACTCCTCCCTATGGAGTTGGCAGTGCTGTACAATGGGTGTGTGTGCAGGCAAAGCAGATCCATATCTCTGTTAACAAATGTAATTTATAACAAGTAAAAAGAGAACTATTCAACTTAATTTCTTTAGAGTGAGGGTAACTAGTTCCCAGGATTGAGGCTTTTACCCGTGTTCATGTAAGAACGTATCACATGTTTTCCATTCTTCTATCACATGAGCACCCTCTAAAGGGTAAACGCTCAAATTTAAAATTTTAGTTTTATGGTACTTAAGGCAAAAAGACAATATAATGTGGGTCTCCCATAAATGGCAATAGCAGAGTGTTTTTAAAACTTGGAAAGTGTTTTTTAAAACCCAGAAAGCTAGGTTGCAGCATTTCAATAATTTACGATGTTGGGTGAAATGGATGGGTAGATCTATGCAATTATCTTGCTCTCATTGGCTTCGTGCATAATTAGATTAATGCTCCCACTATTCTGAGAGGGATTTATAACCATTTGATCAAGAGAAGAACAGAAATATCTTGCAGGCTGGAACTTCAGTTTGCAAAGCCAAATCAAATGCTCAGAGGCATTTCTTTGAAGAAAACATCTCTTATGAAAATCATAGAATTGCAATCCAATCATATCAAGAAGTTTATCTGTCTATCTAATTTAATTTCTGGGTTAAAATTATACCCAATACACTGCCACGAATTCCTATCCATTTCTTAAAAGTTCTTCCACTTCTTAATAGTTTATAGGAAGAAAATTTTATAACCTCTGAATTCTTTCAGGATCATTGGTTCTACGAATGTCAAGTGTTTCAGAACTTGGGCTCTGTAGCCAAACTACCAGATGTCGTCCATTGTGTGCCCTGGGCCTGGATGATCAGCTCCCTGAGCCTTGGTCTCCTCATCTGCAAGACCTCCTAGTGTAGTGAAATACAAAATGGTCCATGCAGAGCACTTAACAGAGGTTCTTAGCAAGTAGTTAGTACTTAATAATTGTTTGTTATTCAGAAATATTTATTAAGTACTTACTTGGTAAATCATATTGACTTGACATTACATTAGTTCCTGGAAAGTATATAGCAAAAGTACAAAATATTGTCTCTGTCTTCACAGAGTTTATAATAATAATACATTATATAATAGTGTTTTTTTTTTAAGTCATCTTACTTGAACCTCACAACAACTCTTTAAAGCATTTAGGACACTTTCCATTGGTATTTTACATTTTATTTCAGAACTTGGGCTCTGTAGCCAAACTACCAGATATCAGCTGCATGCCCTGGGCTCAGGCAAGATGAGTGAGTTTGCTGAAAGACAGTGAGTGACAGGTCTGGCTCTCAAGGCTCTGTCTTCTAATTAATGTCATTTCCAGTCCATGTCAGCTCTTCCCCCTGAATACGTAGTTGAGACCAAAATACATAGAAAACAAAGAAGACATCATGAAAATATACAGCCATGTCCTAAATTGTGTGAATCGAGCACTAGCTCAGAGTTAAGGAAGGAGAATAATTAATGTGGCCTAGAGTACTGGGAAAAGCAAAGCAAAAATAAAAATTTTAATTAAAGGTAAAACTAATCAACTTACCCACTGACCATTTTTATTCTGAAATATAACTAAACATTGATTTCCCCAAGTGTTAAACTAGATAAATATAACTTTGCTTAGTTTTGTTAAAATTTATTAAATTAACACTTTTTAAAATTAAAATTGTATTGTGTCCTTTTGTTATACTATAAACACATTTAGAATATAAATGAAATAACATAAGTAAGTGAGGTGTTTTATGATCTTTGAAAGAAAGGCCTATATAAACGCAACCTCTCAACGCTGGGAAGTTATGAACACAATTAAGTTGCTCTCTCATGGAATTCTGTTCTTTCCAACTACACTGAGAATAAAGTGGGGGACATAGATTTCTACTTATTTTTCTAAAGTTCAAGAATCTCTAAGCTGTGGTTAACTTTTGGCATGAGACCACAAAAAACACACTCCAAATATTCATCATATTCATAGGTTAAGTAGGGTACACAAGATGTAATTGATTTATTGGCCATTGGTCACTGCAGTCATCGTATAGGCCTGAATGCAAACTTGCCTTCTCAGCTGTATTGTGTTCTTAAAGGAACCTTGAGAAGCAAGATAGACTTTGGAAAGTTGGTGTCATACATCTTTCCTGTTTCCTGTCCTTAGCCTCCACAAATGATGATCTTGGAGAAACTCAACTTCATGAGAGTCTTTGTTGGAACAAATAAAATGGTAAATAGATTTTCCCCAACAGATCTGCACCTGGTGTGTAATAGACTATACCCAAAACATTTCCAAATCTTCAATATTAGTCTTTCACACTCAGTCTGGAGAATAAATTTTTCTTCTGGATTCTCTCCTTTTGGAAGGGGCATCATCTTGGGATCAAACTAACAGGCCTAGATTCTGTTGTTACTGGATGCTTTGTGCCATTATTTTTCCAGCCCTGACAAGAAACTGCTCTTCTAGAGGGACCCATAAAACTTACCTAGTGGCTTTGGTCTGAACTTTGAAATGTACACTGCAAAGAGTTCCAAAGGCACACATGTTATTTGGGTCCTAGTGGAATGGTCTCAATATATAAACTCTCACAATGTAATGGGAGAACATCCTTAGTGATTCACCTTAAATGTACCCCATTCTTTTTTTTTGTCACCACTTTGCCACTTTCCTGCTCCATGTCTGCATTACGTAGCAATTTAAGACCTCATTTATATAGCTCATGGTTGTGTCAACCAGCATAATCTGGCAATTCACTTCACTAGGAACCTTACATCCTCTGCCTTGGTTTATTTAAATTTTAGACATTATATATACATATTTTTGGCAGGTTCTCACTCTGTTGCCCAGGCTGGAGTGCAGTGGCACAATCATGGCCTCAGTGCAGCCTCAACCACCTGGGCTCAGGTGATCCTCCCACCTCAGCCTCCCAGGTAGCTGGGACTACAGGAGCATGCTACCACACCCAGCTAATTTTTGTTATTTTTGTAGAGACAGGGTTTCGCAATGTTGCTCAGGCTGGTCTCAAACTCCCAGGCTCAAGTGATTTACCCGCCCTGGCATCCCAAAGTGCTGGAATTACAGGTGTAAGCCACCTCTCCTGGCCCTGAAATATCTATTTAAAATATATATTTTTTGTTTACTGCTAAGTTCAGCAGGCAGTGATATCATGTGACCTATTGTCTGGGAGCTCCTACCAGAAACTACTATGTCAAAGTGAGCTAGCAGATACAGTTAGTACTGTACTAGGTAATGACAGTAAGTCTCAGCAGTTTTAGTGGGCTACGTAGAGAACTCAAACAAGTAAAACTTTTGCATTGCAAGAAGTTGTTCCTTCTCATGTGAGCAATTGAATCTGCTTCTAGTTCTCATGTTTCTAGCACTGCTGTTACCAGTTCAATTTTGGGTTCTCTGGGCTAAGTCACACATATACCCACATAGACACACACACACACACATACACACACACACACACACACACACACACACACAAACATTTTATGAGAAATTATGCCCCCCACCCTTAAATGTTAGATTTTTTAAAAACTCTGGAACTTTATAAATAGTTTTTCAACAGTTTTCTTTGGTCTCTTGTTA
Organism: Homo sapiens; assembly: GCF_000001405.40. Lineage (NCBI taxonomy): Eukaryota > Metazoa > Chordata > Mammalia > Primates > Hominidae > Homo > Homo sapiens. The sequence continues at coordinate 170,706,074 of NC_000001.11, forward strand.
AGTATTTGAATACCTGCTAAATCTGAACATTATCTTTAAAAGTTATCTAAAAGAAAATAAGCATTCATGCAATGTTGAAATAACCCTGATATCTGCAAATATCATTACTAGTGTTATTTAAAAATAGTCAAAGACATTGCAGATTTGACCACAGGAATGTATATCCATGGAATTACACAGTGTCTAGTTAATCCATTGTTAAATTTATAGATTCCAAAAATGGAGGTAATTAGCAATTAAGTATATTATTCTTTACTATATACCTCTTTGAAGGCACAGATGTATCTATTGGTCAAGTACTTGAAGAGGAGTTTGTAATTTAAAATTAGAAAGAGTTATTAAAAACAATTTAATACTATGCCCTTTTTCAACAGCAACAGTAATAGAAACCTAGATTGGCAAAGTTACATTCTCAAGATCACATGACTTTTTTGGGCCAGAGACAGAGAACTCATGTCGTCTGGCTTCTGATCCACTGACGTTCCCCCGTACCCCATTATATAAAGTTGACTTCTCATACATTTCTATGAAAAAACTTTACTAACATTGAATTGCTGAAAATGTGGGAAAGAGTATAAAGTTATAATTGTATAAATTTGGTCTGGGGCTATGATTAATTAGAGACAAGTTTTGATATAAAAAATGGGTTCTCTCAGGTCAAGAAGTTACCTATATTCGTATCACTTGGTGACCACCTACACTTCATGGCCAGAAAAGCTTAGTGCCATTTGGTCTTGGGAAGACCTGAGACTGGTGCTCAAACCAGAAGTCTCAGCAGGGCACAGTGGCTCACACCTGTAATCTCAACACTTTGGGAGGCTGAGGCAGGAGGATTGCATGAGACCAGGAGTTCAAGACTAGTCTTGGCAACATAGTGAGACCCCAAACCTAGCAAAAAAAAGACTGCTGGGCATGGTGGTGTGCAACTGCAGTCCCAGCTACTGGGGAGGCTGAGGCAGGAGGATCACTTGAGCCCAGTAAATGAGGTTGGAGTGAGCTGTGATTATGCCACCGTACCCCAGCCTGGGTGACAGAGTGAGACCCTGTCCTTAAAAAAAGGAAAAAGAAAAAGAAAAAAAAAATACCTGGATGTCTCTAGGAAAGAAAATTGTAATAATCCTTCTAGTCAAGAAGCTTTCTCCTCAAACTAACAGATCTGTAGTAAAGGAATAAGTTTAATGATATCATCAGGGAAAGTATGACCACTACAACTAAAAAGCCCTAGTATGGAAATAACCAAATAGAACAAAGTGAAGGAGCCCAGCAGGGGTCTGCAGAACACAGCTGAATAGCAAGAAAGGAAAATATTTCCTTTTAACTCTCTTGTTGGCCAGATAAAAAAAAAAATTAAAATGTAGCTTAGAATGTCCCCACCTTTGCCCAAATCAGTTACCATGCACACATCTTCTTTAATTGATTTAATGCAAACACTGTGTTTATAAAATCTGATTTTCTCAAATCCTTTCTTCCATCTACTCATCCAACCAGTATATGTTTTCTATAAGAATCTCCTGAGTCTATGAAATTTTCATGTTTATTCCTAGGATGCTTTATTTTAAAGGTGCTGACTTCTGAGTAAATTAACCACATAATTATACCCTGTGCCATTTTAATCAAATAGATTAAAGAAAAGAAATAAGAAGGCTTGTCAATGAAACTTTTACCAATTGTTGGAAATGCTCTTGCAGTGGAATTAAACACTAGTATATCCAGTTTGTCCTTGTTCTTGGTTCAACATATTACTATCAAAGTCCTTTTTCAAAGTAATTTAAAAATTGGAAAATTTTTAGAAATAGGGAAAACCTGAAAAAAGACCCAAGGTTATATGAGGAAATATATCTGTAATTGTCATGTAAGTCATATTGGAAACAGATGCCAAGGAAGAGAATGACCCAGATGGTGATTAAAGAGTCATTGTCCTTCCTTAACCTTGATTATCTTCCTTTTCTGGTTATCATTTTATGTTTAATCAATACAACTTTTTCTTAGGTCTTTCCTTCATCCTACTTTCTTCCTGTTATGAGTTGAGCAGTGTAAATTCTTCTTGCCAGATTTCAGATGATGAGGATTTGGAAGTGCTGGTCACGACATGAGTCACAGTGACACACAGATTACTCATAGATTTCCACTCCAGGCAGACAGAATGACTATTAACAAGGACTTCTTTAGGGCTGTTCAACAACAGGGGACATGATTCAATGGAATAAGATTATTCCACATGAATTTTTGGGTGTTTTACCCAAATGTAACTTTTTTTTTTCTCATATGACCTTAGTGCATCGGCTTCCTTACTAGTTAAAACAGTCGCATATCCTTGGAGAGGAAATCACCATATAATTAAGGCTTAGGTGTGGTTGACAGGCCGTAATGTTCCTGTATATTGGAGAATGAATTAGCCAGGCTTTTGCCCAAGCTCCTTTGCCAGAGAAAGGGAACAGAAAACACGGTGACTGGAAATGACTAACTAGAAGAAAATACAACCTCAAGCTAAATATGTTTTTTGGAACATAGAAATAACTGTATCAGGTCAAGCCTTTTGAGACTTCCTTTGTCTTTTCTAGGAGCAAGATGGTCAATAATTCCATATGTATCATCATTATCAAAGTCAAACATTTACTGAGCACTACTAAAAGGTTTAGGGCTCTATTCTACACACTTTGTTCACCTGCCTTCAAGGCTTACTTTCTAATCAGAATAATTACTGCTGCAAAGTCATTCACTGAGAAAGTGCATGAGAAACCTGCATAACACTTGATCCTGGAATTTACATGCCTTACAAAAATGCAGTAAGCAGGAAATTTTGTGTGTCAAGACCTTATTACAGAAACTGATCCCTGAAAGAGTGGTCAGGTTTGGTGGCTGAGTGTGAATGGACCAGGTTGTTCAGAGTAGGCACTTTCACCAAGCAGAGTCTAACATATTAATTTAATAATTCTAAGAGAAGTACCCAAAATATGGAAGACTAATGTCAGGTGCCGGGATAGCACAGTTAACAAGTCAGGTAAGGTGCCTACCCTCATGAAGCTATATTCTAGTGTGAGACAATCAACATAAATAATTACAGACTGTCATAAGTGTTATAAAGCAAATGGTTAAGATGCTGGATGAAGAATAGTGAGAAGACTACTTCTGGTTGTTGATCACAGAAGGTTCCTACAAAGAACTGACAGGTCAGCTGAGACTTAGGAAAGGAGAAGGGGCCATTAATGTAAAAGTTAGTAGGTATGGGTAAGGTCTGTGATGTGTTATTAGGCAAAGAAAGACAAGGTCAGAGAAAAGTATAAATGAAAAGGACAAGAAAATTATGTTTTTATCACCATTAGCAGTACAACTAGAGTGGAGTGATTGGGTGAGAAATAATAGATCAGCTGAGAAAAGGATGCTAAGCTTCAGGTATGACAAAGAGAGGCCCATGCAGTGTTTTCTAACCTTGCACTCTCTTTGGTATATCTGTCCTCCTTCCTGGCCCGTTCCTGGCTCTGATGGTCACCAAGTGTACTGGAATATTTTTTTTTTCTACTATTACTTTACTTGTCAAGTGCTTTTGACTTCTTTCTCCAGATCAGTTAGAAAGTAAGTATCTTGAAGTGCAGACAACATACAACATTTCTCTCTACTCAGAGCATCTCATCGCTTGGCATGTAGGTGCTCAATAGATATTTGTTCAAATGAATGAATAAAGTGATAGGGAGGATGCTAAAGTCAAGATTGAATGTAACCATTGTTAGTGGCATCCATTTTGGGATTACCCTAAAATGGTTGATATAGGCAGTGTTTGCAGCAAGGCTGACGCCACTTGACTCATGGTTAAGAGGTCAAGGATGGCAGAGAAATGAAGTATGTAGCTATTCTTATTTCCTTTTAGTAAATTTAGAAGATAGAATAACTCTTTATAGTTATTCTAAAAAACATCTTAGGTTTCTTCTTTCTCTAGACTGTGGTTAGAGGTAAACTAATGTCTTCTAAAGATTCACATTGATTTCAGTCTGGAGTTTATCCCTGCAGAGTGCTGTGGGCATGGAGGAATATGTCAATCATTGAAGCTTTCCTCAGGCCTGGTAATTACATTACAGCCCTTATGCAAGATAAAATCCAGCCTAACTTTTTCTCAAAAAAGTAAAAAAACACACCACCAACACCATCACCACCAAAAGAATATAATTCAGTCATCATGCTAAATGAGCAATTATTGAAAGTTTTTTATTAGGCTAGGCATTGGAAGTGTAAAAACTATCCTATAACTCCACAATGCTGAATTTGAAACAGATCTTAGTCCCATAGCCCAACTTACAATTATGCCAGTTAGGACACTTGAGGGCTAACATCACAGGCTTTCCCAGTAACTCCCCTGAATTAGAATCAAAGTCTCCTTATTTCCAATCCAAAGCCATTTCCACTATTGCTCCATAATACATATTTTACAATAAAATATAAGGAAATGTGTACAGCTAGTTGTCACAATTTGTATCATTTAAAAATATATGTATCACTTGTATCTTAAAGCAGTTGTCATGGACTGAATGTTTACATCCTCCCCAAATTCATATATTGAATCCGTAACCCCCAGTGTGACACTATTTGGAAGTAAGACCTTTGAAAGGTAATAAGGTTTAGATGAGGTCACATGAGTGAGTCCTCATGATGGAATTAGTGTCTTTATAAGAAGAGACCAGGAAGCTTGCTCTCTTTTGCTCTCTCTGCCATATGAGGATATAGTAAGAAGGCAGTTGTTTGCAGGCCAGGAAGCAGGCCCTCAACAGGAACCCATATAGGCCAGCCCCTCTTCCTGAGGCTTCCAGCCTCTGAAACATATTTCTGTTGTCTAAACTACCCAGTCTATAGTATTTTGTTTTGGCAGCCTGAGCTGACTAAGCCAACAACCCATTTTACAGATACAGAAATTGAAAGCTTCAGATGTTAAAGAATGGTAATTTCCTCAAAAAAGTCAAGCTTTAAGCCACTATTTACACTTCGACTTTTCTTATTTTTTAAACAAAATTTGAATTTTTGTTCTTTAAAGAGAATTTTATTTCATCTAAAAAGTATTTAAAAATATCAAGCTTCTTATTTTGACCATTTTAGCATGTTTTCATCTTCAGATTTATTTGACATCCAAGACCAGAGTAACACCAAGAAGAACTTTGATATCCTTTTCAGCCCTCTTCATTTATTCTATATAGTGTTACAGAATTACCTTTGGTTCTATCTCTTACTGTGATGGAAAGCTAATTCTCTGTTATTGTGGCTTTCTCTGCTATAAGCACCTTGTCCTTTTAACACAAGATAAAAAATTATAAGAAAATTCAAGTCATACTTTTGTTCTCATAAGTTCAAATGCCTTGTAGCTGTCTTTCTATCTAAGCAGAGAAGCTCTGCTCCATCACTCCTGTCCTTCTAAGAGCTGAGCTTACTCATTAACTATGTACATCTCCTTCATTCCTGTCTGCTTCCAGTCTTGGTTTTTTAGAACCTGTGCTTACCAGATTTTTCTTTAGAACATTAAAAATTATAACCAAAAAGATAAGGAATCATTGAAAAAGGTGACATATGATGCTTGCCTCTCATGAAAACACTAGTTTCTACTGGTAATGGCAAGATTGATGTTGTCTCTTTTATGAAGTGACAGCAGTCTCAGTGCAAAGGGAAAAAAACCTCAGCAGAAGAAGACAAGAGGATATGCCTCATCCTCAGCTCTGTTTGTAATCCTAGTCAAATTCCTAGTCAAATACCAGGCACTTCCAAGGGGACCACACATCTGGATTATTGCAAGTTTAGAAAGCTTCTAATATCTCAGTCAGAACTCACTCTTTTCCCAGAACTTTGGTTTCTTCTTATCCTTTTGGAATTTACCAAAATAATCAGACATTTCTTTTTAAAAGAGTCACTGAATAAATAGTGAGTAATATGACTCAACTGTTGTGTTTTTAGGCATATGGCAACCAAATTAGTTAACCAAAAGCAAATAGGCTGGGAAATAATTGAATTTTCATAACCTGTCTTTAGCTCTTGGCTTTCTTTTCTTTCCTGTCTTTTTTTCTGAAGCTAATTTCTAGTGAGACTACTTGTTAAAGGTACCAATTGCTTATCCGTCTGAGTACTAGAATCTATTTGCTTTCTAGATTTTTTTTCCAAAATTTGAATTTAAGAAGGCAAGTTGGCTTTTTAGAAAGCCAAGAATTGAATAATAGCAAAAAAATGCCCCAAATGGAACTTTTGGGGCAAACACCTGTGCATGATATATATCCTTGTGCAATTTTGAGTCTACCCTATATCTCAGTTCTTGCTGAATTTTAAAGCTTTTATTCATTTTTCCAGTTTCCTAGTTCTGTTATGCTCTCCATCAAACATGACCGAGCCATATAAACGTATTTGAATGGCTTTCTCACTTTCTCTCCAGTTATTTTGTGATAGAAATCTTACTGAACAGCTAAATAACAACAAAGAGTGAGCAGAAGAGTAAAGGTACAGCAGCAATGGCTTGACCAGCCCATTTTTGAGAACACATTATGGTAGCACTGGTAGAAGTAAAATCCACCTCTTGTCAAATGCCTACTATGTGTCAGCCTATGTGCCTTTTATGCATTTATTAAATTTTCAAATGACCCCAGGATGCAGGTGATCCTACTCCCATTTTATCATTTTGGAAACTGAGGCTCAGACAAGTGAAACATCTTATCCAAGGCCACACAGCTAGTCAGTGGCAGGATCTGTATGAGAACAAAGGTTGTTCTTATTTCTAAGCTGGTTTACTTTCTACTCCACTCCACTTCCAACTATGCTTCCATCCCAATTATAGCTAGTTGGGTCTGACAAAAAGATTCTTATTTTCCCCTTTTTTGGCATCCTGCAATGAATTGAAAAAATGAGTAAACTGGTAATTCATCCATAGAAAAATTGGAGGTAGCTTACATATCTGAAGCCAGAATTTCATGTCTTTATCAAAGAGAGGGTACTCTGTTCAATAATGCATCTCTTACAGTAAGAATTCTAACATATTCATGAATACATTATTGTTATTCGTATTAGTAAATTATGGATTCAGGAATACATTAGTATTATTATTAGTAGTAGTATTTCATGTCTGATTATTCACTTACTGAACATTGATAAGAGCTTCAATTAAATACAAACACAAATGTTGTGCTCTGGAGTTATAGCCTAAAACAGATTCATCATCACACGGAAAATGCCCACATAATGCGGTGGGGTGGGGAGATTTATCAACATAGCCTCAGAAGTAAGTACAGTTCCAATATGGGACTACATGGAAAACCTTGCTTTGTGTTGGATATTCTCAGGGGTTCTGATCAATAATCCTTTAAGGAAAATGTCTTAAGAGAGTTAAAGCGCTTAAGGTGATATGGATTGTGTTAACATTTTTGGCGCTATAGAAAAGTATTTGTTCTATAGAGGTGAAAAGAAATATATAACAAAGAAGCTAAAAACAGTGCAAATCACCTTAGAGTACCTCACATTCTTGAGTGTTTTCTACTTGAAAGGAGGGTTGGCTATATTGAGAAAGTTAAATTTTGAGCTATCTACACAGAACCACTGTTGCTTTACACAGAGCCACTGACTCATCTCTTTGATCAAAACCATGCAAAATAATGTAATTTCACACTTCTTAGAGCATTTTGTTCTCCAGAGAACATATGTCATTTCCCAAATCACATATAAGATGTTTTAATTCTATTTGCTAAGGCTTAGTCTGATACTTGACTAAAAATGAACCAAGTCTATACCAAGATGACAGTAAAGACGACCATACAAAGTTTAGGGGCTTTAGTGGGCTATAGTTCAGGTAGCTGTGCTGTGATAATGCGCAATAGCTGCACAGTTGGGTATTTGTATTGGCAGAGATTTGTTCGCTCTTGATACGTGCTGGGAGTCAATGATGGAGGACCGCTGAAGGGCTATGCTGTTGAGACGATGTGTGTGTGCTGCTAAACTTGGCTTTGGTCATTGTGATGCACTAAGCTCAGTCTATATTGCAACAATCTTCCCAGTTAAGTGACCCATGTGCCATTTATCAGGACACATATTAGAAAGATGCTGTCCTAATTTCAGTTAATGCTAAGTGTAGCCAAAGAAACTCAAATGAATGCCACAGCTCTATTTCACTGCTTTTCATGGGCCTTGCAATAAAAGCTAAACGGTTTTTAGTGGCTTTTGCAATTACACTTCCTTTCAATTTTCCAAAGGTTACGGGGCCTGAACCACACAAATCCCATTAAAGTAAGTAGCTGTTGTGCAATATAAGTTCCTTTGAAAACATTGTTCAATGCCCATAAAATGATCAGCGGGCTGCACTTTAGATCCGCTTGCCTGCCATGCTTTCAACCAAAAGGCAGATGACAAACTTTGATGTGGTAGTTGGTTTCTGCTACTGGAGCTGGCATTTTATCTTCTTGCATCAGATTTTTTCCCAAACTGATGTGACCCAGGCATAGGAAACGCATTTTTCTTCAGATTTTATTCCTAAAATATGTTTTTCCGTACCTTTAAATTACGTTTGGCTGACCAATGATTTGGAATCTCTAAGGTTCCTCCCACAGGATGCAGAGCAGAAGAGGGTGAGGGGTGTTGGAGTTAGCTGAAGCTTGCATGGCAAGAGCAAGGCCTTAGTGAATAGGGATCACCACATGCTGTCAGGTCCCCATGCTTGAGGATGGCACTTTATGCCTTCTTCTCCACCTTCCCTCTAGGGCAACTTCAGCAGCCACATGAGGAGTCCAGAGTGAACTTCATACTAGAGCCGAGGTCAGGGCTATTGTTCTCTTTAACTCATATTTGAATGCACAGAGGGTAGCCTACCTTGGGCTTACAGTCTTCTTTTCTCAAGAAGTTCTTCATATGTATTCTAACATTGTGATCCATTAGAAACACCCATCTCTTTTAGTACCTCTTTCTTGTGTATTTTCTTGGTGGTTTAAGTAATTCATGTATCCTGCAGCCGCTTTTCTAGTAAAAGATAAAAATGAAAGAATAATTCCTACATTTGCAGAGGAATCAGACCACAAGGCTTTTTCCCTCTCTAAATCTGGTGACTATCCTATCTGATAAAGAAACACTGCAAAAGAATTTTTCCTCTGTGGGTAAAACTATCCAGAGACAAAAGACAATGCTAACATAATTACTTGCTATGTATTGTTAAAAAGAATTCAGAAATTACTCAGTCCTTTAAAACTTTAAATAAATCACTAAAATTCTAATATTGTGGGACTGCTTCTATACCATGACATTACTATAACTCTTTCAACTTTTACTGTAATGTAATATGTCAAGGAATCCTATCTCTTTTCTATAGAAATACCTGAATACATTAAGGTGACAAAATATTTACAGAGAAAATATTGAACCATAATTTTTAAAAAGTATTTGATAATATACTAATATATGTATATAAATTTAGAGCCTGAGAAATCAATATGAATTGGTGCTATCAGAAAAGGTTTATAGAGAAGGTAAGATTTGAGATGTGTTTTAGGAACAGAGAGATTTTAAACTGTGTCCTAAAGTGAAAATCATCTCCTATGATTGTGGGAGAAGATAGAAGATGGGGCATACTACTAAGCTAAAATAACCCTGCACTTATTTAATTGATGAAGCAAGGACTTATGGATATCATTGTAAAGAAGAATGCAAGAACATCTGGATCAAAATGGCTTTCTAGATGAGAATGGTTGCATTTTTTAATGGCTATTCTGGTAGAAAGGACAACATGTGATATTCATCGACCCTCTTTCTCAGACCCTCTTTATAACAGCTAGTATGGAAAAATCTGTCTTTCCTATAAATATTTTCCCTGGGGAATGGTTTCCATTTATGTGTTGGATGCTTTGTTGTTTCTCTCTTGCACAGCGTGTATGTTGTCATCTGCACTTAAGAGTGGAATGGAATTGGGAATCCTGGTTTCTTGCTCTGGCTGGAGGTCCCAAGTCCGCATTGTGATTTTGGGCAAGTCACGTTGTTCTTCTAGATCTAATTTAACTCATCTGTAAAATAAGATGGTTGAATTCGACAATTTCATGGGTTTCATTAGATGCCAATATTTTATGACTCATGATCCCAGCAAGACTACACCTATTTATAAGGCTGTTTTGCTTGTTTTTACTAAGAGCAACAATAACTACATATTTTCAGTTTACTCAATCATCAAAAAAATTATAAAATCCATAAACACTTTGGATTTGAAACATTGCAACTTTGATAAAAAATGTATCCATGTAGGCCAGGAGCAGTGGCTCACGCCTGTAATCCCAGCACTTTGGGAGGCCGAGGCAGGTGGATCACGAGGTCAGGAGATCGAGACCATCCCGGCTAACACGGTGAAACCTCGTTTCTACTAAAAATACAAAAAATTAGCTGGGCGTGGTGGCAGGTGCCTGTAGTCCCAGCTACTCGGGAGGCTGAGGCAGGAGAATGGTGTGAACCCAGGAGGCGGAGGTTGCGGTGAGCCAAGATCGCGCCACTGCACTCCAGCCTGGGCGACAGAGCGAGACTCCATCTCAAAAAAAAAAAAAAAAATGTATTCATGTTTCCGCTGGTTATTCTACAACTTGGTGAATCCTTCCCATTTTAGAATGCCAAAGAATGAGATGCATTCTAATATCCAGTTGGATGTCAGTATCTTCAGACAGCATGTTTCAAAATCAACTTTCACTGTAGTTGTTTTTGCAAGAAAAGATGACCCTCTTGGAATTAGTAAAAATACACTGCTTTCTCTCCCCTGTATTCAACCAGAGCCAAGAATCTGATAAATGTGTTTATCACAGGTCCTTCAGATACCCTGCATTTGTAAACCTCTACAGTGTTTATGTTTCCTTTTGTACTGCTGAAGATACTGTGCTGGGTCCTGTTCTGCATTCTTGGGGAAAAACAGGGAGCTCACATTTTGTGATTAGTGAGCAAAGACAGACCATCCCCAGGACTGCTGCTCGAGCTGTCTCTGTTGCCCGCTCATCGTCTCTTTCTATTATACTTGCACTCTGAAGGACATTTGCCAGAGCCAGACTCCCTGGATCCCTGTTATTTGTGTCTTTTCTCACCTTCAACATGATCTGAACTAGTGTTTTCATTTGTTAAAAACAACAAGAACATTCACTGGGAAACTTTTGCTGGAATTGCTTCAGGTCATCATAGCTATTTATTCCCTGTCATAAACTATAATTCTCCATTTCCCTTACTCCCACATCAGGGGAGTTGGTGGTTTATGGTAGACAGTCAGTGGAATTTGATTGAACAGTGGAATATTTCAAAGAACTACTGAGATTATGTAGCAGGTTGTAATACTAAGAACAAAACATAAAATATTCTTGGTCTTGATTGCAGTTGGCAGTACAAGAAGAAATAGGCTTTTGAAACAACATAAAAGATTTATAATTTGTGGTTGCACCTAAGAAAGAATTTTCTTTGAGAGAAGAAAACAAGTCATGGGATTGGCTTAATAGGGGATTTTCTCTATATGATTAAAAATAATGGCTTAGTGTCTAATTGGTCTCAGTTAAAACAAAGTACAGAAGCTAAGGATTTTTCTTTTTTTTTTTTGCAGACTTCTGTTTTGGGGGCATGAAATTCAGATAATTGTGCTATCACAAGGGCTTGTATTACTTAGAAAGACCTGAAGTACGAGACAAAATGATTTGGAAAAATGAATAGGAATGGGAGGAATGCTTCCAAATATTAAATAGGAAGGAGAATGCAAGTGCAATGTAACTACTGAAAGGTATTTAATCCTAGGTGTTTGAATTCTAGTGCTGATCTTATTGCAAACTAATTTTGCTAATAGCTAGTGGTATAATCAGTGATGTTGGTTGGAATATTTTAGGCATTGGTAGATCTCAAAAATTATTATTAAATTTGCTCCATTTCCAAGATGCAGCTGATCTTACATTCTTACTGAGTGTCACAGAAGTGCCACCAAAGCTGGGCCCTGAGGTAAGGCACCACAAGTGTAAAATACCAAAGAGAAGGTGGACTGTACAAAACCATGAAGCAGAGAGAAAGGTATGGTAGCTTCTTGGCTGGAGGAATCTGGTTGAGATCATCTGACATTTTTTTCTACAGAAACAGTCTTCTAAGGACAAGAGGAGTTTCACGTTTTCCCTGAAAACAAACTCAGCAAGCATTTACTATATCTGGGTGCTTTAATTATCAAGAAGAAATGTGCAGTCTCTATTCTAAGCTTCAAGGGTATTCCTGGTAAGGAAGCATTGATGAAGAAGGATTCTCTTAGCAAAAGACTTAGAGGCCTCAGTTGTCAGGCCTCTGGATTTAAGCTACATTTTGACTCTGTACACAAATCTAGATCATTCCCTCAATTTGTAATAAAAACAATATTATAGCTGAGGTAGGTGTCATCATGACTTGTGCTAATAGTTTTGCTGAGTACATTGTGTGTTTATAATCAGAGAGAATCAGGAGAATTTGCATATTAGAAGAGAGAGCCAAAAGTACTTTCTAAATAGTGAATGGCCAAGCTCTCCTTGTTCTCCCCATCCTCACTCCAACACTTCATAATTTTCTTTGGGCTGAGCCTCTTTGGGGAAAAGCTATGGGGAATGTAAGTCAAGTTCATTAGATGGAGCATGTGACTTGGGTTTTGGCAGCATGGTGTTGCAAATCTCTGGGACCTACACAGGCTCTGCAGAGCTCAGGCCTTAGGGTGATAGTTTGATTGAGGTGTCAGCACAGCTGGTATTCCATTCAGTTTCACATATACATCACTCCTGACTGGGCTGGGTGGGGGCAGCAGGAGAGGAGCATACTACACTCTGACTGCTATGGACAACCTGGACAATTATCTCACCACGCTACCTTCAGGGGAACTCAGAGAAAACCAAGGAAGGATCTTGACAGGTAAAAATGGAGTTGTGATTCTTCAAAGGTCCCTAAGATCTCAGGGTCCTAGAACTCAAGTTTGAGTGAAACATTTTCAGGGATCTTTCTGAACTGTTTCCTGTTCTTGGGTTCTCAGGGAGTGAGCCCCAGGCTAATGTTAGCTTGGGTTGATGGCATTGTAGCACTAGTCCTGATCTAGGCTGAGGCCTCTGAAGCCTGCCTTTGCAACAGCATGGAGCCTTGAGTGAATGGTGTTAGAAATTACTTGCTGCTTCAAGGAGAGTTCATGGTAAAACAAATCCCTGTAATGTGGTTTGAACATAGTTTCCTCTCTATAACTCTATGTATTTGTTCATGTATATATGTTAGGAGAGAAGGAACCAGGAGATAATTGGTCTACTTGATTATTAAACTATATGAGTGAGCATAATATTGTCAAAGACAAATAAGGTACAAAACCATTTACTCTTCTTCCTTTATCTCTAGAGAAGTCCAAAGAACATGGGCAGGGGTAAGATTTTCCTTGACAAACAGGCATCAAGGATCATGCAAGTAATGTCTCTCTGACAGTTCAGATCTTGTCCCAGATTTAGAGGCAACAGCCAAGCATTAGAGTTGCTGGGATTCTTGACATATGAACTTGAGAGCGCTAATGGCCACATTTGCACATGCAAAGTGGCATTTGGCTATAGGACTTTGATAAAGATGTGAGCAAATGAAGCAAGATCTCACTATAGATATACCATAAAAAAGTCTTAACTGGGACTCCTACAGTGAATTTGGCTTCTTTTCATCATTGTGTTCTATTCCAGATGACCAGCTGAACTCAGAAGAAAAAAAGAAGAGAAAGCAGCGAAGGAATAGGACAACCTTCAATAGCAGCCAGCTGCAGGCTTTGGAGCGTGTCTTTGAGCGGACACACTATCCTGATGCTTTTGTGCGAGAAGACCTTGCCCGCCGGGTGAACCTCACCGAGGCGAGAGTGCAGGTAACTCAAGCTGTGAGAGGCTGGCACCAAGTAGTACCCTCCTCAGAGGCACATCTCTGAAAACTGTTTAAAAACACAAATTATAGCCCAGCACAGTGGCTCATGCCTGCAATCTCAGCACGTTGGGAGGTTGAGGCAGGCACATTGCTTGAGCTCAGGAGTTCGAAACCAGCCTGGGCAACATAGTGAGACCTCATCTCTACCAAAAATACAAAATAAATAAATAAACAGCCAGGCATGATGCTGCGTGCCTGTGGTCCCAGCTTCTTGGAAGGCTGAGGTGGGAGAATTGCTTGAGCCTGGGGGGTGGAGGTTGCAGTGAGCTGAGATCACGCCAGTGCACCCCAGCCTGGGTGACAGAGTGAGACCCTGACTCAAAAATAAATAAACAAACAAACAAATAAATAATACCCAAGTTATAGGCTTCAGATGGGAGCTGGTACTTATAAGGGTTACATATGGTCAGCATGAGGATAGAATCCTGTTTCCAGCTGTGTTTCTTTGGGCAGCAAGTATTTTTTTAAATAAAATTGAATGCCTTCAGGTAGGGCAGAATAATCCTTGCTACAGGTTCCTCTCCCAGCACCCCTTTCTTTCTGACACTTCCAGATTTATGTGATATACATTGTCCATCTGAGTATTTTACTCTGCACCCTTAGATTTCAATCTGATCTCGAAGTGGTTAAAGAGATGAATTCTCTGTCCCCTACCTCAGCTCTCCTCCCCAGTCTTCAAGAAACTTGTTGTAAGTACACATGAGTATGAGCACTGATGGAGTGGGAAATGAATACTTATGAACTGAGTTAAGAGCACACTTAAGTGGATGATTTTATTTTCCTTCAGTGTCTCTGTGAACTGAAAGAAGGTAAGAGCATGAAAGGCAGGAAAAAGAGAATAGCCATTCTTTCTAACATTAGTGCCATGACACACCAACTGCAAGCCAGACATCTAGAACATGATACAACCTGCGATTAACTCATAACAATACGTAATACTAACACTACTGGAGCCCTTATATGCCAAGTAGTGTTCTTTACATAAGTAATTTATTTCATCCTCACACCAATTCAGTGATGTGGATAGTGTTCTTCATTTTGCAGATGAGAAAACTGAGACACAGAGAGGTCAAAGTATTTTGCACAACATCACATAGCTAGGAAGTGTCTGAAATAGGATTTGAATGCAGATAGGCAGATCCAGAGTTCATGCTTTTAATTACCACTCCCCACCCCGCCTCCCAAAAAAACTGAATGAATAAGAGTCTCTTGGCTAAATGCCTTTTCAAGTAGTGCTTTGTTGTGTCTCTGCTGAAAGATCTTGTCTTCCATATTGCCAGTAGCAAGATGCTGTTTTGATAAGGTGGGTAGGTCCAATCTGTCTTGTCTTCCTTACAAAATTATTGTTTGTATATCTATGTTCAGTCTGAGTGTTAATAATTTCTTTCTGCAAATGATAACCCTCTTGAACAGCCAGAACTTGAGCTAGACCTCAGGGTAGATTCCTAGCCCATCGATTAGGGCCTGTGTCTATGGAGGAGGCACAGTACACAGTGGGAGACCACTGTGGAGTTGATGCAGAGATCCTAGTGCTCCCTTCAGCCTGAAGAGAAAGTGTGAACGCTTTCCCACGGGGAAACAGGGACCTCACCAAGAAGTACTCCCCAAGAGAAAAAAGAAAAATGTCAGTGACAAAAGAAGAAAGTCGTGGGAGCCTGTGGGGCCCCTGAGGGTAGATCAGGAGGAAGTGTGAGTGCAGGTGCCCCTTTGGGCTCAAGTGAGAGTGACCCATAGAGACAATACTCAGTTTTGCTCTCCCATTCGCCATCCAGTGCAGATTATGCAATTTGTCTTCCCACACCCTCTTCCTCAACACTGCTTACCGCAAATCTCTAACTCTGCTGTTAAATCCTTTCCTCTCTCCTCAAAAACCCCATGTCTTTTATGCCACGCCTCAGCTTGCGGTGGTGTAATGAATACTTTTAGTCCAGTAACCCACAGCACACTAATGTGCCACTTTTGCTATGGTGATCTAAATTTTAAATAAGGAAAACTGCAGAGGGCAATGGTGGACATTTCAAAAAAAAAAAAATGAAAGACCAATTTTGGGGTTGGGGGACTGTCTTGCCCCTATCATGACAGGGAAATACCTTTTTTATATGTTGGAACTATTTTTTATTTCTCTTTTCCCACCTTGCTATGATTTAATGACTTTTAGAGTAGTGAACATTTCCTAAGTGAGTAGGGCAGAGTTCTCCCTTCATGACTTCATTCTTCCCCCATGAAAGCCTACCTTTTCCCAGTCTGAACCAATCCCTTCTGATTCTGGGCTTCTTTGCATTTATGGCATTTATCATAACATGAAATGTATTATATTGAGTTGTATCTGGGCCAACTTCCCCCACAGGACTGAGGAGGCCTCTTGGATGGAGGCCATGTTTTATTCATCTTTGCAACATTTATTTTTTTCTTCTTTTCCTCTTTTTTTCCTCATACACTTATCAAGCACATATTATACTCTTGAACCCGGTTTTGTTTTGCTGGGGATGAATAAGATACTGACCCTCTCCTTAAGGATGTTTGGACTGGGGTGGAGAAGATAGATGTACAAACCATACACTTATGATATCATAATATGATTCCTACATCAGTGGAATGTACAATAATTAGTGATAGACCAGAGGAAGGAATGATCCAATCTGCCTGGGGGAAAAGGGAGAGAATTTATGTTTATTAGGCACTAATTCTGGGCCAATTCTCAAAACTATCCTGTAAGTAGATATTGTTATCTCCAACTGATTAGGAGACAAAGGAGCAGAGAAATTAAACAACTCACAGGACAAATCTTGAAAGTAGTGTAGCCAGTATGACTTTTAAGTCATGTTCAATGTTAAAGTTGAACTTTGAAAAAAATATATGGGCTTTGATACCCGGACAAAGCGGGGAAGAATATAATAGGCAAAGGAAATATCCGGTGTGAATATTTTTAGGTAGGAAAGGGCCTAACACATTTAGGAGTCCACAGGTAATTTTGAGCACAGGGTAGGAGCTGGAGCTCTAGAGGGCCAGTGTATGAGGTTAGAGTGATGTGGTTTGTGGCTGGATTGATGGACAAAGAGCTAATTCCTGAACAGCCTTAGTTCTATGGTTAAGAAGTTTTTATTTTATTCTGTGAGTAACGGGGAGCCAGTAGATGATATAAAACGAGGCAATAAGGTGATTGTATTAACATTTAAGATGATAGCTCTAAGAGCAATGTGAAGGCACATTAGAAACAGAAGAGCCAGGAGTGTGGGAAGCCAAGTCCAGATTCCACCTTGGCCAATTTCCACCCAGGCCCTTCATGCTGCACAGCTCTACAGGGCACTGATCACGTGGTAATTTATGTGTATGTTGGCCCCTCGAGCTGTACAACTGCTCACTCCACAAAAAGAATTTTCTTCTCCCATACCTTGTTATACATTTCTATAATTGCACTTAAAATACTTGTTTTGTAGTTTTTCAAATTTACATGTCTTCATTTAATAGGTTTTGATCTGCTTAAAAGCAGAGAATAAGTTTCTCATCTCTCTCTTTCCAGCATTTAGTACTGGGCCTGGACCATAGCAGGTGCTCCATAAAGATTTCTTGAATGAGTAAATGAATGAGTAGAATTCCATAGCACTCTAGAAGAGTTGTATGATCATGAATTGGATGTCCTTGACTTCAGAAACTCAGCCATTTATTATTTATGTGAATTTCAACAGATTACAGTCATACAATGCTTAACAATGGGGATCTGTTCTGAGAACTGCATTTTTAGGTAATTTTGTCATTGTGCAAACATCATGGAGTCTACTTACACAAATCTAGATGGTATAACTGACTGCACACCTAGGCTATAGGGTATAGCTTATTGCTCTTAGGTCACAAGCCTGTACAGCATATTACTCTACTGAATAGTGTAGGCGATTGTAATACCATGGTAAGTATTTGCGTATCTAATCATATCAAATAGCAAAAATTTGGTATTATAATTTAATGAGACCACTGTCGTATATGAGGTCCATCATATGTGGTGCATGACTGTATTTAATCTCATTGAAATTGCTTCCTCAACTGTAAAATAGAAATAATAAAACCTAATACGTGGAATTGTCATGTTGACTAGAAATAATGTATGTAGTGTGCTTATATAAGTTCCTAGCCCTGGTAACACTTAAAAAACAATATCGTTTGCCCACTTTTTCATGGGATTGTTTGTTTTTTTCTTATAAATTTGTTTAAGCTCCTTGTAGATTCTGGATATTAGACCTTTGTCAGATGGATAGATTACAAAAATCTTCTCCCATTCTGTGGGTTGCCTGTTCACTCTGATGATAGTTTATTTTTCTGTGCAGAAGCTCTTTAATTAGATCCCATTTGTCAATTTTTGCTTTTGTTGAAATTGTTTTTGACGTTTTCATCATGAAATCTTTGCCCATGCCTATGTCCTGAATGATATTGCCTGTATTTTCTTCTAGAGCTTTTATAGTTTGGGGTTTTATACTTAAGTTTTTAATTTATCTTGAGTTAATTTTTGTATATGGTGTAACAAAGAGGTCCAGTTTCAGTTTTCCGCATATGGCTAGCCAGTTCTCCAAGCACCATTTATTAAATAGGGAATCCTTTCCCCATAGCTTGTTTTTGTCAGGCTTGATGAATATCAGATGGTTGTAAATGTACAGTCTTTTCTGAGTTCTCTATTCTGTTCCATTGGTCTGTGTGTGTGCTTTTGTACTAATACCACGCTGTTTTGGTTACTGTAGCCTTGTAGAATAGTTTGAAGTCAGATAGTGTGATACCTTCAGCTTTGCTCTTTTTGTTGAGGATTGTCTTGGCCATACGGGCTCTTTTTCGTTCTATATAAATTTTAAAGTAGATTTTTCTAATTCTGTGAACAATGTGAATGGTAATTTGATGGGAATAGCATTAGATCTATAAATTACTTTGGATGTATAGCCATTTTTGTGATATTGATTCTTCCTATCCATGAGCATAGAATGTTTTTCCATTTGTTTGTGTCCTCTCTGATTTCCTTGAGCAATGGTTTTTAGTTCTCCTTGAAGAGGTGCTTTACTTCTCTTCTTAGCTGTATTCCCAGGTTTTTTATTCTCTTTGTAGCAATTGTGAATGGGAGTTCATTCATGATTTGGCTCTTTGCTTTTCTGTTGTAGGTGTATAGGAATACTTGTGATTTTTGCATACTGATTTTGCACCCTGAGACTTTGCTGAAGTTGCTTATCAGCTTAAGAAGTTTTTGGGGTGAGACGATAGGGTTTTCTAGATACAGGATCAGGTCATCTGCAAACAGAGACAGTTTGACTTATGTAGCAAACCTGCACATCCTGCACACGTATCCCAGAACTTATAAAATAAAATAAAAATAAATAAAATTAAATTATAGGTTTATTATTAGTTGTAGCAAATGCTGTCAGTGCTGTCCATTTCCCTTGAACCCTACAATTAGGTGTAGTCTGGTCAGCTTCCAACTTTCAGTGCCTGCATTTCTGTGCCAGCAGTTTCTTCCTAGAACTTCAGGAGAGTGCCCTGCCTTCAGCATTCTAGAAGTGCTGGAACATTAATAGACAATGACTGACAGGATCCAGTGTACACACACCCAGCTCTATCACCTCCAAGAGGGATAACTCTGAAGTGTGTGTTCTACGTTAGTCTTAGTCTTCAGGTTCTCTGCAGGATTGAGCTACCACAGAGATAGCTGGTTTAGTAGTACACCCTTTAGTGGTTGCCTTTTCATCTCTGTTACTTCCTTGCTCCCCAAATGGTGGTCTTTGCACCTCCCAAATAAAACATTTCCTTCTTAAATCTTTGTTGGAACATCTACTTTTGGGAGATGGGGAATTTTCTTAAAATATAATTATTATGAAAGCAGATGAAATTTTCACATTTTGAAGAATTTTGAAAAAGCTTTTAGAAAAGTCATTATTTCTGTGGCAGAAGCCTAATGAGATTTTTCTTCACTTTTCTTGATTACAATTGTAACAGGGATTATAACCCATATTTTGCTGTCCCGTGGGTAAGTCACAGATCCCATATCTGGAGACCTGATTACTGGAGAATTTCATGGTCTTGTTGTAATAGTCTTGACCTTTAAGAATGGCCCTCATTGAGGGAAGGCGGATGGCATGTTTCTATTGTTCTACGGAGAATTCCATAGCCATCTTATATCTTCTTTGGGAAGGCATTATATAGTAAAATCAAGCAGAATTTCATTCATGTAACCCCTTCTTCTTTGTTTTTCCTCTCTTTCCTTATGCCTTCTTGCCTCCTAACAATCCTCCAGGTGTGGTTTCAGAACCGAAGAGCCAAGTTCCGCAGGAATGAGAGAGCCATGCTAGCCAATAAAAACGCTTCCCTCCTCAAATCCTACTCAGGAGACGTGACTGCTGTGGAGCAGCCCATCGTACCTCGTCCTGCTCCGAGACCCACCGATTATCTCTCCTGGGGGACAGCGTCTCCGTACAGGTGAATGACTGGCCCACTCTCCCTTGCTCCACTTCCACATGTTTCTCAGCGGTCGGTCATGTTTCAAGCTGCTTGTGCAGCTCACCGACATTTCTTACTGGGTTAATCTCTTCAGAGACATTCAACTTGCTGACATCCCCACATTTTCCCAGGAGATTATAAGCTGCCCCAGCAGCAGGGTTTGGGGCAGAAGTGAGAGGGGCAGGCTATCTCACCAATCTCCTCTTGGACTCAGGAACTCTTGCAAAGGTTTCAAAGATGAGGAAGAATCTAAAAGAAAAGATCATTAAGCTGTGCCCAGTGTTCCTCTTGCAACAATTCTGGAACAAAACTTTACCCTGTTTCCAAATTTAAGCTAAATTCGTTGTATTATGCAAATGTAGGGACGTAACTTGTAAAACTCCAAGTATAGGGCCAAAGGCAAACTTTGCAGTAAAACTGGCTTTGAATTAAAAAAAGGAAGAAGGAAGGAAGGAAGAAAGAAAGGAAAGAAGGAAGGAAGGAGAGAGACGAGAGGGACTATGACAGAGAGAGGAGGAAAGAAAAGCCAAGTTCATTCTGATCACTTTCATGGCCAAGGTTCTTTGTTAGTAGGTGTGAATTTCTTATAATGCCAAATGCCTTCCTAATCTATTGCTAATTCTTGTCTACTTGTCTGAAGTTTTCTCTGGGGATCAGTTTGTGTGTATTTGTGTGTGTGCGTGTGTGTGTGTGTCTGTGTGTGTTTCTTTTAAATAAAAAAGGAATGTATAATTTACACTAAACTTTTATATTAAAAAGTTGAACATTTTTAAAGAAACAAATATCAGAGTACTATTTCAATCTCATAAAGAGGCTTTTAACCTCCCATTATTATGCTGTTCAGAAAATATAGGCTGCCAGAAGGGAAGCTGAGACACAAATTCCTAACCCATTGGATTAGTCTAGAGTGACTTTCTTTGAAAATATACCTGAGTACTCTGAGAAACCAGGCCAAGCCTACGTGTTCTCCCTGGCTGATTTCAGTGGAGGAAGAACTATTCAAAAATTCATTTATTATGCTTTTGTTTACCTTTTTATTGTCAAGGTTAATTATTGGTTTAAGGAGAGGTTTTAAATGAAATATAGGAGATTATGTCTCAGATGAAGTTGAATTTCTGACATGAAATGCTACATTTTTGAAATGCAAGTGTTTTTCAAAGGTTCTTAGCTTTAATCAAAGCAAAAAGCCTCATCTAAAAGTTTCTTTCTGTTCCAAATCAGTTCCTTTAGAGAAACATGGTAAATGCACTTGGAAATTTGTTTTAATCCCCTGTTATAAAATTAGCCTGAATTCTTTTTGTCTTAGCACATAGAGACCCTACATCTAGGAAAGTCTTATTCTGGGCCCTATTGCACTCAGATGTGGTGTGCCTTACTGATCTTGAAACATTAGTTATATCTGTGTGCCCTATTTTAAATTTAAACTCCTCTCCTATAAGATTTACTACAAATACATTTTTTGAAGACCACTGTAAAATCACATATTCTCTAATATTTTAAATAAATGAAAGGCTGCTTTATTTCTCTTATAAACATTGGTATAAGAGAAATTTGGTGTGTTCATGAACACGCTAAATGGCTTGGAAAATGGGTGTGGTTCAAAGCCTGATGCTTCAAGATCTCTGGTTTGAATTTGGTCACAACCAGGAAGTATTGCCCCTTTTTCTGTCTGGGTCCTCCATAGGAACTTTTCATACCAGCCATAAACAATCCAGATGGCTGCCACGTGGTCCTTACCAGTGAGAGGCGTCACACAGCACACACTGCATGAATGGGGATGAAATCATTCCTGAATTAATATAGGGTTATATTACTTGGACCTCAGCCATTTGAGCCTCAGTGTCTGCATCATATGTGTTTAGTATATGGACATCTAACTGAAATTATTAACGTGGCAATTTATGCGTGCCTTTTTTGGAAATATTCTATTTTAATGGAAAGAATTATGTAGAAATACTGGATACATTTTTAAAAACATCCATAATTCACCATCTTGACATAACTAGTATATTCATTTTTGTGATTAGAGTTCAATGTTTTATATAGATGTAGCTTTAGTGTATATATTATTTTGTATTCTGCTCTTTTCACTTAAAGTCATATGACCTAGTACATTTTACTCATTTCTTGGTATGCTTTTATATCATTTCTCTCTTAGAAATTGGATTTGTAAAAATTAATTTAGAAAATCATAAAATCTGTTCATATTCTGTATGAAGAATAAATTAATCTTCAGATATAAGCAGAAAAGTGATGTTAAAACAATAATTTAATCAATAATAATGTTTTTTGATCCAATGTTGACTGAAGTGTTTATATTTTGGTTGATTTCTAAAAGTAGCAAAAAGCTATTCTGTTATTTGGAGAATTTTCTGCTATGTTTAGAACCAAACTATGTTATGATTTCACACTTTGAAGCTTGATAGGAAATATTGTTAAGGAAATAAAAAAGAAAAACAAGTGATCCAAAGCAAAGGAAATGATAGACTTTTGTGTTATGAAAAATTAACTCACTGTTCTTGTTGGTACTATTATGTCAAGTTAGTTATCTCACATGTGACACTCATTAAAAGGCATTTCTCTTGGTTAATTCTTGGAACACTGTTGTGTGATAGCTCTGTCTTGCTGTGCTTCCAAAGAAGAGACTAAACACTTGCCCAAATTTAAGTCTTCAGCAAGGAGAATTAGAACTAATGCTTGTGTTCCCTGTTTTCATCCAACATGTTAAGCCACACGACTATATTTTCATTCAAATTAAACCTTGCATTGTATTGAAAGTAGTAAAAAAAGTATAAGATTGGAAAACTATCTAAAATCCCCTTTTTATGCAAGAGATATCTCAGATCAGTGAGGCATGCCTGCAGCTGAAGTCCACACTCTGTGGGGACCTCATCCCATTGGACTGATAGACGTGGCTTGGTCATACAAGCCAGAGACAGTGAGCGACAGTTTTGCCAGAAAGGATATTTTGCTGACTTCCACAGTTATCCCCTGAAAAAAGAAAGGAGAAAACCAAGGCATAAAAGCAGTTATTTGCATATGGTCAGAATTTTGGGTTGGAAAATAGCCAACATACTTTTTTCTGGGTGTCTTTTACATCCAGAGTCATGGATGTGTAATTTATTGTTCAAACTGGGACATTTTTTAGAGTGAAAGGGGAGCATTATTAATAATTATACTAGGACAACAGGTATAAGCCAGGATTGTCCCTAGCAAACTGGGACATATAGTCTGCTCTAATTATAGCTTGTCATGACCTCACTCATTCCCTTGAGCATGTTAGAGGTGATGACATTAGGCAGGCAACTGAGTCACCAGAGGGACAAAGCATTCCCTATCACGGACACTGTTGTCCTGGCAGGTGCCTTCTTTACATCCGTGGCCAGTTAAAGGAAGCTTGTTTTTGGCACACACACCCATTGCTTAACTCAGAACTATTTTTCTTAGGCAACTTGTAAGAGTGAAAGCACACACAAGCACCAGAATTATTCAGACTCACTAATCTTGCAGTGCTTTGCTTCGTGCTTCGTGGGTAGCAGTGATCAACCAAGTCCTGAACTTTTGACTGTTATTTGAGATGAAGTAGCCAAGAAACATTTTCTCAGAGACATCCTTTCCTAGGTGAAGTGGATAGTGAATGGCCTGGTTTTGCATTATTTACCTGAAGTGCCATTTCCAGAGGGAGGGCTGGGCTTAAAAGAAAGCTAGTGATGAGTGAAAGAGAGGTCAGCTATCCTTGTCCACAGCTTCCCTCCCCATCCTTCTCCTCCCCTCATTTGATCGTGGTCATGGTGCTGCCTGACATCTGCTGAACGCATTTGGCTTATTTCTCCCTTTCACACTTTCAAAAATAGATCCTCGTCCCTCCCAAGATGTTGTTTACACGAGGGGCTTCATAACGGATTCTAACGGAAGACACTGAAAAGGTAACTTGTCAGAGGGGGAAGAGGGTGGCTGCTTGGGGTAGGGTTTAAGTGGGAATTCAGAGTGTTTAAGAAAGTGGGGGTTGCAGTTCTAGAAATTTCAGCAGTGAAGTCCTCAAGTGAGGAATATTATTGGTAACCAGAGCTGCAAGAAAGCATGTCCACTAAATGAAGCATAGTGTGATACTAATCTAGAGCAGGGCTCTTCAGAGATTGCTGTGCACAGGAAACATCTGGGATCGCGTGACTGTGCAAACTCTGATTCACTAATTCCAGGTTGGAGCTTGGATTGTGTATCTCTAACTTGCTTCTAGGTGATGCTGATGCTGTTGACACTTGGTACACATTTTGAATAGCGAGACTTTGTAGGTTACAGGACGGGGTTCGGAAGAACTACGTTCTTGTCCTGGCTTCTGCTGCTCCTCAGGCCAGTCAGATCATTGCTCTCTTATGCAGCTTTGTATCTAACATGAAGCTAGCAATAATCTCCCTATTGCTTATTTCACAGGGGTGTTTGGAACCTATCGATAAGCAGTGTGCGCTTCAAAAAAAGTCTTGCAACAATAGAAAGATACAAGAGGCTTTATATATAAAAGTATTTCTAAAATGAAAAGTTAAACATAGCAGAAAGATCACTGAACATACAGTACAAACGGAAAGCTTACCAATGAAATGTGCAAGTGTGTTCACTTTAAGAGATAAATATACGTATTAGAAAATCAACTTCTGAATTTCAAAACAGAAGTTAGAAATAGAAGTTAGTTATTTAAATCACAAAAGATCCCTTTCCAAAGAATTTACCAGATCTCTTTTTAAAAGTAAATTTCCCTAGGAAAACTGGTATTACATTTTATCAGGTGAAGCAAGTATGCCTCCGTTGTTCTTGCACTGACAAAAGAACAAACCCGAGACTTTCTGCAACTTCTATGCATCACAGTCTTGAACACCGTAACCCCTACAGTCTTTGAAAAAATCCTGAGCTGGTGAAACCCAAGGATTTCAGGAAAACTCATAGACTTCTCGGCTGACAGATTTGTCTTTAGGGTGAAATTGTAAACATCTTGTCATCATTTGTTCAAAGGGCCAAATAGAAAACAAAGAGTTGAAAATAGAGTCAGGTATTATTTTTTTCCCAAGCTATCAATTGTTTTGTGATTTGTGGGACTTAACACTATAGGTGTTTAGAAAGCAGAGGGGCAGTTGTCCATACGTTTCCTGGCTTTAAAATCGTAGTACGAATAGTATTTTCCATACTTCCTCAATGTTTGACAATCATTTTAACACATTTTTTTTTCCTCACAACTTTCAGGGTAGGTTGAAATGATAAAAAATGATTTGTCCCAGTGAAAACAGTACTCCACCTCTGCTAGTGGTTAGCATTCTGCTCTCTATGGCTGTGTTGCATCTGTTAGGAATCTCCAAACAAGTAAATGGAAACATTTGAAGCTGATTTAAATGTGTCAGCTCTGTGTAAGTCTCAGGGCAGATTAGCTGAATCAACAGATGGGGTGCAAGCATTTATTATTAATCTCTAATTTCTCAATGCACTTTATTCAGTAATGTGGTTTCTTGGTCACTGACACAAAGAACTTAACTAAAACTAACTAAAAATGGGGCTTTAGCCAAAGCCTAAAAACTCAGTCCCAGAACTTATGTCTGTACCCCACTTCCAAGAATAAGTGGGTTTTACTTAGAAGGCAAGACCAACAGGCAGGATCTCTGGTTGTTGTTAAGCAGGCTTCTGGTTGTTGTCATGTGCTTAATCTGTACAAATCACTTAGCTTCAATCTCACCATTTTACCCGAGCAAGCTTAATCCTGTATAGGAAGGACTGGTCATTTTACATGTTCCGAATGGCCCTATAAATTGGTTGAAAACAGTTAATTACCCTCTTTGGACTTTTAAGAAAACATTTCAGGGTTCTCTTTCTTTTCCTAAAGCAGAACGTCAGAAGTCTCCGTGACATGGAAAGCAGATGGTCACAAACAATTTCATATTGGCAGCCACTCAAGGCTCTCTTGCATCTGTTGACACTTTAGGAGGCAGGTCCTCTGCATCTTACTTCTAATGCCATTTTTGAAGAATGACTAAGATACTCTTAGAGTACTCACTCACTAATTCTGTCTTTTCTGACTTGTAATACAAGTTTTGCTTTTCACTGGTATATCCAAGGACTGCTCACTGCTTGCCTGTATGGCACCCTTAGCTCAAATTGAGAAGCTAGATCCATGTCAAACTACTGGAAAACAGACTTGCAATTATTTAGTATGTGTACAAAATATTATTGGAATCCCTATTTGTAGGATTACATATTCTAAACATTTGTTAAGAGGCTGTGAAATAAGATGGCTTTGGTTCTTTTATCCTACTTCTTGCGGCTATAGGATGCTGAAACAAGTTAAATCAATTTTGAAAGTTTATACATTTCCTAAGCATTTATCAAGGGAAAATATTATCACCTATCAAGCTCCTAGGGAATTGCTAAATTCATTCATTAAAAACAACTACTTGTTAATCCACTAATTTGAGGGATACCTATAAGGCATTGTCACAGACTTGCCTCTGGTGGTGTTCTTATACAATGCCACCATATAATCAGACGAGGGCACTGTTCTTTACTGTGGAAAAGCAGGCTGCCGTTTATGTGAAAAATGTGCCAGTGAATATCCAATCTCCTGTGTAATAGATGATCTGAATTCCCATTAATTTGTTTTTGAGATAGAAAGTGCATTAACATTCATCTCATTTGGGATATTACAGTCTTGCCTACATTCAAGAGAGAAACTCAGTATTTCCAAGAAATGTGTTACCCTGCTAAGTCCTCAGACTAGAATATCAGGTGGTAAAGCTAGTTGACTCTGAAATCACTACAGCAAAAACGGTTATGCAATAGACAACTTGTAATCGTTATTATAGGAGACATTTCTGGGAAATAGCAATAGCATCTTCAGTAAACTAAAATAATCTCCCCAAGGTTCTAATCTCCCTTTTTGGCTAAAGAGATGGAATACAGCTTTGATTATCTAAGAAAGGGCACATTTCTGTTACATAAGACTTTGCTTGTCCAGAATCTCAAAAAACACATCATCTTTCAGAAAATTAGACCAAGTACTTAAAAGCACAATATTCTATGACAATCTACAATTTGGGATGAGAAAATTTTTCTTTATACTCTCTCATAAGTTTTAGCTTTCTGTTTTCAGAAGCCATTCAAATTTGTTCTCAATACTTAGCAAATAATACAGACAACTCCTAATTCCAGCTTCTCTTCTATGTGTTTACAATTTCACTAATTGTGCATCATCTTTAGGGCTTAATTCTCTCACAGAAACCTGATTAAGAAAGGTTGACTTGGTTGATTTTATAATAATCTATGACTTAGGTACATTTCCCAAATCCAATAGTCTTTTTTTCTCAGATACTTAGATCTTCGGATTCTTGGTATACCCTAGAAATTTTTTGAATATAGGTTTTGTGGGTTTACATACATTTATGGTAAGGTCTTGAATGGAACTGTGAACTAAATGATAATACATATATGGGCTTTGAAAATAAATGACATTTCTTGGTATATTCTAAAACAAACTTGTCCCACTTTAGTGTATCGTTCTGGTCATTTATCTCACTTCTAACTTAAACCTACCTTAACTGGGAACTCTTCTGCTTCTATCCCTTGGTAGGCAGTGGTTGAAGTGATAGTCTAAACTGTACTAATAACTTGTTCAGTTTTTATTGTGAAATATATTTTTTGATGGATCCAAGTATACACAGTCACCAGCTCCTGCTTTTGTCATGTCCTACTGACTTTGCCCTTTCTATTAAGATAGTAAAATTGGCAGTAAGGACCAGTTCCTATGAATAAAAGCATATTGGTAAGATTTTTTTTTTTTTTTTTTTAGAAATCATTGCTCACAGCAGAATGACAGAAACCAATGACATCGAGCAGGAATCAATTTAATCACACTATATATAGATATTTCTTAGTTATCTGTCTATTCATTGAACACATGGTACTAGATATGGTGTCATTTCTACCTGAGGAAACAGTTGTGAACAAGGCAGATGTGGTGTCTGATCTATGGAGCTTATAGTTGAAACAGTGATAGATACTAAACAAATTATTAACTAAACTTGAATCAAGTGCTAAAAGCAAAAGTTTAGTGTGTTATAAAAGAACGTAGCCTGGTCTAGAGGGTTGAGATCATCTATCATGAAATGATGAGTAAGAGTTAAGCAGGCAAAACTGAAATAGAAGAAGGTAGGATCCTTTTGAAACCTTTCTGAGTCTCCTGTGTCAGAACACATACATGTATGTGTGCACACACACACACACAGTCACCCATACACTTAACCAGGGCTATAAAGATTTTAAATTAAAGATGTATATTTCTGGAAAGACCTAGTGATCTGGGACTCATTATATTTCTTAACTTAATTTTCTTGAGTTAATTATTAGTAACTGAGCTGAAATAGGTTATTATGAGTTTTGACTCCGTGGTGTCCCAAATAAGTATCAATGATATATTCTATTTGTGGAGTAGCTTTACTTTTCTCTCTTTCTGATCTTGTCACTTGATCCCCAGAACCACAAAGTCTTATGTGGCTGACAAAATTCCATTGGAATGCAGGCAACAGAAGAGCACATGTCATTCCATTTATAAGTCTATCTCATTCCAGCCCTGAGTTGAAAGGGATTTTGCTAATCTTAGAAGCAACTAAAAACATTTTTATTGAAGTAAAATATGTATACTTTTAACTATTTAGTAGAAAGACTAATTTGCTATTAAGTCTATGAAACCATTTCTTTTTCCTTTAACAGAGATTCATGGATGCAATTAACAGAAACCCACCAATGATAAATTTCTGCCTAGTGGTGTTCTTAGGTCCTAATTGTAATCTATGACAATGAAAAACAAGTTTAGATTTTTCTCAGCAATGAAGACAGTGAGAAACAGTTACCTCTGAAATCAAGAATGCTGAAAATGGAGACTTTGATAGTTTATCTAGGAGATTTAAACATTTTCAAAATAACTGACCCAAAAGGCAGTGTATGCTATTCAAGTTCTCTTGAGGAGGTTTTAAAATCAAGGCCAGTGGCTTAGTAACCTCTTGATTCAGCAAGCTTGGTGCTATCAACCAGTAAATTAAGAATGGCAGAGAACATATGTTAGGTTGTTTAACTGGTTCTCCAGGCACATTATTTATTATGGTATTTATTATCTAAAATGTGTTAGAATTAAGGTCAGTTATCTAGAGTGAAGGAGCAAAATTCCCTTTAGTTTATTTTCAAATGCTTGTTTCTATTCCCCACTGCTCCCACAGGCTGGGGAGGTAGGCAGGACAAGAGATTAAATACTGTTTTAATAAGTCAGCTGATGAAACACCTGCTATTCAACTTGAGCAACTTTCTTCTCTCACCCCAGAAATAAATCATTACTCACTGTATCCACCACAACAAATACCTCTTCCTCCCTTTCCTCACTCTACACCACTTTCTCCTGCTCTTCAAAACATGACCACTCTTCCCTAAGTACCTTAGACGAATGGAAAGCTGGGGCTGTAAGGGACCCTAGAGGTCATCTAGTCCAAGCCATTGCCCCTGCCTGCCCCCATGCTGAGAGTACATCCATCTGGGGCACAGACTTGCAGCTTTGTGAAACTAATGCCTGTTATTCTCCCTGCTCTCTCCTTTGTCCCTACAGCGCCATGGCTACTTATTCTGCCACATGTGCCAACAATAGCCCTGCACAGGGCATCAACATGGCCAACAGCATTGCCAACCTGAGACTGAAGGCCAAGGAATATAGTTTACAGAGGAACCAGGTGCCAACAGTCAACTGAGGAAAAAAAATAATTAAACAGGCCTAAGAAGAAATCAAAAACCATAAGACACCTATCCTGCTCTGTTATTTCTTCATCTGCTGGGGGGAAAAAGTAAATTACAAACAAACAAACAAAGCAGAACTAAAATATTGGGACCATGGCAGAGAAAAGCAGGAGAGGAGCAAAATGAAAATTAGTTAACAAATGTTCCTCCTCCCTCTGGGATACCACCACCACTTGTTTCTGTGTGTGTTTATTTTGTTTTTCTTTCATTCATGCTTTGCTTAATGTACTCCAGGCTTCTTCAGCTAGGTTCAGCCCACCCACCCCCATGATTGTATGAAGTTTTAAAAAAAACTACAGCAGCCAAAGAAACTATATATATATATATATATATATATATCCAGAATGATTGCCTCTACTGTCCTCATTGACTTGTTTGAACCTTAGTGCCTTACCCTGTCCTCTTCCCAGTTCTCTTTATAGAAGCTCTAGGAGCTTTCGAAAAGCCAAAGTCTTTCTGAAGAATCTGTGCTGGACAGACATAATTCCCTTTCTCATTGTCTCCATCTTTGTTGGTCATGGTAAGGTTTTTCCATCAGCCTCTGAAAAAATAGTTGTGCACAACATCTGCTCACTGGACTGTCTGATCCAATGTAATTGGCTGCGTCTGGCTAATTCTAAGCACTAAAGTCTACATCTAAGCTATAGATTTAAGCTTGAAGCTACAGATTATATCACTATCACCACCACCCCTCACCCTATGCAATCAATCAATCAATCATCTTAAGTTAAAGATATTTGTTGTCTTTGAATGATTTGCTGTCACAGACTATTTGGTAGAAGAAATATTTTTCACCTGAGAGAGGAAGAGAAATTTCTCTAGTAACACAAAGAGTGAGTTCTAAAAGGCATGCCCACATCTCTTTCGTGCCTTAAGGATAGTGAGATGCACACTTATATATATACTGTATATATTTATATATTTATATATATATTTCATATATATATATAATATTGCAAGCTTAAGTTTGCAATTTCCCAAACAATACAAAAAGCAAATTACACACCCTCACCACTGTTCTTATCTCTATAGTGATGAAACATTAATTAGGGATCTTGCTGCTTTTCTTTTTCTACACGAAGTTTTCATTAAAGCCACAGAATAATTGATAGGGCAGCTGTTTGAGAACAGGTCCCATTTTCACATTAGGGCTTTAAATGAATTAGAAACTATTTGAGGCTATAAAAATGTCCTTGAGTTTGGAGCCTGAGCTCTGGTGAAATGCTGATACATCTGATCTATCATGGGAATTGCAGTTAGAGAGAGTAAGGAATACCATTTAGTCATCTATCCGTTCTTCACTTAGCAGGAATATGAAAGAAAGGCACATGTTTAAGAGGAATACCTAAAGGTTTTTCTAAATTCCAACATTTAAAAGGCAATTGTGGGCTATTTTTATTTTTTAATATTTTGAAATAAAGTTTAGTGTCTAGGGCTGGGAGCCAGGACTGATCTTCCATTTCTTTTTCTTTGTTCCCAGCCATGCTTTTGTAACTTGCCAGGTGGACTTGACCAACTACATTACCATGCTGTGCCTCAGTTTACCCATTTGTAAAATGGGATTAATAATACTTACCTACCTCACAGGGGTGTTGTGAGGCTCTATTCATTTGCTCCTTTATTCTTTCCTGTATTCTCTGTATGTCCAGCACTTTGTAGCCATGGGAGGAAAGGGACTATAAAAGTGTACAATGTTAATGGAATGATACGGTACCTGAAAGCCTTGTTTTCTAGTAAGAAAATGCTACCTTGCTGTACATACTTATAACCTTGTATTTGGAAATGAGAAATAGGTTTATATTTTCAGATCTCTCAAAAATCACATCATTTGACCAAAGAATAATTTAAGACACATAGAACAGATTTTTTTAATTTATATTTTCATCCTGACCAGCTTAGTTCTAATAATTTTTAGTTGTGAGTGATTAAAAAACTTTGGATCAATTTTGGTCAAACATGCCAACTTTGTAGTCTGAGTGACAGGCAAGGATTTTTGGGTTTAAGATGCACTTTTAGCACACATTTGTATTTCCCTTGGCATATCAGATTGAGCTAATGGTGATGTTATTTCAATCTAACAGCCACCAATCTGAAATTGTATTTCAAATGTTGATTCTGTAGTTCTTTAAATAATAATGAAGCTCATCTTATACATTTTGCTTTCACCAATTGATTCCTTCTTCTTTTAGCCCACTATTAAAACATTTCTTACTGAATGGTTCATGTAGGCTTGCTGAACAGCACGCATTACTTGCTTCCTGAAGAGTTCCCCCATTCATCCATTTGTCCCATTAGTTGCTGTGGATTATCAAGTTTTGAAGGAACTGTACATCCCAACAGACTGAAACATTCTAAGTGAAATGAGTATAATCCAAGTAACTGGTGAACTTTGGAGGTTTGGAGCTTGAAGAGAATGGCTAAGAAGATTTGAATTATAGGGAGGGAACAGAAATCATACATGAAAAGGTTTTACTGAGAAGGGGAAAACCTTAGATAGAGGGACATGTGAAACAAAATCATTTGAAATTTTGATTCAGACATCCATTTCCAGTGGCAAACAGCAAAGCCTGAACCCATAAACCCAAATGATAGGTGAAGTTGGGTGGTTTTATCCAATGTCTCAAGCAAGCAATGTCTGGGAATATCATAGAGTAACAAGTGCTGGTCAGCCAAAGAAACATTCACTGCTGGTGAACCAATACCATAAGCATGTATTATCTAAGCACTTGATCAAGAAATATACATGTTGTACAAGCTCTCAATTTTGTTCATTTATTATCAAATTTTTAAAATACAAGTTTGGTATGTGATTTGGAAAAGATGCCTTCTGGATCTTAAGCCAGTTGTCAGTGGAGGTCCTCAGGGCTGCAAATGTCAAGACATAACCCTGTTCCTCACCATCATGATACCAGATACAGGTGAATACATAGGAACTATCTGCCTGTGTCCTCAATCTCCCTTCAAACAAGATGCTGATTTGTAGGGTACTTGGCAGGTTAAATTAAACCAGAAGAGGTGACTTAATAAAAAAGGGAATGACATTTAGGGTATAAAGATCTCATAAGAAATGTAATATGTAAATTATATCTTGCTTTATGTTGTAAAATATACATTGTTTGCGCTAGAATAGAAATGATTTCTTTTCAATAAAAAGAAAGAAGGACTCTACCATGTCTTTTGTTATATACATTTAAGCCTGCTGATTCTTTTCTCTTTGAACTTCAAAAACACAGATCTGCTAGAATCTGAGATTACATGCAGAACAGTGAAGGTAAGAAGGGCTTATAGACAAGATAACTTTATCTGAGTGTGATATTATTTTCCATAAAACAGGAAAATAATCTATTTTTCCTCAGAAACAAAGACAATGGTAGGAAGAAGAGGGGACACTTACTATTATAATAGATGAGAATAGAGTGGAACTTTTATGAGAGTTTAGCATTTTCAAAATCAATATCTTTAACATTCACAATACTGGACACCATATGGAAAAGACTTCATATAAGCATGGCTGTTTCTTCTGGAGTAAAGAAATAGAAAAATAAAATTTCTTAAGCATCCATTGTGCATAGCATGGGTGTGTGGTCATGGGGAGGACAGAAAAACTAAATTGTGAGACACAGATGCTGTTTTCATATCAATTAAAATCTGGTTTAAAAAGCAACCCTAGCATGCAAAAATAAGCAACAGTTCAAGATAATATATTAATAAGTATCAAACAGAACAGATAAAAGGAGTTCAGAAGAGGAAGAGAGAGAACATGCTGTTAGTTGAAGTGGGAGACCAGTTTTACAGAGGAACTGGGACTTGAATTTTATCAGCAAGGATCCGGACAGGTGAAGAACAGGTGATGGCTTTTCAAGTGAGGGCATGGAGAAGAAGGGGTGAAGGCAGGGATATAGGAATGAGGAATTTGTATTCAAAGATGTATGGCAAAATGGGCCTGGATGAGATGGAGAGTTAATTTTAAAGTTGAATGGAAGATACTAGAGATGCAAGTTGAGGCTTAATCTTGCAGGGTACCACATGTCAAAGATGTTTGGACTTTTCCTCAGGCCACAGAGATCTATTGAAGGCTTTTGAGCAGAAAAAAAAGCCATGTGAAAAAATGCTACTTTAGGCCAGGCGCGGTGGCTCACGCCTGTAATCCCAGCACTTTGGGAGGCCGAGGCGGGCGAATCACAACGTCAGGAGATCAAGACCATCCTGACTAACACAGTGAAACCCCATCTCTACTAAAAATACAAAAAATTAGCCGGGCGTGGTGGCGGGTGCCTGTAGTCCCAGCTACTTGGGAGGCTGAGGCAGAAGAATGGCGTGAACCCGGGAGGCGGAGCTTGCAGTGAGCCGAGATTGCGCCACCGAACTCGAGCCTGGGCGACAGAGCAAGACTCTGTCTCAAAAAAAAAAAAAAAAAAAAAAAAATGCTACTTTAGCAGGATTATTCTGGTAAAAGAATGAAGGTAAACTAGAGCAGAACAGGAACTGGAAGCAGATAATATAGAGATTGCTGCAAGGGGAACAAAAAAGAAAGGATGATTAGAAAACATCTTGCAAGGAAAGAATCATTGGGACTTCATAGCAAGAAAAAGAGAATGGAGTCAAAGGTAATATTGGTTTAAAACCTGGGGACTGGGAAAATGAATCAGTGACAAAACTGACAAAATCTACCCAAAATGGAAAATACCAAACTACAGAAGATAAGCACAATTTTTGTTGTATTATTGAAGCTGGAAATCCAAATGTAAGCATGCAGTAAGTGAAGACATAAAAATGGGACTTGGTACCAAAGTCGAAGATGGAGATATAAGTTTGAAATTAATCTTTAAGGAGGTGATACTTAGAGGTACAATAACAAATGGGTTCATTGAAATGAGAGAGTGCCATTATGACTCAAATAATTATTCCCAGTAAATGACTTAAAGTAGTTTCAGCCAGGGAGGAAGACAATACTTTGAAGAACATCTCTAGTTGGGGAGATGGCTAATAAAGTGTATTTAAAAGCAGCTGTTTGAAAAATAGGAGATTTAAGCTTATTTATTATTCCAGAGTTAAGAGAGGTTTTCAAAAAGAAGGGAATGTTTAATATATTCAAATATTATAGATAAGGCCAGCTAATTGGGAATGGAGGAAAGACCATTGGATTCATGACTTTCAAAAGTACAGTTCACCAGAGTGCTGGAGGGGGAAGGTTGATTTAGCAAGTTATGGTAGGAATAAATGCTTTTAAAAAATGGAACCCCTTGCATGGCATTATAAGCTTATTAATAAGGATTCTTTCAGTTGCAAGTAGTAGAAACATCAAACTAGTCAAATTTATAAAGAGGCTTTATTTGAAGGACAGCTCACCCAGCCGAGATATGCTGCCAGAGCCAGGACAGCCCCAGGGATCCTAGACCCTGGAACAAAGCCTATACCTGTTTTTGTCAAGTTGGGCTGCTATAACAAGATACCATAGACTGGTAGCTTTAAAAACACACAGTTATTTCTCACAGTTCTGGAGGCTGGGAAATGCAAGATCAGGATGCTGGCAGATTCCGTGTCTGGTGAGGGCCCTTTTCCTGAGACAGCCATCTTCTTGTGGCTTTACACGGCAAAAAGAGTGAGCTCTAGTTTCTTTCTCTTATAAGGACATCAATTCCACAGTGGTGGCTCCACCCTCATGACGTCAGCTAAACCTAATTATCCCCAAATACCCTACCTACTAGCAATATCCGATTGGGGGTTAAAGTTCCAACATATGAATTTAGATGGTACACAAACTTGCAGGCCTTTTAAGGCAGGTATAGTAGTCTGTTCTCACACTGCTAATAAAGATATACCTGAGACTGGGTAATTTATGAAAGAGAGTTTAGTGGCCTCACAGTTCCACAGGGCTGGGGAGGCCTTACAATCATGGCAGAAGACAAAGGAAGAGCAAAGGGTTGTGTTACATGGTGTCAGGCAAAAGAGCTTGTGCAGGGGAACTCTCATTTATAAAACCATCAGATCTCGTGAGACTCATTTACTATCATGAGAACAGTATGGAGGAGACCACACACATGATTCAGTAATCTCCACCTGGCCCTGCCCTTGGCACATAGGGACTATTACAATTTGAGGTGAGATTTGAGTGGGGACACAGCCAAACCATGTCACTCCACCCCTGGTCCCCTCTAAATCTCATGTCCTCACATTTCAAAACCAATCCTGCCTTCCCAACAGTCCCCCAAAGTCTTAACTCCTTTCAGAATTAACTCAAAAGTTCAAGTCCAAAATCTCATCTTAGACAAGGCAAGTCCCTTCCACTTAAGAGCCTGTAAAATCAAATGGAAGTTAGTAACTTTCTAGATACAATGGGGTACAGGCATTGGGTAAATATACCTGTTCCAAATGGGAGAAATTGGCCAAAATGAAGGGGCTACAGACCTCATGTGAGTCCGAAATCCAGCAGCACGGTTAAATCTTAAAGCTTCAAAATGACCTCCTTTTCTTCCATGTCTCACATCCAGGGCATGCTGCTGCAAGAGGTGGGCTCCCATGGCCTTGGTCAGCTCTGCCCCTGTGGCTTTTCAGGGTACAGCGCCCCTCCTGGTTGCTTTTTCACAGGCTGGTCTTGAGTGTCTGTGGCTTTTCCATGTACACAGTGCAAGCTGTCAGTGGATCTACCATTCCGGGGTCTGGAGGATGGTGGTGCTCTTCTCACAGTTCCACTAGGCAGTGCCCCACTCTGTTTGAGGTATCTCACCCCAAATTTCCCTTCTGCACTGCCCTCGCAGAGGTTCTCCATGAAGGCTCTGCCCTTGCAGTGTCACCTCTGCCTGGATGTCCAGGCATTTTCATACATCCTCTGAAATCTAGGTGGAGGTTCTCAAACCTCGATTCTTAACTTCTGTGCACCTGCAGGCTCACCACCACATGGAAGCTGCAATACCTTTGGGTTTGCACCCCTGAAGCCACAGCCCAAGCTCTATCTTGGTCCCTTTTAGCCATGGCTGGAGTAGCTGGGATGCAGGGCACCAAGTCCCTAGGCCATACACAGCAAAGAGGCCCTGGGCCCAGCCCATGAAACCATTTTTTCCTTCTAGGCCTCCAGGCCTGTGATGGGAGGGCTGCAGTGAAGGTCTCTGACATGCTAACATGCCCTGGAGACATTTTCTCCATTGTCTTTGTGATTAACATTTGTCTCCTTGTTATTTATGCAAATTGCTACAGCAAGCTAGAATTTCTCCTTAGAAAATGGGTTTTTCTTTTCTATTGCATCACCAGGCTGCAAATTTTTCAAACTTTTATGCTTTGCTTCCTCTTGAACACTTTGCTGCTTAGAAATTTCTTCTGCCAGATGCCCTAAATCATTTCTCTTAAGTTCAAAGTTCCAAAAATCTCTAGAGCAGGGGCAAAATGCCACCAGTCTCTTTGCTAAAACATAGCAAGAGTCACCTTTGCTCCAGTTCCCAACAAGTTCCTCATCTCCATCTGAGACCACCTCAGCCTGGACTATATTGTCCATATCATTCACTATCAGCATTTTGATCAAAGTCATCTAACAAGTCTCCAGGAAGTTGCAAACTTTCCCACATCTTCCTGTCTTCTTCTGAGCCCTCCAAACTGTTCCAGCCTCTGTCTGTTACCCAGTTCCAAAGTTGCTTTCACATGTTTGGGTATCTTTACAGCAACACCTCACTCTACTGGTACCAATTTACTGTATTAGTCTCTTCTCACACTGCTAATAAAGACATAACCAAGACTGGGTAATTTATTTTTTATTTTATTTTATTTTTTGAGACAGGGTCTCACTCTATCACCCAGGCTGGAGTGCAGTGGCGTGATCTCAGCTCACTGCAAACTCCACCTCCCAGGTTCATGCCATTCTCCTGCCTCAGCCTCCTGAGTAGCTGGGACTACAGGTGCCCGCCACAACTTCTAACTAATTTTTTTGTATTTTTAGTAGAGATGGGGTTTCACCATGTTAGCCAGGATGGTCTCGATCTCTTGAACTCGTGATCTGCCCGCCTTGGCCTCCCAAAGTGCTGGGATTATAGGCATGAGCCACCGCGCCTGGCCAAGACTGGGTAATTTATAAAGGAAAGAGGCTTAGTGGGTCTCACATTCTACATGGCTGGAGAGGCCTCACAATCATGGTGGAACGTGAAGAAAGAGCAAAGAGTTGTCTTACATGGTGGCAGGCAAAAGAGCTTGTGCAGGGGAACTCCCATTCTTAAAACCATCAGATCTCATGGGACTTATTCACTACCAGGAGAGCAGTATGGTGGAAACCACCTACATGATTCAAGTATCTCCATTTGGTCCCCTCCTTGACAGGTGAGGATTATTAAAATTTGAGGTGAGATTTGGGTGAGGACACAACCAAACCATAGCAATAAGTCCTTAACCTTCTATCAGGCAAGGCCCATATGCCATGCCCTGAGCCTCACCTATATTCATCTGTCTGTGTCCCTCTCCTGAGAAAAGAGTTTATGGAGCCACCTGCATGTGCCCACCTGGAGCCTACACCCCCAGTTCTTGACCACACTGCGGTACTTGAGATTTGAAATTCCCTAAACAAGTGATCCCAAGCCCCCTCTCAGGGCCTGAACAGGCTCTTCTTGTGGTTCATATATCATTGAGGGGTAGTCAAAAGATTACTTTTGGTGGAGGTGAGAGTGTGCAGGTAGACCTGGGTTATGTGTGCTACAGTTGCTCCCACCCCCCCCACACACACATCCACTTTTGGTGCACGATGGGGCTGGGGTGAGGAGAGAAATGCAAAGGCCACAGGCTGGGGCCAAGGTCTAACCCCCTTCTCCACCACTGCCATGTTCTGGAAAGAAACTCCAAATAGTATGAGAATCCTAACAGCAAACCTGGCTGTTCAAGTCATTATGAAGGTATGTTTGTTATAGTAGGAGACTAGAACATACTTTAACAGTCTGTTAGCTTGACTTATAACATAAATACATGGATATAAATATGCAGACCTTCCATTTGTACTCTTTCCCTGGGCACAAGACTGGACAAGAGCTCAACACTCCAGCATTCTGTCTATTTCCCTCTCTTATTTTGGCCTCTTACTTTCTCTTATCTTAATTCTTTCCAACTAATCAGCCTTTGAGCAGACAAATAGTATGGGTAGTGGCAGCTTGAGATTCACATTCTAATGAGGGGCAAAGAATCTTCCATGCTGGTTCTAAGCAGAACAATGCAGGGGAAAGATTCTGGTTGGCCTGGCTAGGCTTATGGGGCTTTCTGAATCAGCACTGTGGTCAGGGAGTGGGGGATCCTCTGATTGACCAGACTGCTTTATGAGGGACACTCTGATACGCAGATCCATGAGTACTACAGGGAAATAGTCATGGAGCAGGAGCAGCCTTCTATAAGAAGGGAAATGCTATACCAGAAGGAAAGGGACAACGGACTGACAAAAGTAGCAGAGATTCAACACATTCCATGCCGGGGGCCCCAGCACACACACCACTTTCTTCCCATTCATAGTGCCTCTGCTTAACACGATGCCAAAAACTCTCAAGAACACTTATCTCGGAACTCTGAGGCACCCATATTTTTCAGTTAGATCTGTAGGTCTAACTTATGATCCTGTCATCTATAGCTAAGGTATTTTAACCATTCCTAATGGGTGTGGAGAAGAGAGGCTAACAATAAAATTTTCATTTAAGGAAGAGTACAGGGGAAGATAGTGTTTACTTGTCTGTAGCATGTGACACCAGGAACATGGAGCACGCAATCCCTTGACAATAAAATGGTTTCATTGGTCAGTCTATCCAGCACACATCTGCCTACTTCACCCTTTGTTTGCCATGCACACCCAGGCCTGGGAAACAGGCACTGCTATATTATCCCTGTGGATGGGTGACATACACCCTTTAAGATCTGGCTTGGCTGCTTTTTGATTCAATTTTTGGAGATTCCATAACTAGACATTAATATTGTTGAGTCAGAAATATTGTTGAGTTATATTCTTGAGTCTGAACCCATCCCAACCCCACTTTTTTTTTTATTTTTATATTTTCTTGACAGGACACAGAGGTCTGCTCATTCCTAGGACCTCAATTTAAAGGCTTCATTCTAATCTTCTGCCTTTGGATAGAATGACACAAGAGTCTTGGGCAAGGATAATCTGTCCTTGTCAGGCAAGATCCCAGCAGATTGTAATTTACAGCGAGACGGGGAGTGGAGTCCTGGCCCGTGGGGAGCAAGGACAGCAGGAAGGGATTGGGAAGGGGCTGGGGAAAGAAGATTTGCAGTCATTTCTCTAGCTCCTCTTAAGCCTCAGTACTTTTCACTGCGTTTCACAATTCCTGACTTTGTTTGAAAATGGGAAAATGTTTCTACCATTTGGCAGATTCTGACCCTCAGTATGACACTCAGGAGTCTTGGGTAGCTGGCCTCAAATTGAGATCCTCCAGCTCTTCAAACTACCACAGGTCATCTAGGTCTAGATTTGAAGGTGTGTACTTAGTAACACTCCACTTTCATCTATCCATTTTTACATTTCTGTTCAGGTACATTTCAGTTGTAA
Source organism: Homo sapiens (assembly GCF_000001405.40). Taxonomy (NCBI): domain Eukaryota; kingdom Metazoa; phylum Chordata; class Mammalia; order Primates; family Hominidae; genus Homo; species Homo sapiens. The sequence continues at coordinate 170,746,749 of NC_000001.11, forward strand.
GTGGCAGCAACCCAACTCAAATTAGGCTAAGATAGTCAATCAGAATATTTATTAGATGGATGGGATGTGGTCACAGGATGAAAGGGAGATTTATAAGAATCAGAGTAACTCTGAGAACCTCAGGTCCTGGAACTGAGACTTGATGTCACCAGGACTCCATCTCCCACCTCTGCAGGCAAATTTTCTCCTTGCAGTAGGGAAAGGGGCTGCTTGAAGGTGCAGACTTACCTCCATTTAGCTTTGGAAGAAGGACCTTAGAAACAAGCTGCTATTATAAAAATCCCGAGGGAGAATTCTGTTTTCTTGGCTTGTATGTACACTCATGAGCCAATCATTGTGCCTTGGAGGTGCAGGTGTACTGAGTAGCCAGACCAGCATTGCCTGCCTGTCTTAGACACCACTTGGGTGCCAATGCAACTCCTCTTGTCCCCACTTGTAGCCCAGTCATTACTGCAGTACCCAGTCTCCATGATATTTCCACCAGCTTTGAAGATAGAACTTCAACTAAACAAACAGATAAATGCTCCCCACTTTTCATCTACATGCATACAATTATTGACCATCAGTCACTATTGAAGTGGTGGCCACCTTGATCATGCATCCTTTTTACCTGTATTCTCTCAACCCCTCATTCCAGCTCTGTGGAATCATTTTCCAAGTAAACTTCCTGCATATCAGCCATTACTTCCAACTCCACTTTTTGGGGGGCTTAGGCTGCATCCTTCTCAAAACTATGAGGACTGGGTAGTGGAGATCTGTTGTTATCAGAAGATAGATGAGGAAATGAAATGTAGGCAGACAAAAATAGCACAGATACACCAGAGAAAGGAAGAAGAAAGAGAGCACTTTTGATGGTAAATTGTTTTTAGCTCAATTGGTATTACCTATTTCTTCTTACTAATGTTGTCAAATATTTGCTGCAAATACTTCAATTAAAACTATAACAACTTCTTTCCTCTTTCCTGTGGAAGAGAGAATTAGCATTTTAGCAAAATCCATTTGCTCTTCCTTCTGGGCACACAGGTAGATTTCATTTCTCAGCATCTCTTGCAGGTAGATCTTGTCTCATGACTAATTCCTAGCCAATAGAATGTGAGCATAACTGGAATTTGACTATTTCAATCCTCCCATTCAGACCTCCCATTCACTCTTCTTGCTATTTATTCCATCTGGCTGTCTAAGGTGACAACTTCTGATCAACTTTGGAAGCCACATTTTAAAGACAGTAAAGTAACAGTCAGCCTGGACACAGAAAAGTGACCGCATAAAGAAACGCTGCAACCCTCACTGACCTGGAACCATCCAGGAGTGTTGTACCACAGAGAAATAAAGTTCCATTCTGTTGAACCATTACACGGCAAGGTCTATTTGTTACTGCAACGCAGCCCAATGTAAAAATATCTCCCTCTTCTTTCTCTCTCTTTCCCTCCCTCCCTTCCCTCCTACTCTCCCTTCCCTCATTCCTTTCTTCCTTCTATACCACCAGCATTTCAACATCCCTGTGGTAACTCATAGACTTATAGTTCTCAATGAACAGGGGAAATTATTCTCCCATATTGGATATTTGAATATGTAATACATAGTCTTGTGGCACCTTATGCCCTTGGATTATAACCTAATAAAGTAAATTGAATGTTATAACAAATAAATACACTAAATAACCCTTTCAAGAAATTAATGCCTGACACTCTGGAGTTGATGGAAAATATTTCGAACTGTTATTTTAGTTATAAAAAGTCAGTATTCCTAAAAGGAAGATAGCTAGGTCATCGACAAATTAAAGGCATCTGAAAATTATTTCCTAGAGTCACATATTTATTTGCTTAGTGTCATTCAGTTAAGCAGAGGTAAAATAAGGCTAGCAATCCTGGACAGTTAGAGAAACTCACACATGTGCACAGGAAGACATGAACAAAAATGTTAATTGCAGCATGGTTTGCAATAACAAAATATTGGAGACAAACAAAATGTCCTTCAATGGGAGAATAAACATATTGTGACATGTTCAAACAATGGAATACTATTCAGAAATAGAAAATGAAGGAAACACAGCTACATTTATTCACTTAGAAACATAACTTTGAGGGGAGGACATGTTGTAGAAAGATGTGCCACCCTTTATAAAAAGTTTAAAAATGCACACTCTAATAGTATGTTGTTTGTAAACATATATGTATGTAGTAAAAATGCAAAAAAATCATAGAAGTGAGAAATAATTTCATAAAATTTCTGAATTGTTTCAGAAACAATTTCAGCAAAAGCAACTTCTGAACAAGGGGGCAGAGGATAGGATTGGGACAGGTATACTGGGTGCTTCTAATACATCTGAAATATTTTATTTCTTAAAAATATGAGAATAAAATATGACAAAATATTAAATTTGATAAAAGCTGGGTGGTGAGTACAACATGTTTATGGTGTTAACCTCTGTACTTTTCTGTGATTATTATAGTTCAAAATTTGTTAAATGTAGAAAGAAAGAATGGGAAGGTATATTTTACAACCTCAGCAGACGGAGATGTGGGATTGGGGTGGGTATGTTTGTGCAATCCTTGTCTTTGCTCTAGATAAGCAGGGAGAAGGGAAATCGTAATATATTTTTAAGAAAACTACAGAAAGTTTTGTTGCATGCAATTCAACTTGTCCAGTCAAGCTTTTAGATGTAAAAGAGTCCAAGAGTCTAAAAGACTTCTACCAAAAATGTCTCCCTTGGTTTACTACTGTACCTAAATTGCCATAAGCAGAGACTTATTCCTGCCATCACCGCAGTTTCCAGGAGTCTCCCATTAATTCTGCTGCACGGGGGGCATGGGCTCAACCCATGCCTTGAGAAAATTATTAACCATTTCCACAACTGCTTGGTCTTAAAGGAATAGGATATAGTTTTGACGCATGAGATGAGGCAAAAGAGAAGTACATGTGTGAGGTCTGGGAGGATTCTGCTGCAGAATAGCAAGCATTAACAGGAATTCTTCAGAGGGGAATTTCAGGGGACAACATGATGTAATGGAAAAAACATGGACCTTGGTTCCAGTTCCTGTTTAGCTACTTACTTTCAGTGTAATCTTGGGCAAGTTGCTTATCCCCTGAGTCTTTTTTCTTCTTTTGTAAAATGATACCTACATCAGAGATTAGTGGCAAAATTAAAGGAGACAACATACATGAAATATTAACACAGTACCTGTGTCACACTTCAGGCTCCGTTTTCCTTCCATACTATCAAACAACAACTCAGATACATTGGCAAGAGTCCTGGGCTGCAGATCAGGAGGCTCAGGTTCTCTGTGTGGCATTACAGCAAAAGAAATTCAAAGACGAGGGTAATGTGGCAGTGAGAAGAGGAAGAAAACTGCAGAAAGGAAAAGAGGGAGTACATGGAATGTGTGTGACTGCTCTGCTCTTTCCAGAAGTATATACAACATGTTTTCTTAGCTTAGCTACACAAGGCTTGTTGCTTAGCTACACAAGGCTGAGGGTTTGGGTTTCTTCCCCCTTACGTATAAAAATGGCACTCAGAAGTTTAGAAGCCCCTTTTCCCAGCACAATGGGAAGTCTACAGAATAGTAACTGTGAGGACTTCTGAAGAATTTCTTTTTCCTCTAACAAAATAACCTATTTTCTAGTAACAAAATAGCCTAGCCCCAAAGCAGTAGAGTGTAGAATTAATTTTTGAGTGAATAAAAGTCCCTGGAAGTCTTTTGTTTAAATCCCCTCTCCCTGCTGTTTGTGCAATGCCCCTTCTTTTCAGGGATGAAGTGTTAGAAGCCAGTTAGTTACGGAGAAATTTCTTCATCCAGGGTAGCAGTCCCTACTTCTCCTGACCTACTCAATCCCACCCTTCCTGGCTCCAGGTGAGTTTTCAAAGGGCCTACTTGAAGTTAATGCTTGGTTTTCCATCAGTAAGGCAGAAAGCAGGCATTGTAGGCCTATGGATGAATACAGAATTGTCCTCTGAGCCTCAGAAAACCAATATCTGGGCTGGCTCCCATAAGCCCCTGCTGTGTGTACCTCTAGGTACCTAACTCAGCTTTTGCTGTCTCAGGGAAAGAATGCATCTCCTTCTCCACTTCAACCCAACACCAAATAAATTGCTGCTGGTCAGACAGAATATTAAAATTTTGCAAATATGCTGTTGACAGGAGATACGTAAAATGCAAAGATAGAATTTTGAACATAAAAGTGTGAGAAAATATACATCAGATGAATACTAGGCAAAAGAAATCTGGTCTACCCACATCAATAACAGACAATGTAGACATTAATGCAAAGACCACTGTTAGGGATCAGGAAGATCATTAGATAATGATAAAAAGACAAAATTGTTCAACATGAAGCTATAAAAATTTTAGATAACATCTAACAACACTTAGTAACAGAGCTTTAAGATTTATAAATGATAAATCAATAGAATCACAAGAAGGAATTTATAAATCCACAACCACAGTTGGAAATTTTAACATACCTGTCAGTAAATGATAAAGATTTAAAATTAGAAAGCTTATAGAAGAGTTAAATAAGACCATTAACAAGCATAATCTTTATAAATATTTATAATATAATTTTAAATATCAATGAACCCATTTTTACTGTAAATTAATTAAATATAATTAACAAAAGAAATATGATGGGGTAAACATCATGGCCCATGTTTGAAAAGTCATAGACAGTAGAAAGAATTACAGAATAGGAGAGCCAGGAAAATATTTCAACATTTTAAGGAAGGGAGATAACAGGCATTATATCTATTATGTATGTATATAGGGACAAGCCCTATACCCAGTCTAAGGTTTTGATGACTTGGCTTCTGGGTACATCAGAGCAACCCTATTTTTTTTTTTTTTTTTTTTTGAGGCAGAGTCTCGCTTGTTGCCCAGGCTGGAGTGCAATGGCGTGATCTTGGCTCACTGCAAGCTCCGCCTCCCGGGTTCACGCCATTCTCCTGCCTCAGCCTCCCGAGTAGCTGGGACTACAGGCATCCGCCACCACGACTGGCTAATTTTTTTTGTATTTTTTAATAGAGACGGGGTTTCACCATGTTAGCCAGGATGGTCTCGATCTCCTGACCTCGTGATCCGCCCGCCTCGGCCTCCCACAGTGCTGGGATTACAGGCTTGAGCCACTGTGCCCAGCCTATTTTTTATCCCACTGTACTGAGTTCAGGAGTGTACCTGGTCTGGGCTCATATTGGTCTACCCAGACTGAGGGAGATGCCTGAATGTACTATACCAAACTGTACCCAGTAATCATATAGTATATTGTATAGTAGTAAGTTTGATTATCTCAAGCATATATGCGGACCAACCTATGCTCAGTGCTCAGACCTGCTCTGTTTTTTCTTTTTTTTTTTTTTGAGATGGAGTTTCACTCTTGTTGCCCAAGCTAGAGTGCAATGGCATAATCTCGGCTCACTGCAACCTCCGTCTCCCGGGTTCAAGCAATTCTCCTGCCTTAGCCTCCTGAGTAGCTGAGATTACAGGTGTGTACCACCATGCCCGGCAAATTTTTGTATATTTAGTAGAAATGGCGTTTCACCATGTTAGCCAGGCTGGTCTTGAACTCTTGACCTCAGGTGATCTGCCCACCTCGGCCTCCCAAAGTGTTGGGATTACAGGTGTGAGCCACTGCGCCCAGCCTCTGGTTTTATATATGATAGCCTGAAGAGGCATAGCAGGTAGGCTACCTGAATACTGATATGACTCTCATTCACTTGGACGTTGTAATCTACAAATGCACAGGATTTAGGGTATGGAAACTTACCTATCCTTCTGTCCTGGAATATCTGCTGGGTATCCTAACAGCACTTTCTTTAAAGATCTTTTAGAAAAATGAATCCAGATTGATTTACTGATGTAATGTTTGTGTTTGTTTTTTCGGTCAATCCAAGCCCCTTACTAAAATTTGTTGTCATGTTTGATTTTGCTTCCCAGAAAACAGTTGAGCAGATGGTTTTTGAGTAAAAAGTTGGGGGTTGGGGGAGGAGAGAATATGGACACAAGGGGGTAGAATGTGTTCATTATACTTTTTTAAGTCAGAAGAATTAGTAAATTGATAGATTAGGAGATTCTAAAAACACTTGCTCATCTTCGTTTTTGGAGGCCTTTAAAAAATGAGGAAATTTATTATGGCGGGGCTTTTGTGCTCTTTTACTTGATGGCTTTATCCTTAGGCTGGCAGCTAGAAAGCTGAAAATGTCCAAGAAGATTTTGAGTAAGTTTCTCATTTCTCAACAGGAAAAAATAGACAAATATGAGACAGATGATGACATTGTACAAATGAATAAATATTTTTACTGTCTGCATAATCATGCCCAAAATCCATGCTTATTCATTGGCATACTTGAGGACTTTGTTGTAGGTACATTTTTACTCAATATTTTAATCAATTACTTCTGTAAAGGTAAAAAAATTCTATCGTTTATCAAAATAGTGAAAAATCTTGTGATTCAAGTGCATTACTTTTTAAAGACTTGACCCAAAAGTGAGCCAAAGTAACTTGGCATATTTGACCCAAAGTAACTTGAGTCACTTTGACCCAAGTCTTGAAAAAATAGTTAATGCACTTGAATCACAAGATTCATTTGAGATGATCCTCATTTTAAATAGATGTTAGATAATGGGTTAGTGGGCTCCTAATTCCAGGAGAAATGAAACGTTATTGAAGCAACATTCTTCACTAGTTTTACCTTCCACTGCACACCCATTAGAACGGCTAAAATTAGGGAGATTGACAAAAACAAATATTGGTAAAGATGTAGAACAACTAGAAATCTTAAACATTGCTCGTGGGAATTAAAATTTGTATAATCTCGTGGAAAGCAGTTTGTCAGTTTCTTACCTAGCTGAAAACACAGTCATCAGAAAACCAAATTATATTCCTAAGTATTTCTCCAAGAGAAATGAAAACATTCGGTTATATAGAGACTTAAACACAAATGTTTGTAGCAATTTTATTCATAATAGTACCAAATGGAAACAACCTAAATGCCCACAACAGGTGAGTGGATAGACATTTGTGGTATATGCATAAAATAGAATACTGCATGACAATAAGAAGGATCAAATCACTGATGCAGGCGACAACATGGATATATCTCAAAAACAGGTTGAGTGCAAGAAGATAAAGCAAAGGAGTGCATATATTTAATTCCATTATGTGAGACTCTAGAAAGGAAAAATCTATAGGAGTAGAAAGAAGTCCAGTTGGCTGCCTAGGGCTTCGGTTGGGGAAATTGACTGTGAAGGTCATAAGGAATCTGTCTGAGCTAATGGAATTGTTCCCTATCATGGCTGGCATGGTGGTTACATGACTATATACATTTGTTAAAGATTATTAAACTGTACTCCTGAAATATGTACATTTTATTATATGTAAATTATGCCTCAATACAGTTGATTAAAACAGTATAATTGTATAAATCTACAAAAAAGTAGACAGACCAATAAAGTATGTAGTAATGGAAACAGAAGCTCCATGAATGCCCTTATGATGTAAGGTTTGATCTGTAAGATGTGGGATCTAGGAACGGAAGCCATTGATCAATAGATTGAGCTGCAAAGTAATAAACAAACTGTTGGCATATGTTGATTAATTCAATTAATTGGACATCCATACCAAAAACAAAATTCCCACTATGAATTCAGAGACTATCATATATGCAGACCTGCCCTTGAGGCCTAAAGAACATTGGCTAACATCAGACAACAAGCACTGATAATCATTATTATCATATTGGTTATTATATTTGATAATATATATATATACTTCTCTTGGTGAATAACATTAATATATCTCTATGTTTATATCAAATTTTCTATAGTCTTTTATTGGAAGACAATAATGTCAATACCAAATACAAACTGAGGAAGATTTTTCAATGGAGATAATATGCTTACATTTCACATGAATATGAACTATCTTGCCAAGTAAGATCTCACTGTACATCCCAGAATGATTATTATATGGAAAAATTAGTCTTTAAAAAATTAAAAATGATAGACATCATAGAATGGAATATAAAAGCTAGAAGATAATTTGGATAAAATCACAGATTGACCCCTATTGGTTCTGCTAAAATTTTTTCTGCAAAGAGACACATGTATGGTGAGTTCTAGGGGCAAGCCTCAAATAAGAATTATATATCAGACTCTGTCCAGATGGAGCCTCACCTGTTTGAGTGATGAAAAAGTGACATCTACATTTCAAATTTGAATCAGATACCCATATAAGAATAATTTTAAAATACCCTTTTACACTATTCTTATATATCTTCAATGCTGAGTGGTATGGCACCAACGCGAGCAAGATACCAGCTTCTAGTTAGCTAACGAGTGCTGTTCTTTGGGTTCACTGTGGACCTCGCCATCTCTCAAGTTTCTTTGAGGTTCTAAGCCTTCTTATGACAAAATCAATCACAAAAAAGAGAAAAAAGAAAAAACCCAACATATTTTACTTCCTGTGCACTTCTATCATATAGATTTCAGAAAAAACCGTTAGTGATGATGAATTTTCCTATTTATATAATTTCCTAATTATGCTTGAGAACCTGACACACAGTTTTGAGAGTGGCTTCATGTTTGCTGCCCAGTTTAAACTAAAAATTGTCCAATTGCTAAACCAAACATACCCCAGGTTTGCCAAGAAAAATACTCTATTTTCCTATTTCCTGTGCTTCATCAGGGTACAAAACATAAAATAAGCCAAAATTCCTCCACAGTGGGCTTGCAATCTTAAAGAGACCATTATTTTCTATGCAGAAAGTCAAATATTTTTTCCAGGACCAATTTTCTTGCTGACTACATTGAGAATTGAGAAATCAGTGAGAGTCTTCTTGGGAAGAATTGAATTGATAGGGGAATCTGGCTTGAGAAAACAGGAAGTGAGTTTCTATTGCTGTATATGGCCAGGAGAGAATGGGACTTCTAGACTACATTGTTGAAGGTGTGTGAATAATTCCTGGAGACAGTGACTATTTCTTTTGGTGCTTATCTAAACCAAAGCAAAGTTAATCCGTTACTCTTCATTTAAGGACAAAGCTAGGCTAATTCGGATGAATTTTTCTGCACTCTCTTTCTTTTCAAGGAAGAGGACATCAAGTTGGGAAAGACCAATGCAACACTTTTTAAAAGTCTTTTTGTGCAAACATATTTCATCCATTAGGGTAATGTTTTCTTCAGGCTTGCCCAGGAATAAATCCCAACCTTCTCCCCTTAAGATCCGAAAGACACAGCTGATTTGTTTTCAGTTGGGGAAATGAAATGTTTAAATGGGAAACACACGTCCATTTGGTCTGGAGAGGACATGCTAGGAAGCTTCTTGTTTATGAGGCTCCCATTCAGGAATAATCTGACAGCCACAGAAAGACTAAACAAGCAACTAGCAATTAACTCCTAAATAATACCTCTTCCTGGGAAGATAGTGGATTTTAATTCTACGTAGGATACTCATTACCTAACATGAGGCTTAAAAGGCTCTTTATTTCAAAAAGGAGGAAATATTGTTAAAAAAGCTCACTTAGTTGTTGCCCTTCTCTTTCTTGGAACACGAATCGTTTGCCCTAACTGCTGTACCCAAAAGCTCATGATCCCAGATTTCTGCCTGTCCTAAGTAGTGTTTCCCCGCAGGTATTTCTTCCTAGCATTTCTTCTACCTGAATATACTTTTCTAAATCCTAGATCCCAAGAAAAATCAGCTGAAACATTGGAGAAATGTGAAAAATATTATATTCTGAGAGAATTGAACTCAATAAACAACATAGAAAACTTATTGAGTCAAATGAGTCTCAGAAAGTGATGCCACTTGGAGCAGAAGTTTAAGGTTCATGTTTTTGTTACCAGGACAGGAGCAGGTAAGAGTGAAGTGGTCACAGTGTAATCAGATTTGCTTGTAGATGCAAGCTTGTAGATGCTTGCAGTTTAACTATGTGCTCATGGCCTTGTATGCTGCTAATGGTGAATCATTCTTGTAAATAAAATTAATATTTTTATGTTTTATTGTATTAAATATTTTATACAAATTCTGTGAGTAGTGTTTCAAGAAATAATGGGTTTGGGAAGCAAAACAAGATCTTATATTGGTAATATTGATATGTGACTCTGTATACTCCCGTTATTTTGTTAGATAATCTGAATGTTACCTTATTTAAATAACATTAATAATTTAAAGAAATAATTTTTAGATATCCATAATAATGAGTGAAGAGTGTAAAGAACGTTGGAAATAATTTAAGAATAACTTAGGACTTTTGAAATTCCTGAGAATTCCCAGAAATTCTCATCACTTGTTCCTTAAATCCCTAAGATTAACACCTTTCAGAATTTGGAATGCTAGTCCTATGTGAATTTAGGAAGAAACTTCATTCTAGAATGGAATACGGGGGCCCTGACGTTAAGTGTCCAAGCAAAGAATGTTGAAAACATTTTGAACTTAGCAATTGGAAGAGTAGAAATAGACCCTCCTTCAGAAACTTGACCACTATCTGGCCTTAAGCAAGTCACTTGGCCTCTTGAGACTCATCTACAATATGGACATACTCATACTTACTGGATTGTTGATAATACGAAATAAGGTTAGGAATTCTACCCCTTTATGTACTCTAGATAAATAAGGAGCATAAATTCAGGCAATAATCTCAAGTGATCTTTGCTAAATTTTCTGTGTCATGTATAAATTTGGGTAGGATAATAACTGGAGTTAATAATAAATGAATAAGTATTATTTATTACTTACTAAGAATTATTATTAAATACACATTTTAAAGATATCCACAATAATGAATAAAGAGTGTCAAGATTGTTATTAGTACTTCAGGGCTGACTGGAAAATTGGTAGAAACAGCTTTGTGGCCAGGTCCAATTATGTGTTCTGTCCCTGGTAAGGAGTCTTTCTGTGTACAAAAAAGGATCAGGAAAGGGTGTGGTGAATGGCTGATGGACTTTGAGATCTTGAGGGGGGTGATTGGTGACTGCTGCCTCCAACTGGGCTGCAGATTCAGTAGCCTTTCTTTGTTCAATTTTGGAAAACCTTTTACCAGTCTAAAGAGAAAACACAAAGAAAAGATCAGCCAGAACAGAAAATCAAAGGTCAGGTGTGGCCCAAGAATGCCATCACATTTTTGAGGTCATTAGGACACCATAGTCATCCAGTTTTCCACTGTTTCCAAATTTCCATTATTGAAGTACCATTTTATGCTTTCTACAACATCTGCATAACACCTGTATTCTTATTTACTTAGCATTTTTCTTTAATCTGGCCCATTTTTAAACTTAGCTTTATCCCAAACAGTAATAAACCTGAAATTATTGATTGATGTGCAAATTATATTTCTCTAAGGCACATTTACGTAACTATTATATATATCATAACATATTGGTACACAACTATAACACTAAGCAAATGTCCGTCTGTGTACCATCAAAAATCATCTCATCAACCACTGAACCACACTTTGGGAAGACTCAGAGGCCATTTTCACTGAGTTTAGTGACAAAGACTAAAGGAAAGTCATCTTAAGTGAATAAGGGAAGCAAACCTGGACAGTTACACAGGACCCTGCATTCAGAAAGGCCCCATGCCTGCTTTAATGCTGTATTAGTCTGTTCTTACATTGCTATAAAGAACTACCTGAGACTGGGTAATTTATAAAGAAAAGAGGTTTAATTGACTCAATTCTGTGGGCTGTACAGGCTTCTGCTTCTGGGGAGGCCTCAGGAAACTTAAAATCATTGTAGAAGGCGAAGAAGAAGCAGGTGTGGTCCTCACATGGCCAGAGCAGGAGAGAGACAGAGAGAGAGAGAGAAAAGGGAGGTGCTATACACTTTCAAATAACCAGATCTCATGACTTGAGAACAGCAAGGGGGAAGGTCATGACCATGATTTAATCACCTCCCACCAGGACCTTCCTAAAACACTGTGAATTACAATTTGACATGAAATTTGGTTGGGGACACAGATACAAACAATATCAAATGCTCTACTGCCACTTGTTGAAATTCTCAATTATTGGTCAATAAAAGATCCCACTTTTTTTTTCACCAGGTTTTGCAAATTATAGAGCCAGTCCTGAAGAGGTAAAGGAATATAAAAGGTATGGCATAAGAACATGGCTCAGCTGTAATGCTGAAATTCATTTTACATTAACAGCTCCTTTATAGTGACTCATTAAATAGTCATTAGAAAAACTACCACCCGAAAGCTATACAACATATCCATGGGAGATAAAATGGAAATATTAGGTGTTTCTTATCTAATATTACAGCTTATAGTCAGGTTGGGGAGATAACATTGATATTCATTAAGCAATTAGAAATTCTATAATTAAGAGCTATATTGTATGTTGTGGGTAATAATAACAGTAGTTTAAGAGAGAAAGACACCTTCGAGGACAGGAGTAATGGAAGAAGATGTGAAAGGAAGGATTTGAGCCATTTGATGGCTCACATGTCTATTTTTAGAAATGTCTCTACTAAGCTTCTCATGTACAACCCTTCAGAGTCTAGTCCCAACCTCTCTCGCCAGCTTCATCTTTGACCAGTCTCTTCAAATACAGAACTGTGCCTAATATTTACAAAACTCAAGACAAGAGTGTCAATGGAATAAGGATGATGCTGGCCTCATAAAATGAGTTAGAGAGGAGTCCCTCTTTTTCTATTGTTTGGAATAGTTTCAGAAGGAATAGTTCCAGCTCCTCTTTGTACCTCTGGTAGAATTTGGCTTTGAATCCGTCTGTTCCTGAGCTTTTTTTGATTGGTAGGCTATTAATTATTGCCTCAATTTCAGAACTTGTTATTGGCCTATTCAGAGATTCGGTTCTTTCCTGGTTTAGTCTTGGGAGGGTGTATGTGTCCAGGAATTTATCCATTTCTTCTAGATTTTCTAGTTTATTTGCATAGGGGTGTTTATAGTATTCTCTGATGGTAGTTTGCATTTCTGTGGGATCAGTAGTGATATCCCCTTTATCATTTTTTATTGCATCTTTTTGATTCTTCTCTCTTTTTTTCTTTATTAGTCTGGCTAGCAGTCTATCTATTTTGTTAATCTTTTCAAAAAACCAGCTCCTGGATTTACTGATTTTTTTTGAAGGGTTTTTTGTGTCTCTATCTCCTTCAGTTCTGCTCTGATCTTAGTTATTTCTTGTCTTCTGCTAGCTTTTGAATTTGTTTGCCCTTGTTTCTCTAGCTCTTTTAATTTTGATGTTGGGGTGTCAATTTTAGATCTTTCCAGCTTTCTGATATGGGCATTTAGTGCTATAAATTTCTCTCTAAACACTGCCTTAGCTGTGTCCCAGAGATTCTGATACGTTGTGTATTTTTTCTCATTGGTTTCAAAGGACTTATTTATTTCTGCCTTAATTTCATTATTTACCCAGTAGTCATTCAGGAGCAGGTTGTTCAGTTTCCATGTAGTTGTGCATTTCTGAGTGAGTTTCTTAATCCTAAATTCTAATTTGATTGCACCATGGTCTGAGAGACTGTTTGTTATGATTTCCATTCTTTTACATTTGCTCAGGAGTGTTTTACTTCCAATTATGTGGCCAGGTTTAGAATAAGTGCGATGTAGTGCTGAGAAGAATGTATATTCTGTTTATTTGGGGTGGAGAGTTCTGTAGATATCTATTAGGTCAGCTTGGTCCAGAGCTGAGTTCAAGTCTTGAATATCCTTGTTAATTTTCTGTCTTGTTGATCTGTGTAATATTGACAGTGGGTGTTAAAGTCTCCCACTATTATTGTGTGGGAGTCTAAGTCTCTTTGTAGGTCTCTAAGAACTTGCTTTATGAATCTGGGTGCTCCTGTATTGGGTGCATATAAATTTTGGATAGTTAGGTCTTCTTATTGCATTGATCCCTTTACCATTATGTAAGGCCCTTCTTTGTCTTTTTTGAACTTTCTTGGTTTAAAGTCTGCTTTATCAGAGACTAGGACTGCAACCCCTGCTTTTTTTTGCTTTCCATTTTCTTCGTAAATATTCCTCCATCCCTTTATTTTGAGCCTATGTGTGTCTTTGCACATGAGATGGGTCTCCTGAATACAGCACACTGATGGGTCTTGACTCTTTATCCAATATGGCAGTTTGTGTCTTTTAATTGGGGCATTTAGCCTGTTTACATTTAAAGTTAATATTGTTTTGTGTGAATTTGATCCTGTCATTATGATGCTAGCTGGTTAGTTTGCAAAACGTGGCAGAGACACAACAACAACAACAAAAAATTCAGGCCAATATCCCTGATGAACATCGATGTGAAAATCCTCAATAAAATATTGGCAAACTGAATCCAGCAGCACATCAAAAAGCTTATCCAACACAATTAAGTCAGCTTCATCCCTGGGATGCAAGGCTGGCTCAACATATGCAAATCAATAAACGTGGTCCATCACATAAACAGAACCAATGACAAAACCACATGATGATCTCAATAGATGCAGGACAGGCCTTCAATAAAATTCAACACCACTTCATGCTAAAAACTCTCAATAAACTAGGCATTGATGGAACATATCTCAAAATAATAAGAGCTATTTATGAAAAACCCACAGCTAATATCATACTGAATAGACAATAGCTGGAAGCATTCCCTTTGAAAACTGGCACAAGAGAACGATGCTGTCTCTCACCACTCCTATTCAACATAGAATTGGAAGTTCTGGCCAGGGAAATCAGGCAAGAGAAAGAAATAAAAGGTATTCAAATAGGAAGAGAGGGAGTCAAATTGTCTCTATTTGCAGATGGCATGATTGTATATTAAGAAAACCCCATCATCTCAGCCCAAAAACTCCTTAAGCTGATAAGCAACTTCAGCAAAGTCTCAGGGTAAAAAATTAATGTGCAAAAATCACAAGGGTTCCTATACAACGATAATAGACAAACAGCCAAATCATGAGTGAACTCCCATTCACAATTGCTACAAAGAGAATAAAATACCTAGGAATGCAACTTACAAGGGATGTGAAGGATTTCTTCAAGGAGAATTGCAGACCACTGCTCAAGGAAATAAGAGAAGACACAGACAAATGGAAGAACATTCCAGGCTCATGGATAGGAAGAATATCATGAAAATACTGCCCAAAGTAATTTATAGATTCAATGCTATCCCCATCAAGCTACCATTGACTTTCTTCGCAGAATTAAAAAAAAAAACTACTTTAAATTTCATATGGAACCAAAAAAGAGCCCATACAGCCAAGAAAATCCTTAGCACAAACGACAAAGCTGGAGGCATTACACTACCTGACTTCAAACTATACTGCAAGGCTACAGTAATGAAAACAGCATGGTACTGGTACCAAAACAGTTATATAAACCAATGGAACAGAACAGAGGTCTCAGAAATAATGCCAAACATCTACAACCATCTGATTTTTCACAACCCCGACAAAAACAAGCAATGGGGAAAAGATTCCCTATTTAATACATGATGTTGGGAAAACTAGCTAGCCATATACAGAAAACTGAAAATGGACCTTTTCCTTACACCTTATACAAACTTTAACTCAAGATGAATTAAAGACTTAAATGTAAGACCTAAAACCATAAAAACCCTAGAAGAAAACCTAGGCAATATCATTCAGGACATAGGCATGGGCAAAGACTTCATGACTAAAACACCAAAAGCAATGGCAACAAAAGCCAAAATTGACAAATGGGATCTAATTAAACTAAAGATGTTCTGCAAAACAAAAGAAATTATCATCGGAGTGAACAGGCAACCTACAGAATGAGAGAAAACTTTTACAATCTATCCATCTGACAAAGGGCTATTATCCAAAATCTACAAAGAATTTAAACAAGTGTACAAGCAAAAAACAACCCCATCAAAAAGTGGGAGGATATGAACAGACACTTCTCAAAAGAAGACATTTATGCAGCCAACAAACATGAAAAAAACCTAATCATCACTGGTCATCAGAGAAATGCAAATCGAAACCACAGTGAGATATCATCTCATGCCAGTTAGAATGGCAATCATTAAAAAGTACAGATGCTGGAGAAGAGAAATACAAACCCTTGTTTTTTGTATTCGTGGAGAAATACGAACTCTTTTACACTGTTGGTGGGAGTGTAAATTATTTCAATCATTGTGGAAGACAGTGTGGCGATTCCTCAAGGTTCTGGAAACAGAAATATAATTTGACCCAGCAATCCCATTACTGGGTATATACCCAAAGGATTATAAATCATTCTACTGTAAAGACACATGCACACGTATGTTTATTGTGGCACTGTTCACAATAGCAAAGACTTGGAACCAACCCAAATCTCCCATCAATGTCAATGATAGACTGGATAAACAAAATGTGGCACATATACACCATGGAACACTATGCAGCCATAAAAAAGTATGAGTTCGTGTCCTTTGCAGGGACATGGATGAAGCTGAAAACCATCATTCTCAACAAACTAACACAGGAACAGAAAAACAAACACCGCATGTTCTCACTCGTAAGTGAGAGTTGAACAATGAGAAACATGGACACAGGGTGGGGAACATCACACACTGGGGCCTTTTGGGGGTGGGGGGCTAGGGGAGGGATAGCATAAGGAGAAATATCTAATGTAGATGATGGGTTGATGGGTGCAGCAAACCACCACGGCACGTGTATACCTATGTAACAAACCTGCACATTCTGCACATGTACCCCGGGGAACTTAAAGTATAATAAATAAATATAAAAAAAGAGTGTGAATGGAGTCTCACATACCATGTATTTTGATATTTAAAAGTTATAAAGCAAGGTAACACACAGGTAAATAAAACACACCATACTATGCTATGTTGATTATCCTACATTTATAGCAATCTGAAAGGCTAGGTTTAACTTTAGAATTCCTGGACTCCTAGGAGCTCTACTCTGGGAATTCTGGATCCCTGGAATTCAAGACAGTCCCTGGAAACCAAACTCTGGTCTGCAAAGGCAGAAGCGCTGGCTCTGGGTGAGCCAGTCCCCTTGCCAATGGACTTCTTATTCTTACAAAGCACATGGCTGGAGGAGGGCTGAAACATGGCCCTCTAACACACAGGACCCAGGACAGATACTGCCAATATTTCCTATATTTTACCCCTCTCCCAGTTTCTCCTTTTCCCTAAAAAGTGTCTTTTAGTATCTCTTCATCTTTGCATACATCACTCCCTCACTCCTCCTGACTTTCTTTTTTGTGTAGAACACCCATGCTGACTCTGTTTGAATAAGACCTTGTTCAAATGACATTTTATCTTTGAAGCTTTGCAAACTTTCTTAGGTAGAGATAGTTCATTTATGCTTTGCAGTCCCTTGGCATTTTGTTTATGTCTCTTTGATGGTCTTTGTTACTCTGCATTGGAATCACTGTCTTTCTCCACTACACCATGAATGCTTTGTGCATGTTTGGTCTCTTGTACCAAAAGAGTGATTGGCGACACATAGTATTCCCTCTTATAAATATATTTACTGAGGGAATCAATGAATTAAATATACTCTTGTGGCCCCAAATATGCCATGCTATGTAAAAGTTTATTTATCTTGAAGCATTACTTGTCTCTAAGAGTAGATGTAAGCATCTACATGACATTGTCCTAGTGGGAACTGGAAACAGTCCATCCAGATGTTTGGTATCATGTGGATAAATCTCCAGATGATTGACTGAATTTTTCAGTTTTCATCGGAATGATTGGCGTTGTGTATATACGGCCTTATGTTATCAGCCCTGCACTCGTGCCACAGTGGGTTCAAAAAGTTACTATTACAGACCCAAATGCTTAGTGAGCTGTTAATGGGACACACCATTCTTCGTCGTATGCTACTCATGTGAAAGCTGACAAGTTTAGTGCCAAAGGTGATTTCAGTCCATCAGTCCTCATTGTCATTATCAACTAGCATGTATTAAGCATTCACATGTGCAAAGCACATTTTCAAATGAAAGACATCATGACAAACATTTGCTGATGAAAGGGTTTTTTTTTTTTTTTTTTTTTTAAAGCTGTGGAATCAACTTTCTGGCTGCCTACTATGCTATTTTATAAGAATTTGCCTAAAGAGAGTTCAAAGCATGTACTACATTTTGATGATTAAAATCTCACTCATCATGGAAGTTCTGGTTCCCTCATTTCTCACTCATGCTTATGCCCTTGCCCTTTATCCCAAACTCTGTTTATTGGGTGTGCAGTTTGTTGTCACACTCTGCCACTTAGCTTAAGTAGCTGAGGTACAGTGGAAACACAGTACACTGAGAATCAGAAGTCTGATTTCTACCTTGCCTCTCTCATTTGTTGATTTGAGGAAAATTATTTCGCTTCTCAGACACTTGGTTTCCTGATTTGTAATCCTCAATACCTGCCTTATGGATTTGCTGTGAGGCTAAATAAAATAATGTATGAGAAAGTGCTCGAAAACTCCCAAGTAATACAAAGATATTGTGGATTATTGTTATTTGACATTTGATTTGAGGTATTGCCTCTCTTCTAATACAATCTTAGATGGAGTCTAAGGAATTGTCCTTGGGGGGTCCAGATGTAACAACAAAATAGTAAAAAATAAATAAAAGCTAATAAGCAGTAATGATGATACTTGTGATGGACAGAAAACAAAGATAATCTTTTAAGCACTGATAGAAAATTTGAGGCCTGAAACTTTCCAGAGGTCTCCAAGGAGATTCCAGGACTCATGCAAATTCCAAGAGTCAATGTGCTCCTTCTATTGCACTGCCCTCTCCCAGAGAGAGTGCTCCCTTAGGGTGTTATAAAGTGAGACCTAATTTTTCATGTGTTTTTATGTGGCTCTCATGATGGAAGAGCTGGAGAGCATCAAAGATGTGGCTCAGGGTGGTGTGGGCAAGGGATTCTGTCCTGATGGGGGCCTATGGGGCCAAGTGTTGCTATCCCATGTGGGGTTGTGATGAAAGGTAGCTAGCCAACAAATATGGAATTGTCCCTCTTTCTGGAAACAATGACACGGGCAAATGTGCCCTAGTGGCTTTTTTCTGAACAAATATATCTGGCCAACCGTTTCCCACAGCTCCTGGAGAAATTTAAGAAAGTAGACATTTAAAAAGCCCCACTTAAAGGGGAAAATATAAGCACCCATTATAGAATTGACAGAGTAAATTCAGAAAAGATATTCCTTAGATGAGAACTAGTCAAGAGAAAGGCCAGAATGTTAAAAAGGAGTTGTTTTAATTGCACAACAATACCACATGGTGGCTCTGGAAAGAACTGCACTGAGTATAAAATGTCTAAAACCTGTTTTCTCCCCTGCAGGGCCTTTCTTCAAGACATTATGTGAATTTCACGAAAACACGCACGGTTAAAAGTGGAACATTTGGTGAATATTAGGGATTTTAAAAAATGTTTCAAAGAAGTATTTTAAATGGTCATATTTTATGGAGCCTTCTCTGATGGTCCCCCAGGCAGATAGACATCTTACGATGCACAGGCAGCCCCACACAACACAGCACTCTGTGTTGCACGGTAATCAACGAGATTACTTGTCTTTCTCATCCAAAAGGTAGTAACTTTCTTGAGGACGGAGTTGTGTGTTTCATGTCTGAAAGGCAGGCTATGTGGAAAGAGCCGGTGTTCCCGCAATGGAGGTGTTTCTGCACTCACTCTTCCAGAGTTAACTATATGACCGTAAGAAAATTACTTACTTTTTATACTCATTTTCCTAATCTGCAAATGGTTAAAAATTATGACTTCTTCAAAGGGTCATTGCAAGGAAGGTAAGTTCATGGGTGAATAGTGCCTAGTACATAGCAGATAAATTATTATTTATTGTTGAATATTTAAATATAAGATGCAACTGAAAAACATCTGCTCGTGTTTTTCATTTTGAAAACTGTGGATCTTTTAAAAAGACTCAATGAAAAATAAGGATTAAAATAAAATGATCTTTTTATACCGCCTTTGTTCTTTCTTTTAATCTTCTCTTTTACCATCTTTTCAGGAAGACACTCATTGGATTACGCTTTTATAATTTTCCTAGCCTGTCTCTAATATCTCCTACTATATGTAACAATATGCCCATAGCTTTGTGACTTGTAAGTATTCCCTCAGCCCACAAATTCACTAACATAATCTTTTCTTTCTCCATTTTACTGTCAAAATTCACATGTTTCTTGCACAGGTTCTCCTCACATTTCTTCACTGTGAAAACATTACAAACTTGCAAAGCTTGTTTATTACCCATCACGATACAGGAACTAAACACACTCTTGAAGATCTCCCAGTGACTTTCTTATCGCCAAAATTCATGGATTTTATAATATTATTATCTTATTTTTTAACATTGGAAGGAGTAAAAGTTCTATGTTCTAGATCCAGAGCCACAGTTGATTAATTTTATAATATTAACTGAGTCCCCCTAAAACTCTCCGGACTTTAACTTCTAAATACATGTACTTTGCAACATTGTGAGAATAAAATGAGACAGACTCTATGAGAGGTCTTTGGAAATTGTGAATTTTTGTACTCATATTAGGAATTATTGCTCTTAGTACTATTATCAAAGGCATAAAATTAAGTAGAAACAAATCCTGCTCTGGAAGACTCCACAGTCTACTGTTGAAGGAAGACCTATGCAAAATAATTTTAAAGTAGTCAGGTGAGTTCCAAGAGAACTAGTATAAAACTTTTTTTGGAAAACCTGGAATGGAATGACTACGTTCGGGAGACAAGGAGTAGGCATTTGATTGCTATCTGTGGAATTGATGAGAGAGTGATATTGATGTAGAGAAATCTTTGAGTAGAATCTGAAAGGTGAATTAGACCAATGTAAGGAAGATGATTCCAAGTAAATATCCTGGTAGGATGCATGTGGTACAGTGAAAAGTAGCCAAGAGCTGTGTTGCTCAGGGAATGTATACCATTATTACATTGTGCTCATTTCCAAAAAATAAAGTTCCAGAATGGCAACAAAGACAATTGTGTATAGATACTTCTTTAGCCTCTCCCAAATTATGTTTCAGTGATAATTCACCTTTCTTCCAACTTCGTTCAGGACAGTCTTAACTGGGAACAATTTTGCCCCCCAGGAAACATTTGGCAATGCCTGGAGACATTTTTGATTGTCAAAACTAGGGGACAGCTACTGGCCTCTGGTGGGGAGAGGTCAGGGGTGCTACTAGGTATCTTTCAGTGCATAGACAGCCCCACAAAACAGAAAATTATTCGACCCCAAGTGTCAATCCTGTTGAGGCTGAGAAATTCTGATCTAGGAAAACTTCTTCCCTTAACTCCCCTCCTGTTAGGGGCACTTTGGACATCATTTGCTTTAATTATCTTACCTCCTCACTTTATTATCCCGTGTGTCAATATCTGAAAACTCTTCGCAATATTATTTTGTATTTCCTTTTCTCAGATGGGTAATGTGGTTTCTGTTTCCTGCTAGGCTCTTTTGACCAGTTTTTGAGTAAAACAGAAGGAAGCTAGAGCCAGAGATTGAAGGTGAGTTTTCATGAAGGTTTAGTGAGGCATTGCATTAGAGGAGTTTACAGTGGAGTGGAAATCACACAAACAACATGGCTCTGTCCCAAAGGTAATTAAACAATGATTAAACCCTGCTCACCCATTCCATGAATCCTAGAAATCCAAAGACTTCTTCAAGACTTCTGCAAATTTCTTGGCAGAGGTGGAATGGGGAGTTGGATTGATATTCTAATGTTTACCTCTGCTTTTTATTCAAATTGTATCTATGTGTTACACACAGTGACCCAGATATAACATAGCTCCTTCCCTCTCAGCACTTCCATTTCCACACAGCATGCAGGCATGAGTTTAGCATACAGAGGAGTATTTGGCGGTAACTGGGAGACCTAGGAGGGCTTCACACTGCAGAAGTGGAAACACTGTTTAATTATATGTCAGACTTTTCCAATCTAAAAATGTCTCCATCTCCAGGATTGCGCCACTGCACTCCAGCCTCAGCGGCAGACCAACATTCCATCAAAAAACAAAAACAAAAACAAAAACAAACAAAAAAAGAAACTTCCACTTACAAATGGACTTACAGACATTCCCTTGGCCCACAAATTCACTAACTGAATCTTTTCCTCTGGTCCACATAGATGCCAGCCTCATGTCACCTAAGAGGTTACTTGTTCATGCTTGCCTTCCCTCTCATGAGTAAAACAGTCTCATGCAGAAGAATTTACCATCTATTTGTTTCTCAGGCCTCTATCTAGGCAACATCCATGGCTACAATGTCTTACCTTCAATCCTAGGTTGCTTATCAGAGTATTTTACTAAACAGTCATTTCTCTGTGTAAGAGAAAATCTGGTGCCAGCTATTAGGATAGTAAATTTGTATTTGCTGGGTAGAGACTGAGATGGAGGAGAAAGGCATTCTGTCCATGTTTCCTTAGAACAGAGATGGCCCTGGAACCTTGCAGATAGGCAGAATGAGGAGCATCAGGTGACAGCACCATGGACAGCAGGGGCAGTAGCTAAGGGGAAATGTCCCATGGCTTTGTGAGAAGGCATCTACTGACAGGCAGTGGGGAGAGTGGGAGATGGAAAGAATTTAGGGAGGAAAAACACAACAGATGTGTGATGGTAGCCGTAGTGGGAAGATTGATTTGTCAGCATATACAGCACTTCATAGAGATTTCAAGACATAGTTGGGAGAGACTGTGGAAGCCAGAGGTCCCCATAAGCAGGTAAGTGCAGAATACTGGAGAACTGTATATCACTCTATCCCTATAATTCCAAGTGAGGCCTGAGGACATTCATGTTGCATTTTATGTAAATGAGCACAAGCCCTATTTCAGGACATTCTAGTAGCCTTGCTTTGGGGTCAAGAAACATTCCTTATAGCCGTAGCACAAGTGCAACTTTTTTTGTGATGTATTCACCTACTTAATTTAAAAAGAATGTATTTTCTAATTTATTATATTGAAAATTATTTGAAGATGTACTCATACGTCTTAATAATTTTTTTGATAGTTTAACTCAAAAGATTAACCTCAAGGGACAGTCCTCTAGAGTCCAGTTTATATCCTCCTCTACTTCCATTTCATAGCTGCCATGCCTGTTTGTCACCCAGCGGGAATGAAATCCCTAATACCAGGCATATGCTGGCCACTGAAAAGAGAGGAGAATCTGATGCTATAGAAAATTGCTTCACACTGGGGTTTGAAGGACCCACCCATAGTCTACACAGTCCTCATGATTATAAATATACACTTGTGGGTAGTATCATAATCTTGGAAATTAGTACATATTCCTGGAATGCTCAGGGGCAAGAGATAAATTATGCATGTGCATATATAATATGTATATGCACATAAATAATGCCTATCTGCTAGAATAAAGGGGTGGATCATAGCTTGTGGAAATGTTTAATAATTTAAGAGGAAAAACAGCTTTTAGTTATGTTAGAAAGAATATTTCTATCTTAACAATATATTATTTATATATTTATCTATTAACTATGTGTTAACAATAGTCTGCTAATTAAAACCGACCAATGAAGCATAAATAGTTAAATTCATATGAATTTGAAAATAATCTATTAAAAATAGAGCATTATTTTAAGCTGTCACTTCTCTCACCCTTGAGTTAAATACAGTTATTAAAGTTTTTACTAAACTTTTGCACAATGCCCAGTTTCATTTGGAAGAGCAGTTCTATTTTCTATGGAAAGATGATGGAGATATGGTAAAAGGGGAACTAGGTTACAATAGGATGTCCTAGCTTCCATTCTGGCTCTGCCATATAAGAGCTATTTTTGAACTGGAATAAAGAGTCCTGCCCCCCTGGACTTCATCATTCTCACCTACTAAATGAGAGCTGTGTGACCTCTAAGTTCCTGCCAGCTCTGTGAATCTCTGGGAATACTAGATTTTTCTCATCTCACTCTTCCTTCTTTTACTCCTATATTAGTCAGGATTCTCTAGATGGACAGAACTAACAAAATATATATATACACACACATATATATATACACACACACACATATATATACACACACATATATATACACACATATATATACACACATATATACACACACATATATACACATATATATATGACATTCCATATATATATTCCATATATATATATGAATTTATTAAGTATTAACTCACATGATCACACAGTTCCACAATAGGCCATCTGCAAGCTGAGGAGCAAGGATAGCCAGTCCGAATTTCAAATTTCAAAACTGAAGAACTTGGAGTCCGATGCTCAAGGACAGGAAGCATCCAGCAGGGGAGGAAGATGTAGACAGGGAGGCTAGGCCAGTCTCTCTTTGCACACTTTTCTGTCTGTTTATATTCTAGCTGTGCTGGCAGCTGATTAGATTGTGCCCACCCAGATTAAGGGTGGGTCTCCCTTTCCCAGCCCACTGCCTCAAATGTTAATCTCCTTTGGCAACACCCTCACAGACACACCCAGGATCAATACTTTGTATCCTTCAATCTAATCAAGTTGACACTCAGTATTAACCATCACAACTCCCATTACTTCTATTCTTTTAAATCATTATATTATAAAGACACATACATACGTATGTTCATTGTAGCACTATTCACAATAGAAAAGATATAGAGTCAACCTAAATGCCCATCAATAATAGACTGGATAAAGAAAATGTGGTACATACACACCATGAAATACTATGCAGCCATAAAAAGAATGAGATCATGTCATTTGCAGAAACATAGATGCAGCTGGAGGCCACTGTCCTTAGCAAACTAACACAGGAACAGAAAACCAAAAACTGTATGTTCTCTCTTATAAGTGGAAGCTAAATGATGAGAACACATGGACACTTACAGGGGAACAACACACATTGGGGCCTTTCAGAGGGTGTAGGGTGGGAGGAAGGAGAAGATAAGGAAAAATAGCTAATGGGCACTAGGCTTAATATCTGGGTGATGAAATAGTCCATAAAACAAACCCGCATGACACACGATTACCTATGTAACAAACCTGCACATGTACAGTGAACTTAAAATAAAAGTTAAAGAATTTTGTCAGCCTTGTTTATGAATTTTTTCTCCACATTTATTTTGCTTAATTTATAGAGTGGAAAAAGTGATATAGAGTTCCCCTCCTTCAGCCCTGTATTAATCTCATGCTGATTATTGAAGTGCAGTTCACACTGTTTAAAGAGAAGAGGGTTTGAACTCAAGTAAACTTGGGTTTGAATCCTGGCTTACCTATTTACTAGCAGTGTGACTTTGAGCATGTCACTTAAACTTCTTGTTCACTTGGAGAATAGGGTTAAGAATGTCCTCTTCTTATATTTGCTATGAGAATGGCCTGATCTTCCTACTTATGCCAATATATCCAATTTTTTCCTAGTGAGGCTCTTGCCTTCAAACAACTATCTTCATTCAGTCAAAAAATATTTGTTGAGTGCTTCCTGTATGCAGGCACACTTCTAGATGCTTGGTTAAATAGAGAGCCCTGACCTTATGGAGCTTATGTGCTAGAGACAAACAATAAACAACATATGATAAAGAAAATGCTATGGTATATTAGAAGTTAATAATTGCTGTGGAAAGTAGAAAACAGAATAAGGATAATCAGAAATTTCACAGGAGAAAGAAGCTTGTAATTCTAACTTGAAAGAGCAGGCAAGATTTAGAAGAGGTGAGGGATTTAGTGAAATGCATACCTGAGGGAAGAGCATCCCAGCCAGAGTGAATGCTTAGAGCAAAATCCTAGATCATATAGGACCTCATGGGGCATTGTCAGAGCTTTGTTTTTGCTCTGCATGAAATAAAGAAACCGTGAAGAGTTTTTAACATAGTACCAAAAATTAACTTTTTTTTTTTAAATCACTCTATCAGCTATGAAGATTCTCAGCCTTAGCCTTATTGACATTTTGCATCAAACTTTTGCTTCGGGCGATTTATTGTGTATTGTGTATTGTTTATAGCATCCTTAACCACCACCTACTAGATGCCAGTAGTACTACCTCCCCCAGTTGTGACAATAAAAAATGTCTCCAGATAATATCTAATGTCCCTTGGTCAGCAGCAGAGGGTGGGGAGAATTTCCTCAGTTGAAAACTACTTGGGTAGACTATTGAGAGGCAAGAGTATAAATAGGGAAATCTTTTAGGAGGGTACTGCTATAATCCTGGCTAGAGATCATGGTGGCTCAGACTAGGGTGGTAGCAGAAGATGTTGTGAATAATGCTTGGAATCTGGAGAGATTTTTAAAGGTAGAGAAAAATGGAATTCCTGATAGATTGGATATAGAGTGTGAGAAAAAGAAAGGAGTCAAGAATGACTCAAAAGTTTTGGCCTGAGCAAATGGAAGGGTGGAAATGCCATTAATAGAGACATGTAATGCTATTGGAGGAGTAGGTTTAGGGAGCCCAGCAAAGAAAACCAAGATTTAGTGTGGGACAGGTTGATTTTGAGACGATTAAGTAGACATTCAAATAAGCATGTGTGAGAAACAAACTCATCCAACCCAAAGAATGGACTTAGAGACTGGGAGAACAGTGAAAGTGAGACTTTTAATGATGGTCTTGCAAGAATGGGTGTCTGATAGGCAGGCACACCCAGCACAGTTTTAACAAGCAATTTATCCCCTAGTGCACAGGTCCCTCCCCTGGTTCCTTATAGGCTGAGTACTATGGGGTCACAATCTTCCCAGACGATGCCTATTGATTGCTGGGTAGGGGCTGAAGGTGTTCTTTTTTAGGGTTGTCTTACTGCATTTTGTTGCAGCCCACAATGCATTGCAATCCTAGTTTGCTCAGGGGCTCTTCAAATATTTGACTTATGACCTAAGCACCTGGGCAGGCTGAAAAGAACAGACAAAGCAAGCTATTTGGCAGGCTAGTAAACTTTCATTGTAGACTAAACTTCTTTGCTTTGGGTGAGGGCAACTAAGTGGAGGCAGGGGAAGGGGGAGGAAGGGGGAGGCCAACAAGCAGACATCGGCTATCCAGGCAGGGGCCTAGTATATCCCGTTTCTTCTGTAGTTTGCTGACCTAAGCCGATTTAAGGCACTTTGTCTTGGAAATGGACCACTGCATACATCATTTCCCTCAGATGTCAGATAGATGAATAGACACACACATCTGCAGTCTGGAAAAGAGTTCTTGGCTAAAAATGTTAAAAGTAGAAGTCATTGGCACACAAATTATCTTTAAAGTCATGCAACTGGGTGGGATCACCAAGGGAGCAAGTAAAAGTAGAGAAAGAAAAAAAAGACCAAGGACTGAGCTCTGGAGCACTAAAATACAGAGAGGTAAGGAGACTAGAAGAAACCAACAAAAGGAAGTTGACAAGGAGCACTAATAGGAGGAAAAACAAGAAAGTTGATGATCTGGAAGCTAAGTGAAGAAAATATGTCAAGAAATGATTAACAGTGTTAATTGTTGCTGATGGTTCAAAGAAGATGAGACCTGAGAATTGACTAATGGGCTTAGCAATAAGAAAGATGTCAGTGAACTTATCAAGAGCAATTTTAATATGGCGGAGGCAATAGCTTGATTAAAATGAGCTTAAGAAATGACATTACTCTGAAACACCAAGTATAGACAACTCTTTGCTGCGAAGGGAAGCAAGGAAATGGGGTTAGAATTGGTGGGTGAAACAATGTTTTTGTTTTTGGTCTTAATATGGAAGAAATAAGAAGATATCTGCATCCTGATTAGAATTTTCTAGTACAAAGGGCAATTTTGATGTTGTAGGAGTGAGAGGAGACAACTTCTTCAGTAATGCTCTTCAGCAGGTGAGAGGAGGTGGGACTTGATCTATGCAAGTGATAAATTTCTTTTAGGTAAGATCATGGAGAGAGTTTATGTTTAACAACAGGCAGGAAGGCAGATATTTGCCTGCATATGCTGATAAATAGGTTGATGTGATGACAGATGTCTAAAAATTCTCTTCTGATTGCTTCAGTTTTCTCAGTAAAGCTGGAAACAAGGTCATCAACTGAAAGTGGACATAAGGGAGAATGTGTTGGATATTTGAGCAGAAAAAGGTGTTAGTCGTTGGAGCAGACGGAGAGTAAATGGACTAGGTATTGATAGCTTGATTTTCTGACAGTGGTCACGAAGTTGAGGTCAGACCAGGCAAACATGGTTGTGTGGTGTTTTTATTTTTTTCCAGCCACATTAAGCAGCAGAAGTGCAGGCACAGAATACGTGCAGAGTGGGATTAACGGTTGTGGCTCTGACAAAGTGGAAATGAAAAGGTTGTTGAGGGCATATGCAATA
Source organism: Homo sapiens (assembly GCF_000001405.40). Taxonomy (NCBI): domain Eukaryota; kingdom Metazoa; phylum Chordata; class Mammalia; order Primates; family Hominidae; genus Homo; species Homo sapiens. The sequence continues at coordinate 170,774,900 of NC_000001.11, forward strand.
GAACGGTTATAATAACTAGCTATAGAATTTAAGCTGTGTAAGGGAAAAGAATAACATTAAATGAGTGAATTCCAGTGACAAAGTGGTAGGGTTATTAATTGTGGTAATGATAAAAGATGATTGATTTGGATTGTCAAAGGGAGCAGATGGGAAAAATGGGATTAGAATGAATAAAATTGGAAAGATTGAAGCTATTGATAGTGGCAAAGCCTAGGGAAAGTCCATGGGAGGGTGTGGCTAAAGTTAGGGAGAACAAGATTATTAGAGGAGAAAAGTCAAGGATCTGAGCGGTCATTGCCATTTATTAGATGTATAACCGCAGAAAAGTTGAGGACTAGAATAAATGCTGAAAAGGACTTCAATAAATTAACCTTAATCTTTTCAAACCTTTATTTTATAATTTACAAGGTGAAGATGTTAACTTTTCCCTTTCTACTTTAAAGGACAAGTGGTACAATAAATCAGGAAGTGCCTTGTAAACAATGCACCAGTGTGCAAACATGAATGTTACATTGCATTTGCTTCTGTGCACGCCTACAGGGTGTGGGGCAGGTATTTATTGAAGGGCTGAAAATTTTACATTGTACAAGATTAACAATAGAGAGCTATTTTAGGTTTCTAAACTTACATGATCAAACAAAATTAATTATTTCATTTACACTGGTAGAGATAAATTTGTAATTGTTTACTGATTTTCTCGGCTCTCTCGCTTTTCCCGTACAAGTTTTACAGACATACGAGTTAAATCCTTTTAGTTCTCTTGCCTTAATATTCAACTTTTTACATGGTAACATTTATATTTCTGTGCCTGATGTTCAGTAGCCTCCAAGATGTGATGTAATTTTGCCTTTCCACCTTTATATCCTGCTCATCTGCTGTGCAGCCTGTGCCTCTCCAAGATTCCAGAATAAAGTATGGCCTTCATGCTCCTGTTCCTTTGTTCATGCTCTTTCCTCAGAACTGTGGTACTATTCCTCACAATAGAATCAATCCAGTAACGATTCTATTGGTAACATTATTTGATCTCACATGCCACATAGTCAGTATAGCCTTTTGCCAAAGTTTATATAAACTTATACATATAAATTATTAAATAATTTTAATTGCTCATATATATGGCCAGTGTACTATAAGCTCTTTTGGGGCAGGGATTATGTGTTATTTATCTTAGCAGAAATGAACAATAAATTTTATCCTAATAAGCACTTATTGTGGTTTTTATTATGCTCAGCAAATATTTGTTGACTGAATAAATGAGTAGAAGAATGATTGAAGGCTCCCTATGCACAGGGCACCACGCTGAATTCTGTGTTGAATATTAAAATTAAAAATATGTGCTCAATAAAACTTGATTCATTTAAGTGTTCGTATTTCAAAGAGTTTCCCTGCTGAACTGGAAACTGCCTGCAGAGTAAGAGCAAATGGAGTTTGACATATTAACTTAGGAAAACAAGGCAGCTGTGGAGGAATGGAAAGAGAACTAGACTGAGAGCAGGAGCTCAGATTTCCAGGACCAGCTCATATGACGGCTTTATGACTACAGCCACCTTGAAGCATCTCTGAACATCAGTGTCCTCATCTGTAAAATGAGGTATTTGATTATGCGATCTCTAAGGTCCTTTCTAATGCTAACACTTCATGATTCTAAGATGTTATGAAATCATCTGAGTCACTGTCAAACTCAAAATCAAGCTTTGCCAAGGAGAGCCATTTGTGAATTGCAGGATGGCCAATTATCTTGACTGGACAATATAACAGTTCAAAAGAGAGAACAACAAATTATAATTCTTTTTTTTCTTGTCCAAGGCAAGATGATTGGTTCTGAAAATCACGCACTGTTCTTAGCTCAAAATCCCAGACAAGTTTTATGTCCCTGCTCTGTTTTAGAGGGCACGAATAAATGCACATCTTCTTCAATATAGATGGAAAATGTGACATACTTTAGGTTGAGCTCCAACCAATGTGCAGAGAATCACTTCTATAACCATGACAAAGAAAGGAAAAAAAAATTCTGCGGAACTTCAACTAAATTGGAATTGATATTTGTTGCTGAGCCTGGGGACTTGCCTCTTGGCAGAAGTCGGTTTTTCACATTTGGTTGCAAAAGTCTAATGACATGAAACAACAGCTGGCCTTGTAATTCCTAATAGACTGCATCTGCTCCTGATATTTGAGAGTGACCATGACAGCATTCCCAATAGGGATCTCACCAAGCCTCAGAAGATACCCTTGTCCTTTCTGAAAATCATATATGTCCTTGTGCATACATGCCTATGACTGAAGAATCTTGGATTAACAGGGGAGACACACAGGGAAAATAAGAATAAGCTTTTATTTGCTCAGGGCAAAAACTTAATGTCTCATAATTCAATGTGTTAGTCCATCACTGACTGCACTTTTTTCCATTGCTGCAGAAGAAGCAGCATGGCATAATGGAAAAACCCTGGGCTTTGAAGCAGGTGGTTCTGGACTTAACTAGTAGTGCCTCAATTTACTAGCTAAGAGGCTTTATGGAAGTTACTTAATGTCTTTCAGTCTGTTTATTCATCTGTAAAATAACACATTTCTTTTGCAGAGTTGTGAACAGGTAGATTTTACAGTGGGTAAAACACATAGATACTTTATATATTCTAGATTCCCTATTTGATCATAAAATTTCTTTTTTTTTTTTGGAGACGGAGTCTCGCTCAGTCGCCTAGGCTGGAGTGCAGTGGTGGGATCTCGGCTCACTACAAGCTCCGCCTCCTGGGTTCACGCCATTCTCCTGCCTCAGCCTCCCTAGTAGCTGGGACTACAGGCGCCCGCCACTACACCAGGCTTATTTTTTTGTATTTTTAGTAGAGACGGGGTTTCACCGTGTTAGCCAGGATGGTTTCGATCTCCTGACCTCGTGATCCGCCCGCCTCGGCCTCCCAAAGTGCTGGGATTACAGGCGTGAGCTACCGCGCCCGGCCTGATTATAAAATTTTAATGCTGTGATAATGCTAGTGAGGATTCTATCTTAAACTACTTAAAGCGTTTTTTTTTTGGTTTTTTTTTGGTTTTTTTTTAAGTTGGGGATGCAGTTCTCAGTCACATATACAGAAATGCTAAGCAGCATTGTTCTCAAATAAGGGTCAACTACAGTGGTTGTCTGGTGCCTCTTAGGAAGAAAACTCAGCAGGTCTAGCTTCATGGGCATGCTTCCTAAGCAGTCACAAAGGACCCTATGTTTAGAAGGGCTCCATTTTTGGTTTAATGCTCTGCTGTTGACATGTTGAAATTCTTAATAATTTTTGAATAAAGGCCCCACGTTTTCATTTTGCACTGGGCCCTGCAAATTACACAGTCTGTCCTGAGACTTAGGAAGGAAATTCTCTGCTACATGCATGCTTCCTCGAATTTATAAGAAAAAAGATGTACATATATGAAGGCATATTCTATCCTCTTTTTTTTTTTTTTTTTTTTTTTTTAAGACGGAGTCTCACTCTGTCGCCCAGGCTGAAGTGCAGTGGTGCAATCACGGCTCACTGCAAGCTCTGCCTCCCAGGTTCAGGCAATTCTCCTGCCTCAGCCTCCCGAGCAGGTGGGATTACAGGCACATGCCACTAGGCCAGGCTAATTTTGTATTTTTAGTAGAGGCGGGGTTTTACCATGTTGGCCAGGCTGGTGTTGAACTCCTGATCTCAGGTGATTCACTCCCCTCAGTCTCCCAAAGTGTTGGGATTACAGGCGTGAGCCACTGCACCTGGCCAGCATGGTCTGTCTTAAAAATAGGCATTAGGCCTGGTGCAGTGGCTCATAACTTGTACTCCCAGCACTTTGGGAGGCCGAGGTGGGAGGGTCAGTTGAGGCCAGGAGTTTGAGACCAGCCTGGGCAACATAGCAAGACCCCATCTCTACAAAAATAAAAAATAAAAATAAATTAGCTGGGTGTGGTGGTGTGCACCTTAGTCCCAGCTACTCAAGAGACTGAAGCAAGAGATTGAGCCTAGGAGTCCAAGCCTGCAGTGAGCTTTGATCATGCCACTGCACTCTAGCCTAGGTGACAGAGTAAGACCCTGTATTTAAAAAAATTAAAAACAAATAAATAAAAGGTATTAGCATTTATACTTTTGGTTTCAAAGGATAAAGTTAATTCTGAGTTGGTTTTGCAGAGTCTAAATGAAATGGGTTACACATTTATACATGTAAGCATATTAAAGATTGGAAGCTGAACCAAAGGGTAACGAGAGCATTCTTGCTCTCCAACCAAGCCTCTCCAACCAAGACAGCCAAGTGGCAGTGAAGCATCGTGTTTAATAGTATTCTGCAGCTAGACTACTTGGGTTCAAATCCAAGCTCTGCTTACTAGCTGTGTAACTTTGGGGAAGCCACTAAATCTAACTATGCCTCAGTTTGCGATTTCATTGGGTAATTGTGAGGATTCTATAACTTCCTACATATAAAGCTCTGAGACCACTGATTGACACAGTCAGTGTTCAATAAGTACAATCTATTATTATCATCTAAAAAGTAGAACCTAGCAGAGTTTCAGTTTCATTTGGAAAGATACAGTTGCTACTTTAAGGGATTTAAAAATCTTTCAGTCTAAAATAATAAAGATAACCAATTTTATTGACATTGTGAGTTTTACAAGTCTTAGAATCATACTTATCTGAGAATGTTTACACTTTTTAAAGTTTTGTGATGAGAATTATCAATAGAAAAGCAACTGAGAGTAAACACGTAAGTGTAAATCAGTCATTTGCATTTATATGCATATATTACTTTATTCATTTAAAGTTATTCATTGAGTGCTTTTTACATGCTGGGTTCTGTGTTAGCTTCTAGGGATAAGTCAGTGAAGACATTTATTTTACCAAATAGCTCATCATGTAGTAGAGATTACAGACCTGTAATCAAGTTACAATTACAGTATGAAAAGGTCTGTGAAGGAATAAGTACCAGGTATAATGAAATCAAAGGGAATGCCCCTAACTCATTTCTGTGGCAGGAGGTGATCAGAGAGGGCTTTAAAGAGGAAGGAATGTTTAAGATGAGCCCTAAAAGGTCATCCAGAGTTAATTATGTGAAAAGGGAGGAACAATATAGACAAAGTCCTGGGGTTGTTGCACAAGGTTCAGCATGACTGGAATGTAGACTGTGAAGTGAAAAAGTAATGACATTAAAGACTGAATTCACAGAGAGGGGCTAAATTATTGACTTTGTAAACAGTGTAAGGAGCATAGAACTTATCTCGAGGCCACACCAAATCATTAACTTTTTAAGGAGTTAAGCCGGGCGAGGTGGCTCATGCCTGTAATCCCAGCACTTTGGGAGGCCGAGGCAGGCAGATCACGAGGTCAGGAGATCGAGATCATCCTGGCTAACACGGTGAAACCCCGTCTCTACTAAAAATACAAAAAAATTAGCCGGGCGTGGTGGTGGGCGCCTGTAGTCCCAGCTGCTGGGGAGGCTGAGGCTGGAGAATGTCGTGAACCCGGGAGGCGGAGCTTGCAGTGAGCCGAGATCGCGCCACTGCACTCCAGCCTGGGCGACAGAGCGAGACTCTGTCTCAATAAATAAATAAATAAATAAATAAATAAATAAATAAATAAATAAAAAATAAAAAATTTTAAGGAGTTGAAAGCCATGATTAAGTTAGAGTTTAGAAAATTTACTCTGACTGCACTATAAGCAATTGATTGGACGGGGGAAATTATTGTAGGCAGGAAGATAGAAGGCTGTGAACTAATTCAGGTGAGAGATGATAAAGTCTTGCTAAGATAGGGATAACAGTAATTGTAATAAATTGTTGGAGTCATAGACACCAAGGAGGTAGAATCATCTGGACATTGAGGAAGAGGGAGGAGGAAGTAGCAGAAATACTCACCAGATTTCAGGCTTGGATAATTGTGGGTGATTGGTGGCATTTAAGAGGAGGAGTAGGATTGGGAAGAGTGAAGGCTTAAATCGTAATGAATTTAGTTTGGGACATGATGAGTTTGAATAGCTTTGGAAAATAAAATAGAAATGTTCATTAGGCAGGTAACTATATAGTTTGAGGTTTGGGCAAGAGTTATTGGTTTAGAAAAATATTTTGAGAATCATTAGCATAGAGACGAAAAATGAAGTTATGAAAAGAAGGAAGTATGTTTAGAGTGATAAGAAGTCAGGATTTGGGACAAGATCCTGAATCAGAGGCAAATAAAAGAAAAATAATGCACAAAGACCAAGAAGTAGGCAAAAAGATAGAAGGAAAACCATAAAATCTTTAGATATCAAAGAATCTAAAGAAAAATAAAGTGCTTCAAGAAGTGGGAAATAACTATAAATATCTAAATGTACAGACAATTTGATAAGGTAAGGATTGAGTCATTGCCTGTTGAAGTCTGCAACAAGGGTATAGCTGATCTAGCTAAGAACCCTGTAGTTAAGTAGGAAACCACCTTTCATACCATTAAAGTATAAATGGGAAATGAGGAGAAAGACAGGACGAGTTCCTGTAGATAATAGTGACTGCCAAAATTTAACCTATCTACACATTCTACTAAGAACAATGGAAATAAAAAAATAAATAAAATCACGCACATAATAAGAAAATAGAGCAGATGTAAAATCCGATTAACACGTAATTGGAGAAATAATCACCCAAGATTAGTAGAGTAGGCTCCAGAACTCACAGTGGAGCTGAGAGTCTCTCAAGGCCTCAGAAGAAGCAAACAAAACTTAGTGGGGTCCTTGCAGTGGTAGAACACAGTTAACATCAATTAAGGGCTGTTTCATAAGGCAAGGGACCCACTCTGAGTAGGAAATACTAAAAATGAAAAAGAAGATGTGGTGAATCAAAGTATTGGATACTTGGAAGTCAAAAGAAAAGAACTTGGAAAGTGTGCAGGAACAGGCTTTGGAAGACAGGAAATTATTTTAGAAGCTAGAAATGTATTTGGAGGCTGGATAGTGAAGGTAAAGCAGAAGGAGTGTAAAGCTAAGGTTTTTTATGGCATCATCCTGTTATTTGTTTTCTGTCTAGTTTGTTCTTTGTTGTCTTTTTCTGTATTCTTTGGAATTATTTTTAATGATTTTATTTCCTCTTCTTTATTGGCTTGTTAGCTGTAACTTTGTGGGTTTTTTTTAATTTTAGTAATTGCTTTAGGGTTTATAGTATACATCTTTAACTTATCACAGTCAACCTTCATGTGATGTATCGCTTCACATATACTGTAGCAACCTTAAACATGTATATGTCTCTTTCTCCCATCTTGACATTATTGTAACACATTTTACTTTAATAGATGTTATAAACTCTACATTAACTATATTAACAACTATATATAACAACATTGTTATTTATAATTTTGTTTAATATCAACTTTTTATTTTATCTTATTTCTTTGTTTCTTTATGCAGTGGCACCATCTCGGCTCACTGTAGTCTTGACCTCCTAGGCTGAAGTGATCCTCTCACCTCAGCTTTCTGAGTAGCTGGGACTACAGGCATGCACCACCACATCCAGCTATTTTTGTTTATTTTTTGTGTGGAGATGAGGTCTCACTGTGTTGCCTAGGCTGGTCTTGAACTCCTGGGCTCACGAGATCCTCCTGTGTCGACCTCCTAAATTGCTGGGATTACAGATGTGAGCCACTGCACACAGCCTAAAATTATATTTGAAAGACATTTAAATAATAATAAGAGATTGTCAGAGATTTATCCAACAGCTACCATTTCCAGGGCTCTTTATTCCTTTGTCTAGATACAGATTTCCATCTGGTGTCATTTTCTTTCCACCTGAAGAAACTCCTTTAATTTTTTTTTGAAGTATGGGTCTGCTGGAGAGCGCTTTTAGCTTTTGTATGTCTGAGAATCTCTTTTTGAAGAAATGTCCTTCATTTCTGAATGACAATTTTAGTAGCTATAGAATTCTAGATTGACAATCGCTTTCCTTCAGCACTTTAAAGATGTTGTTCTACTGTCTTCTCACTTACACTGTTTCTGATAAAAAATCTTTGACCATCCTTAACTTTGTTCCTACATTTGTAATGTATCACTGTTCTTTAGATACATTTACACTTTTCTTTTCATCACTATTTTTGAGAAATTGGATTATAATAGGATTGGTGTAATTTCCATCATGACTCTTGTCCTAGGTTTTGTTTTTGTTTTTGAGATTCTAGGATCTGTAGATATATATAGTCTTCATCAATATAAAAAAAAGGACATTATTTTTTCAAATACTCTTTCTGTGACCCATTCTTTTATTGGGATTCCAATTATACATATATAAGGCCATTAAAAGTTATCCCACAGTATGCTAGTGACCTTTTACTTTTTAAAATTATTTTTTCTTCTGCATTTTATTTTGAAGAGTTTCTATTGTTGTCTTCAGTTTTACTACTTTTTTCTTTGTGGTGTCTAATCTGCCATTAATCCCTTCTAGTGTATTTTTCATTTCAGACAGCATAGTTTTAATTTCTAAAAGTTTGATTTTTGTCTATATTATGCCTTCTATAACTCTATTTAACTTTTCGGATATATGGAATTCAGCTGTCAATTCCCTTTCTTGATAATTTTATTATAATATCTATATCTATTCTGGGTCATTTCTGTTTGCTTGAAGTTTCTTTTCATTAGAAGTTATATTGCTTTGTATGTCTGACATTTTCGTTGTTGTTTAGATTTCAGACATTGTGAATTTTAATCTGTTGGGTGCTGGATGTTTTTATATTTCTATAAGTAGTCAAAGTTTATTCACGGATAAAGTTAAGATACATGGAAAGGATTTGAGATAGTTTGAGATTTATGATTTTGCTTTGTTTTGTTTTGCTTTGTTTTTCTCAGATGGGACTGGAGACGTGCTCAATCTTGGGTGAATTACTCTCCACTACTGAGAGGAGTTCCTTCTGAGTATCCTGTTCAGTGACCCAGGAATTTTGAGGTTTTCCAATCTGCCTGGTAAGCATAGGCACTTCTTCCCACCCAACACATGTAGCAGTCTTTAATCCTTGGGGTAGATCTTCCCCAGCCTCAGGTAGTTATCCTCCATACATTCACTTAGCTGTATACTTGACAGAAAACCTCTGTTTTTAGAGCTTCCCTTCTATACAGTCCTTTCCTCTCCAGTAATCTGGCCTAAAACCCTAGCTGCCTTATTCTCTCTGGATTTTTCATTTTCTCCTCAACTCAGGGAATCCACTGGACCCTGCTTGGGCTTCCACTTCTTGAATAGGGGCCTGGAAGCTCTCTTAAAGGCATAAGCTTGATAATCGTATGACTCACCTTACTTGTTTTCCATCTCTTGGGGAACTCTGTCCTTTGTTGTCTCATATTCAGTGTCTTGAAAATTGTTTCATATAGATGGTTCAATATATTTTTTGGTTATTAGTCCTCCTTGGCCAAAAACAGAAGTCTAAAACTCACAATTTTGTTTAAAATATATTTCTTAGCCCTGTTCACTTAAGATGCCTAAAAAAAAATCTTCCTGGTAACAATAAACAACATAGTGCCCAGATTTTTGTTTCTACTTAATTTCCATTAAAAAAATCAGGGTGATTTGGTGAAATGATTGATTCTGCATCATGATTTGGGAAATAACAAGGTTATCCTGAACTTTTCTGTGTCAGAAAGCAAGAGTTCAAAGACTATAGGGATGTGTCCAGTCGAAGGCATTTCCACAGGCCAAATCATTGGAGGTGGTAATTATATAAAAATCTTGTTGCATAAATTGGTAAATAAATGAAAATGATGTTCACTCAATTTTAGAAGAGAAATGTAGTTTTTTTCTAGTGGATAAAAAATTTTTTCTCTTATAGAAAAATGCTAACTAGTAAACATAAAAAAATTATAGTATTGGGAGAAATATTCACTGTCTTACAACTCCATAATAAAATGATTGATTGTGGTAATGACTATCAAATGTACTAAAACCCTTAGATAAAATGTTAATTAAGAATGATACATTCACATGGAGCCAGATAGTTTACTGTCTTATTGTAAAAATTAGAAAAAATTACAGTGGAAAGAGCTGACTCTTAACATCTCAATCAAGTGCTCAAACTTGGCATCACCAATAATAAGATCTGGATTTGATGTGCCACCTGATGTAATACAATATGAAGTGCCCAGCAGTCTTCTTAAGATATTCTTATTGAACATGTTTAATCTGAAGCTAATTATTCATTTACATTTCTGGTTCACAGGAATATGGGAGATTTAAAAAAAAGGGAATCCAGATGGAAACAATCAGTCAAGCAAATTCAGATTTTAGAAGTTCCACAAGATGACTGATCCAGTCTCTTCAAAAATTCAATGTTATTAAAAAGAAAAAAAAAGATATTGGGACTGTTCTTAATTAAGAGGGACTAAAAAGATATAATGACCAAATACAATAGGTAAACCTTAACTGGATTGTTTTGTTCAGGAAAAAAAACCAAGTAAGATATCTTGTGGACAATTGGGGGTTATTTAAAAATGGACTAGTATTATGGTTTATTAGGGATTTATGTTTAATTTTCTTTAGGGCAATAATTTTATGGCTATATAAGAAAATGTTCTTATTTTTAAGAAATGTAGAAATGTCTTTATTTTTAGGAGTGTCATGATGTCTGCAAATTACTTTGAAATGGCCAAATGTTAATAGTTTTTTGATCTAGATCTTTGACCTTGAATATATTTTATTATTCTTTCTCTCTTGTCTGTTCATTTAAAATGTTTCATAATACAATGTTTAATGGGGGAGAGAACATATTCTACTAAACATTTTAATACCTAGAAAATTGCCTTAAGGAATTAATGATAAATGGTGGCAAACATTTTTACCATCAGAATGTTCCTGATGAAATAACTTAAGTATATGACAATTAGAAATGCAGATAAATTGGCTCTATGTTCTCAAAATAAAAATATTAATCCCAACAGACTTTTTGGCAGATTGGCTCTAGAATTTATGTAGAGCAGCAAAAGACAAAGAATAGGCAATTTATTTCTCAAAAGGAAGAAAGAAAGAAAAAAACTTTACTGTAAAGATTATAAAGCTATTTTAAAGTTAAAAAGGTATAGTGTAGGAATGAATTGTTAACTGATTGAGCAAAATAGAAAGCTCACAAAACAGAGTATACATAAATGGAATTTTGATATATGATGTAGGTGGCATAACAAATTACTGGAGAAAGAAGAAACTATTTAGTAAATGAACTGGAATAATTATAATTCATATGAGAGAAAAATAAATTTGGAGCCCTACCTCAAACCATACACAAGAATCAATTCCAGATAGATTGAGCACCTAAATATTGAAAAATATTGTGAAGGAAAGAAAGAAGGTGAAGCCAGAGGAAAACATTAGTTTGGGATATTTGTTTTTGTTTTCAAAAATAGGAGAAACTTGTAAAGATTCTGAGAAATATTGAGTAGAGAAGGAAATATAGAAAAGAGGAGGAAGAGCACCCCTAAAAAGCATATGGCAATCTGACAAATAGTAAAGTGCTGCCATAGAACAAATATTTAGTAATTATTAAATTAATGGATTAACAAAGAAAGAATTCACTTAGCTAGAATGTGCAGAAATTGGTTCAGATCAGTAGTTTTTTTGTTTTGTTTTGTTTTCTGACAAGTATGAATGTGAAATCAGCAGATGTAGCCACTGATAACCTTGCTTGGATGTGTGACTTTTTATGTCAGGTTTTAGAAACAGGCTGTAAACCAGTGGGGAATAACCCACTGTGGCTAAAAAATTAAACATAAACTTTTCAGACTCATTGGAAACAGTGTGTGGATATGAAAAAAATATGTACTGTAACCAGAGAAAAAGAAGGCTACTTAAGAGATAACTCTCCAATGAGTATCTTTTGTTTCTTTGTTTATTGTTGATGTTGTTGTTATTGTTTTTCTAAACCTTGGCACCAGTATGCTATCTTGAAGGAGAGTATTCTCAGGAGATCTAAAATGGCATGTGTACTATTCAAAAATAGCAAAGATATGGAATCAACCTAAGTGTTCATCAGTAGATGGATGGATAAAGATAATGGGGTTGGTTAGCCACATGCAGAAGATTGAAATTGGGCCCCTTCTTTATACCACGTACAAAAACATCAACTCAAGATGAGTTAAATACTTAAATGTAAAACTTAAACTGTAAAGACCCTGGAAGATAACCTAGGAAATATCATTCTGAACATAGGATCTGGCAAAGATTTTATAACAAAGACACCAAAAGCAACTGCAACAAAAACAAAAATTGACAAATGGGACCTACTTCAATTAAAAAGCTTCTACACAGCAAAAGAAACCATCAACAGAGTAAACAGACAACCTACAGAATGGGAGAAAATATTTGCAAAGTATGCATCCAACAAAGATCTAATATCCAGCATCTATAAGGAACTTAAACAAATCAACAAGCAAAAAACAACCCCATTAAAAAGTGGGCAAAGGACGTGAACAGATACTTTTCAAAAGAAGACATATACACGGCCAACGAGCATTTGAAAAAATGTTCAACATCGCTAATCATTAGATAAATGCAAATTAAAACCACAATAAGATACCATCTCACACCAGTCCGAATGGCTACTATTAAAAAGTCAAAAATAACAGATGCTGGTGAGGTTGCAGGGAAAAGGGAACACTATACACTGTTGGTGGGAAGGTAAATTAGTTCAGCCACTGTGGAAAGCAGTGTAGCAATTCTTCCAAGAACTTAAAACAGAACTACAACTTGATGTAGCAATCCTATTATTGGGTATATACCCAAAAGAAAATAAATCATTATACCATAAAGTCACATGCACACATATGTTTATTATAGTACTATTCACAGTAGTAAAGAAACAGAATCAACCTAAATGTCCATCAATGGTAGACTGGATAAAGAAAATGTGGTACATATACACCTAGAAAACTATGCAGCCATAAAAAAAATTGAGATCATGTCCTTTGCAGTGACATAGATGGAGCTGGAGGCCATTATCATAAGCAAATTCACGCAGGGACAGAAACCCAAATACCGCATATTCTCACTTATAAGTGGGAGCTAAACAAGAACACGCGGACACAAATAAGGGAAACAACAGACACCAAAGTCTACATGACGTTGGAGAGTGGGAGGAGGCAGAGAGTCAGAAAACAAAGATTATGTCTTTTGCAGTGATATGGATGGAGCTGGTGGCCATTATCCTAAGCAAACTCATGCAGGAACGGAGACCCAAATACTGTATGTTCTCACTTGTAAATGGGAGCTAAACGAGAACATGTGGACACAAAGAAAGGAAACAGCAGACACCAGGCCTACATGAAGATGGAGGGTGGGAGGAGGGAGAGAATTAGATAACTACACATTGGGTACTATGCTTATTACCTAGGTGATGAAATTATCTGTATGCCAAATCTCCATGATACAGCTTAACTATATAAAAAACCTGAATATGTACCCCTTAATCTAAAATAAAAGCTTTTTTAAAAAAAATGGTTGAAAATGTAAAGTTTATGCTTGCATATTTTACCAATGAATTTTTAAAATAAAAAAAATAGAATTTTACCTTAAAAAAAGAAAATGTGGTATGTGGTATATATACACAATGGAATATCATTTGGCCATATTTGCAGCAACATGGATGGAACTGGAAGTCATTATGTTAAGTGCAATAAGCCAGGCACAGGAAGACAAACATTACATTTGTCTCATAAATATCTCATTCCCATGTGGGAGCTAAAAAAGTGGATCTCATGGAGTTCGAGATAGTTACCAGAGGCTGGGAACAATGTGTGTGGGTTAGGAGGGGATAAAAGAAGTAGGAAGGTGAGAAATTACAGTAGCTGCAGACATTGAAAAAGCAGGAAGAGATGGTTGATTTTTCTAGCATTCTGGCCCCTAAATGCAATGTTCAGGAGTTTTTGCCTTTAGTCAACGTGTTCTATATCCAAGTTTCAGAAAGTTTATATCTGAATAGCCAAATTTAGATTTTTTGCTCATTCTTCAGATAGAGGAGCACAGAGCATACTGATCCATGGTTCAATCAACCTGTGAATGAGTATTGTTAGGAAGAGGATGGAGAGTTGTTGCTATATGAAAAAACAAAAATGTGTATATGCTCCAGGCCCTTGGCTATCTTAATATCCACAAATTTATTCCTATATATTAACCCTCAATAAGGGTTTAACCTAACATAATGTTAGTATTCCACAAACAATGAAAATATGTTCATCTTCTCTCTAAAGGTGGATAACTCCAAACAGCATCCACCTCAAGAATTTCTGAGTAGCATGAACTCTGCTATCACCCTATCTCAGGAGTCTGCAGCCTATGGATTAAGCAAGATCATGCAACAAAATATAACCATGGTTTTCTGTTACGGGGAGCCTATTTGCATTAATACTGATCTTCTCATGTCCCAGAGATCCCCAAGGGACAGATATGGAAAGTGAGAGCCAGGGTGGTCATGTGCTTTACCCAAAACAACCAGTGACTAAGTAGTCAAGCGAAGATGTGATACCAGATTTGTTCACTTCTAAAGCTCTCTCTTTCCTTTCCATCCTGGAAAGGTTAGAACAACAAAAAGTAAATGTCCTCCTTGGATAATTTTAAGAGAAATAAAAAATTTAAGATGTGAAAATGGAATTCTGAGGAGAGTTTTAGGTCCTGGAAAACAGGGTAGAAGGCTTAGGGTAACAAAAACATGGGTAGGGGCCAGGTGTGGTGGTTCATGCCTGTAATCTCAGCACTTTGGGAGGCTGAGGCAGGTGGATCACGAGGTCACGAGTTCAAGACCAGCATGGCCAATATGGTGAAACCCCATCTCTACTCAAAATACAAAAATTAGCCGGGTGTGGTGGCGCATGCCTATAGTCCTAGCTACTCAGGAGGCTGAGGCAGGAGAATCACTTGAATGTCGGAGGCGGAGGTTGCAGTGAGCCGAGATCACACCACTGCACTGCAGCCTAGGTAACAGAGCGAGACTCTGTCTCAAAAAAAAAAAAAAAAATGGGTAGGAGATGAGAGGTATATTTATTTAATGGAGAGAGGAAGATAAATAGGGCTTCCATATTTTTATTTTTAAAACTATTTCACAGAAACAAAACACTTTATACTCACTGATGACTATCCCTTCAGCCATTTGTGCCAATAGGTAGTTGTTTAGATTTTGTTATTATTAAGTATACGCTTTGATTGACATAAGTTAGTAGGTCACATGAACATCTGTGATTTTTTAAAACTTGATACCTTTAAAGAAAAAATATAATTCAATTAGAGGCAGGACAGAGTTGAAATTGGTTATTTAGGGCGAAAAACAAATTAGATTCTCACCTTACATTAAATAGCAAAAAAATTCTAAATATGTGAAAAAGTTAATGTTTTAAAAAATAAGAACCATAAGAAAAGAAACTTAGATGAAAGTATAGGAAATATACAGGAATGGAAACAGGTTTTTAAAGCATAAAGGCCATGAAATGTCCCTGCTGGCCAGGGAACAGGAATGCTCAGGTGTTACCCAAGATTCTGTGATTTGCAGTTAGTGGTAATGGAAGTTTCCACGTGGTGGTGCTGCATTCAGTGTCGAAAAGACTGAATTCTCTCCAAAATCTTCTAAGACCACATTCCCCACCACCACTTTTTATACCCAACAAAGAACAGTGCTGGACTTTTTATCCTGCTAAGATTTATTCCCAATTTAAATCTTGGAAGCTGCACACAGGCATAATTATTTTGGTCAAGCAGGAGAAAGCTTATTCTGTTTCAAAACAAGTCATGCAAGGAAAGATTTAAGGAATTTCATTTTAGCCTGAAGATGTGAAATTTAAACTTCCACTAAAGGACGCTTGGGGAAAATGTTTAGACAAAGTCATGGTGTTGGCTAAACTTTCTGAGTGTCTTATTCTGATGTCAGGTATGTAGTAAGAGACTCACATATGGCACAATCTAGGTTCTCACAGTCTCAAATAACACGCTGGTCATATTCAGATTTTATTCTCTTTGAAGCGTTGAGATTGCATTCCACTGTTAGCTTGGTAGCTATGATTCAACTTACACTTTTAAAATTTATCTGTTGGTAAGCACAGAAAGCTACAGAGAATTTTTTGTTGTTGTTTTTAAGTTTTGGTCAGAATATTTGGAACTAGATGAATTCCAAGAAAAACAAACTAAAGAGCTAAGTTAATGACTGTACTGTTTTTACTGCTACAGAATTCAAATCCTTCTGTGCCATCTCTGACTAATTCTGAAATTGGTGATTATATGGTGTCAAACAATGTGAGAGCTTCTAGCTAGCAAAGCAAAACTAAGGGATAATGTCACAGTGGGCAGTGTTGCCAATCGATTCAATCAATTCTAAGCAATAAGAGATGAATTTTAAATGGTAATAGTCACAGTTAATAGAATTGTAAGAATCCTGGTGAATTGATAAACTCTCTCACTGTCTGTCCCAATAAGCATGGCTTAGTCTGACTTAAAGATAAAGTTCCAGTTGGCTGTGTCTATTGACACAGCCTGAAATGGAGTTAAAGATCCAAACCCAAGTGTATCAGGTGGGTTGTTCAGGGAAGAGCTTTAGGAATATTTCAAAGCTATAGATACAAATAGGTGTGAACCCTCTGAAGAAAAGAACACAGCAGAATTAAAAATAAAGGTAGATTTTTTCAGAAGTTTATTCTCTAAAACAACACAGGATAACATATTTCCTTTTATCTTGATCTCCAGCAAGAAACTTGGGTTATGAAAACCATCTGTAGATTACATTAGATGGAAAGTTAAGTCAACATTTGAGATATTACTAAGGTCATTATTGAGTTTTAGGGAAAGAATGAGGAAATTCCATGTTGGGGTTGGGGTCCTCAATACAACAGTGATGCTGGTGACTTATAAAGAATGTGTGGAAAAGACAGGAGTGATTTTGAGGATTGAGAGTTGGGTTGAGAAAATAATGAGAGATTAGAGACTGCCTAACTGAATCATAATTCAGGAGTGATGTGAGTAATAATGCATGAATATTTTAAACTTTCCAGTGTCTGTGAAGGAGAAAGACTTAGTACTTTTAGAGCAATAAATTCAAGTTAATAATTAGGATAAACTTTCTGACAGTATTATTTGTTTTATTTGGGAGACAAACTGCTCCTGAAATGGAGAAATAGAGAAAGTTAAGCCAAATACCAGCTAAGTGAAGCACGTTTTAAAATAGGATAGGATTGTGGTGTCTAAGGCACCATCTGTTGGCAGTTATCTGACTACGAAACCTGAGTTCATGGTTGGGCTGATTTTTATATGAATCCCTTGGCATTATGATGTTTAGGGGAAGTAAAGTAACTGCACAACATCCCCTCTGACGGAGGCCACATCAGTAAAAAGGAAAGCATAGTCTCTTCTCTGCCTCATCACGGGAAGGTCGCCAAGGGAGGCACAAGTCAGGAATGAATGTAAGTGAATAGAAAGAAGGAATAAGGGAAGAATAGCATAAGGCCTTTGGTTGCTTGTGTTTTGGGGCAATATTTTTGTGGTCACTTTCATTCAGTACCTGGATCTCTGAATTTCATGGGATTGATGGGGGCCTCTTGTTAGTACCTTATGTTTACATCTGTTTGTCAGGTGGTACTTCTAAGTAACAGTAGACAGATTTCTAGTATTTCTTGGATTTATTTGTTTCTAGTGGTTGTCCCAAAGATTCTAAGATCAAACCCTTAGAGTCACACAGATTTTGAATCCACTCCTATGTTTGTAGCATCTTGGTTGTTTTCTTGATTTCTTGTGTGTAATAATCTTGGGTGACCAGTGTTTCCTGGCCCAGAATATTTTTCTTACATTCTCTTGGGATCTTTAGGAGGACAGACCTTTAATTCCTTCTTTGTATTGCCTAGGCCTAACTATTGAGGATTTCTATAACAATCTCATATGGCTTCTCTTCAGCCATGCAAATCACATTAAAGGCAGCCTAGGTTTACAACAGTACCCAGACTGAGAAGTGCCTATACAAAGAGTGACAAGTGCTTTGGGGAGGCTGAGGACTAGGAGACATGTAGTTTTATGGTGTAATGTAAGGAAAGAGACATACTAGTAATATAGAGATGAGTAAGCAAGTTTTAGATAGACTATGTCTATTTCAGACAACAAACATTTATTTATTTTTGCTAATATATGCAAGTCCACAGACTAGAAATTCAGAGCATTTAAAGACGAATGAAATACAAATTAAAGAACTCAACATTTCATGGGTTGAGGGTGGGCATTGGACACATGACATTTGATATAAACTGGGGAGTGATGCGAGCCTATTGTCTCAGACTACTGGAAAGGAGTAACAAGGCAACAAACGACAGGTCATGTTTTCAAGGTCACTTGTCTTGGCACCCCTCGCTTACACAGCTGCAACCCTCACCTATCAGAGAAATTAGACTGTAGATTTAAGTGAAAATTAACATTATTTAGGAAATGGTTCTTAAGGTGATCTCATTTTCTCCTCTTGCCCCTATATACTTTTTCACTCATCTGATTTTGCCATTATATTCATTAGAATGATTTATAAATAGCCATTTCCAGATTTTTCTTAGTTTCCATTAGTTTCAGTCTTAAATCATTCACAGACTCGTGGGACTATATATTTCAACATTACTTCTGCCTTAATATGTCCCAAGCAGAATTTGCCTTCATCCCCGACGGTACCTACCTCTTCTAAGTTTCATGACTCTAGCCTTCACACTGTCACAGAATCAGGCATCTGTCACCCAGGTTCCACATTCTTTTATTATCTTTAATCCTTTCTCCCCTTTACTTTATATATCTGAGTGCCAATGTGTCAATTACTATATATGTCTAACAAATCATCATTCTTATTCAAATTACCATCAACTTTCCCTTTGCCTACTGAAATTACCTTTCTCTTATCCATCTATAATTTATTCTACACACATCAGCCAGAGTAATCTTTTAAAAATGCTAGTAATATCTGGGCATTGCCCAATGTCCAATGCCATCCCATCACATTTAGAATAATTTTTCCTTCAGTGTAGAAGCACCTAGATGATATAGCCGCCTTCTAAATCTCCAACTCCATTTCACCTTATTTCTTGCTCACTGCATTCAAATCCACATTGCCCTCCTTTCTGTTCCACCACCACACTAAAATTGTTTCCTGTTAGGGCCTTTGCATTAGCTGTTCCCTCTGGTTGTGACGCTTGTCCACATCCTTTCTTGACTGGCTTCTTCTGCCATGCAGGTCTCAGCTGAAATATCTATCAACTGCTCAGAGAAGGCTTCAGTGAAAATCCTCTTCCACTCAGTTTTTCTGTATAACAATGGCCCTTCATAGCATTCATCACTCTCTGGTATATTCTTTATTCATATAAGCTCTATTAGTGCTTTGGGCTTATTTGTTGTCTACCTATCTATGTATCTAAACTAGCCTATCTATTTATCTATCTGTCTATCTAGATATAAAGGCTGCTTGAGCCTTCTAAAGTGTCTAGAACAAACATCAACACAAAACCAAACATAGCACTTACACTGAGAATACAGAAATTTATATGATAAAATGTTGTTGTTGGAAATGTACCTGTTATAAATTCAACACTGTCGCCTGGTCTGTAAGCCAATGCAACCAATCATTCCCTCTCAGACTTCTTTCTATAATTTTAACAGACTTTTCCTTTGAATTTACGTCTTTAGAAACATAATATCATGGGTGTATTTTACCATACTCAAGGAATTGTTCTGTCTTTACAAGTCTGCTTCAGGTAGATCTGATGCCATCATTCTGTTATTTTTGTGTATCACCTTCAGTATTGAATTATGAAACTGCTTTGCATATTATTGTTTTATGTGTTTTAGTCCTGTGTTAACAGGATGATTAATATTCTGCATTACATTCATCTAAATTCACCATATTGCTCAACATGGACTAAGCATCTGATGCATTCTTTTCAGGTTGGTTTTTCAACATTATCTCTCTATAATGATTATGGTCTCTAAATATGATATTAAGAAAATGGTATTTTGTTTCTTCATCTGTTGTTTTCTTTCCAAAAATAGGAAAGGAAAAGAAAGTCTGCCTCCGGGAAAACTTTCACTTACAGCTTTTACCAAAAGAGAATAAGCAACTGATTGCAGAGAACCAGGCTGATGGTTTTATTTTACTTCCCAGCAATAAACAGAGTGGAAATGCTAATTATGAACATTTTAAAGTTTTTTGAAATGAAAATGTATCTCAAATTAATTTTTTGCTTTATATATTTCTTTGGAGTAAAGAGGGCTGAAATTTAATCATCTTCCATTTTCAGTATATTCTGAATAGCATAAATCCTACCAAGCTTTTAATTCATTTCTTTGAGGAAGCTCTCTTCTTTACATTTCATTTCCTGAGCCCTGCTTGGCAGTCCGATTTGGTGCTATCCTGAGTGCTGTTTTCAAAATTGGTCTAATTGCAAATGTTGGAGACCACTTAAACTGTGGAAACTTATTACCCATTAAATGTTTTTGTTCATAAAAAGAAGATATATTGAATGCAATTTACCTACTATACTCAAATATATACTTAATATTATACCTAATATGTTTCAAATATAATAATAAATTAACAATTTATTATTTATTACTCATAACAACAATTGTCATTTAGTGAGGAACTATGACTCTTTAGGGCCAAGAGTAAAAACTATACTGACACTTAAGAATACTATGGGGTAGTCCTTATTACCTCCATTTTGTACATGGGAAACTGAGGCTTAAAGAGTTTAAGAAACATGTCCAAGTGGCAGAAGTAGAATTCAAATAGGGTTCTTCGTGGCTACAATACCTGTGGCCTTAATTTCCTTACTGTGTCATTTTTATTGATGCTGTGGTCAAGCAGACTTGTATTCAGATTCTGCTCTGCTTTTACCATAGTCAGTTGCAGAATCTTGAATGATTGGCTGGTTCCACTGGAATTGGTAGACAGATTGTCAGGTGACCTCCTAGGATGATTGCTAGGCTTTTGTTTATGGTTTGTTGAAAAGAAAAATGGTATTTGAAGTCACACGATCTGGATTTAAATCCTAGGTCTAGGAATCCCTTGGGCAAGTTGCTTAATGGGTTTGAGCCTTAGTCTTCTTGCCTATAGATTTGACAGCATTCATATTTTCCTTCAGGCATTATGTTATATAAATTCGTATTGGGTTAGAGGATATCTTAGCTCAAATCCAAATGGTAGTCCAAGACAATTGGCAAGCTGATGGGAGTGTTCTACCAGAAACCTATTTGCACAGATACTTTGGAATCTTCTGGTATGTCTGGAGAAATGATGAGATAACCTGAACATATGTCTTTGCAGGGGAATGAGAAGCCTTCAGCCAGAAAATTCATGCTCAGAAAAGAAGGAGCCAGTGGTAATAAATTTGACCAAATAATAACAATTTAATTTTTGGATAAGAATAAAAATTAAAAATAGAATTTGGTGTTCATCACAGAAATTGTCTTCCAACTTAGTTTCCACTGAAATTAAGATCAAATCCTAAGTAGAGCATAAAGACTAAAAGAGCTATTTGTTAAATTATTTGTAGAACTTCGTGGCACAAGAAAAAGCTGCTTTGGGATTCCTTTGATGGAGGAAAGCACAAAAAAAGAATCTCCTTTAATTAGCCACAGGCCACTTCACAGATTTAAAAACTCAGGGCATTTGAGAACTGGAGACAAAGGTCTAGGAAGCACCACTGGCATCAGAAGAATATTTTTCAGAAGAGTGGCTGGTCTGGGTGAGGCCTGAATGTCCCACATTACCATGAATGCATGGTGGATGTGACTTCACACGGAAGATGCTCTGCTGGGCTGCGCCTGGCAGCAGAGGATTTGCTCACAAGGAAATCTGTGACTTTCTCTGGGTCCAATAAAGAAAACATCTTAGAGGTATTTTAGATGATTCTGAGGCTCTATGAGAGCAGTCAAGAACAAAACACAAAAGTCAGTGTAATCATCGTTATTATTGATCAACATACACTGGCAAGATCTGTGGAGATGGGTTTAAGGATAATACATTAGAAAAATTATTCTGTAAAGTGTTATTCTTAGTTTTCTCCCACTCTTGGCCCCTTATTGCAACACTGGAAATGCTCAAGGCATTCTTGTGTCTCATAAATAAGGTCAAATATCACACCAGAACTACACTGAAGAGTGTTAAAAGATACTTTTCAAAAAAATTAAAATGATCACCCTTATACAAATGAATATGTGTCTAAGATTGCATTCAGTTCATTAATTATGAGGGAGTAGGATGATGGCATGGTGCTATGGACTGAATTGTGATCCTCCAAAATGGAAGTCATTACCCCCAGTAGTATCTCAGAATGTAGCTGTATTTGGAGATAAGGACATTAAAGAGGTAATTAAGTTAAAATGATGTCTTTAGGGTGAGCCCTAATTAGTCTAATTGGTGTCCTTAAAAGAAGAAGAAATGCAGACATACAGAGATGCCATGGATGTGCACACACCGAGGAAAGACAACGTATGGACACAGCAAGAAGGCCGCCCTCTGCAAGTCAGGGAGACAGGCGTCAGGAAAAACCAACCTGCCAACACCTTGATCTTGGACTTCAAGCCTCCCAAACTGTGAAAAGTAAATTTTAGTTGTTTAAGCCACCCAGTTTATGATATGTTATTATGATAGCCTTAGCAAAGGCTATCATACCTTAGTAGGTTCAAAGAGCATTTGAGAAGCTGGGAATTTATAGGCAACTTAATGAAGGAATATTAGAATAAAATTTCTTGATTAGATACAAAGCTGGTAATGTCCTTCAGAAGAATAAACCATGACTTTGGGATTATATTTTCTATTAGATAAATTTAGCTCCATATCTACGAAACAAAAATCTATCAACACATAGCTTCACTTAAATCTGGAACTTTGAGTTCATAGTAAATAGTGAGTCGAATAAAGTACATTCCCTAGATAACTAAATAATCTTTGGGGTACCTGTTAAACAGTGCCCTTTTATATATTTAGAGAAACCTCACAAGTTTTAAACAATTTTTCAGAGCAGAAGAAATTTGTTCCTTTATCTTAGTCTAAGAATAGCCACCATAATGTACATCTACTGGTCAAGAAAATGTTCTTCCCCAATTTATTAATAAGAGGTATACTACTCCTGAATGTGCAAATCTAATTCTCAACCATAGGAATGTGACATTACAATAGCCTGACCTTGTGCTGTCTCTCAAAGTTTGGGTTATTCAGTCTTGTATGGAAAGTCAGTGGTTCCATCTAGAGAGTTAAACCTAATCTAAGATCTTTCTCAGATGTCTGTAACAGCATGAAGAGATAAGATAGGTGCGTATCTTCCTGTAACTTTTAGGTCTGTATTTATGATGTGCTGAGTAATTATTTGGATATCTGCATTCTCAAGAACCAGCCATAATAATAACCCAGCCCAATCCATTCCTTGGATCAGGCAGGAGACAGAATTCTGTATTGGAAACAATGTTTGGAGGTATAGATCTGTCACAGGGTACGGTCAATTAACATCAACAAACAACATTTAATTTTCTGCACATTGATCAAGAGATTTAGTGCAATTTCAGTAAAATTCCCAAGAGAATTTTTCTTGTAGAAATGGACAGATTTATTCTAAAATTTATATGAAAATCATAAGGATCTAGAATAGCTAACATAATTTTGTAAAAAGAGCTATAAAGTTGGATGATAACACTAGCCCCAGTTTAAGACTTAATATATGGCTGTGATCTTATTTACAGAGTGATAGACTCATAGATTAATGAAACAGAATAGAGAGTACAGAAGGGGACCCACCAAATTCTGACCAATTGATCTTTGACAAAGGTAAAATGGTAATTCAATAAAGGAAAGAACAGTCTTTTTAATAAAGAGTTAAATTGTCCATTAATATGCAAAAATGAACTTTAACCTCACACCTGTTACAAAAATGAACCCAAATTGGATCATAGATCTAAATGGAAAATGGAAAATTATAAAGCCTTCAGAAGAAAACATGGAAGAAAATCATTGTAAACTGGGATTAGGCAAAGAATTCTTAGACATTATGCCAAATGCATGATCCATTAAATATAAAAATGGATAAACTGGACTTCATCCGACCTTAAAACGTTTGTTCTGCAAAAGATTTGTTAAGACAATGTAAATACAAACTACAGACTGGAAAAAATATATGCAGATTACATATTTGACAAAGGAATTGAATCCAGAATATATACAGAGCACTCAAAACTCAACCACCAGAACACAACCCAATTTAAAAATGGGCAAAAGGTTGGAATAGATGCTTCACCAAAGAGGATATATTGATGGCAAAAAACACATTAAAAATGTTCAACATCCTGAACAATGAGAACACATGGACACAGGGAGGGGAACATCACACGCTTGTCAGGGGGTGGGGGGCTGGGGGAGGGATAGCATTAGGAGAAATACCTAATGTAGATGACGGGTTGATGGGTGCAGCAAACCACCATGGCACATGCATATATATGTAACAAAGCTGCATGTTCTGCACATGTGTCCCAGAACTTAAAGTATAATAATAAAAAAGAAAAAAAATGTTCAACATCCTTGGATATTTGATAAATACAAATTAAAATTAAATGAGATAACTCTATAGATAGGCAAGGATACAGAGCAACTGAAACTCATACATTGCCACTGGGAATACAAAATGGTATGTCCACTCTGCAAAAGAGTTTAGCAATTATTATAAAGTTAAATATATACTTACCATATGATCCAGCAATTCCCCTCCTAGGAATTTACTTTAGAGAAATGAAAACATATGTTCACATAAAAACCTATACATGAAAGTTTGTGGCAGCTCTAGTCATAATTGCCAAAAAGCTGGAAACAACTCAATTGTCCTTTAACAGCAGAATAAATAAACAAACTGAGGTATATCTGGGCAATGCTATACTACTCAGCAATGGACTACTGATACATTTATTGGATAAATTTCAAAGGCCTTACACTAACTGAAAGAGGTTAGTCTCAAAGTTTTACATATTGTATGATTCTGTTAATATGATATTCTAGAAAAGACAAAACTATAGTGATGAACAGATCAATGGTTTTCAGGGGGTAGGGAAGGAAAAAGAAGGCGACTACCAAGGGGTATCCCAAGGAATCA
The DNA here is from genome assembly GCF_000001405.40 of Homo sapiens. Classification (NCBI taxonomy): domain Eukaryota; kingdom Metazoa; phylum Chordata; class Mammalia; order Primates; family Hominidae; genus Homo; species Homo sapiens. Next base: position 170,799,953 of record NC_000001.11, read on the forward strand.
TCCGGAATGACAGAATGATTCTGTTTCCTGATTGTGACGGTGGTGACATGAACCTATATGTGTATCAATTCATAGGACTGTACATGAAAAAAAGTCAGTTTAACTGTATGTTAATTTAAAAAATTCTTAGGAACAGCACCCTGCCAGGCTCTCTGTGAAACAAAATGCCGTCTCTGTTCTTGCATCTGCTGCCATTTGCAATCCTTTTCAACAGTGACCCTCACCCACTTCCTCTACCTACTCCATGACATTCAACAAATTGTTCTCCATCTCACTGAAATCAGTCCCCAAGGGCACTCATGATTTCTATTCTCCTATCCATGAAAACTTGACTAATAATTCTGGCTCCCTGTGCCCTGTCATGTCTCAATTCCTATAACTCTTCCTCTAGATCCTTATTTTTGGCACATATTCTAACACTTAGATTATTTTAAAAATGTTTCAGGTGCATATATTGGTCTGTCATGACCAGAAAGTTTTTTCCTCAAAAAGCATGCAGATAGAGAACAAACCCCAGACTTGCTGGAGCCAGAGTAATCAAAATGTTATGTCAAAAAAAAAAGCCAATATTATTTCTATGAGTGTGAGACTTCTGGGAGGATAACTTAGGACAAAATACTAGTGCACATGGAATTCTGATTGTCTGCAAAATGATTAATCACAAACTTTCATTGACAGATATATGTACACATAAGCACACATGTACATGCACACACACACACACACACACACACACACTTGCACTGAGCTTATAATGGCCACTATCCATTCAAAATGACTAGTTGTTATCACGCTGATGTATTTTTCTATTTTTATATTGAATGTACTCACATAATTTCATTTTCATATGTCTTTTATACAACCCCCAAGAAGTTTTCTCTAGACCGTCTTCTAATTTAATTATCTTGATCATCTTTGATCATCTATATTTTTGCAATCAAGTTCTGAAAGGGGCCAGGATCTTTCGACATTGGTAATGTTTTCACTCCAAACATTCTGTCTTCAGCCAGATTTGTCTCCGTGGTTTTCTCTGCTGGGGGCCTTCATTCGCATTCATTTAATAAACGCTGACTGAGCACCCACCACGTGCCAGGTACTATGTTAGATGTTGTGAGTAGAGCTGTAAGTAAGACACACATTGCCTCTGCATCCATAGGGTCCACAAACCAGTGATTGTAAGTAGACAAATAAGCCAATATTTACAGGACCTATGTATAGGATGTATAAGTTATGGATGCACATAAAAGAGGTGCCTGACCCAGTCAATGAAAGTCAGAGAAGCCTTCCTGGAGGGGATAATGTTTGGCTGAGTTTTCAGAACAAATAAGAATTAGATATTTCTTCCCATGGAAGGTGGGAAGGAATTGACAGAGGAAAAGTCTTACGACAACATTACGTCAAATAGTCTAGTGTTTCAGTACCCATGTAATCTGACATCTTAAAAATGTGCCTCATCTTTTTTTTCTTTTTTTCTTTTTTTTTTTTTTTTTTAGAGTCTCGCTCTGTCACTCAGGCTGGAGTACAGTGGCACTATCTCGGCTCACTGCAACCTCCGCCTCCTGGGATCAAGCCATTCTCCTGCCTCAGCCTCACGAGTAGCTGGGATTACAGGCACCTGCCACCATGCCCGGCTAATTTCTTTTGTATTTTTAATAGAGACGGGGTTTCACCATGTTGTCCAGGCTGGTCTTGAAATCCTGACCTCATGATCCACCCACCTCGGCCTCCCAAAGTGCTGGGATTATAGGCGTGAGCCACCCTGCCCGGCCATGCCTCGCCCTACTACAAAGATTTCCCTTGCTTCTCTGAAACACAGTGTTCTTCTGTCCTCTGAACTCAGCCAAATATCTTGCCTGCATCTCTTTTTTGGCCCTTCTATGCCATCCTCAAAGTGTGGAATACCTATTCACATGAGTGAGCTGTTTAGGATCACACTCTGGAGTAAGAGTGCCTGTGTTTGAATTCCATCTGTGTGATCTTTCGATACTTAGTGACCTCTCTAAAAGTTTCAGTTTCTTCATCTATAAAACATGATAAATAATATCTACTTCACTAGGTTGTTGCAAAGGTTAAGTGAACTAATAAATATAACAGTACATTCATTTATAACAGTGCATGAGATATTACTAAGCATCATTATGTTACCTATTACTATTAAGCGTGCACACTATAGTTTCCCAACTAAATTGTAAATGATTGGAAGGCAGAATCAGGTTTTAATTTAAAAACAACTAAGGGTTTACACATAAAATTTCATTTAATTCCTTCAATAACACTGTGAGTTTGATATTATTTTCCCTTGTTTCAGATATGCAGGCTGAGACTCAGATGTTAACTTAATTGCCTAAGTTTGCCAGCAAATAAATGAGAGAATTTGATCCCATATTCTCACTGTGAAGAGAGAAGTTAATAGAGTAACACAGTTTACTCCTCTTAAGAGTGTTAAGAGTAACACAGTTTATTTCTCCTGTTTCATTATGTCATGCTATTTCCATGACAGTGAAACAGAAGAAGTAAATCATGTTACTCAGGTGTTTTTTGTTGGTTTGTTTTGTTTGTTTTTTTTTGGTTGCAAGCAACAGAATTGGAGTTTGCCTAACTTAAGACAAAAGGAAGTGATTGGAGGGGTACCTGGTGGCTCTGAGATTGATGTGGTGGCTAGAGGGCAAGGTCTGAGAAGTCAAGCTGAGTCTCCAACAGCTCAGCCAGGTTAGTAAGCCACCACAGCCCCTAGTCAGGGTCTGAGACATTGAATTCTGCCATCACAGTCACCAAAGCAGATGCTAAGCAGTCCCTGCTTCTTTGTGGCAATGCATTAATTTGATGTTGTAGGCATGCTGTCCCTTTAGAGGCTTGGTACCAGGGACACCAGGTACCTGACCTCTGGGGGCCCTTCCACCACAAGCCTATAGTCCCAGATTCTCCAACAAAGGAAGAAGTTTCTGCAGCTAGGCTGCCAAGAAAAAGTTGACAAATATCCACTGATGATTATCCTTTAGGGGTTTTTGTTTGTTTTGTTTTGTTTTGTTCGAGACAGGGTCTTACTCTGTCACCAGGCTAGAGTGCAGTGGTGCAATTGGCTCCCTGAAGTCTTGACCTCCAAGGCTCAAGCCATTTTCCCACCTCAGCCTCCTGAGTAGCTGGGACCACAGGCAAACACCACCATGTCCAGCTATTTTTTTTTTTTTAATTTTTGGTAGAGATGGGGTCTCACTAGGTTGCCCAGGCTGGTCTTGAACTCCTGAGTTCAAGCGATCCTCCTGCCTCAGCCTCCCAAAGTGCTGAGATTATAGGCATGAGCCACTTGTGCCTGGCCCTTTAAGGACTTTGTTTTGTTTCATTCTTAAACCCTTTTAACTTTCCTTGAGATCCAAAGCAATAAATATAGTACTTTTTAAACCTGGAAAATAGGGAGGCCGGCTTTATTTGTTCCATCTGGCTGTGCCCAAATTCTGAGCCAGCTTAGGAACAGAAAGGAAAGATACAGGTTTCAAATATTGGATATATCTGTGCAGATTTATGGGAAATTGAGATGATATAGAACAAGCATAAAGACGAGGAGCAGGCTAGAATTCTAGTTAGCATGAAAGCATTAAGGAGAAGTTCAAGTGTAATCAAAGTGACTAAGACAAGGAAACAAACACACATATTAAAAATCTAGGAAAGGATCCTAAGAAAGGTTATGAAAACAAGACTAGTTTTATATAATACTTGGGAATAAGAAAAAACAGAATATTAATATCTAATAATGTTGGAGGTTTTGATTTAGAGATCATAATAGAAATATCAGGGTTGGTTATAGGAACAGTTAGATGGGGACAAAGGAGAGACTTTAGGGCACTGTGCCAGAAAGAGTTATTCTAAAAGGAAATTAAAAGTTCCAAATTCTCCCCTGCACCAAAAAAATTTAAAAAGGCTGTCCAGGCTTCACATTTTCAAGCAAAACCTCAAATTCCTGACTGACTCACATGAGCACCAAGACCTTTCATCCTTCCCATGAGTAAATGTATATAATGGGGTGACCATCCGCTAGTGGGGCTCAGAGCTTCAACACAAAGAATGAAGAAGGAAGAGAAAAGAGAACAATCATGGCCAGAGTAGCAGAATTTAATAATAAAGATCACTAACACTTTTATCCAAATAATCCACAGTGAGCTGTGTCTGTAATTAGACTAAGGTATAATCTGCATGTGAATTGGGGAAAGTTTTAAAATAATTTCAGGCCAGGCACAGTGGCTCATACTTTTAATCCCAGCACTTTGGGAGACTGAGGCAGGAGGACTGCTTGCTCCCAGAAGTTTAAGACCAGCCTGGGCAACATGAAGAGACCTCATCTCACAAAGAAAATTTAAAAAAATTAGCCGGTGTGATGGTGTGTACCTGTCATCTCATCTATTCAGGAGGCCAAAGCAGGAGGATCGCTAGAGCTCAGGAGGTTGAGGCTGCAGTGAGCCGTGTTTTCAGTACCACACTCCAGCCTGGGCAACAGAGACAGATCTTGTCCAAAAAATACTAATAAAATAAAATATTTTTAATTACCATTTACTGAGGATTCAATTGAATCCTCACAGTAATCTAAGTAGTGGATAAAATTACTGTCTTCATTGTACAGATGAGGAAATGGAAGCATGTGGGTTTAGATAACCTGCCCAAGCTCACATACAAACAAAGCTGGGACTTGAACTTTGCTCTGTGGAACCCTTTGGCAGTTAGCTGATATCTGCTGCAGATAATAGCATACTGACAAAAAGTCCCTTAAATCCTAAAGCATATGTTTTTTAACATGGCAGGGAATCTGGAAGGATGGCTGTTCAGCAGCACAGTGATATCCTCAAGAACTATGGATTTCCACCTTTCTACTCTGCCCTATGTGTTGCTAATGTTTCATGTTCAAGAGCATAGTGCTAGCGGTTTCGGGCATCCTAGGAAGCCATGACTACGTTTATTTAAGAGGAGGGAGAATGTTCTTTATAAATCTCTTTTTTAATTTGTGAGAAAATCTTTCCTCCAGTGCCCCCAGTAGGATTCTCTGCATGTGCTATTGGCTAGTAATAAGCCACACATCTAGGCCTAAATCCAATCACGATTCACTCTCTGAGATTGTTCAAGACGTCGATTTCCCTTAGCCAGCAAAAAAAGAAGGTACACTGGGAGAGGGCTGGTGATGCTGTTGGTATGGCAAAAAGAAAAAAAAAATTGTCTGCCACAAGCACTACAACAAACTTCTTGTTCTAGGGATTAATTTAGTTTTAATATGGCTGATGGAAATGGAGGTTGGGAGAAGAGAGGAGTACAGACAAGAGGGGAGAAGAGAAAGGGAAAATGTATTGAGCACTTCCATGAATTAATGTTAGCTCCTTTTACATACTTCACAATATGCTCTTCACATGGTACTTTTATTATACCCATTTTCTAGAAGCTCTTTTAAGTCTTTCAAATCACACTTGAAAATGGCAGTGACGATTTGAATTCAAATTGATGATTAGAAGGTACATGCTCTCTAGAGATACTGGTTTGTTTTATACTTGCATCTAAGGTGGATAACTTCTCCCCTTAGGGGAGAATGGCTGGAAGTTATCCACCTTAGATGCAAGTATAAAACAGACCAATATCGAAGAATAACTCCCATCTTTTGGAAAACTTGTCTAATGCCTCTTTGCACCTTTAACCTTCTTAACACCCCGAATTAAGCTAAGTCATTCATCCATTAGTTGTATGCACAGCCTGTTGTGCAGTCGTCTATGTTTTTACTTCTTGGTATTCTCTGAGTAAGAGGAAACGTCTGTGACCTTCCACTGGATCCTTGCTTCCATATATCAGAGGCTAAGGCAATCACAGACAGCACTGGTGGGAAACCAGAACAGAAAACACACACACACACATGCACACACACACACACACACACACACACACACACACACGAATGGAACGAGGAACTCCAAGAGGGACTTCTAATATTTCATTGTTATTGAAAATTACACTTCATAAAAAGTCTTGTTCATTTAAAGTTTGAAGAGTGACAGAAAAATAGCTTTCATACTCAAGTCTGCTAAATGTATGATAAATCAAAAAAGATGGAACAAGGAGAAACTTCAAGAAAAACAAAACAGAAAATCAGTGTGTAGTATAAATAACACTTCATTAGTGCTGTAATGCCTTACAAAACAGTCTAAAAAATTCCACAGGGTAATCGTAGTGTACAGCGCAGAAGAGAATAATTTACTATCGTTAGGCGTTTGTAATCCCTACAATGGAAAGGAGAATGTATGCATGTAACCCTTTAATGATAGTGGACTTGCAGGCATAAATCCCTAAATGATGAGATGTGAATACATTTTATAAATTCAAGTTTCTGTTGGGGAAGAAAAGTCAGGCTGTCTGGTTTGACTGGCATGCTGACCTAAGTCAATTACTGAACCACGGAGAGCTGTAGCCTTGGGAGTGTGCTATGTTCTTTCTACGGTCTTAAGAGAGGCCAGGCTCAGGGGTTGAGCCTAGCGGGCTGGTCTCTCGCTCATCAGGCACACATCAACACTATAAACACACAGTTTTTAGCTAGTGGCAGTCAATGCCAAAGGCCTGGCAGCATGCCACACCATCTCAAGGCACTCTCAGCAATAACTCAAATGTTTTTCTGTCAGAAAAACTTTTTCTGTACTGTTTTCAACACTTCAGCTTAGTGTGGGACCGAAGCAGAACGAGGGATAGGAAAAATTAATAATTTTACACTCCAGCTTTCAAAGCCCCCTTTCCTTTGGTAGCAGAGTTTCTTCTTTTCATTCTATTTAATTCTCAAACTCTCCTCAACAAAATCTTCTCTGAAGCAAAGACCTAAAACTTATTAACACGGGAATCCAAATGAAAGACAATAGGTTAATTGTTACTTCTCCCACAGGTGTTTTAAAAAATGTTAATGTGGATTCAATCCTTAAACTAAGCAAAATTTAGAAAAAGTTTTCAAAGGAGTGTTCTCTGGACAAGGATGCCTGGATGTTGGATGGGAAGTAGGGAGTTCCCAGAGGCTAGATTGGATATTATGGAAGGATTACTAGAGTTTAACCACGGAACTGTAAGAATTATGATCAGGCAGAGAACAAAGCAGTAGATCAAATCTAAAAGGGAGACAACATAAATATGAAGAAATAAGATTTCAGGTTAGACGCCAGGAAGAAGGGGCCCAGGTTGGAAAGCAGAAGCATGAGACGAGAGTTCCAGGACCAGTGATTCAGGGGAGGCTGTGAACAATACAGAGAGGGCCAGAAACCTGTTGTTACATCATGTTGGTTACATGGGACAAGCTAGGTTAAAACAGGAGTTCTTCAGCTGGTGGGAGGGGTGGTCTGAGAGAGAGAACAGTGATCCAAGGACAGCCTTCAAGAGGTCTGGAAAAACCCTGAACTCTCCTTTAAAATGTGCAAGAAGAAAACTTGAAGCTTTGATTAAATTCTCAAAGCAATATGTCACCCTAGAATGATTAAATATAGCAGCCCAATGAAAAGCACCTTTGTGGACCCTGTGGATCCCGTGGCAGTGGCGGTCATCTACTGTCAGTCATGTAGTTCAGCCTGGTTCCCACACTCTGATTCCATCTTCTTTAAGCACTTGCAGCAGGATTGGTAATCATTCGCATTCCTTTCTTCCAGTTAGTACCCCTAAAGGAGGAAAAAATGGTTTTGCTTAACATGGACTATTATGAAATGGCATCTCTCTCTCTGGTGACTCACAGGAATGAGGCGCCCTTCTCTGGAAGGGTAGGTTGCCCACAATAATATTGTCTTTGTTCTTCTAGATGAACAGCTAGTCCATCTCAGTCTCTTGCCTTATAGATCTCTCAGGTATGAGCCAAATGCCAGTCCACTAGATATCCTGGGCTCCAAGGGCCACATATCAAACTCTCCAAAATGCCTCTGTCCCTAGGATGATGGTTGAAAGGGGGATGGGAATGAAATGCACAGGATATTAATAGCTCTTTACAAAAATATTTTAAAATTTTATATTTCCCAGGCATATTAACTTCAAATATTTTGTGCTCTCAAGTGGATGCCAAGCCAAAGCCTCAAAGCCTGTAATTAGCTACCTTCTTTGCAAACCCTGCATTAATCATCTTATTTTGAGATGTGGGGAAAGTTGGAGTGTATTTTTGGGGGGCCATGAATAAAACAAAGATAGAAATAGTTTGATTTCAGCAACTTCTTACTCATGAGTATGTTAAGGGATAGGAGGAGTATCCCATGGCTATTAACAGTTTCTACTGGGGACAAGCACCAACCTATCAAAGCACAAAATATAATATTTTGAGGAAATTGGTCCTGGAAGAACCATGGCACCATCTGGTTCTTGGAAAAATAGGCACGCGTTTACTTTACACTTGAAAAGGAAGCTTTTCTGCTCTGAATTGTACTGTTTCAAGTTGATAAACCTGTTTCTGAAGGGCACATGTTGCTTTCTTTATTGGATGCTTATAGTGACACATTCCTGTTTGTGGGGGAGCTGCACAGGGTAGGCAGGGGAGGTGAAGACTCAGAGGAGAGACAGGGAGGAGGGGTTCCCAAATGTCTTGATATGAAAAATAGGAAACAGTTCCTTTTTGAAAACCTGTAAGTTAACCAGCAGTAGCAACAACGATGAACTGTCATGCAGAAGACTGGCTGAGGTTTGGGTTATAAAACAATATTTGCCATCAAGAGGGTTTTAGTATTCCAGTTTGCAGCAGGAGTGGCTTGTGGCCAGGCTCAGCCTTGCTAGAGAAGCTCAGAGGGTTTTCTTATAAGTCCCAAACTATTTAAAAAACAGACTCAAACACAGTGATATCTCACTTATCCAGCCCCTTGCAAAACAGATGTTCCACAGAAACACATTTCTAGATGATATTTAGGTTTATGTTATAATTTAATAAAGCTTGCAAAATAATTTTGTTCATTTGTTTTTCTTATTTCAGTCTGATCCTTATAACAACCCACGGAATACAGCATGGGAGGCTTTATTAATCTCACTGACTTGCCCACACAACAGAGGTAGCATAATTGGTTTTTGCCTTGCTCCCCATGGCTCTCAGACTTCTGACCCTAGGTATATCTCAGAAACTTTTTCAATATATTAAAGACAGGATAATTTGTGAAATCCTACTAGTATTCACTCCTAGGAAAAAGAAGACTGAAACCAGAATTGCGTTGAATATAATAAGGGTTTTAAGTATCTTTTTAATATTTTAAATATTTAAAATACCTTTAAATAGTGCCAAGTACTATTAGGTACTGTCAAAGAACAAAGGAAGATCCTGGACTTAAGGAATCTCTGGGATGAGGTCAATGTGGTGGCTGGGATGGTGCTGGGCCAGGGGGCAGGGAGTCTGGGAGGCAGGCCATTTCTAGAAGGGCCACGCAGGAAGGAAAGACAAAAAGCGGGGGCTGGATGTGGGGCAGACATCAGCCTGAGAGGGTGGGCAGAGTATAATGGGGTCCTTAGCAAGACAACGCCTGAGCTGGGCAAGGCAAGGTGAGATTATGTGGAGAGCCACCCACTACCACCATGTTAGCAGTTTCTTCATGTATGGGATCATCCTGTCCAGCCCAGTCTCAAAGAGACCATTCCCAGTGCTTCTGGGGTTTTAAGAAGGTAATAATGGAATGACAGGCATGGCCACTAATGGATGTTTTATTATCCTAAGTTTACCCAGGAATTTCTTATTTCCTATGACCCTGTTATCAAATTTCATCAGCTTTTGCAAAAATGAAATGTTTATCCTACTGGAATTTTTTGGAGATCTCACACTTTATAATATTTGCAATGCCCTTGTTAGGAAGTATGTAAATCCTATTCTATTAAGTTTTTAAAGTTGAAGCTCAGATAATCCATTGCCCAGGGTCTTCTGCTGAAAGGACGAAAGGAAGTACTGTATCAGACTCCAAAATCAGCATTATCCCAAAGCTAAATGTCTACTCAGAAGGAGAAATAGAAGCATCCTTTGACCACCAAAGGAAGTCCCTTCCTTCACCCTTGGTATATTTCTCCTACTAGTAAAGGGATCCATTTCTGCCTGCTCCTGAGGCTTCTTTCCAGCCTTGCCTTCTGTGCCTTTCCATGGCTGCAGGTTCTATTCTTGAATTAACTTGACTCAGTCAGTTCCAGGGTTGGCCAAAGGAGTACTCACCATTTGTTCTGGGTTCCCAGCTACTTCCTGCAGTTAATTCCTAGAGAAGTTGCGGCTTTGGGAGCCTGAGGTTCTTGTTTTTGATCCTGAGTCTATAATAGCACCTCACTCTTCATCATACCCTCCTAGCCCTTATAATCACCAGGAGATTTATCACTGTCCCAGTCTACACTGGAGGTTTCATTCTGGGCCCCCTTCTGAGAAGTTCTGTAGTTTTTCCAGGTCTTTTCTTCAGCTTCTGCCTTTTCCTTCTCCAGTCAGTGGGGTTCCTCCCCCTAACCCAACCCAGTGGCTAGGGCTGAATATTGACTGCAAGTCAGTCTGGCTTTCTAGGATCAGAGTATCATCTGGGGCCAGGATTCCTTGCTCCTGGGTCCTATTCATCTGCCAGACTCCTGCTCCATCATGTTGGTTCCCAGTGCCAACCATGTGCCTGAAAATTGACTGAAAACCACAATAATGTTTAGCCATGATGAGCCACCTCTCAGCTCTGCTGCTGTCAAGTCATCATCTGTTCACTGCCACCCTGGGCCTTCTGATAGCTCCTACCATACTGGACTACTTACAAATCCTAAGAGAAAACAATCTTTCTGGGTTATTTAAGCCATCTCTCAAGTATCTTCTTAAAAAGTAGAAAGACAGGATGTCCGTTCTAAGATGGCTGAATAGGAATAGCTCTCGTCTGCAGCTCCCAGCATGATCCATGCAGAAGATGGGTGATTTCTGCATTTCCAACTGAGGTACCTGGTTCATCTCATTGGGACTGGTTGGACAGTGGGTGCAGCCCATGGAGGGTGAGCCAAAGCAGGGCGGGGCATCGCCTCACCTGGGAAGCACAAGGGGTCGGGAGATTTCCCTTTCCTAGCCAAAGGAAGCCATGACAGACTGTACCTGGAAAAACGGGACACTCCCACCCAAATACTGCACTTTTCCCAAGGTCTTAACAACTGGTAGACCAGGAGATTCTCTTCCGTGCCTGGCTCGGCGGGTCCCATGCCCACGGAGCCTTACTCACTGCTAGCACAGCAGTCTGAGATTGAACTGCAAGGCTGCAGCCTGGCAGGGGGAGGGGTGTCCACCATTGCTAAGGCTTGAGTAGCTCACAGTGTAAACAAAGAGGCCGGAAATCATGAACTGGGTGGGTGGAGCCCACCGCAGCTCAGCAAGGCCTACTGCCTCTACAGACTGCACCTCTGTGGGCAGGGCATAGCTGAACAAAAGCCAGCAGACAACTTCTGCAGACTTAAACGTCCCTGTCTGACAGCTCTGAAGAGAGCACTGGTTCCCCAGTATGGCATTTGAGCTCTGAGAACAGACAGACTGCCTCCTCAACTGGGTCCCTGACCCCCATGTAGCCTAACTGGGAGATACCTCCCAGTAGGGGCCAACAGACACCTCATACAGGGCGGTGCCCCTCTGGGACAAAGATACCAGAGGAAGGATCAGGCAGCAATATTTGCTGTTCTGCAATATTTGCTGTTCTGCAGCCTCTGCTGGTGATACCCAGGCAAACAGTGTCCGGAGTGGACCTCCAGCAAACTCTAACAGACCTGCAGCTGAGGGACCTGACTGTTAGAAGGAAAACTAACAAGCAGAAAGGAATAGCATCAACATCAAGAAAAAGGACATCTACACCAAAACCCCATCTGTAGGTCACCAACATCAAAGACCAAAAGTAGATAAACCAGAGCAGAAAAGCTGAAAATTCTAAAAAACAGAGTGCCTCTTCTCCTTCAAAGGATCGCAGCTCCTTGCCAGCAACGGAACAAAGCTGGATGGAGAATGACTTTGACAAGTTGACAGAAGTAGGCTTTAGAAGGTCAGTAATAACAAACTTCTCTGAGCTAAAGGAGCATGTTCTAACCCATCACAAGGAAGCTAAAAACCTTGAAAAAAGGTTAGACAAATGGCAAACTAGAATAAACAGTGTAGAGAAGACCTTAAATGACCTGATGGAGCTGAAAACCATGGCGTGAGAACGTCGTGAGGCATGCACAAGCTTCAATAGCTGATTACATCAAGTGGAAGAAAGGGTATCAGTGATTGAAGATCAAATTAATGAAATAAAGTGATAAGACAAGATTAGAGAAAAAAAGTAAAAAGAACAAACAAAGCATCCAAGAAATATGAGACTATGTGAAAACACCAAATCTACATTTGATTGGTGCACCTGAAAGTGACGGGGAGCATGGAACCAAGTTGGAAATCACTCTTCAGGATATTATCCAGGAAAACTTCCCCAACCTAGCAAGGCAGGCCAGTATTCAAATTCAGCAAATACAGAGAACACCACAAAGATACTCCTCGAGAAGAGCAACCCCAAGACACATAATAGTCAGATTCACCAAGATTGAAATGAAGGAAAAAACATTAAGGGCAGCCAGAGAGAAAGGTTGGGTTACCCACAAAGGGAAGCCCATCAGACTAACAGCAGATTGCTCGGCAGAAACTCTACAAGCCAGAAGAGAGTGGGGGCCCATATTCAACATTCTTAAAGAGAAGAATTTTCAACCCAGAATTTCATATCCAGCCAAACTAAGCTTCATAAGTGAAGGAGAAATAAAATCCTTTACAGACAAACAAATGCTGAGAGATTTTGTCACCACCAGGCCTGCCTTACAAGAGCTCCTGAAGGAAGCACTAAACATAGAAAGAAACAACCAGTACCAGCCAATGCAGAAGCATGCCAAATTGTAAAGATCATAGATGCTAGGAAGAAACTGCATCAATTAACAAGCAAAATAACCAGCTAACATCATAATGACAGGATCAAATTCACACATAACAATATTAACCTTAAAGGTAAGTAGGCTAAATGCTCCAATTAAAAGACACAGACTGGGAAATTGGATAAAGAGTCAAGACCCTTCAGTGTGCTGTATTCAGGAAACCCATCTCATGTGCAGAGACACACATAGGCTCAAAATAAAGGGATGGAGGAAGATCTACCAAGCAAATGGAAAGAAAAAAAAAGGGGGTGGGGATGCAGTCCTAGTCACTGATAAAACAGACTTTAAACCAACAAAGATCAAAAGAGACAAAGAAGGCCATTACATAATGGTAAAGGGATCAATTCATGAAGGAGAACTACCCTAAATATATATGCACCCAATACGGGAGCACCCAAATTCATAAAGCAAGTCCTGAGAGACCTAAAAAGAGACTTAGACTCCCACACAACAATAATGGGAGACTTTAACACCCTACTGTCAATATTAGACAGATGAACGACACAGAAGGTTAACAAGGATATCTAGAACTTGAACACAGCTCTGCACCAAGTGGACCTAAAAGACATCTACAGAACTCTCCACCCCAAATCAACAGAATATACATTCTTCTCAGCACCACATTGCACTTATTCTAAAATTGACCACATAATCAGAAGTAAAGCACTCCTCAGCAAATGTAAAAGAATGGAAATCACGACAAACTGTCTGTCAGACCACAGTGTAATCAAATTAGAACTCAGGACTAAGAAACTCACTCAAAACTGCACAATTACGTGGAAAGTGAACAACATGCTCCTGAATGACTACTCGGTTAAATAATGAAATGAAAGCAGGAATAAAGGTGTTCTTTGAAACCAATGAGAACAAAGACACAACATACCAGAATCTCTGGGACACATTTAAAGCAGTGTGTAGAGGGAAATTTATAGAACTAAATGCCCATAAGGGAAAGCAGAAAAGATCTAAAATTGACACCCTAACATCACAATTAAAAGAACTAGAGAAACAAGAGCAAACAAAGTAAAAAGCTAGTGGAAGGCAAGAAATAACTAAGATCAGAGCAGAATTGATGGAGATAGAGACATAAAAAACCCTTCAAAAAATCAATGAATCCAGGAGCTGGTTTTTTGAAAAGATCAGCAAAATTGATAGACTGCTAGCAAGCCTAATAAAGAAGAAAAGAGAGAAGAATTAAATATACACAATAAAAAAATGATACAGGGGATATCACCACTAATCCCACAGAAATACAAACTACCATCAGAGAATACTATAAACACCTCTATGCAAATAAACTAGAAAATCTAGAAGAAATGGATAAATTCCTGGACACATTGACCCTCCCAAGACTAAACCAGTAAGAAGTTGAATCTCTGAATAGACCAATAACAGGCTCTGAAATTGAGGAAATAATTAATAGCCTACCAACCAAAAAAAAAAAAAAAATCGGGAACCAGACAGATTCACAGTCAAATTCTACAAGAGGTATAAAGAAGAGATGGTACCATTCCTTCTGAAACTATTCCAATCAATAGAAAAAGAGGAACTTCTCCCTAACTCATTTTATGAGGCCAGCATCATCATGACAGCAAAGCCTGGCAGAGACACAATAAAAAAACAGAATTTTAGACCAATATCCCTGATGAACATCGATACAAAAATCCTCAATAAAATACTGGAAAACCGAATCCAGCAGCACATCAAAAAGCTTATCCACCACGATCAAGTGGGCTTCATCCCTGGGATGCAAGGCTGGTTCAACATATGCAAATCAATAAACGTAATCCATCACATAAACAGAACCAATGACAAAAACCACATGATTATCTCAATAGATACAGAAAAGGTCTTTGACAAAATTCAACAGTCCTTCATGCTAAAAACTCTCAATAAACTAGGTATTGATGGAACGTATCTCAAAATAATAAGAGCTATTTATGACAAACCCACAGCCAATAGCATACTGAATGGGCAGAAACTGGAAGCATTCCCTTTGAAAACCGGCACAAGACGAGGATGCCCTCTCTCACCACTCCTATTCGACATAGTGTTGGAAGGGCATAGTGTTGGCCAGGGCAATCAGGCAAGAGAAAGAAATAAAGGGTATTTAATTAGGAAAAGAGGAAGTCAAAATGTCCCTGTTTGCAGATGACATGATTTTATCTGTAGAAAACCCCATCGTCTCACCCCAAAATCTCCTTAAGCTGATAAGCAACTTCAGCAAAGTCTTAGGATACAAAATCAATGTGCAAAAATCACAAGCATTCCTATACACCAATAACAGACAAAGAGGGAGCCAAATCATGAGTGAACTCCCATTCACAATTGCTACAAAGAGAATAAAATACCTGGGAATCCAACTTACAAGGGATGTGAAGGACCTCTTCAAGGAGAACTACAAACCACTGCTCAATGAAATAAAAGAGGACAAAAACAAATGGAAGAACATTCCATGCTCATGGATAGGAAGAATAAATATCATGAAAATGGCCATACAGCCCAAGGTAATTTATAGATTCAATGCCATCCCCATCAAACTACCAGTGACTTTCTTCACAGAATTGGAAAAAACTACTTTGAGGTCCATATGGAACCAAAAAAGAGCCCACATAGCCAAGACAATCCTAAGTAAAAAGAACAAAGCTGGAGGCATCACGCTACCTGACTTCAAACTATACTACAAGGCTACAGTAACCAAAACAGCATGGTACTGGTACCAAAACAGATATATAGATCAATGGAACAGAATACAGGCCTCAGAAATAACAGCACACATCTACAACCATCTGATCTTTGAAAAATTTGACAAAAACAAGAAATGGGGAAAGGATTCCCTATTTAATAAATGGTGCTGAGAAAAACTGGCTAGCCATATGTAGAAAGCTGGAACTAGATCCCTTCCTTACTCCTTATACAAAAATTAATTCAAGATGGATTAAAGACTTAAATATTAGACCTAAATCCATAAAAACTCTAGAAGAAAACCTAGGCAATACCATTCAGGACATAGACATGGGCAAAGACTTCATGACTAAAACACCAAAAGCAATGGCAACAAAAGCCAAAATAGACAAATGGGATCTAATTTAACTAAAGAGCTTCTGCACAGCAAAAGAAACTACCATCAGAGTGAACAGGCAACCTGCAGAATGGGAGAAAATTTTTGCAATCTACCCATCTGACAAAGGGCTAATATCCAGAGTCTACAAAGAACTCAAACAAATTTACAAGAAATAAACAAACAACCCCATCAAAAAATGGACAAAGGATACAAACAGACACTTCTCAAGAGAAGACATTTATGCAGCCAACGGACACATGAAAAAATGCTCATCATCACTGGCCATCAGAGAAATGCAAATCAAAACCACAGTGAGATACCATCTCATGCCAGTTAGAATGGCGATGGTTAAAAAGTCAGGAAACAATAGATGCTGGAGAGGATGTGGAGAAATATGAATGCTTTTACACTGTTGGTGGGAGTGTAAATTATTTCAAGCATTGTGGAAGACAGTGTGGCGATTCCTCAAGGATCTAGAACCAGAAATTCCATTTGACCCAGCAATCTTATTACTGGGTATATACCCAAAGGATCATAAATCATGCTACCATAAACACACAGGCACACATATGTTTATTGTGGCACTTTTCACAATAGCAAAGACTTGGAACCAACTCAAATGTCCATCAATGATAGACTGGATTAAGAAAATGTAGCACATATACACCATGGAATACTATGCAGCCATAGAAAAGGATGAGTTCAGGTCCTTTGCAGGGACATGGATGAAGCTGGAAACCATCATTCTCAGCAAACTATCACAAGGATAGAAAACCAAACACTGCATGTTCTCACTCATAGGTGGGAAGTGAACAATGAGAACACTTGGACACAGGGCAGGGAACATCACACACTGGGGCCTGTTGGGGGGTTGGGGGCTAGGGGAGGGATAGCATTTGGAGAAATACCTAATGTAAATGATAGTTGATGGGTGCAACAAACCAACATGGCACATGTATACCTATGTAACAAACCTGCACATTGTGCACATGTGCACAATAAAAAAAAGTAGAAATATGTGCACAATAAAAAAAAATAGAAAGACAGGAAAATGTAAAATAGTGTCATTTTAGTGTTAATTAACATATCAGATTATCTTTCAGTGGAAAAATACAGGCAGCATGAAAGTGTCATTAAAAAGTTGAGTCTGTTGAGTTTGTGTTGGGGGTAAAAAGAAATCTGAAAATGTGAAAAATTGCAAGTACAGATTAGCTTTTTTCAATTTTGCCAACACTGGCATGAGGCTGTTAGAATCCTGTCTAACAAATGTATGAAACCGTAAAAATATTTTTCTTGTCGTTTAACTTGGTTCTGGAAATTCTAAAGGGAGACTTTCAAATAAAGTACAATTAATCACTCCAAATTCAGTCATTTTGAGACACTTTGTTTCTGGAATAATTGAATAATTATATGATACTTTTAATGCAAGTTTTTGATACATATTTCTATACCCCAAACTGAAAACTACTTCAGAAAAAGGATAATTTCATAAAGTTTTGCATCTTGAGAACTTTTGAATTGAATAAAACAATTTTATGTTGAAAAATAGAAGATTTTTGTTTTCTGGTTCTATTCTGTACTTTGTTTTTTAGTTTTTCCCTTCCCTTCTCTTTCCTCTATCCATTTTTTAGCTCCTTGCTCATATTTTTAATCAACTTATAGCACCTAGTTCTGTGATTTGAACATGGTAGGTGCTGAACAGTGTTTGTTAAATTGAATTTAAGTCAACATCACCACATATGGGCCCATTTTACCTACAATTTTAGGGCAAGGTTGACTTTTTGTCTTTCTGTTGAGTGATGAAAGCAATTTGGCAGGAGCTAGTAACTTTTCATTCCCTGGAATCACTTTTATTATTTATATACTATTTGTAGTACAAACATGTTTCCACGAACTTAAGCGACTAGAATGTAGTTTTCTACTTAAATTCAATTCCTCTATTTAGGAAACTTCTATCATATAGAGTTTGGCAAAATTCAGAAACTGGTAAGAAAAAAATGACTGCAACTATTCTTGGGATAGAAGAGAACAGAGATGAGAAATATTCATTAAATCCCTTCACTCTTACCAGACCCATAACTGTTTCCAGAACCCATTCAATCTAATTTTGTGTCTTGCACCATTTTATTTTGGGCTTACTGAACTTCACTGCCACAGGAGGGGGAATGGGTTTGGCAACACAGTTCAGACTATTCTTTTTTCCTCTCTCTTATCCCATCTTCCTCCTAAATGGTTTGGGTCTTGGCAAAACCAAAAAGTGTTTTTCTCTAGTGCTTTTAATTTTTTTGTGTGTTTAATTTTTAACTAAGTGTGCATTTCAAAGAGAATGTAACCCAGCTGTTTTTTATTCTTTTAAACAACAAAATGGTAATTTGTAAAAACCATTCAATGTCCAAGAAGACTTTAGCCCCTTAAAAAAAAAAAAGAAAGCTTTTCTTTCTTTGAACCAAGAATACAAGCCTTGCCAAAAGGGAAGAGTTGGAACCAAGAAAGACTGGGATTTGATTTAATTTAAACTTAGAATTTATAAGTGAGAGAATGATTGCAGCCTTGGCAGAATGTAAGTATTTCCAGGTAACTGAAATTTAACTCTTTTATTTATGAGCCTTGACCACATCCAATAGTGGTACTTCTATATTCTCTTCCCTGAGGATTTCTTGGAAGGGAAAATAGTGTCTATGTGTGTGAGGCTTTTGGAAAGTGGGGACAATGAGCAAGCAGTTGTAACAGAAGGAATAGTAATCCTACATACCCAGCAGCACTGAAACAAAAAAGTAAAATCAACGCTGAGGTCTCAATATTTATAAAAATGATCATTTTCACAGAAGCGAAAATGAAATTTACTCTTAAATTATTTACAAGTAATTTACTGAATGATTATGACTTTTAATAAAAATAGAAAGAAAGAGAGATATTTCACTTATGAGAGAGAACATTTCCTAATTCTGGAAAGATCTATTGTGATACAGTAATTCATATTTTAATCATTAACTTTTATGTACTCACTGAAACAGATTACTAAAGTTCCTCCATTTGGCAAAACTTTGTTTTTCTAATTAGATTGTTTTCCCAGTAATTGGACGTAACGAAACTGTATTTGTCTGAAGACATTTTATAATTCAAACATTTCATTAATGGCGAACAAACTTTCTCCATTTTCTATTGCTCTGAATTAAATTTTACTGGCAGTTAAGAAGAGATTATTTTTACAGATTTTTCTATTAAAAAAGATAAATTGTTCACATGATAAAACTGGATGTTAGTAAGAATTATGTTGATAACCGCAGCAAATTTGGCCCAGACACATTATTTCCTACTGACTTAAAAGTGATACCACTTTCTATTATAAGACTACTTTGCATTTGTTATCTCTAGTGTTCTTTTGGCATTGGTCTAGTAATGTTTTATACTTGTTTCTTACTTTTAAAAGTTTTATTCTAAATGAAGTTCAGTTTAACATACGTGCACTGAGAGCCTACTATGTGCCTGGTGTTGTCAGGACTCCAGAGAATCAAATACAAAAAAGTAAAAATTCATTCTCGCTGGTAATCTCACTGTGGACTGGCTGCAGGGTAGCAGAGGGGGTGGGTGTGAGGGCAAGAAAGGGACTGAACACCAAAAAAAGGACAAATGCAATTTCAGAGGGTGGAGAAGAATTAGGGCCTCTAACTCATCAGAGCTTCATAGGAAGTAGAAAAAGAAAGTTCTTGTTCAGGTGAGAAGTAGCTCCTAGAGGCGCATGGTTTGCAAAGTGGACAGTGCCTACGTGCAGGGAAAAAGAAGTTGGTGCTTCTGGGTGGCTACCGCCCACACTTGGACTGTTTGCCTGGAAAGGGTGGCAAGGACTGGATTTGAGGCCTCATTTACTTTGCCTGCTACATTGACTCTCTGAGGAGACAAGAGACAAGAGGCATAACTACTGCATTGACTCTCTGAGGAGACAAGAGGAATCGGGAGAAAACTCATGTCTGATAAAAAGCTTTAAGAGGTTGTTGCGGGGATTATGATTTTAAACCCCCAACATAATCTTACAAAAGCTTCACCAAAATCTCTATTGTTTAAGAATGCTTTTGGTGCTTTTTTCTTTTTTTCCTGGAAGATATTAAGTAGTATTGAAATCTGCATCAAAATTGATTTGAGGGGTCAACAGAGGATAAGACATCTGAATCACAAAGATAACTAAGTCACACTCCTGCCCTGGAGTATCTCACTGACTAGTGGAGACAGATGGACAATCTAGAGAGGTAATTTGAATATAGTCTGGTAAACTCAAATATCATATATGCAGAGGGTGTGCTGTCTCAGAGAGCAGGGGCCATATCTAAGCTGTGTCCTGGACAATACCTAGCAACATTCACGTATGTGGTACATAACTACTTGCAGAATCAAACTGCAGAAATAGTGCAACTCTGGATCTACTTACTAATCTATTTTTCTCACCTTCAAAATTTTTTCTTAAACTAAATCAGTTATAATTTATTTACTTTTCCTCAGATCCAAAGGAAATAAAATAGTTTGAGAAAGAATGAATGGGCAACTTTGAGGCATTTTTTTGAAAACCATTTGTGTTTTTACTTCCTATTTCCTTATTGTTTAGAAAACAAATACATGAATAAAATTCAAGTTCAATAGCTTGTGCAGATTTTTCTTAAGCTAGTAATAGAAAGCACCAAGAATCCCAGTGCTTTGCATTGTGAGAAATTTGAACTGTTCTGGGCATTTATTTTAATGGTAACAAATGTGTAGCAGAGAAAAAAGAAGAAAAAAAAATATGACAACATGAAGTCATCATCCTTCCAGTCCAGGGTGAGAGCTCTTAGAATGACTTAGTGATGGATATACTGAAGGACAGAACCGATTACAAAAAGACTAGGGCTGATAGGACCACACAAGAAAAGAGCAGTGGCTCACACCTATAATCCCAACACTTTGGGAGGCCGAGGCAGGAGGATTGCTTGAGGCCTGGAGTTTGAGACTAGCCTAGGGAACATGAAAAGATCCTGATACACAGAATTAGTCGAATGCAGTGGTGTGTGGCTGTAGTCCCAGCTATTTGGGAAGTTGAGGTGAGATCAAGTTTGCATTGAACCGTGATCATGCCACTGCACTCCAGCCTAGGCAACAGAGTGAGACTCTGTCGCAAAAAAAAAAAAAAAAAAAAAAAAAAAAAGAAAAGAAAAAGAAAGAGCAGGTTGGTGAGAACTGGCTTGGGCAAAAAGAGAAGGATGTGGAAAACATAGAAACCTCAGGCTATTTGACTACATTATATTGTGGAAAAGATGGAAAGGCTTGAAAAGGCTTGCATCCAAAAAAAAGTCTTTGAAAAATGTCATTCTTATTGTTATAGTGCCCTGTGAGTCTCTACAGTTTTTCTTTGCCTCTTGGAGTTTTTGTATTAAAATTACAATACCCTTGGTTTTTACAATTTTTTTTTTACCATTATTTGTCAAGAACTAAGTATTGCTTTTTTACCTATGACAACAATTTGAAAAGGAAAATCTGTGTGGAGTCAGGAAGTAGGTGCTCCTGACTGGAGAAAAAGATCCAGGAGGACAAGTGGGAAGATGCTAGAGGAAACCTATGGTTGCTTCACAAATTTCTTCAAGGACAGCCTTACCCTACAAAACAGACATCGTCCTTATGACCTAACACTTTGGTAATCAAGATATAAACTCATCCACTTTCTTGCTTGCATGGAAAGAAGGAAGAGAATGCATATATAGTCAATATCTGTGAATTATTAGGTGTTTTTGCAAATGATCTTTCATGTACTTAAAACAATTGCATGGTATACCAGTTATCATTTCTATAGCTAATGAAAAACAGAGTTGGAATGTAAAACCAGAATTCTAACTTTGAGTTCAATTCTCTTTTTCCTTTTCAAGATGATTGTTCATTTCCTGGCTCTACTTGTTTCCTTTTTCTCTCTAACTATCCCACTATTGGTATTTTGGATATTCTTAGTCACATCTTCTCAGAACAACTCCCTGAATTAGGTACTATTGTCCCAATTTATAGATGAGGTAATTGAGGCACAAACAGATGAGACAACAGGCCAGCGTTGCAGAGCTAGATAACAGTGCAGCCAGGATCCGTCTCAGGTACGCAGCCATGCTCTGAGCCACCCCTGGGGCTTTTTCTGCCTCTTGGTTTCCAAGAGGCCATCCCATTTTGACTGTGACCTCCCTAGCATCCTGAGGACCCACTGGCTTATTTGTTGTGGGTATCAGTAGAGGCCTGAAAAAAACTTCCAGTGACCTTGGCACTGAGATGATCTACAAGTAGATGTGCAAAATTTGGCCGTTGCCATGGTCCCTTCAATAAGGCCAGATTAGTGATGGGAAAACTGAAGAGTTTTGTCTGGCGTGGAGTTCCTGTGACTGCTTTCATCCTGGTGCTGTCCAAGACCAATTTGGAGTTTACAGAAAGAACTAATGGGAACCAGAATAATTGGAAACATTTTGCAGAGATAAGCTAGCAAGTTCAGACTTCTATTTTTTTCTAATGAAAAAACCATAAAGGAAATATGTCAGAGAGTGAATATTGCCATCTCCCCTCCATCTCTAGTGGAAAGCAAGCAGGTAAGCAACAGGATACAGGGTGTCTTAGCAGAGTCTCTCATAACTCTGCCCCTCACTTGAGTGTAAATCATTCTCCAATTGCAGATCAGACATAAATCGTTCTGAAACCAGTGCTCACCAAATGTCATTGTGTTATTGAGACATAAATCCTATGTCAGCTCGATGAAATGTCTATGGCCATTGCATTAAACAAATCAAGGCAACTATTTAACGATTTCCAAACATTCTATTATTAAAGTTCAGACAAGAGGTTTGAGAGGAAAGCCATGTTGAAGTGGACTTTAAACAGCCATTTCTCACATTTGTTTGATGAACAATAGCTGTAATGAGTGCCCCAGCTCTGAAGTCCGTCTCAGCAGAAGGGCTTAGAATGGACAACATAGGTCATCAAGAGGAAGCAGCCCTGAGTTTTGGGAGCCCCCTTTGACCTTTGCAACCTCTCAGTATGTAAAGCACAGGCATCTGTATTTTATGTTGATGTTCATCTCAGGCATCTCTGTTTTAACCTGTCTCTAGAGCACCTTCTACAGAGTGAAGAATGACAAGAACTTACTTTGTCCAACAGTTGTGATACCAGTCATCTACTAAGAGCTCCCATATATGTAAATTAAGTAGAGCATTTTATACCTGGACAGCTCCTTAGAGTTTCTGAGAATTTCTCCATGCATTTGATCTACATCCTGTTCCCCTTTCCCTGCTACTCTATAGAAAAATTGAAATGATCAAAAAAAGAACTTTTCTAACATCTTGCATCTACACTACAAATTTATCTGCATCTTCTTTTCCATCCCTGATGTCAGCATGGGAGACATTTTCTTCCGTTGACCCACAATGAGTCATTCCACCTATCCTGGAGTTTCATCCTTTTTGTCCCTCCCCCACAACGCCCACAGGGACTTTGCAGTACTGAATTTTTTCTCATCCTTGCTCTATGTACAACCTTTTCTTTTTTTACTGACCCCTTCCCATTAGCATTTAAACAGACTCAAGTCCTCCACACATTTAAATAAACAAATAAGCCTCTGTCAAACTCCACCCCCATCTTCTGCCTTATATGTATCCTTTCACTGCTAAACTTTTGTAAAATGGATACGTAATAATTGTACATATTTACAGGGTACACATGGCATTTTGATGCATGCATACAAACTGTAATGATCAAATCGGGGTAGTTGAGATATCCATTACCTCAAATATTTATCACTTCTTTGTGTTGGGAACATTCCAAATCTTCTCTTTTAGTTGTTTTGGAAATACACAATGAGTTATTTGTAACTATGTTCACCCTACTCTCCTACTCTTCACCTCCCGTTTAATCCTCAAGTCATGACAGTCTGCCAAAGTCACTGGGTAGGTTAGAAGTCTGGCTATAAGTACAAGAAAACCCAACCCAAACTGGATTAAATTATGAAGGAAATTTTGGCTCACTTAATTGGAATACCAGGGGTAGAACACTGATCAGACATCATTCCATCCTGTGGCTCCAGGTCTGCTCTCCTACATGAATCGACTGGGCACAAGATGGCTGCAGTTGGTCCTGACTTCACCTTGGCACACAAACAGTATTCAGAAGACAGAAAGCCATCCCTTCTTATGGGTTTTTTGGAAGCATAGAAACTTTTCCCACAAAGTCTCAGAAATTTCCTTTCACATTTTCTTGGTGTGAATTATGTGTTATGTGCCAATTCCTGAAACAATTCTTAAGGCCAGAGGGACGCCATGCAAGTGTCTCACTTACAAATATTAAAATTTCTCATGTATCAGTGGTTCTCAACCAGGAGTGATTTTATCCCTGAGGGTACATTTGGCATTGTCTGGAGTCATTTTTTACGGTTATGACTGTAACCGTGTGGTAGTAATGGCATCTAGTGGGTAGAGGCCAGCGATGCTGCAAAACATCCTACCATGCACGGGATATCCCCCTACAACAAAGAATTACTAACCTAAAATATCAATAGTGTCAACACTCTTTGTTATCTCCCACCTCCCATAAATCACTAGCCTCTGTGAATGCTAACTCTCACTTTCCTACTTCAAGTAACTATCATTGTTCACTTGTATTATTTCACTTGCATCATTTTTCTAACTGGGATGTCCAATTTTGCTGCCACTCAATTCACTTTGCATAATGCATTCTATGTCAATTAAGATCTGGCTATTTAAGAAATAAAATAAAAATAAACAAGATATAAATTGATTTTTCTCTCACGCAAAAGAAGTCTGAAGTTAGGTGGGTCCAGGGTTAAAAGTAGAGTTCCTTGGCATGGACCCAAGTTTGTTCTATCTTGCTACTTTGCTATCTTTAGCATATGAATTTTTCTATGTGTTCCAAAGCATTTGATTGAACAATGGCAATCACAACCATTGTGTCAACTAGCAAGAAGGGAAAATGACAAAGAAGGGGTTAACTTCCTAGAAGTTAACCATATTTATTCTGCTTACAGCTCATCAGACATTTATTTAGTCCTACTTCCACGCTTAGCTATGAAAGGCTAGCAAATGTGGGGCTTATTTCAAGTGCCCGTGGATTTAACTAAAAATTACTATTTCTACTATTAAGGAAGGTGTGAGAAAATACATATTGTGTAACAACCAAATAGTCTCTGCCAGAAAGTCAGAGTCATCTTTCTAAAGAGAAAAAATGGTCATGCAATTGCTGCTTAAAAATCCTTTTTAGATGACTCTATATGACAAATAGAATAAATTTCGAACCCTCTAATTAAAGAGGTTTAAAATGCTAATCACAGCTGGGTGTGGTGGCTCATGTCTGCAATCCTACCACTTAGGGAAGCAGAGGCAGGTAGATTGTTTGAGTCCAGGTGTTTAAGACCAGCCTGGGCAACATGGTGAAGCTCTGACTCTACAATAAATACAAAAAAAATTAGCCAGGCATGGTGGTGTGCACCTGTAGTTCCAGCTACCTGGGAGGCTGAAGTGGAAGGATCACCTGAGCCAAGGCACTCCAGCCTGGGTGACAGAGTGAAACCCTGTCTCAAAAAAAAAAAAAAAATGCTTATCACTCTTTGATCTGTGCTGAACTTCTCTGGTCTTGTCTTTAATGATTTCCCCAAACTTATGCTATCTTCTCAAATGCAGTTATACTGCACTTATTAACAGGTTCCTAAATTACTCTTTCTCTTTGTCTCTCTCTATGCCGCCTTCTCTGCCTGAATTGCCCCTCCTTCACTTACCTAACTTCTGCTCCTTGTTTCTCTCTTTTCTCAGATCAGATGTTATTTTCTCTGGGACTCCTTTCTGGACACATCATGACTGAGTGAGGAGCCTCTCTTCTGTTTTCCCACAGCCCAAAATGCTCAGCCCTGTTTGAACAAAGTGTTGTCATTGCCACTTTTCTTCTTGCATTGGCCCTTTAAGTTGTGATTCTTTAGGGCAAAGATTGTGTCATAATACATAGTAAGCACTTATTAAATAATACTTGAATAAATGACTGCATTACCTCATTTGGCCCTCAGAAACACCCTTCAAGGTAAGCAACGTTATTTATTTTTACAGACTAATTAACTGAAGTTAAGGAAATTTATGTGTGCCCAAAGCCATAACACCAGCAAGAGGCAGAACTTGGGCTGCTTCCAATTCTGATTTCCAATCTGGTTCTCACTTTACAATACCACAGTTTTTTTTTTTTTTTTTTTAACTTATCCTCTCTTACACTTACACTGTAATATTGACTTTGTGCTTTGTGTCCATGGTCATTTCGCAGTAGCACCCACTTGCCACTTTCAATTCACTCTAAGTTGTTACAGATCTTTCAACTGTTTTCCGTTCAGTCTTATATATGCAGATGTTATAAACCTCTCTCCATGTATGCCTTTGCCTTGAAAGTATTTAAGACAAATGCAAAACCTGAAGGACGTCATTGGTTCCCTATCCAATCTTCCTCTTCGGCTTTACTGAAAATATAATTCCTTTTGTTTAGATATTTGGTGGCCTTGTGTTTTAGAGAAAGCTGAGCTTCCCTGATCCACAAAGGCAATCTGTATTAGTCTAAGCAAGGATAGTAATCCTATTCCCCTTTCTAGGAGCTCATTTAGGAATGGGCGTATAAAACCAATTTGCCAATAATATTTAAAGGAAAGTCTACTACAGTGCATCCTGTTTTTTTTTTTAAAAAAAGGACACATTGAGAGGTTGTGGCATGTCTGTCTCCATGCTGTCATCAGCATTTCATCTTTTCATCTGCTTTGACCATCTTGGGTCCACAAGGAGTGTCAGTATGATGAAGACGGCAGAGGGGACAGACAGATGCATCTGGTTCCTGATGACCTCCCTGAGTTTTGAATAGGTCAACTCCTGAACTGTCCTACCTTAAGATTTCCTGTCATGTGAGAACCTCAACATTACTTAACATTTAAGCCACTCATACTTGCATTTTTTCTGCTTCCTGCAAGCAAGAGCATTCTAAATAGAATACCAACCTGGAATTGCACTGGGGAACTCGTCAAAATGAACTCTACACTGACCTTTCCGTAAAGAAAGTCACATTGCTTGATCGTTCTCTTTCTCAAATTTGGATTTCAGTGTTGCTCTTACATGAAATGCCTAATACATATTAATGATATATGAAATATATTAGATAATCTCTAAATTGTATAAACCTGAATCCAGTTTCCAAGAAACCTGTGCCACACTGCTATGACACTGAGTATGACCTTTCTCAGGATTTTTCATCCTGAGACCTTAGTTTTCTTCTCTCCAGTCTTTTATGCACAGATAATATATGCCTTTGCCTTGAAAATATTAAAGACCTTGGAGGATAATTCTTTGGGTCACTAACTTTCTAAAACATATATATTCCTTTAAAGTAAAACCGTGCTGTGAAAAAGGTCTTTCACACCCCATTTCCCATCAGAACTCTAACTCATTTTAGCCTGCTTCACCTCTTCCTCTGGGAAATATGAGACATGCTGTCTTTGAAAATAGTTTTGGCTTGTGAAAGGGAAGCCCATCAGTCATATTTTCAGGTGTAAGTCCTAAATTATATATTTAAAATAAAATATATCCTCTCCTCTGGGGAAGTATGCATAGCATGACATATGAACCTGAAATGGCCTGTAGGTTTTACTTCGCTAAGGAGTGACATATACTTGTATGATATTTTTTTTGCATCTTCTCTGCCTGTGACCGTAATAAGAAACTACCTGAGAGTATGAGAACATTCTGGGTCCTAAATAGATCCTGGATATCATTCAGTCTAACAGCTTCATTTTACTGAGATCTGGCTCACTACTTCTGGAACAATAGCTGATAAAGTCAATGGAGAAAGAATTCTTTAGAGTTTCTGATGTTGCTCCTATAGGAATATAATTTACTCTGTGCAGGACTGGAGTGAGGAAGGAGGAGAGGCAGTCGATTTTTTGGAATGCCTCAATCAGTAATAAAGAGAGGCTATTGTGGGAGGGATAGGGTAATGTTGCGAGAAGGAGGAAGACAAAGAGACACAGTGGTTTCTGTATAGTACAAGTGGTTAAGGGCATGGGTTCCATGCACATGAAGGTGCACTTGGGTTTGAATTCTAGTCCTCCATTTGGTAACTGTGTATCTGTATTAGTTAGGCTACAGACATGGCTTCTATAACAAAGGGATTCAAAAAATCAGTGCCTTAAACAAGTTAGAAATTAGTTTATATAACATGTAAAACTCTGGGTGAGGTGGTTTGGGCTGTTAATTCCAGATAGATGGTCCAGAGCTGTTATGGAAGCTCCACCAGTATTAGGAATGCAGGACCTTTTTTTCAAACAGCCTTTCCACCCTCAATATGTTTCCAACTCTTGCTCCAAGAAGGCTTGCTCCAGTTCACATTATCATGTCTGCATTCTAGACAGTGGACATGAGAAGGAAGGGAAGGCTTATCTCTACCACTAAGGGGCATAATCAAGAAGTTGTATTAATCATTTCTGGTCATAGCCCTTCAACCAGCACTTGATCACATGGCTCTCTTTTGCTGAAATGGAGTCTGAGAAGTAAAGCCTTAGCTGGATAGCAACCAGGTAAAATGTATATTGCCATAGACACTGAAATAAGTCCAGGAGAGATGTGCCTATGCCACAAAGATGTAGGCAAGTTACTTAACTCCATACATTAGTTTTTCCATATGTAAAATGAGAATAACAATACTTCCTACCCATATCAGATATGATTGTGCTCTGTTGTTAGTTATACAGAACCTGACAAAGCATAGCTATAAAGCAAGGTTTCTGAACTTCAGCACTATGGACATTTTGAACCAGATAATTCCTTGTTGTGAGGGGCTGTCCTGTGCGTTGTGAAATGTTTAGCATCATTCTTGGCCTCTGCTCACTAAATGCCAGTAGTACTCCCCTCGTTGTACAAACTGAAAATGTCTCATAGAAATGTATCTTTGGGGGAAAATAGTCCCTGGCTGTGTACTACTCCTATACAGAAAAGGGGTTTGAGTTGTTTTTGCCTCCACTTAAGATATCTGAAGAAAAGCAATCCAGGGCAGTATGGTCACTTAAAGATGATTCAGTGATGATTTAAGGAGGAAGACTCTCCATTTCTCTGCCCTACCATTCTTGGCACATGGCTTTTGTCCATAGAGTTGTTGCTTATCACGGTCTGACTCCAATCTGGTTTTCTATCTTAGAGAACTGGCATAGCCCCACTCAAATGCTCAGAAGAGCAGGAAGTCTTTTGCGTTTGTACTCCCATCATGTAGTGCAGTGCCTTGCATTAATATGTATTTGTGCAGTGCAAAAAGTTATAATCTGAAAGTGGTATTTGTGGGCCTGTATCAATCAGGATTATTAGTTACAAAGGAAAAACAAGTCATCCCTTGTAAATATTAAAGGAGATAGGACACTCACAGAGACTTGGGAGAGCTGAAGAGCCAAACTAGGAACATAACAGCCCAGCCAGGAACCATGCCCAACCATGCTACAGGTGTTTTAGCAAAGCAGTGCTGCTGCCACCTCTCAACACCACTGCTATAGTGTCTATCCACGATGAACAATGGAATGCTAGAAGGTCTTCTCTTGCTAGCCACAAAGAAGCAGATGCCACCATCTGTGTGACCACCAAGGTGCTCGATTTCTCATGCATACTCTTTCTGGCATTGCTTACTATGATTGTTAATTTTATATGTCAACTTCACTGGGTTACGAGTGCTCCAACATTTGGTGGAATATTATTCTGGGAATGTCTGTGAGGGTTTTCTAGATGGGATTAACATTTGAATTGGTAGACTGACTAAAGGAGATCCTCTTCCCCATTGTGGCTGGGCCTCATCCCATCAGGTAAAGGCCTGAATAGAGCAAAACTCTTACCCTCTCTGGAGTAAGGAGGAATTCATCCTACCTCCTGCCTGACTGCTTTTGACCTGAGACATAGGTTTTTTTTTGTTGTTGCTGTTTGTTTGTTTTTTCTGCTTTCCCACTCACCTGAAATATTGGCTCTTTGTGGGTCTTGAGCCAGCCAGCATTTAGACTGAAACCATATCATCAGCTCTCCTGGGTGTCCAGTTTGCTGACTGCAGATTTTGGAACTTGTCAGTCTCCATAATTACATGAGCCAATTCCCCCTTTTTTTTTTTTGAGATGGAGTCTCGTTCTGTTGCCCAGGCTGGAGTGCAGCAGCATGACCTTGGCTCACTGCAACTTTCACCTCCCAGGTTCAAGCAATTCTCCCACCTCAGCCTGCCAAGTAGCTGGGATTCCAGGTGCATGCCACCATGACCAGCTAATTTTTGTATTTTTAGTAGAGACAGGGTTTCACCACATTGGCCAGGCTGGTCTTGAACTCCTGAACTCAAGTGGTCTGCTAGCCTTGGCCTCCCAAAGTGCTGGGATTATAGGCATGAGACACCGTGCCCTGCTGCCAATTCCTTATAATAAATCTTGGTCTCATTTTAAAAATATATATTTTATATATATATGTATGTATATATACACAATGTACTATTCCTTATGTTTCTCTGAAAAACTCTGACTAATACACTTACCAAATTAAAATCTCAAATGAATATGTCTGAGTGATGATCCAGGTCACATGTCTACAGCCTAGCTGCAAGTGAACTGAGAAAATGAATGTTCTGACATCTTCCTGTGAAAGGCAAGATGAACACGGCGGAGAACTACTAAAATACAGGGATGGTGTCAAGATGTCGGAGGCTACAAATGACAAATGCTTTTCTCATAATTGGCCTTGTTCCTTAGAAGAAAACATACGTAGAGACACATTGAATGTGGCCCCCTCATTATCCTGAATGTCACCTTTGTGAGAAAAGGAAGGAGTCAAAGAGAATTCCTCTTCCCTCCCTATAGCTGGAAGCAGAACTTGTCTTTGCCATCAGTTCCTTTTCATTTTATCTGAGCCACACCCTGGTGCCCCTGTGTTGCCTTCTCCTTCTCTCTCCCTTCCTCCCTCCATCCTTTCTTTTCTTCTTTCTTCATTTTCTTTTATATAGTTTTTTGTTTTTACTTCAGGTGCATTGATGCATACAAACATAAAAACATCTGTTGGCTGAGTGTGGTGGCTCATGACTGTAATCCCAGCAGTTTGGGAAGCTGAGGTAAGCAGATCACTTGAGCCCAGGCGTTCAAGATCAGCCTGGGTAACATGGTAAAACCCCATCTCTACAAAAAGTACAAAAATTAGCCGGGCCTGGTGGCAGGCACCTATAGTCAAGCTACTTGGGAAACTGAGGTGAAAGGAACACTTGAGCCTGGAAGGTGGAGGTTGCAGTGAGCCAAGATTGTGCGACTGCCCTCCAGTCTGGGCCATACAGTAAGACTGTCTAAAAAAAAAAAAAATTCATTGATTTTCTCAGTTCATGGCACTTTACCATCTTGAGTCCATTCATACGTCTTTTCTTGTTTTACTTATTGTTTGTTTATTCATACCTTTAAAATGTTTTGATTTTATCTTATTGAATTTTTTTTCCAGGCTGGGTGTGGTGGTGCACACCTGTAATCACACCTGTAATCAGGCACATGCCTGAGGTCAGGAGGTCGCGACCAGTCTGACTAACATGGTGAAACCCCGTCTCTACTAAATACAAAAAAATTAGCCCGGCATGGTGGCGCATACCTGTAATCCTAACTACCTGGGAGGCTGAGACAGGAGCATCACGTGTACCTGGGAGTGGAGGTTGCAGTGAGCAGAGAGAGTGCCACTGCACTTCAGCCTGGGCAACAAGAACAAAACTCCATCTCAAAAAAAAATTTTTTTTTCCAATACTTTCATGGGTACACATGGTTTTTGGCTACACAGATAAATTATATAGTGGTGAAGTCTGGGCTTTTAATGTACCCATCACCTGAACAGTGTAGATTGTACACAACAGGTAGCTTTTCATCCCTTAGCCCTCTCCCACCCTCCCCACTTCTGAAACTCCAATTTCCATTATACCACTCTGTATGCCATTGCATACCCATAGCTTAGCTTCCACTTAAAAGCCACGTGTGGTGTTTGGTTTTCTGTTTCTGATTTACTTCACTTAGGATAATGGCCTCCAGTTCCATCCAAGTTGCTGTAAAAGACATGATTTCACTTTTTTTTGGCTGAGTAATATTCCATGGTATATAGACATCATATTTTCTTTATCCACTCATTTGTTGATGGGCACTTAAGTTGTTTCCATAACTTTGCAATTATGAATTGTGCTGCAATAAACATGCATGAGAAGGTGTCTTTTTTTATATAATGACTTCTTTTCCTTTGGGTAGATACCCAGTAGTGGGATTGCTAGATTAAATGGTAGATCTACTTTTAGCTTTTTGAGAAATCTCCATACCATCTCTCTTAGTGGTTATACTAATTTACATTCCCACCAGCAGTGTATGAGTGAGCCCTTTTCACTGCATCCACACTTAAATTCCTATATCCCACTCTATGTTCTATGTTCTCTCTACACATAGACAAACATTCTCAGGTGGGTGTATAACAGTTTTAATATGTTCTTGCAAAATATATATTGTGTACTTATCATGACATGTGATATGATTTTGCTGTGTCTTCACCCAAATCTCATCTTGAATTCCCACATGTTGTGGAAGGTACCTGGTTGGAGGTAATAGAATCATGGGAGCTGGTCTTTCCTGTGCTGTTCTCATGCTAGTGAATAAGTCTCACAAGATTTGATGGTTTTAAAAATGAGTTTCCCTGCAAAAGCTCTCTTTCTGTCTGCCGCCATCCACATAAGATGTGACTTGCCTCTCCTTGCCTTGAACCATGATTGTGAAGCTTCCCCCACCACATGGAACCTCTTTCCTTTGTAAATTGTCCAGTCTCAGGTATGTCTTTATTAGCAGTGTGAAAATGAACTAATATAGTAAATTGGTACCAGTAGAGGGGGATGCTGCTGAAAAGATAACTGAAAATGTGGAAGCAACTGGAACTGGGTAACAGGCAGAGGTTAGAACAGTTTGGAAGGCTCAGAAGACAGGAAAATGTGAGAAAGTTTGGAACTCTTTAGAGACTTGTTGACAAAAATGCTGATAATGATATGGACAATGAAATCCAGGCTGAGGTGGTCTCAGATGGAGATGAGGAATTTGTTGGAGATTGGAGCAAAGGTGACTCTTGTTATGTTTTAGCAAAGAGACTGGTGGCATTTTGCCCCTGTCCTAGAGATTTGTGGAACTTTGAACTTAAGAGAGATGATTTAGGGTATGTGGTGGAAGAAATTTCTAAGCAGCAAAGCATTCCACTTGGGTGCTGATAAAGGCATTCAGTTTTGTAAGAGAAGCAGAGTATAAAACCTCAGACAGTTTGCAGCCTGATGATGTGATAGAAAAGAAAATCCCATTTTCTGAGGAGAAAGTCAAGCGGCTGCAGAAATTTGCATAAATAATGAGGAGCTGAATGTTATTCCCCAAGACAATGGGGAAAATGTCTCCAGGGCATGTCAGATGTCTTCATGGAAGCCCCTCCCATCACAGGCCTGGAGACGTAGGAGGCAAAAACGGTTTTGTGGACTGGGCCGAGGGTCCCTGTGCTGTGTGCAGCCTAGGGACTTGGTGCCCTGTGTCCTAGCCACTCCAGTTGTGGCTGAAAGTGGCCAATGTAAAACTCAGACCATGGCTTCAGAGAGTGTAAGTCCCAAGCCTTGGCAGCTTCCATGTGGTGTTGAGCCTGCGAGTACATAGAAATCAAGAACTGGGGTTTGCGAGCCTCTGCCTAGATTTCAGAGGATGCATGAAAATACCCGGATGCCTAGGCAGAAGTTTGCTGCAGGGGCAGTGTCCTCATGGAGAACCTCCACTAGGGCAGTGTGGAAGGGAAATGTGGGATCAGAATCCCCACACAGAGTCCATACTGGGGCACTGCCTAGTGGAGCTGTGAGAAGAGGGCCACCATCTTCCAGACCTCAGAATGGTAGATCCACCAACAGCTTGCACCATGCACCTGGAAAAGCTGCAGACACTCAATGCCAGTCCATGAAAGCAGCTAGTCATGCTTAGACATATATGATTCACCAAGCATAATCTGATTAGTCATGATTATGAGGGAGGTTTTACCCTGCAAATCCACAGGGGCAAAGCTACCCAAGACCACGGGAATGCACCACTTAAATCAGCATGACCCCGATGTGAGATGCGGAGTCAAAGATCATTTTGCAGCTTTAAGATTTGACTGCCCCACTGGATTTCAGACTTGAATTGGGCCTGTAGCCCCTTAGTTTTGCACAATATCTCCCATTTGGAATGGCTGTATTTACCCAATGCCTGTGTCCCCATTGTATCTATGAAGTAACTAACTTGCTTTTGATTTTACAGGCTCATAGGTGGAAGGGACTTGCCTTATCTCAGATGAGACTTTGGACTGTGGAATCTTGAGTTAATGCTGAAATAAGACTTTGGGGGACTGTTGGGAAGACACGATTGGTTTTGAAATGGTAGGACATGATACTTGGGAGGGGCCGGGGTGGAATGATATGATTTGACTGTGTCCCCACACAAATCTCATCTTGAATTCCCACGTGTTGTGGGAGGGACCCAGTGGGAGGTAATTGAATCATGGGGCCAGGTCTTTCCTGTGCTGTTCTCGTGATAGTGAATAAGTCTCATGAGATCCAATGGCTTTAAAAAGAGGAGTTTCCCTGCAAAACTCTTCCTCTTTGCCTGCCACCATCCACGTAAGATGTGACTTGCTCCTCCT
Source organism: Homo sapiens (assembly GCF_000001405.40). NCBI lineage: Eukaryota > Metazoa > Chordata > Mammalia > Primates > Hominidae > Homo > Homo sapiens. Next base: position 170,834,615 of record NC_000001.11, read on the forward strand.
TGCCTTCCACCATGATTGAGGCCTCCCCAACCACATGGAACTGTGAGTCCAATTATATCTCTTTCTTCTATAAATTGCTTAGTCTCAGGTATGTCTTTATCAGCAGCATGAAAATGGACTAACATAGCATGCATTTTAAGTGGTATTGGGATCTTTTTTAAAATTATACTTTAAGTTTTGGGATACATGTGCAGAACATGCAGGTTTGTTACATAGGTGTACACACGCCATGGTGGTTTGCTGCACCCACCAACCCATCACCTACATTAGGTATTTTTCCTAATGCTATCCCTCCCCTAGCCCCCCACCCCCTGACAGGCCCCAGTGTGTGATGTTCCCCTCCCTGTATCCATGTGCTCTCATTGTTCAACTCCCACTTATGAGTGAGAATATACAGTGTCTGGTTTTCTGTTCCTGTGTTAGTTTGCTAAGAATGATGGTTTCCAGCTTCATCCATGTCCCTGCAAAGGATGGCTGCATAGTAGTCCATGGTGTATATGTGCCACATTTTCTTTATCCAGTCTATCATTGATGGGCATTTGGGTTGGTTTCAAGTCTTTGCTATTGTGAACAGTGCTGCAATAAACATACATGTGCATGTGTCTTTATAGTAGAATGATTTATAATCCTTTGGGTATATACCCAGTAATGGTATTGCTGGGTCAAATGGTATTTCTGGTTCTAGATCCTTGAGGAATCACCATACAGTCTCCCACAATGGTTGAACTAATTTACACTCCTACCAACAGTGTAAAAGCATTCCTATTTCTCCACATCCTCTCCAGCATCTGTTGTTTACTGACTTTTTAATGATCACCATTCTAACTGGCGTGAGATGGTATCTCATTGTGGTTTTGATTTTCATTTCTCTAATGACCGGTGATGATGAGCTTTTTTTCATGTGTTTGTTGGCCGCATAATTGTCTTATTTTGAGAAGTGTCTTTTCATATCATTTGCCAGCTTTTTGACTAGAAAATCTAGAAGAAATGGATAAATTCCTGGACACATACACCCTTGCAAGACTAAACCAGGAAGAAGTCTAATCCCTGAACAGACCAATAACAATTCTGAAATTGAGGCACCAATTAATAGTCTACCAACCCAAAAAAGCCCAGGACCAGTTGGATTCACAGGCGAATTCTACCAGAGGTACAAATAGGAGCTGGTACCATTCCTTCTGAGACTATTCCAAACAGTAGAAAAAGAGGGACTCCACCCTAACTAATTTTATGATGGATCATTTTTGTATTACATGTTGTTTCCCCTTTCTTTTCATTAAGTAATGTATATCTGTTGAAGTTGCTTTCTATTCATCTACTTGGTTACTTCTAACTGCTGCATGATTTTCATTCAGCACATTTTTCTAACCATTGTCCTGAAATGGACACCTACAGTGCTTCAAACTTCTCATCATCAAACACCCACCATCATGAATACACAGAATTGAACATCTTCAGTATGCCCTCTTATTGACCTGAGTGAGTAGTCTTTGGTAAATATGGCTAGACAGAATTGCCAGGTCCCGGGGGTACAGATGGGTGACTTATGCATATAGTGTCAGTTTGCTGTCCAGAATAGCTGCAGCAGTTGACTTTGTTATGTGTTCATTGTAGTATTGAGGGTTCCTATATCCCCTCATTCTCTCTAATATTTGGCATTCCAACCCTTTCCCAACCCATTTTTCTTTTGCCAGTCAAATACATAAAAGTAATAGCTCACTAATCTAGCCTGTGTTCTCTGATGAGTCATGATTCTAAGTAGCTTGTTCATGTGCTTGTTAGTCCTTTGGGGTTCCACTTCTGTCAAATGTTTTTATACCTTTTAGTATTTTTGTCTTCTTGTTAATTATGAAGAGTTTCCAATAAATTCTAAATAATTACATTTTAGTTTTTGGCATCAGAAATATAATTTCCTATGATTTCATCCATCTGTTAACTTTTTTTTTTTTTTTTTTTTTTTTTTTTTGTGACAGAGTTTCGCTCTTGTTGCCCAGCCTGGAGCGCAATGGCAATGGCATGATCTTGGCTCACTGCAACCCCTACCTCATCCTCAGGAGAATCATTCATGTGATTCTCCTGCCTCAGCCTTCTGAGTAGCTGGGATTACAGGCACACACCACTACGCTTGGCTAATTATTTTTTGTATTTTTAGTAGAGATGAGGTTTCACCGTGCTGGTCAGGCTGGTCTTGAACTCCTGACCTCAGGTGATCCACCTGCCTCGGCCTCCCAAAATGCTGGGATTACAAGTGTGAGCCACCACGCCCAGCCACTGTTAACTTTTCCTAAGTGTCTTTCATTGAATGGGAAGCATTAATTTAGATGTAATTATATACATATGAGAGAGAGAGAGAGCAAGATGGGGAGAGAGAGAGAGTGTGTGTGCGTGTATGTGTTTGTGTGTGTGTGTGTGTGTGTGTGTGTGAAGAGAGAGAAAAAGGTAGAATTAGGTTGCCTTACATTATTTAATATGGTTTAAGAAATATTAATCCAAATTATTCAATTGCACTTTTCCATTAACTACATAAATTTAATATTCATTTTTAAAATTTTTAATTTAATGTACAATTCATCTTTATATGTGATGTGTAGGAATTCAGTATTTTTTCATATGTTGAGCCAGCTTTCTAATATCATCTGTCAAAGAATTTATCTCCCCCCTTCCATTGATTTCTGATATCACCTTTACTGTACATTAATTTGCTCAACGCAAATGGCTTTGTCTCGGTATTCCTTATTCTGTTCTATCAGTCTATTTGACCTTTTGTTTTTTTAATGTTAAAATTTTTAATCTTATGGGTATAATGCAGGTATATGGAATGTTTTGGTACAGGCATGCAATGCATAATAATTACATCATGGAGAATGAGGTATCCATCTCCTCAAACATTTATTCTTTGTGTTACAAACAGTCCAATTATACTCTTTTAATTATTTTAAAATATACAATTAACTTATTATTGACTATAGTCACCCTGCTATGCTATCAAATAGTAGGTCTTAGTTTTCTATTTTTTTTTTTTTGTACCCATTAACCATTCCCGCCTCCCCCTTATCCCCCAACTAGCCTTCCCAGCCTATGGGAACCATCCTTCTACTCTCTATGTCCATGAGTTCAATTGTTTTAATTTTTTGGTTTCACAAATAAGAGAGAACATGCAATGTTTGTGTTTCTGTGCCTGGCTTATGTCACTTCACATAATGATCTCCAGTTCCATCCGTGTTATTGCAAATGACAGGGTCTCATTCTTTTTTGTGGCTGAATAGTACCCCATTGTGTATATGTACCTCATTTTCTTTATCCATTCATTTGTTGATGGACACTTAGGTTGCTTCCAAATCTTGGCTATTGTGAACAGTGCTGCAACAAACATGGGAGTGCAGATATCCCTTTGATACACTGATTTCTGTTACAGGCTGAAAGAGTGAGGGTCGTGATCAACTCAGTATACCACTGGAGGCTATATGAGTAAGCAGCAAACTGTTTCTCATGCATGCAGAATGTTGGCAAGCTGAGAAATTGCGTCTGCCACCCAGAAGGAATGCTGAGGGCAGTCATGCCCCAAGCGCAGTGTTTCTTGTAATTAAGCACATCTGAAGCCTGTTAGTAATAATATGAACCAGTGATCAATTAAGCAGCTGACCAATCATTACCTCCTCCTCCCTGCTTATCCTACCCAATAAATATGAAGGGCTGTGGAAGCTCAGGGGAGGCTGCCTTTGCTCACTAGAAGCAGGGAGCTCTCTTCTTCTTCCCCTGGACCCTTCCTTTAAAATGGTTTATTTTGTCTTTAAGTTTTCATTTCTACATTTGTCCCTTCGTCCAGTCTCATAATGACAGTCTCAATGACGGTCTCACGTAGTAACAGTAGTAACTGTCGTAGTGACGGTCTCAAGTAGTAATTGTGGCAGTCTGCCACAGATTTCCTTTCTTTTGGGTACATACCTAGGAGTGGAATTGCTGGATCATATGATAGCTCTATTTTTAATTATTTGAGGAACCTCCAAGGTCTTCTTCATAGTGGTTGTGCTAATTTACATTCCCACCAACAGTGTACGAGGGTTCCCTTTCCTCCACATCCTCACAACCATTTGTTATTGCCTGTCTTTTTGATATAAGCCATTTTAACTGGAGAAGTAGGATACCTTATTGTAGTTTTGATTTGCATTTCTCTGATGATCAATGATGTTGACCACCTATTTGACCTTATACCAATGCCATATTTTCTAATTGCTCCAGCTTTGGAGTGTGCCATAATATGTGATATGACAATACTGACATTTAACTCTTAAATTTTTAATCTGCTATAATTATCCATAGGCTTTTGGTCCTCCCTAAAAATTTAAATATAAACTATAAATAGAAAAAACATAAAAATAAATAGTAATTTTGATTGAGCTTGCATTTACTTAATAGATTAATTTGAGGAAGAATTGACATATTTATAAAATAAAAGCCTTCTATCCCAGTGCATGAAATTTCTTTCCATTTAATCAAATTATCGTTTTTATTCCTTACGAAAGGCCATGAAGTTTTGTGTATTCTTGCTTAGATTACTTCCTAGAGATTATTTTTCTTAACATTGTGAAAATCATTATTCTATATACTTTTTTTCTGGTTAGTTATTGTTGTTATTAATGCATGCTGCTGATTTTTGTAAGTTTGTCTTCTATCTGATAATCTTTCTGAATTCTCTTATTGGTGGTAAGAGTTTTGGTTGTTTTGTTGACAATTATATCCTCTGCAAATAATGATGATTTTATCTCCTTTTCTCCTTATTGCAATGACAAATACTTCTACTTCTATACTGAGTAATATTTTCAAAGTAAATCACCTTGTCTTGTTCCAGTTCTCGAAAGAATTGGACTATGTGTTGTATAGTTTTATACTTGAATATTTATATTCAATTTAAAAGCCCTCTTATAGTTCTAATTTGCTATAATTAAAAATCACAAATGAGTATTGAACCTTATGAAATAGTTTTCTGCTTTGAGATAATCAAAGATTTCTTATAATTTTGTTGATAGATTTTCCTGATCAATAATCATTCTTTCATTAAGGAGGAAATTTCTTCTTAATTACACTTATTATTTTTAAAATATAATGTTGGATTTTATTAGTTAACATTGTATTTCAGATGTTTACATTCTGTTCCAAAGTGAAGTGGATCATAATATTTTTTTCTGGCACTGTCCTTTTCTAGTTTGGGAATCAAGAGTACAATAGCTTCAAAAATGGTCTTGGCAGCTTTATCTTCTTTTACTATTTAGGAGGAAGCTTCAATATGATAAGATTTGGTTTCTTAAAAGTACAGTAAAATTTACCTATAAAGTTACATGAGTCTAGGCTGTTGAAGAAGAGAAGTCTTTGATCACCTTTAAATATATATGTATATTTAAATAATATTTATCTACTCAAGTCCTCTACTCTTGTGCCAATATAACACTTTATAAATATAGTGTAATATATTTATTTTATTTAGCTTTTCAAACTTACTAGTACATAGATGTCGAAATAGTCGTATACATTCATATATGTGTATATAAAACCTCTATCATGCTTGTATTTCTTTCCCATTTTTCATCCTATACTTTGTTTATTGGCGTCTTCTATTTTTTCCCTTGATTAATCTTATGAGATTTATCTCTATCAGTGAGGTTTTTTTCAGATTCAGGTTTAGGCTGCTATTCTTTCATCAATTTTCCTGTTCTTTTATTTGTTTTATTTAATTCTTTGTATATATTTATGTGTCATGTGTGATATTTTAATGCAAGCATACAATGTATAATGATCAAATCAGGGTAATTGGGATATCTATCATCTTAAACATTTACTATTTCTTTGTTTTAGAAACATTACAATTCCACTCTTCTAGTTACTTTGAAATGTACAATAAATTATTGTTAACTACAGTGGCTCAATTGTGTTACCAAACACTAGACCTTATTCTTTCTTTCTAATTGTATTTCTGTACCAAATTAACTAATCCTTCTTGATCCTACTCCCCCACTACCCTTCCCAGCTCATGGTAAGCATCATTTTACTCTCGATCTCCATGAGATTATATTTTTAGCCCCCACATATAAATGAGAACATGTAATATTTGTCTTTCTGTGTCTGGCTAATTTCACTTAATATAATGTCATTCAGTTCCATTCTTCCTGTTACAAATGACAGGATTTAATTTTTTTACAGCTGAATAATATTTTATTGTGTAGTTTCTTTCTTATTTTTGATGTTTGTTCCTGATCTATTACAAATTTCTTGAGTTAAATGCATAGCTTTTAAAAAAACCTTTCTTGGTTCCTAAAAATTCATGAAAAATTTTTATTCCAAAAAAAATCAATAAATAGAGGGCCCGAAATGATAGATTTGGGACTTTTATAGGATTGCAATATTGAAAAAAAATGCTTACAGACTAGAATACATACCTCCAAAAGCCAGGGTGAAATAACAACGAAATAATGACCAAAGCTCAAATGGCTTGTAAGATTTAATTTTAAAATTCTATAATTATAATTTGGAAAGCTCAATTTTGCTGAGAATTTTTGGAGAGAGCTTCTATTCTTCATAAAATGAATTTACAATCATACCAGGATGAAATAAAATTTTGAGATGGTCAGCGATTTTTCAACATTTAAGTGTACCAAAAAATTCAAAAGAATTATGGCTGAAGAGAATTTATTTGACGTTTTGTCTTGTAAAACTATTTTTTTGAAGAAACGGACACTGGATGGAGACAAAAAGATAGCACAGGTGAAATGGGCTGAGATAGTCACCTGTCAATTCCACGAAACCTAAATGTAGAATACCCTCCATACAGCGAAATTTGCTCCAACTTATGGATACCTTACCACCTGTGGGAAAGTATCTTCTCAATTAGAAGTAACATGGTCTACAGAGACGCATCAATTGAAGAAGCATGAAGTAAAAGACATTAAGGCAGGTTGTAGACAATTTTATGAAAAAATAAATATAATATGACCATATGGCAAGACAATATATTGCAGAAAAATAGCCTGATCAAGGTATTATTCTGCTTGTTATTTTTAAATATTCAGATAATCCACTTAAGAATTTATTAGTTTTTAAATAAAAAATGACATCTTACTCTGTTACTCAGGCTAGGGTGCAGTGGCATGATCATAGCTCACTGCAGCCTTGAGTTCCTGGGGTCAAGCGATCCTCCTGCCTCAGCATCCCCAGTAGCTGGGACTATAGGCACATGCCACCATGCTTAGCTAATTTTTAAATATTTTTGTAGAGATGGGGTCTTGCTATGTTGCCCAGGCTGGTCCCAAACTCCTGGCCTCAAGTGATCCCTTCTACCTGCTCAGCCTCCCAAGTAGTTGGGTTTACAGTCATGAGCTACTACACTCAGCCTAGTTAAGAATTTTTACAATTTTAAGTATATAGATAGATGTTATTTTATTAGAGAAAAATTCACTTTTTCAAAATATTTTTGGATGAAACTAGTTTATAGGTTCATCAATAGAATAAAACCAAGTTGTAAATTAAGAAATAAATATTTCAAAAGTATACTGAATTATTTTACTGATTTTCTCTCACTTCAGAACAGACCTGTTTTAATATTCCAATGATAAAATCACCCTAGCTATCAGAAATTTTGACTCTTTCTATGTTTTTGGTACATTATTTTTAACAGTGGTTATTTCTAGTTCTAGATCCCTGAGGAATCGCCACACTGACTTCCACAATGGTTGAACTAGTTTACAGTACCACCAACAGTGTAAAAGTGTTCCTATTTCTCCACATCCTCTCCAGCACCTGCTGTTTCCTGACTTTTTAATGATTGCCATTCTAACTGGTGTGAGATGGTATCTCATTGTGGTTTTGATTTGCATTTCTCTGATGGCCAGTGATGGTGAGCATTTTTTCATGTGTTTTTTTGCTGCATAAATGTCTTCTTTTGAGAAGTGTCTGTTCATGTCCTTTGCCCACTTTTTGATGGGGTTGTTTGTTTTTTTCTTGTAAATTTGTTTGAGTTCATTGTAGATTCTGGATATTAGTCCTTTGTCAGATGAGTAGGTTGTGAAAATTTTCTCCCATTTTGTAGGTTGCCTGTTCACTCTGATGGTAGCCATCCCATTACTGGGTATATACCCAAAGGACTATAAATCATGCTGCTATAAAGACACATACACACGTATGTTTATTGTGGCATTATTCACAATAGCAAAGACTTGGAACCAACCCAAATGTCCAACAATGATAGACTGGATTAAGAAAATGTGGCACATATACACCATGGGATACTATGCAGCCATAAAAAATGATGAGTTCATGTCCTTTGTAGGGACATGGATGAAATTGGAAATCATCATTCTCAGTAAACTATCGCAAGAACAAAAAACCAAACACTGCATATTCTCACTCATAGGTGGGAATTGAACAATGAGAATACATGGACACAGGAAGGGGAACATCACACTCTGGGGACTGTTGTGGGGTGGGGGGAGGGGGAAGGGATAGCATTGGGAGATATACCTAATGCTAGATGACGAGTTAGTGGGTGCAGCGCACCAGCATGGCACATGTACACATATGTAACTAACCTGCACATTGTGCACATGTACCCTAAAACTTAAAGTATAATAATAAAAAAAAAACAAAAAACAGTGGTTATTATCCTCTAGATCAGCTCTTGATGTCAACTGCATCTCTACAGATCATACCTTTATTCCAAGCAGGAAACAGGGAAAAGAGGAAAATACCAAAATAGGCTCATGCCTCCTGCCAACATATACCCTTAGGAGATTTTTCCAGGGTTCTCACCAGACAATTTTGGCTTACATTTCATTGGCCACCCAGTACTTTCAGAGAGGCTAGTAAACATAATGCTTTAACTGGGCATGTTGCATTTTAGAATGTAACTGGGGATTTGATCCTAAAAATTAAGGGATGGGACTTACTTTTGCTAGGCAAATGATAGTATCTGCCACATGTATTCCCTTGTTTTGTCTACATTAAAGTTCCTCATTGCTGAAGATGGAGTGAGGGAAGCTTTGAATTTCCTCTTAAAATCAATGCTGTTCTGAAAAAACTTCTTAATTTAAAAATTTTAAGTTAAAAAATTTCTTTTAAAATTTCCTAAATTTTTTAAAATTTCCAGTCCACATCAAATTAATATTTTAGTAAAGTATAATAAAATATAATTCAAAAATAAAATTGAAAAACACAGACAATAACCAGTTTTTATTATTAGATTCAAACAAACATTACCTTTTAATTAATATAGTTTGAATAAGCATAACAGAAAAATTATAGTTATCACTGAAATGTGCAGACAGGTGATTAAAATAGATAATTTCTATTACACTTGTAATTTTTGGTCAGTTGCAATTATGACTAAATAAGTTTTAAGTAAAATAGCCCTTCTGATTAAATGCCATATTCACACTTTGAAAACATACTATCTATGTATATCAATATTAATGTGATAAATGGGTTTGCTTTTTTCTCATATAATAGTGGTGAGACCTACGACAGCATTATTCCCATGAGAAAACGTGCATCTAAATTATTTTTATTTTGCTTTTATAACACTCAGAGTAGAGAAACCAGACCTACAGAGCTTTATTGACAGGAATGGAAGATGATATATTAAAGCAATTTTAGCAAGCTCTGGATAGTCATTTTTAATCTTTTATTCAAAATAAATAAAGCAAGTGTTGCTAAATTTTCAAATTCAATCCATCTGTACCCAGTTCCAACAATATATTCTAAAATTTCTAGTTCAATTTAAATTATTTTTCAAAGAAAGAAATAGGTTGCAGATTCATGACTCTCCTAAGCATGCATCTCCTTTTGTTGAAAAATAAAATCCAAAATTCTATCACATTCTAAACTATTAGGTAATTTTTTGCAGATAAGCAATATCAGAATCATTATTTCATTGAAAATTATTGTGAAATTAATTGTCATAATAATCTGTAGAAACCGTTTTTCCAAGCTTCTATCTTTCATTTTTGTCCTTTAATCTTATGTGCCTTTTAAAAATGCATCACATTCTTTTCTTAAATGGAATTATTGAAATCATTAGAAATACTAATGTAGCTATCAGATAAGATATTTTTACAATGCTGTAAAAATCAGCAAGTCTAAATTTTTAATTCACAGCTTTAAGAAGATGGAAACAAATTGGTTTTTTACCTTGCAGAAATACTAACAGTTCCTTTCATAGTTCAAATAATTCCAATATAACTTTTCCCCTGGATGACAATTGTATCTCAGCATACAAGAGTTGTTTACTATCAGCTTACAAATTATCATAATAATGAAGAGAATTCTCAAATTTAACACATTTGTCTCTAAGCATTTCACAATTTTTACTATATCACTAATCACACTGTTTAGATCAGAAGACACTTTATTCATAACAACATTTTCTTGGTGAAGAAACTGGTGCATTGGTTTACATTCTAGTGCAAGCTCCATAATCTTCAACAGACTCCAAAATGTTTTCATCATTGCAGCTGTGCCATCAGAACATTCTCCTACACAAAACTTAAATTCCAAACCACATTTTAGATGATATAATTCTGAGGAGCTTTATGTAGTTACAAGTTAGCTGCGGTTGTCAGCAATGAAGCTGAAAGTCAAGTGCTTCCTTCATAGTATCGCGATTAAATTGGACATATATGAAAATAATTGTCATGGTAGTGGTGCCGGTGCATTTGTCAAAATGCAATAAAAATTATTTACCAGCTTTATTTCTTCTACAAATCTGTCTTCCTTATCACTAGTTCATTCCTGAACACACCAACCAACAGAATCACTGGAGAGTTCTACTTGAGTTCTCTTCTTGGTTGCAGATTTATTCCAAATTTCAAAGTATCCATCTTTAATACATTCTCATATTAATGTATTGAGGTTGAAGTGTGTTGTTGCAGAGGTGCACTGGCTTATAAAGAATGAAACCATCAAAGCCCTACATGGGTTTGTTATTGTTTGTCTGTTTTAGCAATACGAAGTATTACTTTACAAGAAACCTACAGTGGCCTAGTATTTACAGGTATAGTATTTATACATATTCATATATGCTTATATACATTACAAGCATAGTATTTGAGCATATGCTCTGTCAGCTTTCTAATTTAATATTATTTCTTCAGTGTTTGAGTTTTCATGTAGTTCTTCAAGTTTCATATGTTAATAGTACTTTTGCTCTGATGGTCTTATTGCTTTATTAGCTACTACATCTCTGCGATAACACACTTCAACCTCAACTATGGTTACAAAATCAATATATGGGGGATCACACTTGTATGTCAAATCAATACAAACTCTTTGGATCTTCAATTTTTTAAATAACTTCTGTTTTCAACATTTGCTTTTCTACAACTGCCACATTCATAAGAGATGTGTCTTTTCTTGACAAAAAAAATCCAGTGACACTTATAGTACAAACTGAACATGAGAATTAAAAATAAACAAGACAAATATTTTCTATCCTATTATACTTGATACTATTCAGCTAAACTGAAAACCAGGCTTGATTTAAATTTAAGCTGAGTATAAAAATGATAAGTTATAAAAATATATGCTTATATTTTCTCAAATTTTTGCATGCTTTTAGTTTCCAGATGATTAGCCAACTTTAAAATAATCATGTCATGTCATAACATTATTCTACAATGCATTCAGGTCTCACTCCATGGGCATGCAACCTGTATATTCACACAGTTCCCCCCATTTTGTGTTGGGCTCAGGAAATTATGTAACCAGTCCTTGCTGACATGAAAAATATAACTCAAGGTACATGCAACTCACTTTCTGAGTTAGTCATACTCAAATTGGCTTATCCTCTGTTCAATGAGACTAGTCCATTGACCACCTGCTTGGATATCATGCAATGTCAAGCAAATTGCTGTACACATGTCTCAATGTTTACTCTTCATTTCCAGGATTATCTCATCACACACTGGTAACGACCAGTCATGGATTGGCTCACAGGCCCACTTCAAGTGGCACTTTCCTAGACATTAAATCAGTGACCAATAAAATGAAGGAAGCAATGAATCCATTTGGATGTGGGAGCAGGGATCCCTAGAAATAACTAGAGGCCAGGAGTCTTCTCTTTGTGGATATGCCTGCTAGGATATTTGTTAAGGGTTAGCTGAGCACTATGGTAAATTTTTTTTTTTTTTTTTTTTTTTGAGACAGAGTCTGGCTCTGTCACCCAGGCTGGAGTACAATGGCGCGATCTCGGCTCACTGCAAGCTCCGCCTCCCGGGTTCACGCCATTCTCCTGCTTCAGCCTCCCGAGTAGCTGGGACTACAGGACCCCGCCACCACGCCCGGCTAATTTTTTTTATGTTTTTAGTAGAGATGGGGTTTCACCGTGTTAGCCAGGATGGTCTCGATCTCCTGACCTGGTGATCCACCCGCCTCGGCCTCCCAAAGTGCTGGGATTACAGGCGTGAGCCACCGCGCCCGGCCGCACTATGGTAAATTTTTAACAACAATCATTTAGCCGAGGAAGAAGGGGTGTGATTATTTCAAATGTGATGAGGCACAGGAAAAGTCAGAAATCATATACAAATTTTATGGTGTCTTGGCCTCCACCTCACCCTCTGCTAGCAGGAGTCAGCTACCTTCTCTCCCCTAGAGAACCAGAGTTACAGGATTAATGGAAAGCAGGCCTTGCCAGGGCTCCATAGCTTTTGACAAAGACTTGAAATTTGAATAAATTACCCTCACTGAAAGAAGGTGTCACTGTCTTTGAACATGAATAAATATAAATTAAGAGTAGAATTAGTTTAGGCTTCAAGGTTATGGCAGTGAGCACTCCCCAGTGATGACCTCTTACAGGAAAGAAAACAAACGTTATCTTTTGAGGCATTTAAACTTGAGCTAAGGAGGAAAATCACAAGGAGCATTTTTGTTGCTCAAAGGCATGGAGTTTACATGGCTCAGAGGAGCCTGAAGAGGTTAAGTGGCTTGTCAGAGGTCATAAACTAATGAGATGCAGAACTGAGAACCAAACTGGGCCTCTAGCTGCTAAGCCTATCATTTTCCTTTTTTTTTTTTTTTAGGTTGATAGATAACATTATATGTTTTCACCACATACAACATGATGTTTTGACTTGTATATATACATAGTGTAATGTTAAATCTAGCTAATGAACAAATGCATTCTCTCACATGGTTATCATTTTTTTGTGGTGAGAGCATTTAGCATCCACTCTCTTTACGTTTTTAAAGAATATAAAATATCAAATTAACTATTGTCACCTTGCTATACAATAGGTATCTTGAAATTTATTTCTCCTATCTAACTGTATTTATGTATTCTTTGATCAACATTTCCTCATCCCCTGCCCAACCACCCCAGCCTCTAGGAACCACCATTATACTCTCTAATTTCATCAATTCAACTTTAGTTTCCACGTGTAAGTGTGACTATGCAGTATTTATCTTTCTGTGCCTGGCTTATTTCACTTAATATCATGTCCTCCAGGTTCAACCATGTTGCAAATGACAGGATTTCATTTGTTTTTATAGCTCAATACTATTCCATTGGGTATATATTTTCTTTAACCATTCATCCATTGCTGGACATTTAGGTTGATTTCATATCTCGGCTTTTGAAGATAGTGCTGCAATAAGCATGGAAGTGCAGGTATCTCTTCAACATATGGATTTTATTTCCTTTGGATAAATAGCCAGTAGTGGGATTTCTGGATCATATGGTAGTTCTATATTTAATTTTTTGATAAACATCCATACCATTATCCATAATGGCTGCACTAATTTACATTCCCACCAACAGTGTTTAAGGGTTCCCTTTTCTCCACAGCCTTGTCAACACTTTTTATTTTTTGTCCTTTTGATAATAGCCATTTCTTTTTTTTTTCTTTTTTTTCGAGGTGGAGTTTTGCTCTTGTTGACCAGGCTGGAGTACAGTGGCGCGACCTTGGCTCACTGCAACCTCTGCCTCCCAGGTTCAAGTGATTCTCCTGCCTCAGCCTCCCAAGTAGCTGGGATTACAGGTGCCCGCCACCGTGCCCAGCTAACTTTTTGTATTTTTTGTAGAGATGAGGTTTCCTCATGTTGGCCAGGCTGGTCTCGAACTCCTGACCCAGGTGATCCACCCGCCTCAACCTCCCAAAGTGCAGGGATTACAGGCATTAGCCACCACATCCGGCCTATAATAGCCATTCTAACAGGAGGGAGGCCACATCTCATTATGGTTTTGATATGCATTTCCCTGATGTTTAGTGATGTTGAGCATTATTTTCACATACCTATTGACTATTTGTATATCTTGAGAATGTCTATTCAGGTATTTTTTTCCCATTTATTGTTTTGGGGTTCGTTTGTATGTTGTTTTGTTTTGCTATTCAGCTCCTTATATAGTTTGGATATTAAACCCTTGTCAGATATATAGTTATGAATATTTTCTCCCATTCTGTAGGTTGTCTCTTCACTCTGTTGATTTTTTTTTCCTGTGCAGAAGCTTTTTCCTTTGATACAATCCCATTTGTCCATTTTTGCATTTATTGCATGTGCTTTGGATGACTTATCCAAAATATCCTTGGCCATATCCATATCATGAAGCATTTCCCCTATGTTTTTTTGTAATAGTTTTATAGTTCCAGGTTTTACATTCAAGTATTCAATCCATTTTGATTTTCTTAATGTGGTGAGAGATAAGCATCTAGTTTCAGTCTTCTACATGTGAATATCCAGTTTCCTAGCATGATTTATTGAAAACACTATTCTTTCCCCAACGTATGTTTCTGGCACTTTTGTAAAAAAAAAAATCAATTGGTTGTAAATGCATAGATTTATTTGTGGGCTCTTAATTCTGTTCCATTAGTCTGTGTGTCTGTTTTCCTGCTAGTACCATACTGTTTTGGTTGTTATAGCTTTATACCACGTTTTGTAGTCAGATAGTGTGACACTTCCAGCTTTATTCTTTTTGCTCAAGAATGCTTTGGCTATTCAGGGTCTTTTGTGGTTCTATACAAATTTTAGGATTTTTTTTCTACTTCCATGAAGAATGCCATTGGTATTTTGATAGAGATTATACATTGAATTTGTAAATCACCTTGGATACTATGGACATTTAAACAATATTAATTATTTCAATCCATGAACACAGCCATCTTTTTATTTCTTTGTGTCTTCTTCCATTTTTCATCAGTGTTTTATAATTTTCATTGTAGAGATCTTTTACCTCCTTGGTTAAATTAATTCATAGGGTTTTTGTAGCTATTGTAAATGAGATTGTTTTATTGATTTTTGAAAGATAATTTTCTATTAGCGTATAGAAATGTACTAATTTTTGTATGTTTATTTCATTTCCTGCAACTTTATCAGATTCATTTATTAGTTCTAAATTTTTCTGGTGGAGTCTTTAGGGTTTTCTATGTGCAAAAGTGTGAAGAATAGAATGTCTGAACATACCAATAAAGAATGAAGACTTTATAGTTGGTGCAAAAATAATTGCAGTTTTTGCCATTATGGCAATTACTTTTGCACCAATCTAATAAAAGTCTCCCATCGAAAGAAAGCCCAGGGCCACCACAGTGGTTCACGCCTGTAATCCCAGCACTTTGGGAGGCCGAGGCAGGCAGATCACCTGAGGTAAGGAGTTCGAGATCAACCTGGCCAATGTGGCAAAACCCCATCTCTGTTAAAAATATCGCACCACTGAACTCCAGCCTGGGGGATAGAGCAAGATTCTGTCTCCAAAAAAAAAAATAAAATAAAAGCCTAGGACCTGATGGCTTTAGTGCTGAATTCTACCAAACATTAAAAAAGCTCTACTCTAATACAAATTTTTCCTAACTATATATAAAAAAATTGAAGAGAGAATTCTACTAAACTTATTCTATGAAGCCAGCATTATTTTAATAATAAAACCAGAAGGAAAAAAAAGAAAACTACAAGTCAACATCCCTGATGAACATAGATGCAGAAATTCTCAACCAAATACCAGCAACCTGAGTTCAAATTCAACAGCACACTGAAAAGATTAGTCACCATGATCAAGTAGGATTTATCCCAAGGATGCAAGGATGGTGCAATGTATACAAATCAAAAGCATGATACATCTCTGATATGGTTTGGCTCTGTGTCCCCACGCAAATCTCATCTTGAATTGTAGCTCCCACAATTACCACATGTCCTGTGAGAAACCCTGTGGGAGGTGATTGAATTATGGGGGTGGGTCTTTCCTGCACTGTTCTCCTGATAGTGAATGAGTCTCACAAGATCAGATGGTTTTTAAAAAACGCGAGTTTGCCTGCACAAGCTGTCTCTTTGTCTGCTGCCATCCACATAAGATGTGACTTGCTCCTCCTTACCTTCCTCCATAATTGTGAGGTTTCCCCAGCCATGTGGAACTATGAGTTCTCCATTAAAACTCTTTCCTTTGTAAATTGCCCAGTCTCGGGTATGTCTTTATCAGCAATGTGAAAACAGACTAATACACTCTTACTAATAGAATGGACAAAAGCCATACGAACATTTCAATAGATGTAGAAGGAACATCTGACAAAATTCAACATCCCTTCATGATTAAAAAATCTTCACAAATTAGGTATAGAATGAATGTAATTTGCTCAGCACACTAAATGCCACCATCTATGAGAAATCCACAGCTAATATCCTACTGAGTGGGGAAAAGTTGAAAACTGTTCCTCTAAGAACTGGGACAAAACAAAGATGTTTACTTTCACCACTCCTATTCAACATAGTACTGGAAGTCCTAGCCAGAGCAATCAGGCAGGAGAAAGAAAATAAAAGGCATCCAAATTGGAAAGAAAGAAGTTAAATTGTCACTGTTTGCAGATGACATGATTTTATATCTAGAAAACCCATC
Organism: Homo sapiens; assembly: GCF_000001405.40. Classification (NCBI taxonomy): domain Eukaryota; kingdom Metazoa; phylum Chordata; class Mammalia; order Primates; family Hominidae; genus Homo; species Homo sapiens. The sequence continues at coordinate 170,851,470 of NC_000001.11, forward strand.
CTTTTCCATATAGCTCTGTCTTTCAGATCAGTGGCCTAGAATTCCAGTTATAAATTGTGGGCTTAAATGTATGTTTTTATTCCTGCCTTCTCTTTCAAATCACACTGAAAACAATAAGAAGAGAAAAAAATACCCTCCATCTTCTTAGGACAAAGAGCTGCAACCCTAAACCACAATCCTAAACCCCAAATTTTGTGTAATTTGCTCTAAAATGAGCGAGGATAACTCAGAAGTGAGACAAATCTCCTTAGTCCTGGCTTTAGAGAGGAGATTCTTTTAAAAGAGTGTTTCTCAAGCTTTAGTGTGCATCAGAATCACCTAGGGAGTTTCCTAAAGGCACAGACTGCTCATTTCTACCCCTAGAGTTTCTCATTCAGCAGGTGGGGCTTGAGAAACTGCAGTTCTAACAAGTCTATAGGTAATGCTGATATTATTGGTTAGAGACCCTAGTTTGGGAATCTAAAAGCCCTGTATAGTCTTTTAATTAGAGCAAGGAGCTCTAGGGGTTGGTACTGGCCATTAGAAAAATCAAAGATTTTTCTCTTTAGATACCTAGTAAAACACCACAAAATAACATAAGGGGAGCAGCTACTGTCTATATTCTGGTCTCCTGGCTTAGACAGGCTGCCAAAGGTTAAAAAAAAGAGAGAGAGAAAGAGGTGGAAAAGGGAGGGGAAAAGGAAACCACAAATGTACAACACAGGCAAGTATAGAAAGAGCTTTGCAGTGATCGATATGATCTGTTAGAATGTTGAAAACCAAGCTGAGATGGTCCCCCAAGGAAAAAGAAATAACATAAGCCCCAAAACACAGACTGCATTACTCATTCTCACCAATCTCCTCCCCACTGTACTCCAGCAAATTGTTGACCTGTTAAAAATGACAGATATACAGAAAAAAAACTCTCATAGAGACAATGCATAGATAAGAAATGAACATAAGCAAAAAGCAGATGAAGAACATACATCACACAATTAATTACCCTTCCATACACTGTGATCCCTTGAAAGTTTAAAAAACATACCAATAGGAGAAACAACAAATCAAAGAGGAGACAATAACCTATTAAAAGTAACGAAAAATAGGATGGCAAAGTGCTGGAAAGGAATCAAAGAGAAAAATGAAATAATCACAGAGATTTATGTCATGTTGGACTGAGAAAATCTGTTTGAAACCTGGAGTAGGCTTGAGGCAAGCTCAATAAATAAGATGGAAAAAAAAGTGAAGATAGGGAAACATTTACAGAGGAGAAAAAGTGAAATAAATATAAATGAATAAACAAAAAGTTGCAAACCTATAATCCAAGGACATTTTAGAAATAATTATTCTTCCTAGCCTGAGACAAGGTATTATGTTCAGGTAGTTATTTTGGGAAGTAATCCCAGGCATTAGAAGAGAAGAACTGGGAAGAGCATAAGAGGGAAGGGGAATACAAACATCAGTGTTTCCCAAGTCAGGTCTTGCTGTGGCACCCTGCACTACTCAAAAGGAGAAATGGGCAACACCTCTTTCTATTCCTCCCAGAATAAAGGGTACCATGTTGCATAAAGTTAACCCGCTTGTACTTCCAAAGTTGCACATGAAGAGGGGTCTAGAGGGTCCCCCTAGGAATCCCAAATCCCTACATTGGCAAAGCCCTGGACAGAAAGAGATGGATTTGAGTATTATTTGAGGCAAGATACTGTCAGGTGACAGCTTATCAAGTTGGCTACTACAGAAAAGACTGGAGTGAAAGGTGGTCTGAGAGGATTCAAGGTGGGGAGCAAGATGTGTTGGACATAAGGACAAACTGCATTCCAGGAGAAACTGGCACAGGGTATGAACTTGGGAAAACATCTTAGTAAAGTTACTGAACTTCAAAGAGAAAGAAAGTGTATCAAATCAGTCAGGCCCTAAAGCAAAACAGACGTGCAAGTCACTTATGAGAAGGAAAAACCAAACTGCTCTCAGACTTAACCACTGCAGTGGTCAATACCAGAAGACAGTGGAACAATATCTACAAGAGGAAAGCAAAACCAAAACATTTCATTGCTAGATGAAGCATTGTCCAGGTCAAGAGACACATGCTGGCCGCTCACGGTGGCTCATGCCTGTAATCTCAGCACTTTGCGAGGCCAAAGCGGGCTGATGAGTTGAGGTCAAGAGTTTGAGACCAGCCTGGCCAACATGGCAAAATCCTGTCTCTACTAAAAATACAAAAATTAACAGGGCATGGTGGTAGGTACCTGTCATCCCAGCTGCTCATGAGGCTGAGGCAGAAGAATCATTTGATCCCAGGAGGCAGAGGTTGCAGTGAGCTGAGATCATGCCACTGCACTCCAGCCTGGTTGATACAGCAAAACTCTGTCAAAAACAAAACAAAACAAAAACACCTGCTTTCAAGCTTTTAAGAACTCAGAGAAGACAGGTCCCATTAGGACATCTCAAAACACACTTCTTGACAAAATCTAGCCACCAAGATGCCAGGAACAGAGAAGCCATGACACAAGAACTGGTGGAAATTGGTGACTTTATTTAAATACAGAATTAGAATTACACAACTATGAAACTGAAACCAGATGATAGGAGAAAATGACTTATATTTTGAAATTGTAAAAATAACATAATCAGCAAAAATCTTGGGTGAATTGTTTTCCTCATATATCATAGTAGAGAATCATTAGATCCTGTCAAATATTAAATAATACAGTTTTCCAGTATAATACTCCAATTTAACAATGCTTCTCAGAAGATTGTGCCACAATTTTAGAGATTTGTTGAAGCATGAATAATAACTTTTGTTGCAGAAAAAAATTATCTGAAGTTCATAATTCTTTGTTTTACCTTGATTTCTTTATATTCTGTGATATTCACATAAAAGTAAATTTAATACCATGGTCTATGTGATACATAAAAGAAAAGACCAATTGTGTGCATTTCTGAGACTTACAACCTGGCTGGTCTGTCATGGATTAACTCTCCAGGCAGAGTGGGCTCTTCACCCAGCATGCCCACACACCAGCCCTCTTCTGAGGATTCTACAGGATTCTACTTACTCTTGACCTTTTACTGCAGCTCTGTACCTGTGGTCAAGAGGGCTTTGGGGAGGATTTTCTGCTCACTAATTAGCTTATGATTTGCTTTGAACAACCTGAACAATTCTGGTTATTTTTGGGAAATGTTCAGCAGTAGTTTGGAGGGAAAGGAAAGAGCTGGAATAGCCATTTATAAAAAAGACAGCTCAAGTTTTGATTTTTGATCTTGCATTTGTTGTACATTTTTCACAGATTTTGTGGCACCAAATGTAGATAAGATACTGTCTGATAGAGAACAAGAATTTGGAATATTAGCGACAGAAGAAGGAAAAACAGAAAAGGCAGCCACGTATACAAGGTGTTGCAAGGGCCAGAAAAAAAAAAGGGGGAGGGTGCTCGGAACAGCCAAAAGCTTCAAGGAGGACATAGAAAATCAGCAAGGGGAAAAGATCACGCAGCTGGCCATGCATCCTCATGTTTTGTGGAGGAGGAGGGTTAGGGCACAGTTCTCTTCAAACTCCTCAGCAGCCTCTGCTCTACTTCTATCAACAGAGCTTCTGAATGACTTCGCCTCAGGCAGGAGTGCTATGGAAGTATTGTTTTGGAATATAGATTGTTGAATAAAAACATTTTGAAGCAGGAAGTGATTTCTATTAATGTATAAATATGTGCCTGCATAAATCCTTGTGCATATCTCTATATATCTATCTTTAACATCACCTATACCTAGAGTTCCCTTCACTAAACTACCCAAGAGAGTGACAGAAAAGGAAAAATGTTAACTATGAATTTGGGACTGAAATAATAACCAGAGAAAAATATAAAAAAATAAGTAAATGAATAAAGAAAACATATTAATTATAAGCCATCAGTCTAACTTCTCTGGATATATCCTTTTGTTTAGTTTGAGTGTTTAGAAACATGGTAATGTTTCACATAGCCCCCAAATAAATAAACAATTAAATCAGCTGAGGTGTGGAGGTCAACCCAAAATGTAACACAAATAGTAACAAATAAACCTAACTGTATAACAAATGAATAACCAAGTCACACTGAAGGAGTTGGGGAAGAACACAGTTATCCTAAGTAACTTTGGGAAACAGATTTTGAGTATATGGTGTAAGACTAAGTACAAAAAGGATGTAGCACACATGTGCTCTAGCAAATAAACATGGTTTGAACCGTGGTATGTTTTAGTAGTTCTGAAGCTACTCTATGTGTTTTTGGGGGATTGAACAAACATGAAAATATGTTGTGGACAATGAGAGCCAGATTTCTCCCTGTCAGAGAAAAGAGTTACAAATAAGGAAGAAGAGAAATCTAGGTTAAGAAAAAAAAAATAAAGAAAAAAACTTATGGTATTGGATTCGAATTGGAGATATTAGTATGAACTCATGGTCTTTAACAGGTGATAGATAATAGGTAGATTGGATAGATAGATAGATGATAGCTAGCTAGCTAGCTAGCTAGATAGATGACAGATAGAAAGAAATACAGACGTGCATGTGTATGTATGTACATACATATATTCCCCAGCTCTCTCTGGGGGAAAGAGCCTAGGAGCAATGACACATAATAGAATTAACATAAAAAGCACCAAGATTTTAGTTTCTAAATAATTCTGTTCAGTAAAAGAAACCAGGGTTCCTTGGAAAAATGGATGATTCCAGGGCTGGGTCAAAGAAAGGACAGGAAGAATCTGTAATATTCTGTGGTGCCAGGGATTAAGGAAGTGCTGAAAAATGATAGAGATATATTGAGAAGATACGGAAATCAACTTGAAGGAATTCCCAATAGCTAAATTGGGACAATTTGAACAAAAAGGAAGGAAGAAAAGGAGAGAGGTGAGAAGAGAAGAAGGGAGGAGGGGAGAAATGTAGAAAGAATCAACTCTACAGAAAATCACCATTTGTCAGACACCACAGTAATAATTGTTGCAGGCAAGAATCATACTGGATATTAAAATTAGTGAACAAAAGTATGACAAGAAATAGGATATTTGCATTTTCTCAAAGTATATCCCCACAAGGTATTTACTCATTGCAAGGAGAAAAAGAGTAACAACAGTTTAGAAATGAAAGTTGCCACCTTAACCATGGCATCAAAATTACCGTCACCAGTAATGAGACGTAACAGTATATGACATCGCCTAATATGAATGTGCTAAGAAGGGAGCGAGATCCCTTCCATGGCATCCTTGCCAAAAATGAATACCCTGAATTAATCATGAGAAAACATCAGACAAAACAAATTGAGGGACTCACTGAAAGTTTCAAGGTCATGAAAGACAAAAAAAGATTGAGGAACAGTTCCAGATTACATGAGGCTAAGAAGACATGGCAACTAAATGAATCCTGTACAAGAAAAAGAACATTAGTGGGACAACTGGTAAAATTTGAATAAGGTATGACTGTAGATTAACTTAATAGCATTGTGTCAATGTTTTTATTTTTGGGTTTTGATAATTGTACTATGCTTAGATAAGATGTAACATTTGGAAAAGCTGTGTAAAGGGTAGGCTGAAAAAAAACCACTACTATTTTGCAAGTTTTTTATGAGTTGAATTATTTCAAGATGAAATAAATATGAAAAAATGAAAACATAACACTAATTAAAAAAATAAATTCAAGTGCTCAGAATACAGAAAAATGGGCAGTGATGCCCTAATTTTAGATGGAGAAAATTAGAACTTCAGCAATAATCCAAACCTCAGATAATGCTTCATTAATCAATACTACATCCAAATGAGGAAATACAAACTTTTAGAAAGCCACCTTAAGATAAAACAGTTTTTTCTACTGCTTCTTCCTTCTCCTTATGCAGTTTTACACTCTTCAGAACTCTGCCATTTCTTCCTGGAATAGGCAATGTCGCCTTTAGTTCTTTTTTTTTTTTTTTTTTTTTTTTTTTCTGAGACGGAGTCTTGCTCTTGTTGCCCAGGCTGGAGTACAATGACACGATCTTGGCTCACTGCAGCCTCTGCCTCCCGGGTTCAAGCGATTCTCCTGCCTTAGCCTCCTAAGTAGCTGGGATTACAGGCATCTGCCACCGTGCCCGGCTAATTTTTGTATTTTTAGTAGAGATGGGGGTTTCACCGTGTTGGCCAGGCTGGTCTCGAACTCCTGACCTCAGGTGATCCACCCTCCTCAGCCTCCCAAAGTGTTGGGATTACAGGTGTGGGCCACCACGCCCAACCTGTCGCCTTTCATTCTTATGAGAGCTCAGCGCTTTTGTCTTTTCCTGTCCTCACTGGCCAAAGTTTGAGCTCCTTACCTTGCTAGTTGATGCCTATAATTAGAGCTTCATTTATTTAACTTACTACTATTTATTCTTTTTATTAAACAAGTAAATATCCTTGCATATGATCAAACATTTTGCCTTAATATTAATGTACATCTCATTGTGAAGACATTTATTGAATAATAATAATTTTTTTTTACAAAGGAAGTGTTAGAAAGAGCCTTAGGGTATTGTGTGCCTGAAATGGAAGATGGAAGTAATAAAGGAGAAGGAAAAAGAAGAATCCAGGACCCTTTGAGGAGAATTTTTTTTTTTTCTAAAATAGTGGCTCTCAATGTGTTTTCCAACAGAGTACTGGGTGGAATTGTCCAGCTGCTAAAATAATGGCTCTGTTTTCACAGTTCACTGGAGACAAAAAGCAGGGCAAATAGAATATCTTCTTTTCAGTTTGCCTCAGGCTTTGCTCTTTGGAAAAACAGAAAGCACTTGTAAGCAGCCAAAGGTGTTTAGTGTGATGCTTTGCTCTTTTGTGGATAGTGTGCTTGTGGCTGTGATTCTATTATTTCACATTGTTTACATATAGCAGAGTCATATTTTCTGCTGGTAAGAATTCTGTGTGTTTGGGGGAATGAAATCAGTTAGTGCTCTGTGGCTCTTTCTTTACACAGAGCATCATGTCTTCTGATTATCTGCCTGAACAACTTTGAGAACCACTACCCTACTAAAGAATCTAACAGGTGGCTGACTGTGAATTTATATCAAACTCTTCTCTTCCACTATCAAAAAGATGTTTCTAAGCCTTTAGCCAAGAACATTGCAAGGCATAAAGCTAGGGACACCTCAGTGCCACAGGATGCTAAGGAGGTCTTGTACTCAAGATTTCTCCATTTGCAGTTAGCTTGCTTCACCTAAAGGTTGAGTCTGAACCAAAGCTTTATGCGAACACAATCATTCACCTTCCTGCTTTATGGTTATTGAATACAGAAACTAGCCTTTGCCTTTTCCAAAATCTGCCACTTCTTTTTTTTTTTTTTCATTTGGGAAGTTATTTATTTCTGAAAGTGTCATTTATATAGTTTGGATGTCCCCTCCAACTCTCATGTTGAGATGTAATACCCAGTGTTGGGGGTGGGGCCTAATGGGAGGTGTTTGGGTCCTGGGAGTGGGTATCCCTCATGGCTTGGTGCTGTCCTAAAGGTAGTGAGTGAGGCTCTCAGGAGATCTGGTGGTTTAAAGTGTGTTCACTTCCTCCATTCTTGCTCTTCCTTCTGTTTTGGCCATGTGATACGCTTGCTTTCCCTTCACATTCAAGAAGAAAAAGTTTAATTGCTTCAAAGAGAATAAAATACTCAGGAATCCAACTTACAAGGGACGTGAAGGACCTCTTCAAGGAGAGCTACAAACCACTGCTCAGTGAAATAAAATAGGATACAAACAAATGGAAGAACATTCCATGCTCATGAGTAGGAAGAATCAATATCGTGAAAATGGCCATACTGCCCAAGGTAATTTATAGATTCAATGCCATCCCCATCAAGCTACCAATGACTTTCTTCACAGAATTGGAAAAAACTACTTTAAAGTTCATATGGAACCAAAAAAGAGCCTGCATCACCAAGTCAATCCTAAGCCAAAAGAACAAAGCTGGAGGCATCACATTACCTGACTTCAAACTATACTACAAGGCTACAGTAACCAAAACAGCATGGTACTGGTACCAAAACAGAGATATAGATCAATGGAACAGAACAGAGCCCTCAGAAATAACGCCACATATCTACAACTATCTGATCTTTGACAAACCTGACAAAAACAAGCAATGGGGAAAGGATTCCCTATTTAATAAATGGTGCTGGGAAAACTGGCTAGCCATATGTAGAAAGCTGAAACTGGATCCCTTCCTTACACCTTATATAAAAATTAATTCAAGATGGATTAAAGACTTAAACGTTAGACCTAAAACCATAAAAACCCTAGAAGAAAACCCAGGCATTACCATTCAGGATATAGGCATGGGCAAGGGCTTCATGTCTAAAACACCAAAAGCAATGGCAACAAAAGCCAAAATTGACAAATGGGATCTAATTAAACTAAAGAGCTTCTGCACAGCAAAAGAAACTACCATCAGAGTGAACAGGCAACCTACAGAATGGGAGAAAATTTTCACAACCTACTCATCTGACAAAGGGCTAATATCCAGAATCTACAATGAACTCAAACAAATTTACAAGAAAAAAACAACCCCATCAAAAAGTGGGCAAAGGATATGAACAGACACTTCTCAAAAGAAGACATTTATGCAGCCAACAGACACACGAAAAAATGATCATCATCACTGGCCATCAGAGAAATGCAAATCAAAACCACAATGAGATACCATCTCACACCAGTTAGAATGGCAATCATTAAAAAGTCAGGAAACAACAGGTGCTGGAGAGGATGTGGAGAAATAGGAACACTTTTACACTGTTGGTGGGACTGTAAACTAGTTCAACCATTGTGGAAGTCAGTGTGGCGATTCCTCAGGGATTAGAACTAGAAATACCATTTGACCCAGACATCCCATTACTGGGTATATACCCAAAGGACTATAAATCATGCTGCTATTAAGACACATGCACACGTATGTTTATTGTGGCACTATTCACAATAGCAAAGACTTGGAACCAACCCAAATGTCCAACAATGATAGACTGGATTAAGAAAATGTGGCACATATACACCATGGAATACTATGCAGCCATAAAAAATGATGAGTTCATGTCCTTTGTAGGGACATGGATGAAATTGGAAATCGTCATTCTCAGCAAACTATCACAAGGACAAAAAACCAAACACCGCATGTTCTCACTCATAGATGGGAATTAAACAATGAGAACACATGGACACAGGAAGGGGAACATCACACTCTGGGGACTGTTGTGGGGTGGGGTGAGTGGGGAGGGATAGCATTAGGAGATATACCTAATGCTAAATGACGAGTTAATGGGTGCAGCACACCAGCATGGCACATGTATACATATGTAACTAACCTGCACATTGTGCACATGTACCCTAAAACTTAAAGTATAATAATAATAATAATAATAATAATAATAAAAAGAATAAAAAGTTATCTGAGGCTTCCCCAGAAGCTGAGCAGATGCCAGCACCATGCTTGTACAGCCTGTAGAACCATGAGTTAATTAAACCTCTTTTCTTTATAAATTACCCAGCCACAGGTATTTATTTATAGTGATGCAAGACGGGCCTAATAGTTAAGTTTGAATTTGTTGCTATGAGTTGGATATTTCATACATTCCTCTTTTTTGTTGCCTTTGATGATGGACATTCTGAATAATTGGAGCTGTTATAAAACCATAAAGTTTTCAAAAATGAAAATTGAAAATTCTTAAAGCTTCATAGGTGTTGAGCTTGATGCATTCTTGCAATGCAACTAAAGTTTGAAGCTAGAATTTTGGAATGGCCCAACATTTGAGACATGCACATACAGCAAAGTACAGGGAGGCTGTGACTTTGTAGCCTAAGGGCTAGAAGGTAAGTGGGCTGCACAGTCAGAGAAGGAGGTGGAGAGACACTTTCACTTTGATCTTGATGAATTCTCTCTGCACTTGAAAATAGTCCATGATCCTCAGGACCTGGGTTAGAAAAGACCACCTGGCCGCAGCCCACAGAGAGGCAAGGTAATGGAGTACAAATAGAAAATGGACTGGGTCCCAGCAGGCCAAAGGTTGGTCCCCAGGTCTCATACAGCTAGCTGTGGGACTTTCCACAATTCATATAATCTCTCTGGGTCTCACTTTCTTTAATTGCACAATAAGAAATTTAAGCAAAATGACTTCAAGGGTCCCTTCTACTCCTAAAATTCTAAGATACCCTTTTGTGATTTTGACTGGATGCCTTTCATTTATTATATAAACCTAATTTTATGAGAATTAAAAATAGAATGCATTACTGGTTAAGTTGTAGTAAAAATGTTTAAAAAGAAGATAAATGTTTTTCTCATGGGAAATTTTCATATGCTGTTCAAAACATATGCCAAAAAGGAAACAATATAATATAATTAACATAGGAAGTTTCAATTCATGAGTAAATGTTCCCATTAGCTGCAATAAAAGAAGCTTGTGCCTTTTCCAGGATAAACGTTAAGCAAATGCATATTAAAGATTCTTTTATTTATAAAAAAAAAAAGAAAACAGAAATTGGCCATAAAATAGTGGGTCTTTTCTTATAGATCATTTATTTGTTTTAAAGAGAAATACATTGTAGAGAAAGAACAACTTTAAAGTGCTATTTCTATGTCTATACAGCTCCAACCTCTGGGTAATACTAGGTGCCTGCAGTTTCACCTTCCTGCAGGTATCTTTCCTCTGACCTGAAACAGATGCCTAAAACTCTCACTACACATTATCCATTTATTTGTGCACAGCCATTGACTTCAAAGATCTTGGTCTAATGCACACAATTACTTTTTTATATGAATGGAATCAGGATACAAAAAATTGTAATATTTAAAAAATTTAAAAGCTATCTCTTGTTCATCAACAAAAGAATTAATAAAGAGATTATGGTTTATCTATACAATGAAATACTACTAAGCAATAAAAAGGAACAAAGTACTATAAAAACATGAAATAACATGGATGAATCCTTAAAACATACTGAGAAAAGGAAGACAGACTCAGAGTAGTATATACTGTATCACTTAATTTACATGAAACTCTAGAAAATATCAGCCTAATCTTGGTAAAAAGAAATTAGCAGAATTGTTGCCTGAGGTGGGGTGGGTAGGAAATAGCTGGTAAGAAACATCAGGGCATTCTCTACAGTAACGGAAACTGTCTGTATAGAGGTGTTGGTTACATAGGTACATACCTTTATACAAACTTGCTGAGCTGTACATTTCAGATTTGTAAATTTCACTGTGTGCCAGTTGTGCCAGTTGTAACAATAAAGTTGTTTATATTTTTAAGAAATGCTATCCCAACAGTCTCAGATATTCTACTGGTGAAAGTGTAACTTGGAACAAATGTTTGGGAAAATATTTTATAATAAATGTTAAAATCCTTGAAATACTCATCATTTGACTCAGTAATTCCAATTTAAAATAAATTATTGTGAAATAAGTACAGATATTGGGAAACAAACACTTTTCTATAATTATTGTTATAACAGTAGCATATTTTTCCTAATATTTTACTATAAAAACTTTCAACATATGAAAAAGTGGACAGAATTTTATAGTGAACACATTCATATTCATCACTTTGATTCTGCCGTTAATATTTTACATTTATACTTATCATATGTCTATCCATACCTCTGTCCATCAAATTTACAAATCAATTTGTGAAAATTTTTGAAATTTTTACAATGTTGATTCCTGCAATCTAGGACTGGAAGAAAATACAAAACACAAACAATTTTTTTTTCCTTTTGTGATGGAACTCCATGAGTTATAAATCCTACCATGTGGGAGGCTGAGGCAGGCAAATCATCTGAGGTCAGGAGTTCGAGACCAGCCTGGCCAACATGGTGAAACCCCGTGTCTACTAAATATACAAAAATTAGCCAGGCATGGTGGTGGGTGCCTGTAATCTCAGCTACTTGGGAGGCTGAGGCAGGAGAATCGCTTGAATCTGGGAGGCGGAGGTTGCAGTGAGCCAAGATCGTGCCACTGCATTCCAGTCTGGGTGACAGAGCAAGACTCTGTCTCAAAAAAAAAAAAAATCCTATCTTGGGTGATCAGAATATTTTCTTAAGTATATTCCTGGAAACAGAGCTGAAATTACTCAGAAATGGATCTAAACAGTAACTGTCTCTGTCTTGCAACAGAGATGCCCTCTGATACCCTCTCTAATCCTTCCTGGTTCCTAAAAGTCCCCCCATTAGTTAATAATTCTCTTGAATTAATTCATTAATTCTAAAGTTAATAATACGAATACTTCCAGGAAAAAGAACACATTGAACCTCTATTCCTGTTTACACATTTATACATTCAAATAAACAGCTACTAAGCAGAAAGTACCAAGGGAGTTGTACAGTCAGGCCTTCAATTGGGAGGACACAAGAGGAAGTTGTCTGGTGATGATGATTCAGAATGGGGTGCTGGGGAATAGGATTAAACCTAGTATCTAGAGGTAGAGAAAAAGGGCATCAAAGTACATAAAAATGCTAGGGGCATTGTTGTGTGGAACTGGCCCTGTATTCTGGAAGAGCCACCTGTAAGGCTGAAAACACCCTACCTATAATTGCAGCACTTTGTGGATTGTCAAATGAAGCTATTTCCCTTGCAATTATTAAAAATTCTAGGCTCATCTTAAATACTGGATTATGGTTTGTGTTGGACATTGGACATTTGGGGGTGCCCAGAGGTTGTAGTCCATCTGGAGACTTCCTGGTCTGTATGTTGTGTCATTTTGATTTCTTGTTGAAGGGCCATGGAGACTTAGAATGGGCGTCCTCAGGAGATTCAAAGGAGCTTTCTGCCAATTCAATCAACTATAGCTCTGACTTAGCTTGTTTCCAAAATTGTAGGCACTGTTGCTCCAAAATTAATATTTTTGAATATTCAACACATCCCTGAGGAAGAGCAAAGACCTCCCACCTTTGTTTCTTTGCAAAACAAGTCAAGATGAAGTCTTTGCTGATGAAACTCTTGGCTCCCTCTCTTCCAGCTGCACTTCACCCCTGTGGCTTTCCTGCTTGGAAATCTCAAAATAGTCACAGCGGCTTGCCTCCAAGCTAGAATTGACCTCGCCTGTCTGGATGCCTTCCAAAAGGGATTTTTATGAAAATATTATTTTTTTCTCTTCTGAGACTTTTTTTTATTAGAACCCATGCAAAGCTGTATCATTCCCCATTTGCCATTATTTTCAACTTCCGAAGTCTTTTTTATTTTTCTTACTTCATCAAGGACATGTGTTTCCTTCTCCGTACCTAATAACAGTTTCTGAGAGGAACCTGTGGAAGAGAAAAGCATGATGTACTGATCATGAAAGTGGGAAGACATTTGGGATAATAATAGGAAAATATTTGAAACCCTGAAAAGAACTGTCCCTCCATCCAGTAATCAATTCTCCCTTGGCTTCTCCCAGTGGTAACTTAGTTACCCTTTACTTTTCACACACATAACAAAATTACTGCTGTTGACAAAGTCTAGATAACAAGGAGTCAGTCCTACTATGAGTACCTTAATAGTTCTGCCAAGTGGGCCTCATTCCCAAGTTCCCTGACAGAATACCATGGCTGTGTTAACTAAGAGTAAAGGCTTACTACCTTCTACTGGAATTATCTGGTTTGTTCAGCTGCATCCCCTGTTATACTATGAGCTCCTGAAAAGCCAGAACTGTGCCTTATTCACCTCTCTGCTCCCAGCCCTCATCACAATGCTGACATGTAGACAGTACACAATGAATGTTGAAGGAATGGTAATGAGATCTATAGTCAAAACACCAAAGATGCAGCCCTTCATGGCTTTCTAAGTGTTAGAGAGAGAGTCACTTAACCTTTACAAACCTCCTTTTCATCTGGAAAGTGAAAGTAATATTACTACTTTCTTCAGGCGTTAATCAAGGCTTAGATGAAATAATTGTATGTGAAAATGATTTGCTAACTATAAAGAGCTGTGCAAATGTTTACTGTGATTGTACAGGCCCAGGGCAAGAGGGCTAATTACTCCCCTTTCTTCTTATTCAACTCTCAATTCAGGAAGGTTAGGGCTCAAGAAAGACAGAATATTCTACCACTGACGATAATATGTACCAGTTTTTTGAGTATAGATATGTCACCCTTTTGAGCCTCTATTTTACCCTCTGGGAGTTGAGGACATTCTGTGAGATAGACATAAGATCTAAGACACTGCTTTGCCCATTGTAAACACTTAGGAAAAGATCACAGAGGGAAGTCAAAATAGTGTTGTGAAGCCAATAGACTTTGAAGTCAGGCAGACATGAGTTAGTTCAAAGCTCTGCTCTGCCGTGAAATAGGAGGGTGATCTTGGGCAAGTTACTTCTATTTTTAAACCTCAGTTTATGCAGCTATAAAATAGGTTAATATTAATACCACCTGCATGAGATTGGTGTGATCATTACAGGAAATAATGGACACAAACTGACAAGCACATGTTGAGCACATGATAGGCAAGGTAGTTCCTTGTTTCTCCTTCCCTGAAATCAACAGGCTGTCATCCTCCCAGACTTGACTTTTCCTGACAGAGCACTACAACTTCAAACAACCTAAACAACAGAAAAGAAAGGTTGAGCCCTGCTCATCCTCCAAGAGAAATTCATATGCTAGGCTTAGGTTTCCAGAAGTACCCTTCTCACTACCCCCTTCTCACTAGCCTTATCTGTGTATTTCATCTGATGTCAGCTACACTGCTTCCCTTTGGAACAAATTCCAACATCTGAAATTATTAATGGCTCCACCAATCTAAATACCATTTTAGTAAACACCCTTATTTTGCAGAGTCCAACTCTTTTGTGGCTATGAAATATCCCTTACTGATTCCGGTCAGATTTCAGGTTGATGGCCAGGGTTTATAGCCAGGTGGATGGGAAACACTGCTGGTGGCAAATGGCACACCTTCCTCCAAGTTTCATTTCTGCAGATGGTTCCAGGAGCTGCCATGGATGCCAGGCCTGCCTCCTCTGCCTGGGCATCTTACTCTGCTGTCTGAGGCTCTTGTACTCACTAACCTTTAGTTTCCAGTCAACAATTTTCATATGCTTCAATTGCAGTCAAAGGCATCATTTTTCCAAATCGTTTGCCTTAGATTACTTGCAGCAGGTTGACCCAAGAGGTGATTGCTTAAACCATATTTTCCTTGCACCTATACGCCAACATTCCATATACCTGTTAATTATGTAATACAGCGCTTAAGAAAAGGACCACTGGGATTTTCACCTACTGGTTTCTAGAATATTAAGAGGCTTAATTTTTAAGCAAGTTAAAAATTTGCAAGTTAAAACTTCCATGAACTTTATTAAAACTTTCATTAACTTGCAGAATTCTCATTCTCCAATGTGAGAATTCTTGTGAGCCTGCCACATATTGTCTGTCTCCCTGTAGAACTGGGGAGAGCACGTCTGGGAAGGCAGAAGTGCAAGCTCATTGTGCTGTGGCTGTTGCTGGGACACAAAGGTGGCATCATAAACACTGATTATTTATTATCCTAATATAGTTCCAAGGACTGTATTAGCTCCTATTTGGACCCTTAATAAGAAATGGAAAGGAATGTGTATGGACTCAATCACATTTTCCCCTTAATGGAGAAGAAGCTCACCTAAGACCAAGCTTACCTTGGAGGTCAAGACCATGTGCCCTCGGTTGACAATGCCAAATGTTTATTGTATTACATGACACCTACATCTGTTCCCATCAGGAATCAGCACACTTCTCTAACAAATAGGCTGTGCATTTTATCTAGTATACTTTCTGTTAACACAAAGACCTGTTATGTAAAAACTGCATTTTTTCCCCCAAAGTTATCCACCCCCCACCTCTTGAAGATCAAATTTACATCCAATCTTTTCCACTCATATGATAGGCTATTATCTGTTAGTTTCCCAAGTTGAAGGAAAGAAAAATGTCAGCCTTTTTCTTGGCCATCAGCAATGCTGTAAAGAGTAGTCTTGGTGGGCAAGTGGAGAGATACACCTCACCCCTTTTACCTATCTCAGTATCCTGCTTCTCCTCTGTCCATGTATACAAAGGCAGATGAGAAGATGACTATCTATCCCTTTCTATCCTCGTCTTAATGCCTACATTTTGATTGTGAATTATGAATAACTGAAGCTTTGTTCATAAACCCAAGATCTGTAGGCATTTCAAGGACAGATTTGACAATAAATGTGAAGAGAGAATAGTCTGTAACTCCTGCCGTGGTGTTATCTCGGCTTTCTCTGGTTCGTATCTATTTTTAGGCTTTTTTTTGTCCCAAGTCTTTGCCTCCAGTCTCTGCTTTCTATTGGATGGTGAAATTATGATAGAATAACAAAGTAATTGCTAAAGTTTATTAAGCACAAGTGTGTGATATGCTCTATGCTTAGCACTGTATTATCCAACTTAATACTCACAAGGTGGGCACTATTATTATACCTATTTTACTTAAGAGGAAAGGAGATTTTCAGAAATCAAGTATTAGGCAGCTAATACATGAGTAAGTCATCAAGACGGTGACCAGAGTTGCTACCATTAAGACTTCTTCAAATCCACTGCTCCCTTCCACTGCTGGCTAACAACAAGCAGTGGAGGAGAGATGGATGGCAGGGCAGGAACAGTGGTGCTGGGAAGGTTTGTTTTGAATGATTAGAAAGAAGGTTATGGGATAGATTTTCCTTATGTGTGAAATATCTTATGTGTGTCATGTGTGACAGTGGCCTTCTACACAGAGTGGAATTGCATGGAAGTTCACACTGGGCCCACGCTGGCAGTGTACTGGAATGAACACAACCAGCCAATCCAAATTTTTGCTAACAAGGTACCAGGGAAATACAATTATGTTCACTTCAGCATCACAGAAATGGAAGGAATTCAATTTCTGCATGGAATCCCAGAAATTGAATCCCAGCATGGGAGAAAGAAATAAAACTTAAGCCACCAAAGACTCAACCTAATACTGCACCCCCAGAATACCAATTACTTTTTTCCCCTCTAACTCTCTTCTAAAAGGACTGTTGTGCCACTTATCACCTTACCTACATTAATTTTTCTAGTAACAAACATGTCTAAGGTGCTAAATCATTGCAGATTACTGCATGTATGTGCAATAACCTGTGACAGAATAATAAATAGCAAATACATGAAAGAAGGAATAAAAGTTTCTGCTGCCGTTAGTATAAGGAGTGCACATCAGGTTCATGAAACATGCCAAAAATAATTTAAAAAATGAGATTGCCTCCAGCTTTGTTCCTTTTGCTTAGGATTGTCTTGGCTATGCGAGCTCTTTTTGGGTTCCATGTGAATTTTACAATGGTTTTTTTCTAATTCTATGAAGAATGTCAATGGTAGTTTAATGCGAATAGCATTGAATCTGTAAATTGCTTTGGGCAGTATGGCCATTTTTACGATATTGATTCTTCCTATCCATGAGCATGGAATGTTTTTCCATTCGCTTGCGTTCTCTCAGATTTCCTTGAGCAGTGGTTTGTAGTTATCCTTGAAGTGGTCTTTCACTTCCCTTGTTAGCTGTATTCCTAGGTATTTATTCCCTTTGTGGCAGCTGTGAATAGGAGTTCATTCATGATTTGGCTCTCTGCTTGTCTGTTATTGATGTATAGGAATGTTTGTGATTTCTGCACGTTGATTTTGTATCCTGAAACTGCTGAAGTCGCTTATCAGCATAAGAAGCTTTAGGGCTGAGATGAGAGGGTTTTCTAGATACAGGATCATGTCATCTGCAAACAAAGACAATTTGATGTCCTCTCTTCCTATTTGAATACTGTTTATTTTATCTCTTTCCTGATTGACTTGCCAGAACTTCCAACGCTATGTTGAATAGGAGGGGTGAGAGAGGGCATCCATGTCTTGTGCCAGTTTTCACGGGGAATGCTTCCAGCTTTTGCCCATTCAGTATGATATGATATGGGCTGTGGGTTTGTCATAAATGGCTCTTATTATTTTGAGGTGTGTTTCTTCAATACCCAGTTTATTAAAAGTTTTTAACATGAAGGGATGTTGAATTTTATCAAAGGCCTTTTATGCATCTATTGAGATAATCATGTGTTTTTTGTATTTAGTTCTGTTTATGTGATGAATTATGTTTATTGATTTGCATATGTTGAACCAGCCTTGCATCCCAGGGATGAAGCCAACTTGGTCATGGTGAATAAGCTTTTTGATGTGCTGCTGGATTCAGTTTGCCAATATGTTATTGAGGATTTTACAATAACCAAAACAGCATGGTACTGGTACAAAAACTGGCATATAGACCAATGGAACAGAATAGAGAACTCAGAAATAAAACCATATATCTACAATCACTTGATCTTTGACAAACCTGAAAAAAACAAGCAACGGGGAAAGGACTTCCTATTTAATAAATGGTGCTGGGATAACTGGCTAGCCATATGCAGAAGACTGAAACTGGATCTCTTCCTTACATCTTATTCAAAAATTAACTCAAGATAGATTAAAGACTTAAATGTAAAACCCAAAGCTATAAAAACCCTAGAAAAAGTTTAGGCAGTACCATTCAGGGAATAGGCATGGGCAAAGATTTTATGAGGAAATCACCGAAAGCAATTGCAACAAAAGCAAAAATTGACAAATGGGATCTAATTAAAGAGCTTCTGCACAGCAAACGAAACTATCATCAGTGTGAACAGACTACCTACAGAATGGAAGAAAATTTTTGCAATCTATCCATCTGACAAAGGTCTAATATCTAGAATCTACAAGGAACTTAAACAAATTTACAAGAAATAAAACAAACAACCCCATTAAAAAGTGGACAAAGGATATGAACAGACACTTCTCAAAAAAAGACATACACGTGGCCAACAAACATATGAAAATAAGCTCAACATCACTGATTATTAGAGAAATGCAAATCAAAACCACAATGAGATACCATCTCACACTAGTCAGAATGGCAATTATTAAAAAGTCAAGAAAAACAGATGCTGGCGAGGTTGTGGAGAAATAGGAATGTTTTTACATTGTTGGTGGGAATGTAAATTAGTTCAAGCATTCTGGAAGACAGTGTGGCAATTCGTCAAAAAAAATTAGCCGGGCGCAGTGGCGGGTGCCTGTAATCCCAGCTACTTGGGAGGCTGAGGCAGGAGAATGGCCTGAACCCGGGAGGCAGAGCTTGCAGTGAGCCGAGATAGTGCCACTGAAGTCCGGCCTGGGCAAAAGAGGGAGACTCCGTCTCAAAAAACAAAAACAAAAACAAAATTATAATAATTTAAAAAACCCCGTGAGGGTGATAGGAAAGATCTCTTCTTCCTCCACCTTAAACCAGGATCATTGTAACATAGTAATTAGATTTTGACTGTGGTGAACAAAGGCACTTTAGAAACTTTCTAATAAAACTTTGAGGAAAAAGTGGAATTACCTTTCCAATGTTTTTCTCCTGCACAAAATTGTGAACTCTTTGAGGCAGGAACTGTTGGTTATTTGACTCCCAGCACTATGAGCCTAATTTCATCATCTGTGAAATGGAATTAATCATCTCAGGATGCAGTTATAGCAGGACTAATAAAGTGATCATGTATATAAATTATATTTCTCAGTGTCTGGCACATGGAAAGACAAATTATAATTGTGAATTATTATTTATCATTGTGGTTATAGGGGAAGATGGGAAAACAACCTTCAGACAACTCTTTTACTCCAAAGTCTCTTGAAAGACATGGAACAGAGCAGTGAGGAGCACTGGTTGGGGATTCAGGAGCCTGGTTCCCCTATTGATACTTTTAATTAACCACCTTCCCTTAACCAATGACTTACTTTTGTCGATTTCAGTTTTCTAACATCATAATGAAATGGTTGGTTTAAAATACCCAAGATCACTTTTAGCTCTAAATTTCTCCAATATTTTGTTTTTGCTAAAGGGCCATTTTTTCCTTAAATTTGGCCCTATTTAACAAATAATTACTATTTATATTTTTTAAACAACTGGATTATACTATAAAAGTTTTCTTTCTTTGCAATATGAAGCTATTTATGAATTTGAGATTAAAAGAGAAAGTAACAAGAGACTGTAATCTTATACCAATTTCCTAATAAAGCCCACATTGAAAAAGCACTATTCTGGGTCAAATATCCAGTAATATCCAGCTTTCTGCCTGAGCCTAAGTGTTTGGCTGAAATAGCCAAACATAAATATGTATACGCTCACCAATATAGTAATTCCTGTTTTTGATGTCGTGCTTTTATCTGGACCATGAAAGATACCACTGTGCTCTATAATCCATACACAGAAAGAAACCTTCACCAGTGGTCTAAAAAAATGACTTGTATAAAGAGAATTGCATCAAAGGGAAATTAAGCAGTTGAGCAAGAATTCACACATGAAAAAAGTTAACTATCTAGTAATAGAAGTGCTAAAGAATGATCTATGTCTAAACATCCATATTTCTATTTAACTTACATTTTTCCTTCATGTGGTTTTTGTTGGTTAAATCAACGAATGTTCATTTGGTTTCAATTCTGCAAGGCTCTTTGCTAGGCACTATGAGGAATAAAAAATTAACCAAATATAGATACTTTTCAAGGAGCTGGCAGCTGATTACACATGGGGAATTATAATACAGGAGAGAAAGTGCCCAGTTTCCTAAGAGCAGGACGAAGAATGTACTATGCATGTCCAGAGATAAGAAAGATTCTTTCCATTAGGAAAGTTCAGGGACACTTATGAGACATTTCAGTTGGGCCTAAATGGATGAGAAGGAGTCTCTGGATGGGACTGGGAAACAACTGGTTTCATTCGTGTGGAACGTAGGATTGGGAGACTATGGAAGTGCTGGGAAAAGGGGTTAAAAGACTCAGTTTAAGCCACACTGTGACCTTGAAAGGCTGGCCAAGAAGTTTGAACTTCACTCTCTAAGCAACAAGAAATCATCAAAAATATTCTGGCTGAAGAATTACATTCCTATAGTTGGGCATTAGAAAGATCATTGTCAGGAAAGAGAAAAACAGGAGACATAGGAAGCAGAAGACCAGTTGGGAAACTGTTGCTACAAACTATGGAAAAATAAATCAATTAACTAGGGTAGCAACAGGAAGTCCGGAGATGGTGGGAGGGGTGTTTGGGAAGTTTAGGAATTCTGCCCAAGAGATGGTGGCTACTCACTGGCTACATGGGCTGAGGGGTGGAAGGAGGAGTCAAAGAGGCCTTGAAGATGGAGAAACACAAGCTGAGAACAGAGGATGGTTACAGAGATATAGAGGTTTTCGTGTGAGATTCTGGGAACACCCAGATGGAATTTACCATAAAGCAGTTCAGGTGTACGTCTGATATTCTGGAATGAGGGTGGGGTTGGCAATAGATTTGGTAATTATTGGAGTGAATGTTATAATTGAAGAAATGAAACTGAGAGGAATTCTCACAGGAGATGTCATTGAGAGGAAAAAGAATACAGATCTATATTTAGTGAGAAGGAGGAGGAAGAGCAACCTAAAACAGAGAGAGAGGAGGAGTCATATGAAAGTAAAAAGGAGAACAGAAAAGCAGGAGTCACAGGACAGGAAAGAATAGCGTGTTAAGAAAGGAGTAATAATAATAAACTGCAGCCCAGACCAGGCCAAACCATGAGAACTAATTCTAGTTACAGCCAGATAACCTCACAGCTTTTACCAGAGAATTTTCCTTAGACTGAAGCAATGGGGAAAACTGTAATATATTTAACCAGTGAAAGATCACTGGTGCCAGCTGCTCCCATTTAATTTTTTTCAATATTGTATTGTAAAAATATTTAGATGTACAAAAAAGTTGAAAGTATTTTACAGTGATACTCAAATACAACCACCACCAAATTCTACCATTAACATTTTACTATACATGTTTTATTACAAATCTATTTATCTACTCATCCTTCCATCAATCCACCTTAGAATTGCTTTGCAAGGAATTCTAGGTAAATTATAGCCGTCATTATACCCCCCATGAATATGCCAGCAGGCACATCATTAGTTTAGTATTTGTTTACAGTTTTATTTCTCTTTGTGATAGAATTTACATGCAATTAAATACATTTACCTTAATTGAACATTTGCTAATTTTTGACAAATAAATATATCTATGTAACTTAAATCCCTTTCAAGGTATAAAATGTGATCATTACCCCTGAGAGTTCCCTCATCCCTCTTTTTGGGTAATCCTTTTCCCCTCCCCCTGCAGAGGCAACCACAGTTCTAATTATTATTATTATTGATTAATTAATTTTTACTTTGCCAAAAATAGTTTTGCATTATCAAGAACATCTTATAAATGGAATCCTATGGCATTTGTTCATTTTGTGTCTTTCCTTACTTTTTTGGCTTACCATGATGTTGATGAAATTGACCATGTTATTGTGTGTTTCAGTACTTTGTTCCTTTTTAATGTTGAATAGTATTCATTGTATGAATATACCGAAGTGTAGTTTTCCATTTTTTTTACTGACAGACAAGTAAGCTGCTTCCAGTTTTTAGTTATTGTGAGTAAAGCTGCTATGAACTTTTATGTACAAGTATTTTGGTGGATATGTATTTTCATTTCTCGTGGGTAAATACCTTGGAATGGAATTTCTGGGTTTATGCTGTCATATAATTTAAATTTCACAAATACTTCATGAAAGATCAGTATTGTTCTCATTTGTCTTTAGTGCAATTTACCTCCCTGGGACTCTAGCAGAAACTGTGCTTGAACCTTTCTCACCTCATGGTATTTTATCAAAGCTGTTTCCTATTCTTTCCCATCTGTCCTGCCACCGAGTGACAATGAGCAAACCAGAAAAAGGAGTCTGTGTCAATGTTCACTAACTCATATTACCAACATGGACAGCATATTCCACAATGCAATTAAAATGTATAGTTTATAATTTAAAAAATATAGAGAGATAGGGTCTCAGACTGTCTCCCAGGCTGAATGCAGTGGGTCAATTAATAGTTTACTGCAGTCTCAAATTCCTGGGCTCAAGCAGTCCTCCTGCCTCAGCCTACCAAATCACTGGGATTACAGGCATGAGCCACTGTGTCTGGTCCTAGTTTATACTTTTAATGTTTACCTGTCTTCAGTTGCATTGTGTAACATAGGCATAATCATAGTACTTATCTCTTAGAATTATTGATTTAAGAAATATTTATTAAATGAATATTATGTGCCTGTTACTGGAGATGAAATACGAACAAAAGAGACAAAGTTACTGTTCTCAAGTAGCTTTCAGTTTAGACAAGGAGAGTAAACAGTTAAAAAGCCACACTAACAAATGTACTGTTACAAACTGAAATAAGAGGTCTAGAGAAAAAGAACACTGCTTTATGGAAAATTTGCAATAAATGAGGCCAACCA
Organism: Homo sapiens; assembly: GCF_000001405.40. Lineage (NCBI taxonomy): Eukaryota > Metazoa > Chordata > Mammalia > Primates > Hominidae > Homo > Homo sapiens. The sequence continues at coordinate 170,874,723 of NC_000001.11, forward strand.
GAATATGGAATCAGGATGGGCTTCCTTGAGGAAATAATGCTTGAGCTGAGGAGTTACATAGGTTAGAGGGTAAGGCAATATAACAGGGGGGACCTCATTCCAGAGAGAGAGAAGAGTGAGGACAAAGGCCTTTGGCTGAAGGGCATGTGCACATTCACAGAACAAGAAAGCTGAAAGGACTGAAAGCCAGAGAATGAGGTGGAGACGAATAGGATTAGAGAGCACAGTGGAGGTGGGAGTCTTCTGGACAACATTAAGGACCTCTGTCCTTTGTCCTAACAGGAACAGGAAGTCACTGTGGAGTTTTAAGCATGAAAGAAACATAATAGAATTTCTGTTTTGAAAAGATTTTCCTGGATGAAATGTGGGCCATTCTTAGAAGAAGATCAAAGTAGAAACTGGACAGGAGGTAATTTCAGCAATCAAGTGAGGTGCTCAGAATAAGATAATGGGGATGAAGAAATGGGTTTGACAAATATTTAGGAAGCAAAATCAAAAGGTTATAGCAATAGACCAAGAGTAACTCCTAGTTTCTGGACTTTGCAATGCCTGCCAGATAATTAATGCTCAATAAATATTAGTAATAGCAGTTTTGGTGTTGGTTGATGCTATTGCTGTGTTATTATTATTATTTATAGAAACTCCTAGTTAATGGTTTATGAGGTAGCCTGACATAGTGGACAGGAAAAGAGCTTTGGGATCAGAGATCCCAGATTTAAATCCTAGTTTTGCTAATAACTAGCTATGGTTAAACAAAAAAAAAAAATTGAAATTAGTTATTATAAACTCTCCCAGCTCCCAAAGGGGTAGCCTGTAGCTCAATGTCCAGGGACCATGAAGAACTCAGCTCTTTCTAGCAGCTATAGTTATTTGCAGAAGTTACAGCACAGGTGGGAGCCAAGGACAATGATAAAGCAAGGTGTCCTGGATTTGCTTCCTGAGGATCTTGTTTCTAATTCAGCCTCAGCTGCTTATTTTCTGGGGACCCAGCGTTTGTGCTAATTTCCCCAAATACTTTATCCCACACCTTCCTGAAAGGTCTTTTTTCTCTAGATTTGTTCCTTTCTCCTAACTTAAGTCTTATTTCCACGGGAGCATTGGGAACTTTAGACATCTGATTAGCTAACTCATGTTAAAGCACAAATTGCCTACAGTGTTGTTTCTCTATGGCATTCATGGAACATTCACTCATCCTCAAAATCAAAACTGATGAGGGTGGGAATGCCAAACACTGTGTATGGCAAACTGCATTGAGACCCTAGGGGTACAATTTATGAGGGAGTCATCACAGTTGCTCAGGATGGCACTGGAGCACTGGGTGCTTCAAAAACAGATGACAACTGTCCCACTGAGTATTCTTGGCAGATGGAATAGCTGCAGAATAGATTATGTGACTCAACTCCTTGTGGAGAAGCAAATTCCTTATGATATGACCCAGCAAGGAGAGCACTTCACGTATTTGCAGCTTTTTGAAAATTCTGCAAATTTTTATTATTATTAATGTAGGTCTAGGTAGAAAATCAAGGATGGAAACTTAAAAATATTGAAAACTGGATTTTTAAAGCACAGAAAGCAAAGTACTGTAAATTGCAAAATTTTCTTGCAGGAGAAAAATTCTAAGTCAGCTTTATTGGAGTATAAGCTACATATAGAAAATTCATCCGTTTTAAGTGTACATTTCAATGAGTTTTGAGAAATGTATACACTCCAGTGATCACCACCATAATCAAGAGTTATAACAGTTATAGATAGCAACCAAAAAATTCATTCATGCCCCTTTGTAGCATGGGTTATCTTGGATGGAATCATATTGCATATTCAATTGAAGAAAAAGCCAGAGACTTGCTGATGGATTGGGTATAAAGTGTGGGAGAGAAGAGTTAAGGATGAGTCTGGGCTTTTGCCCTGAGAAACTGGGTATACAGAGGTACCATTGTTAGATGACAGTGACTGAAGTTTTGTGGGGAAAATAGTGTAGTTTTAAATATTAAAGAGGATTTATGAAAGATAAATTTTAATAAATGGATAAGCATTTCACAGACAGGTCATAACAGAAAAACAAAAATATGCTCATTGAAATAACAGTGGAGTACAAGTGTACAACTATTAAATTACCGATTATTGAAAAACATGATGCTACTCAATGTTGGTTATGTTGGGAGAACTTGTACATGCACCAACTGCAGATGGTAATTCAGAAAAGAACCTTTATTTGAAGAACAGTGGCCCAGAACCATCCATGACTCTTTTGCCCCCTCATTCCAATTCTGAGAACTTTTTCTTAGAGAATTATGTTTAAAAATTAAACCAAATAATCTAAAAGACAGAAAAAGTATAATTTGTATCAAATGCTCACTGCAACTTTCCTTATACAGGTTGTGCATCCTTATCTCAAAAATATGAAATCCGAAATGTTCCAAAACCTGAAACTTTTTGAGCATTTACATGACACCACAAGTGGAAAATTCCACACCTGACCTCATGTGATGGGTCGCTGTCAAAACACAGTTGCACAACATGGTTTATTCAGCATCTTAGAGGGAAAAGAAAACCCTCTCAGCCCCCTTCAACTGCAGTGTATCTTTTCCATGCAAGTCCAGATTCACCTTCAAGCACACCCACAAAAGGTAATAAAATAAAAACTATGTTTCATGCACAAAATTATTTAAAATATTATATAAATTACCTTCAGGTTATGTGTATAAAGTTTATACAAAACAGAAATGAATTTCATGTTTGGACTTGGGTTCCATCCCCAAGATATCTCATTATGTCTATGTGAATATCCCCAAATCAGAAAAAAATATCTCAAATCAGAAACACTTCTGGTCCCAAGAATTTAAGATAAGGATGCTCAGCCTGTAGCAATGAAATATTTGTATAACAAGTGTCCAGAAAAGGAAATTGTATAAGTAATGTGCCTTTGGATAGAATTTGTAATAACAGATAACTTTTATTGAATGTTTACTATGTGCTTGACACTACGCTAAGGCTTAGTTTACATCACCTCATTTTATCTTCGTAATAGCCTATAACATAGATACTATATCCTGCGTGGTAGGATTTATCCCCAATTAACTGATGAGAGGCATGAAGGACACATAGTTTAAAATTATACAACCAGTCAGTGGTAAAGATAAGACTTGAATGTAAGCAGGATAACTCCCAAGTCCAGGTTCTTAACCATCAGTAAAACTACCCAATATTAAGCAAATACTGAGAGTAATTACAACGAAAATGGATTGAAGATAGAGTGACACATTCAAAAGGAAAGAAAATATGAAAAAAATTGTTTCTAATGGCTTATGTTAAAAAGGAAATAAAATACAAAAAAGATCTGTATATTATAGGTATAGGTATGTGAATATAAGAAAAGACCAGAAGAAAATGCAAAAATAAGATTTTTGTTCACAAGAGACTATTGGATTCTTCAGTTAGAAGTTCATTAATGGTGTTGCCAGATAAATTTCCTTTAAGAGGTAGGAGCAGAAGGGTTTAGTAAACTGATCTTTCAGAGGCTGGTGATGATAGAAGAAAATTGCATGTTTTTTGTTTGAAGAGAGGTAGAATCAAGGGATTTGAAAAAAGCCAAAGAGAAGAAACCAAGGAATAATAAATAGAAAGAGGATGAGAGGAAATGAGAAAAGAGAGGAGGTAGTGCAGAGAAGAGAAGAGGAGGGAGAATGTTGGAGGGTGAAGAAGGAATCAAAGGTAGTATGGAGTATGTTATGCCTTATACATAACAGTTGCTCAAAAATATTTATTAAATTTGAAGTTAATAAATATTTTTGAGCAACTGTTATGTATACGGCATAACATTGGAACCAATCTAAATGTCCAACAATGATAGACTGGATTAAGAAAATGTGGCACATGTACACCATGGAATACTATGCAGCCATAAAAAATGATGAGTTCATGTCCTTTGTAGGGACATGGATGAAGCTGGAAACCATCATTCTCAGCAAACTATCGCAAGGACAAAAAACCAAACACTGCATGTTCTCACTCATAGGTGGGAATTGAACAATGAGAACACATGGACACAGGAAGGGGAACATCACACACTGGGGCCTGTTGTGGGGTGGGGGAACAGGGGAGGGATAGCATTAGGAGATATATCTAATGCAAATGACAAGTTAATGGGTGCAGCACACCAACATGGCACATGTATACATATGTAACAAACCTGCACCTTGTGCACATGTACCCTAAAAGTTAAAGTATAATAAAAAATAATAAATTTGAAGTTAAAGCAATTTATTATAAAGTTAGGCAATCATGTCATGGTTATTATCTCAAGGAACTCATTTTGCTTTGCTTTGTTTTGTTTTGCCGTGTGTGTGTGAGTGTGTGTATAACATAAAAATAGCCTTATTTTATTTTTCTAAGTATGCATATATAAATAAATATGCTTATGTATTCAGAAAGTATATTAAATAAGAAAAAATAAAATAATCTGTAATCCTATCTAAACAAAACTCTGGTTAGAATTTTATCATATAGCCTTCTTGGCTATTTCTGTTCATTATGCACACATACCTAACTTCATATTTCCTTCTAAAAAGGCATCGACATTTGTAATCAGCTTTTTGTTACTCAACAACAATATGATTATTCTCTACGCTACTAAATATCTTCTCTTGAATAGTTGTGTAGTTTTCTGTTGCTTGGACAGATATAATTTATTTAATTAATCCCCTATTGATGGACACTGGCTTATTTTGAATTCTTAGATACTATAAGAGCATTGTGATGAATATCCTTACACATGCATATCTATACATGTTCATTTGTTTCCTTAAGATAAATTCTGCAGAATTACATGGATATATATATACATATATATATACATATACATATATATATATATATGTATATGTATATAAGTTCTTTGGACAGAAATTACTCAAGTGCCTTCCAGAAAATGTGTAAACGTTTTCTCCTCCCATTGACACAGTGGGGGAAGGTTTGCATCCCCACAGCTTGTTGATTTGGGCTATCAGCCTTTCTAATTTTTCAGAGAGCCATTGTCTGAAAAACCTCAAAACATCCCCTTTCTCATCCCACATTGCCTCTTGAATAGATAATTTTCCCTAGGAAGCATCTAAAAAATTCTGGAAGATATAAGTGGTTGAAGTAAAATTAGACTTGGTTTTAAGGTTTTACCAGAGAACAAAGAAAGCTGAAAAACATCAGGGCAGGGTTCTATATGTGTTACCCACTGATGACTCTATGCTGTGTTCCCTCTGATTAGAAAATGAAGGAATCAAACTTATGGAGATGCTTCACAAGCTCCTAAAAAACAGATCTTCAGCTGTGTAGGGAGCCACAGATTTCCCCTGTATGAATCTAAAATTATGTCAAAGTTTTTTCTCCTTTATGTTGGGTGTTTTTTTTTTTAAGAATAAATATGAAGGCATTGCCTCTCAACCGTTGAAAATAGGCATGGGAATTATAAGAAAAAGTTTTGCATTTGAACTCTGACTTAAGGTTTGGGCAAATATTTAGATACTAATTTAATTTCAGACAAACTACAGAATCCTAGCAATTTATTATAGCTCTAATTTGCAATAAGGGAGAAACAGTAGTATTTCTTCTAGTATTTTAGCAGAAATTAAAAATGTGTATTTACAACACTTAGTCACTTCCCTTAAAAAATAAAATCTTTTCAGCTTCCATGTAAAGCAGCCAGATGTCTAATTAGGAATCCTGAAACTCGGCTCTATTGAGTTAATAAGAACCCATGGCAAGTATTAACCAGAATATCCCATTCCTCAACAATGACGAAAAATACTTGAAAGTTCATGAAATAAGCTGTCAAAGTGGTTCGGTAAAATTCTAAATAAGATTATTATATTTTCATGTTCTTGCTAATCTATATCATGGTTAGAAATCAAAGCATGCCGAAATTTCTCTCTTACTTTTTTTGCTGTTCTTCCTCAACCCCACCTTCCTCAGGAATTTTTTTTTTAACTAAAACGTTCTGTGGTTGCTTTCAACCAAAGAAATGGTATAAATTATTGAAGTTTATATGTTTTTTGTTTGTCTTTTTATGAATAGAAAAATATTTGTTATTTTTTAATCAGTTGAGTGGGGGCTGTGTGTGTGTGTGTGTGTGTGTGTGTGTGCATGCACCTGTAATTTCTTACTTTAAATAAATGTTTTCCTATTTTAAAGGCTTTGTGGTACATTGATGAAACAAAATGGACAAACTTTCAGAGACGCTAATTAGTCATTTGGCAACTCTTCTCACAGCCGAAAATATAGTTTTTTTTCCAAAGAGGAAGCAATAAAGTATTATAAGTAAATATTTTTAAACTTCTACTAAAATGCTTGTTGAAATGTAACTGATGTATCTTATGGAAAAAATGCACACTTTTATGACACTTAGTAAATTACTAGAGTTCTGGAATTTCATTGTCTGATGTTAATCAATATATGTTTACACAAATCTCAGTTTATTTTTAAGGAATTGAGAGATAAATGCATTTATATTTTTTAGGAAAGGCAATTAAACCCTTATAAGAAAATAATGTAATGATAATGGTTAATACCTAGTTTAAAATGTTAGCATGAAAATTAATTAACCTAATGTGTACAAAGGACATAAACACTTGCTTGGCTTATGATGAATACTTAGTAAGTATCAGCTGTTATTATACCTGGAGTCACACTGTCTGGATTTAAATCTCAGTTCTGCCATGACTCGGCCTCAGGTCTTAAATTTCTCAATGATAAAATGAGGATAATTATAGTACCTACTCCATAGGATTGCAGTGAGAATCAAATAAAGCCTTGGAAGAGTGTCTAGCATACAGTACCTTCTCACTGACTATTAGCTTTCATTTTTAACCATGAGTGCCCCCAAATGAGAGCATGTTGCCTGGATTATTGGTAGTGGAGTAGATATATGTTTTATCTCAATTAGGGTAAAAATTTTGGAGAAGATAGGGTCTTATTTTTCTTCTGTAGCTCCTGATGTTTCTAGCCTTGTACAGTAAGTATGAAAGCCAGACTCTGCAACTGCCACTGTCTAAATGCATAAATGATTTAGTGAATTAATTTGTAAATTCAACTGGTATGAATTGGTCACTGACAGAAATAGAGAAAACAAACCATTCTTTCTCAACTCATCCAGAGAGATCAAAAAGGAAAAGTTAGATGTTTCTTACAGAACTAATGTTCCCAAATGACTCATTAGCCATATATGTCTTCTTAAAGCCAAAGGGCTTCTCAAAAGAATATTTGTACTTCTCCTATCTGCCCTCTTCTACGAAAAATAGATGGGATTAAAAAGAAAACAAAGACAACAAAAACCAAACCCAACGTTGACGGCTTAGCTGCAGTGTTCGTTCTAGAGCCATTTGTAAAACAGCAATGCCACCTGTTGGGTAGAATATGCAAGTCTGTTATGATTTTTGTGTATTGGAAAAATATTTGTTTATGCCTCCTCTAGGAGGCAAAGTATTGGGTTGCAGTATGAGAAGGAGAGAAAAATGAAAAAATCACTTGCAAAAAGTTTCCTAAGTAGTAAAGCAAATGAAAAGACATATTTCTAGTCATAGCATATGGACAAGTCTCTATTTTAAAACCTAACTTTTTTCCTCCCAAATCCTTCCAAGGATTACATGATCTATCCTGGCATTTGCTCTATTGTTCTTTCACACTCCTTTTATGGGGCTGCTGAAAGCAAAAATAGCAATCTGTAACACCTGTCACTTAACTAAAATGAGACATTACTTTTAATAAAGCAGATAATTGTTTTAACAACTTAGCAAAGATGGGGCCCTGTTTGTGGGGGCTGCAGCAGTTTTGTACTTCTTCTTGTCAGTACTACATAGTCATAAATCTCTGAAATGTAATAAAGAAAGAAAAATCAAAGATGATATTCTGATAGTGAGATGACATATGGATATTAGTCCCTGACCCGGAAAACATAAACAATTTTTGTTTAAGACAGAGTGTCCTCAGAGTTGGAAGTCTATCAGTATTGCTCAAGGTGGTACCCTGAGACTTACCAATGCCTCAGTCTAAAGATGAAACACTCAATGGTATTGCTTTTCCATTGCTAGCAAGCAAATGATGACGTTAAATTTGCTGGGCTTCAGACAGCAGAGAATATCTGGAATTGCTTGCTGGTCAAATATCTTGCTTGGCAGAGATATTTTCTCTAGGACTTCTTTGGATCAATTTCCTGACAATAAGGATCACCCTACTAGAGTAAAGAAAAAGATAGCTGGGCATTCAGAATATCAGATGCCAGTTAAGTGTATGTACAAAAACTACAATATAAGGAAATGTCCAATGTCATATGAGTGGCATGAGTGATTTGGGAATTTATAGGTCATAAAAATTCCAACTGAGATAAACAGGGAAGACTGGCAGGAGGACACTCAAACTGGAAAGATGAGGGCAAGAAATAGCTGAGATCCAATCAGAAACAAAAAGCCAGACTGTGGGAGTCAGTAGGACTATTCAGGTTTGTTTTTCCACCTCTTATTCTTCTAGGTACATGACACAATTGCATTTTCCTGCCTCATTTGAAGTTAGACATGATTGTATGACTTATACCAATGACATGTGAAGGAAAACAGTGTGCATTACTTCTGAGCAGAAGATCTAAAAGCCAGTATAGAATTTGTTATGTATCTTTTCCCTACCTCAGCAATTGTGAATCCAAATGTTGAAATGGAGTGTCTCTTAATCTGGTCTCTAGGTAACCAAGATGATCAGAGTCTGTTTACTGATTCACATTGGATATACACCTTTATTGTGGTATGCCATCAAGATTGTGAGGTTTGTTTGTTGCTGCAGCATAACCTAGCACATCCTGACTAATATACAGGGTTCCCATAAAATATATAAAATAATGAGCTAATAAAAGTAAAAATAAGAAGGAAAGCCTTAAAAAACCTAAAATTAGAAAACATTAGCTTTGGAAAAGCTAGAGGACAAGGGTTTTTTAGTTATGTGTTGTATATGAAGTCAATATATATGTGTGTGTCTATAATATATACGGTTTAGAAATGTATTTCCAAATGTTAGCCATTTCCCTATTTAATAACATATTTTCCCCTGTTTTCTCAACTCTGAAAGCAGCAGCAACAACAATACAATGGTACTTTTCAGATGTCTCCTTTATCTCTCTGTTATTAATATTCTTTATCATTTCCAAGACTGGAAATTAAAGCATTGACTCAGTTTTCTTTTTCTACCTTTGTCCACATAGAGGCTTTGTATATAGTAAACAGAGCAATTTTATTAAAACACAAGTCAGACTAAGTCACTCCTCTGCTCCATGACCTCCAATGGTTCACCATTCACTCAGAGAAAAGTCCGTCCTTGCTGGAGCTTATAAGGTCCTATGTGATCTGGCCCTCAATCACCTCTGACCTCATTTTCTTTGTGCCTTAACTTCCATGCTTAGCTGTTCCTCAACTATATATCAAGCACACTTGCTTAAGGACATTTATAGTTATTATTCTCTGTGCCAATAAGGTTCTTCCCTTAGAACATTTATGTGGCTCATTCCCTTCCTTTCCTTCTGGGCTCTGCTCAGAGACCTTCCCTGAACACTTTTCACACTTGAGTGGATTTGTCATACTCACTCTGCTGTATTTTTCTCTAGAGTATTTAAGATGATGTGATATACTACAATTTGCTTGTGTATCTGTAAATAACCTTTTTCCTTTAACTAGGACATAAGCTCCGTGAAGGCAGGTCTGTGTCTGTTTTGTTCTCTGTGGAATTCCATCACCCAGAAGAGGACCTAGCACACAGTAATAGTTCAATAATGAATTTGGATTATTCTCTCAGTGCTGAACCTCATTGCTGTGCAATATGGCTTTGAATTCCCCTTCTGTATCCCTGGACTTACTACTCAATGTCCAGTATGCTGTCCAGGGTCACAGCATGCCAGCATGATAGCACAGGACAGAAATATAAGCAGGCTTACTTCTGAGGTTCCCATATGAAAGCTATGGCAAAATTTTCACTTTCCCATGAAGAAAAAAGATAGACAAAGGCAAATTTGAAGGCATTGACATAAAGCTAAGTTTTAAATTTTATTTTTTAAAATGTGGGATAATTTCCTTACTTTTTTTGGTGCTAAAGTGTCCTTTCATTTGTTAAATAATGATAGAGTTTGATGACAGTTTCTATTTTGCTGCTTATTTGTTAGCTTTTTCCTTTTAATGGCCCATACTTGGCAAAGTGAAAAGTTGAACATCCTCAATAATACCCAATTTTTAAATATTCTAGAATTAGCTATCTCCATAAGGCAGGAAACTGAAGTCAAGAGAGATGCCATGACTTCTACATATTCGTCTATCTAGATTATAGCAGAAGAAGAACTAAAATTCATACCTCCTCATTTCCAGCAAGTTCTCTCTCTACCCAAAATTCCTGCCTCTGAAAAGCCCTTTGAGAATAATTCCCTCCCTGACGTGGAGTGTGCTTTATCCCCATAGATTTGCTTTTTTGGCCATGAAGCATTTCAGGGCTCTACAAGAAAATCAAGCCTCTTCTTTCTCATTTTTAGGGTAGTCAAAGGGTTTACACCTTACACAAAGGTAAGTTCTAATAGGGTGGAGTGAAGTGCCCGTGTTGGAAGCAATTAGAGAGGAATGAATTTCCCTCTGAAAACACGTTAGGATAGTTTAAGAGGTGAGTGTAGGGGTAATATATTCCTGAATATAATATTGCCCTGTCACTTCCTTTGCTGTCTTGGATGTCATTTTGTACATTTTTCACATTGTGTGTGTGTGTGTGTGTGTGTGTGTGTGTGCGTGTTTTGCAAATACCCACCTTAACTCTGAACTTTATTGTAGGCCAGAATTTTGTCTCCTTATATTTACTATCCACCTAACCAGAGGGCCTGCCCAGTACTCGGCACTAGGAGAACATTGAGTGTCTGCCACGTTGACTTCTGCTTTTATTTATTCTCTTTCTGAAAGGTCACTAGAGCTAAAAATTCTCAAGCTATTGAGAAATGCCACCCCCATCCATGGTACTGTATTGGCTCATGAGCTTTTTTCAGTTATCTTTCTCATTGTCTTGGCATCTGACTTTTAAGTAGACAAAGAATGCCAAGTTCATGCCAGATCACAATCTGCAAAAAAATGCTTATCACCGCTGGCAAGGAGAATGGAATATGCTCCCTTTGTAAAGATCATGGCTCAGAAAGAAGATTCAAATTCTCAGGAGCCAAACAGTTGGCTATAGTACCTTCCCACCCCTCAGATGTCCTGACTTCTATCTGGGAGGTATCTGGGCCATTAATGTAATACTCCATCATCAAGTATATATTGTGATCACCACTAGTAAGCTCAGAAAATCACTGAATTCCAGGATTAAAAGAGGCTTTAATGGTATCTTAATCCAACATCCATCCTCTTTATAGTTAAGTGATTGAAGACTGCTGGTAATTTACATAACACATTTATTGTTAGAAAGTTTTCTTTTCACACATATGAGGACTTGAAATCTTCCTTGCTGAAACTTCTACTTATTGATTGTTTATGAACTAATATTTGAACACTGAGCTCCTTATCACACTTCAGGTTCTGTGCTATGTGTTGAGGCCAGGAAGATGGATAAGGCACAGCTCCTGCTTTCAACAGCCTTATAGTTGGGTTGGAGAATTGTCATATAAATATATAATTCATACACTGTGCATAGTTCTGTATAAAAGCAGAGTGGAGGGACATATTCCCCCAATTTAGGCTGGTAAGGTAAAGGAAGGGAAGATTCCTGGAGTATATGACATGTCACCTCACTTTCTAGTTTGTTAGTCGTGCAGCAATTTAATCAGTTAATAATCAACCCAACTATATCATCCAGTCTAAAGTCTACATCTTTCCATGAACATAATAATCTTAGCTGGGGACATAGTGACTGAGTCTCCATCATGCTTTCCCCATTCCACTCCCACCCCTGTGTAGAAGCAATAAAGTTTGAGGAACTGACCTCAACTCCAGTCATAAAACCCACCCCTTGCCAGGATCCCTAACTGGAACCTATCCGTGCATAGTGTTCCATTGATGACAATTACTCGTTAAGAAGTGGGAACATTATGAAAGGAAAATTATGTTCAGTGCTTGAGAACTGTTTGCTCATTTTTTCTTTCCAGATATGAATGAGAGAACATGTAGCCTATTTTCGACTACTGGACAACTTACCTACAAGATGAAGCCAACAATGTTGTTAGCACAGAAAGACAAAATAAAACCTGGATCCTTGATCATATTACTAAACTGCTGGATCAATGAATTCTGATACACGCTGCCAAGCATGTGGGCCAATAAATGTACTCATTGTTGAAGCCAGTTTGATTTAGATTGTCTGTTATTTACGTCTAAAACCATCATAAGTATTCAACTTGTCTAAAGCCTTATTAAAGAGATATTATGTCTATGGTTTTTTATGAACAACTGCTCTAATAATATTAAGAAAGGAAAAACGTGTCTTTGGTATGCCTTGTTTTTGTGAATCAATTGTGGTTCCTAGTGCCTAAAGTCACATTTTCCTGGAGAAATGTTCTTGATTCACTTAGAGTATGGGTAACAGTTGGAAGCAATTCAGCTCCACAGGTATTGATTACATGTCTACTCTTTGCCCTGTATTATACTAGGCACCAAGGCACATGCAAAGTGGTTCTGAATAAGATATGGCTGCTTTATTCAACAAGCTTAAAATCCTTTGGAAGTCAAATGTAATCTAAGGAGCTTGAGTTCTTGTGTCATATACCCAGTCTCAAAACTTGCACTGCCTATTATGTGTCAGACATTATACATATCCTGTCTCATTTAATTTTCCCATCACCCGTTAAGGCCATTATTTATGAATGAGGAAATTAAGTTCAAAGAGGTAACTAACTTTCTCAAAGTGACTTGTCAGACATGATGGTGCTGGAAAATGAATATAAGACTAAGTACAAAACCAAAAGTATAACCAACATTTAGGTGGGATGTGAATGTGTCATTAACAGGCAAGCAAGCCTGACAGCCAGTTTATGTCTATTGTAGTTCCTCTGTCTCGGAGATATGCTCTGAAGTCAAAGGTGGTACTCAGTTGGTCCTTTAAGGGAAAAAAATCTCCCAAATCAGGCAAAGCTCCATCTGATGGCAATTAGAGCAAAAGCCAAGAGCATTAGTCTTTTGGTTATTCATCTATTCAATGAAGATTTATTATGCTCAATATATGACGGGCATTGTGCTAAACACAATGAAGAATACTAAGATTCATGAGGCTCAGTTTCTTCTCTGAAGCAGCTGTAACCTTTTAAGTAACAATAGCTGCCATGTATCAGATGTCTACTAACTGCTAGGCAGTTTTCATAAATCATCTGTAATCCTTAAATGGTATTGCAGTGTATTTTTGTTCCCATTCTCTGGATGGGAGATCTGAGACTTAGAAGGCTATACCTAAGTCACATATTCAAAGTCAAGATTTGAGAACAAGCCTAACTGAAAGCTTATGATGTCACCCAGTCATAAACATCTGAAGCCTCAGTTTGATTGGTGGGAGTGTGTAGTGTCCAACAGGTGTTCCTTTCTTATTCTCCATTCCATAATCCCCACCCCATTCTTCTCAGCGCCATATGCCTACCAAAGTGCTGTGTTTACGGCAGCCACTCAGTGGGTTCACATCATGTATTTTCAGCTGTGTGACAGAAACTATACTTTCCCTGCTGCCTATCAAGTGATTGATCTTGAGAAATCTGAGGACTGAAAATTACATTTCAAGTCCTTTTCGCCATAATAAGCATTCTTGCCTCTAGCATAGAACTGGTTATATAATTCAGACTCAAAAGTATACATCTTAAACACTTACTATATATGCTAGGCACTTTCACATATGTTGTTTCATGACTTTTATTTTGCGAATAATGAAACCGAAGGTATAGTAAATTGTTCAAGGTCACTCACATTTTAAGTGAAGGTCCAAGATTCAAAATCCAGTACTCTCTGTCTAGCATATTTTTAAGAATACATTCAGCTTTCAGTATATTTTTAAGGATATGTCTAAGTCTGATATATATTCTGCTACACCAGATGTGAATGCTATTGGTTTTTGTATGGTGAGAACTACTTTTATTTAAAGCATTTTCTGTGTTTCATCCTCTCATTCCACTTCCATTATTACTTTCAGAATGTTTTATGTCTATGTAACCTCTGCTTTTTTCCTTGGTGTCTCATAATTACTGATCCTGGCTCCAAACTCTCTCCTATAACTATTCCCAGAGGCCATCCTCACTATGCTACAGCCTGTCTCTCTGTTAAGTTTTCATGAGGAATGTCTCTTTTGTGGCATTTACCAAAGGGAAAAAAATCTTCCAAGCTTCTCTAAATAGCATAAAGTAATTCTGTTCTCATAGTCTTAAAAAAGGCATTTCTCCCTTTTTCTTTTTTTCTTTTTTTTTTTTTTTTTTTTTTTTAATTCTAGGACTTGTCCCATCAGTAGGACCCATACAGTTAACCACATGAAAACTATTGGAGTAGGCTTTTAAAAAATCTTTGGTACGACGAAGACAGTGATTTACTAGATTTATTCTAAGTAATCATATGGGAATACTTTTTTATTTTCAGAAAAAATCAAATTAAACATGTGAGGTTTATTTTAAAAATTAGTATTTATGATTAGACTCAGCACAGGTAAGGAGTTCAATTGGATAAGGCCACTTAGTTTTTGTGCCTATCTTCTTATGAAGTGGTTGGTGACAAATTAGATTTTTCTATACTTCTAGCGCAAACTCAGTCATGCTTGAAGGCTTCAGTGTGATGACACTTGACCTGAACTGAAAGTATAAATGAGAAAGCGCCGGGTCACCCACTATTACATTTGGAAGTTGTTAAGTATTTTTGGAGTTCTATCAAGAGAAATTTGGAATAAAGTAAGACTAAGATTAACCACTAATTATGGAAAAGACAAGTAAGTGGAAAAAGGGTCCTGGTCTTTTAAGAGAACATCCAAAATCATGCTTTCAACTAACACCTCTTAGCAAAGTAGTGAAAAGCAGTGACCTAGGAATATGTTCAATACCTGCTTCAGCTACTTACTAACTGCAAGTGGTTTAACTTCTCTGGATTAATCATGGTTACCACCTCATAGGATTGTTGTGAAGTTTAAATGAAATAATGCGAGGAAAACATTTAGCACAGTGCCTGTTGATCCTAAGTGTTCAGAAAATATTCTAGCTAAAATACTGTGGTTGTTGTTGTTATTGTTGTTATTTTTATTATCTAGAGGTAAACCTTCAGTGCAGTCCAAGTCGTGTGACAGGACATTTGTATTTTGGTATCTTGCCCCCTGCCGCAAGCTTCTAAGCCTGTACAGCAGAATTGGATTTTTCTGTGATCAAGGTGTGGGGGCAGATAAGACAAATACCATCAATCTAGGAAGTAGATGGAAGCTACTCATTGGCACCAAGCAATCACACATCCTCAATGCGTGCTTGTTGAGGCAATTAACCTTCAGCTTCTATACGTATAGGTAGCTAGATTTCCTAATTGAGGAATTGATGCAGAGTGAATATACCATTCAAAGTCTCAGCATCCACAATCTCAGCATGTATCTTTATAAATCACATGACATAAATCCAATATTTTGGAGGAAGAAAGCTTGGCAAAAAGGAATTCGAAAACTATTCATTGATATTGGGGTTATTTAGGGAAGAGAGCAAGGAATAAAAAACGATTCGTTGACGTTGGGGTTATGAAGGGAAGAGAGCTACAAATGTAACATTCAACTTATTATCCAGATTCTGAAACAGGCCTTACAACCCAGGAACATTTAACATTTAGCACTTTAGTAGAATGTATAACATTTCTGTGTTTACCCACCACTGAGCTGGGCAAAAAGATGACTGGAATTATTCTTTACAATCAAAGAGCTTACATGATATTTTACAGTATAAGAAGCATAGATATTCCTATGTTCCTAAATTAATCTACCTCTCCCATTTTCAGCTTAGTTATTGTCAAATTTAGAGTATTTGTGAGCAGAAATAAAAGCCCTTTGCCCCCAGACTGTATGGCTTGCTCTGAATTTTGGAAAGCCAGGTTTCTGGTCAAGCAAGCAGGATTTGAATTGCAACGAGTCAGTGAAGACAGTCAAATGCTGGGCTGGCCAGCCATTTGCCTGATAGCTGCCTCTATTTAGAGACTGTGAAGAACCAAGGAAAGACAGCCAGAATCAAACCCGCTTCCAGCTTCATCCTCTTCCTACCTCCACACACCATCATTTGTTTCCCAAACAATTATTAACTAGTCTTTGCCACTATATATCTGAGTAAAAAATTCACCCAAAACTCACTGACTTAAAAGAACATTTATTTCCATGAGTCCGTGGGTTGGCTGAACTGGGATGGATGCTGTGCTCAGCTGGGTGGATCTACTTGAAGCTGTGTCTCCCTAGATGCCATTGCTTCCCACTACAGGTCTGTGGGCCAGCCTGGAGTCTCTACTTCACATATCTCATTATCCTAAGAGTCCCAGAAACAGGCACACTTCTTCATTCATGGAGGGAGCAGAGGCAAAAGGGAACAAGAGGAAGTATATGAGTCCTGTTAAGGCCCAGGTATGAAACTGACCCATTGTCACTCTTGTCCCCAGGATCAAAGCAAGTCACATGGCCAAGCCCAAAGTCTATGAAGCAAGAAAATACACTCCACCAATGATGGGGCTATGACTAAATATGGAAGCAAGAAAGTGTGAAGAATGGGAGC
This sequence comes from Homo sapiens, assembly GCF_000001405.40. NCBI lineage: Eukaryota > Metazoa > Chordata > Mammalia > Primates > Hominidae > Homo > Homo sapiens. The sequence continues at coordinate 170,891,452 of NC_000001.11, forward strand.
CAATCTTTCAGCCTACCACTCTGAATCACTCCCAATCCTAAGCTAAAAATGCTCTCACCTGCAGAACTTGACGTTTCTCTATTGAAAGGATATTTCTTCACTTTTTAAGATCATTCAAGGGGGTTCTAAACCCCCTACACTTCTTCCCTGGCCAGAATCCATAATTCCCCATTTCATTTTATGCTCCACACTGAAAACTTTTTCCCCTCATCATTTATCAAAACATGATTACTGTTTGTGCTGTATTTTAATTCTTTGGGAGGCAATCTATATAGTTTCATCTGGAATGGATGTCATTAACATTTGCAGTACTGCCTCAGTTCATTCCCCATAAATGATAAATGATATAGGATACACACACACACACACACACACACACACACAAGAATATCCAAAATGAGGAAAAGTGAATTAGTTATTGGGTGAGATTCAGCTGAAAATCTTCAGGGAGAACTTGAACATTGAGTATAACCTTGAAGGAAATTTCCAATTGCAATATTCTACTCACCACTCACATGATGAGGCATTAGATGTATGGATGTGTGAACTGGTTAGTTTGGGATCCTTTGCTTGTTATTCACCACAACCGTACCTTTGTCCTTAAGCTATGCACACCACTAATGCAAAGGAAGTGGGTGAGAGCTCACAACTAACTCATCAGCATGACCGGACAGAGCTCAAAGTCCATGCAGTTTTGATTGGTGGATCAGAGGTAGTATGGCTCATACGTGTTCTCTGTCTCTCCACCTTCATGCATGTGTGCATATGTGTAGGTGTGTGTACACATAATCAAAAGTAAATATATGTTGTGCTTATTAACCAATTAATGGCCATTAATAATCAACGAAGTATAGCTTCCCGACTGCTGCTATAATTATTGGGAACCATTGATTCGTTAGAAAGTATATGTGTTTGAGTCACTAAGATAATGCATTGTACATTTTCCTCACACTTCTGTTTCTAAAACTGTTTCAGGTAATAGGAGGGAAGCTACTTCTTTCTGGGTTACTATGTAACCCTAACTACCTTTCACCACAGCACTAACCATCCTGTATTGTAATTGCCTATTCACTTGTCTCTACCTAACCATAAGCTCTGAGAGGGCAAGTAAACATCTTGTTTATAGTTTTCTCTCTTGGTATAGTGCCTGCCCTATATTATATGCTCAATAATTTTTTTTGAGAGAAGTAAACATCATTCCAAATTTTACATAAGACAACACAAGTAAAGCATTTTGTAAACTGTCAATTTTATATCACTGTTATAATTAGTATAATCTCCATTAAAATTATCTACTGAGAAAAATTACAATTGGCAAACCACAGATTATGAATGTGCTAGCCCAGGCAATCTGGCAACTTTGCAAATTATCTAATTTGGGGGTTGTATGTATTGGTCTTGGCATGAACACATACAGTGTTACTTACCAATTTGGTCTACGGGGCATACAAATATACTTTACCAGGCCAGGTGCGGTGGCTCACCCCTGTAATCCCAGCACTTTGGGCAGCAGAGGCGGGCGGATCACGATGTCAGAAGATCAAGACCATCCTGGCTATCACAGTAAAACCCCATCTCTACTAAAAATACAAAAAATTAGCTGGACATGGTGGCGGGCACCACCCATTTAGTCCCAGCTACTTTGGAGGCTGAAGCAGGAAAATCACTTGAGCCTGGGAGGCAGAGGTTGCAGTGAGCCGAGATTGTGCCACTGCACTCCAGCCTGGGCGACAGAGCGAGACTCTGTCTCAAAAAAAAAAAAAAAAATATATATATATATATATATATTTATACACACACACACACACATATATATACAACATGCACACACACACACCCACACTTTATGGTGGGGGTGGACCTGTACCCACTGGCTACACACACACACAAGCCCATACATTAGTGACAGATAGATAAACTCAGGCTTAGCGTTGAAATGGTTTCTCTATAAAAGCTCCTCAAAGTTGTGAAATATAACTGAGATTCAAGAGCAAAATAAAATATGAGTCTTACCAGAGGAAAAATATGGGTTTTCTCTGGATTAAAAATATAAGATTTTTTTCCCCCTGAATGATAGGACCGTAACGATTCAATTTCTCCTGCACCAATCAGCATCAACCTGTGAGATCCAGACCTGGCACATGGAAATTTCAGCCTTAAGTCAAATATTATTTCAAAGTTAATGACAAAATCTATTTTTGCAGTGGTCTTGTTTAAAATATTTCCCCTTAATACTCTTGAAATGCTGTAATTGAAAGCAGTTATTTGAGATGCCAGTGCATACTTCTTTAATTATGTCCTGTGCCATCTGTTTTCAATGAAAGGGCAGTATCTGTTTGCAGTTACCAATCTTATGAAAAACAGGCTTGTCCCGAAATAGATTGGAACTAAAACCAGAAAGCAGTTCTTTCAGAGGCATCCATTCAAGGCAATTAACTTTAATCATTATAGAAATGTTTATTTCCCATCTTAGTCTCTCTTCACATGTAAATTCCTTCAGGGGAAAAGATCTCTTTTTGTGACTGTTTGAATAGTTCCAATTTGGATTAATCAGAACCTGCTGGTCTGTTTATGTTCCAATTGTGAATGCTGGCAGCTTTCTTGATGAAGGAGCACACATGCCCTGCGGAGAGCAGATTGAGAAGCACAGTAGATATACACCTACTGATCAGAGCAAGTTGGCTTAACCTCCTGGGCCCTATGCTTGCCCCATACTGTCTTCAAGGGTCAGGACAAGGAAGCCATGTGATGGATGGGAGACCAGGAATCCTAAGCTGAGTTTGTACAAAACCCATCTCCTCAAAGGAACCAGATACTCCCTTCAACCACACATTCCCATGTCATTCTCATAAAAGCTATGAGAAAGACTGGTGGCCTTGCAAAATGCAGGATCTGTGTTGGTGACTTGTGAGTGCATCACTCTACCTAGGAGACTGTTATTTCTGAATTGCTTCTATTCTTCAGGGAGATTTTCTATCAAAAGGTCAAAAAACACTTTATGGCAAATTTTTGATGACAATTATTAAGTAGTTTCATTCATTGTTTCAGAATGTAAGTTTCTCAAGGGCACGGATTCTTGACTGTTTTGGACATTGATATATCCCAAATACCAAGAACAGCAATTTGGTGCAAAGAGACCCTCAGTGACTATTTGCTGAATTTGTTCATTCTTTTAGACTTTGACGATACATTGATATAAAACATACAAAAAAGTCTCTTAAGAGACTTTCATTCAACATGATCGGTGTCTTGGACACGAAAATAAAATGCTCAAAAGACAAACCATGTTGACAGTAAACATCTTGAGGATAGAACAAGAGCAGAGACTGTGTCTTTTTCATCTCTGTGCCTAGATGCAAAGTCTCTAATTTAGACTTGGCATTTGATAAATATTTGATTAATTTAACTCAGCAGGCATACATGTCTTGGCTTCCACCTAAGAAACTTACCATTTACTTAGATTTTAATAAGTCTTGAATGTTTTTATACATAAGCTTCTCTAATCCTCAAAACAAACAAAAACCCTGTGAAGTACTAAATATCTCTAATGTTCAGATGAAGAGCTGAAGCTTTTATCTGGAAAATCACTTGCCAAGGTTAATCAGTTAGTAAAGCCAACATGAGATTAGGAACTCAGGTTTGTCTCAGTTTAAAGTCAATAACATTGTACCCCATAAATATATAATATGTACAATTATGATTTGTCAATTAAAAATTTAAAAAACAAAATGCAAATCAATAAGCAAATAAAAGTTGATACTCATATATGTTATCTATTGGCTTCTATACACTACTTAAAGTGTCCTTTAGGAAAGTTTGTCTTTAACATAAACCCAAGGATTCATAATCACATACTAAAAAAATCTAAAATTATTAAAATCTACATTATTATTTGAAAAACAGTAGTTTCCCATCTCTCGCTTGAAGCTTCCTTGACAATCCCATTTCTCCCTTGAAGTTCCTGGAGTCTTATATTGCCTGTATCTTCTAATAACTGCTATTTCCTTCAATTTGGGATCCCTGTAGCTTGCAGGTCTGTGGCTTTTGGACCTCATGAGCTCCATTCAAGAAGGAGATGTTCTTCTGGTTTCCCAAAAATCATGAGAGTAAGTAATGTGTTTTTTTCCCTTTGGAGTTGAAATGTTATCCTATCAGATTGGATGGACTTGGCAGGCTTGATTTAAAGAAAACCACCCATCTCTCCCAGGCTTTCTTTCTGTGATGATTTAAATGGAAGTGTAATACAATCTCTTAAACTTTCATAACTTAGTCCCACCCCAAACTTTCCAGAAATCAGTCAGGAATTCTTGTGGGAATATCAAGTGAGAGGCAGTACAGGATAATGCAACAAAGGGAAACATATAAAGGGAAATGATGGAAAGTTGGGAAAGAGAACAGAGACATATGAATTGAATAGTGACTGAGCATCTAACACACTCATGCTAATGAGTGGCTTCTGAAATTATGTGGTCAAAATAAAAGAGCTGGACTCCACGTTCTTGAGCTTGGCATTCAGTGACTATGATTCATATTTTAGGTCTGGAGCAGACTAATGAGTTATGGACAAACTACAAGCACTCATTCTGTTTTAGAATGGCTATGATCTTTTTGTCAACTCTTCATTTATCACTTAATAATATTAATCACCACTTCCCAGTCTTCATCCATAATATGGTAAGTGCTACTCTGAGCCACAAGCGAGAGTTATCTCTACCCAGAGAACATTCCATTTAAATTAATCAAGCGTGTGCGCGTGCGCACACACACACACACACACACACACACACACACACACGATAAAGCTAAAGCTAAGAGCTCCCTCAAAGAGAAGGAATGCCAGGGTGGGGCAAAAGTCAATGCCTTAAAGTAGTTAAAGTAAACACGCTAATATCAATAACAAGAATACCAACAAAAAACTTAATACTATTTATTTAATGTCTACTGTGTGGCAAGCACTGTGCTAGGAGCTTTATATTGATTCTATACAGACTCTGTGAGTTGAATATTCTTATCCCTGTTTTACAGATGGAAAATCAAGTCTCAGAGAAACTAACATTTTCAGGCTCCAGACCTAGTAAATGATAGAAACAAAGTTAAAACTCAGTTCTTCCTGACTTTAAAATTTCTGTTCTTTCCATATTAATCAGAGAATATGGTGGAGAAAATTCTGTTCTGTGAAGGAAGCGGATTGAAAATAGAGAAAAAAAGATTAAAAACTTACAGAGTCCTGGAAATATTCCTGAGCTAGAAATGAGATTTAAATTCTATTTTCTACTATTTTACTAATTAACTTTATAATCTTAGGTAAGTCACTCACTTTATCTCTTCAGGCTTTGGTTGTATCATCTATGCTACCAAATTAAGGAGATGAATTTAATGCTGTTAAAGATTGCTGTTAAAGACTGCCCCTACCTTAGGTTTCTCTGTGGAAGATGCTATCTGAGCGAGGCCGAACAGCCAAATGGAAAACGATATGTCAAGCATTTCAGTTGTAAAATTCCTCGGCTAAGTCACATTAGAGTATCTTGGGCTTCGAAACTGGGCTGCACCTTCTTTTCTCTGCTCCATCTAGCGTGATTGGATCTGCATAGTGTATTCCAGACTAACTTAAGTAACCACCCTTGTGGATAGGAATAGTCACTCAGACACTCAAGCGCAAAGGCACATAAGGTCAAAAATGTGTGTGAAATTTCTCATCTGAATGAACCAAGGAAGAAGCAGGGGATAGAGACACAAAAGAGAAAAATAATTTATCTTCTCTGTAAAGGACTTCTAAGATCTTTCCTGGTATTGAGAGTCCATAGATCTATGAAACCACTGCCTATAAACAAAACTGAGTGAATATCATTCAAACTGAAATGTGTAATGAAATGCCAATTACCTATAAAAATATGACAGTGAGATCAAAAGCAGGTTGTTAATCAGGAACAGTAGATATCAGAAGTCAATGGAGTAATATATTGAAAGTACTGAGAGAACATAATGTAAAACTAGATTTTTTTATTCAGCTAAACTATTGTTTAAGAGGGAAGGAGAAAAGTACAGTTTACCACATACAGATTCTCACTGAAATAATTAGTAAAGATGTGCTTCAGAACATTGTTGTTTTTAGAGACAGGGAGCTCTCCTGACGCTCATGCTATTATATAATCCTCTCTCTGTCTCTGTTTTTGCTACAAGGTAGAATCCATAGGGCTAAGGGGATGTGCTCACTGGGAACCTGCCTCTCCTTCTAGACCTTGGTCCAAATACCTAGAACACCAGAGTTTTCCACCAGAACCTGGGACTACTTACAGGTCCCACATGGATCTCTTTCCCCAGAGGGAGATACCACCAGTGGTCACACTTCTCAACTGAAGAGGTAGCTGAGAGGTAGCTGTTTGCAAGGGTTCTAGATGGAACTATGTATATGTGTGGAGATAACTACAAGCATGTATGTGAGACCCTTAGTTGTGTGAAGTAAAGCCAGGATGAGAACAGAATTGGTGTGAGCTGCAAAACAAAAGCCAGGGGCCCACTCTTTCCAAGCCATGACTTTCTGGTTTGGGATTCCAAGAAGTCTAAGAAATCTAAATTTGAACCTGGCCTTCTAGGTTGTTAGGAGGATATATTTGCCAAGAAAGAGGATAGAGCATCGTGTATTTAACAATTTGTGGGGCTTTATGTACAGTTGCGTGGAAACAAATAGCTCTACAAAGAGAAACTTAGAACCATTAACGCAGGAGTTAACAGTTATGTAAATAGTACACAGGGAGCACACAAACAGCTAAAGGCTGAATGGAATTACAGTACAGAAGTCCCTCTACAGTATAAAAGCCTCTCTACAGTACAAAAGCCCCTCAAATTTCAAACACTCATGGAAAGAGCTAAACTACAGTCTAGGAAAAATAATAATAAGTGAGTGGTTGTTCACAATCTATATTTTAGCTTGGACATTTCAGGTCCCAGTTTGTCCACTAAATGCAAAAGCAACGGTGGTATCCTAGTGAGAAGAGACAGGGGCTTGTGGTAGGGGAAAAAAACTTCTATGTATGTAAAAATATGTATGGTATGTGAGCTTCTTTATATTCTTGATCAACCCCCTTGAATATTAGGGGAAGCCTAGAAGAAAAGAGAACCCACAGGGAAAGCATGGAATGCAAAAAACAACAGAGGTTATGAAAATTAATAAAACATACCAGAAAATTAATTAATGTGACTATAAAAATTCTAATGATGAGCTTTTGTGGGTTAAAAATGGTAAAACAAAAACATTAGGAGAGTTTGTCAATGGGGTGTTAAAAAGTGCTAGGATCCTATTATACAAGAGTAGGATGTAAATACTGAACAATTTTATAAACCATTCAAAAATGTAGAGCTAATTCTGCACTGTAAAATTATAAAAAGTTTAAGGTAATCACTAAAGAAATAGAAATACTTAGTTTCTGGACTAACAAAAGAAATTGGGAATAAATGGAACTTTAATCCAAGAGAAAACAGGAAAAGAAAAAATAAAGCAAAGAAATAGTGGTAAACTGAAAAACACAAAATAAGACAAGAAGAATAAATCCACAATTTAATAATTAAAACAAATTTAAATACAATTAAGTCACCTATTAAAATATAGAGATTAACTGTTTAGATAGTAGAAAAAGAATAAAATCTAGCTATATGCAGCTTTTAAGACACACAACTGAAGTAAAACCATGCAGGTCGGAAAAGGAATTATGAAGAAAAGATGTAACATGTAAATTCTAACCAAAGTAAAGATTATTTTATGTTAATACCAGATAATATAGAATTAAAAACAAAATAGTAATTATGAATAAATTGTGATACAATATATGGAGCAATCAACCAAGTAGCAATAATAATCACAAATGCATATGCACCTAAAAACATAGTTTCTAATACATAAGAAAATATTTGAAATAGACACATCTCCCATCAAAACAAATCAAAAATAAGCAAGGTTAGAGAATATTTGAACCACACATTACCAAGTTTGATCTTATATCCATATTTCTGTCTTTGTACCTATAGAGTTATCTTCCTTCCTTTAGTTAGAAAATATACATTATTTTAAAGAATGTAAGATGTATTTTAAAAACTAACCACACAGTAGCATAAAATTAAAAACTCAATAACAAAAGGGTAACTAAAGTACTCCATGTGTATAAAATTTTTAAAAACACATTTAAATAACTCAGAGTTTAAGAATGCATAAGGAGCTCAAACAACTCTATAGGAAAAAATATACAATAATCTGATGTTTCAAATGGGCAAAAGATCTGAATACACATTTCTTAAAAGAAGACACACAAATGGGAAATAGGCATATGTAAAGGTGCTCAACATCATTGATCATCAGAGAAATTCAAATTAAAACTATAAGATATCATTTCACTCCAGATAAAATGGCTTTTATCTAAAAGACAGGCAATAACAAATGCTGGCAAGGATGTGGAGAAAAAGAAACCCTCATACACTGTTAATGGGAATGTAAATCAGAACAATCACTATGGAGAACAGTTTAAGAATGAATAAGACCTACTACTTGATAGCATGACAGGGTGACTATAGTCAATAATAACTTAATTGTACATTTTTAAATAACTTAAAGAGTGTAATTGGATTGTTTGTAACTCAAAGGATAAATGCTTGAGGGGATGGATATCCCATTCTCCATAATGTGCTTATTTCACAGTGCATGCCTGTGTCAAAGCATCTCATGTACCCCATATGGATACACACACACACACACACACACACACACACAAACACACTCACACACACCCCTACTATGAACTCACGAAATTAAAAAAAAAAAAAACTAAAAATAGGGCAGGTGCGGTGGCTCACACCTGTAATCCCAGCACTTTGGGAGGTCAAGGCAGGTGGGCCATCTGAGGTCAGGAGTTCAAGACCATCCTGGCCAACTTGGCAAAACCCTGTCTCTACTAAAAATATAAAAATTAGCCTGGCATGATGGTGGGCACCTGTAATCCCAGGTACTCTGGAGGCTGAGGCGGGAGAATCACTTGAACCCAGGGAGGTGGAGGTTGCAGTGAGCTGAGATTGCGCCACTGCACTCCAGCCTGGGTAACAGAGCGAGACTCTGTCTCAAAAACAAAACAAAACTAAACAAAACTAAACTAAACTAAACTAAACTAAACTAAACTAAACTAAACTAAACTAAACTAAACTAAACTAAACTAAAATTAGAGCTACCACACAATCCAGCAATTCCACTCCAAGGTATAAATACAAAAGAAAGGAAATTAGTATATCAAAGGGATATTCTGCATTCCCATGCTTGTTGCAGCATTGTTCACAATGGGCAAGATTTGGAAGCAACGGTTGAACAGATAAAGTATGGTACATATACACAATGGAGTACTATTCTGCCATAAAAAATGAGATCCTTTCATCTGCAACAACATGGATGGAACTGGAAGTCATTATGTCAAATGAAATAAGCCAGGCACAGAAGACAAACATCGCATGTTCTCACTTATTTGTGGGAACTAAAAATCAAAACAGTTGAATTCACAGACACAGAGAGTAAATGGATGATTACCAGAGGCTGGGGAGGGTACTGAAGGGTGGGGGTGCAGGGGAGTGGGGATGGTTAATAAGTACAAAAAGTAATTAGAAAGAATTAATAAGACCTAGTATTTGACAGCAAAACGGAGTGACTACAGTCAATAATAATTTAATTATACATTTTAAAATAACTAAAAGAGTATAATTGGATTGTTTATAACACAAAAGATACATGCTTGAGAAGATGGATATGCCATTTACCATGATGTGATTATTAGGCATTGCATGTCTGTATCAAAGCATCTCATGTACCCCATAAATACATATATCTACTATATACCCACAAAAATTTAAAAATTTTTTTAAAAATCATCTACATAAAATATAAATGATGCTCAAAAAATTAAAAACAACAATTTATGGTTTAAAAGAGAAATCATAAAGAAAATAGAAATATATTTACAAGAAAATTATAATGAGAATACTAAATTTTGTAATTTGTTAGAATATAGCGAATGTGATACTATTGTGGAGGCAAGTAAAAGAAAAACTTAACCCCCAAAAAAGCAGAAAATTAATAAAATTTGAATACACAAATATATAGAGAATATCAGAAAGGAGGATACATACATAGATAAAATTAATTTATAAGGACGTAATTATACTCTAAGCCATTTTTAATAAAATACCTAACATTTAATTTTACTTGAAGAAAAAACAGAAATTAATTTGTAAACTTGAGTTAAAAATTTCTATATGCCAGAGCTGCTACATTTTATAAGCTCTTTTAACATTAAAGGAACTATATGAAGATAATTATATTAGTGTTATCTTTTTCAGAAAACTGTATTTTCAATTTTAGTGTGAATTGCCTCTCTTCCACCAAAAATGAAACAATTATTACTAAACTTCTTTTAATCCTCCTACCATCTTTTTTCTGTTACTTATAATATTTTTACTTGTTTAGGGATTATAACACTTATGTTTTGCAATGAAAATTCCTTCAACTGTTAATTTTTTTTTTTTTTTTTGAGACAGAGTCTCACTCTGTCGCCCAGGCTGCAGTGCAGTGGCGCAATCTGGGCTCGCTGCAACCTCCACCTCCTGGGTTCAAGCGATTCTCCTGCCTCAGCCTCCTGAGTAGCTGGGATTACAGGCTCGCACCACCATGTCCAGCTAATTTTTGTATTTTTAGTAGAGATGGAGTTTCACCATGTTGGTCAGGCTGGTCTCGAACTCCTGACCTTGTGATCTGCCCACCTCGGCCTCCCAAAGTGCTGGGATTACAAGCATGAGCCACCGCGCCTGGCCTAATTTTGTTCTATTTTTAAATGGATTTAATACCCCATCAGTTTTTGTTTTAATTTTTATCAGTTTTCCAAGTCAGGGTTCTTCATTTCTTTAAACATCACTTAATTGTCTGTTTTGTTTTATTGAATGTTTTGCTTAAGAATTCTTCACTGGAACCTATAATCCTTTACTTTTTTCATATATGCGGTATTTGCATTTTCTCCTATTTACCTAAATGGCAATTTGGCTGGGTTAATGTTAGACCCAAGAATAGAATTCTGTAGCCATTGCTTCATTGTCTTCTGGATTTTCTTTCCTCCTTGGTAACTTACTTTTTCTGCCTAAACATCTAAAGCAATTCCTTCAAAGTTTTTTTTTTGTAGTTTGATCATTTAATAGTAATTTATTTTTTAAAAATGTTCAGATAGGAATAATTTTGCATTATTACTTCTTAGTATATAAAATTCCCTCTCAATTTTTTTCTTCATTTCAGGAAAATTTTTGTCATTGTGGTATATCTTTACATCATAGTAGCTCTTTCCTTCAGGGATACCAATTGCCTTTATGTTATATTATCTTTACTTTTTCATAACTATCATCTCTTCCAATTGCTTTAATCTCTGATCCGTGACCATTTCAGTGTATCCCCCATGCCATAAATACAGTTTTTGTCCATGTCTATTTCCTTCCTTGTTCTTATTATTATTTACAAAGTCTATTGTGCTATTATTTCAGTTCATAATCTGTTTCATTAATTCTATAACTTTCATCTCATTCTTTTGCCTCATCCCATTTTGGGGCTCATAGTTTTACAAGTTATTTTCTATAATGAAGAACTGAGTGGGAGTTTCCAGGCCAAGACAAGTACAGAAGCAGGAACACAGCTTTTCTCTTCCATGTTTCCTAAAAATGAACAAAAATTATTTTTAAAAGGCCAAAACTATGTGTGTGTATATGTATGTGTGTACGTGTGTGTGTGTGTCTTCATGAACATGAATTGTTACATCTTTGAAATGGTTTACTTATGGTCCTGGAGATCAAGAGGATAGACTTCAAAACTTTTAAATGTCTATTCTATGATTAAGTAATTAAAATAATTTAGTAAAAGCATTGTGTTATCTGAATTTTATAGTTGTGTGTGTGTCCACATAAAAAACCCACATTTCTAAAAGGAAATATTGCAGCCCAATACAATCTTTTAATCTAGTTCAATTAGGTCACATCAATTCCATTGAAGTCAAATTGGATCAGTTCAATTTAACTGGATAAAACTACTTGCTCTAATCTTGGTTCACTTTCACATTAGGGTGAAAAAGAAAAACTCCAGCTCCAGATAATACCTTTCCGCTGTCAATATTTTCTCTAGCTACCCTCCCATTCCTCCACTTACTCACTTGACTAGCTTTTTCCAGCCCTCATCTCCTGCATCTTTGATCTGTAGGCTTTGTGACCCAGCTTCTGTCATCTGCTTTAGGTCTCTTTTTGTTTTGACAATCTATTTGGACCAGTTTCTGTGTTTTACCAATTTTAGTCCATTTCACTAATCTGTTGACTTTTTAGATCCATTAAATTTTGATAACACTGCAACTGAAAATAAGAAACACTTTATTCAGCTAAAGACTCGTTCTAAAATATTCACCACACTGCCAGAGGTAGTCTGTACAAATGTGTAGCTTGGCCTCCTTACAAGTATATAAGGCACTATGTTGGGGTAAGGCATAAAATTGTAGAGAAAGACCATGTGTACTGTGCACTAAGAAGACAGTGATGCTTCAACCTGTTCCCTACTGTATATCTCAGTCCTTGATACTTTGCTCTTAATATTGAGACCCAGAGCTTCCACTAACTGGATAGAGCCAGAAAGACTAGCCCAAGTAGAATTCCTTTTATGTGTGGTAATGTAATTTTTAAAGAACACATTGGGTGAGGCAGGCACATACTGAGGACCAGCAACAGTCCAAAGTGTCTCAAAATAAATTACTTTCCAAATAGTCCAAAGAGATAGATAAGGCAGAGAGACTCTATATGGCTGGTAAAAAGTTGGCATCAAAGGCAGATGATTGACTTGAACTGCAGTTCGTTGTATTTTTATGCTTTGATTGACAGTCTTCTGTTATTTTTGGTGAGGCAGAAAACTCAAATTTTGCCTTTGGTATTTTTTTCTTCACTTTGTTATTTTTTCAAGCTGTGGTAATGCAGTATTTTTCAAAACTGAGAAAAAGCATTAAGTCATCTTCTCTATTGCTCTGGCCAAAGCATTATTTTCTGTGATGTGTATTCTAAGACATTTATGAACTAAGTTAACCTTAAGTTATGGTGGTTCCCTTGTTATTGTCTTTGAGACATGACTCCCAAATTTAGTTATTATTATTAGATATTTTTTCTGATTCTGGTCATCCTTGATTAATTTCCAAAATTTTTGTTTCTATCCCTGAATCACATCTATCTCTATTATGCTGTGATCTTAATGTGAAGTTATGCTCTTAATGTTAAGAAAGGCCTTTAAGCATTTCAATCACTTATCATTGCTGAGATTAGAGACATGTGCATATAAAGGAATGCGACATTATAATATTTGACTGAGCACTCACCAATCCCTAAAATGTGACATCAGTTTAAAGTAATTATTACCTTCAATGGTAAAGAAACCATTAAAAGATAGCTTGGTGGAGAGTGTATTAGGACAGTTCCAAATCTTTATCATGGTGAGGAGAGCAGGTCATCAGCTATTAGGCTTAGCATTTACAAGGTCTTCATTGAATTCTTTGGGGGTTCTACAGGGTCTTTTCATTCTTTCTGTCAAACCTTGAATGTTTTCCACACCTGTGTGACCTCTGGTAGTTGCTCAGTTCAAAACTTCTTGATAATTGTTCTTCCCCAAGTAGTTGTATTCTGCCAGGCCTTGCAGAGTTTTGCCCTGAGCATTTGCAGCTTTTGATTCAGTCAAATTTTCAATACAAATTTCTGGAGCACATAAGGGAAGATATCCACTTTGTCACTCTGTTCAGCACTGCATTGGCAACCCTAGCCAATGAAATAAGACTAGAAAAACAAATAAAAGACGTACGTATTGGAAAGGAATAAATAAAAGACTTTATTCTCAGATGACATAATCGTGTGCATAAAAAATCCTAAGCAAGGCCGGGCACGGTGGCTCACGCCTGTAATCCCAGCACTTTGGGAGGCTGAGACAGGTGGATCATGAGGTCAGGAGATCAAGACCATCCTGGCTAACACGGTGAAACCCCGTCTCTACTAAAAATACAAAAAATTAGCCGGGCGTGGTGGTGGGTGCTTGTAGTCCCAGCTACTCGGGAGGCTGAGGCAGGAGAATGGCATGAAACAAAATCAATATATAAAATATATATATATATAAAATATATATAAAAAATATTTCCAGATACTGACAATAACATTTGGAAAATAATTTTAAAAATAACATTTATAACAGCTCCCAAACATTTAAGATACTAGAGCCAAGTTTAGTGATAGAGATGCAAGATATGTACATGAAAATTACAAACACTACTAAGAGAAATTGAAGACATAAATAAATGGAGAGATGCATCATGTTCATCAATTAAAAGATTCAATATTGTTGTAATGTTAATCCTTTTGAAATTAATCTATGAATTCAAAGCAATACCAACCAAAGTCCTCAAACATTTAAGAATTAAATTGTCACACTGTTTATAAAACCTATATGAATCCAATGGAAAAAGTAAATAGATCAAAAAACAAAAGAGTTCAGAAATAAGCCTATATCTTTACTGATTTCTTTCTTTTATTTATTGTTATTTTTTACTAAAGTTCTAAAGCAATTTAATGGGAAAAAAAAGACTTTTCAACAAATAGTGTTGGATCAACTGGCTACCTATATGAAAATAAATGAACCTCAACCTATAGCTCATGAGACATGCAAACAATTATTTTGAGATGTATCACAGACCTAAACATAATAGCCAAACTATACAGCTTGTTGAAGAAAACAAAGGAAAACATCATCTTGAAATGGTTATAAGCAGTAATTTCCTACACATTAACTATAAAAGAAAAAAAGTGTCAAATAGACTTCATCAAAATTAAAAACTTTGAAAGATTCTGTTAAGAAAGTAAAAAGACGAACCATAGACTGGGAGAAAAAAATATATAAATAATATACATACATAATATATATTATATATTTATATATATCATTATGTAGTATATTATATACTATATAATATATAAATATGTGTAATTATACATTAAAATGTTTATTTTATGTATATAAATTTATACATATTATATATAATATATATAAAACTAATATATATATCAAAACAATCTTAAGAAAAACGAACACACACTATTAGATTGCAAACTTAACATAAAGTTATGATAATCAAGAGAGTGTAATATTAGATTTATAGATATTAAATATGTGATATTTAATAATGGACAAGAATTAAAATCTTATAAAGTTATTGCACAGATTAAATGACACAATGCATGCAAGGTGCCAAGATTGCTGGGTTCATAGTGTATGCTCCATAAGCACGAAGCATCCTTGTACCACTTCTTTTCTCCCTGTTTTTGTTTACTAAATTAGAAAAAATTCAACTCACAATTACAGATTGTTGGGAACAGATGAGTCTGTTGACTCTGTCAGATTCATATTCAACTTGGACCCAGGAACTCTTAAGATTTCTCACTGAAGAATTCAATACTGTGACAGTTCCCAAGTTGACTAGTTTCTCTCACTTGAAGTATGGAAGAAAAAATACCTCAACTTCAGATATTAGGGCAAATGGTTTTCTTTCTTTTTTTTTTTTGGGGGGGCGGGGACGGAGTCTCGCTCTGTCGCCCAGGCTGGAGTGCAGTGGCGCGATCTCGGCTCACTGCAAGCTCTGCCTCCCGGGTTCACGCCATTCTCCCGCCTCAGCCTCCCGAATAGCTGGGACTACAGGTGCCCGCCACCACACCCGGCTAATTTTTTGTATTTTTAGTAGAGACTGGGTTTCACCGTGTTAGCCAGGATGGTCTGGATCTCCTGACCTCGTGATCCACCCGCCTCGGCTTCCCAAAGTGCTGGGATTACAGGCGTGAGGCGCCGCGCCCAGCCAAAGGCAAATGGTTTTCTAATCCAGCCTTTAAAAAAGTTTTGACTGTGGAAAGCATTTCCTAGTTCTCTCTTGCATGTGTTGTTTTGTTTCGCTTTGCTTTGCTTTCCTTTGTTTTGTTTTGATGAGTATTACTCAATACTCATCAATAATACATACTTCCTCATCAATAACACACTATCCATTTCTTTGTCCAATAAGAAAAGGAAATTCTCAAATTGAAGGGAAAAGTAAAGATCTCTGTGATATCAGTTCAGTCTTCTTTTTTAAAATCCTGATATCCTATTCTCAGTAATAAAAATGGTAATATTTTGGCCCCAAACTAACAGGCCACTCTATATAAATGCTGCATATGTTGTTGAAATATATTGCCTAAGCAAGTCACTGGAAATTATATAATTGGTCAAATGAAATTTCCAGCATCAATAGGAAAGTTTTAATATAATTCCTCATTTCAAAATCTCACATTGCCAGTGTTGACTTAACAGCCAGGGAACTTCAGTGCGTAAGAGCAGGGTTGTACAGTTGCTTCCATTTCCTTACACAGAATGTTAAAAAGACATATCAGTCACTGTCATTTAATCATATTTGCACTGTTTATTTCAATATTTCAATCAAGATCAAGTGACATTTTGCTAACCATTAAATACTCTGGGAAAATATAATAACCATAAAGATAAGGAGAAATAGCGTTCTCTAGCAAGTTTCAGTAAAGTTACTGCAGTTTAGCTAATCATTTTGTGAGTTTCATGAATAATCAAGGCTTTAGTGTCTGCCTAAATAGTTTAGAATTTAGAAATAGAGATTTTAAAGAAGGAAAGATCTATGATAGACTCCTTCATTAACCACTAACCTCTGAGATTTCTCTGTTATATGCTCTCATAGCACCATAATGTATGAAAGCTGTATAAATGTAATAAATGTGGGATGTAAATGATGTGTGAATAACATGTAACAGTATTTATGTGGTATTTGTGTATTTATTATTTCTCTTTCCCACTGAACTGGGAGCTCAGAGAGGGCAAGCACTATTTGGTTTCGTGTTCTATAGCCACTGATTAGCAGAGTGCCTTGCACATACTGAGGTTTCAATACACATTTCTTGAACATGTAAATAAGTAAAACAGTTCAAATTAGAATAGAAATATAAGATAAAAATTAATATGAAAATTAAGCTAACCATCTTTCATATAATTGCTAATGAGCTATTAAAAGATTGGCATATAAATTACAGCATTTCAATGTTCTCTTTAACTTATTATTTACCTTTTCCAAAGTTGAACAGATACATTTTATTTTGGCTTATTTAGACTGTACATTGCTTCAATCACATAGGTAACAATAAGTAGAAAGATGTATTATCTCTATTTTGAGCTAAATTGTCCATAAAGATTTTTCTTGAATCAGAATCTTAGCTAACAAATGAAGAAGGAAATCACATAATTAGAAATCACCATTTTTCAAACTATAATAAAATACTGGAGGTAAACAGTGATCATCAATACATACTAAAATAATTAGATGAAAAATTGATGGAGAACATTATAGTAGATGGCTCAGGCTGATAGTACCTGAACCCACTGATCTTAATATCACAAAAAATAGTAACAATTTGACATTTTGTGAGTACTAGTGTGATGTATTAGAACATTCACAACATTATCTGTGAAGTATTTTTGCCAAAATACATCTTATAAAGCCTCTAGATCAAATTTCTGGTTTATAGACGCTACAGGGCATAGAGGAACATGTTAGTGACACTGCAGAATGCAATAACAAAGTCCAGACTATGGGAAATTCTAAAGATTTTTTTCCTCAGAATAAACAGCTCAGTTTCCTCCACAAGTATATGTCAAGGGGAAAAAAGAGGAAGAAGAAACCTGTAGTTTAAAAGATCCTTAAAAGACACATCAACCAAAGGCAATGTGTAAACACTTCTGGATTCTGATTTGAACAAACTGTAAAACAAAACAAATACAAAAATAAGATAATCAGGAAAGTTTGAATACTGGCTGAATATTTGATCAAATTAAGGAATTACTTGTCTATTGTTTTAGGTGTGATAATAGTGGTGGAAATCTTTTAGAGACACACACTGAAGATTTGTGGATGAATGATATGTAGGATTTGTTTCAAAATAATCTAACTGAAGGTAATTAAGGGATGTATAGATAAATTATGTTTGGTCATGTTTGATAATTATTGAGATGGGTTGGTAGGTATACGTAGATGTATTATAATGTTCTTGTTACTTTCATATATGTTTTAATGTTTCCATAATAAACAATGTAAAAAGAAGGAAAAAACAGGCAGAAATGAAGATTGAACAAAGTACAGTGTTGTGATTCAGAATATAGCTCTGGAATCAACTGCCTGAGATTAAATTCCAACTCTACTACTTACCAGCTGAGGGACTATGGTGACTAATAAATCTTCTTGTGCCTCAGTTTCCTCATCTGTACGATGGGGATAATAATGGTACTTGGCTAACAAACTTGCCAAGATTCGGGGAATTAATACATATAAAGCATTTAGAACAGTGAGAGATAAACAGTATGTGCTAATACATGTTAGCTATTTAAAAGCAAAGTTATCCTAATTAGCAATTAGTTTTAAAGCTTAACTGGAAGACTTTTCTTTGTGCCAACTTCAATCACTTGGTAGTAGCTTCCTAGAGTCTTGAGAAGAATATGATTTTGAGACCAAATGTGGACACAGCAAAAAATAACTTACACTTAGGTCTGCAAGGGTGGGAAGAGTGGGTTTATGTGGAGGTATTTATCAACCTCTTTCTATCACAGGCAGTTTTCATAAATTATGGAACTTTGTAACTAAACTAATCTACTTTATCTCTTTCTTTTACTGAAGAGAGACTTGAGTCCAGAGAAGTCAAGTAATTTGCTAAAAATTATACATTTGGCAATTAAATGGTCCCCAGAACCCAGATCTCAAGGTTCCAGTAAGACAAGTGATGTGTCTCATATCTCAGCATTGCATCTGTGGGGAAATTACATTCATTCATGAAACCAATTATGACTATAATTGCAAGGCATCTTATTTTGAGATTTGTAAAGTGGTTCTAAAAATTGAGAAACATAGAAAGAAATCTGTGCAGTGGGGTTGACAAGGGTTGAAGCAGACAACCAGAGCATCACTCCCTGGCTAGCAGGAAATTGAGTCATTCTTCATCATTCATCCTGTTTTGCAAGGTCAAGTTTCCAAAGGATTTTGGAGGTCAAACTGTAGGCAGTAAGGCCTATAAGCCTCTAGGACTCTGGTTGTCTCCCTTATTTGACCCTTCATGGCTGTTGAGACCTATCTGTATGGTCACTCCAAGAACTCAGTAATGACAGTGACACAGATCATTTCTGAGGTCTGTTTGGAGGTATCTGAAAATATCATTGATTTGCCTTGAAACTAAGGCAATATTTGTTTTATTTGAGTGTCCTAACTGTTCACAAGGAACATCCAAAGTAAGCATATTCTTTCCCAGCAACAGTTTTCAAGAAGGACTGTAAATTTCTTGCATTGCCAAGAACAAAGCTTTAATCTGTGAGGCATTTGGGAGGTAAAGAATATTTCAAAGTCATATTCAAACCTCTGTCTTAAAAGTTGTTCTTGGGAGATTTCAGCGGCTGAATTACAGAAATGTTTACAAGGAATTCAAAATCGAAGCTATTATTCAAAACATTGTTTTTCAAAGGTGCTATTGATTAAAATGGGCCTTTACAAAGGTCTATGAAACCCTTTTCATGTCTCCTCACCCTGTAAATTGTTGATGGGAAAGAAAACTATGAAGCAGTTACTACTCATAGAGACCACTGGCACACAGCGAAGCATTTTCTAAACTAAGCAGCAATTTCAAAAGATTTTACTGTCTTATAAACGTTTCCCAATGGCAAATATGCTTGCAAGAGAACCATTGTTCTAGCAATGATTGAACTATTTACAGTCTCTCTTGACATCATGTCTCTCTACATATCCTTTCAGACATTTGTCACTATTCTTTGCTACTACGATAAAATTTGATAAGCAATAATTTATAAAAGGTTTGTTGCAATGTGCAATCTCAAACTATACCTATAAACTTTGCATGCTCTGTTACATTAAAATCCACTTGTCTGTCTTGCACTTTGAGGAGACCTTTCACTCATGTCTGATTTTGTAACATTATACGTTGGTAATTTGGAACATACTGGTTTACCAAGTTATGCAGATCTTCCAAATGCTGACGCAAAATCACAGTTATTAATATCACTGCCAATTTCATCAGAAAAGTTTTTCAGTATTGGGAAGCTGTCAAACTCATGGTGGTGGATAACATTTTCCAAGATTCTAATTTTCTCTTGAAAACTTCAGTTTTATCATTGGCAACAGATACTTATTTTCCCTGAAGTGACAGACTCATATCATTCATTTTTGAGAAAATGTCTGCCAAATACCCAAGTCTGAATAACTGTAGTCTGTCATTGCTTCATTCAAATAATAAAAAAGAGTTTATAGAGTGGTCTGTTCAGCTCACAATTCAAATACTCACACAAGTGCTTTTCCTTGAAAATATGAAACTAGCATATTTCTCCATGTAGCAGAAGTACTTTATATGTATTTCTCAGTTCATTATATAGAATATTTAAAAATTCATTTGCTGACTTTGCTTGTTTTGTTTGGTTAGGTTTTGGGGAGGTTTTGGTGGGTTTTGTTTTTGTTTTTGTTTTGTTTTTACTGTATGTATGCGGCAGTGGATAATGTGGTGACTACTAGTACAGTTTGGTGCCCTATGTCGATTCATGCTGAAGGACTAGCAGTTTTATCCAACAATGGTTTTGCATCATCGGTGCATTATTATTAAAACAGTTTTGACCTCATGGACCTCCTGATAGAGTTGCAAGGACCTCCAGGGATGTGCTGATGACACTCTGAAAACTGCTGCCTTATACAATGACCCTTGTATATTCATTCTGACAAAATAGGATTTGAAATAAAGGTATAATAAGGAAAGAGTACAGGAGATAGGCAAGGAAAAAAGTTTTAGCTTAGGTTCTAAAAATGAAAGAGTCTTAATTTCTACTTAAGTTGTGTCAAAAGTAACTTAATGAAAGATACTTAAGGGAGTTGATCTTAGGGATATGCTATAAAGCTAATCATTGCAGTTCAGTGGTAAAATGAAGGAATAAAGTTAACAAAAACCTAACATAGAATAAAAGATTAAATTTAAAATTATAAAAGGATTTTGCATCTGAAACATGGAAAATGCATTTTGATTTCTCACGATTTTATTTCCTCTCTACTATGCAGTAATCTTGATTTGACAATATTTCACTGGACAAATTTTGGAAAGGACTCCGTGTTCTTGTCCAGTATATAAGAATAACAATTCCTTATTTTAGAATTGTACTTTAACATTTCAAAGAAATGTAAACTCTGTAGCTTTAATTTAACAGCATTGAGTAGCAACTCTACTACCAGCCTCAGAATTGTGGGAAAATTTACTCCCAAAGTAATGTAGCAAATAATAAAATTTTGAATGCAAATGTATGTAGTATGATACAACAGGTGTGTGAATCAAATGAAAAGTACATTTTTGCACATCGACACATTTAATATTCATTTAAAATGCTTGGTTTTGAAGGGAATTCTAAGTTGAAACTTTGTCAACCTTGTAATTACTTTCTATTTTTTAAACATTTTACTGGTGCTTTTATAAACGTAAAGAATTTTTCTTGTAGAAAATATAGCAGTCATTTTATATTTTTTCTATAAGAACAAGGGGAAAATAGGTCAATAAAACATCTTAATCCCATGTTACCATTTTGTATGTTATGGATTTTTTTTATTAGAGAAAAATACACATTTACAGTAGAAAATTTGGGAAATATTCAAATAAAAACTGATATAAGAAAAAGAAATCATAAAATATGATAAAATTTCTCTCTCATTAAACCAGTTAAACAGTCAATGGAAATAAAAACATAAAATAGTCATTTTTTTTATAATCATTGCCTTCAAGTAGGCCAGGTAGAAGCTTTATTTTCTATCTGATACTGATATATAGGGGAGGACACAAAGCTTCGCCATGTTAAACTCACAGCTATGTAGACATTGAAGCCTGCTGCCACCAGGGCTTACCAGATGAACACAGGACCTAGAGTCTCCTGAAGAGGTCATTCCCTACAGCTTCTCCTCCTTCACTCTTTTCTACCACTTGCCAACTATAGTCACTGCTAATATTCTTTCACTCTATTTTTGCTCTTGTTTGATCTCTCTATACAGAGTATATCTTAATATTATCTAAGTACTTTTCTCATGCCTTTAACCTTTTTTGAGCACCAATTTACTAACTACATATTATGCCATCTATCATATGATTACTTTATAATTTCTCTTTATTGTTAGAATAACTTTGTTTTATAAATCTGACTTTCATACATCAGATTTTGTTTAAACAGGGCACACTCAAGCTGTAATGAAACCCTATCATTCCCTTCTATGCATCACTACTTCCCTATATAATTTCAATTGGGCTGCAATGGTTCAGATTGAATGTTGTATAATAAAAAATATGTCTGGCCTTTGACCTTGGTTTCTGGAAAGGGTCTTCTAAACCCTTGAAATTTCCCAAGTGACAAAAGTGTATTTGTTATCCCTGGTGAGCACCTGAGACCACATTGAGTTTATGCCAATGAGATGACTCATGGTGGGCTCCTAGATAGTTTCAGGATGGGGGCTGGCCATACCAGAAACACTAACCAAGTCATTAGAGTGTTGGAGCTTTGAGCCACATGATATCAGCTTGACTTCCAAGGAGGGAAGGGTGTTAGAGAATGAGTTTAATCGTATAGTCAATGATTCTATCTATGAAATAAAACCCCCAATAAAAACTCTAGACAATGATGGTCAAGTGAGATTCCTAGTTGGCAATACACAATGATGTGTCAGGAGGATGATACATCCAGAGGACATGGAAACTTCACATTTGAGACCCTCTCAAACTTTTTTTTTTTTTTTTTGAGATGGAGTCTCACTTTGTCGCCCAAGCTGGAGTGCAGTGGCACGATCTCGGCTCACTACAAGCTCCCCCTCCCGGGTTCACGCCATTTTCCTGCCTCACCCTCCCCAGCAGCTGGGACTACAGGCGCCTGCCACCACGCCCGGCTAATTTTTTGTATTTTTAGTAGAGACGGGGTTTCACCGTGTTGGCCAGGATGGTCTTGATCTCCTGACCTCATGATCCGCCCGCCTCCGCCTCCCAAAGTGCTGGGGTTACAGGCGTGAGTCACCGCGCCCGGCCTCAAACCTCATCTTATAGGTTCCTTCTTTTGGTTGTTCCTGATTTTTATCCTTTATAATAAAACTGTAACCATGAGTATAACAGTTTCCTCAGTGCTGTGGGTCATTCCAGTGAATTATAGAACTTGAGGGACTAGTAGGAAGCCCCAGATTTGTAGCCAGCTGATCAGAAGTGCCAGTTTCCTGGGAATCACAGACTTTGCAGCCAATATCTGATGTGAGGACACCTGTGGGGTCTGTGCCCTTAATCTGTGAAGTCTGCATTAACTATGAGTGGTTAGCTTCAGAATTGCTTTGCAGTAGGCATGCGTTTATCTATTAGGCTTTGGGATATTCAGTTGTGGGAAGCCAGTCAATTGGTGTTATTTTCTGGAAAAAAAAAATATCCGTTGTCCTCTTTTTTTTTCTCAATCTGTCTCCGCACCACTGCATCCCTCACCCTCTCCCACATAAAACATAATGTTTCGAGTGGGCTTTTGAACCTCTCATTTTGTCTGCCCTAGAATGAAAAGCATTACCAGTTAGATACCAAAAAAATCCCCGTCCCCCAAAATTTTGACCAAATGTGGTACTTTTCTTAAAGAAGTCCTATAGTCTCAAAGTGTTGAGCCAAGTGTGTGTACATATGTATGATGTATGTATATATGAGGTGTGTGTGTGTATGATGTATGTATATTGGTGTGTGTGTGTGTAAATTCTGAGAAATAAGTTGCCAATGGTTTTCTCTGAAGTTTTAACTTTACATGGCAGCAGAATATGGGATTTTTGGCTATAAATCCCATCTA
The DNA here is from genome assembly GCF_000001405.40 of Homo sapiens. Lineage (NCBI taxonomy): Eukaryota > Metazoa > Chordata > Mammalia > Primates > Hominidae > Homo > Homo sapiens. Next base: position 170,915,441 of record NC_000001.11, read on the forward strand.
ATATAAGAGTTTTTCTAGTTCATTTCAGAGATATCCGGCTCTGGACCTTCCTGGGAATTATGCTGATATCTTCACCAGCCAGAACCACTACCAACACCGGCCGGATGTGTGCCTGCATCATTCCAGATGCAGGCAAAAAAACTCTAGCACAGCAAATCTGCACTGTCCCAGGGAAGGTGACGAAGTCTCCACAGATGAGGAGAAATTCCCAACTTGAATCAACAATAGGCTTCTCCCCATGTTGAGAACAGGCTAAGAGCTTGGTCTTGAGCATTTATTTTTAATATCACAAGTTTTCATACATCTGGAAAGCAGGGTTATTGATGGATGTGCCCTACAGATCCTCTTTGTAAGCAAAGGATAAGTTGGCCTGATGTGTTGCTATAAGCACTCATAACTCAGAGCATGTCACACAGAAAACAAATAGCTATATAGCCAGATGCACATGTGGAAAGGCCTGTGTCTATGCCTGGGAAGGGACACCCCATTACCCATCTGGTTTAACAGTCTTTGTAAAGTCTTGCTTTAGTAGAGACTCTAACAGGTTAGTAGATAAATCTGCTCAGGACAAATTTTTGACATGGTCCAAATTTTTATGGGATCTGTAGGGAAATTTCCCAGGGTGGCTCTCAGTAATTAATGTTTCCTGAGAGGATGTACCTAGCTGGAAATGATGACTTGGGGTTCTGTTTATTTATCTGATCTGACTCAGTGAACAAAGACACCTCACCCTGAAGCTTGAATGCAGGGAAGAAAGAGGGAGCAAGCAGACTCTCGTGTTCTGATGTGAAATGAAGAGACCAATTGTCTCTGATTACAGCTCCTCATTTTGGAGACTGATAATAATGTGTATAGATAGATCCCTGAGGAAAGTGAATATTTGAGAAGTAGGGAGAGGAAAAGGAATCACTGCAGGAGACCACACAGGCAGAGAAGTCAGAAGAGAGCCAGGGGAAAAGGACAAATGAGCTTTATGAAGGAATATGCTTCCATAGTGTTTAATGCAAAAGTGGCGTCAAGAATGATGTGCAGTGCAACATGTTCCCTTCCTTTGGATACACTAATCATGGAGATATTTGGCCAACCTTAGCAAGTGAATTTTTAAGTGAATAATAGAGGTAAGAGACAGATTCTGGGAGCTGAGCAGCAACTGAGAATCAAAGCATGGATGGAGTGAGTATGGGTGAATCTTCCTAGAATCTCTAGGCCTAGAGTCTGTCGTCATGCCCGGGATGATTCTGGCCTTCCTCCCTGGCAAACTAATAAACTAATAACTAGTTGCTTAAAAAAAAAACAGGAATTCTGGTTTCCTTCATTTAGTTCTATCGAATATGGGGAGCATTAAAGTAAATTATCCAGGTAACTCTTATTTATCCAGAATCTTATTGGAATGAATCTGCATTCCAATACTTTTTCTAGAGATTGTCACTTTCTCTTCATGTGTGTCCATCTGGGCTAGGGAGGATTATGAACTCATTCTCCCAATAAATAAACTCATGTTTTAAAGGCCCATTGGAAAAAGTTCTTGAAAAACATTGTAATGAGTTAAGTGTAAATGAATCAGAAACACAAGGATTGTATTTCCCTGGAAATACACATGGGATGATAAGTAAAAAAGAGAAAATTTTCCACCTTAGGTCTTTACGAAACAATTGAAATGTGATGCCAAGAAATGATAATCTGTTTTTCCAGTATTCAAATATCATTAAAATTCCCTGCCTTTCTTTTTCAGGCATGTAATAAAAAATGTTTGATACTCAACTGCTTCCTCCACCCTGAAGTGTGACTTTATTAATTCAATTAACTAATGTCCAGTATTTCTTCCCATTTTGTAAACTAAAGGGGCATACAGAGTCTTACAAGAAGAACTGATGTAGCAATGGGAGAAAAGCAGTGCTTACAAAGCACAAATGAGCTCTAATAAGCTGTGCTCAGCGGCTTCTCTCAGGGTTCATATGAGATTATGTTACCACTCAAAGTTAACAGAAAGAAGTTTCTATCCACGATGAAGCTTGCTTTTCTGGAGGCAAAAACGTGTGGGTGAGGCAGGAAGGGAAGGGAAAGGAAGGGAAGGGAAGGGAAGGGAAGAGAAGGGAAGAAATGGGAAGGGAAGGGAAGGGGACACAGTATTGCCTGCTGGTTCACTAGTATCATTTGTTTTATTAAAAGTCAAACCCTTCCTTTCCCAGATATTGTAATAATGGAAAAAGAAACATTTGGTGCCTGGGCTTGGGTAATGAAGTACATCAGTTAGCTTTTCCAGTGTCACAAACCACACCAAAATTTAGTACCTTAAAGCAATAAAGATTATTTTTCACTATCCCATGGGTTGCCTGGTAGGTTTTTTGAGTTTGGGCTGGTTGATCAGGGGCTTGATGGTTTAGGGTGGCCTTATTATAACTCTGCATTATGGGTGATTTTATTGTCTCTTTCTTACTTTCCTACATGTTCCAAATTATGTATATTAAATATCCTTTTTGTAAGTATTCTTTTTTATAAGGAGCTAATTTTTATGTATTTTTCTTTAACACTTATATAATTAGATTCATGATGTACATAGTTTTATATTGTGATTCTATTTAGTAAAAGTTACATCATTAGAGTTTCCCCCATCTTAAAAATTTCTATGGTCTGAATGTGTCCTTGAAAATTCTTATGTTAGAAACTTAATTCCCAATGCAACATTGTTGGGAGGTAGGGTCTTGTGGAAAGTGTTTAAGTCATGAAGGCTCTGCCTTCATGAATGAATGAGTTTCATTAAAAGGGCTTAATGGAAGTAGTCCATTCCTTTTGGCCCTTCTACCTTCTGCCATGTGAGGACATAGCAAGAAGGCTGTCACTAGACACCAGATGCCAGAGCCTTGATCTTGGACTTCTCATCCTCCAGAATTATATGAAAATAAATTTCTGTTCTTTCAAAAATACCCGATCTCAGGTAGTTTGTTATGGCAGCACAAAACAGATTGAGACCAAAATTCTCCAAAACTTAATTTTAATGACTGCATTATAGTCTTTAACTATGCTTCATAATTGAGGTAACCATTTATTTTGTTGATACTTCTATTGTTCCTAAGTTTCACAATATAAATAATACTGTTATAAATGTCTTTATTTTAAAAAATTTGAATCTCTATTCTAGTTTCTTGAAATGTAATTATTGAGTCACAGGGTGTGAACTCTCCCAGGACTCTTGATTTATATTTCCAAATTCAGGAAAAATGAAACGTGTGTTCCCACGAGGCAGAGTCTGAGTATGAACCACACAGTGCTCTCCTGCAGCACTGCTATGAACACACATTGTGATGAGCAAAAAAAGAAAGAAAAAAGGAGAAGGGTGTTTTCTTTGTTTTAATTCTCATCATTTTAATTGTTGGTCAGGTTGAACATTTTTAAATATACTTATTAGCCTTTCGTTTTTTCATAAATTATATCTATATGACTTTTAACATTTTCATATTGTATGTTAGTCTTTGATATCACTAATTTGTAAGGCCTCTTATAAAAGACTATTGACCCTGTTTTTCATATCTGCGGTGCATTTTCTTCCAGTTTGTTATTAACCTTTTATGTTTTTTGTCATATTTCAAATTTGTATGTGCATAAATCTACCAATATTTTCCCCTTTGAATTTTTCCATTATTTTAATACTCAGAAGTAACTTTATTCATTCAGAGATCAGAAATTTACTCGTTTTCTGCTGTTTTAAAAAAATTTATCTCTTTAATCCAGCTTGAATTTCTTTTGCTAGACTATGCAATTGCAAGCTGTAAGCTGATTTTCCCCCAAATAATTATTTTTTTCTGCACTCTTTGTGGACTAATCCATACATTCTCCAGGATCTTATGATGTATCTTGTATTATAAACTAATTTCTTATATCCAATTGTCCTCTCAACATCTCTAAAAGGACATCTATGTGACTAACATATGAAACTAAATTTCTTACCTTCTATAAAATCCTTGCTCCCCACACAGGAATGGAATATCCACCCTTGGATTTGCTCATGACCCCTTCTTCTCTCACATCTTCATATTTGACCTACTAGCTAAAGTTCTACTTTCAAAATAAAGTTAGAATCTGACCATTGTGCCTACCTGCACTGCTTCTACTCTGGTCCATCACCATCACCTCTTGCCTGAATTATTAGAATCATTTCATAACCAGTCTATGTACTTCTGCATTAGGTCAGTTTTAGATTATTTTCAAGACAGCAACAGAATTATATGTAAGATTACATATTTCCTCCACCTGAAGTCCTCAATAATTTCACTTCTTACCCATAAGAGTGAAGTACATATAATTGACTATGAGGTTCTCCTTTCACTTCCTCTCTTAATACTTGATATGCTTTTGCTGTGTCCCCACCCAAATCTCATCTTGAATTCTCATGTGTTGTGGGAGGGACCCAGTGGAAGGTAATTGAATCATGGGGGCAAGTCTTTCCCATGCTGTTCTTGTGATAGTGAATAAGTATTACGAGATGTGATGGTTTTATAAAGAGGAGTTCCCCTGCACAAGCTCTCTCTCTTTGCCTGCTGCTATCCATGTAAGACGTGACTTGCTCCTCTTTGCCTTCTACCATGATTATGAGGCCTCCCCAGCCATGTGGAACTGTAAATCCATTAAACCTCTTTCTTTTGTAAATTTCCCAGTTTTGGGTATGTCTTTATCAGCAGCATGAGAACAGACTAAGACAATACCTCACCCTTTATGTCCAACAACAATGGTCTTCATGACCATCTTTGAGAAGTTCAAGTATGCTCTGATATCAGAGCCTTAATACCTGCTGTTTTCTGTACGTGAAATACCTTTCCACCAGCTATATGTGTAGCACTCACCCTCACTTCCTCTAGGTTTCTTAAATGCCACTCTCTTGGTGTAGCCTTGGCTACCCACATTATTTTAAATTGCAAGTTGGGAACCTCATATTCTTTCCCACAGTAGATCCCAAAGGGGCCCAGTTTCAGCTCTAGACCCTCATGCTGCATGAAGGGCTGGTATGTTCCTCCTGGGAGATGCACACCCTCTAAGCCAGTGAGACTGGGCTCTCCAGCCTCTGTCCCACAACATATCCCAATGGGACCCAGTCTCAGCTCTAGCTTCTCATGCTGCATGAAGGGCTGACAGGTTCCTTCTGGGAGAGACATGACCTCTAAGCCAATGAGACTGGACTCTTCAGCCTCTGCCCTACAGCAGATCCCAACAGGGACCAGTCTCAGCTCCAGCCCTCCTGCTGCAGTCAGAAAACTATCCCTTTTATGCAGGGACCTGCTGGTAGACAACATGCCTATCTGAGCCAATGTGATAGGTATCCCAGCTTCTGTCCCTCAAGAAGGCCCAGTTTCAGCTCCAGCCTCTTCTGTTGCAGTCAAGGTATTACCTTGCTTGTGCAGAGACCTTCTGAGACAATGATGGAGATGTGTGACCTTTTGCACAAAGAATTCAAAATAGTTGTTTTAAGGAAGTTCAGCAAACTTCAAGGAAACAGAGAATCAATTGAGACACTTATCAGATAAATTAATCAGAGAAATTTAAATAATTTTTTAAAAAACAAAATACAAATCCTGGAACTGAAAAATACAGTAAATGAAATAAAAAATGCAATCAATAGCAGAGCTGATCAAACAGAAGAAAAAATCAGGGAGCTCAAAGGCAGATTATTTGAAAATACATAGTCAGAGGAGAAAAAAGAATAAAGAATAAAAGGAAATGAAGAAAGTTTATGGGCTCTATGAGACAACATAAAAAAGCAAATATTTGGGTTATTGGAATTAAAGAAGGAACTGAGAAAGAAAAAGAGAAAGCTTATTCAAAGAAATAATAACCAAAAACTTTCCCAATATGGAGAAAGATATAAATATGCATGAATAGGAACATTAAAGGTCACCAATCAAATTCATAAGAATACCTTAAGGCATATTGTAATCAAAACTATAAAGATCAAAGACAAAGAGAGGATTCTGAAAGCAGTGACAGAAAAGAAGCAAATAACATATTTTAAAAAGCCAATGTGCCTGGCAGCAGACTTCTTGGCAAAATCCTTACAGTCCAGAGAGAGTGAAATGATATATTAAAAGAGCTGAAAGAAAAATACTGTCAACCAAGAATACTGTATTCAACAAAGCTATCATTCAGAAATTAAGGAGAGATAAACAGTTTACCAGACAAACAGAAGCTCAGAGAGTTTGTAGCTACCAGACTGGTCCTACAAGAAATGCTAAAGCAAGTTCTTCAAACTGAAAGGGAAGAATGCTAATTTGACTGTTAAACTAATGTTGTAACTGTGCTGTTTAAGCCACTTATATCTTTACTAAGAAGACTAAAAGAGAAAACTGTTAAAAGTAATGGCCACAACAATTTGTTAGGAGATAGGCAATATAAAAAATACAAATTGTGACATCAAATACTCATAATGTGGAGAAAGAAGTAAGTTATTGTATACAGGATCTTATGTGGTTGTTTTTTTCTTTTTTTGTGACCAAAGTTAAGTTAGTATCACTTTTAAATAACTTGTTATTATAGGACTTTTGTGTAAGCCTCATGACAACCACAAAGCAAAAACCTATAATACATACATTAAAAATAAAAAGTAACAAATTAAAACATACTACCAGAGAAATTTACTTAACCCACAAAGGAAGACAGAAAGGAAGAGAGCAAGAGTGGAGTTATAAAACAACTAGAATACAAGTAACAAAATGGCAGTAGTAAGTCCTTACCTATCAATAATAACATTGAATGTAATTGAACGTAAATGGATTAAATTATCCAATTAAAAGACATACAGTGGCTGAATAGATTAAAAAACAAAATCCAGTTCTATGCTGCCTACAAGAAACTTAATTCACCTATAAAGACAAAAAGATTGAAAGTGAAGGGATGGAAAAATATATTCCATGTAAATGGAAACTAAAATAGAGCAGAAGTAATTATACTTCCCTAGACTTTAGGTAAAAAGGAGTAAAAAGAGACAAAGAAGGTCATTATATAATGTAAAGGGGTAAATTCAGCAAGAACATATAATGATAGTAAATATATGTACACCCAACAATGGAGCACCCAAATATATAAAGCAAATGTTAATAGATATAAAGAAGAAGATAGGCTATAGTACAATAATAAGAGGGGACACCAGCTGGGCATGGTGGCTCACACCTGTAATCTCAGCACTTTGGGAAGCTGATGTGGGTGGATCACCTGAGGTGAGGAGTTTGAGGCCAGCCTGGCCAACATGGCAAAACCCTGTCTTTACTAAAAATACAAAACTTAGTTGGGCATGGTGGCGCACAACTGTAGTCCCAACTACTTGGGAGGCTGAGTCAGGAGAATTACTTGAACCCAGGAGGCGGAGGTTGCAGTGAGCCAAGATTGTGCCACTGCACTCCAGCCTGGGTGACAGAGTGAGACTCTGTCTCATAATAACAATAATAATAATAATAATAATAATAATAATAATAATAATAGGGGACACCCCACTTTTGGCAATGGACAGATAATTCAGGCAGAAAATCAACAAATAAATATGAGAATTAAACTGCACTTTAGATCAAATGGGCATCATAGACATTTACAGAACATTTTATCCAACTGCTGCAGAACACACATTCTTCTCATCAGCACATGAAACAGTCTCCAAGATAAACCACATGTTAGGCCATAAAACAAGTCTCAACAAATTCAAAAAAGTCAAAATTATATTAAGTATATTTTGTTACCACCGCAGAATAAAATAAGAAATAAATAACAAGAGAAATTTTTGAAAACTGTGTAAATACATGGAAATTAAAGAACATGCTTCTGAATGTCCAGTGGTCAATGAAGAAATTAAAAGGAAACTAAAAAATTTCTTCAAACAAATGCAAATGGAAACATAGCATACCAGAACCTATGGGACACAGCAAAAACAACACTAAGAGAGAATTTTATAGCAATAAATATGTACATTTAAAAAACAGAAAGACTTCAAGTAATGCACCTCAAGGACCTAGAAAAGCAATAAAAAAACCAAAGCCAAATTTAATAAGAAAAAATAAGTAATTAAGGTCAGTGCAGAAACAAATGAAATTGAGACTAAAATATAAAAGATCAATGAAACAAAAACTTCGTTTTTTTGAAAAGATAAACAAGATTGAAAACCTTTATCTAGACTAAGAAAAAAAAGAGAGAAAACCCAAATAAATAAAATCAGAGATTAAAAAGGAAACATTATAACTGGTACTACAGAAATACAAAGGATAATTATAGACTACTATGAAATACGAAGGATAATTATAGACAACTATGAACAACTATATACCACCAAATCAGAAACCTAGGAGAAATTGATAAATTCCTAGATACTTACAAACTACCAAGACTGAATCATTTAAAAATAGAAAATATGAACAGACCAATAATGAGCAACAAGAGCAAAACAGTCTCCAATGAAAGAAAACCCTAGGACCTAATGGATTCACTGCTGAATTCTACCAAACATGTAAAGAACTAATACCAATTATACTTTAATTATTTCAAAAAATTGTAGAGGAGGGACTATTTCCAAACTAATTCTCTGAGGCCAGCATTACTGTGATACCAAAACCAGAGAAGAACATCCCTCAAATCAAACAAATAAACAAACAAACAAACAAAATACAAAACACTAGAGGCCAACATCCCTGATGGACATAGATGCAAAAATTCTCAACAGAATATTAGGAAACCAAGTTCAACACACATTAAAAAGATCACTCGCCAACACATGGACACATAGAAAAGAACAACACACACTTGGGCCTTTTGGAGGGTGGAGAGTGGGAGGAGGGAAAGGATCAGGAAAAACAACTAATGGGTGCTGGGGTTAATACCTGGGCGATGAAATAATCTGTGCAACAAACCCCCATGACACAAGTTTACCTATTTAACAAACCTGCACTTGTACTCCTGAACTTAAAAGTTAAAAAAAAAAATCACTCATCATGATAAAATGAGATTTATCTTAGGGATACAAAGATGGTTCAACATGTGCAAATCAATAAACATGATACACCACATCAAAAGAATGAAGGATGAAAACCATATGATCATTGCAATAGATGCTGAAAAGGCATTCAATAACATTCAACATTCCTTTATTATAAAATTTCTCAGCAAGTTGAGTATAGAAGAAACATGATATAGGCCATTTATGACAAACCCACAGCTAATATCAGACTAAACAGAGAAAAATTGAAAGCCTTTCCACTAATACATAGAATGGGACAAAGATGCCCACTTTCACCACTTCTATTCAACATAGTACTGGAAGTCCTAGCCAGCATTTAGGTGAGATAAATGATGTGGTTTGGCTGTGTCTGCACCCAAATCTCATCTTGAATTGTAGCTCCCATAATTCCCTCATGTTGTGAGAGGGATCCAGTGGAAGATAACTGAATCATGGGTTGCCTCATACTGTTCTTGTTGTAGTGAGTAAGTCTCACAAGAGCTGATGATTTTATAAGGGGAAACCCCTCTTGCTTGGCTCTTATTCTCTTCTCTTTTCTGCCACCATGTCAGATGTGCCTTTCACCTTCTGCCATGATTGTGAGGCCTTCCCATCCACGTGGAACTGTGAGTCCATTAAACCTCTCTCTTTTACAAATTGCCTAGTCTTGTGTAGGTCTTTATTAGCAGTGTGAAAATGGACTAATACAAGAAATAAAGGACATCTAAATTAAAAAGAAAGAAGTCAAATTATCATCGTTGGTAGACAACGTGATCTTATATTTAGAAAAACCTAAAGACTCCACTAAAAAACTCTTAGAGAATTTATTTAACTCTTAAATGAAATTAGTAAAGTTGCAGGATACAACATCAAAAATCAGTTACATTTATATACACTACCAGCAGTCAACTTGAAAAAGAAATCAAAGCAGCAATCCCATTTACAATTACCCATAGTTTTGCTTTCTGTAGTTTCAGTTGCCTGTGGTCATTCGTGGTTCAAAAATAATTAACTGCTGTATAATAAGATACTTTGAGAGAGAGAGACAGAGAGACAGAGAGAGGGAGAGACCAAGTTTACATAAGTTTTATTTCAGTATATTGGTATGTTTGTACTATTTTATCATTCGTTGTTGTTGATCTCTTACTGTGCCTAATTTTTAAATTAAACTTTATTGAAGGTAAGTATGTATAGGAAAAAAAACATGGTATATATATGGTTCAGTACTATCCATGGTTTCAGATACTCACTGGGGAGATCTTGGAACATATCTCTCACAGATAAGGGGGAACTACTGTATGATAATGTTTTATGGACTTTTTTTTTCTATTTTGCACTAAAAGAATTTCATTCTAAATTCTTAATCTTTTCTAACGTTTGCCATGTCTAAACGAAAATACAACATAACTAGTATCCCTCCTGCCAAATTTCCACATCTCTGGAAGGATAACTTAGAGAATAAAATCCTATTACTTGGGGAGTTTTATTTAATGTGAGGGTAGGATGTATTTTTTTTGACAAAATTAGGCATAATTATTTAGTTGTAGTTTTAAAGAAATATTCTTGTTAATTATTAACGAAACTGTAAAAATAAATATAAAAATCAAATACAATCGAACTATACTATAATGCACATGCTGGGGATAGGGTCAACGTCTTACTTTTTAGTTGGTTTTTCTATTAGATATTGTTTTATATTAGGAATTGTTTTTAGCAGAAAATAAATCGTTCTACCAAAAGGGCATGTGCACTCACATGTTCATCACAGCATTATTCACAATAGGAAAGACACGGGATCAACCTAGGTGCCCATCGGTGGTGGATTGGGTAAAGAAAATATGGAACATATGCTACGTATACACCATGAAATACTACACGGCCATAACAAAGAACAAAGCCATGTCCCTTGCAGCAACATGGATGCAGCAGGAGACCATTATCCTAAGTGAATTAGCACAAATACTGCATGTTCTCGCTTATCAGTTGGAGCGAAATATTGGGTGCTCATGGACATAAAGATGAAAACAATAGGCACTCTGAACCACTACAGAGGGTAGGGAGGGAAGGGTAAAAGTTGAAAAACTAATTACTGGGTACTATGCTCACTACCCAGATGATCAGATCAATCTCAGTCATACCCCAAACTTCAGCATCGCATAATATACTCATGTAACAAACCTGCACATGTACCCCTGGGATCTAAAATAAAAGTTGAAATTATTCTTTTAAACAAGAAATGATCCAAAAAAGAATGGTTTTTTAGCATCACATACTTACCATTTCTATACTAAATACTAGGTAAGAAAGAATCAGAATGGTTTCTACTCATCTTAGACACGTCCTTTCCATTTTGATGCATGATTAAAAAATAAATAAAGAGAAAAAATGGGAGAACTTGAGAGGAGAGGGCACACATTTTTGTGGGGGCAGTTTATAAGCTTGGAAAATGTTGACATCTTAGCAGCTTCAAATAAATAGAAAGCAATGCCCCATTTCCCTCTCCTCATCCTTCCTGCCCTGTGCCCTCCCCCAATGCCTTCCTGCTCCCTCAAGCGCCCACCATTGAGTCCAAAGAGAGTTGCCTCTCTAGATCCTCAATACACTCTTGAGATTCACCATGAAAGTGCATCAAAAAGTATTTTATCATGAGATCTGGAAATAATTTTCTAAAGAATGTATAATACTGTATGTGTATCATGTAAAATCACAGCCATAGAAACTGTTACTTTGGAAAAATAAGCTGTATATCTAAATATGATCTGCTCTTTTTAAAATTTTTTCTAGTAATAATGCTTGTTACTTGCTCATTTATTTTGTAAAGCAGATAATTATGACACCAAAGATTTAAGCAAAACTAATGAAAGTATAATTTTGAACTAAGATATTCTTTCTGTTTGACTTTCATCTGCAAATTAGGAAAGGTCATCATTATTTAATTATGTCAGTGATCAACCTCATGGATCATTGCCACAGAAAGCAAGAGGAGCTCACTGTGATCTTAACGCCTCAGGACACATGGTGTTCTGCTAATATACGTTAGTAGATGCTATAGGACAAAAGGCTTCCATAATCAAATGAGATTGGAAAATGCTAGGTTAAAGAAAGTTAAATACATTTATTTACCACAGGGATACTGTGCAACTTTAGTATGCTAATTTTCAATATGAATTTGCAAAAAGAGGCAGTGACCATAGAATCCTTTGTTCATGGAGCATATTTTTTAAACTGGAAGTCACATAGGTAAATTTTCTCTAATCACATCAGAATGTGACTATTGGAGGAAAAAAGAACACTCTAATTTCCTATTACAACTTGTCATATCACATTACACCTAAATTCATCTGAGAGAAACAGAATTTTAGGAAGTTAAGCATGAGAAAACCATAGCAACATTATTTATTTACTCATTTATTTTCTCTTATGTCAATATGTATTGTTGGAGTTCAATAAGCAAATAATAAGATTTGCCACCAGAGAATAAAGAAGCAGTAGCTATGAAGCGTTGGAAGAGAAGAAATCAGCCATGGGCAATAGATCCAATTTACTATGCAGAAAGCATGAGGTATGTGAAAAACGGAGTGTATGTATGTAACTACATGTACGTAAGTGTATAAATATAAAAGTATATACGTATGTAAGTATATAAGAATAATAATCTAAGAAGAACTGAGTGAGAATGGCCAGCTGAAAGAAAATTCTTAGCTTACACTTGGGGAAACACAGGTAAATGTTTCTAGTAGGAGAGGAGGAGAGTGACCTCTTGTGTTCAGGACCTCCCTTATTTCACTTCAGTATCCTCCTCTTCCAGAACTTCACACAATGTCATTCCTATATGTAAGGTGATCAAACATTAGAATGCATCGGTAAAGGTTATTTTTCTAATTTTGACTATTCACAAATAAGTTCCACTAAGATTAAATCTAGTATAGTTCCATAGTTCTATCAGTTAGGCTTATGTTTTTCTACAAGTGCTAAAAGCTTAACATAGCAGATTAGAAATTTATTTATCTCAGGTGAATGAAGTCCAGACTGAGCAAGTTTGGACAAGGATGAGCAAAGTTGAGCAAGGCTGGCAAGTCAGTTTCATGATCATTAAGGCCCTTAGCACAGGGCTTCCACCTCATTATCCAGGCCGCAATTTTGTCTGTCTGCTGCAGCCAACAGAAAAAAAGATAGAGGAAAAGGAAAACAAAGCAAGGAGGCGTCCAAGAATTTACACATGAGCCATGGTCACGAGGCTTATTCCAAGCAGTCATATACTCAGCTAAACACTGGGGACTCTATAATATAGAAGAAGGAGAAAACACCACAGTAGTTAATAAATCTTCATTAAAGAAGGTAAAACTATATGAAAAACTGCAAGAGAATGGCCAGCTAGAAGAAAATGCTTAGCTCGCATCTTGGGAAGTGCAGTCAAATGATTTTAGTAGGGACATCTGAATATCTCAAAAACACCATTCAAAGAAAGAAATTTCACTGCCTTTCTCATCTCTCTTCTTTCTTACCCTCTTCAACCCAAGTTAGGGAGTGCAGAGGAATCAAATAAGAAAAAGAAGACAAACATACCTCACCCACTTCTGGAGGCTGCCTGACTGCAGCCATGCCTAGTTTGGACAAGGAAAATGTAATTTTGAGTGAAATACATTGTGTTATTATACAAAAAGGGACTGTTATAATTATTAAATTGTGATTATTCTGCTATGTACAGTGACCATAGGGCTTTTTATTAGCAACAAGAAATCAGAAATGTCATAGGTGTGCCTGACATTTGTCCAGGAACAGGACAAAGGCTTTCCTACTTAATAACGTTTACAAGTATAGGGAGAAATAAAAGTAAAAATCACTTGTGATTATATCCTGTGAGTATTGCTTGTACAAAGTGATGGCTACAATAACCCCCCTCAGGCTTTTCCTGAAGTTATTAAAAAAAAAAAAAAGAATGAAAGAAAGCCATAGAGAATAAGGCATAGAGCGGCACTAAATAAATTTAGTGTCTTTCTCTTGATTCACCGAAAAAATATTTATTAAATTCATACTATTTGCTAGTTGTGGTTTATACAAGACATACAATGGGAAAAATCATAGGAAATAGTACAAGTGGATATTTTAAACTCATATCTCATGAGATATGAGAATCCGAATTATTTGACTCACTAACCCCTGAGGGCAGCTGCTGAAATTTCAGACGCAATTCCCAGGAGAGACGCCAGCAAACTTAAGGCTTGGAATTTTAACCCCATTTTACTGACAGAGGCATCACTATAACATGCCTTTTGAGTTTTGTGAACTCATTTAGTTATTTTTCTGTTGAAAGCTGATTCCAACCTAAATGAGTCCACACACTATACAGATGTGATACAGAGGATCTGAAACCTTCTCCTGAGGGTACTAGGCTGGAGAGAGGCCACTTTCCATTGTGTCATGTAAGTGTGCAAATTTCAGTTTTCTCTGTTAACACCTTGAATTCCGCACTAACACTGAATTTCCTTTCTGCTCCCCTAGTTGTAATCTCTAATATGATGCCTGCAAGTTTTATCTTGAGTGACACCTAGTGGTTTCATGTTGTAATGAGAACACGGAGGAGGCTTGGAAGCTCTGGCTAGCAGGCCAGAGGGGTGAGGTTTGAGCTTGTTTTGCATCTTTACCCTGGTCAAATAGTCATGTGAGAAAAATGATTTAGGGATCACGGCAATTCAGACTGTCCCACTTCTTACTTGTAAAACGGAATTTATATTTGTGCTCGCCCTTCGTTGCTGGAATGTTAAAAATCTCTGGAAGAGAGGTGCTATGTTCTTTCAAGTGGCTATGATTATAAAGCAGTTTCCTTCCCTTCTTTGGAAACTGTGGAGGTGTTACAAACCAACACTGAGGGGGAAAGAAGAGAAACAATGTCCAAAGTTCTCATTCCCTGGCCAGAGCAGAGAAAACTGTGGAGATTTTTAGATAGTAAGAAGCCAATGATTCATATTTTTTTGTCTGGTTTGAACTTGTGCTTATTTAAAAGCAAAATGAAAACCAGAATTTCACATTCCAGATTTGAAACCCATTTCAAAATCGTTATATAACAGACTTGATTGTGGTTCAGCAGTTATTTATCTTACTCTTGTCTTTTGTTTTCTCTCCACTCATAGATTATAAAATATTGAATTGGATAGAGTCAAAGGAATTCCCAGAGAACAGACAGAACTAATTCATTATGACTTTCTTCTTAAATTTTAAATTCAGAAAAGCACAGAAAATAATATAGCAAATTTTCATGCGTCGAGATTTTCTTTAATAAAAAAAGAAAATATTATGGAAAAAGTTTATCTGATTTTTTTCTTCATTCTAGTTTTATTCACGATCACTATGATGCATGTGGTATTTATCCTCCTATCCAATTGTTTTAGAAAATTTACTTCATATCAAAAATAGTGTTTTGCACCCAACAAAAATATAGTTCAGTGTGTTATTATATGATAAGTGTCATACCATACATATCATTCTGCAATTTTTTCATAATTTTTTATAGCTATCCATGTTTAGATATACAATCTTAGTCCATTATTTTAATTGCTATTTCCATTGTATGAAGAGATCACAATTTGTTTAATATTAGAAATTTTTTTTCTATCAAAACAAAACAGTGAAAGCATTTTTAGAATGGTGGGGCAAGGACTTCTGCTGTACAGAAAGCATGGCTGCAGAGGCCTCAGGAAACTTTCATTCATGGCAGGAGGGGAAGCAGGCCCATCTTACATAGCTGGAGCAGGAAGAAGAGAGAGAAAAGAGAGAGAAGGGGAAGGTGCTATCCACTTTCAAACAACCAGATCTCATGAGAACTCACTCACTATCATGAGAACAGCAAGGGGGAAAATCCATCCCAATGACCCAATCACCTCCCACCATACCCCTCCTCCAACATTGGGAATTACAATTTGTCATGAGATTTGGGTGGGAACACAAATCCAAACCATATCAGTCTGCCCTTAGCCCCTCCCAAATCTCATGTCCTTCTCACACTGCAAAATACAATCAACTCTTCTCAACAGTTCTCCAAAGTCTTAACTGATTTCAACATTAACTAAAAAGTCCAAAGTCTCATCTGAGACAAGTCTAGTGCCTTCTATGAGCCTGAAAAATCAAAAACAGTAAGTTAGTAACTTCCAAGTTAGAAAAACAGTAAGTTAGTAACTTCCAAGATACAATGATGGTACAGGCAATAGGGAAATATTCCCTTTCCAAAAGGGAGAGATCGGCCAACACGAAGGGGCTACAGGTGCCATGCAAGTCTGAAACCCAGCAGGGCAGTCTTTAAATATTAAAGCTCCAGAATAATCTCCTTTGACTCCATGTCTCAAATCCAGACAACAATGATGCAAGGGGTGGACTCCCAAGGCCTTGGGCAGCTTCGCCCCTGTGGTTCTGCAAGGTATTGCCCCCGTGGCTGCCTTCTCAAGTTTGTATTGAGTGCCTGCAGCTTTTCCAGGTGCACAGTACAAGCTGTTGGTGGATCTACCATTCTGAGGTCTGGAGGACAGTGGCCCTCTTCTCACAGCTCCACTAGGCAGTGCCCCAGTGAGGACTCTGTGTGAAGGCTCCAACCCCACATTTTCCCTCCACCCTGCTCTATAGAGGTTCTCCATGAGAGCTGTGCTGCCACAGCAGACTGCTGCCTGAACATCCAGGCATTTCCATATGTTATCTGAAATCTAGGCATTGGCTCCCAAGCCTTAACCCTTGTCCCCTGTGCACCTGCATGCTTAACACCATGTGGAAGCCAGCAAGGCTTATGGCTTGCATATTTTGAAACAGTGGCCTGAGATGTACCTGGGGCTGTTTTAGCCACAGTGGGAGCTGTAACAGCTGGGACACAAGAAGCAGTGTCCCAAGGGCAGTGGGGCCCCAAGCCTGGCCCTTAAGACCGTTCTTCTTTCCTAGGACTCCAGCCTGTAATGGGAGGGACTGCCCTGAAGTTCTCTCAAGTACCTTTATGGCATTTCCCTCATTGTCTTGGCTATTAACATTTGGTTTCTCTTTACTTATGCAAATTTCTGCAGCTGGCTTGAACTCCTCCCCAGAAAATTGGTTTTTCTTTTGCACCACATGGTCAGGCTGCAAATTTTTATGCTCCGCTTCCCTTTTTAAGTTCCAGTTTCGGACCATCTCTTTGCTTAGGCATGTGGGCATATATTGTTAGAAGCAGCCAGGTCACATCTTAAATGTTTTGCTGCTTAGAAATTTCTTGCACCAAATTCCCTAAATCATCACTCTCAAGTTCAAACTTCCCAATAAGTTCCTCATGTCCATCTGAGACCTCATCAGCCTGGCCATCTCTGCCCCACTGTCAGCAATTTGGTCAAAACCATTCAAGTCTCTAGGATGTTCCAAACTTTCTCTCATCTTTCTGTTTTCTTCTGAGCCAACCAAACTGTTCCAATCTCTGCCCATTACCCTGTTCCAAAGCTGCTTCCACATTTTCAGGTATCTTTATAGCAATGCACCACTCCTAGGTACTAATTTTCTGTAGTAGTCTGTTCTCACACTGCTTTAAATAAATATCTGAGACTGGGTAATTTATAAAGAAACAAGGTTTAACTGGCTCACTGTTCCACATGTTGTACAGAAAGCATGGCTGGGGAGGCCTCAGGAAACTTTCAATCATGGCTGAAGGGGAAGCAGGTTCATCTTACATGGCCAAAGCAGGAGGAAGACAGAGAAGAAGGGGGCTAGAAGGAAGTCAGATGACAACAAAGAACCATAAAAAAAATTACTGGGCCAGGTGCAGTGGCTCACACCTGTAATCCCAGCAATTTGGGAGGCCAAGGCGGGTGGATTACGAGGTCAGGAGATCGAGACCATCCTGGCTAACACGGTGAAACCCCGTCTCTACTGAAAATACAAAAAAATTAGCCACTGTGGTGGCACGCACCTGTAGTCCCAGCTACTCAGGAGGCTGAGGCAGGAGAATTGTGTGAACCTGGGAGGTGGAGCTTGCAATGAGCCGAGATTGCGCCACTGCACTCCAGCCTGGATGACAGAGCAAGACTCCGTCTCAAAAAAGAAAAAGAAAATTACCAACTGAGAATTCTATATTTGACCAAACTATCCTTCAAAAAAAAAGAAAGAAAGAAAGAAAGAAAGAAAGAAAGAAAGAAAAGAGAAAGAAAGGAAGGAAGGGAAAGAAAGAAAGGAAAAATTAAGTATTCACAAATAAAGTAAGATTGTTTTTCTAGCAGATCTGCCCTACCAGAAATACTGAAGATATTGTCTCACGCTGAAATAAAAGAATACTAGCTAGTCACTCAAGTCTACACAGAGAGCACACTCATAAACTACAGAGGTAGAATAAAATTATTTGGTTTTGTTCTCCTATTATGTTTAAAAGAAAACAGCTTAAAGCAATAATTATAAAACTGGGTTGGTGGGATTATAATGTTTAAATATATGTATGTATAACATGAATATATATAATGTGCATGGCAATAATAGCAGAAAAAATGAAGGAG
Source organism: Homo sapiens (assembly GCF_000001405.40). NCBI lineage: Eukaryota > Metazoa > Chordata > Mammalia > Primates > Hominidae > Homo > Homo sapiens. Next base: position 170,933,891 of record NC_000001.11, read on the forward strand.
GAAACCAGGTATACTGGAGCAAAACCTTTGTATGTTATTGAAACTAAATTGATATTAATTCAAACTACATTGTTTTAGGCTAATGTTATAATTGTGACCCTAGAACAAACAAAGTTTGAAAATTCACACTTCTTGATTTCAAAACTTACTACAAAGACACAGAAATCACCACAGTGTGCTACCAGTATAGGAAAAACATATAGATTAATGGGATAAAATTGAGTTCAGAAATAAACCATTTTAGTCAATTCATTTTTTACAAAGATGTGGAGACAATCAGGAAAAGAATCATCTTTTTAACAAATTGTACTGAGACAAGTGAATATCCAGATGCAAAAAATAAGATAAAATTAGACCTCTACCTCACACTATATACTAAAACTAATTCAGAATGAACCAAAGACCTAAATGTAAGGCAAAAACTACAAAACTCTTAGAAAAGTTCTAAATCTAATCTCTGTGAAGTTGGGCCAGGGAATGCAGGCAATGTCTTTTTCTTTTTTTTTAGTTATGATACCAAAAACACAAGCAATAAAAGAAAAAGAATGGCAAATTTAAATTTCACTTAAATTTAAAACTTTTGTGCTTCAAGAGACACTGTCAAGAAAATGTAAAGGCAGCCCATAGAAAAGGAGGAATATTTGCAAATTATGTATCTGATAAGAGACTAGCATCTAGAACATATTAAAAAATCACAACTCAGTAATAAAAATCCAAACAGTCTAATCATAAAAAGTCACATATTGTATAAATCTATTTACATAAAATGTCCAGAAGGCAGACAGAAGATTAGTGGTTGCCAGGTACTTGGGGGAGAGGGAGGGTGAATGTCTGCTAACAGGTACAGGGTTTCTTTGGAGCTTGTTCTAAATGAAAATGTTCTAAAATTAGATAGTAATGATGGTTGTATACCTCTGTAAATATATTTAAAATGATTGAATTATATACTTTAAGATAAATTTTATGGTATGTGAATTATATTTTAATAACTCTATTATAAAAAGTGCTACAATAAACATCCTTCATGTCTCTCAGTGCATCAGTTGTATACATGTTTATACACTCTATGGACCTAGAACTGGAAATTCTGGGTTGTAGATTTTCAGTTTTGCTAGAACTTGACAAGTTTCTCTACAAACTAGTTATATCCATTTATAATCCCACCAGTCGTGTGAGAAAGTTCAACTTTCTTTTATCTTTGCCAATATTTGAAATTATCTTTTTTTAATTTTTACTTGTATTTTAGTACTTTTTAACTTATTAGCTGGGAAATAATATTTTAATGGTTTGTATTTTCATAACTTCAAGTGAGATTAAAAATCTTTTAAAATATTTATTGGCCATTCAGTTTTCCTTTTCTGTGAATTTTCTATTCTTATCCTTTGCCCAGCTTCTACTGGACTGTTGGTCTGAAGAACTATCTTTCAGTGCTTGTAACATAGAAACCAGAAACTTACCCACCCCTCAATAATGACAGGTGAGCATTAGTAGCCACTTGGGCATGCCAGGACATTCTACCACATTCATTCCAGAATGGAATCTTTGAAACATATGGTTGCCATGACGAGTGTCAACATTTCAAAGAATTTGCTTGGTTGATAACTACCTAGAGTATTTTACCTTTGGCTAAGAGGTAATATACTAGAGTTTCTCTTCACTACTTTGTCTCACCGTGATTACAGAGAAGTTACAAATATGTAAGTGAATTCCTATTAATATTTCTGTCATTCAAAAGCTTGTCTTTTTTTCTAATCCTGACTACTTTTCTTAATTTTTGTTCTGTTAAGAAAAAGAACCATGAATACATTAGAAAATTACGTTATGGCCCAGGTATGGTGGCTCACACCTGTAATCCCAGCACTTTGGGAGGCTGTGGGCGGATCATGAGGTCAGGAGGTCGAGACCACCCTAGGCAACTTGGTGAAACCCCATCTCTACTAAAAATACAAAAATTAGCTGGGTGTGGTGGCGGGTGCCTGTAATCCCAGCTACTCAGGAGGCTGAGGCAGGAGAATCACTTGAACTCGGGAGGTGGAGGTTGCAGTGAGCCGAGATCATGCTACTGCACTCCAGCCTGGCAACAGAGTGAGACAAAAAAAAAAAAAAAAAAAAAAAAAAGAAAAGAAAAAGAAAATTACATTACTATGGGCCCTCATCCAGAAATCTTGCCAAAGTTGGCAATTGGAAGAATTTGTCTTTATTCATTAATCTCCTAACTTCATGCCTTACTAGTAAGGATTATCTTATTAGTAAGGATGAGAGAAACCACAACTATATAGATAAATATATTTATTATAAGGTATTGGTTTACACAATAATAGAAGCTAGGAAGTCCTGGATTCTGCTTTCTGCAAGACAGAGACCCAGGAGATCCAATGGTGCAGTTTGAAGGCCTGAGAGCAAGAGAGTTGATGATAAAAATTCCAGCCTGGTTCTGAGGATCTGAGAACCAGAGCACCGAGGGCAGCAGATTTGTGTCCCAAGTCAAGTAGTCAGGCAAAGAGAAAACTAAGCATTCTTCTGCCTTCTTGTTTTATTCAGGCCCTCAATGGATTGGAAGATGTTGACCCACATTAGGGAGTGTCATCTCCTATCATCAGAACACCAATTTAAATGCTAATCTCTTCTGGAAATACCCTCACAGACATACCCCAAAATAATGTTTACCAGATATCTGGGCATCCTATGGCTCACTCAGTTTGACACGTAATATTAACTAACCATAATGAGTTCCCACGTTGAAAATTTGGCACCCATATACATATCCTTAAGCCATAGTTAATCTCCAAATAAAGTCAATAAGAAGCTCATAATTCCATTTAACATGTTGAAATGTAGTGGGATTGATAAGGAATCAGAGAGACCGATGGGGTTGAGAAGGATATTTATTATTTAGGTGCACCGGCCCAGTTGGATTAACCTCCAAAGGACTGAGCCCTGAACAAAGAGTTATCTTTTAATCATTTCGTGGGGTGGGGGAGATCTGTGTAGGGGGAAGCATATTACAGAAGTGAGAAACAAAGACAGTTATTCAATTAATTGAAACATGCATTACATCATTTCTTACTTTTCAAGGAAAAACATGTTTTATGACTTGAGTTTATCTGTCTAGTGACCTTGCAGCTGCACAGCTAGAGAAACAGGGTCTTCACAATGCCTGGGAAAGGAGGAGAGATAAGGCTCACTAGCCACAGAAAAACAGGCAGTTAATTTTAAAGGACTCCAGCTCTTTCTCTTTCTCTGGGGAATTGGGTTTTCTTACATACAACTGAGTTTCTGCTTACACATTCTTTAATTTCTTTTAATTCCTGTTCCAACATATGTCCTGCATACAACTGAAAATGCACTAAACCCTTCTCAGAGGAGGAGATAAAGTCCTTCAGTGATGTTTACTCTCTTCCTTGATGTCCTGTAACTTAAACACTATGATGTAACATTAACAATACTTAAATACTAGAATATGAAGTCATTGCATTTTGTATTATGTGATAAGAGAATAAGAAAAGAAAAAATATTTGGTATCTAATATATACACAAAGAAATGTATTCAGAACAAAATTAAAAGGAAATACTCATAATTATTACAGTCTTCATTTCTGCACTGATCACAGCATCATAATCAGTATTTTTTTTTTTTTTTTTTTTTTTTGAGACGGAGTCTCGCTCTGTCGCCCAGGCTGGAGTGCAGTGGCGGGATCTCGGCTCACTGCAAGCTCCGCCTCCCGGGTTCACGCCATTCTCCTGCCTCAGCCTCCCAAGTAGCTGGGACTACAGGCGCCCGCCACTACGCCCGGCTAATTTTTTTTGTATTTTTAGTAGAGACGGGGTTTCACCGTTTTAGCCGGGATGGTCTCGATCTCCTGACCTCGTGATCCGCCCGCCTCGGCCTCCCAAAGTGCTGGGATTACAGGCGTGAGCCACCGCGCCCGGCCCATAATCAGTATTTTTAACTCCCTTTTTCTACTACACATTCTGTAGTTTCTTTGCCTTCAGTAAGCACCTCAGCTGCTTGTGGTTCTTTACCTGCTAAAGTGATCCATAAAGGTCTGGGTCACTAGTAGTCCTACCTGCACTGGGTGGTTGTAGTTTTCCATTGATCTTAATCACAGGACACAGTAATACTAAGAGACACACTAAGGGATCTTTTGTATTGCAGACATACTCTTCCTTGCCTCCATTATGGAATAGTAGCCCAAGTTCTCTTTGGTAGTGTGGATCAGTCAGTCCAACCAGCACCATAACTCCCTTCTTAGCCTGTTGACTCAGAAGCACAAGGAGACCAAGGTGGCCAGGTGGCAGTCTTAACTTCCAGTTCAGTGGAATTATTGTCGTGTCCCCTGATGGAAGAATTCTTCCCTCCAGAACTGAGATCTCTAAGCCAGCAGAGCATAATGCCACAAGAACAGGAAGCTAGTGGGACACTAAGGATAATAGTGAGTGGTGCAACTCTATTTTCACCCCTTGATCCCTAGACCCAGGAATCCTGGTTATAGGAGAAATAGCACTATAAATTGAACATATTCAGAGCATATTCAGTTTTCCGGAGAACCTTGCCCCAGCCCTTCCAGGTATTGACATCTAGCTGATGACGTAACTGAGTCTTCAAAAGGTCATTCCACCGTTCCATCAAACAAGTGGCTTTAGGATGGTGGGGAACATGGTAAGACTAGTGAATTCCATGAGCATAAGCCAATTGCCCCACTTCTTTGGCTGTGAAGTGAGTTCCTTGATCAGAAGCAATGCTGTGTGGAATAACATGATGGTGGATAAGGCATTCTATAAGTCCACAAATGGCAGTTTTGGCAGAAGCATTGCATACCTGGACGGCAAATCCATATCCAGGGTAAGTGTCTATTTCAGTAAGGACAAAATGCTTCCTCTTCTATGATGGACGCAGTCCAATGTAGTCAAGCTGCCACCAGGTAGCTGGCTGATCACTCTGGGCCACATCAAGGACTCAGTGTTTTTCTCTGCTACTGGCATATTGGCCACTCGGTAGTGGCCACAGCTAGGTTGTCCTTGACAAATAAAAGTCCATGTTGCTGGACCCATACATAATTTACATCCCTGACACTATGGCTACTTTGCTCATGAGCCTATTGGGTGATGACACTAGTGGCTGAAGAAATAGCCTAATTGGTACCTACAGAATGGGTCATCCTATCTGCTTGATTATTAAATAATCCTCAGCAGAGATTGCCCTTTGGTGAATATTTACAGGGAACACAAATATCTTCAAACTTTTTGCTAATTCTGAGATGTCTATCCACTTATCTCTTCCTCAAATTTCTTCATCAATTTTCCAATCATGTTCCTTCCAAGTTTCTGACCATCTAGAAAAATCACTGGGCACAGCCCATGAATCAGTATATAATCACACATCTGGCTATTTCTCCTTCCAATCAAAGTAAAAAATCAGATTCAGTGCTCGAAGTTCTGCCTACAGGGAGGATTGCACTGCTTGGGGTTTTGCCCACTGGGAGTATTTCTCTTGGCCATTGTCCTTCAGAGATGTCCCAAAAGGGGGCTATAGGGATACAGTCATCCACTTTCAAGTTGTGCCTGTATATCATGTAGAACCAACTGTAAACCAGGCTGTTTTCTTCCTCTGTCAATTGATCATAGGGAACTCCCCATGAAGCCATAGTTGCAGGCTAATAAAGAGAAGGCAGTGTAGTAGGAGGAAGGATCACTGGCTTTTGGCCATTTCTTTATGTAATTTACTTGTGCCTTCAAGACCTGCTCAGGCCTGATCACACATATATATCACTTCCATTTGATGATGGAGTACTGCCGTGCACACCCAACTTTATGGCTTGGTGGGTTGGATAACACCCAGTTCATGATAAGCAGCTCAGATCACATGGTAACTTGGTGCCACGTGGTCAAGCATTCAGTCTCTACTAAGGCCTAGTAGCATGTCAAGGGCTGTTTCTCAAAAGAAGACTAACTATCTGCAGAGGAGAGTAAGGCTTTGCTCCAAAATCCTGGGGGCTTGCACTTCAATTCACTGCCAAAGGCTGAAAAGAGCATCATTATCTGCCACTGATGCATCAAGCACCACTGGATCTGCTGCATCCTATTGTCCAAGTACCAGAGCAGACTGTACAACAGCCTGGACCTGTTTCAGTCTTCTTCTACTATGGGCTCCATTCAAATTAGCAGCTTTTTAGGTCACTTGGTGAATGTGCTGGAGTAACACACCCAAATGAGAAATATGTTGCCTAAAATCTGTAGGGGCCCATTGGGCATTCTGCTTCTTTTTTGGCTTTAGGAGGTACCAGATGCAACAAGTTACCTTTAACCTTAGAAGGGATATCTCAACATGCTCCACACTACTGGACCCCTAGAAATTTCACTGAGATAGAAGGCCTCTGAATTTTTGTCAGATTTATTTCCCACCCTCTGGCACACAGGTGTCCTGCCAATAAGTTTAGATATTGCTACTTCTTGTTCAGAAGATCCAATAAGCATAATGTCGCCAATATAATGAACCAGTGTAATGTTTGTGGATGGGGAAGTGATTAAGACTCCTGAAAACTAAATTATGACATACAGCTGGAGAGTTGACATGCCCCTGTGGTAGAACAGTGAAGGTGTATTGCTGGCCTTTCCAGCTGAACACAAACTGCTTCATGTACACCTTACGGAAAGGGATAGAGAAAAAAAGTATTTGCCAGAATAATAGCTGCATACCAGGTACCAGAGAATATGTCAATTTGCTCAAGCAATGAAATCACACCTGGAACAGCAACTGCATTTAGAGTTACCACCTGGTTAAGCTTATGGTAATCCACTGTCATTCTCCAAGATCTATCTTCTTCACAGTCCAAATAGATAATTTAAATGGGGATGTGGTACAAATGACAACCCCTGATTCATTTAAGTCCTTGATGATGGCACTAACCTCTGCAATCCCTCCAGGAATGCAGTATTGCTTCCAGCTTACTATGTTCCTAGGTAGAGGCAGTTCTTGTGGCTTCCACTTGGCTTTTCTCGCCATAATATCCCCCATTCCACAGTTCCGGCAACCAGTATGCGGATTCCACTAGCTACTCAGCTTGTCTATTCCAATTACGCATTCCAGAACTGAGGAAATAACATCAGTTATAACAAATAACTCTGTAATAACCCAGGATGGATTGGGGACACACCGGACCCACTGTTAGAAGGACCTGAGCTACACTCCATTGATCTCCTGACCTCCCTAGTTCCCTATTCTGACTGGATGGCCAGAATGACATTTTGGGTCTCCTGGAATTATTGTCAGTTCAGAACCATTTTCTAGTACTCCCCAGAAGGTCTGATTATTTCCTTTCCCCAAGGCACACTTACCCTGGAAAAGGCCATAGGTCCCTTTGTGGCAGACTGGAAGAAAGATTCACAGTATAAATTTTGGTAGTATACTAAGGTCCTTCTTCAAAAGGGCCCAGCCTCCCTTTCACTCAAGGAATTCTGGGTTTATAAGCCAGCTTAAGCCTGGGAAATGACTGAGGGATCATGACTCAATTTTTTATTTAGGTTATATTTTTGTTCACTTGACCTAGAACTTTTATGCTTATACAAATCAAATAAGAATTTAATAGGCCTCCTATCTGTTTAACTTCTAGGAACACCATGATCAACTAGCCAATACCATAGGTTCAAAAGAGTCAGACTATTTTGACTGCTGCTTTGACTTTTTGTTGCTCATTAAGGCAACTGCACTCATCTTTCCATTGGCTGTTGAGCTTGCCCCTTTGCCCCTGCCACCCTGAAATCCAATTATCCTCATCACATTTACATTTCCCTATTCAGTGGCTGCAGTTTCCACCATAGTAGGGTCTGATTTACAGAAAAGAGCAAGCACAGAGCTCCTCAAGGATGGTGGGACTTCCCTCACAAATTGCTTGCTGTAGTGGCAAAAGGTGTGTCTTCTGGACACTCCCGGCGTGAGGGACTAGGTCTTAAATGACAAATTCACTCTAACATTCCAATCTCCCTAAGCTTTTGAATCCCTTTTCTACATTAAGCTATACAGGTCTGGCATTCCTAACTTTCTCCTCATTGGCCACTTTTTGGTCCATGTTTTAGCCAATCAACCAAACAAGTAGTTAGAGCCATTTCCAACTCCCTGAGCTGCACCATTAAATGCAGAATCTCTGCTTAGTGAGCCCATATCAATAAATTTGGCCTAATTCAACTTTTTGTTTCTTCCACTGTTATCCTACAGCTTTAATATCCATTTCTACACAGGTTCCCTGGATTTCTGCTTGTAGAAATAAGAAAACTCAAGTCATTCTTTTGGAGTGTAGCACATTTCCTCATGGGTCACACTTTCTACCTTGACTTTAGGGGCCTTCTGCAATTTGAGTCTAGTTACGGGTCTAGAAGCAAAGAAGAGTGGTGGGGTTGAGTCCCTAAGAAGACTCAGCATTATCTTGCTTGGCAACTGCCTCAGGGGAGGCAATTACAGTTTCCTCCGGCAATGTAGAGTAGACACACACACACACACACACACACACACACACACACACACACCCTCAGAGAATACCGATAATTTTATCAAGAGTAAAATTTTAGATTTGTCCTAAAATTTCTTTATGTATGTCTTCAATCCTGTGAAAATTTTTAAGAAACTTTTGCTAAAGCAAAGTCTTTGATAGGGTAGGCCAGTAACATACATTTACTAAAATATGGGATATTCAAAAACAGCAAGGAAAGCACTCCAGTTATGGAGTAACAGCTGAATTGTATGGAAATATGACATGCCTGGAATAGGACTTTTGTTCACATGTTTGGACCCAGAGATACCTCCCTGGATAGATGACTGATACTTTTCCTGGGTGATAAGGATGTGAGGAAAGCAAGGTGAGTAGCTTAGACAGAAAAAGGGGAATGGAATGCATGCACTAAGGAAACTTTCTTTGGTTCTGGTTTTGAACCAAACATAAGCTGGTGAAGCTGAACTAAACAAGAAATCACACAAACAAGCTGCTATTGCTTGCAGGTGGGCCAGGGTAAAGGAGGCCAATTCTGCAGTAGCTCTAATGCTGCCAGGAGGGTAAAATAGTTGGGGAAAAGTAAAGCCAAAAGAGCAAATTTACATATACTATGCTGGATCAAGAGGAAAATTCCTCCAGGTGAAAGTCCTGAAAATATTTGATTCGGAAGTAGCCCATCTTATTCTAATAAGCAATAATTTTAAAAGAATCAATACAGGATCTAAACAAATTTTTTACAAGAAAAAAGTAGAAAATTAAAAAAATCAATGACAAAAACTGGAAAAATATCAAACGGCAGATGAAAAACTTTTTTAATTTAATGGAGTGATTTTATCTATAAAATGTGATTTCAAAGTAGATATATAAGAATTTAGGAAAGAAATAGTGCAGCTCAGGAAAAAAATGGAGTGTTAAAAATACTCCAAAAGCAATGTTGGAAACAGTGCAAAGAAAATGAATATTGCTAAAAATGTGCTAAAGAGAATAAAGGACCAAACTGAGGTAAGCTAGAAAGACTTTAGAAATGAGATAAAATATAAGCATAACTGATATCACTAAAGAAGAGAACCAAAATAACAGAAAAGAAGAAAATATATAAATAAATTTTAACAAAATGTGCCATGAACATATAGATTCAAAAGCAGACTATGTCCCTAGAAAAATTAAGTCAATCAATGATGAGCTCTTTACTTGTAAAGTTACTTAATTTCAAAAATAAACAAGGAATCCTTTGGAAATCCAGAGAGGGAGAAAAAGGTTCATTTGATCTATATAGGAGAAAAAAAAAAGGAGCTAACCTTAGCCTTTTCCACAACAATGCTAGATGACAATGGAACAATGTCTGTAAAATCCTTATGAAAACATTATAGCTCAGGAGTATTATATGCAGTCAAACTTTAACTCAGTGTAACAGTTTTAATGTGAAAAAAAATCAAGGAATGTGATTCTCATGAGATTCTCTTAAATAAAGTCAAAGAAAATGAACTTTAGCTCAACAAGAAATGAATGGGGAAAGTCTGGCAGTATGCATAGAATCTGTTTACATGAAGGGCTAAGACATAAAGGAAGTAGGATTATTGTTACAGAACTGAATGTAAATATTATACATCTTGAAAGTATAAAAATAATATCGCTAATAACAATTATAATAAAAATAAAAGATAAGGGGAAAGTTAATAAATACATTGATTTCATTTTTAAAGCCTAGGGGTTATTAAACAAGCAATATAAACACAAATGCATAAAGGTTTCACTAATAAATCAACTAAAATTGTATGAGGAGTGACAGAGAAGAGAAAATAGAAATGAACTAATTTCATCTTTGCTCATAGTTGGGAATCAACAGGTTCTGTCTAAAGTTTTGAGGAATAAATATAAGAAGTTATTGTAATCCTAAACATCATCACAACAGGAATATAAACCTTTCGTATTAAAGAAACACACAAAACACCACATCACACACATACAAAGTAAGGAGAAAAACATCAAATAATAAAATATTTAAAGGTAACAACAACAACAACAACAAAAGCACATACAAAATATAGTGATAAAATCTGTTATGTAATAAACAACAATGGATTGAACTTATGTACAAAGAGAAAGAAATATGGTTAAATCACTAGTAAAGTCCAGCAATATGTTACATACTCGAGGTACTTATAAAACAAAGTATCTCAAAAAGGTTGCAAATAAAAAGACGGAAAAAAGGAATACCAAAAAAGTGTAAACAACCACTAAGTAGTGTTGGGATCATAATTCAGACAAACTTGAATTTCAGGCTTTAAAATAAGCTTTGAGGCAGTAAAGGTGATTTTTTAAATGCATCACATTATGAAAAAGTTCATAATCCACTATGATGATACAATAATTATGAAAATCTATGTGGTAAGTAGAATTTTAAGACGGCCCCCAATATTCCTGTCCCCTAGTATCCACGTCTTATATCAATCCCTCCACTTGAAGCTGAAATATTTAGGAAGGAAGGGTACGGGATGAAGATCTGAATATGATGTATGATGGGAAATCATTCTCATGATTATGTTATATAACGTGAAAGAAGGAACTGTACAGCTATAATTAAGGTTACTAATCAGTTATCTTTGAGTTAAAAGGAAGAGTATTTGAGTGGCCTGCCCTAATCACATGAGTCTTTTAAGTCTGGGTCTGGAGGTTGGAGACAGAAGTCAGAGATTGGTAGTGTGAGATGGCCTCTGGAACAGGTCATATGGCAAGAAACCGCAGACGGCTTCTAGATGCTGAGTATTGTCCTCAGCCGCAGCCAGCAAAGTAATAGGTTCTTCAATCTGACAGCCTCAAACAATTGAATTTTGCCAACAATCTAATTGACCTGGAAAGAGAACTCTGAGCCTCAAATGAGATAGCACTCCAAGTTGACATCTTGAGTCCAGCTGTGTGAGACCCTGAGCAGACTACAGCTAAACTGAGACTGAACCTTCTGACCTACAGACACTGAAATAACAACATATTTTTAAGCCTTTAAATTTGTGATAAATTGATGCACAGCTATAGAAAATTAACACAATCCACATACTGTATATCATAGTACCATCCATATTGATAGAGCAAAACAAAACTGTAGGAAAGTTTCTGGTTTATGTACTAATACGTGATATTTTTTGCAGCATTACTAGTAGAAGACTTTAATACACCTCTGTCAGCATGTTGACAAGGAATCCAAAAACAAGTAAGGCTTTAGGACACAATAGAGATGGGAGAAGGTATTTTTGTGTATATGTGTGTGTATGAGTGACAGATGACAGAGAGAAACCTATACATCATTCTGTAACCATGATAACAAAGAATGTACCTTTTTTCCCTAATGCCCGTAGAACGTTCACAAAAGTAACCATATATTAGGCTAGAAATTTCTGTATAAATTCCAGAAAGTAGAAATAGAAGACATATTCTCTGATTACAATGCAAAAAATTAGAAACTAGTGATGAATTCATGAAACAAGTGAAAAACAACCTACCACTTGTCCAGTAAACTTTCTATTTTAAACAATTCTTGAGTCAAAGAGGAAATTAATAGGAAATTACAAAGTATTGATAATACTACATATCAAACCCTATAGTATACAGCCAAAGGGATCACAGAGAAAAATTTATAGCCTTTAGTACTTAGAAAACTAAACCAGAACAAAATAAGAATAATGAAATCAAGTATTGAAAGCAAGAAGTTATCAAAATAAAACAAAACAAATCTAAGGAATGCAGAAATAAAATGACCCACATAAAGATGAAGTTGAATATTTGAATTCAGGAAAAGAAAAATAGTAGGACTAATAAATAAATTCAAAATCTTGTATTTTTTTCATGATGAGACAGGCAGGCATTCACTCTGTAATATTTTTTCCTCAAACCTATATTCCCAGTCTAATTATATGAAAAAAAATCAGATAAATCCAAATAGAGGTACATTTTACAAAATACCTAACCAGTGCTCTTCAAAACTGTCAAGGTCATAAACAAGGAAAGACTGCTAAACTGTTAGAGATCAGAGCAAACTGAGGAGACACGCTGACTAAATGCAACGTGGAATCCTGGACTGGATCCCAGAACCAGAAAAGGATATTAGTGGAAAAATAGGTGAAATCCAAATAAAGTCTGAATTTTAGTTAATGTAATTGTAATAATGTTAATTTCTTAGTTTTGAAAAATGTGCCATGGTTATGTAAGATGTTAGTTAACATTGGAGGGAACTGGTTGAAGGATACATGATAATTTACTGTCTTTGCAACTTTCCTATAGGTCTGAAATAAAAAGTTATTTTTTTAAAAAAAGAATCAAAGAAGATCTAGAAAATCTAAATATACCGATTAAAATAGAAGACATAAAATAATTATCAAAGGGCTACCTCCTCCAAGCAAGCAAAGGAAAACATAACAGTTTCTAAAAATTTCATAAGGCAATTTTATCAATCATTTCAGTAACTGATAACTCCATTTCTAATTAAATTATTTTGATAACATTAAAAAATTTAAAAGCCCCTTATACTGTTTCCTATGAAGTTATAATTCAAACAAAATTATATTTTCCTTTCCAGTTTTAATATATGCATTTATTTCTATTTTTAAATAATATTTGATGGTCCTTCCAGAAATGGTAAATGATGGTGGTAGTAATGATAATCTTTGTTTTATTCTTTACCTTAATAAGAACACTTCTATTTATTTTCTAATCACACTTGGTACTGACTTTTTTATCTATCACATTAAGACATGAACTACATAGCCATTTTATTTAAAAATGTTATCAAGTTCATATTTAAAATCTTATAAATTTGGAACTCAAAAATTATTGTGTAGAATTTCTTCTTTAGCAATTAATGTTGAGAATTGTATTATAGATTCTCTTTTATTGAACCATCCTCTATGTAATAAATACTACTTGGGTATAGGCTTTTATTCTTTTAATGTGCTGCCATAGCCTGCCTACTAATCTTTTTGTTAAGTGTTGTCCAGTAATACTCACAGTAAATTTGTCTATAGTTTTAGTGTGTGTGTGCATGTCCTTGTTGGGCTTTGACATCAAGGTCATAGTAGCTTCAGGTTTGGAAATAAGGCCCCACTAAGATGATAGGAGTCTATGTTCATTCCTTTTTAACGAATCTCCTTCTTTCTGGCTAGAGAGTAGTCTCCAGATTCTGCAAGACAGTGTGAAATGGCACCACATGGTAAGTGATATTCTATAAGGATATCAACGTAACTGAATTCTCTTGGAAAAAATAACTTTTTACTGTTTCCATTACAAGGATGTTACAAGTAATGTTTAAAATACATGTGTTGGGGGAGAAAGGGGAAAAAAAGGCAATTTGGTTAAAAATTGTTTTTACCTGTATGTCCCTGCAGCGTCATTTCTTCTTCATTCTCTCATGCTCCTGAAAATGACCTTCAGCACTAATTTAAAAGGATGAAACTTTTTACCCATCCTACTATTTATCCCACCCATCCTCCATCAACTGACTGGTCTCTAGGATAGTCTCCTCACTCATATTTTCCCTTCCATCATCACTGTGGAAACCCTTCCCATCAAAGTGAAGCCCTTCTACCTAGTCTCTGATTGAATGATATTATTTCCTTATTTGAGAGCCATTCTAGTTTGTGTCTTTCCTTTTCCATTTATCTTATTTTCTAGGCCTTTTGCAGATTTCTTGTCTTTGATCTCTTGAGAGCAGAGATTGTGATTATTCATCTTTGTGTTCTCTGCAGTGTGTAGCACAGTATTGTCTTAGTGGATATTCATCCAGTCATTTTTCAAAATTGTTTTAAAATTCTGAACCTCTAATAGACCCTACCATCATTTTAATCCACATCCAAATTAACACAGAAGAAACAGGGGAGGGCTACCATAAGAAAATATGTAATCTTCTACCTTTACAAAAGAAATGCTTCAGCGTGGATATTAAAACTTTTATAGATTTTGTTCATAATCCATAGGTCGAAGTCGCTGATAATTAAAGCAAAACATTGATATCATTTGGTGGACAAATTGATTTTTCCAGCCAGGACATGAGGAGAGTTGTTAATAAAACCATATTCTATTAAACAGGGTCATTTAATCCTTTCCCATTTGTATAGTCCATAGAGTCAGAAAGATGCAGTTTAGAATTACACTCACTCAATCACTCATTCATTTATTCAACAAATATTTATTGAGAATCTACTATGCATTAAATATTATGCTATCTTTTTGAGAAACAAAGTAGAATAAAACTCAAATACTAGCCCCAAATTGCTTATAGTCCAATGGGAGAGATTTTAAAAAATTCAGTAGTTAGAAACTGTTATAAGCTATGAAGAAGTTACAATATTCAGGAAATGATAGAAGTATATTTGGAGGGACATTCAAATATGACTTTGGGCCAGAGAAGATTTGAGCTGGACTTTGAAAGATGAGTAGAATGCCTAGATGAAAGTGAAGTACATTCCAAGAAGAGGAAACAGCACCTGTAAAGGCGTGGAGAAAGAAAAAGCAACATACGTTTGTAGAATTATAGATTTTAGCTATGGTTCCCCAGGAAGCAGATTCTAAAATAACACTGGATGTGCTCTTTGGATCAATACTTGGGGATTAGTAGTAGAGGCAAAGTGAAGGAAGCAGGATTAGGTACAAGGAGGTGTTGAACTGCAATGCACTTGCAAGATAGGTCTCAGCTACTTCTGCAGGGCACTCTGGAACTGGAATGACCTTTCAAAGTTGACCCTCTTTGAGGCAAGGAGGTTTGGCCTTTATTTCCCCATGTCAACTAGTCATTAGATGTAGGTTGCTCCCAGAGAGGGGATGTGATCTTAGGTAGGAAGGCTCTTTGGCTAAGGGAAGTCTCAAGAATACTTATCTAAAAGCTCTCAGCTGCCAACACTTCCACAAGTTGTGGAAAGAGTATTTCAGTACTGAAATGGAGAGGGGTGGTCTAAACAACACCCTGCAGCATCCATCTAAGACAAAAGGTGTATCTAGAATGAAGACTAGTCAAGAGGAAATAACAGGAGTTGTGGATGGAGAGGTAAGCACAGACTTAGTCATAAAAGTTCCTTTACGCTTTGCTAAAAAGTTCAAAACCTTGGTGACTTACTTAATCAGGAGAGTGGTGTTGCTCCAACAAAATTATAGATGATGAAATACAAAGATACTCCTTATAAGTAATAACAGACATCTGAGTTGAAGTGTACAATTGAGGGCGGATGGCTGTTGGGAACTCCTGCACCTGGGTCAAGTGGGCTGGTGTTTCAAAATTTAAAAACCAAAAACCAAAACACAGCACAGTGGGGATCTTCCAGAACATGTAGCTGGACCTTGAAAGTGACACTCTCCTAGTAAATTGAGTTCTTCATCAGCAGGGCTGTTGGGGGCACCACCTGCTTGCCAGAACAAATCACCAACAGGAAGGGGACAATAAATTATTTCATGGATGGACCAAAAAGGAAACATATTTCCCCCAATTCCTCAGCCACCTACAACCCCAGAGATACAAAGACAAGGAAGATGAGAAAGGGAACAGAGTACAGAGACATGTGAGAGAGGGAAATCCCTTCCCTATTCCAATGATAGTAAAAATAGCTAAAACTTATATAGTACCCATAACATGTTAGGCATGCTGTAAGTGCTTTAAATGAATAACTCATTTAATTCTCACAACAGCCCTGTGGGGTAAGTACTACCTTGAAAATGGGGAAACAGAGGCAGAAAGTGACCTGCTTATAGTCACATAGCTAGCAAGTGGCAGAACGAGGTTATAAATTCATAGATCCTGGCTGCACAGTTGCTGGTCTAAGCACCAAGCTATACTGTGTTTACCCTAAAACCAAAATCCTTGCCTGCTCTGGGTATCAAGGAAGACTTTTGAACAAACAATGAAGTTGAAGATTTTAAATAAACAGGATTTAGTACTAACAATAATTATGAGACTGTATTAATAACCAAAAAAAGATGGAGAATTCATGAAATCAGACTTAGAATAGTCCATAAAGGAGACAGCCATCTATCAGGGAAAGACAGGGCAAGGGAGTTGGCAGAGAAGAGGGACAGAGCACAGTGGCAGCAGTTACAGGAAAACATAGAACCAATTCCTGTATATATACCTTAGAGGCTAAAACTGCTCACAAAAGAGTATCATTAACATTCTTATATCTGCATATTCTATTGCTAGGAGAATGCACAGGAAAGCAGTAACAACTGTAGATTCTGGGGATGGAAATTAGGGGATGGGAGCTAGAGAAGGGGAAGACTTGGAAACGTTCACTGTTTACGCTTTTGTACTGTACTGCACATGCATGTGTATTACCTTTTTATATGTTCAAACAAATAAATAAGGTATACTACTTTAAAAGTCCATTCAAAAACATGCTTCTATGAATAATCTAAGTTTTATTGCTGGATCAAACTATATCTATATTTTGATATAGTCTATAATTATATTTACAATCCATCTTTTGCTCTTGTAAAGGGGCTGTTTACTATGCATGTTTGTAAATGTCCCTCACCCTTAAATCCTCCATTTTGTCTTAATTTTTATTCTTTATTTTCTTTTAGCCTTTATTTTTATATCATCGAATTGGTTTTCTTTGTCTCTAAGCCACTGAAAATCCCTCTTTTTTTCCCTAGTGTGGGAGAGGGGTCCTAATGAATAAATTGAAAGATGTCTTCCTATGTGGATTTGAAGGAATTTTAAAATAGAGATTTGCCATCAGTTAGAGATGACCACACTAAATTTTGATCTAGTTAGATGTATACACTGTTAGAGAAGTAGAGTAGTCCAAACACAATTATTGCCAATAGTGTGATAAGGAGTTTTGTCAAAAATATAAAGTGCACAGAAAATTTAGAAAGTGCAAAGAGTTATGGCATTCCAATTACAGAAACAAATTAATTAACTCCATCAATTTGTCTCTACAGGAATAATAGGAGTTAGTGAACCAGCTCCTAAGCATGCATAGTAAAACTGTGGTTCTAAGAAAGCAAAAACTGGACTACCATTCCAGGCCTTAATTTGTTTTTCAGCAACAGAATCTACATTTCTCTTAGCTGTGGAAAAGGTCAACTTCAGAAACCCAATTATATTCAAAAGAATGACACAGACTTAGATTGGAAATAGGAGTTGCAAGAAGAGAGAAGGAGATAATCAAATGGCTCATTGGAAACAAAACATAAACTTGCTTGATGTAGAAACAGTTATTGCTAGCATTGAGACATGTCTGGGCCACTCAAGATAAGGCAGGACTAGCAGGATGGAAGAGCCTGCAGGGAAAGACACCTCCTAGCTGAAGATTATCAAGGTGCGTGAATGTGATTCAAAGACAGTGGGCTAGTATGAGAGGTTGATCAGTGCTTCTCACTATATTAATAGCACAGTCCCAGCTGCTAAGTCCTATAAAGACAGGGCTGTTGTAAAAGAGCAAAACAATGACCATCTGAAAATGATGAGAGTGAATTCAGTCACCTGTGGCTTTAGCTATAAAGTGAGAGCACCTTTTGTGCAGAAGCTGGCTCTTTTGCTAATGGGTTACAGCAGCCATGGGACGGTAATCAACAAGTGGGTGAAGGATATGAACAGACACTTCTCAAAAGAAGACATTTATGCAGCCAAAAGACACATGAAAAAATGCTCATCATCACTGGCCATCAGAGAAATGCAAATCAAAACCATAATGAGATACCATCTCACACCAGTTAGAATGGCACTCATTAAAAAGTCAGGAAACAACAGGTGCTGGAGAGGATGTGGAGAAATAGGAACACTTTTACACTGTTGGTGGGACTGTAAACTAGTTCAACCATTGTGGAAGTCAGTGTGGCGATTCCTCAGGGATCTAGAACTAGAAATACCATTTGACCCAGCCATCCCATTACTGGATGTATACCCAAAGGATTATAAGTCATGCTGCTATAAAGACACATGCACACATATGTTTATTGTGGCACTATTCACAATAGCAAAGACTTGGAACCAAACCAAATGTCCATCAATGATAGACTGGATTAAGAAAATGTGGCACATACACACCATGGAATACTATGCAGCCATAAAAAATGATGAGTTCATGTCCTTTGTGGGGACATGGATGAAGCTGGAAACCATCATTCTCAGCAAACTATCGCAAGGACAAAAAACCAAACACTGCATGTTCTCACTCATAGGTGGGAATTGAACAATGAGAACACTTGGACACAGGAAGCGGAACATCACACACTGGGGCCTGTTGTGGAGTTGGGGGAGGGGGGAGGGATAGTATTAGGAGATATACCTAATGTAAATGACAAGTTAATGGGTGCAGCACACCAACATGGCACATGTATACATATGTAACAAACCTGCACGTTGTGCACATGTACCCCAGAACTTAAAGTATAATAAAAAATATATATATATATATTAAAAAAAGAAGCATTAGCAACAGTATCAATGCCTTTGACAGATGGCAGAGGCAGCAGCAGCAGCAAGCAGCAGCTTTTGACTTCAACAGAGGTAGGCAATGCCAACACATCAAATTATAGCAGTGAAGGAGGTATCAGACAAATCTTTACTACAGATAGCTCAGATGTATAACACAAAATCTTTTGTAATCTATCCAATTATTTTTGGTTTTCAAAAATGTATTAGCTACTTTTAATTATTCACACTATCAGAGGAACTTTGAAATATACTTGTCAAATTCCTTCCAGAATTTCTCTTGGCATTTTGATTTGAAACACTGAATTTATAGATTAAGTTATGAATACTTCCTTAAACTATTGTCTTATCATTAGAAACATGTTTTCTTTCTACTTATTTGAATATTTAGTAAAGTTTTTTCTTCATGCAGACTTCATACAGTATCTTTAGAAGTATTTTATAAATAGTATTGTTATTGAGTGTAAAATGTATGATTTGCAAATATATTCTCTCAGTATATGGTTTGTCTTATTTTTCTTAACGGTATCTTTTGAAGAGCAAGAGGTTTTAGTTTTGATCAAGTCCAATTTACCATTTTTTTCTCTTTTGTGGGCCATGGTTTCCGTGTTGCATCTAAAAACAAAAAAAAACTTTTCCTAACCAAAAATGGCTGTTTTCTTCTAAAGGTTTTATAATTTTAGCCTTACATTTATATTTATGATCCATTTTGTGTAGGTGCAAGGTAAAGTATAAATTCATCTAGTTGTATTAAACATCTTTTGTCCCATTCTTATGTTTGTAACATAAAGTCTTGTAGCATTGGCCCACACAGTTTCTAACTTTCAGAGCTTAAGGAGATGTTCTTCATGAAGTGAATATATGATCAATTTCAAATGCTTTTATAGTTTTACAAAAATGGTATGCTCTTATTTTTAAAAGCCATGCAATGTAGATTAGGGAAAGAAAAGAAAAGAAAAGAAAAGAAAAGAAAGAGAAAGAAAGGATGGAGAGAGGGAGGGGAGGGAGGAGAGGGAGAGAGAGAGAGAGATGAAAGAAAGAAAAAGAAAGGAAGGAAGGAAGAAAGAGAAAGAAAGAGAGAGAGAGAGAGAGAAAGAAAGAAAGAAAAAAAGAGAGAGAAAGAAAGAAACACCGTGAAAAGAGTCATCACCAATTATTATTTCAGCCATTTCTCTAGGTCACAAGTCATTTTCTCTTAAAAAAAAATTGAATGCATAACTTACATTGTTTTGTGATATCCGTTATGACTGATGAAAACATGATGGTGGTCTGATTCTCTAGTCTTTGTCACCTGGATTCTTTCTGTAGAAGTCTTTATCTTTATTTTTGGTAAACTGGAATTTTATAAAAATGTCTCTAGGTATTTTTTAATTCAAATATACTGGGCACTCACACATTTCCAATCCAACTGCTCCAGCCATTTATCTCTGAGAAATTATACTACACTATTGATTGGATAATTTTTCTCTTCATGTTTTCTCCATTATTTCTTTATGAGACTCCTATTAGCTACATATTGAATTGTAAATTCTTAAGAAATTTTACTATTTGACAGCTTTGAATTTTGGCACTCTTCAATATCTGATTTTATATTTTCTGTATCAATTCATCTATCAGAGGACACTTAGGTTGATTCCATATCTTGACTATTGTGAATATGCTGCAATGAACATGGGAGTAAAGATGTCTCTTTGATATCCTGCTTTTATTTTCTTTGGATAAATACCCATAAATAGGATTGCTGAATCATATGTAGTTCCATTTTTAATTTTTTAGAAATCTCCATACTGTTTTCCCATGTGGTTGTTTTCATGCCAATTTACGTTCATGCCAAGGGTTTACATGCATCCAAGGGTTTCCTTTTTTCCATACTCTCACCAACTCTTATTATCTTTCATCTTTTTGATAATACTTATCCTAACAGGTGTGAGGTAATGTCTCACTGTGATTTTAATTTGCATTTCCTTGACAATTAATATTATTATATTAATAATATTGAGCATTTTTCACGTTCCTATTCACCGTTTATATGCCTTTTTTCCCATAAGTTATTGGGGTACAGGTGGTATTTGGTTACATGAGTAAATTCTTTAGTGGTAATTTGTGAGACTTTGGTGCACCCATCATCTGAGCAGTATACACTGCAACATATTTATAGCCTTTATCCCTATCCCCCTCCCACTCTTTCCTCCAAGTCCCCGAAGTCCATTGTATCATTCTTATGCCTTTGCATCCTCATAGCTTAGCTCCCACATATCACAGAGAACATACGGTGTTTGGTTTTCCATTCCTGACTTACTTTACTTAGAATAGTAGTCTCCAGTCTCAACCAGGTCACTGCAAATGCTGTTAATTCATTTCTTTTTATGGCTGAGTAGTATTCCATTTTATGTATATATATATACATACCACAGTTTCTTTATCCACTTGTTGATGGGCATTTGGGTTGGTTCCACGATTTTGCAATTGTGAATCATGCTGCTATAAACGTGCTTGTGCCAGTTTCTTTTTCAAATAATGACTTCTTTTCATGTGGGTAGATACCCAGTAGTGTGGATTGCTGGATCAAATGGTAGTTCTACTTTTAGTTCTTTAAGGAATCTCCACACTGTTTTCCATAGCAGCTGTACTACTTTACATTTCCACCAGCAGTGTAGAAATGTTCCCTGATCACCACATCCATGCCAACATCTAATGTTTTTTGATTTTTTGATTACCGTCATTCTTGCAGGAGTAAGGTGGTATTGCATTATAGTTTTGATTTGCATTTCCCTAATCATTAGTGATGTTAAACATTTTTTCATATGTTTGTTGGCCATTTGTATATCTTCTTTTGAGAATTGTCTACTCATGTCTTGGCCCACTTTTTGATAAGATTGTTTTTTTCTTACTGATTTGTTTGAATTTGTTGTAGATTCTGCATATTAGTTCTTTGTCAGATGTATAGATTGTGAAGATTTTCTCCCACTCTGTGGGTTGTCTGTTTACTCTGCTGACTGTTCCTTTTGCCGTACAAAAGCTCTTTAGTTTAATTAAGTCCCAGCTATTTATCTTTGTTTTTATTGCATTTGCTTTTGGGTTCTTGGTCATGAAATTTTTGCCTAAGCCAACGTCTAGAAGGGTTTTTCCAATGTTATCTTCTAGAATTTTTATAGTTTCAGGTCTTAGATTTAAGTCCTTAATCCATCTTGTGTTGATTTTTGTATAAGGTAAGAGATGAGGATCCAGTTTCATTCTCCTGCATGTGGCTAGCCAATTATCCCAGCACCATTTGTTGAAAAGGGTGTCCTTTCCCCACTTTATGTTTTTGTTTGCTTTGTCAAAGATCAGTTGGCTGTAAGCATTTGGGTTTATTTCTGGATTCTCTATTCTGTTCCATTGGTCTATGTGCCTATTTTTATACCAGTACCATGCTGTTTTGGTGACTATGGCCTTATAGTACAGCTTGAAATCAGATAATGTGATGCCTCCAGATTTGTTCTTTTTGCTTAGCCTTGCTTTGGCTATGTGGGCTCTTTTTTGGTTCCATATGAATTTTAGAATTTTTTTTTCTAATTCTATGAAGAATGTTGGTGGTATTTTTATGGGGATTGCGTTGAATTTGTAGATTGCTTTTGGCAGTATGGTCATTTCACAATGTTGATTCTACCCATCCATGAGCATGGGATATGTTTCCTTTTGTTTGTGTCATCTATGATTTATTTCAGCAGTGTTTTGCAGTTTTTCTTGCAGAGGTCTTTTGACTACTTGGTTAGGTATATTCCTAAGTTGTTGTTGGTTTGTTTTTCTCTTTCCTTTTTTTTTTTTGTTTTTTTTTTTTTTTGCAGCCATTGTAAAAGGGGTTGAGTTCTCGATTTGATTCTCCCCTTGGTCGCTGTTGGTATATAGAAGAGCTACTGATTTGTGTACATTAATCTTGTATCTGGAAACTTTGCTGAATTCTTTTATCAGCTCTAGGAGCTTTCTGGAGGAGTCTTTAGGGTCTTCAAGGTAAACGATCACATCGTCAGCAAACAGTGACCGTTTGACTTCTTTACAGATTTGGATGCCCTTTATTTCTTTCTCCTGCCTGATTTCTCTGGCTAGGACTTCCAGTACTATGTTGAAGAGGAGTGGTGAGAGTGGGCATCCTTGTCTTGTTCCAGTTCTCAGAGGGACTGCTTTTTGTATGTATTTTTTGGAAAAAGTTTTATTCAGGTCTTTTGCCCATTTGTAATTGGATTATCTGCTTTTTTTTTTTTTTGCCATTGAATCATGAGTTTCTTATACATTTTGGATATTAACCCCTTATCTGATTTATGTTTTACAAATATTTTATCCCATTCCATAGGTTGTCTTTCTAATTTTATTAATTGTTCTCTTTGCTGTGCAGAAGCTTGTTAGTTTGATGTAGTCCCACTTGTTTAATTTTGCTTTTGTTGCCTGTGCTTTTTACGTCATATCCAAAAAATCTTCACCGAAACTAATGTAAATAAGCTCTTTCCCTATGTTTTCTTCTAGGTGTTTTACAGTTTCACTTCTTTACATTTGTCTTTAACCCATTTCAAATCAACTTTTGTATATGGTAAAAGATAAGGGTCCCATTTCATTTATTTGCTTATGGACATTCAGTTTTCCCAACATCATTTATTGAAGAGACTGTCCTTTGCCCATTGTGAATTCTTGTCTCCCTTATCAAAGATTACTTGACCATATATTAATAGATTTATTTCTGGGCTTTTTATTTCATTCAATTTGTCTATGAGTCTGTTTTTATAGCAGTCCCTACAATTTTAATTACTTTTGTATTATAGCTTGAAATCATAACTGTAAGACCTCCATGTTCTTTCTTAAGATTGTTTTGGCTATTGGAGGTCTAGTTCTCCAGTTTCTTGGAAAAAAAGAATGATACATTCTTAGTGGAATCCCTTTAATTACCACTTTTAAAGGCTAAATTCTCATTCCATAGTGTAAGTTTAGTCATTCTTTAATAAGGCCTGACTTAAGTTGCCCTGCTGGCATTTTTTTGTTTTTTTTTTTTTTGTTTGTTTGTTTTTTTTGAGACAGAGTCTCTCTCTGTCACCCAGGCTGGAGTGCAGTGGGGCCATCTCGGCTCACTGCAAGCTCTGCCTCCCGGGTTCACGCCATTCTCCTGCCTCGGTCTCCCGAGTAGCTGGGACTACAGGCGCCCGCTACCACGCCCGGCTAATTTTTTTCTATTTTTAGTAGAGACGGGGTTTCACCGTATTAGCCAGGATGGTCTCGATCTCCTGACCTCGTGGTCCCCCCGCCTCGGCCTCCCAAAGTGCTGGGATTACAGGCGTGAGCCACCACGCCCGGCGCTGCTGGCATTTTTATAGGTAGACTCCACACTGTGTAGATGGGACTTAATAGTTATAGTGGTGTACAGAAGTGCATCTGGTAAAGAGCACACCTTACAAAGTGCTGTCTGGAAATGCAAATTGTATAAGCATAGTGGTTGACTGTAAAAGACCTCCACTTAGGCAAACATACTATTGTAGATTTAAATTACAGTTTGGTCTCAACACTTCTATGAACTCTTGAGCATGTTTTCCAGTCTGATTTGGTTCCTTTAGTCTCTGTAAAAGGAAGAAGTGCACATGCTATTATGAGTCTCACTGCTCTGTAATCATTAATTCTTCTTTTTTTTTTTTTTTTTAACATGGTACTTAGGCACATAAAGTTAACAGCCTATTGGATGCATACTCAGGCCTGTTAAGTAATGAATCCATGATCCTGGCTGTGAACTCCAGGTATGATAAGCTATCATGCTCTTTTATTTCACTAATTGGATGCATTTAAAATGTTATATCTTTAAAAACATGCAATTGTGAAAGATAAGAAATTACTCCAAACTTCACCATCATAATTTGGTGACTACTATTTCTTTCTTATACTCTTTCCCAGTCTTTTTGTATTGCGTAGACAAGCAGATAATCTTTCTAGCTGCTGAGGCAAGCTTCATTTGCCATCAGTTTGAAGATGCATCTCAATGTAAGAAATACTAAGATGTGAAAAACATATTATCATTGATTACAGAAAATGGGTCAGTAATATATCTCAACTGTTTAAAGCTTAGCATGGCTTTGTGGACTTGGCTGGGAATGTAACCACTCTTTGCATTATTATGTTTATGGAGAAATATATTCTGATTTCTACATAACTGTTTATAGATAATATTTGCAAAGAAATTAATTCCTTTATTTTTACAACATTATTATCATTTTTAAGAGAATATTTAAGACTCATCTGTCATACAAAGCCAAAAGCTGAACCTCATTTTTGCTTATCACTAAGAAATGGCTGGGCCAGGCACGGTGGCTCACACCTCTAATCCCAGCACTTTGGGAGGCTGAGGCGGGCGGATCATGAGGTCAGGAGATCGAGACCATCCTAGCTAACATGGTGAAACCCCGTCTCTACTGAAAATACAAAAAATTAGCCAGGCGTGGTGGCGGGCGCCTGTAGTCCCAGCTACTCAGGAGGCTGAGGCAGGAGAATGGTGTGAACCCGGGAGGTGGAGCTTGCAGTGAGCCGAGATGGCACCACTGCACTCCAGCCTGGGTGACAGAGCGAGACTCTGTCTCAAAATAAATAAATAAATAAATAAAGCCCACTAAATTTCTATTATATTTGTTTTCTCATCATTAATAATTGCTCCTTTTTCTTGTCAGCTTTGTGGATCCCTTACTGCAGTTTGAATCTCAGTTGAAGATAATAGAGTCATCCTTTGGAATGCTAGTTGTCATGCCAAGTCTTGACAAAGTAAAAGAAATGGGGAGCAGTTATGAGTACATTGAGGACATGGAGGTAAAATTTTTCTTCCTTTAATCATTATAGGATGTTATTACACATCACAGCAATCCTGCAGAATGTGACTCAGCAGGTGATAATCTTTAGGGTCCTCCTCTTCACTCTTTTTAGTTATAACAGTCAGGGCACTAATCTATACCACTGGACTCCTTGTGAGTTCTACAACCCATGGGATTTTAATGGATTCTATAGGATTTGTAGGAGCAAATAGGCGAAGATATTTTTGGTTAATTGGTTTAGCAAGAATAGGGAGTTTGCTGGCAAGTGCTTCAAAGAATGGAATAGGAACATGGAAAGATGGAAGTAGAAAGAATCCTATAGTAAAATTAGCAAACATCTGCGGTCTCCATTTCTTCAGCATTGCTATACAGTGAACTTGCTCTATAAGCTAGAGAAGAAATTCATGGCATATGATATAAAGTGAGGTCTCAGCATAGCCACCTCTCTCCTTTCTTCAGTTTGTGGAGAGAATGTACAACACTCAGATGCAAAACTATCAGGCTAATTGTTTCTTTTTATAAGAGCTTCTATACACATCTCAGAGAATTTCAGCCTCGTCTGCAATTGATGCAAGGTGACTTTAATGTAGAAACTTTCTCAGCTATGTTCCTGTATCCCTAACACAGATTTGTAGGCTGCTATTTTTTTACAAATGTGCCATTATTTTCCAACTGGACTTCTTCCAAATATTCCTGAGTGGCTACCTGAGGATACCCAGAGATACTTTTACTTTTTACTGGTGAAGACCACTCTGGTAGTTGGGAGAAGAAAAATAACTTCTGAGTTAAATAAAAGTCTTCTTCCAATACTAGAAAGAAAGAAAAAAATGTGTTGTTATATAGCATTTCATCATCCAAATGCCCCATGTTTATTAATGTTACATATATTTTATATATCAGCTACTCACACATGGAAATTTCCAATACCCACATAGCATACAATTTCTAGTACCTACATAGTGTGTGGAACAATAAATCTTACTGTTTCCATCTATTTACATATAAAATGTATTCAATATTTGGTTTCGTTTTGTTTTGTTTGAGACAGGGTCTTGCTCCTTCACCCAAACTAGAGTTCAGTGGCACTATCTTGGCTCACTGCAGTCTCCACCTTCTGGACTCAAGCAATCCTTCCATCTCAGCCTCTCAAGTAGCTAGGACTACAGACATGCACCACCATACCTGGCTAATTTTTGTTTTGTTTTGTTTTATAGAGATGAGTTCTCACTATGTTGTCCAAGCTGGTCTCAAACTCCTGAACTCTAGCAATCCTCCCACCTTGGCCTCCCAAATTGCTGGGATTATAGGTGTGTGGCACTGTGCCTGGCCTGAATTATATTTAAATATGATGTTTGGATAACTTGTAGGTGTCAGCTAAAATAAGAACCAAGTCACGTCATGCTTGAGTCTTCTCCAACCTATTTCAAATCACAAAGGCATAAAAGTCTATTTTTTTTACATAGATAGTAGTAAGTAGCAGCACTTAAAATAGCAATTACTGTCTACTTCCATCACAACTATTCAGGTGGATATTCACAAATTATTCCTTTCAATGAACTTAAAGCAACAGTTAGAATAAAATATATTCATGTTATTACATTCTAAAAGACAGTGGAAAATTGAAAAGTATACGTACAAGAGTATCCCAAAACAAACACTAAAAAGATAATCTATAAACAGCTAAGGCAAGAGAAAATTTAAAATTTTAGAGGTGAGAATTTTTCTAAATGTTCACCATTAGAATAGGAAATAAAACTTTTTATAAATACAGGGACAAAACTATTAGCCAGGGCTATGTTCTTTTTGAAAATGAACTCAAAATCACACATCCAGTGAAAATAAATCCAACATATTGAATTCTCAAGCAAAATCACATTTAAGCACAAAGAATATTGAGGAAATGCAGCATTCATAAACATGGAAAATCAAGTTTTTATAAAATTAAATTTATAGCTTTTCCTCCTATAAACATGGTAGATGCTTATTACAGAAAATTTAAATATTATAGAAAGTCACTAAAAATATTCATTCTACTTCTCAAAGAGAATTACATTTTTATGTTTTCATTTGTCTTTTTCTTTGTATATTTTTTAATATCTGAGATAATGCTAAAATTCTTTAAATATGTGTGGCATTTTACAATTTGATGTTAAGTATTTTCTGTGTCACTGATTTATGTTCAAGGAATTGAAACCCAGTTAAAAGTAACTTTTAAGCAAGAAAAAAACTGTAGACATTAGGTAAAATTTTATCTAAGTCTGGCTGACTGTGCAATGTTTTTGTGTTTCAGAATTTATACCACAATATTTTAAATATATATGAGAACATTCTTACGAGCTTGGTGTCTAAAGACCTCTACAAACTACAGATCTTAAAGGTAAAGAGGAAATAAGTAGTTTAATTTTCTTGTCATAAGTCTAGTATGCTCACTATGCTTCACTTTCTTCTCATTTGCTATATTTGCATCTCCTTCAAGTATTTGATGACTGAAAGTTTTTCTTTACCACAGAAGAGTGAAATGTAGTCACTTCCCTTTATTTGAATTACAGGGGCACACTTTTAGGAATTTAATTTGGGAAGGACAGCATCAACAGGTACTTGAGAAACCAGGTCTCATGTGGTGATATATGGGTGAACACAGTTTGAAGTAGCAGAGAATAGTATTAGAGAGCAGTGTTAGCCTAAACTACCCTCAAGTTCACATAGCAATGAAACCATGCTGTGTATGTCTGTGTTCATGCTTCTTCCTCATCAACTCAGGTGCTAAAGAAAATGCTGAGCATTCTATCTTCATGGGTACTACTGTACCTAAAGAAGGCCTAACAACAATTCAAAACCCTATTTTTCACAACTGAGACCTCACTTCATTTTTTAATGTCCCAACCAGAGACAGAAGACTGCACTGCATGTCTTGTGGTCTTCAACTTTGCATTCCTAACATGTTGGCATCAGAGGCCAACTGTCCAGAAGTACTGGAAAAATAGATGGATTTATCCTACCAGGAGCATCTATGAGCTGTATAAATCATAAATACATACAAGTAAAGAAGCAGTATTGGTATTTATGAATACAAAAAGGAATTTGAATGAAAATAAAAATGTATTAAGCTAATTTGTGCCTAATTTGAGCTGTTTTTTTTAATTCATTTAAAAAATGTTATCCACTAGCTAGCCATATGCAGAAGATTGATATTGGACCCCTTCCTTACACCATATACAAAAATTAACTGAAGATGGATTAAAGACTTAAATGTAAACCCCAAAACTATAAAAATCCTAGAAGACAACTTATGCAATACCATTCTGGACATAGGAACAGGCAAAAATTTCGTGAAAAAGACACCAAAAGCAGTTGCAAATGGGACCAAAAGCAAAAATTGACAAATGGGATCTAATTAAACTGAAGAGCTTCTGCCCAGCGAAAGAAACTATCAACAGAGTAAACAGACAACCTACAGATTGGGAGAAAATTTTTGCAAACTATCCATCTGACAAAGGTCTAATATCCAGCATCTATAAGGAACTTAAGTTTACAAGAAAAAAAAAAACTCCATTACAAAGTGGGCAAAGGACATGAACAGACACTTTTCAAAAGAAGACATACATGTGGCCAACAAGAATATGAAAAAAAGCTCAACCTCATTGATGATTAAAGAAATGCAAATCAAAACCACAATGAGATACCAACTACCACCAGTCAGAATGACTATTCTTAAAAAGTCAAAAAACAACAGATGCTGGCAGGGTTGTGGAGAAAAATAAATGTTTATACACTGTTGGTGGGAGTGTAAATTAGTACAACCATTGTACAAAACAGCATGGTGATTCCTCGAAGACCTAAAAACAGAAATACCATTTGACCCAGCAATTCGATTACTGGATATAATATATCCAGAGGAATATAAATTGTTCTGTCATAAAGACAAATGCACACATATACTTGTTGCAGCACTATTCATAATAGCAAAGACATGGAATCAACCTAAATAACCACCTGTGGTAGACTGGATAAAGAAACTGTAGTACACATACACCATGGGATACTATGCAGCCATACAAAAGAATAAGATTATGTACTTTGCAGGAATTTGGATGGAGCTGGAAGCCATTAGCCTTAACAAACTAACACAGAAACAGAAAACCAAATACTGCATGTTCTCACTTATTAGTGAGAGCTAAGTGATGAGAAAACATGAACACATATTGGGGAACAAGAGATACTGGGGCCTGACAAAGGGTGGAGGTTGGGAAGAGAGAGAGAATAAGGAAAAATAATTAATGGGTACTAGGCTTAATATCACAAGTTTATCTATATAAAAACCTGCACATGTACCTCTGAACTTAAAATAAAAGTTAAAAAAAGTTGTTATCCTCACAACCCTTCACCGTGATTATGAATCCTCCCCTTCCCTGCCCATGCATGCTCTTTTATTCACTCCATGACACTATCAATAGCTTCCATTTATTGAGTTAAGCATTGACTCCATGTCAGGCACTAAATTGAATATGTGGGTTATCTCATACAATCCTTAACATAATTCCATGAGGAGGTTACTATTAATTCTTCCATTTCACAGATTTAAAAAAAATGAAAACGGAGAAAGGAGCAATAATATATATAATGCTAATGTGTGGAGGAGCCCCTCTAGCTTGGAAGCCTGTTACTTAACCACTTTGTTCTTATACCTACCATGCCTAAAAGCTTCCCTGCTTCTCAAAAAGGGCTGAAACCTCACTCCTGAAAAGGACAAGGCAGAGAGGCTGACCCCTCTGAGATTTAGAAACTCTTTCACCTTAGGAAATAGACTTCAAACATTTTTCACAATGGGAGCAAGAAAAGGTGAAGAGGTTTGGCCAACCATTGACATAAATATAGTAGACCCTGACAGATTGCCTTAAAGAAGGCTATTAATGGCGATTGGCATATGAGGCATATGCAGTATTCTTCCCTTTTCAAGGTTGTAAATGTGTCCTTGCCTCTGAGGATTAAGAACAGCTAGAAGGTGCAGCTAAGACAGATTTGAAAAAAAATTTGCAAGAACTTTCTAACCAACCTGCCTCCGGTAATGTACTCTCTAACCATAAGCCAGAATATTTGAGTGGTGAATTGGCAGAGGAATTCTGGAATAAGATGATATTGCAGGATCAGACAAGATTTTAAATCTCTTTAAAGCTGAAAGGCAGATTGTCATTTAAAAATAAAAGGGAGAATACATACTTTGAAAGAAAAAGAGGAGGCAAAGCAGCTGGTAATCATGTCATAGCTTCGTACTGAACTATTCATGGTGCCTAACAAAGTGACTATTATAGTGGATATTAGTAAATACTTTTTGAATATAATAAAATAAAATAAAACCCAGATACAGTTTCCATAGTAGATGAAGTAGTATACTAGATGCTTATTGTCTGTGTTTTTGAGATAAATGTAGGTTAAGTGTGAAATAACCAGGAGAATGTAGGAAGGCCTGATTTGGTGAAGTTGAAGAATAGAGGAAAGGTTCTTGGAAAATGGAAATTTCATGGTTCTAGGATGACTTTTATGTTTCCAACAGGAAATGCTCGTGTGGATGAGTAAAGATAGCTCATATCTGCAAGAGAGAATAATGGTGATCATCAACAAGGTGTTAAGATTTACAGTCACAAAAGTCAGAAAATACGTAAGTCACAGAATATAACAATGCCACCTGATTCTGAAGACTGCATTTCCATAGTGCTGCTTTCCATGTCTTGGGTCCTAACAGTACTTGACAGGTCCTTGGTATTATTGTACTGGTAGGTTGGTTGGGATATCAGAAAAGGAGTCAATATCCCACATGACTTTTTGTCAATCAGAACAGAGTTTCTCAAACAATTGGTTAAGACGCATCATGCTTTATGCAAAGAGCATGAGGGTGTTAAAACCAGATTCTTGCTGACTCTGAAATTTCCTCTGTAGACCACAATTTGTAATCTTTAAAATCCTTCCAACCTTACCTTTCTTCTTATGTATTACTTCCTAAAATAATTTGAAAGCTGTTATTTATTTTAAATTTATACAAGTAATCCTCAAGTTCTTTCATTGTGAAACATGCTAGAGGTAGAGCATAAATCTCCCTTTACTATCCTCTCCACACCAACCCTGTCCTTAGCCATGTCAGCATGATGTGTGTCCTAACAAACCACTTTCAATGTGCACACCCACATATAAAACACACACTGAAATACATAGCTTTATTATTTATTGTTTCTTTACTAAAGTTATATTCACATATGGTTCTACAATTTGCTTTTTTTCACTGAAACAATACATCCTATAGACATTTTCATGTCAACATATGTAGATTCATTTTATTATTTTAAATACAGTATATAGCCCATAGTTTTGACATATTATGATCCATTTAGCTATTTTTCAGTTGATGGACATTAAAGTATCATTTAATTTTTTTCTGCTTCAAACAATACAAAACAGGCATCTTTGTGCAAGTACATGAGTGTGTACCTGGAAAGGCTTAGAAAGATAATGGTCAGATAAAGAAGTATGATAGGTTAAAGTTTAGTAACACAAAATTGTCCACCAATTTGCATTCATGTAAATATTAAGGTGCCCATTTCCCCACACCTTCACAAATACTGGGATACAATCAGACTTTTTAATTTTTGCATTTCGGATGGAGAACAAATAGGTATGTCATAATCACCAGTATTTACTGAGTTTGTCTATACTTTGAATGACATCATGGCCTGCCTTCTCAAAAACCTTATACTACCTATGAACATTTCCCTTTTGTGGATACTGTATATTCAGCCTCTGTTTCCCAACTCATCCTTCACAGCGATTTGTAAACATACTCTGCTAATTACTTATCTGATTGCTGGAGTCACTTCAGGAGGAGATAAAAGTAAAGAGGGTGAGAAACATGCATTCATGATGTTATCTTTATCCATTTTCTACTGCTTGTACAAGCAGTCCCCAGATTTATTGAGATGAAGAATCTAGATCAGCTTTGTAATACCTCTGAATTTTTACTATTTTGTTTAAACTCAGCTTTGGAACATAATACAATTTACTTAGATGGGGGACACAGTCCAGAGTGTTCTTTGTATCATGCTAATTCCCTATTTCAGTGTCCCAAAAAAGAGAGTGAGCGGCTTATTTCAATCTTCTGATTCTCTGACCTGGGAAGGCAGCCTTTCTCTAACTTCTAAAATAGCTCGAGTTATACATTTGGTGTCCAGAAGGTTCACCATTGAAAATTTTGCAAGTGAGGCTTGAAATTAAGTGTATCTCACCACTCAAAACTGTTTTCTGCACAGCTCCTAAAATGTGTTATATATTCAGCAAGTATTTGATGACAATTGTTTGACTAGAGCCTAGTCACATGTTTCTCTCTGCATTTGATATATTCTAGTGAGTTCCACTCAAGTAGCAGATAGGCATTTTGGAGTTTCATCTTCTATCACTTCTTTCCATTACTGTAGTAGAGTTCATTCTCCTTTGCATACATCCCATCCTTCAACTGCAAAGGAATAAATATGTAAATTCACATGTGTAGCAGAAGGTTCTCATAAATTGTTAGTTGAGAGTTCCTAGCTATAACTCAGATTTGTTCGAGAAACCCAACGGAATAACCTATTACTCGGTTCTGCAATGTTCACTAAGTGCCACCAGGTGGAAGTACTTCAGTATTTTCCAGAACATTGAAACTAGAGCTAGAATCAACCAGCTCATCACAATCAGGGAAGCATAAAACTTCAGTAAGTTCGCTTTCTCTTTAAAATATTGTCTTGTAAAGATGATTAAGCCTGTGAAATTAATTGGGGAGGCAAATATACAAAACAAAAAAATCAAAACACACTGTTGACAAATTAAAATCTGAGATTCCCACAGCCCTAGTCTGTGTATCTCTGTATCTGACACATTGTATATCATCAACGAATATTTGTTCTACCCTTCTCTAAGTGCATCCACCTCATTTGTTATCTGGTACTGTTCCTACACTGGATAGACTTTTTTCTCCATAATAACCCTAGCCTAGGTCCTCCAGAGTGTCAGAGATTCTTGTCCTATTGAACAATTCTATCATTTTTATCTTGTCATAAACATTTTTAAAGTGATGATTTGTCTCACATGACTCATGTGCCCATCAGGGTAGAGAAACTCCTGCACTCAAAGCACATGTTCCTTCAATTAAATGGTTCAACTTTCAACAGGCAAAGAAATGTAAGTTAAGCATGTCAACTTATAGCATTAAGATTTTTTTCCTAGCTTTGTTCCTTTGGCACATCAGCATTTAAAAATGGATGGTGGGTTTCCAGCTAAATCTAACAAATTGCCCATGTGTATATATCTCCTTCTCCTCCAGAGTCCCCACAAAATGATGGTAATAAAATATTTTAAAAGTATAAATACACAGCAACAAAAAGAATTAATGAAGTGTTTTCAATGGGCTAGTGATGCCAACAAATTTCTGGAAGACAGATTAGGTAGAAGATAAAACCTGGCAGGGGAATTGAATGGTGGGAACCCATGAGCATTAGGGTAGGAGTTAGCTGAAAGAAAAGTAGTGTGCCCTGTAGAACCCTAGAGAGTGAGTTATGAAAGGCCAAATAATGATAAGGGCTGGGAGTCAAAGGCAGGCTGGAAACACATGCATTAATTCAAAGGATTAATTGAAAACATGTACAGAAGAACCTACATTGTCCCGCATTCCTCTTGACACACATTGGCAGACAGAAGTTGAGAATTTTTCTTTTGCAAAAACCATTGTTAAGCTCCCTGAGAAAAGAGTCTTGCATTCTGTCTAGCTATACTACAGCATGACCCCAGCCTCCCTCCCAGTTGCTCTAAAACAAAGTACAACAGGTGGCAAGCCTTGCTCACACACAAAACCCCATCAAGAGGCATTACATCCTTAAATTTTAAGCAGCAACCACACTTTGTGAAATTTGGGGAAACTCTCCAAATAAAAGAGACCAACAAGGGTAAATAAAGAAAAAATTACTATTAAAGATAGAGAGACAGCTGGGCTTTGTGGCTCATGCCTATAATCCCAGTGCTTTGAGAGCCTGAGGTGGGAGGACCTCTTGAGCCCAGGAGTTCTAGGCTGCAGTGAGCTATGATCACACCACTGCAGTCCAGCCTGGGTGACAGAGTGAGACCCCATCTCCAAAAAAAGTAAAAATAAAAATAATTTTAAAAATAAAATAAAGAGATAATGCAGGGTACAGATGCGAAAGACATAGGTACATACTAAAAGGAAATATAACTAAAGTGAGCATGGCCTATACATTGAATAATTTTATCTAGTCATGGTGAGACCATATTATTGATTTTCAACTTTTAGAATTAATCTATAAACCCAGCACAGGAAAACTTAAATAAGTTACTGAATACAATGTAAATGCTATGAGCTCAAAAGTGCAAAAATTAAAGTGCAGAGAATAGTTTAGTGGTTCTCCAACAAGTTACACATAGAATTGCTATTTGACACAGAAATCTTAGGTATATACCTAAAAGAATTTAACAGTTTCTCAAACAAAAACTTGTACAAAGTGTTCATTGCAGCAAAATTCACAGTAGCTGAAAAGTGCAATCTAAATGTCCATCAACAGATAAATGAACAAATAAAATCTAACACACACATATGGCATATTATCCACTCAAAAAAAGGAATCAAGTTGTATACATGCTACAACATGCATAAACCTTGAAAACATTATACTAAGTGAAAGAAGCCAGGCACAAAAGGCTACATTTTGTATGATTCTACTTATGTTCCTATTCTGTTATGTTTTATCCTGTTACATTCCTATTCTGTTATTCTGTTCTATGAAACAAGAAATAAAAGTATTAATATATTAGTAAAACACAAAAGTAGAAGAATTAAAAATAATATACTATGATGAGTAATGTTCTCTATTGAGAGAATTGTGGCGAAGTGGAAGAATGGAATTGAGATAGACAATGTCTCAAACTGATGTTAGAAGCAAAGGTGCATTGTTTATAGAAACAGGGGAGACTTCCAGAAGAAGCAGCTGAAAACCATAGAAGTGGTTGCTTCTGGAACCTAGCACTTAACACTATCATTACTGTTAAGATAAGGGACTGGAGAGGCCAGATCTACAAAGAAAGGGCACAGTTAAAAGGGCCAGAAAACTAAGCAGGAATACTTAGGTTTAGGAGTGAATACCGAGAAGCTACTTTTCTC
The DNA here is from genome assembly GCF_000001405.40 of Homo sapiens. NCBI lineage: Eukaryota > Metazoa > Chordata > Mammalia > Primates > Hominidae > Homo > Homo sapiens. Next base: position 170,969,789 of record NC_000001.11, read on the forward strand.
CAGTTTTTAAATATCTGCTTCTTTTTAGTACTTGGGTAGATTTTCTATAAAGGCAGGATATATCATACCGAAAGCTCTCAAAGTCTCATCTTAGAGGAGGGGTAACTGTGGTTGTCACGCTTCTGAAGGGGCTTGGCAGGATATACATCAGTGTGCTCCACGATCCACGCTGCCTTACTCCTCTCTCAGCCTACCTTGGGTCATGTCCCACTTCCTAAACATGCCTTTTTAGTTGGTGACAGTAAGTGGATATGCAGTCTAGGCACGACCACACATACTCTGCTAGAGACATACACCTAGATAGATCCTAACTGGCAAACAGAACAGAAGGAAACCACTAGGAGCTTCATTTACAAAAACATCTACTAAGAACTACACATCTAACAAGCTCCTGAGCAGGGATAATCAGAGAGGACATTTGAGGCAAAACCTGTAATATAAGATGACTGTAAGGCCAATCCCCTGTAAGTGGTGCTCAGCTTCAGTGAGGTAAGCTGTGAGAAGTACTACTCTTCTCTCATACCCAGTAGAGAGAGAAAACTTGATCCTTTTTCTCATGCCCATACACAATGATGGTTTTAAGATCTTGCCATCGAGTGGGAAAAAAAAAAAACTTGGAATGCAAACCCAAAGAAAAGGACATTCAGGCAAAGAGAGCATTTCCCCCTAGGGCCTAGAGCAGAGGCTGTCTGCTCCCAGATTCTCCAAAGCCACAGAGCTCCTATAAGGGGAAGGACCAGGCCACTCTTTGTACGGGTGGAAAAGAATGCAAGGAGAATATCCATGGAAAAAAAGAGATTTATAATCTCTCTTCTCCTACTGAGATCATCACTCCCCACATCACAATTCAATTATGGCCTTCGCCCATGACCTAGATGACCCAGGTCACTTCATATTTCTTCCTTAGGAATTTCTGTGTGTGTGTGTGTGTGTGTGTGTGTGTGAGAGAGAGAGAGAGAGAGAGAGAGAGAGAGAGAGAGACAGAGTGGGCAGGGAGTGGTGAGTTAAGCCACATAAAGGGCAGGGAAAATGGGGCATGAAAAAGGTCAACAGAAGCAGAAGCAGGCCTTGGGATCCCCCTAGAGTTTACCATCAACAATTGCTCCAATCATCAAAGCCTCTACCTAGGAAAAGTACTCACTTGTCTTGGAGGCAAGAACTATCTGCAAGTCATGCTGCTAGTTTGCCAAATCTACATTTAATCAGAGCCCTTCTTTGTCTAAAAAAAGACATGCAAAATTGGTAAAGGCCCTCATACTTTCATAAAAGCAAATGCCTTTTCTACCTTTCCTCTTTTCTCTCTCTACTCCCTTCTCTGTTTGGATATTATCTAGCCAGAGAGGTCCATTAAGGTGAAAATCTAAATATTTGATCAGTCTAAGGGTTGAAGAAGTTGTAGAAAGAAATACAGAAATATTTTGGTAGTAGCTTTGACATCAAAAGCAAATGATCTGCATTTTAAAAAAATGAATTCCCTTGAGAGGAGTCAGAATAACTTCCAGAGGAAAAGTGGCATGCCTCCTCAGTGACTTGTAGAAACATCTAGTGTTTCGTATGTGAAGAAGGAAGTACTAAAGGTTTTGGAAATACACAGCCCACCTTACTTTTCTATGTCCTGGGAATTTGCTACCTGCAAGTGACTACCCACTTCATGGCATAGAAACTAACATTAGTTGAGTCACCATTATGTCCAAGTACTTTCCTAGGAATTTTTCTTCTTGTCATCAGTGTTACCCCTTACTCTCCACAATAACTGTTACAAAGTGGAATTTATTGTCTTCATTTCACAGATGAGGAAATTGAGAGTCAGTAACGGGGCCAGGATTTGATTACAGATATTGTAAACTCTGAAGCTTATCTTAGAATCCTAGTCTGATTTATAACAGGATCAGATGCATGCAGACATTTTCATATTGGCTATGCATAGCAAATGCATGTTCTCCTTTGTTTCTCCATTAGATAAGTGTTGATGCTCCATGTTTGGGTCTCCTGGCAGCAGAGCTGTCTCTTTTGTGTTCCCATGAAGATCCCTCGATTGTAAAACAAGCATCATTGGGAATGTGTCACCTCCTCTACATTGCACGGTGTCAGAACGGTAAGAACAGTTCACCATCTTTTCTCAGGATTACTAAGAATATGTCCCTCGTTATTCAACTTATAGGTCCTGGGAAGGCTCTACGTCTGTTAATTTCTAAATCCTGCCCCAAGAGTCATGGCTATACTTTCTAAAATGTGTCTTTTAATCTTTTTAGCATTGTCAAGAAATTTTGGTAATAGTGTGGTTGGTTCTTCAAGATTTATAAAGTACTGTGCTTAGATTACTTGAGGGTTAATGGTAGGGAGAGGAATGCTGGGTGGATCCAGGGAGGACAGAGAAGGAGAGAGTTTACCAATGGGACTTTAAAAATGCGGTATTTTTTTCTGTCTAATTGAGTATCTGATAGACTACTCAGAAGATTCTTGCTTCAATGGTGGAGAAAAATAAGACTAGGATTAAAATAAATGTTGCTGTGGCTTGTCTAACAAAGCATAAAAGCAAGACCTGAAAGTATTAAGCTATTTCCAAGTAATTTAATTGCATTTTAGAACAAAGCTTAAGAATATTTGTATATTTGTAAGGGGTGGAGCCTCTGTCTATGGAGGCTATGCCTCTGTTTCTGTCCAGGATGTAATAACAGAGAACACATTTACTCTATTTACACTCCTATAGTAAGCAACCTTAAAAATATACATAGTTTTTGGCAAGGCACAGTGGCTCACGCCTATAATCCCAGCACTTTGGGAGGCTGAGGTGGGCGGATCACAAGGTCAGGAGATCGAGACCATCCTGGCTAACACAGTGAAACCCCCTCTCTACTAAAAAATACAAAAAAATAAGCCGGGTGTGGTGGCAGGCACCTGTAATCCCAGCTACTCAGGAGGCTGAGGTAGGAGAATGGCGTGAACCCAGGAGGCAGAGCTTACAGTGAGCCGAGATCATGCCACTGCACTCCAGCGTGGGTGACAGAGCAAGACTCCGCCTCAAAAAAAAAAAAAAAAATACACACACACACACACACACACACACACACAGAGTTTTCAATTCATTGCACATTAAATAATAAAGGACAATGACTCTTGAAAGATGAGGAGGTGAGAACGAATGAGGTGGGGTTTGTAATTGCCTGAGCTTACCACCTAGAGTACATTTCTAAGAGCCAACACAAAAAGAGATAAGCCAGTGGTCTCATCAAGTTAAAAAGACAGAAATGGGAGTCCAGAGAGGTCAATAGCTAGGGTTGAAAGGCCAGGGTACCAGAACGGAGTACATGAGTGCATGCACACGCATACACACACACACACACGCACGCACAAACCCACAAACTCGAGATCTGCAGAGATCTAAAGAGAGCCCCCTTTAAGTATTTAGCTGAGTACTAATGAGAACATGCATGCAAGTAAACTGCCTGAGTTTGAAGGGTAGGAAACAACAAAAATGATTAGAGAAAAAGATTCAGTGCTCAACAAAGGCTAGTGATAATGCCTGTGCCTGTAAGCCAGAATTTAAAACCTTATAATTCACAAGTACCGAGGTACAGTACTCAGACGGGTTTTGTCTCATTAGGAGAAAAAAAATCATCCTAAACTGTTTTAGTGCTACTTAAAAAGGCCTTAAAACAAGATCTAAAAGTATCACTATCTCCAAATATTTTAATTACCTACCAAAACAAAGCTGAAGAATACCCCTAGAAATAAAAAAAAAAGTTCCTGCACTCAACAAGTTAAAATTAACAATGTCTGAAATCCAATTTAAAAAAAATTATTAGGTTGGGCACGGTGGCTCATGCCTGTAATCCCAGCACTTTTGGAGGCCGAGGCGGGCAGATCACCTGAGGTCAAGAGTTCGTGATTAGCCTGGCTAAAATGGTGAATCCCCGTCTCTACTAAAAATACAAAATTAGCTGAGCATGGTGGTGCGTGCCTGTAATCGCAGCTACTCAGGAGGCTGAGACAGGAGAATTGCTTGAACCTGGGAGGCAGAGGTTGCAGTGAGCTGGTATCGTGCCACTGTACTCCAGCCTGGGCGATAGAGAAATGGCACAGATGATAGAATGAGTAGAGTGTGACATTAAAAGAATTATTATAACTACATTCCACTTATTAAAGGAATTAGAAGATAAAAACATCTTAAGTAGAGACAGAAAAACTCCTAAAAGACTTATATTGAACCTCTGGAGGTAAAAATTACAATATCTGAGAAGAAAAATTCTCTGGCATGGATTAACAAAAACTTTGCAGAAGAAAAGATTAATGAGCTTGCAGACATAGTAATAGTAATTATCAAAATTTAAACAGAGAAATAAATGACAGACAAATAGAGCATCAGTGAGCTATCAGGCATGTCTAATATGAGTCTCTGAAGAGCCTAATACATATTTTATTTGAGTCTCTGAAAGTGAGAAAGTGAGGACAGAAAAACAAATTAAAGAATAATGACTGAAAAATTTTCAAATGTAATAAAAGCTATAAACTCACACACTGAAAAGCTCAGCAGAGAACAAGAAATGTGAAGAAAAGAACATCAAGGCACATCATAATTAAATTGCTTACAACAAGTGATAAAGAAAAAAATCTTAAAAGGAGCCAAAGAGGAAAAAGGACATTACATATAGAGAAACAAAGATAAGGGTGACAGCAGATTTCTCACCAGAAATGACACAAGTTATAGGCAATGAAGGAACATCATAAAATACAGAAAAGAAAAAAAAAGTCAATCTAGAATCCTTAAACCAGTAGAAATATCTTTCAAAATAAAAAGTAAAATAAAGACATTTTAGATATACAAGAGTTGGTAGAATTAATTACCATAAGATCTTTAACTGCAAGAAATGTTAAAGAAAATTCTTTTAGAAAAGGAAATTATACCAGACGAAAATCTAGATCTACAAAAAGGAATGAAGAGCACTGGAAAACTTCAGCAATATAGATAAATATTCATTTATCTTTCTTATTTAAATCTCTTTAAATGATAATCAACTCTTTAAAGATAATAACAAAAGTAAAATATATAAAAACAACACAAAAACTTAAAGGGAAAAATGTATAAATGTGTTTTAAAATTCTTCTCCTATGCACAAAGTTATAAAATAACACTTGAAAGTAAACTAATAAGTTAAGGATGTATCATCTAAACCCTAAAGCCACCATTAAGATAATATAGCAAAAAGTTATATATATTAAGCCAAAATGGAGCTAAAATGGAATCATAGAAAATAATTTAAAATGAGGCAAAAAAGAATAGAAAAAAAGCAGATAACACAAAATAGGAAACAAATAATCAAGACAAATTTTTAACCCAATCATAATAAATGTAAATATTCTAAATACCCCAAGTAAAAAGGCAGATTGTCAGACTGAATAAAAAGCAAGCCTCAACTATATGCTGCCTACAAGAAACTCACTTTAAATATAAAACATACATGAATTAAATGTTAAAAGTTAGACAATGATATAACATGTTAACAATAATAAAAAGAAAATTGGAGTGGCTATATTCTATTATTATAAAAAGATATATTTTAGAGATAAGAATGCCTCCAGGGAAAAGAAAGTCATTTCATAATGATAAAGGGATCGATTAATTAAGGAGACATAACAATTCTTTTTTGAATAGATTTAGGGGGTACAAATGCTGATTTGTTGCATGGATATATTCAGTAGTAAGCATCACCTAAATAGTGTACATGTTACCCATTAGGTCCTTTCTCATCCCTCACTCCCCTTTCACCTTCCCACTTTTATGAGTCTCTAATGTCTATTAATCTGCTCTGTATGCCCATGTGTACACATTATGTAGTGAGAACCTGTGGTATTTGACTTTCTGTTTTGAGTTATTTCACTTAAGAAAATGACCTTTTTTGCCTCAATGATCTAATACTGCCAGTGGGATGTTGAAGACTCCCACTATTATTGTGTGGGATGCTGAAATCTCTCACTATTATTGTGTGGGAGTCTAAGTTTCTTTGAAGAACTCTAAGAACTTGCTGTATGAATCTGGGTGCTCCTGTGTTGGGTGCATATTTATTTAGGATGGTTAAGTCTTCCCATTGAATTGAATCCTTCATCATTTATGTAAATGCCCTTTTTTGTCTTTTTTGATCTTTGTCGGCTTAAAGTCTATTTTGCCTGAGATTAGGTTTGCAACCCCAGCCTTTTTCTGTTTTCCATTTGCTTGGTAGGTTTTTCTCCATTTCTTTATTTTGAGCCTGTAAGTGTCATTACATGTGAGATGGGTCTCTTGAAGACAGCATACCATTGGGTCTTTGTTTTTTATTAAGCTTGCCACTCTGTGCCTTTTAATTGGAGCATTTAGCCCATTTACCTTCAAGGTTTGTGTTATTTATGGATTTGATCCTGTCATGATGTTAGCTGATTAATTACGCAGACTTGTTCGTGTGATTGCTTTACAGTATTACTGGTCTGTGTACTTCAGTGTATTTTTGCTGTGACTGGTACTGGTCTTTCCTTTCCATATTTAGTGCCCTTTTCAGGAGCTCTTATCAGGCAGATCAGTGGTAATGAATTTCTTCAGCATTTGCTTGTCTAAAAAGGGTCTTATTTCTCCTTCACTTAGGAAGCTTAGTTGAGCCAGATATGAAATTCTTGGTTGGAATTTATTTTTTTTTAAGAATGTTGAAGCCAGGCATGGTGGCTCATACCTGTAATCCCAGGACTTTGGGAAGCTGAGGTGGGTAGATCAATTGAGGCCAGGAGTTTGAAACCAGCCTGGCCAACATGGTGAAACCTCGTCTCTAATAAAAATACAAAAATTAGCTGGGCATGGTGGTGTGTGCCTGTAATCCCAGCTACTCAGGAGGCTGAGGCATATAAAAAAATGATAACATATTTTCTTTTTTTATTTTGACCTTGGAGAATCTGATGATTATGTGTCTTGGGGATGTAGAATTGTGCAGAGGTTGTCTGTATTTCCTGAATTTGACTGTTGACCTGTCTAGCAAGGTTGGGGAAGTTTTCATGGATGATATCCTGAAATGTTTCCAAGTTGTTGGCTTTCTCTCCATCTATTGCAGGGATGCCAATAACACATAGAATTGGCCTCTTTATATAATCTTGTATTTCTTGGAGGTTTTGTTCTTTCCTTTACATTCTGGTTTCTTTTTTTTCTTTTTTTTCTGACTGCCTTAATTCAGAGAGCCAGTCTTCAAGTTTCAAGATTTTTTTCCTCAGCTTCATCTATTCTGCTGTTAATACTTGCATTTGCATTTTGAAATTCTTGTAGTGTGTTTTTCAGCTCTATCAGGCCAGTTAGGTTTTTTTATACTGGCTATTTCATCAGTCAGCTCCTGTATCATTTTATTGTGAGTCTTAGTTTCCTTGGACTGGGTTTTGCTATTCTCCTGAATCTCAATGATCTTCATTCCTAGCCATATTCTGAATTATATTTCTGTCATTTCAGTCAATCCAACCTGGTTAAGAACCCTTGTTGGAGAACTATTTCAGCCATCTGGAGGACACAAGACACTCTAGCTATTTGAGTTACTCATTCTTTCTCAGTTCGGCATGAGGGTATCCCTTTAACTGCAGTGGAGATTGAGTATAGTCAGTAGACTTCCTTTCTGGATGTCTTCACAGGACTGAGCCTTGTACAGGGTCTGTATTTGTATCTGACTTCTCATCTTTGGTTTCATGGTAGGGTATGTTAGTGAGATATTTTGTTGTTGAAGCTTTAGGGTGTGATCTGGTCTGGTCAATGGCACTTAGGCACAGTGATCAGTTGGTAGACTCTTGCTCAGTTGTGGCTCCCCTATATTTCCTTACAGTAGCAGCTGTGCTTCTTCTCAGTGCCCCGAAAGCATGGGCTCCTTTCCCACTTAAGTGTTGGCTATAGATCATGGCTTGGCACTTCCAGGATGCCTACCACAACTCTGGGTTGATTTCAAGGTTTATGTTTCCTCCCCAACTCGGAGGCAGCAGAGAAAGGGACCTCAGCAGTGAGTGTGGCCAAGGATCTTTTACTTGTCTTCTGGAGGCTCCACACCAGAGAGATGCAGGTCAGCAATTGCTCAGTGCAATCAACCCAGGATTGAAGGTCTGTGCTGTGGGCCCAAGCTAGGAGTTCCCTGCCTGGTGATGAGCAGGGAACATGAGTAGAACCCACAGGAGACAGACTGGCCCCCTTTCTCTGGGTTGACTGTAACTTGCTGGAGTTGCAGATTAGGTATTTACAGTCTTTGCTCCTTCTTTAGTCTGAGGGTAGCAGGGATAGTACCATTGCAGAGGCAGTGGCAGAGGAGTTTTCATTTGCCCCCTTGAGCTCTACTTCCAAGAAACATGGAGCTGCTGTTACTGAGATTGTTCAGCCAGTAGGGTGGGACAGCTAAATTGCTGGTATGAGCTTGGGGTTATGCTTGTTGGAGAGCAGGGGTTCAAAGGCTCTCCAGGTGGAAAGATTGGTCTCCTCTCCCTACAGTGACTGTGGTGTGCTATAAGCTCAGGTGTAGCCCTCAGGCTCATTTCTTCCCCAAATTGAGGGCAGCAGGGATAGAACTCTGCTGTGGCAGTAGCAGAGGGGCTGTCAAACACCTCTGGGAGCCTCTCCCCAGGGAGACTCCAGCCACTTACCAGTGGATATGCTCAGCCATGGTTGTGGGTGACCATTCTGCAGTTGTAAGCCAGGGGCCCTGGCTGGTGAGGAGTGGGGGTTGGGTATTTCCAGGGAATAAGGGCTAGACTCCTTTTCCTTTTGTGGCTGGAGTGTGTTGGAGGTGCCAGCATAGTGACTAGGCCCTTTGTTCCTTCCCCTAGCCCAAGGGCTGCTAAGGGAGTACTACTGCAATTGCAGTCGCGGAGGTATTGTGGGTTGACTCTGGGATTTTCTACTCAGAGAAATTCTGGGCTGCCTCTGATTGAAGGGGACAGGTGGGAGCAGGGTGGTTGTGCTGGAGTCCAAGGTCAAGAGGCCCTGTCTGGTGAGGAGAAGGACTGAGACCTGTGTGGAAAATAGCCCAGCCACTTTTTCATGTCAGGAATGCTCTGTGCTGGGAATCCAGACCAGCCTTTGGTCCCCACAGACTCTCAAGAACCTGGAGACAGTAAGGGTTATAAGACAGCAAAGAGGGCAACTCGCCCTCCCAGGGAGGTCTGTCCCAGGGAGTTGCAGAGATGCTACTGGCTCAATAGCCCTGGTGAGGGATTGCTGGAGATCCAAGCCAGGAGAACCTGTTCAGTGAAAGCTTAAATGATTGTTAGCATTTTGTAGCAATAAAATGTCTTTAATTAAGATATGTATATTTTTATACATAATGCTATTGCATACTTAATAGAATACAGCATAGTGTAAACATACATTTTATAGGTGCTGGGAAACCAACAAAATTAACGTGGGTTACTTTATTGTGATAATCACTTTATTGCAGTGATCTGAAACCAAACCTGTAGTATCTTTTGAGGTTATGTCTGCACTTAATGGTGAAATACTGAATGATTTCCCTGAAACATCAGAAACAAGGCAAGGATGTGCACTGTCATTAGTTCTATTCTATTCAACATTGTGCAGAATAGAACTGAGAGTCCAGAAATAAATCCATATATATAGTCAGTTGATTTTTTATGAAGTTTCAAAGGCAATTTAAAGGAGTGAGCAAAAACTTTTCAATAAATTGCGTTTGGAAAAAATGGATATTTATAGGCAGAAAAACAACTTTGATCTATACTTCATATATATTCAAATATTAATCCAAAGTGAGTAACAGAACTATATGTAAAATCTAAAACTATAGAACTCAAAGAAATTTTGGGGGCCTTGGATTAGGCAAAGATTTCTTAGATACAATAGTCAAAGTATAAATGAAAATAAATGATAAATTAGGTATTTCTGCTCTTTGAAAGATACTGTTAATAGTTAAGCCACAGACTGGGAGAAAATATTTGCAAACTACATATCTGATAAAAGACCCATATTCAAAGTTCATAAAGGACATCAAAACTCTGTAAGAGGAAGAGAGGAAGTCATCTCTGTTTGCAGATTACATCATTTTATATTTAGAAAACCCCATCATCTCAGTCCACAAACTTCTTGAACTGATAAGCAACTTTAGCAAAATCTCAATACAAAATCAATGTGCAGAAATCACAAGCATTCCTTTACACCAACAATAGGCAAGCAAAGAGCCAAATCATGAATGGACTCCCATTTACAATCGCTACAAAGAGAATAAAATACCTAGGAATACAGCTAACAAAGGATGTGAAGGACCTCTTCAAGGAGAACTGCAAACCACTGCTCAAGGAAATAAGAGAGGACACAAAAAAATAGAAAAACATTCTATCCTCATGGATAGAAAGAATCAATATTATGAAAATGGCCATACTGCCTAAAGTAATTTATAGATTCAATGCTATTCCTATCAAACTACCATTGACATTCTTCACACGATTAGAAAAAAACTATTTTAAATGTCATATGGAATCAAAAAAGACCCCGTAGAGCCAAGACAGTCCTAAGCAAAAAGAACAAAGTTGAAGGCATCATGCTACCTGACTTCAAACTATACTACAAGGCTACAGTAACCAAAACAATATGGTACTTGTACCAAACATATAGACCAATGGAACATTGGTGCTGGTACCAGACATATAGACCAATGCAACATAACAGAGACATCGGAAATAACACCACACATCTACAACTATCTGATCTTTGACAAACCTGACAAAAACAAACAATGGGGAAAGAATTCTCTGTTTAATAAATGGTGCTGGAAAAACTGTCTAGCCATATGCAGAAAACTGAAACTGGACCCCTTCCTTACATCTTACACAAAAATTATCTCAAAATGGATTAAGACTTAAATGTAAAACCTAAAACCATAAAAACCCTAGAAGAAAACCTAGGCAATACCATTCAGGACATAAGCATGGGCAAAGACTTCATGAATAAAACACCAAAAGGAATTGCAAGAAAAGCCCAAATTGACAAATGAGATCTAATTCAACTAAAGAGCTTCTGCACGGCAAAAGAAACTATTATCAGAGTGAATAAGCAACCTACAGAATGGGAGAAAATGTTTGCAATCTATCCATGTGACAAAGGTCTAATATGCAGAATTTACAGGGAACTTAAAAAAATTTACAAGAAAAAAACAAACAACCCCATCAAAAAGTGGGCAAAGGATACAAACAGACAGTTCTCAAAAGAAGACATTTACATGGCCAACAAACATGAAAAAACCTCAACATCACTGATCATCAGATAAATGCAGATTAAAACCACAATGAGATAACATCTCATGCCAGTCAGAATGGTGATTATTCAAAAATCAGGAAACAATAGATGGAGGATGTGGAGCAATAGGAATACTTTTACACTGTTGGTGGGAATGTAAGTTAATTCAACCATTGTAGAAAACAGTATGGTGATTCCTCAAGGTTCTAGAGCCAGAATACCATTTAACCAGCAATCCCATTGCTGGGTATATACCCAAAGGAATATAGATCATTCTACTATAAAGACATATGCATACATATGTTTATTGCAGCACTATTTACAATGACAAAGACATGGAACCAACCCAAATGCCTATCCATGATAGACTGGATAAAGAAAATGTGGTACATATATACACTGGAATACTATGCAGGCACAAAAAGGAATGAGATCATGGCCTTTGCAGGGACATGGATGAAGCTGGAAGCCATTATCCTCAGCAAACTAACACAGGAACAGAAAACCAAACCACGTGTTCTCACTCTTAAGTGGGAGTTGAGCATTGAGAACACATGGACACAGAGAGGGGAACAACACACACCAGGGCTTGTTGGAGGTGGGGGGTGCGGGGAGGGAACTTAAAGGACGGGTCAATAGGTGCAGCAAACCACCACAGCACATGTGTACCTATGGAACAAACCTGCACGTTCTGCACATGTATCCCCTTCCGCTTTTTTTTTAGAAGAAATAAAAAAAAAAAACTCTCTATGAAAAAAGACAACCAAATAAAAAATAAAAATGGATTTAAATAGCCAAAGAAGCACAGATAGCAAAGGAGCAAATCAAATAATGTTCTATATATACTTATTAAAGAAATGTAAATTAAACCTATAATGAGATACCACTACACACTCATTAGAATGTCTAAAATTAAAAAGACTGATTCTGCTATGTGTTGTTAAGGATGTCACTGGAGCTCACATACATTGCGGGTGAAACTGTAAAATGGTATAACAACTTTGGAAAGTAATTTGGCACTATCCTAAAAAGTTAAACATATAGCTATCATATGATTCAGTCATAACACAATTTTATATTTACCTGAGAGAAATGAAAGCAATTGTTCGTACAAACACTTACTGGTACATGAATGTTCATAACACCATTATTTGTAATAGCCTCAAACCGGAAACAACCTAAATGTCCATTAACAAGCAAATAGATAAAGAGATTTGGGTATGTACATATAATAGAATACTATTATTCCAGTAAAAAAGAACAAACTATTAATATGTACGAAAACATGGATGAATCTCAGTAGTTTTGCTGAGTGAAAGAAGCCAATCCCCCCAAAAAAGAGTATATATGGTATGATCCACTTATATAAAATTAGAAAGTACCAACTTGACAGAGAGCAGATGACAAGAAGTGGATAAGTGGTTGCCTTGGAGTCAGAGGATGGATACAGGGATTAGGTGTGAGGGGTTACAAAAGGGCATGAGGAAACTTTTGGAGACAATAGATATGTTCATTTTTTTTCCTGTGGTAATGTTTTACTGAGTGTATAGATACACAAAAACTTGCCAAGTTGTTCACCTTAGATATGTTATATGGGCTGGGCATGGTGGCTCACACCTGTAACCCCAGCAATTTGGGAGGCCTGGGCGGGCAGATTACTTGAGCCCAGGAGTTGGAGACCAGCCTGGGCAACATAGTGCGACCCTATCTCTACGAAATATGTATATTTTTAATTAGCTGGGCACTGTGGCATGTACCTGCAATCCCAGCTACTGGGGAGGCTGAGGTGAGAAGATCAGTTGAGCCCAGGAAGTCAAGGCTGCAGTGAACCCTGTTTGTACCACTGGACTTCAGTTTGGGTGTCAGAGCAAGATCCGGGCTCAAAAAAGACAAAAAACAAAAACAAAATCAGTAAATAAATGTCAATTATATCTCTATAGAGCTATTTAAAAACAAACAAAATCATTTAAAGCTCACCTTCTCCAGAACTGAAGTTATCTGCACCTGAAGCTTTTGCTGAGCACTTCTGGATTCCCTGGTCTACCACTCCTCAGCTCATTTCAGTTGCCTCCAAGTCTACTTTCCCTGCCAATAGACCCTCCAGCTTAGCATTAGCTTTTCCAGCACACTGAACCATGCATTTGATGGTCTATATATATTTGTTATCTTGTCAGGCTATTATTAAAAGTATTTGTCCATTCATATGTCACATGGACTCTCTTAAACACTTTATGAATTCTGTGTGAGTGCCATAAAATTTTATGAGACTAAACTATGAGCAGAGAGTTAAATATTCGGAAAACTTCAGATCTCCAGAACTGGGCAGGAAAAGAAAATTGGAAATAGTAATGTCATAGAACAAACAAGTGATCAAATAACAACCTGAAACTCTTTTTCTTAACAAAGCAGATATTGGAACAAATAAGCCTACAAACGGTAAAAGTCATAGCCTCCAGTTTCCTTCTTCTGATGTAGAATTTCTACCCAAGGAGTTTCAACAAGACGAAAGTAAAATAGCTCAGGTAACTTAGCCCCCACTTTTTCCGAGGGCTTTTGTTTATGTGTATGATTACTCTTAGTAACAATTTATTTCAACAAAGTTTATGTCGTTAGTATTTTTTCGTTTTTTTTTAAACTCAGTGTGATAAAATGTAAATGATTATAGACCATTTAGTTTTCTGATTTTCATCTCTATTAATAGTAGTTATGCCTATTATTCCCAAATATAGTAATTTGTATTACTTTACTTAATCCTTATAGAAAGCAAATGAGGTATTTCCTAGTTACACTTCTTTTTGTTTGGCCAACAAATAGTTCACTAAAAATGGAGAACTTCTGCTTATTTAGAAAAATTAACAGTCGTCAGTTAACAGACTTTCCAATACTATCATAATTTAATCTGCAAACATCATAATGACACTGTGATTTTGATTTTGTTTAAAAGCGCTATTAAATGAAAAATAAAAATTTAAAAAGCCTACATGATAAACCTCAGTACCAAGTAAGTAGTTTTTACACTGTCTCGACCCTTGGGAGAACTGTGAGGCTCTATAGCCATATATTCTCCCTCACCTTCTTCAGACTACATAGGTTTAGCCATAGGCTCCAGAAGTTGCACAGCATTGGGGCCCAGGTTGGGATTTCCAGCACCTTCCAGCCACACACGTTGAGCTAGTAGTTCAGCAAAACTTCTGAGGAAACCCGTTAGGCTAGCTCATCTCTTGGGGTGGGAGGATCTAGGGGTTCCTCTTAAAACTACATGTATAAAGCAGTGTCTTCTTCCATGGCTGAGATGGGTTGAATTGTGGGAGGCTGAGGATATGCAGAAGCAATACATCTAACATGGTATGGTCAAAAATACTGCATAGCTGTCTTAAATATGTAGAAGCCCAATGGTACATCTTTCCAAAATCAAAAGTTATTCTTTCCCACCTCCTCTCAAAAATTTCAAGCCTGGATGACTATGTTCATTTACATGAAGAAACCAGGCATCTGTTTAAGTTTACTAGCAAATCTTCCCTCATCCTTCCATCCTCCACTCCAGTATCCTGGAATTGAAATCCTGAGTACCATGACTGGGCTAGTGAACCTAGGACCAGCAGTCTGTTGGGGCCTCTCCTAAGCTGTTCATGAGACTTATCATCACAGCCTCTAGGTTGGTGTCCTTGCTTATCTGAGTTTAATGTCCATCAGGTGTAAAAATCCTTGGGCTTGCGGGAGGTACCCTGGGTCCTTGTGTTCATGACCTGTTATTCATTTCCCAATTGTGAGACCAAAGCAAGCCCAGCACTACATGCGGGAACAGTAGCTGGAAAACCTGGAGTTGGGACTTCCAGTAGTAGATGGAACAGGTAAATTGAGAGAATACAAGATTGTAGAAACAAGACCAAGAGGCCTATAGCCAAAGACAAAGTTCAAAGCATGCAAATAGGGGCAGAAGCAGCAAGGTTGCTAACCATGGAAGCTGGAAGCAAAGCACCATTAAATGGGAGGGCTGGATTGAAAAACAAAACCGAAAACAATTCCCAAACTATGGCACTCTCATTTTATATAGTGGTTGGTTGTAAGAGAGGACACTGTTTTGCAAAGGATCCACAGAGAGCCACAAAAGTGTCATTAACTAAAAATATATGTTTATATATGTTCATACCAAATAAACTAATAGTGTCACTCATGGGAATTTATAGAAAGAAATAACTCAAAATGGCACCATTATTTGTGAGAAGAGCTTCTTCACAGATTTTTTAAAGTATATGCCAAACATAGAGGAATAAATGAAAATCTGTGGACTATTAAGTTAATAGTATATTATGCAAACATTCAAGCAAGCGGCATCAAGAACATGTAACAACACGGCGTAGCAGTAAGAAGCAGGAGGAGATAAAAATGACCTCTGAAGAACCCAGCTGATCCTGTGTGATTGGTGTATTTCTGGAGAGTTACGTGTAGATAATATTTTACAAAGCAAACCTACCATTTTATATAATCTACTGTCACATCTTCACCTGTACATGACAGAAACTTCTAACACTGGCTCTAAGTTTCACTGGGAATTGCTTCTTCTACAACTTTTTAGATAGATACTAAATTTCTTGTTGAGTAAGCAAATATTCAAGAAGAGAATATTCTGCCCTCCAATATTTTTTAAAAATCCAGTGTCATATAATTAAATCTGGCTCTCTTAAAGTAGGGCAAACTATTTATGATATTCAGCCCCCCTCTCCAAGCCTTGGTTACCCCCCTCTAATTTTCTTCCATAGCTTTCCAAGATTCCCTTCCATCACCCCTCTGCCCAGTGGGAGAGGAGCTAGTGATCATCAATTCTCACTCAGACCTTAGTTCTGCCTTATGACCAAAAAGCAATACTCCATCCCTTTAAGGAGAGTGAAGAAAAACCTTTATTGGTGAGATTGGGTATCCTCTGTACTTGGGAGAATGACTTTTTTTTTTTCCATATAAAGGCAAAAGGAGAAAATTTGGCTCGTTTATCTTTCTTTGAGGAATCTATAATCAATGTGAGTTTGTTCAAATTTTACAATCCATGGATAGTCCTCTAACTTTAAAAAGGGATTATTTGAATTGTAGTTCTTGCACCTTGATCATGGACATAAAGGCCTTTTATTTCTTTCTGCTTCCTGATCCCTTTCTGTAAAAGAGGAAAGTCCATGCCTTTGATTCCCTTGACTTCCTCACTCTGTCCCCTCCTGCATCTTCTGCTTTCTTCATAGTTGTTTCTGATTGGAGCAAACTCATTTCCAAAACTGAATAAATTCATGATAATATTTGAACAGCTGAATTGCTTTAAAATCAGAAGAAAAAAATTAAACATAATTTCACTTGGATTATAGTCATTTTTGTACCAACATTGTTGTAAAGTATAATTTTTAATATTTTTCATGGAAGAGAGAGACTCCAACAAGATGTATATGGCCCACGGAAGACTTGTGGCCCTGCTTGGCTCTTGAGCATCCCCCACCATGTCTGAGTTTAGCTGTCTTATGTTGGTGTGAGTAAGGCCTGAGGTCATGATTATCCTTTGTGGTTGCAGAGAGTAGGGCAAACCTTACTGCCTCCCTTGCTGACTGACTTTGTGCAGAGTCTCCTGATGAAACTCTCTTCACCTGATGATAAAATCGCATCTGATGCAGCATCCATACTGATATTTACTCTGGAATTTCATGCCGAGAAGGTCACCATGGTAAGATACTTGACAATAAGCAGGAGAGCACAGGGTTTACTCTCTAATGTGCATTTTTGCCTGTGTTGTATGTCCACTTCTTTTTATATGTATTTCTTGTCATTGTTCATTATATGACTTCAATATAATGAGGCTTTTGGTTTTTTAAATTTTACTTAGAGACAGGGTCTTGCTCTGTGGCTCACGCTGGAGTGCAGTGGTGAAACCTTGGCTCACTGCAGCCTCAAACTCCTGGGCTTAAGCAATCCTCCCACCTCAGCCTCCTAAGCAGCTGGGACTACAGGCATGTACCACCACACCCGGCTAATTTTTTAAACGAATTTTTGTAGAGATGGAGGTCTTAACTATGTTGCCCAGGCTGGTCTCAAACTCCTGGGCTCAAGCAACCCTCCCACCTTGGCCTCCCAAAGCATGAGGGTTACAGGCATGAGCCACCATGCCTGGCCTGAGAATTTTTTGTGTGAAATATTTCAAGCATACGAACAATTTTAGAGAGTAAGTAATGAATGCTTATCCACCAATCATATTAAATCATAATATTTTGCCATATTTGCTTTAGAATTTTTAAAGAAATACATTAACAGCAATAAAATAGTATAGCTGTAATTGAAATCCCCTGTGTATCCCTTAAGGAATGATTTCAAAGACTCTCAGCTTGCGTAGAGCTGGCTACATAATTTGTGGGGCTCAGTGCACAACGAAATCTGGGACTGCTTCCTTACAACATAGGAAATAATGTCATTAAATGTGTAAGCACATGCAGTGTTCGCCTTTCCTCCACAGTCTCTCTCTCTCAATTCTTCATGCTGGTTTTATTTGCTATTTAACGTCTTTCTAAGCAAAAAGAACAATTAACATTTTTTAGTCGTGAGCACAAATTTTACTATCCATACATATATTGTGCAATGCCAGTTACAAACATAAGCATAGGTGCATTTAGCTCATGTGCAGAATCACCAAAATAATGCTATTTGTGTTTCACAGCTCACACATGCATACGTATTACATTCTTTCCAAAAGGGTGGAAACACTATGTAAAACTAGCTCGACTTTTAAAATTTCAATTTTTATCATTCATATATCCTACCAACATTCTCTACCTTCAGCTTATTGATGAGTAAGGAAAGCCTGAAAGGAAAATAATTTATGGCCTACCCTTTCTGTTTCCTTCTATGTCATTTTCAGACTAAGTGGGAATTTTTAAAGTAGGTTACAGTTTCAATAAGATGCTTATCTTGTTTTTCCACTGAGCTTCACATCATCGGTCCCCTGGCATTTTGTGAACACCACATGTGAATGGGACCACAGGAACAATGGCAGACTCACATACTGTATGTCCTCTGCTCCACTGTCCCATGGGACTTGATTTACAAAATACAAAGATGAAATTGTTTAAAAGTTCAAGGTGATAGTGGCAGAGCTTTAAACAAAGTAAGGGTACCTTCTCAGCATGGAGCCCTGTGCAAACACATAGGTCACAGGCCCATGAAACCAGTCCTGATGGTGACATGAGGAATGAACCTCCAGTTCCCTCTCCTGACACAGGAGTGCAAGGTGACTGAAAATAATCTGAGAAGTCTTACTCAAATTCATAGAGCAGGAAAGGGGAGGAGATGCTTTATATAGAACTCTCAATGCTGCTGCAGATGGGAGCATTCTGTAGGGCAAACACAACCACAGGGAAAGGTGAAGGGCAAGAGTCATCTTACAAAATAGAGTTCTCTTCTAGTGAAGTGGGAAAGAGCACTCAAAGGAAGGTGAGATGAAGGCTTACCAAGTCCCTGAGAGAAAGAGAGACCAAACAGAAAACTAGATTTGTAAAACTAGCTTCTGCTACAGTGAAATCTCTAACCACAGAAACAAAATGAACAAAATGGGCTCCTCAATTTATGACCCAACCCCAGCTCCCACAAGCAACTGGACTACTGAAAACAGTGGATTCTTGTCTTAGATGGGGTTAGGTTCTAAAATGAGTTATAAGGCTAAAAACATCCCTAAAAATCCCCCAAATTGCATATACAGTATATGGGCTTATAATCTCTAAATAATCCTAACACATCAAATATTTCATCAAAATTGAAACAGACCATCATTTTTATAACTGGACCTAAATTAGCATAAATTTCTATAATTAAGCACCCAGTGACATAGGTGGCTTGCTTTAGAGGTATTTGCATTTAAAATAGGAAGAGGACAACTAGAAGAAGCTCTAAATCCTATACTTAAAAGGTCTGTGGAAAAGAGTAGTTTGATATCTCTCATTTCTTGCTCACCTTGGAACCTACGTGGTTGGAAAAGTACCCTGCACTTTTTAACATTTATAATTTTTTCTTTTGTTTGCCATAGAAAGTTGTACAGATAAATGAACTGTATATGATGTAACTGCAGGGTAATGTAAATTTGCATCAACTAATTTTTCAGCTTATAATCTCTGTTAGTCTAAAATTTATGATCCAGGATCACAAGAAAAATTTAAGAAGAAAAAAATGCAATGGATTATTTTCAAAATAAGAAGTGAGATGATCTGAGTGGATTAAATTTGATATTGAATACACAGCCACTGATTTGAAACAAATTTCAGATCCAGTTAGAACTCTCCTTGTTCAAGAATGAGTAAAAAGGGGGAAAAATGACACTAACATGGGACCTACGAGTAGAGTTTGCAACATTGTGGGTTAGTGTTTACCATTCTGGGTCATTCCTCCAATACATGGTTCATCCCTTCAATATGTGGATTCAAATCGTCTTTAACTTGCAAAAGTTTTCTTTGAAGTATACACTGTAGCTCCATTGTTATTCTGTTCCATTATTTTGATTTTCTTTAAGTACTTGAATTATATGTATGTTTCCTATACCGAGCTTATATTTCTTATGTAATGAATTCAACCCTCCCAAAATAAACTTTTAAAGAAATGGGCATTTTCCCGCTATTCATAAATGCACAGATTTAGTCTTCATCCAGATGAATATTTTGCATTGTGTAGTCACACATGTAAATATGCTTTCTACTAGTGCTTATCTGTATGTTAGTTGCTGCTTTGGTAATTCTGAGAAAAAGTGAATTCTTATGTCCAAGAAATGCCTTGGTTTAGAGGTGACCATGGAACAGGAGATTCTTGTTTACCTGTGGAATTTCTCTTCCAGGTGTCTAAGATCGTGGATGCTATTTACAGGCAACTGTGTGATAACAATTGTATGAAGGATGTTATGTTGCAGGTTATCACTTTGTTGACATGCACTTCACCCAAGAAGGTCATCTTTCAACTTATGGACTACCCAGTTCCAGCAGACGAGTAAGGCCCCCCAACCCTCTGTCCCTTCCACAAGGGCTTGTTCACAGGCTGCACTGTCAGATGGACCTGGGTTCAACTCTCAATCTACCATAGTCAGGCCTGGTTTCTTTTTTCTGAAAGAGAAAATCTATTTTTGCACCATGTGGGATACTTGTAAGACTCAGATAAGATCATATGTGTTATGCATATCTTTGTATAATACCTAAAACACAATAGGCCCACAAGATATGACCAATGTCACTATTATTTATCTGAGGCTTTAAATTGTGTTCTGTTGCACATCCCAGAGGAACAAACCTCTCCTCAATGTGATAATGGATTTTTATTCCCGTTTGTGAATTTACTCATTTTTGTTGAGGAAATAAATTTGTACATGTAGTGTTTTTCTTGTTTATGAAGGACAGACATAAGATATTTCTACATACCAATAACAGCATTAAAATTGGGAGTCCTGTGTCCTTTAACTATTAGACTGAAATTTATGATCCAGGATCACAAGAAAAGTTTAAGAAGAAAAAAATACAAACGCGAGTCTATGGGACAATATGAACCTAACAGGCACATTAGAAGAGCTTAGAAAAATCACACCACTCCATTTCTACAATTGGCATAAACATTGGAAATCAAGGTACTACTTCTCTACTATGAACAGTGTAAAAGGCAGAGAGTTTTATTTTGAAGAGGACTTGGGCTTTGGAAACAAATGAATCTGTTTCCATCAACTTTGACCCTTACATTTTATGTGACATTATGCAAGTTTGATAAAACTCCCCGATGCTAAATTTCCTCATCTAGAAAATGAGGAAAGTTCTATCTATAGATATGTTATGTGGGTTGCTTAGTTAGTTAATGTCTGTGAAAGGGCATTGAAATAAACAAAACTCTAAACAAATCACATAACTTTATTTTTCAGACTGAAAGATGGTATTTATTTAGGAAGCTTTAACTCACAAAGTATTTTACTATTCATAAAATTCCTAGAAAGATCTTTGTAAGATGATTTACTCATCCAGGAACTAAGCACCCACTTTGTGTAAAGTATTACTGGCCCTCAAGCATTTTGCTGAGGAGAGGGAATATACCCACATGTATACAAGCTAAAAATTGCCAATAAATCTGGTACAAGCAATATGTGCTGAGGAAGTACAGAAAGCAGGCATAATTTGTTAGGTGAACTTAATCAAAGCTGCTACCAGCAGGTCTAATTCTATGTGAGGATTGAGGTAGAAAAGGCCAGGATTTGGAGTGAAACTAAACCAAAGAAACACATGGAACATTTGCTCAGCCAAGAGGTATGAACAAGTGGTAAGACAAGGAGACACGGCATATGAGAGTTGATGTCCATGTGATTCTAAGTGGGACCTGTAGGCAGGAGCAGGTGGGTAGTGGGTGCTACAGAGCTGGGTATTTCCATATTCCAAGGGATCAGGCACCTATATGATGAACCTAAACACAGAAGGCTGAGCAATAAGTGTCAGAACCCAGTATGAATTGGCAAGGTATCAGAAATACATCGGTGTAGAGATGTATAGCAGTTTCTAAGATAAGCAATAGTAAGACTAATCTTGAAGAGTGTCGAGTATATAGGAAAAGGAGCTAGGGGACTGGAGGTTGAGAGGCCAGGATTTTAATAGCATCTGTGTCACTCATTGTGTGACATTTGACAAAATGGCTCACTCTTCTGAGCTCAGTTTTGTTTTTATTTTTATTATTTAATTAGTTCATTTTTATTTAGGATTTTTTAATTTTTATATTAATCTACATATTAATTTATATTCCCATGCCAGTTTTTAAATATTCTATTATTCCTGAACAAACAAAGTCACAAGGCCAGAGGAACAGAGGAAGTATAGATTGCAGAAAGCTGATCAGTTCTTGACAGTGAGCTAGACAGACATTTAAATTGCAGTAGAAATGAACTTGCAGACCAGACTCTGGTATTTTCCATAAGGTTTTATTTAAATTCTTTCTCTGTTTTCTAGGATAAGAGGTTTGTGGGATCATTTGGAAATAGGAATCTCAGTTTGCTTTGGACATGTCTGCAGTGTCTTTGCTATATAAAAATGTAAAACCAAGACTATTTTCCTGATTCTTGTTATTCTATCAAGTAGGACATGACAAACATGATTCTCATTGTGTGGGGTGGGGCTGTGTTTGCAGCACTCTGATACAGATGTGGAAGGCGGCATGTTCTCAGGCGAGCGTGGCCCCTCACGTGCTGAAGACAATCTTATTGATACTGAAAGGAAAGCCTGGGGAAATGGAGGACACCGTAACGGAAGGGAAACGTTTCTCTCTTGATATTACCAACTTGATGCCTTTGGCGGTAAATAACACGATGAGTGTTTCTTCTTCTCAGTACTGTTTTCCTGATTGTGAAAATCCCTATCTGCCCACAGACTCAATCATACTTTCTTAACACAGTCCTCTTCTCATGCATCCATTCATGCAACACATATTTATTGAGTGTCTATTATTTGCTATGCCCTATTATGGAGCTTACATTTTGGTAAGAAACACAGACAATGAACAAATAAATGTGTTGTAAGTCAGATGGTATAAAGCTTAAAAGAGATATATAGTGGTGTGGAGGAAAGAAAGTGACTGGCAAGGTTTAGGTAAGTTGGTCAGGGCAGGCCTCTCTGCTGAGCTGGCATCTAATCAGAGACCTGAATCAGGTGAGGATTTGATCCTTACATATATCTGAGTTAGAGAGTTCTAGACTGAGAGAAGGGAAAAGTCTCGTATTGATGGACACTTACCTTGTATGTCAGCGAATACAAGGAAGCCAAAGAATCTGAGTGAATTGGGCAAGGGAGATGAAAGTATAGGAGATGATATGAGAGAAGTAACCACTGGCTAGATCATGTAGGCGTTTGTAGTCATGGAAAGACCTAATCTCATTTGTGTCCATCATTTTATTCTCCTGAAAACCAAAATCACCACTCCTGGGAGTAAATTAAGGTCTTGCAGAGACAGAGTAGTATAAAGTTGGCATTGCTTCACAAATGTGAAATGTTGGAATATGTATTTCTACGATGCCAATTACAATCCCTAAAGGCAAAATCCTGAACACCATAATCCTGAATATCGAAATTCCAAAATATCAAAATCCCAAAAGTCTAAAATTTCTATCATCTAATTGAATCCCCAAACTGTAATGACAGGTTTGGAATTAGGTGCAATCAAGGCTTCTAAAAGTGAATTTCAAGTTGTCACTAATAAAGTTTGTTTTTTCCATTCAGTCCAAAGCATTTCTAGGAAAATTCAGATGAGGGGATTAGCTAGGCAATATGGCAATGATGCAAACTTTAGTGGTAAAATATGTCATTTGTTTGCATTGACATTCCTTCCAGCTGATGAAATTCCAGGAGCTTTTGATAAATTAAAGCCACATATGCCTTGAATAAGCCAGAAAAGTTACTGACTGGTTTGAAATTAATTGTGTGTACAGTAGGAGAAGACACTTATGCAATGGTGTTGCTGTTCAACCATCAGTATTGTTTCCTCCAAATCTGTGGTCTTTCTATGAGTGCATGTGAAATAGATTTCTGCATGCCAAAACATCATAAAAGCATGGCACAGAAGACGGGAAAATTTAACAGGGAGTGCTCGAGTTAGTGTATGTCAAACCATAAAAGAATTTCAAAAAGAGTAGCATCACATATAAAATAAATGTGAACATATTCTCCAGGGAGAGCCATGCCGTAAAAGAGAAAAGAAAAAATAACAGCCATTCATCATAATAAAGGACTTCAAAATATAATCAATGATCATAAAAGTTGACCAGCTCTTATGAACCACCTCTATGCAATTGCCCATAATTTATTCCTATTGTTTTTATATGTTGAATTTTCTTTTTAGTGTGTTTATTTTCTTTTTAATGTATTTTTCTCTCTATTTTAAGTTGTCAGCATTATTTTCTCCAATTTGCTATATACTACATATTTCATTTCCTAGACTGCAGATAAAAATGTAAAGACTTTTAGAGGGTTCTAATTATTTTTATGCATTTTGCAAATTTGTCTCCATGAAGATGCATTGTCACTGTATTGACTTTGTGTGTAAGCATTGCGCTTATACATAAAAATGCTGAAACTTCCTCAATAAATGAAGTGATGCATTTTTGTATATTTGCCTTTTTCAAGAAAGATAAAATGTATTGAGATCTCGGCTCTTTGGGTGACTGCATATGTGGTGGTGATCCATTGGTCTGTCTTGTCAAAAGACTTAGGTTGTCCACCAAGGGATTTCAGATGACCACAATTATATAAGCTATTTCTTTGTGAATATGGTTTGTCTGCCCATAACTGTTACCCACGTGACTGCTGTTAGTATACCTAAGTGTTTTATGTTTGGAAAAGTACATATGTTATTATTGCCTAATTTATTGTATAAAAAGACCTATGAAGTTTTCTGTCATGTGTTCATGTTTCTCACATGTCATTTTAATTTTTTAAAAAATTTTCTATTTTTGTGGGTACAGAGTAGGTGTATATATTTATGGGGCACATGAGATGTTTCAATACCAGCATATAATATAAAATACGCACATCATAGAGAATGGGGTACCCATCCCGTCAAGCATTTATTCTTTGAATTATAAACAATCCAATTACACTCTTTATTTAAAAATATATTATTATTGACAGTAGTCACCCTGTTGTGCTATCAAATAATCTTATTTATTCTTTCTAACTATTGTTTTATGCCCATTAACCATCCCCACCTCCCCCATCCCACTACCCTTTCCCAGCCTCTGGTAACCAATAAATCTCATTTTTAAGAATGTAAACACGTCTTTAAAATTTTTAAATTATTTTTCCCGAGTTACATTTTTGGGAGTTTGATCTCCCAGGATTTCAATATTCAGGATTATGGCAGTTGGGAATGTGTCTTTTAAGATTATAGCCCAGACCCATATTTCTGATGTGGTGACCTCCCGCCCATATTGCAGTAGTCAATAGGCCAAATGATCTGTTGGTGACCTGACCTGCCTTCCCCTTAAATATCTCACTTCCTTGTATTGTTTGAGCACAGGTAGGACCTAGGTTATTAGTATGACTGCTCTTCATGGCCACATAGGAAGGGGACCTTGGAAGGGAAGCCTACCTTGGAAACCAACCTGCATCCCACTGGTTTGTCATCCAGGGTGTTTGTATAGTGCCTTAAGAGTTCCTTACCGTAGTAGGCTTGACACAGTTCCTAGCTCACAACTGATGTAACGGCTGTTATTAAATGAATGGATACCCATATGTGCTTTAGGTTTTCTTCAAGGAGGCTGAAGGAGGGGTTGCAGAGTCACTCTCTTGCTCCCCTCAGTAAGGTTGACCGGGTTTAGAGAAAAATGTTTACATTTCTACCTCCTATTTCCTTCCCTTATAGGCATGCCAGGCCCTGTGCACCTTTCTGCCTCTTGGTTCCTACAGGAAAGCGGTGGCCCAGTATTTCCCCCAGCTCTTGACGACTCTTATGTTCCAAGTCTTCTACAACAGTGAGCTGAAACCGATACTCAAGGACAGGGCTTTGTGAGTTAAAACTGGTTATTTCAGATTAAATAAGAGATAAGCGTCCAGCTGTCAATACTTCTACCCTCTTGGGTTCATATGGGATTCTTTACAGTCCCATGTGCGGTGTGTTCATTTATTACAGTTTTCTCTCCTCTGAATGGTAGAATGCCTTCAGAAAAGTAACCAGCCCAAGTACCTAAAAATTAGTTCACCTTCCCTGAGCATGTGTAGTATATAAAGAGCCGTGACCACAGAACTCTGTTGATTCCTACCACACTGCCTATCAGATCAGTAAGAGACTACCACAGAAAAGAGAGCAGAGCATTAAATCCAAAGTCAGATACATTTTTGCTCTGCCATTTACTTACTTTCTGCTAGTAACCTCTCAGGGTTATTATACATATAAGATTAAAAATGATGTGCTCAAGTGTACTTTGTGAACTGGAAAGTTAATTTGTGGTTGGAGATGTGATATATGGGTTTATGACTACGTGCAGTTGTCTGTCCACATAGAAGTTTGGCAATTCCATTTTGCCCAAGGGTGTACAGTTGATTTTGCTACCCTGCAGGGAAATCTCAACCCACCTGTCTACTATTTGCCCTATTCTCTAAGATGACATACATCAAAGCATCCCAACTAGATAAGAATATATCCTATTCATTTAATAGAAGAAAATGGACATCTTTAGCAAGTCATTGCGTCATTGAACATCTCTTTCAAATTATCTATTGCAAATAAGCTAGTAATAATAAACAAATAAGGTGTTCTGCGATTGATGCTAGATTTTGTGTGCCACAATTTTAATTTAACCCCTATCCCATGTACTGTTAATCAGGGAAGATGAAGGACATTTAGCAATCTTTTTCCATTGAGACATCCCCTTTCTCAAAACCTATATTCTGCCCAAGATGGGATTAAAAGGCAGGTAATGTGTATTTAGTTTTTTGAATATCACCGGCATGTGATGACTTTGCTCTCTTTTGGGGCTTTAGGTATGCCCAGGATGCCCTGAGAGTTCTGCTGAATTGTTCTGGACTGCAACAGGTGGATATTACTCTAATGAAGGAGAATTTCTGGGACCAGTTATCTGAAGATCTGTGTTACTATCATGGAGTCTGCTTTATTGCTAAGTAAGAACAGGGGTCTCTGTGTAGGATTCTTGGTCTCTATCCTACCTTCTCCAACTTCCTTCAATAAGCCATGCGGGAACAAGATAGGCATCTATTCCAATTTCCAAATCTCTCTTAATGATCTGAGTTGCTATTTGATTTCTACTTCTTCAATTATTTTGAAGCGTTTTTATTTGTGATTTTTTTTCCTTTTTCTTGCCCTCTTACCTGATAACATAGATGCCCAATTATCCTCCCTCCACAGAACAGGTTTCTTTTCTTACAGATACAGAAAACTAGAAGTGAGTTTGGTTTTTTCCCTCTGATTTTAGCTGATTCCTGCACAGCAGGCATCAGTTTTAGACATGTTTCCACTTGAAACAGGTCCAGTAAAAACCTATACTCAACAAGCCAAATAAATTTGGAAAAGAATAGAAGAGAACTTTTATTTTTCTTGTACTGGAAAGGGGGTTTTCTAGTTAACCCTTTAGTGAACAGCAAGTTTCTGATTGTAGGGATCAGATTTTCTGATCAAGAATCAAAATACGGGCTGTTGACAACATGACAGACTAAGACTACTTCAAGTTGTGACTGATCCAGAAACTACACTCTTTGTGGTCTATGGGGCCTTGATGCTTTTATAACAGCATCTCATTTGCAAATGGATTTCAGGAACACATGCTGTGTTAAAGTGTAGTACATCTGCACCCTGCAAGTTGTCACAAGTTGAATGTCACTCTAAGGGTATCTAAGAAGTAACTTTGGATATTCTTACTCAAAGTGGGGTCCACAGACAAGCAGCAACAGCATCACCTGAGAGTTAAAAATTCAGAATCTCATGGCCCACCTCAGACCTACTGAATCAGAATCTGCATTTTAGCAATATCCCAAGGGTGATCTGTTTGCACGTTGCAGTTTGAGAAGCACTGGTTTGGAAGACCAACTGGGAATCTTAAAATGGAAACTTCCTCATGTTATCCTTTGCAATTCTGCCCTTACTGATCTGATCCAGGCCACCATGTCAGTACAAGTGTGAGGCTGTCCACCACCCAAGTGTGTTCTGGAGAATGGCATAGTGAATCAGAGCTCATCACCTCCTTTCCTGGCTAATCCAGGGCGGTCCCAAACTCTCATCGGCGTTACATCATTCAAAGGAAGAGCTTGGTCCAAAACCACAAAGATGACCTGTATGCAGCCATCTTGGACTAAGCACTAGATTTTTATTTCCTCTCCCTTTAGTCAAGAATTGATGGGGAGCTTGCACTAAAATAGGACATTCTGTTCTGTGGCAAAGGATGGGAGAGACAGGAAAGAGAAGTGACATTAAGGAAAGAGATGTTGACAGGGATCCAGTTATATGTAATTCTCCAGAGTATGTGTAGAATTCATAGTGGGACAATTTATTTAGGGAATATTAAAGAATATCTTTCATCTGGGAGGTGCAAGATATTAGAATAATGATTCTCTCTTTGCCACTATTAGCATGGTGTTTTCTCCTTTGCTAATTCAGTGCCTTATTCTCTTTTACAGAACTCTCAGTGAATATAACTTTCCACAGTTTCCGGAGACCCTGAGTTATCTCTATAAGCTCTCAGTAGAAGGTCCTAGAAGGTCAGAAGACACTGTCATCGTATTAATATTCCTCACTGAAGTGAGTTTTGTAGACTGTGAACAGCTGTGTTCTCATTTCCTTTTCTTACCCAAATTTAAATCAAAATTCCAGTTTCTCGTATCTCTCCCTCTGAATGTTGGTTCTTACCAAGACTTAAGATCATGAAAGATATCTGAAGTCGGATGGGGAGAGGTGTGGAGTTAGATCTGGGTTATGGAAGAGTTGTCCCTTCAGCTTTCCCCAGCAGTTGGTTTTTCTCTGTTTCTAGGGGTGTGAATTTGTACAAAAACTAATTATTTTTTAGGACCAGTTTATATATTTCTGCATGATTGTTAAAGTATATTGAGGGATAATTGGGTTTAATAAAGATGGTAGTTAACATCTGGGATCTAGGCAGTACTTCTGACCATCTAGAGGGAGAAAGGAACTGGCTGAGTAACTGGGTAAAATGAAGATGTGGAACCATATTACTTTGTATATCAATATTGTGCCATGTATTGTAATACTATAATGGAATCAAGCAAATTGACAAACTTTTGTTTACAAAAAATAAAGGCTTTATAACCTGAAATTATCAAATCTAATTTTTTCATTAAAATAATAATATAATAGGCACATATTACCTAAGGTGAAGTGCCCAATACTTTCAAACTTTGAGGTGATTTCAAACACCATAGGAAAACGGTTAATAAATTATGAAAAGCATACTGTTATACTATACCATCTACTTCTAAAACTTTCAAAAGTATACATAAATTAATTTAACTGAACATTGTGGTAGTCATCAATGATTTCAAATATGCTCAGTCTATTTTGACCTCTCATTAATTTTACTGCGTGACTCATTATTTTTATTGAATTGACTATTCTTTGCCCGGTGTCTATTCTCGGCTTCTTTATCAATCTTTAGTTGACTATTTACAGGTGGGTTTCTTTTTTTTCCCCATAAGTTATTGGGGTACAGGTGGTATTTGGTTACATGAGTAAATTCTTTAGTGGTGATTTGTGAGATTTTGATGCACCCATCACCTGAGCAGCATACACTGCACAATATTTGTAGTCTGTTATCCCTCAGCTCTCTCCCACTCTTTCCCCCAAGTCCCCAAAGTCCATTGTATCATTCTTATGCCTTTGCATCCTCATAGCTTAGCTCTCACATATCACAGAGAACATACCATGTTTGGTTTTCCATTCCTGAGTTACTTCACTTAGAATAATAGTCTCCAATCTCATCCAGGTCACTGCAAATGCTGTTAATTCATTCCTTTTTCTAGCTGAGTAGTATTCCATCTATATATATATATATACACACACACCACCGTTTCTTTATCCACTCATTGATTGATGGGCATTTGGGTTGGTTCCATGATTTTCAAATTGGGAATTGTGCTGCTATAAATATGTGTGTGAAAGTTTCTTTTTCGAATAATGTCTTATTTTCCTCTGGGTAGATATCCAGTAGTGAGATTGCTGGATCAAATAAATGGTAGTTCTACTTTTAGTTCTTTAAGGGATCTCCACACAGTTTTCCATAGTGGCTGTACTACTTCACATTCCCACCAGCAGTGTAGAAATGTTCCCTGATCACTGCATTCACAACAACATCTACTGTTTTTTGATTTTCTTGATTACTGTCATTCTTGCAGGAGTAAGGTGGTATTGCATTGTGGTTTTGATTTGCATTTTCCTGATTATTAATGATGTTGAGCATTTTTTCATATGTTTGTTGGCCATCTGTATATCTTCTTTTGGGAATTGTCTATTCATGTCCTTAGCCCACTTTTTGATGGGATTACTTGTTTTTTTCTTACTGATTTGTTTGAGTTCATTGTAGACCCTGGATATTAGTCTTTTGTCAGATGTATAGGCTGTGAAGATTTTCTCCCACTCTGTGGGTTGTCTGTTTACTCTGCTGACTATTCCTTTTGTCATGCAAAAGATCTTTAGTTTAATTAGGTCTCAGCTATTTATTTTTGTTTTTGTTGCATTTGCTTTTGGGTTCTTGGTCATGAAATCCTTGTCTAAGCCAATGTCTAGAAGTTTTTTTTCCAATGTTATCTTTTAGAATTTTTATAGTTTCCAGTTCTCAGAGGGAATGCTTTCCACTTTTCCCTATTCAGTATTATGTTGGCTGTGGGTTTTTCATAGATGGCTTTTATTACATTAAGCTATGTCCCTTGTATGCCGATTTTGCTGAGGGTTTTAATCATAAAGGGATGCTGGACTTTGTCGAATGCTTTTTCTGCATCTATTGAGATGATCATGTGATTTTTGTTTTTAGCTATGTTTCTGTGGTTTATCACATTTATTGACTTGCATATATTGAACCATCCCTGCATACCTGGTATGAAACCCACTTGATCATGGTGGATTATCTTTCTGATTTGTTGTTGAATTCATTTAGCTAGTATTTTGT
The DNA here is from genome assembly GCF_000001405.40 of Homo sapiens. NCBI lineage: Eukaryota > Metazoa > Chordata > Mammalia > Primates > Hominidae > Homo > Homo sapiens. The sequence goes on from NC_000001.11 coordinate 171,000,652, forward strand.
TAAGGATTTTAGCATCTATGCTCATCAAGGATATTGGTCTGTAGTTTTCTTTTTTGGTTGTATCTTTACCTGGTTTTGGTATTAGGGTGATGCTGACTTCATAGAATGAATTAGGGAGGGTTCCTTCTTTCTCAATCTTGTGGAATAGTGTCAAAAGGATTGGTACCAATTCTTTTTTGAATGTCTGGTAGAATTCTGCTGTGAATCCATCTGGTCCTGGACTTTTTTTTGTTGGTAATTTTTTAATTACCGTTTCAATCTCTCTGCTTGTTATTGGTCTGTTCAGGATATCTAATTCTTCCTGATTTAAGCTAGGGGAGTTGCATTTTTCCAGGAATTCATCCATCTTTTCTACATTTTCTAGTTTATGTGCATAAAGGTGTTCATAGTAGCCTTGAAGGATCTTTTGTATCTCAATGGTGTCAGTTGTAATATCTCCTGTTTCATTTCTTAGTGAGATTATTTGGATTTTCTGTCTTCTTTTCTTTGTTAATCTTTCTAATCGTCTATCAATTTTATTCATCTTTACAAAGAACCAGTTTTTTGTTTCATTTACCTTTTGTACTTTTTTCTTTGTTTGTTTCAATTACATTCAGTTCTGCTGTGATCTTGGTTATTTTCTTTCTTCGGCTTGGTTTGAGTTTAGCTTGTTCTTGTTTCTCTAGTTCCTTGAGGTGTGACCTTAGGTTGTCGATTTGTGCTCTTTCAGACTTTTTGACATAGGCATTTAGGGCTATGAACTTTTCTCTTAGCACCGTCTTAGCTGTATCCCAGAGGTTTTGATACATTGTGTCATTATTGTAATTCAGTGCAAAAACTTTTTTAAATTTCCATCTTGATTTCGTTTTTGACCCAATGCTCATTCAGGAGCAGGATTTAATTTCAATGTATTTGTGTGGTTTTGAAGGTTTCTTTTGGAGTTATTTCCAGTTTTATTTCACTGTGGTCTGAGAGAGTGCTTGATATAATTTCAGTTTTCTTAAATTTATTGAGGCTCATTTTTTGGCCTATCATATATTCTATCTTGGAAAAAGTTCCGCTGTTGAACAGAATGTGTATTCTGTGGTTGTTGGATGAAATACTCTGTATATATCAGTTAAGTCCATTTGTTCCAATGTATAGTTTAAATCCATTGTTTCTTTGTTGACTTTCTGTCTTGATGACTTGTTTAGTGCTGCCAGTGGAGTATGAAGTCCCCCACTATTATTGTGTTGCTGTCTATCTCATATTTTAGGTCTATTAGTAATTGTTTTATAAATTTGGGAGCTCTAGTATTAGGTGCAAATATGTTTAGGATTGTGATATTTTCCTGTTGGACAAGGCCTTTTACCATCATATAATGTCCATCTTTGTCTCTTTTAACCACTGTTGCTTTAAAGTTTATTTTGTCTGATATAAGAATAGCTACTCCTGCTCACTTGCAGTGTTCATTTGCATGAAATCCCTTTTTCCATGCCTTTACTTTAAGTTTATGTGAGTCCTTATGTGTTAGGTCAGTCTCTTGAAGGCAGCAGATAGTTGGTTGGTGAGTTCTTATCCATTCTGCAGTTCTGTGTCTTTTAAGTGGAGTGTTTAGACCATTTACATTCAATGTTAGTATTGAAATGTGAGGTACTGTTGCATTCATCATGCTCTTTTTTGCCTGTGTATTTTGTTTTTTGTTTTTGCTTTTTAACTTGTATTTTTGTTTTATAGGTCCTGTGTGATTTATGCTTTAAAGAGGTTCTGTTTTCATGTGTTTCCAGGATTTGTTTCAAGGTTTAGAGCTCCTTTTAGCAGTTCTTGTAGTGGTAGCTTGGTAATGGCAAATTCTCTCAGCATTTGTTTGTCTGAAAACAACTGTATCTTTCCTTCATATATGATGCTTAGTTTCACTGATTACAAAATTCTTGGCAGATAATTTTATTTGAAGAGGCTGAAGATAGGGCTGCAATCCCTTCTAGATTGTAGGGTTTATGCCGAGAAGTCTTCTGTTAATCTGATATGTTTTTCTTGTTAGGATAACTGGTGCTTCTGTCTAACAGCTCTTAAGATTCTTTCCTTCATCTTAACTTTGGGTAACCCGATGACAATGTGCTTAGGTGAAGATCTTTTTGCAATGAATTTCCCAGCTCTTCTTTGAGCTTCTTCTATCTGCATGTCGAGATCTCTAGCAAGGCTGGGGAAGTTTTCCTCGATTATTCCCCTGAATGTATTTTCTGAGCTTTTAGAATTGTCTTCTTCCTCAGGAATACCAATTATTCTTAGGTTTAGTTGTTTAACATAATCCCAGACTTCTTGGTGGCTTTGTTCATATTTTCTTACTCTTTTTGTCTTTGTTGGATTGGGTTAATTTGAAGACCTTGTCTTTGAGCTCTGAATGTCTTTCTTCTACTTGTTCATTCTATTGCTGAGACTTTCCAGAGCATTTTGCATTTGTCTCCAAAATTTCCTGAACTTTTTATTGTTTTTTCTTTAAGCTATCTATTTCCTTGAATATTTTTCTCTTCACTTCTTGTATCATTTTTTGGATTTCCTTGCATTGGGCTTTGCCTTTCTCTTGTCCCTCCCTGATTAGCTTAATAACTAAACTCCTGAATTCTTTTTCAGGAAAATCAGGGATTTCTTCTTGGTTTGGAATCATTGCTGGTGAACTAGTACGATTTTTGAGGGATGTCAATGAACCTTGTTTTGTCATATTACCAGGTTTGGTTTTCTGGTTCCTTCTCATTTGGGTAGGCTCTGTCAGAGGGAAGGTCTAGGGATGAAGGCTGTTGTTCAAATTTTTTTGTCCCACAGGGTGTTCCCTTGATGTAGTACTCTTCCTCTTTTCCTGTGGATGTGGCTTCCTGTGATTCAAACTGCAGTGATTGTTGTCTCTTTTCTGGGTCTAGCCACCCTGTGAGTCTACCAGCCTCTGGGCTGGTACTGGGGGTTGTCTGCACAGAGTCCTGTGATGTGAACCATTTTTGGGTCTCTCAGAAGTGGATAACAGTGCCTATTCCAGTGGAGGTGGTGGAGGGTGCAATGGACTCTGTGAGGAGCCTTAGCTTTGGTGTTTTAATGCTCTATTTTTGTGCTGGTTGGCCTCCTGGCAGGAGATGGTGCTTTCCAGAAATCATCAGCTGTAGTAGTGTGGAGAGGGACTGGTGGTGGGTAGGACCCTAGAACTCCCAAGATTATATGCCATTTGTCTTCTGCTATCAGGGTGGGTAGGGAAGGATCATCAGGTGGGGATGGGGCTAGGTGTGACTGAGCTCAGACTCCCCTTGGGTGGGTCTTGCCATGGCTGCTGTAGGGGATGGGGGTGAGAGTCCCAAGTCACTGGAGTTGTGTACCTAGGAGGATTATGGCTGCCTCTGCTGAGTCATGCAGGTGGTCAGGGAAGTTGGGGAAAGTGGCAGTCACGAGCTTCACCCAGCTTCCACACAAACCAAAGGGGCAGTCTCACTCCCACCATGCCCCCTGCAACAGCCCTGAGTCTGTTTCCAAGCAGAGGGCAAGGCAGGCTTGAAAACTTGCCCAAGGCTTTTCTCCTCCCAGCTGCAAAAGAAAAAGGCTTTAGTTCTTCCCCTGCCTGTGAAGTCTAAGTCTGCAAGCCACATTCATGCCCTCCCCCGAGTTCTGGCCAGGAGGCTTCTTGCCCCATTCAAATTGTTATAAAGTTCAGCTCAAGAATTCCTTCTCCCTGCATAGTTTTACTCCCTGCCCCTCTGGCCACCCTCCTGATGGATCCCTGTGGTGCCAAGCAGGAATGGGCTGCTTGGGGACCCAGTGAACTCCCAGGGCCTTTCTGCTGCTTCCCCTACCCCTGTATTTCACTTGGCTCAGCTCTCTGATTTGACTGAGCTCCAGGTAAAGTCATAAACTTCTCTGGCAAACAGACCTTCAGCTTCTCCAGTCAGGTTGTGTGTTTAGGAAAGGAGGGTCTCCCTTTCTCACTTCCGCGGTTGGGGCACTCACAGTATTTGGGGGTATCTTCCGGGTCCTGCAGGAGCTTCCACTTCCTTCAGAGGGTCTGTGGGTCCTCTCAGGATTGCTGGTTTGTCCTTGCAATCAATCTGGAGCTAAAATTCACAATGCAGCCTCTGCATGCTGTTCTGTCTGGAGCTGCAATCTAGTCCTGCTTCCCATCTGCCATGATCCCTCCTTGTCACCAGGTGGGTTTATTTCTGAGCACTCTGTTCTGTTCCATGGGTCAATATGTCTGTTTTCAGGCCAGGACCATACTGTTTTGACTACTATAGCTTTGTAATATATTTTGAAATCAGGAAGTGTAATATCCCAACTTTATTGTTTTTCAAGATTATTTTGACTATTTGGGGTGTTTATTGGTCTCACACAAACCTTATTTTTTTTTTTCTATTTCTGTAAAACAAGCCATTGGAATTTTGATGAAGATTACATTGAATGTGTAAATCACTTCGGGTGGTATAGACATTTTTATTTTTTTGAGACAGGTCTTGCTGTGTTTCCCAGGCTGGAGTGCAGTCACATGATCTTGACTTACTGCAACCTGTGTCCTCCATGCTCAAGCAATTCTTCCACCTTAGCCTCCAGAGTAGCTGGGACTATAGGTGCATGCCACCATGCTTGGGTAATTTTTGTATTTTTAGTAGAGATGGGTTTTGGGTTTCACAATGTTACCCAGGTTGATCTCAAACTCCTGAGCTCAAGTGATCCACCCAACTTGGCTTCCTAAAGTGCTGGGATTACAGGCATGAGCCATCACGCCTGGCCAGTATAGATATTTTAACAATTTTAATTCTTTCAATATATGAACACTGGATATCTTTCCATGTATGTGTGTCTTCAATTTCCTTCATCAGCATTTTATAGTTTTCAGTGTACAGGTCTGTAACGTTGTTGGTTAAATATATTCCTAAATATTTTAATTTTTATAGCTATTGTAAATAGAATTGTTTTCTTAATCTTTTTCATATAGTTTATTGTTAGTGCATAGAAATGCAACTGACTTTTGTATGTTTATTTTGTATTCTGCAGCTTTACTGAATTTATTACGCCCAACAGGCATTTTATGGAGTCATTATGGTTTTTTTTACATACAAGATCATGGCATCTGCAAAGACAGAACATTTTACTTCTTCCTTTCTGATTTGAATGACTTGTGTTTCTTGTATGAATGTCTGTCCAGGACTTAAAGTACTAGGACTTGCAGCACTTTACACTTTTTCTCCTTACCTGCTCCCATTTTATTCTATTGATGTCACCCTTTACATATTTTTATATTGTGTGTTCATTAACAAATTATTGAAGCTATATTTTAATACATTTGTCTTTTAACTTTTATATGAGAGTTAAATGTGATTTACACACCATCCCATATTAAAATATTCTAATTTTGACTATAGATTTATCTTTCAAAGTGAGTTTTACACATTCACATATTTTAATGTTGTTACTCAGTGTCCTTTTATTTCAAGTTGAAGAACTCCCTTTAGCATTTCTTGTAAGTTAGGTCTCATGGTTGTAAACTCCCTCAGCTTTTGTTTGTTTGGGGATGTCTTTATCTCTACTTAATTCTCAAGGACAGCTTTGTCAGGTATAGTATTCTTGGTTGTCAGGTTTTTTTTCTTTCAGCACTTTGAATATATCCCACTCCTTCAGTTGTGAGGTTTCTGTTGAGATATCTGCTGATAGCCTTATGCTAGTTTCTTTGTATGTGAGAAGTCTCTTTGTCTTTTCTGCTTTCAAGCTTATCTCTTTTTTTTACTTTTAATAATTAGATTATAATGTGTCTCAGATAATTCTTCTTTGAGTTGATCTTAGAGTCTTGAGCTTTATGAATCTAGATGTTCTCTCTCTATCTTTCTCTCTGCTCCTTCCTCCCTCCCCCACACCTCTTTCTGCCCTCTCTCTCCTCCCCCAACTTCTGGAACTCCTATAGGAGAGAGAACATTTAAAGAAATTCTGGCTCAAAACTGTCTGAATCTTGTGAGGGTTATAGACATCTAGATTCATATATTTAATAGTGTCCCTTACATCCCTGTCTTTACTCTCTTTCATTCTTTTATATCTTTTTCTTTTTTTTTTTTTTGGCTAATTTCAAATGACTTGTCTTCAAGTTTGCTAATTCTTTCTTGTGTGTGATCAAGTCTGCTCTCAAAAGTCTCAATTGAATTATTCAGCCTGTTATTATAGTCTTCAGCTCCAGGGTTTCTGTTTTGTTATTTTTTTTTTAATTAAGTGTCTCTTTCTGGTTCATGCATTGCCTTTCTAATTTTATTTAGTTGTCCATCAGTGTTTTCTTGTATCTCATTGAGCTTCTTTAAGATGATTATTTTGACCTCTTTGTCAGGCAGTTTGTAGATCTCCATTTTTTGTGGTCAACTACTGGAGCTTTATAAGTCTTCTTTGGTAATGTCATATGTGCCTCATTCTTCATTATCTGTATAGTTTTGCATTGGTTTCTGTGTATTTGAAAATGCAAACACCTCTTCCCACTTTTACAGACTGGCTTTGGCAGGTAAACACCTTTTCCTTTTCACACCTGGGCTAATGCCTCCAGAATTGTAGGTTAGGTGGAGTTGGAGCTAGGGCACCTGGGTGCTTCTGGGACTTGTGGTTGGCTGGTCTGTTACCACAGACTCAAGAAGGTGTGTCTCTTCTCTGGTTCCTGGGTGAACTGGCCTAGCTCCAGGACCTTGGTCAGTAGTGTTGTCTCTGGAATGAGGGTCCACTACAGAATCCAGAAACAACAGACCTATTACCAAGTACACAGATGGGTGTAGCTCCTTTTGGGTCTGTGAGATGGCTCCTACTGTGTAAGTAGGTGGGTCCCAGGGCAGGACTGGCTCCAGACAATGACTAGCAAGGATAGAACCCAGTCACAAGGCTGCTTCAGTGTCTACAGCCAAGACCATGGTCTGCAGGATAGGCATGTTCCTAAGCTGGTCACTAGACAGGAAGAACTGCTCCCAAACTGAAGCTAAAAGGGGCTGGAGTCAAGGTACAGGACCTTTCCGGGATCTGCTGTGGGACCAAAGTTAGCAGTCCAGCCTGCAAAATCACATATAGGCTTCTTTTGGCAGCTTCCTTGGCAGGCAGGAAGGCTCTCAGGCCACTGCTGAGAAGAGATAGAGGTGAGTTACAGGGCTGTTTCAGGGCACAAAGACATAACCAAAGTCAGCAGGCCTGTTACCCTGGTTTCCTTGGTGGATGATTTTGGTGGCAGAACCAACACCAAATGTAGCTGTAGCCAAGTCTGCAGAGAGACCGGGTCATTTCTGGGTTTAGAACCAGGACCACAGTCAGCAAGCCTACCATCCAAGCATTGATCTGCACTCTCAAAATAGCTCTCCTTAATTTTAGAATCCACCATGTTTTTGCAACCTTCTACATAAATCCCAAAAAGTCCCCAGCAAGGTACTTTTGTTTGGGGATGACTGCAAAATTATTGCTTCTCTGGGGGATAATCATGGTGAATAGTATTCCATTCTTGTTTTATTATGGATTTTCATAGAAATGCTTCTATTTCACTATTAAGACAGTTAACTTTTATTGGAGATACACTGTTATTAGCCATTGTTCTATTCATAGTTGTATTTGAAATGTTGAATTTTATTGACTGTATTTTGACAGTGAACAACATAATTTTTTATGTAACTTATTAATAATATATAATGGTCACAGATAGCCTAACATTAAAACTATCATTGTAATATTCTACAAACTAGATATGATTGGAACTTGACTTATTAGAATTTTATTAAGAATTTTTATATCTTGTTCAGAGGTGATTTTGTTCTGCAGTTATTTATTATGTGTTGCCTCTCATATTTTTGTATGAGATTTACATTCAATTGTAACAATCAATTCAGTAATTTTAAATACTTTTCTGTACAATGGAATTACTTATGATTCTTGGAAATCATCTATTTCTTAAAATTTTGGAAGAAGGCTGTAGTTAAAATCATCTGCTGTGATCCACACAGATTTTAATACTATGTTGCCATAAAAATGAATGAGAAGCCACACACCTGTAGTCACAGCTACTCAGGATGCTGAGACAGAAGGATCACTTGAGGCCAGGAGTTTGAGGCTGTCGTGAGCTGTGATTGTGCTTGTGAATAATCAGTGCATTCCAGCTTGGGCAACATAGCAAGACCGTATCTCTTTTAAAAAAAGAATGAGAAAGATCTCTTTGTACTGATGCAGAGTAACTTCCAGGAGATGTTGTTAAGTGAAAATAAAACAAGCTGCAGAGCAGCACAGATGCTACCTTTTGCATAAGAGAGAAAAAGACATGTATTATGTACTATAGAAGTATATAAAATGTAGACTTATTCTTTGGGAAACATATACATATGCACACACTAAATACATGTTTTATGTATTATATATAATTCTATATAGTTTTATTATATATTATAAAATATAAGGATTTTAAAATATAAGGATTTTTAAATATATACTTATCTTTTGGAGAGAAAACAAAAAGATAAACTAGATATTAAAGAAACTGGTTACTTTAAAGGACATGGGAGTAATAGGGTAGAATGGATAGGGATGGAAATGAGACTCTCAAAGTACCCCTCTTGTGTAGTTTCGACGCATAAAGTTATTGTTGAAAGAATAAAATTAAATCAAGAAGAAGAAAAAAGCCAAATTTAAACTGATGCAAATGAATTTATTTGTATAGCAAATTAATAACCACACAGATAATATAATTACTCCATGCAGCTTATGAACATAGTGCTTTGACTTAGATATATTCTAAGAATGAAAATGTCTATAAAGAAATATTCACTTTTACTCAGAAGGTTTATTGGTATTGTATATTGATATTATCATTTTAAGACTAAGGTATGTATTATTTATCAGAAAGCAAATAAGTAAATATATTAATCCTATTAGATGCCAGGGTTTTCCAAGTAAAAGGAAGGCAATAAAAACATGAAGCTGCAAAAAGTTAATATAAACTCTTATGTTAGCTTTGAATTAAAAATATCAACATTGTAAGTATAAACTCACGATTTAAAGAATAACTATTTCCAAGTTCTGAGTAAAAGCCAAGAAGACATGATATTCTGACAGCTAGGAGTACTTTAGCATCCATTTCTAATGGTTTCTAAGTGCTATTACTTACCAAAAGGAACCATGTCTCCTTGATAAAATGGCTGGTTTCAGGGGCCAAGAAAAATAGATGAGTCAGGGACATCTAATTTTTCCACAACCCAAAGAAGGGCTAAAGGCCCATGGGGCCATGTCAAAAGGACACAAGAAGTAGTGGCTTCTACTAGCCAACTTTGAGTATCAAAATGAATAGTAACTAAATAATTGTAACATTATTTTTTTTCCTTTTTTAATTATTATACTTTAAGCTCTGGGGTACATGTGCAGAATGTGCAGTTTTGTTACATAGGTATACACATGACATGGTGGTTTGCTACACCCATCAACCCATCACCTACATTAGGTATTTCTCCTAATGTTATCCTTCCCCTAGCCCCCAACTCCCTGAAAGGCCCCAGTGTGTGATGTTCCCCTCCTTATGTCCATGTGTTCTCATTGTTCAACTCCCACTTATGAGAACATGTGGTGTTTGTTTTTCTGTTCTTGTGATAGTTTGCTGAAAATGATGGTTTCCAGCTTCATCCATGTCCCTGCAAAGGACATGAACTCATCCCTTTTTATGGTATTCCATGGTGTATATGTGCCACATTTTCTTTATCCAGTCTATTGTTGATGGACATTTGGGTTGGTTCCAAGCCTTTGCTATTGTGAATAGTGCTAGAATAAACATACATGTGCATGTGTCTTTAGAGTAGAATGACTTATAATCCTTTGGGTATATACCTAGTAATGGGATTGCTGGGTCAAATGGTAATTCTAGTTTCAGATCCTTGGGGAATCACCACAGTCTTCCACAATGGTTGAACTAATTTATACTCCCACCAACAGTGTAAAAGGGTTCCTATTTCTCTACATCCTCTCCAGAATCTGTTGTTTCCTGACTTTTTAATGATCGCCATTCTAACTGGTGTGAGATGTTATCTCACTGTGGTTTTGATTTGCATTTCTCTAATGACCAGTGATGATGAGCATTTTTTCATATGTCTGTTGGCTGCATAAATGTCTTCTTTTGAGAAGTTTCTGTTCATATTCTTTGCCCACTTTTTCATGGGGTTGTTTTTTTGTTTTGGTTTTTTTTGTAAATTTGTTCAAGTTCTTTGTAGATTCTGGATGTTAGCCCTTTGTCAGATGGGTAGATTGCAAAAAATTTCTCCCATTCTGTAGGTTGCCTGTTCACTCTGATGATAGTTTATTTTGCTGTGCAGAAGCTCTTTAGTTTAATTAGATCCCATTTGTCAATTGTGGCTTTTGTTACCATTGCTTTTGGTGTTTTAGACATGAAGTTTTGCCCATGCCTACATCCTGAATGGTGTTGCCTAGGTTCTCTTCTAGGACTTTTAGTAACATTGAATTTTTTTTACTTCATGAGTCCTTAGTGGTTCTCAAAATGAGAGAATGAGAAGAGAGACAGAGACAGGAATAGAGACAGACAGCGAGACAGATGCCATCCACTAAATGTAGAAAGAATGCTAGAAGTGGCAAATCACAATTTCTGCAAGCCCTAATGTGATAACTAAATCCAGAAAAATCATCAATAGATGTTAAAACAATTAAGTGAAAAGTTGTTAGAGAATGGAATATTCACATAGCACCAAATTACCACCCTACAGATTACTTACTGGAATCCCAAAGGGAAAATATGACTTTACATTTTTATGTGTGGTTATCACTCAAAAAGAATTACCTTTGATCCTGTTTGGAAATAATGCATTATTACCAGTCTCCCATTATTTTTCATCTATTTCAATGATCTAGTTTTCCTTGACTTACATTTGGAGATTTATATTTTTCCAGAAAATAATTTATTTCACTCAGAATTTCAAATGACTGCCATAATCACTGGGTCTCTACTAGATGGGCTATTAAAATCACCAAGAAATATTTTTTAAGTACATAAGCCAGGGTCTGCCATTGGAAAACCTACTAGGATGACGCCCAGACATGTGTAATGTATAAAAGCTGCCCGCAGAAGATCCTGCACTCATCCTTGCCTAAGAACTACTAACACAGATATTCTTTTTAAATTTTTGATCTAATCCACACTTTTTTTCTCACTGCTCATTTTACTTGTTCTTTTTTGTATTATATCAAAAATCTGTTTATCTTAATAGGATTTTTTTCCTGTGCAAAAGGCAATAGGCTTATTAATTCTATTGTTTTTTTTGTTTCCTAATACAATGATTTCTGCCTTTATTATTTTCTTACACCAACTTTCTTTAGCACTGTTTTATATTTTGTGATATTGTTTCTCTTAATTTCAGGATATAAATAATTTATGTTAACATTTCTTTTTAAGTAAAATATTTAAAGTCAAATTATGCATTTACTTCCAACTATAGTGTAAATATCTATGTTATATATAATTTTTATTGTTTTTTATTTTGTTGTCATCCTATTGAGTGTTTGAGTTCCTCTGTGGTTTAAGATTTTGATCCACAAATTAGGGGAAATTTCTCTTAAATTTGCAAGTACTTTACAGACTTTCTTGTTTTTTTATTTAAACTTTCTTTTTGGTTTCTTCTTTTATTATATCACAAATTTTTGAAGTGCTTTTTAATTGTTTTGCTTTAGAGAAGTTATTAATACCTTCTGACATGGTATCTAATTTTTGTGAAGCTTCTCTGAAAGCTTGAAAAGATGTGATCTGTCCTCCTCTCTCATTCAGTCTCTCTCACTCTCGCTCTCTTGCTCTGTCACTCCCTATCTTTCTGTGTACCTGATCTAAGGATATTTTAAATTCTTCCAAGGAAAACATGATTTTATAAAACTGTCATTTTTTTTTTTTTTTTTTTTTGAGATGGAGTCTTGCTCCGTCACCCAGGCTAGAGTGCAGTGGCTCGATCTCGGCTCACCGCAAGCTCCGCCTCCCGGGTTCACTCCATTCTCCTGCCTCAGCCTCCCAAGTAGCTGGGACTACAGGTGCCTGCCACCACGCCTGGCTAATTTTTTGTATTTTTTAGTAGAGACGGGGTTTCACCATGTTATCCAGGATGGTCTCGATCTTCTGACATCATGATCCGCCCGCCTTGGCCTCCCAAAGCGCTGGGATTACAGGCATGAGCCACCGCACCCGGCCAAAACTATCATTGTGTTTTTGAGAGATTTTAATCAGCATATTTGACTGTCAGTTATTAAATGTATGAAGGCTCATGATACTCATGTCTTCACTCTGGGTATTAGCTCTTAAAAACTAAACTTCCTCAAACTGGCCTGCAGGTTCTGTCCCACCTTCCATACTTGCCCTCAAGCCTCCCTGCTGTCCAGTCTTCTGTTCCCTCTCCCCTCCTCTCTCTCATCTTTCAGGTGCTCAAACACACCCTGCTTCATATTCCTCAGGGCCTTTGCACATGGTTCACCATCCTTGAAGGTCTCCTCTCTAAACACTTCTTCTAGCTAATGCCAACTCACAAACCTAAATCTAAATATCACTCTTCATTCTAAATTGAATCTACATTACACAATGTAAATTCAATAGTCCCATAGATCAGGGGTCCCCAGCTCCCTGGGCCACATACTGGTACCAGTCTATAGCCTGTTTGGAACAGGGCTGCACAGCGGGAAGTGAGCAGCATGCGAGCATTACCACCTGAGCTCTGCCTCCTGTCAGATCAGTGGCGGCATTAGATTTTCATAGTAGCACAAACCTTATTGTGAACTGTGCATGCAAGGGATCTAGGTTGTAGGCTCTTTATGAGAATCTAAACTAATGCCTGATGATCTGAGGTAGAAGAGTTTTACACCCTCCCTCCCCAGCCATTCTTGGAAAAAAAATGTCTTCCAAAAACTGGTCCCTGGTGCCAAAAAGTTTGGGGACTGCTGCTGTAGATGCAGATGTGTTGTGACATCTGGTAGCTTTCTTTCCTAGTACTGACTAAAATTAGAAACTCTGTCTCATTAGAATAGTACATAGTATAGTATCAGTCTCTCTAGCTTGCCTGGAAGCTCCACAGGGTTGTGGGTTGCTACCGTTTCGCTCACCATTGTATCTCTATTTACTAGTGCAGTGCCTGGCCTGTAGTGGGTATCACCTCTTAGCATATGTAGACATACACTGTGAAGAAACTCACAACCTGACTACAATCAGTATGATGGGGAAATTTAAATTGGGTCACTCAGTTTCCAACAATGGAGGAAAATGTAAAATACATACACACACACACACACACACACACACACACACACACACACAGACAGACAAAAACGAAACAAAGCATCTATTTTTCTATCCTGATTGTTGTCTCTCCCCACTGCTGTGAGCACTGAAATATATGTATTTGATGTTTTAGTGAGATTTGCATTCTAGTTTTACCTAGAATATCTTGATTTTTATGACAGAAATCGTGCAGTGGCCTCTACTTTGCTTATAAACTTATTAACTATTTTCTTTCAGCTTCTGAATAACTTCTTCAAGGACCCTTTACCAGAAGAATTTTTGGTCCTCTTCATAAACTGGATCAATGATTCCAATCCTGTAGTTAGCAGACTGATCCTTCATAGAATTGTCCACATGTCACCAATTATCAATAAGGTATGTGTATGTGATTTGTGTCTGCAAGCATCATCTAAATCATAATCTGAGATTTTGATGTCACTTAACATCTTCACTGACAAAGCGGTGATATTTTTCAGTCTCTATATAACTAAAACATATCAAAGCCTGCTGTTTTATTAACAAGGAAACTGAGTTGAATAGAAAGGATGTGTTAAGTCCACTTAGTGGCTTTATCGCCTTACTTTTTTTTTTTTTTTACAGAAAATCATTCATTGCACTCAGAATGTATTTATCCTCATTGCCCTAGACTTGTCTTACAGTCTAAACCATATATACATAATTTCCCCTCCAACATACACTCATGTGTACACACTAATTCCTATCTCAGAGCACTTGCTCAAGCTTTTTCTTCTACTCATAATGTTCCTACTTTACCTATACATATTTACATTTTTCTCCTTTTTCAATGATCAGCCCAAGTCAAACTGCACTGAAAATTCTTATCTCTCGCAGCCTCATCCCTCTCAGAGCCATATCAGTTATGAGCACTCATATTTTATACCAGTGTCAAAGCATAGTTCTTGAACCAGCAGTATCAGCATCACCTGGAGACTTGCTAGAAATGCAAATTGTGAGGCCCCACCCCCGTCCTATGGAATCAGAAATTCTGGGGTGGGCCCACCAATCTGTGTTTTAAAGGTCCTCCAGGTGACTGTTATTCAAGTTAAAGCTGAGAACAACAATCTTACACTGTTTCCCATTGACTCACATGAATACTTCTTACCTTCCAGGTCGACTGAATTTAAGCACGTTCCATTTTCTGTAATTCTACACTCCAAAGTATCTTGCAAAATGCTGACAGTGCAAATGTTCTATAAATCATTACTTTTATAATACATCCAATAATAAATCGTTGTTTATCTAATGAGCATAGTCTCTGAGAACTGAAGCCTATCAGTGGACACCCGTTGTGCATTTAGAATGACATAAGCCATGGTCTGTTTACTTTAAATAAATAATACAAGTTGATGGATTTACCAGTGGTGTACATTATCTTAGTAAGCAGCAAATTATTTATTGCTTTACCCAGAGCTCTTCCCAATGTTATCAAAAACTGAAAGGAAAATTCTGTCAAGACTTCCTAGGAGAGTGAAAGAAAAGTAGTGGAAAGTGATCTGGGTTGAGATTTCATATACTGTTGGTAAAGACACAAATGGCCTCTGGCATTGACATAGTCCTTAGCTCTATTTTTTTCTCCTTAAAGCTATTATTTTGGCAAAATAATATTCATTCATTTCCTTTAGTCTTTTTCTCCTTGCCTTTCTTTCTCTCTGGTGTCTCCTTTTCGTGTTTTTCCTTGCCTTCTATTCTGTTTGGTTCTGATCTGCATTGACTCCCATGACCTGCCTGAGTGTCTCAGTAGCTCTCATGTCCAAATGGGTCACTATCATCTAATTTAGAGGTCATTCTGCTAGTAGTGTGTTAGTAAATGTTTGACAGCCAGGTGTCTGAAAATAAGGCCAATTCCCTGGTGTAAAGATCCTTATGATGGCTAATTTCAAGCTTTCAAAGGGACATCACTAACCATGGAACTGGGAAAAGATGCACAATAGCCCATCATTATTTAATATTCCCGCCAATCAGACACAATGCCCATGAATAACCTCAAGAGCATAGATAATGGTAAAATGTAGCGAAAGAATTAGGGAGTGATAATTTTTTAGTATTATCAGTTTCTACTTAATGTTAAATTTATATAATTTAATTTTCAATAATTAATTTTCTTAGCAAAAAGTCAACATTTTTGAAAATTTGACAAGAGATTTTCGTGAGTCGGCTTCCGCACACCATGATGTGCCGCCCAGACTCAAGGTATCCATATAAATGTCAGCTCAAGTCTCCTGCTAGTTCCTAAATCCCACCATTTTTTCCTTTTATATGTAGACAGAAAATGTCAGCAGTATATTAATAGCCATCCTGGATGCCTTCCTTTCCAAAGACGATAATGTTGTACTTCAGGCCTTGCTCACCCTTAGAAGGCTTTTAAACGAACTGGACAAAGTGACCTACTCTTTGGGTACCAGAATTGGTTCCAGCTACTGTACTCTGATGGATCATGTGAGTTACACAGTTAGATATGTGAGATCATTAGGTTTTGTGGTTCACCTGAAACTCAAGTTGAGGCAGTGATGTTAGGTCACAGAATAAGCCAATAGGAGAAGAAGCCACCATTTCTTTTACAGAGATAAAAATATTAGGTAAGTACTGGTCTTTTTTTTTTTTAAGTACACTGTGAGAACCTGGGGAAGAAAAGAAGACTAATCAAGGAATAGCCTCTATCCTTGGATGAAACTGTAGCTTTGTGGCTATATACTGATTAACCCTATATCTGGACTGCCTGGGTTCAAATCCCTCTTCCACCTCTTATTGGCTATGAAACACTGAGTGAGTGATTTCTTCAGTCTTTTGGTGTATCACTTTTTCCCCATCTATAAAACAGCAATAGTGACATAAACAATATTAGGTTTATTATAAGAATTAGATTTGATATTTGCCATGCCCCAAATAAATGTTTGTTATTATCATATAAAACTTGAATTTAAAAGTATTTTATCAGAAAGTTGTTCTTTCTGAAAATTCTCATTTTACATGGTAAATATGTTTCAGAAAAGTTTAATGAAAACTTTGGTATGCCATGGGGAATCTATGTATTTTTAAAGAACTCCACAATAAATTGTTAGTAAACCAGAGAATTATTTCACAATAAATTATCTTGCCAAAACTTCTAAGTTTTTAATCACTTACAGTTCAATGAAGAAAAGCACAGTATTATTAAATTATGAAAAAAAGTAGTGGCAAAAATGAATTTTATAAACACATAAACACATTAGAATAGTAATAATAATAGTAGTGGCTTAAAGGGGCGGGGGCCAAGATGGTCAACTAGAAGCAGCAGCATCCGGAAGCTGCCATCACAAAGATGCAAATCCCAAACAGCATGCAAATCCTGCACTGGCAACTGAGGTATCCAGGTTCTGTCATCAGAACTGACTAGGCAGCGGGCATGACCCATGGAGAGGAAGGCAGAGCAGTGTGGTGTGGAGGCCTACCTGACAGCCACACGGGCCAGGGGAGCCCCCACCCCCAGCCAAGGGAGGCAGTGAGTGAGCATGCTACCCAGCCTGGGAAAACGTGTTTTTTCCACGAAAATCCCACTTGTGAGCCCATGCCATAAGGACCTAGGGTCCCAAACACGGAGCTGCACAGATTCTCAACAGCCACTAAGCTAGAATCTGTTTAAGACTGCTGAACTCCTGGGGGAGGGGTGACTGGCACAACAGCTGTGGCTGCCTGCTGTCTAAGCCCTTTAAACTCCTTGGGGGAGGGGTGGCAGCTGGCACTCAGACTGATAGCCACCTAACACACTAAGCCCCCATGGTGGGGGTAGGGCAGCAGCCATCTCTATAGCTCTAGGCTATGCTTTTTCCCTGCTGGAGCCAGTGAGACTGGATGGCTTGATCCCAAGAGGTATCCCCCATAGCCTAACACATCAGCTGTGGCAGACTGTTGACGAGTGCCTCTTCAGGCTTGACCTGGACCCATCCCTCCTCGCTGGGGTCTTCCTGCAGGAAGTCTGACTACTCCAGCCAGGGGCTCAGGGACAGAACTCTGATCTCCTTAGGCCTGAACCCCTCGTGGGAGGGGTGGCCACAGTCTCTGCACACCAGCAGACATAGTCTTTCCTCCTACTAGTTTGGAGGAAGCAAGGCAGACCAGACAAGTGGGCTTTCCCCCCAGCAAAGCACACCCCCTCCACCAAGGGACAGCCAAAGTGCTTTGTTAAGTGGGTCCTGCTCCCCATAAAACCCAGCCAATTGAGACCCTCCAAAAGGGGTCATCAGAAACCCTATACAGGAGTGAGCCCACAGGCATCAGGTTGGTGCCCCTCGAGATCCCAGAGGAAGGAGCAGGCACCCATCTTTGCTGTTCTCCAGATTCCTCGAGTGACATCTCCAGACATGGGAGCAAATCAGATGAATAGGGCCTAAAGTGAGCCCCCAGAAAACTGCAGCAACCCTACAGAAGAGGGACCTGACCATTGCAAGAGAAACAAAGAAACAGAAAGCAACAACAGCACCAACAAAAAAAAAAAAGTCCCCACAAAAACCCTATTCAAATGTCAGCAGCCTCAAAGATCAATACTAGACAAACTCATGAAGATGAGAAAAAAATTAACAAAACAACGCTGAAGGCCCAAAAGGCCAGAGTGCCTCTTCTCCTTCAAATGGTCACAGCACCTCCTCCAGCAAGGACATAGAACTGGACGGAGGATGAGATGGACGAATTGACAGAAGTAGGCTTCAGAAGGTGGGTAATAACAAACTCCTCTGAGCTAAAGGAGCACGTTCTAACCCAATGCAAAGAAGCTAAGAACCTAGATAAAAGGTTAGAGGAGCTGCTAACTAGAATAACCAGTTTACAGAGGAAAATAAATGACCTGATGGAGCTGAAAAACAGCACAAGAACTTTATGAAGCATACACAAGTATCAATAGCTGAATCGATGAAGCAGAAGAAACGATATCAGAGTTTGAAGACTATCTTGCTGAAATCAGGCATGCAGACAATATTAGAGAAAAAAAGAATAAAAAGGAATGAGCAAAACCTCTGAGAAATAGGGGACAGATCAACAAGACAGCAAATTAACAGGATATTGAGGACTTAAACTCAGCTATGGATCAAGTGGACCCAATAGACATATACAAAACTCTCCAACCCAAATCAACAGAATGTACATTCTTCTCAGTGCCACATGGCACTGATTCTAAAATAGACCACATAATTGGAGGTAAAACACTCATCAGCAAATTCAAAAGAACTGAAATCATAATACAGTCTCTAAAAACACAGTGCAATCACATTAGAGCTCAGGATTAAGAAACTCACTCAAAAGCACATAATTACATGGAAATTGAACAACCTGCTCCTGAATGACTCCTGGGTAAATAATGAAATTAAGGCAGAAATCAAGAAGTCTTTTGAAACCAGTAAGAACAAAGAGACTATGTACCAGAATCTGTGGGACACAGCTACAGCGGTGTTGAGAGGGAAATTTATGGCACTAAATGCCCATGTCATAAGGCTAGAAACATCGGCCAGGAGAAGTGGCTGATGCCTGTAATCCCAGCACTTTGGAAGGCTGAGGTGGGTGGATCACGAGATCAAGAGTTCAAGACCAGCATGGCCAAGATGGTGAAACCCCATCTCTACTAAAAATACAAAAATTAGCCTGCTGTGGTGGCACATGCCTGTAATCCCAGCTACTCGGAAGGCTGAGGCAGAGAATTGCTTAAACCCAGGAGGCGGAGGTTGCAGTCAGCCGAGATCACACCACTGCACTCCAGTCTGGGCGACAGAACGAGACTCCATCAAAAAAAAAAAAATGCTAGAAATATCTCAAATCAGCACCCTAACATCACAATTAAAAGAGCTAAAGAAGCAGGAGCAAACAAATTCAAAAGCTAGCAGAAAACAAGAAATAACCCAAATCAGAGCAGAACTGAAGGAAGTAAAGACACAAAAAACTCTTCAAAAAATCAACAAATCCAAGAGCTGGTTTGCTGAAAAAATTAACAAAATAGATAGACCACTAGCTAGACTAATATAGAAAAAAAGAATGAATTAAATAGACACAATAAAAAATGATAAGGGGGAAATCACCACTGACCCCCCAGCACTGCAAACTACCATCAGAGAACACTATTAACATCTATACACAAATAAACGGTAAAATCAAGAAGAAATGGGTAAATTCCTGGACGCATACACCCTCCCAAGACAAAGCCAGGAAGAAGTTGGATCCCTGAATAGACGAATAACAAGTTCTGAAATTGTGGCAGTAATTAATAGCCTACTGATAAAAAAAAGCTCAGGACCAGGATTTCACAGCCAAATTCTACTAGACATACAAAGAGGAGCTGGCATCATTCCTTCTGAAACTATTCCAAACAATTGAAAAGGAGGGACTTCTCCCTAATTCATTTTATGAGTCCAGCATCATTCTGATTCCAAAACCTGGCAGAGACACAACAGAAAAGAAAACTTCAGGGCAATATCCCTGATGAATATTGATGCGAAAATCCTCAACAAAATACTGGCAAAACAAATCCAGCAGCACATTCAAAAACTTATCCACCATGATCAGGTCAGCTTCATCCCCGGGACGCAAGCCTGGTTCAACATATACAAATCAACAAATGTAATCCATCACATAAACAGAACCAATGACAAAAACCACATGATTATCTCAATAGATGCCGAAAAGGCCTTCGATAAAATTCAACATTCCTTCATGTTAAAAACTCTCAATAAACCTGGTATTGTTGGAACATATTTCAAAATAATAAGAGCTATTTATGACAAACACACAGCCAATATCATATTGAATGAGCAAAAGCTGGAAGCATTCCCTTTGAAAACCAGCACAAGACAAGGATGCCCTCTCTCACCACTCCTATGCATCATAGTATTGGAAGTTCTGTTCAGGGCAATCAGGCAAGGGAAAAAAGTAAATGGTACTCACGTAGGAAGAGAGGAAGTCAAATTGTCTCTGTTTGTGGACATGATTCTATATTTAGAAAACCCCATCACCTCAGCCCCAAAACTCCTTAAGCTGATAAGCAACTTCACAAAGTCTCGGGATACAAAATCAATGTGCAAAAATCACAAACATTTCCATGCACCAACAATAGACAAGCAGAGAGCCAAATCATGAATGAACACTCATTCGCAATTGCTACAAAGAGAATAAAATACCTAGGAATACAGCTAACAAGGGATGTCAAGGACCTCTTTAAGGAGAACTACAAACCACTGCTCAAGGAAATCAGAGAGGACACAAACAAATGGAAAAACATTCAATCCTCATGGATAAAAAGAATCAATATCATTAAAATGGCCATACTGCCCAAGTAATTTATAGATTCAGTGCTATTCTCATCAAACTACCATTGACATTATTCACAGAATTAGAAAAAACTACTTTAAATTCCATATGGAAGCAAAAAAGAGCCCATATAGCCAAGACAATCCTAAGCACAAAGAACAAAGCTGAAGACATCATGGTACCTGACTTCAAACTATACTACAAGGCTACAGTATCCAAAACAACATGATACTGGCACCAAAACAGGTATATAGACCAACGAAACAGAACAGAGATCTCAGAAATAACACCACACTTCTACAATCATCTGATCTTCAACAATCCTGCCAAAAGCAAGCAATAGGGAAAAGATTCCCTATTTAATAAATGGTCTGGGAAAACTGGCTAGCCACATGCAGAAAACCGAAACTGGACCCCTCCTTACACATTAAACAAAACTTAACATGGCTTAAAGACTTAAATGTAAGACCCCAAACCATACAAACCCTCGAAGAAAACCTAGGCAATAGCGTTCAGGACATAGGCGTGGGCAAAGACTTCATTACAAAAACACCAAAAGCAATTGCAACAAAAGCAAAATTGACAAATAGGATCTAATCAAATTAAACAGCTTCTGCACAGCAAAAGAAACTATTATCAGGGTGAATAGGCAACCTACAGAATGGGAAAAAATTTTTGCAATCTACCCATCTGACAAAGATCTAATATCCAGAATCTACAAGAAACTTAAATTTACAAGAAAAAAAAAAAATGACCCCATCAAAAAGTGGGCAAAGCATATGAACAGACACTTCTCAAAAGAAAACATTTACATGGCCAACAAACATATGAAAAAAAGTTCAACATCACTGATTAGAGAAATGCAAATCAAAACCACAATGAGATACCATCTCACACCAGTCAGAATGGTGATTATTAAAAAGTCAAAAAATAATAGATGCTGGCAAGGCTGTGGAGAAATAGGAATGCTTTTACACTGTTGGTGGGAATGTAAATTAATTCAACTATTGTGGAATAAAGTATGGTGATTCGTCAAGGATCTAGAACCAGAAATACCATCTGACCCAGCAATCCCATTACTGAGTATATACCCGAAGGATTATAAATCATTCTGCTTTAAAGACACATGCACATGTATGTTTATTGCAGCACTACTTACAGTAGCAAAGTCATGGAACCAACCCAAATGCCCATCAATGTTAGACTGGATAAAGAAAATGTGGTATATATACACCGTGGACTACTATGCAGCCATAAAAAGGAATGAAGATTATGTGCTTTGCAGGGACATGGATGAAGCTGGAAGCCATCATTCTCAGCAAACTAACACAGGAACAGAAAATGAAATACCACATGTTCTCACTCATAAGTGGGAGTTGAACAATGAAAACACATGGACACAAGGAGGGGAACAACACACACCAGGGCCACTTGGGGGGTGGGTGGCAAGGGGAGGGAGAACATTAGGAGAAATAGCTAATGCATATGGGGCTTAAAACCTAGATGATGGGGTGATAGGTGCAGCAAACCAGCATGGCACACATAGACCTTTGTAACAAACCTAAACTTTCTGCACTTGTATCCCAGAACTTAAAGTTAAAAAAAAAGAAAAAAGTGGCTTAATTTATTGAACACTTAATATATACCAGGGGCTTTTCTAAAGGATTTACTTGAGCTATTTTACATAAATCTCTAAGCAACTGTATTACTATTATCCAATTTTCATGTAAAGAAACTAAGGCAAAGAGAAGGCAATGTTTGGCCAAGGTCATGTATGTGATAAAGTAGTCAGAGCGCTCATATAAAAAAAATCAATATGAGATTATAAACATTTCCTTAAAACCAGAAGGTGATATTATATTTTTAAAATTTGGGCCAAGTGCAGTGGCTCACGCCTGTAATCCCAACACTTTCCAAGACTGACATGGGAGGATTGCTTGAGCCCAAGAATTTCAGACCAGCAGGAGGGTTGTTGGAGCCCAAGAGTTAAAAGCTGCAGTGAGCTATGATCCTGCCCCTGCACTCTAGCCTGGGCAACAGAGTGAGACCCTGTCTCTAATAAAATATAAATAAATAAAAATTTAAAAATTAACCTCTTCTGACTTGCAATTTTTCCTTTATAGAATCATTTTTATCCAATTACCTTCCTATTTGGCATAAGTAGCCTTTGAAAACCTGGTTGTATGCCAGTATGCAGAGAGCTTGCATTGTTATTTAGTGGCAACTCAGCAAAGTCTTCCAGCCTTTGAACACAGCATGGTTACATTATTATAAGTATCCTTACAAAAATTATCTTCAAGTTATACATACTATTTCAGTTTATACTTTTAGGATGTTATTAAATACTAATCATCTTCCTAAATTTAAGAAACTCATTTTTCACAGTTTTTTTAATGCAATCTGAATTATGGTAAGTAAATTGTTTTACTAGTTTATATATTTTGTTCAGCTTTATTAAGGCATAATTAATCAATTAAAATTATATATATTTACAGAATACAATACGTTTTGATATAGGTATACATTGTCAAATGATTAAATCAAACAAAATTAACATAGCCATTACCTCACATATCTTTTTTGTGTGTGTGGTGAGAACGTTTGAGATCTAATCTCTGCAGTTTTTAAGTATACATTACATTAACTATACTCTAATGTAACTAGACTTACATTAGATCTCTAGAATTTATTCATCCAGTCTAAAAGAAACTTTGTATCCTTTAACCAACATCTCCCCCAGTGCCTCCCACCACCCTTCAGCTGCTGGCAACCTAGGCCCACTCTCCTCTTCTATGAGTTCAACCTTTTAATATTCCACATATAAGTGAGATCATGCAATATTTGTCTTTCTGTCCCTGACTGATTTCAAATAGCATGATGTCCTCCAAGTTCATCCATGTCATACATGACAGGATTTTATTCTTTTTTAAGGCTGAAAAGTATTTCAATTATTCCATTGATGGACACTTAGGTTAATTCCATATCTTGGCTATTGTGAATAATAGGTAGGCAAATATTATTTTAAAATTAAAAGATGCCCTAACTACTTGAACCCAAGGTGAATTTTTTCTAAAAATAAATAAAATTTCACATAGTGTATGTATATATACACATATACATATATAGTATATTTATATGGGGTGTGTGTGTGTGTGTGTGTGTGTGTGTAGATTACTGATTGAAGAAAAAAGCCCTAATATTATCCTCAAATAAGGCCTTTGTCTTTTACAGATTAATGGAGGCATTCGAAGTATGGCAATTCGACACTTTGGTCAATTAGTTAGGGATATGAGACAGTACACATGGATGGTGAATGATGTGGTTCTAGAAGGCTTGGTGCCCCTAATCCTATTTTTGGAGGATGATGATAAAAGAGTAGCTGAAGTAAGTCATTTGATCTTCTTTTTCATAAATTTACCAAGGATTGTAATGTTTTATCTAACAACAGATGAATAGATCTTCACCGGCCTTTTTCTGTCTCACAGGCATGTAAATATACATTAAAAATCTGTACCTCACAATTAAAGTGGTCAACATCACGTTTGCTCAAAGATGAAAATTACAGTTTTGAGATGGTGGTGCTCAATATCTGTAACAATCTTGTAAGTGGCCCTTCCATTTTTACTACTATAAGAGTTGTAGACAAAACTTACAGGATATCCAAAGTGATAAAAACTGTAATGGGGATAAGAGTGGATCTTGGAGGAAAAAAATGGAAGAAAATATTTTAAATAAGTGATTATAGCTGGAGCTTGAGCCGAGAGGAATTAGAATTTTCCACTTCCTATTTCTCAACACTGATCATCCATCTTATCTTCTTCCTCCAGCCCACCCATTTTGAGCTATGGGTGGGTATTAAGGTAGGAAGAACATCCCAGATCACAAAAAAGAAAACTAGAATTACTTTGCCACTGCCTCTTGAGCTAGTCCTCTGAAACCCAGCATGAACAGCAATGATAGCCAAGTGGGGATGGATGAATGCTAATCAAAGAATGGAAAAAGAGAGTTGAGTTTGGGAACAAGAGTATAGTTCACACAAAAGCATCCCCAATTTCTAATTTGGTCCTGATTTGGTATGTTGAAGCCTTTCTGGAGGGAGCAAATGTTCTATTTCAGCAATCGAGTGAGGTGCTTTTTTCCCTTTTTATTCTCAGATTATTTCTCATAGGAACTACATTACAGATTTGACATCTGATACCTTACGATTCCTGTGGAGCCCCAGAACATATCTTAAGAGGGCATCGGTTATTTTGATAGGTAAATATAATTCAGTTCTCAATTCCTAACTTGTCTTAAATGGTATAGAATGGAGAAGAAACTAAAAGTCTTTCTTACATTTTTTTTAATGTCTCTGTTTATGAGGGACAGCACCTGTGATGGTGATGAATACAGGTTGATACGTGTGATGAGAATAGAGTTCTATTTTATAATACACAGAGAATATAGCTGTATGGTTGATTATTATGCAAAATGTGTTCAGCAAAATGGATTTCAAAACTTAAGACAGTGACATACCATTGTTCATTTTTCCCCTTCACCACTTAAAAATTACTACCCAAAGAATAAGAATAATTTAAAAATATATAAAAACATCATCTTCGACCAAACTTGGACATCTGTAACCACAAACTACAATAGATGAGGAAGAACTACCAAACCCACTAAAGTTTTAAAAAAGTGGAAACAGGCAGGGGCAACCCAGGAAGACTCTAAGACTAGACAAGTTTTTTATATCAGACAAACCTGACCACACAGTTTTTCTGTACTAGCTCTCACTGTGAAAATAAAAATTAATTATTCTTTATTTTGGAATTCCCAGCTTAGTAGTGAGTCTCCAACTTGGCAGTCGGATCTTCCCTTGACCCCAGTTAGCATCATGGAGTAACAGGAACAGCAAAGAATGAGGAAATACATGGTCACATCATACATATAGAGAGGAGGCTCTCGGTCAGGGTAGATGACAAAATGAATTATGATCAGCACTAAAGCCCACGATCTGTGTTAATCAGAGAGGAGGGGCAGAACACACACAGACACAGGCACGTGCGCGCACACACACACACACCCTCACAAAGAAAAATCCTGTGTTATCATAACTTTCTGTCATTTTCTTTTCTTTTTTTTTTTTTAAGACAGAATCTTGCTCTGTCACCTAGGCTGGAGTGCAGTGGCACAATCTTGGCTCACTGCAACCTCCACCTCCCAGGTTCAAGCGACTCTCCTGCTTCAGCCTCTAGAGTAGCTGGGATTATAGGCATGAGCCACCACGCCTGGCTATTCTTGTATTTTTAGTAGAGATGGAGTTTCACTATGTTTGCCAGGCTGGTCTTGAACTCTGACCTAAAGTGATCTGCCTGCCTCAGCCTCCCAAAGTGCTAAAATTACAGGCATGAGCCACCATGCTCAGCCAATAGTAACTTTATTTCAGACCAGAAATAATCCCTGCTATCCTGAATTCTACCTTGGAAGTTCCCACAAATAAACCTCTGTATATAACTATTGCAAGATTGGTAAATAAGTAATTTTAAAAAAGAAACAGCATTATCTTTCTACAGAGGTACTTCAAGGGAAAAAAGAGACAAAAGAATGAAGAAAAACAAACCTTAGAAAATATGTCGATAGAGCAGATGAAAGTTATGATAAATATTTCCATGAATCCAAAACATTTTAAAATGAAGATCTAAAGTATAGACACAAGCATACAGGGAATCTGGGATGGGATAATGGGAGCATATGAAAAATAAGCTTTCGAAGTACAAGGGGGAAAAAGTAAGAAAAAACGTATATCACCAAAAATGAAAATTAAATTACAACCAGCAAAAGAGAAAATATTTGTTGAGAACTCAGTAAGGGACAAGGAGTACAGGGTTGAGAAATGTTAGCAAAATCAAACAAAAACCATCAATGAAAAATTCTTTTTATTCCTTCTTCCAAAAAAAAATGGAATACATGTGCAGAACATGCAGGTTTGTTACATAGCTATACATGTGCCATGGTGGTTCGCTGCCCCTATTGACTGGCCCTCTAAGTTCCCTCGCCTCAACCCCCACCTCCCAACAGGCTCTGGTGTATGTTGTTCCCCTCCCTTTGTCCATGTGTTCTTGTTGTTCAACTCCCACTTATGAGTGAGAACATGTGGTATTTCATTTTCTGTTCCTGTATTAGTTTGCTGAGAATGATGGCTTCCAGCTTCATCCATGTCCCTGCAAAGAACATGATCTCATTCTTCTTTATGGCTGCATAATATTCCATGGTGTATATATATCACATTTTCTTTATCCAGTCTATCATTGATGGGCATGTGGGTTGGTTCCATGTCTTTGCCATTTTAAATGGTGCTGCAATAAACATACATGTGCACTTGTCTTTATAGTAAAATGATTTGTATTCCTTTGGTTATATACATAGTAAAGGGATTGCTGGGTTAAATGGTATTTCTGGTCCTAGATCCTTGAGGAATTGTCATACTGTATTCCACAATGGTTGAAATAATTTACATTCCCACCAACAGTGTAAAAGTGTTCCTATTTCTCCACAGCCTTGCCACCATCTATTGTTTCTTGACTTTTTAATAATTGCCATTCTGACTGGTGTGAGATGGTATCTCATTATAGTTTGATTTGCATTTCTCTAATGATCAGTGATGTTGAGCTTTTTTTCATATGCTTGTTGGCATGTAAATGTCTTCTTTTCAGAAGTGTCTATTCATATCCTTTGCCCACTTTTTGAGGGGGTTGTTTTTTGTTGTTAAGTTACTTGTAGATTCTGGATATTAGACCTTTGTCAGATGGGTAGATTGCAAAATTTTTCTCCCATTCTGTAGGTTGCCTGTTCAGTCTTTGTCTTTTGCTGTGCAGAAGCTGTTTAATTTAATTAGACCCTATTTGTCAATTTTGGCTTTTGTTGCAATTGCTTTTGGTGTTTTTGTCATGAAATCTTTGCCCATGCCTATGTCCTGAATGGTATTGCCTAGGTTTTCTTCTAGGGTTTTGAGGGTTTGGGGTTTTACATTAAGTCTTTAAGCCTTGTTAATTTTTGTATAAGGTGTAAGGAAAGCGTCTAGTTTCAGTTTCCTGCATATGGCTAGCCAGTTTTCGCAGCACCATTTACTGAATAGGAGATCCTTTCCCCATTGCTTGTTTTTAGCAGGTTTGTCGAAAATCAGATGATTGTAGATGTGTGGTGTTATTTCTGAGGTCTCTGTTCTGTTCCATTTGTCTATGTATCTGCTTTGGTACCAGTACCATGTTGTTTTGATTACTGTAGCCTTGTGGTATAGTTTGAAGCCAGGCACCACAATGCCTCCAGCTTTGTTCTTTCTGCTTAGGATTCTCTTGGCTATATGGGGTCTTCTTTCATTACATGTGAAATCCAAAATAGTTTTTCCTAATTCTGTGAAGAATGTCAATGGTAGTTTGATGGGAATAGTACTGAATCTATAAATTAACTTGGGCAGTATGGCCATTTTCACAATATTGATTCTTCCTATCCATGAGGATGGAATGTCTTTCCATTTGTTTGTGTCCTCTCTGATTTCTTTGAGCAGTGGTTTGTAGTTCTCCTTAAAGAG
The DNA here is from genome assembly GCF_000001405.40 of Homo sapiens. Lineage (NCBI taxonomy): Eukaryota > Metazoa > Chordata > Mammalia > Primates > Hominidae > Homo > Homo sapiens. Next base: position 171,028,734 of record NC_000001.11, read on the forward strand.
GTCCTTCACATTTCTTGTTAGCTGTATTCCTAGATTTTATTTTCTTCGTAGCGATTATGAATGGGAGTTCACTCATGATTTGGCTCTCTGTGTGTCTATCATTGGTGTAAATGAATGCTCGTAATTTTTGCACATTGATTTTGTATCCTGAGACTTTGCTGAAATTTAAGGAGTTTTTGGGCTGAGGTGATGGAGTTTTCTAAATATAGAATCATGCAGTCTGCAGAGACAATTTGACTTCCTCCCTTCCTGTTTGAATACTCTTTATTTTTTTCTCTTGCCTGATTGCCCTGGCCAGAACTTTCAATACTATGTTGAATATGAGTAGTGTGAGAAGCCATTCTTGTTTTGTACCAGTTTTCAAAGGGAATGTTTCCAGCTTTTGCCCATTCAACATGACATTGATATGATATTGGCTGTGGGTTTGTCTTAAATAGCTTTATTATTGTGAGATATCTTCCTTCAATATCTAGTTTATTAAGAGGGTTTTGTTTTTTTTTTCGGAGTCTGCTCGTTGCCCAGGCTGGAGTGCAGTGGCACAATCTCGGCTCACTGCAACCTCCGCCTCCCAGGTTCCAGCGATTCTCCTGCCTCAGCCTCCTGAGTAGCTAGGGTTACAGCATGTGCCACCATGCCCAGCTAATTTTTGTATTTTTAGTAGAGACGAGGTTTCACCATGTTGTTCAGGCTGGTCTCAAACTCCTGACCTCATGATCCACCTGCCTCAGCCTCCTAAAGTGCTGGGATTGTTAAGAGTTTTTAACTTGAAGGGATGTTGAATTTTATCAAACGCCTTTTCTGCATCTATGGAGATAATCTTGTGGTTTTTGTCTTTGGTTCTGTTTAATGTGATGGATTATGTTTATTGATTTGCATATGTTGAATCAGCCTTGCATCGCAGGGATGACGCTGAACCGATCGTGGTGGGTAAGTTTTTTTGATTTGCTCCTAGATTCGATTTGTCAGTATTTTATTGAGGATTTTTGCATCGATGTTCATCAGAAATATTGGCTTGGAGTTTTCCTTTTTTATTGTGTCTCTTTCTGGTTTTGGTATCAGAATGATGCTGGCTTCATAAAATGAGTTAGGGAGGAGTCCCTCCTTTTCAATTGTTTGGAATACTTTCAGAAGGAATGGTACCAATTCCTCTTTGTGTTTCTGGTAGAATTCAACTGTGAGTCCATCTGTTCCTGGGCTTTTTTTGGTTGGTAGGCTATTAATTACTGCCTCAATTTCAGAACTTGTTATTGGTCTATTGAGGGATTCAACTTCTTTCTTGTTTAGACTTGGGAGTGTGTATGTGTCCAGGAATTTACCCATTTCTTCTAGATTTTCTAGTTTATTTGCATAGAGGTGTTTATAGTATTCTTTGATGGTAGTTTTTATTTCTGTGGGGTCAGCAGTGATATTTCCTTATCAGTTTTTATTGTATCTATTTAATTCTTCTTTTTTTTCTACATTAGTTTAGCTAGTAGTCTATTTTGTTAGTCTTTTTGAAAAACCAGCTCCTGGATTTATTGTTTTTTTGGAGGGCTTTTCGTGTCTCTATCTAGTTCAGTTCTTTTCTGGTCTTAGTTACTTATTGTCTTATGCTAGCTTTTGGATTAGTTTGTTCTTGATGCTCTAGCTCTTTTAACTGTGATACTAGAGCGTCAATTTGAGATCTTCCAAGCTTTCTGATGTGGGCATTTAGTGCTATAAATTTCCCTCTTAACACTGCTTAGGTGTGTCCCAGAGATTCCGGTACATTGTCCCATGTTCTCATTAGTTTCAAAGAACTTCTTGATTTCTGCCCTAATTTCATTGTTTACCCAGGAGTCATTCAGGAGGAGGTTGTTCAATTTCCATGAAATTGTGTGTTTTTGAGTGAGTTTCTTAATCCTGAGTTCTAATTTGATTGCACTGTGTTCTGAAAGACTGTTTGTTATGATTTCAGTTCTTTTGCATTTGCTGAGGAATGTTTTATTTCCAATTATGTGGTCTAGTTTAGAATCAGTGCCATGTGGCACTGAGAAGAATGTATATTCTGTTGATTTGGGTTGGAGAGTTCTGCATATGTCTATTGGGCCCATTTGATCCAGAGCCGAGTTCAAGTCCTGAATATCTTTATTAATTTTCTGTCTAGTTCTGTCTAATACTGACAGTGAGGTGTTAAAATATCCCACTATTATTGTGTGGAAGTCTAAGTCTCTTTGTATTTCTTACAAACTTGTTTTATGAATCTGGGTGTGCCTGTATTGAGTGCACGTATATTTAGAATAGTTAGCTCTTCTTGTTGAATTGTTCCCTTTTCCGTAATGTAATGTCCTTTTTCTTCTTTTTTGATCTTTCTTGGTTTTAAAGTCTGTTTTGTCAGAGACTAGCATTGCAACCCCTGCGGTTTTTTTGCTTTCTGTTTGCTTGGTAAATTTTCCTCCATCCCTTTATTTTGAGCCTATGTGTGTCTTTGCACATTAGATGGCTCTCCTGAATACAGCACACCAATGGATCTTGACTCTATCCAATTTGCCAGTCTGTGTCTTTTAACTGGGGCATTTAGACCATTTACATTTAAGGTTAATATTTTTATGTGTGAATTTGATCCTGTCATCATGAGCTAGCTGGTTATTTTGCACACTAGTTGATGCAGTTTCTTCATAGTGTCATTGGTCATTACATTTTGGTGTGTTTTCCAGTGGCTGGTACTGGGTGCTTTTTTTCCATGTTTAGCACTTCTCTCAGGAGCTCTTGCAATGCAGGCCTGGTAATAATGAAATCCCTCAACATTTGTCTTGAAATGATTTTATTTCTCCTTTGCTTATGAAGCTTAATTTGGCTGGATATGAAATTCTGGGTTGAAAATTCTTTTCTTTAACAATGTTGAATTTGTCCCCCAATCTCTTCTGGCTTGTAGGGTTTCTGTTGAGAGACGTACTTTTAGTCTTATGGGCTTCTCTTTGTAGGTGACCTGGCCATTCTCTCTGGCTGCCCTTAACAATTTTTCCTTCATTTCAAGCTTGGATAATTGGATGATTATGTGTCTCAGGGTTGATCTTCTCATGGAGTATCTTAGTGGTGTTCTCTGTATTTCCTGAATTTGCATGTTGGCCTGTCTTGCTAGGTTGGGAAAGTCCTCCCGGATAATATCCTGAAGTGTGTTTTCCAGCTTGTTTCCATTCTCCTCGTCTCCTTCTGGTACTCTAAGCAATCATAGATTTGATCTTTTTATGAAGCTCCATATTTTTTGGAGGCTTTCTTCATTCCTTTTCATTCTTTTATCTCTAGTCTTGTCTGCATGCCTTATTTCAGTAAGGTGGTCTTCAAACTCTGATATCCTTTCTTCTACTTGGTCAGTTCGGCTATTGATAGCTGTATATGTTTTACGAACTTCTCGTGCTGGGGTTTTCAGCTCCATCAGATCATTTATGTTTCTCTCTAAACTGGTTATTCAGTTAGCAGCTCCTATAACCTTTTATCAAAGTTCTTAGCTTCTTTGCATTGGGTTAGAACATGCTCCTTTAGTGCAGCATAGTTTTTTATTACCCATCTTCTGAAGGCTACTACTGTCGATTCATCCATCTGATCCTCTGTCCAGTTCTGTGTCCTTGATGGAAAGACATTGCAATTATTTGGAGAAGAGGCACTCTGGCCTTTTGGGTTTTCAGCATCTTTTCATTGATTCTTTCTCATCTTCGTGAGTTTGTCTAGAGTCGGTCTTTGAGGCTCTGACCCTTGGATGGGGTTTTTGTGGGGGCTTTTTTGTTGTTGTTTTTGTTGTTTCTTTCTGCTTGTTTTTCTTGCAATGGTAAAGTCCCTCTTTTGTAGGGCTGCTGCAGTTTGCTGGGGGTTCACTGCAGGCCCTACTCATCTGATTCACTCCCGTGCCTGGAGATGTCACTCAAGGAGGCTGGAGAACAGCAAAGATGGGTGCCTGCTCCTTCCTCTGGGATCTCTGAGCTCAAGGGGCACCAATCTGATGCTAGTAGGATCGCTCTTGTATAGGGTTTCTGACAAACCCTGTTGGAGGGTCTCACACAGTTGGGTACCACGGAGAACAATACCCATTTAACAAAGCACTTTGTCCCTTCGCAGAGGGGGTGTGCCACACCAGGCGGGAAACCCACTTGTCTGGGCTGCCTGGATTCCTCAGAACTACCAGGAAGAAAGGCTAAATCTGCTGGTCTGCAGAGACTGTGGCCTCCCTCTCCTTAGGGGCTCAGGTCCTGTGGGATCCAGGTTCTGTCCCTGAGCCCCTGGCTGGAGTTATTGGAGTTCCTGCAGGGAAGCCCCACCCAGTGAGGAAGGATGGGTAAGAGTCAGGCCTGTAGAGGCACTCTGCCACAGACTGCCACAGCCAGTGTGTTGGGCTGCGGAGGGACAAGTCTTGGGACCAAGCCATCCAGCCTCCCTGGCTCCAGCAGGGGAAAAGCACAGCCTGGGGCTTTAGAAATGGGTGCCACCCTTCCCCTGCCCAGGGAGCTTAGAGTGTTAGGCAGTTGTGAGTCCCAGTGCTGGCTGCTGCCCCTCCCCCAAGGAGCTCAAATGGCTTAGGGTGCAGGCAGCGGCAGCTGGCGCTGGTCGCCCTTCACCCCAGGAGTTCAGTAATCTTAAGCCGATTCCAGATGAGAGGCTGTTAAGAGTCTGCACATTCTGAGGTGGGACACTAGGCCCCAGTGGCGTGGGTTCGTGAATGGGATCTTCCAATCCGTGGGTTGCACAGTTTCATCAAAAAAGCACAGTTTCCTGGATGGGTAGCATGCTCACTCACTGCCTGCCTTGGCTTTGGGGGAGGGGCTTCCCTGCCCCGTGTGGCTCTCAGGCCGGTCGCCACGCCACACTGTTCTTCCTTCTCTCTGTGGGTCACGCCAGCCTCCTAGTCAGTTCTGATGAGAAAACCTGAGTACCTTGGCTGCCAGTGAAGGATTCACATGCTTATTATGTTTTTGTTTGTTTGTTTGTTTTGTTTTGTTTTTTTCCTGATGGGAGCCTCTGAACGCTGCTGTTTCTATTCGGCCATCTATTCGGCTCCCCCACAAAATTCTTAAAATTAGGGAACAATAGTAGATATAGATGATAGAAAAAAGAAATGCAAATATGAGCAAGTGATATCCCTGAAGAAGAGAAATGAAAAACTACAACAGAGCAAAAGTCTTCAAATATATAATTTAAGAAATAAAGATGACTTGATTAAATATACTGAGATAAGGAATCATTTTTTCAAGAAATATTTTATACAGAATGCAACATTAAGGCATTTTGTAATAAAGTTATGGAACTGCACGATTCCATAAGAATTCTTCAACAATTCTTTATGCATTCAGACAAAAAAAATTACCTACAAATTTTAAAAATAGAGAAACTGTCATTAAACTTCTTTACTTCAATATTCCATATTTTATAGTTGAATACTAAAAAAACTTTTATAGTATTCAACTATAAAATATAGAATATTGCTTACAAATTCCTAAGTGAAGAGAAAATTGTGACTGAAGAATTTTATATCCAGCACAATTTTATCCAGCTATACAGATAACAGAACATTATTTTCAAAAAGACAAGAACTCAGGATGAAATCATCATCATGAATTCTTCTTGAAGACATTATTAGAGGATGGAATTCATCTAACTAATGGATGAATGGATGAACTATTGCAAAAAGACATCCAGTATCTATTTAACTGTAGGACTCTCATCTGCCAATCAAGTCTCTACTACTTTTTATTTTTCTCTATGCCTTGGAAGGCTGACCTCTGCATTCTGTATCTCCCAAGCTCCCTTGCCAGCTTGCTTCCTGATGGGTACAACACTTAATGTCCATTAATGCATTTAATGAGCAGAGGTATGCTTAATATTCAGAAATAATTATGACAGTGCTATTCACAAATGCTTGTCCCATCTAGAATCCTTACTGAGCATCTGTTTAAAAATACTGATCAACAGGCTCAGTCCAAGTGTCATAAATATACTATCAGATAATTTCATAGATCTTGATAAGTTGATTCTAAATGTTTGTGGAATAGCAAAAGGCCAAGATACTCCTGAAGGAAAAAAAATTGGGGCTACTAGTTTCACCAGATACCAAGATTTATTATAAAGCTACAGAATTTTAGATAGTCTGTTACTCATTCAAGGAAAGACAAACAGACCTGTGGAACAGAATAGAAAGCCTATAAACAGATCCACACATATACCTAATATATATCAGAACTGGCAGTGTATATCAGACCGGCAAATGATGGGCTGCCTAACGAAAGGTGCAACGACAATTGGAAGTGCACAAACAAAAGGACTCCTGACACCCTACACAAAAATTAATTCTAGAAGAATCAAACAATGTAAACATAAAACACAAATATTTAAAAACTTTTAGAAGAAAATGTAAGATAATATCTTCATAACTGAAGATAAACAAAATATTTCTAAAGACAAAAAATTTAAAAATCAAGCAACAAGCTGAGAGAAATATTTGCACATGTGCAACTAAAATGTATTAATTTTGATATATTAATTATAATAACTTAGAAAAAGACAAAAAATCCAATAGATCAAAAAATAAAACGTACAAAAAATAATAATAAATATAAAGAGGAAGTTCAAAAAAGAGAAAACATAGAGACAAATAATCATGTAAAACATGTTCAACAATATTAATAATCAGAAACATGCAAATTAGAACAATAACAACCCATTTCACACCAATAAAGTAGCAACGTTTTTTAAAATATAAAAAAATAAAAACTGATGTTAAAATTGAAAGCTTCTCTTCACCAAATTATGTTAAAAGGCAACCACCAAATGGAAGAAGATATTTACAACACATATATCTGGCAAAGAATCACATTAGAATATATAAAGAATTCATGTAAATTTATAAGAAAAAAACCACCTAATAGAAAAATGAGTAATAAATGACACTTTTCAGAAAAGGACAGACAAATTACCAATAAACATATAAAAAGATATTTGACTCCATTGTTCATTTGGAAAATGCAAATTGAAACCATAAGATACCATTATACATCCAACATAAAGTGTAGAATAAAGACTAACAATCTCAACTGTTGTCAAGGATATGGAGCAAACAGAACTCTGTTATATGCTGTTGGCGGAGAAAATTCTTAAACCACTTTGGAAAGCTGTTTAGCTATATCTGATAAAGCCGAACACATAGATATCCTATGACTCAGGAATTCTATAAAATCTCACAGAAATACATACATGTGTTCACAAAAGATATGTACTAGAATATTCAAAGCAGCATTACTAGTTATAACCCAATCCTCCAAATCAACAGTTAGATGAATATATTGATGTAGATTCACACAATGAAATACTACATACCAATGGAAAAAAATCAACTTCATTCACAATGTAGAGGAAGCTTACAACGTTGAAATAAAAGCCAGTCACAAAAAGTACATATTGTACAATTCCATTGATATAAAACACAAAAACAGCTAGAACTAAAGAGTTATTAAACTCAGGGTAGCGTTTACACTTGGGGAGAAAATAAAAGGGAGCCTCGGAGAGAGTTTCTGGATTACTGGTAATGTCTTGTGTCTTGACCTTAGATGTGGTCACTGTGTGAACATTCCATGTGCTGTACTTTTATATGTGTACTTTTTCATACATGCGTTATACCTAGATGTTTAAAATTAAAGTTTTATGTATATATACATACCAAGAGTTGAAAAGTGTGTGAAATAATGGGAATTTTTGTTGCTTGTAGTGGGAACAGAAATTGATATAAACACTCAGAAAATAATTTGACATCATCTTATAAGCTAAAGTTGAGCATAATGTTCCTATAAATCTGTAATACCATTTTTAACTATGTACCTTAGACTCTCTCACACAGGTGCATCTGGAGACATGTAGAAGTTTATTGCCCTATTATTAGTAATATCAGATAAATTAGAAATAATCCAAATGTCTGTCACAAGTAGAATGGATAAATAATTTATGTATTGTCACAAATGCAACAGCAAATAGCAAGGAATTTTATTACAAAAAATAAAAATAAATAAATAAATAAACGCTATCTTTACACTCACCAGAATAGATGAATACAAAAATAAAAAAAAAAAACTTTGAGTAAAATGAATAAAAGCAAAAAACGAAACCCAAAGAATACATACTATTTATATATGGATGAAAGCAGACACTACTAAAACATTATTTGGGAATTCACATTAATTTTCTGGAAAACAGTAAGAAAAATCAAGGAAATGGTCAACATAAAATTCAACATACTAGTTTATCTAGAAGGAGGGGGAGGAAAAAATAGCGTTTATGAAAGGACACACAAGAGGCTTCAAGAGCACAAGTATTTTTTATTTTTTAAGTCCATAGGTAGGATATTATATCTATTCTTTTATATACTTTTAATTTAAAAATACATGTTTTAAATTATGCTAATCTCAAAGCAACTAACTCATTAAAAAATACAGTGAAAGAAAATATCCCATTTATAGTAGGTAAAAAATAAAGAAGGAAATAAAAAATGAGGAAGAAAAGGAGGAAGGGAGGAATGACGGAGGGAGAGAGGAAAAAGAGAGGGAGGGAGAAAAAGAAAGAAGGAAGGAAGGAAGACTTTTGGAAGAAAGTAAGAAGGGAGATGGGAGATAGGGAGAGGAAGAAAAGAAGGAAGGATAGACAGAAGAAAGGAAGGGAGGTCTAAAAATAAACTTTAAAATACATGCAATATTTCTATGAAGAAAATTGCAAACATTACTGAAGGACACAAAGACTGAAAATAGAAAGGTATAAACCCTATTTTAGGAAAAAAAAGAATAAAAATTTTAAAAGTGTCAATTTTTTTTTCTAAATGAATCTATGCATGGAATGAAATGCCAATTAAAATATCCTTAGGATTTTCTTCAACATTGCTTGCTGATTCTAAAATTAAAGTAGAAAAGTTAGCATGCAAGAATAATGGAAACTCTAACTGAAAAGAATAATGACAGAGGACTAGCCCTATCATACATCAATATAGCTTTAGTAATTAAAATCACATGGAATGAATAGACAGATAAATAGGACATAATACCATCCAGAAATAACCCCCTAAACATGCAATATTTTAGAAAGTGAATCATTGACCTTAACTAACAGTGATGAAAATATGGAATGTTTGTTAAATGACATTGGGACACCTGCTGAGCCATCTGGAATTTTTAGAATAATTTTACTCCCATTTCATTTCTTACACGAAACAAAATCCAGATGGTCACAAGTTCAAATGTTAAAAAAGGAAACTATAATAATAAATAAAATCAAATTAAATAATTTGGAAAAATTGGCTGAGTTGGGGAAGATCTTGCTAAGTAAGAGTCAAAAGAAGCCATAAAGAAAAGATTGATAACTATGTAAAAATGAAACGGTATTGCAAAGCAAAACTACTATAAACAAAGTAAAAAGCCAAATTTGGATGAAATATTTACATTTATCATGAATTCTCACTGTCTAAAGAATCTTTACTAACCCATGAGAAAAAGTAACAATAGAAAAATGGACGAAGTACACACCAAAAAAAAATCATTTGGCTCTTAAGCATTAAAATTTTCACAAATTTTTCCAAAAGTGATGCAAACAATGTTTCTATCCATTGAGTTGACAAAGATGCAAAGTTTTGTACTACCCAGTTTTGGCCAGGTTGCAGGAAGTGAGCAATCACTTACATTACTGGTGAGACCATAAATCATTACTTTCTCTAAGAAGAACAATTTGGCAAAATCTATCAAAATGTGAAATGCATATTCTTTTGACTCAGTAATCTCCTCTCAAGAGAATATATCCTCAGATACAGTCACACATGGGAGAAATGATGTGTGTACATAGATATTTATTGCATCATTGTACACTGCCATCTCACCTTAGCATGTGGCTTTTATCCTTGTGTTTTCTGATTACCTTCAGCATTTTAAAAGTGTTACAGCAAGAAACAAACAAAAAAAGTAAAAGACAAAAGATGTGCTTTCCAACTGGGTCAGCCCAATTTTACAAGGCTTTCAAAGTCCCCAACCTGTGACTTATCTTACAGTCATAATGACCAGAACTGTCATAGTGACACCATTAGTTCAAGAGATGCTTGGAAATATAGTTATTTAAATGGTCAAGAAGGGGATCATGGTGTTAACAGCTAGTAGTATGTCACAATTGTCAATATTTAAAAAGTGAGAGATCTCATAGAAGTTTCTGGGATTCCAGTTATTCATGAAGAAAAAAAAAAGGAAGATGAAGCTATACTGAACCTGCATTTCTGCATGGTAGCAACCCGGATGTAGCTGACCATCAGCTTCACTTGTGGATGAAGCCTGTACTTCCTGTTCACCACACTCCCCACCACCACCAAATGCATTCTTCCACACAGTTGAGATCACATGCTTACCTACCTAGGCCTTGGCATTTTGGTTAATTTGACATAATTTCCAAAGCATCAAATTCTGTTTGAAAGTTCATTTGTGACTTTCAAAAAAACAGTTTCCGTAGAGCCATTTAATTTGTAGGTCTTTTTGCATAATGTTTCCACCTATTTTGTTCATTTGGTGGTAACATTGTATTTATGAAATAAGTATCTGCAGTTGTAAGAACAATCCAAATATAACTGTGGTTTAAACAACATAATAATTTATTTCTCTCTCATGCAATAGTCCAAGCATACGTAAACTAGGGCCAGCTCTTTTGCTGCTCTAGCATTCTCATCACATAGTTTCCCATATCAGCTCCAAAATGTTTGCTCCAGCTCCTGCAACCACTTCTACATTCCAGTTGGTTGGAAAGAAACAAAAATATCAAGAGGTCACACACACTTCTTTGAAGAGCAAATATAACTTCTGCTAAATTATCATTAGCCCATATCATAGACATATCCTCCCGCTTAGCTGTGAAGAAGGCTTAAAAATCTAGTTGTTAGCTGGGTGGCCAGCTAACTCTCAGTAATTTAGTAAAACCACTAAAGAAAAAAAAGAAATTTGACATTAGGGGGAATTAATACTTGTTAGCATGAGAAATTTTCATTCATTTATCTACCTAATCTTAAAAGGAAATACATTGGAATACAAAATCAAACAGAAAGAAAAGCACACTAATAAAGGACGTCCCACAAAACAAGTTTTTTTAAAAGCATTATTCTTAAATTGCTAAGCCCATGCTCCACCTGCCAATAAGAGTATCTTGAGCTTTACTGCCAGTTGATTGTATTATGAAAATGATCATGTGATTTTTGTGGTCACTATTTTTACTAAAGCAAAGAAAAAATATAAAATATTGGTTTGATAAGCAAAGAAAATCCTCCTTTGAGACAACATAGATGGTCCCTCCTGAAAAAAGGGGAAAACAAGAGACAACATAGATGAACCTAGAGGACGTTAAAATAAGTGAAATAAACCAAAGACAGAAACATACTGCATAATCTCACTTATATGTGAAATCTTTTTTAAAAAGTCAAATAGATAGAAATGTAAAGTATAATGGTGGTTACCAGGAGCAAGGGCACAAGAAATGGGAAGATGTAAATCAAAGGGTATATACATCAAAGGGTGCAAAGTTGCAGTTATGTAAGATAAATCTAGAGAGCTAATGTATAGCATGAAAACTGTACTTAATAATATTGTATTACATACTTACATACCATACATTTGCTAAGAGAGTACATCTTAGGTGTTTTTAGCTAAAAGAACACTTAAAATACAACACATTTGTGTGTGTTACACACAAAAAGGGTAACTATGTGAGATGATAGATACGTTAACTTGCTTGAGTGTTGTATTCATTTCGCTAGGTATATGTATATCAAAATGTTATGTTATATACCTTAAATATACACAACAGAAAAACAAATTTTATTTTCTGATTACTCAAGTAAAAAATAGATAATCTTGCATTTAAACCTCAGAATGGACACCCTCTAGCCATGTGACCTTTACCAAGTTACTTAATCTCTATGAACTTTAGTGTTACTATCTGTAAAATGAGGATAATAAGAATAGCTTCACAAAATGGGTGTGAGTAGTAATTGAAACAAAGCACTCAGGAGAGTGTCTAGCATATGGCAGTTGTTCAATCCTTTGTAGCATTATTTTCCATCTGGTTGTTAAAATCATTTTATTGTTTAGCTTTTTTAATTATCACATAGAATGGCATGTATCAATTGAATATTTTGGCTGACTGAAGAATAACTATTTGAAGATTCTGAAAATTACATGTTTATCCACTGAAATGAAGGGCTCTGTTATAATATATATCTCTGTCAGTTATAAAGCTGATATAAATTTTTTATTTAATAGATTTAGGGATACAAGTACAGTTGTGTTACATGGATATATTGCATAATGGTGGAAGGCTGGGCATTCAGTGTACCTATTACCCAAACAATGTACATTGTACTCAATAGGTATTATTTTATCCCTCATTCTCTTTCCACCCTCCCACGTTTTGGAGTCACCAGCATCTATTATTCCACTCTGTATGTCCATGTGTACCCATTGTTTAGCTCCCATTTATAAGTGAGAAAATGTGGTTTTTGATTTTATATTTCTGAGTAATTTCACTGAGGCTAATGGCCTCCAGTTGCATCCATGTTGCTGCAATATACATTATTCAATTCTTTTTTATGGCTGAGTAGTATTCCATGATGTGTGTGTGTGTGTGTGTGTGTGTGTGTGTGTGTGTGTGTATGTATTGGTCAAGATACATACACACACACACACACACACACACACACATATATATGTCACATTTTCTTTATCCAGTCATCCCTGATGGTAACTTATGTTGATTGCATGACTTTGCTATTGTAAATAGTGCTGTGACAAACATAAGAATGCAAGTGTCTTTTTGATACAATTATTTGTTTTTCTTCGATTAGATACCTAGTAGTAAGATTGGTGGATTGAATGGTAGTTCTATTTTTAATTATTTGAGAAATCAACATAATGTTTTCCATAGAAGATGTACTAAATTACATTCCCACCAACAATGTATATGCATTCATTTTTCTCTGTAACTTCATCAACATTTGTTCTTTTGGACTTTTTAGTAATAGCCATTCTGACTAGTGCAAGATGGTATCTCATTGTAGTTTTAATTTGTATTTCACTGATGATTAGTGACATTCAACATTTTTTCATTTTTTAATATTTTTATTTTTGTGGGTACATAGTAGGTGTATATATTTATGGGTACATGGGATATTTTGATATAAGCATGCAATGTGAAATAAGCATGTCATGGAAAATGGGGTATTCATCCCATCAAACATTTATCCTTTGAATTACAAACAATCCAATCACACTATTTTAAAATGTGCAATTGTTATTATTGGCTACAGTCATTCTATTGTGCTATCAAATAGTAAGTCTTACTCATTCTTTGTAACTATTATTCTGTACACATTAACCATCCCCACAACCCCCTCAAATCCCCATTACCCTTTCTAGCTTCTGGTAACCATCCTTCTACTCTCTATGTCTGTGAGTTCCATTATTTTGATTTTTAGATTCCACAAATAAGTGAGAACATGCAAAGATTGTCTTTCTGTTCCTAGCTTATTTCACTTAAAATAATGATCCTCAGACTCACTCATGTTGTTGCAAATGACTGGATCTCACTCTATTTATGGCTGAATGGTATTCCATTGTGTATGTGTATGTACCACATTTTCTTTATGCATTAATCTGTTGATGAACATTTAGGTTGCTTCCAAGTTTTAGCTATTGTAAACAGTGCTGCAACAAAGAAATGCAGATATATCTTTGATAGACTGATTTCCTTTCTTTTGGGTATATACCCAGCAGTGGAATTGCTGGATTATATGGTAGTTCAATTTTTAGTTTTTTGAGGAACCTCCAAACTCTTCTCCATAGCAGCTGTACTAATTTATGTTCTCACCAACAGTGTAGAGGGTCCCCATTTAACCACATCCTCACCAGCATTTGTTATTGCCTGTCTTTTTGATATAAGCCATCTTATCCGGGGTGACAGGATGTCATTGTAGTTTTGATTTGCATTTCTCTGATGATCAGTGATGTTGAACATCTTTTCATATACCTGTTTGCCATTTGTATGTCTTCTTTTTAGAAATGTCTATTCAAATCTTTTGCTCATCTTTTGATCTGATTATTAGATGTTTTTCCTATAGAGTTGTTTGAACTCCTTATATATTCTGGTTATTAACCTCTTGTCAGATAAGTAGTTTGCAAACATTTTCTCCCATTGTGTGGGTTGTCTCTTCACTTTGTTGATTGCTTCCTTTGCTGTCCAGATCTTTTTAACTTGAGGTGATTTCATTTGTCCATTTTTGCTTTGGTTGTTTGTGCTTGTGAGGTATTGGTCAAGAAATCTTTGCCCAGACCAATGTCCTGGAGGTTTTCCCCAATGTTTTCTTGTAATAGGTGTATATTTTGAGGTCCTAGATTTAAGCCTTTAATCCATTTTGGCTTGATTCTTGTATATGACAAGAGATGGGGGTCTAGATTCATTCTCCTGCACATGGATATCCAGTTTTTCCAGCACCATTTATTGAAGAGACTGCTTTTATGTTCTTGTCATCTTTGTCAAAAATGAGTTTACTGTGGGTGTGTGGATTTCTTTCTGGGTTCTCTATTCTGTTCCATTGGTCTGTGTGTCTGTTTTTATGCCGGTACCATGTTGTTTTGGTTATTATAGCTCTGTAGTATAATTTGAAATCAGGTAATGTGATTCCTCCAGTTTTGTTTTTTTGGTTTAGGATAGCTTTGGCTATTCTGGGTCTTTTGTGGTTTCATATACATTTTAGAATAGTATTTTCTATTTATATAAAGAATGTCATTGGTATTTATTTTGATAGGGATTGTATTTAATCTGTAGATTGCTTTGTGTAGTATGGACATTTTAACAAAATTGATTCTTCCAATCCATGAACTTGGAATTTTTTTTCATTTCTTGGTGTCTTCTTCAATTTCTTTCATCAGTGTTTTATAATATTCATTATAAAAATCTTTCACTTATTTGGTTAAATTAATTACTAGGTCTTTAATTTTATGTGTGGCTATTAGAAATGGGATTCAAATTTTTTTCACATTGTTCACTTGGCATATAGAAATGCTACTGATTTTCGTATGTTGATTTTTGTATTTTACAACTTTACTGGATTATCAGTTCTAATAGTTTTCTTGTGAAGTCTTGAGGTTTTTCCAAATATAAGATCATATTATCTGCAAACAAGGATAATTTGACTTCTTCTGTTCCAATTTAGATATCCTTTATATCTTTCTCTTATCTGATTGCTCTAGCTAGGACTTCTAGTACTACATTGAATAACAGCGATGACAGTGGACATTCTTGTCATGTTCCAGATTTTAGAGAAAAGGCTTTCAGTTTTTCCCCATTCAGTATGATACGAACTGTGGGTCTGTCATATATGGTTTTTATTATGTTGATGTATATTCCATCTATGCAGTTTTTTAAGGGTTTTTATCATGAAGGGATATTAAATTATCAAATGCTTCTTCAGCATCAATTGAAATGATCATATGGTTTTATCTTTCATTCTGTTGATACAATGTATTACAGTGATTGATTTACCAATGTTGAGCCATCTTTGCATCCCAGGGATAAATCCTACTAAATCATGATGGATGATCTTTCTAATGCATTGTTGATTCCATTTGCTAGTATTTTGTTGAGGATTTTTGCATTAATATTCATCAGAGATACTGGCCCATAGTTTTCTTCTTCTGATGTGTATTTGTCTGGTTTTGATATCAGGGTAACACTAGCCTCACAGAATGATATTGGAAGTATACCCTCCTCCTCTAATTTTCAGAACATTTTGATTAAGATTTGTATTCATTCTTCTTTAAATGTTTGGTAGAATTCAACAGTAAAGCCATCAGGTTCTGGGCTTTTCTTCACTGGGAGACTTTGTATTATAGCTTTGATCTCATTACTTGTTATTGGTCTTTTCAGATTTTGTATTTCTTCCTGGTTCAATCTTGGTAGGTTGCATGTATCTAGGAATTTGTCCATTTCTTCTATATTTTCCAATTTATTGGCCTATAGTTGCTCATACTAGCCACTAATGATCCTTTGAAATTCTTCAGTAGCAGTTTTAATGTCTCCTTTTTCATTTTTTATTTTATTTGGATCCTCTCCCTTTTTTTCTTAGTCTGGCTAAAGGTATGTCACTTTTGTTTAACTTTTAAAAAAAGCCAACTTTTTGTTTCACTTATCATTTGTATTGTTGTTTTCAGTTCAATTCCATTTATTTCTGCTCTGATCTTTTTTTTTTTTTTTTTTTTTTTTTTTTTTTTTTTTTTTTTTTTTTTGAGATGGAGTCTCGCTCTTTCACACAGGCTGGACTGCAGTGGTGCTATCTGGGCTCACTGCAAGCTCCACCTCCTGGATTCACGCCATTCTCCCGCCTCAGCCTCCGAGTAGCTGGGACTACAGGCGCCCGCCACCACGCCCGGTTAATTTTTTCTATTTTTAGTAGAGACGGGGTTTCATTGTGTTAGCCAGGATGGTCTCGATCTCCTGACCTCGTGATCCGCCCGCCTCGGCCTCCCAAAGTGCTGGGATTACAGGCATGCGCCACCGTGCTCGGCCTGCCCTGATCTTTATTATTTCTTTTCTTTTACTAATTTTGGGTTTGGTTTGCTCTTGCTTCTCTAGTTCTTTAAGATACATCATTAGAATGCTCATTTGGTTTTTCCTCTTTTTTGATATAGGCACTTCACAGCTACAGACTTCTCTCTTAGTACCGCTTTTGCTGTATCCCATAGGTTTTGGTATGTTGTGTTTCCATTATTTTGTTTCAAGAAATTTTTTAATTTCTTCCTAATTTATTGATTGACCCACTGGTCATTTGGAAGTATATTGTTAAATTTCCACTTATTTGTATAGTTTCCAAAATTCCTCTTGTTATTAATTTTTAGTTTTATTCCATTGTGGTCAAAGAAGATACTTGATATTGTTTCCCTTTATTTTGAATGTTTTAAGACTGTTCAGTGACCTAACATACAGTCTATCTGTAAAAAATAATCCATGGGCTGAGGAAAAGAATGTGTATTCTGCAGCTCTTGAATGAAATGTTCCTTAAATATATATTAGATCCATTTCATGTATAGTGCAGATTAAGTCTGATGTTTCTTTGTTGATTTTCTGTCTAGAAGATCTTTGCAATGCTAAAAGTGGGGTGTTGAAGTCTCCAGTTATTATTATATTGAAGCCCATCTCTCTCTTTCACTCTAATAGTATTTCCTCTATATATCTGAGTGCTCCTATGTTGGGTGCATATATATTTTAAATTGTTATATCTTCTTGCTGAATTGACCCTTTTATCATTATATAGTGACCTTCTTTGTCCTTCCTTATAGTTTTTGTCTTGAAATCTATCTTTTCTGATATAAGTATAGTGACTCTTCTGATTTTTTCGTTTCCATGGGCATGAAATATCTTTTTCCACCAGTTTATTTTCACTCTATGTGTGTCTTTATAGGTGAAATGTGTTTTCTGTAGACTGAACAGATCAATTAACCTTACTTTTTCATCCATTCAGCAAGTCTATGTCTTTTGATTGGGGAATTTAATCCATTTACATTCAATGTTATTATTTATTAGAACTTACTCCTGTCATTTTATTATTTGTATTCTAGTTGTTTTATGGTTTCTTTCTTCTTTCTTTCCTTCCTGTCTTCCTCTAGTCAAGGTGATTTTCTCTGGCAGTATAATTTAGTTTGTTTTTATATTTTGTGTATCTATTGTACATTTTTTGGTTTGTGGCTACCACGGGACTTGCAAATACAGTCTTATAAACCATTATGTTAACCTGTTAACAACACTATTTGCATAAACAAACAAGATGCCTTAATTTCATCCCTCTGCTTTTTAACTTTTTGTTGCTTCTATTTATATCTTATTGTACTATGTCTTGAAAAGTTGTAGTTATTATTATTGATTGGTTCATCATTTAGTCTTTCTGCTTAGGATAAGAATAGTTTATATACCACAGTCACAGTGTTATAATATTCTGTGTTTTTTCTGTGTACTTACTATTACCAGTGAGTTTTGTGCCTTCAGGTGACTATTTTATTGCTCATTAATATCCTTTTCTTTCTGATTGAGTTACTCCCTTTAGCATTTCTTGTAAGACAGGTCTGGTATTGATGAAATCCCTCAGCTTTTGTTTATCTGGAAAAGCCTTTATTTCTCCTTCATGTTTGAAGGATATTTTCATCAGATATACTATTCTAGTGTAACATAGTTTTCCTTCAGCACTTTGAATATGTCATGTCACTCTCTCATGGCCTGTAAGGGTTCCACTAAAAGTCTGCTGCCAGATGTATTGGAGTTCCATTGTATATTATGTGTTTCTTTTCTCTAGCTGCTTTTAGGATCCTTTCTTTCTTTATCCTTGACCTTTGGGAGTTTGATTGTTAAATGCCTTAGGTAGTCTTCTTTGGGTTAAATCTACTTGGTATTCCACAACCTTTTTGTACTTGGATATAGATATCTTTCCGTAGATTTGGGAAGATTTCTGTTATTAGCCCTCTGAATAAACTTTCAACCCCTGTCTCTTTCTCTGCATCCTCTTTAAGGCCAGTGACTCTTAGATTTGCCCTCTTGAGGCTATTCTAGATCTTGTAGGCATGCTTCATTTTTTTTTATTCTTTTTGTCAGCTCTATTTTCAAATAGGCTGCCTTCAATCTCACTAATTCTTTTGCTTGATGAATTCTGCTATTAAAGTACTCTGATGCATTCTACAGTATGCTTATTGCATTTTTCAGCTCCAGAATTTCTGCTTGATTCTTTTTCATCATTTTAATCTCTTTGTTAAATTTATCTGACAGAATTCTGAATCCCTTCTTGGTGTTATATTGAATTTCTTTGAGTTTACTCAACACAGCTATTTCAAATTCTCTGTGTGAAAGGTCACATGTCTCTATTTCTCCATGATTGGTCCATGGTGCCTTATTTAGGTCATTCAGTGAGGTCATGTTTTCCTGAATGGTGTTGATGATAGCAGATGTTCTTCACTGTCTGGGCATTGAAGACTTAGGTATTTATTGTAGTCTTCACTGTCTGGGCTTATTTATAGCTGTCCTTCTTGGGAAGGCTTTGCAGAGATTTGAAAGGACTTAGGTGTTGTAACCTAAGTTGTATCTACTTTGTATCCCCAAGCCAAGTAACACTGTGGTTCTTGCAGACTCATAGAGATACTGCCTTGATCGTCTTGGACAAGATCTGTGAAAATTCTCTGGATTACCAAGAAGGGACTCTTGTTTCTTCCCTTACTTTTTGCCAAACAAACATATTCTCTCTGTCTCTCTGTTGTGAACCACCTAAAGCAGGGGATAGAGTTACATGAGCATCCCTGTGGCCACCACCACTCTGACTGCACTGGGTCGACCTGAAGCCAGTACAGCACTGAGTCTCACCCAAGGCCTACTGTGACCACTCTCTGGCCTATGTTCTCTCACGGCCTGTGGAGCTCTACAATTGGCATGTGGCAAAGCCAGCCAGGCCTGTGTTCCTCCCTTCAGAACAGTGAGGTCCCCCAGGACATGAGTGGAGGGGTTGTCCAGGAGCCAGGGACTAGGGTCAAAAACCTTGGAAGTCTACTTGGTGTTCCATTGTATTGCAGCTTAGCTGACCCTCAAACTGTGAGATGCAATCCTTCCCACTCTCCTCTCCCCTCTCCAAAGGCAGAGGAGCCTCACCTTGTAGCCACGACCATCCCACGTCATGAGGAGTACTGCCAGACTACCACTGATGTTCCCTTAAGGCCCAAGAACTCTGAAGTCATCTTGTGGTGAATGCTGCCTGGCCCACGATTCACCCTTCAGGACAGTGGCTTCCCCTTGGCCCAAGGCAGGTCTAAAAATATCCATCCAAAAGTCAAGTCCTGGAATCCAGGATCCCAAGAGCCCACTTGATGCTCTGCCCCCTGTAACTGTGCTGGGATCTAAGGTGCAAGAGAAAGTCCCCTTTACTTTTTCCTCTGCTTTCCTCAAGCAGAAGGAGTTTTGTCCCATAGCCACCACAGCTGGTAATGTACTGAGTCTCAACTGAAGCCAGCAAGTCTCAGAGGTTCACCCAAGGCCCACAATGTAGTACCTGGGTATTGCTGCTGGTTATTCAAGGACCAAGGGCTCTTCAGTTATCAGGTAATGAATGCTGCCAGGACAGACCTTTTCCTTCAAGGCAGTGGGTTCCCTTTTGGCCCAGGGTATGTTTAGAAATGTCGTCTGGGAACTAGGACCTGGAACAGGGCCTCATGATTCTGACTGGTGACCTATCCTACTGTGGCTGAGCTGGTATCCAACATGCAAGACAAAGCCCTCCCCACTTTTCCCTCTCCTCTCCTCAAGGGAAAGGAAAGTGTCTTTTTTGGAGCCATGAGCTGTGTAGTCTGGGGTTAGGGGAGGACTGATGCCAGCACTGCCTTGGATGATCATTACCCAACCTGCTGCCAAGTAAAAAACCACCTACACAGAAGAAACACCTTCATAAGAACCCAAAGTCAGGTGAGCATGCATAGTACCTGGTTTTAACTTCATATCTCTGAAAGAGGTACTGCAGACATAGAAAAAACAGTCCTGAATCACTGACTCCACTACCCCCACCCCCAGCCCCAGTGGCAGCAGTATGGTGCTAAGAGGGTCTCTGGGTGCCGAGTGAGGGAGAACACAGCAGTTGTGAGGGAGAACACAGCAGTTGTGAAGCACTAAACTCAGTGCTGTCCTGTTAGAGCGGGGAGTAAAACCAGATAAAACTCAGCCAATGCCAACCCACAGAGGGAACATTTAAACCAACCCTAGTCAGAGAGGAGTCATTGATCTGGGTAATGATCAGTGGAGCTTTCTATTCCATCACCTTGCTCCACCCCCCATTTCTTCATTTTCCTTGGCCGCTTACATGTCTTCTTTTGAAAAAATGTCTGTTCATCTGTTCATGTTCTTTACCCACTTTTTAATGAGTTTTTTCTTTTTTCTTTTTTTTTTTTATTTGAGACATGGTCTCCTCTGTAGCCCAGGCTGGAGGGCAGTGTGAACACAGCTCACACAGCCTCGACCTCCCAGGTTCAAGTGGTCTTCTCACCTCAGCCCCCTAAGTAGCTAGGACTATAGGCCTGTACCACCATGCTAGACTGATTTTTGTATTGTTTTGTAAAAATGTGGCTTTGCCATGTTGCCTAGGCTGGTCTCAAACTCTTGGGCTCAAGCAATCTGCCTGCCTTGGCCTCCCAATGTGCTAGGATTACAGGCATGAACCACCATGCCTGGACTATTTTCTTTCTTATTGAGTTGTTTGAATTTTTTTGTAGATTCTGAATATTAATTCTTTGTCAAATGCATACTATGCAAATACTTTCTCTCATCCTATGGATTGTCTGTTTACTCAGCTGATTATTTCTTTCACTGTGCAGAAACTTTAGTTTAATTAAGTTCCATTTGTCTGCTTTTGTTTTTGTTGTGTTTTCTTTTGAAGACTTACTAAATTTCTTTACCCAAGCCAATGTCCAGAAGAGTTTTCCCTAATTTTTCTTTTATAATTTTATGGTTTTGGGTCTTATTTAAATCTTTAACATCTCTTGAGTTAATTTTTGTATATGGTAAGAAACAGGGATTTTTAAAATTTGTGTCATCTAAAATTTCTTTCATCAGTGTTTTATAGTTCTTCTTATAGAGATCTTTCACCTCCTTGGTTAAATGTATTTCTAAGTATTTTATTTTTTTGTAGCTATTGTAGATGGGATTTAGTTCTTGATTTGGTTCTTGGCTTTATCCTTGTTGGTGTATGAAAATGCTACTGATTTCAGTATGTTGATTTGGTATCCTGAAACTTTACTGAAGTCATTAGGAGTCTTCTGGAGGAGTCTTTAGGGTTTTCTGCATGTAACATCATATCATCAGTGAAGAGGGATGATTTGACATAATCTTTTCCAGTTTGATGCCCTTTATTTATTTCTCTTGTCTGATTGCTCTAGTTAGGTCTTCCAGTACTGCATTGAATAGAAGTGGTGAGAGTGGACATCCTTGTCTTGTTCCAGTTCTTAGGTGGAGTGGTTTCATCTTTTCCCCATTCAGTAAAATATTGGTTGTGGGTTTGTCACATATGGCTTTTATTATTTTGAGGTATGTTCCTTATGTGCCTAGTTAAGGGTTTTTCTCATGAAGGGAAGCTGGATTTTATCAAATGCTTTTTCTACATTTATTGCGATGATTATTGTTTTTGGTTTTGTTTATGTGGTGAATCACATTTATTGATTTTTTTTATGTTGAATCATCCTACATCCTTGGAATGAAACCCACTTGATTGTGGTATATTATCTTTTTCATGTTCTGTTGGATTTGATTTGCTAGTATTTTGTTGAAAATGTTTTCTTCAACAAAAGATGCCAGTGAGGCTATGGAGAAATAGAAATGCTTTTACACTGTTGGTGGGAATGTGAATTAGTTCAAACATTGTGTAAGACATTGTGATATTTCCTCAAAGACCTAAAACCAGAAATACCGTTTGACCCAACAATCTCATTACTGGGTATATACCCAAACGAGCATAAATCATTCTATTACAAAGATACATGCACAGGTATGATCATTGCAGCACTATACACAATAGCAAAGACATAGAATAAGCCTAAACATCCATCAATACTAGATTAGATAAAGAAAATGTGGTACATATATGCCATGGAATACTATGCATCCATAAAAAGGAATGAGATCATGTCCTTTGCACAGACATGGATGAAGCTGGAAGCCATTATCCTCAGCAAACAAATGCAGAAACAGAAAACAAAACATCACATATTCTCACTTATAAGTGGGAGCTGAACAATGAGAACACATGGAAAAAGGGAAGGGAACAACACAAACTGGGGCCTGGCAGAGAGGCAGGGAGGAGGGAGAACAAGAGGATAAATAGCTAATGCATGTGAGGCTTAACACTTAGGTGATGGGTTGATAGGTGCAGCAAACCACCATAGCACACATTTACCTAATGTAACAAACCTGCACATCCTGCACATGTATCCCAGAACTTAAAATCAAATTAAATTTAAATTTAATTTTAAAAAAATTTCTATTTTCATCAGGGATAGTGGTCTGTCATTTTCTTTCTGTTTTGTACCCTTGCCATTCTTTGATATTGCAGTGATGGCTTCATAGAATGAGTTAGGGAGGGTTCCCTCCTCCATTTGTTTTGTGCCTTTGCCATGCTTTGATAGCAGGGTAATGATGGCTTCATAGGAATTGGAGCAATTTTAATAGAATTGGTATCAGTTATTGCTTGTATGTCTAGTAGAATTCAACTGTGGATCAGTCTGGTCTTGGACCTTTTTTTTTTTATTAATTACTGATTCAATTTTACTACTTATTGATCTGTTCAGGACTTCTATTTATTCTTGGTTCAGTCTTGGGAGATTGTATGTTTCCAATAATTTACACATTTCTTCTAGATTTCATAGTTTGTGTGCATAGAGATGCTTATAGTAGTCTCTGATGATCTTTTGTATTCCTGCGGAATCAGTTGTTTGTCATTGTTATCATTTCTGATTGTGCTTATTTGAATCTCTTATTTGAGTCTCAGAGTTGGGGACCAAGCTGGGTGAAGCCAGGCCAGGCAGGCCCATCCGTGGCCCCCCAGTGGTAGTCATAAGTACCAGCTTTTATGGGAATCCAGGGGGTAAAGCACCCAGTGATGTGCCTGTGTGTGGAGTAGAGAAACCTCCACTACCCTAAGTTCTCTCCATGGGAAGGGAGAGGCAGCCTAAGCTCCTAATCTAGAATAGTGGGTACTCCAAATGCCGGGAGATATGTCCAGGTATAGAGCGAAGAGACTATCAAGTTGGCTGCACCAAGTTCTCTACTCAGAAAGGGAAGGGTGGTTTAGGTTCCTAATCCAGGCAAGCGAGTGCATAAAAATGCCTAGAAATGTGCCCCAGAAAGGAGCAGAGAAATCACTACTGCCCACGGAATGGCAGGGGCAGCTCAGGCTCCTAATCCAGGGGAGTGGGTAAGCCAAATGCCTGGAAATGTGCCCTGGGCATGGAGCAAAGAAAGTGCCACAGCACCAAGATCTCTGCACAGAAAGCAAGGGGTGGTGCAGGCTCCTAATGCAGGTGAGTAGGTGCATCAAATGCCTGAAAATACGCCTTAGTAGGGAGTGGAGGGAGCACTGCCACACAAAATTCTTTGCATAGGAAGGGAAGGATGGCCCATGCTTCTAATTCAGGTGAGCAGGAATGGGATTCTCTCTCCCACTCCTTGGAACTAGTGGGGCTCATTCTCCTGACTGACCAAGGGAACAGGTTGAGGCACCTAGCAATGACCTATACAGAGCTGTCATCCCAGGTCTCAAAGGCATCCTTGGCTGTAAAACTCGCTGCGGCTTCAACAATTCTCCTTCTGCTCTAGTTCTGCAGCAAGAAAGATCCCAATTTCAGTGCCTATCTCTGGAATGCACTCCACATTCCCTGCTTGCTGTGGGAACCCTTCACCCACTTCAAAGCAAGTGCTCTGAGGCCCAAGACAAATGCTCATGGTAGCCATCACTGCCAGATCACCAAACAATGATTGACTTTGGGTGAGCCCAGTTTGAAAATGTTGTCCTCCTCTTGGTCCCAAATACTCCCAGGCTTTCAAAAGGGATCTGTGATGGATTCATCCTAGGAGAAAGAGTAAACAGGAAATAGACCAGCCCTCACAATGAACAAAGCCTTGAACATCTAAATCTCTGGTTGGATGAAGAAGATATACCTTTAGCTTAACTGCCTGGTGGAAGCAAAAATAAATCCCCTCTGAGAAAAGATAAATTACCCAGAGACTCAAATTTTCTACACACAATTTCATACACAGTAGCTGACAGTTAATCAAAAACAACCAGATGTATAGACTTTTTTAATTACAAGAGAAAACAAATAGTAGATATAGAATGAATAATATATCATTGTTGCAGTTATTAGATATACCTTTAAAATAAATATGATTAATGTATTCAAAAGATTAAATAATGAAATGGAATGCAGAACTCAATGGATGAAATCAGCAGCATATTAGAAAAAGCTTAAAAGAAAATTGGATATGTCAGAATAAAATATTCAACCTAAAGATTAAAGTTTGAAGAAATAAAAATGAAAAATACAAAAAGAGTGTAAGATAATATCAGACATGGCTAAATGGTCTAACATATAGATTTCAAAAAGAGAGAGGAGAAAGAATGAGGCAGAAGAACTCCTGTAAGAGATGATGGCCAAGAATTTTCCAAAACTAAAATAAGGCAAAACAAAAAATAAAATGGCTAAGTTTGGATAAAAGGAAATGAAACATTCAAAATTAGCAAATAAATAATTGCATATTTTAAACATTCCAAAAATTCAGAAAAAAGTTCTCAAATTAATCTGTTTAGCAAGTTTTCTAGATACAACATCAGTATACAAAGATCAATTGGATTTCTATACATAAACAATAAATAATTAGAAGCTTAATTTTTAGACCAATGAAGCAGAATAGAGAACCCAGAAATAAAGTAAAATACAGCCAACTGATGTTCGACAAAGCAAACAAAAATATAAAGTGGGGATATGACACCCTATTCAACAAATTGTGCTGGGATAATTGGCAAGCCACATGTAGAAGAATGAAAAGTGGATTCTCATCTCTCACCTTATACAAAAATTAACTCAAGATGGATCAGAGACTTAACTCTAAGACCTGAAACCATAAAAATTCCAGAAAAATAGCATCAGAAAAACCTTTCTAGGCATTGGCTTAGGCAAAGACTTCATGACCAAGAACCCAAAAGCAAATGCAACAAAATTAAGATAAACAGATGGGACTTAACTAAAAAGCTTCTGCACAGCAAAAGAAATAATCAGCAGAGTAAAGCAACAACCACAGAGTGGGAGAAAATCTTCACAAACTATGCATCCAACATAATCTACAAGGAACTCAAATCAGCAAGAAAGAAACAATCCTATCAAAAAGTGGGCTAAGGACATGAATAGATAATTCTCAAAAGAAAATATACAAATGGCCAACAAACCTATGAAAATATGCTCCACACCACTAATTATCAGGAAAATGCAAATCAGAACCACAATATGATACCACCTTACTCCTGCAAGAATGGCCATAATTTAAAAATCAAAAAATCATAGATGTTGGTGTGGATGTGGTGAAAAGGGAACACTTTTACACTGCTGGTGGGAATCTAAACTAGTACAGCCATTATGGAAAATGGTGTGGAGAGTCCTTAAACAACTAAAAGTAGATCTACCATTTGATCCAGCAATCCCACTATTGGGTAACTACCCAGAGGAAAAGAAGTCATTATAAAAAAAAAAAAAAAGACACTTGCACACGCATGTTTATGGCAGTACAATTTGCAATTGCAAAAATATAAAACTGGCCTAAATGTCCGTCAATCAACAAATGGATAAAGAAAATGGGGTGTATATATACTGTGAAATATTACTCAGCCATTAAAAAGGAATGAAATAATGGCATTTGCAGCAACCTGGATAACTGGAGATCCTTTTTCTAAGTGAAGTAACTCAAGAATGGAAAACCAAACTTCCTGTGTTCTCACTTATAAGTGGGAGCTAGGCTATGAGGATGCAAAGGCATAAGAATGATACAATGGGCCAGGTGCAGTGGCTCATGCCTTTAATCCCAGCACTTTGGGAGGCCGTGGTGGGCAGATCACAAGGTCAGGAGTTCAAGACCAGCCTGGCCAACATGGTGAAACCCCGTCTCTACTAAAAATACTAAAAAATTAGCCAGGCATGGTGGTGCATGCCTGTAATTCCAGCTACTTGGGAGGCTGAGGCAGTAGAATCGCTAGAATCTGGGAGGTGGAGGTTGCAGGAGCCAAGATCGCTCCACTGCACTCCAGTTTGGGCAACAGTGTGAGACTTCATAAAAAAAAAAAAAAAAAAAAAAAGATACAGTGGACTTTGGGGACTCAGGGGAAAAGGTGGGAAGGGATGAGGGATAAAAGACAACATATTGAGGGGCCAAGATGTCCAACTAGAAACGGTGGCAGTCGGAGGCTTCCATTGAAAAGAACCATAATAAGTGCATTAATCTTTCACTGGCAACCAAGGTAACCAGGTTCTCTCATCAGAACTGACCAGGCAGCTGGTGTGATCCATGGAGAGAAAGGAAGAGCAAGCAGTGTGGTGTGGTGGCCCATCTGGGAGCCAGACGAGCAGAGGAGCCCCTACCCCCAGGCCAAGGGAGGTGATGAGTGAGCATCCTACCCAGCAGGGGGAACGGTGATTTTTCCACAGAACTATGAAACCCACAGATTGAAAGATCCCACTCATGAACCCACACCACCGGGGCCTAGGGCCTTAACCCCAGAGCCATGCAGATTCTTAATAGCCTCTCAGCTGGACTCTGCTTAAGCCTGCCGAGCCCCTGGGGAGAAGGGGTGACCAGCACCACAGCTGCAGCTGCCTGATGTCTAAGCCATTTGAGCTTCTTGGGAAAGGGGCAGCAGCCAGCACTGGGACTCACAACTGCCTAACATGTTAAGCTCCTTGGGCAGGGGAAGTGTGGCATCCATCTCTATAGCTCCAGGCTGTGCTTTTCCCCTGCTGGAACCAGTAGGGCTGGACACCTTGGTCCCAAAAGGTGTCCCCAACAGCCCAACATACCAGCTGTGGAAGACTGCAGCCAGAGGACCTCTTCAGGACTGACCCTGACTCATCCTTCCTCACTGGGTGGGGCTTCCTGCAGGAAATCCAACAACTCTAACCAGAGGCTCAGGGACAGAACCCAGATCTCCCTGGGCCTGAGCCTCTAGTGGGAGGAATGGCTGCAGTCTCTGTGAATCAGCAGACATAGCCTTTCCTCCTGATAGTTCCAGGAGCCCAGATGAGTGGGTTTCCCCCTAGCAAAGCACACCCCTGCACCAAGGGTCAGTCAAAGTGCTTCATTAAATGGGTCCTGTTCCCCATGCCACCCAACTGGGTGACAACAGGGGTTGTCAGAAACCCTACACAGGAGCGATCCAACTGGCATCAGGTCAGTGCCCCTGCCAGAAGATGGAGCAGGCACCCATCTTTGCTGTTCTCCAGCCTCCTTGAGTGACATCTCCAGACGCAGGAGTAAACCAGATGAATAGGGCATGAAGTGGACCCCCAGCAAATGGCAGCAGCCCTACAGAAAAGGGACCTGACCATTGAAAGAAAAACAAACAAAAAGCAACAACAACAGCACCAACAACAAAAAAGTCCTCACAAAAACTTCATCCAAGAGTCAGCAGCCTCAAACTCACAAAACTAGGCAAACTCACAAAGATGAGAAAGAATCAATGACAAAATGCTGAAAACCCAAAAATCCAGAGTGCCTCTTCTCCAAATGTTTGCAATGTCTCTCCAGCAAGGGCACAGCACTGGACGGAGGATGAGATGGATGAATTGACAGAAGTAGGCTTCAGAAGACGGGTAATAAAAAACTACACTGATTAAAGGATTATGTTCTAACCCAATGCAAAGAAGCTAAAAACCTTGATAAAAGGTTAGAGGAGCTGCTAACTAGAATAACCAGTTTAGAGAGGAACAGAAATGACCTAATGGAGCTGAAAAACACAGCACAAGAACTTCATGAGGCATACACAAATATCAATAACTGAATCAACCAAGTGGAAGAAAGAATATCAGAGTTTGAAGACCACTTTATTGAAATAAGGCATCCAGGCAAGATTAGAGAAAAAAGAATGAAAAGGAACAAACAAAGCCTCCAGGAAACTGGGGACTTTGTGAAAAGATGGAACCAGTGATAGACTGGAATACCTGAAGGAGATGGGACGAAAGGAAACAAGCTGGAAAAAGCACTTCATGATATTATCCAGGGGAACTTCCCCAACCTAGCAATACAGGCCAACATGCAAATCCAGGAAAAGAGAGAGAACACCATTAAGATACTCCACAAGAAGACAAACCCCAAGATACATAATCATCAGATTCTCCAAGGTCAAAATAAGGGAAAAAATGTTAAGGGCAGCCAGAGAGAAAGGCCAGGTCACCTACAAAGGGAAGCCAATCAGACGAAGAGTGGACCACTCAGCAGAAACTCTGCAAACCAGAACAGATTGGGGGCCAAATTCAACATTCTTAAAGAAAAGAATTTCCAACCCAGAATTTCATATCCAGCCAAAATAAGCTTCATAAGTGAAGAAGAAATAAAATCATTTCCACACAAGCAAATGCTGAGGGATTTCATTACCACCAGGCCTGCCCGAAAGAAGCACTAAATATGGGGGGAAAAAAACACCAAAATATATTCTTTCAGGCAAGAGAAACAAATAAAGCATATTCAAATAGGAAGAGAGGAAGTCAAAGTGTCTCTGTTTGCAGATGACACGGTTTTATATTTAGAAAGCAACATCACCTCAGCCCAAAAACTCCTTAAGCTGATAAGCAACTTTAGCAAAGTGTCAGGATACAAAATCAATGTGCAAATATTACAAGCATTTCTTTACACCAACAATAGACAAGCAGAGAGCCAAATTATGAATAAATCCCCATTCACAATCACTACAAAGAGAATAAAATACCTTGGAATACAGCTAACAAGGGATGTAAAGGACCTCTTCAAGGAGAATTACAAACCACGGGTCAAGGAAATAAGAGAGGATGCAAAAAAAAAAAAAAAGGAAAAACATTCCATCCTCATGGATAAGAAGAATCAATATCGTGAAAATGGCCATACTGCCCAAAGTAATTTATAGATTCAATGTTATTCCCATCATACTACTATTGACATTCTTCATAAAATTAGAAAAAAAAACTAGTTTCATTTCATATATGATCAAAAAAGATCCCATATGGCCAAGACAATCCTAAGCAGGAAGAACAAAGCTGGAGGCATCATGTTACCTGACTTTATACTACAAGGCTACAGTAACCACAACAACATGGTACTGGTACAAAAACAGACATATAGACCAATGGAACAGAAAAGAGACCTCAGAAATAACACTACACATCTACAACCATCTGACCTTCGACAAACCTGACGAAAACAAGCAATGGGGAAAGGATTTCCTATTTAATAAATGGTGCTGGGAAAACTGGCTAGCCATATGCAGAAAACTGAAACTGGACCCTTTCCTTACACCTTATACAAAAATTAACTCAACATGGCTTAAAGACTTAAATGTAAACCCCAAACCACAAAAACCCTAGAAGAAAACCTAGGCAATACCATTCAGGGCATATGCATGGGCAAAGACTTCATGACAAAAATGCCAAAAGCAATCACAACAAAAGCCAAAATTGACAAATGGGATCTAATTAAAGAGCTTCTGCACAGCAAAAGAAACTATCATTAGGGTGAACAGGCAACCTACAGAATGGGAGAAAATTTTTGCAGTCTACCCATCTGAGAAAGGTCTAATATCCAGAATCGACAAGAAACTTAAATAAATTTACAAGAAAAAAACAAGTATCAATAGCTGAATCAACCAAGTGGAAGAAAGAATATCAGAGTCTGAAGTGGGCAAAGTAACAAAAGTGGGCAAAGGATATGAACAGACACTTCTCAAAAGAAGACTTTTACATGGCCAACAAACTTATGAAAAAAAGTGCAACATCACTGATTAGAGAAATGCAAATCAAAACCACAATGAGATACCATCTCACACCAGTAAGAATGGTGATTATTAAAAACTCAAGAAACAATAGATGCTGGCGAGGCTGTGGAGAAATAGGAATGCTTTTACACTGTTGGTGGGAATGTAGATTAGTTCAACCATTGTGGAAGACAGTATGGTGATTCCTCAAAGATCTAGAACCAGAAATACCACTTGACCCAGCAATCCCATTACTGGGTATATACCCAAAGGAATACAAATCATTCTCATATAAAGACACATGCACACCTATGTCTATTGCAGCATTGTAAAGTCATGGAACCAACAAAAATGCTCATCAATGATAGACTGGATAAAGAAAATGTGGCACATATATACCATGGAATACTATCCAGCCATAAAAAGAAATGAGATCATGTCCTTTGCAGGGACATGGACGAAGATGGAAGCCATCATCCTCAGCAAACTAACATGGGAACAGAAAACCAAACACCACATGTTCTCACTCATAAGTGGGAGTTGAACAATGAGAACACATGGACACAGGGAGGGGAACAACACACACCAGGGCCTGTCTGGGAGTGGGAGGTGAGGGGAAGAAACTTAGAGGATGGGTCAATAGGTGCAAAAATTTTACTTAAAATAAATGAAAGGTTATATATGCACTCACATATTTTAAAAAATGATGGAAAGAGAAAGAAAATAAATTTCTCTCTACGATTAAAAAAAAAAGACTACCTATTGGGTACAGTGTACACTGCTCAGGTGACAGGTGCGCCAAAATCTCAGAAATCACCACTAAAGGACTTAACCATGTAACCAAATACCACCTCTTCCCCCAAAGCCTATTGAAATAAAAAATAAAAGTTTAAAAAATACCAATACAATAGCACCAAAAATCATCAAATACCTTAAAATAAAACTAAGAAATGTTGCACAAAATGAATACACATAAAACAGGGAAACATACAGAAAATTTTAAAAGAGTTCCATACAGGGATATATTATGCTCATTGATTGAAAGATTAAATATTATGATGATGTCAGTTCTCCCCAAATTGATCTGTATAGATTCAATGTATTCCCAAACAATATCTCACTGGGTATTTTGGGTGTGTGTATGAAATGTGACAAGCTGATTATAAACTTTATATTAAAACTTAAGTGTTCAAGAATAGCCAAGATAATTTAAAGAGGAACTAGAGTTGAAGGACTTATACCATGGGATATCAAGATGCATTACACATTAAGGTCATGTCGTAGTGACACAATGATAGACAGAATAGAATCAAGACATTGACCACACACAATTTACGTCTAGGTGACACTGCCGAACAGTAAGGTAAGAACGATTTTTCTCTTAACGGTGCAGTATCAACTATACAGGTATATAAAAATATCTTGACCCCAACTTCATGCTGTATAACTCCAGATGGATGGTATATATAAGCATAAAAGGTAAAATAGTAAAGCTTCCAGAAGTAAATATAGGAGAATATCTTTATGGCTTAAGACAAGCAAACATTTCCTGAACAGGACCTCAAAATTAACTGACCATAAATGTAAAGATGATGAGTTCAACTACATTGAAATTAGGGGTTTGTGTTAATTAAAAAACAAATGCAAATGGAAAAATTTAGCCATGAGATAAGAGAAGATATTGTAAGATATGCACCATTTTAAACAGATTAGTACTTAGAACTTTAAAACGTCTACAAGTAACTAAGAAAAAGATAACTCAATATATACACCGGCAAGAGACTTATCTGAATAAGCATTTCACAAAAGAAGACATCCAAATGGCCAGTAAATACACACATGATCTTATTAATTAACAACAAAAAATGAAAATTAAAATTACAATGTGATATTATCACCAAACCCATGAGGATGACTGAAAGGAAACATTTTAACAGTATCAATTGTTCGGAGGACATAGAGCAATGAAAATGTTAGCGTACTGTTTGTGGGAGTGAAAATTGGTACAGCCACTTTGGATAACTGTTTAGCAGTAACCGCTGAAGTGGAACATAAGCATACCCGGTAAATCCACTAGTTATATACCAAACAGCAGTTATACAAATACCTGCCAAAATTCATGTACAAGAATTCCCATAACTTCATCATTCATAATAGCTCCAAACTGGAAACAACACAAACGCCCATCAACAGCAGAATGGATTTAAAAAATGATGCATTCGTAAGATGTACTTGTATATAGCAGGTTCAGCAAACTCTTTCTGTTAAAGGCCCAATAGTAAATATTTTAGACTTTGAGTACCATATAGTCTCTGTTGCAACTCTGCTGTGGTATGATGAAAACAACCATAGATATGTAAACAAATGAGCCAATGTGAATGGCTGTATCTCAAGAAAACTTTATTTGCTAGCCTCTGCCATGTAGCAATGGAAATGAACAAACTATTGCTACATGAAAGAACATGGTTGAATCTTAAAAGGTAATATGAAGCAAAGGAAAGCAGACACAAAAGAATATATTCTGAAAGGTGGAGGAGGAGACTGGGAGAGCCTTGAAGGAAGCTTCTAGGATGCTGCTAAAACTCTATTTAATAACCTAAATGGTAGCCCTGGTGTGTTCCTTTTGTGGTCATTCACTGAGCTGTCCAATATGATTCATGCACATTTATACTCTCATATATCTTTCAATAAACAATTTTATGAGACAATAATTAAAAGTACTAAAAGATGACTCAAGGATAATATAGAGATGCTTTGCTTTGAAAAAAGCAAAGAAGGTAGCCAGATAACATCAGAAAATGTATTTTCATAATGCATGTTGCAGTAACTTTAATTTTTATTATGTGCATAGGATATTTGGCAAAATCAGGTGGTCATTTACTGCTTAGAGATGAAATCGAAGTCATGCTTGATGGTGAGTATTGAGGTTATAACAAAATCTTTATGCATAAATCTAAATACATTTACTATTTTTAATTCTAGTCACATATGAGTTCTGTTAGAGTGCCAGGCCAGACAGGAAGAGGGTGGTGGTAGTAGTAGTTGGATAATTACGGAAGAATCAATGAAAGGACTGGGTTAAGAGGTTTGTTTTTTCTCTTTCTATTCTATTTCCCCTTACTCTCTTTCCCTGTTTCAGTCTCTCCATGTATTCCACTAATTGTCTGAGAACTATCATCCTAGAGCCCTTGGGAACTTCAGAAAGTTGAAAACTCATTTACTCATTCATCTAACAAATATTTTTTAGCATCTCTTATGTTTACGTGACAGCACTATTTACTGCTAGGGACAGAGTTGCAAATAAAGCAGTCTCTTCCCTCAGAGAATTCACATTTTAGTGGATAGCAATGTACAATACATTTGCAGAGGAGGGAATTAAAGAAGGGTAATATTAGTCTATCAAAATGTTTGGGTCTTAGGAATCTCCCTTAGCCTCTGTCTATCGTCCCATCAGGGTAAGAATTACAAATAGTGAGTTATAAAAACAAGTTGGCTGCCTTCCTTCCTTTTTCTTTCTTAATAGACTATTTTTTAGAGCAGTTTCAGGTTCACAGCAATATTGAGCTGCAGGTACAGGGACTTCCCAAGTACCTTCTCTCCTCACCTATGCATAGCCTCCCCCATTATCGACATCCCCCACCAGAGTAGTACATTTATTATAATTCATGGACCTACATTTATACATCATTACCTTCCTTCCTTATTCACTCATCCATTCATTCATTCACTCACTCATTCATTCATTCAACACATATTTGACTACCTGCTAAATGTCAAACACTAGAATTTTCCATCTTTCTTTCTTACAGTCATTTTCTTCTTTCATTCCCCCCATCCTGCTCTTCTCATCTCTGTTTTCTAAATCTCCCCCTTTGTTTCTATTTCTTTTATCGAGAAATAAAATAGTAATTTCTCACAGTCCACTATCTGGATATAATGATATTAACATTTTGGTATATGTATTATCCCGGATTTTTTTTTTTTTTTTTTTGAGACGGAGTCTCCCTCTGTCACCCAGCTGGAGTGCAGTGGTGTGATCTCAGCTCACTGCAACCTCTGCCTCCTGGGTTCCAGTGATTCTCCTGCCTCAGCCTTCTGAGTAAGTGGGACGACAGGCACATGCCACCATGCCCGGCTAATTTTTTGTATTTTTAGTAGAGATGAGGTTTCACCGTGTTAGCCAGGATGGTCTCGATCTCCTGACCCCGAGATCCACCTGCCTCGGTCTCCCGAAGTGCTGGGATTATAGGCATGAGCCACCGTGCCTGGCCTATCCAGGATATTTCTAAAGAATGAAAGCTATTATATATTTTTTTAAACTATCATAACTGCTTTTTAACTTTTTCACTTACCTTTATAATATAAACATCTTTCTAAGCCAAGAAATATGGGCCTACATTATGTTAATATGTATGTAGCATTTCATTTTATGTTCCTAATTTTTAAGCAGTTCCCTGTTAATGAACATTGAGACTGATTTTAACTTTTTCATTATTATGACCAATATGAACCTCTTCCTAAATATATGAATACATGTTTATGTTATCTAGCAGAATGCTCAGCACATAAAAGGTCCTTGGTAATTTTTAGTGAATATTCCCATTTTTCTTTTAATGGGGTCTATGTGGGGTTTTAGTAGGGATAGATGATAAAACTTCCTGAATGCTATCAGCCAAAGTTACAAAATGCAGAGGGAATGCAGAGGAGAGATGGAGAGAAGGGGGCACTCTGTGAAAGGTGGCAGGGCTGTTTAGTATTAAAGCTTCATGGCCTCTAAGAAAGAGATAACTTGAACTAAAGTCTCTTCTGATATTACAGTTATTGAACGACTGCTCCGAGATGAAGACCCTATGATCAAACAGTTGGCTGAAATAACCTATGATATTTTTAAGAAAAAAGCCCATAAACTGACCTCTGCACCTCTTAAACAAAACTTCCAAAAATTGCTTAAATTATTCTACATCAAAAAATTGAAGCCTCTTTACAATTATAACTCACCCAATGGCCAGATAGACAGTCCTACAGACAGTAAAGATGTCAAGAATGATAAGGCCTTATAGAAGAGAATGATGATGACATTCATCATTCATAAACAATGGGAAGTCCAACAATGTCTTGGAGCTGACCTTAGAAGAAGAATGATTTTTCTTTCCCTCCTGACAACTTGAGTCTGTTTGTAGATGCTTTTCTGAAAAATTCTGGAAGCTTTTACTGTTACTTCTTAATTCTCTATTCAAATATAGAAATCTGAGAGAACTAGTGCCTCTGTATGTCTGACAGTGATCAGAAGCCCTATTTCATCAAAACCACTAAGACAATTGAAAATAACATAAGCAAAGTGTTTGATGAGAAGCTCTGGGAACTTGATTCAGTCCGGAAGCTCTACTGAGCACCTTCTAAGTGCCAGATACTGTGTTAGGCAGTGGGGACATTTGGATGATATAGACAAGGTTCCTGATCTCAGGATGGGCACAGTCTAGTGACACATAGTGTGGTCATTTCTATCATGCTGGGAGAAAGACTGCCTAGGGCAGTGTTAACAAAAAAGATATGGAACTTGAAGAAGGGAAAGGGGAGAAGGAAATGTGTTCTGGGTACAGGTATTGAGCAATAAGAGTGTAGGGGAAAGTGGAGGAGTTTGTGGGTACAACTATGAGGAAGAAAGAAGAATGAAAAGAGCTGATACCCAAGGGAAGATTACTTTATGCTAATGGATTTGAGCTTTTTAAAAGAAAGATTGGATAGTCCATCACAGTCAGTACTCGCATTGCCATCAGAATTATAAAACCTCATCAATGATCTTTCTCGACTTAAGGCTCAGGCTTATCCTTCACTCCTCCCACCTTACCTTCTCTGGATCCCCATATCCCCACCTGAGCATAAGCCATTCTAGCCACAGTAAATTACTTGTAATTAGATGAAAGCACTTTTTCTCTGTTAATTCAGATGTAGTGGCATCTGAATTTGTAATGTGGCAACTTGCAGTTCAAGTATGTTTTCCTTTCTTTGCTGGGTCACTTCTCTAGTATTGTATGGCAGCCACTCCAGCTTCCCCTACATTCTCCTTCAGCTTCTCTGACTTCTGGGCCAGGTGAGTTTAGTTTTATTGACAAGGGATTCAGCTTCTCCTGCAAAATACCCACATCATCAACATCAATATTGGAAGCAGTAAGAGATGGACACAATTCTGAGCTTGTGGGTTCTACCTTGTCCTTGGCTCTTCCCATTTCACATACACCTTCCCTCCCAACAGCCTGCCCTGCATATTTCAAGTTCCAGGATCGGATGTGAAGATGACAGATTTCAGAGACTAGACTACTTATACTGCTCCCACAATTTCATATGGTCAAATCCCCAGTTCTGCTTGTGTAGTTGAGTCCTGATGGATATATCTGGGATCCATTTTCTTTCCCTCTTTGATCAAGTTGGGTGGGTGTTGCTCCTATATTTTGCCTTAACACCCTGTGATTATACCTTTCATCGCTTTTATCACACTGTAGTAAAATTATCTATTTCCTTCTCCTTCTGCCTCATAAAATGGAAGTTTCATGAAAGCAACTGTCATATCTTACACTTGGTTGTGTGCTCTTGGGCTCAATGCCTGGTACCTATATATGCTCAGTGAATACTTGCCAAATGAATGAAATGTTGACAAGACATATTACCTTCACACTTCAATAAAAGTTTTTACATATTTATGAAATGTGGAGTAATAAAAAAGACTAGAAATAAAGAATACATAATTTTAATTTATCCCTTAACCCATATTATTTTATATATCCAGGTGTCCCAGATCTCACCTTTCAAAATTAGGGCAAATTTTCATTCTCACCTAATGAACTAGCAGAATACCTAAAGAGGTAGGATGAATAATGACCTCCCCAAAAATATCCAATTCCTAATCCCTGGAATCTGCAGATATTTTGCTTTACGCAGCAAAAGGAACTTAACAGGTGTGATTAAAAATCTTGAGATGGGGAGATAACTTTGGATTATCTAGGTGGGCCCAATGTAATCATAGCGTCTTTATAAGAGGAATATGGGAGGTCAGTGAGAAAGGGGATTCTTGAAGATGCTACACTTCTTTTTGAAGATGGAGGTAGGGTCCATGAGCCAAAAAAATGCAAAGAATACAGGTCTAGGAGCTGAAAAAGGCAAGGAAATGGACTTCCATAGAATTTCCAGTGAGCAAGGGTCCTACAAACATCTTGACTTTGGCCCAGTGAAACCCACTTGGGACACCTGACATCCAGAATTGTATGATAATAAACTCATGTTGTTTTAAGGCCCTGTTTGTGGTAATTTGCTAGAGCAGCAAAAGGAAATTAATATACCTGTATTTCTGCAAAACAAAGAAAACCAAATCAGCCAATACCCATCAATCAACCAGACAGCAACTGGTATAATGGGCCTTATACAAATGTTGATATTTCTTTAAAAGGTCTGATAATCATATTAGACATGATCTTCATCATCTCCTGGTTCTCTCTCCTCTTTCTCCTTTCCATATTTTCTCTTCACCCCACATTTTCCTGATTTCTTCAGGATCTCTGAGTTGTTTTCACTTTACTTGGTAAAACACTCAACTCTCCAGAGGCTTCAACTCCTACTTAGATACCCAGGTCTTCCATATGCTCTGATGACATAAGAGTATCCCTTCAATAGATTTCATCTTCTTTAGGAAATAGTTGTGGTTATGAGCGCCTTTCTTCTTGGCACATCACTGTTATTCCCATTTTTGAAAAGTATAATAATCCTTGAAAGCTTCTCCATTGTTTGCTGGAGTAAGAGAGAAATAGTCAACATGGCCTTTGAGGCCATGCAGGATCTGGCCCTGCATCACTTGCCAGCCTCATGGAACACTCTCCTGCTCACTCTTTGTGCTCCAGAAACACTGGCTTCCTCAACTCCCCATTCTCCCCATGAATTAGGATCTTCACTCATGTTCTTCCTGTGCCAGAAGCACTCTTCCTTTCCCCTCACACAGTCAGTTCCTACCCATCCTTCAAAACCCAATTCAGAACTTATTTCCACAGGAAGCGTCTTTGACCCCATATACCTTTGGAGCACTTACCACAATAACTAGGATAATTAATGATAGAATAAATTAATGGAAAGGTAATTTATCTGCAGTTAGTTGCCTCTACTCTGGCCCTGTTGCTAAAATGCCAGCTCCACAAGATCATGAATTGTGTTTGCTTGATTCACCCCTGTATCCACACAGGCCATAGTAGTATTTAATACATATTCGTCACATGGATAAATGGATAAGTAAACAGACATAGGAGCAGACTTTCTGATACTAGGTGGCTAGATATGTGTAATGGAAGAGACAGCCTAAGCTTTATTGGGCATACTCTTGTGGCCCATGGTATAGGAAAGTGGGACACATTTGTTGCAGACTTACTATATGATAAGCACTCTTTGTGTGTCTATTTCATTTCATCCTCACAATAATCCTGAAAAAAAGGTATTTTTGTTCCTATTGCATAGTTGAAACAATTTCATACACTCTGTTGGCTTTGATATTCATGCAAGGGGAGAAGATTTGAGAGATCCCGGTGAGTTCACTATTCCAGGAGGATAACTGACCTCCATTTTATACCACAAAATTATGGTGGCACCCTGTCAGAGAAGGAGGTATCCTCCCTCTTAGAGGCCTTCTCTAACTCACATGTTTCCACAGCACACTCGGCCTAGTGGCTACTGTACCCCAGACACTACAAAGTGCTTTGCTTGTAATATCCGACCTATTCTTCCCAACAATCTTAGCAGCTGGGTATTATTACTGCTCCCATTTTACTGAAAAGCAATCTGAATATCAGAGAGATTGGGTAAATCATCACATAACTTAAGGAGAGGAGTGCAGAATATTTGAACTCAAGGACTCCAGAACAGGATATTTAATCACTATATCACTGAAATTGCCCTTCTATGGATTTGTTTTTCCCACTGGGTATAAACTCGGTTTGCACATTGGAATCATTTAGACCGATTTAAAAATACATATCAATAAACAGGCTTTAATCCAGACCATTTATATCAGAATATTTGGGCTTGATACCTGGCCATCAGTGTTTTTTAAGAGTCCTGGTAGATCTAGAGAGAAGTCAGTATTGTGTGTCAGTGTGTTAGTCAGTCCTTAAGATCGGGTTTAGACATTTCTATATCATCAGCATCTAGCACTGTGTTTGTCATGTGGGGAAAAACGTCATAAATTTATAATTCATTGGGTGTAGGAACCAATCATTTATTTGTTCACAAACAAACATTAGTTTAGTTAGGGTAAAGAGACATTGTACTAGGAAATAAGAATATAAAGCATTTCCAGATGCATGATTCTAATAAGATACTCTGTAATAGGTGAGGCAGAGGAGGGAGAGAGGCTGTTCCCCATTCAAAGAAGATATCTAAATTCTAAAGAGGATTGCTGTTTAGACTGACACATTCGAAATTCCAAGCATCGAACAAAGTAAAAACTAAAAGTTTAATAGACTTGCATCAATTTGTTTAGTTTCCAGTTTATTTTGTTTTTTTTTTGCAACATCAAAATAACCACTGATGCCAAGTTGATAAATACTGAAGCATGTCCATGGTCCTGAGGTGGCACCTTGCAATAATGACTTGAGTAGAATAGGAAGGCACATGGATAGAGAATGGATATTCTGGCAGGGCAGTGTCCTGATAGCCCAATACAACATTTTCATAATACATGAGAAACATTGGCTTGATGCAGAGGCCAGTACTATGACGGTTCCCTCTTGAGAAAATATTTAAAAAACCTAGACTTGAATTGTGGAGACATGGGTTTGAGTTCTAGCTTCTCTGCTTACTAGCTGGAAGCCTTAGGTAATTAATTTTGTTTATTTTTCTATGATATGGAGTTAATATTCCCCCAGAGCATGCACAGGATTATTGTGAAGTTTTAATGGGATAATTATATAGAATTATATAGTTTTAAGTAATCCTTTTTGTAAGAGAATGAAGAACATAGCTCTTCCACACCACCATAATGTTTGAGGAAGATAACAGTCTCATCCAATTACTGCTCTCAGCTTCAATTCTGTGACCTCTGGGTAGCATGCTATTCCTTAGTCAGATGTGTCTTGTCATGATCTAGCGCACTATACAATGGCAAAACTCTTCCATTGGACTGACAAGCTGGTATTCTGATCCATTTTTTTTATGGTGCTGAAAATGATGATTCTATAGTAGGTTGAATTACTGTAATAATTTTAACAATAAAATTTGTGATAGATATTGGCTAAGTCCTTAGCAATTCTTTATTCTTTACTGATACATTAGAAGAGGAGATTTACCAGACTGCCTTGCAGTTAGGTTGGCCAACTGACTCATTCTGGGCAGTCAAATGTGAGTGAGAGTGATAAGTGTCACTTCTATGTCTAGGTGGATAAGTACTAGATGCTCTCACTCCTCCCCTTCTGTATCAGAGGCCATTTGTTAAAGATGATGGCATCACACAATGAAAGGATTTGGTATCCTTGAGAACAGCTTCTCAGGCAAAATGTCCAATCCACATCAGACTATTGTATAAGGACTGGAGGTAATGTTGCACCCATTTTGAGAGAATACTATGTGCCACAGTACATAGCTCATAGCTTTATAGAGTTAAGAAAACCAACCGCTTCTATACATCAAGCAGAAGGCATTCCAAGTAGAAGATTAGGACATAAAACCAGTGCTACTGTAATACAAAAACATAAATTACCGGCCGGGCGCAGTGGCTCACACCTGTAATCCCAGCACTTTGGGAGGCTGAGGCGGGCAGATCACAAGGTCAGGAGATCAAGACCAACCTAGCTAACACAGTGAAACCACGTCTCTACTAAAAATACAAAAAATTAGCCAGGCGTGGTGGCAGGCGCCTGTAGTCCCAGCTACTCGGGAGGCTGAGGCAGGAGAATGGCGTGAACCCAGGAGGCAGAGCTTGCAGTGAGCCGAGATCACGCCACTGCACTCCAGACTGGGCGACAGAGCAAGACTCCATCTCAAAAAAAAAAAAAATACATTACTTTGATTCTGATCATTATTATACAACATATCTATATATCAAATCATAATGATATACATCTTGAATATATGCAGTCTTTATCAATTAAATATTTTAAAGTTAAAAATGCTTTCAAATGCTCTTCCATGTATACCTTTATCATCATATCTTATGGTAAAGGGATGGATTATTTAGCATCCAATATTTAATATAAACACATTAGAATAAAGTTCAGTCTTTTAAGGAGAAAAAGCAGGAAGCTGCTATGACAGATGGGATTAAGAGTACTGTCATTTTTTCAAATTTCTTTACAACATGAGCCTTCTAAAAAGCTAGCGCAAAAACTAGTATGTCGGTAAATAGGGATTTTCAGGTATGGAATGTGTCTTTACAAGATCCCTGGCTGTTGTTTCTTATGTGTAGATATGACTGGAAGCAAACAGATAGCAAGCATTCTAAATTTTGATTCCATACATTGGTCAAAGAAACGCCATACCTGACCTACAACAGTTGGCAATTGCTAAAATAATCTCAGAGAACCCAAATTCACACCAAAAGAAGTAAAATTTAACAGCTGAACAAACTCCTAGAAGTACCTCCTTCATACTCCCCAACTTGAAAAGGAAAGATTCAGGTCCACAGAGGACAATGGACAAGGGTGGTTCTTCCAGAAAACAGAACCAGGGGTTGCCAGGTTGCCCAACTAAATATTCACTCTGCTGCTGGGGCCCAGAG
Organism: Homo sapiens; assembly: GCF_000001405.40. NCBI lineage: Eukaryota > Metazoa > Chordata > Mammalia > Primates > Hominidae > Homo > Homo sapiens. Next base: position 171,071,027 of record NC_000001.11, read on the forward strand.
TTACCATCCCTGCCTGGCAGGATTTGACGATATCTATGAACCGGTGATCACCGTCTTCCCGTCTTCCTCTTTTCTGAATGGTAGTTTTTCCTGCATTTATCCTGTTTCTTCTCCGCCATTATATATAGAATGCGTTAAAGGTAGATAGCATTTTTTCTTCCTGCCTAGATGTAGTAGCACCATCAGAAAGAGAAGGAACCATCTTCTGACTACCCTGAGGAGGATAAAGACAAAGGAGCTTGAGCCCCATTGGCACATTAAAGCCATGCATTAGCCCTGCATTCCTAACACCAGAATTTCTTGTTATGTGAGAAAAATTACACTCCTTTTTTAAGCTGTTGGTTTTCATTTCTGTTACTTTCAGCCTAACGTAATTAGGCTGAAAACACCATACCATCTCTAACTGGTATGCTGTTGGTTTTCTGTACTCATAGCCAAATCCTTTACTATTAAAATACTATATTTCATCGGCTCAACATTAAGACGCACCCTCATTTTATGTAACAAAAAGAGAAGAAAACATTCTGCCAATTAAAACTATAATATAGCATTGATTATAAGATGTCGCTATTTCAGAGATGTTAAGATATGATTTGATTAAATAAATTAAGTAGAGTTACAATTTGAGCCCTTTGCTCAAAAATAAAATAAACATATATATTGGCATAGACAGAAAACTTTGGAAATATACACAAAAGCCATTAATAGTGATTGCCTTTGGGGAGTAAAAATGAAGGATATAGGATATAATACTTATTTTGACTTTTTGCTTTTTATTACATTATAAGCAACTTTTATGAGTAATCCAAGCCAGAAGTAAGCACTATGAAACGGGCATTCAATTTTGTCCACCACTGTAATCCTAAATTCAAGAACGATGCCTGTCATCTGGCACTCAAATATATGCTGATTCAATGAATGCTTTTAAACAAGTCACTGTCATTGAAAAGGAAATAAGAAGTCATCTGATTTCTCATCACTAATCGACGAGCTCTGTTGTAATAAGAGCTATGTCATATTTGTCACTGAATCTTCAGCACTTTGCACAAAACCCTGGAACTATATAAACATTTTCAAAATTTAAAAAGCATGTTATGACCGGGTGCTGTGTCTCACGCCTGTAATCCCAGCACTTTGGGAGGCCGAGACAGGTGGATCACAAGGTCAGGAGATCGAGACCATCCTGGCTAACATGGTGAAACCCCATCTCTACTAAAAATACAAAAAATTAGCCGGGTGTAGTGGCAGGCGCCTGTAGTCCCAGCTACTTGGGAGGCTGAGGCAGGAGAATGGCGTCAACCCGGGAGGCGGAGCTTGCAGTGAGCCCAGATCAGGCCACTGCACTCCAGCCTGGGAGACTGAGCGAGATTCCGTCTCAAAAAATAAATAAATAAATAAAAATAATAAAAGCATGTTATGCACAGGAATTTATATTACATATGTTGAGTGTGAAGTAGTGATTTGGAGTAGTCTCTTGACTTAATAAAAGTAGGCTATCAGGAAAAATTGGTTTGATGGCTATCTGCTGGAGGTTGCCAGCAGAAGAAAGGAGAGTGTAGTCAGGAAAGCCAGCTACACTGCCACTATGATATTGAAAGCAAGGTTGCATGAGGGCTTCTATCAAGACTGTGACAACAGGAATGACAGGTGGGACTTTGCATTTCCTTGGCATGTTGAACATTTCAAAATACAATATTATATCTATTACAAAAATCAACATCCCACTCTGTCCTCCAACACCCATAAGGACAGAGTAAGTTGCAAAAATTGAATCCTCAAATAATTAAATTACCGATATTCTCATTGGAGAGTTGTGATAAAATTAGCAATTTTGTCGTATGCTCTGTTTTCAGTAGACTCTTCTGATTCCTCCTCAATGTGTAAACAAAAAATAGAATTCCAAGTCCCCCAGTTGTCTTAATGGACCCCCTCTTGGCCAAGGGAACCCCGAAGAAACCTTAAAGACTTGTTCAAGCCATGATGGAAAGTGGAAGGTCAGACATGCCTCATTGTTCACTCCTCTCTTTGGAGTTTAGATGCAACTAACTAGCAAACTCAAGACTGACAAAACAGACTCCATAGCAATAAAACAATTCCAACCTGACTCTGATATACATGACAGATAACAGGCTCTGAAGGAAAATAAGTATTCTACTCCAAAATATATTTATTTGACAAATTCTGAAATGGCCCTGAAAATCTGTCTCTTGTGGGGAAGATTTGCATTCTGTAGAGAGTCTCTTTCCCTTACTGTTTTTTTTTTTTTTTTTTTTGAGAGTCTGACACCTTTTACGTTCTGATAAGAGACATTCGCCATCTATTCCCTCTGAAGCTTGCTACTTGGAGGCTTCATCTCTATGACAAGAACCTTGGTTACCACAAACCCTTTATCTAAACTCAAGCATTTCTTTATGCTGAGTTCAAGTCTTCATGTGGAGCTTAACTCTTCCACCCAATTGCCAATCAGAACAGCTCTGAATCCACCTATGACCTGGAAGCCCACCTCTCCCACCCATTCAAGATGTCCCACCTTTCCAGGCCAAACCAGTGTATACCTTACATGTATTGATTTATGTCTTTGCCTTTAATTCCTGTCTCCCTAAAATGTATACACCATGTTCTCAGGACCTCCTGAGGCTGTATCATTGGCCATGGTCCTTAACCTTGGCAAAATAAAATTCTAAATTGATTGAGTCCTGTCTCAGATACTTTTTGGTTTACAAATGGGACCTTCTCTGTACCTCTTCCTCTACCACCTTACAGTGACATCGAAATCAATCTAGTCAAACTGTGAATCTACACTTTGGAAAAAGAATGGTAAGAAATATTCCTTTTAGGCCAGGCACTGTGGCTCACACCTGTAATCCCAGCCCTCTGGGAGGCTGAGGCAGGTGGATCGCTTGAGCCCAGTTCAAGACCAACCTGGGAAACATGGTGAAACTCCTTCTCTACAAAAAATACAAAAATTAGCCAAGCATGGTGGCATGTGCCTGTGGTCCCATCTACTCAGGAAGCTGAGGTGGGAGGATCACCTAAGCCCGTGGTGGTTGAGACTGCAGTGAGCCATGATTTCACCACTGCACTCCAGCCTGGGCAACAGAGTAAAACGTTGTGGGAAAGAAAGAAAGAAAAAGAAAAGAAAAGAAAAAGAAAAAAGAAAGGGAGGAAAGGAAAGAAAAAAAAGGAAGGAAGGAAGGTGAGAAGGGAGGGAGGGAGGGAGGGACTCTTTTAGGAAGTTCTTAGTCAAAGAATGTAGAAACCACAGTTCTATAATATTAATATATTGGTTTGAATTGAATTGCTACTTAGAAATATATTTATGAGGCCAAGAGTTACTAAGTTATTCCACAATGTCAGATAATTTAGTTCCTGGTATTTTGGGGTCCCATTTACAGCTTGATTTCTGTTACTGTCTTTTTTCCCTTCCTTTTATTCTCTTCTTTTACCACTTATGTATATGAAAAATGTCTCAAGGTAAAATTTTCCTTCAGGACGTCAGTTATAGAGGAAGGCCTCCCATCAGGGAGTTATAATTGTAGTCAAGAGTAGTTTTCTAAAAAGAGAGGAAAAAAGCCTTTTTAATAGAGGGTAATGGGTGACTGGAAGAATAATTCTAAGCAATAGAAGTTGTCTGGGCTGGCAGTGGCTTTAAATAAGCAAGACGTTCATTGCTGTAAACAAGCTAGGGAAGGGGTTTCACAGTGTGCTTCAACAAGATACAGAGGATATAAATCAATAGGGCCTGACAGCCACACAAATTAATGACATAAATCATGAGTATTTTAGTTCATTTCTTGATAATAAAATGTCCATCACTTTACAGATATATTTACTAAAACAATTCATAGAGTAACCTTGACCATGAAATATTCTCTAATTACTCCAGAAAAGTTTCCAGTAAACGGAACCCATGCATTCAGAGGAACTTACAGGTATTTCAAACATGGATTAACTCTTTACCAAATGAAGAAATATTTTTAAAATATTTTTCTGTCAAAGCATTAACGTTGACTTCTAAAAATTCTTTGCAATGTTTTAATTTGTTTAGCCACAATTAGAAAGTACCAGACACCTGCCCAGCTCTGCAGTTCCCAAGTTTCCCTACTCCCTTCCCCAGATATGGTAGGTTTCTATGTCTAATTTGTACATAGTAGTTAACTTTTATTGAGCTCTTCCAAAGAGCTAAGCATTCTATCTGTATCCTATAATTTAACTGCCCACAGCATTTAATTGCCACATCAAAATATAGGGAAGGAAAAGTCACAGGAAGATAATGTTTTGTAGGGCAAATAAATCAGATGTTTCAGAGAACGTTTTTTCTCTTAATAGGCTTATACGGGCCTATATTTATGCACCTCAGGCTTCAGAGATTTTATTTTACGGCTTGAAATTAAAAGACACTTTCACATTTATTATTTCACATGATAGTTTTTGTTCTAAAAGATATGTACAGAGTACCTTGTAAACTGACCTCGCAATTGCCACCAAAACTGTTAAATTTGTTTTTTATAACACTATAAAATTGGTTTTAAATTATTTGTCTTTATATTGCATGCTTTACTGTCTTTGCATCTAGTGACTTTCCCATCCTTACCATTTCAGCCTCCACTCCCGTAGCCACACCCTGGACCATGTAGAATTACTCCACTACTGATAGCTTAAATTCAAGCAATCCTACTTAAATGACAGAAATTTATTTTCTCATAATTCTGAAGGTTAAACATCTAAGATCAATTTGCTGGCAGATCTGGTTTCTTTTTTTTTTTTTTTCTTTTGAGACAGAGTTGCTCACTCTGTCACCCAGGCTGGAGTGCATTGGCACCGTATCAGCTCACTGCAACCTCTGTCTCCTGGGTTCAAGCAATTCTCCTGCCTCAGCCTCCCAAGTAGCTGGGACTACAGGTGCCCTCCACCGTGCCCGGGGTTTCACCATGTTGGCCAGACTGGTCTCAAACTCCTGACCTCAGGTTATCCGCCCGCCTCAGCCTCCCAAAGTGCTGGGATTTCAGGTGTGAGCCACCGCGCCTGGCCCCAGATCTGGTTTCTTCTGAGGCCTCTCTCCTTAGCTTATAGATAGCCAACTTCTCTGTGTCCTCTCACGATCTTTCCTCTGTGTCTGTGTGTTAATCTCTTCTTATTAGGACACTGTAAGACCAAATTAGAACCCACCCTAATGAACTCATTTAATCTTAGTTCCCCCTTTAAAGACCCTATCTCCAAATACAGTCATCTTTTGCAGTACTACGGGTTAAGACTTCAACGTAGGAGTTTGGTGGGGAGCACAGTTCAGCTCATGACACCTTCATTCCTACCACATCTCATCTTTCACTTTACTGCGAAGATTCAGACCTTTAAACCCTGTTGTCAAATCTTCATTGCCTTCTTGCATGGCTTAGGACTCTTGTCTTTCACTTCAGCTGCCACCCTCAGAAAAAAAGCTGCTACCCCACCATCCCCCTTCCTTTGAACCTATCTAGGAAAACTCTAACCTTAGATGAATTCACCTACTTTACTTCCTTCTCTGCTCCTAGATTACACTGCTCCCTGAGAAACATTACACATGCATGCAGAATGCTGCTATTGCCCATGAAGAAGTCCTGGTCTATTAGAAATCTGTGTTCCTCAACCCCAATCAGACCTTGATACCCCAGGCAAGCCTTATAGGTAGTTCCTGCCTTTATTTAACACTCCTGAAATCTACTACTTGACGACTTGCCCACTCATTCTCAGCAGATGACTTTGCTCCCTACATTATAGACAAAAATAGAAGCCATCATCTAGGAAATTCCTCAACTCCACCATGCCTCTTTCTTTGAACCCAGCCCACCCATATTTGCCTCTACTCCCTTTCTTACTACCTATTCTATCAGACTGCAGATCTATTTGATTCCAAAATTCATGTGTTCTATTTATATTGGGGATGGGTACTGCAGAGGCAGCAGGAAATGAGGAGAAAGAAGAAGCTAGCAAAGTAATTCTTTCTGGTACATAGTCAAGCATAAAAATTACATAAAATATTGTGTTATTTTAACTCAAAGTCTGATTGATATGGTTTTGCTGTGTCCCCACCCAAATCTCATCTTGAATTCCCACATGTTGTGGGAGGGACCCAGTGGGAGGTAATTGAATCATGAGGGCAGGACTTTCCCATGCTGTCCTCATTATAGTGAATAAATCTCATGAGATCTGATGGTTCTATAAGGGGGAGTTTCCCTGCACAAGCTCTCTTTTTGCCTAGTGTCATGATTAGGCTTCCTCAGCCACGTATAAGTCCATTAAATGTCTTTCTTTTGTAAATTGCCCAGTTTCAGGTATGTCTTTATCAGCAACATGAAAACAGACTAATACACTTGTATTTATTAATTTTGCTTTATAAAATTTTAGTATAAAATTATATGCCATCAAGCTTTATTAAAATATGTAGGTTTCTTCTTTCCTAAGAGGCTATCGGAAGTTCTTATAAAAGTTACAAGTGAAATTAAAAAACTAAAGCTTATCTTAAGGAGTTGAGCAATGTGGGATGGCAGGGGGTCGGGGGAGGGGCATGAGTTATGCATCATATGCACTTGAAACAGATGTCTACTGGGTGGCTGCCCCAGAAGAATCATTTTTAGTTCCAAGGTCCAAGCCTGTTAGACTACGTATCAATTGTGCAAAGCTTGGATGAAGATTCAAGGCCTTCCTGGCACATTCTTCAAGGCCCTTTCTTTTTCACCTCTTTATCTAGTTCCTAACTTTTCTTAAACATATAAAAATATTTCAATATATTCAATAGTTCCTTGTACTCAATTTTTCTCAGTAGTGATCACATGTGAATCACATTTTATCTGCAGTATAGACAGCAGCTTAAGGATGTAGACATGAAATAATTTAACTGAACCATTTCATTAGAAATTTTTTTAACTCAGAAGTTCAGCTGCAAACGTGGAGGAGTTTTTAGATTACATATGTGGGGTTTTATCAATATCTTATATGTATTTTTAATGCAAAAATCTTCACAACCAAAAAGAGACATTGGTTTTTAAACAGTAATCATACGTTACTGCAGATCTATGTATCACTAACCTATGAAAAATCTGGCACGCTTTCTGAGGTCAATGTCAATACCAAAAAAGAGCCCGCATCGCCAAGTCAATCCTAAGCCAAAAGAACAAAGCTGGAGGCATCATGCTACCTGACTTCAAACTATACTACAAGGCTACAGTAACCAAAACAGCATGGTACTGGTACCAAAACAGACATATAGATCAATGGAACAGAACAGAGCCCCCAGAAATAACGCCACATATCTACAACTATCTGATCTTTGACAAACCTGAGAAAAACAAGCAATGGGGAAAGGATTCCCTATTTAATAAATGGTGCTGGGAAAACTGGCTAGCCATATGTAGAAAGCTGAAACTGGATCCCTTCCTTACACCTTTTACAAAAATTAATTCAAGATGGATTAAAGACTTAAACATTAGACCTAAAACCATACAAACCCTAGAAGAAAACCTAGGCATTACCATTCAGGACATAGGCACAGGCAAGGATTTCATGTCCAAAACACCAAAAGCAATGGCAACCAAAGCCAAAATTGACAAATGGGATCTAATTAAACTAAAGAGCTTCTGCACAGCAAAAGAAACTACCATCAGAGTGAACAGGCAACCCATAAAATGGGAGAAAATTTTCGCAACCTACTCATCTGACAAAGGGCTAATATCTAGAATCTACAATGAACTCAAACAAATTTACAAGAAAAAAACAAACAACCCCATCAAAAAGTGGGTGAAGGACATGAGCAGACAGTTCTCAAAAGAAGACATTTATGCAGCCAAAAAACACATGAAAAAATGCTCACCATCACTGGCCATCAGAGAAATGCAAATCAAAACCACAATGAGATATCATCTCATACCAGTTAGAATGGCAGTCATTAAAAAGTCAGGAAACAACAGGTGCTGGAGAGGATGTGGAGAAATAGGAACACTTTTACACTGTTGGTGGGACTGTAAACTAGTTCAACCATTGTGGAAGTCAGTGTGGCGATTCCTCAGGGATCTAGAACTAGAAATACCATTTGACCCAGCCATCCCATTACTGGGTATATACCCAAAGGACTATAAATCATGCTGCTATAAAGACACATGCACACGTATGTTTATTGCAGCACTATTCGCAATAGCAAAGACTTGGAACCAACCCAAATGTCCAACAATGATAGACTGGATTAAGAAAATGTGGCACATATACACCATGGAATACTATGCAGCCATAAAAAATGATGAGTTCATGTCCTTTGTAGGGACATGGATGAAATTGAAAATCATCATTCTCAGTAAACTATCGCAAGAACAAAAAACCAAACACCGCATATTCTCACTCATAGGTGGGAATTGAACAATGAGAACACATGGACACAGGAAGGGGAACATCACACTCTGGGGACTGTTGTGGGGTGGGGGGAGGGGGGAGGGATAGCATTGGGAGATATACCTAATGCTAGATGACGAGTTAGTGGGTGCAGCGCACCAGCATGGCATATGTATACATATGTAACTAACCTGCACATTGTGCACATGTACCCTAAAACTTAAAGTATAATAATAAAAAAAAATCCCTTAGATGTTCACATTTTTTATTGATTCTTTTTCATCCTGAAAGTTCTTTCTATTCATTTCTCTTCAACTTGTACATATTCAGTGTTTATTTTCAAGGCTACAGCCCTGTCAAAGAGTATTAAAAACCCAGAAAAAATATCTCAAATGGCTCTTCCACACCTGTCACAGAGCAATCCCAGGACCCCACATGCAGATTCCTCAGGCTAATACCACCACACTGTCCCTAGTGCCTTTCCATTTTAAATACCTTACGTGTGATATCTTATTTTATTCTTACAACAATAGCCTGAGGCACATTGAAATTGATGAGGAACCTGAAGTCTAGGGATTCCAAGTGACTTGTTCATGATTAGCAAAATAGTTAGTGGGGAGAGTTAAGTCTTTCAACTCTAACTTCTAGTATTCAGTCAACTATATTAATATGTCTCTAATTTGAAATTTATTATAACTATTCTTTTTCATTGGGGTGATATCTTTAACTGGCACATTGTTAAATAATAAAGAGTAGCACAGTTCTAGACTCTAAACTCCCAATGGAATATCTGGATCAGGTCTACCATTTATTCTTATAAGTTAGAAAGTCAACAATTATGGTTGGAGAGAAGTTTTATTTCGATATCCCAGAAATGAGTTAGGACCAGAGATGTGAGAACCAGAGAAGGCCAGAAAATGGAAATACTAACCAAGCATTATGTATACTTATCTGATTTTTTTTTTTAACTTTTCAGCTATCTGTAGTGGTAGTCTGACTAAAACAAAAAGACATTTCAAAAATTAAAATTCTTAGACATAAGTCTACTTATTCTTTACAATCCAGTTTCATAAACGAATTCTTATCAGAGTCATGGTCTCCCTCTATTTCTGAAATAAGGTATTTGATTCAGCTCCCTTATATACTTTTATGGCACTCAATTGCTGGGGGATATTGAGAGGTATCTGCCAGTCTACACACCCTAGGTCTAATCTCTGTAGCTCACTTATAGCTTCAAATATGTATCACTTAAAAATATTTTCATTATATAAATTCTTTTCAAATACACATTCAAAATATATATATATATATTCAAAGCATTATATAAACAAAGTTTGAGTAATGAAGATGGGATGTCACAGAAGCCAAAACCCAACTGTGGGGAGAGACTAAACATCCCTGGCATTAGTGCTACTCTGTATCTCATATATTAACTCTGCTCACCACAAACTCCCATCTCTTCTCTTCATCAATCTTTTAGTATTTCTACCCTAAATCAATTGAAATTTTTATTGAGCACTTTTTTTGTGATTGGCACTAGGAATGCTCCATGCTTGGCATTAGGAATAGTACCATGAATGTAAGATGTATTCGCTTTCTTCAAAGAGTTTAAAAGGCAATTGAAAAAACAAGACATGCATAGAAAATTAAGTAATAACACAAGAGATCATAATAATGCAATGCAAAACAACAAGCAAGGTAGTATATAAAAAGTGGCCATAAGTTAGGGAGAGAGAGAAAAAAAACTGGCATTTCTGAGAACCTATTTTATGACAAGTTCTGTACAAAGTGGCTTTATAGATTATTGCATTTCTAGATGGAAACAAGCTTCGTTAATCAGCATTATATAAATGATGTTGTTTCCCTGAGTTTTATCTATTTGAGATTTCTGGATCCTGAGTGTAATAGAAAGGATTCATTTAATGTAGGAATTTACTACTATAACACAATCCTATTAATATCTTCATTTTATGAAACAGAAAATTGAAGCTCAGAAAGATTAAATAATTTACCTAAGGTCAAACATCCAGTAGGTGGCAGAAGCAACTTTTAAATTCTAAACTCCATGCAAGTCACACAGGTTTTTAAGAGTATCTCAAACACACACTCTGGAATAAAAACCAGATGGCCTTCACTATAGCTAAGTTAATCATAAATATAAGTAGCATTGCTGTAAAAAACATGAAGCAGGATGCTGATATAAATGTCCAGTTACTCCTTGTTGAGGAATTGACCAGTGTAGTCTGAACTCCTAGCCCATGTGATCAAGGGTACCAAATCTAGTATAATTTGGTCTAGTTTGCACACTGGGCTCTCTTCATTTGTAAACTCAGCAATTCTCATGGTGAGGGAAGTTGTTTGCTTTCTTTGAGTGGTGGTAGATGGGGAGAGTGTTTCAGGGGAAGTGACTCCTTTCTAGGCTTCACCCTTCATTTTTGACCCAGTAGGCTCAGGATGAGGCCTGGTAATCTGTTTCATTTTGATTTGTAATCCATTCACGTCAGCTTGCCGTTCGCTATTTAAGAACCATTGCTCTCAAGCATGTTTCAGGGCAATACAGATTTGGTTTAGCTTCAGTTTAAGTGACGAACAAAGTCCACTTTAAGTAATTCATCTTTTATTTTCTAGAGCTGCTGTGCTTACCTCTGCTAAAAGCTGCGAGACATACTGCTTTAACCTACAAAAGCTTCTCCGAAACAGAAGTGTATATTTTTGTGCCAATATTTTTCTTACCAGCTGTGCTTTCTTCCAGGGAGATCGTGCTTTGCCACTAAATGAGCCTGTGTGCAAAAATACTCTCTGCCAAGTAGAACCTTGCTGTTTCATATTCATCAGCTAATTTATTCCTGTGACCACCTTTTGCAGTATGCCTATTTTACAGATTTTTTTAAAAAGCAAATTTAAGAAAGGAAATAACTTTCTCAAGTTTATGCAGCTGATACACACTGGAGGTTGAGTTTCAAATTAGGTCTGCCTGATGCTAAATTATTTTCCTTTGACTTTTCTCTGTCTTCATTTTCTCTCCTGCCTTATCCGTTGCCCACGTGTTAAGTCCCATCGTGTTACCCACAAGCATACCTTAGTCTTATTCCTGGCTCTTAGTATTGAGGAAGTTGTCAACTTTGGCATTAGGTAGGTTTTAAACTGGATGTTCTGTTCATGTATGAATTTTATGAATAATTCATTGGTTTGGTGCCCACTAAAAGGACCAACAAGATTATTTTCTGGTAATTGCAAGTTTCATTGTGAAGGTTACACATAAATTTTTTCTACTCCTTATTCATTCATCCAATAGTTTAATGCCTGTGTTTTATTGTCAAGGTCGATTTATTTGCCAGGAATATGAGGTCTCTGCTTGAAAAGAAAATAGTTTTGTTATCTTTTTTTTTCCAGATCTGGTCATAATCCCTAGCAAAGATATACTGGTTAATGTTACCAATAGGGTAAAGGTCAATGAAAAGCAGTAAAACAGTATTTGTCAATGTTTTATGAATTTAAGTGGACTTAACTGTAGAGAAACTATTAAAAATCATAGTCTTCTCCTCTGTACTAGGCTTCCTATTCTAAAATAGGGCTCATTTTTAAAACTTCTGACCATTCAGTAAATAATTTTGTGATCAACTATGTATGCATAGGGCATCGTGCTGAGGAAAATCCAAGTTAGACTACAAGACATGACTCCTACACTCTGTAAGAACTATCATCCATTTTCAGAAAGAAAAATTTATGTAATGATAATGATAACCAAGGAATTATAACTAGCGGATAAAGTGAAAGTTCAGATGTCAAAGTAAACAGAGACTTCTTTGAGTTGATGTAATTCCTGAGAAAAAAATCATTTTACTATATAATAGAGATTATATAACAACTTTAATTTTCATCACAAGAGAAAATACTAAGTTATGTGCTTGAACAAGTTTTTTGCTGCTGTTCTCTGGCGAAAAGATCAAAGAACATTTGAATCTCTTCCAGCACCTCAGAGGTCAAGCCAACAAAACTAGCTTACAAATATACTAGGTCTCCTATAAACAAATATATGCTGCTTTTCTCCAACATGGCCGAGCCCAGGAGAGGTGGTGTGCAAGTATCCATGACGGCTGTCTGGCACTAGAGTGGAGAGGGTAGCGAAGAACAAAGCACTTGCAGGGTGAGAATCTGAATCCGGCCTGAGCTGAAGAGGAGAGGCTTGTTGTTGCCAGTGTTGGTTTAGGTAATGGTGTGAGTAGAAACCAACTGCTACTGGTTTTAGAGAAATGTGGACTGGTGGATGCTCTCTTAATGCCACCTTACAAGCCCTACTCATTTGAAAGATACAAAACTACAGAAGAATCTAAGAGAGCCTATGTTACTCTCAATGGGAAAGAAATAGTGGATGATTTAGGACAAAAGATGATTCTGTATTTGAATTTTGTGGAAAAAGCACAATGGAAGGAGTTGGGGCCTCAAGCCTTACCACTAGTCCTCATAGTAGTAGAAGAAATAATTTCTACTGAGGATGAGAAAATTCTTTTGGAAAGTGTTGATCAAACAAAAGATACAGACCATCAAAATTTTCAAAAATGCTTAAAACACAGAAGAGTAAAGCATTTTGGTTATGAGTTCCACTGTGAGAAAAACAATGTAGATAAAGATAAGCATTTGCCTAGGGGTCTTCTTGATGTTTGTGATAGCTTTTTGGAGAAATGGTTGAGGGAGGGTTACATTAAACATAAACCTGAACAATTGACCATAAATCAATATGAACCTGGGCATGACTGTCATGGATTTTAAGTACCCAGATGGTATCACAGTGCCAGTTATTTTGCCTTGTTTGAGTTGGCTGGTGATGACAGGAGAATCTAGATACCTTTGGGCCCATGGGTTACCCTTTGGCTTGTGATAGCCAGAGGAAAGAGACTCCTCCCTCCTTTCCAGAGAGTGATAAAGAAGCCTGACAACTAGAGCAAGAGTACATCCATCAAGTTTATTAATAGATTGCTGGGCACTTCAGCAGCATGAGATATACAGCTTGGCCACACATCATTGAGTTTTTGAAGGCTTTGCCAAGTGGCTTAATAGTGGCTGATACTGGATGTGGTAATGGAAAGCACCTTGGCATCAATAAGGAGTTAGATGTGATTGGTTGTGATCAGAGTCAAAACCTTGTGGACATTTGTAGAGTGAGACAATTCCAGGCTTTTGTTTGTGATGCATTGGCAGTACCAGTCCACAGTGGGTTTGGTATGCCTGACTCTCCATTGCTGTTATTCCCCATTTTGCAACAGCAGAACATAGAATGACAGCTCTTCAAGAACATGTTGGACTCCTGAAACCTGGTGGGAAGGCACTCATTTATGTCTGGGCAATGCAACAAGAATATATTATAATAAACAGAAGTCCAAGTAGCTTACAGGAAACAGAACTAGCCAAGGAAAGAGAGAGGAGATAAGCAGTGACACCTCAGTGCAGGGGATGGTTGTGAAGCAAATGCCTGATGTGGGCAGTCAAGACTCAGCATCTTCTGTCTCCTCCATTAATGACTCTTAGGAGGGAGGATATAATTCAAGGCAAGTTACTAATTCCAAGCTTCCTATTCATATTAACAGGACTTCTTTTTGTTCTCGGGATGTACTGGTCCCCTGGTACCTTAGGGGAAACCCTGATAAAGACAAACCTGTTGAGCAATTTGGTCCCATATGATCCTATGACCCAAGTTCCATGTTTCATCATTACTTATGTGTTCTTTGAGGGAGAATAGGAAGTTGCCTGCAGGACTGTGAGTGATTTCAGCATTCTGCAAAGCTACTACGATCAAGGAAATGTGTGTGTGATTCTTCAAAAGGTCTGATTATTTACCTGAACATATCATGTATAAAAAAGAAATGCTCATTTTGTTTCAAAAAAAGGAGAATAATTATCATTTTAATTAAAGAGAAAACTAAGAAACTACCAAAAGAGGGCTCTTGAGAAAAATTTGGAAGTAGAGATTCATTAGGAGACATTCAGTCAGCTACTGTTGGCTGACCTCATAGATGTAGTCTCCTACAACTTCCCTACAAGAGATGGCTTCTAAAAGCAATTAAAGTAATTTGTGCAGTGCTTGTAATTCTTGGGTAAGAGCCCACCATTTTGAAGATAACCTTTTGTTATAAAGTGTTACTGAATGTACTAAATCATGTAGGATCTTAGTGAAGTAATTCTACCACATTTTAATAAAGGAAATATTTCTGGTTAATAAAAAAACAAATATATGCTAATCTTCAAATTAACTTGACTAATCTATTTATAAAAGCTATACTATTCATCACTATAACATTTTTTATTGTAATATGTAACATTTTCATAAACTTTAATGCAGACATGAATATCATGCTAACATCAGTCAATAGGGTGCCTGTTTTGCAGCTTCTCTTGCCTTCCTGTGTGTTCCTCGGTGGCCTATCAGTCTCAGGTGCAGTATGTGGACTCTAAGAATGAAATGATCAGATTCTCTGGCATGAAACTCAAACTACTGTCCTTATTTCTCATTTTTTAATTGTAGTGTCTAAGTGGCTTCTGTGTTACTTATGGTCCAATAAATGATGTGTAACCTCCTCTTGATGGTATTCTGGAGTCGGGAGAGGTAGTGAAATGGAAGAATAACTCAGGTGTATCACCTGTTAAACCCAGGAGGTGGAGGTTGCAGTGAGCAGAGATAGTACCACTGCATTCCAGCCTGGGCAACAAGAGCGAAACTCCATCTCATAAATAAATAAATAAATAACTTGCTGAGGGGGTCCTAAATTTTAAATATATACCACTGTTGTCAGACACTTAGGAGTGGAACTGGAAAACTGGCAACGAAGGAGATCACTGGAATAAGTTACAGAGAACATCTGTCACTAATACTTAGAACATTATCTGGAATATAATAGACACTCATTTACTAGATTAAAAAATGAAAAGTGTATATGAATGCAGCTTAATGTGCCAATGAAAGGCATCATGTGCATTCTCCTTAGTTATAAGTTCCAACCAGCTGCCCTTCATTTTACATATTTTCTATTTTGGCTATTTAATATGCCACGCAACTCAGCATGCTGGACAGTGCACGTGTGTCTGACTTGTAACTAGTCAGCTACAACTACAAGTTGAATTAGTTAATTAACCTCTTTCACATTTTTAGGTCTAAAAACAAAATAGGTGTGTTGATCTATAAGTGGGTCTTGATGGCAGAAATACTTCCCCATAGTGGCATCTGGAAATATATAGGGGTAGTCTTTTCTTTTTCTATGCCTAGTAGTTTTCACTGGCATTTATTGACTTAGATACTAGGTAAGCTAAATACCCTGCAATCTTAAGGATGATCTCACACAATGAAAAATTGCCCTGCCCAGGCTGACTTGCCATAGTGCTCAAGCCTGTAATATTAGCACTTTGGGAGGCTACAGCTGGAGGATCACTGAGCCCAGGAGTTTGAGACCACCCTGGGCAACATAGCAAGGCCCCCATCTCTACTCTACAAAAAAAGAAAAGAAAATTTGCCAGGCATGGTGGCACTCACCTGCAGTGCCAGCTACTTGGGAGGCAGAAGCAGGAGGATCTCTTGAGCCCAGGAGTTCAAGGGTGCAGTCAGCCATGATCGCACCACGGCACTCCAGCCTGGGTGACAGAACAAGACTCCAACTCAAAAAATAAAGAAAGAAAAGAGGCCGGGCGCGGTGGCTCACGCCTGTAATCCCAGCACTTTGGGAGGCCGAGGCGGGCGGATCAAGAGGTCAGGAGATCGAGACCATCCCGGCTAAAACGGTGAAACCCCGTCTCTACTAAAAATACAAAAAAATTAGCCGGGCGTAGTGGCGGGCGCCTGTAGTCCCAGCTACTTGGGAGGCTGAGGCAGGAGAATGGCGTGAACCCGGGAGGCGGAGCTTGCAGTGAGCCAAGATCCCGCCACTGCACTCCAGCCTGGGCGACAGAGTGAGACTCCGTCTCAAAAAAAAAAAAAAAAAAAGAAAGAAAAGAAAAATTGCCTAGCCCAAAATGTTATAGTGAGATCGTTCATAAATTTAATCCTTAAAGTTCTTTCAAGTTCTAAAATTACATGATTCTAAGTGGAAAGTACATTTTGAAAATTATTGTTTTACAATGCAGACATGAGTATCAGGCTAACATCAGCCAATAGGGTTTCTGTTTTCTTCCTCTTTTGCGTTCTTGCGTGTTCCTGGCTGGCCCATTACTTTCAGGTGCAATATGTGGGCTCTATGAATGAAATGGTCAGATTCTCTGGTGTGAAACTCAAACTACTGTCCCCATTCCTCATGCATCCAAAACTAGCCTGGAAAGTCTTTTTGGCCATTATACACCAACCCAGTTCCAGGTGATAGAATATGAGAAATGGAATGGAGCCTAAAAGGCTATCTTGTCCCCTCACCTCTACTGCCCCAAAATTACCAAAGCAACCAACACAAGGGTTCTTTCTCTAATGAGCGATGAAAGTGATCTTTCTTATTCCATAAGGCTCCTGCTCTGGAAGGCTCTGGTAATGGCGACCATTTTCCTGGTAACTTAGGGTTATTTGTAACTCCAGCAGCTGCCACAGAAGGCTCAGATGGGAACTCAAAGTTGTAAGATAAGCTCTTCATTTATTTTCCTTAATCAGGGCTGTCTTGGTTTTCCTGCCCCTGGGGCAATAGTGGCAATGTGAGGAACAGAGACCTTGCCCCTTTGTAAAGGAACAAGTGGAGTAACCACTCTGGACCTATCATTGGACCTGACTTTAACTCAGTGTTTCTCAACAGTGCAACCAAATGTCAAAAATCACAGACAAACATTGTTTGCACTTGCTTGTTAGTTCCAGGATTAAATAGACAGTCTTTTATTACCTAAGTTCTAAAATGTTTTGGTTTTATTTTTTCCCTATCATAATTTTTTAAATTTAGTTTTCCTATTTTATTTATTCTAAGCTCTTTCATCTACTCACATATGATGACCCCCAAAGGTAAAGCATACTAACCGCTTCTTATATATACATTCATATTTTTCTCCCTGATCAAAATCCATTACAGATCATATGAGTATGTCTATGTGTGTCTGTGTTCACATTTATACAGATTTTTAAAAATCAGCATTCATTTTTGAAATAAGGATCATATTATAAGCACTTTTTTGCATGTTGCTTTTTTCCTTTCTAGTACTTTAATGGGGTATTTCTCCAAGCTATCTGTTAGCTCTAATTTACAGAATAATTTATTCACTTCTCTAACAAAAAGCATTCATTCTATCTCATTTTTGATACTTTGAACAACACTGAAATAAACTTTTTTATACAATTTGTTAAAGCATGCTTATATTTGTATTTTTATAAGATATATTCCCAAAAGTAAAATCACCTGATCAAACAGCATATATCTTTTTTCTAAAGAAAAACTGAAGACACTTTATTTTTATCATTATTGAAGTTAACAATTGACAAGCCCATTAGAGAAAACATTTTACATAATTTTACATCACTGACTTAGAGCCCACACATACATGACAAAGATAGCTAAAAACATATGAAAAAATATATCTTTGGAAATAAACACAGCATTCCTCTGGCTATGAAACTAAAAAAGTTTGAGACACTTTTTAAACTTGTAGCAGAAGATGCAACAGACTGTCAGCTTCATTTAGCACTGCCTGCACTAATTGTTGTTCACTCGATTCTTTACGAGATATTAGCTTCAGAATATGGACCCTAAAGAATCCACATCTTTGGAATGTTCCATCATAGCTTTGATGATCAAGTCTGAGTCTCCAAAAGCCACTCTCATTTTATAGAAATCTTTCAACTGTTATGCATCATCAGACATGACAACAGGTGTCACAAGAGATATATGCCTTGCCTCCAGCAAATCAATTAGAAGAAAACAAAAATTTCTTTAAAATACAAAGAAAATATAGAGCAAGAGAACAGAATATAAGTCTTCCACTCATATCCTCCAACAGCAACAATAATCTAGCAACCATCCAGGGATGAAAGTTTCTTCTTAGCAGTTTTGTGATTTGGAGGGGACAACAGAGTAGAGAATGCCCACTGCCCCAACCAGAGCCTGGGCATTTGAGATTCTGAAGATTTAAAAAGGGGCTCTGCAGAAAGCTGTGGCAAGCAAAGGATAGGCTAGAGAGAGACAGGACTAATAAATGTGTCGACTTCAGATACATTCTTGTGAAGGACAGCAAAGAATAGGTGGCCTTTTCACCTCCTAGAGAGATAAAACATCGGAGGCCAAGGTAGAATTGGGTGTGTCCTGCCAATCTTTAAATGAATAAGGCTATAGGAGTAGTATTGCTTCCTGAAGTAGTCACAATCTTTTCTTTGCATTATTTTAATTCTATTTATGTAGCATTAAAAACTGAAAAGAAGTTCTATGTAAAATGAGAGCAGAGAAAATCATGTTGTCTGAATTGCAGCCCTAGAAAATTTCATGAACCTATGACTTGTTTTTAATTTTTATCTACAAGTCACATTTGCTCATTTTTAACTACATGCCACATTTTATATGTACCTATGTATACATGTATTTATGTGTACATACCCTTTAATCCTCTAATCCTTGTTAAAAAAAAAATAGCCAGACAGGAATTAATAGTGTAGTTATCCCTATTTTATTAATGAGTAAATCAACGATTGGAAAGGTTAAGTGATTTGCCCAAGGCCACAGAGCTATAGAAGTGATTTGGAATCTCTCATACTCACACTTCAGAGATGAAGATTACTGTCTTCAAAAGGCATGAAGGGTAATTCCTCAAAATTAGACATATACCAGTTTACACTAAGTATCACTTGCTTAATGAAGGAGTTAACTAGACAAAATGAGTGAGATGTTATAATTCTAAGTGACATCAAAATATAGTTGATAGGAAAACTTTTTTTGAAATTCTACTATATTTCATGACTGGGAGTTAGGTGCAGTTTATTTTGTCTAACTGCCAACATAATTTTACCTGGTACTAATTTTACCTGGTTCCTGGTACTAATAGATCAATTTGTGGAATTTTGATCTTTTCTGTGACCACACACTGTACTCAGAAACAAGTAAATATAAGCTTGAGAAATACAGGCCTTTGACCCCAAAATTCCAAGACAGGACATGAAAAGAGAGAGCAGAGAAAAGTCATCCTCCTTATTGGGCTATCTCAATTAAGTAGCTAAGTTTCTACAGTATTTGGAGGACTACTATGAGCTACCCACAAAAGAACTAGGAATAAGGAAAACAAGGTAAACTTTCAAATAACACATAATAAAATGGAGTACAGAACTGCAAAGTCACCTGGGAGAAACTACTTGACTCCCAGGCCAAGGGTCCAAGAGTATAACCAGCAGCTTGTGTTTACCATAATCAAAGGAAAAGTAGAAACTGGGTGGCCATGGGAGACTGGCCTACAGTCCCATCCATCACAGAGGGTTGGCGTGTGCTCACCCATTCAAGGACCAATAAATGAGTATCTCTTTAAGAGCAGCTCCTCCCATTTTTCAACAATCTTCCTAATATGTAGGCTCACTAGAACATTTTCTCTTTCAAACTGCCCAGACGGTTGGACAGGACGTAGACACACAGAAGAAAAGAAGACAAAGAACGGGTAGGAAAATTAAAAAGGTAGGAGGCTGAGGCGGGTGGATCACCTGAGGTCAGGAGCTTGAGACCAGCCTGACCAACATGGTGAAACCAAATCTCTACCAAAGATACAAAAATTAGCCAGGCGTAGTGGTGCATGCCTGTAATCCCAGCTACTTGGGAGGCTGAGGCAGGAGAATCACTTGAATCTGGGAGGCAGAGGTTGCAGTGAGCCGAGATCACACCATTGTACTCCAACCTGGATAAAAGCGAAACTCCGTCTCAAAAAAAAAAAGAAAAGAAAAAGAATAAAAGGTGATATAGTAAAGGGTTGAGGGTGGGATGGGTAAATGAAGAAGGAGCATGCTGTAGTTTTATACCAAATATGGCTAGAATGAGAATGATATAATTCAGGCAGTTTGTTTGTTTCTGGGAATCACGGATCATGATGTTTAATCATCCAAGTCTATTTCCCTGCATAGCTATGTGATTTTGTCTAAAAAGAAAAAAAAAAGTAGTGAAAGAAGTAGTGGTAGAGCCTAAAGACAGTGTCAGGAACAGAAAAAAGTTAGGAAACGTAATTTTCTTAGAGGGGAATGGACGCTGAAGGTAGTGGGAAAAAATTGTTTTTAGGTAAGAACATGACTTCTTTCCCCAACACCCCCCGGAGAGAAGGTCTCACTCTGTCACCTAGGCTACAGTGCAGTGCTGTAACCATAGCTCACTGCAGCCTCAAACTCCTGGGCTCAAGCGATACCCCAGCTCAACAGGACTATATAATCCCAGAGTAGCTGGGACTATAGGTATGCACCATTTACTTGTCTTTTTAATTGAGAAGGTGAAGTACATTATTGATGGGGAGAAGGGGTGACTACCTGGCACACTGAAATACAGACATCTTCAGACCTTGTTCCTCATTATCCGTATCTAAGTAAAAAGAAGATACAGATTGCGTGTGTGTGTGTGTGTGTGTATGACTGTGTGTGTGTATACATATACATATGTGTTTCTTCATTCCCATATACAGGCATATGTATGTGGGTGGGTGGGTGGATGTGTCTACAGGTGTTTTAGTTGCGAATCTTTATTTCTTCTGCTTACTCTTTTTGGTAGACAGTAAATGACAAAGTCCAAAAGCAAAAAAGATAAATATGTATGCTGGGTCATCAGTCTCTTAATTTTGGAGAGCTGATGACTAAAAACAAAGTGCTTATTTTTTTTTCAGAAGAAAACTTTCTCTTTAGAAATTAGAGAGAAATGAAAATGTAGTTAGATCACTAAAAGGAATTTGTTTTCTAGAGACAAGGTCTTACTCTGTCACCCAGGCTGGAGTGCAGTGGTACAATCACGGCTCACTGCAGCCTGGAACTCCTGAACTCAAGTGATCCTACCGCCTCAGCCTCCTGAGTAGCTGGGAGTACAGGCATGTGCCACCACACCCAGCTGATTTTGTTTGTTTTTTGTTTTGTTTTGTGGAGACAGGGTCTCACTCTGTTGTCCAGGCTGCTTTCAAACTCCTGGGCTCAAGTGATCCTCCCACCTCAGCCTCCCAAAGTGCTGGGATTACAGGCGTGAGCTACCATACTCAGCCAGTGTTTATTAAAAAGTAAAGTTTTTATTAAGCCAAAGAGCGAAATCAAAATAAATAGATAAATAAGTAAATACATTTTCAGCAATGTTGTTACTGGAAATGTTCTCTGGGCCTTTGCACAGGTTACCATGGGGAAGAAAGTGGCCATCATTGGAGCTGGTGTGAGTGGCTTGGCCTCCATCAGGAGCTGTCTGGAAGAGGGGCTGGAGCCCACCTGCTTTGAGAAGAGCAATGACATTGGGGGCCTGTGGAAATTTTCAGTGAGTAGCATGTTGTTGTAATAGACAGGAAAATAGGTTGGGAAGTGTATAAGAGCACACTGTGTGCACACAGGTTTCCAAACCTGCTACCATGGCAGTTATCATATCTGTTAGAATTGGAATCCACTAAGTACAGTGTCAAGAGCAGGTTGGAAAGTAACCTCCTTGCAAGTCAGAAGTAAATTAGACAATGGGCTTTGAAATTCTCCATTACAGTTCTCCCTTGATAGATCATTAATAAGAGCCACTTGGACATAAAATTAGTGGTAAATATTAGTTAGGTTTATGTAGTTATAATTATTTACTCATTTAAAACACAATAACTTTTCACATCTTTTTTTTTTTTTACAGATTTAGGGGGTACAAGTGCAGTTTTATTACATGGATATAATGTATAGCAGTTAAGTCTGGGCTTTTGTGTAGCCATGACCCAAATAATGTACATTGCACCCATTAAGTAATTTCTCATACCTCAACCGCCTCCCACTCTCCTACCCTTCCAAGTCTCCAATGTCTATTATTCCCACATTCTATGTCAATGTGTATACATTATGTAGCTCCCAATCGTAAGTGAGAGAATATGTGGTATTTCACTTTCTGTTTCTGAGTTATTTCACTTAAGATAATGGCCTCCAGTCCCATCCATGTTGCTGCAGAAGACATAATTTCATTCTGTATTCTCGCTGGGTAGTATTCCATGGTGTGTGCATATATACATACATATATATGTATATGCGTCTGTGTGTATATATACATATATGTATGTATATACCACATTTTCTTTATCCAATCATCCTTATTGGACAACAAGGTTGATTCCATTTCTTTGCTATTGTGAATGGTGCTGCGATAAACATATGGGTGCAGGAATTTTTTTTATATAATGACTTCTTTTCCTTTGGATAGATATCTACTAGGGGCATTGTTGGGTCAAATGGTAGTTCTATTTTTAATTCTTTGTGAAATCTCCATACTGTTTTCTATAGTTTATATTCCAACCAACAGTGTTTCCTTTTCTCCACATACTCACTAATATCTTTTTTTTTTTTTTTTTTTTTTTTTGAGTGGGAGTCTCACTCTGTCTCCCAGGCTGGAGGGCAGTGGCGCCATCTCAGTTCACTGCAGCCTCCACCTCCTGGGTTCAAACGATTCTCCTACCTCAGCCTCCCGAGTAGCTGGGGTTACAGGTGCCCACACCCAGCTAATTTTTGTATTTTTAGTAGAGACAGAGTTTCGCCATGTTGACAAAGCTGGTCTCAAACTCCTCAGCTCAGGTGATCTGCCGGCCTCGGACTCCCAAAGTGCTGGGATTACCAGCATGAGCCACTGCGCCTGGCCTTTTTGACTTTTTAATAATAGCCATTCTGACTGGTGTAAGATAGTATTTTATTGCGGTTTTAATTTGCATTTTCTCTGGTAATTCGTGATGTTAAGCATTTTCCCATATGTTTATTGGCCATTGGTATGTCTTTTTTTGAAAAATGCTTATTTATCTCCTTTTTCCCCTTTGTAATGGTGTTATCTGTGCTTCTTTAAAATTGAGTTGCTTGAGTTCCTTATAAATTCTGATATTTGTCTTTTGTTGAATGCATAGCTTGCAAATATTGTCTCCCATTCTGAAGGTAGTCTGTTCACTCTGTTAATTATTTCTCTTTATGCGAAAAAGATTTTTAGATTGTCTATTTTTATTACATTTGCTTTTGAGGCCTTAGTCATAAATTCTTAGTCATAGCCTAGGTAAAAGAGTTTTACCTATTTTTTTCTAGAATTTTTATAGTTTCAGATCTTACATTTAAGTCTTTAATCTCTCTTGAGTTCATTTTTGTATATGGTGAGAGATAGGGGTCCACTTTCATTCTGCGTATGGCTATCTAATTTTCCAAGCACAATGTACTGAATAGGGTGTCCTTTCCCCAGCATATGCTATTGTCAACTTTGCTGAAGATCAGTTGGCTATAGGGATGAGGCTTTATTTCTGACTTCTCTATTCTGTTCCACTGATCTATGTGTCTATGTTTATACCAGTACCATGCTATTTTAATTACTATAGCCTTGTAGTATAATTTGAAGTCAGGTAATATGATGCCTCCAGTTTTGTTCTTTTTGCTTAGAATTGCTGAGGTTATTTGGGCTTTTTTGGTTCCATATGAATTTTTAGAATTGTTCTAATTCTGTAAAAAATGGCATTGATATTTTGTTAGAAATTGCATTAAGTCTTTTGGGCATATGGTTATTTTAATGATATTGGCCCTTCCAATCCATGAGCATGAGATGTTTTACCATTTGTGTCAGCTACAATTTCTTTTATTCATGTTTTGTGGTTTTCCCCAAAGAGATCTTGCACCTCTGGTTAAATGGGTTCCTAGATAATTTTTCCATTGTTGTTGGCTTTTCCCATTCATTTGGTGAGGCTACCAAAGTGATTGGGACCATGGATTTTAAAGTTTCAGGTGCTGACTTTGGTCTTGTGAAACTACAAAACTGAGAATTGCTTTGAAGTTCTTCAATGCCCCTTTGTCCCGTGCATATGTAATAAGGGTTCTATTAGCAGACATGCATGTATGCACTCATTAAATCACTTCATGTGTTGCCAAACAGCAGCAGGAATGGGGCTTCCCTATGTTCTCCACTCAATCAGTACAGTCTTCCAGCCTTATTGCCTGAGTCTTATTTTTCTTCTTCTGATAAACCCATTAATATATATGCAAATTTAGGAAGATTAATGACCCTTTTAAGCCACTATTTCCTCCTCAAATGCAAAATCAGTATTATATTATTTACCTCAATGAAAAGGTTGTATTTAATGAAACAGTGTCTGTAACAGCTGTTTAAATATTATAAAGACATGAGATATCATTCTTATTAATATAGATATTTTGCAGACTGCAAAAAACTCTTGAAACCACCCAGCATCTTTTCTTAAAAATATGGTATGTTTCTTTTATATATATCTATAATAATATAAATATATATTTAATATATATTTATATATTAAATATATAAAAAATATAAATATATATTTATATAACTATATAGATTAAATATATAAACATATAATTATATATATAATATAAATATATATAAAATATA
Source organism: Homo sapiens (assembly GCF_000001405.40). NCBI lineage: Eukaryota > Metazoa > Chordata > Mammalia > Primates > Hominidae > Homo > Homo sapiens. The sequence continues at coordinate 171,095,881 of NC_000001.11, forward strand.
ATTATATTATATATAATTATAATATGTATAAATATATATTTATATAATTATATATAATATATATTTATGTATTATAATTATATATTTATAATTATATAGATATATTTTATATATTTTTATATATTAATATACATATTATATATTAATATATAATATATATTATATATAAATATATAATATATATTATATATTAATATATAATATATATTAATATTTTTATATAATTAATTATTATATATTAATAATATAGTAATTATTATATATTGATATGAATATATAATATATATAATTATATATAATATATTAATATATATTTATATCAATATAATATTTATATATAAATACATAAAATATATTATTTCATACATATTATATAATTTTATATATATAAATATTATATATATTATATATCTATTATATATCATATATAATATTTATATATAATATATAAAATATATAAATATATATAAATATATAAAAATATATATATTATAATTATATATATGTTATATATAATTACATATATATTATATATGTTATATATAATATATATTACATATTTTATATATTAAATATATATTAAATACATAATATATTTTATATATTAAATACATAATATACTTTATATATTAAATACATAATATACTTTATATATTAAATACATACTATACTTTATATATTAAATACATACTATACTTTATATATTAAATACATAATATACTTTATATATTAAATACATAATATACTTTATATATTAAATACATAATATATTTTATATTTAAAATATATATTTTATATTTAAAATATAATTAATATAATTATATAAAAATTAATATAATTATATTAAAAATATATATAATTAATATAATTATATTAAAAATATATAATTAATATAATTATATTAAAAATATATATATTTGTAATTATACTTTAAGTTCTAGGGTACATGTGCACAATGTGCAGGTTTGTTACATATGTATACATGTGCCATGTTGGTGTGCGGCACCCATTAACTTGTCATTTAGCATTAGGTATATCTCCTAATGCTATCCCTCCCCACTCCCCCCGCCCCACAACAGGCCCCAGTGTGTGATATTCCCCTTCCTGTGTCCAAGTGTTCTCATTGTTCAATTCCCATCTATGAGTGAGAACATGTGGTGTTTGGTTTTTTGTCCTTGTGATAGTTTGCTGAGAATGATGGTTTCCAGCTTCATCCATGTCCCTACAAAGGACATGAACTCATCATTTTTTATGGCTGCATAGTATTCCATGGTGTATATGTGCCACATTTTCTTAATCCAGTCTATCATTGTTGGACATTTGGGTTGGTTCCAAGTCTTTGCTATTGAGAATAGTGCTGCAATAAACATACGTGTGCATGTGTCTTTATAGCAGCATGATTTATAGTCCTTTGGGTATATACCCAGTAATGGGATGGCTGGGTCAAATGGTATTTCTAGTTCTAGATCCCTGAGGAATCGCCACACTGACTTCCACAATGGTTGAACTAGTTTACAGTCCCACCAACAGTGTAAAAGTGTTCCTATTTCTCCACATCCTCTCCAGCACCTGTTGTTTCCTGACTTTTTAATGACTGCCATTCTAACTGGTGTGAGATGATATCTCATTTTGGTTTTGATTTGCATTTCTCTGATGGTCAGTGATGGTGAGCATTTTTTCATGTGTTTTTTGGCTGCATAAATGTCTTCTTTTGAGAACTGTCTGCTCATGTCCTTCACCCACTTTTTGATGGGGTTGTTTGTTTTTTTCTTGTAAATTTGTTTGAGTTCATTGTAGATTCTAGATATTAGCCCTTTGTCAGATGAGTAGGTTGCGAAAATTTTCTCCCATTTTATGGGTTGCCTGTTCACTCTGATGGTAGTTTCTTTTGCTGTGCAGAAGCTCTTTAGTTTAATTAGATCCCATTTGTCAATTTTGGCTTTTGTTGCCATTGCTTTTGGTATTTTAGACATGAAGTCCTTGCCCGTGCCTATGTCCTGAATGGTAATGCCTAGGTTTTCTTCTAGGTTTTTTATGGTTTTAGGTCTAACATTTAAGTCTTTAATCCATTTGAATTAATTTTTGTATAAGGTGTAAGTAAGGGATCCAGTTTCAGCTTTCTACATATGGCTAGCCAGTTTTCCCAGCACCATTTGTTAAATAGGGCATCCTTTCCCCATTTCTTGTTTTTGTCAGGTTTGTCAAAGATCAGATAGTTGTAGATGTGTGGTATTATTTCTGAGGGCTCTGTTCTGTTCCACTGGTTTATATCTCTGTTTTGGTACCAGTACCATGCTGTTTTGGTTACTGTAGCCTTGTAGTATAGTTTGAAGTCAGGTAGTGTGATGCCTCCAGCTTTATTCTTTTGGCTTAGGATTGACTTGGCAATGCGGGCTCTTTTTTGGTTCCATATGAACTTTAAAGTAGTTTTTTCAATTATGTGAAGAAAGTCATTGGTAGCTTGATGGGGATGGCATTGAATCTATAAATTACCTTGGGCAGTATGGCCATTTTCACAATATTGATTCTTCCTATCCATGAGCATGGAATGTTCTTCCATTTGTTTGTGTCCTCTTTCATTTTGTTGAGCAGTGGTTTGTAGTTCTCCTTGAAGAGGTCTTTCACATCCCTTGTAAGTTGGATTCCTAGGTATTTTATTCTCTTTGAAGCAATTGTGAATGGGAGTTCACTCATGATTTGGCTCTTTGTTTGTCTGTTATTGGGGTATAAGAATGCTTGTGATTTTTGCACACTGATTTTCTATCCTGAGATTTTGCTGAAGTAGCTTATCAGCTTAAGGAGATTTTGGGCTGAGACGATGGGGTTTTCTAGATATACAATCATGTCATCTGCAAACAAGGACAATTTGACTTCCTCTTTTCCTAATTGAACATGCTTTATTTCTTTCTCCTGCCTGATTTCCCTGGCCAGAACTTCCAACACTATGTTGAATAGGAGTGGTGTGAGAGGGCATCCCTGTCTTGTGCCAGTTTTCAGAGGGAATGCCTCCAGTTTTTGCCCATTCAGTATGATATTGGCTGTGGGTTTGTCATAAACAGCTCTTATTATTTTGAGATATATCTTCTCTAGTTCTTTTAATTGTGATGTTAGGGTGTCAATTTTAGATCTTTCCTGCTTTCTCTTGTGGGCATTTAGTGCTATCAATTTCCCTCTACACACTGCTTTAAATGTGTCCCAGAGATTCTGGTATGCTGTGTCTTTGTTCTCGTTGGTTTCAAAGAACATCTTTATTTCCGCCTTCATTTCATTATGTACCCAGTAGTCATTCAGGAGAAGGTTGTTCAGTTTCCACGTAGTTGAGCGGTTTTGAATGAGTTTCTTAATCCTGAGTTCTAGTTTGATTGCACTGTGGTCTGAGAGACAGTTTGTTATAATTTCTGTTCTTTTACATTTGCTGAGGAGTGCTTTACTTCCAACTATGTGGTCAATTTTGGATTAGGTGTGGTGTGAAACCCCCCAACATCTTATACAATGTTGTGGAGCCTACTGTATGTTATTAAAATGTGTTGACAGGGCTTCAGATTAACACACTGGTGATTCTTAGGGCTTTTTGGTTGTTGTTATTTTTGTTTCTTTGTGGCCAAACTTAGGGCTATTTTATCAAGCACTTTCTATATGACACATGACTTTTTCTATTTAATTAAATATTTATAGTAATCCTATAAGCTAGGTATATTTTTTTTCCTTTTACAAATGAATTTGAAGCTTTAAAAGAAAAGAAAAAAAATCATACAGCTGATAATGGTGGAGAAAAGATCCCAATTCAAGCTTGCCTTTCTCTCTAGTCTATTCTTAACTCCTTTGTAAATTGCTGGTTGCCATTTCACCAAGTGGCCTATCGAGCTGACCATGTCTTTCTTTTTTTTTTTTTTTTTTTTCTTTTTTCTTCTTCTTTTTTTTTAGACAGAGTTTCTCTCTTGTTGCCCAGGCTGGAGTGCAATGGCACAATCTGAGCTCACTACAACCTCCACCTCCTGGGATCAAGGGATTCTCCTGCCTCAGCCTCCCGAATAGTTGGGATTACAGGTGTGTGCCATCACGCCCCGCTAATTTTTGTATTTTTAGTAGAGATGGGGTTTCGCCATGTTGGCCAGGCTGGTCTCGAACTCCTGACATCAGGTGATACACCCGCCTCGGCCTCCCAAAGTGCTGGAATTATAGGCATGAGCCACCACTCCTGGCCAGCCATATCTTATACACAGTGATCTTAACCAAAGCCTCATACTCAAATTTAGTTTGCAAGACGTTGCTGAAGATAGAACGCACTGCTGATATGGCTATTGAGAGGAACACAGCCAAAGACAGCTAATTTGTCTTTTCTTGCTGCTCGAGGAAGACTTTAAAATTTGAACCTGGCAGCATAGGTTGATAAAACTGAACTGCAACATGTGCTACCCTTCAAGAAAAAGAAAGGATAGCCCAGAGGGTAGAGCCTCAGGCCCTGAGGGCAGAGGCCTGAGCCAAAGCCTTCAAGCCTGAAGGAATTTGTCCTACTGGATTTCAAAATTGCTTGGGATTAGTGATTCTTTTCTTTCCTCCTTTTTCCTCCCCGGTTAAATGGGAATGTCGATAACGGTTACCCATGCTTGTCCCACCATTGTATTTTGGAAGAAGATAACTTGTTTTCTAGTTTCACAGGTTCACAGATAGAAATTTTGCCTCATCCTGGTCCATATCCAGAGTCTCATTTATACCTGATTTAGATAATTTATATGATGATGAGATTTTGGACTTTTGAATTGAAAATATATAAATGAGAGTTGAGACTTGATTTCATGCTGCTATGGGTTGAGACTTTGAGGATGTTGGGATTGGGTTAATGTATTTTGCAGATGGGATGGATGTGAATCCTTGGGAACCAGAGGATGGCCTGTAATAGGCTGAACAATTTAACAATGCCCCTCCTCAAAGATATCACATCCAAATTCCTGGAACCTGTAAATGTTATCTTACTTACAAGAGAAAAGGGTATTTGCAAATATAATTAAGTTAAAAATCTTAAGATGGAGAGATTTTTCTGCATTATGTGGGTGAGCCCCAAACGCTATAATGAATGCATCGTTAAAAGAGAGAGGCAGAGGGAGATTTAACACAAAGAGAAGAGAGAAGGTGATGTGATGACCTCAACAGAAAGAGAGAAATTTGAAGATGCTATGCTCTATCTTTGATGATGGCCAGAGGAGCCATGAGTGAAGGCGTACAAGAGGGGTCTTGCCACTGAAAAAAATAAGAAATGCCAGCATCCACCAGAAGCCAGAAGCGGCAAGGAATGGATTCTCTCCTGGAGCCTCTGAAAATGAACATGGTACTGTCACACTTCGTTTTCAGCCTACTGATAGTGATTCCCGACTGCTGACTTCTAGAACTGTGAATCAATTGCTATTATTTTAAGCCATTAACTTTGTGGTAATTTATTACAGCAGCCACAAGAAACTAATACCTTTGGTTTTTCAGCGTTTCCTATTTTACTACTGTGAGGGGGCTTATAGATTGCAAATGATGGAGCAAACAGCAGTGTTTCTCAGATCACTAGAAGTCTGCAGCAATAGGCTTAGTATTCACATTATAAGATTGTTATAAAATTGTTCTAATTTTGTATTTGCCTTCCCTTTGGTTTCTAACATCATCATTTTACATTATCTTAACTTTTTTTAAATTTCAGAGAGATCCAAACATTGGTTAAAACTTAGCTAACACTAAGGGTGCATATAGTTGAAACTGTTGGAGCTGTTTACTACAGCACTTTCTATGCCCTTCTAGTTCTGACTTCTAACCCTGATCTAGAGCCACGATGATGTATTTCCCTCACCTTCTTTGGTCACAGAAGGAGGACATTTCACCCAGATCTGCGGCCTAATCACAGGCCACATTTCTGAATAGGCCACGGATCTGGGCAAAATGTCCTCTTTTCTCAGGAGCTCCCCAAACAATAAATCAGTAAATCATATGAATTTTTGCATGAAGTTTTATGAATAGTGGCTTTCTTCTGGGAATACCTCCCTTTTTTAACTTCCTCTGATTTTTTTCTGGACTATGTATCAATTTTTTTCTTTAATGTTTCTTCTCTCTTTATGCTGATTATCATCTCTTTAAACTTACCCAACTCACAGAAAGCTACAAATTTTTGCACTTCCCCATCCCACATGCCTATAGCAGAGTCAACAAACCATGTGAGCAGCAGAAAACTCATGTCCTATTTAAAGAACACGCTGCTTTCTGAAATGAACATGGCAACTAATCTGCCAATTAATTATTTGTCAATAATGAAACTGCAGCCACATTGGCTTTTGACGTGATTGTAATATTCCAATATTATACTAAAATTTCATGTTCTGGGAGCCCTGACAACTTTCAGTTAGATGAGCTCTAATTAGAAGTTTCTAGTGCTCAGTACTTTCCACTATGAACTAGCAACTACACATAGAGATCTACAATCTGATCTTTCATCATGAAACTTGAGATATAAGTACCTTGATGCTTCAACAGAGCTAAACCAAGGCTCCACCTCTTCCTAATCATGCTCCAACCAGTATTTTTTTTTAACTTAATGCCTTTTATTCATTCAACAGCTTGCTTTGCAGAGCTCACAGCTGTAACAGATGTGTCCTATGGTAAGCTCTTCCACAGTAACTGTAGCCTGTTGGTCATGAGCTTCCATTTGTTGAACTCTACATTGTGACTGACAAACTTGGCTGCACCTTAAAATTACCTGAAGAGCTTTTAAAACTTGCTGTCAATTAAATCAAATTCTCTGAGAGTGGGACCTAATGCTCAGTGTGTTTTTTAAAGCTCCCAGTTTATTTCAGTGTGTGGCTAAAGAACCACAACACAATATCCTAAACTTCTCATTACTGATCATTCTTTCTTCAATGTTCTTTTTCTTTATTCATCATCACTTAACATTTCCTCTAAGGCTTTATTAGCATAGTTCTATAATTCCTTAGAGTTAAAGAAAATTCAGATATTTTTACATCATTGAAAGCTAAAACTTTGTTACTTACATAAGTGCTTAAAAGGCATGCAATGCCCATAAATTCTGTGTTAGATTCAAAATAGTTAACCTTATTTTATACATTATAGAAATTCTAAGGTTAATTTTTTAAAAATTAGGTCTTAAAATGCTTACATTTACAAATCTGATCAATAGTTGCAACCTCTTGTTACTGTTTGCTTTTATAAATTGACCATTAGATGCTTGTGCTCATGAGTTGACACATTGAAATTATGCAAGGTTGAATTTTGAAAAATCTCTGTCACCATATTTAATGGTTCAAGGGAATGAAAGGATTCTAGTTACATAGGCCTAAAGGACATAATGAAATTTAAAATTTGTTTCCCTTAGAAAAGATTAAGATATATTTTCTTAAAAGATATTAAGAAAGGTATTCTTCCATATCCTAAGTTCCCTTAGTAAGTTTCCATGATTAGCATCAATTGTTGAAGTGAAGTTAATTTATGTGTGTCTTACCGAATTTACTGTGGATAAAGGATGACTCAAATAAGTATACACTTGGCCATCTGTTTTTGCAAGTTCTGCATCCACAGATTCAACCCACCATTGATTTAAAAAATCCAAAAATAAAAATAAAAAATCAAAATCAAAATCAAAAAACAATACACTACAACTATTCATTAAGCATTTACATTGCATTAGGTATTATAAGTAACCTAGAGATGATTTAAAGTATCTGTATATAGGTTATACGAAAATACTATATCATTTTATGTAAGAGACTTGAGCATTCGTAGATTTTGGTAACCACGGAGGTCCTGGAACCTTCCATAGATACCAAGGGATGACTGTAATTACTTGGAACCAGCCCTGACCATGATCAGTATACTCATTTACCAATTCGCTTCCATTTGATACTATACATTCACAGGACCATGCAGAGGAGGGCAGGGCTAGCATTTACAAATCAGTCTTTTCCAACTCTTCCAAAGAGATGATGTGTTTCCCAGACTTCCCATTTCCCGATGACTTCCCCAACTTTATGCACAACAGCAAGATCCAGGAATATATCATTGCATTTGCCAAAGAAAAGAACCTCCTGAAGTACATACAATTTAAGGTAAGATGTTATCAACAATTTAGCTCTTGTCATAATGCTGAAGAAGTCTATGTCTACTACTGGATTCTCATTTGTTCCTTTCAGTTTCCCTTTCTAATTTGTCAACATTTTTAACAGTGTGGCCTCTCTAACTCTAGGTTTAGAGAATTACCTTCTTCTCAAGGATACATAGAAAATTCACAAAATTTGACCACCTACAGTTCTTAGACTAAATCACTACTAATTTAGAAATCAATACCAAAGAAATAAATATAAAATACCTGTGAATTTGGAAATTAAAAACTCTTTTTATCTAAATAACATATAGGTCAAAGAAGAAATTTCAATGGGAATTTAAAAATATCTATAACTGAATGTTAATTTAGTCTATGTATCAATACTTGTGGGAAACATAGGAAGCTATATTTTCATGAAAATTATAAATGTAAATGTTTATATTAGAAAATGAAAAAGTTTAAAAATAAGGTAAGAAAGTTTAAAAAAATTAGTAAAAGAAAGACAGAATAAACTCAAAGAACATAGAATGAAGGGGATATAAAATAAATTTATAAAATGTAAAAAAGCATATGTACAAATTGAAAGTTAATTATTTGAAAGGACTAATAAAATAAACAACAGGAGCCAAGTGCAATGGCCCATCTTATAGTCCCAACACTTTGGGAGGACAAGGCAGGCAGATTGCTTGAGTCCAGGAGTTGGAAACTAGCCTGGGTGACATGGAGAAACCATGTCTCTACAAAAAATACAAAAATTAGCTGGATGTGGTGGCACATGCCTGTGGTCCCAGCTACTAGGGAGGTTGAGGTGGGAGGATTGCTTGAGCTCGGGAGGTAGAGGTTGCAGTGAGCTGAGATCACGCCACTGCACTCCAGCCTGGGCGACAGAGTGAGACCCTATCTCAAAAAATAAATAAATAAACAATAGATAAAAAGCTGGCAGTGTAAGGAAAAAATAATCAAAGGCACAAATAAATAATATTGCGAAGGAAAGGATAGACAAAATGGATACAGATGAATTAAAAAATATAACAAGAATACTATAAAAGTGTTTGCCAAGTAATATTTTAAGTTGGTTAAATTTTCTCAATTTTTTAAAAAAATCTTATCAAAACTCACTCAATAATAAGTAGAAAGCCTGAATTGTCATTTGATGATTTATAGTTCTTTTGACCTAGAAATTAAAAATCTTCCCATAAAGAAAATAAACAGTTCCATGGGTGAGTACTTCCAAACTTGCAGTGAACAAGTTATTTCAATATTTTAGAAACTTTCAGAGACTTGAAAATGAGATATGATTTCCAAAGTTATTTTATGACATTATTACCTTTACATCAAAAGCAGACAAGATAATATGAAATAGGAAAATTACAGGCCAATCTCCTTCATGAAAATCAATGTAAAAATCCTTCAAAAATGAATCCAACAGAGTATTAAAAGAGATTAACTGGGTCAAATGGTATTTCTAGTCCTAGATCCCTGAGGAATCGCCACACTGACTTCCACAATGGTTGAACTAGTTTACGGTCCCACCAACAGTGTAAAAGTGTTCCTATTTCTCCACATCCTCTCCAGCACCTGTTGTTTCCTGACTTTTTAATGATCGCCATTCTAACTGGTGTGAGATGGTATCTCATGTGCCCTAAAACTTAAAGTATAATAAAAAAAAAAGAGATTAACTGTCTTGATTGAGTTTGGCCTAAGTATGCAAGAGTATTTTAATACTAAGAAATATAAATATATATTTTACTACAAAAACCTGTTATAGGCAGAAAACCACGTTTATTTAACAAATTCAGAATTTAAAATTCAGTTACATTAACTGAAGTTTAACACCTATTTATGCATGAAAGATAAAAAAAGAAAATCAAAAGAAAACTCTCGCCAAACTTAGAGCAGAATTGTCTTGAACCAGCAAAACATACGCAAACATTATCTTAATCTTTATCTTAATTTATCTTAAATCTGCACTGTTCAATATAGTAGCCACTAGTCACAAAACTGAGATGTGCTATAAGTATAAAATATACAAAAACTTTCCAACTCTTATTATAAAAAAGGAAAGTAAAATACCTTATTAATAAATTTTAATTACATTTTGAAATGTTAACATATCAGACAGATTGAGTTAAATTATACATTTTTTTCAGTTTTTAATGTGACTATTAGAATTTTTTTTTTTTGTTTTGACACGGAGTTTCCCTCTTGCTGCCCAGGCTGGAGTGCAATGGTGTGATCTCGGCTCACCATAACCTCCACCTCCTAGGTTCAAGTGATTCTCCTGCCTCAGCCTCCCAAGTAGCTAGGATTACAGGCATGCACCACCATGCCCAACTAATTTTGTATTTTTAGTAGAGATGGGGTTTCTCCATGTTGGTCAGGCTGGTCTCAAACTCCCAACGTCAGGTGATCTACCTGCCTCACCCTCCCAAAGCACTGGGATTACAGGCGTAAGCCACCATGCCTGGTCTTAGAAATTTTGTAATTGCATATGTTGCTCATACTATATTGGTACTGGTCAGTGCTGTGCTAAATGATGAAAAGTTAGAAGCATTCACTTTAAAGTTTCAGAACAAGATAAGAATTCCTAATTACTATTATCAATAGCACTTACTTCTTTTCAATAGTCTTAAGAAATTTAAGAAACAGTGCAGTAAGTAAAGAAAAATAAAGAGAATGACAACTCAAAAGAAAGTAAAACACAGTTATTGAAGATAATGTGATTCTCTATGTAGTAAATCCAAAAGAATATATAAATTACTAGAATTCATAGCAATATAAAAAGAGTTAGGCAAGGTGGTGGTATATAAGATCAATATATAAAAATGAATTGCATTTCTGTAAACCAGCAGCAAACAGAAACCTATCCAAAAAAAAGTTGCCATATATAATAGCATAACTAATTAACTAAATTATCCCACAGTTATTCTAAACAAATTATGTATTAGGTCTTATGAGTCCATAAGTGCTCATTTTATTATATTTCATAACTAACAAAAATGTAACATATATGTGTTTGTGTATTTTCTTATATGTATGAAATAGTACATAATAAAGTTCTTAAGAACAATTAATACCAAATAGAGATTCTTTTTCCAATATAATCAGAAGAATTGAAAGATTTTTTTAAAACAGGGAGCACACCAACAGGCAGCCATTTAGCTGTGAACAAATATTTATCGATAATCTAGTCAAAGCTACTCAGTGTATAGTCCAAGTGACATCAGCGTCACCTAGGAGTGTGTTAGAAATTTGAATTTAATAGTTTTAACTTTAATTTAACAAATCTAATAATTTTCTGGATCACGTTTTCATATATTCTGGTTCAGTACATCTATCTTTGAGTTATCTTTAATATACTGAACCAGAACATACAGGAATGTGATCCAGAACATCATTGGCCATCAGATTTTCTAGTATATGTGATGTGCACCTCTTATAAATTATAATTGAATTCACTGCCATATCTCCAAGGGGTGTCACTCTTGTACTCCAGAAGATACTGGTTATGCACAAGAAATCATGCAGGGACAAATAGACAGATACCATTTAGTGTTTTGATTTATTCTGAGGGAATTTTAAATTTGTAATATGTATCTTAATCATTAAATATTTTTCTTAACCCACTTTTCTTTTTTCATACTGTATCTGCCAAAACCATTTGCTAGCATAGAAAAGAGGGATTTCTTTCTGTATTTCTCTTAGACATTTGTATCCAGTGTAAATAAACATCCTGATTTTGCAACTACTGGCCAGTGGGATGTTACCACTGAAAGGGATGGTAAAAAAGAATCGGCTGTCTTTGATGCTGTAATGGTTTGTTCCGGACATCATGTGTATCCCAACCTACCAAAAGAGTCCTTTCCAGGTAAGGCCAAAATTTAAGCTGCTAGCCACATAACTGACAAAAATGAATATCTTGATAATGTCTTCTTTTTTCTAAAAGTATAAGCAGGTTAAATTAAAATATACTTCTGTTATATCTAATATGCTTGGTGTGTTAAAATAGCACATTATTGTGACTGCATCTATTCACAAGGTCGCTTCTGTTAAAGTCTTTGTTTAAATATATGACTCAAACTGCCATGTATTTCTCACTTTTCACTCAGGACTAAACCACTTTAAAGGCAAATGCTTCCACAGCAGGGACTATAAAGAACCAGGTGTATTCAATGGAAAGCGTGTCCTGGTGGTTGGCCTGGGGAATTCGGGCTGTGATATTGCCACAGAACTCAGCCGCACAGCAGAACAGGTACTACTCCCCGGGTACTCGGGTGACTCTCGTTACTGACAGAAGAGTTATTATCGTTTGAAAGGTGTGATATGAAATGTGGGGGAGGAGGGAAGGGTATCTGATGTAAAGACTAAGTGGTATTTCACATAGCTGAGCTTCCCCAAGTAACAGGTGAGGTTTTAAATCACTTCATAGACAAAGGCAGAACATCAGCAAGGAGTAACTGTCATTCAACAATCTCCTTCTTCAAGACATTTGATGCCTAATATCTCGGATCAATTTCTCTAAAACTAGCACAGATTTAGGGTGAAGGTTATGACTCTTAGACTCGGGCAAGTCCTTCAATCTCTCTGAGGCAGGTTTCTCAATGGTAAAACAGATAAAAATAGAACCTACTTCTGGGCTTGTTATAAAGTTAAAGCTTTTGAACAAGACTTAAGCAATACAGAGTGGCTCATTTATTCATTCATTTATGATGCAGGCACACATTTATTCAATGACTACTTATTGAGGGCCTACTATGTGCCAGGCACTGGGTTGGGTGCTGAAGACAGTGGTGAACATAACAGGCATGATCCCTGCTCTGGAACAAGAGCTGCCACTGGAAAAAAAGGATAAACAAGTGATTCAGGCACTAAATGCTATGATTCCAAAACTGGATGCTTCACAAAGGAGGTAGAATAGAACCAGTCCTTGAACAATAAATATAAATCATGAGACTGAAGAGGCGACAGAAGCTGTTCTTAGAATTGGAAATGCCACAAGCAGAGGCAAGAAGACAAGAAAATGAGCATTGTATATTTTACTATTGTAGGTTATAGTTTCATCTTGCTGGAATGGAGGTTCTTAATGCTAACAATTTGTATGATGCATTATGGTACTCAAATACCTTCCTGTAAATGGGCTCCTTTGCTTGTGGGAAGAAAGTAGTTTTATAACAGAAAGGATAAATGAGGACCAGAAATGTCAATTGTCTTCTTGAAAGTCATTGAGAAAATTAATGTTTGAGCCACTGAAGGGTTACAGAACTGAAAGCCAAAGCTTCCGAATCCAAGGAACAGTAGTCATAGGATTGCGTTACAGGAAAGAAAGATTGGGATCAGATTATATCACATATTTTAAGGACTTGAATGACAGGATAAAATAGATTTCTGTGTAAATAAAGGTAAATCATTATTTCAGCTTCTTGGGTTTAGGAAATTTATGATGAACTCATAGTTTTCACAGATTTCTATTTGTATATGTGATTATTTGCATATGTGATAAATTAAAGGGAAGATCAATTTCAGAGGCTATTTAATTAATTGATCCTTTAGTCTCTTCTTTTTTTTTTTTTTTTTTTTTTTTTGGAGACAGAGTCTCACTCTGTTGCCCAGGCTGGAGTGCAGTGGCACAATCTCGGCTCACTGCAACCTCCGTCTCCCAGGTTCAAGCAATTCTCCCATCTCAGCCTCCTGAGTAGCTGGGATTACAGGCACCCACCACCACACCCCATACCCAGCTACTTTTTGTATTTTTAGTAGAGACAGGGTTTCACCATATTGGCCAGGCTGGTCTTGAACTCCTGACCTCAGATGATCTGCCCACCTAGGCCTCCCAAAATTCTGGGATTATAGGCGTGAGCCACCATGCCCGGACTCCTTTAGTCTCTTCTTGTCTAGTTCCTCTTATAACAAATGCCTTGAAGTGATATGGCATATAAAAATTGGTTTTAAAAAAGACAAAGAAAGCCTGAAAACTACACTATTATGGATTAGCATAACAGAAGGGGAAGGAAAGGAAACTGACATTTACTGAGCACATACTATCTGCCAGGTAACGTTAGCCATGTGACATAGTTTATCACATCGAATTAACGCTTACACAAATTTGATGAGGCAAATTCGATTCTCTCCATTTTAGGAATGAGGGAACAAGATTAGAGAAGTTAAAGGAATTTTTTCAAATCACATCATTAATAAGTAGGAGAGCCAGCGTTTGAGCGTATGGTTTTCTGATTCCAAATTTCTCACCTTCTTTCCAGATAGTAGCAGGCATTTTGCTTTAAAATGCCTATTTTGAGATCATAATTGCTTATTTGTAGACAGCAATAGTTAGATAAGTGCTAGGGAAAACGTGACTAGAATTCAGTTATTAGTCACCTGTAGCAGAGATTGATTAAAATATGAAAATTTGCCTGCAGCACTGTGACAGGGTGGCTGACCCTAAGATGTAGATGTAAAGTTCAGACGTTTATTTGGGAACACTCTCAGGATCAATACTTCCACAGGAAGGGAAGGAAGCTTCCATTTACTTTGAAGCTGGGATGGTCCTTTGGCATTGCCCCAATTTGAGGTGAGGGACTGGGCCTTTATACGCCCGCATTGACCAGTCACTAGATGGAGGAAACTCAGAAAGAGTAGAAGATGTTGGGTGAGGCCCCTCTCTTCAGCCAAAGCAATGGTCAAAAAGGACTGACAGCTGAGAGATGTCTTCTGACACCACTTTCTGCAGCTGGGGTAATAGATCCATTCCTCAAGAGGGATCTGGGGTGCTCACCAGAATATCCACTACAAATGGTCACTAATTTCATGGTTGAATTGGTGTTTTTTAAGGTCATGATCAGTTCCAGAAGTGGCTCCTGGGTGATGAGCCGGGTCTGGGACAATGGTTATCCTTGGGACATGCTGCTCGTCACTCGATTTGGAACCTTCCTCAAGAACAATTTACCGACAGCCATCTCTGACTGGTTGTACGTGAAGCAGATGAATGCAAGATTCAAGCATGAAAACTATGGCTTGATGCCTTTAAATGGGTAATGCAGAGCTAAACGTGATATGCCTGCTGGCTTTTAGTTCAGTGTCAACAACCCTTAATGTCCTGTAAGCCCAAAACAAATCAAAGTATTAGCAATCACAACTCATATATCAGAAGATAAAGAACTGCACAAATTAAGAGTGATTTCCTATTTTGCAATCCTCCTTACTATATTTACACAGCTGGAAAATTATATAATGCCTCAGGAATTAGTCCCGGGAGTAATGATAATCAAAGTTAACCTCTTTTAAGCATTTTATACATGTCAGAGATTTAGCAAGACTCTGCTAAGGCTCTGGCATATATTATTTCATTTTATCCTTACAATTATGAAGAGAGCTCTACTAGTATCTCCATTTTAGAGATGAGATAACTGCGTTTCAGTGTAGTTAATAACTTTACTAAGGTCCCACAGCCAGGAAGTAGAAGCAGCGTTCAAAACAAACCCAGATCTGCTGATTCTAGAGCCTCTCAGTCTTGGCCACTTGCTCTACTACCTGTCACTTAATGGCAAAGTTAAGCACATCAGGAGAACGTTTCATGTCCTACCTTTCCCTCTTCGTTTCATCACCCACCCCTTAATGGACCCCCTCTCACTAAACACATACTTACCAATGCTTGCATCTTCAGTCTCCTTCCCATCTTCTCCTATAACGTCCTCCAAGCCAGTAACATAACAAGAAATGACTTTGACAAGAGGTGAAAAACCCAAGTTACGAGCTGTTTTCATCAAAGTGAATTCATTAATTTGACAAACATTTATTACACGTTTATTATATGCCACATCCTGTGTTTAGCCCTGTGGATATAGTAGTGGACAAAACATGCAAAAATCCCTGTCCTCATGGAACCTACATTCTAAGTGGTGGGAAACAGACAAACAATAGCATAAGATCATATGGCGATGTGTGCTTTGGGGAAGAAAACAAAGCAGATAAAGGTAATGGCAAGTGCTGTCAGGACAATTTCCAATAGAGTCCTCAGAGTATGTCTCAGGGAGGAGACTTTTAAGAAAACCTCTGAAGGAGTTGAGGGAATGAGCCATGAGGGTCTCAGGGGAAGGGTATTCCAGACTGAGGACACAGCCAGGGCATTTACGGGCAGGGCTGGCATGATCAACAAACAACAATGGGGCTTCTCTTCCTTGAGAAAAGAGAATGAGGGGAGAATGCCAGGAGATAAAACCAGAGACATAAAAATTGTTGGATGGCGTGGGCCTTGTAGATCATTGTAAGGACTCTGGCTTTTACTCTGAAAGCAATGGGAAACTACAGCAGGCATCTGAGCAAATGAATTACAAGACCTAAATTAGCATTGCAGAGATTGATCGGCTGCTGTGGTCATCATTCAATGTAAGGGTAGGGCAAGGAAGGAAGTGAAAGGACCAGTTAAAAAGCTACTCTCAAAAACCTGAATCAGAGGGGATGTTGGTCTGGACCAAAATTGTTAGCAGTGAGTGGTCAGAATTGGGCAGATTTCTGGATAGCTTGAAGGTCGACCCAAATAGGATTTTCTGTGGACTGGATAGAGGATGAGAGAGCAAGGAGGGAGTAAGAATGTCTTCAAGATATTTGAAAAAGGATGACATTGACGTTTACTAAAATGTGAAAAACTGCAGGAGGAACAGAAGTTCAGTTTTAGACATATTAAAGTTGGAATGCCTATTAGACATTCTGGTAGAAGAATGTTGAGCCAGCAGTGGGAAACACAAGACAGGAGGGAGGCTCAAACCAGAAGTTAAAACTCTGGAGTCATGAGAAAATTTTTCCTGAAGAAATGGAACTAGATGACATCTCTTGAAGAATGCATGTAAATGGAGGAGACTAAAGGTCTGGGGACTGAGTCCTGAGGTATGCCATTGTCAGAAGTCAGGAAGAGGAGAAGACATCTGTGGGAGACAGAAAAAGAATAGCCAGCAAAGTAGGAAAGGAACTGAGAGAGAGTGATGACCTGGAAACAAAATGAATACAGTGTTTCAAGAAAGAGGAAACCATCAATTATGTTAAATGCTAAGTTGAGTAAAAGGGAAAGTGAGGGTGGACCACTGGATCTGGGAGCCTGATTCTGATGGCCTTGACAAGAGCAGTTTCAGCGTGGTGATGGAGTTTGTTCTCCAGTGGAATCTGCCTGTAGCACTCTCTCACAGCTCCCACAGCCATACAAGAACAACACTCTTTCCTTCAACTGTATTCACATTCATCCCTGGGTTCAGATTTCTCTGCTCCCACTACAGATATTATTGAATAAAAAGTAGTCCAAAGCTCTCTCTTTCCAGACTTGCAGTTGCCAAAGCCTCAAACTGGCACCCTCCCTCTGGCCTTATTTAAATTCCTGGGTGCTCCCTCCTTCACCTGATTGGTGCCTCTGTCTGCATGGGGCTCATACTTCATCCCTCAAGAGCCCAGCTGCAGCTCTCACACCTTTGACTTTCCTCCTCCTATTTGGTCTTCTCCACAGTATGATGACCATCTTGGAGTATACTGAATTAAGAATAACAGTTAACATTTTCGAGCTCCATGCATATGCTAGAGACTGTGCAAAACTCTTTATATCATTTAGGGAACTTCTGAGGTAGTACAAACATTACTGACATTCCAGATGAGAAATATGAGACACCAAGAATTTAAAAAACATAATCTCATCAAGGTTCCCACTGAATAAGTAGCAACTTTAAAAATGTAAACACCGAGGTACCCTCACTTCAGAGTTTTTCCTGAAACAGGCTTTAACAGGGAACTGGGCATAAGCCTTTATTCCGGGATTTGGAAAGAGCTCCATGGAAGAGAAGGATCACAGAAAATAGAGATGGGGCCAGCAAATAACAACTTCTCTTACTTCCCAATGTTGCCTCCCATCAATTTTGTTCTTCAGCCATATTGGAGATACTCTATGCCTCAGAAAAAAAAAATCTTGGGTCATTTTTTCCTTCCTTATCAATTTATATATGGACCAATAAAACAAGAGGGAAATATTACACTTCCAATAATTGTCTCTGTTTTCCATACAGAGTCCTGAGGAAAGAGCCTGTATTTAACGATGAGCTCCCAGCAAGCATTCTGTGTGGCATTGTGTCCGTAAAGCCTAACGTGAAGGAATTCACAGAGACCTCGGCCATTTTTGAGGATGGGACCATATTTGAGGGCATTGACTGTGTAATCTTTGCAACAGGGTATAGTTTTGCCTACCCCTTCCTTGATGAGTCTATCATCAAAAGCAGAAACAATGAGATCATTTTATTTAAAGGAGTATTTCCTCCTCTACTTGAGAAGTCAACCATAGCAGTGATTGGCTTTGTCCAGTCCCTTGGGGCTGCCATTCCCACAGTTGACCTCCAGTCCCGCTGGGCAGCACAAGTAATAAAGGGTAAGTCAATAAAGAGGCTCATGGATTGCGAAGATGAATGCCAGTGACAATAACTTTGGATCTTTGTGAAAACAATAATCCTAGTTACAAGGTCCCCTTCAGTTTTGAAAATTTATAATTCTATATTCTTTAGTGCTATATTTTGTTAGCAATTTAAAGTATACCAGTTTGGATTATTGTATGAAATACTACAAGATATTATTAGAGGAGGCATTTTGTGACTACAACTTCTTACAGCTGATAATTACCCAAGATCATTTATTAGACTTGAGACCACCAAAGCTCACATCCACTTAAGACTAAGTGAATGACAACTTTATAAAATTATGATTGCAAAACTCAGTAGAATTACATTGCTTGAAAAGTTCATAAGAAAATATGTTTACGAGCCAACATCCAGCCAACTTCAAATATCCACAGTCATGGAAAATATGATTGCTGGAAGGCAATGGCTTTTCTACTATTATTTTCTTCCCTGACAAAAAAAGGACAAACAGTGGATCAACAGAGGCAGAAAGTGCTAAGAACAAACAGTGGATCAATAGAGGCAGAAAGTGCTCAGTGTAGTAGATGATCAGTCTGTAATACATAAGAATACTGAGTTCTTATATTTTACAAAGGAAACAACAAACTTGATTGGGGTCAGGCAAGAAAGGCAGGCAGCATCCCCCAGCAGCAGGCTGGAATACAGTTGTGGGGAGATGCAGATCACACGACCAGGTAGCCAGGAAGGTAATGGCATGAAATTTCACTCAGGATTCCACTTAGGGTTCAGACCCAGAGAGGCTGGCATTAAAGGAAGGGTGCTACCCTTACTCTCTATGAGGACAAGAGTTGTAACTTGGGCTCTGAAGAAAGGAAACAAGGCAATTTATGGGGAAAATTGATGTACACGGCACAGGCTCTCTTAAGGGAAATGAGACACAAGGCAAACAACCTAGATTTGGAAAACCAGAGTACCAAGACAAGAGGGGCTAGTTACAAGCAACCCAATGGCAGTAGTCGGCAGGCTAAAAAACAGTCTCTTTCTTTTCAATCTCTTCCTCTGAAAAGCATGACAAGTTCCAAGGCCTGGAACCATACCATATCTACAAAAGCTGTTCAAGTGACCCTCCCTATAAGAAGTGTAGAAATGGGAAATTAAGCAAGCCATTGTAGGTCTTGAGTAATCATATCTGGGCTAAGAGTTTTATTCTCTTTCAAGTTGATACCAAGATTACCAAAGAAATCATCCTAAATTTGAAGTATTTCTGGACACAAAAGGCTGTTTTGGTCTGGGTTTTAGAGAACTCTGCAAACTTATGTAAACCTGGATCCTGGGGCAGCCCCAAGTCAGATCTAGTCTCCTGGGTCTCCCTTATGTCCTTGGTGACTTGTGGACAGTCCATATCCTCAGTCATATTCAAGAACTACTGGCTTCCCATAGAAAAACTTAGCCCTTCACCAAATTCGATATCTTATCTTCTGGAAATTCCATTTTCTGGCAAAGCAGGATTAATTTCTATGAAGATTTTTCTTCATAAATCTTGGAAAAGTGATGCCAATTCACCTCTGTTTGGCTATAATTTAAAAGACAACATTCTTAAAATATGACTGAGATTAAAATATATCTATGAAACTGTTTTGAAACATCTTGTAACCAGTTTAAGAGCAAAGCTATTTAGGTAATGTTTTTTAATTATTATGACAAATATGAGTTCTGAGAAGACTAGAACTGAATTTGGTGTCTGTCTGAAAATGAACACCAATTAATGTAATTCATAACTCATTATTAAAAAGGGAAAATTACAGGCTGGTCCTATGCCAGACTCATTAATTACCATCGTGTCTTTCCTTCTTTATCAGGAACTTGTACTTTGCCTTCTATGGAAGACATGATGAATGATATTAATGAGAAAATGGAGAAAAAGCGCAAATGGTAAGAGTACCTATTGTAATAGGAGTGTAGGATTTCCATAGAAAAGTGAGAATTTATGAATGCTTGGAACTGTTTTAATCTTAAATTATCCTGAATGACATCATTGGAATGACAACTACAAGCTATATTCATCCATTCAACAAATATTAATTGAAGACCTACGTTGCTTCTGACATTGTATTAAGTTCTTTTTAGTACAAGGCACAGAGTAAATAATAGGATTGAGAATCTACATTACATAGACAGTTTTAGCCCTCCATGCCTCCTGTAATATATATCATAGAAAGGAGACCCAGAAAGGATTTGAAATCAGAGGAGTTTGGGAACACATGGATGTGGACTTCCATTCTCTAGCCCATAAATTCTCTAAGATGTAGAGGATATTTCAAAGGTATACCTCTAATGAAAATGACTCAGAAAAGTGAGAATGAATCTGGAGAACTGGGCTCCATTTCTAGTTGTCACTAATTAGCTCAGTGGCCATGAACTATTATAGAAGGGTCATTTGAGCAAGAGGCAATCTATCCATTTGTAAATAAGGATAAAAAATGTCTTTCTCAGCTGCATTGCAGTGTTGGGGTATTTCCAAATGAAACCATATGAAAGTTCTTTAAAAAAACCACAAAGTAGGATAAACAAATGACATTCTCCTTATACAAGAAATTGATGTTGTATGTCAGGGTAGTGTGGGAAATTTTTTTAGAAAGAGAGAGAGATTGATGTTAATTCTCACTGATATAAAGTTGCGAGCCATTTTCTCTGTTCTGTTTCTACACAGAGTTTGGGTATCCACAGTGGTGTTTTCTCTCCCATCTCCAGGTTTGGCAAAAGCGAGACCATACAGACAGATTACATTGTTTATATGGATGAACTCTCCTCCTTCATTGGGGCAAAGCCCAACATCCCATGGCTGTTTCTCACAGATCCCAAATTGGCCATGGAAGTTTATTTTGGCCCTTGTAGTCCCTACCAGTTTAGGCTGGTGGGCCCAGGGCAGTGGCCAGGAGCCAGAAATGCCATACTGACCCAGTGGGACCGGTCGTTGAAACCCATGCAGACACGAGTGGTCGGGAGACTTCAGAAGCCTTGCTTCTTTTTCCATTGGCTGAAGCTCTTTGCAATTCCTATTCTGTTAATCGCTGTTTTCCTTGTGTTGACCTAATCATCATTTTCTCTAGGATTTCTGAAAGTTACTGACAATACCCAGACAGGGGCTTTGCTATTTAAAAATTAAAATTTTCACACCACCTGCTTTTCTATTCAGCATCTTTTGCAGTACTCTGTAGACATTAGTCAGTAATACAGTGTTATTTCTAGGCTCTGAAATAGCCACTTTAAGAATCATGTCATGATCTTAAGAGAGCACTAATCATTTCTGTTTGAGTTCCACTAACACTTCAAAATCAGAACTATGTTCTTTATATCTAACTTAAATCATTTCCTGAAACATTTTGACATGATTCCTTTTTCCTTTTAAACAATGTATGAAAGATGTATTTTAAATCTAAATAAAGAGCAAATTAAGCAGAATAATTATAATATGATACTCTCAGGCTACTTCTATAAGCTATTTGCAGGGTCAAGGGGGGAGCTTGGCTATTACATTATTTTTCATTTGTTTGTTTTGTGCAACATAATCCAGGTAAGACCTCCTCTTCTCTGCCCAAGAAACATAGCATAAAGACCTGGTCTATATTGAAAGTTAACACAAAGTAATTTGTTTTATTTATATTCTCAATAAGGAAACAAACTTTTCAACTTCTAGCAGCAAAAGAATAATAGCAATAGCAATGAGTGTAGTACCAAATAATACACCTTTTAGCTTAATCTTTTAAAAATTAAATATTTAGCCAAAACTGTGACCAAAATCTAATGCTTATAGATTAAAGATTTATAGTCTTATATAGTCTACCCCAATAAACTTACGAGGTACCAGAATAAATCTAAAACTGTATTTTATAGTGTATTACATTTTATAGTTAAAATTTTCATAATTATGATTTTTAAATTTTGACATTATAGAGCAGATAAAATCACCTGCCAGAATCATCAGTCATCAGAGGGCTCCACCAGTTAGTTATTATACTACGTATTTCTTACTAAACCTTCCCTTCCAACTTAGATCAATGGAACAAATATATATGTGTGTGTATATATATTCCTCTTAAAGGTCCACCAGTCCCATTCCTGTGATAATCCACTAATTCATTAATCCATAAATGATGCTTCAATTTATTTAAGCAGAGTCCTCATAACCCAATCACCTCTTAAAGGCCTCACCTTTCAATACTGCTGCATTGAGGATTAGTTTTCAACATGAGATCTGGAGAGAAAAACATTCAAACCATTGCATCATACAAAAAAAAGGCTATTAAAAATTGGATTATAGCAACTTAATCTTCTATTTATTTTTTGTACTGGCATTTATAACATGAAGCAAAAAATTTTTATGGGCTGTGTTTAATTTTTAGTTACTTGATTCTATTTAGGGCACAGGTTTTCAAGAAAAGTTTTGCTTCATTTGGGAATACTTGGGAATATTTCACATCTGGTAAGAAGACCTTAAAAGCAGAATGTTACTTTGCTACCACAAACAATTAGGAAAAGGAAAATATTTAAAATTGTATACAACATTTATGATAAATCTGAGCTTCAAAGATAAAAATATAAAGAAAGTAACAATAGAAAAGAAGAAAGCGTTAGGTAAAAATGTGATCTTCTTTCTTTCTTCCATTTCTATATCCCCCATATGTGTGTATGTGAGTGTATATATATATAGATATAGATATATAGATATATAGATATATATCATATTGAAAGGAAAGCAATATGAAAGCACTCCCATGGTTATTGCAGTACTATTCACAATGGCCAAACCTAAGTGTTTGTCAACAGACAAATGGATACACCACATTTTCTTTATCCATGTACAAAGAAATGATAAATGGTTGAGGTGATGGATATGCTAGTTACCCTGATTTGATCACTATTCATGATATACATGCATCAAAATATCACACTGTGCCCCATAAATTGTATAATTATGTGTCCATTCAAAATAATAAAGGCAATAAAAAGATATTATAGGTCAGTGGTTCTCAACACAACATAACTTGGTGCAATGCCCTCTTTTAATAGCTAGAATTTTGTAACACTTTACAGTCCTGAAGTAAAATTAATACACAAATGTGTTAAATGTGTGCGTGTGTGTGTGACTATAACCCCACTTGTAATGTACAGAATATTTTCAAGTTGTGCAACTGTAAGTACACATCCAAGAAGGCTTTGTGTCAAATCATTTTGCAGGACTTCACAGAGCTTCTAATAACTAGAACTCCTCAATCATGCAACAAAAAAACTCACCCTGAAAATTCCAAAAATACCCTAAGTCAAGTGAAGTAGCCCTAATGAGATTCACTATAAAATGAACGAAAAATCTAAGTCTCAGAGATTATGATCCAAGAACACTAATCTAAAAAGGGTAGAGTTTGAACCCAAAGCCATATCTCATGATATGTAATCTACTAAATTTGTTTAGAATGTCGCAACTGCCTCCTAATTTAGAGTGGTTTTTCAGGGTGACATTTAAACTTCTGTGTCTGCCCAAGGTCTGTTGACTTTTAGAGACACAGAAATCATGCAGCACATAGTTCCATTCAATACAAAGTAATGGACAATCTAACTTACTGACATTGATATATGATGCTAGCCCCATATAACAGCCCTTTTGGTTGAAATCCAGAAGGGATTGAGAATAGATGACAGGGTTCAAATTTATTTATTTAAGTCATCTGCATAAGAATTTATAAAATTTCCAGATTTGCACATACCATTGCCTCCTTGATATCTTTTCTTGCATGTGCATAGGCATCCCACACATAAACTACTACATTTACCTCTCAGTTTTTCCCACCACCAACATTCCCATATAGATTCCAAACATGTTCTTTCCTCAATCTTACTCGTCCTGGTAATGAGACCTCTAAATACCCCATTTCTCAAGCCACAAAACTAGGCATAATCCTCAATTCCTTTAGCTGCCTCCTGTATTCATTAGCCAGGGATGCCATAAGAAAGTACCACAGACTGGGTGGCTTAAACAATAAAAATTTATTTTCTCATAATTCCTGAGTCTAGAAATCCAAGATCAGGGTGTCAACAATGTTGGTTTCTTCTGAAGCCTCTCTCGTTGGTTTGTAGATAACTTCTTCTGTGTCTTCACACAGTCTTCTTCTGTACATGCCTGTGACCGAATCTCCTCTTCTCATGAAGAAACCTATTATATTGGATTAGGGACAACCCTATGACCTCATTTTAACTTAATAGCCTTTTTAAGAATGCTGTCTTCAAATATAGTAACATTCTGAAGTACTAGGGGTTAGAACTTCAATATATAAATTTGAGAGTGACACAAGTCCATCCATAACACCTCACCATTCCCCTACCTACAGCATCAGCAAATGTTCTCACTTCTGTCTACCTCCACAGCCTCCACTCAGGTCAAAGCCACCATTAACTCTTACCCATTATTCTAAGAGCCTCCTTCTTGATTCCATTCTTGCATCTTAACATTCCATTTTGTATGCAGCAGCAAGAGTAAACTTTTTCAAACGCAAATAGGATCTTGTCACCCTTCTTGCTGTGTCATGTGAGGACATGCTTCCAATTCCTTGCATGCTGCTGGCTAATCTTAAGACATAGGAGGGAAGCACCCATAATCCAGAAACTCAGCTCTCTATTGACAGTTCTCTTGGGTTAAGATAATAGTATTTAACAAAAGAAGTTCTGTCCACCCTCTTATAATTCTGAGATGGTACCTACACTGCTCAAGCCTTTTCCTACAGACATTTATACCTGCTGTATTTAAAACTTCTTTTCATAGGCTTGGTTACCAGATTTAAGTATGAAGAAAGCCCTGAAAATAGAAAGCTTTCTAAGTTGGAAACATAATTGCCCATCTCTGATTGCCAAAAGGATTAAGTTGTAATATTAGTCTCCACATGGAAATGTATAGCCTCTTGTTTGTTGTGTAACTGTGTAGTTATCCAACAAGTAGAAATTTCAATTCTTTCTGTTAAGTTCATGCCACAGGTTTGTAGAAAGGCACTTCCTGATGTTGGGAAAAACTATGGAGGCAATGAGATTTCTGTGAAGTTACCGGCTTTCCCTTTCTGCTTTTGTGCCCCTTAGAATATTTTCATGTCACTCAAATAGCCACTGCCTTCACATTTCTTCTGCTTTCACACTAATCTCATTGAAGGATCTGTAGTTTGCTCCCACTAATAATGTTTTCCCATTAAGAAAACAGCTGAAAATGTCACCTTTCTTGAAGGGAGTACATTTCAACATCTCATATAAGTGATTACTACTTTAATTATTGATGTATGAGAATCTGGTACCTCAACTGTAGGCCAGTGTGAAAAGGAACAAAGTCCAAAATCATGCATATCACAGGCTTATGCAACTTACCTGACCACGATAGAAAGGTGGAAAGTGGTCAAAATTCCGGTGTCCAACTTGATTCAATTTATAGCTGGCATCCAAGAGGACAAGATAGTGAGTTCCTTGGTTTCTCGGTCATAGCTACAATGAGGACAAGATGAGTTCCTCAATTGTAACAAGAGTCAAAATCTTACAAATGGTTCCAGAAGACCAATGTCATTCTAGATAGCCCATACATTGGTGGAATAAGACTCCAGCCAGAAGTAAATGACATGAAGAAAAGATTTAGCTCCTAGTTACAGGTAAGGGATACTCCTAAGAACCAGACAGACTACCAGAGTCCCAATCAAGTGGCCTGGAGATCAGAATAAGGCTCCAATAAGTCAAGTCATAGAGCATGGGTATATTCTCTAAGAAAGGTCCTCCAAGGAGCATATGACAACATACGACTAAACATGCAAGGAATTGATCAGGAGAATACCTGTGAAAGATAATAGGAAAGGAGCTGGAAAAGACAGGGAGAGCTGTCAGACAGGGATGCAAGTATGACCCCAAGCGAAGAAGTGAGGGGAGGAGAGTTGGGTGAAAACATTCCAGACTGCCAAGCAGTCTAGGAATGGTTTGGCAAAGCTGCAGGGGAATGCCTGAACAAAGTTGGGCATCAGAAGAGCCCTGTGTCTATAAGGCAGAGGCCTGCCTAGGTATCTCTGCCATACTCAGTCATTGGCTGGGAATAGCCTGAACAAGTACAGCCTCAGTTCAAAGACAGCATTCAATGAGCAGCTTGGGTCCATTGGTCAATTATGCTCCCTGTAGTTTGGGTCCATTGGTCAATTATGCTCCCTGTAGTTGGAGATCTGCAACTTCTCATGACCACCAGAAGGAGCCAGCCCAGTAGGATTTACCAAAGGATTGGTGAGGGAACAGGTGCAGAGTTTATACCAGATACCAATATTACCAAAGGAAAACTAATTCCAGGCCCTGCAGCTGACAATTGTTCACCTTTCGCCTTAGTTTGGATTGGCTTAGTGATCAGGAACAGCAAACTCAGCAGACTGAAATTTCTCTGTGTTTAGGTGAAAATGTGCTTCTGTGTGAAGGCACAACTGGCAATTATTAAATCTCCTCTCCCAAGCTTGAGTAAATTAAAGAGGGGCTCTGAGCTATGAATTTCAGCTCAGAGCCTTCAAAGATAAATGTTAAACTTTTGAAAATTTTCCAGCAAGATAATGGCAAATGGTTATCTAAATTTCACTGTGTAATTTGCATCCTGTCAGATAACACAACTCCTGTCAGTGTTTTATGTTGTTCCCCCAGCCTGTTTTCAAGCAGTTTTCTTCCTGTGGAACATAAAACAGACAAATAATAGTGGGGGTCACATGATCTGCTTATTTTTAGACTGCTGCTCTACTGCAAATAGCTTTCCAGTGCCACTGTGTCTCAGCCCATATGTCCTGCTATAAAGGAATATCTGAGGCTGGATAATTTATAAAGAAAAAAGGTTTCTTTGGCTCATGGTTCTGCAGGCTGTACAAAAGCATTGCACTAGTATCTGCTTCTGATGAGGGCCTCAGGCTGCTTCCACTCATGATGGAAGGGAAAGGGGAACTGATGTGTGCAGAAATTACATGGTAAGGCAGGAAGCAGTAGAGAGAGGAGGAGGCATCAGACTCTTTTTAACAACCAATTCTCACAGAACTAAGAGTGAGAACTCACTCCTGTGAGGATGACACCAAGCAGTTCATGAGAGGTCCACCCTCAAGATCCAAATACCTCCCACCAGGACCCACCTCCAACATTGGGATCAAATGTCAACCTGAGACTTGATAGGGCCAAGCAAAGTATATCCAAATCACAGCACAGTTTTTCAGCTCCAGAATAATTATCATGTTTTCCAGGGCAAAAGTTTCCATAAAAATGATAATAGTAAAGGGCAAACAGAATTCATGCTTTCTACCAACAGTTTTTGTACTAGTTATGTACTAGGGTATATTCTAGGACCTGGAGATTTAACAGGAAATTATATTAAAATAATCCCACTTTTAAGAAAGTCACATTCTATCAGGGGAAAACAGTCTATTTAAAAATACACGGGCCAAACACAGTGGCTCACGCCTATAATCCCAGCACTTTGGGAGGCCGAGGCAGGTGGATGACGAGGTCAAGAGATCAAGACCATCCTGGCCAACATGGTGAAACCTTGCCTCTACTAAAAATACAAAAAATAGCCAGATGTGGTGGCGGGCACCTGTAGTCCCAGCTATTCAGTTGGCTGAGGCAGGAGAATTGCTTGAACACGGGAGGCAGAGGTTGCAGTGAGCTGAGATCGTGCCACTGCACTCCAGCCTGGTGACAGAGCAAGACTCCGTCTCAAAAAAAAATTAAAATTAAAATTAATAGAGAACATATCATGACATAGAATAATAGAAAACAAATGGCCTTAAAAGTTGTCTAGTCCAGTCCTCTAGTTGCAAACCAAAGCAACCCAGGAAACATGTGAGGCCAGTGGTTACCAACTCCCTTTGAGTCCCAGGTGTACTTTTTCTTAAGCTACTGAAACTATATTGCTTACAGTGTATCAGCCCCAAACCTGATGGATTTCTAGTCAATTTATCAATATTCTGAAGTTCTATATTTCCCTAATCTCTAGTGCAGAAATCCAGCTGCAATTCCTTCTATTTTATCCCAGTAAGATCTCATTCTAAATCAGCAGAATGCTCCTTTTTGGCATCTTCAATGCTTGTTCCCACCCCACTGTGCCTTCGACCAATTCATTTCATCATTTCTTCTCTCTCTCTCTCATTTTTATGCTACCCATACCCAGACTCAATATTTCAGCCTCATTCTCTCTTCCCCTGGCTTGAATCCCCACTTGCAATCTAAGGATAGGTTCTATAAAGTCTACTTTCTCTATCTCTTTTGCCTCTTTCCATCTTATAATTCCCACTCTGGCAAATTAGATCTGGCTATCATTATTTTTTTTAATTTTGATATAGTATTATTTGTCTATTTTGCTTTTGCTGCCTGGTTTGTTTTTTAATTTTTTGTTCATGTTTTGTTTCGGTTTTTTTAGAGGCAGGTTTTTGTTATGTTGTCCAGGCTGGCCTGGAACTCCTGGGCTCAAGCAGTCCTCCCATCTGAGCCTCCCGAGTACATGGAACATACCACCCCACTCCCAGCTATCATAATTTCTTAGTCTGTTGGAATAGGCCTCTAACTGGCCAGCTAGACTTTAGTTTCCCTGTCATAGTTTATCCTGTATACTACTGCCAGAATCATCTTCCTGAAGTGAGCCTCTAAAACACATTACACGTGCATACAATTCTTTACTGGTTCTTCTTTCTCCCCATTTAAATCTCATACAAGGGGCCTCCCAATATGACTAAAGCTACTTTTCCAGTCTTATTTGTAACTATGTTCCAGACAAACTATACTATTTAGAGTTTTCTCCCTGAATAAACCCACCTTCATGTATATATTTATGGTTATACATGAAATATATATATAACCATAGAAAAATGCCTGAAATCCAGGCGTTTTTTAAACCCGTCTTAAATCTAAATTCTTTCCTTTGGGGTCAGACTTTGTACCTGTTCCCAGAAGCATGCTGAGATCTAACTCTAGTCATGAATCTAATGGCAGCAAAGGCTGGATTGGGGTACTTCTTGAGAATAGCCATCCTTTTGCAAAGCAATTGCCACCAGTGAGGTTATTACAGGATTTTTAAACATCCTCAGACTTGGGATGGTGGGCTGCTTCCACTAGAAAGAGAAGCTCAAAGTGATTCGAAGGTTTGAGATTCTCAGCTTCATTAAAAGACTTGCTGAGGCTGGGTATTCAGCATAAGTTGTCATTCTGAAACCTGCAAAATTAAAATTTGTTCTGATTTTCAGACAAGTTGAACCTTTGTTGCAAGAAATAATATTATTTTAAATCCACCACAGGAGCACTCTGGCTGTCTGGCATGACTTGAGCCGAGAGTTGAAAAACCTGTGCCTGTCATCTTCTTTCTTAAGTGCTTCAGTGCACTCAGAAGTTACCATCCCTACCCTTGATCTTGTGGTCATTATTGCCATCATGCAGGTAAATGTAGCAGCCACTTGTCGTCTGCCCCACCCCCACCCTGCCCCACCAAGGGACTTGCTTCAGTAGGTACTTCCTCACAATCAAATAGAGGTGATAATGTGGTTAATTGTGATGCCATTGCTTGCATGGATTACTGTATCACGATTCTCAATTTTTAAGGAGGTCAGCACTGCATTCAAGTCCAAGGACATGACCAAACCAATCCCAATATCTTATTTTTAAGTGTCCATTTTCTTGGACCATTCCTGGCACCAACTTCTGTATCAGTTAGGGTGCTTTCAGGAAAGAGAAACCTTAACAATAGTTTCAACATAGAGAATATTGATATAGTTTTGCTGTGTCCCCACCCAAATCTCATCTTGAATTCCCACGTGTTGTGGGCAGGACCCAGCGGGAGGTAATTGAATCATGGAAGCAGGTCTTTCCTGTGCTGTTCTCGTGATAGTGAATAAGTCTCATGAGATCTGATGGTTTTAAAGAGGGGAGCTTCCCTGCACAAGCTCTCTTCTCTTGTCTGCTGCCATGAGAGATGTGCCTTTCACCTTCTGCCATGATTTTGAGGCCTTCCCAGACACGTGGAACTATAAGTCCAATAAATTTCTTTCTTTTGTAAATTGCCCAGTCTCTGGTATGTCTTTATCAGCAGTGTGAAAATGGACTAATACAAATATAATATTTAAAAGCATTAGCAAGGTATCAGAGAGTCTTAAAGGCGAAAAGAGAACTCAGAGTATCACACAGATAGTTTCTATAGAAGGAGTTGCCTCTCCTATGCCTGAAGAGAAAACAGAAACAGGTTGGAATTATTAAAACTTAGAGGCTTAGGAGGAACTTGCAGAGCTGGAATCTCATCTCTGAAGAGGGTGCCAGCTGGCTGGTGTTGCTCTCCCTGAAGTCACATGAAGAAACTTGTTCTAGGAGTTTGGGAACAACTATAAATCGGAAGTAGCTACAGCACCAGCATGGCTGCAGAGGTGAAGACCTTTTTCTGCAACAATACTAACAGGAACAGGAAGCAACCAGGAAGGAACGAAGGGGAATGAAGTTTGCAAAGTCCCAGCCCCAGCAACATAAAGCACAGCGTAAAAGAACATGTCTGAAGTTGAGAGAAAGTAACTTAATCAGGAAGCCTTCTTTAAACCCATCTCAAATGGGTTTAAATCCTCCTCGTTTGAGGCTTTCTTAATTTACTCTCTATATATGTGTTTTTCTCTCTCCTTAGAATCTCTACAGCAACTTAGATGCTTTTTGGTGTCACTTGTATTTTGCCCTGTACTACAGGTATCCCTATAGCTGTCTTAATCTCTCCCCTCTTCATTGTCATTCTTCTCCAGACACAAAAACATACATATTAGAAAAAAATCAATGAATGCTGGAACAGTGTTTCATTTATTTCCATATTGCCTCTGACTTCTCTATAGCTAGTTGTTGAACTTGTTCACTGCTGAATCCCCAGTGCTTAGAACTGGACCTAGAGTATAATACATCATGTATGTATGTGTGTGTGTATGTGTGTGTGAAAATAAATGATTAGTTAGTGAATAAATTTAACTGAATTGAATGTCAGTCCAGGAAGTCAGACTTGAATGACAATAGGGGATTCTGCATATGGGAATGCTTTGATTAAACAGTAATGCCATTTGAGGAAACAAAATAAAATATCTTCTTTTTACGGTGATTAACCTAATCTCAAACTTGGAAAACTTCTCAGCATCTAATTCATTGTCTTCCTTCACTCCTCCCCTTGACCATGTCAAAAGAAAGATTTAAGTGGATCCAAACCTGAAGCTGTTCCCATAACACAACAAATGTAGAGAATGTGTTTTGCAACCAGTAGTAATGACCAAAAAATGTATTTACATAGACTTGCTTGAAAAGATAAACATAGCATATTATATTCAGAACAAAGGAAGAATGGCTCTTAGCATGCCTGTGGTAAGAAATAAAGTCTGTTCCAAATCCCAAGGTACCAGAGAGCCTAAAATTCCCTGGCAGATGAATTTAATCACTTTTCCGTGTTGTTAATAAGAAAACACTACAGAATGTCAGCTGGTGGAATCGGAATTTTCAGTGCTCATTCTCTCACAGTAATATCAATTTTAATAACCATCCACAACAAAAATACCTGCACAAGACCTAAGGAATCCAGGTGAGAGATTACAGCACCTGAATGGGGCACAGAAATAAGAAAAAACACATAGAAGAGGATAGGAGGGACAGTTTCACACTACCTGTATCACCTCTCCCCCAAGCCTAGGCAACACAGTATGGAGACAGATGCCCTCCATTTAAGTAAGGAGAAGAAAATGAGTAGGCAACTTTGCTCTGGACCCTATTACCAGGCCTGCACTACTAAACCCCAGTGCCAGGTGAGTCCTCACAGTCCCAGGCTCCAGGCTTAACCAGGTGTCAGGCCATATCTAATGGTCCCAGGCTGCAGGATAACTCCTGCGAACCCAGTTTTCCAGGCCTGCCTGAGATTTAAGGGCAGCAGCCCTCATGGCCCCAGACACCAGACTGACCACTGAGAACCCAGGTTTTAGGCCCACCCCGGTACCAGGCCAGCCCCTGTGGACTTGGGCCTAAGAACTGCCCCAATGCCAGGATAGCTCCCGTAGACATAAGCTTCAAGCGCACCCCCATGGACAGTCACTAAGCCCACCCCAGTGGACCACAAACCCTGCTGGCCCCTGTGGATGCAAGCACCAGGACTGTCCACATGGCTGCAGCTTCAGGCCAAGCCCAATGGACCCAGGCTCCAAGTCTTTCCCATGGACCTATGCATCAAGTTGACCTTTGTGAACCTAGGCATCAGACCTGTTCATCTGCTAACTTAGGCACCAAGCCAGCTCACCTGAGGACTTCAGTAGCAAACCTGTCATGGACCTTGCATGTCAGACTGCCAAGAATCTCTGCCCAGTCTGACTGTAAAGGGATCTCCCTGCCAAAACCTGTCTCTAACAACTAGAAGAGGTCCTTACTTTTTAAAATCTGCAGACAGCAGTTCAAGACCACAAGATTACAAATAATCTGGGAAATGTGACACCACCAAAGGAACAGAATAAAGCACCAGTAAACCAACACTAAAGAAATGAAGATCTACAAACTTCCTGAAAAAGAATTTAAAATAATTGTCTTCAAGAAGTCCAGTGAGCTAAAATAGAACACAGATAGGCAATTAAATGAAATCAGGGGAAAAATAAACAAAATGATAAGTTTAACAAAGAGATAGAAACCATTCAAAAAACACACAAAAAAATTCTGGAGCTGCAAAACACAATTACAGAACTGAAAGATTCAACAGAGAACTTCAACAGCAGACTTGATCAAGCAGAAAAAAAAAAATCAGCAAACTTTAAGACAGATCAGTTGAAATTACCCAGTGAGAGAAACAGAAAAAAGAATGACAGATAGTAAAGAAAGTCTACAAGACAAATGGGAAACCATCAAGTCAACCAATATACGCATTATGGGAGCCCCACAAAGAACCAAGAAATAGAGGTAGAAAGCTTATATAAAGAAATAATGATAGCAGACTTTCCAAATCTAGAAAGGGAGCTAAACATCCAAATCCATAAATCCCAAAGAATTCAGTTAGATTAAACATAAAGAGATCTTCACTGTGACACATAATCAAATTCATAAAAGTCAAAAGACAGAATTTTAAAGGCACCAAGAAAAAAGTGATTCATCACATACAAGAGAACACTCATAAAACAATCAGTAGATTTCTCAGTAGAAACTTTGTAGGCAAAAATGGAATGATATACTCAACATGCTGAAAGAAAAATAAAATGCCAATCAAGAATACTATATGTGATGTGTTAGTCTGTTCTTGCATTCCTATAAAGGAATACCTGATGCTGGGTGATTTATAAAGAAAAGAGGTTTTATTTTTCACTCACAGTTCTTCAGGTTGTATAGGAAGCATAGTGCCAGCATCTGTCTTTGGTAAGGACCTTGGGAAACTTGCAATTACGGCAGAAACTGAAGGAAAGCAAGCATGTTACACGGCCAGAGGGCGAGCAAGAGAGAAAGAGAGGAGGTGCCACTCAGATCTTGAGTGAACTATCAGAGCAAGAACTTACTCATCACCAAGGGAATGGCAATAAGCCATTCATGAGCAATATGGCCCCATGATCCAAACATCTCCCACCAGGCCCCACTTCCAATATTGGGGATTACATTTCAACATAAGATTTGGAGGGCACAAACACCCAAACTACATCATTCCACCCCTAGCCCCCAAATCTCATGTCCTTCTCACATTGCAAAATATAATTATCCCTTCCAATAGTCCCCAAAGTCTTAACTCATTCTAGTATTAACTTAAAAGTCCCAAGTTCCGAGTCTCAAGTCCAATGTCTTATCTGGAAATGAATCCCTTTCACCTATGAGCCCACATTTGTCTCAAGTGCACATAAACTATTCTCCAGGATAGATAATATGTTAGGCCACAAAACAAGTCTTCACAAATTTAAGAATACTGAAATCATATCAAGTATCTTTACTGACCACATGGTATTAAATCAGAAATCGATGACAGAAAGAACTTTGGAAAATTTACAAATACATGTAAATTAAATAATATTCTCCTGAACAATGACTAGGACAAAGAAGAAATCAAAAAGAACATTTTAAAATATCTTGAGAGAAAAAAAAATACCAAAACTGAGGGACGCAGCAAAATCAGTTCTAAGAGCAAAGCTTACAGAGATAAATGCCTACATTTTAAAATAAATGAAAGAAGAGACATTATACAGATGCCTCAGAAACAAAAAAGATCATAGGGGACTATTATGAACAATTATATACCAACAAATTGAATAACCTAGAGGAAATATATGAATTCCTAGAAACAGAAAACAAACCAAAACTGAGTCAAGAAGAAATAAAAAGCCTGAACATATAAACAAAAAAATTTAAGTAGTAATTTAAAATCTTCCAATAAAGAAAAGCCCAGGACCAGGCTGGACATGGTGGCTCATGCCTGTAATCCCAGCACTTTGGGAGTCTGAGGTAGGTGGATTGCTTGAGCCCAGGAGTTTGAGACCAGCCGGAAACATGGTAAAACCCCGTCTCTACAAAAAATACAAAATTAGCCAGGTGAGGTGCTGTGCACTGGTAGTCCCAGCTACTCAGGAGGCTGAGGTGGGAGGAATAGCTTGAGCCAGGGATATGGAGGTTGTGGTGAGCAGAGATAGCCTCATTGCACTGCAGCCTAGGAAACAGAGATAGACCCAGTCTCAAAAATAAAAAATAAATAAACAAAATAAAGAAAAAAAGCCCAGGAAAAGATGACTTCATAGCTAAATTCTAGAAAACATTCAAATAAATAATATCAATCCCTCTTAAACTCTTCCAAAAAATTGAACCAGAGGAAATCAAACTCATTTTATGAGGCCAGTGTTATCTTCAAAACAAAACCAGACAAGGATACTGTAAGAAAAGAAAATTCTAGGCCAATATCCCTAATGAACATAGATGCAAAAATCCTCAACAAAATGCTAGCAAACTGAGTTTACAACACATTAAAATGATTATACATTATGACCAAGTGGGATTTATCCTTGGGATAGAAGGAAGGTTTAACATATGCAAATCAGTAAATGTAATACATCAAATTAACAAAAAGAAAGACAAAAAAGAAGATAATCTCAATTGATGCAGAGAAAGTGTTTGACAATTCAGCATCCTTTCAAGATGAAAATTCTCAACATTTACATATACAACAAATGTACCTCAATATAATAAGACCATATATGATAAGCTTACAGCTAACTTCATGCAAAATAGTAAAAAGCTGAAAGCTTTTCTTTTAAGATCAGAAAAAAAACAAGAAAGCTAACTCTCACCCCTTCTATTCAATGTAGAACTGAAAGTCCTAGCCAGACAATCAAGCAAGAGAAAAAAAAATCAAATCAGAAATGAAAATGGTAAATTGCCTTTATTTACAGTTGACATCATATTTTATATAGAAAGCCCTAAAGACTTCACCAAAAACTTTTATAACTAATAAACACATTCAGTAAAGTTGCAGGATACAAAATCAACACTAAAAAATGGATTGCATTTCCATACACCAACAACAAACTATCCAAAAAAGAAATTAAGAAAGAAATTCCATTTACAATAGCATCAAAAAGAAAAAATACTTAGGAATACAATTAGCCAATAAGGTGAAACATCTGGACATTTAAAACTATAGTCTTTAAGGCAATTGAGGAAGACACAAAAGAATGCAAAGATATTTTGTGTTCATTAATTAATATTGTTAAAATGTCCATATAATCCAAAGCAATTTACATATTTAATGCAATCCCTTTCAAAATATAAATAGCATTTTTCACACAAATATGAAAAAACATTCCTAAAATTTATATGGAACCAAAAATATCCCAGATAGCCAAAGCAATCTTGAGCAAAAAGAACAAAGCTGGAATCATCAGACTACCTGATTTCAAAATATATTACAAAGCTATAGTATTCAAAACAGTAATGTACTGGCACCAAAACAGACACAGACCAATGAAACAGTATAGAGAGCCACGTAATTACCCACACATATACAACCAACTAATCTTTGACAAAAGTGCCAAGGACACACAATGAGAAAAGGATAGTTTCTTCAATAAATGGTGTTGGAAAAAATTGGATATCCACATGCAAAAGAATGAAATTGGACCCTTAGCTCACACAATATGCAAAAATTAACTCAAAATATATTAAAGACTTAAACTGTAAGTATAACATGTATATAAATCATGAAACTGTAAAACTACTGAAAATAAAAACATAGAGACAAAGCTTTTTGAGATTTGTCTGGGCAATGATTTTTTCAGATATAACCCCAAAACCATAGGCAACAAAAGCAAAAAGAGACAAATGTGACTGCTTCAAAATAAAAGGCTTCTATACAGGAAAGGAAACAACATAGTGAAGAGACAACCTATAGAATGACAGAAAAGATTTGCAAACCATGCATGTGATACGGGGTTAATATCAAAATATATAAGAAACGTAAACATGTCAACAGCAAGAAAACAAATAACCGGATTTTAAAATGGGTAAAGGACCTGAATAAACATCTAAAAAAGAAATGGCCATATGAAAAAATGCCCAACATCACTAATCATCAGGAAAATGCTAATCAAAACAACAAGATATCACCTCACACCTATTAGGATGGCTATTATCAAAAAGATGAAAGATAACAAGTGTTGGTGAGGATGTGGAGTAAAGGGAATCCTTGAATGCTGTTGATGGGAATGTAAATTAGAATAGCCATTATGGGAAACAGTATGAAGGTTCCTCAAAAAAGTAGAATAGAACTACCATATGATTCTGCAATCCTACCTCTGGGTATATATCCACAGGACATGAAATCAGTAAGTCAAAGACATGTCTGCACTCCCATGTTCACTGCAAAATTATTCACAATGACCAAAATATAGAATCAACCTAAGCATTTATCAACAAATGGATAAAGAAAATGTGGCACTTAACTACAGTGGAATATTATTCAGGCTTAAAAATGGAAAACATCTTGTTGCAACAATATGGATGAACCTGACAGACATTTTGCTATGTGAAATTAACCTAGGCCCAGAAAGACAAATACTGATCATTCTCACTTACGTGCAGAATCTACAAAAGATAAACTCACAGAAGCAAAGAGTAGTAGGGTGATTTCCAGGGGCTTGAGGGTGGGGGAAATTGAGTAATCTTGGTCAAATGGTACAAAGTTTCAGTCATGCAGGATGAATATGTTCTGGAGATGTAATGTACAATATGGTGACTATGGTTAAAATACTGTATTGTATGCTTCAAATTTGCTAAAAGAGTAGATCTTAAATGTTCTCACTCAAAAATAATGGTAACTATGTGAGGTGATAAGTATGTTAAATAGCTTATCATTTCACAATGGGGAGATATATATATATACCATGTTTTGTGCCTTAAATATACGCAGTTTTTATTTGTCATACACCTTACCTCATGGTTTGCATTCTGCACTCTGCCCAACTTTCCGTGTGCACTCTCTTGGGTATGTGCTCTTGCTCCCATGGTCCCTGTAGCTGACAACACTTTCCACCCATTTCAAACCACACATTTTTCTTCATTCTTCAAAGTCCTTTCTCAAACACTGATGAAAATGCAAATCTTCCTCCAGTCCCCTCCCACAGAGTAAATTTCTCACCCTTCTAGGTTTAAATAGCCCCTTTTAAGACTCTGTTACTATGTGAATCATGGTCAAAACTGTAGCATAGTTAACAATGTATGTGTCTTCCTCTCATCTATCTGGCCTAATGCTGTGACTGATACCTATTAAATATTTGGTACATAATAATTCCTTTTCTTTTCCTTTTCTTTTCTTTCTCTTAAGGGGAGGCAGCACATCTTCACAGTCCTGCCACATCTTAGTTGTATAATTGTGCCAGGTTAACCTGCTAAGCCCCAGTCTTTCTTCAGAAAAATGGCCACAGTAATACTTGCCTTATAAGGTACTTTTGAAAACAAATAACATAATGTGTCTAAAGTGCTTAGTTTAGTGCCTGGCACCCAGTGAATGCACATTCTAAAGTGATTATTTTTAGTGGTATTTTCCCCCATCATTTCCTGACTGTGAGGCAGTCTGAAGCATTTTACATACCATGTCCCAGAGTCTGCACTAGAACTTAGCTTCCTAGGAGACGGTACTCTGTCCTTTTTTGTTGCCACTGTATCTGTAACATTGCAAACAATGCCTGGCATGCAGTAAATGCTCGATTAATACTTGTTGAATAACCCTCTGAAGGTTCCATACTCTCTAAAGTAAGAGTATCTTCTTCATACTCTCTAAAGTATGTCTTCTCACTATTCCCATTTATAGGGTATTGGAAAAAACATAGCATCAAGTCATCAATTTTTGCTGGCTTAGCAAATTTGAACAGTTCAGTTTTTCATTAGTATATTGAGAATAATAATACCTGCCTCACAAGGTTAATGGAAGAAAATAAATGAAAAGCACTTTGAAATACGTGTCAGCATTCTGAAGATGTTCATTAATCTCAGTCTATTCTTAATCCTGTTCTTGGAGTGGCTAGTGTGAACCATTAGGGGCTGCAAGCCTCAGTGGTATGACCTATAGAGCCCTGAGCTTTAAGAGAAAAGCATGGAACTTTAAGTACAAGGAGACATGGAAAGGCCACAGAGAGGTAGATTCCCAGCTGAGGGGGAGGTAGAGAAGCTCTGGAAATGATCACCTTTATCCCTGGCCTTAACATATCTCTTCCTCCTGGGTCCTCCATAGTACTCAGGGTCAGCCTGAAGATGGTTCACCAGTAGAGAACTGCTGGCGCTGAAGAAGAAGAAGACACTGTGGACAATGTTCTCCCCTTGTTTCATGATCTTGCTCACTTTGGCCTATCAAATAACTCCAGGGACTTCATCTTTTAGTTGATTAAGTACCTGGGATACCACCTTCTTATAGCTCTAAAGACACTGCCAAGCTATGAGAATGCAGGGGGAGGCAGGAGATCCACAAGGTCTGATTTTCCTGATCATTTTTGAGTAACAGGACTTTCTGTGATCTCATTAAATCACAAATGCAGTCTCAATCCGGAAAATAGATCCCATCATATGTGATAATCAAAACCTTGGACTTTACTTTCAGCTGTAATCTTTTCAGTATTACCTTCAGCTGAACCTGCAGCTAGGAGAAGCCTGAGGTCCTGGAAGGCAAGCATGAGGCTTTTCTCCTATATCGCCTTATGCTTCCACTCCTCCTCCCCATGATGCTGATGGAAAAGTTTCCAACCCTTTCAGAAAATTATATTTTCTGTCTTTGAAAAGCTGACATTTTACAAATCTCTTAATTTCTTAATACACTGAGGTGTATGCAGGAAATTAAGAGATTTGTAAAATGTTGAAGGGATATTAGTAATTACTTAATCCAATTTGCTTATCTTACAGGGGAAGGATCTAAATTCCTGCAAGAATTATCCCAAAATATACAGCCAAAGAGATGAATCACTGAGTTTTTAACTATAATATTAGATAACAGTATGAATATTTTTAAAATTTATAAGAAGACAGAACTGGCTTTCATTTAATATCATACGTATTACAAGAATTGGAAAGCTAAAAAACCACATTTCTAAGACTCTCTTGCAGTTAGGGATTGGATGCAATTAGTTTTGCCAGTGAGACAGACATCTAGGCTCAGAAGGCAAAGGGAAGCAAAAGCTA
This sequence comes from Homo sapiens, assembly GCF_000001405.40. Taxonomy (NCBI): domain Eukaryota; kingdom Metazoa; phylum Chordata; class Mammalia; order Primates; family Hominidae; genus Homo; species Homo sapiens. The sequence goes on from NC_000001.11 coordinate 171,136,039, forward strand.
AATTTTCGTGACAATGCTGATGGGCAAATGTATTCCAACAGGTGTGCTTATATCAGCTGAACTCCATGTTCCACCTTTTAGCCCCCCAATTTGTATGTTGCAGGCATCTGTGGTGATTGAAGCAGTTTCCTGCCCTCTGGATAGTAGCTCTAGTGGTGTGACCTCTCCAGTCCTGCAGCAACCTCCTAGTTCCTGCTCTTTCAGCTCTTTGACCTTTTGCAAGCACCTAATTCCCTGTAGTATATACCTTTCTTCATGATATATAGTGTTTTTTATCTCCTGCACTAAATCATGAGCATATGCATATAAATCATAATATGAAATCTTAAAAACAGAAGTACTTTTGCTGAGGCATTAAGCATATAATCAGTCAGCAGGTCCCCAAACATCTAATTCCTGAATATCTCATATATCCTGTCTCCATTATCCATTCCTCTAATGCTACTCTAATTTAAGTCCTCAGTCTCTCTGGCCTAGATTGTTGAAATAACATCCTGGGTTTTTGGTCTCCTTGATTCTAGTCACCATCCTCTCTAGCCTCCAGGTGAATCTGATCTTGTCTGATGTTGTCACTTCCTTGTTCAAAATTCTCGAATGGACAACCGTAATCCAGAAGGTAGTATCCAAACCTGTGATTGTGGCACTTCAGTATCCTTCATAACCTATGTCCTGCATGTTTAACCCATATTTTGCTATTCCCATCACTTATGGTCCAGCAAAACTGAACTAATTGTAGTTCCCCCATCACGTGTTCTTACTTTTCTATGCATTTTCACATATTTTTCTCTCTGCCTTTTTTCTATTTCTTGTCCCTTATCTGTCTGGAAAACATCTATTCTTCCTTCAAGACTCAGCTGTCTTCTCACACTCCTTGAAGCCTCTCTTTCCTCCTCCAAGTGGACCTAGATTTTTCTTCCTACATGCTAGCACTACACTGAACCATACTTCCACTGTGACATTTATCATCTCCCTCAACACTAGACTTCATGGTTCCAGATGGAAAGCACTGTGTCTTCTCACCTTTGAATCCCCCAAAAGACTATTATAATGCATGACATATAGTAGGCTGTCAGTACAGTGAAAGGAATGGCCAGAGGAAGGAAAGGAGGGAAACAGAAGCAGAAAGGACAGGTATAGAAGCCGGAGGGAGCCAGAGACAAGGTTCAGAGACCACAATTCTGTCTTTTGAGTTCACTAGTTTTACAAGCTCATCTATAAGCGTTAGTTCAGCAACTCAGATCAGGCCCTAAGTTTCCAGAAATTTGAGCTACTTTTCACTGTTGGCACAACAAAACGTTTCATTATAGTCCAGGTGCATAGCCTTTGTTTATATATTCTATATTTCCAAAGCAAACATAAATGAAAGAATCATTGTTCCCCTAATCTCCCAGGAGTTTCACCTTACAGCTCCAGTGGCCATGGCAGTCACTGTTTTATATTTTTTGTAACAAGAACCAAAGACTTCATTCTTGCCTTTTTCCTACCCCTTTCTTTTTACTTCACCCATGCCTCCCCTGTTCTTCTCTTATCCTTACCACACTCAGTCCTTCTCTTTCAGATTTTACTATGGCTCTATACCATTAAAAATACAAGAAAAAAAAGGAATTTTACTTTAAGAATAACTCCTCCCCCTTCCCCAGTTTTCACATCAAAAGACATTGTTAAATGCCATTCTCTTCCACATTTCGAGAACTGCTGATTCTCTGGGGAGAGAAAGGTGATTGCTTAAGAGGTGAAGTCCCTTAGAGCATTCAAAATGAGGAGTGATTCTGTACAGAGGATATCATGCAGCAGGCTGGATGTCTAGTTCCAATTCCTTTATTTGTTACCTCTGAGACCTTGAAGAAGTAGTTTCTAGTCTCAGCATACCAAAGCGTCATCTGCAATTGAGAGCATTGGATTGATGATCTTCAAGGTCCTTCCTGCTCTAGCATTCACTGAATCTGCTATTTTTGACATATTGAATAATCAGAAGCAGCCAGTTTTAGAATCTTATTATAGCAAAAGTGGTAAAAATAATGAGCATATACTATCAATGTGCATCTATGTCTTCTTATGTTTGAGTGAGGATCCTGATACATAAACCTTGGCTGATAATTTCTACTGAAAAAAATCGTAAGTATTAAAGACACTCTTCTGAAGATGTTCTCTCCAGACTCTGCTACAGGCAATCATGAGCAAGAGGGTTGGCATCATCGGAGCTGGAGTCAGTGGCTTGGCTGCCATATGGTGCTGTCTGGAGGAGGGGCTGGAGCCCACTTGCTTTGAAAGGAGCGATGATGTTGGAGGCCTGTGGAAATTCTCAGTGAGTGGCACATCATTAGAACACCAGTGGAAGGAGATGGATTCCAATGCAAATCAAATCTGATCAGTTCTAATTCAGATTTAGAAGGCAGATCACAAAAGCTCCAAATCTGGAAAGTAAAATCTTACCTCTCCAATCATACTAATGCCCAAAAAAACTATTTCATACCAGCAAAATTTGTCCTGAAAAGGACATTTTCAGCTCATTAAACATCATCACCTGCATGGTGAAATCCAGATCTCCAAGCTGTAAAGGGCACTAATGTTGGTAATTAGTCAAAAATATACCATGGGCTTCCCAGGTAAGTGAAACAATTCTATTCTTTATTGCTCTTAAATGCCAGGAACACGACTAGAAAAGAGACAAACAAACCTGGACTGAGATCCTGAGGTCAGAAGTCCTGAGTTCTAATTTCAACTTGTAGGTTTTCTAGGCAGATAAGATTTCAGTCCAGTTGCTTTTGTTTCCCTGGACCTCAAATGCTCATTTGTCAAATGCAGAGGATATGATTCTATAATTAACTTATGTCTATTGGGCAGATAGAAATTATTATAGATGATGATTGTGTGTGCGGCTGTTGAATAGCCTATCAGCTCCAAATCCAGAGGGAAAAATTATGGTCTTTGCCATTTGGGCTCATTGTAGAAATAATATAATTAGGAAATAGTCCTTGTAAACACATTTTTTTTTTTAATTTCAAAGCCAAGTTTGGAGAAACTTCTAGTTCTTCTGTCCTGGATTTCCCAGCCATTGTAATCAGTTGTCGATGATACATATTTGGCTTGAAAACATATTCACATCATTCATATTGTAACTACTTCCTGTCCTGGTCTCAGTTACTGCTCTGCCTGCGCCAATAGCCTCCTCCAATAGAGTATATCAGTGCTAACTTAGAACACATTTTTATTCTTCTCCAAGCTTTTTTTAAAAAAATTTGTGGTTTTGTAACCCTGAAAGCACTCCATGAGATATAAGGTCATTAATTTTTATTTCCCAGTAGGGGGTAATCAAGAGTTAATATTTTTCAAGAATTTAATTTTCCCTATTTACATTTGCTCAGGGAAATGTGGACAGCTTAGAGTAAATCATAAAATGGCTTTCTACCATCTCCCTAGTAACAATTAAATGATGCTTGAGCATCTATTCTGGTAGTTTGTGCTAAGTACTGGGATGACAAATATGGAATATAATCACTCCTTGTAAATGGTTCCATTTCATTTGATTAAGCAAGCCATAATATAATTCCGTAATCCTTTGATAGCAAATGGGCAAAAACTCATTTGATAGCCGAACCTCTTCTGAAATCGTAAGGTTAAATACCGTGAATTGGATCAACATGAAGCTAAGTCTCACCTTCTGTTGCACGGCAGAAATTTTATTGCATTTGACAGATTGCTGCCCCAGATCTCACTAGGAGTATTATGGAGCAAAATCCAAAAATGTACACATTCCAAAATATATCTGGCCCTAAGACTTTTAAAATAAGAGATTATATAACTACAACAACAAGATAGACCTTGTCACCATCAATTCAATGGACGAGTGCCTCGAGCGTTTAGAAGAGGGTGGACTACGGAAATCTTAGTAGGTCAAAGAAAACCTCCCACAGGGATGACACTTAGCCTTGAAGGATAACCCCAGACAAGCAAAATAGAGGACCACCTGTGACACAACTCCTAGAGAGTGCATTTCCCAATAAAGTCTGCGAATGGCACTCCATAGGCCTATGCAGTCATTGGCAGTGTGCCAGCACCAGGTTAAGAGAGACCAACAATCCATGAAAGGCACAGAAAAGGCAATGAACATGGTGTGTGCAGAGAGGGATCCATGAGTTATCCAATATAGCCAGATCAGAAAGTTTACTTAAGGAAGCAATAATATGATACAAAGATCAGTAAGATTCAAAGTTGGATTCTGAGTTATCCACAAGAGGAAATTCTTCTTTTCCATAAGGTCATGTCTATAAGCAAAATTCTACTCAAAGTCCTGGTGAGGATATGGACCCATACAAATACTCAAAACTTTAGCCTCCTCCACATACCCCAGCCCTTCCTTCTTTTCTTAGAAAAGTTGCTTGGCACAATATATAATCAGAGAGGGATTTTTTTTATGTGTTACATAAGACTTTATCTTGTAAGCCTTTTTTAGAAGGTGTTCTAGCAGACAGAAACGTGGTAATTCTGAACTTTTCACTATTTGCTTTTTCTGAGAAATGAAAACCAAATGGGATTTAAATACTAGCAGGCTGAATGTGTGTTTTAAGTTTCATCCACTCCTAAATAGGGCCTCGTGTCCTCAAAAGATTTCATTACTGCTGTAATAAGAAGTTGCTCAACAGCCAGGTGCGGTGGCTCATGCCTATAATCCCAGCACTTTGGGAGGCCAAAGCGGGTGGATCACGAGAGGTCAGGAGTTCAAGATCAGCCTGGCCAACACAGAAAAACCCCATCTCTACTAAAAACACAAAAATTAGCCAGGTGTGGTGGTGGGTGCCTGTAATCCCAGCTACTCAGGAGGCTGAGGCAGGAGAATCTCTTGAACCCAGGAGGCAGAGGTTGCAGTGACCTCAGATTATGCCACTGCACTCCAGCCTGGGCAATAGAGAAAGACTCCATTAAAAAAAAAAAAAATGCTTACCAATAGGTTAGTAGCATTTTGATTGCAAAAGCTGAAGCCAGGACTATTTGAACTTTTTCCCACTCATTTATTCCTTTGTTCATTCAATGAATACATACTGTGTACTTTATGTGTAGGGTACTATATTAAGCATAAGCTGCAGATAAGAGGCCAGCCAGCACTTTAAAAGCCGTGAGAAAACAAGTATCAGAATAACTATAAGTGACTATATAATTAGGGCAATAAGGATAATGGGACCTTAGTAAAACTAAAGATGATTTGGCAGTAGCTGAGAGGGAAGGTAAAGAAAGCCATGACAAAGTTGAAGGCAACTTTTGAGCATATTTCAAGGGCATATTTAGACAAGGAGATATGGGACTCATAAGCAGAGCTGGAATAGGAAAGAAGATCAAGGTAAACTGCTTAGATGCATGTACAACATTCTGAAATTAACCTCTGACTTTGCCCTCAAGTTACTTATGTTCTCGTGGGAAAGATGAGAGATGAACACGGTTATCATCCAAGACAGATGGTGCCCACAGCTGCTTAGATCTCTGGTTCCAGGGTAAAGCTCCCTCAGCTAGAGGCAGAGTCAAAGTTGAATTTCCTCCTTACTGGCTCAAACCACACCTCATATTGAAATAATAAAAATGCATGCTCCCTGGAGCAACTGACTTGTTATCTAATACATTTGCTTTTTTGTGTTTGTTTGGAGAACAGTCTTTTCGGAAAAATTCCAAGGAGCTGTAGTGTACATACTCTTCTCTCCTGGTGTTATAATTGGCTGAGGTCAAGGGGCAAAAAAGCAGAGATTCATTCAAGATGGAAATATTCCAAGGCCTTAGCATCTGTTTCCCAGAACAGAGTCTTACATTCTTTAACCAGGCTCCATCCCACAGTTCAGCCCTGCCTCCTTTCAACAGGCAGCTGAAAAAACCTCCTTCCCACCTCTCCTTCTTCTCACAACCATCAGTAGAAGGCGCTAGCTGTGGGTGAAAGGGAAGCACTCAGCCTGCCAAACTGCTGGACATGAGCCTTCACCCTTTTTCTGACCTCCACAAAAATTTTAAAAAGTTTAAATTCCTGTGCTTCCACGCTTATGAGAAATACAGCAACCATGAATAGAGGAAGATTATGTTTTCAACTTGAGAAAAAATACTGAGGCTTTGGGCAGCCCCCCACTTCCCCACGGGGACACAATCCTCTCAACCCTTTCCAGCACTTTTTGTTTCCCTCTTCCAGAGGTCATCTGGTGTGAGAGGGAGAGACACATCTTGAATCCAGCAGCAACGTGACATTCCATCTCTTTCCCCCCATTGCACAAGAGTCCTTCCGGACCTCGGGAAGCAGAAGCTGCCAGCTCTGAAATGTATTTTCAAGGCAGCACATTGTGTGCACTTTTACCCTACCCTCACAACTGAGAGGAAATGTTTATTTTCAATTTAGCTTTTGACTGCTTCTAAAAAATAAGCCACTTTTCAATTACACAGAGGCTTTAAAATGAAGTGCCAAGATTTAACACATGTTCTAAGGGCTCTGGTTTCCTGTGTTTCTTTGGTGAGGAGTGAAGTCCAGCAACTGGTGAGCCAAAGAATAGGATTCATTTACAACAGAGCAGTGGTTCTCAAAGTGTGGTTCCTAAACCAGCCACATCAGCATCACCAGGAACTTGATAGAAATGCAAACCACCCCAGACTCCACCCCAGACAGATTGAATCCGAAATTCTAAGAATAGGGCCCAAGAATCTACGGTCTAGGGAGCTTCCAGGCGATTCTCATTACGCCAAAGCTGGGAAACCACTGCAATATTGGGTTGTTGCCAGTGAAGAGTTTGCTAAACTCCAAAAGCAAATAAATAGGCTAGAAGTCAGAGCCTCTTCTAGACAGTTTTGTTTTTTGTTTTTTTTTTAACCTGAGTATAAGATCAGAACCAGTGGTGGCACAGGAGAAAGCAAAAACCACTAAGTGGCTATAAAGACAGAGCTAACACTGAGGGTAATTACAGTAAGAGGATTCACATGGAAAGAGCTCCAGTTCTGTGCCAGGTGCTACGCGAAGGGCTTTCCATTCCTTATCTTACTGAGAGCTTTTAATTTTTGTTTACGCTTTTAAACATGAAAAGGGTTTTAGTCAACCAAGAATTGAACCACTGTGTTCACTGAAGGGAACACAATTCTTGGCTTTCTCTTTAAGCTTTCTTATTCTCCCTAGGACCACACAGAAGAAGGCAGAGCCAGCATTTACCAGTCTGTATTCACAAACTCTTCCAAAGAAATGATGTGCTTTCCAGACTTCCCTTATCCGGATGATTACCCAAACTATATACACCACAGCAAGCTCCAGGAATATATAAAGACATATGCTCAAAAGAAGGATCTTTTAAGATACATACAGTTTGAGGTAGGGGTCTCATAACTTGTACTGTTGAAATTAAGATATGTGTGGGTTAGAGAAAAAGGAGGCAGCAAACTATTATAAAAATTAGAGCCAAATGTTTGGGCACCTCAGTAATCAAATGTTGGCTCTGATTATAAAGCATTCATGCATTGATTTTTTCTCTCCTAGACTTACTAGTTCACTAGTCTCTGAGAGCTTTCAGACTACCTTAGAAAATGGAGGCAGCTAGCCCATCATTGTCCACTTTCCACCCTCATGCTCTGATGTTTTGGAAATAATCCAAAATGCTTTAGTATATATTAGGAATTTTGTCAGTTCAATGCCAATGAGTTGTGGTTCAAAAAACCAGAGCATTTGGTAGGGTTTCTCCCATTACATTATGAAAAGGTTAACAACTTAAATGGGAAATATAGTCATTGCCCCCATCTTTACCCACTCAGTTCATTAGTTTTTTTATTAAAAAGGTGAGATTTCAGCATTGTTTCTGCGAGAATAATGTTTTACATTTATTTGGGACTCTTTATTGAGCATTTCTGTCTGTATGTTTGGAACTCTTAACCTCAATTAACTGCTGCTAAATGCAGAACACTTGCATATAGTGGGAAAAACAATCAGCAAAATTATGAACCATGGTGATATTTACATCATTATTTTACCTGGAGTAGCCCCAAATGTATAGTTAAAATAAAATTTTCCAATAGTCATTTTATTCCATTCATTCATTACATTCATTTGCTTCCATTATGGTGTTAATATCAACAAACATTAATGAAGTTCCTATTGTGTGCTTGCATTGTGCTATGTGTTATATGTAAAAGAAAAAGAGGTCTAAGACTTAGCTCTCAAGAAGTTATTTCAAAATAAATATGTAAAGAGTAAGTAAAAAGATTCCAGTAACAATTTCAATCAAAGAGAAAATTTTTTAAAGCTCTTTATGATTTGTTTATAAATAAAACAATGCTATGGAGATCATGAAGCAAGAGGCAACACTTTGGGGGAAGGTATTTTCTAGAGGAGGTAAAATTTAGTTGTATTTAGTAGGTGTTTTAGATAAATGAGTGGCATGAGTAAAATTAGAGAGGTGGGAAAATGCCCTGCTCATTTGGAGAACAGTGGGCAAACCAAGTTGGTTAGGAGGGAGATATATATGCTAGGATGAGATATGGCCACATATATCAGTAAACTAGTGTGTACTGTGACTTTGAAAAATAGAGGATTATTTTGCAACCATGTAAAAGAAGTCCAAAGAAGGGACATCCAGAGCTTATGTGATGGCACCAAAGTTATCAAAGATTCAGCTTCACCCATCTTAGCACGTGGCCTACATCATGACGTTTGCCTTGTGGTGCAAAACAGTTGCTGAAGCTTGAGCCGTCACATCTGCCTTCTAGGCAAAAAAAAAAAAAAAAGTAAAGAATGAAGGGCAAAGGGATGTTCTCTCAGCTGAATCAGCTCCCCTTTTACAAATTCTCCTGAAAAAACTGTCCAACATTGCTTATATCTCACAGGCCACCCTAGTTGCACAGGAACCTGGAAAATGCATCCCTTTTCTGTGTATGTTGTCGCTCCAAACAAAATCAGGGTTCTGTTAGTAAGAATGAAGGGAGAATGGACATTAGGGAAGCAATTTGCAGAATATGTTCCAGAAAAGTCTGTGGGAATAACAGAAAATAAAACTAAAAGAGTAAATTGGAACAAAATTGTATGGACTTAATAGTAATCGCATTCAAAATGTAGAATAAGTTTTAGAGGCTGTGAAGTAACAGAAATTGAGCAGTGAATTGAGCAGAGAAATTGAGAAATGAATATAGTCCTTCAGGAAGATTAATCTGACAAGCAGGACAAAGGATGGCTTGTAGGAAATGGGAGGCTGAAGACAGGCTAGGTATAGGTTCTTGCCGTAGTCCATGCAAGGGAGTGATAAGGACTTGAATGAAGGCAGTGTTAGCAATCATGGAAAGAAAGCGTGAGATTGGGAGATAAATACTGTTTAAACATGAGGCAAGGATGGAGAAATAACAAGGAAAACAAGTCATGGATTTGAAGCATAAGTGGCTGGGAGTTTCATGTCATCATTCAAAGAAATAAGAAAGTCAGAAGCCAGTTTCAAAGGAAATTTAAGTAGGTCAATCAAAACCTGCTACATATGAGGAAGTATTAGGTGGCCCTCCAGATGGAAAGGTCAAGCTAAACTGGATAGAAGAGAGACCAAGGATAGATGTATTTGTATATTCATACCACAAAACTTGCTAATTTTTTTTTTTTTTTTTTGAGACGGAGTCTCGCTCTGTCGCCCAGGCTGGAGTGCAGTGGCGCAATCTCGGCTCACTGCAACCTCCGCCTCCCGGGTTCACACCATTCTCCTGCCTCAGCCTCCTGAGTAGCTGGGACTACAGGCGCCCGCCACCACGCCCGGCTAATTTTTTGTATTTTTAGTAGAGACGGGGTTTCACCATGCTAGCCAGGATGGTCTTGATCTCCTGACCTCGTCATCCACCCGCCTCGGCCTCCCAAAGTGCTGGGATTACAGGCATAAGCCACCGCGCCTGGCCGTAAAGTTGCTATATTTCTAAGATAAGAGTATTTATGCAGAGCAAAAGAGATGCCAACGATCAAACCTTGAGATATTCCCATACTTATTGAGTAGATGGAAGATGAGGTCAGAAAAGGAGGAAGCCATGTCAGTAGAGGGTAGCCATAAGAAAATAACACAGATTTGTTATATGACATCATTCACAAAAATATTCAGTGTGATTTACCCCTAAATCAACTAACTTGATGTCAAAAAGTAAATGTACTCCAGTGAGTAATTTTTCTTGTGAGATTCAAAGACTCACTGAAGATTCACTGTGACTCCAATTTTACTATCTTTCTATACATTTCTGAATGACCAAGAGAGCTCGTAACAATTATTTCCTCCACAGAAACAAGGCAAGAAGGAAAAAAACTTTCACATGTAGAATTATAAATGGAAAAATAAATTTTCTAGTTTTCTTAAAGACCCTGGTTTCCGGTATAAAGAAATGTCCCAGCTTCTTAGTCACGGGCCAATGGGTTGTTGTTACTGAAAAGGATGGGAAACAGGAATCTACTATTTTTGATGCTGTAATGATTTGTTCAGGACATCACGTATACCCCAATCTGCCAACGGATTCCTTTCCTGGTAAGTTTGGAAAATATATAATAATCTAGGGACTTATATGCAAACATCAAGAGTTAGAAACATATCTTTCTATAGGTATTACATAATGATTATTCTTAGATTTCAAAAGAAAAAAATTAAGTTTAATGATAGGATATAGTAATAAATAGCCTCATAAGTCCTTATGTTAAAATAATCAAGGACTGCAAGCCAGAGATCAGACAAACACAAGTTCCTGTTTTACAGACAGTAACTCAAATATAAGTTCTAACAGCACACGGGGTCTCCGAGCACAGTTACATTAAAAAAAAGTAGAGTCCAACTGCCAAATGGTTTAAAGAAAGACACGTTTACTTATGTTATTTATAGGAGACTCCTAGGTTTCTAATTTCATCTTCATCCACAATTTGCAAATAAACTTTAGAAATCTCAGTGATTTGTGTGTGGGTACACACATGGGTGTGTGTATAGCAGCATACTTCATTACCATCCGAAAGTGGCAAACCTCAAATAAATACAATATACATGGAGGCTTCCTTCCATTTTTCCTTCCTTCCTTGCCACAGGAACACAATCTACTCAAAGATATTAGAGTTTCCATGTCTAGGTATGATGTCCATAGGCCGAGGAAAATTAAAGAGTGAAGGTTCAGGAGGAATATAAGATTAAAACTCTTAATGTTAACGGGCAGCATATTTAATGTTTATGAGCATGGGATCAGAACACCTGGCCTCAACTTACTATTCCACTAGTTCCTTACCACTTACCTTCTTTGTCTCAATTTCCTCTTCTTTTAAAATAGGGACAATAGCCCACCATGCAGGGATGTTATCAAGATTAAATAGTTAAAACGTGTAAAGCATTTATCAGAGGATCTAGCCCACAGAGTTAACTTAATAAATATTAACCATTATTATTATCGAAACATACATTCTCATGCCTTAAGATTTTTTAAGGAACTAAAAGTAAGTTTTAGGGGGCTTAATGTCAAAAAATGCTAAATGGATAAATGCACTTCAACTAGGGAATTTTTTAATTACAACTGATAATAGGTTTAAAAAGACACAAAGAAAACATCTTCATAATTTCTGAAAATCAGTTCAAACAACTTGCCATGTTCCACTTAGGCCTGGACCAGTTTCGAGGCAACTACCTCCATAGCCGGGATTATAAGAATCCAGAAGCCTTCAAGGGGAAGAGGGTCCTCGTGATTGGTCTGGGGAATTCGGGATCTGACATTGCTGTTGAGCTCAGCCGTCTGGCTACACAGGTACATGACGTAAAGGTTTTGGGAAATAAACCTAAGGTAGGGCTGTGCTACTAAATCAGTAGCCAAGGCACAGAGGATGGTACTTCTATGTCACACCACAAGAGATCCACCTCTTCTATGTGGCCCTTCAAATCAAGGAGGACTTGAGACATCCTCCATGTGAAGCCAGGTAATGTGGCCCGTGCTAGTAAGGAAGTACATTCCACTGAATCCAGAAGTAAGTGCATGAGTGCGTGTATGTACAGATGAGTGTGTATGTGTGTATTTCTTGTTTTCATTTTATATTCTGATCACCTCCAAATAGACTAGTTCCTGGTCAGGCTTAATCTTTATTTATTTAACAGTATTTATTATAACGTATCATGCAAAAAGCACTGTGTTTACCACTCTGAAGTTCTGAAAGATATGCATGACTTGGTATTTACTAACATTAATTCAATCAACAGCAGATGCTCAACAAATATTGGGCACTTACTATGCTTACTATGTGTCAGAACTATGATAAACTAAAAATAAATGCATAAATAAGTTAGACTAGTTCCTGACTTCAAGAAAGAGTCAATGGATGGAGATGGAGTTGACAGGTACACACAGACTATCACCAGAGGAGATGGTGAGTCTTCCAGTAGAATTAGGTGTGGCAATAGCAACACAGGGAAAAGAGAATCTAACTTAGCCTGGATGAGGTCAAGGAAGACTTCCCAGAGGACTCCAAGCTAAATCATGTATCATCGATAGACCCTAAAGAAACAACATATTTTTAAGAAAACAGGTTCTCAATAAATAAATTCTTAAATGGATGTAAATAAAACCTAAATTTTTTAAACTAAAAATTCCCTTCAGTTATCACAAAGTTAAAGTCTATTTTGCAAAGACGGTAAAATAGATAAGCAGCCAGACTCATCTCAGGGCTGAGGCGGTTGCCATGGTTTGGGTTGCTCAGGAGAAGTCCTTGGGGTATGTGTATAGGGAGAACTGGAAAAGGCAACCAGAGACAGAGAACAGAATTAAATCCTTGACATCTCGTCAGCCTAATTTCAGCTAGAGATTTAGCTACACTTTTCCCACACCTAGTCCACTATCACCAGCCACAACCACTGGGGCTCACTGGATCATCTGGTCCCTACCAGACTTGCCATCTTAGTCTATGAGTATGTGAAGATTAAACCATCACAGTTGAACACAGAGCCCTGTTGTTCCTAGAGGTATGATTCTAATCCTTTCAACAACTACACACCAGCCCTCAGGGGCAGTGAAAGAATCCTGTCTCTACTAGTTTAAATTTTAGACTTTAAAAAAATTTTTTTTTATTTTAAGTTCTGGGATACATGTACAGAACATGCATAGGTCTGCACATGCCATGGTGGTTTGCTGCACCTATCAACCCTTCATCTAGATTTTAAGCCCCACATGCATTAGGTATTTGTCTTAATGCTCTCCCTCCCCTAGCCCTCCATCCCCCCGACAGGCCTTGGTGTGTGTTGTTCCCCTTCCTGTGTCCATGTGTTCTCATGATTCAACTCCTGCTTATGAGTGAGAACATGCAGTGTTCGGTTTTCTGTTCCTGTGTTAGTTTGCTGAGGATGATGGTTTCCAGCTTCATCCATGTCCCTGCAAAGGACATGAACTCATTCTTTTTTATGGCTGCTAGACAACTTATTTAGACTCGCCTTTTAAAAGTGTTCCTACTTGGATATTGAGGAAAATGCACGGAAGTGCCCAAAGAAGTGTGTTGTGTTTGCTTATTTCTTACAGAGTAATGCTGAAATCTGTGTTGCTTTTCCCCACCAGGTCATTATCAGTACCAGAAGTGCTTCCTGGGTCATGAGTCGGGTCTGGGATGATGGCTATCCTTGGGATATGATGTATGTTACCCGCTTTGCATCCTTTCTCCGGAATGTCCTTCCTTCATTCATCTCTGACTGGTTATATGTCCAGAAGATGAACACGTGGTTTAAGCATGAGAACTATGGCCTGATGCCTTTAAATGGGTACTTAAAAATGGAAATTTTTTTTATTCAAAAAAGGGGGGCACTCATTTAATGAATTTATTCTCTCTAGAACTTACTTTTGTTGTCTCATTGAGCCTAGAAACATTAAACTCAAGGTTTCATAGGTGACGGAATATGCCCAGAGACCACGTATGGCTTGGAAAACTTATTGAAATTAGTCCAGTACAGAAAGGGTATGGAAAAATCTGAAATGGAGATGACGCAGGCAGATAAATCACCCTGACATGCATGATGCATTTGTGGTGGCTACAAGCTATAGCATAGAACTTTGAGGACTGAAGAAACTCAAATTGGTTTTTGGAAGAATATCTTGTCCGTGCTTATGGGTGTATGAAGACATCAATAATAATACTTGCTTCTCAAGATGGTTGTGGTATTCAATAATATAAAAATATAAAAATTGCTTTCTAAATGATAAAGCTTTAAAAAAATTGGTTCTTCTTAGTCTCAATTTTTCTAATGTGCTTCAAAGGAGCAAATAACAAAATAGTGTTAATCAACATGTCTCAGCAAGTAGGAAGTCTCAAAACAAAAGTGCACACTTCCTCCACCCCTGAAATGTTGACATTTTTGCAGAACCATCAGGAGGCATGGAACACATAAAGTAATGGAGAGTCACAACTAACGTGGCCTGTAAGATTAGTCAGATTCATTTATTTACTTCTTTATAGAGACAGGGCCCAACATTTACTAATTAGGAAGTCATTCCAGGTAGAAGAATCAGCATATCAATAGAAAAAAAGAATATTTAAGTTGGTAAGAAAAGAAAGAATTGAGAAATTTTATCTCCTGGCCCATGCTAGCCAAAAAGTTTCATTGTGTTTAGAGAAAGATGGTAAGAAAAAGGAGGAACTGTAAATCAAAAGAGCAAATGCCAGATTTAGGAGCTAAACTGTCAGTCCAAAGCACTTATACTACCAAGTCTTGCAGGCTGCTATAACCCTTTAAAATATGTTGATTTTATGCATTTAAAATTATGTTTAACACTGGGGCTTGCTTGACAGTAGAGGGTGGGAGGAGGAAGAGAATCAGAAAAAAATACTTATCAGGTACTATGCTTATTACCCAGGCGACAAAATTATCTATACACCAAACCCCTGTGACACACAATTTACTTATATAACAAACCATGGACCCCCAAACCTAAAATAAAAGTTTTTAAAAATTATGTTTAATATAGTAAGTCCCATAGCTTGAGCTGGTTAAGATTTTTTATCTTGTAAGAGTAACTATAAATTATATTTTGGCCTTGCCATTTAGACAATTAAAACATAGTTTTAGAAATTCATTCATTCTGAAAACTAAGCTTCCTTTTGGAAAGGGTTCCAATTACCCTAAGTTTCTGGAGGGAGAAAGGGGGAGGAAAAACAGGTTTCATTGTGGTCTATGTTTTGCTACCTTGTAAGGTAAAAGAAGAGGTTGCAGGATTAGATAAACAGAAAATGATGTGGAAGTATAGAGACAAATTTCAGGATTTACAAGGTTTCTTTGTGTCTGAGATACTTGCAGGAAATTCCGGAATCTCAAAGGAAACTTAAATCAAAATGAAATATATTGTCCTGAAAAATATTATTCCTAGAATTTTGGCAACTAAAATGCAATATCAAAGTTGTTACACTTTTTTGTGGACACAGCTGATGAAAGAAAACCAAACATGGCAATAAAACTTCCCACCACTGCAAGTCTGATTTCTCCATGTAAGACAAGACGTTAAAGTTATGATAATAGTGCACTTATAACAACAGTGCTTGCATGTGCCAGGAACTGTTTTAAGTGCTTTAAGGATAATTGATCATTTAATTTTCACAACAACCTATGAGGAAGATTCCATCATCATCCCCATTTTACACATAAAGAAACAAATACAGAAAAGTAACAACTAGTAAGAGATGGAGCTAGGTTATGAACCTGGGCCATCTGCTTCCAGAGTTGGCGTTCTTAACCACTTTAGTATGTCTATAAATTAGTTTTAGTCTCATTTAGGAAAGGAATTGCCATGAGAGAAGAGAGTCAGTGGCACTCATGCTGATGTTTAACTGCTTGATGTTATTTCAATGTTATGGGCTGTTGCAGGTATTTCTTGGAAATGAGCTATTTACAGCAAGGGTGTTTGCCTCTCATTGCTGTAGTTCCCTGAGAAAAGAGCCTGTGTTCAATGATGAGCTCCCATCCCGCATCCTGTGTGGCACTCTGTCCATCAAGCCCAGTGTGAAGGAGTTCACGGAAACCTCAGCTGTGTTTGAGGATGGGACCATGTTTGAGGCTATCGACTCTGTCATCTTTGCAACAGGCTATGATTATTCCTACCCCTTCCTTGATGAGACCATCATGAAAAGCAGAAACAATGAGGTTACCTTGTTTAAAGGCATCTTCCCCCCACTAATGGAGAAGCCAACCTTGGCTGTGATTGGCTTGGTTCAGTCCCTTGGAGCTGCCATCCCCACAGCAGACCTGCAAGCCTGGTGGGCTGCTAAAGTATTTGCAAGTAGGTGGGCCATTCTGTCTTTCATTCATTTTATCAATGAACATTTACTGAACACCTGCTATATGCAAAGCACTGTGCTAGGGATACAATGAGAACAAGACAAACATGTTCCTTGACCTCTCAAGGCTTAAAATGGGGTGTGGGGGATGCCATAATAGGGGAAATTTGGGGGGGTTCTAGTGAGGGGAGTTGGACTGTTGCACAGAGCAAACAGTATACAGGAAGTCATAAAGGTGAGGGAAAGCATGAAATGTGTAAGGACCCAGAAACATTTTGGTGGAAGGGAATATAAAGCAGAGGCAGGGAGTGGCAAGAAATATAGGTTTATAAGCCACGTTAAAGAGCTTAAACTTCTCATAGGGATTAAGGACTTCGCAAGATTTTAAGCAAGAAAAAAATAGCAGAGGATAACTGCAATGTCAGGCTACATTATAAAGATTGGAAGGGCCCTGGTGAGGGTTGGAGGTGTGCCAGAAACCTCACTGGTGTCAACTTCTGTCAGAATAACAAAGTCAGGCCACTCTGATTCTCATGACAATCTTCTTCTTCTCTCCCTCTACTCTAGACCTCATGGTCTCCAGGGGCTACAAGTATGCTTATGTGAGGAAATCAAGAATATGAGGATTACATGGAGAAAGGCAATGTCTCAAATATATTAATTTACTCCAGTCATACTGAATATTATCATTATTATTGAAAAGTGTTCTTTTATTCAGGTATTCTCCAAAATATTGACCAATATAGGTATAACTTACCTAACATAACTAATCCATAAAAACTTACACTATTGGTAATTAACAAACCATTACAATCATGGAATATATGTATATATATTGTCTAAAACTTTGTAGATAAATAAATTTCTATTTCAAATACACCATGAAAGATCATTATTTAAATAAACCCCATCATGAAATCTTTTGTAAAGGTGCTCCCTGCAAAATACTTCTATTGCCTTTTTCCTTCGAAAGGCACAACAATGCCAAGAGCCTGGGGTATTATGAGAAGACTGGATATAGTTCATAAACCTAAGAAATTTACATGAAGCAAATGGTATCATTTATTTATTCAGCAAATACTTACTGAACACCTACTATGTGTCAGGCTCTAACCTGGCACTTAGGACACAACAACAAACGAAGCAGAACAAAATTCTGGCCTCTTACTTTCTAGCAGGGTGTCCAGCCAATATCAATCATAGGGTACTACCAGGTTGACATAAGACACTAACGATGACTGGGAAATATTCATGCACTGCAAATTTTAGAGTAACTTTCTTCCACTGTTACAAAGGCAAATAAGCTACCATCACCAGTTAAAAGAAGTTGCATTGATGTAGTGAAATTCACAAAAAGCTAAAACTTGTCTGCTGCCCCTTAAAACACCTTGCATAGTTGCAGAAGATGTTTAAAATCCTATGCTTCCTTCCATTACCTCATTTAAAATGGCAGAAACCTTAAAGGGAACTGTTTTACCAGATTCTTTCTTCAGAGAAGTTTTAGGAAAAGGATACAGAAAAAAAAGGAAGAAATTATTAAGCTATTATATGCATGAAGTGTACTGAGCACATATGTTGAGGATTAGGTCCTCTATAATGTTACCGAAATAAGAGACTGAGTGATTTGAAGCTACAAATGTCTCTGCTGTCACTATCTCACTACAGGCCAGCTTTGCCATTCCCAAAGGTTCATTAACTTTTCAGATCTTTGTTTCTATGAACTGGTATTTTGCTAAAGATATCAAAGACATCTCCAGCTCCTCTTAATACAAAAGTTTTCAGGAATACAGTTTATAAAAACCAAATGATTTCCATCATATGTCATTATATATTTCTGATTTGTGTTTTTCAATATTTTTCTCTTCATTTCTTTTCTAGACTCATGTACCCTGCCAACCACGAATGAAATGATGGATGACACTGATGAGAAAATGGGGAAAAAACTCAAGTGGTAAGCAGCTAACTGTACTTGCTAATAGAGCAAGTCCTAAAATGTGCCTTTATGTGTAGAAAAACATTAATATGCTTTAATATTGTCATTAGTCAGAGTTTACATTTTCTGAACACTTGCAATAATCAAAAAATGTTTAGATAGTAAACAGTCATCACACTTCTCTTGTGTAACTCAAGAATAGAGGTTTTCTATCAGGGATAATTTTGCCCTCCAGGTGACATATGGCAAAATCTGGAGACACTTTTGGTCATTGTGAGTGGAGAGGGCATGCTATCAGCATCTTATGAGTAGAGAACAGGGATTCTGCTAACCATCCAACAATGCAGAGCACAGTTCACCAAAACAATTATCTGGCTCAAAATGTCAATAGTGCTGAGGTTAAGAAACAACTCTATAAATGACTACAGTTGACCTTTGAACAACACAGGTTTGAATTATATGGGTCCACTTATACATGGATTTTTTCAATTAACATAATGCAGATTGGGCATGGTGGCTCACGCCTGTAATCCCAGCACTTTGTGAGGCTGAGGCGGGCGGATTACCTGAGGTCAGGAGTTCGAGACCAGTCTGGCCAACATGGTAAAACCCTGTCTCTACTAAAAATACAAAAAAAATTAGTCGAGTGTGGTGGTGTGCACCTGTAATCCCAGCTACTCGGGAGGCTGAGGCAGGGGAATTGCTTGAATCAGGGAGGTGGAGGTTGCAGTGAGCCAAGATCGCGCCACTGCACTCTAGCCTAGGTGACAGAGTGAGACTCCATCTCACAAAAAAAAAAAAAAAAAAATGCAATTTTTTGGAGATTTGCAGCAATTTAAAAACTCAAGGCCAGGCGCGGTGGCTCACGCCTGTAATCCCAGCACTTCGAGAGGCCGAGGCGGGTGGATCATGAGTTCAGGAGATCAAGACCATCCTGGCTAACATGGTGAAACCCCGTCTCTACTAAAAATACACCAAAATTAGCCGGGCGTGGTGGCGGGTGCCTGTAGTCCCAGCTACTCGGGACGCTGAGGCAGGAGAATGGCGTGAACCCAGGAGGCGGAGCTTGCAGTGAGCCCAGATTGTGCCACTGCACTCCAGTCTGGGCAACAGAGTGAGACTCCGTCTCAAAAAAAAAAAACCTCAAAGATGAATTGTGTAGCCTAGAAATATTTTAAAAAATTAAGAAAAAGATGCCATGTATAAAATATTTGTAGATACTAGTCTATTTTATCATTTACTACCATAAAATATACACAAATCTATTATTAAAAATTAAAATTTATCAAAACTAAATGCATACAAACTCTTAGACTATACATGGCACCATTCATAGTCAACAGAAATGTAAACAAACATAAAGATGCAATATTGTCATAACTGCATAAAATATAGCACATAATGTGCTAGTATAATAATTTTGCAGTCACCTCTTGTTGGTATTGCAGTGAGCTCAAGTGTTTTGAGTATCTACTTAAAATGCTGTGTGACATTAGTCATTTTCACCTGAGCAGTTCATATCTCCAGTAAATTCTGCCTCACAGTAAAAAGTGATCTCTCAAGGTTCTCACATATTTTTATCATGTTTAGTGCAATACCTTAAGCCTTTAATAACACCATGGGCTCCATATGAAGTGTCATTAATGATGTTGGAAGTGCTCCCAAGAAGCAGAGAAAAGTTATGACATTATAATAAAAAAATTGAGTTGCTTAATGTATACTATACATTGAGGTCTGCAGCTATAGTTGCCCACCATTTCAAGATAAATGAATCCAGTGCAACTATGCCAGCAGGCATGAAATCTTGCACTTTTTGTAAAATATCTTTTTATTTTGGATTGAAAATGCAGCTTTTTATGTGGGTGCAGGATTGCTATAAGAAAGTATACATATAGACTCTAATATAATTTGAGAAAAAGTGAAGTTATTATATGACAAAGCAAAAGGAAGGTGAAGGATCTAGAGCTGGAAAAGTTAATGCCAGCAAAGGATGATTTGATTACATCAGAAAGAGTTTGGCTTCAAAAATGTCAAGATAACAGGAGACACGCATGCTGCCAACCAAGAAGAAGGAGATGAATTCCCAGATGTCATTATGAAAATCATTGAGGAGAAAGGATTTCTGCCTGAACAGATTTTTAACACAGACAAAAGTGCCCTATTCTGGAAAAAAAAAAAAAAAAAAAAGCCACAAAGGCCATTTATTAATAAGGAGCAGAAGTGAGCACCAAGATTAGGCAGGAAAGAATAAGCTAACTACTGTTTTGTGCAAATGCAGTCAGATTTATGATCAGGATGGCCCCTACCTATGAAGCTACCCCCTCAAACCTTGAAGGGAAAAGATGAATATCAGCTTCCTATCTTTTGGTTATACAAGACCCTTTTTCTGGATTAGCTCTGTCAATGCTTTGTCCCTGAAGTCAGAAAGTCCTTGCCAATAAGAGACTGCCTTTTAAAGTTTTTTTGATATAGACAATGCCCCTGACCACCCAGAACCCCATGAGTTCAACATGGAAGGCATCGAAGTAGTCTAATTTCCCCCAAACACAACATTCTAATTCAGCCTTTATATCAGGGAGTCATAAGGACCTTTAAGGCTCATCACATACCATACTCTATGGAAAAGATAGTCAATGCTGTGGAAGATAACCCAATAGAGAGAACATCATGAAAGTCTGGAAGGATTATACCATTGAAGATGCCCTAATTGTTATAGAAAAAGCCATGAAAGCCATCAATCCTAAAACAACATATTTCTCCTGGAGAAAACTATGTCCAGATGTTATATATGACTTCAGAGGATTTACAACAGACCAGTCACAGAAATCATGAAAAAGATTATGGATATGGCAAAATAAAAAGGTGAGGGTGAAGGGTTTCAAGATATGGATCATGGAGAAATTCAACAGCTAATAGACACCACTAATAGACACTTTTAATTCCACACTAGAGGAACTAAAAGATGATTTGATGGAGATGAGTCCTTCCAAAGCAGTGCCAGATGAGAACGAAGACATAGAAAAAGCCATGCCAGAAATAAATTGACATTAGATCATCTGGCAGACAGTTTCCAGTTATTTAAGACTTCTTTTGACTTCTTTTATATAACATGGACCCTTCTATGATACAGGCACTGAAACTAAAGCAAATGATAGAGGAAGGATTACTACTATATAGAAAATTTTTAGAGAAATAAAAAAGCAAAGTCAGACAGAAATTATAATATATTTCCATAATTACACCAATGGGCCTGCCTCTCCTGCCCCCAATTCTACCTCCTCCATCTCTTCCGCTTCTGCCACCCCTGAAACAGCAAGACCAACCCCTTCTGTTTCTCCTCCTCCTCCTCAGCCTACTCAACATAAAGATGATAAGGATGAAGACATTTATGATAAACCACTTCCACTTAATGAATAGTAAACATATTTTTTCTTCCTCATAATTTTCTTAATAACATTTTCTTTTCTCCATATTACTTTATTGTAAGAATAGTATTTAATACGTATGACATATAAAATATGTGTTAATCAACTGTTTGCATTATTGGTAAGGCTTCCAGTCAACAGGTTATTAAGAGTTAAGTATTTGGGGAGTCAAAAGTTATACATGGATTTTTGACTGCAAGAGGGCTCAATGCCCCTAACCCCTCAGTTCTTCCAAAGTCAACTGATATAGGAAGTTTCTTTACTTTTTCAAGCATTTAACATTGCATTGATATGTCAACCTAAAGGAAAACACTGAGGCAAATTTAATATAAAAAGAGAATTGATTTGGGCCAAGTTTGAGGACTGCAACCCAGGAGCACAGAGTCAAATTGCCCTGAATATGCACTCCGTTGGCAGCAGTTACAAGTAGGTTTTTTAAAGGAAATACAAAAGAGTCAACTTCTAAGTTGTTTACCAAGAACTTACATTAAAATTATATAAGCTATTGATTGGCTATATACTGTTCTTCGTATCACAAATTCTACGAACATGAAGATGATGAGTGAGACAGCTAGTCAGGAATAAAAATGCCTTTTAACAATTGCCGCCAGGCATTGGTAGAGGGCAGCATGACAAGTCCCATACACGTGGCTCTCTCAGCTTGATAAATTTTGCATACCTCACATAGTGCAAACTACTCTGAGCTATTTTTCTTCTCTCACATTGAATGCCACAATGTAGTCACCCATTCAGGGCCTAGAGAAGAAAAGAAATGGAACCCTCAGATTCAACAAAACCTCTCCTGCACAACTTCAGCCAGTTGACGAACAACTTGCAGAGTTGGGCACTTTTATGTGCTAACAATTCATGCAGCTTGATACCCTTTCCTTTAGAGCCCAGTAGAAATAAAAATGAGGAAATAGAGAGGTTAAAATGTTCATCTTATTGCTTAAATGATAAGCTGCTCTTCAGAGTTTCAAAAAGCAAATTACACCATATTCCAACTAAAAGAACTATAGAGGCGGAAAGGAGGTGATCTCTTTTCTCTCTGTCATAAAAGGTAATGGCCAACACCCCTATAACAAAAGACAGGTTAACAAGAGAAAACGTGACAGATTTATTACGTGCACATGTGTGCATGAGAGCCTTACAAAACATGAACTCAAAGGAGGGCCAGATCATTCATGTTTAAATATTCTCTTCACTGGGGTTAGGGGAGATGGAAGTGTAAAAGTAAATGATTTTTCAGAGGAAATTAATAAGTCCAAAGAACACAGATTAGACCAAGTTTCTCTGGGCTTTGGGGGAGGTGTAATCACCCAACAGATTCATCTTGCTCACTGCCCAGAAAAGCTGATGCCCTGAGAACAGCAGGTTTTTCCAATAGAGAGAGTTTAATAAACACACAGCTGTCAGAGGCATTTGAACCAGAGTGACTCCATCTTGAATAGGGGCTGGGTAAAATGAGGCTGAGACCCACTAGGCTGCATTCCCAGGAGGTTAGGCATTCTTAGTCACAGGATGAGAAAAGAGGCCAGCACAAGATTCAGGTCACAAAGACCTGGCTGATAAAACAGGATTCAGTAACGAAGCTGGCCAAAACCCACCAAAACCAAGATGATGAAAAAAGTGACCTCTGGTCGTCCTCACTACTCATTATATGCTGATTATAATGAATTAGCATGCTAGAAGACACTCCCACCAGCACTGTGATAGTTTACAAATGCCATGGCAATATCAGGAAGTTACCCTATATAGTCTAAAAAGGGGAGGAACCCTCAGTTCTGGGAACTGCCCATTTCTTTCCTGTAAAACTTATGAATAATCCACCCCTTGTTTAACATGTAATCAAGAAGTAACTATAAGTATACTCAGTTGAGCAGCCCATGCCACTGCTCTGCCTATGAAGTAGCCATTCTTTTATTCCTTTACTTTCTTAATAAACTCGCTTTCACTTTATGGACTGGCCCTGAATTCTTTCTTGTGAGAGGTCCAAGAACCCTCTTTTGGGGTCTGGCCAGCTAAACGGAAGGACAGGAGTTTATTACTACTCAAATCAGCCTCCATGAAAATTCAGAGGCTAGATTTTTTTAAGGATAGTTTGGTAGTCAGGGGCTAGGGAATGGGGAATGCTGATTGGTTGGGTCAGGGATGAAACCATAGGGAGTCAAAGCTTGTCTTCTGGTCTTCCTGGGAGGAGACCACATGACAAGATGAACCAGTTTACCAGTCTGGGTAGTGCCAGCCGGCCCATCAGAATGCAGGGTCTGAAAAATATCTTGAGCACCAATGGTAGGTTTTATAATGGTGATGTTATCCATAGGAGCAATTGGGGACTTCTGACTGCATGACTCCTGAGCCCTAATTTCTTATCTTGTGGCTAATTTGTTAGTTCTACAAAAGCAGTCTGATCTCCAAGCAAGGAGGGGGTTTGTTTTGGGAAAGGGCTGTTACCATCTTTGTTTCAAAGTTAAACTGTAAACTAAATGTCTCCCATAGTTAGCTTGGCCTATGCTCAGGAATGAATAATGGCAGCTTGGAGATTAGAAGAAAGATGGAGTAATTACATTTTTTTTTTCACATTTTTTTCACTGTCACAATTTTTTTAAAGGTGATTTCAGAGGTAACATCACAGGACATGGGAGACTAAAGGGAGGAAAGTATGTCAAACAAAGGCTGTCCTGTTCTGCAGACGAAACCTCACAGAAAGCAACTCTCAGAGTCAGTAGCCTATGATGAAAGTTTCTCTGTCAGACATTCAGCAGTGCCTGACTCTCAGTCTCTCTCTCCTGCAAGTTAATCTTTCCTAGAGTGGGCAAGGGAGGCCTCCGAGAAAGCCTAGTTTCCATCTTCTGTTTACTTCCTTTTATTTTCTCCACAGATAAAAATCTCCTTCACAAAAGGCAGCTTTTCAGGGCTGTTTCTGTCTGCAGGCCCTCTGAATAGCCATCTCAAAATCTGTCAACGAAGTGTATATTTTGCAGTAAAATATTTTTTGTTTTCTTTAGTATGAAACAATTTATATTATTAGATTACAGGAGTATTAAAACCATCCATGATCTCACTTTTAAACAAACCAATCTGAAAGTCTAACATTGGGGCAGATTCTAAGCAATGTCTTATAAAGAATAATTATGTGTTAATGAGTAAACTAAGTTAATTAGTCTCCTTAAACCAGAGGGTCAGTTTACTCCAGGCCACATGGTCAAAGGCAAAAGTCCAACATTACATCAAACTCAAATAGAGATTAGGAAGGAGGAGAAAAGCAGCTCACTTAGCTAAAGAAAAAACAATAAATTCAATTTTGTGGAAAAGGAGGGCATAAATGGAGGTGCTATCTAAAATGTTATTTTTCTGAAAGAAAAAATAAGAAATTAATGCTCCTATTTGCAACTGTAACACTTATTCCAGTATGTTCTCTTCTTTCTTCATGTTTGGCCAGAGCCAGACTTTGCAGACAGATTACATCACATATGTGGATGAGCTGGGCTCTTTCATAGGGGCCAAGCCTAACATACCATGGCTCTTCCTGACAGATCCCCGCCTGGCCCTGGAGGTGTACTTTGGCCCTTGCAGCCCATACCAGTTTCGACTGATGGGACCAGGGAAGTGGGATGGGGCCAGAAATGCCATCCTGACCCAGTGGAACCGGACAGTGAAGCCAACCAGGACAAGAGTTGTCAGTGAAGTTCAGCGACCCCATCCCTTTTACAATTTGCTTAAAATGCTTTCATTCCCATTACTCCTTCTGGCTGTTACACTTACATTTTATTAATGAGAAAGTCTTTGAGGTCTCAAAATTCAGCATAGAAGTGTAATCACACAATACAACACACACACACACACACATACACACACACAATCACAACATAGTTCCTCTCTCCTTTCCTGAAGATATGAAAATCAGTCTTGGCCCATTTGAATTAAAGTATAAGTAAAATGGAAAATACTCAGCCTCTCTCTCTCTGTTGGGAATCTGTTCTCTAAAAGGCTTTTCACATGCTGAATTGGCAAATTTGGGGATGCTTAAGATAAGACAGGAAGTTGAATAAGCATGAGCACAGATTTTCAGGCTGAACAAAGTTTAACAAAATGTAAAGGCATTTTATTTTGTCCATTATAGTATATTAACCAATGTATTTTTCATATTAACTGAAGTTATTGACATTAAATCAACATAGAGAGATAAGTTTATACCAATACAACAACGAAGATAAAATGAACACATTGCTTGAAAGATACATACTGCCAAAGCTCTCCCAAGAAGAAGCATATAACCTGAATAGACCTAAATCTATTAAAGTACTTGAATTTGTAGTTTAAAAACTCTTCCACAAAGAACAGGCCAAGAACCAGGTCTTCACTGGTTAATTCTGTCAAACATTTGAGAAAGCAATATACCAACTATATGCAAAATTTTCCAGAAGATTAAAGAGGACAGAATAATCCTCAGCTCATCATAGCCCTGACACCTAAACAAGACAAACACATTCTAAAAAAATAAAATATAGATCAATATCCTTCATGAAGATATATGCAAAAATTCTTAACAAATGTTAATATAATCAAACAGTTTATAAAATGAATAGCATAACCAAGTAAGAATTATTCTGGAAAAGCAATGTTGGTTTAATAGTCAATGTAATTCACCACATTTGTAAACTAAAAATGAAAAACCATAGGATCATCTCAATAGATGCATAAAAAGCATCTGACAAAAGCCAACATCCATTCCTGAAGAAAACTCTCAACAAAGTGATAGAAGGAAACTTCCTCAACATGAAAAAGGGCATCTATGAAAAACCTACAGCTAATATCATACTGAATGGTGGAAAACTAAACGCTGTATTTCTAAGAGCAGGAACAATATAAAGGCCTTGGTTCTCACCACTTCTAGTCAACATCCTACTGGGGTTTCTAGCCAGTGCAATAAGGAAAAAAAAAGAGGAATAAAAGATATCAAAAGTGGAATGGGAGAAGTAGAACTTTCTTTATTCTTAGACAACATAATTGTCTATACAGAAATTATTTTGAAATCTACATAAAAATTACAGAACAAATAATTATATTTCTATATACTAACAGTAAACAGTAGAAAATTAGAAAATTGTAAACTATTATTTATAACATCCAAAAATATGAAATATTTAGGATAAGCCAGCATAAGAAAGGTAAAAACCATACACTGAAAGCTAAAAAACATAGCTGAGAGTAATTAAAGGTCTAAATAAATGGAGAGATACACTATATCCTGGGTTGAACCACCGATATTGTGGTGATGTCAATTATCCTCAAGTTGATCCATAATTTCAATGCAATACTAATCAACCCCCTAACATGCTTTTTTATAGAAATTGAAAACTGATTCTAAAATGTATAAGGTATTTAAAGGACCTAGAATTGTTAAAAAATAACTTTGAAAAGGCCGGGCACAAAGGCTCACGCCAGTAATCCCAGTATTTCGGGAAGCTGAGGCAGGCGGATCACCTGAGGTCAGGAGTTCGAGACCAGCCTGGCCAACATGGAGAAACCCCATCTCTACTAAAAATACAAAATTAGCCAGACGTGGTGGTGCATGCCTGTAATCCCAGCTACTCGGGAGGCTGAGACAGGAGAATCGCTTGAGGCGGAGGTTGCAGTGAGCCGAGATTGTGCCATTGCACTCCAGTCTGGGCAACAAGAGCCAAACTCCATTTCAAAAGAAAAAACAAATGTGGAGCATTAACACTACCTGACTTCTGATTTCAGAATTTCTTATTTTATGAAGCTACAGTAATCAAGTCAGTATGTTATGGTGTGAAGATAAACAATAGGTCAATAAAAAAGAATGGAATGTCTGGAAATAGAACCACACAATATGGACAAAGGTGAAAATTCAGTAAAGACAGGAGAGTCTTTTCAACAAATGATGTTGGAACCATTGGATATCATGCAATATGGAAAAAAAAAAACTTCAGTCAATACTTTGTACTATATACAAAAAGTAACTGAAAGAGGATTATAGAACTAAAACCCTAAAACTTCTAGCAGAAAATGAAAAAGAAAATCTTTGGGTTAGGCAAAAATGTCTTAGATACAATACTAAATGCACAATATTCATTTTTAAAATTGTGTAAATTGAACTTCATCAAAATTAAGAACAGTTCTAGCATATTCTCACTCACAGGTGGGAATTGAACAATGAGATCACATGGACACAGGAAGGGGAATATCACACTCTGGGGACTGTTGTGGGGTAGGGGGAGGGGGGAGGGATAGCATTGGGAGATATACCTAATGCTAAATGACGAGTTAGTGGGTGCAGCGCACCAGCATGACACATGTATACATATGTAACTAACCTGCACAATGTGCACATGTACCCTAAAACTTAAAGTATAATAAAAAAAAAGAACAGTTCTAATATTCCTTTAGGAAAGAATACAGTAAGTACATTGATACTTATGACATCCACATTATTTGTATCTAATAAAAGCAGGATGAATATTCTAACTCAATTTGTCTAATTGGAGAGATGGATAAGTCATAGTAGAAAAAGTTCAGACTTGAAAAGAAAAATGTATACCAAACTATCTCAATTTGTTTTTAGAATATGTATAATTTATCCTAGTAATCAAAATTGGTTCAAACCAGATGTGTCTCCAAAGTATTCTTGTGTACATGTGTATGTGTACACACATGCTAGTGTTGTGTTGTGTTTAGTATGATGCTAGATTGTGTAACAGAAAGAGTCTGTAAGAATTATAAGCTGATTTTCCAAATATCCTATGCACATATTTCTGAGTCCTCTGTTCAATCTGGGGACTACCAATGAAGACTAATCTGGAATCTTGGAGAGAGACACTTGGGAAGAACAAGAAAAATAATATTTTGAGTGGGGGTCTCTTTTCTGGAACATGTTTCAGGGTGTGAGAATCTCATTCCCTCCTCAGACCTAGTACTAGAGGGATGTTCTCCTCAACAAAGACTGTAGTGAAAGTTGGCTAAATGGACTGCTGAGCCCTTCAGACTTAGTTTATTTGAGCCAACTAGAAACTTTTTTGTAATTCAGACTTCTTGATATTTTATTCAATCATATGGATAATATTAATTTGCACTAAATTAAACTTGATGGAATGTTGCTTATAACCTCTGTGTATTTGGTCCTGTGTAGTAAGTAGACATAAGTGTGGTCCTTCCCATCATCTTTACCAACCATGCAAAATAAAGTGAGAACAAAGAGCCGTTAAGGAGTGACAAAAGGCGAGGGAGCATGCTAACTCAAAGCTAACTCATGCACCTCATTCTACTGATTGGGTAGCCTGCTCATCTGTGAAATCTATGTTTGTGTGTATATACAATCTGTAATTGAATCTAGTGTAAGGACTATACCAGACAAATTCATTAATAAACTAACTAAATAAAACCCTTTTACCAGTTGATTCCCAAAGACAATCAGCTTTTCAGTCAGATTAATAGCAAATCTCACAGTTAAGAAACTACTATGTTTTGCATCATCAGACACAGAAGAAACCATATTTTTAATGTTTTACTTTGCCTCTAAAATCCTAGCATAAATTAGCATATTTTTAAAAAAGGGTTAAGAGTAGTAGTTTATGCCTGGAATCCCAGCATTTTAGGAGGCCCAGGCACAAAGATTGCTTAAGCACAGGAGTTTGAGACCAGCCTAAGCAACATAGCAAAACCTTGTCCTACAAAAAAATTAAAATTAAAAAATTAGCCAGGTGCTATGACTCAGATGTGTGTCCCCTCCAAATCTCATGTTGAAATGTGATCCCCAGTGTTGGAAGTGGGGCCTTGTGGGAAGTGATTCTCTCATAAATGGCTTGGTGCCCTCCCCAGGGTAATGAGTGAGTTCTCACTCTATTAGTTCACGAGAGCTATTATAGTTGTTTAAAAGAGACTGGCACCTCCTCTCCTCTCTCTTGCTTCAATTCTCGTGCTCCCTTTCACACCATGTGACATGCCTGCTCCCCCTTCACCTTCTGCCATGATTGCAAGCATCTTGAGGCCTCACCAGAAGCAGATGTCGGCACCATGCTTCTTGTACTGTCTGCAGAATGATGAACCAAAATAAACCTCTTTTCTTTATAAATTACCCAGTCTCAGGTATTTCTTTATAGCAACACAAAATGTGTAACTGGCAAAAGGGTCCTGCTGCTTGCCACTTTTAGAAAGATGCCAACATAACAAGAGCGAGATGTGACAGAGAAAGAGTGAGTTTTATCATCTGTGTTAGCAAGGAAAAGAGTGGGCAGAATTCTTTCCCAAAATTTCCACTCTTCAATTTGTGGGAGGAACACAGGGTTTTTTTTTTAAGAGACAGGGGTTTGGAATGCAGGAGAGGAAAAGGGCAGCTACACAGATCAAAAGGCAGGCCCTTAGACATGGCACCTTGCTCTGTATATACCAGTCTCTTTAAGGATATAAACCACAATCTGGTTTATACATTATGTTGATGATTATAATACATTGATAATTAACAACTGTATATCTGGATGCAGTGTCATAATATGGCTTTTTAGTAAAAAGTACTTGAAGGTAAAATGAATAATTAGATTAAAAAATGAAGCCACAAGGAAATGATAGCTGAAATTTAAGCCACAAGGAAATGATAGCTGAAATTTCTATGCATATCTTTAAAATTTACATCTTACATTGAACTGCAGTGATCTAGGTGCCTTCAACTGCCCTGTCCTTAGATTTAATAAGGTGTAGATAGCTTCACAGATTACCTTTTCTTATAATAAAAGAAGTATAACCAGAGCCTTTATGACTACATTTGTTAATTTCTCCTCTCTGAAATAAGACAATGTAATCTTCAGGTATTTGGTTTACTAATATATCACAGATTCATCACCACCCCACCCAACTAATCATCAAATGAGTTTCGCAGCTAAGAACTGACTCATATTCTATACCTGCCTTCTTAATGTATTAAGAAAATCCTTAAGCTCCATTAGGCTTTGGCCAATATGAGACATCCAAATCCAGATACTTTTGAGACTAGACTGAAAAAATAAGTGAGTAAAGCAGATAGATTGCATATTAATCATTCTGTTGGCACATTAAACAAAGAGAAATCATCCTTTACTTCCGCAAAAATATTTGCAGGCCCAGGACAACCAGATTTTCTAAACTTTTTAGAGAAGCCTTGTATTGATATTTCCATCTGTTATTTTCTGGATTTTTAATGTTTAGCAACAACTTTTAAAAAAAGATTTGTAGGTCTTAGATGGGCTGGAGAAAACTCAGTAAGGGCAGATTTCAGCCGAAGAACCTCCACTTCTCCTTACCTTCTCTGGAAACAATATGTATTGCCATCTTCCAGCCACCATTCTCAGGGTTCAGAGGGAGTTTAAAGATCTCCTAATTTAACCCTTGGTTGATACTTGTGTTCTTTCTACAATATCCAGCCTCCTCTTTAACACCTCTTTGGACACAAAATTCATTCATTACCCTCTGGAGCAGCCTTCAGATAACTGACTGCCTCTGGCATTTACCCAGTACAGCCACCATTCATTCACAGTGGCGAACACCAGCCCTGTGAGATAGAAAGAGGTTCAAATGGGGGAGTCACAGCTACCTGCTCAAAAACTCAAAGCAAAACACTGAACTGATTCCAAACAGGAGTCTTCATAACTTATTAGAATATTTAAAAAGGAATAATTATTTGTAGGAATCTGTTATATGGATATTTTTGCATTAAAGCACAAAGATGGATGAACAAGGAAAATCATTGCAGTCTCGTTTATAATCATGAAAACCTGGAAACAATTCAAATATCTATAATAGTATAAAATAACATACAGTAAAATATAGGAGATCAACGTATATATACTGACATGGAACTCTTTTCAAAATATATTGTTTAATGAAAAAAGCAAGTAACAAAGTAAACAATATTTCTTCATTTATGTAAAGTCTAGTATCTGTGTATATAAATGTTATTTTTACACAGAAGGAAATGTCTGAAAGCCAATTGTCATCAGTAGTTTTCTCTGAAGATTAGACTGGGGCTGGAAATGGGAGGAAGGAGTAGGAACCGCACTTTTGTTTCTACATACTTTCGCATTGTTTGAGTTTTTTCATTGAAGACATTTTCATACATGACTAGTTTTATATGTAAGAAAATAATTTTTTAAATAGGTACCATTTAGTCTAGAAAGCACCTACAAGATGCCTGATTGGTGAACCTTGTGAAGACAAGAGAAAAATGAAAGATTTTGTGTATGAATTTTAGTCTCAACTGCAAAATATTTTTCTGCTTTCTCAATGACACTACTTGGTCCTGTGTGTCATGTTACCACTCCCTGTGTTCAGATGACTGTGTTTGTGCATTATATAACAATATTAATTGTGCTATTGCCAGAGAGGGCTGTGACTAATGAGGTATATACTAATTAGAATGCACTTTACCAGAATACACAGTTGTGGATAAGCCAACAAAAGGTTGAGCGCAGGTTGTGAACTTCTCCTTACCTTTCCTGAAAACAACATGAATTGTCATCTTCCAGTCACCATTCTCAAAGTTCAAAGGGAGTTCAAAGATCTCAGCCGCTTTGCCCTGTACATGAGAAAGGGAAGAATAATGGAATCGCAAAAGTCCCCAGGTAATGCATGTAATTTTTTCATAATGCATCACCCAGATCAATGCTGAGATCTGGAAAGAGAGGACCATAGGTTGTGATAATGTCCTGCCACTTCCCCATCTATCCTCAACTCTGCTGCAAGTCTGGCCATAGCACGCCCTGCTCAAAATCCTTCAAAGGCTTCTCATCACCTTTTGGATAATGCCCAAGCTCAAGAGCAAATGAGGCCCTCTACCATCTGGCTCTACTCTTTCTCATTTTTACCTCTTCCTTGCTCCCTCTTAATACTCTGGTAGTATTGGACTGGTGATATTTCCTAAACTCATACCATAATGATCCTCACCTCTTTGCTCCAATTCCTGCTGTTCCCCTGGTCACAGATACCTTCCATCACCCCACACACATCTCTACCACCATAGCCTTGGGCAACTCCTGCTCTTTGTTATTTATCTTTATTCTTTCTGCACAGTGGCTTTTCCTGGGGACCATTGTCTTCATTCCTCTTTGCCCATACCTATCCTTACATATACATGTTGAAATGATTACTACAGTCAAGGCAATTAATATATCCATCATCTCACCCTTCCCTAATTGGTGTGTGTGTGTATGGTAAGAGCACCAAAAATCTACTCTCTTAGCAAATTTCTAGTATACAATACAATGATATCCGCAAGAGGCAGGCAAATGCCTAGGCAGACAGGGGCAGGTCCCTGGTGAAACCCCACCTTCAAGCCAAAGACAGTTTAAAGCCTGAAAGCCAAGCTACAAGTCAAATCCACAGACTGGATTGAGAACCTCTCTTCCCATTTGGTGCACTTTCCTCTGAATGATCCCTACCCTTCACCTATTTTATATATACCTACCCTTCCCTAATTGGTTTTTTACACTGCCATGCCCACTGAGTTGTGCCTTTGTTTTAACCTTTTCTGCGTACTCACAAACCAATCACCACTCCCCCATTCTGAGCCCATAAAAGCCCCGGACCCAGCCACACTGAAGGGGAGACCACCCAACTTCATGTGGTGGATCACCCTCATGGCCCCTCTTTGCTGAGAGCTGTTCTGTCACTTAATAAAGCTCTTCTCTGCCCTTCTCACCCTTCAATTGTCAGTGTAACCTCACTTCTCTTGGATTCAGGACAAGAACACAAGAATTGCTGAACATAGGTATGAGCTGTAACACAGGTGGGCTGGGGCACTCCTGGGCCAGTCATGGGGTGAGCTAGTGTGCAAATGGGCAGAGTACCTCCTGCAGCAGGCCTGGGGCTGAGCAAGGCCCAGTTTGGGGCATCGCCAGCCAGACACTTCCAGCTGGCAAAAGTGACAGAATAATCCTGTATCAGCAACACTATTAACTATAGTCCACATGCTGCATATCAGACCTCTAGATTTATTCATCTGACAAAACTGCAACTTTGTTTCTTTTTATCTACATCTCCTGATCTCCCCCTACCTCTGGTAACCACCTTTCTACTCTGTTTATGTGTATTCAGCATTTTTAAGATGCTGCATATAAGAAAGATGTGGAATACTTTTTTTTTCCTGTGGCTTATTTCACTTAGCGTAATGTCCTCTAGGATCATCATGTTGCAAATGGCAGGATCTCCTTCCTTTCTAAGGCTGAATAATATTCGTGTGTGTGTGTGTGTGTGTGTGTGTGTGTGTGTGTGTGTGTGTGTGTGTAGAAACCAGCCCTTTCAAAAGATTCCATGCCTGATTTCAACCAACTGCCTGACTGATAAGAGATCACTGATGACCACGGAGTGGTTCTGGCCAGTCTGCAGAGAATGCACAGTGAGGATTTTGTGTCCTCTGCTTCACCTTTTGACATCAGAGGGCCAAAAACACCACCCTTGGGTCATGCTAATCCTGCCATTTTTTGAACATGGGTCCCGTGAAGGAAGATGAAGCTCAGATGTGCACATAAATGTTTCTCATTTCATAAATACTCATGATTCCTCCTATAGCATATTGAATTTGCATATTTAGCCACCCTGCTCAACATAAATTCATGTTCCCTTTGCCCCACCTCCACACCCCTCCCCCCCAAAAGTGCCTGCTTCCAGCTTCTGGCCAGAGGCCATGCTTCCCAGCTCATCAGAAGGGCCACCCTTCAGGCTATAATCATTTATGAGAAATAAAGCTCTCCTTCACAAATTTATGAACCTTGTCATTCTTCAACTGACACTAGTATATCATGATCCACCAAGCTTAAAATCTTACAAATAACCTTTATTGTCTCTGTCTCCTTAGCTATTTGTAGTTATTAGGTCACCAAGATCTGAAAATAGACACATCTATGGGAATAGAAGAGGCAAGGTCAAACCACAAGATATCTATAGTCTTCCTGAATTCATCCCTATGTGAGCATGTACGCACACGCACTCGTGGACATGCACATGAACGTACACACACACTCAGATTTGAACATGAAATACATTGGGCTTAAAGTAAATAAGTTACTCCTGTTGACAACCTGTTCTTGTTCCCACTTTAAAGTAAGACTCGGCTATTCCCTAAAAGTACATCCAATTCTATGAAATTTTAGCAAATCATTCCAATTTTTCTATAGGAAGACAAAAGAATACACCTGACAACAAAAACATTAATAAAAAATCCTCATTAGATCTCTGTTTCCTCTCAAGGTTCTTCTCAGATGACTTGTCACCCCCACCCTTTTATCAACCCTTCCTCCCCAGAGCTTCTCCATCCTTGATTCCAAACTAACTGCCTATTCAGAGCAAAGTCAAAGAATTATTTTATGGCCTATTTCAGGGAAGAAAGACAGCAAGAAAGTCAAGGAGTACTTTCTGCTTGTGCTGTTTTCTCAAATGCCAAGCTGTCATATTTTGAAACAATGTATCCTCAATCCCATCACCACCAAGCTTCCACTGTTTTCTCATTAGAACAATTCAGTTATCTCTGGCTTTTCCAACTCAGTACCCTAACATCTGTTATCTCAGTTAACAAAGGATTATCCTTTGAAAATATCTGGGAATAGTCCACACAACTACTTTTCCTCATGTGTCATAATTGTTTGTCCTGTGACAGGTACATCCAGTACAGGCTTGAAAGGTAAAAGAAGCCATAAAGAAGCATCTGCAATCAGAAAGAGGTTGTAGAAAAGAAGAAAAAGTCAGTTATTTTGCTTTCTCTACAGTTAGAGCCAAGAAAACTATATTTAGAAAACTGGATTTTATTCTAAAATTTGGAGATTTTTCCCACATCTCTTCTCTGGATAGATTATAATTCTATACCCCTATCTCAAAACTTTTAACATATGCAGAATAACAGGTATTTGCATTCCTCTTAAATATCTGGTTGTGACAAAGCTTGTTGTTGATCAGACTCCGTTTCGCTCATACATATTATAATGGTTTTGTTTTATAAATGTGTTACACACAACAAAAATGTGATTGCTTCAAAATATTTATAAAATATTGAGGAAATTCAGGATGTACCACCCCAGTATAACTGTAGGAGACCAGACTATGCCACCTTAAGAATGCCTCTTTGGCACAAAAATTATTTAAAGTTGATTATTTTGAGAAACAGCAGACACAAGAGAAGCTTTGAAAACAGAAGTTATTCTTTTGTAAGGAAAATTTATATCTATAAAGGAAATCTTCATTTGTAAGGGTATCTCCCTCTCTGTACCAGGAAGAGAAGGATTACTTAATCATTAGAAATTCTTATCAGTGGAAAAGTCATCAGCAAAAATCTGCATAATAAACCTTGTTCTTGTTTAACAGGCCTTTCTTGGCATAATTTTTTTCTTGTCATAACTGAGTCTCTCTCACATACTTCTTTGTATCAGGGAACCATGGTATTTAAGCTCGAAGTCAAAGCCACCTGTTTCAGATCTACTCCAGAGAACTCATTTTTCCCTGAAAATGTATAGATAAGATATACATGTAATTAAACTTCTGTTTTTCTCTTATTAATCTTTTATTACAAAGGTCTGTCCCAACTAAGAACTCATGCAGGGTAGAGAGAAAATCGTGTTTCTTCACCTACAGCTCATTAAATGACTCAAAACAATGTTTAAATAGGAAACCAATGGGGTGTTTAAGCAGGGAAGTAGCAAAAATTGATTTAACAGTATAGGAAAATACTTTTACCTTCAAGGCAGAGAATTTATTATAAATGGGAAAGACTACAAACAAGAACACCAGTTGAAAAGCCACTGCAACAATCTAGGCCTGATTTCAATAATTCAGAACTTATGACAATTTTGACAAGAACATGGCTGAAGTGTCCCTTTATTTTATCTATAAAAGGGATATTTCATGAACACTTAGCACTATAAACAAAATTGTAAGAGAAAGCTTAAACTATTATACAACACAAAATATTTTAAATACCGTGGAAGCAATCACATTCCCACAATTAATGTACTAGTTATAAACTATTACGTACTTTTGAAAGTATGTTCTTGAAAGACTTTCACTGGGCAAGAACTTGTTCAGTAGTTCAAGTATGTGCAATACCTGGCACACAATATGTACTCAATAAATATTTACTAAATAAATCCATACACTCATCATTTCTTTAAAAATAGCACCCCATTCAGATATCACACCAATTTACTGGCTTTACCACCTCCACCTACCACCCTGCCTCCAGTTACTATGGAAAAAAAGTCTTCTATCCATAACATATTCTCATAGAATATGAGCTACAATCCTAGTATATAAATATTTTAAAATAGACCGGAAATTATCTTTGACTTATAAAATTAAACAACATAATTTTAAATCACACAAAATATAGTAGGATTAAAGTTATGAATGTATCTGCAGAGAAGCCAGCAAAAATTCAAGTTGTTTGTTTTCCTAAACATTAGTCATATTGGAAATGTGTTGTGTTAAAAGACAAAATTACAACAAATCTAGTTTTGCAGGCGTTAATTGGCCTTTATTTGTGACTTTAGAATTGAGCAGCAGTTCAGTCCAAAAATGGCTCAGAATGTTCCACCCCACCAAATGTGTAGGTTATATTTGTAACTAGAGAAAAGGAAGTGACATACAGAAAACTGCACTGAGGTACAGAGATAGCCCAATTGGTTATAGTTCACATCTGTCTTATTTGAACATGGTTTGAAGAATTGGCCATCTGTGATTGGCTGAGATTCTGTTCCTAAGTTAGGTTTTCAGTTTGTTTAAGTGCTGAGTTGGGCTGCATTTAGGAACTCACACATAGGCCTCCTTGGGCCCACTTTTAATTTGTTTTAATAGTTGTTCATGTGATTTAAAGGATTTGATTAAACACAGTAAAGAACTTCCTGGTAGTGAGGACAGCTAAAAGAATGAGTGATAAAGAGAAATTTAGCATCTCCCTCTCTAGGAAGCTGTATAAACACACTAACTCCTTATAAGTCTCAGTAAATTTCTATGTAAAATTCATAATGTCATGGGTATAGTTTGAGCTAAAATTTACTTCTGCTAACTATAACTTCTGTTTTTAAGTTTGCAGAGTAAATAAATTAAGTGAACAATATTTTGATGGGGGAACTTAGACTACTGAAGAAAACAAAATGCAATCTGGTACTATTTTAACATAAAATCCGTACAATTAAGAAATATAACAATTATAAATAATTACTTCTTTGCAAAGAAAGTGCTCCCGAAGGTCCTCACCACACCTGAAAGTAATCATACTGCATTTATTTTTAAATAAATCATTATTCAAAGCTTTCACTAATTTTCACTGACATCCTAAAAGGTAAATACTAGTCAGTCTCTTTACATTTTGTTTGTTTGTTTGAGATAGACTCTTGCTCGGTTGCCCAGGCTGGAGTGTAGTGGTGCAATCTCAGCTCACTGCAACCTCCACCTCCCAGGTTCAAGCGATTCTCCTGCCTCAGCCTCCCAAGTAGCTAGGACTACAGGCGCACATCACCACACCGGGCAAAATTTTATATTTTTAGTAGAGACAGTGTTTCACCATGTGGGCCAGGCTGGTCTTGAACTCCTGGCCTCAAGTGATCCTCCTGCCTCAGCCTCCCAAAATGCTGGGATTATAGGCATGAGCCACCACACCTGAATAATTCTTGTATTTTTAGTAGAAACGGGGTTTCGCCATGTTGGCCATACTGGAGTCTCTTTACAGTAAATTCAAAAAGTATCATAAAATAAAACTAGTTTACATTAGAAACAGTAAAAAAGCATGTAAGCAAGTCAGAGTACTGGCTACTAGAAAGTAATTTCAAATACTAGCTATTTAAAGGACCAGGCACCATTGAAAAGGATTGATGCAATATAAAGAGACAGGTGAGATTTAAAAGGAGAGACTACATTTTAAAAGTTGGTCTTTGAAATGCATAGCTCTGAGTGAGAAAAGAAAAGGCAAAAAGAAGGAAGACAAGCCCTGTGGCAATTTGGCAGTGAAGGGAGAAAGAAGAAAAAAAGGAAGAAAAAAATTAGGGTCCTATAAGACAAAAAAAGAACCATAAAATTGGAGGATTCAAAACCCTTCCCCAATCATCATCATTAAAACAAACAAACAAAAGGAAAACTGTTAAATATCTGAACTTTTCTACTTTTTCAGAAGAGGGCACCACTAAATAAGGAATCTGGTAAAATATCCTAATTTCATAAAAACAAATAAGATAAAGATAAGCTATGTCCAGAGAGATAGGAGAGAGAGATGAAAACAAGAAAAGAAGGAAGGAAGGAAGGAAGGAAGGAAGGAAGGAAGGAAGGAAGGAAGGAAGGAAGGAAGGAAGGAGGGAAGGAGGGAGGGAGGGAGGGAGGGAGGGAGGGAAGGATGGAGGGAGGGAGGGAGGGGGAGGAGAGGGGAGGGGAGATGGGGAGGAGAGGGGAGGGGAGATAGGGAGGAAGGAATCAAAAGGTTTTCTAGAGATCCACTGGGAGAATTCTGTTTATACCTCACTGGTCAGAGTGGAGATTGCATGGTGACTTCTAAGTACAAGGGCATCTGAAATAACGATAAATAATTTTTCCCAGCCTATAGTGGAAGGTAAAAAGAGAAAAATGAACTTGGAAACTTTTGGGTAACCAATAAACAGTATGTGTCATACCTCTTCTGTAACTGAAATATATTACTTCCATGCTCACACTTTATTAGTAATTCAGCTAAATGTAAAAGTATAAGCTGAAAATGATACTACCTTAGACTTTTAAAGTCATTGCCCCATTGCCTTCGAGCTTCAATATTGTTAAAAGCCCATTGTTCATTCTACTTCCTGTCCTTTATATGCGACTTGTATTTCCTTTTCTGAAAGGTTGTGGAATCTCTATCTCTGGGGTTCTGAAATTTCTTGGTGAATTGCCCTGGTTTTGAGTCCTTTTTATATTATCAGGTCTGGAACTTTACCAGTTCAATTTCCACAAAGATCAAACCTCCAGTCTCCATCCAGGATGAAGGAAGGTCAGTCTCATAGTTGTTTGCAGAATGAGGATGAGAAATATCCATTTCATAAAAAGACTTTCAACGAATTCCTCTGTCATGTCCCATTACCAACATCTTTGCAGTTCCTGATGCCTCCAATCACTCACTAAGCTATCTTAAAATCATCTGGCATGCATTCACTTTTTTCATGTTAGCATCCCATTCGCAAGCCCTTGGTGTTAGCATTCTCTTTTCTGATAATTCATCAACTCACTTCTCATCTTCAAATAGTGTGTTGACATTTCTTCTCACTGTAATCTCAATCTCTTACTTCATTTATCCTCTAAGTTTATGCCTTTTAAAATACTCTTTCGTGGGATTTCAAGTGGAAGCAGAGGAAAATGTGTCTTCAGTCCACCATATTTAATCTGAAGTTCTCTCAATTTCAGCTGTAGTGTAAAGAATGAATTGGTAGGGGGAGAGCTAGAAGTGGTTGGAGTGGGAAGGTGGTGGTGGGTCAAGACTGAGAGGGAGGAGACAATCAAGACTTCTAGTAAGAAGTGGTGAGTATCTGAACCATGATAGTAGCAGGAAAAATAGAGATAAGAGGACAAATTTGAGACAAACTAAATTGATAGAAGAAACTGGAGTTGATAAGTGTCGTAAAGAAGTCCAAGAGGTACAGCACATAAGAGGAATTTCTGTAGGTTACATTTCAATAGTAGCAACAGTGAGCTTTAACTCCTGGCTGGGGTAATCAGAAAAAATGGGTGAAATTTGATAGATGGAGATGGAGGCAGGGCATTCTAAGTTAGATGATTAATCATGAGCATTTATTTGTAACAAGTGTTTTGTGAAGACTAGAACTTAGAATGTTCTGAAATTGAAAAACTTTTATTTTGACAAGCACAATTAGTGTGTGTCTTCCTGAGTGGGGAACTGTGATTTGCCTTTTGGGCATATCTTCCCTTTGTTCCTTCCTCTATCATTTCATTAATGACCATGTAAGACAAGTGCTCAGACATTTTACTTAGGCAAGCCTGAAATCAGAGAATCAACCCAAATGTCGATGCTTTATTGATCATGGGCTAACAATAAGTGTTGTGTTTGTGCTATTGTTTTAAGTTATATGTTCTCATGATTCAAAAAAAAATTTAAGTGAAAAAAATCTTACGTTCACTCCCAGCCTCTATCTGCCTAAACACTGCCTTCTTCTTTTCAGTTCCCACCCCCTGATCCTCTCAAGTGTCCACTCTTACTAATTTCTTGAATATTTTTCAGATTTATGCAGATATGAGAAAAATAAATTGTATTTTCCTTTTTACACAAAGCATAGCATTGTGTATATGCTGTTCTGTATCTTACTTATTTAATAATATACCTTGACAACTAATATATAGAGAGCTGTGTCATTCTTTTCAAAGCTACATGTTATTCAATCATAGAGATGTACCATAAGATATGGAACCAATATTCTATTGATGGACATTTTGTTAGTTTTTGGAGCGTTGATGGAAAATTCCCCTCTGCTCTCTGAAGATTTGCTAAAAATCTACTGACAAAAGGCATATTGATAGAAGAAAATGTACACAAATTTATTAACTTCCACAGGAGTTGGGGTAAAAATCACATGATTATCCCAGCATGCAATGGGGTACGGATGCTTATATATCCCTTCCTTAGGTGACAGGGAGATGAGAAAGTGTGGATTGATTTTAGGGTGACTATGAAATGATCTCTAGGGGACCCAACGGGCTTGAAGAACATACAATGGCCTGGAATAAAGTATGTTGGGCCCGCAGCGCAAACAATGGCTTATGACAAGTCTGTCTAGGTGTGTTGACAGAATTCTTTCTTCCTGCAGTATGAGTTCAGTTAATGAAAACTCAGGGAAGGTACCAAAGGTAATTGATTTCTTCTTTGGCAAGTCTAGACTTTAGGCAAATAAGGGAACTGCAGAGAACAACTTCACCCTGTTTTTTGGGAGAGCTTTGGGGGATACAGAGGATTGAGATACAGGAAGAAAGGGAAGGTCAGAGAGATCCTGAGTCGTCTTCTTCAGTTCAGCATGTTAAAGTGCCATATTTTGGGGTATTGGTTTCTAAGTCCCAAAATTTTCAATCTTATTTGGCTTCAGTGAATAACCTTACACATGAACCAGTTCACACACATTCAACTGTATTTGTAAAAAGCAAATATTTTAAGGAATAAAAATTGAGTGTTTTAGCAAAACTATAATCATGAAGACCCAGTAAAATGTTTAGCCTTGTTTTTCTATTTTCTCATAAATCTGGAGCTAGACCAATGTATGCTTAACACCAGTTTTTGAGTAACTTCTGTGAGTTTGTGTTTACTTATAATTTAACTTCCAGGATACTAAAGTAGAATTGAGAGCACAGCTAAAGAAATATGCAGGAAGTCCTCTGAGAGAAGAATGGGGTAGAATGATATTGGCCTTGGCAGCACAA
Source organism: Homo sapiens (assembly GCF_000001405.40). NCBI lineage: Eukaryota > Metazoa > Chordata > Mammalia > Primates > Hominidae > Homo > Homo sapiens. The sequence continues at coordinate 171,178,034 of NC_000001.11, forward strand.
TATGCCCCAACTGTTGGAGTCACCCACATGGTGTTGAGGCTTTCTAACTCCAACTTTGGGATATCTCTACTGTCATTCTAACAGTCTACCAGTTTTTTGTTTTGCTTCACTTTGTTTTGTAGAGATGGGGTCTCACTATGTTGCCCAGGGTGGTCTCAAACTCCTGAACTCAAGCAATTCTCCTGCCTAAGCCTCCCAAACTGCTGGAATTACAGGCATGAGCCACTGTGCCTGGTGTACTGTTATTCTATTATATTCTCATCCTATTAACCTATTATTATGTTCTGCCCTGACCATACAGACCAAAGATATTCTTTATGAGAATGGATTTTCCCTGAAGAATATTAAATTCTCATTATCAGCTGAATGGAGAATGGGATAATCCTCAGGCAGTACATGAGGTGGACATTGGTGAACTTGGTCTCTGCGTTTTGCAGGCAATTTGGCCTTCGCTTCAAGGTTAGTGCCTCCTAGAAGCTAAGCAAAAAGTTGGTGAGAGACTCTAAGGTCTAATTTAAGTATATGGGCTATAAGAGAAGCCAATTCTAGGCTGGGCACCATGGCTCATGCCTGTAATCCCAGCACTTTGGAAGACCGAGGCAGGTGGATCACCTGAGGTCAGGAGTTTGAGACCAGCCTGGCCTACATGGTGAAACCCGCCTCTACTAAAAATACAAAAATTAGCTGGGAGTGGTGGCATGTGCCTGTAATTCCAGCTACTCAGGAGGCTGAGGCAGGAGAATTATTTGAACCTGGGAGGCCAAGGTTGCAGTAAGCTGAGTTCATGCCTTTGCACTCCAGCCTGGGCAACAGAGCAAGACTCCGACTCAAAAAAAAAAAAAAAAAAAAAAAAGAAGCAACTCTGCCCAGGCACAGTGACTCACGCCTGTAATCCCAACACTGACGCAGAGGGTTGCTTGAGACCAGGAGTTCAAGACCAGCCTGGGCAACATGGGGAGACCTTGTATCTACAAATAATTTTTTTTTAATTAGCCAGGCAGGGTGGCATGTGCCTGTGGTCCTAGCTACTGAGGAAGCTGAGGTTGGAGGATCACTTGAGCCTAGGAAGTCAAGGCTGCAATAAGTTGTGATGGCTCCACTGCACTCCAGCCTAGGTGACAGAGTGAGTCTTGTCTCCAAAAAAAAAAAAAAAAAAAAAAAGAGAGAGAGACAGAAGCCATTCTACCAATTATTGTATCAACTGTTAAGTTACTCTCTGATTGTACTGCTATCTCCAAGTTTTTCTTAATTCATAGCATTTACTAGTAATCAAGGAAATGCAACTTAAAACCACAATAAAATATATTTTCACATCTTAAAATCAGCAAATAAATTATAAAAGTCTGACGATATCATGTATCAGATAGAATGAGGAACAAAAAGAATCCTTCACTGTTGCAGGGAGCATAAATTGGTACTAACATTTTAAAGAACAATTTATCACCATCTAGTAATGTTGAAAATATGCATATTCAACAACCTAGCCATTCCACAGCTGGGCATGTACTCTGGAGAAACTCTTGAATGGGTGTACAAGTAAACAAGCACGAGAATGTTTTTGTATTGTTTGTATTAGAAAAAATGGAGAGAATATAAATATCAATGGGAAAGAGCTAAATGAATTCTAATATATCTATATGAGTTTTTCACATAATAAGAATAAAATAAAGTTGCTTAAATTAGAAAATAGATCTCACAAAAACAATGAGCAAAAAAGCAAGCTGAACAATGCATATGCCTCAATAAATTGTTGTAATAATATAATGTCTTGATTCATACATAGGACTTTGAATTTTCCTCTGTTAATTAGAACTAATTCTGGAGGCAAATACTCCTGCTCCCAATCCCCATGCTGGGAGGTGATGGGTGGAAGCATGAAGGAAGAAAAATAATCCCGGCTGTTACATAAGCTCTCATTTATTTAATTACTTGGATTAACATCCCACAACCTACTCCTCTTCCAACGGTGATTAAGAGCATGTAGTGCATAGATGGCCTAGATTTAAAACCCTCCTTCTTGTGTTTTCAGCATTTTACTTAATTATTCTGGGTATCAACTTTCTCACTCAAAAAATGCAGCTAACAAGATTTACTTTTCACAAGATTGTGATAACAAGCAACTTAATCTACGTAAAACTTAGTGCCTGGTAAATAATAAGTACTACATAAATGGTAGGGGTTATGGAGCCTCTCACAGTTTCTACTGATAAGAAAACCTCCCATCTCTGCTCCAGGCTTCTCTCATCCATTCTGGGGCACGGTTTCTCCTCTGGTTTGTCAAGATGCTCCCATGCAAATTCCATGTTTCAGAAACATCGTTGATATCTAGTCCACGGGTTGGTAAAGACTTCTTAGATATGATACCAAAAGCACAAACAAAATAAAAACAATAAAATGTACTTTATCAAAATTAAAACTTTTGTACTTCAGAGGAAACCATCAAGAAAGTTAAAAGACAATGCCTCGAAAAACAGAAAATATTTGCAAATCATTTATCTGATAAGAGAATTGTATCTAGAATATATAAAGAATTCTCACAGCTCAATAGGAAGACGAAATGGGCAAAGGATCTAAATACACATTTCTCCAAAGAAGATATACAAATGGCCAACAGGTATATTAAAAGATGGTCAGTATCATTAGCCAGATGGTAAATAATAGGAAAATGTAAACAAAACCACAATGAGATACCACCTCACATCCACTAGAAGGGGTATAACCGAAAAGAAGAGTTGGAGAGGATATGAAGAAATTGGATCCCTCCTACATTGCTGGTGAGAATAAAAAATGTTAAATGTGCTTTATAAACAGTTTGGCAGTTACTCAAAATGCCAAAGATAGAATTACCATATGACCCAGCAATCCCGCTAAACATATACCCAAGATAAATGAAAACATATGTCCATACAAAAACTTGCATATGAATTTAGATAGAATTTAGATAGAAGCATTATTCATGACAGCCAGAAAGTAGAAACAACCCAAATGTCTATCAACTGATGACTAGATGAATAAAATATGATATTCATACAATAAAATACTATTGAACAATAAAAACAGAAGGAACCACTGATACATACTGTACTATGTGTGAACCTTGGAAATGTTACACTAAGTGAGATAATCCAGTCTTTAAAAAATTGTATGATTTCATTTATATACAATTTCAGAATAGGCAAATCTATAGAAATGGAAAATAAATTGGTAGTTGCCAAGGGCTGGGAGTGAGGGGAGCTTGAAGCAAAATAGAAAGAGACTGCTGACAGATACAGGAGATTTTTCGGGGGAGGGGGTCGTGATGAAAATGTTCTAATGTTGATTGTGGTGATAATTGTACAACCTGTGAATATACTCCAAACCATTGAATTTTACATTTCAAATTGATGTAGTTTATAGTATATGAATTACATTACAAAACTGCTTTTTAAAAATCTGATGCACAGAACACTTCCCTTTCTCAGGGCTGTCATGGATTTAGTTCTTTTGTATAACTTTCTTACCACTTTAATGAGATTTTTGAAAGGGTTAGCAAATGTGCTTGCTCAGTCCACTCTTGATTCAGAAGCTTTGGAGGGATTATTTTTAAAAAGAACTGCCCCCAAAAATATAGAGGACACACAGAAGTTATGGAACTATATATGTCACACAGGAAATGCAGATGGGTTCATACAAAAAAAAAATTGAGTCATAGGCGAGGGAAGAGAAAACCAGTTTGGTTGTTATTTCTCTAAGGTATAAGGCAACTTAATGAGAGAACTTGTTGGTTTGTTATTTCTCTAAGGTGTAAGGCAACTTAATGAGAGAACTTGTTGGTTTGTTATTTCTCTAAGGTGTAAGGCAACTTAATGAGAGAACTTGTCCTCACAACTCTGTGCTTCTCAAAAAGTACCATGTGGTTTTAAGGAGTTTTCTGTTGAAATATGTAACAGAAAGTTAAAAATGAAGGAGGAGATACCAGGGCTGATATGTATATTGTTCTTATGATAATATACACAATTAAGGGAGCTTGGACTCATCCAAGAATGGTTCAGAGGGGGTGACTATGGGGCCCCTAACCATGTAGAGGGGTGAAGGGGGCCAACACCCTCTTATTCTCCTATAGTAACCGGAGTATTTTCAAATCCAAATACTTCTCAGCATTTTTATGCCTATCTTAAAACTTTAATTGATGATAAGATTTCACATCTCAGACCCTAGACTCTTGCAGTTAGTGACATTACTCCTCTTTCACATGCTGCCTGAATTCCTCTCTTATCCACTAACAAGTGGTCATCTAACCTTTGTTTGATATTTACAGTGATAGGGAGTTCACTACTATACAAAACAACTCACTCTATATTTGTACAGCACGGTTGGCTAGAAAGTTCTTTCTCACATTGAGACAAACTCAGTTTTTTTGTATCATTAACATATGTAATCCTAGAGAGACTTGTTTCTACCCAAAATAGGCTTGTATGACCTTTTCCGTATAGGAACCTTCTTGAAGGCAATTGTCATGGATTTTTCAATATCTCCTCTAGGCTAAGCATCAGAAGTTTCTTCAGTGGCCCCTTATGTGACATGGCTTTAAGAAGTTCATTGCCATCTTGGTTATTCTTAAATTCTCTGGTAGCTAAGGCAAGCTTATTTCCACATGCGTGAAAGATGGATGGGTGGTAAGGCCTATGGTCCTGAACTAGTAAATGAATTAACATATGTGATAGTATTTTTACAACTTAAAACACTTTGTAAACACAAGATACTATTAAAACATATCTCCTTCATAGAAGGCAACTTGGCAAAGCATATTAGAAACTTGCAACTCAAAATATGGTCTAATGGTACACCTGGCATCACCTGGAAGCTTGCAAGAAACAATTTCAGGCCCACCTCATATCCATTAAATCCCACCTGCATTTTGACAAGATCTCCAAGTGTTTCATTTGCACATTAAAGTCTGAGGAGCTCTGTAAACTTAAAAATATGCAAACACTTTCACTAAGCAATCCTTGTTTTTAGGTATTTATCCTGAGAAAATGATTAGGTTAAGTACACAGCATTTTTATAACAGCAAAATCTTACAAAGAAAGTTCCACTAATAGAAAATTGGCCAAGGTGCTTTACGGTTCTTCTATGGATACACCATTTGCCAGCCAAGGCTAACTCTATAAAGCAAGCTGGTTCTTCTCAGCTGGTGCTGGTACCTAGAAGATGCCTGCTCCTCAGCTGATGCATGCCACCATGAACACAGATGTATGTTTAGTTGACACAAAAGGCCATTAATATCCCCACATCAGTTATCCCTGGAGGATAACTAAGCCATCTGCCTCCATCATCTTTTAAGGGTTCAGTCAGTTTAAAACTTTGCTTCTATACCTAGGTATTTTCTTTTCTCTGTATGTTGGTCAGGTACAATTATTTTTAACAGGGCTTCCATCAATATCATAACTACCTAGAGAAGACATTGCAAAGATAAAATTGGAGAATTGTTAACAGGCTGTTAACAAAATGTGTACCCAACTGCCAATGAAGTGGCTTGATTTTTTTCTTTTTTTAAAATTTTTCTTTTGTATCCTTTTATTTTATTTACTTATTTTTTAGAGACACGGTCTCGCTCTGTTACCCAGGCTGGCGTACAATGGCACAATCATAGCCCACTGCAGTCTCGACCTCCAGGGCCTCAAGCAATCCTCCCACCTCAGCCTTCCAAGTAGCTGAGACTACAAGTGCATGCTGCCATGCCTGACTGATTTTTTGTTTTTTGCAGAGATGAAGTCTCACTATGTTGCCCAGTCTGACCTTGAACTCCTAGCAATACCCTACCCTGGCCTCCCAAACTGCTGGGATTACAGGCATGAGCCACTGTGCCTGGCCTTTTTTCATTTTAACTGAGAAATGTGTTCAGCTCTTTTGTTCCTTAGTCATTGATCATCACTTTTGTTATATCTGTTAGTCTTGTCATAGAGTTGCTGCACTTATTACACAGAGAAGGCCTTTTATCACGACCAATTTATTTTAGGAAATTTCAGGGAAAACGTTTTTCTAGAACACCTTATTTGACATTATAAAACAACTCTTCACTCTTGCACTCCAGACCTCCCTTTCCAGTTTTCTTTTTCTCCATAGTGGTCATCACCACTTGTTTTATTTTATTGATGGGCTGTCTGGCTCCCTCAACTACAAAGTAAACTCCACAAAGGCAGAGAGTTTTGCCTCTTTTATTCATTGCTGTACCTGCATCACTTAGAAAGTTTCTGGCACCTAGGAAGTGTTCAGTAAATATTTATTGAATAAGTTTATGTAAAACGTCTCAGACTCCTTAGAGAAACTGGTCTTTTGGGGTTGGAGAATAAAGTTCTTTACCTCATCAGTTAGACTCTATCTAAGGTACACGAGGGCTTGCTAGTCTCCTAAGTTAGTCTGCTAATAAATGTTAACCCTAATAACTGAAATTATTAGCAGAGGTAATTATCCAGTTCTATATCAAGGCAAAAAGACAGCAGTGGATAGAAAGATCTTAGAAGTCCCACTAGGTTCATCCAAGCCACCATACACATAGGCAGAAAAATCAAAATAAGATATGAGCCTGGACAGGGTGAGCAATCTGGGAAAAGATGAACACAGTATGCTAGGACCCAGAAATCATCAAGTCTATGAAAACTAAGCCAGAACACAAATGTGAATTCCATAAGATCAGGAACATAATCTGTCTTGTTCATCCAGGCATGGTAATCTGCCAGAAATAGTGCTTAACTGCAAGAACTGAATATTTGTTAGATAATTAAACCATCAACTAAATGAGATTCATGCAACCATGAAAAATGCTGCTATAGGTACACAATATTGATATACTAGAAAGTTAAAAAATCAAGTTGGAAATTAGACTATTCCATTTCTGTTTGTGTGTATGTATCTACAAATAGGTGGAAGGATATACCAAAATGTCAACAGCAGTTACCTCTGGGTGGTGAGGAGTAATCTTAACCTTGTTATTTATCCCTATATGTTCATTTGTGAATGAATATTTATTACATCATTATAAAAAGGATTTTTAAACTATCTGTATGTTTAAGAGTATATGTTGCTACTATGTAAGAGTATATGCTGTTACTGTAAAGACATTGCATTACTACTGTTGACCTCAGAGCACGAGCCTCTTGCCTAATTCTAGGACTCCTAACTAAGTCTTTGGAGTTTCAGCTGGAAGAATGCTGGAGGAATACGGAACTCCTCCCATTTCTCACAGCCACCTCCAACTCTTAAAAACGCTTCCAACTGCCTCCCAGCACACAACCAAGGGAGAAAACTATTCTGTCAAAGAGACGGTGCCAAAAGGCAAAAACAAAGGTAAGGATGATCGCTGGGGAAAGAAGCTGAAAAGGAAAAGCTCAGAACTCTAGCTGGAAATTTGGCTCACATCCCTAGTATGTTACTGCATAGTCTGGCTTTGTTCAATGGGTCGCTTTTAAATATTAAAGCTAGATGTAAGCAAGGTTTGCAACAAAGTCCATAAGAAACTCAGCTTTTCTCAAAGGCAAGAAGAGAGCAGGATTTTTGACTGGCTCTTTATTCAATAGTGCTGCTTATTAAATTACCACTGCTACAATGTTTAAAGCCAATTACCTGAGCACATCATAAGGATTCTCTTACCGGTTGTCCCAGTTAAGTAATGTTGATTGATCAACTCCTTGACAGGAGCTGATGGCAAAGAAGGTAGCTGTGATTGGAGCTGGGGTCAGTGGCCTAATTTCTCTGAAGTGCTGTGTGGATGAGGGACTTGAGCCCACTTGCTTTGAGAGAACTGAAGATATTGGAGGAGTGTGGAGGTTCAAAGTAAGTGAGATTTTCTTGGGTCTTGAACAGGTTGTGTTGTTATTTCAGGGTGAATCACAGTTACTGATGGGTCATATTGAGAAATTTATTAAACAACTCTGATCAGATTTTATTTCTACTTATTGATGTGGCCATAATGGAACTGAAGTCATAGGCTGGCATCTCTCCCCCAGTCAATACTAACCCAACCCAGGTAGCTGACCCAGGCATGTAAAAGATCTCTTCTTTTGGATTCAGCAATTGTCTTACAGCCCATACTTCTGTCATTCTTTAATACGCTAATATTAGAGAACATTTTACAAAAATAGAAGTAACAGGGATTCTTCTCAAGATATCACTTCTGTTTCAATTATTAAACCAAATGCTTCTTTAGAGACCATGCTCTTATCATTACTATTTTTCTCTGACAAATGAAGCATGTTTGTTTACTGAGCTTTATCAATGACATTCTAGTATAACTGCTGTGAAACTCTTTGTTAAATATGTTTTATTAAATTTATTCTATTAATCAAACCAAAATATTGATAATGCTATTTGTCTGTATTAGTCCATTCTCATGCTGCTATGAAGAAATACTGAGACTGGGTGATTTATAAAGGAAAGAGGTTTAATTGACTCCCAGTTCCACAATGCTGGGGAGGACTCAGAAAATTTACAATCATGGCAGTGGGAAAGAGAGGTGCTGAGCAAAGGGGGAAAAGCCCCTTATAAAACCATCAGATCTCATTAGAACGCACTCACTATCATGAGAACAGCATGAGGGTAGCTGCCCCCTTGATTCAATTACCTACCCCCACCAGGTCCTTCCCAAGACATGTGGGGATTGTGGGAACTACAATTCAATATGAGATTTGGATGGGGACACAAAGCCAAACCATGTCACTGTCCTTAAAAATTTGTATAAAACTTAGAAAGTTGCATAGATAGCTATAAGGAGTTACAATTATTCCTTCCCACAACCTCTCAATAGGTAGTAGCTTACCACCTTCTAGCTGTGAGATCTTGAGCAAGTTATTTACATCCTGTGTTTCAATTTACTCAGTTATAAATGGATATAATAACAGGAAAGTGTGATTATCTCATAGTGCTATTTTGAAGATTAAGGGAGATAATTCATATAAAGAACTTAGATAAGTTCCGGACTCATAGAGTTCAATAAATGTTAGCTACTAATAATAACTATATATTTTATAGATGAGCAAACTGAAAGTGAGGGAGGTTAAGTGAGATGGCCAGGGCCACACAACTGGAGGAACTGGCCTTCAAACCACGGCCTACGTGACTTCTAAACAGATAAGCCCTGACTTACAACCATGCCCTAACTTGCATTCTTGCTCAAAAAGATTAAACAAAAGTTTAAGTTCAGAACCCAAAAGCAATGACTTTAGAATTATGTAATCAGGTATCCCTGAGATATTAAAACACATAAGAATATTCCAAATGGGAACAAAAGGTTTGAATACATGAAAATCAAACTCATATCAGCAGAGACCATATAAAGGGCTCTCACTGCAGGCTGACTAGTTAGGAGGATGGCAAGGTGATCCAGGACCTGCGCATGCTTTGTCAGTTCAAATTGAATCTCATGCCAACAGCGATCTTTTTTAACATGTAACATTAGGTGTCTCAGGTACACATGACCATAAACCACACCTGGAGGGTTTCTTTTATTTTCTTTTTAATATTTTTCTGAGACAGGGTCCTACTCTGTCACCCAGGCTACCATGCCCAGCCATGGAGAGTTTCTTAAAGATACTGATTCCTTTGGTTAAACCTGCCACCAAAAAAAAAAAAAAAAAAAAAAAAAAATACTGATTTGTGGGCACTCCATCCCAAATCTATGGAATCAAAATCTTCTGGGGGTTTTTAATAAACATCTCAAATGAATCCTATGATAAGACAAATTTGGTAATTGTTACACAAACACCTAATTTAAAAATCTGATCATTCTACTATCTAAACACACTCAGAGTTAATGAGGGAGAAGGGAGAAATTGATTCTTCTGTAAGACGGGTAGCTTTGCAAAAAGGAAAACAGCTTAAATCACATTCATTTCTTATTAAAAGCTGATGATTAATATCATTTTAGTTTTTCCTGGGATGGTGATATAATATGGTGGTCATTCCTGTCTTAACCAAAGATATTTTTGTCCACTCTAGGTTCACATGTAGATTTCAGCTGGAATTTTTTTTTTTTTTTTTTTTTTTTGCTCCCAGGTAGATTCTTAACCTAAACAAGAAATGTAGAAATTACAGTTGGTCCTTGGTATATGCAGGAGATTGGCTCCACAACCTCCCTCCCCCAGTATACCAAAATCCTTGCATACTCACATCCCACAGATTTATTGTCAGCAAAAGAGATGAGAGTTAGTTTGAACAGTCTGCCAACAATATGATTTGATGAATTCTAGGAAGGTATTTTCTGCAGTAAAATATTTCTCCAACTATCCTTTTGCCAGTATCTAAAATTTCAGATTAGAGATAACTTCCTATTCACTAGAAAAACTGGATTAAAACCTGATTAATTAGGCTTTATTGAATATTAAGGGTTAAGTATATAACTGTGGAACTTGTAACAGTATCACATTTCAAATTTCTCTTAAAACTATATCCAATAGAGGAATGTAAACTATTGTCTCCACTCAACGAAGTCAAAGAGTCCAAAGAGTCTCCCTGCAGAGTGAAACATAAAATAAGCAAAATTTCATAGGCTGCCTGCACTACGGCTATGTGAGGGTTTTGGTTACCAGGTGACTGGGAGTTTCCAAGAAGGATGCTGGGAGCCCCATGCTCTTCCCTGGGAAACTTTGCCTTTTCACTACTCTACCATCCAGAAGCAATTTTTTAAATGGGTTATTTATTAATTTTTGTATTTACACAACTCCTACTGGGATTACTTAACATATTTGGTGGTGACAAGTTAACAATAAATAAGTAAATTTAAGAATCCTTGTCCTATACCCAACCCAGACAATAGAGTTCTTCCAGACTCTCCAGCACCCCCTAGTGGCACATATGGACCATGGGACGGGTAGGTAATTAGCATATATTTTTCGTTCTGTTTCCAGCAACGGGAAGCACTTGGCAAGCATCACCTTCTTTTCTTCGCAATACTGCTAGGAAGTATGTATTATGATTATCTTTATTTACATATTAAGAAGAAACAGTTTTCAGATAAAGAATTTGCTCAGGGGAACATAGGTGGCGGGAGAAAAAAAACGAGGGTTTACAATTTCGGAGCTGTCACACTTAATAACCTTGCTGAAGTATTGATAGAGGAAAACATGATCTTCTTTCAGCCGCTAACCTTCTCTGTTTCCTTTATTGTTCCTAATACCTTGTATTCACGTGGGAGTTACCATGTACATTTTTTTTCCTGTGGGTTTTCTTTTAATATTTGGATTTGGATCTCCTCCTTTTCCAGATGTATATGTTTAGTTATTTTAATTTTCATGTAATACTCTCTAGACATATCTCAATCTTGGTTTTCTTCCTCTAAGTTCAATCTGAAATATCACTTTCTCTCTTAAATTTGGCTCCCCCAAGATCCAACATTCCAAACATATTGCCAATGAGTGTATACCTTTTAGCTTGAAAGCAGCAGAAAAAAAGTGGTAAATACCTGAGCCAGGGAACTTAATTAGGGGGTTCTATCAGTGATCAAGGCCAGTGATCAAGGGAGACACCAGCCTAATGAAAGATGACAGAAGATAGCAATACTCTAATAGAGATGTGGTTCACAAAGTTCATTGTGCAGAAGCAGCTAGGGAGAGCTTCTAAAATACAGAAATCTGAGCCCGTCTTTTTTCTTTTCTTTTTTTTTTTTTTTTTGAGATGGAGTCTCGCTCTGTTGCCCAGGCTGGAGGGCAGTAGCGCAATCTCAGCTCACTGCAACCTCCATCCCCCGGGTTCAAGCGATTTAGCTGGGATTACAGCCTTGTGCCACCACACATCTGGACCCATCTTCTAATGCAACTGGTCCACTGACTGGCATTTGGGAATTGCAATTTTGCCTCTAATTGTAGGACAAGGAAGTAAGAAGAGTTTTAATCATATTCAATTCAAGTAATGGAGCAGATAGATGTAAGGTCCATCCGAAAGAGTGAAATGATAGAATCACAGAATATTCTTAAAGAAAGGCAATTTTATTCTTTCTAACTGCTTATGGTAACTACCCATGAAAGCAAAAATATTGATTGGTAAGGGTCAATATAATGATGTTTCACGAAGAAAAAGTTTAATTTGTAAGTTTTTGTAATTCACATTTATAATAAATAAATCTGTTTCTGCTTTATAAATTTCCTCACTTGAGTAGATTAAATATTACCCTTATAATCTTCTTTAAACTTACTGTTTACAACCTTTTTATTGTCATGAAGTCAAACATAAACTTCAATTCAGCTCGTGATCAAAAGATCATAAATTCTAAATAAGTGCTATCTGAATTAACTTGGTTTGCTAGAGTTTTCTGACATTCTGAAAATTCTATATTAGAAGAATTCTTTATTATATGATAATTTATGTTAAACAAATTATAGCAAATTCTACACATAAGGAAATTCAGACTATATTTATGCTTAATTATCCAGGCAGTAGTAGTACTTAAGTAAATATGTGAGTTAAATTTATCTGTTTTGAAAACTGTGCCTCTGTCCTCCTCTTGATTGACAATAAACCCTCTGTCTCCACTTTCACATCTCCAAAGTTCAAGTGCATTTTAATACAATATAACAATAAGCACCATAAAGATATAAACTATGTTTGTACTGTTAGCATCTTATCCCTAAATCCAAGCTCAGGCCCTGGTCAGTTCAAGCATTTGATACATACTTGTCTATTAAATCAACATTAATCATCTCTTCATAACTAGGAAAACTAGGCCAATTTTACCCAGATTTGTCTAAATACACAGATGCCTACTTCAGCAAACTAAATGTAGAAGGAAGCACATATGAAGACAAGGGGGTCTTTTTTAGCTGCTATTTACCAATTAACCCAACAATAAAAGTTTATCACTTGGCTGGGCGCGGTGGCTCACGCCTGTAATCCCAGCACTTTGGGAGGCTGAGGCAGGTGGATCACCTGAGGTCGGGAGTTCGAGACCAGCCTGACCAAAATGGAGAAACCCCACCTCTACTAAAAATACAAAATTAGCTGGGCATGGTGGCGCATACCTGTAATCCCAGCTACTCAGGAGGCTGAGGCAGGAGAATCACTTGAACCCAAGACGGGGAGGTTGCAGTGAGCCGAGATCATGACATTGCACTCCAGCCTGGGCAACAAGAGCAAAATTCTGTCTCAAAAAAAAAAAAGGGATTATCACTTGATCTTCAGAAAAATAGTGAGGTCATTATTGTTTGCTGACAGACTACACAAGTAAAATCTCCCAAAGGCCAGTTTTGCCCTGGCCCTAAGATTACTGTAGGGCCTCAGACATCAAATCAGTTCTTCTCATCACTCAAAATTCCCTTAAAATTGACCTGATAGAGAAGCCAACCACATTTTTAAGCCAAATTGTTGGGTCTTTTAAAAACTAGCATTTTGGCTGTAGTATAACAGTCTTAGTTTAACTGATTCAAAACTATGGCTGGCTTAGTAAATTTAACGCTAGTGGCCAATAATAACAGAAAAGAGATAAATATTCTTAAGTATGTATTTTGAGCCAGGGATTCTGCTAAGTACTTTATTCACTCTCATTAAAGCCTTGAAACAATTGTTGCATGTTTAAGTTATTAATGAGCCCCATTTTACAGAGGAAAATGAGGAAACTGACCTATGTAACTTGCTCATGGTCACAAGCCATTAAAGGTGGCAGAATTAGGATATCAATCCAGTCGGTGTGACTCCAGAACCCTCCTATTTACTCTATACTACTCATAAAATTATTTGGTCTTGGGGCTGGGCGCAGTGGCTCATACCTGTAATCCCAGCACTTTAGGGTGTTGAGGTGGGTGGATTGCTTGAGCTCAGGAGTTTTAGACCTGCCTGGGCAACATGGTAAGACCTCATCTCTACAAAAAAAAAAAAAAAAAAAATACAAAAAATTAGCCGGTGTAGTGGCACGCGCCTGTAGTCCCAGCTACTTGGAAGGTTGAGGTGGGATCACCTGAGCCCAGGAGGTTGATGCTGCCGTGAGCCATAATCATGTCACTGCATTCCAGCTTGGGCCACAGAGTGAGACCCTGTCTCAAAAATAATAATAATAATCTGGTCTTGAGAAAAAATAGTATTTTTTTCTTCATAAAATATTTTCCATTTTGAGAACTTGATTAAGAAACTCATTGTCTTGCCAATGACATTACATTCAATCATGCTGAAACATCCAGAAATAGTTTACACATCAGTTTGACATCAGTATTATGCAATTTGAAGCCACTGTTTGAAAATAAAAACACTGTACCGTGATTTGTTTATCCAGAGTTCAGATTATTATATCCTTGTATATGAGACAGAAACCCCCTTGTATTCTAGTGCAAACTCTCTTTGGATCTTAATATGTATAGTTAACAATAATACCATACTACATTCTAACTACCTAGAAAGCTAGCATACCTTAACCTGATTAACTTTTACCAAGTTACTTGAAATTATAGCAAAGTTACCATTTAAATCTTGATTCTGGCCAGGTGCAGTGGATGAACCAAGCATGGTGGTGCCTGTAATCCCAGCACTTTGGGAGGCTGAGGCGGGTGGATCACGAGGTCAGGAGATTGAGACCATTCTGGTTAACACAGTGAAACCATCTCTACTAAAAAATACACACAAAAAAAATTAGCCGGGCGTGGTGGCAGGCACCTGTAGTCCCAGCTACTCAGGAGGCTGAGGCAGGAGAATGCCGTGGACCTGGGAGGCGGAGCTTGCAGTGAGCCAAGATCACGCCACTGCACTTCAGCCTGGGTGACAGAGCGAGACTCTGTCTCAAAAAAAAAAAAAAAAAAAAAAGATTTGATTCTATCAGTCTACTCACCTTTATAGCTTGACAATGATTGATTTGTGTAAAAGGATTCAAATCAAAATTTGCAAACTCCCTTCCTCCAAAGGTACTCATTTTATAATACTGAAATTCTCTATTATGTTCTCTGCCCAGTGTCCCAGGGTTTATTGGTTTCTAAAGAGGTAGTGGGTATATACAGCCTCCCCAAGGGGAATTTAGGAAGTAAGCTGGTTGTCACAAAGACTGGCATTAAATAGGTAGAGACCTAGGATGCTAATATCTTGCAATGTGCCAAAATAATTGTCCCTGTCCCCAACCTCACCATTGCCAATATTACCCCTACCCCTCACAGTGAGCGTCACAGGCAGGCAACAAACTGGTGTCGTCACAGAATGATTGATGGAACACATAGACTGCATTCATTACCTAAACATTGTCGTCACACTGCAGCAACCAAAGACAATCGCATTACCCAGGGGTTAGATGTAGGAAGAGTAAAAAACAAAAAATTTTTGAATGCGTAATTATCACTAATTATTTTATTTGATCCTTCAGGAGAATGTGGAAGATGGCCGAGCAAGTATCTATCAATCTGTCGTTACCAACACCAGCAAAGAAATGTCCTGTTTCAGTGACTTTCCAATGCCTGAAGATTTTCCAAACTTCCTGCATAATTCTAAACTTCTGGAATATTTCAGGATTTTTGCTAAAAAATTTGATCTGCTAAAATATATTCAGTTCCAGGTATTGTATTTTTGGGGAAATGGGTTTCTCTGCATTAGTTCAGCTCATATTTAGATAGAAAAGTTACTCTGATAATGAAAGCAATTATGAATGAAGTATCCCATTCTAAGTATTTGTTGAAATATAACAGCCTCATATAAAACCCAAAAAGTAGTGTCATTACCCTTGGTATTATAGATTATATACATTAATTGAAGAGGAAAATCATCTGTTAAAGTTAAAGGTTTGAATAATAATATATTGATGTCAAAACTTTTTTTTTTTTTTTCTCCCTGAGACAGAGTCTCACTCTGTTGCTCAGGCTGGAGTGCAGTGGCATGATCTCAGCTCACTGCAACCTCTGCCTTCCAGGCTCAAGTGATTCTCCTGCCTCGGCCTCCAGAGTAGCTGGGATTACAGGCACACATCACCATGCCTGGTTCATTTTTGTATTTTTGGTAGGGACGAGGTTTCACCATTTGGGCCAGGCTGGTCTCGAACTCCTGACCTCAAGTGATCCACCCGCCTCGGCCCCCCAAAGTGCTGGGATTACAGGTGTGAACCACCACACCCAGCCTCAAAAATTCATTTAAACTAATATCTGTTATCATTGAATACACCTAGCTTCATTTGCCTTGAAAGGGCGTATACCAAAATTAAATTGCTGTTTTGTTTTCTTAGCTTCTTCATAGAAATGGGATTTCTTAGATGTGTATTAAATAAATTCATTGGTCTCTGTTCATACTAGAAGGCTGTGGGAAGTATTTGCTTATCATTTTTTTCTGAATGCAATCTCTTACAACCTAAAGATGGCCAGATCATTTTGAAAAACACTTGGAATTACCTTTTCCTGTGCTTCCTCAAAATCAACAAAAAGCAATATTTTAATTAAGCATGCTGAATTTTTATCAATGGTCTATACTTTGAGAAATAGCTACTATGCTTAGAAAATAAAATATAAATCACATTTCTTGGCCAGGTATGGTGATTCATGTTTGTAATCCCAGCACTTTGGGAGGCTGAGGCAGGAAGATCACTTGAACCCAAGAGTCTGAGACCAACCTGGGCAATACAGTGAAAATCTGTCTCTACAAAAAATTTTTAAAAGATTATCCAGGCATGTTGATACCCACCTGTGGTCCCAGCTATTCTAGACTGAGAAGGGAGGATTGCTTGAGCCTGGGAGGTCAAAGCTGCAATAAGTGGTGATTGTGCCACTGCACTCCAGCCTGGGCAACAGTGTGAGACCCTGTCTCAAAGTAAATAACTAACATTTCTGGATAAATAACTGTTAGTGAGGCTTATTTTTAATACATGTCATTTTCTTAGTAATTCTAATACTAGGCTTATATAATATCAACTTACAATAGTAAATTTTGGTGAAAATTTGTATTTATAAATTCCATTAAAATGTCCAGTTCTACCTAATGTAGTTTTTCACCAATTCCTGGTAGATCTAACTTGTGAATAACAGATTATGTATACCAGAAGGTTTTGTAACTTTGTGCACTTAACTATCAATCTACTTAACAAATATCTCGCCTTTTTATGATAAATAACTTCTATTCCATTCTTTTAAAGATCATGTTAGAGTCGCAAGGAAGTCATTTCTCTTGGTTATTGTGTTACTGCTACTTTTGTTTCTTGGAGAGTGAAGAGGGGTTGGGAAGAAAGGTTTCTGTTTATTGGTCTCTGAGTTGGTGTAAGTCATAGGTGTTAGAGCTCAACTCGAGAAGCAGGCAAACTGTAACAAGCCCTGTTGCTTATGATTGTCAATGTAATCTACATCAGTGCTTCTCAAACTTTAATGTGGACATGAATCACCTGGATATCTTGTTAAAAATGTAGGTTCTAATTTAATAGGTATGGGGTAAGTTCTGAAATTCTGCATTTCTGACAAGCCTCCAAGTGATACTGAAGATCCTGATCCTCAAATCACATTTTGAATAGCAAGGATCTACAGCACTTAGTTAATATACTACTTTGAACTACCATCTGAAATCTTTTCTTTCATCTGAAAACTGCCCAGATATTTAAAGCCCTTTTACAAGATTTCTACTAATATTCCATATACATTTTTAAATTGAGACAGCTTAAAAATTACCAACCCAGCAGTTGGAAAAATATCTGAAAATTTGAGATATATAAAAGACTAAAATACTTGCAAATGAGAAGCATGCCATTCCTCTAGCATTATAAACTTTGCTTCCACTTGACATCGTTTCTTAATCCAGCAGATATGAAACATTTATGTACAATTTTAAAAATTAACAGACCTCCAGTGAGCTACATTTAAAAAAATCAATGAACCAATAAATCATTTTATTCAAATAAGATCATGAACTGTCTTGCTCACATGATGTACTCTGTTTTAAAAATAGCAAATGTTAAAAACTATCATTCAGTGGAATGCTGACCATGTGTCAGGCACTCTGCAAAGTGTTTTGCGTGAAATATCTTCTCTAATACAAAGTCCACAAAGAGGCGGCTACATAAAACGTTCCTGACATATGCCAATTGCATGATCACTTGAATTATTGGTTTGTTTCCTTGTTCAGATTATCAAATAACAAACAGAGAGAAGTTCTTTAAAAGAAAAGATATATATTTGGTGATAGAGCATTGTAATGAGAATGTACATGCCATGGTAAACTATTTGTGTATTCAGGGAGTTAAAGGAAGACAAAGGTTTTTAAATGGGGAAAAAATACAATTACATAATTGTTTTGAAATAATTATATAAAGAGCAATAACAAGGGTGATGCCAGTCTGAGATTGGACAGTTACTGAGCAGATGTTCTTGTAGAAGTCATTTTTGTGTAAGATTATGATGGTCTTTGTGTAAGGTGGTGGTTTTTGTAGTTTTTGTTATCAGGCACACATCATGAGAACCCGCTCTTTCTGGCCTTTCCCAATTCTATTTGTCGGGTTTCTTAACATTAGTGACTCCATCTAGATTCTGACAGTTTTCATGAGAACTTGCTTTTCTTTTCTCTCTCAAGTCCTTATTCAGTATTCAACACCCTTAACAGATTAGTCCCACTGCTGAGTCAGGCCTCTTGCATGAAGCAGCAATGAGAAAGACACACTTGGCCAATGTTATCCTGGAGTAATTCTCAATGATGCCTTCTCTGTGTTTCTTCAAGACAACTGTCCTTAGTGTGAGAAAATGTCCAGATTTCTCATCCTCTGGCCAATGGAAGGTTGTCACTCAGAGCAACGGCAAGGAGCAGAGTGCTGTCTTTGACGCAGTTATGGTTTGCAGTGGCCACCACATTCTACCTCATATCCCACTGAAGTCATTTCCAGGTGAGACCCGCTGGGATTCCCAGCTTTTTGGAGTAGGTTTCCAGGTACTTTATATGTAGTTTGGATTGACAAGCAGGATTCATTGCTGCAACTGGGCAGAACTTGGCTCAATAAGATTGAGACAGAGCTAGAAAGATGAAAGACACCAAACATCATCTTTGTTTCTATTGGCCTCTGAGTCTTCATCACACATAGATCTCAGAGCCAACTTCCTTGGAAGTCACTAAGTCCTTGGCATAATTTTAGAGAATTCACATCAAACTGGTTCTCTGTTGGAGAGGCCCTTTTAGCCATGTGCCTGCGTTGGCCTTTTTCTACCCTGCCAAACACCGAGCCTTTTTCACAGGGCCATACTCACACACAAGGGGAGAGCTCCTAGAAAGAAATGCTTTGCAAGTTAGTGATGGGGAGAGAAGTGCAGGAATAGAACCCTGCATCCAGCTGTTCTGGTCCACCCAAGTCTTTCCTCAGAGAACACACTTCTTTCCCAAGGCCCTTAGGAAAATATGTAATATAGTGGTTCATAGTCCAGGCCTCATATTAGAATCACCTGGGGAGCTTCTAAAGCCCTGATGGCCTGGAGACCTACCCCCAAAGATTCAAACACTATGGAGTAGGGTTAGAGCAATGAAAGTTTGCTCAGGTGATTTTAATATACAGTCAGGATTAAGGCCTGCTCATCTAAAGCAATTGTTCTCAAATAGAGTCACCTGGAGGGCTTTTGAAAGCACAAATTGCTAGGCCCCACCCTCCATATTTCTGATTCAATAGGTGCTATGGCTTGAATGTCCTGTCCAAAACTCATATTGAGATTAATCCCCAATGGGGCAGTATGAAGAGGTGGGGCCTTTAAGAGGTGATTGAGTAGTAAGAGCTCTGCCCTCAAGAATGGATTAAGCCATTTGTGGATAAATAGGTTAATGGATTATTGGGTTACACAGGAGTGGAACTGGTGGCTTTATAAGAAGAGGAAGAGAGACCTGAGCTAGCATGTTAGCATGCTTGGCTCCCTCACCATACAATGCCCTATGCTGCCTTGGGACTCTTCAGAGTCCAAACCAGCAAGAAGGCTTTCAGCAGACGCAGCCCTTCAACCTTGACTTCTCAGCCTCCACAATTGTGTGCCAGAAGAAATAACTTCCTTCCCCTATAAAATATTCGGTTTCAGATATTTTGTTAAAAACAATAGAAGACAAATTAAGACAGCAGCTCTGGCATGAGGCTGAGAATTTGCATTTCTAACACCAGGCAATGCTGATATTGCTGGCCATGTGACCACACTTTGAGAACCAATAATCTAAAGATTCTTTCAAGCAACCCCACCGTCAATGGCAAATACTTTATAAAGTCATGTGTTTCCGTGAAGTGTAAAAGTAGTAACTAGGAAAGGACACAGAAGAAGCTTGTCTGTGATTAACCACCAGCAAGTCACTGATTTACACAATATGGAAACCAACTCCTATGTGCCTGGTTTTTAGTTTTAGTTTTTGTTTACTTTTTGAAAATAAGATTGCTAAATTGTATTCTAACTATTACACAATTATAATAATAGCACTTCATAATGTGCTTAAGAAATATTTAAGAGTATCTGATAAGTGATTTTTTTTTTTTTTTGAGATGGAGTCTCACTGTCACCCAGACTGGAGTGCAGTGGCACGATCTCAGCTCACTGCAACCTCCACAACCTCCATCTTCCAGGTTCAAGCAATTCTCCTGCCTCAGCCTCCCAAGTAGCTGGGATTACAAGTGCACGACCACCCCTGGCTAATTTTTGTATTTTTAGTAGAGAGAGCTTCATCATGTTGGCCAGGCTGGTTTCAAATTCCTGACCTCAGTTGATCCGCCCGCCTTGGCCTCCCAAAGTGCTGGGATTACAGGTGTGAGCCACCACACCTTGCCTAATATGTGATATTAAAGGGTCAAATGTCATTATATAGTCCAAAATAGTATATAATAGGCAGGCAGAAGACAGTATCTGGTCCTGCTGTGTTCATCACCATTTATTTGTCTCTGATAGAGACAAACTGCAGCCGTAAGCTGCAGCCTCTGAAATAAAAAATCAACCCCTTTGGTCCTGTTTTTTTGTTTGTTTTTTGTTTTGTTTTGGTGTTGTGACAGTCTCACTCTGTCACCCAGACTGGAGTGCAGTGACTCAATCAGGGGTCACTGCATTCTTTACTTCCCAAGCTCAAGCAATCTTCCCACCTCAGTCACCCGAGTAGCTGGGACCACAGGCATGCACAACCATGCCCAGCTAATTTTTGTATTTTTTGTAGATACAGGGTTTCACTATGCTGCTCAGGCTGGTCTCAAACTCCTGGGCTCAATCAACCTGCCTAGGCCTCCCAAAGGGCTGGGATTACAGGCCCCACCTGGTCTGGTACCTAAACTTTCTTATGTGCTTTACTCCTATAGAGAAGAGGCAAAACAAATTATTAACTCCAGAAAGGAAAAGCTGGCAATGCAGTTTTATTGAAATTAGCTTGACATAGTTGCTCTGGAGCTCACAGACTTCTCTCTTCTTCCCCCTGAAGGTATGGAGAGGTTCAAAGGCCAATATTTCCATAGCCGCCAATACAAGCATCCAGATGGATTTGAGGGAAAACGCATCCTGGTGATTGGAATGGGAAACTCAGGCTCAGATATTGCTGTTGAGCTGAGTAAGAATGCTGCTCAGGTGTGATGCTCTCTGCTTACCATGTACCTGGAGGGGAGGAAGTGGGGATGCCATACTGGAGAACCCCAGCCATATAATCGCGGCTCCAATCCTCATTAACTAGTTGGTTGGTAGCGCATTGTGGCATCATAGAAAATCTGGAAGTCAAGAAACCACTTTACCTCCTAGCTCTGTCAATAACCAGCCATGAATCCTAGAGTGATTCATTTCACTTCTCTGGGAGATGGCTCCCTCATTTTTAAAATGGGAACTTTTGACCAGATGATTTTCCATATAAGAGGCCTTTCATCAACATGGCTCACTGCAGCCTTGACCTCCTGGGCTCCAATCTTCCTGTCATCTCAGCCTCCTGAGTAGCTGGGACTACAGGCACATGCCACACCACACTCAGCTAATTTTCATATATTTGTAGAGATGAGGGTCTTGCCATGTTGCCCAGGGTAGTCTCAAACTCCTGAACTCAAGCAATCTGCCCGCCTCAGCCTCCCAAAGTGCTGGGATTACAGGCATGCACAACCACACCCAGCCAAGAGGCCTTGTTTCTACCTGGATGTTTAATGAGAGGTTAATCTGTTCATATTCTGGAGGGTGGCTTTTAGAAATTTAGTGTGTATTTGAATTATATTTGAAATATAGATAACCTTCAGTTACCCAAATATTATGAAAAGAAAGATTAAATAGATAGTAGGTCTCTCAACTAAAATCATAGATATTTAGGTGCTTCCTGAGGCCTTCTAACCACTGTCTTCTTTGCACCTGCTCAGGAATGACACCAGCTGAGCTGCCAAAGAGTCAAACATTCATTACACGATGATGCTGCTGATAGTGGTGGTCAGGAATAGCAAAAACTAAACTCCTTCTGCAAGGACAGACCCAGGCAAAGAAGGGAAAATCACTAAACATCCTTTCCCAAAGTATTCCCTCTCAAGAAGGCCTGAACCAGATGCCCAATCACTCTTACCCTAGCTCTTTCAGCCTGATGTCTCTGGCCACCCAGGGCTTACCATGGCCCTGTGCACAACCAACAAATCATTTCCATCCTAAGTCTTACACTTTCAGGACTCTAGATACCCAGTGGCAAAAGTTACAAGCAAACATGACACCCGCCCAGCAGGTTAATGAAGGGGTTATACTGGGACCTGTCAGAGTCATCTATCAGTCAGTTAGTTAGTGCCAGCCCGGGAACAGAGCAGGTCACTAACACCGGAAAGAGACTTACTAGACCCAATAAGTCTTCACTTTGTGAAAATAAACCTCTTGTCACTTATCACCTCAGTGTGAAGAACAAGTGAGGAGGCAGGAACTGTGACAGCCTGGAGAAGAGCAGAGCTGGAAAATGAGAGTACCAGCTCTAGGCTCTTTCATGCTAGGAATACCCGCAAAGCCTTAGGAACAGTGTGTAATGGGGCAGTATGTGAGGAGCTAATATAGCAGTCAGCCAAGTGAAGATCCATCCTAGACTACTTCACGTTGTCAGACCAGTGATTTGGATTTAGATCTCTTCATTCCAAAGATATCAAATCTTAGATGGCAAGAACCAGTTCCTTGTATGGGTCTTGCCCTACAGGAAGACTTATGGTGTGAGATTCAATATTAAGAAACTACCTTGGCTCTATATGCATGCCTTACAGCTTCTTAAACAATCTTTTGCACAGAGTGCAAAAGACTTTGTTTCCATCTCCCTCTATCAGTGTAAATGCCACTAGATGCCCCCTTTTTAGGAGGTACTTCACTTTGAGGTCAATCATCTTTAAAACAGAGCCTCAGTAAATTCTGGGGCTATGCATGTGATACATCACCTACATAATAGATTCCTCCTAAATATAATGTTATAATCATACATTTCCAGGATTATACTCATTCATCTGCACTAATCTCTTCAATATTTATTAGAGTAACAACATAAATCTATAACTATGATAAAACCTCTTACACAGAGTAATATACTCTCAAGCCTTCTGTGAAAAGACTAACCAGAGACT
Organism: Homo sapiens; assembly: GCF_000001405.40. NCBI lineage: Eukaryota > Metazoa > Chordata > Mammalia > Primates > Hominidae > Homo > Homo sapiens. The sequence goes on from NC_000001.11 coordinate 171,201,471, forward strand.
TTACAGGAGCTATACATGCTAGGAACGGAACTAGGCGCATCTGCAAAACTTGAAATTACAACCTGAACTCACCAAAATTCTGAGTGTGCACTGCTCTGTTAAAAGAAATTCACCTTCATAAGGATACAGCACCCTCTACCACAATCCAAAAGCACCACTCAAGATCATATGGGATGGTGCTGCATCATTGTATTAGTCCATTCTCAACGCTGCTATGTAGACATACCCGAGACTGGGTAATTTATAAAGAAAAGAGGTTTAATTGACTTACAGTTTGGCATGGCTGGGGAAGCCTCAGGAAACTAACAATCATGACGGAATGCACCTCTTTACGAGGCTGCAGGAGAAAGAATGAGAGCGAAGGGGGAACCCTTATAAAACCATCAGATCTCGTGAGAACTTACTCCCTATTAGGAGAACAGCATGGCAGAAACCTCCCCCATGACTGAATTATCTCCACCTGGTCCTGCCCTTGACACGTGGGGATTATTATAATTTAAGGTGAGATGTGGGTAGGGACACACAGCCAAACCATATTAGTCATTTACATACTTCTGACCAAAAACCAAATCTCTGGCCTTTGACCTAAAACATGCGTCTCAGAGAAAGCAGCCTGAGCCTAAATCCTCATGTTTCTCTCACTGTTGCAGCTAGTGTCATTAAGGCAGGTTAGACCACCCTGCTGTAGGGAGGGTCACAACAGAAAAAGAGTGAATCAAACGGGCAGAGCATACCATTTGAAACATGGTTTGCTCCTGAGAAAGAAGAGGGGACAGTAAGTAATGGAAAGAGACACTAATGAAAATATTTTTGTATCTAATATCTAATCAAAGTATTGCCAAGTCAGCCTATAAGGGCAACGGCAGGAGAAATTCAGAACATAGGTATATACCACACACAGACCAGCAATATAGGAATGCTTGGTATAGGTGCTACTTCACAAGCTAGGAATGTAAGGCCCATCCCCACAAAATTTGTCTCCAAATTCTGGTTTACTCCAGACATAAGGCACTGTATGAAACTCCTCTCTTCCAGCCTAACTTTATAACTTAACAGCTAGCAGTACTTATCACTTGCCAGGCAATATTTCAAGTACTTTATATATACCACCTCATTTAATCTACACAAGAATGCCATGAGGTAGGTACTGTTAATACCCCCATTTTACAGAGAGAGAAACTGAGGCACAGAGAGATTGAAATAATTCAACCATGGCAACACAGATTGAAATAGTTCACCCACAGTAGTGTGATTGGGATTCAAACCCAAGCAGTCTGTATCCAAACCTCTCAAGTAAATTGGTTACCTTGCAAGTGAATCTTATGTGTTTATCAAGTATAGCCTTAAACAAAAACTTATTGCATGGTATGTAAAAATTTAAGAAGCAGTTCAAGTATGCATTTGGCCAATGGGGGAGTAACAGCAAACACAGCAAAATATACATTTGAAAAGAGATTAAATGTACATTTTGGAAACAAGGGAAATCTTAATAAACAAGGTAAAGAATACACCTGAAAGAGGATTCAGATGTGCACTTGAAGAGAAAGAGAATCACAGTATAAGTTCAGAGTTTTTAACTTTTAAAATACATTACAAGCACTGTGTCTCATGCCTGTAATCCCAGCACTTTGGGAGGCTGCGGCAGGAGGATTGCTTAAGCCCAGAAATTTGAGACCGACCTGGGCAACATAATGAGACCGTCTCTACAAAAAAATTGTTTGAATTAGCTGGATGTGGTGGTACATGTCTGATACTGAGGTGGGAGGATCACTTGAGCCTGGGAGGTCGAGACTGCAATGAGCTATGACTGCACAACTGCAGTCCAGCCTGAGTGACAGAGCAAGACCCTGTCTCACACACACACACACACACACACACACACACACACAAAATAAAGTCTTTTAAGTATGGAAGGAAGATTATTTCCCCTGTTATTCTCCATCCAGGGATATTCAGATGCATATACACTTATACTTGTGTAGTCACTAGGCTATAATCGCACATTTCCAAGGATTATAATCATTCTACCTGCACTATAGAAGAAACTTAGGTGAGTGGAAAACATGAGAGGAGGGAGGGAGGAACTTTCTCTTAAGGAGCAGCAAACCACAACTGTAAACATGGGAAAGACTTGTGGATTTTATCATCAGAGTTAGCCCAAAGACTTTCTCGTGTCTCCATGAAGTTCTCAAGATTTTGTTGCAGTCTTCCTGCATCAGTGTAAATGCCACTGGGTACCCCTATTTAGGAGGTACTTTACATTGAGGTCAATCATCTTTAAAACAGAACCTCTGTAAATTCTGGGGCTACACATGTGATACATGACCTTCATAGTAGATTCCTCCTAAACGGGACAATGCCCTAATTTAAACTGCATTTCTTTTTGCTTGCCAGGTTTTTATCAGCACCAGGCATGGCACCTGGGTCATGAGCCGTATCTCTGAAGATGGCTATCCTTGGGACTCAGTGTTCCACACCCGGTTTCGTTCTATGCTCCGCAATGTACTGCCACGAACAGCTGTAAAATGGATGATAGAACAACAGATGAATCGGTGGTTCAACCATGAAAATTATGGCCTTGAGCCTCAAAACAAGTAGAGTTATTTTGCTTTTTTAATGGTATACTCGTTGGTGAGCAAAGTTGTCTGAAGGTGTCTCCCTTAACAAAGATTCAAATTGCTAACACGGTAGTTAAAACTACAATCTAACAATATGAGTATCTTATAGGTCCTGGAGTTTAGCTTCTAAATTTGTTCTGTATGCCTTTAAAAAATACTTAAGAAGATGAAGCAGAAGTGTTATAAGCTGCTCCAGAAAGCAAAACTAGGGGAGAACTTTCTAATACCCAGAGTTATCTAACATTGGAGAAAACTGTTTCAAGAGATTACGACCTGCCTTTCAGAGGGGTGTGGTGGGAAACATGTAATTCTCCATCTAATAATTTATGCTTTGCTAACCCTATAGCATGAAGGTTCTTCCCATGGGAAACCTTTGAAAACACATTCCTTTTTCTTTGCTAAAAGACAAATCTCTGTTGACGTCAAAGTTATATGTCAGTGATTTAAGCACAAGCAAATGTTATGAATGGTTCTTTTGCTTTAGTTGTTACAGGCTTCTTCCCTTAAAAAAACAGAAGAGCTTTAGAATCTTTTAACAAATGCCTGCCGTGCAACTACCATATTCTAAGATCTGACATAAGTGCCACGTATCGTCTATTAAAAAAAGAAAAAGAAAATGTTCTCAAATCTACAAAAAAAATAAGCGGACTTTGCATCAACATCCATGCTATTACTAACAGAGACTCCATGGATATTTGGGATTAACAAATATCACCAAACCTAATTTTATACATTAATTTTCACATTGATCCCTTCATAGATTTCAAAACTAGTGGAAATTTAGCAAATTTTTTCTTATGATCAAATAGGGGTTAAATAAAACAGCAAAATAATAAAAGCTAGATAGCATGAAAAAGGTTAAAAACAGAAATGGTATAATAACCACCATAATACTTGGGGATTGACCATAGGCACAGGCATTTTGTCTAAGCCCTTGGGGATGCTTCCTTCCTTAAAATCTCTTTCACTCACGTTGCCTACATGTTTTCCCTTATTTATTGACAAGAGATATTTGTGACATGAGAATTAAGTCAGAAAATAAGGATTTGCACAGACAACCAGTTAAGTTAGAGTTTTACAGATATTTGAAAAGCCCTTTTATTTTCAGAGCCGTACCCCAAAAATATCAAGAGGGTTCAAGATTCCTCAGCAAATGATCCTTCAGAATGTTTTTCTTCTGTATGTCTCAGATACATTATGAAGGAACCTGTACTAAATGATGATGTCCCAAGTCGTCTACTCTGTGGAGCCATCAAGGTGAAATCTACAGTGAAAGAGCTCACAGAAACTTCTGCCATCTTTGAGGATGGAACAGTGGAGGAGAACATTGATGTCATCATTTTTGCAACAGGATATAGTTTCTCTTTTCCCTTCCTTGAAGATTCACTCGTTAAAGTAGAGAATAATATGGTCTCACTGTATAAATACATATTCCCCGCTCACCTGGACAAGTCAACCCTCGCGTGCATTGGTCTCATCCAGCCCCTAGGTTCCATTTTCCCAACTGCTGAACTTCAAGCTCGTTGGGTGACAAGAGTTTTCAAAGGTAAGTGTGTAGGCAGGTGAGTGGCTAAGCGTTTCAGATCTGGTGAAGTTTATCAATAATGATAAGAAGGTTGCCTGAGATAAAAAGGTTGCCAAGAAAAAGTTTGACAACCTTGGCTGCTCTCACAAGACTAACATTCTAAAAAGTTACTGGAGAATTCAAAGAATAACAAATACAGGAATTTAGTAATAATAAATACCTGCAATCATCCTTTTAAAATATTAGACAGTCAAGAGAATTTCAACTGGCATAAAGCTAAGTGCATGTTAACTTTTCTTTGAATCGTGAGAGATAAGTTTAAGAAAAAGATCTGTCTCCTGGTTTTACCTCTGTGTTGTTTAAAAATTCCTCAGCATATCTGCAAATCAATTTAACTCTTAATACTTGAGCAGCTCAACCTCACAAATCCCTACAAGTTATAAAATTATTAAAAGGTTTCTTTCTGGGTGTCTGTGTAGCACTTCATACTCCTCAGAACGGTGTTACCTCCCTGCCTCCAGGGTTCAATTCTGTTCAGCAAAAGCTTACTGAATACCTTGCCCTGTGCTGGGAACTGGTGGGACAGAGAGAAATTTAAACAGATCATTTCAACATAACATGACAAATGCTTTGATTGAATAATATATGGAGTGTTCAGGGAAGGAGAGAAAGGGCACTTATCATGGTAGAATAAGGGAAGGGCACATGATAAAGGAAAACGTCCTGGATAACTGCATTTCTCAGGGGCAGAAAAGGGGATTGCCTGAACAAAAGCATAGAGTCAATGATGCATATGGAAGGGCACATGCTATTTGACATTGCTAGAGCATGACGTATGAGGCAGAGAGAGATGAGCCATTACTCTTGGAGAAGAAGGAGACAGGACACAGGAATTTTGTAAGACATGCTATGGAGCTTAGATTATAAATTATAGATCAGTTCTTCCCAAATATGGCTACATATGAAAATCATCTGATGGATCCTTAGGGACCCTGATTAAGTAAGACTGGCCAAGGGACCTGGAATCTGCATTTTAGAAAGCTCTTCAGCCCGGGGCACCAATGAAGGGTTATAAGCAAGGAACAGGCATTAGCAGATTTACACTTCAGATAGATTGTTTCAGCAGTAGTGTGGAATATAGATTTGAAAGTGGGGAAAGACTACAGCCTCAGGGATGAAAGAGAAAGCTACTGAAATAGCCTATGCTAAAATATGATGCATCCTGGGCCAGGGCAGAGATACAAAGTGGAAAGGAAGCCATAAATGTGAGAAATCATTAAGGGAAAAATCAGCATGACATTATAATTGGTTCAATGTGGGAAAGTCAGAGAAATAGAGAGGAATCTAGGAGGACTTACAGATCTCTGGCATTGGAAACCAGGTGGACAGTAGTGCTGTGAATACAGAGGGGGTGTGCAGAAAATGATGCAAGTCTGGACAGGAGGGCTTCAGTGAGGAGCTCAGGTCTGGACTACTTGAACATGAGATGTCTGATGACTCTAGGCAAGGGGACTTGACCATATTTCAACACATCCAAAGCTCAGGGGACACTTGTGGGCAGGCGATGGAGTCATGAGCACACAGTAATAACTTCTGCATCAATCTTTCCCTATCTCTACTGCCCTACTCTCATCTCTCACCAGGTTTATTTCAACAGCCTCTTTACTGGTCTCCCCAGCTTTGGGCTTGCCTCCCTGGAGTCCATTTTCCTAAATTCAGCAGCCAGACAGATCTTTCCAAAAAATAAATCTGATCTTCTCACTTCATTCAGAATACTCTTCCACTGATTTGATTTGGGGCCTCCTGTCACCTTCAGGATAGAGCCCAAACCACTAGTCATGGCTGCCAGGCTCCCAGACACACTTCCCTTTTCCAGCCTCTTCTCTTGGCCCTCTCCACTTGTAGTCCATGCCGTAGACTGTGCACCCTGGACAGTGTCACATAGAGTGCTATGGGGGTGGCACCCCCTGAAGTTCAACAGCACGGAAGCCCTGACTGGTATGACATGGTTCAATGTCCAGAGTTTAATTTTAAGAATCAACAACTAGACAAAGTAATGATATTGACTCAAACTTACTATTCAAACCAACCTTTTATTCCTTAGGCTTGTGTAGCCTGCCCTCAGAGAGAACTATGATGATGGACATTATCAAAAGGAATGAAAAAAGAATTGACCTGTAAGAATTTTTTTTAATTCTTTACATGAAGCAGTGTTTCTCAAAGTACAGTGATCTAACTACTTACAAGAACCACCTAGCTGCCTGATAAAATGCAAATTTCTGGGCTATAGCCCAGATGATTGAATCAGAAACTCCGTGTGTGAGGCTAAAAAGTTGCATTTTTATCTTCTTCCTAAGCGATTCTTATACATACTAGGTTAAGAACCAAATACTTAAAGATAAGAATTGTACCAAATCAGAGCACTTCTCCTTGGCTTAATTTCATTTCAGTTGTATATGATGCCTATGTCAGATTCCATAACTTCTCAAGCCACCTACACTCTGTGGTTAGAGAGGGAATAGGATGAGACAGTGGTGGTGATAGTAGCTTGAATAGCTGTGAAAAGTTAGAGAATCCCCATCAGAATAAATTAGGAAGGGGTTGGTGTGAAGGTTCAAGGATTTGTACTTTGTGATGAGGTAAAATGAGGTTCAACAGTGATCGAGTACCCTTGGAAAGTTGATTTGGGGCTTACATCAGGTGTAAAGAGTTTTCTCATGTTCAAATTCAAATTTACCTAAGATTGATTGAGTATCTACTATACGCCATCCAGACTGCCAGGTACTTTAGTAATTTAACAAGCAAATATTAAGCATCTCCTTTGAGCAAGACACCAAGCTATGCTTTCATATGCATTATCTCATGAATTCCTGCAGCCGCCCTGGCTAGCATGTACTTGCCTGGAGATTTGCCACCGCTTAAAAAATGCCAAACAATGGTTACCAATCTTGTCACATTTCTAGAGCATCCATGAATTCATGGCTCTTTATTTGAGGGCGTATTCTCAATCTGAGATATGAGCCTCCTGGTATGATAAACTCAAACTTTCCACCAGAGATTCATTGAAAACTCATTCACATATTCACTCATTCCTTCATTCCTTTAGCAGTTTTGAATGCCTAATATTCTAGAAAACTTAGAACATTCTGTGAACATTCCCTTTTTACTTTCTTCACTAAGGTTTGGAGAAAGCCAGAGCCAGACGTTGCAGACCAATTATGTTGACTACTTGGACGAGCTCGCCTTAGAGATAGGTGCGAAGCCAGATTTCTGCTCTCTCTTGTTCAAAGATCCTAAACTGGCTGTGAGACTCTATTTCGGACCCTGCAACTCCTATCAGTATCGCCTGGTTGGGCCTGGGCAATGGGAAGGAGCCAGAAATGCCATCTTCACCCAGAAACAAAGAATACTGAAGCCACTCAAGACTCGGGCCCTGAAGGATTCATCTAATTTCTCAGTTTCTTTTCTGTTGAAAATCCTGGGCCTTCTTGCTGTTGTTGTGGCCTTTTTTTGCCAACTTCAATGGTCCTAGTCAGCATAATGCTTTGGGCTTTATTATCTTGTCAGTCACTACCTCCTAAAGAAAAAAAAAAAGGCTAGAAGAAAAAACATTACATTCATGTTCTAATTATAGATTTTAGAGTTAGGTAGTACAGGTAAGGGGGAAATTGTAAAGAATTAGCAGAATTAGGCATATGTACAAAACCAAAATTTTGTCATGAAATTTTGCCTTTCCACGCTTCCCTCAGTTCACCAAAGTTACCAAAATGTAAAATAAAATAAGACTGGCTCAGGTAAGTAGTGCTGCCAACCCTGATATAGGGGAGTTGTATGGAAAAATAGTAGAATTACACAGCATGAAAAGCAGCCCATGGTTTAAATTATTGGACAATTTAAATTGTGGGTAAATATTTAAAACTCCTGAACAATGTTTCTGATGGTCTTCTATCCACCCTACTTGGTAACAAAGTTCTCAGATGTTAGGTCATGTTTCATTTGCTCAGTCGGGGATCACTCAAAACTACTAGACAAAAAAGTGAGAGGATAGATTTAGAAAACATCAGTGATGCTCAGATAAACTTTTAGGACCTCATATTAAGAGCTAAGCAAATGGCCACATTTCCTATATTTTGACAGAGATACTGCTGGAAAAATTAAAATTAAAATGCCATAATAGCTACCTAACAAATATATATGTTTAATGTTTATCATAGGCCAGACATTGTGCTATGTGCATATCATATGTATTATTTCATTTAATTCTCACAACAATTCTGTGAAATGGTTACAGCTATTATAGTCATTTCACAGATGATGAAACTAAGATTCAGAGCAGCTGATCTTGTGAGGCAGCTGGAATTGGAACTCAGATTTGTTGAACTCTAGAACTAAAGATCATAATGTTGTCTTGTAATATATTTATTTACAAAACACTTCATTATTTATAAAGAATTTACTAACAGTTTATCTTATTTATACCCATACATCTGCTACTTTGGGAGGCCCTTTACATAGAAAACAGCATTCTTTTTGCCAAATATGACCAAATTACTTTTATTTATAATTTTTGATTTATATTTCAGCTAGATCTAAAAAGCATCTGAAGGAATTTACAATGAAAGATACCTATGCAATAACATTTAGGATAATCTTTGACATTTTGGAAAAATAAGAATTGAGGAAAAAAAGTGTATCTTTCAAGTAGATGCAAAGCATTATAATGACTGACACTTGTATCTAACTCCAGTCTTACAGATAACTAAGGCAAAAAGCTAAATAAACAATATGTAACCTCTAACATTTGGTAAAAGGAAGTATACTGGTCTGTTAGCAGAGACAAACTTTTTTTAGAATTGAAGTCTGAAACAAACAAAAGCAATTCAATGTCAATAGACATTAAGCAACATAATAGACAAACATCTCCTAAGGGAACATTTGTTACAGCTGCTCCTTCCCTGAACTGTGCTTTGGAAGATAAGCTCTGTCCTGAGTCCAAACCAAGCCCTTCCAAGAGAGAACAAAGGTCAGAGATGTTGAAGATTCCAGCAAATTTCTCCTCTTATTTCTACCAAGCCTTTGTGAACATTGCTCTTCATTTTGGCCTGTACTTCTCCCTCAGGGACGTAGAACAATGGAATGTCAGTCAGTCTCTGTAGTTAAAACTTTTTCTTTAAAATTCAATTAAGGTACTTCTCCCTCAGGGACGTAGAACAATGGAATGTCAGTCAGTCTCTGTAGTTAAAACTTTTTCTTTAAAATTCAATTAAGGTACTTCTCCCTCAGGGACGTAGAACAATGGAATGTCAGTCAGTCTCTGTAGTTAAAACTTTTTCTTTAAAATTCAATTAAGTTACACCAGAATTTACAGGCAAGATTTTTTTTTTCATTGCTCCCATAAGCAAATTTGTTTTAAAATAATTGTAAATGAGGTATATACTTAGTTCTTGGTTAAAAAATATATTGCTTTGTTAAGTATTAAAGATTATTTGTAAGTCATTGTATTAATAATACTAATAAAATTTATCAAGCCTTTATAGCAAGGGTCAGTGAATTACCACTGCCTGTGGGCCAAATCTAGCTCACTATCTGTTTTTGTAAATAAAATTTTATAATAGTACACAGCCACACTCATTCATTTATTTTCTGTGGTTGCTTTCAAGCTACAATTGTAGAGTTGGGTAGTCGCAACAGAATCTCTGTGGCCCACAAGGCTAAAATATTTACATTCTCACCCATTACAGAAAAAGTTTGATAATTCCTGCTTTATAATATGTAAGGCATTGTCCCATTTTGCATAACTTGCCTTATTTCATCATTATCACTACCCATTTAGTAGCTATGGTTGTTATCTTACTTCTACAGTGGAAGAGATTGAAAAGCATTTGTCAGGTTAATGCTAAATCAGTGCGGAAATATAGCTCCACTAGGAAAATATTATTAAATTTATATCCCTAAAATTTTTAGAAATCTCTCAAAATCTTTCCAAATGTTCTGGTATCTTTGAAAAATGTAAATAGTTTATTTATAGAGAACCCTACCTCTGAGGTTGACTCAAAGGTTAAAGAAGGCTCATCAGTCTATCCTTCTGCCTCCATATATCCTGAACATCAAACTATCCCAGGAAAACCATCTAGAGTAGTTTGTTTCAAAATATTAGCCACAGACCACCTACATCACAATAACTCAGGGAGCTTATAGAAGTGAAGATTCCTGAATATAAACATAGTAATAATTCAACCTACTGAATGGAAATCTCTGCTGAAATCCACAGTTTTCATAAGCTCCCCAGATGATTCCTGTGTACATTAAATCTAGAAACCATTAGTTTGAGATCTCTCAAAAATAAAAATAAAAATTGCTTTCAGAGAGTAGCCCATGAAATTTCCCATTCTTCAAGGACAAATTCCTTCTGTTCAGCCTTGGTCCTCCAACTGCAGTTTACAATTTTTGTTCTTCTCCTGTAAAGAATGTCAATGGTTATCACCTTCAATAGTTTCAATATGTCCCCCAAAGTTATGTGTTTGAAACTTGCAATAGTATTGGGAGATGGGGCCTAATGAGGTGATTAGGTGAAGTCTCTGCCCTCATGAAAAGATTAATCCCATTATCTCAGGAGTGTGTTGGTTATAAAAGCAAGTTTGGCTCCCTCTTTTCCTCACACACTCTTTTTCCCTTCTGCCTTCACCTTTGCCGTGGGTGGACACAGCAAGAAGGCCCTCATCAGATGCTGGCCCCTTGGTCTTGAATTTCCTAGCCTCTACAACTAAGCCAAATAAATTTCTGTTTATTATAAATAACCCAGTCTCAGATATTCTGTTACAGAAACACAAAATGGACTAAGACACCACCCTTTTCCAAAATCTCTCCTTGTGATGGCTCCCTTTACTAACCTTTCTTTTAGCTATTCCCTTTATGATAGTTTCTTAATTTTTTCTATCAAAAGCTAAATATGGCACACTTGTTCTTTACAGAAAAATAAAGATATTTTAAACAAAATACTAGGGCCATGGTATGTAATAAAATTTGAAACAATAATTTCAAATAATAAAGATTGAAAATGCTTAACCCAGAAAGAATCCAGCATCCACATTATAATGAGGATTAAAAGGGAAGCCTCTTTTGTACCATCAGTCTTTCATCCGGGAAGCTGCTGCTCCTGACCTGCAACTTTGGCTGTTTCCAAGGAGGCAGAATGTGTTAACAGGACTCACTTTCTTGCCCATTATGCCCTGTGACTAAATGGATTAATGAAGCTAAGTACAAGGCTTCTAAGACTAGATTCTACTTAATCCAGGTCACATGTCAAAATGAGACTAAATATGCAAGGATTTTATTAAGGAAAATACCCGTATAAAGGAAAATAAGGAGAGAGTATGCTAAGGTTTGAGTGTGTCCCCCAAAAGTCCATGAGTTGGAAACTTAATTCCTCCATGCAGCAGTGTTGGGAGGTAGAACCTAGTGAGAGGTGTTTGGGTCAGGGAGGTTCCAGCATCACGAAGGAATTCAGACAGCCATCTCTTTCCTCTTCCACATGCCCACTTCCTCTTTCACTTCTCTGCCATGTCATAGTGCAGATCAAGACATTCACCAGAGGCCAATTAAATGACAGTTCCTTAATCTTAAACTTCCCAGCCTTCAGAACTATAAGAAATACATTTCTTTTCTTTGTAAAAGAAAATAAATTTATTTTGCTTTATATATTCTGCTATAGTAACTGAAAGAAGACTAAAATAAAGGAGTGAAAAGCTGGAAGAGTCATCAGATTGCAACACAAGTCTGACACTGAGTGAAAAAGAGAGGGGAGAAAGGTTGGGTAGAAACATCTTAGACTGCTGTGCAGTCTAAGGAAGATTCATCAGGACCATTGAGAAGTCTTCAAGCCACCAAAGGTGTCCCAAGTCTCTCTAACATACTTACCCACTGGCTGAAAACAGCTCATAGGAAAGCGAGACTTAGCACAAGCACCGAAATGTATCTCAAGTACAGCAGCTGAAGAGCTTGGTCAATTATACTGCCTGTACTAACTATATTAGAGATCCATGAGGCACATTCTCATGGCTGCCACAGGTTTATCACCTCCTTTGTCATTCAAAACTCTCTAATTGATTGTAACCTATCTTCCCAGCCTTACCTCCCACTGCTATGCCCACCATGCTTGCTTTCCGGCCAAACCATGTGACTTACTATTCTACAGAGATGGCGGCACTTGGTCTTGCTTTGTGCTGTTGCAGGATTTTTCCATAGTTCAACTAAAGTCGGGGTTCTTTGTCCCACAGCCATGAAAGTTCAGGCTCACAGACAATTTGAATGGTGAGTAAGACAGGGCTTTATTGAGTAAAAAGGAAGAATTAAAAGGAAACAGGGATTCTCCGCAAGGCCGGAGTCCCTTGCTAGAGTGCTTCCTGCCCTGGAGTTCAAACTCCAGTTTCCACACGGGAAGAGGAGGGGCCAGGCTCCTCCCCACTACAAATGGTGCAAATTTTTGAGGCTCCACCCCAGTGCGCAGGTGGGTTGGAGTTTTTCCAGGGACCTTCTCCCACTTGGCTGTCTCATTCCCCCCTCTAAAGAAGTACATCTAACTGCCCTTAAAATAAGGATAAGGACAAAGACAAATCTTAACAGCTTCCTGCTGACAGGTGGCACTGTTTTGGGGAAACGGCAGTCAGAGCTTCCTCAGAGGCCTATTTAAGGGTTCCTGGCAAAAGGGGCCATTGTCAGAGGCTCTGGTTGCATGACCATTTGGAGTTCGATGGCCTGAAGGCAAGGACAAACAAACCGGGTTATTAGAAAACATATATCAAAGCAAAACAAAGGGAGGGACAAAGACAGCTCAAAAATTCTAAGGTCTTTTTCCAGTTTGCACAGGGAGAGGGAGGCCAAAAGCCTGACTGGTTAAAAAAAAATTGTTTAAAGTAAAAAACTTCACCTTTTTGCCGGAATGTTGGGCTTCTGGGTTTCCTTCCCCTGAGCCCAATCCTAAGCCAACCAGTTTAAGGTTTGGGAAATTAACTCTTTCCAGTTTGGAGGATGCATCTGATGTGAGTGTCTCATAGTATGAAGATGCAACTACCTATTTGTGAAGAGAGAACTGAGGGGGAAAAAGGAAAAAAGAAGGCATTTTTTAAAGGAGTCCCAGGGGTTCAGGATGCATTCGAAAGAGGTACAGACTGAAGATGAATCGCTACCCATCTAGAAAGAGGAGAGCAGACATCTCTGGTTCCCTTCTTTTCCTAGCAGATACATGGGATACATGAGGGAAAGAGGGAAGAGTGTCCTCTTTTCATCTTCCATCCTTGCATCCCCAAGTTCCAGTGACCTTGGCAGGTGCTGCCATGGGTTTTAAAGTGGCTTGCACCCATGAAGCAGGGGGGGTCGGCAGGGGAGTCATCCACTTTTACCCACGTATGCCGTTTCCCCTGCTGTCAGTAGTCTTGGAGTTCCCTAGATCGCATTTATGCTATGGATATTAATATAGCCTTTATCCATGAAACAGGAAGCTTGGGCTTGGCTTAATCAGCAGGAATGAGCCACACTCACCTGTGCTGTGCCTTTTAACCTCTGTTGCTATCTGCCTCTGGATTCCTCAGATCCAGTTTTCTTCCTAGGGCTTTGACCCAACACTTGGAACTGAGTCTGGGACAAGAATGTATCTTGGGGGGTTGCATGGACTCCTTATCATAAGCCAAATGCTAAAGTGAGGCTGTGGAATTAAGTCCTCCAACAAGGGAGAGGAAAGGATGTCTTGTGACACACCCAGATAACTGGTAGCTGTAGTTACGCTTGCCGGGATTTCGGTGCATGATGCTCAGCTTTGGTTAGCTCCCTTGGTCTCACTGTCCCCAAAAGAAAACCTCCAAGTCTGGGGCATCCTATTTATTCCCATCACCTGGCAGGATTTGCAGGATAATTGCTCGGAACTAGACTATTGATCCAGATTTCTATGTTACCCATCCCTTTTGTTCTTTCTGAGCTGCAGCCAGGGATTGCTGGTTGGTTCACAGGAGCAAGCAGGGTTAGTCTAAAATATAGGCAAAAACTCAAAAACAACTATTGAGTTTAGAATTTAGTGACAAATATATGATAAGTTTTGGAACGTAATTTCTGTCTCTCCAGTCCTCATTTTTGTTAAGAAACAAATAATCATAGGAATTAGTTGTTTAAATAGACTTTAGTCTTATACTTGGCCTGATTATTTGCATAAAGTCCAGCAAGAATAATTATTTTTACATAGGCCTTTTAGATTGGCTTTGATGGAAGTCTGTTCCACAAGGAGTCTCAGATAAGACCTTTTAAAACTGAGCCCATCCATGGGTTTGTATCCTTAAACACCTGTGAGTTGGGTGATCCTCTCCTCTTAAGTTCCCAAGATAAACTTGGAGCTCCTAGACCTGTTAGAAAGTGATATTCTTTACTGACCACAGGTCAGGAACCCTGTACAGGGACTATGTAGACAAGGGTATGAGGCCAGTTTCCTCACTGGGCTTTTATTGGCTCTGTCAGTTGAGATTAACTCCTTAAGAGGAAGCATACCCTTCCAGTCAAAGCCTTGGTAAAATAACCACTTTCTCCAATTGTGTTCTGTTGCAAAAGAAAAATGGATTCTTATTGCATGGATGCAAACAACTATATTGCCATAAGTTAAGAATACTCACAGATAGGTTCTAAATTCTGGAGGAACTGGGCAGAGAGAGAGAAACAAACATGCTCCAAATTTTGATAATAGGAGTACACCTTGCTTAATTATTAAAGGCCATAAATAGCTCAAAATGAGTTTCCTTGACTGAAAAACAAAACAAGGGTCATCAATATTCCAAGCAAAAGTCAAAAAGGTTGCTTCAGCTTTTTCAGTTCAGTCCATTTAGTTAACTCTTGTTTTGCTTGATATTTGTGAATATTTCAGCTCTTTATGAGTCCTGTACATTTTCTTTTATTCCAATGTTACAATCTCTAAAGTTATCAGAAATCTGTTTTTGAGAGCACCTGTTAAAGTTCTATAGCTTGTTATAAACAATCTTTTGAAAAGGATTAAAACAAGACAACAATTGTCTGTGAATTACAAAATGTCCAGGGTAGTTACAGTTAGAAACAAAATCGACAAAGAAGTTTGGTTATCTCCATGGTTTACAATAACATCACAACCTTATTATGATTGATAGCATACACTTAGACATTAGAATTTTAGAAATCCCATACAATATTGGAACATATATTAGCATTATTTACCAAGATATAACCTAAAGAAGACTGAACATCATTTTGGCAATACCATGTACCTAAACATGTCAAATAATCCTGTTTACTTCTCTTTTCTGGACATTCTAGGGGCCCTCTGGACTATCCAAAGAGTTAGGTGTCAGGAAAGACCATTTGGAAACTGAAGTTTGATTTTGGGAAGCCTATTAAATAAGTTTAAAGCACTTGATATTATGAAATAGAATTCCAGGTTACCATAAATTATTTATTTTGCCAAAATGGTACTGAGAAATTTTAAAGAAGCAAAAACTTTTATAACCCTTTGAATTTAGTCAATATGTTCACATAGACAACCTCTTCTGCAAGATTAACTTCCACAATGCTTCTATCACTTGTTTGAACGTTCAACTTTTCCTACCTAACTCAAAACAATCCTTTAATCCAAGGCAAAAGTTTACATTTCCATGCCTTCTTATAACCTTTTACTAAAAAACACATTTTACCGTTCTTAGGCATCTTGCGTGTAAATCTATTTTTAGATTACGTGATATAATGGTAACTCCTGGCAATTTTTAACTTTAATGTAAAACCTGCTAAATTGCTTTAATTGTGTGGTAAGTGCTGCAAAGGTTTGCCTTCTTAATCTAGGGTGTGTTTAGTTCCATATATTCCCAGGCCCTACCAATTGTGAAGCAGGCAAGACAGACAGGTCTCAAAACCCAAAAAACAGTTTGTAACCTCAAAAAACTTAGCAAACCTTGCATCTGACCTGCATTTTACCGTAGTCTTTACGGCTGTTTTTATTTCTTAAAGATTAAAGTCAAATGAACTGAAAGGTACCAGAAATTTTATCTTTCCTTTAAAAAATATTAGATTCAAGTGTTTGTCCTTCTTTGGACCAGATTCATTAGAGCCGTTTTTACAGACATCACACACAGTACACAAGCAGACAAGCACAAGAAAACCCAGTCACTGGGTGGGTACCTTTAAGAGACAAGGCTAGGAAAACATGCAGACATCAAACCAGAGAGGGCTCATCCCCTAAGGCAGGATTGCTAAGCAAAGCCTTGCCAAGCGGTGGTTACCAGCCATGCCCTCAGGATGTAAAACAAAATGGAGGCTTGATTTCACAATAAAAGCTTTGCAGAAAACATAAACGGTGATAGGTGTGGGGCCTGACCTAGTAAAAAACGTCTTCTAAAAGAAAAAAAAAATTAAAGGTTAACTGCTGATGGAGTGGGGCAGAGAAAGAAAAAAAGTTTTAAAATGCCTGGGAAAGACCCTCTTATTCTTATACAACTGGTTCCTCCACCAGGAGAAAAGCTTAATTACTGTCCAATGGAGTAAAGCCCCTTAGCAGGGGAAGGTGAAGGCTTTGGTGGTGCATGGTGGAAAACAACAGCCAGCTGGCTGTACAGGACACTTGGACCGTGCGTTCCAGCCCCAGAAGGGAGGGGAGAGCAGCGGGGAGGTGCTGCTTGCTGGTCAGTCCCAAAAAAGGAAGGAAAAGGCCTGGGAGCAATAGATGATTGGGGAATGGTTTCCCCTACCCTCAGAAATTTGAGGATGAAAAGGCTTAGAATGAACGTTGAGAGGTTTTGAGTCCCCAGTTCACTTGCCACTTCTCAAGCCCCACGTTGGGTGCCAAAAATGTTGTAGGACTCTTCCTTAGTTCAGCTAAAGATGGGGTTCTTTGTCCCACAGCCACAAAAGTTCAGGCTCTCAAACAATTTGAATGGTGAGTAAGACAGGGTTTTATTGGGTGAAAAGAAAGAAAAAAAGGAAACAGGGACTCTCTACAAGGCCAGAGTCCCCTGCTAGAGTGCTTCCCACCTGGTCATTCGAATTCCAGGTTCCACACAGGAAGAGGAGGGGCCAGGCTCCTCCCCACTGCAAATGGTGCAAATATTTGAGGCTCCATCCCTGTGTGCATGCTGGTTGGAGTTTTTTCTGGGGACCTCCTCCCAGCTGGCTGTCTCAATGCTACTCCACTATTGCCTCCCCAGCCTCTAATAGTTAAAATTCCATCCTTCCTACAATGTCTAGGTCAAATGTTGTTCTCCCTCAGGCTTTCCTGAGTCCCTCCAGCCAAAAATAGTCTCCTCTGCTTCCGCATTACCAAACCATTTTGTTTTAACTCTGCAATAATGTTTACCCTCTTGCCTTCTACTATTAGGTTACTTTTGTAGTCTCTAGAAAAGTTACCTCACCTTTCTGGGACTGAGTTTTCTCATCTCAGCATATAATAGAGGGCAGATAATGACTAAAGTCTATCAAATCCAATATTCTATAATCCTAATTCATCCACTGTCAATGCTTTTATGATGGTTAAATTGAATGTCATTTTATCATGGTAACTGACACTAATGGCAAGATGACAATTTTGTACCTAATAGTCACATTGCCACTCTTCAGCATTGTAAAAAGTAAAGTAGAGGTTCCTCTTCAAAGACTTTCCTCCTTATCTAATTAGGAATAAATAGTAACTTCCCTTAAAAGCAAAATTTATTCAAAGACCTATACTAACATTCTTAAATATCTGCTAGCCATAATAAAGAAATCAATGTACTCTATGTTCTTAGCTCTTACAATTTAGCCTAAATATTTGCCTTGGCATGCTTACACTATTCCAAGCAAGCATTAGGTCATAGCCTGTTTCTCTTCCTTATTTGAAGGTGTTTTTACTTTTCTCAACATTCCACAAGTTATTTCCCCCTTCCTTTGTTCTCCTCTGCCTTTGCCTCTTTTAAAAAGTTGTAAGTTGCTAGCCAATTGGGACAAATACAGAATGTGAGGTCCCATTCCAGCCAATGGAAACTGAACACAGCAGTAAGGTGGACACATCAAGTTATAAATGACCCTGCCTCCTTTGTTTGGTGTACTGTCATGGCAAAACTGCTGGCAAGTGTACCCTTTCTGCAGAAGGCATAAAAATGGCCTTGCTGAGGAAATTAAATTTATGTTCAAGTGCTATTTCTTTACAGCACCAAGGAACAAACATTTCAAATAATTTGGTGGCCTGTACGGGGATACATTCTCATATGGAGGCAGTCTCCAGTCCTGTCTCATGAAGAAGCATGGTCCTCTGCCTCTCTGCAGTAGCCTCAAGGATAAGGACTCGAGACCCACCCAGTGTGATGAATAAACCCAGACTCTCAGTAACACACACACACACACACACACACAAAGAAAAGAAAAAAAGAAAGACAACAACAACAATAAAAACTGGCTGGCAACCTGGAGTAAAGCATCCTCACATATCACATGAACCAAGAAACTCTGTACACAGACAAGAAAAAAAAAAAAAAAAACAGAAAAACCAGTAAAGTATTTCCTTAGTAGTCAAAACCAAAGAAAAAGCCACAAGGCAGTAAAGCATTCCTTAATTAAGACATTCCGAAAAAAGAGAAACCACAATGGGGGGTAAAGCATTCCTTAGTCAGGACTAAGGAAAGAAAGCCTCGGGGGTGGGGAGGGGGTGGTGGTGAAGTATTCCTTAGTCAAGATGTCTTAGAAGTTAAAAAGAAGTAAGAAATCTCCATTAAGAAAGAAGTTGAACCTCAGAAAGAAGTGAAAAATCCCCATGGGGGGTTGAACCTCAAAAAGAAGTAAGAAATTCCCACTGAGAGGAGGTTGAACCTCAAAAAAAAGTAAGAAATCCCCATAGATAAGAAGTTGAATCTCAAAAAGAAGTGAGAAATCGCCATTGGTGAGGGGATTGAACTTCACAAAAACCTCTGGTAGTAAAAAAAATTATATATACGTATATATTCAAAATTCTCCTTTTCCCTCTTCTCCGGGAAAGAAAAGGCTAAGCTCCACTCCCGCCGGTTGCTCCCCTAGGGGAAGGGAAAGGAGAAAGACAGCAAAAACAGCAAGTGCGACACCAGACAGCCAGGCACACCAAGAGTTAAGCCCCTCTCCCCAGCCAGGCTCTATGTGAAAAAGAGGGCAGGGACTGATGCCAGAAGGAGAGTGTGGGGGACTGCCTGGGGCCAGGACTGCAGCTGTGCAAATCCCACCCAGCCCAAGAAACTAAGTGTAGGAAGAAAGGGGAAAAAAAAGTAAAAAGGGAAATCGGAAAACAAACAAACAAACAAAAACAGGAGAAACAGATGGCAATGTATGCGCAGGGGTGGGGCCCGTGCCGTGGCCTGACCCTGCCGTTGGTGGGAGCGAGAGAACTCAGGAGGGGAAAAGGAAACGGGATGACAGAGAGAGAGAGAGAAACAGAGTGCAAATGAGAGAGAGATAAATAGATGGAAAGAGTAAGTAAGAGAGAAACTGGAAGAGACAGAAATCAAAGAAAGACACAGAAGGTGAAACTACGAAAACAAAGAGTGTAAAAGGAAGGCAGAAAGTTAAGGCATGTTGAAGATTGTGAAAGTTGTAAGAAAAGTTATGAAAAGGAATTTATGCCAGAAATATTGTATAATTTAAAAAGTAAGTAGGCCTCCTGAATGTAAAATTATTTGAAAAACAGTTTATTTACAAGGTATGTAAGAAAAATAAAATATATTTTTAATAACAGGATTATAAGGAGGCATAAAAATATAGGTTTTTACATACATTAAAAAGTTAAAAATATATATTTTGTTTTAAAAGTTTAAGCAAGTTTTAAAATGTTAATTGTAAAGGAAATTCTGTGTGTAAACATAATGGCTAAAGTTAAAGAGGTATCATCCAGTTTTTCTGTGAACTGGACATTAAAATAAAAGCACAATAGATTTTTCTTAAAGCACTAACCTGCTCTTTAGCAAAAATTATAAACAGTTAAAAAGAGTCTATAAAAGTCTTACCTTATAGTCAGACATCAAAAATAGATTAAATATCTACAAGATTTTATTAAAATTAAGCTTAACATTAATAGCACATTAATATAAAAAATTTAACTTATCTGGTATAAAATCATACAAAAACACTGTCAAATATAAAACGGTGTTTAGCTTTCTTAAGGCCCAAAAGTGGCTGGGTAAGTCACAAGGCTCCTCATCCCCAAGGCCACAGTGCACAGGGGCGGTGAAGGCCACAAGAAGGCCAAGACCTTAAGAGAGGGCAAGGCCACAGCATCCCCTGGGCAGTGCTGAGCAGAGATGGAGCAGGAGGTGTCACCATGAGGCCTCAAGCCCCAGGATATGCAGCAGAAATTACACACTTAATTTATCTTCCACTTTCCCTTCCCTCAGAACTGAAAGTATTTTAGCACAAGTACCATTCCTAGAATTTCCAGTACACCAGCACCAGCCTGAAAACCACATTCTCATCAAAAGATAGAAAAAAACTCAAGCCAGCCTGGGAAGGATCCTATTTTATGCTGTTAACCACTGAGACTGCCGTCCACACAGCTGAGAAAGAATGGACCCACCATACTCGAGTCAAGAAAACATCTTCCTCTTCAGAATCATGTTACTGTACTAAGATCAAGCCCTACTAAGTTAAAGTTAAAGAAAGCTTAATTTTCATATACCTTCTATATTGCTTCCTTTCCTTTCCTTATTCTGTTACTAGCTTCTTTGTTATTAATGTAACTAAGTCTGACTCACCTCAGACCATTACCTTTAATGCTTGCTCTGTCATACCTTGTGGAGATGTAAAAGATCAATGACAGCTAGCCTTTTCACACAAATATTTATGACCCGGCTCTCTACTGGACACAGTTACCCCTAGCACTCATCATTGTGATCAGCTGCAGCCAAGACACTGATTTTCTGCTCCTGCAGCCTGGCAACCTTGTAGAAAATAGGACTATGTCCTTTAAACTACTTAGAAGCAAAGTTGGACTTCCACAAAAAAGGTTTGTGCAGATCTAAAACCCCTCATCTATTTCACTAAAAGGACTACCCCTTCTAACTGGCAGCCTTATCTATGTAACCCTGTCCTTCTCTTTATCACCACCTCCACCTTGACTAACTCTAGGCCAGCCCTTAGTTGCTTCTATGGTATGAAGATTGACATAAATGGAAAAGACCCCTAAGTATTTTTAAAGTATGCATGATTCTCCCATCTTCCCCTTCTTCAGTAGCCTCAGTTCTAGATCCCACACCAGTTGCTCCTACATCTAATAATAAAACTAAGCTGTCTGTTGTAAAAATAAGAGATCTAAGACAGACCTTAGCCATCAAGACAAAAATATCAAGATGCAAATGCCTGGCTGGAATGAATTAAATATTCCGTTCGCACTTTAAATAAAAGCGATTATTATGCTTGTACACATGGTAGGCCAGAGGCCCAGATTGTCCCCTTTCCACTTGGATGGTCTCCTTGTCAACCAGATATGGAGTGTATGGTGGCTCTCTTTCAGAATCCCATGGCTTAGGATAATACATCATGCCGAGCTCTCTATCTGCTATTTCCTGAAATTCAACACCCTACGGGTCAGCCCCCAAGGGCAATCCAGCTTCCATCTCAGATGGCCAAGTTTACTTCATGCCTCTCATAGCAAGAGGAAAATTTGGTGTTCCTTGGAAGCATAAAAAAAATGCAAGGAGCTCAAGTCTTTCCAAGAGCTTGATTATCAGTCTATGCTTAGCCATCCCCAAGCAAATGTATAGTAGTACTGTAGAAGACCTTTATTAGACACTCTGCCAAATAATTAGAACAGTACTTGTGCTCTAATCCAATTCGCTATCCCTTTCACCGTAGCAATTCATCAATCTAAAAAGGTAAAAACAAAACACCTCAGGCCAAAGGAAACTCCTTATGAGTCCTTTAATCCTCAGGTTTACATAAATGCCATTAAAGTCCTGTGAGAAGTGCCAAATAAGTTTAAAGCACAAAATCAATTAGCTGCAGAATTTAAATCCACATTGTTCTAGTAAGTAACTATAAAAAAAAGTAGGCTAAATAAACTATATCTATTACAATCAGCAACGATTCATAAATTACACTGAGGACACCATCAAAGAGATACCTAAGCAATTAGGACCTATCAGCCAGATGGCCTAGAAAAATAAAATAACTTTAAATATAATATTAGCAGAAAAAGAAGATGTTTGTGTCATACTTAAAATTTAATGTTATACCTTTGTTCCTAAAAATACTGCCCCTGACAGAATTATAACAAAAGTGCTACAAGAATTAAAAACCCTATCCAATAAACTTGCCAAAAATAATAAAATAAATAACCCTTTTTCTAAAGTAATAAAACATTTGTTCAGTAGATAAAAAGAAATTTTAACTTCAATTCTCACCTCATTTGCTGTTGTTATTGGTGTACTTATTCTTGTAGGCTGTTATATTATTCCCTACCGTCGAAGTTTTACACAAAAACCTGTCTCTGCCATGCTTACAGAGTTAACTCCTAACTCTCCTCCACCTTATTCAGAAAAATTACTTCTCTTAAAAGGACAAACAAAGCAATTAAGTCAAAACATATTAAACAAGTTTGAAGAAGAATTATGAAATAAGAGGAGGAATTGTAAAAAGTAAAGTAGAAGTTCCTCTGGAAAGACTTGTCTCCCCATTTAATTAGGAATAAATAGTAACTTCCCTTAAAAGCAAAATTTATTGAAAGACCTATAGTAACATTCTTAACTATCTGCTAGCCATAATAAAGAAATCAATGTACTTTATGTTCTTAGCTCTTACAATTTAGCCTAAATATTTGCCTTGGCGTGCTCATACTAGTCCAAGCAAGCATTAGGTCATAGCCTGTTTCTCTTCCTTATTTGAAGGTGTTTTTACTTTTCTCAGCATTCTACAAGTTACTTCCTCCTTCCTTTGTTCTCCTCTGCTTTTGCCTCTTTTAAAGTGTTCTAAGTTGCTAGCCAATCGGGACAAATACAGAATGTGAGGTCCTGTTCTAGCCAATGGAAACCGGACACAGCAGTAAGGTGGTAAGGTGGACGCATCAAGTTATAAATGACCCTGTCTCCTTTGTTCTGTGTACTCTCATGGCAAAACTGCTGGTGAGTGTACCCTTTCTGCAGAAAGTATAGAAATGGCCTTGCTGAGGAAATTGAATTTATGTTCAAGTGCTATTTCTTTACAGCACCAAGGAACAGGCATTTCAAAGAGCATGGTGCTATTAAAATAAAAACTTTAGACAAGTTAAGTTTAACATAATTTATTTGAGCAAACAAATGATTCATGAATTGGGCATTACCCTGAACCAGTAAAGGTTCAGAAGACTCTACCTGGCAATGTGGGCAGTCCATATTTATAGATAGAAAAAGGAAGTGACATAACAAAATAGCCTGATTTGTTACAGTTTAGCACTTGCTTTATTTGGACATGTCTGAGCAGTTTGCAGCCTGTGATTGGCCAAAAGCTCAGCTGCTACAGTTAACTGAGACTCAGTTGCTTGTTACAAGAATGTAGTCTCAAGGTAGGTTTATATATATATATATATATATATATATATATATATATATATATATAGGTTTATATACATATATAATGTATATATATAAAACATACATATAACATATATTATGCTTTATTTATATATATTAGGTTATAGTTTGCTTCATTTAGAGACAGCATTAGGCCAAAGTTTAATTTAACAATTCCCCTCTTTTATCAGCCTTTGAATTTTGAGAAATTGACCATAACCTAGGTCCAATTTTTTTCACCATCATAATGGACTTGTTTGGTCTCAGTATAAAATTCACAATTCACAATGTCGAATTTGTTGGATTATTCTTTATGTTTTCCTGATATTTTTGTTTTTCTAACTATAATGAGATTAGTTGATGTACAACGGATGGCTCCATATGAGCATTTGAGACTCTTAAGGGACCAGGCATGGAGGCTTATGCCTGTAATTCCAACACTTTGGAAGGCCAAGGTAGGTGGATTGCTTGAGCCCAGGAGTTCAAGACCATCCTGGGTAACATGGCAAAACCCCTTCTCTACAAAAATATACAAAAATTAGCTGGGCATGGTGGTGCACACCTATAGTCCCAGCTACTCTGGAGGCTGAGGTGAAAGGATAGCTTGGGTCCAGGAGGTGGAGGTTGCAGTGAATGGAGATCATACCACTCATACCACTGCACTCCAGCTTAGGTGATAGAGCCAGACCCTGTCAAAAGAAAAGAAAAGAAAAGAAAAGAGAGAGAAAGACTCTTAAGGGATACAATACATTAGGAAGAATATTATAATGGTTATCAGGAGGAAAAATACAAAAAATTAAAAAATTAAAGTACACTACTTAACAGGAGTCTCTACAAACCAAAATAATCTAAATTAAGCAATTTAAAGTTCAAGCAATAATAAAGACAATTCAACAGTATTCAAGTCCTATTGGTTATAGTCTTTGTTCAGGGCATGACGGTGATTAAGGGCCATAGTTAGTAGTAAAATGCCCTCCTTTAAAGAGGTGCCTGATTCTGTAGTTAGCCTGGTAACACAAGTCATACTAGTCTGAAGACCTACTAAAAGACACATAAAGATTTTAAAACCTTGGAATATTAGCCCCAAATGATTAGGCTAAAAATAAACAATAAAAAACCTTCCAATAGCCAAGTCTGCCATCCACCATTCCACCATTCTGGATACCTGCAAATCAACCATTAGCTGCTCCTGTAAACACATCATGTGTTCCTTTCCCGTGAGAAATTTCCTTGATGTATTTGGTGGCAGTGTCTAGAGAAACATCAGTATCAGCCACATTTTAAATTAAGCTTTTTGTAGTAGTAAAATCAGGAGAAAGGTAAGTACAATATTCAGTTTCGTTTAGCACTATACACAAGTCCTCAATGTAGGCAAAGAGAAGATCTGCGTGATGCTCCATTAAGTATTTTTGTTGAACATGAATGTTTTCATACACCTTTCAAAGAGCAGCTTCTATGCATCTGAACTTTTGGGCGGTCACATTGGCTACAAAATCTAAGATTTTTCCTAATTTACAGACTATCTTCAAATTCTATACAACCAGCACCCCAATACTGCCAAGAGTGTGCCCCCAATAACCCCACAGGAACATTTCCTCCAAGGAAACTAACTTATCTCCATCTATTTCAAGGTTTGTGCTAATTTTGGTTATTGATTGCTTTGGCCTCTGGTTATGAAAGATACAATGGGAACTTTCAGGAAAAGCTATTCAGAAGGTAGGAGGGAGACAGGCCATATAGCAAAATCTGAACCAGTGAGGAAGAGGTAAGTAAATTCTCTTCAGTCCCAATGTAGGCCCTCAGGGGCTAGGAAAGATGGCCACCTAGTGGTGTTTGAGCAGAAGTCAATTAAATTTGTCCACAAGTTCACATAGCTCCTGAGTAAGGTACAGTGAGAAACTTACTCAAAGGGTATGCTGTAAGGGTGCATAACCACATTTAGTGGAAAAGGAGCTTCCAGATTTAATTCAGTGACATCATACAAGCAATTACTCATACCTGCATTGGTAGTCCCCAGGTCTTGAATATGTGATATACCTTTTACAGACATCACTCAGATATGTTTTCTATATTTGGTAACAATTAGGTTATTAATTGGAAAGTTCGTGGTACTATTTCTAGTGAGTGTAGAAAAGTAAGTAGCAGTAATGTCTAGAATTTTAAGGAAAGCTTTCCACTCTTCCTCTAGGGCTTCATGATGACTCTCAATGGGAACACAGACATTGGCATGAGAGAAATTGTTTTCTGATATGGTGGCATTAGCCTACAAACCCAACAATTGCTCTCATTTCTTTTTAGGGCATAAGCTTTTGATAAAGCCACACACAGATTATGCTCCCGTGGATTTTCCTTTAAGGAAAAGGAAGTGATTCAGACAGCAGAAAACTAGGGGGAAAGGGGAGAAATAAGGCTTTCGTGATGACAGAGAAATCTTATTCTATGGTCTTAGGAAAGTGTCTATGTCTAGGATACCATCTGCCTCTGGGGAAAAACTTCCCTGGTCATCTTTACCTTAAGGCCTCCAACAAATATACACCAGGAGTCTGGAGGAGCCCTTCTTAGTAAAAAGATGTGAATACGAGACTCAAAACCCTGAGGTTTTGCTGCAAAGAAGAACTTGGTATAGTCCCTATCAAGGGCAGTCTTCCTCTGGTGTCATTTCCAAAAGACCCAACCTCATTGCTCTAAATCATGAAAGGTCTGCTTGTCATCAATTTGTGAGTCACAAAGGGCTTTTCTTACCTAGTGAAAATGTGCTTTGGCATAATGCGTCAAAGCATGGCACTATTGAGTCATGTCAGAGTTTACAAAAGCAAAAGATCCATAGGTTTTATTATTAACGGAATAAGCCTTGAAGTAACTATTTCATAATTTCAAATATTTAATTTCATAAGCAGTCAACCTAGATTTCTAGTGAGGATGAGTGTGATTGCCATCAGTTGATAATTGCCTTTGACTAAGGCAATCCAATCAATGTAGTTAGCTTCGCCTAATGCCATTGTATTTATAATATCTTATTTAACTGTTTTACAACTTGTCCAGTGAAATTCAAAGGTGAAGCAGGCTAGGCTTCTGGGTTGGGTGGGGACTTGGAGAACTTTTCTGTCTAGCTAAAGGATTGTAAACACACCAATCAGTGCTCTGTGTCTAGCTAATGGTTTGTAAACGCACCAATCAGCACTCTGTAAAAAAGGACTAATCAGCACTCTGTAAAATGGACCAATCAGCAGGATGTGAGTGGAGCCAAACAAGGGAATAAAAGCTTGCCACCCAAACCAGCAGTGGCAACCCGCTTGGGTCCCCTTCCACGCTGTGGAAGCTTTCTTCTTTCACTCTTCACAATAAATCTTACTGCTGCTCACTCTTTGGATCCGCACTACCTTTATGAGCTGTAACACTCACCGGGAGGGTCTGCAGCTTCATTCCTGAAGTCAGCGAGACTACAAACCCACTGGGAGGGACAAATAACTCCGGACACACCATCTTTAAGAGCTGTAACACTCACCGCGAGTGTCCATGGCTTCATTCTTGAAGCCAGTGAGACCAAGAACCCACCGGAAGGAACCAATTCCAGACACAAAATGAGTACTTCTATCACTGAAGATTTCTCCAGGAATGAATGATAAGGGAAACACATTTTCTTTTTTCCTTTTTATTTTTTTCTTTTGAGACGGAGTCTCACTCTGTCACCAGGCTGGAGTGCAATGGCGCAATCTCGGTTCACTGCAACCTCTGTCTCCCTGGTTCAAGCAATTCTCCTGCCTCAGCCCACCCAGTAGCTGGGATTACAGGCACGCACCACCACGCCCAGCTAATTTTTGTATTTTTAGGAGAGACGGGGTTTCACCATGTTGGCCAGGATGATCTCGATCTCCTGACATGATCCACCCGCCTCGGCCTCCCAAAGTGCTGGGATTACAGGTGTGAGCCACTGTGCCCAGCCAAGGGAAACACATTTTCTAATAAACTTTAGCTATTATTATGGCATCAGCCTTCCTGCATGGGAAAGCTTCTATACAACCAGAAAACATACATTTAATGTGTCACTTGAAGGAACTCCATTTTTAAGTGTTCAAATGATCCAGCAGGTGTGTATCACCTGAAGTTTTTATTTTCTTATCAGAACTATGAGTTTGACAATTTATAACCAAAATTGGTTATAAATTTTAGCAATTTTAAAAGTCATGCCATCAATATTTTTTCATAATTTGAATCATTTTATCTCTGTCATGATGAATATGGAATTCAGAGCTCTTAATAATGGAAGCTTTAAGGACTCAGGAAGGACCAAGCAGCTGTCCAGACTCTTCATGAGTTAATGCTTAATATTGCATTTACGTCTTTTTAAATACCAATTTTGTTTCTCCAATTCAGGTGAATAGTACTGCTCATTAAATAGGTTATCATAGGTAATTTGACAGTGATCAAACTTTTAAAGTTTATTCAAATTGCATATCTTAACAATTTCAGTACTGGCTGACTTAGCATAAAAGTCTGCCAAATCATTTCACTGATATCTAATTAATTCTTGTCCTGACATATATTGGGTTCACAGTTTTATGAACCAGTCAATTTTTTCATTGTAGAATTCTTAGCCAGTCCAATGGTATGATCTTAAAGTTATCAGAAAACTATATTTGTCAGTGTCCTTTTCATGAGTCTTCTTGAAGATGAAACACTTTAGGCTTATAGTTGCCCAGGAAAGTACCATAGTAAACAATTAACCATCTGTGAATGACAAGACTTAAAATTGCCATGGTTAAAAACCTGATGAGACCAGGCATGGTGGTACATGACTCTAATCCCAGCACCTTGGAAGGCTGAGGCAGGATGATTGCTTGAGCCTAGGAGTTCAAGACCAGCCTGAGCAACATAGTGAAACCCTGTCTCTACGAAGAATAAAATAATTAGCCAGGTGTTGTTGTGCATAGTAGTCCAGCTACTTGGGAGACTGAGGTGGGAGGATTGCTTGAGCCCAAGAGCCCAAGGCTTCAGTGAGACGTGACCATACTACTGCACTCCAGTCTGTGTGACAGAGTGAGACTCTGCCTCTGAAAAAAGAAAAGAACAGAAAAGAAAAGAAGATAAGAAAAAGCAAGAAAAGACAGACAAGAAAAGAAAAATAAAAAGACCTAATGAAAATTCACTACAATAATGATGGAATTGATAAGGAAATGAAGTTACTTCTGTTTCATACAACATTTTAAGATAATAACTAGAATTATGAATACCAGCATTATATGAGGACAACTTGATGTCTATGAATTTCATACAATTTCCAAACCATATAGTAATAACACATACACACAAAAATAACCCAAAGAAAGTTAAGCATTACTTATTTTTGACAGTACTATTCATATAATTTAATGTATCAAATAAGCCCAAATACTTATTATCTATCTTTTGTAAGGATGGATATCCTTTTGATGTGTTCCAAGGGCCCATGTGGAAAATCTCAAAGTTAATTCAAGGTCAAGAAAAAGGTTTAATTTTACATTTTATATTTGGGAAGTCTGTCCAAAATATCAAAGGTTTGAAACACTTGAGCAAAATATTTAATAGGATCACAGGTCACTGTGAATAGTAGTAATTTATTTAACCAAAGTGATAATTAAAACACTTCAAAGGCAAATATAGAAAGCTACATAGTTGTAGAAAAACTTTAGCTCTCTTAATAGAGAAGACTCAGTTCTCTTATGAAATAAAAAACCTAATAAAGACAGCATGAAGCACTGGACATTATCTTAGTAAAATACAGAATATTTATCTCCTACACCAATTATCTAAAATGGAAAGAAAAACCTTTCACAATTTCCTGTTAGAAGTAGACCAAGAAAATGTTGTTTTAACAGAAACACCAAATTCTAGTTTTGTATCAGTGTAGTTCTCATACTAATACTGAATTTTTAGAAAAACTTGTAAATAGTTCTTTCTAATCCTAGCTAGCCTGGTCACACATGAAATTTATTCCACGATTCATCTTCTACATTGAAAGAACATACAAGAAAAAAAAAGATTTATCTTTCACAAACTCTCTACAACTTTTTCATCATTCAGTTTTTGTCCTGTACTTTACCTCTTTTCATTTTGGAAAAACCAGTCATTCTACTTTAGTCCAAAAATTATTCTTTTTTCCTTAACAAAACATAACATTCTCATATCTTATAGCTTTTCCTTATCAAAAGTAAATCTTACTTTCCTTGTATTCTTGCATACAGAGTTGTTTCCATTATTAGTTCTAGTGATTTTACTTACATGTATTAATTAGAATTCTTAATCTCTAGTGACTTTAATTTCCAGGGAACATTAGGAAGCAAGCAGCTGTGAACTGTCTGTCACACCAGCAATCTGTAAATTGGCAAATGTATGATCATAGTTTCTAGAAGCACATCCTTTCTCATAGTACAATTTGTCAGTGTGGCATAGAAGATATTTACTAACATTCCCAAATATCCTTAGTCCCTCTGCAATAAGAAACTGTAGAGGAGGCAAAATTGCATGTCTGTCCTCCTAAGGGTTTGTTTTTGTTTGTTTGTGTGTTTGTTTGTTTGCTAGGCCTGAGAATTAAATTGTTGTTATTACAGATTACCCTCAGCCTCAACTTTTCTTTCTTGATAAGAATGTCAAAACTTTCTGGTACAGAAAGAATTTTTTTACATGAGAACTTTATCTTACATCCATTTAACTCACTTTTTTAACAATTTCACTTGGATTGCTTGTAAAGGTTAAATATTAAGCAGCTAGTCATCATCTTATTTTTCTTGCTGACAAGTTTTGTAATATAGACATAAAATAAATTTATTTTATTGGTAACCCTAGGTAGGAAAAGTCATGCATCTGTATTATATTTAGTACTGAAAAATCTGAAGACATGCCTGTTTTAATTAAACCAACAGTATCCTAATTTATCAAAGATTACCCAAATCATGTGAACTTGAAAACTACTTGGGTTAGTTCTTATTTTTCTAAACAAATACTTCATTTATGTAAACACTTATTTTTCTTAAAGCCAATTAGAGTTCTTTTAGCACTTAATTTAGCAATATCATAAGTAGATAGAAAAATATCACACATAGATATCATATATAGAGACATATATAAACATACAGACAGAAACAGATCTTACAGCTTTCATTCTAATATTTTAGCCGTGTGCCAGTGCAATAATACAAGCTCACTAATTTATTAAAGAATATCTGGATCTAGGCTTGGAACAGCGGCTCATGCACATAATCCCAGCACTTTAGGAGGTTGAGGTGGGAGGATCACTTGAGACCAGGCATTCAAAACCAGCCTGGGTAACATGGCAAGACCCTATCTCTACAAATGAATTTTTTAAATTACACAATTTTTTTTAAAGAACATCTGAATCCAAATATTTTCTGTTCATTAGAACTAGGATTTTTTGCCCAATGGCTAAAGATTTTGACTGGCATTTTTGAAAA
Organism: Homo sapiens; assembly: GCF_000001405.40. Lineage (NCBI taxonomy): Eukaryota > Metazoa > Chordata > Mammalia > Primates > Hominidae > Homo > Homo sapiens. Next base: position 171,232,588 of record NC_000001.11, read on the forward strand.
ATACTTTTAAGATGCTTTTCATTTGCCTTCTGTAAAGAACCTTTTAAAGAGAGAATCTTTGATTCATTTAATCCTTTAGATGCCTCTTTGTACCACTTACAGAATGCATTCCATTTTTTTTTTTGGCTTTTTGCATTTGTTTTCTAATGCACTTTGCAAGTGAACAATTTTATCTAGGTTAACACATCCCCACTGTAGTCACTAGTAAAGTTAACCCATTTTCCCCAGAACATACAGGTTCTGGGCCCAGAATTTGTGCACATAAAGGTAGCCAGTGTGGCAGAAAGTGGAGTCTCAGACTCCTAGAGTCCCAGACTCCTTTTTGATTTGAAAGGTACCTACATGAGGCCTCTAACTAGATCCAATCTAGTTAATTATTAAGTCCAATTTGATCCTAGACCCAGTCAACTAAAAAGTGCTCAAGTAAAGTTAGAGAGTTTATCACACAAATCCATGGAGCTCAAATTCAGGACAGAATTCACCCATGACTCCAGTTGTTACAAGAGATCAATGGGCACGATGAGCCCTGGTGAGTACTTTTACTTTGTCACTCAGTGCTCCTGGGGGTCCCTGAAGGTCTACTCCAAATCCAACTTCTGACACCAATTGCTCAAAGAAAAGCTGTAGACAAATTAAATTTAGCAGAGTTTATTTTAACAAAGAAAAAAATGTATTAATCAGGCAGCTGCCTGAACCACTAAAGGTCCAGAATGCTTCACCCAACAAGATGGGCAGGCAGTATTTACAGATGGAAAAAGGAAGTTATATACAGAAAGAGCCTGATTGGTCACAGCACAGCATTTGCCTTATATGGACATGTCTGAGAAGTTTTCACCTGTGATTGGCTGAAAGTTCAGCTACTATAATTGGCCAAAACTCAATTACAAAAATGCACTCTCGAGTTAGGTCATAGTTTGTTTACATTTTAAGTTAGAATATAGTTTCCTACAGAGGCATCTTTAGGCCAATTTAATTAACTAAATTTATTGATTAAATTAATTTATTAGATAAATAATTTATTAATTTCAACAATACAGTAATAGCAATTATACTTTGCAATCAAAGCATTACCACAAGTCATTGGATCATTTTAGGTGTGGAAGGGACTGAACAGAATGCTCTTAGATAAGAAAACAGGCTGAGAGAAATCAAGGCACTGCCCAGGGTCACATGACTGGTCAAGTCTTCTGAATATCGTGTGTTGCTTCTTCTACTACCAGTCCAAACAAACCATTGTAATAACTGGCTACTCAAATCATGTAGATGACAGTTGTATATCTAAAACTTGTGCTTTAATACTTAGGTTTCCATCTATATGCTCTCATATTCTGGGAGAAGGATTTTAATTATAACTAATAAAAAGAGTTTTATTGTTAGACATCCCTGCACTTTGAGCTGCTGGCTAATAGAGTAATTGATTATTAAAGAGCATCAGTTTCTCTAGATGTTGAGCTATTTCAAGTTTTAGCAACTTAAGTAACCTGGATAAAATACTAAAAGCCACTACACATTATAAACAATTCAATTTTATTTAATTATATTTAATTCTGACAACCTCTTTTGTGCATCAGGAAACTCAGAGAGTCAGAGTGATATGGTTTGGCTGTGTCCCCACCCAAATCTCATCTCAGATTGTAATCCAAATTGTAATCTCCACATGTTGAGGGAGCCACCTGATGGGAGGTGATTGGATCATGGGGATGGTTCCCCCATGCTGTTTTTGTGAGAGTGAATGAGTTCTCACAAGATCTGGTTGTTTGATAGGTGCCTGGTGCTTCCCCCTTCTCTCTCTTTCCTGCCACCATGTATCCTGCCACCATGTAAGATGTGCCTTGCTTCCCCTTCACCCTCTGCATGGATTATAGGTTTCCTGAGGCTTCCCCAGCCACATGGAACTGTGAGTTAATTAAACTCCCTGTCTTTATAAATTACCCAGTCTCAGGTAGTATCTTTATAGCAGTGTGAAAATGGACTAATACACAGAGTAAACAACTTTCCCAAGTTATATGGCCTACAAGTGGGCCCAGATGGGGTTTACTGCCAGGACTGTCTGACTCTCGGCCCTGTGCTAAATGCTGGCATATAGGATGATTAAACTATTTTTTTAAATCATGTTTTATCTCTGAATTCTTCAGTGTGCATCTTATATCCCAGATGGAATATTATGTTAATGTTTTGTTCCCTCTTTATATACAAAAATTACAAGTGATCCTCAACAGTATTGAAAAGTTGACAAACTACAGGTTGTCAAAGAAATTTCAGAAATGATTTTAAAATAGGTTTGGTAGTGCACGCCTGTAATCACAGTTAGTTGTGAGGCTGAGATAAGAGGATCACCTGAGCCCAGGGAGGCTGAGGCTGCAGTAAGCCATGGTTGTGCCACTGCACTCCAGCCTGGGCAAGAGAGTGAGACCCTGTTTCCCCCTCAAAGAATGGTTTTAATTTGTTTGTGTCCACATTCATAAATATTGTAATGATTTAGGTATTAAGGTATCTGTATAAAAAAGGGAACTGCATTTGTTCACTAAAAATATCCTCATAAGTGCCTGAAGAAAAAAGTAGACACTTTGAAGGACCTTGTTTTGGGCAGAATTGCATTCTCAGGATAACAGAAAGAACTTTCAAACAATTTAGAAGAGGAATGAAGGAAAAAATTAAGAACGAAAAGAAAGAATAGAGACAGTGGGATAACAGAATGCTGTGTAGGTTCAAAGTGATGTCTCCCTGTGGCCCTTTGTATATTCAGTAAAGTTATTAAACACAAAAAATATGTAGTGGAGGTGGATTTTTTGTGGAATTGAAAAGGAGCTAAGCTTTATACATAGATTGATAGGAGGCAAAACAATAACAGCACGATCTGAGGCCAATGCAGACATGGACAAAGCCATGAAGTAGTAAGCAGAAGTCATGGACAGAGCTGTGAAATTGATGGTATGTGCCTGGGTACAGGGAGACCCCAGCTGCTATCCAAGTTACATAAATCTTAAAAAAGTCCTCAGGTTGCCTGAGCCTTAGAAAAGTTGCTAAAAACTCTGTGTATCACATAAGAGACCAGCTTGGAGTTGTTACTTTTACAAGACTCATAGTATCATAGAAAGACCTAAATATCCTCTTCAAGCAAGGACATATGGCTTACAGTTTATTCATTTATTAAACATTTATAAAGCACCTACTACATGCCAGGCACTGTGCTATGTCTGGGAATACCAAGAGGCACAAGAAAAAAACAAATGCAAGCTTTTGAGCTTTAGTTAATAGAGTTCTGCAACTATTTACAAAGAACTTCTATAAATATTATCCTACCTGATCCCCACCACAACATTGTGGGTTAGGCAAAGCAAAAATGATTAAACCCCTCTACAGATAAGGATGTTAAGGAACTTTGATTCCTCACTAGTATCCTTTCTGCTTCACTCCACTATACTATACTACTCTAAATATAACAAGGCTGTGGGACCAAGATGGACAACAAGAAACAGTGGCATTTGAAGGCTCCCATTGAAAAAACCATAATATGTATTGGGGGAATCTGCCCCCAATATTTCAACGTAGGTTCTTTCTATTTTCCGTAAGTGTCAGTCAGCTGAGAAATAAAGAGAGACAGTACAAAGAGAGGAATTTTACAGCTGCGCCATCGGGGGTGACATCACATATCGGTAGGACCATGATGCCCGCCTGAGTCTCAGACCAGCAAGTTTTGATTAAGGGTTTCAAAAGGGGAGGGGGTATAAGAACAGAGAGTAGGTACAAAGATCACATGATTCAAAGGGCAAAAAGCAGAACTACTAATAAGGGTCTAACAAAGATCACATGCTTCTGAGGGAACAGGACACTTTCCGGAAAAAGCAGAACCACTGATAAGGGTCTATGTTCAGCGGTGGATGTATTGTCTTGATAAACATCTTAAACAACAGAAAACAGGATTCAAGAGCAGAGAACCAGTCTGATCACAGATTTACCAGGGGGGAGTTTTTCCCCACCCTAGTAAGCCTGAGGGTACTGCAGGAGACCAGGGTGTATCTCAGTCCTTATCTCAACTGCATAAGACAGACATTCTCCAGGTGGCCATTTATAGACCTTCCCCCAGGAATGCATTCCTCTCCCAGGGTATTAATATTAATATTCCTTGCTAGGAAAAGAATTTAGTGATGTCTCTCCTACTTGCAGGTCCATTTATAGCCTCTCTGCAAGAAGAAAAATATGGCTGTTTTTGCCAGATCCCACAGGCGGTCAGACCTTATGTATGTCTTCCCTTGTTCCATAAAAATCGCTGTTATACTGTTCTTTTTCAAGGTGCACTGATTTCATATTGTTCAAACACACATGTTTTACTATCAATTTGTAGAGTTAACACAATTATCACAGTGGTCCTGAGGTAATGTACATCCTCAGCTTATGAAGATATAAGTGATTAAAGTAAACACAGGCATAAGAAATTATAAAACTATGATTTGGGAACTGATAAATGTCCATGAAATCTTCACAATTTATGTCCCTCTGCTGCTGATCCAGCTGGTCCCTCTGTTCAGGGTCCCTGACTTCACACAACAAATATGCATGTGAATCCTTCACTGGCAACCAAGGTATCCAGGTTCTCTCACCAGAACTGATTAGGACGCTGGTTTGACCCACTGAGAGAAGGAAGAACAGTGTAGTATGGTGGCCCACCTGAGAGCCACATGGGGCTGGGGAGCCCCCTCTGCCTAGCCAAGGGGGGCGGTGAGCGTATTACCCAGCTGGGAAAACTGTGCTTTTCCCATGGAACTGTGCAACCCATGGATCAAAGAATTTCACTCATGAACACACATCACCTGGGCCTAGCATCCCAACCCCAGGACATGCAGACTCTTAACAGCCTTGCCGCTGGAATCTGCTTAAGCCTATGGAGCTCCCAGGGGGAGGGCCGATCAGCATCATGGCTGCATCTGCCTGCTGTCTAAGCCATTTGAGCTCCTTGCGGGAGGGGCAGCAGCCAGCACTGGGACTCACAACTGCCTAACACACTGAGCTCCCTGGCAGAGGGAAGGGCAGCACCCATCTCTATAGCCCCAGGCTGTGCTTGTCCCCTGCTGGAGCCAGGGAGGCTGGACAGCTTGCTCCCAAGACTTGTCCCCCACAGCCCAACACACCAGCTGTGGCAGTCTGCAGGCAGAGTGCCTCTTCAGGCCTGACCCTGACCCATCCTTCTTCAATGGGTGGGGCTTCCTTGCAGGAACTCCAATAACTCCAGCCAGAGGCTCAGAGACAGAATGCAGATTCCCTGGGGCCTTAGCCACTAGCAGGAGATGTGGCTACAGTCTCCGCAAACCAGAAGACAGCCTTTCTTCCTGGTAGTTCTGAGGAATCCATACAGTCCAGATGACTGGGTTTCCCCCAGTGAGGCACACCCCCTCCACCAAGGGACAAAGTGCTCCATTAAAGGGGTCCTGTTCCCCATGCCACCCACGTGAGTGAGACTCTCCAACAGCAGTTGTCAGACACCCCATACAGGAGCAATCCTACTGGCATCAGGTTGGTGCCCCTAGAGGTCAGAGGTCCCAGATGAAGGAGCAGGCACCCATCTTTGCTATTTTCCAGCCTCCTTGAGTGATATCTCCAGGCACAGGAGCGAATCAGATGAATAAGACCTGAAGTGAACCCCCAGCAAACTGCAGCAACCCTACAGAAGAGGAACCTGACCATTGAAAGAAAAACAAACAAGCAGAAAGCAACAACAACCGAATCACAACAACAACAAAAAGCCCCCACAAAAACCCCATTCAAGGGTCAGCGGCCTCAAAGACCAAAACTAGACAAACTCACAAAGATGAGAAATAATCAACAAAAAAATGCTGAAAACCCAAAAGGCCAGAGTGCCTCTTCTCCTCCAAATAATCACAACATCTCTCCATCAAGGGCACAGAACTGGACAGAAGATAAGCTGAATGAATTGACAGAATTAGGCTTCAGAAGATGGGTAATAAAAAACTACACTGAGCTAAAGGAGTATGTTCTAACCCAATGCAAAGAAGCTAAGAACCTCGATAAAAGGTTAGAGGAATTGCTAACTAGAATAATCAGTTTAGAGAGGAACATGAACAATCTGATGGAGCTGAAAAACATACGATGAGAACTTCATGAAGCATACACAAGTATCAATAGCCAAATAGATGAAGCAGAAGAAAGGATATCAGAGTTTGAAGACCACCTTGCTGAAATAAGGCATGCAGACAAGACTAGAGGAAGAGAATGAAAATGAATAAACGAACCCTCAAAAAAAATGGGACTTTATAAAAAGAGCAAAGCTACAATTGATTGGAGTACCAGAGGGAGATGAGGAGAATGGAAACAAGCTGGAAAACACACTTCAAGATATTATCCAGGAAAACTTACCAAATCTAGCAAGACAGGACAACATGCGAATTCAGGAAATACAGAGAACACCACAAAGATACTCCATGAGAAGACCAACTCCAAGACACATAATCATCAGATTCTCCAAGGTCGAAATGAAGGAAAAACTGTTAAGGGCAGCCAGAGAGAAAGGCCAGGTCACCTACAAAGAGAAGCCCATCAGACTAACAGTGGACCTCTCAGCAGAAACTCTGCAAGCCAGAAGAGATTGGGGGCCAATATTTAACATTCTTAAATAAAATAATTTTCAACTGAGAATTTCATATCCAGCCAAACTAAGCTTCACAAGCAAAGGAGAAATAAAATCCTTTCCAGACAAACAAATGCTGAGGGATTTTGTTACCACCAGGCCTGCCCTGCAAGAGTTCCTGAAAGAAGCACTAAATATGGAAAGGAAAAACCAGTACCAGCCAATGCAAAAACAAACCAAAATATAAAAACCAATGACACTATGAAGAAACTACATCAATTAGTGTGCAAAATAACCAAATAGCAGCATAATGACAGGATCAAATTCACACATGTAATTGGCCTTAATGTAAATGGACTAATGCCCCATTGAAAGACACAGACTGGCAAATTGGATAAAGAGTCAAGACCCATTTGTGTACTATATTCAGGAGACCCATCTCACACGTAAAGACACACACAGGCTCAAAATAAAGGGATGGAGGAAAATTTACCAAGCAAATGAAAAGTGAAAAAAAGCAAGGATTGCAATCCTAGTCTCTAACAAAACAGACTTTAAACCAATAAAGATAAAAAAAGATAAAGAAGGGCATTACATAATGGTAAAGGGAATAATTCAACACGAAGAGCTAACTATTCTAAATATATATGCACCCAATACAGGAGCACCCAGATTCATAAAACAAGTTCTCAAAGACCTACAAAGAGACTTAGACTCCCATACCATAATAGTGGGAGATTTTAACATCCCACTGTCAGTATTAGACATATCAACAAGACAGAAAATTAACAAGGATATCCAGGACTTGAACTCAGCTCTGGATCAAGTGGACCTAGTAGATGTCTAAAGAATTCTCTACCCCAAATCAATGGAATATACATTCTTCTCAGTGCCACATAGCACTTATTCTAAAATCAACCACATAATTGGAAGTAAAACACTCCTCAGCAAATGCAAAAGAACTGAAATCATAACAGTCTCTCAAACCAAAGTGCAATCAAATTAGATCTCAGAATTAAGAAACTCACTCAACTACACAGTTACATGGAAATTCAACAACGTGCTCCTGAATGACTCCTGGGTAAATAATGAAATTAAGGCAGAATCAAGAAGCTCTTTGAAACCAATGAGCACAAAGAGAAAATGTACCAGAATCTCTGGGACACAGCTAAAGCAGTGTTAAGAGGAAAATTTATAGCACTAAATGCCCACATCAGAAAGTTGAAAGATCTCAAAAAAACACCCTAACACCACACTTACAAGAGCTAGAAAGGCAAGAACAAACTAATCCAAAAGCTAGCAGATGACAAGAAATAACTAAGATCAGAGAAGAACTGAATGAGATACAGACACAAAGAAAACCTTCAAAAAAAAAAATCAATGAATCCAGGAGCTGGTTTTTTGAAAAGATTAACAAAGTAAATAGACTGCTAGCTAGACCAATAAAGAAGAAAAGAGAGAAAAATCAAATAGACACAATAAAAAATGATAAAGGGGATATCACCACTGACCCCACAGAAATACAAACTACCATCAGAGAATAATATAAACACCTCTATGCAAATAAACTGGAAAATCTAGAAGAAATGGATAAATTCCTGGACACATACACCCTCCTAACCAGGAAGAAGTTGAATCCTTGAATAGTCTAATAACAAGTTCTGAAATTGAGGCAGTAATTAATAGCCTGCTAACCAAAAAAAGCCCAGGACCAGATAGATTCACAGCTGAGTTCTACCAGAAACACAAAGTGGAGCTGGTACCATTCCTTCTGAAACTATTCTGAACAATTGAAAAGGAAGGACTCCTCCCTAACCCATATTTTGAGGCCAGCATCATCCTGATACCAAGCCTGGCAGAGACACAACAAAAAGAGAAAACTTCAGGCCAATATCCCTGATGAACATCAATGCAAAAATCCTCAATAAAATACTGGCAAGCTGAATCCAGCAATACATCAAAAAACTTATCCACCACGATCAAGCCAGCTTCATTCCTGGGAGGTAGTGCTGGTTCAACATGTGCAAATCAATAAAGGTACCATCACATAAACAGAACCAAAGACAAAACCGCATGATTGTCTCAAGAGATGTAGAAAAAGCCTTTGATGAAATTCAACATCCTTTCATGTTAAAACTCTCAATAAACTAGGTATTGATGGAACATATTTCAAAATAAGAGCTATTTATGACAAACCCACAGTCAATATCATATTGAATGGGTAAAAGATGGAACCATTCCCTTTGAAAACTGGTACAAGACAAGAGTGCCCTCTCTCACCACTTCTATTCAACAGAGTATTGGAAGTTCTGGCCAGGGCAATCAGGAAAGAAAAAGAAATAGAGTGTATTCAGATAGGAAGAGAGGAAGTCAAATTGTCTCTGTTTGCAGATGACATAATTGTACATTTAGAAAACTCATGATCTCAACTCCAAAACTCTAAACTGATAAGCAACTTCAGCAATCTCAGGATACAAAATCAATGTGCAAAAATCACAAGCATGCCTTTACACCAACAATAGACAAGCAGGGAGCCAAATCATGAACAAACTCCCATTCACAATTGCTACAAAGAGAATAAAATACCTAGGAATACAGCTAACAAGGGATGTAAAGGACCTCTTCAAGGAGAAATACAAACTACTGCTCAAGGAAATAAGAGAGGACACAAACAAATGGAAAAACATTCCATCCTCATGGATAGGAGGAATCACTATCATGAAAATGGCCATACCGCCCAAAATAACTTACAGATTCAATGCTATTCCCATTGATATTCTTCACAGAATTTAAAAAATTATTTTAAACTTTATAAGAAATCAAAGAAGACCCGGTATAGCCAAGACAATTGTAAGCAAAAACAACAAAGCTAGAAGAAACACACTACCTGACTTCAAACTATACTACAAGGCTACAGTAACCAAAATAGCATGGTATTGGTACCAAAACAGGCATATAGGCCAATGGAGTAGAACAGAGACCTCAGAAATAACACCACACATCTACAACCATCTGATCTTTGACAAACCTGCCAACAACAAGCAATGGGGAAAGGATCTCCTATTCAGTAAACGGTGCTGGGAAAACTGGCTAGCCATAGGCAGAAAACAGAAAGTGGACACTTCTTAAGCCTTATACAAAAATTAACTCAAGTTGGATTAAATACTTAAATGTAAAACCACAAACCTTAAAAACCCTAGAAGAAAACCTAGGCAATACCATACAGGACATAGGCATGGGCAAAGACCTCATGACTAAGACGCCAAAAGCAATTGCAACAAAAGCCAAAATTGATAAATGGGATCTAATTAAACTAAAGAGCTTCTGCACAACAAAAGAAACTATTATCAGAGTGAACAGGTAACCTAGAGAATGGGAGAAAATTTCTGCAATCTATCCATCTGACAAAGCTCTAACATCCAGAATCTACGAGAAACTTAAACAAATTTACAAGAAAAAAAACAACCCCATCAAAAAGTGGGCAAAGGATATGAACAGACACTTCTCAAAAGAAGACATTTATGCAGCTAACAAACATGAAAACAATCTCCACATCACTGATCATTAGAGAAATACAAATCAAAACCACAAAGAGATACCATCTCACACTAGTCAGAATGGTAATTATTAAAAAGTCAAGAAACAATAGATACTGGTGAGTCTGTGGAGAAATAGGAATGCTTTTACATTGTTGGTGGGAATGTAAGTTAGTTCAACCATTGTGGAAGACAGTATGGTGATTCCTCAAGGATCTAGGACCAGAAATAACATTTGACCTAGAATTCCAATACTGGATATATACCCAAAGGAATATAAATTATTCTACTGTAAAGACACATGCACACATTTATTGCAGCACCATTTACAATAGCAAAGACATGGAACCAAACCAAATGCCCATCAATGATAGACTGGATAATGAAAGTGTGGCATATATACAGCATGGGATACTATAAAAGGAATGAGATCATATCCTTTGCAGGGACATGGATGATGCTGAAAGCTATCATCCTCAGCAAGCTAACACAGGAAAAGAAAACCAAATACCATTTGTTCTCTCTCATAAGTGGGAGTTGAACAATAAGAACATACGGACACAGAGAGGGCAACAACAGACACCAGGGCCTGTTGGGGGTGAGGAGTGAGGGAAGGGAACTTAGACGATGCAGCAAACCACCATGGCGCATGTATACCTATGTAACAAACCCACGCATTCTGCACATGTACCCATTTTTTTAGAAAAAATTTTAAAAAATGATACCATGTAATACCTTTTGTATTAATTACAAACCCCTTAGGCAGACTCAAGATAGAATTCTAAGTGATATGATAGATAAGATAGTTTCTAACGTACAGTTGCAGGCTTTGTCACAAATGTTTATCAAGCTATAAAGATGTTTAAAGAAATTCTTAAAAAGAAAAACATAAAAGTGGCTGTTTCCTCCAATCTTCAGATAGTGGATATGTGAGTCACTGAATCACCACTACTGACACTAGTAAACTCATTTCAAGCATAATAATTGGCCTTAAGTAGTCTTGGTTCTCCCTCCAACTCCACTTTCAGTGCTTTCATTCTAAAGGTGGGTTCTCAGGAAAAGAAAAATAATAACCTCGAGGTGTAAGGAACAGAGGGAATTACTTCCTTTAATGTGTGGCATTAAAAAACAAACACTCACATTTTAGAATGACAGGTATCTGTGGGGAAGATCTGTGTAGGTAGGGGACCTTTGATGCTTCGAGTGTAGCGGGAAGTTGTGAGTTAGGGAATTGTGTTTGTCTTAACTTTGTTTTTTGTAGAGAGAAAAACAATTTCACGGGGTGGGTCCAATTTTCAGACTAAGTAAATTCTGTGCTCTCTTTCAGCTCTAAAATTCTGTGGCTCTAACTGTGAATCAGAGAAGTGAAATAGAGTAATGGAAGTGAGACTGAAGAAGATGGTTGACAACTCAAGATGAATGAAAGACAAATCTAACACCTGAAACCATAAAAATACTAGACGATAACATCAGAAAAACTCTTCTAGACATTGACTTAAGCAAAGACTTCATGACCAAGAAGCCAAAAGCAAATGCAACAAAAACAAAGATAAATAGATTGGACTTAATTAAATTAAAAAGCTTCTGCACAACAAATGAAATAATTAGCAGAGTTAACGGACAACCCACAGAGTGGGAGAAAATCTTTGCAATCTATACATAAAACAAAAGACTAATATCCAGAATCTACAAGGAACTCAAACAAATCAGCAGGAAAAAACGAACAATCTCATCAAAAAGTGGGCTAAAGACATGAATAGACAATTCTCAAAAGAAGATATACAAATGGCCAACAAGCATATGGAAAAATGTTCAACATCACTAATGATCAGGGAAATGCAAATCAAAACCACAATGCAATACCACCTTACTCCTGCAAGAATGTCCATAATTTTAAAAATATAAAATTATAGATGTTGGCATGAATGTGGTGAAAAGGGAAAACTTTTACACTGCTGGTGTGAATTTAAAGTAGTACAACCACTATGGAAAACAGTGTGGAGATTCCTTAAAGAATTGAAAGTAGTTCTACCATTTGATTCAGCAATCCCACTACTGGGTATCTAACCAGAGGAAAAGAAGTCATTACACAAGAAAGATACTTGCACAAGCATGTTTACGTCACCACAATTTGCAATTGCCAAAATATAGAACCAGCTCAAATGCCCATCAATCAATGAGTGGATAATAATTTATGATACATATATATATATACACACACACACACACCATGGAACACTACTCAACCATAAAAAAAGGAACAAAATAATGGCATTTGCAGCAACCTGGATGGAGTTAGAGACCATTATTCTAAGTAAAGTAACCCAGGAATGGAAAACCAAACATTGTATGTTCTCACTCATAAGTGGGAGCTAAGCTATGAGAATGCAAAGGCATAAGAATGATACGATGGACTTTGGGGACTTAGGGGAAAGGGCAGGAGGGAGGTGAGGCATAAAAGACTACACATTGCGTACAGTGTACACTGCTTGGGTGATGAGTGCACCAAAATCTCGCAAATCACCACTAAAGAACTTTTTCATGTAACCAAACACCACCTGCTCCCTAAAAACCTATCGAAATAAAAAATATACTTTTTAAAAAAGAAGATGATTGAGAAATACAATGAAGGAGCTAAGAAACATCCCTCTAGTGCATTGATCAATAAAGACTTGGTATGATGCATTAACAACCAATCCCCAAACCTCGATACCTTGAAATAAAACAAAGATTATTTCATGTATGTGTCCATTAGTGTAGGCCCTGCTCATCACATTCACCAGGTATTCGGACTAATAGAAGAGCCATCTTGAAAGTTGCTGATTACCACACTGAAGGAAAAGAAAGTTCTATGGAATCTTACTGGCAATTAAGTGCTCTAGCCCAGAAAGGACACCTTACTCTAGCTCACAGTTCTTTGACCAGAACGAGTCACATTCCTCCCAACCAACCGCTAGAGGGCCAAGAAGAACAATCCTACCATTCATCTTCCCTGAAGGTAGGAGGTCCAGAATATTTCCTAAAGAGCATTATTGTCTACCAATTCAGCTTCTTAGGGTCTAGGTCCACTCGAATAAGGGGACTACATATCCTTCCTTATCCCATGGCCTAGAGTATAACTGACTAACAAAAATCCCTAAAAATAGCAGAAACTGAAGTTGCCACCGAAGGCCGGTCTTCTCATTTTTAATTACTACAAGTCTCTTGCTGATTATGGAAAATGAGATGATATAATAAAATCATCATCTTATTCTCAACCAACAGTTTAAAGTCCTGTGATTCTCCTTATGTTAGCAGCATGCCTGGTAAGGCCCAGGGACAAGTTAAGTCCCACCATTAGTGTACCAAATCCCAGTACTTACATACTTACCTTGATGTGTATATGCTGCACACCAAGGTAAATTACAAATCAAACATATTCTGATTTTTGAAAACATACTTGAACTAATAGTCATTTTAAAGGCTTACTCTCTGGGTATAATTAAGCTTGAAATCATCCAAATATTATTATTTTCATAGCTGCAGCAAAGCAGCTGAATTTCACAGAGCTAACAATGCTGTCTCTGTGCTGAATACTTAATAAGCCAGAAATGAGGCAAAAGGTGAGCCCAATGAGCAAGCAGTATACTCAGTGATACACAGGACCTCCAGGTCAAAGGGTTATACCATGTTGAAAATCAAGGAAAAAGACATATTCTTTCAGAAATTTCTCTCTGCTTCAGTCCACCAACCTCTCATGGAATTTATTCTCTGTACCTGTGGGAGTCATTTCAGTGTTATGAACCAGCAATCAAGACACCTTATCTGGTCCAACAATGACAGCATCATCATCATCATCATTATCATCATTACAATCATACACAGTATTTACTATATATACACAAATCTCTTGACATAGATTATCTCATCTAATCCCCACCACAACTATCTGATGCAGATGTTATTATGCCTGTTTTATTTATTTTTTAGAATTTTTTATTTTATTTATTTCAATAGCTTTTGGGGGAGCAGGTGGTGTTTTGTTACCTGGATAAGTTCTTTAATGGTGATTTGTGGGTTTTGGTGCACCCATCATCTGAGCAGTGTACACTATACCCAATGTGTAGTCTTTTATGCATCACCCCCCACTCCAACACTTACCCCCAAGTCCCCAAAGTCCATTGTATCATTTTTATGCCTTTGTATTCTCATAGCCTAGCTCCAACTTATGAGTGAGAACATAGAATGTTCAGTTTTCCACTCCCAAGTTACTTCACTTAGGATAATGGTCTGCAACTCCATCCAGGTTGCTGTGAATGCCATTATTTCATCCCTTTTTATGGCTGAGTAGTATTCCATGGTATGTATATACCACGAATTATTTATCCACTCATTGATTGATGGGCATTTTGGCTGGTTTCATTTTTTGCAATTGCAAATTGTGCTGCTATAAACAAGTGTGTTCAAGTATCTTTTTTGTATAATGACTCCTTTTCCTCATTTTCAAGACAGCATCAGCTGCGGTAGTATAGGGAGAATGCAAGATTGCCCTAAGGTCTCCTGGATAAGTATTCGTGTTTCTCAGGCTAATAGTCAAAACTATTACAAAGTTCAGCTGGAAGTTTCCTTCTCCCTGTGGTCCTTCCTCAATTTCACTGGCAGCCCTCCTCAAGGACCCCTGTGAGATAAAGTCAGAAATGACTTCCCTGGGCACCAAGAGTACCTACAGGGCTCTTCCCACTGCTTCTACTTTTATATTTCGTTTTGCTCTCTAAATTCATCCCAGCTCTAGGTAAGGTTAAATCCTTCTCCTGTGATCTGGATTTTTAGGTTCCCTAGTGGGTTTGCGTGTTTGGAGGCAGATTTTTTCCCCCACTCACACTTTGGGCACTCACAGTTTTTCAGCTGTCTCATGGAGTTTGCAGCGGCAAGCCACTTCTTTCAAAGGTCCTGTGAATTCTTTTGGTTTTCCTGGTATGTTCATGCAGTACTTCTTGGAGGAAAATTTCACTGTGTGAGTCTCCACATGCTGTTCTGTCTGTCTGCGTGGAAACTGCAAGTTAGTCCTGCCTCCTATCCACCATTTTCCAACAATCTGTCGTTAACCATTTCAAAGTATAGAATTCAGTGGCATTTAGTACATTCATAATGCTGTGTAACCACAACCTCTATCCAGTTTCAAAACACTTTCATCACACCCAAAAGAAAACTCCATACTCATTAGCAATCCTTCCCCATTCCCTTCTTTCCCCAGCCCCTGGCAGCCACTCGATCATGCCTATTTTAAATTGAGGAAACTAAAGCTGAGAAAAGTTATACAATTTTTCCAACATGACTCTGATAATAGCTGGTGAACGCAATACTCGAACCCAGGACTTGTGATTCCCAAGATCAGACTCCTCCCATATACCTGTCTTTTATTTCCCAAGTGCTTGGGCAATCAGCTGCACTTAAAAAGCCTTTACAAATTGAGTTTACTAATGTGAGTAATATATGATTTTTTAAAAATAATAATTGTCCCTAAAGGTGAAATGGATCAAAGCCCTTAAAAGTGAATCTGTGGTGTAGTAACTGTTAACATAATTGTCTTATTTTATTCTCATCCCCTTAAAGAATAAAACTGATGAACAAGTGAGGATGCTGGTGTAACTCCCTAACTTAGTTTATAGTCTGTAAGCAGAAGAGTGAGTCTAAAGTACATATCACCAGACAGTGTTTCTCCTAGCATTTCGCTGTTGCATTAATCAACAAGTTAAAATATAAACAACGGCTAACCTTGGGTTTCAAATTTAACATTCCTTATCTCTTAGACCAGGTTTATCCACTGTGCTGGGGACTCCCAAGCCAGCACTGGCTCATACTGATTCATTTTGATCTCTGCTAATACCAGAGTCCTGCGTGGCAGAGCCATTGGCACCAGAAATTACAAGTACGTAAAGTAAGTAACCAGATATAATCTCTGATTTCTTTGGATGAGGAAAGTGGGGTCTGGAGTTTTCCTGTTTTGTTATTGTGCTCCAGGGAAGAACCACCTTATCAGAAAGCAGCTTTCTCTGTCCAACCCTGGAGGAGCTATAAAGCTACTCCTTGGCCCAAAGTATAGGAGTAGTAAATGTTTGGATACTTATAATGGGACAATATCATTGATTCAACCACTTAATAATCTACCCAGCAGTATACTTACCTGTCTTCCATGTACACAGGTAAGTATACTGTTGGGTAGATTATTAAGTGGTTGAATCAAATGGGAAAAACTTGGATTTCTAATGCAAGAGGAAAAGTCTCTTTTTTTTTTTAGTGCTTCCATCAGCAGCTTCTAACATTGTCTGAGATCATAGTTTTTGAAGGGTGACTACCAAATGTTGGCATTTGGCACAAGTGGGAAGCAAAAGGCAAGCCCCTTTAGAATTTGACTAATCTGTTCTGTCATGTCATCTTTTTTTCTGTTGTTAAAAGTGTTTCGTGCTTCATTCTATGTATTATGTCAAAATTTATTGATTTCCATGTGATTGGCACATCTTTTTTACTAATCCTGCTCCAGTTAAATTCACAAGATCATAAACATCAAGGGTTTGAAAATCATTTTTAGATATTCAGGTCTATGCCATCTGTTCTGCAGATGGAGAAACTGAGTCCTTGGTTATTAGAGTTTCCCCTGCATCCTAGGGAATCTGCTATGGCCTTGTAACTGGCACAGAGGACCTAAAGCCTGGGAGAATTTTTATTTGCTTGTTGTGGTTAGGAACATTTGAGTAAATGAGGAGCTGCTGCTAGAGGACAGAAATCCCAGAGTATGGCCCTCCTTGGACCCAAGTTTCTTACCAGCTGTGCTCCTTTGTTCCCAGGGGCTAAGTAGGCACCTTCACCCACCCCAACTGCCATCCAGCTGAATCTCTCTCTGATTACTCCTGAAATGTCACAACCCACTTGAGGATAGGGTATCATTGTGCAGTCTGTGCCAACCAGTATTCTGAAGTATTTTCATGCACTAAGGTGTAGGAGTGTGTGTGTGTGTGTATGTGTGTGTGTGAGAGAGAGAGACAGAGGGAGTAGGGAAGGAGGAGAAGATGGGGAATGCATAAATAGAGGGCTGGATACAAATCTGACAGTGCCAATGGCTTCCTAGTAAATGCATAGGTGAGTCACACTGGAAACAGTTAAACATTGGCTAATTGATACAATGCTAGCCTCAAATATAGTATAATATGCATTTTCTTGACATCAACAAATAAAATCTCCGGGTCAATAAAATAAACTCGGAAAATAAAACTCTTGCCCAGAAGTTTTCAACTTTCTAGGTTCAAGGAGCCCTTGGTGTGCAATTTCTTCAAGGTGCCCCCAGACCATAGTTTCTCCTATTAAGTAGACAAAAACTTAATAACTATTTATGTTCTAACAACTTTGTAGTTTTTTGAACAAGTAATATACAAACTAAAAGAAAAATAATATTTTTATTTCATTCTTAATCCCAATTACTTAATAATAAGGTTTATGTGCCTGCTGAGCACTGCACAACTTCTCAAACCTTGGAATCAGATCAGACATGAACCCTTCATTTCTATTCTACCTCAGTTTTCATGCAATACTTGCTTTTTGTCATAGCAATTGTCAAACACCCAGCTTTGCAAAGATATGATGTCAGCAAATGGAACACAGTCTTTTACAATATTAAAACTGTTAACTACTTTCAGCTAATACTTAGCATAGTGTTCAACTGACATCAAGAATCACTGTGCTTCTTCAAAATTTTAAAATAGCTCAGAGTGCCGCTGCAGTTTGGTAATGACAGGCGTCACCTCATGTTTTGACCTCTCATGATCTACTGTCCTACTAAACCAAAGCGGACACTCAATCTGACTTCAGTAAATTATATATTTGCATTTTACAACTTTCAAGAAGAGGAAGCAGTATAAAATTCACAAAAAAGCATAGTAGTTTCTAACCCTGTAGTTAAAAATCAGTCACTTTTATACAACCAATAGCGATTTCCCAACTCATTTAGTAATTTTATGTTGCTTAAGTTATTTTACTTGTTTTTTTCACTCAATTTTCACCCATTGGCATCTACCTTCCTAATTTAGTCCTATTTTCTTATTTTTATCTCTTATTTATTTTATATTTAGTCAGCTTTACTGAGGCTTTTCTCATTAAAATAATAATAATAAATTTATCTTAAAACTTCCAACAACGGAATGGCCAAATTTTTATTAAATATCTATGCTGGGGTTCAATCAGGCTGGTGGGAAAAATATTAAAGATAGTTATGGAGATAGACACAAATCTTCTTGGAAGGCCGAGAAGTTTGCATAACTTCAGTAATAGATATGGTTGAAGGCAACCTGATCTTTACCTTTAGTTAAACAAATTAAAGTAGTAACAAAGGAAGGCAGAGTAGTTTACCTACCTAGTTTGTTTACTCATGTGATCTTAAAACTAACCTTTGATGTACGGCAGGTGCTTAAGTGCTTTTTACTTGGGAAGTCCATAATATCAATTACCCTCTAACGGTGTTGACTCAAGCTTCTGTTAATTAATCTTACCGAATAAATGTGAGTCTGACTAGCTGATCAGGGCCAAGTCGCAACTGTTTACAGGACTCAGCAGGGAGCCTGTAAGTGGCTCGGACCCTCAGCTGGACTGGCAGGGCAGAATATCTGTGTGTCAATGTACGTTTATTCATCCATTGCTGGGTCAGGGGTCTGCAAGGGACAGGCTCCCCGCAGCTGGTGCCCCCTCGAGAGGGGCGCTGCCGCAGTTGGTACCCCGTGTGAGAGGCGCTGCCGCAGTAATGACTTACTGATAACTCACTGACTTGACCGCGCGGGTTCTTTTCTTACCTTCGTTTTCGGGCGGTTCGTCGCGTTTCCTTCACAGCATTCCTCACACAGTTCCTCACACAGCGCCTCACATGGGGCACCAGCTGGGGGCAGGGCTCCTCTCGAGGGGTCACCAGCTGTGGGGAGTCTGTCCCTTGCAGACCCCTGACCCAATGACCGGTGAATAAAGTACGCTGACACACAGATATTCTGAGGGTCCCAGGTGCTTACAGGCTCCCTGCCGAGTCGCAACTGTTTACAGGGCTCAGCAGGGAGCCTGTAAGGGGCTTGGACCCTCAGCTGGACTGGCAGAGCAGAATATCTGTGTGTCAGTGTACTTTATTCATTCATCGCGTGGTCAGGGGTCTGCAAGGAACAGACTTCCCGCAGCTGGTGCCCCCTCGAGGAGCGCTGCCGCATATGCACATAAGGAGCAATAACATTTTTAATGTTTTTGCATTTGCACGTGAAATCGCACTCCAATAAACAGCGGTGGCATGTCAGTGTGCTTTTCACCCCAACAAAATCCCCTATAAATTGTTATCAATCACTCTGTCTAAATGCAAAGCAGTCACTAACAAGAAATTATTTTTAGTTTAAATAAAAAGTGGCGTGGGGAGACAAAACTTTTTCTGAAGAAGCACACTTAAATGTTTTAAACCACTTTGGTTTCCTCCAGGCCTCTCAGGTAGGCATGACCAGCTACAGGATGCGATGCCAGATCCTCCGATCCCACCCCAGGCCCTGCCCCTGCCCTCCCATGAATGGTTAATATATATATAAATATCCATTTTAGCAGTGACATTCCCAGAGAGCCCCAGAGCTGTCAAGCTCCCTTCTGCCAGGGTGGGGGTTCAGACTGTCCTGTCACCTCTGGGGTGCCTATTGGCATCCTCTCCCCCTGTGCTTACTAATACAGTCCCTTCCCCATACCCATCAAAACTGGACCAACTGCCCTCGTCTCTTTCCCTAGGGCCAAAATTTAGGGGCCTCAGCCCCCCGCCATGCCTCTCCTCTTTCCACCTGGCCTGTTCTGTCCCTGAGCCCTGTGCTCTCCATCCATTCCATGGCTGAGAGTCGGTGATGCTGCCTCTGCCTTCTGATGCTGAACTGGCCTTGTTTCTACAAGTACGCTTCTCCCACAGCTGTGGCTGCAGGGACTTAACTTACAGGGAGGGGCCTGTGGCAGCTGCCACCACAGCCACAGGTGCACTGTGCTCACCACACATCTGGTGCAGCCTTTTCTGGCAGAGGCTCTTGTGTTTTCTCATTTTCCGTTCCTCTCACTGTGGCTAACAGGTGGGGGTGAGGGGACAGAAGAGGGAGGGCTGCCTACCACGGTCTGGGGCTTCAGGAATATGAGTTTGTTTATTTAAATGAATCTCAGTCTTTCAAATAAAAAATAAAAAATCAGTTTGATTTCATATAATTGTCAATACTTGAAGGAGTGGTTGGAAGCATGAATTTTGATCTGAGAGTGAAGCTGATATTGATATTGTGCGCCTCCACATTCATGTGCTCTCATGTTGGCTTTTCTCACGTTTGACAACAACTCATATGGGAACATGGTGATACACCAAGCAGATCTGAACTGAAAACTTAAAAGAAAAAAACAAAAAACCTTTCAGGGTGACTTTGAAACCGACTTTGTGTCCTTTTTTCTTTCCCTCTCTTTCTTCTATCATCATTCTTATATTTCCCTACTCATTTCCTTCACTTTCTAAAACACAATCATTAAACACACATTTCTAGTTTACCCCATGGCTCTGATTCCAGATATACTGTGACTTTGTCTTCATAAATAAACCTGAAATTTTCAAGTCAGACATCCACAAAAATATCAAATTAAACCCTCTACCTGCACCACGAAAAGCTCAAAAGACTGCCAGGCATGGTGGCTCATGGCTATGGTCCCAGCTACTTTGGGATGCAGAGGCAGGAGGATCACTTGAGCCCAGACATTCAAAACTAACCTGGGCAACATAGTGAGACCTCATCTCCTTAAAAAATAATAATAAGGGAGGCCGAGGCGGGTGGATCACCTGAGGTCGGGAGTTCGAGACCAGCCTAACCGACATGGAGAAACCCCATCTCTACTAAAAATACAAAAGTAGCCAGACGTGGTGGTGTGCACTTGTAATCCCAGCTACTCGGGAGGCTGAGGCAGGAGAATCGCTCGAACCCAGGAGGCGGAGGTTGCAGTGAGCCGAGATCATGCAATTACACTCCAGCCTGGGCAACAACAGTGAAACTCCATCTCAAAAATAATAATAATAATAAGGAAAAGCCCCAGGGAGATTTACTGCTCAGAGAAGTCTGACTACATTGGTCCAGCTGAGGTATGGTGGTGGCCCAGGTAGAAGGCTTCTGTATACTGGATGTTTAACAAAAAGTTGTGTATTTTTTAAGACTAGTCAAGTACAGTAGTGAGAAAGGGGGAAAAAGTAGAACAAGGAGTTCAATCTGTAACTCTGTAACTGTAAACAATCAATCGAGTTAGCGTACTACCTTTGGACTAGCCAATAAAAGGTAATTTTGAGGAAGGAATCTTTGACCTAGGATATTAGCTTACAGCAAATTTTTACTGAGTTAACTTTTTTTTTTTAAAATGGAGTCTTGCTCTGTCACCCAGGCTGGAGTGCAGTGGCACGATCTTGGCTCACTGCAACCTCCACTTCCCAGGTTCAAGCAATTCCCCTGCCTCAGCCTCCCAAGTAGCTGGGATTACAGGTGCACACCACCATGCCCAGCTAACTTTTTTGTATTTTTGGTAGAGACAGGGTTTCACCATGTTGGCCAGCTGGTTTCGAACTTCTGACCTTAAGTGATCTGCCCATCTCGTCCTCCCAAAGTGCTAGGATTATAGGCATGAACCACCACCCCGGCCCGAGTTAATTTTTAAATTGAAATGGATATAGATGATAAATGAATTCATTTTACCCATCACAAAATCAACCCATTGCCAAATAGTTACACAACAGCTATTATAGACCAAGTGTGTTGTTAGGAGCTACAAGAAAATAAGAGATGAGCCAAAGAAAATGCCTACTTTGGGGAAACATATACCTTATATATACAGAAGACTAATAGACATGATCAGTTCATCAACAATGTCTTATGGATGATACACTGTCGTTGGTCTAGCACTCAAGAGTAAGGCAAGCTTACTGTGGGGTCAGGCAGCTTCTCACACCTCTGTGACCACCTCCAGCCCCTACTCTCAGTGCTCCCTAACTCTAGAGCCCACTTTCTTCCCTTCTCTGCCCACTGAAGTCTATTCATCCTTCAAAATCTGGAGCAAATAGTAATCGTCTGTGTTGTTTTCCTACCAACCCATTGTCAGAATTGGCACCTCTTTCTTTGTGCTCTTATTGCAATTTGTACATAAGACATACTTCTGTCTTAGCATCTTACACAGAATCTTGTAATTATAGATTTTCACGTCTCACTTCCCTACCAGACTGATTGCTGCTCTAGAGAAAGCGTCATGCCTTATTCTTCCTTTGCAATCCCAATACACAAACTTGGGCTTAGCAATATAGAAACCACGGAGTGTTTGATGCCTGAGCTCATCAGAGAATGAATCACAGATCTGAGTTGATAGAATGTTATAGGGCATTTCGTTTCACCCTCTATATAATGTGTTAATCTGCTTATAATACCTCCAAATATTTGTCATCTAGATGCTGCTTGAATAAAGCCAATTTTAGAGCTTGAAATGCTGGAAGGTGCTATAAGCAAAAATGTGCCTTTTCAGTTCCACCGCTGGCCATAATTCTAATCTTTCTCTCCATGTTGATCCTTCAAATGTTTAAAGGCAAATGTTTACATTACTGAGTCAGGTGCTTAGATTAAGAGACAACTTAGATCCTCTTTTGCAAAGTGAGCCCAGGGCAGTTCAGTCCCCTGCTCAAGGTCTCCACAGCTAGCTCACAGCAGATCCAGGTCTCCAGCTGTACTTCCCTCTGCTCCAGGCACTTGGAGTAGGTAGTTCCTTCTTACTAAACCAGCCAGGTGCTTTCAGTCAGCAGTGGGTACCTGAAACTACATTCTAGTCAAGGAAATATATAACACTGGTCCTTTCTACACTAGGAGCCCATTCCTTCTGTCTGGGACACCCTTCTGGACACCCTGGCAGGATAAACACTACTAGCCTTTCTC
Source organism: Homo sapiens (assembly GCF_000001405.40). Classification (NCBI taxonomy): domain Eukaryota; kingdom Metazoa; phylum Chordata; class Mammalia; order Primates; family Hominidae; genus Homo; species Homo sapiens. The sequence goes on from NC_000001.11 coordinate 171,255,663, forward strand.
CAGGCCCCCCTCTACTGGCCTCCTCTCTAGTTTCAGGGGAGATAGGAAAATTGCCTCACCCTCTTTCTCATCCCAGCTCATGGAAATGGCTCCTCACCCTCCCCTAACACAAAGAACCTGCTTTCTTTCCTGCTGTCCTGCTGTGGGCACTAATGTCATGCTATGGTCAGACCTGCTGTCTTTATAGAGCCAGCATGCTTCTGTGCACAACTGCCAATATCATATGTATATATGCAATACTCTTTCCTTTTTCCTGGAATTGTTTTTCTCATAAAAGTGGATATTCTTTATCAAATGGCTACTATGTCATACAAAAATGAGTAGCATTTGGCCGGGCACAGTGGCTCACGCCTGTAATCCCAGCACTTTGGGAGGCTGAGGCAGGCTGATCACGAGGTTAGGAGATCAAGACCATCCTGGCTAACATGGTGAAACCCCGTCTCTACTAAAAATACAAAAAATTAGCCAGGCATGGTGGCGGGCGCCTGTAGTCCCAGCTATTCAGGAGGCTGAGGCAGGAGAATGGTGTGAACCTAGGAGGCAGAGCTTGCAGTGAGCCGAGATCTCACCACTGCACTCCAGCCTGGGCAACAGTGCAAGACTCCATCTCAAAAAAAAAAAAAAAAAAAAAAGAGTAGCATTCTATCCCATCTTGCGAGTGAGTAAACTGAGGCTCAAAAGGGGTAAGTCATTTTCCTATATCACCAAGTTGACTCATGATAGAATAGGATTCTGAAACACATGTGTCTACCCCCAATACCCATACTTCACAACTGCCTCTCTAAATGTGGGGTCACCTTACTCCTGTTGGGCCCAGAGAGGGGAAAATTATACAAGGTTTTTGATTTTATAGTGTCCTTCAGGGCCTAAAACATGAATTCCCCTAGAAGGAATCTACTGGTTCTTCCCCAGTAAATTATATCCAGTTGCTATGGGAAGCAACCAGCCCTGCAACACTTTTACATGTTGCTTGAAAAAAGAGGACCTTTTTATTTCATTAAAAAAAATTGAGCATTTTAGTCTCTACAGTTAAGACTAAAATATTGAATATTTTAGTCTCTACAGTTGAGCTGCTTCTCTCAGGTTCCTAATCCAAAACAAAAAAAGATGCATATCCAGCTTTGAGAAGAGAATTCACCTGTGAAATAAAAAATAGCAAATTTTTAGAAAAATTATGTCTTTGGGGGCACTGCACTTAACAAACTTAGGGAGATAAAACTGTCACAAAAATATATTGGGGGAAAAGCTAACATCACATAATTTAGTGACAAATGTGTGTGCTACTGACCAGAAATGCTATAGGAATTAAAAGAACAGAGGCTCATTGATGTGAAAGGCAGATACCAATTCTTGGAAATGCTTTTAAAGTTTCAATAACTTACAGCTACTGAGCACTTACTATGTGCCAGGAGCTATTCTGAGACGCCTTACATTATTAACTCACTTGATTCTCACAGAACACTTCAAGGAAGCTACTATTGTTTTCTTTATATTTGTGATGCACAGAAGGGTTAATCTGTCCAAGATTACACTGTCGTAACTGATAGAGCCGCGCTTTATCTCAGGCAGCCTGGATCCAGAGCCTGGTTGCTTAATCAATGCACTCTGTTGCCTCTCGGTGTTCTTACACATGTGTGTTATTAACACATGGCCTGGTGCCAGAAGATTCTCTGGCCCATCCCAGTGGTGACTGTGCCATGTGCCCTGGAGGTGAATCAGTATCCAATTGAGAAGGGAGGGATGGCTTTGCATGCCTACCTTTCTACCACAAACCCTCCCTGGCAGCCACCCTCTCTCTCTCCCACTGGTGACCATCACTGGTGACCTGTGAAAGGGACACACCAACAGCACAGCTGGGGCCCTGGCATTGTGCCAGGGGCAGGATCACACAGGGCAGTGCCGCGGTAGCACCCGTGGTGCCACAGGTGTGGTGGCTCCTGGTCCCAACTCCACCCCACCAGCTGCTGTGTGGTGTTGTGTCAGGTCACCACACCAATCGGAGCTTCAGTTTTGTATGTGATAAAGAGATTGTGTCTGACAAGGTGACCTTTTCCTAGTCTGCTGATCTATGCAGTTCTAGGGCCACAGAATGGAGACTAGAGGCAGCAGCTCAGTCTGAAGTGCAAGACTTTATCCAGTAAAAGGTCCAATTCCAGCAGCTCTGCCAGAAGCTACAGCCTTGACAACTGTACGAACATTTGGCACTGGTGCTGCATGAGGGGCGGGAACATACCAAGCACAGGGTTAACCAGTGACCTGAACATTTTCCTTCTCACATTCACACACCAGAGACCCGCTACAGAAGATTCAAACTGAGCAAATCGCCTAATCTTCCAAATTCTTTTTCCTGGCTTGTTAGAGCAGCCAAGGGTGGGGTGGAGCTTGTGAATAAAAAGCCTGCTTCATCTTCCTCATGCAGGAGAACATGGCCAAGCGAGTTGCCATTGTGGGAGCTGGGGTCAGCGGCCTGGCCTCCATCAAGTGCTGTCTGGAAGAAGGACTGGAGCCCACCTGCTTTGAGAGGAGCGATGACCTTGGGGGGCTGTGGAGATTCACCGTAAGTGGGGTTTCAACAACTTTATCTGTCTATTGGAGAATGGCTTGGCAGCTGGGAAATTATATCTGTGCTTCTTTCACAAGGGTTGGTGGCCTTGAGGAAGGTTAGAAATGTCTGCTGAACAGGGGACCATGAGGAGCCACTGAAATTGTAAAAGAAACAGGACATGGGTGAGCTAGGGTGGAAGTCAGAACAGACTTGTACACTTTATCTAGAGCCAAGGGGAAGAAGTGTTTCCAAAGATGCCCAAGAAGTATGGAAGAGAATGGAGTAACTGGGCCAGGCCAGGAAAGCCTAGGAGCAAAGGAGCAGGACCAGGGCGTCTGAAGCAGGGCCAGAGACGGCAGTGTTAGGAGCAAGAGCAAGAATTTCAGCCTCTGCCTGCAAGACTGAGCTGCTTTTACCTGCTTCTTTTCCCAGCCTGGCTCCGTCTGCATTACAGACTCAGGGCTCTGTGTAGGATGAGCTCCATAATCAAGGTCCTGCTGACCTGGCAATCCCAGTGCAGGCCAAGAACAAACAGAAGTAAAGAATGTGAGTTTTGAGTCTTTTTTTTATTCCCTGAGCAGAAGAAAAGTAATATACTCAAGTCTCAGCAGGGTTACTGCCTGGATCGGAGAAAGGAATGAAGGGGTGAGGACCGAGGAAAGGGGACTATAAAGCCCACCCTTGCCTGGCCTGGGGCCCCACGAGATCACAAGGGCCCTTCTTAAAGCCATTGAAACCCTGAAGCCAGGCAGGGAAAATGTTCCCTGAACTCCATGGCTTAGTCAGGGAAACATTTGCATCAAATCTTTCCAGAGTTTCTATTTTCCCTCCTTTTGAGCAAAAACATTTCCCATGAGCTTTAAATTTGCTGAGGAGAAAGCTGTCAGAAAGAGTGAAAAGAAGCAAGGTATCAGATAGCCCCGCCTCAGATCCCCTGAGGGGCTGAGAGAAAGACACAGCATTTCTCTGTTACAGAAGGGTAGAATTTGGAACTGAAGTAAAGTAATTATTTTCTAGCTCAGTGAGTAAAACTCCAGAGAGGCCAAGGTTACTAGTTTAGTCACAGTCCTCCAGCATAGGCGGCTTGGCTCACATAAAGAACTGCATATCTTAAAGTGTACCCACCAAATGTGATCATCAATGCATGGAGACTGCCAAAGAGGACAAGGTAAAAGAGCATGCCTCTTCTCAGGAATCAAACCACATATGTTCCAACAGGATGGCAGAAACCTGACACCTAGGCCAAAAATCTCCCCACTCCCATGTCCATCGAAGACATTATTATCAAACATGATGCCTTTCCCCTAGGGAGCCTCAGAATCCTTCTTAACATTATTCCAAACAAGCATACCTAATCAGTCAGGGTCAGGAGTTGGCTTGAAAGATGAAACTGCCTAACTAAATTAGCCGAGTTATTTGACTAAAGTAATCTCAGTCAAAACAAAAACTAAACCTAAAGATCAAAAGCAGTACTTAGCCTCTTGCAGCACCAGACATAAATGCTCCTTGTATAGGTCACAGGCACCTAATCATCAACACTAAAAATCACTGATCTAAGAATCAAGAGAAATGAGTCTGGATCCAGCTGGGCCCATTTCCAGCTGTGTGATGCAGGTAGGTCAAACACCAGTGCACAAAGCACAAAACCCTGTGGGGGACACAAAAATGAGGATTCACCCTGCCCTCAGGAGCTGTCAGGTAGATGGAAGAAGGCTAGGATTCTGCAAGTCAGAAACAGTGCTGTGAGCATTTCATTGAGAGCAGGATGACAGCCACATTTAGGAAGCCAGAAAAGGCTTCACTGAAGAGGTAGTGTGTGATGGACTTTGAAAAATTTCAACAGGTAGACAAGATTGAGCAGAAGACACCAGGGAGGGTAGGGACAGTAAAGAAAAAGTACTGGGCATATTCAGAAAGTAAAAATAGCTTTTTGGTGCATAAGGTACACGTAAGAGGAAGAATGGGAGGGAAAAGGGTGGCTGCATGTTTGGGCAAGGGGTTTATACTCAGTTTTAAAAGCAATAGGTAATGAGGAACAAAATTAAGGAGATTTCCTGGTTGTCGCGTTTGTTTTGTTTGCATGATAGGAAGACCCAAAGATTTTTGTAGGCAAATAGAAACTATCTGGATGACCAGAAATAACTGAGCACATAAATCCAAATTGAGACACAATCCTGGCAGGAAAAGGGAGGAGTGGAATTGTAGGTACCAGTGGAAGGGTTAGCCCTGGCAAGGTGGGGAGACAAGAGATACACCCTCCCCAGAGATTGGAGGGGAAGGGAAGGTGAACATGGAAGAGAAATTTTGAGGTAGAGGAAGAAGATATAAGAGCACTCACACCAGAGGCCCTCAATTCTATCGAGAAAATATGGCACCTGCAAGGGTAAAGAGGGTGTGGGGGTGGCAAATGGGGTTGGAGAATTAGAAAAATAGAGAAGGTCAGCCAGGCACGGTGGCTCACGCCTGTAATCCCAGCACTTTGGAAGGCCGAGGTGGACAGATCACCTGAGGTCAGGAGTTCGAGACCAGCCTGGTCAACATGGCGAAATCCCATCTCTACTAAAATACAAAAATTAGCCAGGCATGGTGGCATGCACCTGTAATCCCAGCTACTCAGGAGGCTGAGGCAGGAGAATCGCTGGAACCTGGGGGACAAGATTGTACCACTGCACTCCAGCCTGGGTGACACAGAAAGGCTCCATCTCAAAAAAAAAAAAAAAAAAAAAAAGAATATTGTGGAGAATGCAATAGGACATCAAAAAGATTAGTAAGAGGAATATCAAGCAGTAGCCAAGGTAAAATGGCACCCAATTTACAAGTCATTCCAGCTCTATTACCTCATTTATAAAATGAAAACATGGGACCAGTATGAAACACATACAAAAGCTGAATTAGTAACGGGCTTAGGAAAATCCACCCTCACCTTCATGCAGCAGCCTTCTCTTGACACTGCAGCCTTTTTAGGCACCTCTGTAATACCTTGAGATTTCTCTAAAGCTTGACTGGACATTCCTAAACTAGGCAATCTTGAAGGTGCCTTCAGCTCTAATATGCGATGAGTCTCCTGAGTCTTTCTAGAGACATTCCTTTCCCTCCTTCCCCAACACACACAGGCACACACACACACACACACACAAAAGGTTAGAGATGTCTTTGCACTCAAGGTAGGTGGCCCATTTAAAACCTGTAAAATCAAAAACCCTGCCCTGGCAATGGCTGTGCTTGCTAGAAAGTGTTCAGAAGGGAATTCTTACTGCCTTAGGGTGGAAGGGACCATAATGCAAAAGTAGAAAGGCAAATTGCAGAGATCCAATAAAACACATGTGGTGACAGTTTCCATTTCCAGATGGGGAGAGGCCCCAGAGAATATAGACATCATAAATTACTGCATTTTGGCCAGGCGCGGTGGCTCATGCCTGTAATCCCAGCTCTTAGGGTGGCAGAGGCAGGAGGATAGCTTGAGCCCAGGAGTTCAAGACCTGCCTGGGCAATATAACAAGACCCCGTTCCGTTCTCCATAAAAAGGAAAAAAAAGACAAAAATAAATAAATAAATTACCGCATTTCATTGGATACTCACAATGTCATGACTCTGGCCTCTCCCAGCTACCACAGTTTTAAGGAAAAGAGAGATAAGGCAGGAGTTACAATGAAAAAGAAAGAACATCATACACTGGGGAAGGAGAGAGGGTGGAAACCATTAAAAAGAAAAATGCTACAGGGATAAAGAACCACTTCTGACCCAAGTAGAGGCTGGACATGTGTGTGAAACACTTCTCAGACTCTTGAGAGGGAGGGGAGGCTTAGGAAAGTAAAACTGTAGGTTGACTATCGCCATTAAAAAGTGATACTTGAAACAAAATTTGAGGAATTATCATCAAATATTACTTTCAGAGAATTTTAGTATAGGAAGAGACCTTGGAGAATTAGAAAAATAGAGAAGGTCAGCCAGGCACAGTGGCTCACGCCTGTAATCCCAGCACTTTGGAAGGCCGAGGTGGACAGATCACCTGAGGTCAGGAGTTCGAGACCAGCCTGGTCAACATGACGAAACCCCATCTCTACTAAAAATATGAAAATTAGCCAGGCATGGTGGCGTGCGCCTGTAATCCCAGCTACCCAGTCTTCAGGTAAAAGCACACAGACATCATCTAGAGGTGACTAACAGTACTGTGGGGTAAAAATACACTGTGCTTCATCCTTCACCTCCCTGTAACATTTGCTGGGGCCCAGTAACCCTCCCTAGAATGATATTTTCCTCATGTGCATCCAGTTCTTTTCCTCCGCACATGCACGCTTTCATTTATTCAACAAACATTGATTGAAACCCTACTATGTGCCTTACATACCACATTTTTTACATTCAGTGAGGGCAATGATGAAGTGTAAAAATACTTCACACTTTTAAATCACAAGAATAGTTCCTCAACTATTTCTTCTTTAGGTTTGGTAAATCTGATTCCTGTAACCTTTCATTAAAAGCCTTATTTCTAAAACGTCTATTCGTATATTCAATAAACATTTTTAATTACTATCATCCTAGTGGGGTACCCCTGACAGGCCCCTATCCTCATGGAGCTTGCATTCTTGGAGGTTCCCCAAATTTCCTCTGAGGTTTCCACAGCTCTCCTGCGATATAGACCCAGAAACTGGACCCTGTCCTCCAGTGAGAGTCTGACTCTCACACTAGGCAGAAGGGGCAACAAAGTAAAATGGGTGCCAGCTGTTTTAAGGAAATTAAAAGAAGGAAGAAATTAACATTCTTGGAGAACAGGAGACGTGAATGTTGTGCATATAGAGAGAAGGTCTCTATTTAGGGGTGAATTTTATTATCACTTTATATCCGTTTTTAAAATGAGAAAGAAAAGAACTGACCTGACAAAATTTTCTTCCCATTGCCTACACTCCTGCCTGAAGGATACAAGCTTAAGAAAGTAAATTTCCATGGTAGCTGTGAAAGAATAATACAAATAATGATTAATATTATTGACAGCCTAGAGGCATTGTTCCATTAGTACCATTAGCATGATACGATTGCTTCATTGTTCCATTAGCATGATAGCTATCACTCCAATTTCTCCTAGGGGCTATGTAATATTGCGGTTCCAGCATATAGATATGGAAACTGAGAGAAGTTAAGAAAATTCCCAGATCAGCCAGCTAAAAATGTAGAGCTTGAGTATGAACCTAGGCAGTCTGACATTGAGGCCTATTCTGTTAAGAACTACATTGCATGCATTTCTGGAGTCTGTTTCACAGCTCAAGAATCAGGCAAATCCTGGGCTGCGTCTCAAAGAGTCCCAGCAAGTGTCCCAGTGGTGATGGTGACCTCCCAACTGTGCTGCAGGACCAAAGTGGACCAGAAGGACAGAAACACCTCTGCTCATGCTCTTAGTCTCTTCCCTCTTTCCATGGTTCAACCCTCCTCTCCTTTTTTCTCTACTCACTCATTTTTCTCTTCATGAAAACAAAAATCTTCTCCTAAGTCGCCCCATCCATTTTTAGAGGGCACGTGCTTCCACACTCGGAGTTCAAGGCAACTGGTGGACCCCCCACCAGGTACAATTCCCAGAGTGTCTGCAGCACGGGTGGGAGGGTGCAGTGTGGGTATTGAAGGCTGGCAGGGCCTGGGAATCACTGGGGCAGATTGCACAGTGAGGCGAACACTGGAGGTGAGGGGCCAGGTCCCACCAATACCATTCAGAAGGGGCAGGGACTCATACTCCCTGTATATATGCTAAATACTCCAGACCTTTTCTATTTCCAGGAGAAACAATCAATAGAAGGAAAGAGAGACAAGAGTAAGTATTGGTCTTAGATTTTATCCTAAGGGCTAAGTTTCCTCTGTAAGCTACAGTTTCTCATATGTTAACATCTGTGATACATTATTTCACAACAGGCTTCAGTGTTTCCTGGAAGCGCTTCATCTTTCTGCCTTGAAAATTATCTTCCTACGTTTTGAGAAACAGAAGGGTTATTTTTCCCTCTATTTTTGTTAGTTCATTGGCCTTAAGTTCTCATAAAATAAATGGTTCCCTGGCTTATCCAGTTCCAATGAATTGCTGATATTTAAATATGCCATTACAAAATGCTTTAAAATTTTTAATTTGTGTGTGTGTATATATATATACACACACACACACACATTTATATATATATTAAATTTATATTTATATATAGAGAGAAAAATTATATTTTGGGTATATTGAGTTAAATAAAATATACTCTTAAAATTAATTTCACTTGTTTCTTTTTACTTTTTTAATGGGGCCACTGGTAAATTCAAAAGTGTTTATGTGGCATCTATACATCCTATTGGGCATCCTAAAGCACTCTCACTCAAAATATGGTCCATGGGCCAGCAGCGTCTGCATAGGAGCTTCTTATAAATGCACAATCTCGGACAGGGGCAGTGGCTCACGCCTGTAATCTCAGCAATTTGGGAGGCCGAGAAGGGCGGATCACGAGGTCAGGAGATGGAGACCATCCTGGCTAACATGGTGAAACCCCGTCTCTACTAAAAATACAAAAAATAAAATAAAATTAGCAGGGCGTGGTGGCCGGCGCCTGTAGTCCCAACTACTCGGGAGGCCGAGGCAGGAGAAAGTCGTGAACCCAGGAGGCGGAGCTTGCAGTGAGCCAAGATCGGGTGACTTCACTCCTTCCTGGGCGACAGAGCGAGACTCCATCTCAAAAAAAAACAAAAACAAAAGAAATGCACAATCTCAGGCTCACCCTGACTTACAGAGTCAGCATCCACATGTTTGTTAGACTACCCAGGCAATTCCTAACAAAATTAAAAGGCGCTGAGCTACAGAGCTGTGCTTCTCAAACAGTGAAGAACAATCAAGTTTTTTTCCAATTAATTGTAGACTGTTGTCAAATATAATAAAAAAGAATCCGGCCGGGCGAGGTGGCTCATGCTTGTAATCCCAGCACTTTGGGAGGCCAAGGCAGGCGGATCATGAGGTCAGGAGATTGAGACCATCCTGGCTAACACGGTGAAACCCCGTCTCTACTAAAAATACAAAAAAATTAGCCAAGCGTGGTGGCGGGTGCCTGTAGTCCCAGCTACTCGGGAGGCTGAGGCAGGAGAATGGCATGAACCCGGGAGGCAGAGCTTGCAGTGAGCAGAGATTAAGCCACTGCACGCTAGCCTGGGCGACAGAGCGAGGCTCCGTCTCAAAAAAAGAAAAATAAAAAAGAAAAAGAAAAAAAAAAAGAATGCTTAGAAAAATGAAAATGACACAAACAAAAAATACAAAATGTAAATTTGAAATTTATAGAGTCAGAAATTATAAAATTAATTTCAGTAAGTGTCATTAAACAACATAGATATAAAGGAAAACAATTACAAAAAATGAACACATTGTTCTTTGAAAGTGGGTACATAGGCAATTGACACAGAGAGTCATCATTACCTTTGTAACTTTTTGCCACACAAATATTTTGTATGAAATTGCAGTTCTCCATGTTAAACACTCGTAGACACATTTTAAATACACATTTTTTTATATTACTATTTAAGGTTTTTAATATGACAATTAATCTTGCTTCCTGGTTGTCAATTTACCTAATCTGGTTTGAATGGATGGCAATGCTCTTTGCAGGGGATAATGTGTATCTAAACTATTTCTAAACATTGCTTAACAGCAGTCAAAGTAGAGAAAGGAGGCTCACAGAGGTATGTTGATTGAAATGAGGAAGAGATTTTTAAACCAGTCTCAGCAAGTTCAGTGTATATTTTTTAACTGCTATCCAAAATGAAGCTGATAGTGCTACATTTTTTTAATGTATCTTCAGTCTTTTATCCGTAGCCAGTTCAAATAACTTATACTGTAAGATTAAATATAAATAATCTTTCAATGAAAGAAAATGATTCCAGATTTTATGCACTTTTGGATAACAGTTTTCAAAATAACCTTAAAACATCGCACATGATAATACAGTCCTATGGCATATGACTAGTACACAACTCAAACTCATCACACAAGTTAGACAAAAACAAGACTGATTTATATCCTGTTCAACAAAATGGTGTCCACATGCTTACATATTGAGCAATGTCAAATTATTGCTATAAAAGTTTCTAAATGCTTACTCTTGATTTCTGTATTTATCCTGTAACAGACTAGTAACAAACCATTCATATCAGTATTGCTCTGCAGACTATGTTTGAATAACACTGCATTAGATATTCCAGCTGAATAAAATATCAAGATTTAAATAGTCATCTTTCGCAAGCATTTTAGCTGAGTCTGTGTGACAGGTGGGCCACAGACAAGCAGGTTGTAATCAACTCTTATCAGTCAATGAGATAAATAACATTAATTTAAACCACAGAGATATGTTTATAATTTTGTTATCTGTGATTGCTGTGTATTTCAGACAGATACAGGAATCTATATATGATATCAATTCACATCCTTTGCAGAAACAGAGAAAGCCCTCTCCATATGTGAGATTTATGTTCATGTTTCTACTTGTTCACATAAATTAAATAATTTTTATTTCACAGGAAAAATGAACTATACATATGCAAGATGGTAAATAATGTTAAAATACAAGAACCTTGCCACTGAAATTAGAATAATCCTCCATACTACTCCCCAAAAGACAGAGGCAATGTATATTAAAGACATTACTAAAACTGTTTATCATTCAACTTTGCAGTAGTCTTATGAGATATTGGTATTTGCTAGTTATTTGAGTAAAAACTGAGGGTGGGAAATTTGTTAGTGCTTTGCCACACACAGTTGTCCAATCTGGAAACCTTTGACTGCTTCCTCTCTCAACCCCTAAATCTAATTGGTTTTGCAATCCTATGTGTTCTACCTTACCGCCATCTCACAAATCTCACCCTTCTGGGTTCCAGCTATCATTGCCTCTGCTCATGCCCTCATTAGCAATCAAGTGGATTTGTGTATTAGGCTCCTGGCTAGCGCCCCCTTCCTTCCTTCCCAGCTCCCTCTAATTCACCTTTTGTAGAACGAGAGTTATCTTTCCAAAATTTAGAAGTGATATGAATCACTTCTATATTTAGAACGTTCAGTAGATTGGCATAACCTTCCTGTAAAATCCAAATTCCTTAACTTTGGATACAAGATCCTTCATACTCTGAACCATCTTCTCCATAATCATTTCCAGAATACCCCATAAAACCAAATTACCTAGCAATTGTCCATCATTCAAATAAATACTACTTCCTGATTCTCATGTATTTCTATATTCTCCTGTGCTTGGCAATGATACTGTGTGCATCTGGACCGGTGAGTTCTTCCCAGGCTTATTTATGAGCATGCAATGAATGTTCATGTGTGTGCACTGTTTGTACAGGAACATGTTGAAGAAGGCAGAGCCAGTCTCTACAAGTCTGTGGTTTCCAACAGCTGCAAGGAGATGTCTTGTTACTCAGACTTTCCATTCCCAGAAGATTATCCAAACTATGTGCCAAATTCTCAATTCCTGGAATATCTCAAAATGTATGCAAACCACTTTGACCTTCTGAAACACATTCAATTCAAGGTAAGACACAAAACATCAGTTAGTAGTCAGAAAGTATTTCCTACCTATTTTCTCTTATCTCTCCAGCCTAGCCCTGGGCTCTGTAGATGAGATACTAAACTGGCAATATTAATGACACCTGGCTGTATTTATTTTCTCCCTATACTCACTCCCCACTTCAAGTAAATCTGGAGGTGGGGGAGGATACTTTGTGTAAAGATTCACAAGTATAAAATTTTAGTTTGCAATACTTATATCCAAGTATCTTAGGGAACCTAAAAAATATCAAGCCACATTTTCAGCTTGGGCCAAATGCCTGCCCACATGGACACTGAGAACCACCAACCCCCTTCCCCAGTCTCCTGTTTGGTTTTTTGTCTGTTTGTTTGTTTTTGAGACAGGGTCTCACTTTGTTGCCCAGGCTGGAGTGCAGTGGCATGATCATGGCTCACTGCAGCCTGGACTTCCTAAGCTCAGGTGATTCTCCCACCTCAGCCTCCCAAGTAGCTGGGAACACAGGTGCACACCACCACACCCAGCTAGCTTTTTATATTTTTTAGCGATGGGGTCTCACCATGTTGGCCATGCAGTCTCAAACACCTGGGCTCAAGCAATCCTCCTGCCTTGGCCTCCCAAAGTGCTGGGATTACAGGCATGAGCCACTGCTCCCAGCTCCCACTCTCTTCTTGACTATTCTTTTATAGGAATGGACACGTGCAGTGGCCCATACACAAGAGAACCTTGCTATGTGAAAGAAATCTTTTCTAGATATTCTTGAGAATAGAAAAATCTTTGAATATTGTTATTCTACAATGCCCCCTTCCTCTCCCATTTCAGAGGCTGGAGACAGGAGGAAGGTAGTAGGACAGGGACAAATGAATAATATATCCTTTTTGTCCTTTTTTTTTCCTTTTTTTCTCTGTTTCCTCTCCAAGAAACATATGAAAATCTATGTTTCCCTTCTCCTTTCTCCCTCCCCTGTCAGAGGTAAGGATGATGAGGAATTCACAGAGAATTATACACAGAAAACAACACAAATGGAGACATTGACCAAAACAAGTGGAAAATAAAATTTGCATTCACATTCACGACCTTAAAAGTCCTCTGATATGGTTTGGCTGTGTCGCCATCCAAATCTCATCTTGAATTTCCACATGTTGTGGGAGGGACTCAGTGGGAGGTAATTGAACCATGGGGGCAGGTCTTTCCCATGCTGTTCTCCTGATAGTGAATAAGTCTCATGAGATCTGATGGTTTTATAAGGCGGAGCTTCCCTGCACAAGCTCTCTCTCTGCTTGCTGCCATGCACGTAAGATGTGATTTGCTCTTCTTTATCTTCCACCATGATTGTGAGGCTTCCCCAGCCACAAGGAACTGTGAGTTCTCCATTAAACCTCTTTCCTTTGTAAATTGCCAGGTCTCTGGTATGTCTTTATCAGCAGCATGAAAATCAATACAGTAAATTGGTACCAGTAGAGTGGGGAGCTGGTGAAAAGATATCAAAAAATGTAGAAGTGACTTTGGAACTGTGGAAACGTCAGAGGTTAGAACAGTTTGGAGGGCTCAGAAGAAGAAAGGAAAATGTAGGAAACTTTGGAACTTCCTAGAGACTTGTTGAATGGCTTTGACAAAAATGCTGATAGTGATATGAACAATAAAGTCCAGGCTGAGATGGTCTCAGATGGAGAGGAGGAACTTGCTGGGAACTGGAGCAAAGGTGACTCTTGTTTGGTTTTTTGTTTTAAAAAAAACCTCTGCAATTATTAGTTTATTAGTATCATCCGGGACTTAGATGTTCAGTATTCCTCCTGAAATTACATAAACAAATGCAAATGGAAAGAATCCAAGTCAAAATTATATAACAAAACAGCACTCCATCACAAAAGCGTGTAAAATTACAATAACACTATTTTAAAATACTGGCATCTTAAGAAAACGATAATCTTGAAAATCACAAAATTGCCAAATTGTTCCCTAAACTGCTAAGCAGATAATCATGACTAATGAGTGAGTTTGTTTTGTAAAGAAAAATCATTCAAATAAATTGAATAATTCATACTGAGATGCAAAATTTAAGTGTCTTCTTTCCTCCTATTTGGATTTATGAGGGGGCAAACCATAATATAGGAAAATATACGCTATTTTGAATGTGGCATCTTTGTTTTAAAAGCTGGCCCAATTAATTAAAAATACTTTTAATGGAAAGTCTCATTTCCTGAGCAGTCCATATTTAGATAAATGGGAAAAGACATCTATAGCCAGCATTTTCATAGTCTTCACTGAGACTAATGTCAACAAAAAATTTAATATGGCAGTCCTGCATTTTAAGCTCACGCTTTTGGGGATACATTCTCAGGTCTTCTTTAATGTGGGAACTGCAAAATATAACTGCCATTACATGGTAATGGGAGTTAAAGAATAGAGTCCTCATGTAAAAATTACAACATACTTTTCTATTAGTCCTTCAAGGACTAATTTCAAAATGTTGGATTCTAGTAATCCCATGCTTTGAGTAGATTGATTACTCTTCAGTTTGTAAATGTAAGTGGGCTATGTGAAATTTCTTAACTGATCAAGATTTTGGATGTTCAGTTATGGATGAAAACTATCTCAACTTAACTTTACCCCCATATGATATGCAGGGTGTGTAGACAAAAGCTTTTTATTAGCTAACTATATGAAAGGATAAACACTGTAATAATTCATGTGATTCAAAATGGGCAAAAGCAAAGACTAGCTTCCCCTCCAAAAGAAAAATTTCAGACCTATGAAAAGGACAACAATACTAATAAAAAATTTGTATTTACTTAGAAGCATTCAGAATGTAAACAAAACAGCTGCAACTTTTTTTTTTTTGCAATTACAGAGTGGTATTCAGTTAACAGAACAACAATTATTTCCTATAAGCTGCATCAGAGACAGCTGAAGATGAAAAAACTACCATCCCCATATATAACTAATTTGTGCTGTGCACCAACAAGAACATGCTTTAAATTTCCATGCCAATTTACAACCCGCATACTGCACCAGGCAAGGTTAGTGGCTATTGAAAACACCACCAGGAGAGGGCTATCTAAAGACACATTCGGTAGTGTGTTAACTTTATAAAAAAAGACACTGTACAGTTTAAAAACAAATCCTACACAGACTTACATTTCCATTTTTTTCTTTAAAAGGAGTGACTTGTGAACAGTAGGGTTAAATGCTTTATAGACGAGAAAAAAAACCGCTAGAACCAACTTATTCATCATCTTCTTCATCTTCATCTTCTTCATCTACCTCCTCATCATAATCTTCTTCATCTTCCTCATCTTCCTCCTCTTCCTTCTTTTTCTTGCTTTTTTCAGCCTTGATAAATCCCTTTTTTGCTGCATCAGGCTTCCCTTTAGCTCAATATGCAGCAATATCCTTTTTGTATTTTTCCTTTAGCTTTGCAGCCTTCTTTTCACAAGGCTGCTTGTCTTCTGCAGCAGTGTTATTCCACATCTCTCCCAGTTTCTTCACGACATCACTAATGGGCAGGCCAAGTTGTTCTCCTTTAATTTTTGGGTGATACTCAGAGCAGAACAGGAAAAAGGCTGAAGGAGGCCTCTTGGGTGCATTGGGATCCTTGAACTTCTTTTTTGTCTCCCCTTTGGGAGGGATTTAGGTTTTCACTTCTCTTTCATAATGGGCCTTGTCACCTTTGCCATATCTTCAAATTGTCCTTTCTCTTTAGCAGACATGGTCTTCCACCTCTCTGAGCCTTTCTTAGAAAACTCTGAGAAGTTGACTGAAGCATCTGGGTGCTGCTTCTTATGCTCTTCCCGACAAGTTTGCACAAAAAATGCATATGATGACATTTTGCCTCTTGGCTTCTTAGAATCTCCTTTGCCAATGTTTAGTTATTTTTCCCCAGTGAGGCACAGAGTTGCCCAGTGCCCATCTGGCTCTCACTTGCCCCAGTGCTGTCTCTATGGAGCTCAATGTACTGCCTCTTCTTATGTTCTAGCAATGAGACTGGAGATTTATGGAACTTTGAACTTGAGAGATGATTTAGGGTATCTGGCAGAAGAAATTTCTAAGCAGCAAAGCAATAAAGAGGTGACTTGGGTGCTGTTAAAGGCATTCAGTTTTAAAAGGGAATCAGCATAAAAGTTCAGAAAATCTGCAGCCTGACAATGCAATAGAAAAGAAAATCTTATTTTCTGGAGAAGAAATCCAAGCCAACTGCAGAAATTTGCATAAATAACAAGGAGCCAAATGTTAATTCCCAAAACAATGGGGAAAATGTCTCCAGGGCATGTCAGAGGTGTTCACCACAGCCCTTCCCATCACAGGCCTGGAGGCCTAGGAAGAAAAAGTGGTTTCATGGGCCAGGCCCAGAGCCCCCATGCTGTGTGCAGCCAAGGGACTTGGTGCCCTGCATCCCAGCTGCTCCAGCTGTGGCTAAAAGGGGCCAACATAGAGCTCAGGCAGTGGCTTTAGAGGGTGCAAACCCCAAGACCTGGCAGCCTCCACATTGTATTGAGCCTGCAATACACAGAAGTCAAGAATTGAGGTTTGGGAACCTTCACCTAGATTTCACAGGATGTATGGAAATGCCTGGATGTGCAGGCAGAAGTTTGCTGCAGGGGCAGGGATCTCATGGAAAACCTCTGCTAGGGCAGTGCAGAAGGGAAATGTGGGGTCAGAGTCCCCACACAGAGTCTCTACTGGGGCTCTGCCTAGTGGAGCTGTGAGAAGAGGGCCACCATCCTTCAGACCCCAGAATGTTAGATCCACTGTCAGCTTGCATGTGCCTGGAAAAGCTGCAGACACTCAATGCCAGCCTGTGAAAGCAGCCAGGAGGGAAGCTGTACCCTGCAAAGCCACAGGAGCAGAGCTGCCCAAGACCATGGGAACCCACCTCTTGCAACAGTGTGACCTGGATGTGAGACATGGAGTCAAAGGAGTTCATTTTGGAGCTTTAAGATTTGACTGCCCTGCTGGATTTCGGACTTGCATGGGGCCTGTAGCCCCTTTGTTTTGACCAATTTCTCCCATTTGGAATGGCTGTATTTACCCAATGCCTGTACCCCCACTGTTTCTAGGAAGTAACTAACCAACTTTTGATTTTACAGGCTCATAGGTGGAAGGGACTTGCCATGTCTCAGTTGAGACTTTGGACTGTGGACTTTTGAGTTAATGCTGAAATGAGTTAAGACCTTGGGGGGGAACTGTTGGGAAGGCATAATTGCTTTTGAAATGTGAGGACATGAGATTTGGGATGGGCCAGGGGTAGAGTAATATGGTTTGTCTGTGTCCCCACTCAAATGTCATCTTGAATTCTCACATGTTGTGAGAGGGGTCCAGTGGGAGGTAACCGAATCATGAGGGTAGGTCTTTCCCATGCTGTTCTAGTGATAGTGAATAAGTCTCACAAGATCTGATGGTTTTATAAGGCAGAATTTCCCTGCACAAGCTCTCTTTTTGCCTGACATCATCCATGTAAGATATGACTTGCTCCTCTTTGCTCCTGCCATGATTGTGATGCTTCCCCAGCCACATGGAACTGTGAGTTCTCCATTAGACCTTTTTCCTTTGTAAATTGCCCAGTCTCTAGTCTGTCTTTATCAGCAGTGTGAAAATGGACTAATACATCCTCCTAAACAGATTTCCAAAGAGTATTTTATTCCACTTCCTTATTTTGCAATGGACACAGTAAAAATAAAGCATTATCATAATGAATATATACAACATATAAAAATCTTCTTTTTAATGCATCAAAATTTCTGAATTTGAAGCATTTCCTTTACCACATGCTGCCCAAGACCTTTTTTATTTTGTTGTTGTTGTTTGAAACAAAGTTTCTGTCACCCAGGCTGGAGTACAGTGGCAGGATCTTATCTCACTGCAGCCTCCACCTCCTAGGCTCAAGAAATCCTCCCACTTCAGCCTCCCCACTATTAATAGCTGGGACTATAGGCACATACTACCATGCCTGGCTATATTTTTTTTAATTTTTAGTAGAGATAAGGTCTCACTATGCCGCCCAGGGTGGTCTTGAACTCCTGAGCTCAAGCTATCCTCCTGCCTTGGCCTCCCAAAGGGTGGGGATTATAGGCATGAGCCACTGTTGCCAGGCACAAGGCCATTTTAGAACAATTTTTAAAAAGCTAGATGTTCACCAAAGTTTTAAAAAGTAAACACAAGGCCAGGTGCAGTGGCCCACACCTGTAATCCCAGCACTTTGGGGGGCCAAGGTGGGTGGATCAAGACCATCCTGGCTAACACGGCGAAACCCCATCTCTACTAAAAATACAAAAAATTAGCCAGCCATGGTGGCATGGGCCTGTAGTCTCAGCTACTCAGAAGGCTGAGGCAGGAGAATCTCTTGAACCAGGGAAGCGGAGATTGCGGTGAGCCGAGATTGCACCACTGCACTCCAGCCTGGGCAACAGAGCGAGACTCCATCTCAAAAAAAAAAAAAAAAAAGTAAACACAAATAGCTATTACTCAGCTGTGATCTGTAGTTGATTTTGTTTGGTTTTGCTTCTCATTCCTCTGTATATATTCCAAATTTTTAATGACAAGCTTTTTTTTTTTTGAGACAAGGTCTCACTCTGTTGCCCAGGCTGGAGTGCAATGACACTATCATGGCTCACTGAAGCCTTGACTTCCCAAGCACAGGTGATTCTCCCAAATCAGCCTCCTGAGTAGCTGGGACTACAGGCATGGGCCACCACACCTGGGTAATTTTTTGTATTTTTTTTGTAAAGATGGGATTTTGCCATGTTGCCCAGGCTACATATTTATTATTTTTATGATTAAAAATAAATCTATTTTGAAAGATTTTAAACTAACTGAAAATTTACTTTTAGAAAAGACAGTTGCACTACAAATGTAGAAACACAATAAGCACTTCAAATAGTATAAATCAAATAGCGAACCCATTAAGAGGGACTTAAGAAGCCTATATTCTTTAAAAACTTTAAAAAAGAAAGAAAGATAGCAAGCCACTTGGTGAGTGAATAATTTATCCTTTTAAATTTGACTTGTCTGAGATTTATTGTACATATATTTCCTGAACCAAAGCCTGGTAATCATGGACATGTATGTACTCACTAAGAGCAAAAAATAGATTCTTTGAAATGTGGACTACTCTCAAAAAAATTCAGGCCATAATGTTAGCACTTTTCAATTGCTTTCTAGTTCTGGAAAAACTTCAGCAACATATTCTATAAAACCTCATAAGCTAATATACACAGGACCAAATTCAGGTTTTCAATTATATCTTACCCATGTATCTGTCAAAGAAATTTTTGTTAAAGAGACAGCCCTGTGAGAAATGAGGTTGCATAACAGAAAGGATAATGAAAAAGGCATCAGAAACTTAGGTTCTAATTCTGATTCTGTCACTTTCTGTGAGAATTTGAGCAAATCACTTAAAATTTTTGGATGCCACCACTTGTCTTAGATATCTCTCCAAGCTTAGACTACCTCCATCTAGGGAATCATGATTAGTCCGGTAACCTGATTAGGTTTCTAGGGTTATACTTATTAATTATGTTTATTCTGTGTTCTAGAACTTTTAAAATATCAATGGTACATCAACTGGCAAGTGCTTAATGGAACATTGACAACTGCTAATCATATCTGTGATTCTTTTTTCAGACCAAAGTCTGCAGTGTAACAAAATGCTCAGATTCTGCTGTCTCTGGCCAATGGGAGGTGGTCACTATGCATGAAGAGAAGCAAGAGTCAGCCATCTTTGATGCTGTCATGGTCTGCACTGGCTTTCTTACTAATCCTTATTTGCCACTGGATTCCTTTCCAGGTACAGCATTTTCTGTAACTAACTTTAAGTTTTCTCGTGGGAGCCATTCTGATGCTTGATTGGTCTGGGAATGAATTCCTATGGCTGTTCCATTAAATAGTTAAAGTTGGGAGGTAGGAGGAGGCTTTTTTTGTTTTGTTTTGTTTTTTTCTAGCCAGCATTTTCTGGCCAGTTTTTGGCTTTCATTTGTTCCAAACAATCTGTGAATACATAAGAGCAAAATGGATAACTTTATAAGTATTTTTATGCTTTACCAAGATTCAATGTCCCTCAAGTGACTGGTAGCACTCAGAAAGTCTTCTGAGACATGGGATGCTTACACAAGTCATTAACTTCAGCAGCAGGTACACATTGCCAAAGTTGAGTTTAGAGGCCACAAAAGTCAATCTGTGAAAAAAGAAAAAAGTAATTTTTTCTATTTGTTCCTCTTATGTGAGTGATAGCAATTAGATTAGAGGTTTACGGCACTGGTCAATAGTCAAGAGGGAGATTAGTCTTGGGAGACAACTTAAGACATCTTTGGGTCTCAGTTTTCTTATCGGCCTTTTGCAACCATAGTCATGTTAATCTATGCCAAATTTTAACTGGATTTTAACTCAATGGAACAGAAAATGAAATGGTTTGGTTTATTTCATCTGTAACAAGCATTCAAAAAGTTAAAACTTTCAGAAACTTTTCTCCAAATCATCTAATGATTGCCTAGAATGATCCCAAGACTCATCTTACCACAATAAATTTAGGAGCATGCTATGGTTCTGGATCTGCCCCCAGAGGTCACTCAGATCAGGTTAGATTAGGATAAAGCATATCCTGAAAATTGCCAGAGAATAGAATCATTGAATTGGAAAGAACCAAGTTCAGTCTTCTTCCCAATGCAGGAAATTATTTTTCAGCAATTCTGAGAGAGGCTCCATAGCCTCTTCTTGAACCCATTCAACAATGGAATCTCATCATCACAGAAGACAACCCAATTTTTTGTCATTCTTGCCTGCAGAGCAAGGCTCTGAGCAGCCATCCACTCCAAAATTCCAGAAAGGAGTACCTAGTCACTGCAAGAATCCAGAAAGTTCCATGGCATAGGGAGTAAACTACATTCATTCAGCACTTACAGTATATTGCACTAGGTGCTAAGAATATAGAGGTGAATAAGGCAACATGTAACCTGTATTGGAGGAATGAATAGAGTTTTATGGAGTCCAGTGGAGAAATCACAGTCTGCATATGACCTGTAGTGATTCCAATACCCTAAACATACACCTCTCATGGTCCTGGATTTGCCCCCCAAAGTCACACAAGTTTACATCAGATTAAAATAATAAAGCATACCTGAAAGCAATTGAGCCAATATGCTCAGTTTGAGTAGAAGAGGTAGGGACCCAGCAGCTATGAATTCTAGCATATACAACCACCTAGCTGATAGTCTTGAGTCGCCCACTTAACTTTTCTAAGCCTCAAATTTACCCACAAATTGAAGAGCTTGGATTACTTTAACCAACAGTACACATCACAAATCAAGCAAGAAGAGCTCTACAAGGCTTGCAGTCTTTCTTAAAACCCATCTTATCTACCACTGTCAATTTAAAATCCCTGGCTAAATGATTAAGGAGTCTTTGAGCTCTAAAATTCTGTGATTTTAGAGTTGAAGAGCAGTTCTCCCAACCTCTCTATCTCCTGACTTACAGCAGACTTGCTTAGATGGCACACACTCCTTGCGATGGTTGTTAACTGTCAAATAAAATTCAAATTCACTGAAGGTATTTAAAAATATGTATCACAAGCTCTAGAAGCAATTCCAGAGAAGGTGCACTAAAAAGTCGTAGTAAAAATAATAGGTATCACAGTTAGAATAAACGTATGATTTCCCAAGATGACTACTTTTATCATTCACATATATACATTCTGCTATTTACCTTTTTTCTTTTTTATATTATAAATTTTTTTCTTAGATAGGACATTCTGCTACTTACTAACACAGCCACATTTACCTAATATAAGTTCTTACTCTGTCTTTCTGTGAGATAAGAGAAAGTATTAGTCTGTTAAGAGACAGCCACAGAGTCTCATTTTTGTCCATTTGTGACCCCCCAAAACAAAGCCTATCCAAAGAGAATCTAAAACAACATGAGATCCAGAGATAACTGTATTTTCTGCTTAGGCTTTCCACCTCTTTCTTCGCAACAGTTCTCTGATCCATATTGGGTTCCTGTGCTGAGTAAATATTGGAACTTGGTTGCATCCTTGCTAAATTCCAAATGCTCTGTGTTGTGGTTAGGTTTTAACTTGGATTCGTGTTAGATTTCTACTAATTCAAGGTGAGCTAAAGAGCCAGCAGGCCTTGTAATGCCACTCCCCACAAGTATATACATTTTTCCCCTGAGAATGTAGAGGTCTTATTACTTTTTTTAGGAAAAAAGAAGTTCTTTGTTTAGCACATATTACTTCTGATTATGTAATGTTGTCTTAAGAGTATTTTCTGCTTAAGTTATTGCTGTTAAAAAAGAAAAAGAGTATTTTCAAACCTTCTCCATTCATGTGATGTTTCAATAAGATTCAGCATCACTGCCTAAGGTATCCTATCAAGTTAGCCCAGTTGATTGAATCCTGGTGTAACTGACATCACTCCTTTTTCTCTGAGCCAACTCTGGCCAACCCAGCAAACTCAGCCTGAGTTACAGTCAGTCACCAAGTGAACTTCTCCAACTAACATGAAACTTTGTGAATAGGGACAACATTTTATTTATCTTATTCCCCCCATACCATCTAGCACAGTACCAGGCACAAAGCAGAGATCAAAAAGTTTTCTGAAAAGAGATACTGACTCACAGTTCCCTTAAGCTTCTTGCTTATGAAAAGCTTATATAAATCAAGTATTAATCAATAGAACATTATTGTCCTGTTGACTTTTATCAACCTTTAAAATGATAATGACTCCTTATACTTTTGCTTAATATATCTTTATGCCATAATATTTCAGCTCAGTAGTTAACTATCTAGTAAGTAAAACTGGAGGCCTATCTAGTGAGATGGAGTAATAACCCCCCTTAAATAATTACCTGCCAATGTCTTGTAAAGTCATGTATTCATATTTTCTCAAACTTGAGAATACTAGTAAAAATGACCAAAATCATCTGTCAAAAGAATGTTATCAACTGAAGAATATTTATGTTTCATTCACTGATCCTGTTAATTCTCTGTGTGACTTCTCTTTTATTTTCTATAGGTATTAATGCCTTTAAAGGCCAGTACTTTCATAGCCGGCAATATAAGCATCCAGATATATTTAAGGACAAGAGAGTCCTTGTGATTGGAATGGGAAATTCTGGCACAGACATTGCTGTGGAGGCCAGCCACCTGGCGGAAAAGGTACATTCCTGATGTTACTGGGTGAAGAGCTTTATCTTAAGATGCATGCCTCAAGCAAATGGTGTTTGACACCATGATAAATGTTAAAGGAATAAAATGTCTCACATGCAAACAACAGATTACTAAGGAATTTAATTTTTACTGAATGTTCACAAATTTTTCTATGAATTGCAGTTGTCATCTTCCCTCCAAAACCAACTTCTCTGACTTCTTTTTACTTTTTTTTTTTTTTTTGTCATTTTCCCAGCCATCCAACAAGAGCTACAGGACATGTTTCTTCCCTACTCAGTCCCATAGGTCAGAAAATTCTACCAACTTTTTCCTGCTACTATCTCCCATTTGCCCATTCCTCTCCTTATTAATTACCAACACCCTCATCAGGTCCATGCTACCTCACACTGAGGATATTGCATTGTCCTCCTAATAATAGTTGTAGAAATAGTTAATATTTATTAGGATTATTCTGTGGCCGGCACTGCACTAAATGTGTTTTTACTGCACTACTTTATCCAGTCATCAAAACAAGCCACTGAAGTAGGTACTGTTAGTATCCTTGACTGCACATGAGGAAACCAAGGCTTAGAGAAGTTAAAGAACCTGCCTGAAATCTTACCACTAGCATGTGGCAGAGCCAGTTCTCAAACCCAAGTCTCTTTGACTCAAAGCCTACGTTCCTAACTATCCTCTTCTACCTCCTACCTTCAGGCTTCTCAAGGGTTTTGCCCTGCATTTTATTTTTGCCTTGTACCACTACCCAAGGTCACTGCCACCCACAACAAGCCATCTAGACCCCAACTACCAACAAACAAATCCTCAGAAGAGCCTGCTCTCATTATAGCACTCTCATGCTGAAAAACCTCTAATTATTCTCTTTACCTGAAAAAAATAAATTGCAGACGTAGTAGCTCTGCATCAGAGAGTTTTCTATAATCTGAACCAAATCTGCCATTTTAATTTTAACTTCTGTTTCTTGCATGATAATCAACTGTAGCATTTTCCAGTTCCTGTCTTTAGTTCCCCTTTGCTCACGCTACCCCTCTCTCTTCTTCAGAGCCCCTTTCTCTTCTATTACAATCTACCTTTACCTTCCCAGATATCTCACTCCAACACGAAGTGATCTCTCCCTATTCAGAATGTAAGTAATATTGTAATTTGCACCCCTCAGTTTTCACTTTTAAATTCTTAATATTGCAAATTACCTTTCATCATATATAGTTTCTTTTCAACTATGCTGTAAACTCATTGAGGGCCATTCAGCTAACTAATATATACTAGTTGCTGGCTCCCCAGTTTGGTGGGGGAAGAAACAATCTGTTAAATCAGCTGTTTTGTATCAGCAAAGCAACAGATTGCTTAACTAATTATTTTCTTTGTAAACAATTGTACAGGAAACTCCTTATTAAGTACTAAAACTATTAGCTTTGTGAATTCGGTCAACTGGTAAATTCAAACAGCCAATGTTAAAAAGAACAAATACCAAAAGTAATTGTAGTACTGAATTTTGCTGTCATTTAAGCCAATGGTTTGCACTGAAACTCTGTAGACAACTCTGATACTGCCATTCCCTGTTCTTACTGCCTACAATGATAGTGAGCACACCAAGTAGCAATCACCTGTTCATTGTTTTCTTACATAGACTTTAGGTCCCTATGGTTTACTAAAGGCTGGCAGATAATAAGTATTCAATAATATGTCTTAAGGCATTTTAATACTCTAGATGCTCTGAATCCTAATCTCAAAAGGATTAACTTTAAAATAGAAGTTAGAAGAACCAAGACTATCTTGTCAGGGGTGTATTTTGAGAGTGGCAGACTTTTCAGTGCCTTTCCATTCATGACACTTCTTGAATCTCTGGCAGAACCAGCCAGCCGTGTTCACAGTGTCAAATGAAGGGATGTCTTTGATTGCTTCCAGGTGTTCCTCAGCACCACCGGAGGGGGATGGGTGATCAGCCGAATCTTTGACTCGGGCTACCCATGGGACATGGTGTTCATGACACGCTTTCAGAACATGTTGAGAAATTCCCTCCCAACCCCAATTGTGACTTGGTTGATGGAGCGAAAGATAAACAACTGGCTCAATCATGCAAATTACGGCTTAATACCAGAAGACAGGTAAATATAATGTGACTGCCAAGGGCTTTTAGGAAGAAGGAGCCTCTGCCTGTCCAGCAGCCTATACAAGCCAGGCAGTACCACAGCAACATGGCTGAATGTGTGGGAACACTTGATACAAATTTGCTTGATAATAACAGCTAACTGTTCTTAAGTACTCAGAAAGTGAAATTATGTATTTCACCTTGTCAGCAACACTTTACGTATTATTATAATAATCCTTTTATTATGGAGAAACTGAAACAGCAAAATTCAGCCATTTACCCAAGCTCACTGAGTAGTAAGTGAACTCTGTGACCTTGGCAAGTTACTTGATCCTCAGCTGTAGCAACCAAAAGAGAATGATTTGTCTATGACTTTGTTGATAAAAGAAACACACTTGCCCAGTTTCACTGTGTGGGAAAAACTGAATCCCATAGTTGCCCCTCACCATCTCTCTAATGGTAGAGCCTTCTTCCCGTTGTCAAGATTGACCTTGGCCCAAAAAATGGCTCAGCTTATACAAGATCAGCTCACAAAGTGTTTGTCTTGTGATTCCAAAGGTATAGCCAGAAAAAGACAATTCTGCCCTTGTTCCTTTAAATACATGCATGTTTCCCTTATAAAACTTTTTCCTAGGAAGAGACTAGAGCTTTCAGAAGTTCTCAGCCACTCTAGAAGTCCCTGGTTTCCCTTGTAGCCCTTCAGCTCTCAGCCCCACTCTAGAATGACAGTGACAGATGAATGCTAAAAATCAGCAAGAGAAACAGAAGCTAGAGAAGGTGCTGGCTTCCTCTTCAGGCTTCCAAACTCTAGTAAATGGCAAGCATATTTTATAATCCTTCCTGAACATTCATGAATCCCCTTCCACTGAAGTAACATCTCCCAAGACTTGCAGCAATTCTTGTCCAACCAAGGAGAGAGCCCCAGAATGAGAGAGGGAGGTAAAGAGAAGGGAGAGCTGGCTGAATTGTTCACTGACAAGTCTCCTCCCTGTTCATGTTTTTGTTTAGGACTCAGCTGAAAGAGTTTGTGCTAAATGATGAGCTCCCAGGACGCATCATCACTGGGAAAGTGTTCATCAGGCCAAGCATAAAAGAGGTAAAGGAAAACTCTGTCATATTTAACAATACTTCAAAGGAAGAGCCTATTGACATCATTGTCTTTGCCACTGGATACACATTTGCTTTCCCCTTCCTTGATGAGTCTGTAGTGAAAGTTGAAGATGGCCAGGCCTCACTGTACAAGTATATCTTCCCTGCACATCTGCAAAAGCCAACCCTGGCCATTATTGGCCTCATCAAACCCTTGGGCTCCATGATACCTACAGGAGAAACACAAGCTCGGTGGGCTGTTCGAGTCCTGAAAGGTAAGTATAAGAAATAGCAGGGCATGTGTTTTTGGTGTGCCATGTGATTCTGGATACTGGAAATGTTGAGACTATTATTCCTCCTGCTTCTATTTAAAATAACAGAATCTTTAAAAGCAGGATGCATTCTATTGTTTGCTGAATTATACTGTCATAATGATTTGTTCCATTACTGCATAAATGGTATATCAGGGTCAAAAATATATATATTTTTTTGATATACCAAAAATATAACAGTTGACATAGGCTGTATCTATGTCAACTGTGATATTTTTTCTTTTTTATTTTTAAGACACAGGGTCTCACTATCTCGTCCAGACTAGTGTGCAGTGGCTATTTATAGGCATGATCATAGATTACTGCAGCCTCAAACTCCTGGTCTCAAGCAATCCTCCTACCTCAGTCTCCTGAGTAGTGGAGACTACAGACATGCACACTGCACACAGCTACCTGTTATTTTGACTAAAACAAAATGACAGTTAACATTTCTGTCAGTTGACTGAATCAACTGGCTCAATTAAAATTTTTAAACTCAAGCAAATGAGTGACAACATTCAGCCAAACTAGTTGTGAGATTCTGCTATATCAAATAATTAGTGAGATGACCAGATGCTTATCTTTTCAGCTGACGGCATTATTACCAGGAGCATACAACCAGTCAGCTCAGGCTGCTAACATTTTTGCCAGAAGGATCAATGAGTAGCTGGTACTAGACGTGAAAGGAGAGCCATAGTAAAGCATCTTTATCCATAAGTCAACAGCTAGACCTAAACTTAAGTTGCATTTGAGGTTTTTATTTTAATCCTACAGGTGTAAATAAGTTACCACCACCAAGTGTCATGATAGAGGAAATTAATGCAAGGAAAGAAAACAAGCCCAGTTGGTAAGTTAACTACTTAATGCACCCTTTTTAAATTATAACTGAAATTGGTAAAAAAAAAAAAAAAAAAAAAAAAAAAAAAAAGGAAATGAAAAAGAAAAAAAAACAATAGCAGAGAGATGAAAGTTACATTGGAGAAAAAAAGAAGCATCTGAGACTTACAAGAAAAATACTAGGAGAGCCTGTTTAAGAAGAGAGAAGGGAAAGGGGAATTTAGAATTTTTAATGTCCCCAAAGTCATCACTTCAGCCCATGGTTTTCTAGTATCACATAGAGTTTGGATTCCAAATCAAGTACTACATAATTAACCCTAATCTACCAGGTACATTATTCCATATCTTATCCATAATCAACAGGCAAGCAGTTGTACCTATTTACTCTGACACTAGAAGTGTCTGCTCATTCATTCACTGAACAAGTCTCTATCAGCTCTATTGTTTTTATTCGGAGTGTGGCTTTTGCTCTTCATTTATAATTGGCTGGAAAAAAGGAAGAAGAAAAACAAAATTTTGTAGCATGTGAAAAAATCATATGAAATGGAAACCATACTGGCCATAAATAAAATTTTATTAGAACACAGCCATGGTTATTCATTTACATATTGTCAATGGCTGTTTTTGTGTTACAGTACCAAAGTTGTTTAGCAGTTGAGATAGAAACTGTAATGTGGCTCTCAAAGCCTGAACATTTACTGTCTGGCCTTTTTCAGAATAAAGTTTATTGAGCACTTCTCTATGGGAAAGGTTTTCACTTATGCTGTGCTCTGTGGCTACCACTCAAGGCTAGAGACAATGGAAGACTGATGGCCAGCAAAGTAAAGAGTCTTGGCCCTCCCCTCTCACTCTCAATCCAACCAAAACATTTCTGATTGTTTTGTGGTTTGATAAAACCACTTTGTTTTATCTGTTCATCTGTTTCTGCGTTTGATATACATTTTCACTTGAAATAAAGGTTCTGTGGCAAAAAAAAAAAAACAAAAAACAGCAAGTTTTAAAATCATTGCATCTAAGGAACTTATTATCACTCTCTTGTTCATATATATTCCCAAACTTCAAGGGTTGATCTATCCTTGTCAAGGTACCAAATTCCAAAACAATAATAGCATTTTAGATGTCTCTTCTTTATCCTCAACCTGGGATATGATTTGATCTTCATTATGGAACTCCAGTGTAATAGATAACTAATTAGAACTGCTATAAAATGAAAATCTTCTTGTCACGCATGTCAGCAAACAATTTTAGGGGCCAGGTGCAGTGGATCATGCCTGTAATCCCAGCACTTTGGGAGGCTAAGGCAAGAGGATCATTTGAGCTCAGGACTTTGAGACCAGCCTGGATGACATAGCAAGCCCCCATCCCTACAAAAAAAATAAAAGTTATTTAGGCATGGTGGCTCATGCTTGTAGTCCCACCTATTCCTAAGCCAGGAGGATCGCTTGAGCCAAGGAGTTCAAGGTTGCAGTGAGCTATGATCATGCCACTGCACTCCAGCCTAGGTGACAGAGCAAGACCTTGTAAAAAAAAAAAAAAAGAAAAAAGAAAAAAAGAAAAGGAAAAGAAAAATTAATTAATTAATTAAAGCCTAATACCAGCATTTCAGGGAATTTTACCCTATAGATTTTTGTGGCTTTTCACATTATATAAATCATTGGATTTGTTATTACTGAATAATGGAATTTTATAAAGATTTAGAAATTTTAAAATATATTTTCCTCTAGAAATTGCTAATTATTTCACAAAAGAACTAAGATGCATTATGAGCACTCAGAGCACCCATTAAAAGCCATATGTATAAAGTATCTTTTGAAGGGACTCATCTTGATTTAAGAAACAGAAGGAGACCGTTAGATAGGTAGGGAAATAAAGGGGAAAATGCAGAAACCATCCCAAATTCTGCAGCAGTATTTGTTTGCTTTGGGCACTTGTACTTGTTCTAAGATTATCAGTTTTTTTGTCTTCACCTTTTCCCCCAATCTTCCTTTTATAAAGGTTTGGCTTGTGCTACTGCAAGGCTTTACAATCAGATTATATCACATACATAGATGAACTCCTGACCTATATCAATGCAAAACCCAACCTGTTCTCTATGCTCCTAACGGATCCACATCTGGCTCTGACCGTCTTCTTTGGCCCATGCTCACCATACCAGTTCCGCTTGACTGGCCCAGGAAAATGGGAAGGAGCCAGAAATGCCATCATGACCCAGTGGGACCGAACATTCAAGGTCATCAAAGCTCGAGTTGTACAAGAGTCTCCATCTCCCTTTGAAAGTTTTCTTAAAGTCTTTAGCTTTCTGGCTTTGCTTGTGGCTATTTTTCTGATTTTCCTATAAGTAAAAGATCTCCTAAATGGAAGATGCACAGAGTAGATTTACAATGCTCCAATTCCTCTCTTACAGCAATATTGCCTTCACAGTTATAAACTGTATTCAAATAGTAAAGGCCACCCTCTCGCTTCCCTGGCTGGCCCCAGGGCTACCACTGGTATTCCTGAGCCTCTCCCAGCTCCACTTCTAATGCTAGAGAATGATAACTAAGACTTCTGTGCATTTGAAGGTTGTTGGAAAGTTACAGGTTCATTTTAGAAAGAAAGCTGTTCTTGACAGCACTCTGAGCCATCATACCTCTTTCCCATATAAACTATTTTCACAGATCTCAACTAAAACCCCTTACTTCACAAATGATTGTGTTGTGCTGAAATGGTGCTCTTATAGTACTGGCTTATTAAAAGTAAAAAATAAACCTAAAAATTGATTGTTTTAAGTGATCTTTTGTTCTCTTATTAAAGATTGGGAAAAGGGAGAAAAAGATGAGGATTCTATGAATAAAGCTCATAAAAGGATAGGGGGTTCAATGAGTTACTTTGAGAGTTTCCCAAAGGACTGTACCTGCCTGGGACTGTTCATTCCTCCAGAACACTCTTTATAACAAAGCTGTTACTCCAGCTGGCCTCCCAAAGACCCAAATCAGATTCCACAGAAAACCACCACCTCCACGGGCTCTTAGAACCAGCCTCCAGCAGCCAAAGGAAAAAGCCTACCTGCTTAGATCCTCCTTCACAACCCTGCTGTAAGAGGCAAATGGAGCTGCCTCCTTTTAAAGAGTCAATGAGAACCAA
The DNA here is from genome assembly GCF_000001405.40 of Homo sapiens. Taxonomy (NCBI): domain Eukaryota; kingdom Metazoa; phylum Chordata; class Mammalia; order Primates; family Hominidae; genus Homo; species Homo sapiens. Next base: position 171,286,330 of record NC_000001.11, read on the forward strand.
CCAAATTCAATTGGAATTCATTAGATAAAGAGCACAGCCAAGAAGCTTTTAATGGAGAGAAAGCAGGGAGAGGAAAAAAGGGAAAGAAAAAGAGGAACAAAAGCAAACATCGTGTCAAAAGCAGCAGTTTCAATGAAACTAGACCCAGCCTATCTCACAGTTACAGCTGATGAAGATATGACTCATAATCAGGAAAGGCTTTGCTTCACTTCATCTCGTGGCTTATATGGAAAACCCTGTGGGTAAACCTCACCTCACAGAGAGGTCCACAGTTTGGATGCAGGGACAAGATTCAAAAACTGTGGCGTCAGGAAAAGAGTGATCTCTGTAGGGCCAGTACAGATACAGATCATTTCTCCCCAACTTTGTTTGGCTCTGCCAACTCTTCAGTATTGTTCCATTTCTTACTTTTCCTTGTGACCTGTTTCACTCTTACCATAGAAACACATGATGAAGAATTGCCCCCACTGCATACAATCTAGATTACTCCTAGAAATGCTTTTCTTTCCATTGAAACAAAGCTGATATTTTAACTTTCCTCATGAAGCTGGCTGGGGAGAAGTTTAGTGCCCAAGGTGAAACAAGGAAGGATAAACTCCTCAGGCCACAGTGGCAAATCATGACACAAGCGGCCACCTGAACCTGATCATATCTACTGCACTGGGAGACTGAATATACATATGGTCAATGACCAGACCATTTACAGCAATAGATTTATAACCTACAACCCCTGCAGCAATCAGCTCAGAACAGTCAGGACTTGTTTAATGAGTGCCAGCTTCTCTACTTGTTGCCCCTGCTTCTAACTCAGGAGTGACGAAAGAAAGCCAAATAAGCTTCTCAAACCAGTCCCATCTGATGTCTTGCTTCTAGTTAACCTACCTCCACCTTCCCTATGCCAACAACCATCAGTGAGAGTACCTGAAGCCTTCCCTTTCTTTCACTATAAACACACACAAACACACACACACACACACAAAACCTCCCCTGCTGCCTTTGAATCTGTGCCAAACATTAGTGGTGGTGCCAGCAAAAAAAAACATATATTATGTAAAGACTACAGCAGTAATTATAATGCTGCACATTTTATACTATTTTAAAATTAATAAAATGCCAACTGTTATCTCACTTAATCCACACAATAATGATGTGATTGGGAAGACGACTGTACTACATACACAATTTGACAAGTAAGAAAACTCAGATAAGGAGATGTCAATTGATTTGTCCCAGGTAACAGGTAAAATGTGGCTGAGTCAGAACATGAGAATCCAGAACATACATCACAGGCTTTTTACCATTTAAGCCCACTGTCTCCAATGTTCAAATGACTCCAGAAGCCTTAATAGTGATATTGCAAAAGCCATATTACAAGAATGTTACTCCATGAAAGTATCTGTAGGTCTCTCTCCCTTTCCCACTCTCCCTATGAGTGTGTGTGGACCTGTCTGCCTGTCAATTGTCAATCGTTCATGCTGTGCCTAGAATTTCATATCTTTCCCTTTATATATATCTTTAATTTCTGAATCCATGGGTTTGAATCTCCACATGCATCTTTTTCCCTGTGCATTCCTTTTTTTTCCTGACTATGGCTGTGCTAGGCCTCCTCTATGACTATATTATAGAACAGACTCAAAAGTCTACAAGTCTCTAAGACTGTGTTATAGAACAGACTCATTTCTAGTCTAGAAATTATTCCATGCACACTCCTGAAAAAAGTATCATTTTTTTCTGTTCAGAAAAAAAAATTGAGTGAATTCTCATAAATCTAGCAAAATAGGAAATACGTAAAACATTTTGACATTACATTACTTACTCTGTTTCTTGCACACTATTTAAACCAGAAGAGCTTCTGAGGCATTTCCTGTTTCTTGCACACTATTTAAATCAGAAGAGCTTCTGAGGCATTTCATCACCAAGAGTAATTTTATGTTTTCTGAAAATATTTTTAATGTCTATTAATAGTACCCCCTGCTAGACCAGTCTTAAGTAAAGTTACCTATCTTCTCATGTACCAATGCTCTGGGTCTTTCAACATGTCCCATCGTGTGGAGATGCTTGGAGAACCAGCAAGGGCCCTGCCACTTACTAGCTGTGTGACCTTGAGCAAGTCACTTACTTTTCCTAAGCTACAGTTTTCCCTTCTATAACATAGAAGTTATCTTCTGAGAATTTATTTTGCCTCATAAGGATGTTATGAGGATTAAATGGCATGATCCACATAAAGTACTTCGCATAAATACTGTACAAGGTATGTGTTCAATAAATGATAGCTATTATTACTATGTTACCCAAGCAAGATGTATGTTTTATCGCCTGATTTATTTTTTCTAGGCCATAGACCTAGCTCCTCATAGGGCATTGACACCACAGTATGTCACAGGCCTCTCAAATGCAGTATGCTCAAAATTAAACTCATTTCCCAACAGTCCTTATTTTCCCCAACAGTCCTTACTTAACTGCTAATGTCATCATCCTTATCCTCTGTAGGGAAATGAACAATTTCCGTGAATAATTACACATCGACTAAGGACATTAATGAGGTTATTTGATTTTTATTCTATGGTAACTATTTTATAACTCAGTAAATTATAGATAACTAATAGCAGTGCAAAATAATTCTTGTCTATAGACACGTAGATAATGTCCAGCAGAAGTCTAATTGGCGTCCCTTCCCCACTGTGCGAAAAACTAGTTTTGCCTCCATTTGCACATTCATTTCAACATTCCTGATTTATACATGCGTATTTTATCTTTAAATTTTCTTTTGAACTGATTGTAACATCTTACCAATTTCCTTTTTAATAACAAGTGAAATAAAATCTCTAATACGTGTCTATCTTACATTTGTATGAATCACAATTCTACCTTCTTTGAAAATTATCTTTTAACTCTTCCAAGGAATAGCAACACCATTTACCAATAGTTATGTTTCCACTGAAACACATCACCTTTGACACTCTAACCCTCATACCTCATATCCAACAGCCTATGAGCCTTATCAAGTGTGTCTCTAACACAGAGCAAAGACCACTGTGGTACTGAGTGCAAACACATGGGCTGTAGAGTCAGATGGCCCGGGTTGAATCCTACTTTGCTGCACAACCTTGGGCTAGTTATTTAATGTCTTCTAACTTCAGTTCCTTTATCTATAAAATATGGAAGTAACACTTCAGCATTGCTGTAACGGAGAATTAATGAAGATAATCCATGTAAAGCATTAGGCCAGTGCCTGGCATGTGGTCAGTGCTTACCTAAAGGTAACTATTAATATCTCACAGACTCATCTGTCTCTTACCCTCCCTTCTTCCTCACTGGCTAGTTTAGACTCATTTAATTTCTTCCCTAGGTTAGTGCTACCTGGCTTCCCTGGTCCCCTTACCACCATTTAGTCCCTCTACCCCTGTCTCCCTGCTTCCCCAAGAATAATTTGTGGGTGATGCCATTCTCAGAAGCAGTCATAGTAAGAGGAGATAAAAATGAAGAGCTTCTTATGTTCTCCTACCCTCAGTGTCGCTGTCTCAATCACTGCTTCCCAATTTAGGAAGTTTCACATGGGGGCTGTAAACAACTGAGAAAAACAACATCTTTTAGAGTTGTCCTGTCCCTCATGAGATAGAATACATTATTATTTTAAAATATTCTAACTTGAGAGCACTTTGATTAAAAATGAAAGAAGACTGCATTTAATTCTTTCTCTGAAAGACAAAAACTTTGTTAGACATTTTAAAGTGGACCTAAATATTTTAAGCCAAAAGGAAAAATATGAGATCAGCCTCTATTATTGAGCAAATTTTCCTACAGAGTAAAACTTATACTACTTAACTATGCATTTTTTTTAATTTCAGACATTCATTTTTGTGGACGTATAAGCAGCCTTTATAAAGAGTATGCTTCTTATTAGAGTTATAGCCAGATTAGTAAACAGAGAAGGAGCGAGTGCAATATGAGGTTAGAAATAGGAGCTAATCTTAAATGCCGGCAGCAAAGGAGAATCCATGTTAGCAAAATGCTCCTCTGCAAAAGCCATACTATAATATCAAGACATAAAAGGACTCAAAGGGACATATTCCAGGCCATTAGGGGAGGAAAGTGGTCATTGTGGAATCAAAATGATATTAAATGCATTTGGGGGCAATTTGGCAATATCGTGCATAATTTTAAATGCATGTATCCTTTGACACAATTACGTATCTCAGAGTCTATTCCATAGAAATTGTCATGTGTACAAAGATATTTATACAAAGATGTTCATTGTCATATTGTTTGTAAAAACAAAGAAGTGTTGTCAGTGGAGGAAAATGATGAAACAAGTCTCATTTCAAGGTTGTGAAATTTATTTAGTTACTAAAGGGTGTTAAATCAGACAAGGTAAGTGCTCTGTTCTTTATAAGACTGCTGTTGCCAGCATATCTAGGACAATAATTATAATGGTTATTGTACAATAAACATAGGCATTCCTTGGTATACAGGCCTGGTTCTGTGTCTTGGGTTTAAGCCGTCCACAACAGCTGTCGTCTGCTTCTAATCCTGCATTAAAGGTTGATGTTTAATGAACTGGAGGCAAAGGTCTTTGGTGGGAGTTACAGTCTACTCAGGACATTGTGCCTTTTTAAGATGAGAGATGTGAATCCATGAGTCTATACCCTCTAATTTTGTGGCACATGGATTAGTCAATAATACCTGGTATAGTACCCCTTCCACTGGGGTTGAAGGAAGTCCTTTATTAGATGTCCTTCCCAGTAGACAAAATCTCTTAGTTGCAGATCATGGCCAGGCACCTTATCTTCAGGGTGCATACTGTGAAAGGAATTATTTACCAAATCTTAATTTTTTTTTTTTTTTGAGACAGAGTCTCACTCTGTCACCCAGGCTGGAGTGCAGTGGCGTGATCTCAGCTCACTGCAACCTCCACCTCCCAGGTTCAAGGGATTCTTCTGCCTCACCCTCCCAAGTAGCTGGAACTAGAGGTGCATGCCACTACACCCAGCTAATTTTTGTATTTTTAGTAGGGACAGTTTTCAGCATATTGGCCAGGCTGGTCTCGAACTCCTGACCTCATGATCCACCTGCCTCGGCCTCCCAAAGTGCTGGGATTACAGGCATGAGCCACTGTGCCTGGCCCAAATCTTGATTTTTTTTACGGTAATAAATGAGTCCCTCACAATATTGCAATATATCTCCCTTAAGAAGAGTTGGATTGGTTATGTTCATTCCCATACACATGGGCCTTCCTGTTATAATTTCATAAGGGGAAAGTTGATGTTTTCCAAAAGGGGTGGATCAGACCGTAAGCAGCTTTGGACCAGGGGAGGTGAAATGCCTCTGTGAACTTAGCCAATTGTGTTTTAATTATTCCATTGGTCCTTTCCACCAGGCCTGAGGACTGGGGGTGGTAGGCACAATGGAAATGTTGAAATATGGGCCAAATTTCACAAACATCTTGAATAACCTGGCCGGTAAAGTGAGCTCCCCTGTCACTGTGAAGTTCACAGGGGACTCCCCACAGTGGGATAATTTTTTGTAGAAGAATTTTCCAACTGCCATGGCTGTTGCTTGCCTGCAGGGAAAAGCTTCAACCCAACGGGAAAACATGCAGACCATTACAAAAACATACTTAACAACCTTGAGATGATGGCAGCCAGATAAAATCAAGCTGCCATACCTCAAAGGGTCCAGCCGGAAGGAAAAAATGACCGTGGGCCCCATGGAGGGTCTTTCCTAGGTTTTGTTTGGGACAAATAGCACATTAAGAGTAACCTTTTTGGGCCGGGCGCGGTGGCTCACGCCTGTAATCCCAGCACTTTGGGAGGCCGAGGCGGGCGGATCACGAGGTCAGGAGATCGAGACCATCCCGGCTAAAACGGTGAAACCCCGTCTCTACTAAAAATACAAAAAAACTAGCCGGGCGTAGTGGCGGGCGCCTGTAGTCCCAGCTACTTGGGAGGCTGAGGCAGGAGAATGGCGTGAACCCGGGAGGCGGAGCCTCCAGTGAGCCGAGATCCCGCCACTGCACTCCAGCCTGGGCGACAGAGCGAGACTCCGTCTCAAAAAAAAAAAAAAAAAAAAAAAAAAGAGTAACCTTTTTGTGCCACTGTGAAGGATGGTTTCCAGTAATATTGTTTACACCAGGGTATTATTTTATCTAGATTCCAATGGGTTAGATTATGAACATACTCCATAAGGGACACCTGACATCCCATTGGAATAATGGGTTTATTATTAGGTCCACATCATATTTCACTTTCAAGAGACAAGTACCTCCCTGCCTGTTTCCAAGTAGATTTCTCTTCTGTAGGAGCTATGCTCTGGGTTTCTTTCAACATGTTTTTAAGTATTTGGGGTTTTATGGCCATTTCCCAGATTGGGACTGGTGGCTCGGATGCTGCTCTTTTAGCTGTAGCTTCAGCCAGTTGGTTACCCTAACTTTCTATGGTGTCTAATTTTGAATGACCTGGGATTTTCATAGTTGCCAAACATTTTGGTTTTAGAATAGCTTCTAATAGCTCTGATACTTGTTGTCCATTTTTTATGGGTTGCCCCAAGGAGGTTAAATATCCTCTCTCTTTCCATAACATAACAAAGTCATGAGCAACCTCAAAAGCAGCAGTCAGTGTAAATGGTTGCAGCCTTGTCTTTTTGCCAGTTGGCAAGCTCGGGTCAGGGCAATCAATTTGGCTACTTGAGCTGATCTGGCCTGGGGAAGAGGACTGGCTTTAATTACCTCTAGTAAGGAAACCACAGCATATCCTGCTCTAAAATTTTCATCCTCTCCTCTTAAATAAGACCCATCTGTATACCATTCTGTCTCAGCATTATCCAGTGGCATCTCCTGTAGGTCTGTCCTGGGAGAGAGAAGTCAGTCAGTCATCAGAGCACAGTCATGGGGGGTTTTGTTGGAAGGTCCTGGCAAGAGAGTGGCTGGATTAAGATTATTACAGCAGGAAATGGTAATATTGGGAGATGATCAAAGCAAAATTTCATAAGAGGCTAACCAGTTGACAGATGTTGAGTATGATGAGAGTTTAGAAGGGCTTCAAGAGAATGTGGCACAAAAATGGTAAGAGGGGAACCTATAATTGTATCTTCAACAGATTTGTACAGAAGGGTCATGGCCGCTATTGCTGTCACACAAGGAAGCAGCCCTTGAGCCACAGGGTACAGGTGTTGACTATAATAGCTTATAGGTCTCTGATGATCACCATGTCTCTAGGTCAGTACCCTGGATGCAGTACCTCCAGTTTCATGTACGAAAAGGGAGAAAGGCAATTTGTAGTTTGGGTACGTTAAGGCTGGGGCATTAGTTAGAATTTCCTTTATTTGTTGTACAGCTGATTGTGCCTCTGGAGTCCACCTGATGGGATCAGGTTGTTTATTTTTTAGGTATGCATACAGAGGTTGAGACATAAGGGAGAAATATGGTATCCAGTTTCTACAATAGCCATCCAGGCTTAAAAATCCTCTAAGTTTTTTCTTAGCAATGGGCATTGGGAAAGCTAAAATTCCTCTCACTCTGTCGGGGTTAATACTCAGTCTTTTGACTAAGATAATATGCCCCAAATACTTAACTTGCAGTAAGCATAGCAGAAGTTTGTCTTTGGACACTTTATGTCCCTTGGTGGCTGTTTGAGTAAATATAGACTATCTTCCTGAAAGGATAGATAGTGTGTCTGGACAAAGGAGAAAGTCATCCACATTCTGAATGAGTGTTGAGTCCTGGGGAAAAATTAAATACTCTAAATCAGCTTTTAATATTTGGGAAAAGTAAGTGGGACTTTCTGTATACCCTTTGGGACATTACAGTCCACATATATTGCTGTTCTTTCCAAGCAAAAGCAAACAAATACTGACTGGATCTACAGGAATACTAAAGAAGGCATTACAGAGATTCACAACTGAGAAATACTGGCTGGTAGTGGGTATAGCTGATAGAAGGGTATGTGGGTTGGGACTACTGGGTGCCTGGGTATTACAATATTGCTTATTGCCCTCAAGTCCTGCACAACTCTCCGTCCTCTCTTGCTTAGTTTCTTTACAGGGAATACAGGGCTGTTGCAGGGGCTTGTGCAGGGAATAATAAGCCCCTTTTTCAGATAATCGTGTATGATAGGGGCAATTCCATCTATGGCTTCCTGTCGTAGAGAATATTGTTTAAGGTTGGGTAGGGGTTTCTTTGGGTTCATCTCCACCTTTATTGGAGTGGCTGAGAATATTTTTCCTATATCTGCATTTGACTGAGACCATAAATGGGAGGGGATATCCTTGAGTAAGTGCTCTGCTTCTGGCATTAACAGGAAGACTGGGGAAGCTAGAAAGAGTTGTAATGTTTCCTGTTTTTTATTCCAGTGTTTTCTCTTCCCCCCAATATTTCCTTCTCTGTCTCCATTTTATTTTCCCAGTCACAAGCTTATGTTTTAACATTACTAGTAGTAAATTGTGGTACATTGTCAGGACATTTTTTAATTTGGTATTTTTGGTACCCTGGCTCCAATTCTAAAAAAGGTTCACTTTTTTATGAAAAAGAGATATAGACATTATGGATGTGGAGGAGGTCACAGCCCAAAAGATTGACAGGGGACCCAGGGCATGTAAGAAACATATGGGACCTACTGAGCATGTCACACTTAGAGCCTTCAGCGGGGGAGCTGAACCTGATGAACCAGTAAGGTACAGATTTGGACTTAAAACATAAGATTGTTTTATTAGACACTCCCGCCATGTAAATTCTTTCATTACTCCAGAGAATGGGGTTTCTAATTAAGACAGGAGTTATCAGCAATATGGTCACACCTGCATCAAATAAGGCAGTTGTAAGCTTACGGTTTATTATATTAGTCTCTCCCAATTTGTTTGTCAGGGTAGAATATTTGGAGAGGTGAAACCCCTGCATTTCCTTGGAGCATCCCTCGTCTTCCAGAGTTGCATTTTCCTGCCTTTTCTTTCAGCCTAAGGTAATCCCTCTTAAGGTGTCCCGGTCTTTTATAGTAGTAACAGACTAGAAGTGAAGAGTTCTCAGACTGAGGAAGCTTAGATTCTTCCTGGGGCCAAGAGAAGTTAATTGCTTTAGCTGTAAATGCATAACTCAGGCAATCTTCTGTTTTTCCTTTTTTATCATAGTGTGGGCTAATTTGTCAGCTAGGTTAACTCGTTCATTAGTTCTGGCTATGGCCCAATTTGTCATGTGGTGTTTTACAAGGGTGGCTAAATCACGATCTAGTCCATTTAATTGAAAAATTTTTTGTCTGGGCGCAGTGGCTCATGCCTGTAATTCCAGCACTTTGGGAGGCCAAGGCAGGCGGATCACAAGGTCAGGAAATTGAGACCATCTGGCCAACATGGTGAAATCCCATCTCTACTAAAAGTACAAAAATGAGCTAGGCATGGTGGCGCGTGACTGTCTTCCCAGCTACTCAGGAGGCTGAGGCAGAAGAATCGCTTGAACCAGGGAGTCAGAGGTTACAGTGAGCCGAGACGGCACCACTGCACTCTAGCCTGGGTGACACAGCGAGACTCCATCTCAAAAAAAAAAAAAAATTAATAAAGAAATTTGCATCTAATAATGTATCATTTTTATTGTTTTTAAAGCAATCAGCTGACATACTGCAACACTGTCTTAAAGTTTTATTAGAATGTGTGAAATAGTCTAAAACTGATTCATTTGGGTTCTAGCAGCATTGTTGGATTTTATTCCAATCCATAACCCTTTGGAACACTGAAGGAATGCTATTTAACAGAGCAGTGACTCTTTCCAGCACGTTTTTATGCCTGTCTTCTGAATTCGGTGGGGCTGGTTCTTGTGACTCTATTGGGCCTTCAGGGGTCAAATCTGCTATAGGATCTGACCATTATGCTTTTTCCAGCCATTCCTTAGCTTTAGCTTCTGAGATCAAGATGTAGACTAGCTGATGAAGGTCTGAATAACCTAGCTCATATAATGAGCTCAAATTCTCAGGCAAACCCAATTGGATATTTATGAGGGTCAGGAAATTCTTTATGCCTTGTAATTCAGCCTTTGAATAGGGTTCATAGACAATCACTGGGGTTCCCCTACCTGTTATTGGCTGTTCCCAAAATGGGGTTATCATGAGAGAAGTCCCTGCGGAGTTCCCCTTTTCCACATCTTCCAGATGAGATGCTGCATTGGGGCTGTCGGGTAATCTTCCGTGGGTGGGGTCTTTGAAGTCAGATTCCCAACTGCCTTCTGTTAAGTGAGTGTTAAACATGCAGGAGAAGGTGGGGACAGATCTGGTCCCGGAATTTCAGAGAGGTCAGGGTAGAGTGGGGTTGGAGGTGGAGGTGGGGGAGGTGCCTAGGGGGAAGCAAGAGATCCCAAGGATTTATTTAAGGGAGATAAAAGATGAGAGAGTTCTTGACTAGCATTTCTAACTTGTTTGTTCACCTCCTGTAGGGAGATGAGGTGGCCTTCCCCAGTTTTGCTACTTTCCAGATACCACTAAAAATGGCTCTCCCATTCTGGTTGTTTAGTTTTTGTCTCTGCGTTTTCCATCTTGGTTTGCAAGTACACTAATTTGGGCATCTCAAAAGATTCCCATTTAAGCCACTGTAATTTAGAATCTGCTTTAGTTATAGTGGTCCACTTGGTTAAATATTTGCATGATGATTCACCATAAGTATTTTGCATATACCCAGCCAGAGTTTCTAATGGGGGAAGTTTATCTTCCACAGCTGCTGGGGTCTTAGAGGCCTCGTTCTCCATAATTTAGAGTTCCTCTTTGGATTTGACCAAGTCAGGACATGTGTCACACCCAAAATATGCTGCTTGCAAACCTAGCTTTTCAGGGCCATTACACCCTGAACTGGTTTGGTCCACACATATTGCAGCTACCAGGCACAATGTGTCAGGGGCTCAAGGTGCAGGAGGCGTTAGTTCCTTGCATGCACCTGCCAGCTGAGATTAGACCCTAAGTATGTTCTTCTGAGGGGGAAACTTATTTAGAGCCACTGCACATCTTAGGGAGCATTTCTCCCAGACACCCTCATGTGATTCTCAGTCACCTGAGAATGCCTAGAAAGGCTAAGGGGAGCAAGGTGTTCTATTTCTTCAGAGTGGAAGATTCCACACTAATGAGCTAGAGGGTTTGGTGTTGGTCAAATGCAATAGGGGAAAGGATAAAAACATACACATATAGGCATACACAAAAACATAAACAAACAAAACAGTTAAGCAAAACTCACAATGATCACACAAGTTATACGATTTCTGAGTGTTCTAAGTGTAAGCAAGAAATTAACACCAGCTTGTTCTTAATGCTAATGTTAGTCATTTAAAAGAATTTGCAAGACAGAATCCCAAACCAGTTTCTTACCTAGCGATGGGGGCCCAAGCTGAAGACAACTCTCCAGTGATGCAGAAGCAGATGAGCTTGCCTTCCTTGATGGAAGCAAGTGGAAAAACTCCCACAAAATAAAGACTTTTTTTTTTTAACAGCATTCAAACCTCAGATCCCCAACTGAAAAACGCTGGAAGATTCCCAGACTTCGGCAAATCATCCTATCGGTTTGGGCTGTAAGGTGCCCAAGCTAGTACCAATCACCAAGAGGCAAACTGCAGCAGGCCAGGTATCTTTCACTCAGGATCCCTTTGTGGTTACCAGATGTCAATCAAGAAAAATGATGAGACAAGTCTCAATCATTTCATGAGATTTATTTGCCAAAGTTAAGGACTTGCCCAGGAGACAGATCTATGCCTTTCTCCAAAGGCAAAAGGCTCCAAATTTAAAGTGGAAAGGGCGGGATATTGAGAAGGACACAGTTTTCATGTAAGTGCATTTTTACATAAGATGACATAAAAGGAGCAGAGGAAAAATACAGGAATCTGCATTTTACATAAGATAACACAGACAACATGGAGTAGGGGAACAATCAGATATGCATTTGTGTCTGGTGAGCTGAGGTAACTGCACATTATAAAGATAAGCTATCAATTTGCACTGCCATGGTGAAGTTTTAACAATTCACTAGGAATTTCCTTGTGGGCAAAATATGGGGGAAGTGTGTAGCTCTTCATCTTGTAGCCATCTTATTTAGGAACTAAAAGGGGAAGGCAGATTTGCATGACCCAGTTCCCAACTTGACTTTTCCCATTGGTTAAATGTGTTTGGGGTCCCAAAATTAATTTCCTTTCACAGTGTAAATAACCGTGTCTGTCAGTAGTGGTATTGAAATGGCTCCGTTGTCTGGGGATATACCCATGGTTCTTTGTCTTGCTCCAAGAAAGAATTCAGGACATGGACACACACAAGGAGTGGGTTTAGGAGAGGAAAGTTTAATAGACAAAGAAGAGAAAGAAAGCTTTCTCATGCTGAGAAAGCAGGTCGCCCAAGAGAGGGTCTCCAGGTTTGGGGTGGAACACGATCAATTTTGCACAGAGGCTTGAGGACGCAGTGATTGATTTACCTGGTCAGTTGGTTTGACCAGGTGTGCTATTTAAATAGCCTATGAAAAGACTGGCCCTTCCACCCTAATTTTTTGTTATGCAAATGCGGCTTCTACCTGGTGGTCACTATGACACCTGCACAGGTGGTGACAAGGAAAAGAGAGCACAAAATGGCATATTGAACATACCTTGCTTCCAGGTACAGCTGCTGGCATTTACATATAAAAGCTTCTAGCTTGCATATTTATGCTTGCAGCTCGACTTTTCAGGCTGCTTTCTGTGAGGGAAGAAATGGTTTGGGGGCTGCTTTTTACTGAAGGAAAATTTCACTGAGAACTCTTTTACCCTTTCTAGCTGCCTAAAATTAATTTATTAATAACTCCTATGTTAGTATGGTTAATTTATGACACAACCTGTCACAACCAACACTAACACTAGCACAGACTGCTTGGGTTCCAGGGGGTTGCTCCACCATTGCTACTATTTCAAGAAACAGAAAATTCAAAGTTAACTGGCATGACAAGAAACAACTGGTGGCTCACATAATTGGGAGTCCAGCAATAGGGAGGGCTTCTGGGTGGACTTAATCCAGTAGCTTCGGTGACATTCCCTGAGAATGGGAATTCTCCACATTTCCCTTGGATCTGCCCTTCTCCCTAGGCCAGCTTCATTCTCAGTGTAGTAAGTGGATAGTACCAAAATTTCAGGCTACAGTCTGCAGAAAAAGAGGGGAAAGTAATTCCAGGAGTCTTCCAGAAGGACAATCTGACAGGTAGCTGCTTGCACCCAAAAAGTCTGTTTCCCCCTTCATCCTGGTCACATGGCCACCTCTCTGGCACGTACATTTCCCAGTCTTCCTTGCAGTTTGTGTGGCCATGTGACCAAGTTCTTGAAAACAGTATGTGAATAGAGATAATGTGTGCAATTTCTCCCTCACTTACTTAAAAAAGGAAATTGTTTACTCTAAACTTCTCACTTTCTTTTTTCTGCAAGCCGTCATAGTCATGGCAAGGTCAATCCAGCCAGTCCAGTCCCATCCCTCCAGAACTCAAGCACACTATCCAGAGGCCTGGAGATTGCCTAACCTAGTCTACCTTCCCTGGCACCTAAACAGGCTGACCCAACCTGCTGATACCACCACAGCTAGCACCCATTCACATACACTACCAGTAGGCCAGGAGACTGGCTTACACAACCTGTCACAACCAACACTAACACTAGCACAGACTGCTTAGGTTCCAGGGGGTTGCTCCACCATTGCTACTGCCATTGCTCACATCACACCTGCTGCCCAAGGAAGAGGGGAGTTAGACTCTACTAACAACCACTCACTAAGCCACTGAGGAAATCATAGATACTACTGATACTGTTTACAGCTGAAGAAATTATACAGTGTCTACACTCCCGCATGCACCCAAAATCAAAGTAAAAGCACCCCATGGAACCAAAAATGTAAATAAATCTTCAGGAAAAATCCTCCCCAGCAAAAGCAACTTCAAGAAATTGGAAGAAGTTATTGTTACACCAGATGCAGAGATATCAATATAAGGGAACAGAAAATGTGAAAAAACAAGAAACTATGACACCCCCAAAGGAACACAATAATTTTCCAGCAACAGATCCCAAGCAAAAAGAAATTCATGAAATCCCAGATAAAGAATTCAAAATACTGAATTTAAAGCAGCTCAGTGTGATACAAGAGAACACTGCAAATACAGGTTTCTCTGTACTGAAAACAATACAGAGAAATCGGGAAAACAATTCAAGATATGAATAAGAAATTTACCAAGAGATAGATTTTTTTTAAAGAACAAAGAGAAATTTTAGAAGTAAAAAATTTATTGAATGAATACCAAATACATTTGAAAGCTTCAATAATAGACTAGATTATAGAGAAGAAATAATCACAAAACTTGAAGACAGGTCTTTTGAAATAATTTAGTTAGACAAAAATAAAGAAAAATGAATAAAAATAATAAGCAAAGAATTCATGACATTTGGGACAACATAAAGCCACCAAATATTCAAATGATCAGTGTCTTTAAGGGCAAAAAGAGAACAAAAGGATTGGAAAACCTATTTATTAAAATGTTAAAGGAAAACTTCCTAAGTCTAGCAAGAGACTTAGCCATCCAGATACAAGAGGTTAAGGGTCCCCAAGCAGATACAATGCAATAAAGGAACAAAAAGTATGCAAAACAACCAGAAAACAATTAGCAATATGATAGGAACAAAAAAAAACTCACATATCAATGATAACTTTGAATGTAAATGGATTAAATTATCCATTTAAAAAATAGAGACTGGCTGAATAAAGAAATATTATCTAACTATAAGCTGCCTACAAGAAACACACTTTACCTGTAAAAACACATATAGGAGAGATGAAATATTCCATGAAAATGGAAACCAAAAGTGAGCAGGAGTAGCTACACTTAGATAAAACAGACTTTAAGTCAAAAGCAGAAAAAAGACAAGGAAGGTCACTATGTAATGATAAAGGGATATATTCAGCAAGAAGCTATAACAATTATAAATATTTATGCACCCAACACTGGAGCATCCTGATATATAATGGATCTAAAGGGAGAGATAGATCCCAATACAATAATATTTATGGACTTCAACACACCACTCTTAGCACTGAACAGATCATCTAGACAAAAATCTACAAGGAAATGTTGAATTTAAACTGACTGTAAACCAAATAGGACTAACAGACATTTACAGAACATTTTATCCAACAACTGCAAAATACACATTTTTCTCATCAACACATGGAATATTCTCCAGGATATATTCCATGTTAGGCCACAAAGCAAGTCTCAATATATTTTTCAAAAATCAAAATCATACCATTATCTTCTCAGACAATAATGTAATAAAACTAGCAATCAACACCAATAGGAACTTTGGAGTCTATAGAAATACATGGAAATTAAACAATGTAATTCTTAATTACCAGGGGGTCAATGAATAAATTAAGATGGAAATCAAATAATTTCTTTAAACAAATGAAAATGGAAACACAACACATCAAAACTTATGGGATGCAGAAAAGTGCTAAGAAGGAAGTTTATAGCAATGTAAGCCTACATCAAAAAGTAGAAAGATTTCAAATTCACAACCTAATGTTGTATCTCAAGGAACTAGAAAAGCAAGAACCAACCAAAACCAAAATTAGCAAAAGAAAAGAAATTATAAAAATCAAAGCAAAACTAAATAAAATAAAGACTATATAAAAAATATATGAAGCATCAATGAAACAAAGAAAGTTGGTTCTTAGAAAAGATAAACAAAATTGATAAACCTCTAACTGTACTAATCAAGAAAAGCAGAGAGAAGGCCCCAATAAACAAAATCAGAAATGAAAAAGGAGACATTGCAACTGGTACCAAAGAAATACAAAAGATTAGCAGAGATTATTATGAACCACTATACACTAATGAACTGGACAACCTGAGGGAAATAAATAAATTCCTGGAAACATACAATCTACTGAGATTGAACAAGAAAGAAATAGAAAACCTGAACAGACTAGTAACGAGTAGTGAGACTGAATCAGTAATAAAAAGTCTCCCAACAAAGAAAAGCCCAGGGCTGGATAAATTCACAGCTGAATTATACCAAATACATAAAGAAGGACTAATATCAATCCTCCTGAAACTACTGAAAAAATTGAAGAGGAGAGAACTCTCTGTAACTCATTCTATGAGTCTAGCATTCTCCTGATGCCAAAATCAGAGAAGGATGAAACACAAAAAGAAAACTACTACTAACAGCCCTGGTGAAGACAGATATAAAAAACCTCAGCAAAATACTAGCAAATTGAATCCAAAAGTGCATCAAAAAGACAGCACACCATGACCAAGGGAGATTTATACCAGGGATACAAGAATGGTTCAACATACACAAATCAATAAACATGATACATCACATCAACAAAATGAAACTGTCTCTGTAAGAACCACTTGGTAAAAAATTAAATATAATAAAAATTCTAAAAAGCAGAATGAAGGACAAAACCACATGATCATCTCAATAGACAGAGAAAAAGCTTTTGATAAAAGTCGACATCCTTTCATGATAAAAACTAGCAACAAACTCGGAATAGAAGGAGCATACCTCAATATAATAAAGGCCATGTATGAAAAGCCATGGCTAACATCATACTGAATGGAGACAAGCTGAAAGCCTTTCCCATAAGATCTGGAACAAGACAAGGATGCCCATTTTCACCACTCCTATTCAACATAGTACTGGAAGTCCTAGCCAGAGCAATTAGACAAGAGAAAGAAAAAGAAGACATCCAAACTGTAAAAGAGAATGTCAAATTGTCCCTCCTTACTGATGACATGATCTTACATCTAGAAAACCCTAAATATTCCATCAGAAAACTCTTACAAATGGTAAACAAATTAAGTTAAATTGCAAGATAGAAAATCAACATACAAAAATCAATAACATTTCCATTCACCAACAATGAACCGGCTGAGAAAGAAATCAGGAAAGCAATCCCATTTACAATAGCCAAAAATAAAAATAAAAATAAAACACTTAGGAGTAAATTTAACCAAGAAAGTAAAAGATATCCTCAAGAAAAACTACAAAACTCTAATGAACGAAATTGAAGAAGACACAAATAAATTGAAAGACATCTCATGCTCATGGGTCAGAAGAATTAATATCATTAAAATGATCATACTGCCCTAAGCAATCTACAGATTCAATGCAAACACTATCAAAAGGACAATGTCATTTTTCACAGATTTCAAAAAGCAATCCTAAAATGTATATGGAAACAAAAAGGAGCCCAAACAGCCAACACAGTCCCATGCAAAAAGAACAAAACTGGAGGCATCATACTACCTGACTTTAAAATATATCACAAGACTACATTAACCAAAACAGCATAATATTGATATAAAAACAGACATGATCAACAGACTAGAATGGTAAGTCCAGAAATAAATCCGTGTGCTTACAGCCAAATGATTTTCAATAAAGGCACCAAGAACATGCACTGGAGAAAGGACACCCTCTTTAATAAACGCTGCTGGGAAAATTGGATATCCATATGTAGAAGAATGAAACTGGATCACTATCTCTTCACATATACAAAAATCAACACAAAGTGAATTAAAGACTTAATCATAAGGCTGGGTGCAGTGGCTCATGCCTGTAATCCTAGCACTTTGGGAGGCTGAGGCAGGTGGATCATGAGGTCAAGAGATCGAGACCATCCTGGCCAACATGATGAAACCCTGTCTCTACTAAAAATACAAAAAATTAGCTGGGCATGGTGGCACATGCCTGTAATCCAAGCTATTCGGGAGGCTGAGGCAGGAGAATAACTTGAACCTGGGAGGCAGAGGTTGCAGTGAGCCGAGATCATGCCACTGCACTCCAGCCTGGTGACAGAGTGAGACTTCATCTCAAAAAAAAAAAAAAAAAAAAGAAAGACTTAAACATAAAACCCAAAACTACAGAACTACTAGAAAAAAAAAATAGGTAAAACACTTCAAGACATCGGTCTAGGAAAAGATTTCATAGCTAAAACCTCAAAAGCACAGACAACTGTAATAAAAATAGACAAATTGGACTATATTAAACTAAAAAGCTGCACGCCAAAGGAAACAATCAACAGAGTGAAGAGACAACCTATTGAATGGGACAAAAGATTTGCAAAATATAGGTCTGATAAGATGTTAATATCCAAAAAACAAAAATAATAACAACAAAAATAACAACAAAAACCACAGGCTAAACACAGTGGCTCATGCCTGTAATGTCAGCACTTTGGGAAGCCAAGCAGGAGGATTACTTGAGCTCAGATGCTCAAGACTAGTCTGGGTAACATAGTGAGACCTCATCTCTACAAAAAATTTAAAAATTAGCTATGCATGGTGATTTGTGCCTGTGGTTCCAGCCACTTAGGAGGTTGAGGTGGGAGGATCACTTCAGCCCAGGTGGTCAAAGTTGCAGTGAAGCCATGATCTAGCCACTGCACTCCAGCCTGGGCAGCAGAGTAAGACACTGTCTCAAAAAAAAGAAGAAGAAGAAGGAGGAGGAGGAGGAGGAGGAGGAGGAGGAGGAGTGACATATTGGTGTTTATTAATGAAAACTGTTCTTTTGACCTTTCTGTGGGCTTGATATTGAGAGGTGAAGCCAGCTGGACTTCCTGGGCCAAATGGGGACTTGGAGAAATTTTCTGTCTTACAAGAGGATTGTAAAACGCACCAGTCAGCACTCTAGCTAGCAAGAGGTTTGTAAAATACACCAATCAGTGCTCTGTAAAAATGCACCAATCAGTACTCTGTAGCTAGCAAGAGGTTTGTAAAATGCACCAATTTGGCACTCTGTAAAATGGACCAATCAGCAGGATTCTAAAAGTAACCAATCACGTTGAGGATTGAGAAAAGGGCATTCTGATATGACAGAAACAGGACATGGAAGGGGACAAATAAGGGAATAAAAGCTGACCACCCCAGTCAGCAGTGGCAACCGACTCAGGTCCCCTTCCATGCTGTGGAAGCTTTGTTCTTTCACTTTTCACAATAAATCTTTCTGCTGCTCACTCTTTGCGTCTCTGCCATCTTTAAGAGCTGTAACACTCACTGCGAAGGTCCGCGGCTCCATTCTTGAAGTCAGCAAGACCATGAACCCACTGGAAGGAACTAACTCTGGACACATCCTGGGGGCTTGTCTGGGATTTTGCCACATGGTGAGTACCATCGGACCACTTTCACTGCTATTCTGTCCTATTTTTCCTTAGAATTCAGGGGCTAAACACTGGGCACCTGTCGGCCAGTTAAAAGCTACTAGTGCAGCTGCCAGACTAAAGACATGGGTGTCAGGCTTTCTAGGAAAGGGCTCTCTAACCACCCCCAACTCTTTGGAGTTGGGAGTGTTGGTTTGCCTGGAACCAGCTTCTGCTTTTTCAGTACTTCCGGGCTGAGCCGAGGGTCGACAGAGAGGAAAGCCATTCAGCACCTGGTTACCGACAAAAAGTTGGTTGACCCTGCAGCCATGAGCAGAACTCTCAAAGTCACATTGCCCAAGCGAGACTCACCCATCTATCCTATCTATCCTGAGCCTTGCCTCCTGGGTCCTAACACCTGTCAGACAAACTTCCTCCTGCCTCTCTTCTCCAAGGCCACTCCTGCTTCTAAAAACCACTCTCTGTCTCTGGTGCTTTTCTAGGTTCTCCTATAAGAATGATTTCTAGTGTAAATTTCAGGACTCTGTTCCCTTCTGTAGGCACCCAGCCTCACCAATCAGAAGGACATAATTTTTGCCCAAAGCCCCATCAGGGTGGGGGGACTATCTGGAATTTTAAGATCCCTCCTCAGACTAGCAGGCCTAACAAAGGCTATTCCCGAAGCTAGGATATGGGGAGCCTCGGAAATTATATCCTTCCTATGTCCTCAGAAGTGAGGACAAAAGGCATCACCCTTCAAACCCTAGAGATCCTTTCCCTCCCTCAAGGTATGGCCCTCCACTCCATTTTGAGGCATATTATCTTTATAGGACAAGGGTAAGGTCCCAATACTAACAGGAAAAAATGCTTAGGACTCTAACAGGTTTTTGAGAATGCATCAGTAAGGGCCACTAAATCCAATTTTTCTCAGTCCTCTGTAGTCTAAGAGGAAAGGCAAGGGTGCAGGTTTTCAAGAGTGCATCAGTAAGGGCCACTAAATCCAACCTTCCTTGGTCCTTTTTTCGGTCTAGGAGGAAAACTAGTGTTTCCACTGCTGCTTCAGTGAGCACAACTATTCCGATCAGCAGCATCCAGGGACCGTTGTGCGTTCTTACGGGGGAGGGAAAAAACAAACCAAAACTGTGGGTGGTTTTTTCTTTCAGATGAGAAACACTCGGGCCTCAAGAGGCTCACCCTTGAAATGCATCCTAAGCCATTGAGACCAATTTGATCCACAACCCCTGAAAAATAAACAGCTTATCTTTTTTCCTGCACTATGGCCTGGCCCCAATATTCTCTCCCTGATGGGGAAAAATGGCCACCTGAGGGAAGTATAAATTACAATACTATCCTGCAGCTTGACCTTTTCTGTAAGGGGGAAGGCAAATGGAATGAAATACCTTATGTCAAAGCTTTCTTTTCATTGAAGGATAATCTACAACTATGCAAAGCTTGCAATTTACATTCCACAAGAGGACCTCTCAGCTTACCTCCATATCCTAGCCTTCCTATAGCTCCCCTTTCTATTAATGATAAGTCTCCTCTAATCTCCCCTACCCAGAAGGAAACAAGCAAAGAAATCTCCAAGGGACCACAAAAACCCCTGGGCTATCGGTTATGTTCCCTTCAAGCTGTAGGGGGAGGAGAATTTGGCCCAACTCGGGTACATGTCCCCTTCTCCCTCTCTGATTTAAAGCAGATCAAGGTAGACATGGGGAAGTTTTCAGATGATCCTGATAGGTATTTAGATGTCCTACAGGGTCTAGGGCAAACCTTTGACCTCACTTGGAGAGATGTCATGCTATTGTTAGATCAAACCCTGGCCTTTAATGAAAAGAATGTGGCTTTAGCTGCAGCCTGAGAGTTTGGAGATACCTGGTACCTTAGTCAAGTAAATGATAGAATGACAGCCGAAGAAAGGGACAAATTCCCTACCAGTCAGCAAGCCATCCCCAGTATGGATCCCCACTGGGACCTCGACTCAGATCATGGGGACTGGAGTCACAAACAACTATTGACCTGTGTTCTAGAAGGACTAAGGAGAATAGAAAAAAACCCATAAATTATTCAGTGATGTCCACCATAACTCAGGGAAAGGAAGAATATCCTTCTGTCTTCCTTGAGCGGCTACAGGAGGCCTTAAGAAAATATACTCCCCTGTCACCTGACTCCCTTGAGGGTCAATTGATGCTAAAAGATAAGTTTATTACCCAATCAGCCACAGATATCAGGAGAAAGCTCCAAAAGCAAGCCCTGGGCCCTGAACAAAATCTGGAGGCATTATTAAACCTGGCAACCTTGGTGTTCTATAATAGGGACCAAGAGGAACAGGCCAAAAAGGAAAAGTGAGATCAGAGAAAGGCTGCAGCCTTAGTCATGGCCCTCAGACAAACCAACCTTGGTGGTTCAGAGAGGGCAGAAAATGGAGCAGGCCAATCACCTGGTACAGTTTGTTATCAGTGTGGTTTGCAAGGACACCTTAAAAAAGACTGTCCAACAAGAAACAAGCCACATCCTCGTCCATGTCCGCTATGACAAGGCAATCACTGGAAGGTGCACTGCCCCAGAGAACAAAGGTTCTCTGAGCCAGAAGCCCCCAACCAGATGATCCAACAACAGGACTGAGGGTGACCAGGGCAAGTGCCAGCTCATGTCATCACCCTTACTGAGCCCTGGGTAAGATTAACCGTTAAGGTCCAGGAAATTGACTTCCTCCTGGACACTGGTGTGGCCTTCTTGGTGTTAATCTCCTGCCCCAGACAGCTGTCCTCAAGGTCTGTTACCATCCGAGGAATCCTGAGACAGCCTGTAATCAGGTATTTGTCCCTCCTCCTCAGCTGTAATTGGGAGACTTTGCTCTTTTTATATGCCTTTATTGTTATGCCTGAAAGTCCCACACCTTATTAATGAGGGACATATTGGCCAAAGCTGGAGCTATTACCTATATGAATATGGGAACAAGTTACCCATTTGTTGTCCCCTTCTGGAGGAGGAAATCAACTCTGAAGTCTGGGCATTGGAAGGACAATTCAGAAGGGCAAAAAAATGCCCACCCAGTCCAAATCAGGCTAAAGGACCCCACTACTTTTCCTTATGAAACGCAATATCCCATAAGGCCTGAAGCTCATAAAGGATTACAGGATATTGTTAGACATTTAAAAGCTCAAGTCTTAGTAAGAAAATGCAACAGTCCCCACAACATCCCAATTCTAGGAGTACAAAAACCGAATAGTCAGTGGAGACTAGTGCAAGATCTTAGACTTATCAATGAGGCAGTAATTTCTCTATATCCAACCCCTATACCCTCCTCTCTCAAATACCAGAGGAAGCAGAATGGTTCACAGTTCTGGACCTTAAGGATACCTTCTTCTACATACCCCTGCACTCTGACTCCCAGTTTCTCTTTCCCTTTGAGGATCCCACACACCACACATCCCAACTTACATGGATGGTCTTGCCCCAAGGGTTTAGAGATAGCCCTCATCTGTTTGGTCAGGCACGGGCCCAAGATCTAGGCCACTTCTCAAGTCCAGGCACTCTGGTCCTTCAATATGTGGATGATTTACTTTTGGCTACCAGTTCAGAAGCCTCATGCCAGCAGGCTACTCTGGATCTCTTGAATTTTCTAGCTAATCCAAGGTACAAGGCCCAGCTCTGCCTACAACAACTCAGATATCTAGGCCTAATCTTAGCCAGAAGAACCAGGGCCCTCAGCAAGGAATGAATACAGCCTATACTGGCTTATCCTTGCCCTAAGACATGAAAATCATTGTGGGAGTTCCTTGGAATCACCGGCTTTTGCTGACTATGGATCCTCAGATACAGCGAGAAGGCCAGACCACTCTATACTCTAATCAAGGAAACCCAGAGGGCAAATACTCATCTAGTAGAATGGGAACCAGAGGCAGAAACAGCCTTCAAAACCTTAAAGCAGGCCCTAGCACAAGCTCCAGCCTTAAGCCTTCCACAGGACAAAACTTCTCTTTATGCGTCAGAGAAAGAGCTGGAATAGCTCTTGGAGTCCTTACTCAGACTCATGGGACAACCCCACATCAGTGGCATATCTAAGTAAGGAAACTGATGTAGTAGCAAAAGGCTGGCCTCACTGTTTATGGGTAGTTGTGGCAGTGGCCATCTTAGTATTAGAGGCTATCAAAATAATACAAGGAAAGGATTTCACTGTCTGGACTTCTCATGATGTAAATGGCATACTAGGTGCCAAAGGAAATTCATGGCTATCAGACAAACGCCTGCTTAGATACCAGGCACTACTCCTTGAGGGACCAGTGCTTCAAATACACACGTGTGTGGCCCTCAACCCTGCTATTTTTCTCCCAGAGGATGGAGAGCCAATCAAGCATGACTACCAACAAATTGTAGCCCAGACTTATGTCACCTGAGAGGATCTCTTAGAAGTCCCCTTAGCTAATCCTGACCTTAACCTATATACCAATGGAAGTTCATTTGTGGAGAATGGGATACGAAGGGCAGGTTATGCCATAGTTAATGATGTAACAGTACTTGAAAGTAAGCATCTTCCTCCAGGGACCAGCACTGTTAGCAGAACTAGTGGCACTTACCCAAGCCTTAGAACTGGGAAAGGGAAAAAGAATAAATGTGTATACAAATAGCAAATATGCTTATCTAATCCTACATGCCCATGCTGCAATGTGGGAAGAAAGGGAGTTCATAACCTCTGGGTGAACCCCCATTAAATACCACAAGGAAATCATTAAGTTATTGCATGTGGTGCAAAAACCTAAGGAGATGGCAGTCTTACACTGCCAAAGCCATCAAAAAGGTGAAGGAGAAAAGGCAGAAGGAAACTGTCGGGCAGATGCTGAGGCCAAAATTGCTGCCAGGTGGAACCTACCATTAGAAATACCTGTAGAAGGGCCACTGGTATGGAACAACCCTCTCCAAGAGATTAAGCCCCAGTATTTCCCAACTTAAACAGAATGGGGACTTTCACGGGGGCATAGTTTTCTCCCCTCAGGGTGGTTCACTACGGAAGAGGGAAAGGTACTCATACCTGAAGCCAGACAGTGGAAAATACTTAAGACCCTCCACCAAACTTTTCATATGGGTATTGAGAACACTCATCAAATGGCTAAATCTCTATTTACGGGTCCAAATCTCCTCTGGACCATCCAACAAGTAGTCAAAGCCTGTGAGGTGTGCCAAAGGAATAATCCCTTGGTCCATCATAAGGCCCCTCTGGGGGAACAAAGAATAGGGCACAATCCCAGAGAGGACTGGCAGTTAGACTTCACCCATATGCCTAAGTCTAAGGGATTTCAACACTTGTTGGTCTGTGTTGAAACCTTTACAAATTGGATAGAAGCCTTCCCCTGCAAGACAGAGAAGGCTCAGGAAGTGGTTAAAGTCCTAATGCATGAAATAATTCCTAGATTTGGGCTTCCCCAAAGCTTACAAAGTGACAATGGTCTGGCTTTTAAAGCCACGGTAACAGGGAATTTCCAGGGTGCTAGGGATATCATATTACCTCCACTGCGCCTGGAGGCCACAATCCTTAGGGAAGGTTGAGAAGGCAAATCCCTATAACCATGAATACCATCTTAACTTTCCAAGCCCCTCTATGCATCCAACACAACCCGTTATCAGGCCTGCCCCTGGGGGACCTATTATCCCATCAGTGTAATTACATCCTACAACTTCAAGCCCGAACTGATTATAGTAACTTCCGAGTCACCCAAACAGCTCCACTCAGATGGCTTGTCCACTTCTCAGAGCCTCCAAAAATCATCACCTCCTCCCTGCTTAACAAACAGTCTGGGTTTTTTAATAGCAAACATACTCCCTGCATGACCATTCACCCCTGGACCCCCTGCAGCAGTGCCCCCACCACTAGTGAATGCCTCCTCATCCCCTCTTTCAATTAATCTATTGAATGGTTCCTAGTAGATACAAAACGGCTTTTTCCCCCAATGGGAAGATAGAGCACAGGGAGCCACTCAGTTTGCTCCCAACACCCCTTTCCAGCCACTCACCGGAGCCACCTTGGCACGTACTCTAGGAGTATGGGAAAATGAAAACAACAAACTCACACACCTTTTTAACGTACACAACCAGTTCTGTCTACCCAGCCAAGACGTATTCTTCTTACATGGAATGTCAACCTATATCTGCCTCCCCACCAACTGGACAGGCACCTGCACCTTAGTCTTCCTAAGTCCCAATATAAACATTGCCCAGACCCTATCAGTGCTCCTCAAAGCACAAGTCCATCAGCACAGGGCCATACAACTAATACCCCTACTTATAGGGTTAGGAATGGCCACTGCTACAGGAACCGGAATAGCAGATTTATCCACTTCATTATCCTACTACCACACACTCTCAAAGCATTTCTCAGGCAGTTTGCAAGAAAGAACAAAATCTATCCTTACTCTACAATCCCAAATAGACTCTTTGGCAGCAGTGACTCTCTAAAACCACTGAGGCCTAACCTCCTCACTGCTGAGAAAGGAGGACTTTGCACCTTCTTAGGGGACGAGTGTTGCTTTTACACTAACCAGTCAGGGTTAATATGAGACGCCACCCGGCATTTACAGGAAAAGTCTTCTGAAATCAGACAATGCCTTTCAAATTCTTATACCATTCTCTGGAGTTGGGCAACATGGCTTCTCCCCTTTCTAGGTCTCATGACAACCATCTTGCTATTACTTGCCTTCGGGCCCTGTATTTTTAAGCTCTTTGTCAATTTGTTTCCTCCAGGATCGAGGCCATCAAGCTACAGATGGTTTTGCAAATTAAACCCCAAATGAGCTCAACTAACAACTTCTACCAAGGACCCCCTGGATCGACCCACTGGCCCTTTGATACCTAGAGAGTTTCCCTCTGGAGGATACTACAATTCAGGGTCTCTTCTTCACCCCTATCCAGCAGGAAGTAGCTAGAGCAGTCATTGCGCAATTCTCAAAAGCAGTTGGGGTGTCCTGTTTAAAGGGGGTATTGAGAGGTGAAGCCAGCTGGACTTCCTGGGTCGAGTAGAGACTTGGAGAACTTTTCTGTCTTACAAGAGGATTGTAAAATGCACCAATCAGTGCTCTGTAGCTAGCAAGAAGTTTGTAAAATGCACCAATCAGTTCTCTGTAAAATGGACCAATCAGTGCTCTGTAAAATGGACCAATCAGCGCTCTGTAAAATGGATCAATCAGCAGGATTCTAAAAGTAACCAATCGTGGGGAGAATTGAGAAAAGGGCATTCTGATAAGACAGAAACAGGACATGGGAGGGGACAAATAAGAGAAAGCTGGCCACCCCAGCCAGCGGCAGCAACTGGCTCGGGTCCCCTTCCACTCTGTGGAAGCTTTGTTCTTTCGCTCTTCACAATAAATCTTGCTGCTGCTCACTCTTTGGGTCTGTGCCATCTTTTAAGAACTGTAACACTCACCACAAAGGTCCGCAGCTCCATTCTTGAAGTCAGGGAGACCAGGAACCCACCGGAAGGAACTAACTCTGGACACAATATTTTTTTTTCTTTTTTTAAATTTTTTTCTTTATTTCTTCTAAAAAAAAGTGGGATGCATGTGCAGAACGTGCAGGTTTGTTGCATAGGTACACGTGTGCCATGGTGATTTGCTGCACCTATTGACCTGTTCTCCTCTAAGTTCCCTCTCCTCACCCCCTACCCTACAACAGGCCCTACAACATTCCCCTCTCTGTGTCCATGTGTTCTCATTGTTCAACTCCCACTTATGAGTGAGAACATGCAGTGTTTGGTTTTCTGTTCCTGTGTTAGTTTGCTGAGGATGATGGCTTCCAGCTTCATCCATGTCCCTGCAAAGGACATGATCTTATTTCTTTTTATGGCTGCATAATATTCCATGATATTTTTCAAAAGAAAATATTTGCTGCCAACAGAAGATTTTATATTAAAATCTGTATTTGCAGCTTTTACTGAAAAGAACCTAAGGCCTTGCCATATTGGGCTCATTTTCTCAAATAGCAACATTTAGCTGAACTGAATAGACAGAGAAAGTACTTTCCAGTCAGATCATATCTGGCCCACTTTCCTCGTGTATGTTACCCTCCTCACTCCTGTAGGCATTTGCATGTGTAGTCACAAGCAAATGTGGTTTAGAAATTGTTCAGTGAACCATGTTGGAAAATGTCCCTAAACACAAGTCCTAAAGATGGTCTGTTATATTATCTTACAAGCACACAGTGGAAGGAAAAACAGTTAAGTTTTCTATTTCTGCCACAGCTTCTATAATTATTACCTTTCTTGTGCCCTAGGTTAATATCTAAAAATAGCTTTATGCTTTCTCAAACACATTTCACCAGCTCCCTCTGCTGATCCAATCTGAAGGACAAAACAGCTTAAATTCCTTGTAAGTCCTGAACTTTAAAATCACATTTCTGGGGTTGGAGAACTCCAAGCATGAAAGAACTTGATGAGGTAATGGTCATCTAAATAACTTTCTCCTTTGGACAGCTCCTATGGTAATCCAAGCAAGAGTCAGGGTGTAGAAGTTTGTTTCCAAAAGTAGAACTCCTGTTTCGCTGAGAAAGCTGTAATTTGGGGTGATTTGGCGCCCTCTACAGACTATAATGGCAAAAGCGACGCTATCATGTGCTTCCCATAGCTTTAGGGCTTTGCCAGAACTATGACGTTGAGGAGGGTGGGGTAAAGGGGCAGGAAGCGTTTATGTTCTGCCAATCCAACAGCTGTATTCTAACTCACCATTCCGCCCTCCCTTAAGATCACGGAAGTATCACGCTTGCCTCTTACACAACTTTTTTTCCTTAGTCTGTATACTTTCTGCTGTCACTAGCATAACAGAAAAGACGAATGGCTTTTGTTTTAAACTGAGGGCACTTTTACAAAAGTCATCTTTCCATTTATTTTTCTTTCAGAAAAAAGAATTTGGGTTTTGAGCTTTTTTAAAAAAAAAAGACAAACACTTTCCTTGACTTTGAGAAATAATTTAAGTCAAAGAATCTGCTCTATGCTAACCAAGGTAAGTGTCCTGGATTTTTTTTTTAATGGGGAAATGATCCAGAAACTGCTTTCACAAAAGATGAATGTTTTTCTTGGAGTGTGTTCCTTAAGAATGAATGTGATTATCTTCTTTTGGGGTCTCTTGACTAGGGCTAAAGCAAGAGAATTAAGGAGAGAGTCAGGAAGCAAAGGGAAGTTGTAAGGAAACAAAGTTATGTTGTGGACAGAACCATCCAAAAGGAAAGTGTCAGTGAGATAAACAGAATCATGAGACTTTCAGTGACTCCAGTGACCTCTGATTTCATCTTATGAATGAGATGGAAATGCCAGCCATTGGGAAACAAATACCCCATAGATGGCGTGGGAAAAAAATACTGTAACAAAGCAAGAGCATGGTAGGATGATGATAAGAAACATAAAATGATCAAATTTCAAATTCAAAGAAATCATAATTGATTACATGATTTGCAAATCACCCAAGTCTCTCCATGTCTCATAAAGGATTCCTACATTTGCTGGTCAGTCAGGTATAGGGTGGGGTTTTCCCGTTGTACAAAGGTCTAGTTCAATAGGTCAGGTCTCCTTTCTGCCAAGGGACTAAATATAAGCAACCTATGGCTGGCACGGTGGCTCACGCCTGTAATCCCAGCACTTTGGAAAGCCGAGGAGGGCAGACCACTTGAGATCAGGAGTTTGAGACCAGCCTGACCAACATGGTGAAACCCCGTCTCTACTAAAAATACAAAAATTATCCAGGCGTGGTGCCGCCTGCCTGTAGTCTCAGCTACTCAGGAGGCTGAGGCAGGAGAATCACTTGAACCCAGGAGGTGGAGGTTGCAGTGAGCCGAAATTGTGCCACTGCATTCCAGCCTGGAAGACAGAGTGAGACTCCAACTCAAATAAATAAATAAATAAATATAAGCACCTTTGAGCAACCAAGTACCTTATGAAGTCCACTTTATAGTTTGCAGAGTTTGCACACACGTTCTCCCAATCCTTCAAGCCTGCAGTATTCTCGCCTACCTTTGAATTCATATCTTTTTTTTTTTGTGCACCAATTACTTGGTTTTCAGACATAAGAACAGTCCTTTCAAGCTTGAAGGAAACAAAGAGAAAGCCACTTGAACCCTCTGTTTTACAAATGTGGAAGCACTGGCTCAGAGAAATTGAGAATTGTGTCCAGGGTTACAAGCTGCTTAGAGGCAGAAGCAGAACTAGAACTCAGATCTCTCAATTTCCAGTTCACTCACTACCTTCCTCTACTGACTCAAGGCAAAATTTAAAAAGGTTGCTCCCATTCAGAAATTTATAGTCTGTAAATACGGATTAATTTTAAAAGGTGCTAATTCCCAATTTGTTTCTACTGCCTGTAGAGTCTCTAAGTCAGTCCTTAAAGTGCTTTTGCCCAGCACGTTTTTAACCCCACAGGCCACTCTGTGTCACTAACTAGGTCTCTAGACAGGGATAATAAACAGGCCAGGAGAGTGCAAGCATTCATGCCTAGAGCATGCTGCTACCATAGGACTTAGCACAAGGTAGTATCAGCCTCTCCATATACAACATCTTAAGAGCAGTCACGGTCTTTTTTAAATTCTAAGACTTTACTACTATTTCTTAGTTGCAGGGTCTTCATTATCTTCAGGGCCCCATACTTAGCTTAGGACCTGCACTTAGAGGTAC
Organism: Homo sapiens; assembly: GCF_000001405.40. Classification (NCBI taxonomy): domain Eukaryota; kingdom Metazoa; phylum Chordata; class Mammalia; order Primates; family Hominidae; genus Homo; species Homo sapiens. The sequence continues at coordinate 171,316,075 of NC_000001.11, forward strand.
CCAGGGCATATTTGTTGAATGAATTAATTTGCTTCCAGTCTATTCACGTCAGTATATTTTTCACTTTGGCAATTCAGTTAGCAGTCATTTCTTTTTACCTTATGATTGCAGAGATAGAGCACAGCAAAGATCTGCCAGCCCCAGGCCTCTACCTAGTGGCCTGGAAATTCAAGTATTCTTATTGGTGGAGGCCATTTGTTTCTGATTAGAAGCTGTCTAAACCTCCTACTCCTCAACTCAAAGGAAAACACAGGTATGTCTGCCTACTCCTTTCCAAACTTGTTGATACATTTTATCTGTATGAACTGTCTTTTCCAAGGAGAAGAGAAGGAAGACAGGAGACAAGTAGGGAGGTAGAGAATGAACACTGAGTAAATATTTTGTGCAAGGCACTTTTTTGTGTAAGTAATATCAAGTTTTTTAAAATGCAAACAATCCTTCAACATAGATATTTTTATTATTTTACAAATAATATATCTAAGGTTGCTTCAGTCGGTTGCTCAGGGTCATATGGCTAGTTGGTAGCAGAGAAAGTTCAAACCCAACTCTGCTGCCTCCAAAATCCATTTTCATTGCATTCCATATAGCTCTCTCAACTAAATAGGGACTCCCAAATAAAAAGTCTAAGAGGAAAAATGATGCATTTTTTAATACATAATGAAGCCAGGTATGGCAATCTCAGCCTTACAAAGGCAAGGCAGCAAATACATTCAGAAATTGGCAGCCCTAGGAAATCCTTCTGATCCTCATTGCAAGTTCATGAATCTGCCTTAGGGTCAGGTAAGTCTAAGGGTTCCTGGAGGACTCAGGAGTCTTTCTTTACTCCCTCCAGTCAGTAAATTCTCTTAGATTTTGTGCCTGGGGCTTCTGATCTGATTAAGAGACAAGCTACAGAGCCATAGAGAAAAACTCCAAGCCCATCCCAAAGGTGCAGCAGCAAACCTGAGCAAAGATGAAGGAAGAGGCTTAGTGACGGGAACCACAGGATACCTCAGGCTCTCAGACCAACAGCATGTTCACATCTTGGTTTCAGATCCTGAAATCCATACTCAGTGCAAACTCTGCCTCTTAATAGCAGTGTAGTCTTAAGTTGTTTCAAATGATTATGCTGATTTCCCATTTACTGGTCCTAATAGCTCAAAAAATATATGCTCTCTTGTTTCCCCAAGGCAAATACCACTGTGATAAGTGACATGAGACTACAAAAATCACACAGGGGTTATACAGCTTGATCTTTCCTCAAAAAATGCTGTATCTTCAAAGGCAAAGTGAAATGAGTTATATATATTTCATAAAACAATGGAATACTTTGAGGTCTCAACTATCATTTGTGTGTCTTCTGAATTGGCCAAGTGGGTTGCAGGGAAATGCAGGGAAAAGCAGCACTTGCAACTAAGTCTACATGACATATTAAGGGCCTCAGTGTGACATAAACTTGATTTACTAGAATTAACTCAGCCCATTTGATTGAGGCAAAAGCAATGTGATATGTGCAGAAATGATAAAATCCAGAAAAACTGGTAAAAACTGGTCCTATATCTCCATGTGTGTGTATGTGTATACTTCCTCCAGTTCCCGCTGACAAGCATGAGCATCCCCATTTCTAGCTGACATCATCGTGGGCTCTAGAATATCCCTTATGACGTTCCTTGGGGACTTTATTTTCTATTATGGTCAGTCTTGCCTCTGCAAGCTAAGAACCTCCCCTCAACCCATGTAATATCCTTGTTTTATGGCAAGGCATGACCGTGACCAGCTATTCTTTAGGACTCTAAATGCTTTGAATCAAAACCAACATTTCTACTGACTGAAATTCCTAGGATTCAGAGGCAAAGTGATAGCAAAGAGCCCCTTTAATACTGACAAATTCTAGCATCCCAACGGGGTCAAGGTACTGTCTACACTCTCTAATAGTAATACCACAGATTGAGTACTCCTTATCCAAAATACTTGGGACCAGGCCGGGCACGGTGGCTTACGTCTGTAATCCCAGCACTTTGGGAGGCTGAGGCCAGCAGATCACTTGAGGTCAGGAGTTTGAGACCAGCCTGGCCAACATGGTGAAACCCCATGTCTACTAAAAAATACAAAAATTAGCTGGGCGTGGTGACAGGCACCTGTAATCCCAGCTACTTGGGAGGCTGAGGCATAAGAATCACTTGAACCTAGGAAGTGGAGGTTGCAGTGAGCTGAGATTGTGCCACTGCACTCCAGCCTGGGTGACAGAGCAAGACTGTCTCAAAATAATAATAATAATAATAATAATAATAGTTGGGATGAGAAATGTTTCACTAGGATGAACATGGTGGCTCACTCCTGTAATACTAGCACTTTGGGAGGCCAAGGCAGGAGGATCACCTGAGCCCAGGAGTTCAAGAACAGCCTGGGCAATATGGTGAGACCCCATTTCTATTTAAAAAAATTAAAATAAATAAAAAATAAATGTTTCACATTTCAAGTCTTTTCAGATTTTGGAATATTTTCATTTTACTTCCTGGTTGAACATCCCAAATCTAAAATCTGAAATACTCTAGTGAGCATTTCTTTTGAATTTCATGTCAGTATTCAAAAAGTTTTGGATTTTGGAGTATTTCAAATTTTGGATTTGGGGGTTTGGGCTGCTCAACCGGTAATAGCTAAATTTAGTTGAGCACTTACTATGTAGCAGGCACACTTCTAAAACCATTCCAACATTTATCAGTCATTTAATCTTCATAACAACCCTTTAAAGTCATTATTATTATTACTATTAAAACGGAAGAGTTCCCTGAGCCCCCGCAGAACTTGCTACAGGGGTGTGGCTTGTTTGCATGTTCAAACCCCTTATGGGAAGGGGAGCATGCAGACAGGCAGGTGCAGGAGCCAGGGCTAGTGCTTTTGGGCTCTGGCCCCACAGTAGGATCTAGAGGTGTCATAAAATTAATGCTCTTTTAGCAGTTGCTATTTACAGACAGCTAAGTATTACTAGTTCAGTGGAGATTCAGGTGACAGTCTTTTACACCCTGCCCTTTTGGTACCCAGGTCCTTGTCCAAAGTCCAGGAAGAATCAGGTCACATGGACTTGAAGGATGGTGAATGCGGGTATTTTATTGAGTGGTGGAGGTGGATCTCAGTGGGCTTGCTGGGGAGCTGGAAAGGGGATGGAGTGGGAAGATGATCTTCCCCTGGAGTTTGGCCATCCTGGGCCGATCTTTCCAACCATCCCCAGCTGAACTCCTCTTGATATTCAAACACTCCTTCTCTTCTCTCCTTCTCTGCCACACTGCTCTGCTCTGCCACTGGAGCTTGGGGTTTATATGGGCATGGGATAGGGCATGGTGGGCCAGAGTGGTCTTGGAAAAGGCAACATTGGGGTGCAAAAACAGGAATGCCTGTTCTCATTTAGGGCTGTAGGTTTCCAGGCTTGAGGGTGGGGCGTTTGCCAGGGAACTGCTCTCTCCTACTCAGTATTTCCTTGCCTCCTGTTAGTATCACTATTATTACCATTCACATTTTACAGGTGAGAAAACTGAGTCCTAGACAGGATAGTTAGCCCAAGATCACACAGTTAATAAGTAGTGAAGCCAAGACTTAAACCAAAACAATCTGATTTCAGAGCCTGGATTTTTAAGCAGCATGTGATTCTGCCCCCACTCAAAGATGAAAAAAAGGCATATATAGCACTACAAAAATTGAGTCTTTTGACAAGGGCTCCCTTCCAAACTTATTAAATAAAGAAGTTCTGCTTGACTTTCCTCTAACAGAGCATACCATGGCCAAGAAAGTTGCAGTGATTGGAGCTGGTGTGAGTGGCCTCTCCTCCATCAAATGCTGTGTGGATGAGGACCTGGAGCCCACCTGCTTTGAGAGAAGTGATGACATTGGGGGATTATGGAAGTTTACTGTACGTGGTTCATCTCTATCAGTCATGATCTGGCCATTTGCTTTGTCTCTGCTCAGACATGGTGGCTTTAGCCTGCCTTGGTGATCAAGTAAGGGAGTGGCTTACTGCAACGGCACAAACAAGTGCATAATGCAGTGTTAAACATTAGGCAGGATGCAGTCTGATTGGTGAGGAATCTTGAGAATGCGCAGACTCGGGTCAGGGACAGTTGGAAGAGAGAGGAAAAAAGAGTTAACTCTGATAAATAAGCATAGTATTGGACATTTATGATGATTTCTGGACCATGGACATTCTAAGACAAAGCAGCAGAGTGTAACATCAGGCAAACTGAATAGCATTGGTGAACATAAAACAGATTACACTCTAGGGAGAATGGAAGTTGGCAACAGGGAGTGGAACCACAACCCCCAGACATTGTTCAGGTCTTTAGGAACAGAACTGGCAAGAGTGAGGCATGGCCCCAGATCTTGGAAGGCCTTGTGGGAGGGGGAGGGTTCCCTGTCACATTTTCAGAATACAAAGAACTCAGGCACTAACCAATCATTCTTTGAAGTGGAATATTTAGCCTCGGAGGCTACACTCAGGTCCAGGCCACCTGTTAGGTGACTTGAGCATCAGACAGTGGGGATGGAAGTGGTTAAATACCACCTGCCTCTGGTCAGGATTGGTGCTGGTTACTGGAAGTAGCAGGGTATCCAGTAGGGACTGAGGGATCTGCCCCAGTAGTGAAGTATAAGGAGGTATCAGAAGGTTTATGCCTGTAATCCCAGCACTTTGGGAGGCTGAGGTGGGAGGATCACTTGAGGCCAGGAGCTCAAGACCAGCATGGGCGGCATAGTGAGACCCTATCTCTACAAAAAATAAAATGAAAAACAAACAAAAAAAATAAGATGGAAGCTAGGCAGGCCCAAGTACTAAATGCTATAGGGGAAAAGAAGAGTGGCATTCGTTCAACAGGCGTGAGAGAGAAGCCTTCATAGAAGACATGTTGTTTGCTATTAATAGATCTCTGATGGATGATGAATAAAACAGAATAAGCAACTACATATAAGCAGGAGTAACCATAACCCTAGGATTATAGTATACTAGGAGAAAAAAAAAATGGTATATTGTTAACCTCATCAAGCCACCAAATGTTAATGTGGAAGGAAAATATTGGGTCTGGTTTATGTAGCTTCTGCTATTTGACCCCACAGTTGGTTTGGTTTACTTCTTCTATTCTAAAGTAATACAGATTAAGTTTAGAAAACAATCTTGAGGTAAACAAATAGGGAAAAAAAAGAAAAATATAAATTAAGTAAGTAACAATACTCACAAATTAGTACTATTAACATTTCAATGTAATTTCTCTCAGTCATATATATACAGTTGTCTCTTGGTGTCCGTGGGGGTTTAGGTATCCCTTTGGTTTTGCTGTGGATACCAAAATTCACAAATGCTCAAGTTCCTAATAGAAAATGGCATAATATTTGCATGTAGCCTACACACATCCTCCTGAATATTTTAAATGTTCTCTAGATTACTTATAATGCCTAATACAATATAAATGCTATATAAATAGCTGTTACACTGTAATGTTTAGGGAATAATCACGAGGAAAGAAATATGTACACGTTCAATACATATGGAAGCATCCTTTATTTTTCCCAAATATTTTCCATCCTTGGTTGATTGAATCCATGGATCTAGAACCTACAGATACAGAGGGCCAGCTGTACTATTTTTTTTTTCAAAAATGTTATCATAATATTAATTTTCACTCATTCAACAAGTACTTATCATGTCCTTCTGCCAGGACACAATGATAAACAAGGTAGACAGGGGCTCTGCCCTCCTTGTAGTCCGGTGGGAAACAGAAACAGTAAATAGGGAATTATAACACAGTGTCATCAAGTTCGTGGTAGAAGTACAGGATGCAGCAGGGCCGCATCAGCTACCTTATGCAGCGCTGTTGGGTCATGGATGACTTCTTAGAGAAAGTGACAGCTAAGAAAGAGGCTTAAGGGAGAAACAGAGATTAGCTTCAGCCACAAGAAGTTCATTGGTGTCTTTAATATAGACCTATTTGTTTTGTTGTTTTGTTTTTGAGTGATGGAGATTGAATCAAGATAAGTTGAGGACTTCATGAAAAAACAGAGGCTGCAGTAAATGATTCTTCTATGAAGATTGAGATAGGATGGAGAGAGACAGGGCTGAAGGGGACATAGGTTGAGAGGATGTTTTGTTTTGTTTTTAAAATTAGAGTATTTTGTGCTGATGAGAAGGAGCCAATAAAGGAAGGTAGATTGGGAATATACGGAGACAATAATGAGAAAAATTAGTAAGGTATTCCCTGAGGAAAGGCAAAAAGGAACATGTCCAGGGCATGAGTGGAGGGAGTAGCCATGCCAATGAAAGAAGGAAAAGATAAACAAGACAGATAATAAGCCCTGCATTCATGGAATTGTTTAAGGACAATGTTAGTCTTGGAGAGCCCTATTTAATTTGGTTAGCTTCTTTGTGGTTTGAAAAATATATTGATTTTAATTATACAATCCCACCAATGATTTCTGATAATTATAGCTTAGAGACCTAATGCTGGGTTTCCTGGAACTCTTTAAAATTACAAATAGTGGCTGGGTGCAGTGGCTCATGCCTGTAATCCAGGCACTTTAAGAGGCCAAGGCGGGTGGATCACTTGACGCCAGGAGTTAGACACCAGCCTGGCCAACATGGTGAAATCCCATCTCTACTAAAAATAAAAAAATTAGCCAGGCATGGTGGCACACACATGTAATCCAAACTATTTGGGAGGCTGAGGCATGAGAATCGCTTGAACCCGGGAGGCAGAGTTTGCAGTGAGTCAAAATCGCACCACTGCACTCTAGCCTGGGTGATAGAGTGAGACTCCATCTAAATCAATCAATCAATAAAAGTAAATAAAATTACAAATGGAACATTAATTGCTATAACCCGCCCTCAGTGAGGCTAGCATGAGCCACCATGATCTCTGTTCTCTTCCTCCTATCTCCATTATCCCAACAAGCTAACTATGCCTTCACCACAGGAATCTTCCAAAGATGGGATGACCAGGGTCTATAAGTCATTAGTGACAAATGTCTGTAAGGAAATGTCATGTTACAGTGACTTCCCTTTCCACGAAGATTATCCTAATTTCATGAACCATGAAAAATTTTGGGACTATCTCCAAGAATTTGCTGAGCACTTTGACCTCCTGAAATACATTCAGTTTAAGGTAAGATACTTTGGGTTATGGAAGATGAATAGATGGGGGCTGGCCTATTCAGCAATCTAATGAAAATTGGATGTTTAAAGTAAACTTTTTATTGATTTTATCTCCAAATAAATAGGAAGATAATAAGGACTCCTCACTTCCGCTGCTGCTCAAGTTTTACTCGAATAAATCGTTAAAATACTGAATTGGGGACGGGTGCAGTGGCTCACACCTGTAATCGCAATACTTTGGAAGGCCGAGGCAGGCAGATCACTTGAGGTCAGGAGTTTGAGACCAGTATGGCCAACATGGTGAAATTCCACCTTTACTAAAAATACAAAAATTAGCTGGGTGTGGTGGTGCACACCTGTGATTCCAGCTTCTCAGGAGGCTGAAGCATGAGAATTGCTTGAACCTGGGAGGCAGAGGTTGCAGTGAGCCAAGATCATGCCACTGCACTCTAGCCTGGGCCACAGAGTGAGACTCCATCTCAAAAATAAAATAAAATGCTGAATTTGCTGATTCCTCCTCTAAATGCCAAACTCTCATTCAGGATGAAATTTTGACTTTTTTTAAGAGAGAAAAAAAGAATTTTGTCCATGAAGCCCATTGGGGAAAAAAAATCTAGATGTCTGAACCACAGAAATTACAATAAGGCAAAACTAATTTTCCTAAATTTCCCAAAACATTGGGCATTGTAACTCATCTCTTTCTCACCAGGAATAAAACGTGATTGTTTCTTCCTTCCACTGAAAGATTCAAATGTCTTGAGTTAAAGTCTATATTGCCACCTTTGTGAGTTTGCATAAGTTACTTAACTTCTCTAGGAAGATGATAAATCAATATTAATAGACCTCCTGTCATGGGACTTGGCCTACTAAAAGTAACAGACATGGTTACCACACCAGTCATTGCATGAGGTCCAAGGGTGTTAGTGAGAAGTGAGTGTTTGTCTTTCACTTTTAGACCACTGTGTGCAGCATAACGAAGCGTCCAGACTTCTCCGAAACTGGTCAGTGGGATGTTGTCACAGAGACAGAGGGCAAGCAAAATAGAGCTGTCTTTGATGCTGTTATGGTTTGCACTGGACATTTCCTGAATCCCCATTTACCTTTGGAAGCCTTTCCTGGTGAGTCATTTCTACCTGAGACCATGCCTATGCTTCTGGGTTCTTCTAGAAGTAAACTTATTGATTTGCAGTTGGAAATACCGCCCCATGATTATAGATGGCTTTATATTCATTCTCAAAAATAATATGTGCAAAATTACTTTAAAAGTTGTATAACGCACTATGTAGGTGTCAGGTCTTATTTATTTATTAATATAAATATTATTGTTATTGCTTAAGCTTTCTAATGTGTGTCTAATTCAAATTCAGTGATCACATAAGGTTCAAAACAATCAGATCTGTCATGAAAAAGAACAGGCTTTGATTTTAGGGATTAAATTACAGGTAATTTGAATCAGGACTGGCCTGTAATAGAACTTACAGGAAGTGAGAGTATATGATTTTTTTTTAAAGAAACAAACCAGAAATTAAACATGTAAAGCAATATATTCAACCTTCTCTAGAGTTGGAGGTTCTTGGACAAATAAAACTTTAAAAGGGAAAAAAAAGCAATATAGTCACCCTTCAAAACAGTCAACATAATAATCATACAATTCTTTGGCTGGGCATAGCGGTTCATACCTGTAATCCCAGTACTTTGGGAGGCCGAGGGAGGCCAGAAGTAGGAGACCAGCCTGGGCATCATGCTGAAACCCTGTCTTTACTAAAAATACAAAAATTATCTGGGCATGATGGCTCATGCCTGTAATCCCAGCTACTCAGCAGGCTGAGGCACAAGAATTGCTTGAACCTGGGGGAGTGGCGGTTGCAGTGAGCAAAGATCACGTCACTGAACTTCAGCCGGGGCCACAGAGTGAGACTCTGTCTCAAAAATAAATGAACAAATAAATAAATAATCATACAACTCTTAAACCAGGGCTATCCATAGAAAGGAGTTTTAGAAACTTCCATTTGGAAATGCTTTTCACTGTGACAACATATTCTTTTTAATATACTCATGACTGACAAATTGCCATCATTTTGAGGTCAAAACTGATTATTTGAGAAGCCAAAAGCTATTCAAATTCAGTTGAGGGAAATAAAATTAATCAATTGAGGATTACTAAAATGTAATAAAGCTACTCTTTTGTTACATATTAGTGGCCCTAAAGGCAATTGAATAGGTGAGTTTTTGAAGTATCTTCAAGGAATTAAAAGAACTTTTAAGGAAGGAAAACCTTGAAGAATAAAACATGCAAACGTTGGCAAAATGAAGGAAAATACTTCTTATAAATGTAATCACAAATTGACAAAATATCCTACTCAAAAAGGAATGAAGTGAAAATTCAATACATAATTTTGCAAGGAAACAATATTATAAATGGTGGTTGGCTTCAGGCTTGCTGTTGATCTGGGGGCTAAACACACAACTGTACAGTACTAAAGGAATATAAAAACACCTCTTATGACATTTTCTATAGGAAAATGTGCTGTAAGTGCCAAACTATTGACATGGATGCTTTCGGAATTTATTCTCTTCAAGTTTGGGATTGTTTACCCTTTATTCCACACTAAATTCAGTTCCACATAGACTATCCTTTTTTTTTTTTTTTTTTTTTTTTTTTTTTTTTTTTTTTTTTTTTTTTGAGACAGGGTCTCACTCTGTTGCCTGAGCTGGAGTGCAGTGGTGCCATCTAGGCTCACTGCAGCCTCAACCTCCTGGGCTGAAGCAATCTTCCTGCCTCAGCCTCCAGAATAGTTGGGACTACAGGTGTGTGTCACCACACCTGGCTCATTTTTGTATTTTTTGCAGAGACGGTGACTTGCCATGTTGCCCAGTCTGGTTTCAAACTCCTGGGCTCAAGGGATCCACCTGCTTTGGCCTTCCAAATACTGAGATTACAGAACTATGACTTTTTAAGATTCTGTTTCTGCTTTTAACTAACCACCACAATATCTTTCACGAATAGCTGTAGGACCCCTGTTGAAATGAATGTTTTACTTGGGAACATGAACTCTTCTCTGCATAGAAAGTACCAGGATTATTTCTACACTATTGAAAAAAATCCATAGAAATCACAAGCTTTGTCTATAACATGTCGCCACAACTGTTTGAAAGTTGACATTGCAACACATGCATACCCTTTTTAAAAATCTATATTGTCAACCTAATGGAAGAAGCTGAGGCATAAAATGTGATTTCAAAGAATTTACTTGAGTCAAAATACAATTTTAAAGAGTTACCTTGAGGATAGCTGCTTGGGAAACATTTCCAAGTTGCTTTGGGAAGTGCTCTGTTCAGCCTTTGTTACAAGCAGGTTTCTGAAGGGAACAGGGAACAAGGAGTGCACAGATACAAAGTTGTTTGACAGGAACTCTCATTAATTTATAGAAATAGCATTGATTAGTCATTGGCTGTACATTGTTTAACTATAGGCTATGAGTTATGACATCCAGCATATAGCATTGTCAGGGTAATTTATGGCTACTTAATGTCAGTAAGTCTAGAGCCCAAATAGCAAGTGTCTTCAAGAGGCAATTATTTAACTTATCATGGAGAGTGACATGTGACTGCTGTTAGATTTCAATGCCTCTCTGGGCGTGATAACTTAAAGGGGACTTGCATTCCTCAGATAAAGTTTCTTTTCTTTCCAATATAAATTGACTTCTGCTGTTTTCCTGAATTAGTAGTTTTAATTTATCAAATATATTTCTTTTTTACTTTTTGGCACTGCATTGACATAATCATTGACTCAGAACTATCTACACATTCTCTATTTTTTCTTCTTCAATATGTAATTACGGAGAATCTGTCATTTGCAAGTCATTGTGTGAGGCAATATGAAAGATATAAAATCCATGAGCAAAGTTGAGCCCTCCAGTAAATTCCCTCCAGGAAAACCTCATAAGTGGCTGAAAGTCCCACTCTCTAATGCGTTTGATGCATATTCTGTTCCCACTTCTTGGAAACTTCTTCGTGCTCCCCTTTTCCAATTTCTAATCATCCTTTAACAAATTCTTAATTTAAGAAAATCCCCTTCAAATGCCTTCACTGGCTCAGTCCAGGCTGGACGTCCCATTGGACCCATCTTAATGCCTTCTCTTCTGGGAGGGAGTATAGTATCATGCCTGACAGCTGAGCTCCAGAGTCAGACATCTTGAGTTCCCATACAGGCTCTGCTACTTACTGTATGGTTCTGGGCAAGTTGCTTAACCTCCCTGTTTTGTTTGTTTGGTTGGTTGGTTTTTGTTTTTTTGCACTGCAATCTCAGCAGTGCAAAACAAAAACAAACAGGGAGGTTAAGCCATTTGCCCAGGGATTTTTTTTTTGTCTCAATCTCAGCTTTGACAAAATTGAATAATACTATGGTCCACTCTATGGGGGTGCTGTGAGGTTTAAATTCGTTAATACAGACAAGGTGTGGTGGCTCATGCCTATAATCCCAGCACTTTGGGAGGCCGAGGCAGGCAGATCTTTTAAACTCAAGAGTTCGAGAACAGCCTGGGCAATATGGTGAAACCCTGTCTCTACTAAAAATACAAAAAATTAGCCAGGCATGGTGGCATGTACATGTAGTCCCAGCTACTCGGGCGGCTGAGGCGGGAGGATCACTTGAGCCTGGGAGGCAGTTACAGTGAGCTCTGATGGTGCCACTGCACTCCAGCCTGGGTAACAGAGCTAAATTCTTTCTCAGTAAATAAGTAAATTTGTTAATATGTATAAAGTTCTTAGAAGCCTGGGACTAGCATAGCAAGGGCTAAATAATTGTTAGCTATTTTCTGTTTACTTACTTACATCCCCATTAGAGGACAAAGTCTTTATTTATTTATTTATTTTGAGACAGAGTTTTGCTCTTGTTCCCCAGGCTGGAGTTCGATGGCATGATCTCAGCTTGCTGCGACCTCCACCTCCCAGGTTCAAGCAATTCTCCTGTCTCAGCCTCCTGAGTAGCTGGGATTACAGGTGCCCACCACCACACCCAGATAATTTTTTTGTATTTTTAATAGAGATGAGGTTTCGCCATGTTGGCCAGGCTGGTCTCGAACTCCTGACCTCAGGCAATCCACCCACCTTGGCCTCCTAAAGTGCTGGAATTACAGGTGTGAGCCACCGCACCCAGCCAAGAGGACAAATTCTTTGAGGATATGGGTCGGGCGCGGTGGCTCACACCTATAATCCCAGCACTTTGGGAGGCTGACGCGGGCAGATCACTTGAGGCCAGGAGTTTGAGACCAGCCTGGACAACATGCGAAACACTGTCTCTGCTAAAAATACAAAAATTATCCGGGCATGGTGGCACGCACCTGTAATCCCAGCTACTCAGGAGGCTGAGGCAGGAGAATTACTTGAACCTGGGAGGCGGAGGTTGCAGTGAGCCAAGATCACGCCATTGCACTCCAGCCTGGGTGACAGAGCAAGACCCTGTCTCAAAAAAAAAAAAAAAGTTCTTTGAGGGTGGGAACTGCCTTTTGTCCTCACATTCCTTAGACCTTAGACCTAGCATAGTACCTTGGGTGGTGTTGAAAGTGTTGAAAGAACAGGCTATATAAGATACGACTATTAGCCAACTTTTTCCTTTAGTATCCCTGCAGACTTGATCTGTGGGGCTTGTCCTTCCGTTGCCCCTGGATGAAATCTCAGGCAGTTTTCTGCTTATTCTCAGATAATGAAATGTCCTCTGATCATTATAAGTCACCCAAAAACAAAAAAAAATCTCATTTTCATAACTAAAATGTCCTGTTCAGGCAATAGTCAAAATGTGCAACTGTATGTAATGTAAAAGCTTCTCCCTCCACCGTCTGGCACCTGCTATGAGCTGACAGCAGTGTCAAGAAGAGACAGTGTGCTTGACTTCCTTCTTCCTCTGCCATCCTCTCCCTCCGAACCCTAAACCTACCAGCTGCAGTTTCTGACCTTTGCAGAATTGGAGTTGGGGAAAGGTCAAGAGGGAAGAGAGAAGAAAAGTTCTTTCTGAACTGGCCCCAATCCTGGGCTAGTTTTCTCTGATCTCGGGGGTGTTTAAAATTGGCTTTGTCAGGTGGTGTCCCAGGTTCTGATTCAGAGAGACGCTTTGTTACTGGGGATGTCTCAACTGTAGCTTCTGTTACAGATTATATGCTCTCAGGCTGGCTACCTACAACTCTCTAACCCCCAGTTCTCCCCAGGTCATCGCCACACAGACTATCTGTTAGGGCCTCATCGTGTGTTCAAATTGCCACCTTGGGCAAAGTTCCCTTACGCTGGTGTCAGACTGGCTCTCTTCCACAGGGCCTTCTGGTCCACATGAAATATAGATCTTGTATTGTCAACAGTGGGAGAAATGCTGCCAGTGCAGCCACCATCCCTCGAAGGCAGTCCCAGTCACGGCCTTACAAGCACCAGTTGCTGTGCTCTGTAGACCCCAAACATGAAGGTCTCGCTCAGAGTGGTCTCCTTGAAGCCCCTCACACCTGGCTCCATGTCAACATGACAGAAAAAAATGCCACAATTCCTGTCAATTTCCAACTCCTAGCCACTTCAACCTCAACCATTTTAGACTGTCAAAGTGAGTGTGAGGCTAAGTCAGAATCACAAAACTGGCCTCACACACACAGTTTCTGCAAATTCAGCATAGTTGGTTTAGCACCTCACTTGGACTGCGGGAACTATTGTTTACTGTCCAGCTTTGGGGGCCTCAGTAGGCAAAGAATCCTGTTAAAACATTTTGTTATACAATCTACTTCTTGCCCAGGATGTTCAGCGTAGTGTATAAGATGTTTCTTATTATTTGTGAGTTTGATTTCCTGAAGCAACTGCTTTAAAAAAGAACACTGATATGCACTATAAGATCTCTTATGTTTTTAACAAGGCAGGTTGTAGCTATTCAATAAATGTTACCAAGTGAATGAATGAATCAATGACTGAATAGGAGGAAAATAATATATTCTAGAAGAGAATTTAATCTTTGTATATTGACACTTCAAAGGAACTTGAAGCCTTGGAGTGAGAGGCAGTCTAGTCCTCAAAACTGCTGGGCTTCTCTTTCAGATTCTTTGTCAATGCTTCATCTCATCTGTGATTCTGGCCATCACTGGCCTCATCACAATTGTTTCCTCTGTCACCTCCCACAATTTCCATTGTTGCTGCTGCTGCTGTAAACACCCTGTTTCCACTATTCTTACCATTCTTAGTTTATGTGAATCCATGGTTCATGTCTATTCTCATGCTGCTAATAAAGACACACCCAAGACTGGGTAATTCATAAAGGAAAGAAGTTTAATTGACTCCCAGTTCCACATGGCTCAGGAGGCCTCACAATCTTGGCAGAAGCGAAGGAAGAGCAAAGTCACGTCTTACAGGGTGGCAGGCAAGAGAGAGAGCATGCCCAGGGGAACTCCCATTCCTAAAACCATCATATCTCGTGAGACTTATTCACTATCAGGAGAACAGCATGGGAAAGACCTGCCCCCATGATTCAGTTACCTCCCACTGGGTCCCTCCCATGACACGTGAGAATTAGAGGAGCTACAATTCAAGATTTGGGTGGGGACACAGCCAAACCACATCAGTCTTTTATGTCTGCCAAGGAGATAATCACCAAAAATGAATCAAAAGAAGAAATATTTGTAGTCTTCCTTACATATGTAAATATCATTATAGCTGTGCTTCTATGGACAGAGTATTAGGAGCTTCATGAAAGATCAATCAGAAACAAGAGTAAATAACATAAGAATAAAACACAAATAAGCATACTGCATAATAACACATCAATAATAAAGCATAAAGTACAAGTAACATGAACTTAAATCACTAGAATAATTACTTCATTTACGAAAGAACTTACCACAGAATCTCCCCTGTGGAGAATTTTAATTGAATCAAAATTTAATATGTAAACATATTATATATACAAATCACATTCTGATAGAATATATCTATTGGGCAAAGTAACATGCATCAACAACCTACTGTTTTTATTTGTTTGTTCAAGATCTTTATTCAGTATCCAAAAGAAGATGTCAAGTAGGTATTTAGATACAAGTGTAATGGTCCTGGGAGAAGCCACAGTTGGATATAATACTTAATGTAGATGAACTAGAAACAATCTACTTTTTGCCCAGGATATTCAGCATAGTATATAAGATGTCTCATTATTTGTGAGTTTGATTTCCTGAAGCAACTGCTTTAAAAGGGCACATTCATATGGAATTCAAGATTTCCTATGTTTTTAACAAGGCAGTTTGTACTAAATCCACATCTGGGCTCACAGCATCCCAGGGAGAGGGAGGTTATATGCTTTTTCTACTTCCTGCCACAAGCAGCATAAGCAAAGGACTGCCATAGTTGTGGGACTTCCCTTTTTCCACAGACCCTATCCCTGCGTAGTGAGAAATTATAACTTTAGACATTTCAGACTTTCTGATCCTTCACTCCTCTCAGGAATTCATAAGTTTAAAGGTCAGATCCTGCATAGTCAAGAGTACAAGATCCCAGAAGGCTTTCAGGGCAAACGCGTCTTGGTGATTGGTCTTGGGAACACTGGAGGAGACATTGCTGTGGAACTCAGTCGAACGGCAGCTCAGGTACATCATCTCTGAATTAATGCCCCTAATCCCATCATCAGTTATGATGGCTGGAAAGAGATATTCAAAACTATGAAGTACATTGGCCAATTGCTAAATTATGCAGACACACAGTAAGTGGGAAAAAAAAAAAACATTGAAAATCTTTAAAGCCACTCACGGTTCTTTCTGAACTATTTAAAAAGCCATGCTTTACAGAACTGAACTATCTCCAAGAAGGGTCTAGGAAAATTGTGTGGATGCCAGACCTCTAAGCATTTTTCAGGAGTGCTTCCTTCAGAAACAAGACCATATAGGCAAATTGCTTCACCCAGTTCAATTATCTTTTTTTTACACCCTCCCTTTGTCATTCTGGTAAAATCCCTATGTAAGAATAGAAAGGTCATTTTCTTGAATGTTTCTAAGTTCTCTACTAAAGGTGATATCTGTACCTTGTTTTGAGATGAAAGCAACTCTTGCACAACAAGTATACATAATGGTTTTAGAAAGTCTAAGCCCAGATTCACAAATTAGAAATCTATTGCACTTTAGCATAAATTAAAGGAAAATGATTAGATCTGGAAAGAATATATTTTTATTTAAAAATAAGGTAAAATTGCTTTTCCATACCTTCACTTTAAGTTCTATTTTGCTTACATGTAAAAAATTGCCAGATCAATTCCATGTATCTACAAATATTATACTTCTATATTTATAATTCTATAAACATAGTAAAATATTTAAGAGACATACAGATCTAGTAAAGTGATTTTGAGAACAATGACAGCAATAGGAACAGATAATCGTATGTAGACCTATGTACAAATTCACCAATCCTCTGTTGTTAAAAGACCAGACTGGAATAAGATCATTTGAAACACACTGATGAAAAATACTACAAAATGATGAACATTTATTTATCCTTCTTGCCTTACTTTACTTTTTAGGTACTTCTCAGTACTAGAACTGGTACCTGGGTTCTTGGGCGCTCTTCAGATTGGGGCTATCCTTATAATATGATGGTTACAAGAAGATGCTGTAGTTTTATTGCACAAGTTCTGCCTTCACGTTTTCTAAACTGGATTCAAGAAAGGAAGTTGAATAAGAGATTTAATCATGAGGATTATGGATTAAGTATTACCAAAGGGTACTTACATTTTTTATTTAGTAGAAAAAATATTAAATCAATATTTATCATTACATTTTATTCAGAATTCAAAATGTTCAATAATTGTAATATTGCCTTTGTTTATTCTACTCTAAATCCATTTCCCTAAAACACTGTTCATCAGGTACCACAGCAGTTTTTAAAATATATGTATTCTCTTTCTGGTGGCAAAAGTAGTGATTCATGAGGCTGGAAGAAAATAAAAGATGAAAACTTCCATTTCCTGCTGTTACAAATATCACATATTTTTGTTGTTGTTGTTGTTGTTGTTGGGGTTTTTTTGTGTTGTTGATGTTGTTTTTGTTCTTGTTGAGACAGGGTTTTACTCCTGTCACCCAGGCTGGAGTTCAATGGTCCGATTTCTATTCACTGCAATCTCTGCCTCCTGGGCTCAAGCTATTCTTCTGCCTTACCCTCCCAAGTAGCTAGGACTACAGGCACAGGCCACCTCGCCCAGCTAATTTTTGTATTTTTAGTAGAGACAGTGTTTCACCATGTTGGCCAGGCTGGTTTTGAACTCCTGGTCTCAAGTGATCTACCTGCCTCGGCCTCCCAAAGTGCTGGGATTATAGGAATGAGCCACTCCACTCAGCCAAAATGATATATTTTAATATACATCTGTATAGAGTTGCACATTGGCAAGTAAAAGAAAGCCTTTGAAAAGCACGTAAGGTCATTAAATATGATTTTTATTATACACTTGACCCAAATATTTTTCTTTGGTAAGATATCTTTTTTTGTTTTGTTTCTTTTTTTGTCTGTGTTTTTATCCTTGAGATGTCCTTCAACTTATGAGGAAAACTACTGGCAAAGGATGATTTGATATGTAAATTTTACAAAGAAAATATGTTTGATGTGATTAGGTAGAATGATGGTCACACTGAAAATATGTATCAGTATAAATTTTTTTTAATGGAGTCTCACTCTGTTGCCCAAGCTGGAGTGCAGTGGGTGTGATCTTGGCTCACTGCCACCTCTGCCCTCCCCGGGCTCAAGTGATTCTCCTGCCTCAGCCTCCCAGATAGGTGGGACTACAGGTGCAGGCCACCATGCCCAGCTAATTTTTTGTATTAAATTTTTATTTAAAGAGTTCCTTGCTAATTTCCTGTCTGCCTGATGTCATTCCCTA
The DNA here is from genome assembly GCF_000001405.40 of Homo sapiens. Taxonomy (NCBI): domain Eukaryota; kingdom Metazoa; phylum Chordata; class Mammalia; order Primates; family Hominidae; genus Homo; species Homo sapiens. Next base: position 171,334,059 of record NC_000001.11, read on the forward strand.
GAGGCCTAAGTAATTTGAGACCCAAAATTGATCATCAAATGGATTGTTGTACCCTCTATGCTGACACTCTGAGAAAAGCATTGCTCCAGAAATTAGTTCTAAGAGATAGAGAGTTTTAAACCCCAAGCAAGAAAGAGTAGGTTTAGTCATTTTCCATATACCTTCTACTGAGAACAGAAACACAAAACCATGTTATAAACATACTAAGTCAAGTAGATGACTTTGAATTAGACATTGGTTAATTCTCTTCCTTAGCTTGGCAGGTAATTTCCCTGAATTGGCTAAGTAAATCATTTGCTGAAGTTTCTCATAAAAATAACTACAGTGAATAATTTTCTCCTGTGTGTCAAAGGAAAAAAGCAAAATTCATTGTGAATGATGAGCTGCCAAACTGTATCCTCTGTGGGGCAATCACTATGAAAACCAGCGTGATTGAATTTACAGAAACCTCTGCTGTCTTTGAAGATGGGACAGTGGAAGAAAACATTGATGTTGTGATCTTCACTACAGGATATACATTTTCTTTTCCATTTTTTGAAGAACCTCTTAAAAGCCTCTGTACAAAGAAGATATTTCTATACAAGCAAGTCTTTCCCTTAAACCTAGAGAGAGCGACATTAGCCATCATCGGCCTTATCGGCCTTAAAGGATCCATCTTATCAGGCACAGAGCTCCAAGCACGATGGGTCACAAGAGTATTCAAAGGTACCATGACTCTACTGAAAGTCCTCTCTTTGGATCGTAAAATTGGTGCCCTGCCATTTAGCTAAAATCAAACAGATGTGAACTAAAGTAACAAAATATTTTTAACATTAGTGTACAATTAATTGTATATGTTTGTAATATGAGGGTGTGCTGTGTCACTTAATGTGACTGAATAGGAAAAGAGATTTTGGCTCTGTGGATGAGATAAATTTGGACAACAGAATATAATCAAATTTGTCAGGTTAGCTGAAATTATTGAAGGCTTCATGATCCTGTTCTAGCCTAGTCTAATCTATCTACTCCTAAATCTTTTCATTTAGTACTAGAAGTATAATTTTATATTGCTTCCAAAGAAAGATATTGGAATAATATACACTATGAATGAAGTTGAGATTAGAGACCCATAAAAAATATTTTAGACACTGGAAACTACTTTCTGTCAATTATGCAATAAGAGCATAGATACTGGAGTCAGAGCTACGGAGGTCCAATCCCAACTTCAAAATTCTTTAGCTTTGCAAGAACCCCTCTAAATCTCAGCCCCTTCATCTGTAAAATGGGGATAATAAATCCCGTATGACAAGAATTTTGTAAAAAGGATAATGTCTGCAAAGCAATTAGCACAGTACTTGACATATAACTAACGCGTATTAAGTGACAGGGTTTCTCTGACCATTGCTATTGCTATCATACCTCTCTAAAGCAGGGCAAATTTTAGATTAGCAAGCATTTTAGTTTTAAAGAACTGCAGTTTTCTGTTTTTAAATATAAACAGCCATAGCAATTGGGCCCATCAGCTATGCTGTAGAAAAATTCTGTTCTTAATGAATAAAAACAATTACCAATAACTTATAAATAGCATACAACATGGTATTAAATAGTGTTGACTTCTATCAAACTGTAGAAATATAATAGGCATCAATCACACTTAAAACCGTACGTTCTCCTAAGTTGGCACAAAAAAAAATGTTATTTGAATGGGGGGAGGGGAAAGAAGGCAGTTAGAAAATCTCATTTTATTTACATTACAGAAAAAAATCCTACAACCCTGCAGTAAATTACCACAAATTTCTGTTTTTTAAGGTCAGTTAAAGAGCTTTCACAGCATTATCCAATTACATTAAAACCACAGAAGACTTAATTAACTACTGGTTTTAAAAAGTATTTTATGGTGAGCTCCAAAATGGTTATTAGAATGATAAAGCTGACAAAACAAAACTCTTTTAGCTCACACCATAGGAGTAATGGCATGCTTCTCCTGAGAACTTCCAAAAAGCAATCTAGGAACAACCAATTAAATCTTGCTAGTTTTTTAGAGGATAAGGTGACCCTAGTGGAAAGCAGTCCACAGAGCTTAGTTGGACCTATCTCGTGTGGAAAGTAAACACACACCCTGGGCCAGCACTTGGTACCTGACAAAGGCAGGACTGGCCAGAATGGGATGGCAAACAGGGCAGACTAACAAGGGTCACAAGTGGCCTGAGGTGGATAGGGACAGTGAAGGGGCAGGGGGTGGGGACAGAGTTTACATTATAAGAGGGAGTATGGGTGTTCTAGGAACCCAGAAGACAAACTTGGATTTTAGTCTCTGGGGAAGCTGGACAACTGCAGAGAATTATCAGGGTGCAAGCTGTTAAGGGAGAATAAGGTTTAGAATTCAGAAAAACAAGAAGAGCAGAGTCCAAGTGCTAAGACTGTCTAGATGGGAGATTGGGAATGAGCAGGTCCTCACAACAAAAGCAGACAGAGCCTGGGTGAGACTGACTGCGAAACTGCCAGGCCCCTTCCACACATGAGGCTCCTTGTGTAACAAAAATGAAAATGTTCTAAGACAGGGTTATAAAGTGGGTTTTTTTTAGAGACCAGTCCTCACTCCATTGCCCAGGCTGGAGTGCAGTGGCGTGATCATGGCTCACTGCAGCCTCCATCTCCTGGGCTCAAGGGATTCTCCCACCTCAGCCTCCTGAGTAGCTGGAACTATAAGCCCATGCCACCACACCTGGCTAAATTTTTATTTTTTGTAGAAAGAATATCTTGCTATGTTGCCAGGCTGGTCTTGAACTCTTGGACTTAAGCTGTCCTCCTACCTTGCCCTCCCAACGTGCTGGGGTTATAGGCATGAGCCACTATGACCAGCCTAAAATGGGGTCATTTTAAGTGTTTACATCTAACCAACTAATAGCTTTAACACAAACATGCACACACACACACACACACACACACGTACAATGTGGAGGGTATACATACAATATAATATAAATTATATTATTTATACAGCAAAAGCAGATGAAGAGAGACAGGGCAGGCCAACTGGCACAGGTGCAGGTGTCTGGTGAGTGTGGCGCAGGCTGACAGCTGGGCCATAGAGGCATCTCTCCTCACAATTCTGGCAGTAGAGTACCCTGGTTAAGTGAACTGGGCGGGGAATTTTACCTCCAGAAAATTATTTTCTGTGCTGCATTTCCATTCTGAGCTTTGACTATCATGTGCTCTGAAGTTAGAGCAGTGGGAGGCTAGAAATGAGTGGGTGGAGAATTTAAATAAAGGAAAAGCCACATGTGACTTTAGTGTTGTTTGTGATTTTTCCCACAGGACTCTGTAAGATACCTCCATCCCAAAAATTGATGATGGAGGCTACTGAAAAGGAACAGCTCATTAAAAGGTATGAAATGTAGCTTGCTCTAGGGCAAACTTACAGTATATTCTGTTACAAAAAAAGGATTCAGAGTATAAAAGCCATTCCTAGAGAAGCAGTATGGCAGGTTGGAAATAACTCTGCATTAGGAATCAGAAGGATACATTTTTAGTCCTAACTCTGCCACCAATCAGACGTGGCCTTAGACAAGTCATCTGGGGACACCAGGTCTTTTCAGTGGAACACACAGCCTGGCCCCCTACCAGTGGCAATCCTGTCTTCACTTAGTCCAGGAAATCTATTCTGACTTCACTCTCTTCCTACCTCTCAGGCTGCTCTTTCTCTGTATTTGCTGGTATCGCCTCTTCCTCACTCCCAAAATTTAGTGAGCTCCAAACTTAGTCCTCAGGCCTCTTCTCATTCCTATTTACACCCACTCCCAGGTGGCCTCATCCAGGCCTGTGGCTTTAAATATCATCATATACTCAGGGCTCCCAAACTGTGTCTCTGACTCAAATCTTTCTCCAGAACTTCAGACTCCTAATTCCCCTCCCTCTAGATAGCTCCACTTAGATATTTAATAGGCGTCTCAAATTTAATATGTCTAAAAATGAACTCTTGACCCCCTCCGCCCCCCATCTGCCCTGTAAATGGGCTGATCTGAAACTTTTCCCCATCTCAGTTCATAGCTACTCATTCCAGTTGGTCAAAACCAAGTTCAGTCAAAAACCTTGGATTAATCCTTTTCTCTTCTTTTTTTCTCACATCCCATATCGGCAAATATTGTCAGCTCCTACCTACCAAATAAATCCAGAATTCAGACACTTCTCACTGCCCCTACTGCTACCATCCCAGACCAGACCACCAACATCTCTCATCAGGACACTTGCTGCCACCTCTTACCTGGTCTCCCTCCTTCCACTCTGTTCTACAATCTAGGCTTGTCACAGCATCAAGAGTGAGCCACATCACATTGCCCTTCTACTCAAAAACCTCCAGTTGCTTCCTTTTCACTCCCAGGAGGCTCCCTACAGCCTCTGTGGCCCACAGCACACCCAAATATTGATATGCCCTCACTGCCTACTGCTCTCCATCTCATCCATGCTGCTTTAGGCATTCCAGCCTCCTACCTGTTCCTCAAACATACCAAACATAACCCCCTCAGAACCTTTACGCTCTACTCTTCTGTCAGCCTGGAATGTTCCATCAGACACCTAAAAGACTCACTCTGTTCAAATGTCACTTAATAAGAGAGAAGCCTTCTCTGACAACACTATATGTGACAGCAACCCACCCTGACTCACCATTGCCTCTCCCCTTACCCTCCTTTCTATTTCTCAGAGTGCCCATTATTACCACCTGATATATTACATATCTACTTAGTTGAGGTTTTTTAATAATGTATTCATTTCCCCCATTAAAATACAGGCTTTTTGACAGCAAGGACTTTGTTTTGTTCACTATTGGATCTCCAGCACCTACAATGGTGCCTGGAATGTGATAGACACTTAATGTTCATTTATTTATTTACTCACTGAATGAATGAATGATTGACATTGGGACATCATGAAAGTTTACTGACAGAAATAAGTAAACTTCATGAAAAGTAGAACATCGTGGAAGTTTACTGACAGGAATAAGTAAATAAGTAAGTTTACTGACAGAAATAGGTATGAATAATGCCTTCATATTAATATATAATATGCTCATATCTGTGGAAAGTTCAGTCCACGTACACCAAGTATGGCCTTCTCAACTCACAATTCACACCAATAAAAAAATTTAGGTACATATGATGCTTTCTGGTCATGTTCATTCATTCAACAGCTGTTCTATTTGGACTGATCAGACGTTGTTCTCACATCAAATCCAAGAACTGAAAACATTATTTAAAGTTTCTCTCGAGTTTTTAAGAACCTACAACTATTTATGGAGAAAAAGCAGCCCAAGGATGATCTTTTTGATAGACTCAATACTGGTATTCTGAATAAGCATCTCCAGGATCTCATGGAGAGCTTGACAGCCAAGGTATTCCATACATACAATGCCTCCATCACGCTACAGCAGCAGCTAGAAGAACTCACAGCCCCGGATGAGAACATCCCAGCGAAGATCCTTTCTTATAACCGTGCCAATCGAGCTGTTGCAATTCTTTGTAACCATCAGAGGGCACCACCAAAAACTTTTGAGAAGTCTATGATGAACTTGCAAACTAAGATTGATGCCAAGAAGGAACAGCTAGCAGATGCCCGGAGAAACCTGAAAAGTGCTAAGGCTGATGCCAAGGTCATGAAAGATGCAAAGATGAAGAAGGTAGTAGAGTCAAAGAAGAAGGCTGTTCAGAGACTGGAGGAACAGTTGATGAAGCTGGAAGTTCAAGCCACAGACCGAGAGGAAAATAAACAGATGGCCTTGGGAACCTCCAAACTCAATTATCTGGATGCTAGGATCACTGTGCCTTGGTGCAAGAAGTGGGGTGTCCCAATTGAGAAGATTTACAACAAAACCCAGCGAGAAAAGTTTGCCTGGGCCATTGAAATCGCTGATGAAGACTACGAGTTTTAGCCAGTCTCAAGAGGCAGGGTTCTGTGAAAAGGAACAGTGTGGTTTGGGAAAGATGGATAAACTGAGCCTCGCTTGCCCTCGTGCCTGGGTGAGAGAGGCAGCAAGTCTTAACAAACCAACATCTTTGCAAAAAGCTAAACCTGGAGATATTATAAGGGACAGCTGAGCCAGTTGTCCTACGGACAACTTATTTAAAAATATTTCAGCTATCAAAATTCTAGCTGTATGATTTGTTTTGAATTTTGTTTTTATTTTCCAGAGGGCAAGTGGATGGGAATTTGTCAGCGTTCTACCAGGCAAATTCACTGTTTCACTGAAATGTTTGGATTCTCTTAGCTACTGTATGCAAAGTCCGATTATGTTGGTGTGTTTTTACAGTTAGGGTTTTGCAATAACTTCTATATTTTAATAGAAATAAATTCCTAAACTCCCTCCCCTCTCCCCCATTTCAGGAATTTAAAATTAAGTAGAACAAAAAACCCAGTGCGCCTGTTAGAGTCGTCACTGTCTATTGTCATAGGGATCAATTTTCATTAAACTTGAAGCAGTCGTCGCTTTGGCAGTGTTTTGGTTCAGACACCTGTTCACAGAAAAGCATGATGGGAAAATATTTCCTGACTTGAGTGTTCCTTTTTAGATGTGAATTTTTATTTCTTTTTAATTATTTTAAAATATTTAAACCTTTTTCTTGATCTTAAAGATCATGTAGATTGGGGTTGGGGAGGGATGAAGGGCGAGTGAGTCTAAGGATAATGAAATAATCAGTGACTGAAACCATTTTCCCATCATCCTTTGTTCTGAGCATTCGCTGTACACTTTAAGATATCCATCTTTTTCTTTTTAGCCCTGATCTTTCACTTGAAAGATTTTATTGTATAAAAAGTTCCACAGGTCAATAAATTTAGAGGAAAATGAGTATTTGGTCCAAAAAAATTAAAAATAATTAAGATTTTAGGGCTTTTATTTTTTCTTTTGTAATTGTGTAAAAAATGGAAAAAAACATAAAAAGCAGAACTTTAATGTGAAGACTTTTTTGCTATAATCATTAGTTTTAGAGGCATTGTTAGTTTAGTGTGTGTGCAGAGTCCATTTCCCACATCTTTCCTCAAGTATCTTCTATTTTTATCATGAATTCCCTTTTAATCAACTGTAGGTTATTTAAAATAAATTCCTACAACTTAACGGAAAAAAAAAAGTTTCTCTTCCATCTCTAGTAAAATTAATTGCCTCCTTTTACCATCTCTAGTAAAATTAATTAGCTTCACAGATACCCTCTGTAGATAAACTCCTTTAATTTCTTTCTTCCTAACATACAAAAACATTCCCAAATATGGTTTGATTTCCCCCAAAAAATGTAACAAAATGGTGGGAGGATGGGTGGGTCTGATAACTTGAGAAATGCAGGGCAGGTGTGATTAATGAAAGGTCCTCCCTCTTTTTTCCTCTCAGGGGAGTGTTTAAAGACACCAGCAAAGACAAATTTGACTACATTGCCTACATGGATGATATCGCTGCCTGCATAGGCACAAAGCCCAGCATCCCACTTCTGTTCCTCAAGGATCCCAGACTAGCTTGGGAAGTTTTCTTTGGACCATGTACTCCTTATCAGTACCGCCTCATGGGCCCTGGAAAATGGGATGGAGCCAGAAATGCCATCCTGACCCAGTGGGACAGAACATTGAAACCTTTAAAAACTCGAATTGTCCCTGATTCCTCCAAGCCTGCCTCCATGTCACATTATTTAAAAGCCTGGGGGGCACCTGTCCTACTTGCCTCTCTTCTACTTATCTGTAAATCTTCACTTTTCTTGAAATTGGTGAGAGATAAACTACAGGACAGAATGTCCCCTTACCTAGTAAGTCTTTGGCGAGGATGAACCTGATTGTTACAAGGGTTACACAAAGTCATGCTAATTCTATCTCCAAGTATCTTGTGCATCCCTCCTCTGCTCTCCATCATAACTGCTATTAGCCAAATTCAGGCCCAGTCATCTCCTATCTGAATTATTGTATTATCTTCTTCTTTGTTTTCAGTACCCTCTTTCTTGCCACCCTTTCCAATGCATCTTCTACCCTGCTACCTCAGTGATTATTCTAAAATAAATATATATGATATGGTTTAGCTGTGTCCCCACCCAAATCTCATCTTGAATTGTAGCTCCCATAATTCCCACATGCCGTGGGAGGTAGGTAATTGAATCATGGGGGCAGGTCTTCTCCCATACTGTTCTCATGGTAGTGAATAAGTCTCACTATATCTGATGGTTTTATAAATGACAGTTCCCCTGCACAAGCTCTCTCGTGTCTACCACCATGTAAGACGTGTCTTTGCTCCTTCTTCACCTTCCACCATGATTGTGAGGCCTCCCCAGCCATGTGGAACTGTGAGTCTGTTAAACCTCCCTTCCTTTATAAATTACCCAGTCTTGGGTATGTCTTTATTAGCAGCAATAGAACAGACTAATACAATATGGTTTATTACTCTAAAGTAAATATATGGTTTATAAATATATAGGAACCTCTGATTCCCAGGAAGGTCTCAGTAGGAACAAAATGGCATTCAAATTAAGTTGAGAAAATTTTTTCCATCACCCAAACTGGAACACAGTGATGCAAACATAGATCACTGCAGCCTCGAACTCCTGGGCTCAAGCTATCCTCCCACCTCAGCCTTCTGAGTAGCTGGGACCATGACTGGCTAATGTTTTTAAAGGTTTTCATAGGGACAGTGTGTTACTTTTTCTTTCTTTTTTTTTCTTTCTTTTAAAAAAAATACGGCCAGGGTCTCGCTATGTTGCCCAGGCTGGTTTCAAGCTCCTGAGCTCAAACAATCATTCTGCCTCAGCCTTCCAAAGTGCTGGGATTACAGGCATGAGTTATCATGTCCAGCCTCACTATTTTTTTTAGATCTCAGATCTTGAACTCTTGGGTTCAAACAAACCTCCCTCCTCCACCTCCCAAGTTGCTGGGATTACAGACATGTGCCACCATGCCTGCCTGGAAATTTTAATATAGAGATTATTTTAAAAGATATGGGCAGAGTGTAGGAAGATCATAGAGATAATGAAACACTCCCAGACTTGTAACCTTTACTATCCATAGACCTAATGAGGCAAGAGAATAAAGCAATTACTAAAGAGAAAAAGCAAGCACTGCGTAGAGGGCCACCTAACAAGAGCAATGACCTTCAGCTGAGTGACAAAGGCAGGTGCACGATGACTACAAAAGTAGAGATCTGGGGGAATAAATTATCTAATCTTACTCTCTTCCCACTCTCTGATCCCTTGCTAGTGCTCCCCAAGGGCCAAACCAAATGAAAGTCAGAAGGCAAGGTTGCCAACAGATTTTATCCACAGAGGTCAGGCTCCTAGGGCACAGAGCAGAGCAAAGATGATGGAGAGGATATATGGTGAGGCACACAAAAGGGATCCAGTTTGATCATGTCACCCTCCCATATAAAATCCTTCATTCTCTATCTTGATTAGAGATAATAGTCCTTGGCTGGGCACAGTGGCTTATGCCTGTAATCCCAACACTTTGGGAAGTTGAGGCGGGCAGATCACTTGAAGTCAGGAGTTCAAGACCAGCCTGGCCAACATGGTGAAACCTCATCTCTACTAAAAATACAAAAATCAGCTGGGCGTGGTGGTGCGTGACTGTAATCTCAGCTATTTAGGAGGCTGAGGCAGGAGAATCACTTGAACCCAGGAGACAGAGGTTGCAGTGAGGCAAGATCACACCACTGCACTCCAGCCTGGGTGACAGAAAGAGACTCTCTCAAAAAAAAAAAAAAAAGAAGACATAATAGTCCCATATTCCTTAGCATAACATAGAAGGCCCTTCATGGTCTGAGTCCCTTTGCCTGGGTCAGCAGGATGCCTGTTATTTCAAACCCTCCCATCCAGCACTACCAAACTATGAACTTTCATAACTCCTCCCTTTGGCATCAGCTCTTGCCTCTGCCAGGCACACAAATCTATACCGTGCCTGACTGATGAGATCCTATTTATCTTTCAAGAGAGCTCAGTGCTCTCATTCTGTGCAGCCTTCCCTAAATCCCCAAAGCAGAAATGGTCACCCCTGTGTAGCAGCTGCACCTTGTGTATGCTCTGGTGCTGCTCTTTTCTTACTATAGTATCATTTTCTTTTTGTCTGTCACCTAACAAATGGTGAGTTCCTAAAAGGAATCATATCATGTTCATCGGACACACTGCCTGATATGAAGCATTGCTAAAGAAGTATTTGATGAATCGACAGTGGCCTTGCCAGCTGGCACTCTTTGTTTTCTCTCTTCTACCTACATTCTTGTCTTCTGCCAACATGATAAATTACCTCAGCCTTGCAAACAAACAAGAACAGTCCGCCAACAGCTAATGTTATAAGTAAAGGACAATCCAAGTGGCAATTAGAAGAAATAGAACTATACAGTCCAGTACTTGCACAGGAGCGAAGTACACTGGTTAAGAGCACTAACTTGAGAATGAGAACTCAACTTGTTAGCTATGAAGTCTTGGCCATGTGACTTAGCCTCTCTAAGCCTTAGTGTCCTCATCCGGAAAACAGTGGTCATAATAGGGCCTACCTTACTGTGAACATTAATGAGAAAATGCACGGTGTTTGGTCCAAAGTAAGTTAACTACTAATAGCTGCAGAATCGGGGACATTTTCTATTCTCTGAATTAAAGAAAGGACTTGAAACTATTGCCAAATCCCATTCCCTGTTGTGTAATCTGGAGGCATGGCCTTTGCTCTCCCTGGATTCTCTGGCAGCACTTTCCAGTTAACGATCGTTTTTGTTGTTGCTGCTGCTACTGATAAACGGACATGTTTAATGACACATTGGTCTTCACAGAGATGACTACAGAGACTTTTAATCTATAATCCAGTAGTATACAACCATGCATCACAGACTAATTAGCCAGATGTAAAATAAACTAGCTTCTTACCACAACTACCCTATAAACATTGCAACTATTCTTTCCAAAATGACCCTAGTCTTACATGAAAACACCTATTGTGGGGAAACCGGAAACCTAGTTATGTGACCAAAACTAAAAATTAAAGGAAAAATTGCAATTCACTGGTGAAAGTTGGTGAAAGCAGAGGAAATTCAGTGCCCTTCACTATGCTACTTTGATGTTACTTGTGTTCTTTTTGTCCCTCTTCTTCAGCCCATCCATGTTAGTTCTCAGTAGGTTTGAATAAGCCATCCGGAACTTATTCACTTCTTTGGAGCTCACCACAATGCTAACCTTCTTTTTCCCATCAGTAGTTCTTAACAGACACCTGTCTGAAGACTCAAAGCCCGCAACAGAACCTTTCACTAGAATGGGTTTGGTTCAACCTCAGTTCTCAAGGAACAAATGGTACCAGGAAAAGTCCGCTGTAAGTGAACCCATTTTAACTGAGAATCAAAACATCATAGTAAATAGTATGGAAAAAAATTAGGTTTGGTCAAAACTTCAACTTGAGAAATAAAACCAGAAATTATAAAAATAAGTTTGCTTTACTGTTCATTTAACTGAGTTAGATTATAATTGGAACTATGTACAAATGGGAACTGCCTAATTGTCTGACAACTTATATTACAGCAAGATAAAACATTCCCCACTTTATACAACATTCTTTACTTCCCATATGACTTTCAAAGCAAGATTACAAGATTGCCCTTTTTAAAAAAATTCACAGTTTTCATTGATTTTGCCAAGTATTTACATCATTCTATTTGAATTTCCTGTCTTGTCATTATGTTTGCCAATTCTCTCTATGTTATTCTTGTATTTCTTACATGATTTAACTCTGCAAGATCTAGACTTGCCAATGGCTTAACAGTTCTCCAGTATTACTTCATCAACTTCAACATTCTTCTTAGTTGCAGGTGATATGGTTTGGCTGTGTCCCCACCCAAATCTCATCTTGAATTGTAACTCCTGCAATTCCCACATGTTGTGGGAGGAACCTGGTGGGAGGTGATTGAATTATGGGGGTGGAGCTTTCCCATGCTGTTCTCATGATGGTGAATGAGTCTCATGAGATCTGATGGTTTTAAAAACAAAGGTTTCCCAGCACAAGCTCTCTCTTTGCCCCCTGCCATCCATGTAAGATGTGACTTGCTTCTCCTTGCCTTTGGCCATGATTCTGAGGCCTCCCCAGCCATGTGAGACTGTAAGCCCATTAAACCTCTTTCTTTTATAAATTGCACAGTTTCAGGTATGTCTTTACCAGCAGTGTGAAAATGGACTAATACAGCAGGATATGTAACTTCTCTTTGCCATTGATTTGCATCGTATGGTCTGCATTATCAGACAATTATCAGAGACTGACCACAAACACATTTGTGAAATACATTTATGGGAATGATATCCAGAGTAGACTGTACTGTCAAACAGTCCTGTTGGATATGTGTTTGAGGAAAAGTAAACTTTTTTTTTTGAAGACAGAGTCTTACTGTGTCACCCAGGCTAGAGTGCAGTGGTGCACTGACTGCTCACTGCAGCCTTGACCTCTCGGGCTCAAGCTGGGACTATAGGCATGCACCACCATGTCCAGCTAATTTTTTCATTTTTTGTAGAAACAAAGTTTTACCATATTTCCCAGGCTGGTCTCAAACTCCTGACGTCAAGTCATCTACCCATTTCGGCCTCCCAAAGTGCTAGGATTACAGGCATGAGCAACTGTACCTGGCCGAAAATAAACTTTTAAGTGGTCAGTTAATTTGTTCACTCAATAAAACTTATTGAGCACCTAATATGTTCCAAGCACTATTCTAGACCATGAGGAAATAGAAGCAAATACAAAGAGATAAAATTCTTGACTCCATGAAATTTATAATCCAGTGTGAGAGGCAGAAAATGAACAATAAAATGTTTTATAGTGATCAGTCTTAAGAAGAACAAGTAAGTTTAAGAGACAAAGGGTGATGGGGGTTAGATAGGATGCTCAGATAAGACTTCTCCTAAGAAATGACTCTTGAAATGTTTTTATTGGAACTTGCATAAAGTGAGGATGTGACCCACATGAATATGTCATAGAACGGTATTGTTTCTGAAAGACAGATCAGTAAGTAGGCCTGAGTCAGGGATGTTAGAACAGTGCTTTCCAATCTTGTTCACACTGTGACACATAGAAGATTATGGTAATGGGCCAGGCACAGTGACTCATGTCTGTAATCCCAACACTTTGGGAGGCCAAGGTGGGGGGATCACTTGAGCTCAGGCATTCAAGACCAATAGGCAACATTGCAAAATCCCATCTCAAAAAAAAAAAAAGAAGATTATGATAATGAAAGAAGACATATGAATAGCAAATGAGCATATGAAAAAATGCTCAACATCACTGATCATTTCAGAAATGCAAATTAAAACTACAGTGAGATATCATCTTATACCAGCCAGAATAGGTATTATTAAAAAGTCAAAAAATAACAGATGGTCAGAACATGGAGAAAAGGGACCACTTATAGACTGTTGGTGAGAATGTAAATTAGTAGTACAACCTCTATGTAAAACAGTATGGGCCGGACGTGGTGGCTCACGCCTGTAATCCCAGCACTTTGGGAGGCTGAGGCAGGCGGATCACCTCAGGTCGAGAGTTCAAGACCAACTTGACCAACATGGAGAAACCCCATCTCTACAAAAAGTACAAAATTAGCCAGGTGTGGTGGCGCATGCTTGTAATCCCAGCTACTTTGGAGGCTGAGGCAGGAGAATCACTTGAACCTGGGAGGCGGAGGTTGCAATGAGCCGAGATTGTGCCATTGCACTCTAGCCTGGGCAACAAGAGCAAAACCCCATCTCAGAAAAAAAAAAAAAATGGAGATTTCATAAAGAACTAAAAATAGAACTACCATTTGATTTTGATCCAGCAATCCCACTACTGGGTATATACCTATAGGAAAATAAATTATTATATCAATGATTTCTGCACTTGTATGTTTATTGCAGCACTATTCACCAACCTAAGTGTCCATAAATAGATAACTGGATAAAGAAAATGTGGTACCTATATATGTGGGTGTGTATGTATGTGTGTGTGTGTGTCTACATGTGTATGTCTATATGTGTGTGTGTATAGATACACAGTTCATGGAATACTACTCAGCCATAAAAAAATAAAATCATGTCTTTTGAAGCAACATGGATGGAACTGGAGGCCATTATCTTTTTTTTCCCCCACATGTTCTAATGGCGGCCATTGTCTTAAGTGAAACAACTCAGAAACAGAAAGTCAAATACTGCATGTCCTCGCTTATAAGTGGGAACTAAATAATGTGTACATATGCGTATTTTTCCATTCTCACACTGCAATAAAGAACTGCCTGAGACTGGGTAATTTATAAAGGAAAGAGGTTTAATTGACTCACAGTTCCACATGGCTCCAGCCAGGGAGGCCTCAGAAAACTTAAAATCATTGCAACAAACACATCCTTCTTCACATGGTGGCAGGAGAGAGAAGAATGAGAGCTGAGCGAAGGGGGAAGCCCCTTATAAAACCATCAGATCTTGTCAGAACTTACTCACTACTACAAGAATAGCATGGGGGCAACCGTTCCCATGATTCAATTACCTCCCATTGAGTCCCTCCCACTACATGTGGGTATTTGGAGAACTACAATTCAGGATGAGATTTGGGCGGAGACACAGCCAAACCATATCAACATGGATATAAAATGTGGAATGATAGACACTGGAGACTTAGAAGGGTGAGGAGTGTCAAAGGGAGGGAGGGTGATGAGAAATTACTTAATAGGTACAATGTACCTCATTTGAGTGATGTTTACACTAAAAGCCCAAGACTTCACCACTAACAATATATGCATGCAACAAAATTACACTTGTATGCCTTAAATTTATACAAATAAAAAAAGAAAAATGATGATAATGTTTGTATTTCACACTAGGATAAGTTAGAAGGAATGTGGTTATCTATGTGAGCACAGGAAAAAATGATCTTTTTATATATTAAAATAAAATTAAGCAAAATATCCATATAAAATTTTAGGAAGAATATTAAATACAGAATGTATAACATACTTCCAAATAAATATTCACAGTTTTTAATTAAAACTTGAGCTTATTTCTGGAAACATAAGTTTTTCTATCATATTTTACACTTGAAATTATATACTTAATTCTTAAGATTTTTTTAACGATGAGCACTTCACATTCGGCAAGTTGGCATGAAAATAATGTAAAACCATTTCATAGTCATTCAAAAATAATCAGAGCACTTGAAATATTTAAATCCAAGTGTGTTTTTTTCCTTTTTTCTCATTGACAAATGTAACATTTAAAGTTTTTTGTGTTATAAGAATTGATTCAAATCCAGTCAAACTTTTTTAAAACAAGTAATTTAGAATAAGACAAAGTTTAGCCATGAACATTGGCTCGCACCTGTAATCCCAATGCCTTGGGAGGTTAAAGTGGGAGGATTGCTTGAGGCCAGGAGTTCAAGACCAGTTTGGTCAACATAGCAAGACTCTAACTCTACAAAAAAATTTAAAAATTAGCCAGGTGTGGTGACATCTGCCTGTGGTCCCAGGTACTCAGGAGGCTGAGGCAGGAGGATCCCTTGAGCTCAGGAGTTCAAGGTCACAGTGAGCTATGATTGCATGACTTCACTCCAGCTTGGGAAATCAGAGTGAGATTGTGTATCAAAAACTAAAAATGAAAATAAATAAGACAACGTTCTAATTAGTAGAAGGGGCTAACTTAGAGCATTCACCCTGCAGGTAGCTTGAATACATTAAAAGTGCATCTTGGCCACAATTAACTACTATATGTGAAGATAGAAATTCCAAGCCACTGTTTTTACAGGACCAACAGGTTCATATATCTGCTGTGCAGTAACAGACTAGTATACCAAGACAGCAAGGTTTGCAATGGAGAAAGAGTTTAACGATCACAGGTGGCTGAGTGAGGAGACAGGAGGGAGCCTCGAATCCAACTCTCCAAGGAGTTCTGGGATGGGGATTTTAAGGGGATTGTGGAGGGCAAATGGCTAGAAAATTAGGGTCATTGACTGGTTAGGAAAAGGGGGTTGAAATCATCAGGATGTAGAAACTGCATTCTTTGGTGAGTCACCTCTTCTTGGAGTCCTTCAGACAAGCTAACATCAATAGTTTTATTTTTGTTTGTCTTGTTTTGTTTATTTTTTATTAAGTTTATTGTAGAAACAGAGTCTCACTATGTTGCTCAGGCTGGCCTCGAACTCCTGGGCTCAAGTGATCCTCCCACTTCTGCCTCCCAAAGTGCTGGATAAAAAAAATGTGGAGGCCAGGCAATGTGGCTTAGGCCAGTCATCCCAGCACTTTGGGAGGCTGATGCAGGAGGATTGCTTGAACTCAGGAGTTCGAGACCAGCCTGGTCAACATGGCAAGACCCTGTCTCTACAAAAAAATACAAAAATTGATCGGGCATGTTGGTGGACGCCTGTGGTACCAGCTACTTGGGGGGCTGAGGTTGGAGGATTGTTTGAGACCAGGGGGTTGAGGCTGCAGTGAGTCATGGTTGCACCACTGCACTCCAGCCTGGGTGACAGAGCGAGACCCTGTCCCTCACCCCCCAAAAAAGAAAATGTTATATATATACATAATACACACACACGCTCACACACCATGGACTACTACTCACAACTGCCAACATTAGGCTGGCCATGGTGGGATTACAGGTATGAGCCAGCATGCCCAGCCTAATGTCAGTAGTTTTATCAGCATGCAGGACACAAAAGAACATCTCAAATGGAAAATTTAACATTTCAGAGTGCTCAAGTTGTTGTCTATGGAGAGGTTAAGGGGAACTATCATCTTGTGACAGGTCTACATGATTCTGGGGCAACAGACAATCATGAGGAAGTAGGTAAGAGATCAAGCTGACCTAATGATTAATGCTAAATGTGCTGCAAGCTTGGTTTGTTTTTGCTTCTTCCCTGATTAATTTTACAAAATTTATAGGGACAATTTTACAGACTGAAGTTGCACCTACCAGGAAGCCCTACCTACTCCCTGCCACCTCCAACACCCTACCCACCATCACCACCTTAGGCACCTATCATAGCAACTTCACCAACAAGTCCACAACCCCTGTCCACAGTGGGGAATGACATGCTCTGTAAATCCTCCTAAAGTAGATGCCTAGGTGGTTCAGCATCTTTTTGACAAAGCTCAAAGCAACCCAGGGAAGTATCAAATGCAGGACTCACACATCACGCTGCCGCCAAAAGGGGATGATATAGAGCATCCTGTCCGAAATGCTGCTCTAGGTCCCAGATTGCTGCCCAGGCACTCAGCCCATGGACACACCTTGCCAATCTGAGGGCTGAGGGGATCAATTTCTCCAGCACAGTGGGTAGGAAGCTCTGTGTTAGAAGACCTATAAGAAGAAAATGTGACAGAGGAGAAGGAGGAGGGCTGTATTAGTCTATGTTCACGCTGGTAATAAAGACATATCAGATACTGGGTAATTTAGAAAAAAAAAGAAGTTTAATGGACTCACAGTTCTACCTGGCTGGGGAGGCTTCACAATCATGGCAGAAGGCGAAAGAGGAGCAAAGTCACATCTTACATTTTGGTAGACAAAGAGGGCATGTACAGGGGAACTCCCCTTTATAAAACCATCAGATCTCGTGAGACTTATTCACTATCACAAGGACAGCATGAGAAAGACCCACCCCCATGATTCAATTACCTCCCACCGGTCCCACCCACAACACATGAGAATTATGGGAGCTATAATTTAAGATGAGATTTGAGTGGGGACACAGCCAAACCATATCAAGGGCAAAAGAGTAAAAGGAAATAAATAAAAATAGAAAAGCACTGAATATTTTTGTATTATGATGAGTTCCTTTTCCTACAGTATTATAACTTTAGAGATTCAGATAATAAATCCCCAGATAAAGAAGTCTCTTTGTGATTATTTTCTACATTTCTTTTAGGTTATGCACTCTTCAAAGGCCCGAGTAGAAAGCAGCCTGAGTAAAGCCAGCTCAATAAAGCAGTTCATTGAATTAAGCTTCTCCCAAGTCAACAAGGCTTCTAAAACTTTTCCAGCTGGGCCCAGTGGCTCATGCCTGTAATCCTAGCTACTGCGGAGACTGAGGTGGGAGGGTCACTTGAGTCCAGGAGTTCCTTGGCTGCAATGTGCAATGATGGCATCACCACACCCCAACCTGGCAGAGATGGGGCAAGCCTAGTTTCAAAAAAAAAAAAAGTCTTCCAGATCAATTTTCAGTGGATTTTGGGAACAGTCTAATGCCTCCTGCTATGGAACGGGTCTTTCGGGCCTTCAGCAGTTCCAATGCCTGTACCTCTGGAAACAAATAATGAGTCATCAATTCTCCTAAATCAGTAGGAAAGAAGAGAGGTCAACAGTCAATGTTTATTGAAAGTAATATCCTTACATTCCAAAACTTCTAACCTACTGGGTAGAGAATAAGATGAAGCTATTATTTTTCCAAACAGGGTCCAACGTAGTTGATCCTCCCACTTCCTACCCCCCTACACACTCAATATTGTCTGTAGTTCAAGAGTTGGAGTGGTCCACACGGTCTCTGCAACTCTCTGTGAAATGTACCTTTCTCTCTCTGCATCTTGTATGTTCCCAGATACACTTCTTCCCCACTTCTCATGCATCCTTCCCAAGAAAGGAACCCAATTAATGTAGTCCTGAGCCTCTCCCCATCCCTTTACTTACACTGCTTCTGTGTCTGGGCTTGTGCAGTGATTTTTCTGACTGGTAAATTTGCGGAGAATAACACTCCCCACCAACTCTACACTCTTTCTGGTGGAGTGAGCCCGCCCACACAGAGCACACTCTCAGCTCTGCTCCAGGCACAGGATGAGGAATTTCCTAATTCTGGGGCTTAGTTAGTAAGCCATACATTCCAGCTTCATTTTTATCAGTCATGAAATGAATATTTTTGACTCAATCTTTACTGTTTGTTTTATCTTACAAATTATCTAGAATCCATGCAAGGAAGATAGGTGTTATTCAGGGAGCAAGTACTCTCAGAGACTCCATTATATACTAATAATATGTCACTTAATTGTACCTCTAATTCCTATTTCCTAGCTTTTCCACTGAAATCATAATTCTTTACAACTACATCATCAACATGCCCAATAAAAACTCCCTTACTATTGCATTCCCTCCCTTTTATTTGTTGGCTTGCTACTTTGTCAGCTTCCTACCTCAAAGTGCTATCAACATCCATTAGCAAACAACTTCACTCATTCTTCCTATACTGTGTCTATGTTGGAAGCAGAGATCACTTGGCAGTAAAGATTGACAGAAGACTATATGGTTCTACCCTAATCCAAGCTCCTCTCATGCAGATGACTGTAAACAGGTCTTCCCACTTCTAATCTTGCCATCATATCAAATTACACCCATACTTAAAACCTTCCCATTGCACTTCCAACAAAACCCAAGTTCGTTATCATGTCCTACAAAGTTCTGCTTCATTTGGCCCTGTCTCATGCCAGTTTCCCCTTCATTTTCTACTCTTCTTCACCTATATTAGCTATCCTTTAATTCATTTTACATGTCATAGGTTCCTTTTCATCCTTCAGGGCTCACTTTAAAAGTCTCCTCCTTAGAGGGGTCTTCTTTGATGACCTATTTTAAACAGGAACTTTCCCCATCCCTTTACCCTGCCTTTGTTTGTGAACAATCATTTCATGTATTGGTTTCCTTCACAGTACTTGGCATTATTTGAAATCATCTGTGTGTTCCTTTATTATTTACTCTATCCCCCAACTTAACAGTCAGCACTATAAGAACTTGTCTTATTTGTTTACTAAAGGAAGAAGCAGATAAACAAATGAATGAATAATGCATACTTTTTTTTTTTTTTTTGACACAGTTTCACTCTGTCATCCAGGCTGGAGTGCAGTGGTGCGATCTCGGCTCACTGCAACCTTCACTTACCGGGTTCAAGTGATTCTCGTGCTTCAGCCTCCTGAGTAGCTGAGATCATAGGCACGCACCTCCAGGCCTGGCTAATTTTTTGGATTTTTAGTAGAGGTGCAGCTTCGCTATGTTGGCCAGGCTGGTCTTGAACTCCTGACCTCTGGTGATCCTCCTGCCTCAGCCTCCCGAAGTGCTGGGATTACAAGCGTGAGGTCACCACTCCTGGCCTAAATAATATATACTTTTTAAAGCAAAGACATGACTTAGAGTTTCTACATAACTCCTGCAATTAAGATTTTTACTGTGATTCAGAATTCTTAAAATATGTATGTGTTCTAAAGAAGCACTCTAAAAGGTTTTTCCTGGAGTAGCATGGTGTCATTATACATTTTCCTCTTTATTTGGCCTCCTGGTGCTCTGACAAATTGCTAGTATATAACTGACTCTTTAATGAGTATAGATCCTTTTGTAGACTCCATAATGGTTATAAAATGGTCCCAATGTGTGCTGGTCACTGCCTTAGCTTAGTGGAATCGTTTGTGGAACACTGCTCTGCATAGATAACAGAGATATCAGTAACCAATTGGCCAAAGGCATGAATTCCACCAAAATATGTTTAATGTGTAAGGCTGGGGTAGAGAATTGAGACATGGTCTCACTCTGTCACCCAGGCTGGAGTGTAGTGGTGTGATCTTGTCTCACCACAACCTCCACCTCCCCGGATCAAGCAATCCACCCACCTAAGCCTCCCAAAGTGCTGGGATTACAGGCAGGAGCCACCACGCCCGGCCCATAAAGTGTTTTGCAACTGTACATTATTACATTCAAATAATTATATATTGAAATTATTTGAATTATTATATTCAAATAATTTATACTTATAAACATATCTTGTTTGGCTGATCTTAGGAGTCTATAACTGTCATTTTCACTCCTTTATTCCATCCTGGCCCATCCAGGTTTTCTGATCTATTTATTTCCAGCTGCAACTGGGTAGTCTTCCTCGGGATTAGAATATCTTTCCCCTTTGATTGAGTCCAGTTGATCAAAACAATGAAGTTAGTGGAGAAAACTTCTCAAACTCTTCTTATGTTCAAACTGTCGACAGAAATATGTCACACTTTACTATTAGCACTTATGCTGTTACTGTCTGTCACTGCATAACCAGGGATGACACAGGCTTCCTTGCTTTGTTCTCTTAACTGAGCTAGTTTTCTCTCCAATTGCTCTTCGTGTGTGTGTGTGTGTGTGTGTGTGTGTGTGTGTGTGAGAGAGAGACAGAGAGAGAGAGAGAGACATCCTTCCACATTTTCTGTCTTAACTAAATCAGTAATGGTTGATACTAAATTGTTGCAATTTTCTCTCTCTTCCAGTTTTAGGGCCTCATTTTCTATGCATACAACCCTCGCTTACCTATAGCAAGTTCTGTAACCATCTGATAAATGTGCTTCATGAATTTCCATATTCTTATCAAGTGCTTTAGAAAGTGTGGTCCCAAGTTATTTGTTCTAAGGAAATTCCTATAACTGGCTGGGCATGGTGGCTCATGGCTGTAATTCCATCACTTTGGGAGGCCAAGGTGGGCAGATCACTCGAGATCAGGAGTTCGAGACCAGCCTGGCCAACATGGCAAAACCCTGTCTCTACTAAAAATAAAAAAAATTTGCCAGGCATGGTGGCATGCACCTGGAGTCCCAGCTACCGAGGAGGCTGAGGCAGGAGAATCACTTGAACCTGAAAGGCAGAGGTTGCAGTGAGCCCAGATCGTGCCACTGCACCCCAGCCTAGGCAAAACTCCCCAACTCAAAAAAAAAAAAAAAAAAAAGACAATTCCTGTGCTTGCTTTAGCACCCTATGCTGCCTCTCGCCACTTACTGGGGATCACCGAGAAGAAAGAAAAACATGAGTTCATGCTCACTGATATGCTCACTGAGCATTTTGAATCCCTGGTTCCCTCTAAAATCCTTTCTTGATGAATCATGTATGCCTGGGTCAGACAGGCTTCTCCCTATCTCCCCAGCCTTGCTTTTCCCGCTTATAAGTAGGTTCACTACTCTATCATTCCCCCTCCTGCAGGCTTCCTCTCCCCCTCAACTTTCTGAGTCAATGCTGACTGAGGTGGAAAGCACACAGCAGTGTAGCTTTAAATATGGCCCATGAACTACTTTCATTAAAACCACCTGGGTGGGTAGTTTCAAATGCAGAGTGCTGAACTTCTGGCCTGTCTATCCTAAAAACTGTATATTTTAACAAATTTTCCAAATGATACATATAGTTCTTATCATGTACCAGACATTGTTCTAAGCACTTTATATATAACTAATTTAATACAACAACCTACGAGGTAAGGATGATTATTATCCTCATTTTACAGATGAGGAAATTGAGGAAAATAAGTTATATAATTTGTCTAAGCTCATAGCTACGATAGGATGGAACCAGGATTAAAACTGGGGCAGGTCTTCCTTCTGGAGTCCCCACACTTAACCACATATTACACTGCTGCACCCACCTAAAGTTAGAGCATCACAAACATTACAGATTTCGAGTGCAGGTTACCTGCACACGCTTCTCAAGAAAAACAACAAAGAACATGAAAATAAGGTCATGAATGTAATTCTGAAGAATTTTTTTTTTAAAGAAAAGGTCACACAGTCCTTCCAAGGATTGTTTTATTTTTTTAGGAGAAGTTACCATTTTCTAACTTCTCTATTTAATATTAACTAGGGGCTTTAACTTTGTGAAGTTATATCGACTTGTAGATTTATGTCTGATAAAGATGCAAATAGGAGAGGTACTGTGGCTCATGTCTGTAATCCTAACACTTTAGGAGGCCAAGGCAGGAGGATTGCTTGAGCCCAGGAGTTTGAGACCATCCTGGGCAATACAGTGAGACCCCATCTCTACAGAAAATTTAAAAATTGGTAGAGTGAGGTGGTGCATGTCTGTGGTCCCAGCTACCGGGGGACTAAAATGGGAGGATCACTTGAGCCTGCGAAATTGAGGCTGCAGTGAGCTGTAATCATGTTACTGCATTCTGGTCTAGGCAACAGAGCTATACCCTGTCCCAACAACAACAACAAAAAAGATGCAAATGAATTCTCTCCAGTAAAAGACATTATTCCAAAGGTTACAGTTTACTGCCGGGTAAGGCATTAGTCAGCTTTGTTTCTAATTTAGAAAATTTATTCTAACATTTGTTTATTTAATTATCTATAAATACCCTTAAAACCAGCTTTATTGTAGTTTTCCCCTGACTAATAAAATTATTAAATCTTTGACATGTGCTCGTTCTACGTTTGCAAAAAAAGTTATGATTTTAGTTTGCAAAAAAAGTTATGAAAATTACACTTTTACACTCCAGACATGGGTAAACCATTTACAAGAATTCTTCTGACATAGTATTTTTCACAGTCAATTAAGTCTGGGGAGAAGTGCTTACTTGGTGCCAACTACTGCTCCAAAATAACTAGCAGCATGATGCCAACGAAAGGGCGTGGACTGAAGCTAAATGGGTCTATTTCCTTTTTTTTTTTTTTTTTTTAGACAAGGTCATGCTCTGTCTCCCAGGCTGGAGTGCAGTGGTGTGATCATAGCACACTGCGCACACTGCAGCCTCTGACTCCTGGGCTCAAGGGATCCTCCCGCCTCAGCCTCTGAGTAGCTGGGATAATAGGTGCAAGCCACCATGCCCAGCTGTCCTCCAAAGTCTATGTGGTACTTCCTTAAATTTTTAGCTGGTACTCACCCCTCCCCTGAACACTGATGCAGAAAGTTGCTCAAATCAGTCTCACGTGAAAGTAAAACATTTTCTGATGGCTGGAGGACCACAGCACAGGGGCAAATTTCCTGATAGAAGTCACCTGCCTACTTGAGTCCCAAGGACTAAAATGTCACTCAACTTCTTCAAGGCTGATTTCCATCAGTGAATTGAATGTTCCAGTGCCAGCCACTGCCTCAGTTGAAGGTAAGCTTGCCACCCATGTACTGTGACTCAAATATCAGCCTCTGTAATTAAGAGTTCTCCAGGGTCTCCTTTGTTTTTTGCTTTTTGATCTTTTTTCTTCTTGTGGAGACAGCATCTCCATATGTTGCCCAAGCTGGTCTCAGACTCCTGGGCCCAAGCCATCCTCCCTCCTCTGCCTTTCTGAGTGCTGGGATTACAGGCATGAGCCACCATACCTGGCAGAGTCTGCTTTGAACTTGAGTCCACATACCAATTTTGTTCTCTCTGCATATGTTTCCTACCACTACGGATACTTAATGCCTTCTCCTTAAGTTACAGGTTAAGATCAACATTTACTCAGTTTGACTCTTCCAGAGAAATAATTTGCATTTGTAACTACAAATATTTATCCATGGTCACAATTAGAATCTCCCCTATCTAAAGGTATATTTTTTTTCTGAGAGAAGATTTTAAAATATGAAATTGATTTAAATGTAAGAAGGTATTATTACTATTAATTAAGAACCTGGGCCAGGTGTGGTGACTCACACCTGTAATCCCAGCACTTTGGGAGGCTGAGGCAGGAGGATCACGAGGTCAGGAGTTCAAGACAAGCCTGGTCAAGATGGTGAAACCCTCTCTCTACTAAAAATACAAAAATTAGCTGGGCTTGGTGGCAGCCACCTATAGTTCCAGCTACTCAGGAGGCTGAGGCAGAGAATTGCTTGAAGCCGGGGGGTGGAGGTTGCAATGAGCTGAGATCAAGCCACTGCACTCCAGCCTGGGTGACAGAGTGAGACTCCATCTCAAAAAACTAATTTGTATGAGAGGTCAGTTAGGTATGCATGCAAGTCACCTAAGAAAGCAGGCAAAGATAAGCCTTCATATTCTTGAGACTTTTCAAATGTCTCATCTGACACTGCAGAATTCTTTCTGGCATTTTTGCAATTTCAACCATTTAGCATTAGTATGAGCGAAGTTTGACCAGCAGGCCATATGCTACCAACCAAAGCTTGCAATGCAGCTTAGAATTTAATTTCAGGAATCCTTTAATCCTAATAATGGAGAAATTGAGATTCACTTAGGTAAACTCAGCCTAGACCTAATTTGACCCTTGACAGTCAATGATTTCTAATTAGGTCTTGCAGACAGGGAAGGACCAATCAAGTGCAGCAGGCTGAACTGCTGTGTGTACAGTTTATGGCAAGGAGTAATTGGAAAATCCAGTCTGAGCCTGTACTTGGGCCTTTATAAGGGGTCATGGTTCAAGCTGAAGCCGACAGTTTCTCTCAGAGCAGCAGCTATGAGTCTTGCACCTCCCTGGTTGAGAATGAAACACAGTTCCCAAGAACAATTCGTAATCCCATTACATTTTAAAAATATAATTAAAGGGAATCTTGGTGGGTGGGTGGCAAGATGACAGAGTAGGAACAGCTCCGGTCTGCAGTTCCCAGTGAGATCAACGAATAAGGTGGGTGATTTCTGCATTTCCAACTGAGGTACCCGGCTCATCTCATTGGGAGTGGTTATACAGTGGGTGCAGCCCACGGAGGGTGAGCCAAAGCATGGTGGGGCATCACCTCACCCGGGAAGCACAAGGGGTCAGGGAACTCCCTCCCTTAGCCAAGGGAAGCCATGAGGGACTGTGCCGTGAGGAATGGTGCACTTTGGCCGAGACACTACACTTTTCCCACAGTGTTCACAATCCGCAGACCAGGAGATTCCCTCAGGTGCCTACGCCACCAGGGCCCTGGGTTTCAAGCACAAAACTGGGCGGCCATTTGGGCAGACACCAAGCTAGCTGCAGGAGGTTTTTTTTTTTTTTTTTTTCATACCCCAGTGGAGCCTGGAATGCCGGCAAGACAGAGCCATTCACTCCCCTGGAAAGGAGGCTGAAGCCAGGGAGCCCAGTGGTCTAGCTCAGCGGATCCCACCCCCATGGAGCCCAGCAAGCTAAGATCCACTGGCTTGAAATTCTCGCTGCCAGCACAGCAGTCTGAAGTAGACCTGGGACTCTTGAGCTTGGTGAGGGGAGGGGTGTCTGCCATTACTGAGGCTTGAGTAGGCAGTTCTTCCCTCAGAGTGTAAATAAAGCCACCAGGAAGTTTGAACTTGCAGGAGCCCACCGCAGCTTGGAAAGCCGCTGTAGCCACCCTGCCTCTTGAGATTCCTCCTCTCTGGGCAGGGCCTCTCTGAAAGAAAAGCAGCAGCCCCAGTCAGGGGCTTGTAGATAAAACTCCCATCTCCCTGGGACAGAGTGCATGGGGGAAGGGGCAGCTGTGGGCACAGCTTCAGCAGACTTAAACATTCTTGCCCGCCAGCTCTGAAGAGGGCAGTGGATCTCCCAGAACAGTGCTCAAGCTCTGCTAAGGGACAGACAAAGTCCTCAAGTGGGTCCCTGACCCCCATGCCTCCTGACTGGGAGACACCTCCCAGCAGTGGTCAACGGACACCTCATACATGAGAGCTCCAGCTGGCATCTGGCGGGTGCCCTCTGGGACGAAGCTTCCAGAGGAAAGAACAGGCAGCAATCTTTACTGTTCTGCACCCTCTGCTGGTGATATCCAGGCAAACAGCGTCTTCAGTGGACCTCCAGCAAATTCCAACAGACCTGCAGCAGAGGGGCCTGACTGTTAGAAGGAAAACTAACAAACAGAAAGGAATAGCATCAACATCAACAAAAAGGATGTCCACACAGAAACCCCATCTGAAGGTCACCAACATCAAAGACCAAGGGTAGATAAATCCACAAAGTGAGGAAAAACCAGCACAAAAAGGCTGAAAATTCCAAAAAACCAGAATGCCTCTTCTCCTCCAAAGGATTAAAACTCCTCACCAGCAAGGAAACAAAACTGTACAGAGAAAGAGTTTGACGAATTGACAGAAGTAGGCTTCAGAAGGTGGATCACAACAAACTCCTCCAAGCTAAAGGAGCATGTTCTAACCCAATGCAAGGAAGCTAAGAACCTCGAAAAAAATGTTAGAGGTATTGCTAACTAGAATAACCAGTTGAGAGAAGAACATAGATGATCTGAAGGAGCTGAAAAAAACAGCACGAGAACTTCGTGAAGCATACACAAGTATCAATAGCTAAATCAATCAAGTGGAAGAAAGAATATCAGAGACTGAAGACCAACTTAATGAAATAAAGCATGAAGACAAGATTAGAGAAAAGAGAATGAAAAGGAAGGAACAAAGCCTCCAAGAAACATGGGACTATGTGAAAAGAACAAATCTACATTTGATTGGTATACCTGAAAGTAACAGGGAGAATGGAATCAAGTTAGAAAACATTCTTCAGGATATTATCCAGGAGAAATTCCCCAACCTAGCAAGACAGGTCAACATTCAAATTCAGAAAATACAGAGAACGCCACAAAGATACTCTTCAAGAAGAGCAACCCCAAAACACACAATCATCGGATTCACCAAGGTTGAAATGAAGGAAAAAATATCAAGGGCAGCCAGAGAAAAAGGTTGGGTTACCCACAAAGGGAAGCCCATCAGACTAAGAGCGGATCTATCTGCAGAAACCCCACAAGCCAGAGAGAGTGGGGGCCAATATTCAACATTCTTAAAGAAAAAGAATTTTCAACCTAGAATTTCATATCCAGCCCAACTAAACTTCATAAGTGAAGGAGAAATAAAATCCTTTACAGACAAGCAAATGCTGAGAGATTTTGTCACTACCAGGTCTGCTTACAAGAGCTGCTGAAGGAAGCACTAAACATGGAAAGGAACAACCAGTACCAGCCACTTCAAAAACATACCAAATTGTAAAGACCATTGACACTATGAAGAAACCGCATCAACTAAAAGGCAAAATAACCAGCTAGCATCATAATGACAGGATCAAATTCACACATAACAACATTAACCTTAAATGTAAATGGGTTAAATGCCCCAATTAAAAGAAACAGACTGGCAAATTGGATAAAGAGTCAAGACCCATCAATGTGCTGTATTCAGGAGACCCACCTCACATTCAAAGACCCACATAGGCTCAAAATAAAGGGATGGAGGAATATTTACCAAGCAAATGGAAAGCAAATAAGTAGGAGTTGCAATCCTAGTCTCTGATAAAACACACTTTAAGTCAACAAAGATCAAAAAAGACAAAGAAGGGAATTACATAATGGTAAAGAGATCAATGCAACAGGAAGAGCTAACTATCCTAAATATGTATTCATCCAATACTGGAGCACCTAGATGCATAAAGCAAGTTCTTAGAGACCTACAAAAACACTTAGACTTTCAAACAATAGTAGTAAGAGACTTTAACACCCCACTGTCAATATTAGACAAATCAACAAGACAGAAAATTAACAAGGATATTCAGGACTTGAACTCAGCTCTGGACCAAGCAGAACTAATAGACATCTACAGAACTCTCCACCCCAAATCAACAGGATATACATTCTTCTCAGCACCACATTGCACTTATTCCAAAATTGACCACATAATTGAAGTAAAACACTCCACAGCAAATGCAAAAGAATGGAAATAATAACAGTCTCTCAGAACACAGTGCAATCAAATTAGAACTCAGGATTAAGAAACTCACTCAAAACCACACAACTACATGAAAACTGAAAAACCTGCTCCTGAATGACTACTGGGTAAATAACAAAATTAAGGCAGAAATAAATAAGTTCTTTGAAACCAATGAGAACAAAGACGCAACATACCAGAATCTCTGGGACACAGCTAAAGCAATGTTTAGAGGAAAATGTATAGCACTAAATGCCCACAGAAGAAAGCAGGAAAGCTGTAAACTCAACACCCTAACATCACACTTAGAAGAACTAGAGAAGCAAGAGCAAACAAATTCAAAAGCTAGCAAAAGATAAGAAATAACTAAGATCAGAGCAGAACTGAAAGAGATAAAGACACAAAAAAACTCTTCAAAGAAATCAATGAATTCAGCAGCTGGTTTTTTGAAAAGATTAACAAAATAGATAGACTGCTAGCCAGACTAATAAAAAACAAAAGAGAGAAGATTCAAATAGACACAATAAAAAATTATAAAGGGGATATCACCACTGATCCCACAGAAATGCAAACTACCATCAGAGAGTACTATAAACACCTCTACGCAAATAAACTCGAAAATCTGGAAGAAATGGATAAATTCCTGGACATATACCCCTCCCAAGACTAAACCAGGAAGAAGAGGAATCCCTGAAAAAATCAGTAACAAGTTCTGAAATTGAGGCAGTAATTAATAGCCTACCAACTAAAAAAAGCCCAGGACTAGATGAATTCACAGCTGAATTCCACCAGAAGTACAAAGAGGAGCTGGCACCAGGCCTTCTGAAACTATTCCAAATAATAGAAAAAGAGGGACTCCTCCCTAAACTCATTTTATGGGGCCACCATCATCCTGATACCAAAACCTGGCAGAGACACAACAAAAAAAGAAAATTTCAGGCCAACATCCCTGATGAACATCTATGTGAAAATCCTCAATAAAATACTGCCAAAACAAATCCAGCAGCACATCAAAAAGTTTATTCACCACAATCAAGTCGGCTTCATCCCTGGGATGCAAGGCTGGTTCAACATATGCAAATCAATAAATGTAATCCATCACATAAACAGAACCAATGACAAAAACCACATGATCATCTCAATAGATGCAGAAAATGCCTTTGATAAAATTCAACACCGCTTCATGCTAAAAACTCTCAACAAACTAGATATTGATGGAACATATCTTATAAGAGTAACAGCTATTTATGACAAACCCACAGCCAGTATCATCCTGAATGAGCAAAAGCTGGAAGCCTTCCCTATGAAAACCAGCAGAAGACAAGGATGCCCTCTCTCACCACTCTTATTCAACATAGTATTGGAAGTTCTGGCCAGGGCAATCAGGAAAGAGAAAGAAATAAAGGGTATTCAAATAGGAAGAGAAGAAGTCTAATTGTCTCTGTTTGCAGATGACATGGTTATATATTTAGAAAGCCCCATCGTCTCAGCCTGAAATCTCCTTAAGCTGATAAGCACCTTCAGCAAAGTCTCAGGATACAAAATCAATGTGCAAAAATCACAGGCATTCCTATACACCGATAATAGACAAACAGAAAGCCAAATCATGAGTGAACTCCCATTCACAAGTGCTACAAAGAGAATAAAATACCTAGGAATATAACTTACAAGGGATGTGAAGGACCGCTTCAAGGAGAACTACAAACTACTGCTCAAGGAAATAAGAGAGGACACAAACAAATGGAAAAACATTCCATGCTCATGGATAGAAAGAATCAATATTTTGAAAATGGCCATACTGCCCAAAGGAATTTATAGATTCAATTCTATCCTCATCAAGCTACCATTGACTTTCTTCACAGAATTAGAAAAAAACACTTTAAATTTCAAAGGGAACCAAAAAAGAGCCCATATAGTCAAGACAATCCTAAGCAAAAAAGAACAAAGCTGAAGGCATCTTGCTACCTGACTTCAAACTATATTGCAAGGCTACAGTAACCAAAACAGCATGGTACTGGTACCAAAACAGACATATAGACCAATGGAACAGAACAGAGGCCTCAGAAATAATGCCACACATCTACAACCACCTGATCTTTGACAAACCTGACAAAACCAAGCAATGGGGAAAGGATTCCTTATTTAACAAATGGTGTTGGGAAAACTGGCTAGCCATCTGCAGAAAACTGAAACAGGACCCCTTCCTTACACCTTATACAAAAATTAACTCAAGATGGATTAAAGACTTAAATGTAAGACCTAAAACCATTAAAACCCTTGAAGAAGCTGAGTACGTGGCTCACACCTGTAATCCCAGCACTTCGGGAGGCTGAGGCAGGCAGATCACGAGGTCAGGAGATCAAGACCTTCCTGGCTAACAAGGCAAAACCCTGTCTCTACCAAAAATACAAAAAATTAGCTGGGTGTGGTGGCAGGTGCCTATAGTCCCAGCTTCTCGGGAGGCTGAGGTAGGAGAATGGCGTGAACCAGGGAGGCAGAGCTTGCAGTGAACTGAGATCATGCCACTGCACTCCAGCCTGGGCGACTGAGCGAGACTCCATCTCAAAAAAAAAAAAAAAAAAAAAAAACTCTAGAAGAAAACCCAGGCAATACCATTCAGGACATAGGCATGGGCAGACTTCATGACTAAAACACCAAAAGCAATGGCAACAGAAGCCAAAATTGACAAATGGGACCTAATTAAACTAAAGAGCTTCTGATCAGCAAAAGAAATATCATGAGAATGAACAGGCAACCTACAGAATGGGAAAAAATTTTCCCAATCTATTCATCTGACAAAGGGCTAATATCCAGACTCTACAAAGAACTTAAATTTACAAGAAAAAAACAACCCCATCGAAAAGTGGGCAAAGGATATGAACAGATACTTCTCAAAAGAAGGCATTTATGTGGCCAACAAACATATTTTAAAAAAGCTCATCATCACTGGTCATTAGAGAAACGCAAATCAAAACCACAATGAGCTAACATCTCACCCCAGTTAGAATGGTGCTCATTAAAAAGTCAGGAAAAAACAGGTGCTGGAGAGGATGTGGAGAAATAGAAACACTTTTACACTGTTGGTGGGACTGTAAACTACTTCAACCCTTGTGGAAGACAGTGTGGCAATTCCTCAAGGATCTAGAACTAGAAATACCATTTGACCCAGCCATCCCATTACTGGGTATATACCCAAAGGATTATAAATCATTCTACTATAAAGATACATGCACGTGTATGTTTATTGCCACACTGTTCACAATAACAAAGACTTGGAACCAACCCAAATGTCCATCAATGATAGACTGGATAAAGAAAATGTGGCACATATACAGCATGGAATACTGTATATGCGGCCATATAAAAGGAGGAGTTCCTCTCCTTTGCAGGGACATGGATGAAGCTGGAAACCATCATTCTCAGGAAGCTAACACAGGAACAGAAAACCAAACACCACATATTCTCATTCATAAGTAGGAGTTGAACAATGAGAACACATGGACACAAGAAGGAGAACATCACACACTGGGGCCTGTCAGGGGGTGGGGGGTTAGGGAGAGATTGCATTAGGAGAAATACCTAATGTAGATGATGGGTTGATGGGTGCAGCAAACCACCATAGCACGTGTATACCTATGTAACAAACCTACATGTTCTGCACATGTATCCCAGAACTTAAAGTATAATAAATAAAAAATACATACATGTAGATACATGTATATATACATACATAAAAATAATATATATGTTAAAGGCATTTTATCTTCTGTAAATTATCATAGAATTCATATATTTAAACATAAAATTATAACTCAAATGAAACAATGCAATATTAAGAAGCATTTTGAGGCAAACCTTGTTTCACAAGATTGTTCGAGGAAATTTAAAATAAACTAGTTGTAATAGTCTCTTGCGCAATGTTAAAATGTGTTCAAAGGTCAGCATTATAGTTAGATACTTCTGTTACGCAATTTCTGGAAATTTATCTCCTCAAAAGGAAGTCCTTCAAGTGAAGGGGGAAATCTCTTTTTTTTTTTTTTTTCTTTTTGAGACAGTCTTTCTCTACCACCCAGGCTGAAGTGCAGTGGTGCGATCCCAGCTCACTGCAACCACCACCTCCCAAGCCGATTCTCATGCCTCAGCCTCCCGAGTAGCTGGGATTGCAGGTGTGTGCCACCACACCTTGCTAATTTTTGTATTTTTTAGTAGGGATGGGGTTTTGCCATGATGGCCAGGCTGGGGTTGAACTCCTGGCCTCAAGTGATCTGCCTGACTCGGCCTCCCAAAGTTCTGAGATTACAGGCATGTGCCACAGCACCCAGCCTGGGAAATCATTTTATTTAAAAAAGACTGAGCTTCATATATTGTACTTTCTACTTTAATAATAATACATATGATAACTTAAGAGGGAATAAATGAAGCTCAAAAGCATTTCTTTTCCTTTTCTTGGCCCAACCATATGCATACATGTTCTAACACATTCACCTCTATGAATTGGGCTTACTCTAAGTGTTCAAGCCAACTTGTGAATCTCTATGGGAATAGTAATCACAGTGCTTACCATTTACCCTGCAGGAGAGAACCAGAACTATACCCCCTCTATACATGCATACAGTTCATTTGAACTCATTCTACTTGTACCAAGCAATCTAGCCTCCCTTGACCACTCTCAATTAATTTTCAGCTACCTGTGAGCAACAGTTCAAAAGGTCAGATGTAATGATCCCTGACTGTGGCAAATGCAGTAATAGACAAAAGCAGAGAAGAGGAACACACAAAAGAGAAGAGAGAGAGAGGCAGACACTACGAGCAGAACGGTAGAGGCCCCTAGGTCATGTGGAAGAATTAAAACAGTTTCAATAATCCTTGAAAACACCATCAACTTGAAAGACACAAAACCAAACAACCACAATAGCATAGCATTCTGGGGCATCTAACACAGGACATCTGAGCCTCTCAAGCAGTGGTCTGGGAGTGAAACAATGCATTATAGCATAGATCTGTCATCAAGGAATTTTAGCTGAACTAAATAATCATCTTTTGGGAATAAATTTGATTTCTGAAAGCAGTTAAAAATCACTTACTCTGGCCAGGCATGGTGGCTCACACCTGTGATCCCAACACTTTGAGATGCCAACATGGGAGGATCACTTGAGGCCAGGAGTTTGAGACCAGCCTAAGCAACATAGCAAGACCCCGTCCCTACAAAAAAAAAAAAATTGTTTTTAATTAGCCAGGCACAGTGGTGTGTACCTGTAGTTCTAGCTACTGGGGAGGCTGAGACAGAGAATAACTTGAATTCAGGAGTTGGAAACTACAGTGAGTCAAGATCACACCCCTGCACTGCAGCTTAGGAAACAGAGTGAGACACAATCACAAAAAAAAAAAAAAAAAAAAAAAATCACTTAGCTTCAGTAAGCAACTAGAAAAAAATAAAAATTAAAAAAATTTGAAATCACTTAGACCCCAATTTGCATGAGTAAGATATGAAGACAAACTGAGAAATGTTATTTCAATTAATAATAAAAGCTTTTGTGGTAATGTTTTATGGGACATAAAACAAACAAAACACAAATAAATAAATGCAAGCTTTGCTTGATCTCAGGAGTTTAAGACCAGCTTGGGCAATATGGCAAAACCCTGTCTCTATAAAAAACACAAAACTTAGATGGGTGTAGTGGCTTGTGCCTGTAGTTCCAGCTACTCAAGAAGCTGAGGTAGGAGGATGGCTTGGGCCCAGGAGGCAGAGGTTGCAGTGGGCTAAGATCAAGCCACTGCACTTCAGCCTGGACAATAGAGCCAGATTCTGTCTCAAAAAACAAATTAAAAAACTAAAAATAAAAGCTGACATAATGAAACTGGTTTACTTTCGTGATTCCAAACAAGGAATTCTAAAAATGACTGGAGAAAGGACACTTGGTTAAATTAAATAGACTGTCCACCTATTCATTTTAAATTATTTTCTAGGGTGTTCAATAAAAAGCAATCTTATTAAAACTTCTGGTTGAACATGGCAGGTGGAACACAGGTAATTATTTTTATTTCATCTCTTTGGAACCCCATCAAAACAAAAAAATGAGAGACAACAGCAGATGAGCAATGTCATCAAATTTTCAGTAGATAGAAAGCAGATGGAAGAGTACTAACTAACAAAGTGGAGAAAGTTTACAACCTGAATTATAATAGAGATAAATACCATAAGAAAGAATCCACAGAACCTTGGAAAAGCTCAGGATTTTAATAGCATCCAGCACAGCAAAGGGAAAGGATGAAACAAGTGGACAAAGCCAGATGGGCTCTAAATTTAGAGTATTTTTTCTGGTTTTATTTTTGTTTTGTTTTGAGATATGATCTTGCTCTTTTGCAGTGGCTGGTCTTGAAATCCTGGCCTCATGGAATCCTCCTGCCTCAGCCTCCCAAGTAGCTGGTATTACAGGTGTGCACCACCACATCCAGCTTAAAGTCTCTACTCTGGATGAGCTCCAGATTGCTTTCCCCTGCCTGCACCCACCAACAGCTGGGCAGAAGAGTGGTCTTTTTTCCCTGGAAAATCTGAATGGCTCCAGAGAAAAATTCCTGGTACTAACTCCCAGCAAAAAAGTTAGGCTCTCAGCCTGATTACCTCACGATAAATCCCACTACTTAAAAAGTCCTCCACAAATATATAAAGCTGCAAATCAATAGTTTGGAGCTGTGCTCTAAAACATGAACAGAAGGTAAAGAGTCAACAGACATTTAAGGAAATCATCTAATACAGAAGGCAGAGATGAAAACAAACACACAAAAAAGAACTTGGAGAAAATAAAAATAATGCACAAGCTGCCAGGCACAGTGGCTCATGCCTGTAATCCCAACACTTTGGGAGGCCGAGGCAGGCGGATCACAAGGTCAGGAGTTCAAGATCAGCTTGGCCAACATGGTGAAACCCTGTCTCTACTAAAAATACAAAAAAAAAAAAAAAAAATGAGCCAGGTGTGGTGGTGCATGCCTGTAATCCTAGCTACTAGGGAGGCTGAGGCAGGAGAATTGCTTGAACCTGAGAGGTGGAGGTTGCAGTGAGCCAAGACTGTGCCACTGCCCTCCAGCCTGGGTGACAGAGCATGACTCCATCTCAAAAATAAATACATAAAATAAAATAAAAATAACAATAATGCACAAGTTAACATCAAAAGAACTGTAATCCATGTCCTCTGAGAGACAAAAGGTAGTATTGCATCCAAAAAACAAGAACAGAATACTATTGTAAAAAGAAAAATAGAACAAGAAAGAGCTTGCAGAAATTAAAAATAGGAATGAAAATTCACATAAAGATGAGGTGGAACAAAAGGTAAAATGGTGAGCAATTAAAAAAAACTAAGGAAATTATAATATCTGTCTAGAAGTTTGAACATTTGAATAACAGGACTTTCAGAAGAAGTCAGAAAGCAAGATAAAATTATCAAAGGAATAGTGGGCAAAGGATATGAACAGACACTTCTCAAAAGAGGACATTTATGCACCCAATAGACACATGAAAAAAATGATCATCATCACTGGCCATCAGAGAAATGCAAATCAAAACCACAATGAGATACCATCTCACACCAGTTAGAATGGCAATCATTAAAAAGTCAGGAAACAATAGGTGCTGGAGAGGATGTGGAGAAATAGGAACACTTTTATACTGTTGGTCGGACTGTAAACTAGTTCAACCCTTGTGCAAGACAGTGTGGTGATTCCTCAAGGATCTAGAACTAGAAATACCATTTGACCCAGCCATCCCGTTACTGGGTATATACCCAAAGGATTATAAATCATGCTGCTATAAAGACACATGCATATGTATGTTTATTGCGGCACTATTCACAATAACAAAGACTTGGAACCAACCCAAATGTCCAACAATGATAGACTGGATTAAGAAAATGTGGCACATATACACCATGGAATATTATGCAGCCAGAAAAAATGAGGAGTTCATGTCCTTTGTAGGGACATGGATGAAGCTGGAAACCATCATTCTGAGCAAATTATCACAAGGACAGAAAACCAAACACCACATGTTCTCACTCATAGGTGGGAATTGGACAATGAGAACACTTGCACACAGGGTGGGGAATATCACACACTGACTTTTAAAAGTCAGCGTTGGAGACAAATTATGAGCTCATGCCTGTAATCCCAGCACTTTGGCAGGCCAGGCAGGTGGATTACCTGAGGTCAGGAGTTGGAGACCAGCCTGGCCAACATGGTGAAACCCTGTCTCTACTAAAAATACAATTAGCCGGGTGTGTTGGCAGGCACCTGTAATCCCAGCTACTCAGGAGGCCAAGGCAGGAGAATCACTTGAACCCGGAAGGTGGTGGTTGCAGTGAGCCAAGATCTGGCCACCGCCCTCCAGACTGAGCCTGGAGTCTCAGAGTGAGACTCTATCTTGAAAAATATATATAAAAATTGTAAGCCACACATTCCTACCAACTCTAATAGAAAAGGATATTATGTATAAATCTGAAACTCAGTCATCTTGCTTACTCTCCTCCCTGGAACTGCATCCAAGTGGAGATGCCTAGCAGGTAGCTGGATATGCCTGGAGCTCTTGAGAGATGGTGAGTTTTCATAAGGAGAACACTGGGTGATATAGAACATGGCAGTCTGTAAATGTTACACCAACAGTATGTCTTAAAATATTGTTCTATGTATTAACAGATTAACTCAAATCACTAAAAGCAATTCTAGGAGGGACCAAAATAATCCAGTAAAAATAAGCAGGTCCTTGATGTTCTAGAAGGACTGCATATCACTTAGAAATCTTCTCTTAATATTATCCCTCTCAAATGAGGTTTTAGCAAGAGTTTGACTCCCTACAGATATGTAGTCACTTGAGGAAGTCTCTCTCCACACATTGATGATCAATTCTGCCAATGTATACAGAAACCTTTGGACAACAACGAGAGCCCAAACTTCTATACCATAGAGCTTGTCTGTAATACCTTTGGCCTAGATGATTCTCTAAGCTCATGTTACCAATTATACAACTGGTAAAAGGAAAAAAGAAAAACATCAATGAAGTGTTTTTATTTTCATCTTAGCAGTGTACTTTGTGGTGGACACTTCCAGATATTCTAATTGCAGCATGTAATCCTGGGTAATTAAATGAATTTGCCTGCTTATTTATTTCGTATAGACCAACTAACTGTTGGAAATATCTACTGAAAATGAATATATAAAATAGGTATATTTCCTGCTCTCATGGATGGAAACTAAATAAGCCATCACAAAATATATAATTACAGATTGTATGGCCGGATGCAGTGACTCACACCTAATCCCAGCACTTTGGGAGGCCAAAGCAGGTGAATTGCTTGAGCTCAGGAGTTGGAGACCAGCCTGGGCAACATGGCAGAACCCCATCTCTACAACAACAACAACAAAAATTAGCTGGGCATGGTGGCACACACACCTGTGGTGCCATCTACTCCAGGAGGCTGAAACAGGTGGATTGCTTGAGCCCAGGAGGCAGAGGTTTCAGTGAGCTAAGATTGTGCCACTGCACTCCAGCCTGGGTAATAGAGTGACAGACACTCTGTCTCAAAAAATAATAATAATAATTACAGATTGTGAAAAATGCTTTGAAGGAACAGTCCAGTAGAGAGAATGACAGAGCAACTGTCAGGCCTCTGAGCCCAAGCTAAGCCATCATATCCCCTGTGACCTGCACATATACATCCAGATGGCCTGAAGCAACTGAAGAACCACAAAAGAAGTGAAAATAGTCACTTCCTGCCTTAACTGATGACATTCCACCATTGTGATTTGCTCCTGCCCCATCCTAACTGATCAATTGAACTTGTGACATTCCTTCTCCTGTACAATGAGTCTCATAATCTGCACCTCGTGACCCCCGCCCCTGCCCACAAGAGATAATCACCTTTAACTGTAATTTTCCACTACCTACCCAAATCCTGTAAAACCGCCCCACCCCATCTCCCTTTGCTGACTCTCTTTTCAGACTCAGCTCACTTGCACCCAAGTGAAATAAACAGCCTTGTTGCTCACACAAAGCCTGTTGGTGGACTCTCTTCACATGGAGTCGTGTGACAGTAACCTAATTTAAACTGTGAATGGGGTATATCAAGGAAGAGCTCTTTGAGAAAGTGAGGTTTAAATTGAAACATAAAGAATGAGTAATACCTCTTCCAATAAAGAATGTAGGATTAGGCCTATTCCAGGCAGAAGTACAGCACGTAAGCATTCCCTGAGACAAAAAAAAAGAGTACTTCACATTGCTGAAAATAGGCCTTTCGGGCTGGAAATCAGTTGGCAAGAAGATGGTCAGGGAAGGATTCTGAAGTCAAAGCCAAATAAAGCAAATAAATGAAGACCTTATTAGGTCACTGTACAGAGTTCTAATTGTACCTAAGATAAGTATTATAAACAAAAAGATGACATAATTTGATTTATGTTTCTAAAATTAAAAAAGTGCTACAGAGGGATTTTATAACAATCACCCACTTTAAGCCAGTTTGAGGAATTTTAGAAAATTTACACAATTGTGCAACCATCGCTGCAGTCACCCAAAGTTCATTTGTGCCCATTTGTGCCTGTTCGTATCCACCCACTGCCCAAGGAAACCACTAATTTGATTTCAGTCTCAGTAAGTGTGCCTTTTCTAGAAATTTCTTTTTCTTCTTTCTTTTTTCTTCGAGACAGAGTCTAAACTCTGTCACTCAGCCTGGAGTGCAATGGCACAATCTCGGCTCACTGCAACCTCTGCCTCCTGGGTTCAAGCAATTCTCGTGCCTCAGTCTCCCGAGTAGCTGGGACTACAGGCATGTGCCACTATGCCTGGCTAATTTTTGTATTTTCAGTAGACATGGGGTTTCACCATGTTAGCCAGCCTGGTCTTGAACTCCTGGCCTCAAGTCATCCATCCGCCTTGGCCTTCCAAAGTGCTGGGATTACAGGCATGAGCCACTGCACCCAGCCAGAATTTTCATCTGAATTAAATACACTATGTGGAGTTTTGCGTCTGACTTGTTCTATTTAGCACAATGTTTTTGAGGATCATCAGTATTGCTGAAGCTGTCCTCAAAAGGTTAACAAGAATTCTGGAGAAAAATATAGTTATAATTAAGCATTAATCAGGTTGCACTTTGACCCACTTTCTTGTAACCAAAAGTCACATAACACTAGAAACTGACCATTTGCATCCCAGTTGTTCCTATAGATAGGATTTCTGATATTAGGATCATTAGGCTTTCAAGAAATGTTTAGCAAGATGGCCGAATAGGAACAGCTCTGGTCTACAGCTCCCAGCGTGAGCGACACAGAAGACGGGTGATTTCTGCATTTCCATCTGAGGTACCGGGTTCATCTCACTAGGGAGTGCCAGACAGTGGGCGCAGGTCAGTGGGTGCGCGCACCGTGCGCGAGCCGAAGCAGGGCGAGGCATTGCCTCACTTCGGAAGCGCAAGGGGTCAGGGAGTTCCCTTTCCGAGTCAAAGAAAGGGGTGACGGACGCACCTGGAAAATCGGGTCACTCCCACCCGAATATTGTGCTTTTCAGACCAGCTTAAAAAACGGCGCACCACGAGATTATATCCCTCACCTGGCTCGGAGGGTCCTACGCCCACGGAATCTCGCTGATTGCTAGCACAGCAGTCTGAGATCAAACTGCAAGGCGGCAGCGAGGCTGGGGGAGGGGCGCCCGCCATTGCCCAGGCTTGCTTAGGTAAACAAAGCAGCCTGGAAGCTCGAACTGGGTGGAGCCCACCACAGCTCAAGGAAGCCTGCCTGCCTCTGTAGGCTCCACCTCTGGGGGCAGGGCACAGACAAACAAAAAGACAGCAGTAACCTCTGCAGACTTAAATGTCCCTGTCTGACAGCTTTGAAGAGAGCAGTGGTTCTCCCAGCACGCAGCTGGAGATCTGAGAACGGGCAGACTGCCTCCTCAAGTGGGTCCCTGACCCCTGACCCCTGAGCAGCCTAACTGGGAGGCACCCCCCAGCAGGGGCACACTGACACCTCACATGGCAGGGTATTCCAACAGACCTGCAGCTGAGGGTCCTGTCTGTTAGAAGGAAAACTAACAAACAGAAAGGACATCCACACCAAAAACCCATCTGTACATCACCATCATCAAAGACCAAAAGTAGATAAAACCACAAAGATGGGGAAAAAACAGAACAGAAAAACTGGAAACTCTAAAACGCAGAGCACCTCTCCTCCTCCAAAGGAACGCAGTTCCTCACCAGCAATGGAATAAAGCTGGGTGGAGAATGACTTTGACGAGCTGAGAGAAGAAGGCTTCAGACGATCAAATTACTCTGAGCTACGGGAGGACATTCAAACCAAAGGCAAAGAAGTTGAAAACTTTGAAAAAAATTTAGAAGAATGTATAACTAGAATAACCAATACAGAGAAGTGCTTAAAGGAGCTGATGGAGCTGAAAACCAAGGCTCGAGAACTACGTGAAGAATGCAGAAGCCTCAGGAGCTGATGCGATCAACTGGAAGAAAGGGTATCAGCAATGGAAGATGAAATGAATGAAATGAAGCAAGAAGAGAAGTTTAGAGAAAAAAGAATAAAAAGAAATGAGCAAACCCTCCAAGAAATATGGGACTATGTGAAAAGACCAAATCTACATCTGATTGGTGTACCTGAAAGTGATGGGGAGAATGGAACCAAGTTGGAAAACACTCTGCAGGATATTATCCAGGAGAACTTCCCCAATCTAGCAAGGCAGGCCAACGTTCAGATTCAGGAAATACAGAGAATGCCACAAAGATACTCCTCGAGAAGAGCAACTCCAAGACACATAATTGTCAGATTCACCAAAGTTGAAATGAAGGAAAAAATGTTAAGGGCAGCCAGAGAGAAAGGTCAGGTTACCCTCAAAGGGAAGCCCATCAGACTAACAGCGGATCTCTAGGCAGAAACCCTACAAGCCAGAAGAGAGTGGGGGCCAATATTCAACATTCTTAAAGAAAAGAATTTTCAACCCAGAATTTCATATCCAGCCAAACTAAGCTTCATAAGTGAAGGAGAAATAAAATACTTTACAGACAAGCAAATGCTGAGAGATTTTGTCACCACCAGGCCTGCCCTAAAAGAGCTCCTGAAGGAAGCGCTAAACATGGAAAGGAACAACCAGTACCAGCCGCTGCAAAATCATGCCAAAATGTAAAGACCATCGAGACTAGGAAGAAACTGCATCAACTAACGAGCAAAATAACCAGCTAACATCATAATGACAGGATCAAATTCACACATAACCATATTAACTTTAAATGTAAATGGACTAAATGCTCCAATTAAAAGACACAGACTGGCAAATTGGATAAAGAGTCAAGACCCATCAGTGTGCTGTATTCAGGAAACCCATCTTGCATGCAGAGACACACATAGGCTCAAAATAAAAGGATGGAGGAAGATCTACTGAGCAAATGGAAAACAAAAAAAGGCAGGGGTTGCAATCCTAGTCTCTGATAAAACAGACTTTAAACCAACAAAGATCAAAAGAGACAAAGAAGGCCACTACATAATGGTAAAGGGATCAATTCAACAAGAAGAGCTAACTATCCTAAATATATATGCACCCAATACAGGAGCACCCAGATTCATAAAGCAAGTCCTGAGTGACCTACAAAGAGACTTAGACTCCCACACATTAATAATGGGAGACTTTAACACCCCACTGTCAACATTAGACAGATCAATGAGACAAAAAGTCAACAAGGATACCCAGGAATTGAACTCAGCTCTGCACCAAGCGGACCTAATAGACATCTACAGAACTCTCCACCCCAAATCAACAGAATATACATTTTTTTCAGCACCACACCACACCTATACCAAAATTGACCACATACTTGGAAGTAAAGCTCTCCTCCGCAAATGTAAAAGAACAGAGATTATAACAAACTATCTCTCAGACCACAGTGCAATCAAACTAGAACTCAGGATTAAGAATCTCACTCAAAACCGCTCAACTACATGGAAACTGAACAACCTGCTTCTGAATGACTACTGGGTACATAACAAAATGAAGGCAGAAATAAAGATGTTCTTTGAAACCAACGAGAACAAAGACACAACATACCAGAATCTCTGGGACGCATTCAAAGCAGTGTGTAGAGGGAAAT
The DNA here is from genome assembly GCF_000001405.40 of Homo sapiens. Lineage (NCBI taxonomy): Eukaryota > Metazoa > Chordata > Mammalia > Primates > Hominidae > Homo > Homo sapiens. Next base: position 171,376,433 of record NC_000001.11, read on the forward strand.
TTATAGCACTAAATGCCCACAAGAGAAAGCAGGAAAGATCCAAAATTGACACCCTAACATCACAATTTAAAGAACTAGAAAAGCAAGAGAAAACACATTCAAAAGCTAGTAGAAGGCAACAAATAACTAAAATCAGAGCAGAACTGAAGGAAATAGAGACACGAAAAACCCTTCAAAAAATTAATGAATCCAGGAGCTGGTTTTTTGAAAGGATCAACAAAATTGATAGACTGCTAGCAAGACTAATAAAGAAAAAAAGAGAGAAGAATCAAATAGACACAATAAAAAATGATAAAGGGGATATCACCACCGATCCCACAGAAATACAAACTACCATCAAGGAATACTACAAACACCTCTATGCAAATAAACTCGAAAATCTGGAAGAAATGGATAAATTCCTGGACACATAACACTCTCCCAAGACTAAACCAGGAAGAAGTTGAATCTCTGAATAGACCAATAACAGGAGCTGAAATTGTGGCAATAATCAATAGTTTACCAACCAAAAAGAGTCCAGGACCAGATGGATTCACAGCCGAATTCTACCAGAGGTACAAGGAGGAACTGGTACCATTCCTTCTGAAACTATTCCAATCAATAGAAAAACAGGGAATCCTCCCTAACTCATTTTATGAGGCCAGCACCATTCTGATACCAAAGCCGGGCAGAGACACAACCGAAAAAGAGAATTTTAGACCAATATCCTTGATGAACATTGATGCAAAAATCCTCAATAAAATACTGGCAAAACGAATCCAGCAGCACATCAAAAAGCTTATCCACCATGATCAAGTGGGCTTCATCCCTGGGATGCAAGGCTGGTTCAATATACACAAATCAATAAATGTAATCCAGCATATAAACAGAGCCAAAGACAAAAACCACATGATTATCTCAATAGATGCAGAAAAAGCCTTTGACAAAATTCAACAACGCTTCATGCTAAAAACTCTCAATAAATTAGGTATTGATGGGACGTATTTCAAAATAATAAGAGCTATCTATGACAAACCCACAGCCAATATCATACTGAATGGGCAAAAACTGGAAGCAATCCCTTTGAAAGCTGGCACAAGACAGGGATGTCCTCTCTCACCACTCCTATTCAACATAGTGTTGGAAGTTCTGGCCAGGGTAATTAGGCAGGAGAAGGAAATAAAGGGTATTCAATTAGGAAAAGAGGAAGTCAAATTGTCCCTGTTTGCAGATGACATGATTGTATATCTAGAAAACCCCATTGTCACAGCCCAAAATCTCCTTAAGCTGATAAGCAACTTCAGCAAAGTCTCAGGATACAAAATCAATGTACAAAAATCACAAGCATTCTTATACACCAACAACAGACAAACAGAGAGCCAAATCATGAGTGAACTCCCATTCACAATTGCTTCAAAGAGAATAAAATACCTAGGAATCCAACTTACAAGGGATGTGAAGGACCTCTTCAAGGAGAACTACAAACCACTGCTCAAGGAAATAAAAGAGGATACAAACAAATGGAAGAACATTCCATGCTCATGGGTAGGAAGAATCAATATCATGAAAATGGCCATACTGCCCAAGGTAATTTACAGATTCAATGCCATCCCCATCAAGCTACCAATGACTTTCTTCACAGAATTGGAAAAAACTAAAGTTCATATGGAACCAAAAAAGTGCCCACATCACCAAGGGAATCCTAAGCCAAAAGAACAAAGCTGGAGGCATCACACTACCTGACTTCAAACTATACTACAAGGCTACAGTAACCAAAACAGCATGGTACTGGTACCAAAACAGAGATATAGATCAATGGAACAGAACAGAGCCCTCAGAAATAACGCCACATATCTACAACTATCTGATCTTTGACAAACTTGAGAAAAACAAGCAATGGGGAAAGGATTCCCTATTTAATAAATGGTGCTGGGAAAACTGGCTAGCCATATGTAGAAAGCTGAAACTGGATCCCTTCCTTACACCTTATACAAAAATCAATTCAAGATGGATTAAAGACTTAAACGTTAGACCTAAAACCATAAAAAACCTAGAAGAAAACCTAGGCATTACCATTCAGGACATAGGCATGGGCAAGGACTTCATGTCCAAAACATCAAAAGCAATGGCAACAAAAGCCAAAATTGACAAATGGGATCTCATTAAACTAAAGAGCTTCTGCACAGCAAAAGAAACTACCATCAGAGTGAACAGGCAACCTACAAAATGGGAGAAAATTTTTGCAACCTACTCATCTGACAAAGGGCTAATATCCAGAATCTACAATGAACTCAAACAAATTTACAAGAAAAAAACAAACAACCCCATCAAAAAGGGGCGAAGGACATGAACAGATACTTCTCAAAAGAAGACATTTATGCAGCCAAAAAACACATGAAAAAATGCTCATCATCACTGGCCATCAGAGAAATGCAAATCAAAACCACAATGAGATACCACCTCACACCAGTTAGAATGGCAATCATTAAAAAGTCAGGAAACAACAGGTGCTGGAGAGGATGTGGAGAAATAGGAACACTTTGACACTGTTGGTGGGACTGTAAACTAGTTCAACCATTGTGGAAGTCAGTGTGGCGATTCCTCAGGGATCTAGAACTAGAAATACCATTTGACCCAGCCATCCCATTACTGGGTATATACCCAAAGGACTATAAATCATGCTGCTATAAAGACACATGCACACATATGTTTATTGCGGCAGTATTCACAATAGCAAAGACTTGGAACCAACCCAAATGTCCAACAATGATAGACTGGATTAAGAAAATGTGGCACATATACACCATGGAATACTATGCAGCCATAAAAAATGATGAGTTCATATCCTTTGTAGGGACATGGATGAAATTGGAAATCATCATTCTCAGTAAACTATCGCAAGAACAAAAAACCAAACACTGCATATTCTCACTCATAGGTGGGAGTTGAACAATGAGATCACATGGACACAGGAAGGGGAATATCACACTCTGGGGACTGTGGTGGGGTGGGGGGAGGGGGGAGGGATAGCATTGGGAGATATACCTAATGCTAGATGACGAGTTAGTGGGTGCAGCACACCAGCATGGCACATGTATACATATGTAACTAACCTGCACAATGTGCACATGTACCCTAAAACTTAAAGTATAATAAAAAATAAAATAAAATAAAATAAAAATAAAAATAAATGAAGATATACTCCTCAAAAAAAAAAAAAAAGAAAGAAAGAAAGAATGTTTAAGCAGATCCTGAATTCCAGCAGAACAGCTGACAGCAACCAGATTAAAGACCCCAAGGAGGAACCAAGTCAGCCTGAGAATAGTTTCTTCATCTCCCTGCCCCATGACTTCACCCTGCACTCCGACCAATCAACAATCTCCACACTTCAGCCCACTCTGAAACCCTTAAAAACCCTACCTCCAAGCTCCTCAAAAAGATGGATTTGAGGTTTCCTCCTGTCTCCTTGTTCAGCAGCCTTATGATTACAACTCTTTCTCTGCTGCAACCTGGTGTCTCAGTGCATTGACTTGTTATGTGCATGGGGCAGTGAACCTATTACAATTACACTGTGTGTATCAACAGTTTGTTTCTTTTTATTGCTGAGTAGCATCCGGTGGTATGCATATAACACATGTTGTTTATCCATTCACCAGTTGATGGACATTTGGATTGCTGGCTATTACAAAAGGCCACTGTGAACATTCATCTACAAGTATTTGTGTGGACATATGCTTTCTTTCTCTTGGGTAGAATCCTAACAGTGGAATTGCTAGGTCCTATGATAAGTTCCTGTTTAACTTTTTAAGAACTTGAACTGTTCTCCCAAGAGGTTGCACCATTTTGCATTTCCATTAGAAATGTTATGGGGCTTCCCATTTCCCTACATCTTTACCAGCACTTTTTATTGTCTGTCTTTTTTGCTTTAGTGATTCTAGTGGGTGCGTAGTGGTATCTCTCTGTGGTTTCAGTTTACATTTCCCTAAGCAACAAAAACATTGAACATCTTTTCTTTTCATGTGCCCATTTGCCAGATGTATATATTCTTTGGTGAAGTGTCTATTCAAATATTTTGGCCATTTTTTAGATTGGGGTTTTAGTCTTACTTTGAGTTATTTTCAGTTATAAGACTTCTTTATTCTGGATATTACACCTGATTAGAAATACACTCTCCTCGTTATGGCTCACCTATTTTCTTGCTGTTTAGGAATTTGAATAGATGGGGATACGAGTTTGCACGTTATGCAAGTTATAAAGCCTCTGCCTTAGTACAGGCAAAAGATGGTGGTTTAAAAATGGGGGAAGTAGAGGCCAGGGACAGTGGCTCACGCCTATAATCCCAACACTTTGGGAGGTCAAGGCGGGTGGATCTCTTGAGTCTGGGAGTTCGAGACCAGCATGGGCAACAAGGCAAAACCCTATCTCTACAAATAATATAAAAATTAGCCAAGCATGGTGGCACGTGCCTATGTGTCCAGAATTGGTGAGTTCTTGTTCTCGCTGACTTCAAGAATGAAGCCACAGACACTTACCGTGAGTGTCACAGTTCTTAAAGATGGTTTTTCTACTGGGTTCATTCATGGTCTTGCTGACTTCAGGAGTGAAGCTGCAGACCTTTGCTGTGAGTGTTACAGCTCACAAAGGCAGCGCGTCTGAAGTTGCTTGTTTCTCCCGGCGGGTTTGTGTTCTCGCTGGCTTCAGGAGTCAAGCTGCAGACCTTTGTGGTGTTACAGCTCATAAAAGCAGTGCAGACCCAAACAATCAGCAGCAGCAACATTTATTGCAAAAAGCAAAAGAACAAAGCCTCCACAATGTGAAAGGACACCTAGCAGATTGCCTCTGCTGGCTCAGGCAGCCTGCTTTTATTCCCTTATCTGGCCCCACCCACATCCTGCTGATTGGTCCATTTTACAGAGAGCTGATTGGTCCGTTTTACAGAGAGCTGATTGGTCGGTTTTACAGAGAGCTGATTGGTCCGTTTTTACAGAGTGCTGACTGGTGCATTCACAATCCCTGAGCTAGACACAGAGTGCTGATTAGTGCATTTACAATCCTCTAGCTAGACATAAAAGTTCTCCAAGTCCCCAACAGATTAGCTATACACAGAGTGCTGATGAGTTCACATACAATCCTCCAGCTAAACATAAAAGTTCTCCAAGTCCCCACTGGACTCAGGAGCCCAGCTGGCTTTACCTAGTGGATCCCATGCTGGGGCCACAAGTGGAGCTGCCCCCACAAGTGGAGCTGCCCCCCAGTCCTGCACAGCATGCCCACACTCCTCAGCCCTTGGGCAGTCTATGGGACCAGGCACCACGGAGCAGGGGGCGGCGCCTCTCCGGGAGGCTCTGGCGGCACGGGAGCCCACAGGCAGGGGTGGGGGCTAGGGCATGGCAGGCTGCAGGTCTTGAGCCCGGCCCTGCAAGGAGACGGTTGAAGCCTGGTGAGAATTCAAGCATGGCTTGGGACGGCTGGCAGTGTTGGGGGACCTGGCACACCCTCAACAGCTGCTGGCCCAGGTGCTAAACCCCTCACTGCCCGGGGCCAGCGGTGCCAGCCGGCTGCTCCAAGTGCAGGGCCTGCTGAACACACACCCACCCAGAACTTACCCTGGCCTGCGAGCGCTGCGCACAGCGGTGGTTCCCGCCTGCGCCTTTCCCTCCACACCTCCACACAAGCAGAGGGAGCTGGCTCTGGCCTCAGCCACCCCAGAGAGGGGCTCCCACACAGTGCAGTGATGGGCTGAAGGGCTCCTCAAGTATGGCCAGAGCAGACACCAAGGCCGAGGAGGTGCCAAGAGTGAGGGAGGGCTGCTAGCACATTGTCACCTCTCACCTGTAGTCCCAGTTACTGGGGAGGCTGAGGTGGGAGGATTGCTTGAGCCCAGGAGGTGGAGATTAGAGTGAGCTGTGATTGCACCACTGCATTCCAGCCTGGGTGAGAGTGAGACCCCATCTCAAAAGAAAATTAAAATAAAAAAGGGGGGCAAGTGAAGGTGGAAAACAACTGACAGATTACAGACATATTTTGAAGGTAGAATCCACAGGACTTAATGATGAATTGGGCATGTGATGCAAAGGAGGTCTCAAAGATACTCCTGGTTTACTGGCATGAAAATAGATTGAAGAGACATCATTTTCTGATATAAGGGAGATGGCATGAAAATCAGATTTGAGACTCAGAAGGTTCAGAGTTCAGTTTAAAAAAAAGAAAGATGAGGGCATGGAGTTTTGAGATCTTTGCGCAACATCCAAATGGAGCTATCCAGTAACTAGCTGGAAATGGAAATAAGGATCTAACACTCAGAGACAAACAAAAAAAATGTTCATACGTAATTTTCTTTTTTTTTTGAGACACAGTCTCACTATGTCGCCCAGGCTGGAGTGCAATGGCGCAATCTCAGCTCACTGCAGCCTCCACCTCCCAGGTTCAAGCAATTCTCATGCCTCAGCCTCCTGAGGAGCTGGGAGTACAGGCGACTGCCACCACGTCTGGCTAATTTTTGTATTTTTAGTAGAGACGGGGTTTTGTCATGTTGGCCAGGCTGATCTCGAACTCATGACCTCAGGTAATCCACCCACCTTGGCCTCCCAAAGTGCTGGGATTACAGACATGAGCCACTGTGCCCAGCCTGCAAATAATTCTATAGGCTAGATTCCTAGAACGGGATTGCTGAGGCAATAGATAAAATTCTGATAGATACCACCAAATTATACTCCAAAATGGCTACAACAATTTATACTCCTTCTCAGGCCGGGCGTGGTGGCTCACGCCTGTAATCCCAGCACTTTGGGAGACCGAGATGGGCGGATCACAAGGTCAGGAGTTTGAGACCAGCCTGGCCAACATGGTGAAACCCCGTCTGTACTAAAAATAGAAAAACAATTTTTACTCCTTCTCTTTTCAGTGCCCCCTCTTTCACATCCCCTCCAAATCCAGGTCTTTTTTATTAGCTCTTTTATATAATTTTTATCTCATAACTTATAAATAAATGTGAAAAACAGAATCTATTTTGATTCACATTTCCCTGATTTGGTGGTTGAGCAACTTTTTAAGTAAATGAACCATTTTTATGTCATCCTTTGTAGTTCCATTCTTATTTTTTGGCTTTTTTATTGTTATTATTAATGATTATAGGAGCTCTTTATGCTTTGTAAATATTAATTTCTGTCGGTTATCTATGTTGCATGAATTTTCTCCCAGACTGTCTCTTATTTTGTGTATGGTAACTTTCATCATGAAAACACTTTGAGTTTTATTACAGCACATCTGTTCATCTATTTCTTTGCAGCTTCTGGATTTGGTGTCTTGCAGGTGCCCTTGCCTTTTGAAAATTACTAAGATACGCTTTGTTTTGTTTCATCTAGTATGGTTTCTTATGCATTAGCCTCTAAGTAATTTGGACTTTATATTATGCATGCTGTAAGATAGGAATGAAATTTTTTTTCTTTAAAGAGTAATTTATTTTCTCAATAGCATTTGTTGAACAATTCATTATTCCCTCATTGATTGGAAATGCCAACTTTAATATATTAACTTTCCATAAATACACACACGTTACACAATTCTTTCATTTTTAAATTTTTTGTTCTGACAGGGTCTTGCTATCTTGCCCAGGCTGGTCTCAAACTCCTGGCCTCAAGCAATGCTCCCACCTCAGCCTCCTGAGTAGCTGGAACTACAGGTGCAAGCCAACATGTCCAAGCTAATTTTTAAATTTGATTTTGTAGAGACAAGGTGTCACTATATTGCCCAAGCTGATCTTGAACTCCTGGGCTCAGGCAATCCTCCTGTGCTTCCAAGGTGCCAGGGTTACAGGCCTGAGCCACCACTCTTAATTCTTCAAAACTCATCTAAGACATTGTTTTGTTGTTGTTGTTGTTGAGACAGGGTCTCACTATGTTGCCCAGACTGGAATGCAATGTAACAATCATGGCTCACTGCAGCCTCAACCTAGGCTCAAGCAATCCTTTCACCTCAGCCTTCTCAGTAGCTGGGACTATGGGTGTGCACCAGCTCACTTGGCTAATTTTTGTATTTTTTATAGAGACAAGGGTCTTGCCATGTTGCCTAGGCTGGCCTCGAACTCCTGGGCTCAAGCAGTCCTCCCACCTCAGCTTCCCAAAGTGTTGGGATCACAGGTGTGAGCTGCTGCACCTGACCTCAACATTCTTTTTTTTTTTACAATAAGAGAGTACAGTAATTACACAATAGTTCCTGATAATAAAACATAGTATCAGCATATGTGTGCTTGTCTTTTTTAGCAGGGGGTCATGCACTTTGTTCAGAGAGATATGATGTCAAGCTATTATGGAACGTCTGCTTTAATAGGAGAGTGTAGACGACATCACATAACATTTTACTTTCAGCTAAGTTAAATATCTACTGACCTAGATTTTCATGATGCTATTAAGATACAGGCTCTACATTAGCTTCAGTAGCTCTGATGGCTATATGTAGCAAAACAGCTACATTCAGAATAGATTCCTGACCACAAAAATAAACGTCAAGGAAAGATCGATAAAAGCTGCAAAGAATTTTATGTTGCTTCTAAGAGATGTTGCCACAAGGTGATAAATGAGTAAGACCATGGTCAATAAATGGGAGAGCAGTGCCTGAATCTCTCCTGCTTGTCCTGTAAACTATTTACCTGAGATACCCCAAGTGGAATTTGCCCAGGAGGAAACATACTGGCTAGCACTTTAGATTTAAGAACTAGTGAATTAAAGGTTTATAATCTGTAGGGAATGGAGAATTGACCTTTAAAAAATAAAGTAGACCATACTTTAAGTCCCACCAGATGGGACCATCCTAATGGAGTTAAAATACAAGCAAGTGCTGCAAATTAGAAACCATTATTCCACATGCCTTGAATATCCTAGAAACAAGAAATTTCCATCAGACACTTTTTGTTTATTGGGACCATGCTATGTGAGAGTGTGTTCTCAAACTCAGCCAGAAAAATGCTTAGGGTAGATATCCTTATTTGTTTCCTCCTATTGTTACATTCCTAAGAAAATAAAAGCTAGGATTTTGAGTCCATCTTCTAGTGTTCTAATTCAAAACAGAGGAATTCGTCATTTTAAATCTATAAAATAAAAATAGTTACCATTTCTTGAGCAATTACTTTGTGTCTACCAGTCAGCATCCTAAATGTTATACATTCATTCACTAATATTTACAGTAGCCCTATTAAACAAGCATCATTGTACCCCCCCATGCCCCCTTCTTTTTTTTTTGAGACAGAGTGTCGCTGTTGTCACCCTGGCTGGGGTGCAATGGTGCGATCTCAGCTTACTGCAACCTCCGTGTCCCAGGTTGCAGCAATTCTCCTGCCTCAGCCTCCTAAGTAACTGAGATTACAGGTGCCCACCACTACGCCTAGCTAATTTTTTAAATATTTTTAGTAGAGATGGGGTTTCACCATGTTGGCCAGGCTGGTCTTGAACTCCTGACCTCAGGTGATCCACCCACCTCAGCCTCCCAAAGTGCTGAGATTACAGGCATAAGCCACCCCGCCCGGCCCACTGTTCCCCTTTTATAGGTGAGAAAACTGAGGTTCAAAGAAGTTAAATGACTCCAGCTGGGCACAGTTGCCCACACCTGTAATCCCAGCACTTTGGGAGGCCAAGGCAGGTGGATCATTTGAGGTCAGGAGTTCGAGACCAGCCTGGCCAACATGGTGAAACTCCATCTTTACTAAAAATACAAAAAAAATTAGCCAGGCATGGTGGTGTGCACCTGTAGTCCCAGTTACTTGGGAGGCTGAGGCAGGAGAATCTCTTGAACCTGAAAAGTGGAGGTTGCAGTAAGCCAAGATTGTGCCACTGCACTCCATCCTGGTCAACAGAAGGAGACTCTGTCTCAAAAAACAAAACAAAACAAAACAAAAAAACAGAAAAAGAAAAAGGAAATTAAATAACTGAAAACTAGTGCATGGCATGGCCATGATTCAAATCTAGATGCAGCCGATTCCAGAGCTCATGCTCTTAACCACTATAGTATATCAGCTCTAAGTAGGAAAAGAATGAAAGGACTAGGGTAATGGATGTTAGATAAGTAGGTTGTCATCCTTGTATAACAAACAATGAGAAAACTGATTTGATCTAAATTTCCCTAGAGAGAAATGCAAAGAATTGATACTTATTTTCTATAAACCCAGGTACACGACTCAGCCTACAGCTGTGATGCTTACTTTAAGAAGTTGATGCTGGCTAGGTGCAGTGGCTCACACCTGTAATCCCAACACTTTGGGAGGCCAAGGCAGGTGAATTGATTGAGCTCAGGAGTTCAAGGCCAGTCTGGACAACATGACAAGACTCCATCTCTACAAAAACCTCAAAAATTAGCCAGGCGTGGTGGCATGCTCCTATAATTCCAGCTACTTGAGAGATTTAGGTGGGAGGATGGCTTGAGCCCAGAAGGTCAAGGTTGCAGTGAGCTGAGATCGTGCCACCGCACTCCAGCCTGGGTGAAAGAGCAAGACCATGTCTCAAAGAGAGAGAGAGAAAAAAAAAAGATGTTTAGGCTATGCGTGGTGGCTCACGCTTGTAATCCCAACACTTTGGGAGACCAAGGCAGGAAGATCACTTGAATGCAAGAGTTTGAGGCCACAGTAAGTTATAATTGTGCCATTGCACTCCAACCTGAGCAACGCAGCAAGACCTTGTCTCCAAAAAGGAAAAAAATAATAATTCAGCAGGTTATCCAGGTCTTAAAAAAAATGATGCTTGGTTATTTAGATTTGTTTAGGTTTTTTTTCTTCCTCTTGTATGTAAAAGGCAGGCTCACTTAACTAGTCTGTCAACAATGGTTTCGTCAAAATTTTCATCCCCCTACCATGTCTCAACATAGTTTCACATTATAATTAAAAAATAAATTTTGTCTTCCCATATTACAGTGAAAAGGGAATAAACATTTAATGTTGACACAGACTACATTAGGTTCATTTTAAACATGTTTTTTCTTTAATGTTATTACAGTTAAGTGACATCTATAGTACAATGCATGATTTGATTTTGTGATAATGCAAGTGGCAATTATGAGCTATAGGCTCTGTTGATGAGACCACATCAAGTTACACGGTATGAGTAGGGGATGGAGTAAATACTCAGAGTGTACCTGATAAAAACATAAACTAAAAGTCATATTACATGGAGAAAACATTTTGTTTAGTGGGACAATTTGTAAAAGACAGGATGAAATCCATGACTGGCCTGTTACTTTCAGATAAAAATTCAAAGAGGGTAAAGAAAGCCAAATCCTGCCAGATGCAGTGACTCACACCTGTAATCCCAGCACTTTGGGAGGCCAAAGTGGGTGGATCACATGAGGTAAGGAGTTGGAGACCAGCCTGACTAATATGGTGACACCTCGTCTCTACTAAAAATTCAAAAATTAGCCGGACATGGTGGCGTGCACCTGTAGTCCCAGCTACTCGGGAGGCTGAGGCAGGAGAATTGCTTGAACGGGGGAGGCGGAGGTTGCAGTGAGCCGAGATCACACCATTGCACTCCAGCCTGGGAGACAGAGTGAGACTCCGTCTCAAAAAAAAACAAAAAAAGCACAAATCCAAAGGTAAATCAGCTCCTATAAAGTGAGTAGACAAGTTGCCCCAATTCCAGGTCAGGTATCTGGGCTATCAAGGCTGTAGGCAAATCCCACTATGCAAGGGTAAATCCAACCACCACCAGGAGAATGTCCCTTTGTTCTTTAGATTAGCCCACACTTACCAAAGAGAAAGAAGTTTGGATTCACATCCCTAAACTGAAACTAGTTGCAAGTGATTTCATTAACCTTGTGTTTTTCTAAACCAGCCAAGTATTTGATTCAAAATATCAAATCAGACTCATCACTTATTCTAACTGGAGCTCTGTTTCCCATCTATAAAATATGCTAGATTGAATATGTCTGACTGATTGTGTTCAAGAACTGTATAATTCTACAACTACAGGATAATAGGAAGAATTAGCACAATGGCAGTTCCTGAGGGGGACAAAAAGTCCCAGAATAATTATCTCACCATGAACTGAGAAGCACAAACAGGTGGATGAATGTAAGAATAGTATCTAAGTCAAAAGAGGTACCAAGTTCAAGGAACTCTGTACTTTCTAGCCCACATTCAGAATATCATAATCTGTTCTAAAAGACACATTCTAACAATGACGTTGATTGACTGGATGCAATCAGTAGAGGGTGACCAGGATGGTAAGGCATCAAGATATCATGTGCTATAAAGAACATCAGGAGGAGTCTGAAGAGCAGGAATTGTTTGCTTGGAGCCCCTGGTGAGACTGTTCCTCCCACAGCCTTACCACTAGAAACCACCCAAGAGTCCACACCAGAGAAAGAGGCTATAAATGAACTGACCTCCCACCTTCTAAGGAGCTAATGCCATCATGCCTTGCTTTCCTATTTACCTTAGTCATCCACAAAAGTCCAAGTTCCAAAATTTAGGGTCATCACTAGATTTTCTCCCCACAGGACACTGTACATGTCTGACAGGTCCAATCTTTGTCCTTCCTGAGCCACACAAATATCTCTACTATGTCCTATGGAATTCACAAGTGTCAGCAAAACCCCCTCTATCCTCACACACCTGAGTGTTTCCTACTCTATGTGCTCCTCAATAACCCCTTTGAGTGCACTGCTACACCTGGGTCCTCCTCATGTGTAATTTTTTCTTTCCACATTCAACCTCTCACAATGCCTGGAGATGGTATAAATATCCTTGCCCCTCATTCTCATATACAAAAGTTTTACTCTTTAAAGAACATTCCATTAGATGTTCTCATATCCCCTGCCCTTTTTATAACTATCTATCAACCTCCCTCGTTCCTTAAAGATGTGAAGCTCTTGAGCTTCTGTGTCTTTCTACCACAACTGCTATCATGCATCTTACTGATTCTACAATCCAAATACATGAGTCAACCAACACTTGGGCTTCTCAAGTCCTTGACCACTGAGGATCATTTCCTGTCTCTGAAATCTTTGCTTCAGCTATCTCCTCAGACCATCACAGTTTACTGCAGCCTTGACCTCCTAAGCTCAAATGATCCTCTCACTTTAGCCTCCCGAGTATCTGGAACCACAGGCACGCCTCACCATGCCTGGCTAATTTTTTAAATTGTTTGTAGAGATGGGATTCTCCTATGTTGCTCAGGCTGGTCTTGAACTCCTGAGCTCAATAGATCCTCCCACTTCAGCCTCCCAAAGTTCTGGGATTACAGAAATGAGTCACCGTGACCGGCCTTCCCCAAAATTCTAAAGCCCATTTTCCTACTCCTCCTTTGCGATCGCTTTCTTCCTTTACTCAGTTTTTTGTGTTTTGTTTTTCTTAACTCTCTTTTCTCTGTACTCACACTCTCCTTCTAACCACAGGTCCATGGTTTTAATGACCAGCTCTACAGTGACCTCTCAAAGATTTATTTCTCCTCAGAGTCCCGGATTTGTCTATACAAAGTTCAGCAGCTTCCTTTGGTTGTCCAATACGTATCTCAAATTTAACATAGCCAAAACAGATCTATTTTCTTTTTTTTTTTCGAGGTGGAATTTTGCTCTTGTCACCAAGGCTGGAGTGCAATGGCACAATATTGGCTCACTGCAACCTCCGCCTCCCAGGTTCAAGTAATTCTTCTACCTCAGCCTACCGAGTAGCTGTGATTACAGGTGCCTGCCACCATGCCCAGCTAATTTTTTGTATTTTCAGTAGAGACAGGGTATCACCATGTTGGTCAGGCTGGTCTTGAACTCCTAACCTCAGGTGACCCACCCACCTTGGCCTCCTAAAGTGCTGGGATTATAGGCGTGAGCCACCAAACCCGACCAACAGATCTATTTTCTACACCAAAAACCTGCTTTTTATCCCAATCATTCCCATCTCACTTGCCGAGTTGCTCAAACCAAGCGCTTATGAGCTAGCCTTGGTTACTCTCTTTCATTCACCCTCCTACACTCAATCTACCAACAAGATCTGCATACTTCTTAATGTCTAAATGGAAACTGACTTCTTAATGCCTTCACAGCTACCACCTCAGCCCAAGCCCCGTCCATCTCTGACCTGGACTAGAGCTGTGTCTGGAATGCGTTTCCTTCTGGTGGGTTCTTGGTCTTGCTGACTTCAAGAATGAAGCCACGGACCCTCTTGGTGAGTGGAGTTTGTTCCTTCAGATGTTCAGATGTGTACGGAGTTTCTTCCTTCTGGTGGGTTCATTGTCTTGCTGACTTCAAGAGTGAAGCCGCAGACCTTCGCAACAAGTGTTACAGCTCTTAAAGGTGGCATGTCCAGAGTTGTTTGTTCCTCCTGGCGGGTTCATGGTCTTACTGGCTTCAAAAGTGAAGTTGCAGACCTTCCCAGTGAGTGTTACAGCTCATAAAAGTAGTGTGGACCCAGAGTGAGCAGCAGCAACATTTATTGTGAAGAGCGAAAGAACAAAGCTACCACAGCATGGAAGGTGACCCCAGTGGGTTGCTGGGGCTGGCTCTGGTGGCCAGCTTTTATTCCCTTATTTGGCCCAGCCCACATCCTGCTGATTGGTCCATTTTACAGAGTGCTGATTGGTCCATTTTTACAGAGTGCTGATTGATGCATTCACAAACCTTTAGCTAGACACAGAGTGCTGATTGGTGTGTTTACAATCCTTTAGCTAGACAGAAAAGTTCTCTAAGTCCCCACCTGACCCAGAACCCAGCTGGCTTCACCTCTCAGTGCAGTAGTCTTCCTTCTTCCACTCTTGCTCCTTCAAATCCATTCTCCCTTCAGCTGCCATAAAGCATATACTTCCCTACTCAAAACTCTTCAAGAGTTTCCCAACCCACTTATAATAGATTTCAGACTCCATATGAGGCCCTTCATACCCTGGTGACCAACTTAATGCTCTGAAAACCAACTTAATGCTCTTATCTCATCTCCTGCCCCTCTCCAACTCTCTCACGCAGCTGCAGCTTCACTGCCCTTCTTGCAGTGACTGAAACATGGCAAGCTTTTTTCCGCCCTCCATCTTTATCCTTATTTCCCTCTCCACTTAGAACGTTCCTCAAATTTTGCTTGCCATGACCCTTTATGTCATTTAATTCTCCACTGATATGTCACCTCCACAAAGAAGTCATTTCTGATCACCATAAGCAAAATACCCCCATTCCTTTTACCTTGATTTATTACCTGAAATCATCATGTGAGTCTATCTACTTTTTTAAAAAATCACCTATTTGACCCGCTAGAATGTGATCTCTATGATGGCAGTGTTTATATCCTGTTCACCACTATCACCCACACCTAAAACAGTGACTGAAACATGATCAATATTCAACAAATATACGTTGAATAGATAAATGGCCCATTTGGGGCAATGAATATATAAGCATCTTTCTACTAAGAAAAATGACTTACCCCTTTTAGGAAAACAATCATAATTACATGAATTACGCATATGCTGACTATTTTGACATCTGAAAAAGTTTTGCTTAAAAGCATAGAATATCTGCTGTGACAGTTGTTGGAAATTTTGACTGCCTAGCATATTTCCCCTCTTTGTGACAACACCCCTAATTTCTTTTACAGAAAAGACCTTCTCCATTGTGTGCAGTCTTGATGAAACCATAAATCAAGGTTCTCTTGTCATCCCACCCCATCACACTATTCCCTTTCTCTGTTTCCCCTCTCCTTTCTTCTCGCTCTCTGTGTCTCTCTTTCACCAGGCTAAGAGGTAGAATCACAACACAAGCCAGAATAATTTTTTTTCCAGAACTTTGTTTATTGAGATTTGTAACTTAAAGGATTGAAAATGTGGGTGGTTAACTCCACACAGACTCACCCTTCGCAGTGCAATCCCTGATGGACGCCACTCCTGATTGTCCTGGGCTTGCTTCTTGCAGGCCTAGCAGCCCCTGCCCACGTCCACCTGAACCAGATTAGTAGCTTTCCCTGGGATAACTGGGACAAAGGGAAGGACCCTGTGGTGATCAAAAGCCTGTCTCTGGAAGCTGACCCCAACGTCGTTCCTGGGAACGTGATCGTCAGTGCTGAGGACAAGAACCAGTGTCCCCCTCAAATCTCCTCTGAAGGGAGGAATTAACTGTAGAGAAGGAAGTGTCTGGCTTCTGGGTCAAGATCTCATGCATGGAACAGATTGGCAGCTGTGCCTATGAAAACTTCTGTGATGTGCTTGATATTTTCATTCCCCCTGGGGAGCCCTGCCCAGAGCCCCTGCATACCTATGGGCTTCTTTGCCACTGTCCCTTCAAAGTAGGCACCTACTCACCATGAGTGAGTTCACTGTGCCTGACCTGGAGCTGCCCAGCTGGCTCAGCACCAGAAACTACCGCATTGAGAGCATCCTGAGCAGCGGAGGAAAGCGTCTGAGCTGCCTCAAGATTGCTGTCTCTCCCATCCTGGCTAACAAGGTGAAACCGGTGGCGGGCGCCTGTAGTCCCACCTACTTGGGAGGCTGAGGCGGGAGAATGGCGTGAACCCAGGAGGCGGAGCTTGCAGTGAGCCCAGACTGTGCCACTGCACTCCAGCCTGAGCAACAGAGCGAGACTCAGTCTCAAAAAAAAAAAAAAAAAAAAAAAAAAAAAAAAAAAGATTGCTGTCTCTCTAGAGGGAATATAACATGGCATCAGCCACAGCAGAATTAAGGGATATGAGGAAGGTTCCTTTTCCTCTGTCATGTGCTTGTCAACGTCAAATTTTGACTCTCTGCCCCCCTTCAAGCCCCTTTCTGCAATGAGTCAGCTATCCTCACTGAAAATCATTGTGTGCCACTTACATTTTAGGCTGGGACAAGCAGCCCTGAACTAAGGCAGGATGATTTCGACAGTTTTTTTGTTTTGTTTTCTTTGTTTGTTTTTTGAGACAGAGTCTCACTCTGTCACCCAGGCTGGAGTGCAGTGGCACGATCCCAGCTCAGGGCAACCTCCACCTCCCAGATTTAAGCGCTTCTCCTGCCTCAGCCTTCTGAGTAGCTGGGATTACAGACAGGCGCCATGGCGCCCAGCTAATTTTTGTATTTTTAGTAGAGACAGGGTTTTTCCATGTTAGCCAGGCTGGTCTCGAACTCCTGACCTCAAGTGATCTGCCCGCCTTAGCCTCCCAAAGTGCTGGAATTACAGGGTGAGCCACCATGCCTGGCCAGAGTTGAACAGTTCTTGATAGCCCAGGACATCTGCTGGGCTGGCCACATTACCCATCCTCCTTTAGACATTCTCTCTAAAGAGCTTCATTCATTTCCAAAACAGTTGAGGAATGGGAACCAATGTGTTTTGGGGCCTCATGTTTACACTGATCTAATCTTGATCTCCTGAAAAATCTTTGTGACTTTTTTTTTGTCACTGAGTTAAAAGCAGAGTGAGAGTATTAACATTTTTGTTCTACTCCAGCTCCCTCTTACAATTAAGGGGAAAAGTAGTTGGTCTTAGTCTATTTATCCCTTAACTTCTATGATTAATTTTGATTTCTTTTCTAGATTTGCCCAATTAATACTGGGGTACAGTGTATCCTGGAGAGCAGGGTGTGTGGGAGGAGTCTCTTGGGGGAGATAGGAGATAGGAGTGCTCTATTGTTTACAAACACAGGTGCCCACAGGGCCAAGCAAGAGATGAGTGACAAGGACCATGAGAAACAGGTTGCTTCCAAGGGAGATGTTTGTTTTTCCTTTTTAGATAAAGATAATACTACAGTGTAACTCTTTCTTATTCTATACAGAAAGTCACAGCACATGTGCATTGATACAAGGCTGCTGAGGCCTGGTCTCCAGTTGGAAATATAATTAAGGGTGACAAGGACTGGAGTAAGTTGGAGAGTACACAGCCAGCCAGTCTGTGACGACAACTGCTACCTTGCTATAACAAGTTAGTGCCACATAAGAATGTCATAGGCCCAGTATTTGACAGATAGTTTCAATTTTTACTCCTAGAGAAGCCAAAAATCCAGAATTTTATATGAAATCTTACCATTTTAAAAGATTGGCAACTAATTATTTTTCTTTTTCTTTCTTTTTTTTTTTTTTTTTTTTTTTTGAGACAGAGTCTCCTTCTGTCACCAGGCTGGAGTGCAGTCACACGATATCAGTTCACTGCAACCTCCACCTCCCGGGTTCAAACGATTCTCCCACCTCAGCCTCCTGAGTAGCTGGGATTATAGGCACGCACCACCACACCCAGCTAATTTTTGCATTTTTAGTAGAGACAGGGTTTCACCATGTTGGCCAGGATGGTCTTGATCTCTTGACCTCGTGATCTGCCCGCCTCAGCCTCCCAAAGTGCTGGGATTACAGGTGTGAGCCATAGTGCCCGGCAATTATTTTCCTTAAACACTGTGCAGCCCAAAGGGGCTGAGCGGACATGTGAGTGGGGAAAGCCAGCTTGTGGGTGGCCATTTTGCAGCCTCTGATCTAAGACGGTGCATGCCTTGTCCTCTTAAAACAACTCCTGTGGCACCACTTCTCCCTCCACAAGGCCAAATCCATCGTGTCTGATCTTAAGGAGAAGGCCCTTCCAGTGCTAGGAGAGGTATGGGCAGCCTCTCATCTGTGAGCTATGGGGATCAGCAGGCCACCTGCCCCAGTCTTGGAGCTCTGTAGGGTGAATGAGGCAGACGTGGAAGAGTTGGCCCCACCAACAGCTGCTTTGTGGAGCAGGGGTCCAAGGAAGATAAGGTGGACTCAAGGTCAGGCTGCCTGGATTTGTCCGCCACCCTGTTATGCCATGACAACTTCTGAACCACACACCAGACCTGAGTTCTGGGCTCATTTGAAGCCTGGAATAGCAATAAATATTTTTAACTTGCAAAAAGAAAAGAAAAAGGCAGGTGTGGTGGCTCACACCTGTAATCCCAGCACTTTCAGAGGCTGAGATGAGCAGATCACTTGAGGCCAGGAGTTCGAGACCAGCCTGGCCAACATGGGGAAACCCCCTCTCTACTAAAAATACAAAAATTAGCCAGGCATGGTGGTGTGTGCCTGAAGTCCCAGCTACTCGAGGAGGCACCAGAATCACTTGAACCCCAGAGGAGGAGGTTGCAGTGAGCTGAGATCGCACTACTATACTCCACCCTGGACAACAGACTGGGACTCTGTCTCAGAGAGAAAAAAGAGAGAGAGAGTTATTATTAATTCTTTAGGAATAACTAGATTGATACAAAAATTACTGTTCATTCTTTTTTTGTGTGTTTTTTTTCAGACAGGGTCTCACTCTGTCACCCAGGCTGGAGTGCAGTGGTGTGATTACAGCTCACTGCAGCTTCAGCCTTCCAGCCTCAAGCTATCCTCCCACCTCAGCCTCCTGTGTAGCTGGCAAATAGACACACACCACCAAGTCCAGCTAACTTTTGTATTTTTTGTAGAGACAGAGTTTTGCCATGTTGCCCAGGCTGGATTGTCTTTTATATTTAGTAATGTTTAATTATACGTGATAAATGCTATAGAGTTCTCATTAAAATGAACTATAGCGAATTTTTAAGTAAAAAAACAATTTGCATAATATATTTTTAAAATAAGCACTCCTAAAATAATACTGTGTATTTTCATCAGTTTATTTGTATAAATATGCATATAAATGGATAAATAAAGACCCCAAGGATACATGCAAACTAAAAATAGTAATTAATTATGTAGAAGAAAAAATTGGGGGAGTCAAGGATGACTGTAGCTTAATCTGTCATAAATATATGAACTTAAAAACATAATTTTAAGGAGAAAACAATTTTAAGTACATTCAGAGGCACAAAGTCTGCTTTTGAACTCCTTTAAAAATATACAAGTGCAGACATAAAAGCTCCATGGGGTCACAATAAAATTGTAAAGGCTTGTGTACTATTATCATAATCGTAGGATGACCAATCATAGTGATTTTCCCAGGATGACTGGTCATCTTACATAATGGTATCCCTTAGAGTAAAAAACAGTGTTTTTTTCTTAAGTTTGGCCGGATAATTGCTGGTATATGTAATAAATAAAGTTTGGGGGGACTCAGGCTTTTTTCTAATGCCTGGGCATTGATAATACAATCAGTCTATATAAGATTTATTAATTTAGCAAACAGTAATTGATCGTTTATTGTGTGTCATCACTATAATAGTGATATAGGAAATAGAAAGAAATCATTTAGGTAGATTGTTAGGATGAAGAGGCTCCCCAGCAGAAAACTTTCCTTCTAACAAAAAGCAGCTCGGAAATTGCTCCCTTTCTAACCTCATGCAGTTCAAAGAAATCACTTCTCTTCTAACAAAGAGCAGCCTGGAAGATCAGGCTGTAAAACACAGATAAGCAACTTGGGCACAGAGTGGGGAGCTTCCTGGTTATCACCAAACTTCACATACCTACAATGGGCCCAAGTAAAAACAGTGCACTTTTTTTTTTTTTTGAGTCGGAGTGTCGCTCTGTCGCCGAGGCTGGAGTGCAGTGGCATCACCTCGGCTCACTGCAAGCTCCGCCTCCCGGGTTCACGCCATTCTCCTGCCTCAGCCTCCCAAGTAGCTGGGACTACAGGCGCCCGCCACCACGCCCGGCTAATTTTTTGTATTTTTAGTAGAGACGGGGTTTCACTGTGTTAGCCAGGATGGTCTCCATCTCCTGACCTCGTGATCTGCCTGCCTCAGCCTCCCAAAGTGCTGGGATTACAGGCGTGAGCCACCGCGCCCCGCCCCCAGTGCACCTTAATAAGCACATTCCTTTCCCTTTATTTAGCCTCACTAAGATAGGGAAGCTGGAAGCATGCACTGGGCGGGGGAGGCCTGCAGCTGCAAGAAGGTGCCTGGGAACCCGGCACAGAAACTCTCCCTCCCCTTTTAGCACACGCAGATAAGCAGCAGCACAGCCGCACAATCTAAGAGCCTGCCTGCATAATCAAAGAATGGGGTGGGGCTATTAGAAACTCTGCTCTAAGCAGACGGCACACCTGGTCCTAGCCAGTTCTTCAGGCCCTATGGAGCTAAGACACCCCCTTCTCACTAGCTCATTTTTTAAAAACCCTGACATTTTTACTACAACTTGGCAATCAGTTTGGACCCCTCTCTGTGACAGACAGCTGTTCTTTCTTCTCACCTTTTAAACTCCTGCTCCAATCTCAGTCTGTATGCATCTGCATCCTTGATTTCCTTGGCCATGAGATCAAGAACCTTGGTATTTACCCCAGACAATGAGCCTGTTTTAGTAGTTCCTATAGATCCTATAATAAGTGAGGCACAATCCCTTTATTTACTTATTTATTTTTGAAACAGAGTCTCATTCTGTCGCCCAGGCTGAGGTGCAGTGGTGTTCCCGGGCCAAACCAAGGGTCAGGTTCCTTATTCTCGTGGCCCAATAACGAGATAAAGATGAACTGGGAGAAAAGGGAGTTTTTATTTCTATAGCTGGTTACAGGGAGAAGGGCTGGAAATTATCGCTGGACCAACTCAAAATTACAAAGTTTTCCAAAGCTTATATACCTTCTAAGCGATATGTGTACATGTAAGTGTGCATTTACCTAAAGACACAAGCGATTAACTTCTTTTAATCTGTAACTAAGATCTGAGTCCTGAAGACCTTCCTCTGGAGCCTCAGTAAATTTACTTAAGCTAAATGGGTCCAGGTGCTGGGGTGATTACCGACCATTATCTTGTCTCCTGCTAAGTCATGGAGGTTTGGGGACTTACTTTAGTCCCCAATAAAGCTTGTTTGTGGAGGCCTGGAGAGTTTCTTCAGGCCCACAATAAAACTTGTTTAATCCTCAACAGGTCCTGTTAAGAATTCCTTCATTATCTTGTCATGCTTTAAGGCTGAGGAAAAGCCTAAGCAAAACTCTTGGTGGGCTTTTGTCACATTCCAGACTTTGTACAAGGGCACTAGCTCTTTCAACTTTCAACATTTAACTTAACCACTCAATCAGTACTGAAACAGTTGTTATGGAGGCCTGCATCAGTGGGACCTGGCCTGCCACAGTGTGATTACAGCTCACCGCAGCCTCGATCTCCTGGGCTTAAGCAATCCTCATGCTCAGCTGAGACTACAGGTACACAGTCATGCGCATCTGTGTGAAGAGACCACCAAACAGGCTTTGTGTGAGCAACAAGGCTGTGTTTATTTCACCTGGGTGCAGGCGGGCTGAGTCCAAAAAGAGAGTCAGCAAAGGGTGGTGGGATTATCATTAGTTCTTATAGGTTTGGGGATAGGCGGTGGAGTTAGGAGCAATGTTTTGCAGGCAGTGGGTGGATCTCACAAAGCACATTCTCAAGGGTGGGAAGAACTACAAAGAACCTTCTTAAGGGTGGGGGAGAAACAAATCACAATGGTGGAATGTCATCAGTTAAGGCTATTTTCAGTTCTTTTGTGGATCTTCAGTTGCTTCAGGCCATCTGGATGTATACGTGCAGGTCACAGGGGATATGATGGCTTAGCTTGGGCTCAGAGGCCTGACACACACCACTACTTTTTTTTTTTTTTTTTTTGGAGAGATGGGGTCTCACTGTGTTGCCCAGGCTGGTCTCAAACTCCCAAGCTCAAGTGATCTTCCTGCTTCAGCCTCCCAAAGCACTGGGCTTACAGTTGTGAGCAGCTTCACCAAGCCATGGCACAATCTTTATCCTCAAATACTTTAGCATCCCAAGAAGAAAATACACAAGTAAGCAGGTAACCCAAAGACAGTATTAAGTGACAAGTAAGTAGAAGGAGCTGAGGGAGCACTTGGGTGGAACATCTAACAGCCTTAGGAGAGCAGAGAAGCTTTTCTGGAGGAAAGCACAAAGGCAAAAACAAGAATTGTGTGAAGGCCAACCCTACAGACTGCCAGATGTTCCTGCAACATCTCTGTGACACCTATATTAGTCCGTTTTCACACTGCTGTAAAGAAATAGCAAGAGTGGGTAATTTATAAAGGAAAGAGGCTTAATTAACTCACAGTTCCACATGGCTGAGGCAGCCTCAGGAAATTTACAAAAAATGGTGGAAGGCAAAGGGTAAGCAAGACAACAGGAGAGAGAATGAGACTGAGCACAGGAAATACTGCCACTTTTAAAGCCATCAAGATCTCGTGAGACTCACTCATTATCATGAGAATGGCATTGGGGACACCGCCCCCATAATCCAATCACTTCCCACCCTCGACATGTGGGGATTACAGGTCCCTCCCTTGACATGTGGGATTACAATTGAAGATGAGATTTGGGTAGGGACACAAAGCCAAACCATATCAACACCTCTCCCCTCCTGGAGCTTCCACAGTAGCAATTGGTGTTACACTGATCTGTGAGCTCCCTGAATGTCTGCTTAGAGTTCTTAGAGGCAGGACCTGCTCCATCTTACTTTGTAACTACAGCAAGGCTGTCATGTGTGAATGAATAAAGAGCTTTTATTGACCAAAAAAAAAAAAAATGTAAGTGATGGAAAGTATTAAATCATCATATGGGCCAGGCACAGTGGCTCATGCCTGTAATCCCAAAATTTTGGGAGGCTGAGGCAGGAGGATTGCTTGAGCCCAGGAGTTCAAGACCAGCATGGGCAACATAGTGAGACCCCCATCTCTATAAAAAAAAATTAAATTGGAAAAATTTAAAAAGATAATAGTGCATCTTAAATTGATGGCATCTTAGATTCAATTAAATGTGGTATTTTTAAAAGGATCACTCCGGTTGCAGTGTTGAATAAAGCCAGTACAGGAGGTAAGGAGGAAGGGAGAAAATGAGAAAAGCAGAGGATGATTCAGGATGCTATTGCAGTAGAGAAATGATGGTAACTGGGATCAAAGTTGTAGCATAGTAGAAAGGAGAGATTGTCTGATTCTAAATGTATTTTTAAAGGGCAGTTGATAATGGACAGCAAGAAATGAGGAGTGAAGGAAAGAGAAGACTCCAGGATTAGTTCAAGATTTATGACCAGGACAACTAGAAGAAGGGAATTGCCATTTTCTAAACTTTCAAGTTCTTAGCCACAACTTGGCCACTAAAAATCTGAGTAACTTTAGAAAAGTCATTACCCTTCTCTGAACCTCAACTTTCACATTTGTACATGACAGATTTAAACCAGATCAGAAGTTCTCAAACTGTGTTAGGTACAGGTGCCTTACGATGCTTCTCAGGAGATGGGAGAAAATTCAGGCAAACTGGATTACAGGCTGTGTATAGTAGCAGTCCATGTAAAGTTGCATTTAAAAGCAGGAATTAAAAGTATTTAAAATAACTATATGCCAGGTGCAGTGTCATGCACCTGTCCCAGCTACTTGGGAGGCTGAGGTAGGAGGATCACTTGAGTTCAGAAATTTGAAACCAGTGTAGACAACATAACAAGACTCTATCGCTATAAAAAATAAAATAATTAATTAAAAACATATAGCTACCACAGTTTGTTAATGAAAATATACTATAAAAGATGTAAAGTGTAACTTCAATAGCATAAAATGGGATAAGGGAGAAGTAAAAGTATACAGTTTTTGTATGTGCTTGAAGTTAAGCTGTTATTAACTTAAATTAGAATGTTATAACTATAAGATACTTTATGTAAGCCCCATAGTAACCACAAAGAAAAAATCTCTAGTAGATACACAAAAGATAAAGAAAAAGAAATCAAAGCGTACCACTACAAAAATTCAACGAATCACAAAGGAAGACAGCAAGATTGGAAGAAAGGAACTACAAAACAGTCAGTAAACAATTAACAAAATGGCAATCATAATTTCTTACCTGTCAAAAATTACTTTAAATGTAAATGGATTGCTCGGTGCGATGGCTCATGCCTGTGATCCCAGCACTTTGGGAGGCCAAGTCAGGCGGATCACTTGAGGTCGGGAGTTCGAGACCAGCCTGACCAACATGGAGAAACCCCATCTCTACAAAAAATACAAAATTAGCCATGCATGGAGGCACATGCCTGTAATCCCAGCTACTTGGGAGGCTGAGGCAGGAGAATTGCTTGAACCAGGGAGGCGGAGGTTGTGGTGAGCCGAGATGGTGCCATTGCACTCCAGCCCGGGCAACAAGAGTGAAACTCTGTCTCAAAAAAAAAAAAAAAAAAAATGTAAATGGATTAAATTCTCCAGTCAAAAGAGAATGCCTTAAAAAAAAAGTTCTGGCCGGGCACGGTGGCTCACGCCTGTAATCCCAGCACTTTGGGAGGCCGAGGCGGGCGGATCACGAGGTCAGGAGATCGAGACCACGGTGAAACCCCGTCTCTACTAAAAATACAAAAAATTAGCCGGGCGCAGTGGCGGGCGCCTGTAGTCCCAGCTACTCGGGAGGCTGAGGCAGGAGAATGGCGTGAACCCGGAAGGCGGAGCTTGCAGTGAGCGGAGATCGCGCCACAGCACTCCCGCCTGGGCGACAGAACGAGACTCTGTCTCAAAAAAAAAAAAAAAAAAAAAAGTTCAACCATATGCTGCCTATATAATTCAATCATAAAGACACATTTAGACTAAAAGCAAAGACATAGAAACAGATATTTAATGTAAATGGAAAACAAAAGAGAGCAGGAGTGGCAATATTTATAACAGACAAAATAGATCTTAAGTAAAAAAACTGTAAAAATGGATAAAAATTGTCATTATATAGTGATAAAGGGGTCAAGTAATCAAAAGGATATGACAACTTTATTTCAGACATTTAGAGAGAAGGATATAACAACTGTAAATATATACACCCCCAACACTGGAGCTCCTAAATATATGAAGCAAATATTAACAGATCTGAAGAGAAAGACAGATTGCAATATGATAATAGCAGGAGAATTTCAAACCCTATTTTCAATAATGAACAGATCATCCAGACAAAAAATCAATAAGGAAACATTGGACTTGAACTACACATTAGACCATGGGTGTCCAATCTTTTGGCTTCCTTGGGCAACATTGGAAGAAGAAGAATTGTCTTGAGCCACATATAAAATACACTAACAATAGCTGATAAGCTAAAAGAAAAAAAAATCTCATAATGTTTTGAGAAAGTTTACGAATTTGTGTTGGGTCACATTCAAAGCCATCCTGGGCCGCATGTAGCCCATGGGCCATGGGTTGGACAAGCTTGTTTTAGACCAAATGGACCTGAATGACATATATAGGACAATATATCCAACCCCACTAAAATACACATTCCTCTCAAGTATACACACAGAACATATTCCAGAATAGATATGTTAGGCCACAAAACAAGTCTTTAAAAATGTAGTCCAGGGGCAGTGGCTCATGCCTATAATTCCAGCACTCTAGGAAACTTGAGGTTAGGAGTTTGAGACTAGCCTGGCCAACATGGTGAAACCTGTCTCTACTAAAAATACAAAAAAAAAAATAGCTGGGCGTGGTGACGGGTGCCTGTAATCCCAGCTACTCAGGAGGCTGAGGCATGAGAATCACTTGAACCTGGGAGGTGAAGGTTGCAGTGAGCCAAGATCATGCCACTGCATTCCAGCCTGGATGACAGAGGGAGACTCTGTCTCAAAAAAAAAAAAAAAAAAAGGAAAAAACTCTAAGAGGGTGC
The DNA here is from genome assembly GCF_000001405.40 of Homo sapiens. Lineage (NCBI taxonomy): Eukaryota > Metazoa > Chordata > Mammalia > Primates > Hominidae > Homo > Homo sapiens. Next base: position 171,402,840 of record NC_000001.11, read on the forward strand.
AGTGAGAAAGAAAATGGCAAATAGGAGACAGGTCTAATGTGTAGCTCCCACTTGGATGAACAGAACAGCTTGTAGAGACTCATATCGTGAAATTTTGCTCAAGTACCACTGCAGGAACATATCAGGAAAACTGAAAGAATTCACAGACCCTCTGAAAGAAGCAGTTTGCTGTTGCAAACTCTATGAGATAGTAGAAAAACTGTGAGTTCCCAACGTGTGAGGTCGGGGAAAGCCTGCCTCCAAACACACATCCCCAAACACTGGGGAACCTGAAAATCCAGATCACAGGAGAAGAATTTAACCTTACCTAGAGCTAAAACAGATTTAGGGAGCTGAGCAAAATATGAAAAGTAGAAAAAGCAGTGGGAAGAGCCTTGTAGGCACTCCCAGTCCCCAACTTGAGCCCAAGGAAACCGTCCCTGACTTAATCTCACAGGGGTCCTTGGGGAAGGCAGCCAGAGGAATTAGGGAAGGGTCAAAGGGTGAAAGAAGCTTCTAGCTGAACTTTGTAATAATTTTGACCCAGCACGAATTTTTGTGAGCAGAACTCAGGGGGTGAACAGGAAGTGCAGATAGCAGCTCAGAAGCTACAGCCAAAGGTGTAGGCAGACAGGGAGGGGCAAGGCCTGAAAGTTCTGCTACCCTTCTCAGCAGGGAAGCTTACGGCCTGGGGCAAGAGCTCAGCCCCGCATGCCAGCTGCCTGAATATAAACTCGGTGGTGTTGGCAGGGCACAGCAGGAATGAGACGGCCTTGCTGGCTGCGTGGAAGCTGGAGGAGGCTAACCACCGCTGGCTTTCTCCACTTCCCTGGCAACCTGGATGACACAGCAGAGGCAGCCATAATCCCCCTGGGAACATAATTCCATTGGCCTGAGAACCACACTCCCCATACCGGACAGTGGCCTCAGCAAGCCCCAGAGAAGAGTCTGAGCTCAGATCCATCTAACCCTGCCCCCATCTGATAGTTTTTCTCTACCTGCCCTGATAGCTGAAGACAAAAGACATAAATTCGTGGGAGCTCTGTGGCCTTGCCCATCACCTGAGAAGCCTGAATACTTATCCTGACCAACATAGGGCAAGCTTATATCCCCCTTCTACCACAGCTGGTGCTCTCTTGAAAGCACCACTTCCTAGCTGGAGGTCACCCAACTTAAGCCATTATAGCAACTCATAAGAAAACAACTCTGCTCCAAAGAAGGAGAAAACAACAGCTAATTCCACTCCCTACAACATGGCTAACCAGAGGTTCCTGAATCCTTCCACATGACAACTTCACTGCTAGGATTACCAGCATTCTAGAAAAACAGTGCACTAAACAAAAGTACAACCAACAATTCCCACAGAGTCCACTTCACTCCCCTGCCACCTTCACTGGGTATCCACAGCTGGGAGACCAAAGGACAGATCACATCACAGGACTCTTTGCAGACAATCCCCAGTACTAGCCCAGAGCCCAGTAGCTCTGCTGGGTGGCAGTAACAATCATTGCAGCCCAACTCTCAGGAAGCCCCCATCCCAGGAGAAGGGAGAGAACACCACAGCAAGGGATCACCTGGTGGAACAAAAGAACCTGAACAGCAGCCCTTGAGTTCCAGATTTTTCACCTGAAATAATCCTCCCAAATGAGAAGGAACAAGAAAAGTGATTCTGGTAATATGAAAAAACAAGGTTCTTTGACACCCCTAAAAGATCACACTAGCTCTCTAGCAATGGAACCAAACCAAGAGGAAACCTCTGAATTGCCAGATAAAGAATTCAGAAGGTTGATTATTAAGCTACTCAAGGAGTTACCAGAGAAAGTGTAGGGTCCAGTCCTACTGGGCCTGTGGGTTTTTCTCCTCATGTGAGGAGACAAGGGATCGTAGAAATAAAGACACAAGACAAAGAGATAGAAGAAAAGACAGCTGGGCCCGGGGGACCACTACCACCTAGACGCGGAGACCAGTAGTGCCCGCGAATGCCTGGCTGTGCTGTTATTTACTGGATACAAAGCAAGAGGGCAGGGTAAGGAGTGTGAGCCATCTCCAATGATAAGTAAGATCACACGAGTCACGTGTCCACCGGACCCGGGGGTGGGGGGGTGTCCCTTCCCTGTTTAGTAGCCAAGGCGGAGAAAGAGAGGGGACGGCTTATGTCATTATTTCTTCCACGCATTTCAAAGACTTTAGTACTTTCACTAATTCTGCTACTGCTATCTAGAAGGCAGAGCCAGGTGTACAAGGCGGAACATGAAAGTGGACCAGGAGCGTGACCGCTGAACCACAGCATCACAGGGAAACGGTTAGGACTCCGGATGGCTGAGGGTGAGACTGACTGTTGTCAGGCCTTCCACAAGAGGTGGTGCAGCAGAGTCTTCTCTAACTCCCCTGGGGGAAAGAAAGACTCCCTTTCCCGGTCGGCTAAGTAACGGGTGCCTTCCAAGGCACTGGCATTACCACTAGAACAAGGAGCCCTCTAGTGACCCTGTCTGGGCATGACAGATGGCTCATACTCTTGTCTTCCGGTCACTTCTGTGTCCCTTCAGTTCCTATCTCTGTATGGCCTGGTTTTTCCTAGGTTATAATTGTAGAACAAAGATTATTATAATATTGGAATAAAGAATAAAGCTACTAATGATTAATAACATTCATATGTAATCATATCCATAATCTATTTCTAGTATAACTATTCTTATTCTATATATTTTCTTTATTATACTGGAACAGCTTGTACCCTCGGTCTCTTGCTTTGGCTGGCACCTGGGTGGCTTGCCACCCACAGAAAGGTGAAAACCAACTTAAAGACATTTTAAAAACAATACAGGATATGGATTAAAAATTCTCCAGAAAAATAGATATCATAAAGAAAAAACACTCACAACTTCTGGAAATGAAAGACACACTTAGAGAAATACCAAATACACTGGAAAGTTTCAACAATAGACTAGAACAAGTAGAAAAAAGAACTTCAGAGCTTAAAGACAAGGCTTTCAAATTAACCCAATGAGACAAAGACAAAGACAAAATGAATTTTAAAAAAATGAACAAAGTTTCCAAGAAATTTGAGATTCTATTAAATGAGCAAACATAAGAATAATTTGTGTTCCTGAGGAAGAAGAGAAATCTAAAAGTTTGGAAGACATATTTGAGGGAATAATAATGAAAAAAAAGCTTCCTTGGCCCTGCTAGAGATCTAGACATTCAAATACAAGAAACTCAAGGAACACCTGGGAAAGTTATCATAAAAAGATCATCACCTAGGCACTTAATCATCAAGTCAAGACAAAGGAAATAATCTTAAGAGCTGTGAGACAAAAACATCAGGTAAAACATAAAGGAGAACCTATTGAATTAACAGCAGATTTCTCAGTAGAAACCCTATAAGCCAGAGGGATTGGGGTCCTATCTTTTTTTTCTTTCTTTCTTTTTAAGACGGAGTCTCACACTGAGGCCCAGGCTGGAGTGCAGTGGCATGATCTTGGCTCACTGTAACCTCTGCCTTCTGGGTTCAAGCGATTCTCCTGCCTCAGCCTCCCAAGTAGCTGGAACTACAGGCACGCACCACCATGCCCAGCTAATTTTTGTATTTTTGGTAGAGATGGGATTTCACCATGTTGGCCAGGATGGTCTCAAACTCTTGACCTCGTGTTCTGCCCCTCCTTGGCCTCCCAAAGTGCTAGGATTACAGGCGTGAGCCACTGTGCCCTGCCTGGGGTCCTATCTTTAGCCTCCTTAAACAAAATAATTATCAGGCAAGAACTTTGTATCCAGCAAAACTAAGCTTGATAAATGAAAGAGAGATAAACTCTTTTTCAGACAAATGCTGAGAGAATTCACCACTACCAAGCCAGCACTACAAGAAATGCCAAAAGGAGTTCTAAATCTTGAAACAAAACCTCAAAATATACCAAAATAGATCTTCCTCAAAGCATAAATCTCATAAGGCCTATAAAACACAGTGAAAACAAAACAAGGTATTCAGGTAACAACTAGCATGATGAATAGGATAGTACCTCACATCTCAGTAGAAATTTTGAATGTAAATGGCCTAAATGTTTCACTTAAAAGATAAAGAATGGCAGAATGGTTAAAAATCCACCAACCAAGAATCAGCTGCCTTCAACTGACTCACCTAACACACAAGGGCCCGCACTGAGTTAAGGTAAAGGGGTGGAAAAATATATTCCATGCTAATGGAAACCAAAATCAAGCCAGAGTAGCTATACTTATATCAGACAAAACAGACTTTAAAGTAATGACAATTTAAAAAAGACAAAGAGAACATTATATAATAATAATAGGATTAGTCCAATAGGAAAATATGACAATCCTAAATATATATGCATCTAACACTGGAGCTCCCAAATTTATGAAACAATTACTACTGGCTAGGCGTGGTGGCTCACACCTGTAATCCCAGTGCTTTGGTAGGCCGAGGCAGGCAGATCACTTGAGGCCAGGAGTTGAAGATCAGCCTGGCCATCATAGTGAAACCCTATCTCTACTAAAAATAGAAAAATTAGCTGGGTGTGGTGGTGCATGCCTATAATCCCAGCTACATGAGAGGTGAAGGTTGCATTGAGGCAAGATGGCACCACTGCACTTCAGCCTGGGTGACAGAGTAAGATTCTGTCTCAAAAAAAAAAAATAATAATAATAATAATAATAATTACTACTAGGTGAAAGAAATGATATAGATGGCAACACAATAATAGTGGGGGATTTCGATACTCTACTGACAGCACTAGACAGGTCATCAAGACAGAGAGTCAACAAAGAAATAATGAACTTAAACTATGCCCTAGAACGAATGCACTTAACAGATATTTACAGAGCATTCTACCCAACAACTACAGAATATACATTCTATTCTTCAGCACATGGAACATTCTCCAAGATAGACAATATGATAGACCACAAAACAAGTCTCAATAAATTTGAGAAAATTGAAATTATATCAAGTACTCTCCCAGGGCAATGTGAAATAAAATTGGAAATTAACTCCAAAAGGAACATTCAAAACTATACGAATACATGTAAATTAAATAATCTGCTCCTGAATGATCCCTGGGTCAACAATGAAATCAAAATGGAAATTAAAAAATTATTTGAACTGGGCCGGGCATGGTGGCTCACATCTGTAATCCCAGCACTTCGGGAGGCCGAAGTGGGTGGATCACCTGTGGTCGGGAACTTGAGACCAGCCTGACCAACACGGAGAAACCCTGTCTCTACTAAAAATACAAAATTTGCCAGGCATGGTGGTACATACCTGTAATCTCAGCTACTTGGGAAGCTGAGGCAGGAGAATCGCTTGAACCTGGGAGATGGAGGTTGCAGTGAGCCGAGATTGCACCATTGTACTCCAGCATGGATGACAGAGTGAAACTCTGTCGCCAAAAAAAAAATTTTTTTTGAACTGAATGATACTAGTGACAAAACCTATCATAACCTCAGGAATACAGCAAAAGCAATGCTACAAGGAAAGTTTATAGCATTAAATGCCTACCTCAAAATGTCTGAAAGAGCACAAAGAGACAATTAAAGGCCACACCTCAAGGAAATAGAGCAACAAGAATAAACCAAACCCAAACCCAGCAGAAGAAAAGAAATTACAAAGATCAGAGCAGAGCTAAATACAATTGAAACAAACAAACAAAAAAAGAAAACAAGAGATAAATGAAGCAAAAAGCAGGTTCTTTGAAAAGATAAACAAAATTCATAGACCATTAGAAAGATTACTCAAGAAAAGAAGAGAGAAGATTCGAATAAGCTCAATTAGAAACAAAATGGGATGTATTACAAACAATATGGCAGAAATACAAAAGATCATTCAAGGCTGCTGTGAACACCTTTACCCTCACAAACTAGAAAACCTAGAGGAGATGTATAAATTCCTGGAAATATACAACCCTCCTAGATTAAACTAGTAAGAAATAGAAACTCTGACCAGACCAATAACAAGCAGCAAGACTGAAATGGTAACTTAAAAATTACCAAAAAAAAAAGTGTCCAGGACCAGATGGATTCACAGCTGAATTCTATCAGACGTTCAAAAATAATTGGTACCAATCCTACTGAAACTACTCTAAGAGATAGAGCAAGAGGGAATCCTCCCTAAATCATTCTATAAAGTCAGTATAACCAGCCGGGCTTGGTGGCTCATGCCTGTAATCTCAGCACTTTGGGAGGCTGAGGCGGGTGGATCACGAGGTCAGGAGATCAAGACCATTCTAGCCAACATGGAGAAACCCCGTCTCTACTAAAAAATACAAAAATTATCCAGGTGTGATGGCGCATGCCTGTAATCCCAGCTACTCGGGAGGCTAAGGCAGGAGAATCACTTGAACCAGGGAGTCGGAGGTTGCAGTGAGCTGAGATCACGCCACTGCACTCCAGCCTGGTGACAGAGCAAGACTCCATCCAAAAAAAAAAGTCAGTATAACCATAATACCAAAATTAGGAAAGGACAAAAGAAAACTACAGACCAATATCCCTGATGAACATAGATGCAAAAATCCTCAACAAAATACTAGCTAACTGAATCCAACAGTATATCAAAAAGATAATACACCATGATTAAGTGAGTTTCATGCCAGGGATTCAGGGATGATTGAAATACAGAAGTGAATGTAATACACCACATAAACAGAATTAAAAACAAAAACCATATAATCATTTCAATAGACACAAAAAAAGCATTTTATAAAACCCAGCATTCCTTTATGATTAAAACCCTCAGCAAAACTGACACAGAAGGGATACCTTAAGGTAATAAAAGCCATCTATGACAAACCCGTAGCTAACACTATACTGAATGGGAAAAAGTTGAAAGCATTTTCAGTGATAACTGTAACAAGATAAGGATGCTCATTTTCACCACTTCTATTCAACATAGTACTAGAAGTCCTATCCAGAGGAATCAGACAAGAGAAAGAAATGAAGGGCATCCAAATCAGTAAAGAGGAAGTCAAACTGTCACTGTCTGACAAATAATCATATGTCAAATATGATCATACTCCTAAAAACCCTAAAGACTCATCCAAAAGTCACCTAGATCAGATAAATGAATTCAGTAAAGTTTTAAGATACAAAATCAATGTACACAAATCAGCAGCACTGCTATACACCAATAGCAACCAAGCTGAGAATCAAATCAAGGACTCAAGCCCTTTTACAATAGCTGCAAAAAATAATAATAATAAAATGCTTAGTAATATACCTAACCAAGGAGGTGAAAGACCTTTACAAGAAAAACTGCAAAACACGGCTGAAAGAAATCATAGATGACACAAACAAATGGAAACACATCCCATGCTCATGGATGGGTAGAGTCAATATTGTGAAAACGATCATATTGCTAAAAGCAATCTACAAATTCAATGCAATTTCCATCAAAATACCATCATTATTCTTCACAGAACTAGAAAAAAAATCCTAAAATTCATACATAACCAAAAAAGAGCCAGCCAGCATAGCCAAAGCAAGACTAAGCAAAAAGAATAAATCTGGAGACATTATATTACCCAATTTCAAACTGTACTACAAAGCATAGTTACCAAAACAGCATGGTACTGGTATAAAAACAAGCAAATAGACAAATGGAACATAATAGAGAAACCAGAAATAAAGCTAAATACTTACAGCCAACTGATCTTCAACAAAGCAAACAAAAACATAAAGTGGGGAAAGGAAACCCTATTCAACAAACAGTGCCGAGATCATTGGCAAGCCACATATAGAAGAATGAAACTGGATCCTCGTCTCTCACTTTATACAAAAATCAACTCAAGATGGATCAAAGACCTAAATCTAAGACCTGAAACCATAAAAATTCTAGAAGATAATATTGGAAAAACCCTTCTAGACATTGGCCTAGGCAAAGAGTTCATGACCAAGAACCCAAAAGCAAGTGCAACAAAAACAAAGATAAATAGCTGGGACTTAATTAAACTAAAATGCTTCTGCACAGCAAAAGAAATAATCAGCAAAGTAAACAGAAAACCCATAGAGTGGAAGAAAATATTTACAAACTATGCATCCAACAAAGGACTAACATTCAGAATTTACAAGGAACTCAAGCAAATCAGCAAGAAAAAAACAAATAATCCCATCAAAAATTAGGCTAACGTTTGGGCTTGGTGGCCCATGTCTGTAATCCCAGCACTTTGGGAGGCCAAGGTGGGTGGATCACTTATGCCCAGGAGTTTGAGACAAGCCTAGGCGACATAGAGAAACCCTGTCCCTATAAAAAATACAAAAATGAGCAGGGTCCAGTGGCGTCTGTGTAGTCCCAGCTACTTGGGAGTCTGAGATAGGAGGATCCCTTGAACCCAGGAGGTGGAAGCTGCAGTAAGCTGAGATTACACCACTGCACTCCAGCCTGGGCAAGAGAGACAGACCCTGTCTCAAAAATAAAATAAAATAAAATAAATTTTAAAATTTTTTTTAAAAAAGTGAGCTAAGGACATGAATAGACATTTATTTTTATTTATTTATTTATTTTTGAGATGGAGTCTCACTCTGTCACCGAGGCTGGAGTGCAGTGGTGCAATCTCGTCTCACTGCAACCTCCATCTCCTGGGTTCAAGCTATTCTCCTGCCTCAGCCTCCCAAGTAGCTGGGATTACAGGTGCGTGCCACCACGCCCACCTAATTTTTTTGTATTTTTAGTAGAGACAAGGTTTCACCATTTTAGCCAGGAGGGTCTCGAACTCCTGACATCGTGATCCACCTGGCTCAGCCTCCCAAAGTGCTGGGATTACAGGTGTGAGCCACTGCACCCGGCCATAGACAATTCTTAAAAGAAGATATACATATGACCAACAAACATATTTTAAAAAATGCTCACATCACTAATTATCAAAGAAATGTGAATCTAAAACCATAATGTGGTACCACTTTACTCCTGCAAGAATAGCCATAATTTAAAAATTAAAAAAAATTGATATTGGTGTGGATGTGGTGGAAAGGGAACACTTTCACCCAGCTGGTAGGAATATAAACTAGTACAACCATTATGGAAAACAGTATAGAGCCTCCTTAAAGAACTAAAATTAGAACTACCATTTGATCCAGCAATCCTACTGCTGGGTATCTACTCAGAGGAAAAGAAGTCATTATATGAAAAAGACACTTGCACATGCACGTTTATAGCAGTGCAATTCAAAATTGCAAAAGTATGGAACCAGCCTAAATGCCCAATCAACCAACAAGTGGATAAAGAAAATATGGTATATATACACCATGGAATACTACTCAGCTATAAAAAGCAGTAAAATAATGGCATTCGCAGCAACCTGGATGAAGTTGGAGACCATTAATATAAATGAAGTAATTCAGGAATGGGAAACCTAACATCATATATTCTCACTTACGAGTGGGAGCTAAGCTATGAGGACACAAAGGCAGAAGAATGACATAATGGACTCTGGAGACTTGGGGAGAAGGGTGGGAGGAGGGTAAGGAATAAAAGAATACACATTGGGTACAGTCTACACTGCTCAGGTGATGGGTGTACCAAAATCTCAGAAATCACCAATAAAGAACTTATCCATGTAATTAAAAAAAAAAAAAGAAAACATTGAACTTGGAGTACACTGTAGACCAAATGGACCTAAAAGACATATACAAATATTCCATCCAACAGTAACAGGATATACATTCTTCTCAAGTGCACACAAAACATTCTTCAGAATAATTCACATATTAGAAGGAGATTGGCATTAATAACCCAGAGAGCAAATGGAAAATACCTGCAGGTGGGGGCAGGGGAAGTGGTAGCAGGGATGATAGATGAGATGTTGGACTATAGAAGGGAAAGGAACAGAAAAAAATTGATAATTTTGGATAAATTGCATGAATACCCTGCTTTTAGTGATTAAAAGAACACTTATTTTTGGCGGGGTGAGACGGTTCACACGTAGCACTTTGGGAAGACAAGGCAGGTGCATGGCTTGAGCTTAGGAGTTCAAGACCAGCCTGAGCAACATGGTGAAACCCATCTCTACCAAAAATACAAAAATTAGCTGGGCATGGTGGCATGAGTCTGTGATCCCAGCTACTTGGGAGGCTGAGGCAGGAGGATTGCTTGAGCTCAGGAGCAGAGGTTGCAGTGAGCCGAAATTAAACCACTGCACTCCAGCCTGGGTAACAGAGTGAAACTCCATCTCAAAAAAAAAAAAAAAAGAGGAACACGTGTTTTTGTAAAAAAAAAGAAAAGAAATAAACCAGAGAGAGGGATACAATGCTGGGAGAACCAGCTGCAATTTAAAATCTTGTACATATCTCCCTAAAGTTATTATATGCAAATATAATAATATACAATATAACATATTGGACATTATATTCACTCTAATATTACCGACAATACATCAGCTGTTATATTTATTATATTAACACTGCGCAATATAGTGTGATAAATTTAATGTGTTGTATGATAACACGTAGGTAATTATAATATATAATTATATAATAATGTATATATGATAATTATTTTAAAATTAAGAGACTAAAACTATATCAAGTATCTTTTCCAACCACAATGGTATAAAATTAGAAATCAACAAATGGAGGAATTTTGGAAAATTCAAAAATATGTGGAAATTAAACAACAGGCTCCTGGACAAACAATGGGTCAAAAAAGAAATCAAAAGGGAAATTTTAAAATAATTTAAGACACACAAAAATGGAAAAACGATATACCAAAATGTATGGGATAACAGCAAAAGCAACTGTAAGAAGGAAATTTATAGCAATAAATGCCTACATTGAAAAAGAAGGATCTAAAAAAAAAAGAAAACAACCTAACATTACACCCCAAGGAACTAGAAAAAGAAGAACAAACTAAGACCAAAGTTAGTAGAAGGAAGTGTTACCGGCGGGTCTTTGTTCTTAGAGCTCCCAAGATGGTGGCGGGCTGCTCCCAAGATGGTGGCGGGCTGCTCCCAAGATGGTGGCAAGCCTTTTGTTCTCTGACCTGGGGTTCTTGGCCTCACGGATTCCAAGGAATGGAACCTTGGGCCATGTGGTGAGTGTTATAGCTCTATTAGAAGCCATGGGTCATGGAAGAGAACCATGGAACCCAGTGACTAGTGTTCAGCTCCATTAGGACTAACCTCGGCACTTAGCCATGCAGGAATAATGGCAAGCCTCTAGCCTGATCAGGAGTGGCAATGGGCACCTCACTGGATCAGAAGAACAGCGGACACCCTGCCAGATCCCAAGGGGTGGAAGTCAACGGGGGGTCTGTGATGGCGGCATTCAGCAGTGGTGGACGGCAAGTGAAAGCTCTGCTCAAGCCAGAACAAACATGGACCAGAAGAGTGTGCAGTTGCAAGATTTAATAGAGTGAAAACAGAGCTCCCATACAACGGGAGGGGACCCAAAGGGGGTTGCCCAGTCCAGCACCAATGCCTGGGTTTATATCCCAATCATTGTCCCTCCTGCTGTGCTCTCAGGTGATAGATGATTGACTATTTCTTTACCTCCTGCTTTTAGCCTAATTGGTATTTTAGTGAGCTGAGTTGCAAGCCCAGTGTTTAAAGGTTTAAACACTGTTTAAAGGTGCGGTCACCTGCCCCAGCTAGGCTTAGGAATTCTTAGTCAGCCTAGGAAATCCAACTAATCCTGTCTCTCAGAAGGGAATAAGATCAGGGCAAAAATAAATGAAATATAGACTAGAAAAATAATAGAATCAAGAAAACTGAGTTGATTTTCTTAAAAGACAAACAAAATCAACAAACCTTTAGCAAGACTAAGAAAAAAAGATTCAAATCAAATCAGAAAGGAAAGATGAGACATTAGAACTGATACTGTCGAGACACAAAGGATTGAAAGAGACTAATATGAACAATTATACTCCAACAAATTGGATAACCTAAAGGAAATGGATAAAGTCCTAGAAACATACAACTTCCCCAGACTGAATTATGAAGAAATAGAAAATCTGAATAGATTAATAATGAGTAAGGAGATTGAATCAGCAATAAAGTCTCCCACCAAAGAAAAGCCTAGGATCTGTTAGCTTCACTGCTGAATTCTACCAGGCATTTAAATAACTAATGCCAATCCTTCTCAATCTCTTCCAAAAACCTGAGGAGAAAGGAATACTTCCAAACACATTTTACAAGGCCAGCATTACCCCGATACCAAAGCCAAACTAAGAAACTACATAAAAAAAATTACAGGCCAACAATCCTGATGAATATTGCTATATTTCTTTTTTTTATTTTATTTCTTTTTCATGCTCTGTCACTCAGGCTGGAGTGCAGTGGTGCGATCTTGGCTCACTGCAAACTTCACCTCCAGGCTCAAGTGATTCTCATGCTTCAGACTCCCAAGTAGCTGAGACTACAGGCGCATACCACCACACCCAGCTAATTTTTGCATTTTTACTACACACAGGGTTTTACCATGCTGTCCAGGCTGGTCTCAAACTCCTGACCTCAAGTGATCTGCCCACGTCGGCCTCCCAAAGTGCTGGGATTACAGGCGTGAGCCACTGCACCCAGTCAAATATTGCTATATTTCTAGCAAACAGAATTTAGAAGCATACCAAAGGATCATTCACCATTATCTAAGTGGGATTTATCTCTGGGATGCAAAAATGGTTCAATATATGCAAATCAATAACTGTTATACATCACATTAACAGAATGAAAGACAATAATTATATGATCATCTCAATAGATGAAGAAAAAACATAACAAAATTCAATACCTTTTCATGATAAAAACGTTTAACAAATTAAGTATAAAAGGAATGTACCTCACTACAATAAAAGCCATCATACTCAATGATGAAAAGTTGAAAGCTTTTCCTCTATGAAAAGAAACAAGACAAGGATATCCACACTTTCCACCTCTATTCAAAACAGTATTAGAAGTTCTAGCCAGAGTAATTAGCCAAGAAAAAGAAATAAAAGGCACGCAAAACAGAAAGAAAGGAGCCAGCCACAGTGGCTCCTACTGGTAATCCCAGCACTTTGGAGGCTGAGGCAGACAGATCACTTGAGTCCAGGAGCTTGTGACCAGCCAGGAAATAAGATGAAATCCTCTCTCTACAAAAAATACAAAAATTAGCCAGGCGACCGGGCACAGTGGCTCACGCCTGTAATCTCAGCACTTTGGGAGGCTGAGGTGGGCAGATCACGAGGTCAGGAGATCAAGACCATCCTGGCTAACATGGTGAAACCCCATCTCTACTAAAAATACAAAAAATCAGCTGGGCGTGGTGGTGCTCGCCTGTAGTCTCAGCTACTTGGGAGGCTGAGGCAGGAGAATTGCTTGAACCTGGGAGGTGGAGGTTGTGGTGAGCCAAGATGGCACCACTGCACTCCAGCCTGGGTGACAGAGTGAGACTCCATCTCAAAAAAAAAAAAAAAACTTAGCCAGGTGTGATGGCATGCATCTGTACTCGCAGCTACTAGGCAGGCTGAGGTGTGAGGATCGCTTGAGCCTGGGAAGTTGAGGCTGCAGTGAGCCAAGATTGTGCCACTGCACTTCAGCCTGGGCAACAGACCCCTGTCTCAAAAAAAAAAAAATGAAAATTGTCTATGTTTGCAGATGACATGATTTTATATGTAAAAAACTTTAGACTCAACCAAAAAAACTATTAGAACTAATAAACAAGGTTTATAAAGCTATAAGATACAAAATTAACATGCAAAAATTAGTAGCATTTCTATACAATAACAAAGATCTAAAAAATAGAGTGGAGGGAAATGGAAATAAAAAATAAAATTTAAAAATGAAAATATAACATTTGGGGCTAGATTATGATAGAAAAAAATGAAGAATACAATGCCATTTACAATAGCATAAAAAATAAAATACTTAGTCCAGATGGACATGGTGACTCATGCCTATAATCCCAGCACTTTGGGAGGCTGAGGCAAGAAGACCATTTGAAGCCAGAAGTTCAAGACCAGCCTGGGTAACATAGCAAGAACTTTATCTCTAAAAAAAATTTAAAAATAAAAATAAATACTTAGGAATACAATTAACCAAAGAAGTGAAAGACCTGTATACTGAAAAAAACAAAACACTGATGAAATAACTGAAGACACAAATAAATGAAAAGCTACCTGTGTTCATGAATTTAAAGAGTAAATATTGTAAAAACGTCCAAACTAGTCAAAACAATCTAAAAATTCAATGCACCCCTATCAAAATTCCAATGACAAATTTCCACAGAAATAGAAAAACAATTCTAAAATGAACCACAAAAGACCCCAAGTAGCCAAAGCAATCTGGAGAAAGAAAAACAAAGCTGGAGGCATCACCCTACCTGATCTTAAAATCTACTTACAAAGCTAGAATAATCAAAACAGTATGGCACAAAAACAGACATACAAGTCAATGAAACAAAACAAAAAGCCCAAAATCCCAAAATTAAATCCACATGTTTATGGTCAACTGATCTTCAACAAAGTTGCTGAAATCATACAATGAAGACAGGATAGTATCTGGTGTTGCGGAAAGTGGATATTCACATGCAGAAGAATGAAATTGGGCCCTTATTTCACACCATATTTAAAAATCAACTAAAAATGGATTGAAGACTCAAAAGTAAGAGCTGGAACTATAAAACTGCTAAGAAGAAAATGAAGGCCAAAATCTTGTGGGTTTTTTTGTGTTTGTTTATTTGCTTGTTTGAGACAGAATCTCACTCCACCCACCAGGCTGGAGTGCAGTGGCATGATCTCAACTCACTCTGCCTCCCAAGTTCAAGCGATTCTTGTGCCTCAGCCTCCCAAGTAGCTGGGAGTACACACCCAGCTAAATTTTGTATATTTAGTAGAGACATGGTTTTGCCATGTTGGCCAGGCTGGTCTCGAACTCCTGGCCTCAAATGATCCACCTGCCTCAGCCTCCCAAAGTGCTGGGATTACGGGTGTGAACCACCATGCCCAGTCTATTTGTTTTAGAGACGAGGTCTCACTGCCCAGTCTGGTCTCAAACTCCCCCCAAGCGATCCTTTCACCTTGTCCTCCCACAGAGCTGGGATTACAGGTGCGAGCCACTGCACTCAGCCCAAAATCTTGTTGTTTTGTTTTGTTTTTTAAAGACAGGGTCTCACTCTGTCACCCAGGCTGTAGTGCAGTGGCATGACTGTGGCTTATGGCACCCTTGAACTCCTGGGCTCAAGCAATCCTCCCACCTCAGCCTCCTGAGTAGCTGGAACTACAGGCAGGCACCACCACACCAGGCTAGTTTTTTCAAAATTTTTTGTAGAGACAGGGTCTCACTATGTTGCCCAGGTTGGTCTCAAATGTGTGGACTAAAGCGATCCTCCTGCTTTGGCCTCCAAATGTGCTGGGATTAAAAAATCAAACTCATGGAAGCAGGGAGTAGAGTGGTAGTGTCAACAAAAAGAGTCGAGCTCTGAAAAATATTTGAAGAGATTTATTCTAAGACAAATTTGAGTGACCAATGGTCTCTGACAGTCCCAGGAGATCCTGAGAACATATGCCCAAGGTGGTAGGGCTACAGCTTAGTTTTATACATTTTAGGGAGACCTGGAACATCAATCAATGCATGTAAGACATACATTGCTTTAGTCTGGAAAGGCAGGACAACTAGAAGGAGGTGGGGGGCTTCCAGATCACAGGCAGATTCAAAGACTTTCTTTTTGGCAGTTGGTTGAAAGAGTTATTATCTAAAGACCTGGAATCAATAGAAAGAAATGTCTGGGTTATGGTAAGTGGTTGTGGAGACCAAGATTTTAATCAAGCAGATGAAGCCTCCAGGTAGCAGGCTTCAGAGAGAATAGATTGTAAATGTTTCTTATCAGACTTAAAAACTCTGTTCTATCAGTCTTTTTTTTTTTATGGAATGCTTCATGAATTTGCATGTCATCTTTGCATAGGGGCGATGCTAATCTTCTCCGTATCATTCCAAGTTTACTATATGTGCTGCCAAAGCAAGCACTATTCTATCAGTCTTAAGGACTCTGTGTTGATGTTAATGCTGGACAGCTGTACCTGAACTCCAAAAGGGAGGAGGGCATAATGAGGCATGTCTGACCCCCACTCCCCGTTATGGCCTGAACTAGTTTTTCAGGATAACTTTGGAATGCCCTGGGCAAAGGGGAGGACCCATCAGTCAGCTAGAGGGCTTAGAATTTTATTTTTGGTATGTAGTGTTTACCAGGGCTGGGAATGGAGGTGACTGGGGAGGAGGAGGAAATGGGTAGATGTTGGTCAAAAGATACAAAGTTGAAGTTAGGAGTAATAAGTTGTGGAGATCTATTTTGCAACATGATAACTATAATTAATAATAAGGTAGAGTATATTTGAAAATTGTTAGAGGATAGATTTTAAATGTTATCTTCACACATTTAAGTATGTGGGGTGATGAATATGTCAATTAGCTTGATTTAATCATTCCACAATGTATTCATATCTCAAAACATCACATTGTACACCATAAACATATACAATTTGTCATTTGTCAATTAAAAAATGAATTACTAGCCTGGGCAATTAAGCAAGACCCTGTCTGTACAAAAAAAATAAAATAAAATAATTAGCCAGGCATGGTGGCATGTGCCTATAGTTCCAGCTACTCAGGAGGCTGATGCAGGAGGATCCCTTGATCTCAGGAGTTCAAGGCTGCAGTGAATTATGATCATGCCACTGCACAACAGCCTGGACAACAGACCAAGACATTGCTTCTAAAAATAATAATAATTAAGCAATTTTAGAAAGGAAACAAATAAAAACAAGAATCTACTGGTAAAATGGAAAAAAATTTACCATCCTCTTACCTAGATGATCTATGAAAGCCTTTTCATTACAGCTCTAGAGTTATATAATCAAGTTAAAAGTTGATGATTTGTGTGAGTGGCATTAGTCTGGCTCTATCACATCACTGCAACAGTGTGGCAGGCCTCCATAACAACTTTTTTAGTACTGACTGACTGGTTAAGCTAAATATTAAAAGCTAGTGCCCTTATACAAATGCTGCAATATAACAAAAGTCCACCATGAGTTTTGCTTAGGCCTTTCCTGAGCCTTAAAGCATGACAAAATAATGAAAGAATTCTTAACAGGGCCCATTTAGGATTGCACAAGTTTTATTGAGGGTCTGAAGAAACTCTCCAGGCCTCCACAAACAAGTTTATTGGAAATCTGAAGGAACTCCCCAAAACTCTGTGATTTAGCAGGAGACAAGATAAGTGCAATCAACCCAGCACTTGGCACTTGGACCCATTTAGATTGAGTAAACTTACTGAGGCTCCAGAAGAAGGTCTCCAGGACCCAGACCTTAGTTATAGATTAAAAGAAGTTAATCACTTATGTCTTTAGATGAATGCACACTTACACGAAAACATATAGCTTAGAAGGTATATAAGCTCTGAAAAACTTCGTAATTTTGAGTTGGTCTGGTGATAATTTCCAGGCCTTCTCCCTGTAATCAGTTACAGAAATAAAAACTCTCTTCCTCCCCAGTTCATCTGCATCTCATTATTGGGCCACGAGAAATAGAAATAGCAGCCTGGCCCTCAGTTTGACCCAGGAACAACAGGAAGCAGAAAGATTGAGTGGTTTTGTTGTGACCTATCACAAAATCAGTATCAGTACTGTGGTGGGGTTTTTTTAATTTTTTTTTTATTTTTTCCAAGACAGGATCTCACTCTGTCACCCAGGCTGGAGTGCAGTGGTGCAATCTTGGCTCACTGCTACAACCTCTGCCTCCTGTGTTCAGGTGATTCTTATGCCTCAGCCTCCTGAGTAGCTGGCACTACCGGCACATGCCACCACACCTGGCTAATTTTTGTATTTTTAGTAGCAACACAGTTTCATCATGTTGGCCAGGCTGGTCTTGAACTCCTGGCCTCAAGTGATCCACTCTCCTCAGCCTCAGCTGGGATTACAGAAGTGAGCCACCACTCCGGTCCTGTGGTGGTTATTCTAACAAACCTGTGTGTGTGCTTGGTGGGAGAGAATCCAGTGTAGGATTGCTCTGACAATGTAGCAATGGATTATTTTAACACTATTTCATTATTTATCTCTCCTTGGAACTAAATTTGAAGTTTCAGCAGTGGGTCTCCTTTCAATAGTTTGTTCAGATTTCAGTTCCTTTCATTCCTACTTAGAGCTTTCTGGCTATAAAGGCAAATTTCTGAGTTATCTGAGTGACTCATTTCAGGTGAGTGGGAACAAAAGCAAAACAGGAAATAATTACCATAACAAGGGCCAGAGATACACCTATAGGTGATAAGGCTGGTAACAAGCCAGTGTCTTTGTAGAACACTTAATTTCTGAAAATCTTGCATAATGTTCACACTCATCTGGTATTTTAACAGTGTTTCACTTTGGCATGGTCTGTTCTTATGTGACTAAAGAACTCCTGAGTCCTCTATTTGTTTGTGCTGTTTTCCATAAAAGGAAATGGGGGTGAGAAATAGTGAAATAGCTCCATCCAGATAGTTGAAGCAATATAGAGTTGCACAAAATTAAACTCACCTTAAGATAAATGGACATTGATGTTTTGGTGCTCTAAAATTGCTCCAAAACATTCTTTGTAAGTTATGCATACTGTTAAGGGTATTTATTAGCTGTGGACCTTGAACAAGTGATTTAACCATCCTGTGCTTCTGGTTTTTTTGTTCGTTTGTTTTCCCTCTTTCAGCAGAATCATGTTTCTTTATCTGTAAATTGGAGTAATGATAGTACCTTCTTCAGAAGGATGTAATAAGGACTAAATGACTAAAGTGCTTGGAACAGTGCAGAGCAGTACATGAAGTAAGGACGTGTGTACTAGCTATTGTTGTTACTGATGTAGAAAAAAAAACAGGTTCTTGTCACATGACCAGGATAATTTAGGCACAGGGACACACTGTAAGGTTAGTAGGGCAGGGTTTATCGGGTGAAAAGGAAAAAAAAAAGGGAAACAGGAACTCCAGCAAACCGAAAGAGAGGCCGGCTAGCAGGTTTTCCTCCTCAAAGATTGAATCCCAGGTCACCACACAGGAACAGGAGATGCCAGGATCCTCGCCACTGCAAATAGCGTGAACTTCCCAAGGCTCCACCCAGTCCTCCCAGTGCGCAGGTGGCCATTATTCAGAAAGAATCGGTTGGGAAAGGGCAGACTTCATCCAGACTAGCACTCTGGTTTTTCAGCCTTCAGACTGTTTTAGGCTTGAAGGAGGGGTTTCACTGGGAGACTGTTGGCTGCCTCCTGTCTCTGTCGTTACTGTGTCCATCCTGAAGAGTCATCAATAAGACAAATGGGGAAGAGATTGTGACTTTATTTTAAAAAACAAGAGAGAGAGAGAAACATCTCCACTGCCGCCCCTCCCCTCCCCCCCCAGAAAAAACTACCAAGAGCTATGGGTAAAACAGACAGAACAGAGACCCCTCTTTGAGGCCTGTGGGTCCCCTCCCCTCTCCCCTAGCATGGAAATAAAGGAAAATCTTGAGTTCCTTCAAGGGAAATTCCAGGCACCTAGCTAGCCTTGAGAAGTAAATGAACAGCTTGTTACTCGGGAGGCTGAGGCAGGAGAATCGCTTGAAACTGGAAGGCAGAGGTTGCAGTGAGCCAAGATCACACCACTGCACTCCAGACTGAGCAACAAGAGTGAAACTCCATCTCAAAAAATAAAAAAAAAATAAAATAAAACAATAGCCAAGGAAGTTAGAGTCAGATGTTTTGTTCTCTATAGAAACTAAAGATAACATCTTAACATATGTCCCTGAATTGTCGGAGACCCAGATCCCCACCAAATGGATCTGCTGGCACATAGAGCTCAGCTAAGGGGGAACCAAGGACTGAATTCTGATGGCTGTTCTGAATCTCTTCCTGAGGGGCCTGAAGGAGATCACACCCACGAGTCAGAGGTAACATTCTTTTCTGCTGATCTCAAATTTTTGTACAAAGCTTAACCTCTTTAACCAATCGCAAATCAGAAAGTCTTTGAATCCAGTCTGGGTGTGGTGTGTCATGCCTGTAATCCCAGTGCTTTGGGAAGCCAAAGCCAGAGATCGATTGGAGCCAGGAGATCAAGACCAGCCTGATAAACATAGCAAGACTCCGTCTCTACAGAAAATTTAAAAATTAGCCAGGCATGGTGGTGCATGCTTGTAGTCTCAGCTACTTGGGAATCTAAAGGAGGAAGGATCAGGCCTGGCACAGTGGCTCAAGCCTGTAATCCCAGCAGTTTGGAGGGCCAAGGCAGGCCGATCACCAAAGGTCAGAGTTTGAGACCACCCTGGCCAACATGGTGAAACCCCATATCTACTAAAAATACAAAAATTCCGGGCATAGTGGCAGGCATCTGTAATCCCAGCTACTAGGGAGGCTGAGGCAGGAGAATTGCTTGAACCCAGGAGGCAGAGGTTGCAGTGAGCTGAGATTGCACCATTGCACTCCAGCCTGGGCGACAAGAGTGAAACTCCATCTCAAAAAATAAATAAAAATAAAAAATAAGGCAGGAGGATCACTTGAGCCCAGGAGTTCTAGATTACAGTGAGGTATGATCACACCACTGCACTCCAGCCTGAGCAACAAAGCAAGACCCTGTCTCAAAAACAAAACAAAACCAAAAAATCTGCCCTTACAGGATGTTAGTGACACATTGTTAGGGACCAAAAGTTTTTAGGCTCCCATGCAATAGAAATTGACAGAAGGCCAAGCGAGTTTCCCAGACACAGCTTTGTTAGGGGCTTATGCTCAAACACAACGGAAACAGCACTAGAGTGAGGAGTTCTCCAGCTGGTTCCCCAAGGACAGGTCATGTTGGTGTTTTAAGAAGGGTGACGTGAATAAGCACGAGGTACGCAAACGTCATTACATGCGTGGGGTAGAGCACAGGGTGCGCAGGCACAGTGCGAAATCATTTTAGTACGTATATCACATGATCAAAAAATGGCAAATAAGCCCTTCCCTGGGTGGAGATTTTAGTGTTATAATGAGGCAACTCTATAGGGTAAAGATCATCATTCTTCTGGTCATGTGTGTGGATGATAGAGTTGACTTCCTTGAGTAAGACTTAGGGTGGGATGCTACTTGTCTTAGTTTCTTCAAAGTCCTGAGATCAGTGGGTGTGCTGCCTTGACTAAGATGGTGGGATGCTGCTTATCTTAGCTTCTTCAAGGTCCCCGGGTCAGCAGGTAGGACAGAAAAAGAGGAAAATTATGTATTAACGGGGGTGGAGGGACCAAGTCCTGTCCCTACTCTGTCTCAATATTAGTACAAGTGCAAGGCCCTCTTTGCATTAAGCCTTCTGTTAAGATCCTAAGGAGCCCTAATGGGGCAGAGAGAAGATAAATTTGGCTGGGATTCCAGAATGGGTCAAGTAAATTGCTGAAGTGAGCAGGGAGAGACATATTTTGGGAAATCTTAGAACTTTAGGGGATAGTGAAAGAGGGGAGGTATTGAACTTTCTTCTTTCCTCTCTCCCCTTACCGCTGAATTACAGAGGATGGGAAAAAAGTTGGTTATAAAAAATCTTGAGCTGCTTTACAACCAGCCTGCCAGAGTAATCATTTTAAAATGTAAAGTCTTAAACTCCCCTTTTTAAAACCCTTTAATGCATTTCCATTTCACCCAAACATTGATCATTATTTTGGATTGAATTAATGGGAGAGGGAATCCCACATGATGAATAAATGGAGTCCTTAGAGAGAGATGTATGAGAATGCTGCTGGCAGGAAGGACAAACCCTTGCTCACAAGTTACAGTCTGGGATTTTCTTATTCTTTCCTCTCAAAGCCCTCACATTTTCTCCTCCTTGCCTATTCCCCATTCCCAAAGGAACTTGATCCCCTCAGGACAAAGCTGGATAGGGCCTCTGTTGAGTCAGTTCCAGCCTCTCCTCTTTATGACCTCAAGAAGCGAGTGAAAACCTGTCTCCCAAGTCAGAGTGCCTTACACACCTGAAGGCTCGCCTAGGGCAGGATATGCACAGATAGGATCTCTTATTGTTCAAGCACAGACTAAGCAACATAGCCCAGCAGTCAGGAGCACAGTCTTCACAGATGGATAGAGCAGAGTTGGAATCTTAATCTGGCCACTTCCGAGCTGTTAATAAACCTTTCAAAATATCAGTTTCTCGTCTGTAAAATGATGACAGGAGAACCTACTTGAGGGTTGTCAGGATACTTAAATGTGATGCCTGGCACATAGTAAGTACTCAATAAATACTGACTATTGTTAGTACTAAAATCATAATTCTAGAAGCTAGATAACATAACTTTCTCTCTCCCCTCTCACATGCAAGAGAGTGGAGCACAAATGTTCTATTGTTTTACTAGCCATGATAAAATTCAAGCTAGTTACAATATTTTAACAATAACCATAGTTCCCTTCCTTTCTTCTAACTTCTGACAGTGTAACACAGCAGTCCCCAACCTTTTTGGCACCAGGGACCAGTTTCATGGAAGACAATATTTCCTCGGCTGGTGCTGGGGCTGGGGGTGTAGTTATATAGGCATGAGCAGGGCAGGAGAGGGCTCTCCCGACCCACTAGGAATGTCAGGTGATGGTTCAGCAATTATCACATTGCTTCGCTAAAAATGATAATTAGGCAGCCAGGAGAGACAGTCCCCTGATGGTCCACACCTGTTAACATTAAAAGTGTTAATTGAATGCAGACCCCATGGAGAAGCAGCTTCTCGGGCATGCGTGTTAAGAGACAAAATTGCAGGCTAGATGCGGTGGCTCGTGCCTGTAATCCCAGCACTTGGGAGGCCGAGGCAGGCGGATCAAAAGGTCAGGAGTTAGAGATCAGCCTGGCCAATATGGTGAAACCCCGTCTCTACTAAAAAATACAAAAATTAGCCGGTCGTTGGCCGGGCGCGGTGGCTCACGCCTGTAATCCCAGCACTTTGGGAGGCCGAGGCGGGCGGATCACGAGGTCAGGAGATCGAGACCATCCCGGCTAAAACGGTGAAACCCCGTCTCTACTAAAAATACAAAAAATTAGCCGGGCGTAGTGGCGGGCGCCTGTAGTCCCAGCTACTTGGGAGGCTGAGGCAGGAGAATGGCGTGAACCCGGGAGGCGGAGCTTGCAGTGAGCCGAGATCCCGCCACTGCACTCCAGCCTGGGTGCCAGAGCGAGACTCTGTCTCAAAAAAAAAAAAAAAAAAAAAAAATTAGCCGGTCGTGGTGGCACTGCGCCTGTAGTCCCAGCTACTCAGGAGGCTGAGGCAGGAGAATCGCTTGAACCCAGGAGGCAGAGGTTGCAGTGAGCTGAGATCCCGCCACTGCATTCCAGCCTGGGCGACAGAGAGAGACCCTGTCTCAAAAAAAAAAAAAAAAAACAGAGAGACAAAATGGCAAAGTATGATGTTCCAGGGACAAAGGCCACCGAAAAAAAGGAAAAAAAACCTCAGATGCGCATGTGTATAGCTCCCTAAACACCCTGTGTGTGCTCAGTCCCAAAGAGTAAGGAAAGCACTGCACATGCGGAAAGCCCACCCTAAGGGAAGAATCTTGGGAAAGAGGCAAGCCTATAAAAATCCTAGGATCATGGTTAAATGGGGACTTGATATTCTTTTTCTCTCTTCGACCTTCAGGCACCCACTTGGATCTCTTCCAAGGGTTATTTTCTTTATTTCCTGCCTTAAAGCCTTTTTAAATAAACTTCCATTCCTGCTCTGGAACTTGCTTCGGTCTCTTTTTCTGCTTTATGCCCCTTCATTGAGTTCTTCCTTCTGAGGAGGCAAGGACTAAAGTTGCTGCAGACCTGTATGGATAGCTGCTGGTAACTCAGGGTAACTCCAATCTCTTCCACTGCTAACAGGGTGGGCAGAAATGATTTCGGGATGAAACTGTTCCACCTCCGATCATCAGGCATTAGATTCTCATAAGGAGTGCACAACCTAGATCCCCTGCATGTGCAGCTCACAATAGGGTTTGTGCTCCTATGAGAATCTAAGGCTGCCACTGATCTGAGAGGAGGCAGAGCTCAGGCAGTAATGCTCACTTGCCAGCTGTTCACCTCTTGCGGTGTAGCCCGGTTCCTAACAGGCCACAGACTGGTACTGGTCTGCAGCTCGGGGGTTGGGAACGCCTAGTGTCACAGTTTATTTCCCCTGGGCCAGGACAGCCTATGGATGCAGCTAGGAGGACAAGGTTTCTATTGTTTCTACCAACTCCAGCCCCTGCCCCACACCCACTATATCCACATTCTGGGTACTTCTAACTTAGATCTTGTTTTCTCCTCAAAGAAAGGAGAATCTTTAAGGGGTGGGGTAGCTCACAAATACTTGGGTATCCTCCCAACCTTGTCTTTCAACTTCCCAGTCACTACAAATTGCTGCAACCTCCTGACCCATCTGCACAATCCCGTCATCACTCACCCCAGCCTCACCATACTGCTTCACAACAGCCTGGCTCCTTGCGAGCAGCCCTACCCACGTAGATCTGCTTCTTTCTTTTATTATTATTATTTTTTTAATTTCATTTTTTCTTTCTAATAAACCTTTTGTGATCCTAAGATCTGCTTCCTTACAATCTGTCTCTGTCATTGCTGCTGGTACCCAGCAGCCGGCTTGCCTTGCCCCCATTTTTTAGGCAAAGCCTGAGCTGTTTCTCAGAGTTCTCAGAAGTCCCAGCCTGTTAACCAGCCCCAGTGTGCAATAAGAAATACTGTTGTTGAGCCAGGCATGATGGCTCGTGCCCATATTTCCAACAACTGAGGAGGCTGAGGCAGGATGATTACTTGAGCCCAGGAGTTCAAGACTAGTCTGGGCAACATAGCGAGACCCAACCTCTAAAAAAAAGAAAAAAGAAATACAGTTATGATGTTAGTTGTGGGCTTGTAATAAATTTTTTTCTTATTTTTATTTTTTTAAAAAAGAAAAGCAATACAGTTGTCTCTGGTTATCCATGGGTAATTGGTTCCAGGACCCAATAGTGGATACTAAAGCCAGCAGATGCTCAAGACTCTTACACAAAATGGCATAGTATTTGGATATAACCTACACACATCCTCCCCAGAGGATGTGTATACTGTATATTCTTTTTCCCCAGAAACAGCCAGGAAGAACTTCTGTACACTTTAAATCATACCTAGATTACTTAATAACACCCAATACAAGTAAATGCTATGTAAATAGTTGTTATACTGCATTGTTTAGGGAATAATAACAAGAAAAAAAAGGTCTGTACATGTTCGGTACAGACACAAATTTTGGAGTATTTTTGATCAGTGGTTGGTTGAATCTGTGGATGCGGAACTCATGAATACAAAAGGCCAACTGTCTATTGTTTTTGGCTTTCATTCCAGCTTCCTGACACAGAGCTCCTAAATTATTCTAGTTTCCTTAGCGTTAAGGGTGACAAAAGCATCTTTCATTATAATATTTGTCTTTTGTACAGAGCTCCTAAAACTCTTGGAATTTTCTAAGTGATAAAAGTTTATTTTGTTACTCTTAATAAGCCCTTTGGCTCACAGCTGAGTTTGTGCTAATGAGGTAACCTTAGGGTGGAGACCCTAGATAGCCTCAGGATGGGGTCAGTCACTGGAAAGACCAAGTGAGATGCGATAAGCTTCCAAGTTGCTGGACACTTGGAAGTACTGGGAAGGAGGGTGTTGTGCCAGAGAAGGGATGGAAGATCCACAACCTCATACCTTATCCTATCTGTCTCTTCATCTGGCTATTCATCTGTATGCTTTATATTATCCCTTATAATTGGCAAATGTAAGTAAAGTATTTCCCTGAGTTCTGTGAGCCACCCTGCCAAATTAATGGAATCCAAGGAAAGGAGATATGGGAACCCCGATTAATTGATTGAGATAGGGTCTGGCTCTGTTGCCCAGGCAGGAGGGCATTGGTGCTATCTCAGCTCACTGCAGCCTCAACCTCCTGGGCTCAAGCAGTTCTCCCACCTCAGCCTCTGGAGTACCTAGGCATACAGGTATGGGCCACCACACCCAGAAATTTTATTTTATTTTATTTTTGTTGTTGTTGTTGTTGTAGAGATGTGGTCTCACAAAAGACCTGTTGCCCTATTGCCCTGGCTGGTCTTGAACTGCTGGGTTCAAGTAATCCTCCCACTTAGGCCTCCAAAAGTGCTGGGATTACAGGCATGAGCCACCATGCCCAGCTGGAACCTTGAACCATAGCCAGTCAGTCAGAAGCACAGGTAACAATCTGGGACTTGCAATTGACATCTGAAGTGGGGACAGTCTTGTGGCACTGACCCCTTAACCTGTGGGATCTGACACTAATTCCAGGCAAATAACATCAGGATTGAATTGAATTAGAGGACACATAGTTGGTGTCTTCTGGAGAATTGTTTGGTGTATGCAGAATGTTGGGACAACTAAGTTCCTCTTCAAAGCCTCAACTTCCTGGTCATAAGCTGTAAAAGTTTTAAATCAACTCTACCCCCTTCTTCCCCCCTTTTTCTTTTCGCAAATCGTGCATTTACCTTATTTGAGAAGGTTTAAGTCCCAGCCAGTCAGGATCAGCTTAGATTGTGCATCCAACCCCAGCCAACAGGGGAAGGACACAGAAACAGGAACTGCGTTAGAGTTAAAAGCTCCTTCCCTCCTTTGTTCAGTGTGCTTTTGTGAATGCATCAGGCGCAAGCAGCACCCTTCTGCAGAAGTGAAGCTGCCTTGCTGAGAAATTTTCTGTCTAAGTGCCGGTTTCTTTTGGCTACGCCAAGCACTTGTTTCTAACACAGAAAATCTGCACATAGCTGGTCACAGAACTGTTTTGTGATATGTGAGAGTAAAGAGGTAAAACAGTTTGTTTTTGACTTTATACCCAGAGAATCCATTTCCTTCCCTCTTCCTGGGATCCCAAGAAACCCACACTAAATCTTCTTGGCCCCTCCTCATGCAACCTTGGGGTAAACAACATTTCTCCCTCCTTCAGTTGATCTTCCAGCCTCCAGGGACAGATGCATTCTCAAGCAGCATCAGCAACTCTCCTCTAGGGATCTTGCTAAAACTGTAATAATCACAACCCTTTATTAGTCTATTTCCTTAACCCATACATAACATCCTACATTTAGCCCCTTTTCTCCAGAAACGTAGTCACCCTTGTGATTTTGTAAATTTAGTAAGTTTACTGAAAAACTGGAGAGGGATTATAGCACACACAGTAGTTTTCCTACGTTTGGTACCTCTGCCCTCTCTCACCTCTGGCTCCACACTGCTCTCACTGAGAAACCTCTCCAAGTAATGGGTCTTTTAGGAGGCACACACTGAGGTGGAAGAGAACTGCCCCTAGGTCGACTTGCCTTTGTAAAAGGAAAATAAATCTTGGGGCCCCAAAATCACTAAGCCAAAGGGAAAAGTCAAGCTGGGAAGTGCTTAGGGCAAACCTGTCTCACATTCTATTCAAAGTCACCCCTCTGCTCACTGAGATAAATGCACATCTAATTGCCTCCTTTGGAGAGGCTAATAAGAAACTCAAAAGAATGTAACCATTTGTCTCTTATCTACCTATGACCTGGAAGCCCCCTCCCCACTTCAAGTTGTCCCGCCTTTGCTTCGAGTTGTCCCGCCTCTCTGGACCAAACCATTGTTCATCTTATATATGTTGATTGATGTCTCATGTCTTCCTAAAATGTATAAAATCAAGCTGTGCTCTGACCACCTTGGGCACATGTAGTCAGGACATCCTGAGGCTGTATCACGGGTGCGGGTCCTCAACCATGGCAAAATAAACTTTCTAAATTAACTGAGTCCTGTCTCAGGTATTTGGGGTTCACACCTTCTCCAGTGCCACTGAAATTATGATGATTAAAACATCCACAGAACTGTGCAGATATATGTTCTGTATTCCCCTCTCTTAACCACTTGAGCACTGCCTTGAGATCCAGTGTGAATTCTGTTTACCTCCTTTTCTTGCTCTAGAAAGAGCTTTCTGGGTCTTCTGGATCTATTTCTATTTCTTTATTACCTCTTACCACTAGCAACTTTTACTTTCCAATTTCAATTTTTTTCTTTTTCTTTGGCCAAGGCCAGTCTTGTAGCATAGCTAACTGAGGGGGCGGGGGGCAGGGTTGTCATCCTAACATAAGGATAAAATGGAGCTAAAGTTTTTCACAAACTTTATATTAGTTTATAATTTATCTTATTTGCCTAACCATATAAAGGTAAATTCAGTTAAATTTATGTTTAGCAAATACTTAACACACAGACACATACACAGCACTATACCAAGCACATTGAGGGATATGTTGGGGGGCAGAAAACGATTCCCCAAGATATGGACTTCGGCTTGCTGAGTGCTTTTGAAAATTGAAAGGCCTCAGTGAAACAGGATAGTTTCCTTGACCCCTTTGCAGGACTTGTGAAGGGGGTGGCTCATTTACTCAGCCCACAGCTCTCAACCCCTCGTGGGAGGGGGAGCATGTGAGTGGGCAGGTGCAGGGGCCAAGGTAAGTGCTTCTGGGAGCCGACAGGAGCAGAACTCCATGTGGCCCCTGGCAGCATCTTGGGGGTACCTGCAACCCCTAGAGCCCCAGAGGGTACGTGTGACAGTGTGCTCTTTTAACTTTGCTGTCTACAAATGGCTTAAGTGCTTAACAGCTCAGTGTGACAGCTGTCTGTATACCAAGCTCTTGTTCGGCATGCAGAAGAATCAAGTCACATGAACGAATTGAAGATGGTAAATGTGGGGGATTTTATTGCCTATGAAAGTGACTCTCAGCAGGATGGGCAGCTAGAAAGGGGATGGAGTGAGAAGGATGGAGTGGGAAGGTAGTCTTCCCTTGGAGTTCGGCCAGCTTAGTTCCATCCCTGGCCAAACTCTTCTCCAAAGTCCTGCTGTCAAGTTGTCCCTCTGAAGTCAAGCTGCTTCTCTCCAATGTTCAGCTGCTTCTTCTCTTCCCTCCTTCTCTGCTGTTCCGCTCTGCTGCTCTGCCAGTGGAGCCTGGGGTTTTTATGGGTACAAGATCAGGGGCGGGGCAGGCCAAAAAGCAACATTCAAGTAGGAAAACAAGAATGCATGTTCTCATTTTGGGCCGAAGTTCCAGGCTTGAGGGTGGAGCCCTCCCTGGGGCTGCCATCTTCTATCCAGTATTTCCCTGCCTCCTATCCATTTCATCAGAATAGGTCTCAGAACCAAAATCTCTCTCTCACTTTTCCCCGACGCCTGGTCTCTCTAGTCCTCTTTTCCAAGCCACCAGAAGGGACTCTCTCGGGAATTTCCTTATCTGATTAAGAAAGCATCTTTCCAAAAGAAATGCAATTGTTTTAAGACTCCCTCCCTAGAAAATCTCATCAAATGACCAGGAAAGATCAACCACCAGAGAATAGAAGAGACCAGGAGTCTTCATCATGTCCAGACAGAATTTTCATTTGTTTTTCTGAGGGCAGCTTCAAGAGATTACCTGAGGGGCTTCATCTACATAATAATAAAAAACCTTTGTTATGCCTCTCAACTTTGGAGTTACTCCCAATCAGCTCCCACAGAGAACCATAGTCTGAGCATTGGGCCTATTCATTCCTCCATCCCTCCCCCAACCCCATGAAACAGGGTACAGAAGCTTCTGTACCACTGAGTTGTTGGGTGATCACCCTGTGATTCTCCCCCGGTGCCCAGCACATTAATAGATTTTGCGTGCCTTTTCTCCTGTTAATCTACATTTTGTCAGTTGCTTTTCAGAAAACTTCATGGTATTTTTTTCTTTTTCTGTTTTTCTGTCTCTCTCTTTCCTTCTTTCTTTCTTTTCTTTCCTTTTTTGACAGGGTCTCACTCTGCTTCCCAGGCTGGATAGCAGTGGCTTGAATTCAGCTCACTGCAACCTCCATCAGTTCCCCCACCTCAGCCTCCCTAGTAGCTGGGACTATAGGCATTGTGCCTCTATACTTGGCTAATTTTTTTAAATTTTTGTAGAGATGATGTCTCACTACATTGCCCAGGCTGGCCTCAAACTCCTGGCCTTAAGCGATCCTCCTGCCTTGGCCTCCCAAAGTGCCCAGCTTCAGAGAAACTTCAAAGGGCTAAGGGCAAGTTTTCCCTTGGTCCCTACAGATACAAATGCAAATGTGACTGAGCCTGTGGCCTCATAGAGCTGATGGTCTGATAGAAAAAAATAAGACACAGAAAACTAGAAAACTCAGAAATCCATGGCAAGTAATCTTAGAGAGGGACTAGGGGCAGAGGGGATAAGGCTGTCTGGAATGTCCCACAGGAGAAACAGAGGAGGTCTTTGAGGTCAAAGTATCATTTTATCTGGGCTCCTAGGGTAAAATTTCAACCACAAAAACTCTGAGCATTTTGCAGGTGCAAGGCTTAACATCAGCAATATCGTTCAGGCCTAATATTGCTTTTGATAATAGGTGATTAATTCAGTCTAGGAAATCCCTAGTGATAACACCTCAGAAGTCTGAGAACAGGTTTTATGAATTGAGAAGGCACATAGGCCTCAAATCCATGCAGAGGCTGGGTGCCGTGGCTCACACCTGTGATCCCAGCACTTTGGGAGGCTGAGGTGGGTGGATCACTTGAGGTCAGGAATTCGAGTCCAGCCTGACCAACATGGTGAAACCCCATCTCTACTAAAAATACAAATTAGCCAGGCGTGGTGGCACATGCCTGTAATCCCAGCTACTTGGGAGGCTGAGACATGAGAATCGCTTGAACCCAGGAGGCAGAGGTTGCAGTGAGCCGATGTGCCACTGCACTCCAGCCAGGGCGACAGAGCGAGACTCCGTCAAAAAAAAAAACAACAACAACAACAAAACAAACAAACAAACAAAAAACACCCATGCAGAGCAATATATATTTCTATTCTCTCCTATTTGACTATTCAGATGAGTCAGGAAAAGAAGTGTTAAGACTGCTGACCACTCTGTACTCCAAATTTGCTCTCTAAGGATTATAGTCTGGAAAGTTAATGATCAGTTTATTCAACATGATTCAGACTTGGGGAACGCAGATCACACCGCCTCAACTCACAAAACAGGTGACCTCATCATGTTCTCTCCAAGTCCCTGATGTACAAAAGCATAGAAACCATGCATCTTAGGCTTCCCAAAGCAGTCCCAGTTTTATATAATCTTCCTCTTTTGGATGAAAACAAAAATATATAACCAAATGTAACTTAATTCTTGCAGACTTGATATATACATAAATTCAAAATTAAAGAAAAATATATTTTGTCAGATTGTCAATCCTGATTTTGGGTACCATATCTACAAGAAATGATGTTGATTTCTCACTCTAGGGAAGAGTGAATCAGGGCCTGAGGAACAGGGAAACAATTAAATGTGAAAGATTGCTGTCTATAAAAGAGTATATTGATATTCATACAAGCACTTACTGATGATCTAGTAGATTGAAGAAAATCCTAAGTAATGAGAGGAGATATTATGCCTTTGAATAAAACAGGCTTTCTGGCACCTGAGAGCTCATAAAGTAGTAGGGAAGACAGTTTACACAAACATCTTTAATATAAAAGAGCGCTTGAGAAATGCTACAATTAAAGTGCCAAGTATTGTATTGTGAGTAATTAGGGAGGGGAGTGTTTGTTTCAGTTCATTCTCCATACTGCCACCAAAATGAACTTTCTTTCTTTCTTTTCTTTATTGAGACAGAGTCTTGCTCTGTCACCCAGACTGTAGTGCGGTAGCAAGATGTCGGCTCACTGCAGCCTAGACCTCCCAGGCTCAAGCGATTCTTATGCCTCAGCCTTCTGAGTAGCTGGGATTACAGGCATGTGGCACCATGCCTGGCTGATTTTTGTATTTTTAGTAGAGACAACGTTTCATCATGTTGCCCAGGCTGGTCTCGAACTCCTGGCCTCAAGTGATCTGCCTGCCTCAGCCTCCAAAAGCACTGGGATTATAGGCATGGGCCACCATGCCCGGCCAAAATAAACTTTCTTAAATGGTAACTTTGGGCTGGGCACAGTGGTTCAGACTTGTAATCCCAGAACTTTAGAAGGCTGAGGCGGGTGGATCACTTGAGGCAGGGAGTTCAAGACGAACCTGGTCAACAGATGAAACTCCATCTCTACTAAAAATACAAAAATTGGCCGGGCATGGTGGCGTGTGCCTGTATTCCCAGTTACTCCAGAGGCTGAGGAACGAGAATTGCTTGAACCGAGGAGGTGGAGGTTACAGTTAGCCAAGATTACGCCACTGCACTCCAGTCTGGGTGATACAGAAAGACTCTGTCTCAAAAAAAAAAAAAGTAATTTCATCATGTCATTTCCTGGCTTAAAAATTCTCAGTGACTCACCAAAACCCTCATGAAAAAAGACCAAACTTCGCTTTTAGAGCGCCTGTCTCATTTCTGAACTCTTCCAGCCATAAGACATTCCACCCCAACATTCTAAACAAATTTGTAAATATGCCCATTCCCTGAAAACTCTAGACATTTACACTTTCATTTTGCTTACAATCTCCCATTTCCTCTTCCTGAACTCTCAGCACCTCCATTCTACCCAGCTTGGCCTAAATCCAAATCATCTCTTAAGTTTCAATGAAGACCTCAAACAGGAAGCTTTCCTTTATTTCAAATGGGGTGTGTACTCCTCCCATTAACTCACACGTGTCCCTCCACTACACTTTTAATTCTACATTGTTCTGTCTGCTGTTTTTCACAGTGCAGGCAAATAATATAAAATGATATTAAAAAGTAAATTTTGCCAGGAACAGTGACTCACACCTGTAATCTCAACACTCTTGGAGACCGAGGCAGGCAGATTGCACGGCCCAACCCCGTCCTGTCTCTACAAAAAATACAAAAATTAGCCAGGTGTGGTGGCACACACCTGTTGTCTCAGCTATTCCAGAAGCTGAGGCAAAAGGATGGTTTGAGCCTGGGAGGTCAAGGCTGCAGTGAGCCGAGATCATGCCACTGCACTCCAGCCTGGGTGACAAAGTGAGACCCTGTCTCAAAAATTAATAAATAAATGAACAAATAAGTAAATTTTAACAGAAAAAAAGTTAATATTACATTGTGTTCATTTATCATACTCTTACACTAAACTTTTTACATACACAAAGACAGCAATCCTGTATTAATTCATTTCTGTGTTCATTAAGTATCTTACATTGCCTGAAACATAACTAGTTATTTAATAATCATTTGTCAATTGAGTAATTAAGGAAATTCTTCACTATGAAATCCTCACTTACCAGGCTTCAGCCTGCATCAGCCTAAAACTCCTACGAGATAAGGTCCACAACTCTCAATCTAAGTCCTTTAACTGCACTAGCCTCAGCATCCAGACCTCACCATCTGACTCCATCTTGAGACTTAGGGCCATCCCACATGGGGCCATTATAATTGTTCAACCACACCAGATATTACAGAGTTGGCATAAATGACCAGGAACAAAAACGGATTTTTCCCAATACCCTCGTTCCCATATTGCCTTATTATTCCTTCCCTCCTATACCTGTACCCTCTTTGCATCCCAAACTCATAGAATACTACCTGAATTCCTAGTCATGATTAAGACTCAGCTTCGACTCAAGAACATTTCCCCTATAGTCTCGTTAATGTTTTTTTCCCCATCCTATATACCTAAAGCTGGGTAAGTGAGGTTAAGATTTTCCTCACTCCTAATAGCACTTCCAGGCCTTCACTCTCCTTGAAGTGTCACTGTCCTTTTGAGAGTTATTCTTTCTCTGACATCTGTATATTTTACATGCTTGCATTCTTGGAATACTTGGTAGTTTTCAATGTTCAGTGGATAACGCTTCTAACACTTTAGCTTCCTAGTTTCTTGATGCCTGCAACTTCACTAATTACCATTTCTCCTTCATTCAGCTACTCATTCTTGTGATCATTTCTGAACCATGTCATCATCTGGAATTACTTTATTAATCCATTAATTATATTCCAAACTATAATAACTCATCCTCTGACAAGGACTCTCATCTTTCAAGCACCCACTAGACAGTCCTTTTGACTCTCACAAGACTGTTCTTCTACTTCTTATTCTTTCATTTCTCCCAATCTTCTCCCAACCTCTTTTCCTTCTGAACACAGGATACTCTTATATAGTGGATCATATGCACAATTTTTTCATGAACAGCCTTGATTCCAAGGCATACCTATCTTTAAGTTCTGGGTCAATTCTACAATTGCCTTCTCTACTCTTACATTGGGACAATAAGCACAATTGAATAAAATGATAATCATTATGCAAATGTACCGCTAAAAATTAACAACCCTCAACCTCAATGAGGTCTTTTAGCAATTTCTCCTATTCCGCTTTAAAGATTAATCTAAACCTTAGCCAATTTTATCAACTCCCCTCTCTTTTCACTTCTATCAAGTGACCTTCATCAAATTTCAACCAAGTCACATACCTATAATTTTACCTAGATTCTCCCTAATTCTCACCAACTTATCTCCAATTTTAGAGAAGAAGATATTCCTCTTTCTTAACTGCATTCCTTGGGGGATGTCAAACTTTTTCTGTGAAGTATCACATAGTTAATATTTTAGGCTTTGTAGGTGTGTCAGGTTGTTTTTACTATAAAGAAATTTTTGCCACTATAAAGAAATTGGGCACTATAAAGAAATTTTGGAGGCTGGGTAACTTAAATAAAAGAGCTTTAATTGGCTCACTGTTCTGCAGGCTGTACAACAAGCATCGTGCTTCTGGTAAAGCCTCAAGGAGCTCTTACTTATGGTGGGAGGCAAAGCTGGAGCAGGCATGTCACATGGTGAGAGTGGCAGCAAGAGAGTGAATGAGGAGGCATCATACTTTTTTATTTTATTTATTTATTTACTTGGAGACAGGGTCTCCATCTGTCACCGAGGCTGGAATACAGTGGTGCCATCAAGGGCTC
The DNA here is from genome assembly GCF_000001405.40 of Homo sapiens. NCBI lineage: Eukaryota > Metazoa > Chordata > Mammalia > Primates > Hominidae > Homo > Homo sapiens. The sequence continues at coordinate 171,437,550 of NC_000001.11, forward strand.
ACTGCAGCCTCAACTTCCTGTGCTCAAGCAATCCTTCTACCTCTCTGAGTAGCTGGAACTACAGGCTTGAGCCACCACATCTAGCAAATGTTTTTGATTTTTTTGTAGAGATGGGGTCTCACCATATTGCCCCAGGTTAGTCTCAAACTTTTAGGCTCAAACAATTCTTCCACCTCAGCCTCCCAAAATGCTAGGATTATAGGCATGAGCCATTGTGCCCAGCCTGTCACACTCTTTTAAACAACCACACTTTTTTTTTTCTTTTTTGAGACGAGATGGAGTCCTGCTCTGTCACCCAGGCTGGAGTGATCCCAGGCACTATCACCAGGCACAATCTCGATCTCAGTTGACTGCAACCTCCATCTCCCAGGTTTAAGCAATTCTCCTACCTCATCCTCCTGAGTAGCTGGGATTACAGGCACATGCCACCATGCCCAGCTAATTTTTGTATTTTTAGTAGAGACAGGGTTTCACCATGTGGCCAGGCTGGTCTTGAACTCCTGACCTCAGGTGATCCGCCCGCCTCAGCCTCCCAAAATGCTGGGATTACAGGCGTGAGCTACCGTGCCCAGCCTAAACAATCACATTTCAAGTGAACTGAGTAAGAGCTAACGTATCACCAAAAGGATGGTGCTAAACCATTCATGAAAGATCCTCCATTTCCCAGTCACCTCCCACCAGGCCCCACCTCCAACATGGGGATTATATTTCAACATGAGATTTGGAGGGGACAAATATCTAAACTGTATTAGTAGGCCTTACTATCTCTGTCACAACTATTCAACTCTGCTGTTACAACATGAAAACAATCGACAATATATAATAAATGTGTGGCTGTGTTCCAATAAAACTTTATGGACAATGAAATTTTAATTTCATATTTCACATGAACAAAATATTGTTTTCAAAGATGTAAAATGTAAAATCCATTCTTAGTTCAGGAGTGATACAAAAACAGGCAGTCAGCCATATTTTGCCTTCCTTGACTTAGCCTATAACAGATTCTCAGAGTGAGGTCTCAACAGCATCAGCATCATGTGGGAATGTGTTAGAAAGGCAAATTTTCCTGCCCCACCCCGGATCTAGTGAATCAGAAACTCCGGGCATGCAGCCCAGCTGACTAAGGCCTAATAAGCTCTCTAGGTGATTCTGATACATACTCAAGTTTGAGAACTACTGTCCTCTAAACAAGTTCAAGTCTCTCCTTCAAAAAAAAGGCCTCTGACTTTGCACCTCAAACTTTTTCTCATTTCATCCAAAATTCCAGAATGATTAGTCAATTCTTGCTGGCTCCATTTTCTCAGCATAACTTACCATGAGTTTATAAAATGAGAGTAAGAATACCACCAAGTGGTTGTCAGAACTACATAAGATGATTATAGGTGGGAATTCCACATAGGAAATTCTTCATGTAGTCAAGAAAGGTGGAAAGGATTTTAACTGCATATCCCAGGGAGGAGAAATATAGAAGGAACAGTGCCTGCCTCCCCATAATCCCCTCACCCACTCCTCATCATAGAAGAAGAGTGAGCTGATGGGGGAGCCTGGGAAAAGGAATGAAACCTGTTCTGCTTACAGGGGCAGCTGGAACTTACTCAGCCTCTCTGTGCAAAGTAGAAAGAGGCACCTCCTCAGGAGAACACAGTCCTATAGAGCAAAGCTTGGTGATTGGAAGGTAACCCGTGGAAATAAGAATAAGATATAATTTACTCAAGTGGACAGAGCCCTCAGGGACACTATCGGGTCCTGTTTGCTCGTCTCCTGCTAGGTTGCCTCTTTTGGTTTCTGAATTTTTGTGGTCCATTAATTTCCTAAAGTCTCTGTAAATCACCCCTTAGCCTCAATGAAACCAGCAAGTCTCTTTGATAGGAACTTTTAAACAGGTACAGTGGTCTATAGCCAGCAGGGTCCTGTACTTGCCCAAGATTGCCAGGACAATTTTCCCCAATATTCAGTTTTTCCATCTACTAACCAATATAGCAATGGTAAAAGTATTGTGTGGAGTGTGTTGTTCAAAAATATAGGTGCTTGAATTTCTATTTTTCCTGTTCACTAAGATCATAATTGCAGTATTTAATGCAGACAGCAATCATGCCATCATCTTTGCTTTTGGAAAAAAACGACAAACAAAAACAAAGCAGCAGGAAGAATGTGCCAAGTTAGAGCTACATTTGAAGTGCTCATGGAATGTTAGAGGAAATAGGAGAATCAGAGAAGTTCTCACAAAACTGTATGAAATATAAGCTTTTTTTTTTTTTTTCCAGAGCTGGGTTCTCACTATATTGCCCAGGCTGGCCTTGAATTGCTGAGCTCAAGAGATTTTTCTGCCTTAGCCTACTGGGTATCTGATCTGGGACGACAGGTGTGCACCACCATACTCAGCTAATAAGTAGCATTTTTATGGGTGGATAAGAAGAGAAAGGAATTCCAAGTGAGGAAACAGCATGAGAAAAGTAGGGGGGGAATAATCTGGGGTAGCTGGAGCACAGAAATGTTGAGAGTTGGCATGGTTGAACTTGACAGCCAAATCCTGAATCTTTATATGTCACAGAGTTATCCCTTGGTATCCATGGGGGATTGGTTTCTGGACCTCATTTTATATGAGGGACTTGAACATCCATACCAAAATCCATGGATGTTGGTATTAGTCAGTTTTCATGCTACTGATAAAGACAAACCCAAGACTGGGTAGAAAAAGAGGTTTAATTGAACTTACAGTTCAACATGGCTAGGGAGGCCTCAGAATCATGGTGGGAGGCGAAAGGCACTTCTTACATGGTGGCAGCAAGAGAAAAATGAGGAAGATGCAAAACCATGATAAAATCACCAGCTCTCGTGAGACTTATTCACTACCATGAGAACAGTATGGAATGAGGAAGATGCAAAAACCATGATAAAACCATTAGATTTCATAAGACTTATTCACTACCATGAGAACAGTATGGGGGAAACCGTCCCCATGATTCAAATTATCTCCCACCAGGTCCCTCCCACAACACATGGGAATTATGGGAATACAATTCAAGATGAGATTTTGGTGGGGATGCAGAGCCAAACCGTATCAGTGTTCAAGTCCTTCCTATAAAATGGTATAGTAGGCCAGGCACGGTGGCTCACGCCCGTAATCCTAGCACTTTGAGAGGATGAGGCAGGTGGATCACCTGAGGTCAGGAGTTCCAGACCAGCCTGACCAATACAATGAAACCACCGTCTCTACTAAAAATACAAAATTTAGCCGGGCGTGATGTCATTCACCTGTAATCTCAGCTACTCAGGAGGCTGAGACAGGAGAATTGCTTGAACGCAGGAGGTGGAGGCTGCAGTGAGCTGAGATCGCACCATTGCACTCCAGCCTGGGCAACAAGAGCAAAACTCTGTCTCAAAATAAAATAAAATAAAATAAAATGGTATAGTATTTGCATATCCTCCTATATACTTTAAATCATCTCGTGGTTACTTATAGTACCCAGTGCAATGTAAATAGTATGTAAATAGTTGTTACACTACATTGTCTGGGAAATAGCAGCAAGAAAAAAGTCTATACATGCTCAGTACAGACACAACCATTTTTTTCCTCTTTTTTCTTTTTTAAAAAAATATTTTTGTCTCATGGTTGGTTGAATCCACAGATCTGGAATCCATAGAAACAGAGGACCAACTGTACTAAGCCCCGTTAGGACAGAGAAAATTTAAGTGATTCCTTTATCTTTAATGGATTTAGTAGAGTACTTGGAACATAGCAGCAGATTATTAAATATTTGTAACAAGAAAAAAATGAATGTGTGAAATTTCATTTACTTATACTTAGTTGAGTCAGGTGGCCTAACAAACTGTAAGGAGTCCTAGCAGATGGAGGAGGCAGGAAGTCAAGCTAGAAAATTTACATGTGAGTTATTATTTATTGCTTGATGAGCTCATCAGATGAGTCAGAAATCGTTTTCCCAATATTCCTGTAATAGACTCAGATGACAAATACAAAACTTAATTTGCTTCCAACAACTTCTTTAAAGGAAAAAAATTATGGCCAGTCACCGTAGTTCACGCCTGTAGTTCCAGCACTTTGGGAGGCCAAGGCAGTCAGATCATGAGGTCAGGAGTTTGAGACCAGCCTGGCCAACATGGTGAAACCCCATCTTTACTAAAAATACAAAAATTAGCCAGACATGGTGGCGCTTGCCTGTAATCCCAGCTACTCAAGAGGCTTAGGCAGGAGAATCGCCTGAACCCAGTAGGCAGAGGTTGCAGTGGGAGCCAAGATTGCACCACTGCTCTCCAGCCTGGGCAACAGAGTGAGATTCTGTCTCCAAAAAAAAAAAAAAAATTGTAAAAATAAATCATGTTTATTTCAGAAAACTTGGGACATATCCTACAAATTATAATAAAGTAATAAAGACTGTTTAAATCCCTGTAATCTCATCAAGTAATGTAACAGTATAACAATATTTTCTCATGTCATTAAACATTCTTTGAAAGTGTGATTTAAATGTGATTTTCCGCAAATGCATGCATCAATCTGTTTTCTATTTATTTAACCATTCCTCTATTAGTAGACATGTAGACAATTTCCAAATATTCATTACACCTTTGTAAATGTATCTTTATTATTATTATTACTATTTTTTTTCTGAGACAGAGTCTTGCTCTGTCACCCAGCCTGGAATGCTGCAACCTCTGCCTCCCAGGTTCAAGTGATTCTCCTGCCTCAGCCTCCTGAGTAGCTGGACTATAGGCATCTGCCACCACACCTGGCTAATTTTTTGTGTTTTTACTAGAGACGGGGTTTCACCGTGTTAGGCAGGATGGTCTTGATCTCCTGACCTCGCAATCCACCCGCCTCGCCCTCTCAAAGTGCTGGGATTACAGGCGTGAGCCACTGCGCTCCGTCATAAATGTGTCTTTAAATATAACTCTAATAATTTTCACAGTGAAGAGCCTTAAAAATACCCTTAAAACCCTATTAAAGACAAAAGGCTGCGCACGGTGGCTCATGCCTGTAATCCCAGCACTTTGGAAGGCCGAGGCAGGCGAATCACTTGAGGCCAGGAGTTTGAGACCAGCCTGTCCAACATGAAACCCCGTCTCTACTAAAAATACAAAAAGTAGCTGGGTGTGGTGGCACGTGACTGTAATCCCAGTTACATGGGAGAGGCAGGAGAATCACTTGAACCCGGGAGGTAGAGGTTGAGTGAGCCAAGATGGCGCCACTGCACTCCAGCCTGGATGGCAGAGTGAGACCCTGTCTCAAAAATAAAAATTAAAATTAAAAAAAAAATCTCTTAAAGACAAAAGAAGTTGAAAAAGATGGCTATACTATATGTATAAAATAGTTTAACAGGCTGGGCACAGTGGCTCACACCTGTAATTCCAGCACTTTGGGAGGCTGAGATGGGAGGATTGCTTGAGGCCGGGAGTTCGAGAGCAGCCTGGTCAACATAGCAAGACCCCCCCATTTCTGTTTTAACATAATAATTTAAAAAGAAAAGAAAGGAGAAATAAAATAGCTCAACAGTAGAAATCTGTAGGCTCTTCTAAAAATAACAATGTATAACACATTTTCAATCAAAATTCCACCTGAACTTCTTTTTTTTTTTTGAGACAGTGTCTTGCTCTGTTGCCAGGCTGGAGTGCAGTGGCATGATCTCGGCTCACTATAACCTCTGCCTCCTTGGTTCAAGCAATTCCCCTGCCTCAGCCTCCTGAGTAGCTGGGATCAGAGGTGTGCACCACCACACTCGGCTAATTTTTTTTTTTTGTATTTTAGTAAAGATGGTGTTTCACCATGTTGGCCAGGGTGGTCTCGATCTCCTGACCTTGTGATTGGCCTCCCAAAGGCCTGGGATTACAGGTGCGAGCCACCATGCCCGGCCTGAATTTCTTATAAGTGATAAATATTCTTTATTTGGTGTTACACATAAATTACACTAAAATGCCTTTCAGCAATTGAAAAGTAGAATTTTAGGTAGGGCACAGTGGCTCACTCCTGTAATTTCAGCCCTTTGGGAGGCCAAGGTAATAGGATTGCTTGAGCCTAGGAGTTTCATACCAGCCTGGGCAACAAAGTGAGGCCCAGTCTCTACATAAAATTTTTTAAAAACCAACCTGGCATGATGGTGCCTGCCTCTAGTCTCAGCAACTCGGGGGCTGAGGTGGGAGGATGGCTTGAGCCTGGGAGGTTGAGCCTGCAGTGAGCTGTTTATCATACCACTGCACTCCAGTCTGGGCGACAAAGCGAGACCCTGTCTCAAAAAAATAAAAAAGAAGAACAAAGAAAGAAAATAAAAATAGCATTTTGGATACCAGGAATTCTAATTAGATTGACATAATTAAGACCAAAAATATAAAGCAGACATTGCTACCTTATCTTCAGCCCTTGCCCTTAACAGGCTAATGATCACAAGTTAAAACACAGGTAATTCTTGCTTGGTTCTGAGATAGTGAAGGGATTTCCCCAGTATTTAAATATATTCATATATTCATTTATATAACTATATAAATCAAAACATAAAATCAATTTCCAATAGGCTTTGTGATGGCATTCTCCATCTTTGTGAAAAGTTGAACATTACTAATCAAGTCCAAACTTATCTTTAGAAGAGGAAACAGTGAGAACATTTACTGAATTGGAATTACTATCAAAATTCAAGAAACTAATTGTATTCATTTAACCATAAGCCAGACTTAGTTAAATCAGGACTGTCTAACAAAAATATTCTGTCAGTCATTAATGATCTGAATTCTGGTGTATGAGATCAATTAAATTATGACACACATTTAAAAAGTCATGAGGCTGGTCACAGTGGCTCATACCTATAATCTCAGCACTTTGGGAGGCCAAAGTGAGAGGACTGCTTGAGGCCTGGAGTTCGAGACCAGCCTGCACAACACTGCAAACTCTCGTCTCTACAAAAAATTAAAAATTAAAGATCAGCCAAGTGTGTTGGCATACGCCTGTAGTCCCAGCTACTCAGGAGGCTTGAGGTGTGAAGATTGCTTGAGCCCAGGAATTTGAGGCTGCAGTGAGCCATGGTTGTGCCACTGCACTCCAGCCTAGACAACAGAACAAGACCCTATCTCTTAAAAGAAAGAAAAAAGTTATGAGACATTTCTGCTTTGTAATAAGGCAGTAGCCAATTATTACTTATTAGGGCTTTTTGAGATAAGCTATCAGGTCTGTCCTTTCTGTCTCCTTCTTAATGCCTGTGAAGATCATTTTTGTTTAAGGTATATTTCTTGAGAATCTCCGAATAGTTCATCAGTGTCTCCTCCCCCCAGATGATGCCTTTGTTCTTACTAATGTCTGTGAGAGAGAATCCAGTGAACTCATCTGTTTTCCAAAGAGGCCATGAAGATTGGGTCCATGTGGCACTGAGCACACTCTGAACAAAAGTCTTCTGCCTTTCTCAACATCACCCATATTTAATCTCTCATCAACGACACTATGAACGTTCCCACTCGGAAGCGGGACAGCCCACTCTCCAGGACTCCAGCTGGATTTTGAGGGGAATGTGACAAATTGATTCTGAAATGAACAAAGAATAGCTAAGACGCAAATAACTAAACTAATTTTGAGAAAGAAGAGCAAAGATAGAGGACTTTTTCTACCAAATATTAAGATAAATCAATCACATTCACAGAAATAAAAACAATTTAATACTGCCACAAGAACAGATAGGCCAGGGGCCGTGGTTCATGCCTGTAATCCCAGCACTATCAGACGGAGGCCGAGGCAGGTGGATCACCTGAGGTCAGGAGTTCGACACCAGCCTGGCCAACATGGTGAAACCCCATCTCTACTAAAAATACAAAAATTAGCCACGTGTGGTGACTCCAGCCTGGGCAACTCCAGCCTGCACTCCAGCCTGGATGACAAGAGCAAAACTCCATCTGAAGAAAAAAAAAAAAAGAACAAATAGATCAATAGATCAGTAGAACAAAATAAGGAGCCCCGAAACAAACCCATGTGCATATTGAAACTTCATATATCATAGAAATGGCATCTTTAATCAATGAAGAAAGAAGGATAGATTTTTTTTTTTTTTTTAGTGAATGACGTTGGGGGAGCTAGTACATGGAGAAAAACCCAGTTGTATTCCTGCCTCATACCATATACAAATGTTAACTGTAATGGATTACTTCCATCTGAAATGGAAATCAGTGAAGATAAGGAAAGTAGAGAAGAATATCTTTGTGACTTTGAAATGGAGGTGTTAGTAAGAAAGGCCTGAAAATCTTACCATAAAGGGGGAAATTTGTGGATTTAAATACAAAAACAAAAACACGCACAAAAAAACACCAGGGTTTCTTTTCAAAGAAGACTATCATAAATAAAGTTAGGGGGCAAGTGATAGCCTAGAAGAGTATATTTGCCACCTATGCAACTCAGGAATTGTTATGTAGAATATACAGAGAAATTCTGTAGATCAAGAAGCAAAAGACGTGAAGTCCAATAGAAAACTACATGATATAGTTTGGATGTGCATCCATGCCCATGAAATGTAATCCCCAGTGTTGGATGTGGGGCCTGGCAGGAAGTGCCCCTGGATCATGGGGGCAGATTTCTCACCAATGGTTTAGCACCATCCTCTTGGTGCCGTCCTCATGATAGCGACTGAGTTCTCACAAGACCTACTCATTTAAAAGTGTGTGGCACCTCCCTCTCTCTCTTGCCCCTGATCCCACCATGTGAGATGCCTGCTCCCTTTTCACCTTCCACCATGACCAAAAGCTTCCTGAGGCCTCCCCAGAAACAGATGCCTTTGTTATGCTTCCTGTAGAGCCTGCAGAACCATTAGCCAGTTAAACTTCTTTTCTTTATAAATTACCCAGTCTCAGGTATTTCTTTATAGCAATGCAAGAACAGCTAATACACTAGATGAAGGATAAAATAGGCAAATCACAGAAGAAGGAATCTGAATGCCTAGTGAATCTATAAAAAGATTCTCAAACTCTCTAGTGAGAAAAAAATTCAAGTTAAAATAACAATAAGATACCACTTCACAGAAATTTAAAGGCTTAGTAATGTCAAGAATTCATAAGAATTGGGAGGATGGGGTAATCTTGGACTGCAAACTAAGGAAGCCACACTGGAAAGTGACTTGCCAGTATTTATGCAACTTAATATGTTCCAGAAATCTCACTCCAAGGAAACTTGCACACAGGTATTCATGAGAACAGATATGAGAATGTGCATCTCAGCATTGTTTGTAGTGGCAGAAGCCTGGAAAAACATGGGACATGATAGGCAGGGACAGAACTCCATCATATGTGATATATGTATTCAATTGAAAACTGGGCAGTGGTCAGAATTAATGGACCAGACATACATTCAGCTATCTAGCTACCTCTTGAAGACATAGTGTCAAGTGGGAAAATATAGAAAACAAAACAAAATCTGTATCAAAGTACCAGTGTAAATTTAAAACACTCTAAGCAATACATAATTTCCAAGCATACTGGTGATGCCTGTGAGAGAGACAGAAAAAATCAGAATGGGCATTAGGAATAAAGAGAAAAAAGAAGGCCTTATATAGACCTGTGATACCAGAGCATAATCAATGCTATTCTTTCAGTTGCTTATGGGAACTAAAATTAAACAGAACAAATTTGAAACAATCCTTGATTTCTTTGTTTCTCTCCCACCCATCATCCAATCCCTCATCTTCCAAATATATATCAAATTAAATCATTTCTCATCTTTTCCATCAATACCCCTCTGGGCATAGTCACCATCACCTATAGCCTAATTACTGCAATAGCCTCCTAACCAGTCTCTTTGCTTTTGCATCCACCTGCCTTTGGTCTATTTTCTTTTCTTTTCTTTCTTTCTGTTTTGTTGTTGTTGTTGTTGTTTGTTTTTTGTTTTTTGTTTTTTTAGACAGAGTTTTGCTCTTGTCACCCAGGCTGGAGTACAATGGCGTGATCTCGGCTTACTGCAACCTCTGCCTCCTTGATTCAAGACATTCTCCTGCCTCAGCCTCCAGAGTAGCTGGAGTTATAGGCTCATGCCACCACACCTGCCTAATTTTTGTATTTTAGTAGAGACGGAGTTTCACCATGTTGGCCAGGCTGGTCTCGAACTCCTAACCTCAAGTGATCCACTCGCCTCGGCATCCCAAAGTGCAGGGATTACAGGTGTGAGCCACCATGCCCGGCCTGGCCCATTTTTAATGAAGCAACAGGAATATACTATTAAACACAAGTCTGATCACCTCAATTTCTGCTTAAGATCCTCTGGTCTCCTACTTCACTCAAGATAAAAGCAAAGGCCTAATGATCCACAAGGCCACATAAGCTTGAGCCCACTGTCTCTGGCCTTATCTCCTCATACTTTCCTTCTGGCCAATCCCTCATGCTACACTGGCCACCTGTTACCCTAGAATATACCAAGCACACTCCGGACTCAGGTCCTTTGCAGGTGTTTTCCCTCTGCCTGGAATGTTTTTTCCCTAGAGTTCTAAACAACTTGTTCCCTCACTTCTTTCAGATCTTTATTCAAAAGTCTCTATGAGACCTTTCCTGGCCACACTATTTAAAATTGCAACCTTCTAGCAGATAAAAGATCTGAACAATGTGAACAAAGCATGTGAACAGATATCTCACCAAAGAAGAAATACAGATGGTAAATCAGCACATGAAAAGACGCTCCACATCATATGTTATGAAGGAATTGCAAAGTAAAACAATAATGAAATGCAGTGTCACACCTATTGGAATAGCTAAAATCCAAAAACCTGACAATCCCAAATGCTAGTAAGAATGTGGAACAACAAGAATTTTCAACCATTGACAGTAGGAATGCAAAATGGCACAGCTACTTCAGTAGGAAGTTTGGCAATTTCTCACAAAGTTAAACACAAACTTACCATATGATCAGTAATTGCACTCCGAGGTATTTACCCAAATGAATTGAAAACTTACATTCACACTTAAACCTGTACATAAATGTATATAGTAGCTTTATTCATAATTGCCCTCCCCCAAAAAATGGAAGCAACCAAGATATCCTTCAACATGTGTATGGATAAAGAAACTAAGGTACATCCATACAATGGAATAGTATTCAGTGATAAAAAGAAAGCAGCTATCATGCCACAAAAAGAGGAAAATGCATATTTCTAAATGAAAGAAATCAGTCTGAAAGGCCACAGATGTGTGATCCCAAATAGATGACATTCTGGAAAAGGCGAAACTGTAGAAGTAGTAAAAAGATTAGTGGCTGCCAGGGGTTAAAGTATAAGAAGAGATTTATAGGTGACAAACAAGGGATTTTGAAAGCAGTGAAATTATTCTGTACAATACTGTAACGGTGGTAAATAATAATATGCATTTGACAAAACCCATAAAACTATACAACACAAGAATGAAATATAATGCAAACCATGGAGTTTAAAACATTATTATTATTAATAATAATGTGTCAATATTGGTTCATCAATGCAGCTAATGTATTATACTAATACAAGATGTTTAATAATATAGGAAACTGTGTTAAGGAGAGGTGTATGTGGAGACTGTACTTTCTGCTCCGTGGGTTTTTTCTGTAAACATAAAACTTTTCTAAAAAATAAAGTTTTTAAATTAAACAAAAAAAAAACATTGCAACTCTCCCCACATCCCACCCCACCCACCCACATAAACACAAAGGTAAGTTCCACCAAGACAGGAAATTGTTTAACATTTTATTTTAATATAATTCAAACTTAACAGAAAATTTGCAAGACTAGGTCAAGAAATTCTAATATACTTGTTTTTTTCTTTTTCTTTTCTTTTTTTTTCTTTTTTGAGACAAGGTCTGGCTCTGTTGCCCAGGCTGGTGTGCAGTGGCATGGTCTCGACTCACTGCAACCTCCACCTCCTGAGCTCAAGCCATCCTCCCACCTCAGCCTCCTAAGTAGCTGAGACTACAGGCACGTGCCACCACACCAAGCTAATTTTTGTATTTTTGGTAGAGACGGAGTTTCACCATGTTGCCCAGGCTGGTCTAAAACTCCTGAGCTCAAGCTATCCACCCGCCTCAGCCTCTCAAAGTACTCGTATTACAGGTATGAGCCACCGCACCGGTCCAAGAAATTCTAATATACTTTTTATCTAAATTCATCAGTTGTTTATTTTCTATCCCTTTGGCCCACTTGCTTTAACATTTCCCTCCTGTCTCGTATATATATACTTTATACTTTATGTATTCTTTGTATATATTACATATGATATGTGTAATTGCAATATATAATAATTATCCAAATCTGAAGATGAAACATCTAAACAATGCTGTTATCTAATTCACAGTCCATATTCAGATATCATCAATTGTCCTAGTGCTTATTTTATAGCTATTTTTCCTAATCCAGGACCCAATCCAGCATTATGCATTGCATGAAGTAGTCTTTGGTCTCCTTTAATCTGGTACATGTCCTCAACTTTATTTTTGTTTTTCTTCACGTTGACATTTTTTTAAGAGCTCGGACCAACTGGGTGCAGTGGCTCATGCCTGTAATCCCAGCACTTTGGGAGGCTGAGATTGGCGGATCACTTGAGTCCAGGAGTTTGAGACCAGCCTGGGTAACATGGCAAAACGCTGTCTCTACAAAAAATATGGGCATCATGTTTGTGTGTGTCTGCAGTCCCAGCTGCTCAGGAGGCTCAAGTGGAAGGATCGCCTGAGCCCTGGAAGTCAAGGCTACAGTGAGCCATGGTCGTGCCACTGAGACCTTGTCTCAACAAAAAAAAAAAAAAAAAAAAAAAGAAAAGTTCAAGCCAGTTGCTCTGTAGATGTCCATCAATTTGAATTTGAGTTTGTCTGATATTTCCTTGTGATCAGATTCAGGTTATGCATTCTGGGCAGGAATACTGCAGACAGTGCATCATATCAAGAGGCACATGATCTGGATTTGTCCCATTGTTTGTGAAGTTATCTTGGTGCTCGCTCTCTCTCCCTCCCTCTCTCTCTTTTAATTTTATTTCCCAGGAATCATACTTCTAAACTAAGTTTGGGAGGTGCCCTCAGATATCTTTATTAAGGTGGCAGCCCTCAGATTTCTTAAAAAAGGAAATCTTGTATGTTTTGTTCACTGCTATATTTCCAAAGCTTAAGAGAGTTCCTGGCACTCAAAAAGAATTTGTTGAGTGAGTGACTAAATGACTTCAACTCTGTGGAGTTGGGAAGACACAGGAGAGGAAGAGAAAGAAGAAATAAGAGGATGAAAAGGTGGAGCAAGGGAACAGTAGTTAAGGTTATAAAGTAAGTCATCAGTCAGTCTGCACACTTTAGCCTCATAAATATTATCCAAAACATTTGTATTAATTGATATAATCAACACTGTGAAACTTTCAGGATCATGATACTCTTGCTTATCCAAAACATTTGTATTAATTGATATAATCAACACTGTGAAACTTTCAGGATCATGATACTCTTGCTAGTATATTAAACATATCTTCCTTTTTTTTTCTTTTCAAGGTTTATTTTAAGTTCAGGGGTACATGTGCCAGATGTGCGGGTTTGTTACATAAGTAAACGTGTGTCATGGTGGTTTGCTTCACAGATCATCCCATCACCTAGGTATTAAGCCCAGTGTCCATTAGCTATTCTTCCTGATGCTTTCTCTCCCCACCTTCCCCACCTCTGACAGGACCCAGTGTGTGTTGTTCCCCACAGTGTGATGCGTCCATGTGTTCTCATTGTTCAGATCCCACTTATAAGTGAGAATACGTGGTGTTTGGTTTTCTGTTACTGCATTAGTTTTTATTTATTTTATTTATTTATTTAAATATATATATTTGTTGTTATATATGTGTGTGTGAGATATATATATATATATATATATATATATATATATATATATATTTGTTTGTTGTTGTTGTTCCTGCATTAGTTTGCTGAGGATAATGGCTTCTAGCTCCATCCATGTCCCTGCAAAGGACATGATCTCATTCCTTTTTATGGATGCGTAGTATTCCAGGGTGTATATGTACCACATTTTCTTTATCCAGTATATCATTGATGGGCATTTAGGTTGAGTCCATGCCTTGTGACCAGTGCTGCAATGAACATATGCATGCATGTATCCTTATAATATAACAATTTATATTCCTACAGGTATATAGCCAGTAATGGGATTCCTGGGTCAAATAGTATTTCTGCCTCTAGGTCTTTGAGGAATCACCACACTGTCTTCCACAATGGTTGAACTAATTTACACTCCCACCAACAGTGTAAAAGCATTCCTTTTTCTCTGCAACCTTGCCAGCATCTGTTTTTTGACTTTTTAATAATAGCCATTCTGACTGGCATGAAATGGTGTCTCATCGTGGTTTTGATTTGCATTGCATTTGCATTTCTCTAATGATTAGTGATGTTGAACATTTTTTCATATGTTTGTTGGTCACATGTATGTCTTATTTTGAGAAGTGTTTGTTCATGTCCTTTGACCACTTTTTAATGGGTTGTTTCTTTTTTTCTTGTAAATTTCTTAAGTTCTTTGTAGACTCTGGATATTAGACCTTTGTCAGATGGATAGATTGCAAAAATTTTCTCACATTCTGTAGGTTGTCTGTTTACTCTGATGATAGTTTATTTTGCTGTGCTGAAGCTCTTTAATTAGATTCCATTTGTCAATTTTTGCTGTTGTTGCAATTGCTTTTAGCATTTTTATCATGAAATCTTTGCCGACACCTATGTCCTGAGTGGTATTGCCTAGATTTTCTTCTAGGGTTTTTGTAGTTTTAGATTTTCCATTTAAGTCTTTAGTCCATCTTGAGTTAATTTTTGTATATAGTGTAAGGAAGGGGTCCAGTTTCAATTTTCTGCATATGGCTAGCTAGTTATCCCAGCACCATTTATTAAACAGGAAATCTCTTCCCTATTGCTTGTTTTTGTCAGGTTTGCCAAAGATCAGATGGTTGTAGGTGTCCAGTCTTATTTATGAGTTCACTATTCTGTCCCATTGGTCTATGTGTCTGTTCTTGTACCAGTATCATGCTGTTTTGGTTACTGTAGCCTTGTAGCAGAGTTTGAAGTTGTGTAGCATAATACCTCCAGCTTTGTTCTTTTAAAGCTAATGAGAACAAAGAGACAACGTACCAGAATCTCTGATATGCAGCTAAAGCCATGTTAAGAGGGAAATTTATAGCACTAAATGACCACATCGAAAAGCTAGAAAGTTCTCAAGTTAACAACCTAATATCTCAACTCCAAGAACTAGAGAACCAAGAGCAAACAAACCCCAAAGCTAGCAGAAGACAAGAAATAACCAAGATCAGACCTGAACTGAAGGAAATAGAGACACAGACAAAAAAAAAAACCCTTCAAAAAAATCAACAAATCCAGGAGCTATTTTTTGAAAAAAATTAATAAAGTAGATAGATGGTTAGCTAGACTAATAAAGAAGAAAAGAGAGAAGAATCAAATAGACACAATCAGAAATGATAATGGGGGCCTGGGCATGGTGGCTCATGCCTGTAATCCCAGCCAGCACTTTGGAAGACTGAGGCAGGTGGATCATTTAAGGTCAGGAGTTCGAGACTGGCCTGGCCAACATGGTGAAACCCTGTCTCTACTAAAAATACAAAAATTAGCCAGGTGTGGTGGCAGGTGCCTGCAATCTCAGCTACTCGGGAGACTGAGGCAGGAGAATCACTTGAATCCAGGAGGCAGAGGTTGCAGTGAGCCGAGATCCCGCCACTGCACTCCAGCCTGGGCGCAGAGAAAGACTCCATCTCACCAAAAAGAAAAGAAATGATAACGGTGATATCACCACTGACTCCACAGAAATACAAAAAAAATTAGAGAATACTATAAACACCTATATGCACATAAACTAGAAAATCTAGAAAAAATAGATAAATAGATAAATTCCTGGACACATACACCCTCCCAAGACTGAACCCGGAAGAAATTGAATCCCTGAATAGACCAATAACGAGTTCTGGAATTGAGGCAGTAATAAATAGCCTAACAACCAAAAAAAGCCCAAGACCAGACGGATTCACAGCTAAATTCCACCAGAGGTACAAAGAAGAACTGATACCATTTCTACTGAAACTATTCCCAAAAATGTAAAAGAAGGGACTCCCTCCTAATTCATTCTATAAGGCCAGCATCATCCTGATACCAAAATCTGGCAGAATTGAGAACGGAGAATTTTTGTACAGTATTTCCCATATTCCTTTGGGATTTTTGTTTTGTTTTGTTTTGTTTTTTTCAAACAGGGTCTTGCTTTGACCCCAGGCTAAAGTGCAGTGACGTACGTGATCACGATTTGCTGTAACCTCAAACTCCTGGGCTCAAGTGATCTTCCTGCCTTAGCCTCCTGAAGTAACTAGGACTACAGGCAGGCACCACCACGCACAGCTGCTTTTTTATTTTTTGTAGAGACGAGGTATCACTATGTTGCCCAGGCTGGTCTCGAGCTCCTTGGTTCAAACGATCCTCCCACCATAGCCTCCCAAAGTGCTGGGATTACAGGCATGAGCCACAGTGCCTGGTCCCTTTGGGATTTTTATTATATAAACAGATAGCAACACACTCACTAGACAACAGTTAACCAAATGGTGGGTATATTTTTCTTATTTATAAGTTTTTATCGAAGAGAATATGCAATTCTTTTTGTCTGACATAATTTCAAGTCTTCAAGATAACAATGAAGTCTACTTGGTAATTGTTCTAAATGTGAATCTAGGTTCCTATTTTCTTTTTTTTTTCTTTTTTTTTTTCTTTCTGGAGACATAGTCTCATGCTGTTGCCCAGGCTGGAGTGCAGTGGCGAGATCTCGGCTCACTGCAACCTCCACCTCCCAGGTTGAAGCAATTCTCCTGCCTCAGCCTCCCCAGTAGCTGGGATTACAGGCATATGCCACCACGCCCACCTAATTTTTTATATTTTTAGTAGACACAGGGTTTCGGCATGTTGCCTAGGCTGGTCTCAAACTCCTGACCTCAAGTGATCTACCCACCTCGGCCTCCCAAAGTGCTGGAATTACAGACGTGAGCCACTGTGCCCAGCCCAGGTTCCTGTTTTCCAAATATTTCTTTCCTTATGTCTTCCACCTCAGCTTCCTGAGTAGCTGGGACTGTAGGCACGGGCCACCACACCCAGGTGTCCTGCCTGTTCAAATAAATTAATTATTATTATTTTGAAACAAGGTTTCACTCTGTTACCCAGGCTGGAGTGCAGTGGCATGATCACGCTCACTGCAGCCTTGACCTCCTGGGCTCGAGTGATCCTCCTGCCTAAGCTTCCTGAGTAACTGGTACTATAGACCAGCACCACCATGTTCAACTAATTTTTTTTTAGAGATGGGGTTTCACTATGTTGCTCAGGCTAGTCTAGAACTCCTGGCCTCATGCAATCCTCCCACCTCAGCCTCCCAAAGCACTGTGATTACAGGCGTAAACCACCATGCCTAGCCTAAATTAATCTTTTTTGAGACAGTCTCACTTTATTACCCAGGCTGGAGTGCAATGGCACAACTTCAACCTACTGCAACCTCCACCTCTCAGGCTTGAGTGATCCTCCCACCTCAGCCTCCCAAGTAGCTGGGATTGTGGGTGTGCACCACCATGCCCAGTTAATTTTTGTAATTTTTTTTTTTTTTTTGAAGAGACAGGGTTTTGCCATGTTGCTCAGGCTGATCTAGAACTTCTGAGCTCAAATGATCTGCCCACCTTGGCCTCCCAAAGTGCTGGGATTATAGGTGCCCGCCACTGCACCTGGTCCTAAATTAATATTTGATAGACAAAATTATTTGCCCCCAGTATGATTAGAAAAAGAAGTGACCTTGTAAGATACACACACACACACAGCCAAAAATGCACCATTTTGACATGGACAAAAGAGGAATTCCATTTTATTGTACTCCACCAAATACTCTTTTATTGACACCAGTTTAATTTCCTATGTTTCTCTTCTGTCGGGTTGAGTCCCTTTCTAACATTTTAGGCAGCATTCTCATTTGGTGATCAATTCTCTTAATTGGTCACTTTTTCTTTTTTTTTTTCTTTTTTTCTGAGACAGAGTCTCGCTCTGTCGCCCAGGCTGGAGTGCAGTGGCATGATCTTGGCTCACTGCAAGCTCCACCTCCTGGGTTCATGCCATTCCCCTGCCTCAGCCTTCTGAGTAGTTGGGACTAAAGGCGCCCACCACCAGGCCGGCTAATTTTTTCTATTTTTAGTAGAGGCGGAGTTTCACCATGTTAGCCAGGATGGTCTTGATCTCCTGACCTTGTGATTTGCCTGTCTCGGCCTCCCAAAGTGCTGGGATTACAGGCATGAGCCACCGCGCCTGGCCAGTCACTTTTTCAATGTAAATATTTTGGGAAAGTTGTACCTTATTTTTGCAGAACTGTCCAGCGAAAGTGAAACACATTCAAATCCTTAGCCTGCTCAAATAGAGCCAGGGTGATCAATGTTTCATTCCTCAAAGGGTATGTCAGATCCAAGAACAGCATCATGGTTTTCCACTCAACAGTATACATAATGAAGGACCTCTAACATCTGGGAATCTTTCTTTCTACACTTTCCTGAACAAAAAAGTCAACCACTGCTTTCCCCAGTTAGATACAAGCACCATTATAACAATTCCACCATGCCATTTTTATATACAAACAGCCCACAGGGAGCAGCACATAATAACATTATCCTCCTCTCACCTCCCACTCTCTTCTAACAGATGAAACACTAAAGCAAGTGAACAAGTGGATAAGCCAATTTAAGAAATTGTGGGAGATGTTTAAAACCTGTTTGGGCATACAAAAGTTTCCAAACTGTCAGGCCCTAAAACCATGAAAAATCTTGGTTCTTATCTGGAAAGTCATGGTACTTAGAATCCATACTAGCCAGTTTGCATTTAGCCATATCATTAAGTCACATTGTTAACTCTCTTTCCATGTAAGCATTCACGGTTTCTCAGTGTTTTTTGTTTTTTTTTTTTTTCCTCAGTCTTTTTTTTGAGAGGAGTTTCACTCTTGTTGCCCAGGCTGGAGTGCAATGGCTGTGATCTCGGCTCACTGCAACCTCTGCCTCCTGGGTTCAAGTGATTCTCCCTCCTCAGCCTCCCGAGTAGCTGGGATTACAGGCACCCTCCACTATGCTCAGCTAATTTTTTGTGTTTTTAGTAGAGACGGGTTTTACTATGTTGGCTAGGCTGGTCTCGAACTCCTGACCTCAGGTGATCCACCTGCCTCAGCCTCCCAAAGTGCTGGGATTACAGGCATGAGCCACTGCGCCCGGCTTTTTTCTCAGTCTTTAAAAAAAGATGTATACCTTTCTTTGCAAAGTAATTGAGTGTCAGGAAGATTTGTTTTTAAATTATGTATTTTTAGATAAAATTGTAATTGAAATAAAATATTGGCCTTAGCAATCTGAAGGAATCTTGCAATAAATTTAATTAGTTACTAATAAGTATTTAGTTAGGTCTACTTGATGCTTTGTACTCTGCTGTTTGAAAATATATTTATATTTGTTCACTTTTTTATTATCTGCTTCCCCCACAGAATGAAAGCGCAATAATCTCAGGGACTTTTTTTGCAAAATCTTTTTCTCTGATTTATCCATTGTATCTATTATATGACAGGAGTTAAATAAATATTTGCTTAATGAATAAAAATATTCCAGCAACTAGCTGAATGTTTCCTTTTTCTCCCTCTAGAAAGCCACCTGAGTGTATCTTTGTCTGCCACAAAATCCCAAACTGCTTTTCTCTAACTCACTGTAGCATTGCTTTATGGAGATTAAACAGAAGTTCACTAACAAATTGCCTCAAAATATTCCCATGGCTACAGTTGGCTTGTGTCATGAAAGTTATTCCTTGGGTATCTTACATTATTCCTTTGATAAAAATCTAAGACATGCACAAGAGGTGAGTTTAGACTAGCTGACTACTCTTGGACAACTTTACAGATTGTTAAATTGTTATGTTAAAACCAAGAATCAATAGTTACTTTGACATAGATTGGGTTATCCCCTAGTTCAAAATATGAGCATCAGCAGATGCACAGAAGTGCTGAGCTAAGCTTGTCATTCTTGAAAGCAGAGCCAAATGGGGATTTTCCTAAGATACAGTCAACCCAGACAGGGAATTAGGCAATTTTAGCCCATCTATTTCATCCTCTCTCTCTGCTCGCATAGTGATTCACAGAAGCAGGAGCAGCTCTGACAGATGGTGCTTAGTAGAACAATTGGTTTGTATGTATTTAACCTGCTCAAAGCGCCAAACCTCCCTCTTGCTATCATCAGTGCCTCTCCTGCCCAAAATCTTACCCAGATTTCTTGGTGCTTCTTTTCTTGCCAGAGACTCTCTCTGATGTTATTTTACCTGATTTCATTCAGGTAGAAATGGTAGGAAGTGCTTTCCAAACTTACCTAATCTTGAGAATCATCTAAAATATTTATTTTGAAATGCAGCTTCCAAAAGAACTACCAAAATAATTATAGCTGAATCGCATCCTGAAAAGCATTCAAAGCAACATGAAAAACAACAATAAAACACAAAAACAGATATACAATTTCTACACCAATGTTTATAGCAGTATTATCCACAATAGCCACAAGATGAAAGCAACCCACAAGATGAATGCTTACATGGAAAGAAAGCTAACAATATGACTTCAGATATTCAGCAACAGATGAATAAAACAAAATGTAGTATATGCATACAATGGAATATTATTCAACCTTAAAGAGGAATGAAATTCTGATACATTTTACAGGATGGATAAACTAGAAAGACATTGTGCTAAGTAAAATAAAAATAGGCCAGACACAAAAGGAAAAATATTGTATGATTCTACTTATATGAGGTACCTAGGGTAGTCAAATTCATAGAGACAGAAGGTGGAATGGTGGTTACCATGGACTGGAGGAGGAGGGAACAGGAATTGGTGTTTAATGGGTAGAGTTTCAGTATGGGATGATGAAAAAGTTCTGGAGTTAGATGGTGGTAGTGGCTGTACAACGATATGAATATATTGCCAGCACAATAGCTCATGCTTGTATTCCCAGCACTGTGAAAGTCCAAGGTGGGAGGATCGATTGAGCCCAGGCGTTCAAGACCAGCCAGGGCAACATAGCGAGAACTTGTCTCTACAAAAAATAAAGTTCCAGCTCCTCAGGAGGCTGAAGTAGCAGGATTACTAGAGCCTGGGAGGTTGAGGCTGCAGTGAGCTGTGATTGTGCCATTGTACTCCAGCCTGGGTGACAAAGCAAGATCCTAGATCAAAAAAACCCAAACTATGTAAATATACTTAATGCCATTGAACTGCACACTTTAAAATGGTTAAGGCCAGACACAGTGGTTCACATCTGTAACCCCAGCACTTTTGGCTGGCTGAGGTGAGAGAATCACTTGGGGCTAGGATTTTGACACCAGCCTGGGCAACATAGCAAGACCCATGTTTATTTACTTATTTAGAGACAAGGTCTGACTCTATCACCGAGGCTGGATTGCAATGGCCTGATCTAAGCACACTGCAACCTCTGCCTCCCAGGTTTAAGCCATCCTCCCACCTCAGCCTCCTGAGTAGCTGGGACTATAGGTGCACACCACCATGCCCAGCTAATTTTTGTATTTTTTGTGGAGACCAGGTTTCGCCATGTTGCCCAAGCGGTTCTCAAACTCATGAGCTCAAACAATCCACCTGTCTTGGCCTCCCAAAGTGCTGGGATTACAGATATGAGCCACCACCCCCGGCCTAAGACCCATCTTAAAAAAAATGGTTAAAATAGTAGATTTTGGCTGGGCATGGTGGCTAACACCTGTAATCCCAGCTCTTTTTGAGAGGCTGAGGCAGGTGGATCGCTTGAGTCCAGAAGTTCGAAACCAGCCTTGGCAACATAGTGAAATCCCTTCTCTACAAAAAAAAAAAAAAAAAAAAAAATTAGCTGGGCACAGTGGTGCACACCTGTAATCCCAGCTCCCAGCTTCTGGGGAGGTTAAGGTGGGAGGATGGCTTGAGCCCAGGAAGAGGGGGGTTGCATTGAGTGAGACTGTCTTCACTGTCTCCCAGAAAAAAAAAAAGGTAGATTTTATGTTATATATATTTTATCACAATTACAAAAACAAATACATAAGACACTCTATTTTCTTTTTTTTTTTTTTTTTCTTTTTTTTGAGACAGAGTCTCACTCTGGCGCCCAGGCTGGAGTAAAGTGGTGTAATCTTGGCTCACTACAAACTCCGCCCCACCAGGTTGAAGCAATTCTCCCACCTCAGCCTCCCCAGTAGCTGGGATTACAGGCATGCACCACCATGGCCAGTTTATTTTTGTATTTTTAGTAGAGACGGGGTTTCACCATGTTGGCCAGGCTGGTCTCGAACTGCTGACGTCAGGTGATCTGCCCGCCTCGGCCTCCCAAAGTGCTGGGATTACAGGTGTGAGCCACTGCACCTGGCCAAAACACTCCATAGTTCAGTGAGACTAGGATAAAATAGATAAAATCTGCAGACTCCAAAACACCTATTAGGGCAGCTAAAAACAGTGGAGGATAGGCAAAAGTCATATGATAGAAAGTGGAGAGAAGAAATTTGAAGGATGATGAGAGGTTATTTTTATTAGAGCTCAGGAAATACCAGGGTGGGGGTCACTTTCTGAAAGCGAGGGGCCCAGTCTGCAGTTCAAAGGCAATATCACTTGTTTGCACAAAGGGTTATGGGAAGTGGGGTAAGCAAGGCTCTTAGCAGAAGCCCTCCTGGACATTGTGTGATCCAGAGAAGTAGGCATGTAAGGACTACCTAAAGAATTACACAGATAATTCAAACAGATAGGACTGGTATATTTCTGCTGCAAAGGAGAGAGCCTTTGGGTTGTAAAATCTCAAAGGTTACCCTGACTCACCTCTTTTGCTATGCAATAATCTCCTACAAATAGTTAAGTTAATAGGAATCTAACTCGGGCAGGCATGGTGGCTCATGCCTATAATCCTAGCACTTTGGGAGTCTGAGGTGGGAGAACTGCATGAGCTCAGGAGTTTGAGACCTGCCTGGGCAACAAGGTGTGACCGTGTCTCTACAACAAAATTTAAAAATTAGCCGGGCATGGTGGCATGCACCTGTGGTCCCAGCTATACCAGAGACACTGAGGCAAGAGGATTACTCAGGCCCAGGAGGTTGAAGCTGTAATGAACTGTGTTCGTGCCACTGCCCTCCAGCCTGGGTAACTGAGTGAGACTCTGTCTAAAAAAAAGAAAAAAGTAAAAAGACAATCTAACTCATTTATTGTTAGGCAATAAAAAACAAAAAATTGGCTGGGCGCGGTGGCTTATGCCTATAACCTCAGCACTTTGGAAGGCGGAGACAGGCGGATCATGAGGTCAGGAGATCGAGACCATCCTGGCTAACACAGTGAAATGCCGTCTCTACTAAAAATACAAAAAATTAGCCTGGCGTGGTGGCCGGCGCCTGTAGTCCCAGCTACTTGGGAGGCTGAGGCAGGAGAGTGGCGTGAACCTGGGAGGCGGAGCTTGTAGTGAGCCGAGATCGTGCCACTGCACTACAGCCTGGGCGACAGAGCGAGACTCCGTCTCAAAAAAAAAAAAAAAAAAAAAATCTGGCACTGGCAGCATTGATACAAACATACCAAAAGAAAAATTGTGGGCCAGGCATTGTGGCTTACTCCTGTAATCCTAGCACTTTGGGAGGCTGAGGTGAGCAGATCACCTGAGGTCAGGAGTTTGAGACCAGCCTGGCCAACATGGTGAAGCCCCATCTCTACTAAAAATACAAAAACTTAGCCGGGTGTGGTGGTGGGCACCTTTAGTCCCAGCTACTCAAGAGGTTGAGGCATGAGAATTGCTTGAAACTGGGAGGTGGAGGTTGCAGTGAGCCGAGATGGGGCCACTGTGCTCCAGCCTGGGTGACAGAGTGAAGACCGTGTCTCAAAAAAAGAAAGAAAAACTGAAAACAATTACAAAGTTACCAATGAACAAATCATACTAACCAAGAGAATAATAGCCATCAAAAAACAGATGAGCCTGGCCACAGTGGCTCACACCTGTAATCCCAGGGCTTTGGGAGGCCGAGGTGGGTAAGTTGCTTGAGCCCAGGAGTTTGAGACCAGCCTGGGCAACATGGTGAAACCCTATTGTCTCTACAAAAAAAATACAAAAATTAGCCAGGTGTGATGTCACGTGCCTATAGTCCAGCTACTCGAGAGGCTGAAGTGGGAGGATCACTTGAGTCCAGGGAGTTCAAGGCTGCAGTGAACCATGATCCCACCACTGCCCTCCAGCCTGGACTATAGAGAAGAAAGAAAAAGGAAAGGAAAGGAGGGGAGGGGAGGAGAGGGGAAGGGAGGGGAGGAAATAGGGAGGGAAGAAAGAAAAGAAAGGAAGGAAGGAAGGGACGAAGGAAGGAAGGAAGTGAAGAATCAGGCCGGGAAGGAAGAAAATAAAGGGAAGGAAGAAAATAAAGGAAAGGAAGGAAAGAACGAGGGAAGGAAGGAAGGAAGGAAGGAAGGAAGGAAGGAAGGAAGGAAGGAAGGAAAAAGAAAGACAAGACAAGAGAGAAAAGAACTAGGCTGGGCGCAGTGGCTCACACCTGTAATCCCAGCACTTTGGGAGGCCAAGGCGGGCAGACCACCTGAGGTCAGGAGTTCGAGACCAGCCTGGCCAACATGGTGAAACCCTGTCTCTACTAAAAATACAAAAATTAACTGGGCACAATGGTGGGTGCCTGTAGTCCCAGCTACTTGGCAGGCTGAGGCAGGAGAATGGCTTAAACCCAGAATGCAGAGGTTGCAGTGAGCCGAGATCCCACCACTGCACTCCAGCCTGGGGGACAGAGTAAGACCCTGTCTCAAAAAAAAGAAAAAAGAAAAGAAAAAGAAAAAGAACAGAACTCTGGGAAGAAATGATGAGAAATAGTAGGAGGTAACATGTGAACTGAACATACAGGAAAAAATAAATAAATCCAATAAGAATAAGGATGAAATTAGAAGGAGCACAAGAAAAGTGAAATACAGAGTTTAAAAGAATTGGAGAAAGATTATAGAGAAAACAAATTAAGGAGTGCCAACATTTGCATAATTGAAGCCCTTGCAGTTGTAGAAGTGTTGAGATTGAGGTGTCGGCAGACATGTTCTGTTTGGATCTCACGTTATTTATAACTATGTGTGTAATTAAATGCCATCACTTAACGATTGGAAGATTTCACCCCCAAAAAATTCTATTTGGCTTCTTTCAAAAAGATCAGAACCACTATAACACCAAAACTGCATTTCTGCCTAGCCTCAGTTGCATAGAGCCAATCAATAGCTCCTGCCACTTTAGTGTAGCACAAATTCACCCAGATATCCACAGTCTGCACTGGACTCTCACCTCCTGCAGACATTTGGGTTTGGGATCCTGGTATACGCAATGTGATAAGGTAGTTTTTAAAAAGCACCTCTTATGAGAGCTGGTCATTTAAAAAAAAAAAAAGCATAGATGGGCCAGCCACGGTGGCACACGCCTCTAATCCCAGTGTTTTGGGAGGCCTAGTTGGGCAGATCACTTGAGCTCAAGAATTTGAGACCAGACTGGGCAACATGTTGAAACCCCATCTCCACAAAAAATACAAAAATTAGCCAGGCGTGATGGCACATGCCTGTAGTCCCAGCTACTTGGGAGGCTGAAGTGGGAGGATCACTTGAGCCCTGGAGGTTGAGGCTGCAGTGAGCTGTGATCATGCCACTGCACTCTAGCCTGGGCAACAGAGCAAGACCCTGTCTTAAAAAAATAAAAGTAATAAAAGAAAAATAATAAACCTCCATCTCCTCACCTGCAAAATGGCCAGACTACCTGTCTTATAAGGGTTTCCTAGGAGAGTTTAATGAAAAAATGCACATAAAGCTCAATAGTAATTGTTAACAAATGATAGAAAAAAATGACCAATTAAAAATTAGAGGCTGGGCATGGTGGCTTATGGCTGTAATCCCAGCAATTTGGGAGGCCAAGGCAGGTAGATCACCTGAGTTCAGGAGTTCGAGACCAGCCTGGCCAACATGGTGAAATCCTGTCTCTACTAAAAATACAAAAATTAGCTGGGCATGGTAGCACACATCTGTAATCCCAGCTACCCAGGAGGCTGAGGCAGAAGAATCGCTTGAACTGGGGAGGCAGCAGTTGCAGTGAGCCAAGATCGTGCCACTGCACTCCAGCCTGGGTGACAGAGCAAGACTCCATCTCAAACAAACAAACAAACAAACAAACAAAGAATTGAAAACACAATTCTAGAACTGCAGATAGAATCAGAGCTATGGTTCATGGATTGGAAAGTGCTGTATAGGTCTGTCCTAGATTTAGGACTTTATGACTGATGTGTCAGAACTTCTCCTCTAGCTCCCCATCTCCATGTCTCAATCCCTAAGAGTTAACAGATAGAAAGAGCCCAATAAATGTGGAAGGAAGGAAGAAAAGGAGAAGGGAAGAATGAGTGAAGGAGCTGAAAAAAAGAATAAACCCAAGATGTTTTCTTTTATTTATAAAGTAGAAGAAAAAGGAAGTTTCCAATTTATCTCAGTTTGTTTCGGCCCACCCATCACCATCCCTCTGCCAATAAAAAATGTTAACTGAGGCATACAGTTACATTCTATACCCCCAGTTCCAAAGAAAAGATTTTGAAAAGACACACACTTAGGTTGACTGCAAAATAAATCTCTAAGCCTCCCTGAGTAAGATACTATTTGGATAGTATTTAATAGAGGTATTTGTTATACCTAAATCATAATACTAACAAAAACCAACAACAACAAAAAAGTGATTACAACTACGATTTAGTGTAAAAAGCTTCAAATAAAAGATGGTTTTGTGTAAGGGAGGGCCAATTTACCCTTTTCTGTTGTAAAAAACATATATAATTTTAACTTTTGAATTCTCCACACAAGCAGTATTCAACCCTGTAAACACCTTTTGTTCATGCTTCTGCCAAACACATTTTCTAGTAGCCACATTTATTTTAATTTAATTTCTTCCAAACACACTATTTTGTTTTTTTGTTTGTTTGTTTTTTGTGACGAGGTCTTGTTCTATCGACTAGGCTGGAGTGCAGTGGTAAGATCTCAGCTCACTGCAGCCTTCACCTCCTGAGCTCGAGCAATCCTCCCTCCTCAGCCTCCTGAGTAGCTGGGACTACAGGTTCACATCACCATGCCCAGATAATTTTTTCTATTTTTTTGTAGAAACAGGGTCTCACTATGTTGCCCAGGCTGGTCTTGAACTTCTGGCCTCAATTGATCCTCCTGCCTCTGCCTCTCAAAGTGCTGAAATTACAGGCATGAGACACTATGCCCAGCCATATTTTCCTTTTTTAAAACAGCATGTCAAAATTGAAGTTTTAAGTCTTCCCAATGTTCTAATACCTGAATACCAAACTATGTTTGGCTTATTCTGTTAGCATGTTCCTGATTTCACTTCTTTGTAGCTGAGGAAAATAGTCATATTAAGTCTGAAACTGAATTAACTCTCATTTTTTAAAAAAGCTGGGTGAGTTAAATTACCAACAGTTTTGATTGATAAGATATTTTATAATGTCATAAATACTGGAAGCAAGAGCATAAATTGTCTGGAAACAACTAGGTCATCTTTTACTACAAATAAATATTATTGCCAGCGGATTTCAAAGATTCACTTAAGTACTGCAAAAACCGTAAGGTAGGTTCTTGAATGCGACTATTTGGCTGAAAACTCTAGATTATTCTTGGAAAGAAACTAGCACCAGGAGAGACAATGTTAGCACTAAGGAACACATCCAAGTCATGCAGCACCAAAGTATGTGAGCAGTGGCGAATCTATATGAGTCTGAAGCAACCTCAATTCTTGCCTTGTCGGAGGAAAGAATTCATCCAAGTGCCATAAGGTAGAGGGAGAGACCAAGGCAAGTTTTAGAGCAGGAGTGAAAGTTTGTTAAAAAGCTTTAAAGTGGAACCAAAGGAAGTAAAGTACCCTTGGAAGAGGGCCAAGCAGACAACTTGTGAGATTCACGTGCATGGTGTGACCTTTGATTTGGGGTCTTATATGTTGGCATGCTTTTGGGGTCTTCTGTTACTTCTCCCTGATCCCTTGAGGTGAGCTGTCTGCATGCACAGTGGCCTGCTAGCCCATAGGAGGGGCCACATGCACAGTATGTTTACTGAAATTGTACACATGTTCACCTGAGGCATTCTTCCCTTACCAGCTAAGTGTTCCTAGAAGGAGGTCATATACCAGTTAAACTCTGCCATTTTGCCTCTTAGTGAACATGCTTGAGCCCACTTGCCTAACTCCTGAAATCTTACAGGGAAGTTGCCGATCACCAGCTTCAGGTGTTTATTTATTGGGAGACTGCCTGTCCCTGGCATCAGCTGAGACCAATTATTATTTTACAGAGACAGTTTAACAACTACCTGACCATCACCTGATGGTCACTTGACATTACTGGTAGGGACAGCCCTCTCCTGCCCTAGCCATGTCTGACTATCTACTGTAACAAAAATAACAGGCTCTTGGCAGGAGAAGGAGTGCTATGAAGAGTATTCTATTATCATATGAAGGAATGGGTATGGGGTTCAAAGTCAGTTGCCATTAAGTGCATACGTTTTTAAAGTCTAATTGTTCTAAACTATCTCAACCAAAGGATAATTGTGGTCTTTATTTCCATGAAGCTATGCTCAAGGATACATAGAACTGGAAGATTATTGAGCTCATCCAGTCTAGTTTGCTCATTTTACCATAGGAAACTGAAGATCAGAAATGTGGCCTGCTCATGGTGACCAGATCACAAGGTCCTTTTGAATCCCCTTGCCTCAGCAGCAATTGCACCAAGCACACATTATTTGATAAAAAGGTGATGAATTTATATTCATGAACAAAGAATGAATAGTGTCATCATCATTTACATTCTAGACGTGCTTCGGGGAAAAGGTGTTATGCACTGAATGTTTATGTCTTCCCAAAATTCGTATGTTGAAGAGTTAACTCCTGATGTGATGGTGTTAGGAGGTGAGGCCTTTGGGAAGTAATTAGGTTTAGATGATGCCATGAGAGTAGAGTCCCCATGATACAATTAGTGCTCTTATAAAAAGAGATACCAAATCAAGCTCTCTCTCTCTCTCTCTTTCTGTCCCGCATGTGAGGATACAGCAAGAAGACGGCCACTTGCAAGCCAGGAAGAGAGCCCTCACCAGAAACCAAACTGGCCAGCACCTTGATCTTGGACTTCCCAGCCTCCAAAACTGTGAGAAATAAATGTCTGTTTAACCACACAGTCTATGGTATTTTGTTATAGCAACCCAAGCTGACTAAGACAGAAGGTTTCCCAAAAGAAAGATTTCTAAAAGAGGGTGAAGTAAAAATATGATGTAGAATATATCACGGAGAAAATCCTTTTAAAGAATATTTTATTGTGGAAATTTTTTTAATTCATAAAATGAGAGAATATAATGAATCCCTATCACCACTTTAAACAGTTATCAATATTCTGCCATTCTTATTACAAATGTATTCCCCTACATTCTTTTTCATTTCGCTTTGTTTTGTTTAGTGGAACATTTTGCTTTTTTCATATTAATTTTTTTATTTTTATTAACTTACCACCATACTAATCGAGATGGTATATTTTTTTAATTTTTAATTTTTTTTTTTGTAAATTCAGATTTAGGCCTACAGAGAAGATGGTGGAATACATATATTGTTTGTTTGTTTGTTTGTTTGAGACAGAGTCTCACTCTGTCACCCAGGCTGGAGAGCAGTTGTGTGATCTTGGCTCACTGCAGCCTCTGCCTCCCAGGTTCAAACAATTCTCATGCCTCAGCCTCCCGAGTAACTGGAATTACAGGTGTGTACCACCACCCCCAGCTAGTGGTGGAATATTTTTAAAGCAAAACCAAGATTTTGCATGCTTTTTTTTGTTTAAGACACAGTCTCGCTCTGTCACCCAGGTTGGAGTGCAGGTACGTGATCTCAGCTCACTGCAAACTCCACCTCCCAGGTTCTAGTGATTCTCATGCCTCAGCCTCCCAAGGAGCTGGGATTACAGGCGTGCATCACCATATGCAGCTGATTTTTATAATTTTTTTTGTAGATACAGTGTTTCACCATGTTGGCCAGGCTGGTCTTGAACTCCTGGCCTCAAGTGATCTTGAGATCTGCCTGTCTCAGCCTCCCAAAGTTCTGGGATTATAGGTGTGAGCCACCATGCCCAGCCCTTTTTTTTTTTTTTTTTTTTTTTTGAGACATGCTCTCACTGGGTTGCCCAGGCTGGAGAGCAGTCATGTGATCATGGCTCACTGCAGCCTCAACCTCCTAGGCTCAGGTGATCCTTCCACCTCAGCCACAGATAGCTGGGGCTATAGGCACACACCACCACACCTGGATAACTTTTTGTATTTTTTGTAGAGACAAGGTTTGTCATGTTGCCTGGGCTGGTCTTGAACTCCTGGGATCAGGCAATCTGCCTGCCTTGGCCTTCCAAAGTGCTAGAATTACAGGTATGAGCCACCACACCTGGCCTTTTGCATCATTTTTAACTATAAATATTTCTACAAGTATCTCTAAGAGATGAGAATTTTTTAAACAACGTAATCACAATAACTTTTTCATATCCCATAATATTAAGAAGAAATCCTTAACTAGGCTAAGATCTAGTCCAGGAGAAATTTAATTTTATCAGAGCATTCATAAATGGATCAAGTTTTCGAGTGATAGCTTTTCAATGAGACTAAGAATTTTAAAAAGAGGAAAACTTTCAAAATTAAAATTGCAATCTCATTTTTTCTCATATTGCTCTGCAAATATAAATCTGGGCACTCAAACTCCAGAAGAGGATAAAAATAGCCCTATGAATCAAAACCATTAATCATATCCTGTTATTTTTAGTTATCTGTTTCTTCCTGATGTTTTAACTCAACATCAGTTTAATATATTTAATCATATTTTTTAAAAAGAAAAATATTTTAGATCCATCATGAAAAATTTTAACCAAAAGATAAATTGAAAGCTAAAGCAGGATGGTTGTCTAAGCCTGTGTCCATAACTTTGCACGAGACACTTAGTCATTTGGAAAGTCCTGTGTTAATAGCCTGTTCTATGACTCAATTATCTCCCACATAGAGACAGTACAAAACACCCTTAAGAAAACTCACACCTAGGCTGGGCACAGTGGCTCACACCTGTAATCCCAGCCCTTTGGGAGGCTGAGGTGGGTGGATCACCTAAGACCAGGAGTTCGAGACCAGCCTGGGCAACATGGTGAAACCATGTCTCTACTAAAAATACAAAAAATTAGCCAGGCCATGGTGGCGGGCACCTGTAATCCCAGCTACTCAGGAGCCTGAGGGAGAATTGCTTGAAGCCGGGGGGCAGAGGCATCAGTGAGCCGAGATTGCGCCATTGCATTCCAGCCTGGGCAACAAGAGCGAAACCCCATCTCAAAAAAGAAAAATAATAATAATAAGGCAAAAAAAACCTCACACCTAAAAAAAATGTAAAAATCACACAACATAAATGACCACTGGGTCACAGATGAAATTACCCTCCATACTAAAAGCAGACCCTAATAATGGCAATTTTGAGATAGCCTATAAAACGTGTGGCTCGGGGCCAGGGTGCAGTGGCTCACGCCTGTAATCCCAGCACTTTGGGAGGTCGAGGTGGGTGGATCACCTGAGGTTGGGAGATCGAGACCAGCCTGACCAACATGGTGAAACCCCGTCTCTACTAAATATACAAAATTAGCCAGGCGTGGTGGCATATGCCTGTAATCCCAGCTACTCAGGAGGCTGAGGCAGGAGAATCTCTTGAACTGGGAGGCAGAGGTTGCAGTGAGCTGAGATCGCAACACTGCACTCGAGCCTGAGTGACAGAGCTAGACTCCGTCTCAAAAAAAAAAAAAAAAAAAAAACATGTGGCTCTGAGTAAACTCTAAGTACCAGTGTTTTATTTTCACTAAAATGTTTAGAAAGATTCTTTCATACATAAAAGATGCTCAACAGTATTTGTTGATTCAATTTAATATTGAAACTAAAATTTTCCAACATAGCAAGTATTGAATTTCAGAGTAGGTAAAACATAGTGGATATGCATTATCCTGCATCCTGGAACTCAGTAGGGAAAAAAGGGGCTTTTTTCTTTTCTTTTCTTTTCTTTCTTTCTTATTTATTTATTTATTTATATATTTATTTGAGACTGTGTCTTGCTTTGTTGCCCAGGCTGGAATGCAGTGGTGTGGTCATAGCTCACTGAAGCCTTGACCTCCGGGCTCAAGCTGTCCTCCCACCTCAGCCTCCTGTGCAGCCAGGACCACAGGCACACACCAACACATCTAGCTAGTTTTTAATTTCTTTTTTTTCTTTTTTTGAGACAGAGTCTCGCTCTGTCACCCAGGCTGGAGTGCAGTGGCGCGATCTCGGCTCACTGCAAGCTCCGCCTCCCGGGTTCACGCCATTCTCCTGCCTCAGCCTCCCAAGTAGCTGGGACTACAGGCACCCGCCACCATACCCGGCTAATATTTTGTACTTTTAGTAAAGATGGGGTTTCACCGTGTTAGCCAGTATGGTCTCGATCTCCTGACCTTGTGATCCGCCTGCTTCAGCCTCTCAAAGTGCTAGGATTACAGGCATGAGCCACTGCACTCGGCCTAATTTTTAATTTTTTTGTACAGACAAAGTCTCCTTATGTTGTCCAGACTGAAAAGCTTTTTCTTATACACTTTTTAATCTACATTCAGTACATTACCTGCTGTCCCAAATATGTACATTTATATATTTAAATTCAGTGTTCATGCTGAATTTGTGCTGGCAGGATGGAGACATACAGCATCCCTACATTACCCCCATTCATAACTTCCAGGACTGTTCACAGGATGAGCGATGATGGGGACATTTTCTGGATATTGATAGAAAGGCACTTATCAATACTTCCTGTTTACGTATCAGTGAAGTGCTGATTTTTTTTTTTTTGGAAGAACACCCTAGTTGGTAAGGATGTCGTACCTCTCCAGAAAATTCTACTGTTGCCCTAGACCTAAATACATAGAAAAAAAAAGAAAAAAGAAAATTCTATTGCACCCTTTTCTAGCCTGAAATTTATCAGGGCTATGTAGAATTTACTTATCACATGTGTTCTAATTACATACCAGCATATATATAAACACAAAATATCAGCCCACATATTTTTCTACCAGCACACTTTCACTCCCAACAGTCACATGAATAAAGTAACAACACATGACCCTCTCCCAAAGTTTTAGGCTATGTTTTGCAGGAAGGATAATATGGGCAAATAAATTCATGTTAACCAGAGCAAAAAACAAACCAACAAACAAAAAAAACTAATGTACCTTGATGCAGTTTTCCTTATAAGTTATGTTTATTCTTCTCCCATTCATCTTTGTGAATAGGAACAATGTCTTCATTATGTTTGCTCCCTCAGAAGAGTGCATCGGAATCACATGAAGAGTTTTTGTTAAAAAAACACCAGTTCCCAGGATTACCCTTTATCAGGAACTTCAGAGAGTAGGGCTCAAGAATCTGTTACCTTAACAGTTCCTCAGATGCTTTTTCTGTTGACCAATACCAACAGCATATGAGAATTACTGCCCAGGGTACCCAGAGCAGCTCACTACATATAGTAGTTGTATATAAATGTTCAATGAATGAGTAAATAAACAAATGAATCAAAACTGGAAATGCACTGGGCTGGGTGGCTCACACCTGTAATCCCAGCACTTTGGGAGGCCGAGACGGGCGGATCACTTGAGGTCATGAGTTTGAGACCAGCCTGGCCAACATGGTGAAACCCTGTCCCTACTAAAAATACAAAAATTAGCCGGGCATGGTGGTGGGTGCCTGCAGTCTCAGCTACTAGGGAGGCTGAGGCATGAGAATCACGTAAATCCTTGAGGTGGAGGTTGCAGTGAGACAAGATCATGCCACTGCACTCCAGCCTGGGGGACAGAGCGAGACTCTGTCTCAAAAACAAAAATAAATTAATTAATTAATTAAAATGTATTTTAAAAACTGTGGAAATGAGCAACTCTGTGAGCTCTGACCACACCCGAGGCCTATTGGTCTATGAGTCTTCTAAGTGTCTTGCATCTTACATCATTTGGCCAGATAGATGCTGGCTCAACTCTGATCTGTGTTGCCTCATTGCATTTCACTCCTGAGCAGCCAGCAGGACCCCACCTCAAAAAACAAGCTGCCTGGCATGTGGCTCATGCCTGTAATCCCAGCACTTTGGGAGGCCGAGGTGGGCAGATCACCTGAGGTTGGGAGTTTAAGACCAGTCTGACCAACATGGAGAAACCCCATCTCTACTAAAAATACAAAATTAGCCAGGTGTGGTGGTGCATGCCTGTAATCCCAGCTACTCAGGAGACTGAGGCAGGAGAATCACTTGAACCCGGGAGGCAGAAGTTGCTGTGAGCCGAGATTGTGCCGTTGCACTCCAGCCTGAGCAACAAGAGCGAAACTCTCAAAAACAAACAAACAAGCAAACAAACTAAAAAACAAAACAAAACAAAACAAAAAGAAAGCTTTGCCTTATTTATCTCCTGGCTTGTAAATTAAGGAGACTGAAATCCTAAATCCTAGTCCACAGAAATACCTACTGGCATTCAATATATTGCTAAAATAATTAATTGGGAAACCATTAGGCTGAGAAGGCTGCAGTGCCTTGGGTTCCTACATAAGCAAACCAAAAGCCCACTCAGTGTAAACAGTAAAACAAAACATAAGCTTAACCAGTCAGAAACCATAAACTGGCTGGGTGTGGTGGCTCGCTCATGCCTGTAATCTCAGTACCTTGGGAGGCCAAGGTGGGCGCATTTCCTTGAGGTCAGGAGTTTGAGACCAGCCTGGGCAACACGGTGAAACCCCATCTCACCAGGCAACGTGAGCGTGCGCCTATAGTCCCAGCTATTCAGGAGGCTAAGGTGGGAGAATCTCTTGAGCTTGGGAGGTTGAGCAGAGCACTGAGCTGTGATTGTGCCACTGCCCTTCAGCCGTGGCAACAGAGTGAGACCCTGTTTCAAAAAGAAAAGAAAAGAAACCACAAGCTAACCTTTAACTAGAGACATTAACAATCATAAACTGCCAACTCTAACCTCTAACTAGGGACTTTTCTCTTTAACCAAATATTTTATTTGTCTTGCTTGTGCGAGCACCTTATAAAAATTTCCCCCTCATGTTCCCTCAGTGGAGTCCTGAACCACTTGTGATCCAGTGCTGCTTAATTCGTGAATCACTGAATGTTTAAATAAACTCATTAAAATTTTAAGGTGCTGAGGGCCAGGCGCCCTAGCTTGTGCCTGTAATCCCAGCTACTTGAGAGGCTGAGGCAGGAGGATCATTTGAGCCCAGGCGTTGGGGCTGTAGTGAGCTACGATTGTACCACTACACTCCAGACTGGGTGACAGAGCAAGATCCTGTGTCTGAAGAAATAAATAAATAAAAATTTTATCTTGCTATGTACTGTTTACTTTGTATATGCCAGGCATAGTAGAGGATACAAAATAATTATAAAGTTTGATACCTGCATGTATTAGTCCGTTTTCACACTGTTAATAAAGACATATCTGAGACTGGGTAATTTATAAAGAAAAAGAGGTTTAATGGACTCACAGTTCCACATGACTGGAGAGGCCTCACAATCATGGCAGAAGGCAAGGAGGAGCAATGCCATGTCTTACATGGCAGCAGACAAGAGAGAGTGTGCAGGGGAACTGCGCTTTATAAAACCATCAGATTTCCTGAACTTATGCACTCACGAGAACAGCACGGGAAAAACCCACTCCCATGAATCAATTACCCCCCACCAGATCTCTCTCACAACACATGGGGATTATGGGAATTACAATTCAAGATGAGATTTGGGTGGGGACGCAGCCAAACTATATCAGTGCCCTTGGATACTTTTTACATTTAATGTTGGAAAGAGGAAAAAATGTGTCATATCCTATGCTAAGAACTTTGTTGACATCATTTAATTCATTCCTTGGAGCAATTATGTAAGAGGTGTGGTGCGGGATGTATTATTATCTCTATCTCACAGGTTAAAAAAAAGAAAAAAAAAATCCTACAAAGGCTCAAGAGGTAAAATACCAGCTAAAGGTTATATATTGGCACAGTTTGAATTTGAACTTCCCTGACTCAGAACCCAAGCTATTGTCACTAGCCTATTATACATGCAAGTGCAATGGAAGTTACTATCCATTCAATATCTACCCAAGAAATATAAAATATGCCTTTACTGTGCACTAGGCCCTGATGTAAATACAGATCACACATGGCAGACATTTAATAGTCACAGCAATGAGTATTATGAAGGAAAACTGTAGGATGTTACACAGTAGCCTGTAACCAGTAACTTATCTTGGTCTGTTAAAGAAAGAATTGTTCTAACACTCGTTAAAGACGGTAAAGCTGACTTTATTGGAGGAGGGCCATGGCAATGGGTATAGAAACAACTGTAATGAGGTCTTGCAGTGGGGGAAGGAGATTAGACTCAACTCTGACTCCAACAAAAACAAGGGAAATTTGTAACCAAGTAGCGAGATGGGAGTCAAGTCAGTGGTTGGAAAATTACTTAGAGGGAACATCAAGGATAAGGAGATTTCTGGCTAAATCAACTTCATAGTATTATTGTTAAGGTTAGCCTAGAGTGGTAAGATATGGGGGTAATGAGATAACAAGGGTGGGGAATTTTTCACTAAATCGACTTAGTGGGATTTTTGTTCAAACTGGATTCTATGAGGACAGAGAGGGAAGCCCAGAGAGGTTTATTCAAGCAGAGGACTCAGAGGAGGCTGATTAGAGTTTTGGTGAAAGGAGAGAGTCTTTGGCAGGTCTAAGGATTCAGCAAGTAGCTGAATCCTAAGTCCAGCAACTCTACTTTCTAGTTTCATGATTTGGGGGAAGGAACAGTTTATTATCTGCAAAATAAGGGATATAATGCAAATCGTAAGTTTTGTGAGACTTACCAGATAAAATGTTAAAAGCACAGAATCTAACAAAAAGTAAGCGCTCAATAAACATTACTTAGCAATTACTTTAAACATACATATTAAATAAATATTACATTTAAATATTCGTATCTTTTTATGATCAGGCCTGGAGAAAATTTAAGATGATGCAAATGCAGGGATAAAAGCAGATGAAAATGAGCAGTAGAAACAGAGGAAGGAGCACAGTCAAAGGCCCTGAGGCATGAGAAGCAAGGCATCACAGAACTCGGTTTTAAGGTCCAGTCCTGCCTGGCTGAAAAAAAGAGAACCCTGCCAGGGGAAGCTGGAAAGATGGGTAAGGGACACACCAAAATGTCAAAATTTATCAACTTACATACTTTAATTTTTTATTTATTATTATTTTTTAAATTGAGCTGAGGCTTTTGCTATGTTGTCAAGGCTGGTCTCAAACATCTGGGCTCAAATGATCCTCCCACCTTGGCCTCCTGAGTAGCTGGAACTACAAGTGTGCACTGCCACACCTGGCTGACCTGTATGCTCTAAACATACACAGCATACTGGATGTCATACATACCTCAACAAATCAATTCAGTGTAATAAAATTATAAGAAAAAATAAGTCACTTTGATAAAGACAAAGGTAAAGAGAGGAAAACAAAATAGCAGTGACCTTAATAGTTTACTTAAATGACATATGGTGGTGACTTAGATTACAATGGTGGCAACTGGAATGGGGAAAAAAAATAAGGACTTGGCGATTGATTAGATATAGTGATTTTCAGGATAAAGGAGAAAATGACATCTGGTGGATTTTCCTGATTTCTGGCTTCAGCAAACTGGATAGATGATGGTATTGCAGGCTGGCTTCTTTGGGGTAACAGTCAAATTAGCATGCAGAACACTAACTAGCATGCTTTGGGGAACACCAGGGGAAAGGAGGAGAGAGAAGCAGAATCAGACAGACTGAGAAGTTGATCTATGATAAGTCCCAATGAAGGCTTTTGCCAACAGTACATGAAGTTCTGAAACTGAAGTATCCGTTCATAATGGTCCTCAGATGAGATAAAAGGCCCAGATCTTTGTACCCTCACACCAATCAGTCATTTAGATGGTGGATGCCTCTGAAAAGAGTTGTGACCTTGGGCAAGGCAGTTCTCATTAGCTGAGGCAATCTCAAAAGAAGGTTTAGTCTCAAAGAGGGCTATTCTCACCCAGCACTCCCAAGAACTCTAAAATCAGTCATTCCTTCCCCAGGAGGGACTGGGCAGCACATCTCAGTGTCCACCACAGGTGGTGGTTCTCTCACTGAGACACAGAACCCTTACCTCAAATGGATAACAACTTTACATATTACAAAAACACAAGGGAGGCGTGGTGGCTCACGCCTGTAATCCCAGCACTTTGGGAGGCCGTGGCGGGAAGATCACTTGAGGCCAGGAGTTCAAAACAAGCCTGGCCAATATGGCAAAACCCCATCTCTACTAAAAATACAAAAATTAGCTGGGTATGGTGGTGCATTCCTGTAATCCTAGCTACTTGGGAGGCTGAGGCAGGAGAATCAATTGAGCCCAGGAAGTTGCAGTGAACCAAGATTGTGCTACTGCACTCCAGCGTGGACAACAGAGCCAGACCTTGTCTCAAAATAAAATAAAATAAAAAACTCAAACAAACAAACAAACAAAAAAACACAACCATCAGTCAAGTGCTATACTAGCTTGTTAATAAAATTTTAAATTTGCAGCTAGACATATGCCTGTAATCCCAGCACTCTGGGAGGTCAAGGCAGGAGGATCCCTTGAGCTCAGGAGTTTGAGACCAGCCTAAGCAGCATAGTGAGACCCTCATCTCTACAAAAAAAAAAAAAAAAAGAAAAGAAAAGAAGGAAAGGAAAGAAAAAGAAAGAAAGAAAGAAAGAAAAGGAAAGAAAAAGAAAGAAAGAAAGAAAGAAAGAAAGAAAGAAAGAAAGAATGAAAGAAAGAAAGAAAGAAAGATTGATTAGCTGGGCAAGGTGGTACACACCTGTAGTCCCAGCTACTTGGGAGGCTGAGGCAGGAGAATCACATGAGCCTTGGCAGTTGAAGCTGCAGTGAGCTGTGATCAGCCTCTGCACTCTAGCCTGGGTGGCAAAATAAATACATTCTGCATTTAATGGTCACAAATGGGTTTTAGAATGCTTGCCTTCTGAAATCACACCATTGCAAGAGTAACTCCCTAGTTTCTTAAGAGAATAATGATGGAGTTTCTGTGGAAGTAAAAACAATCTGAGGAAACAATCCAGCCCTGCCTACTTCTCTCAACCCCTACTGCAGGATTCAAGCCTCCTCTCACTACTCCTTGGATTATCATTACAGCCCCTGAAACAGCTGCTCTTGTGCCAGGCAAACCATTCTTCACATTTCAGCTAAAGAAAAGCTTCAGACATTAACCATTTACAGCTCCAGCAGCTAGCACAATCACTGGTACATAGTTTATACTCAATTAATACTTGTTGAAAGAAAAAGTCACTAAGGAATAAAATATATTAAGCTGTCTTTCCTATGTGATATCATAAAACTTACACATTTTATCTAGATTACGTAATATCCCAGTTTAAATCTAATCATTGGCTCCTATTGCCCTCAGTCATACAAAGTCAGTTTACATGACTTTTTGCAATCTGGTCTCTGATCATCTCTGAAGTTTTGCTTTTTTGCCCCTTTTTTCACCTTTCTCCCCCCTCCACCTCTTCCCTTTTACTTTATGAACAACAGAGCTATCAAGATGCTTTTTAAAATCCTCAAACATGCCATGCTCCATTTGGCTTTTGGGATCTTTCCATACGCTGGTCTCTCTGCCTGAAACATTCTTCACCCTTCACTATATGCAAGTTAACTGCCTCCCTTTCCCCAAAACTTGCCCCATCACTTCCTGTCATATCTGCACACACACACATACAGACACACACCCTCACTCATAACATATATTCACATGAGTATCTAATTCCTATAAACTGTTGGGGCTTAATTCTGGGCAGAAATGTAGTTATAAGCATTAATCAGGCTGCGCTATGACCCACTTCCTTGTAAGTGAAAGTCGCATAACAGTAGATACTGACCATTTGCGTCTTGATTTTCCCTATAGATAGGATTTCTAACATTAAAATCATTAGGCTTTTAAGAACCGCTTAAAGTCGGGCACGGCTGCTCATGCCTGTAATCCCAGCACTTTGGGAGGCTAAGGTGGGCAGATCACCTAAGTTCAGGAGTTCAAGACTAGCCTGGCCAACATGGTGAAACCCTGTCTCTGCTAAAAATACGAAAATTAGCCAGGTGTGGTGGTGGGCATCTGTAATCCCAGCTACTTGGGAGGCAGAGGCACAAGAATCACTTGAACCCAGGAGGCAGAGGTTGCAGTGAGCTGGGATCTCACCATTACACTCCAGCCTGGGTGACAAGAGCGAGACTCTGTCTCAAAAAACAAACAAAAAAAAACTGCTTAAACAGATCCTGAATTCCAGACAGAACAGCTGACACCAACTAGTTTAAAGATCTCCACAGAGCAGCCTAGTCAGCATGAGAATATGGTTTCTTCATCTCCTGCCCCATGACTTTACTCTGCACTCTTCAACCAATCAACTATCTCTACACTTCTGCCCACTCTGAAACCCTTAAAAACCCAAGCCCTAAACTCCTCATGGCCCAATGATTAAATCTTTCTCTGCTGCAACCCTGCATATTGACTTGCAATAGATCTATTATGGCTACATTCCCTGACCCCCACCATCCCTGCAAATGTGGGTTAGGTGCCTTCCTTTGGACTCACAAGGCACTTTTAATTCTCTCATCAGAGAATTTATCACCTGTGATGGTTATTTTTCTGTGTCAACTTGGCTGGGCTACTATGTCAATATTTGGTCAAACATTATCCTGAATGTTTCTATAAAAGAGGTGTTTTTTGTTTGT
Organism: Homo sapiens; assembly: GCF_000001405.40. Taxonomy (NCBI): domain Eukaryota; kingdom Metazoa; phylum Chordata; class Mammalia; order Primates; family Hominidae; genus Homo; species Homo sapiens. The sequence goes on from NC_000001.11 coordinate 171,478,394, forward strand.
TTGTTTATTTGTTTTTTGAGACAGAGTCTCGCTTTGTTGCCCAGGGTAGAGTGTGGTGGCCCAATCTCGGCTCACTGCAACCACCACCTCCCAGGTTCGATCAATTCTCCTGCGTCAGCCTCCCAAGTAGGTGGGATTACAGGCATGCGCCATCACACCTGGCTAAGTTTTGTATTTTTAGTAGAGCTGAGGTTTCACCATGTTGGCCAGTGTGGTCTCAAACTCCTAACCTCAAGTGATCCACCTGCCTTGGCCTTCCAAAGTGCTGGGATTACAGGCATGAGCTGCTTCATCCGGCCTATAAAAGTGTTTTTGTTTTGTGGGAGGGGGTGGGGGGGTGATTATATTAACTGTAAATGGATGTATTTTGACCTTCATAATGTGAGTGGGCCTCATACAATCAAGTGAAGGCCTAATGGAAAAAAGACTGATCTCCCCCAAAGGAATTCTTAAGTGTGGCAGCCTTTTGACTTAAACTACAACTTTGTCTCTTCCCTGGGTCTCCAGCCTGTTGGTCTACGTATCCTATTGGTTCTGTTTCTCTGAAGGACCCTGACTAATATGTCACTTTTAATCATAATTACTTATAATTTCACCCCACTCTCATCCCACTTGAATAGAATCTCCTGAGAACAGGAATTTAAACTGTTTTATTCATTTTTATGTCTTCCTTAGCCTGATATATCATGACTTTTTTTTTTTTTTTTTTTTTTTTTTTTGACAGAGTTTTGCTCTGTTTTCCAGGCTGGAAAGCAGTGGCAAGATCATAGCTCACTGCAGCCTCAAACGCCTGGGGTCAAGAGATCCTCCAGCCTCAGCCTCTCAAGTAGCTGAGATTATAGGCACACACCTGGCTAATACATAGGTAATATGGAATATTGTTCTTTTGTTTTTTATGGAATATTGAAATGAAGAGTTTCATTTCACTGCAATTCCCCAAGGCTGCTAAATACTTTGAGATGCTTTCTCTCAATTCTCTTTCAATCACTATTCCCCTTTCTCTCTTCTATCAAGACCATGCCCTATGAAGTTAACAATGGTCCAACCTCTAGAGAATTGCACTAATTCCCATTTGAAGCAATTATTCACTAAGACTCTCAGCAGCTCATAGAAATATTTCTGAAACAATCATTTAATTAACCCCAGCAGAAAAAAGAATAGAGAAGAGCCTGTAGTCCCAGCTACTCTGGAGGCTGAGGCAGGAGAATGGCGTGAACCCAGGAGGTGGAGCTTGCAGTGAGCCGAGATTGCGCCACTGCACTCCAGTCTGGGTGACAGAGCGAGGGTCCATCTCAAAAAAAAAAAAAAATAGAGAAGAGAAAGAGAAACAAACCAAAAAACCAAACTAGGTACAAGCTACTGGTGGCATTGTAACATATGAAATTCTCTCTTCCACCACAAGCCTAAAAATTATTCAAAATACCTAGTCCCAATGGTAACCAAAAAAAGTACTATCAATCTTACTTCTCTTAATTACTATGAAGCAATAAAATATTTGACATCAGATAGTTTTATTTATACATATACCCAATTGGTTGGGCAGCAGATACATAAAAAGTCTCGTATACTTTAAGAAATGCTACAAGCGACAGCCAGAGTTACAATTTTAATTTATTGGGCACTGTATTCATATTCATTAGTAATATCTCACGGATCTGCTTTTTGGCCTAAAAATTTAAGAAATTACAATTTTCTGTATCTTCAGTTACCACCTGGCTATTTTCCTTTTTTAAGCTTTTCCTGTTCTGCCTTTGTTGTGGCCCCTTTCCCTTTGTGATCTTCCCCTTCAGATCAGTGCCTTTTATCGCTACTCATTTGCTGACTCAGGTGAATTTACAGCCTAAGGCAAAAATGGGAGCCAGCAAAGTTTGTTTTCTCAGTCTCTCCCCTCTTTCCCTCCCTTCTTCCTGCAGCTCTGTGAGGGACTAAATCTTCCAGATATTCTGTGCTTATTAACAACACAGCACCCTCTTGACTTGGAATCCATAGCTGTAAGAACTTAGTTTCTCCTGTCAGCTAAGAAAACTCTGGGAAAATTTTTGGTGGACAGTAAATGCCAGGTAATCCAAACTTCATTAATTTATGACATAACAAATAAATACAACTTTTAGCCAAACTGTCCCCTTTATTCAATTATAAAAAGTGTTTGCTAAGTCAATAAACAGACTGGTAATTAAAATATTTATCGGCTGGGCGCAGTGGCTCACGCCTGTAATCCTAGCACTTTGGGAGGCCGAGGCGGGTGGATCACCTGAGTTTAGGAGTTCGAGACCAGCCTGGCCAACATGATGAAACACCCTCTGTACTAAAAATGCAAAAATTAGCTGGGTGTGGTGGCGGGCGCTTGTAATCCCAGCTACTCGGGAGGCTGAAGTAGGAGAATTGCTTGAACCCAGGAGACGGAAGTTGCAGTGAGCCAAGATTGTGCCACTGCACTCCAGCCTGGGTGACAAGAACAAGACTCCATCTCAAAAAATAATAATAAAATAAAATAAAATAAAGTATTTATCCTACTTGGCCAGGCGCGGTGGCTCACGCCTGTAATCCTAGCACTTTGGGATGCTGAGGCAGGTGGATTGCCTGAGCTCAGGAGTTCGAAACCAGCCTGGGGAACACGGTAAAGCCCCATCTCTAAAAAAAAAAAAAAAAAATTACGCGGGTGTGGCAGCAGGCGCCTGTAGTCCCAGCTACTCCAGAGGCTAAGGCAGGAGAATGGCTTGAACCTGAGAGGCGGAGGTTGCAGTGAGCCAGGATCACACCACTACACTCCACACTCCAGTCTGGGTGAGAGAGTGAGACTCCGTCTCCAAAAGAATAAATAAATAAATAAATAATTTATCGTACTTTATATATAATGTAAAATTTTACATATAACATATAATATAAACATTATAATGTACTCAACAGATAGCCTCTCACAAGTTGGCCAAAGGTTTTTTTTTTGCGGGGGCGGGGAAGGAGTCTTGCTCTGTCACCCAGGCTGGAGTGCAGTGGCAGGATCTCAGCTCACTGCAACCTCGGCCTCCTGGGTTCCAGCAATTCTCCTGCCTCAGCCTCCTGAGTAGCTGGGACTACAGGCGCCCACCACCACACTCGGCTAATTTTTCGTATTTTTAGTAGAGACGGGGTTTCACTGTGTTAGCCAGGATTGTCTCGATCTCCTGACCTCAGGTGATCTGCCCGCCTCGGCCTCCCAAAGTGCTGGGATTACAGGTGTGAGCCTCCATGCTTGGCCCATTTTTTTCTTAGTTTTTGTTTTTTCTGGACCCCCCGCAAAGGTGATTTGTTGAAGAACTATCAACATTTTTCTTATCTTTATTAGCAAATGTACAACATCTGTTGATGTTTATAAACCGGGATTACATTTTCATGCAGTATTTGGGTATTCTGGTTTTCTTTACACCAGGCTTATCATGTTTCATAGTTTTTAACTAAATATGATTTGCTGGATCATTCATAAAAAGAAAACAAAATTGTCAAATGCACCTAAACACTTAAGAAACACAACTGCTGATCCTTTTGTAGTTCATAAGTGTGATGATTCAGTGTTCACATGAATCTATGAGATGCGCCAACCTCAAACCTTGTTATGACGTGGTCCATTACCCATCTGATGTGAAAATTTAAAATTTTTAAACAAAGAAGAGAGAAAAAAGGAACATTACTGCTAATAAAGTATGATACTTTCACTGATCATTTTGTTTTTAACTACTCTACCGTAAAATTTCAGTGCCTACAGGATTATGGAATCAATCACAATGAGAAGGGTAGAAACTCATTAAATCATTAGCAAATAAGGCTGGACAATCACAAAGAAAATACGTCATATTGTTTGGAGAGTGAATTTGTTTTCAGTAAGAAACTAGTTTGCCTGATTCCACACCACCCAATTGGAAATTTGATAATGTTATTCTAAAATTATTGTTTAAATAGAAGTGTTGTAAATTAAATGAAAAGTTTTCATTCAATCTGTCATGAAGACATTTTTGTTATAACAAATTTGTCTACAATGGTGGAGTGTCAGGAGAAGTGCAATCCAAGTCAAGGAGACTTCAGTCACATTTTCCCCAATAAATTGGAAACAAAGGCAGTAAGACTGCTCTCTAAAAGTTAGACTTTAAGATCACATACATAGCTAGGAGCAGAAATAAGCAAAGTCACCTTTAAAACACAAACTGGTTTGATTTAACTGTAACTTGATTTTTATTGAAATAATATTGCAAAGAGGTTTGGGTAGCCATGGAAACAGAGAAAGTAACGTACAGGGGGCACTTTAGGGTCAGTGGCCATCCAAGTGCTGCTAAGGAGACAAGGAGCACAAATCAGCAGCTCAGCAGGATGTCACCACTATATTGGAGATCAATGCGGGCAACTGCAGCCATTGGAAATTGAGAACTTCTATTTTCGGGACAAAATTCTCCTGTTGTGAAGATAGATGACTCAAGAAAAGTCTATACATATAACTCCACTTGTTCAGAATATGTGCTCATCAAGCAACCTTCTGATAATGCCTTGGTTTCCTGAGTAGGTTTGGCTACACAGAAAATGCACTCAGCGGGGCCAGGCACAGTGGCTCACACCTGTAATCCCAGCACGTTGGGAGGCTGAGGCAGGCGAATCACATGCGGTCAGGAGTTTGAGACCAGCCTGGCCAACATGGCGAAACCCCATCTCAACCAAAAATACAAAAATTAGCTGGGCGTGGTGGCGCCTTTGTGTAATCCCAACTACTCGGGAGGCTGAGGCAGGAGAACCGCTCGAACCTGGGAGGTGAAGGTTGCAGTAAGCTGAGATTACGCCACCTGGACAACAGAGTGAGACTCCATGGGGAAAAAAAAAAAGAAAGAAGGAAGGAAGGAAGGAAGAAAAGGCAGGCAGGCAAGGAAGGAAGGAAGGGAGGGAGGGAGGGGAGGGGAAGGGAGGGAGGGAGGGAGGGGAGGGGAGAAGGAGGGAGGGAGGGGAGGGGAGGGGAGGGAAATGAGAAAATGTACTCAAGAAAAGATAGCACCTTGGGTCCATGCTGGCATACCGGAGGCTTTCTGTTTCTGGCAAAAATTAAAAGAAAAAAAGAAAAAAAAAGTATTGGCTTTGCAGTTGTTGAGTGTTCAGGTGTATAAATTAAAGCTCTTAGAAATTAATAATTTAATACATGTCTTTTTTTTTTTTTTTTTTTTTTTGAGACAGAGTCTCGCTCTCTCGCTCTGTTGCCCAGGCTGGAGTGCAGTGGCAGGATCTGTGCTCACTGCAAGCTCCGCCTCCTGGGTTCACGCCATTCTCCTGCTTCAGCCTCCTGAGTAGCTGGGACTACAGGCGCCCGCCACCACGCCCGGCTAATTTTTTTTTGTATTTTTTAGTAGAGACTGGGTTTCACCGTGTTAGCCAGGATGGTCTCGATCTCCTGACCTTGTGATCCGCCCGCCTCGGCCTCCCAAAGTGCTGGGATTACAGGCGTGAGCCACCGCGCCCGGCCATACGTGTCAGTCTTATGACCTTGGTTAATGTAATTTCATCTGATTGCTGAAGTTGTTCTCCATTGCTCAAGACAGATGATTTGGCTGGGCGTGGTGGCTCATGCCGGTAATTCCGGCACTTTGGGAGGCCAATGCGGGAGGCTTGCTTGAGCTCAGGAGTTCGAAACCAGCCCAGTCAACATAGCAAGACCTCGTCTCTACTGGCAAAAAAAAAAAAAAAAAAAAAAAAAAGCCAGGTTTTGTGGCAAGCACCTGTAGTCCCACCTACCTGGGAGGCTGAGACAGGTGGATTGCTTGAGCCTGGGAGGTTGAGGCTTCAGTGACCTGTGATTATGCCACTACACTCCAGCCTGGGCAGCAAAGTGAGACCCTGCCTCCAAAAAAACAAAGAAAGATGTTTCTGTGACCAGGACACTATAGACCAGATCCTAGAAGGTTGTAGAAATTCACTAAAGTAATGCTTCCTTGTCCTCTTGTGGATGATCAGTAGGCTTTCCCCTGGCAATGACCCTATATCAATAAAAAAACTTTTTCTTTTCTTCTTTTCTATTTTTTCGAGAAAGAGTCTCGCTGCAGCCTCAACCTCCTGTGCTCAAGTGATCCTTTTGCCTCCAGCCTCCCAGGTAGCTAGGACTATAAGCATGTGCCACTATGCCTAGCTAGCTTTTTTTCTTTTTAATTTTTTTGCAGAGGTAGGGTCTCACTATGTTGCCCAGATTGGTCTTGAACTCCTGGTCTCAAGCAATCCTTTTGCCTTGACCTACCAAAGTATTAGTATTACAGGCATGAGCCACCAAGCAAGTCCAGACTTTTCTACTTCAAATTAATATTAGTGGGGAGGGAGGTGTTCATAATTTACCTCTCTTTATTATTTCATTTATTCTAACATTGCTACAGTGACAATTCCATGGACATACACCAGCTACTGGCGGGGAAGATCGTTCAGACCAGAAGTGGTAAGAAATCCTTGAATTTTAAATATGTCATAGGTAGTTCACAAAGAGGACAAAAGATACCATTTACTAAACATTCGCCATCTGTTCTGACATAATATTATCATCATTGTAGTCTCCCACTTCCAGATACACTCATCTGCCTATGTTACACTTGCCTAGTAAAAGCCAGCATGGGTGAATCTTACTATTCAACGGAGCTGAACACTGTGATGGAGAGATCATATAAATAAACTGAATGGCTTATCTCACATCCATAATTAGAAACTTAAAAAGTGCTCTCAGCAGCCCATGCTACTCTGTTCCTCACACTAGTTTTACTTTCACTCTCTGTGATAACTTTTCAATACACCAAGACTTCTCAGCTTGCCCCAAATTCACTGAGACATACTGGCGAACTGCTGGTTCAACCATTTACACATCCACCCACCAGACATAAGAGTGCTCATTTCACTGAGGCTTATTATCAACTTGTAAACGTGGTCAATTCAAGACTTCTTAGAAAGGTCTCAGGTCCAAGCTTTGTCCTGAAAAGATAATTCTGATTGCAGAAACTCCCTCCGTCCAGCAGGAAGCGCCAGCACCCTCTGTCGGGGTTGGGCCGCCACGGAGGCTTCACGTGATCCGGCCGTCTCTGCGCAGGAGTGTGGTCTTGCGGAGATTTGACCTACGTACTTAGCGTCATGACGTAGTACGTAGGGGCTGGCTAGCCGCCATCTTGCTTCTTTTTCTCGCTCGCTCGCTCCCCCTCGGAAAGCTGCGAAAGTGCTTTGGCGGTTTGTCCATCCGCAGCTTCGGCTTTTCCAGTCTGGTGGCCCTTCCGGCCACCCCTTTAACCCCAGCTTTCCCTCCCCCTTCTTTCGATCAGAGATCGGCGGAGACCCTCGAAGTGCGCAAACTTGACACTCACCCTGACCGGTAAGGAAAGCGAGGGTGTGGGGGCCGCGATCAAAGAGGGCCCCATCGGGAACGGCCAGAGTGCGGCCTGGGGCGTGGGAGCGCACCCAGACCCTGGCGCCCGGAGGCTAGGGGGCCGCGTGGAGAGGGCCTTGGGTCCGGGCATTTCCCTTCTGTTTGGTTACCATCATCTCTGTGTCTGGGGAAGTCGGCCTCCAGCTTGGGGAGCGGGAAACCGGAGTCAGACCCGCCCCATGTGGTCTGCAGCGGGAGTTCTGGACCGGTCTGTCTTGCTCCCACCTAGACCCCAGTCCTGGCCCTGCGAGGGGATTACGCATGTTGCCGGGTAAGCGAAGGGGGTTTCCGTCTTCCTGGACTGGCGGACGTGAAGTCTTTTTTTTTTTTTTTTTTTTTTAGTGTCGGGTATGCGTTTCCCCAAACAACTGAAGGACTCAGCCGGGGCTTTCACTGTCTACCTCTTCCTGTGTAGTGAGGGTGGGACTTGCAATGAGCAATGTATGGGAGGGTCTGGTTTAAAGACCTGGTTAGATGAGAGGCTCTTCGGGGAATCAAGACCAACCCTACTTCCGCTAGGGAAGTGCTGCCCAACTCCGGAGGAGGATTTGGGTAGTCTTTTCACACTCTAGGCCGCTCCATCCTCTAACTTGCGTGGTGAATCTCGGTAGCTCCCTGTCTTTGAGATAGCGTTGATATTGGTGGTGTCAGGGTAAAGGCCCCGTTTTAGGACTGAAGAAAAGGGCATGGGGCCACTATAGAGACATTGATAGAGTCTTCCTTCCTTTGCATGAGAGGAGTACCTTTAATTTAAAGGGATGTATGTGTGTTTTGACATTATTTGGGATCTTTTGAGGGTCTGACATGCCTGATGTTTGCTGGCTTATAAAGCTACCTGGATTTCCGCATTGGCTGGTTTTCAGCCTGGGTTCATAGATTCATACCTCGTTAGAGTACTTAGAATTGTACAGTAGGCGGCTCTGCTGTAAGATTTTCATTTGGAATGCACCAGAAGAATCGGAGGATTTTTTGATTGTTGAGTACTTAATAGCTTACTCCTGCAAATAAAAATAATAGGGTGATACTAAGCACCTACCAAGCCTAACCCCACCATTTTTCAAAACTAGATTTCACCTCCCATATTGGTAATTAAGATGCTGCTTTGACTGGAGCCATTTTTAGGTGTGTGTCACAGATGCACTGCAGCATCTTTTCTGGCTCACCCCAAATGCATTGATCCCCTAAAAAATTAGGAATAAATTGAACTTGAATTTTGTCTTTAGCATGTAGTCAAATAGTAATTCTCTCCTTTTCTGTAAGTGGATTTTCAGAATATAGCCTTTTTAAGTGATTGTGTTTGCTCTGCTTAGCTTATGTGTGGCTGTTCTCCATTAGGTGACCTTTTGCTATACACTGAGCACAGTAATAAGTCCTTTTCATACATTTTTTTTTTAATCTCCACAACAGACCTTTGAGAAAAGTGCTATTAAGATCATCCCCATTTTACAGATGAGGAAATGAAATCTGAGAGAGTAGTCTGACCAAGGTCACATAGCAGTTATTGGTGGTATTGTGTAGGTTCAATTCCATACTGTCTGAACCCAAAGGGGATGCTCTAAACCTTCAACCTGCTTTTTAAATTATAAACTACAGTAACTAAATAAGATAAAGCATTATTAACTAGTAGTTTTTCTTTAGCTTGACTAGTATATGAATATTGTTGCATGCTAAGGTTAAAGTTTTGAAAGTTGTAAAAATGGAATATATCCACTTTGGACTTGGGGTAGAGGCTAATTTTTTTGTGTCCTTTTCTATTTGAGTGCTTAGAGATAACTTAAAACTAACTCTACCATGTCGTAGATATAATTTTTAAATTTAGGCGTCTGATCTATATTATTGGTAGAATATTCCCTCATCTGTAAAATGGTGATGATAATAGGACTTCCCTCAGAGGCTTTTATAGGAGTAAAAAAAGATAATGGATAATGTATGTAAAGGGCTTATTACTATGCTTAGTGCATAGTAAAAGGTCAACTAATAGTGGAGGGAGAATGGTAGGATATTGGTAGAAGAAAATACTCTCTTCCAAGCAATAAATAATCTGTAAATTCTCAGGGTGATGTATATATTTCTTTAGGTACATAAGAAAATTTCACCTCCCCTTATCCCTGATATGTCTACTTATATGCAGGATTTTGCTTCTTAGCGATTTCTTTATGCTCTACAGTAAATATCCCTGGGATGAGTATCTTGTTCATAGCTGAAAATGCAGAAGTTCTGGCTCATTCCAGCCCCCTCTCTTCTTCTTACCCCCACCCCACCCTCTTTAGTGATAAAATGTCTTTGAAGATTATATTATATCCCTGTCTGCCTCCAAGTGCCACCCCTAAACACTACTTCAGTTTGTTAGTTAGGTAACTTGTGTTTTGGATGCTATTTATGTCATATTTGTAAATGACAAGAATTGATCATTGGTAAAATGTTACATAAGTTAGTACAGAATTGTATTCTTACAGTGAAGGACATACAAAAATTGTGTCTGAGTTATGACACACTTTCATTTCGGTAAATCGTGATTTTGTCACCTTATGAATAGGACAACACAATGAAAGCTTATCTCAGTCTATGTTAATTGTTGCTTACAAGTCTGAGAGTTACTGTGTTAGTTTTATGAGTAATAACATTTTAAATTCCTCGCTAATCTCATCGATGCATGAGCCAGAACACCTTTGTGGATAAAAGCGTTCTATAGAGAGGGTAACTTTAGTAAATTTTCTATTTAAGAGACAGACCTAACTCTGTTGCCCTGGCTGGCCTCCAACTCCTGGGCTCAAGAGAATCTCCTGCCTCAGCCTCCCAGGTAGCTGGGACTAGAAGTGCCTACCATTGCTCCCAGCATTGCCAGTTACATTTCTAGTCCTTATTTTCCTCCAGATTATCAGAAAGCATGTTTTGGGGCCTGTGACTACATGTATTTGCTGGCAAATCCAGTCAAACAAGGACTGTTACTTAGTTTCAACCGGAAATTTTTATCTGATTGGCAGACATGATTAACTAGACTCTTAGACTGTTAACTAAGAGTCTGAACACAAGATTGTAATGAAATTATTATGTGAATTATAGTCAGTGTGATATACTCATCCCTGTGTGGTGCTGCTATGTGCTCAACATTAAGGGAAGATGGAATATCATTTGAGGAGCACGTCTAGTATTAAAAAAACTATTGGGTATTATGTATGTAGCATACTACATAGCAATATGTACTACATACTATCTGGTAATTTTTCTGTTTTCTGTGTTCTAATACTAGTTTGTTTTCCTCTACTAGACTGTTTCCATGTCCTCATCACCTTGTATGGTGGTTGGCGTATACCTAGAGTTTATATGTTATTGAATGAATGAGGGTGAGAAACACAAAAGAATAGACCCACAAGATTAACTGATAAGTATATTATTGGAGCAAAAGAAAATGCTGTCAGGTTTTTTTTCCTTTACCTCTAAGAATAGTATCACAGGTAACCTTCGAAGAGTTTGTGTTAAATAATATGCATTGTGAGATTTATTTACATCTGATTTTTAAAATTTTTAGCTTATTCAACAAAGATTGAAGATTCTTTTAATTTTGTAAGGCCCAGTGAATCAGAGCAATATGGCATTTGGTCCACTCCCAAGGTGTTCACAGCCTTAAGGATTAATGTTAAAAGTTATCTTGTAGTCTTTGGATTCATGCCAGAAGATAAAAAGGTGTATAAGAAGGTAAGGGAAATTTGGTACAGAAAATTACAGATAGTACAGATTGAGTTCCTAGTTGATTATAAGTGAAGCTGTGATGTCTAAGAAAAATCAAGAATAATTGTGATTATTAATATTTCTTGAGCACTTACTATGCCATGTTACTAAACTAAGACTATTTTTTGAATGATCTATTTAAATCCATATTGCAGAAAGCCTAAAAGGAAGAGATTTAAGTAATTTGCTCAAAGTTACTTAGCTTTTAAGTGGTAGAAATGGCATTTGAATTATTGATCCAGAGCCTGAGTGCCTAACTCAACTACATGGGTTTCCTAGTGGCCAGTATTTTCCAAACTTAAATCATTCACAATTTCTGCTTCGTCCCAAACCATCTGCCTGTTACTTAATATTTTTCTTCAATTCAACTTGCTGTCTTTTAATTAAATGAATTTAAACGAATTTTTTTTTTCTTTTTTTAGATGGAGTCTCACTCCGTTGCCCAGGCTGGAGTGCAGTGGCGCTATCTTGGCTCACTGCAACCTCTCCCTCCCGGGTTCAAGTGATTCTCCTACCTCAGCTTCCTGAGTAGCTGGGATTACAGGTGCCTGCCATCACGCCTGGCTAATTTTTGTATTTTTAGTAGAGATGGGGTTTCACCATGTTGTCAGACTGGTCTCGAACTCCTGACCTCGTGATCCGCCCACCTTGGCCTCCCAAAGTGCTGGGATTACAGGCGTGAGCCACTGCATCCTGCCGTTTAAAAGGAAATTTTTATGATTATTTGGCATTAGCTTCCCCCCAACATGTTTTAAAATAAACATGATTTTACATAATTTTCTGTGGATCACTTAAAATCATCCAGTATACTACCAGTCTTTGTATTCCACCCTTTGGGACATTACTGCTATAAGAAATGAATACTGGATAGGATCAGGCCACAGGTACAGTTAATGAAGGTCGAAAGCCTAGAATGGAATAGATTGATAAAATAGGAAATGGCAGCATTACAGGAATAGAGATATGAATTAGTCTTAACTACATACTTGAGACAACCACTTTCATGATAAACCGCAAAGGAGTAGGTTTATTTAGATAGAGAAATGTAATAGGATGTCTAGGACAGTCTATGGCAAGGGAAGAACAAGACAAAATAAGAAGGAAGTCACTATAGAAATCAGGGCAGAAGAGGATAATCTAAAAACAGGATTATTAGAGCTAAATGTAGCAGAGTTCAGAAAAATATGTGACAAGTAGTCTTTGGATTTGGCTGTGATATCCTTGGTGACCTTAAAATAATCTAGGTCAAGTTACAAAAGTGGAAGGTTAAAGGGGGAAGAGGGAAAATCTCTTGATTTTTAGATATATTGAATACTCAAAGTGGACTCTAGACTAATTGTTTTAAAACCTAGGTTTAGTCCTTTTTGTCACTTTGTGCCAGCTGTTAATTTTGGGGCAAGTTAACCTGGCTTAAGTTTTAAATATATTGATTTGTGATACAAGGATAATATCCATTTCCCCTATCTCAGAGGACTATTGCAAAGAGTACATTTATGTATTTCTATATATCTTCTGAATTTAATATTCTTTGATATTACACAATATCAAGACATGAGTCTTGACCATATTTAAAGCAGAAAAGAGAACCACGAAAAGGGAAAATTAAAGATAAAGGGGAAGATACGTTCCCTATAAGGTTGGAAGATCCCTTCTGAATAAATCTTGAGTCTGAAGGATAAGAGATGGATACATGTATGTGGTTGGAGAATGGGTATCTAGATAAGTTAATAATTCATTTTTTCTTCCCTGTTTGCCAGTGAACAATCTGAAGGTACAGGGCTGCTATATATGGTTATGCAGCTTGTATACTGCCCAAAGATGCTGGACTGAAGGAAGCAACAAGTCAGCCTGTGTTCTGCTTACAGAGTCCTGTGCCCCAGCTTAGGCCTCGCAGAGGGAACTGTGCCTCCACTTCTCTCTCCAAGGCATCAGCTCCTTGCCAAAAGTGTCTGTATTTCCCCAGAAGGATGTATTTTTCCTAGTTACATAAAGGCCCTATGGAGAGCAATGGATGCTCTGAAAGACTCCTTAAGGAGACATATTAAGGATACATTTAGAACAACATCAAAAACAATTGGGAAATTGGAGAAATGGTCACTAAGGAACAAAAAGCTTTGAACTTTTTGCTGAGATGGGTTAGGTGGTTGGGCAAGTACAGAATTCTCATTTATCCAGTGTACTTTAAAGATCTGTATTGTAGCTTATTAAATATTTTTATTAATCAAGAAACTATATTAAATATCATAGTTTATCATATTTCAAAGAAGAGTGATAAGAGTAAAACAATACTTAACACAATTTAATCTTACCCAAAAACTTTGTAATTTTGGGGTTTAAATTAAAATTTAGATTTTTGGTCATGTGGCTGGTAGTTTTATATATAAGTAACTTTTTAATGTTAGGTTTTATAATTAAAGCTATATAAATTTTATAGCTCTTAATTGAAGAAGCACAATAGGGAAGGTACACAGTTACTTCTGAAGGTTAGGAAAATGGAACAGTGGCATTTTATTTTGAAAACAGAGGACATTGAAAACAAAGGAGGCTTTAGACAGGTGAATTTTAAGTTTATATTTGGAAATTTGATTTGTGGTGTACAGTTCTTTAAGTTTTAGTACGTATGGATTTTTGTAGCCCCCACAACTAGGATACAGAATGTAGAAAGATAAAACATCTCCCAACTGTAGAACTAGAGTCTTCTGGCATTTTGGAGACAGGGAAATTCTCTTGAAGAAATAACTATTAAAGAGGGATGGAAAAAGCCAAGAATGGCCTACCCATGCTGAATGATTTGTTTTCTGATTAGAAAGAAAAAATATTTTGATTATACTGTTATATTTATGACAAACTTGAACATAGAAAGAATGAAAGTAGGAGAAAGAAAAAGAAGGAGTTGGGTGTTGTGGCATGTGCCTGTGGTCTTAGCTACTTGGAAGGCTGAGGTGGAAGGATCTCTTGAGCCCAGGAGTTGTGGAGGGTAGCGCACTGTGTTCTACATATGGACTGAGTGTCTGCACTAAATTCAGCATCAATAGGGTGTCCTGGGAGTGGGGGACTAACAGGTTGCCTGAGGAGGGGTGAACTGGTCCAGGTTGGCAACAGAGCAGGTTAAAACTCCCATGCTGATCAGTAGTGGGATAGCCATTGCACTCCGGCCTGGACAACATTAAGGTGACCCTGTTTCTTATTAAAAGCAAGAGGGTAGGGGAATTTTTTTAATTTTATTTATTTATTTATTTATTTATTTATTTAGAGACAGAGTCTCTCTCTGTCGCCCAGGCTGGAGGCAGTGGTGCGATCTTGGCTCACTGCAACCTCTGCCTCCCAGGTTCAAGCAATTCTTCTGCCTCAGCAGCCCGAGTAGCTGGGATTACAGGTGTGTACCAGCACACCTGGCTAATCTTTGTATTTTTAGTAGAGATGGGGTTTCACCGTGTTGGCCAGGCTGGTCCTGAACTGACCTCAAATGATCCACCTGCCTCGCCCTCCCAAAGTGCTGGGATTACAAGGCGTGAGCCACTGCGCCTGGCCGGGGAATTTAAATAAAATAAAATAAAATAATAAAAGAAGAGAAGGAAGGAAATAGGTTTACATGTCTTAAGACTGGATATTTCAGTGGTAGAAGAAGAGGGCCAATGATACGGAGGGATGTTAACCAATTCTCTACACTTAATAAATTTAAAATTAATATTCTGACTTTTAAAGGCAACCCTTTGGTCCTCCAAAAGATTAACCATAATTCATAATGCTAGATGAGCATCTTGGAGCAAGTACTTCTCTTTCACTCTCATAACATTCAACATACTTTGGCCTTGCAAAAAACAAAGTTCAATTAACTGGATGGGGTGGCATGTACTTGTAGTCCTAGCTCCTCAGAAGGGTGAGGTAGGAGGATCACTTGAGCTCAAGTTCAGGGTTGCAAAGTGATGGCACTGCTGCACTCCAGCATGGGTGACAGAGTAAAACTGTTGAAAAGGAAAATAATAAATAAAGGTTGACTAAGAAATTATCTATGCTTTGGGCCTGAAGCGATGGCTCACCCTGTAATCCCAGCACTTTGGGAGGCCAAGGTGGGTGGATTACTTGAGGTCAGGAATTTGACACCAGCCTGGCCAACATGGTGAAACCCCATCTCTACTAAAAATACAAAAATTAGTCAGTTGTGGTGGCAGGCGCCTGTAACCCCAGCTACTCAGGAGGCTGAGGCTGGAGAATTGCTTGAGCCTGGGAGGCGGAGATCCTACCACTGCACTCTAGCCTGGGCAACAGAGCAAGACTCTGTCTCAAAAAAAAAGAGAAGAAATTATCTATGCTTGGGTTTTTCTTTTTAATATATTAGTTTTGCAAATATTGATTACCACTTAATAAGTTTTTGTTACAGGCTTTACACTATTCTAAGAGCTTTATACACACTTTGTTAATTAAATCTTATAATAGTATTGGAGTAGATATTATAGCCCACCCAGGTGAGGAAGTAAAAAATTTGAGATTAAGTAATTTGCCTGTGGTCACCTAGCTACTAAATATTAGAGCTAGAATTTAAACAAAAACAGTTTTAAGAGAAACAGTTGTGTAATTTTAACAATTTTAAAATACATAAGTTGTTAAAAAGAATGCCCTGGCAATCACCTCATTAAGTAATCGGTAGACAGAACAGCTGTACTTTTTAAGGACAGCAGTTTTTAGTACAGAAAATTTGATAGCTACATTTCTGTTCTGATTGTTAAGGCTTTATCCTACTCCGGAAACTTAATTCACATGTTTCAGTTTCCAGGAACAGCCTGAGCCCTTCCACTATCCTGATTAGAACTCCAGCAGATTTATTTATATTACACTTTGTTTTTTAAAAAATGACCATTTTGGATGTTTTTGCCGAACTGCTATTTGTAGTAAAAGAATTCAACATATGGTGGTATTCTTAGCTTTACTATTATAGTGGCAAATGTACTCTTAAAATATTTGACCTTAGAATTACTAGTTCATTTTAACTACTAGAAATGGAAGAGACCTTGTAAGTGGCCAATTCAACTTCTTACTCAAAGCAAGAATTATCTTTATAATATTTCTGACAGGCTTACCTTGCTTTTGCTTGGATCCATCTGATGATTAGTAGGTTACTACAGTCACCCCTTAACATTCACAAAGCATATGTCCTAAGATCTTACAAATTTCCGTATTTAGCATTCAAACCTCTTCACTTTCGCCTTCCGTGATCTACACTAGGATTTGGCCTCCTCTTCACTGCTCTTCCCCACCCTGCCCCCCTCCCTCAAGAAAGAAACAGATTTCTCTTTGTAAGAGTTATTGTATCCCCTAAAAGAAAACAAAGCTCTGGGCCTGGGGTCTCAGCATTAGGAGTGGTGAGGGATATCCAAGCTTATTTTCTAGATGCATACCTCATGGCATGTTAGTTACATTTTGTGCTTTAGCAAAATTACACGTCATTTCACAGCTCTTTGGGTTATTTGGCAAATTGTTAAAGTAATGCTATAAGTTTTAGTTTAATGTAACTTACTCACTTATGGATAAACTGAACAGTTTTTCCTTTGCATTCAGTCGTTTGTTAATGTTTGTCTTCATGAAGCCTGGAGTTGAGCATAATACTCTAAACATACTGTGACAAACATAAAATTCAGTGGAACTGTTATGACTCCAAATCTGTGCATTAGATTTCTATTAAAATTTTATAAAGCAGTATTGTCACACTACTAGCTGTCACAGCTAGAACCTTTTTCACATGACAGTCTGGGTCTGTATTCTGCATTTATGAAATCCAGTTTCTGAACTGTTAATATGACTGTATAACTAATTGTTTAATTCTGCCTAGCATTCTAAGACCTTTAAAAATCTTGGTCATGGAATACATTGGTACTCCTTCAGATGTATATATTATTTCATATGCCATGTTTACTTTCCAAGTCTTTATTCAAGTTATTGACATGGAAAAGGACAGGGTCCAACATATCCAGGCCAAATTATTTCATATTGACCACATTCTTTTAAATATAAAATGATTTTCTACTTCAAACATTGTGTGATTCTCATTTGTATTAAGTTTATTTAAGGAGAAGTATGTAAATGACTAGTACTTTCAGTAGTCTTAAAAAATCAAGTGGATTGAGGGAAGGAAGTGACTAAATTTTTTTAAGGTTTATATTTTGTGGATGCTGATTCACTTGGAACTAGGAGTGTGGTGAATATTTGGGCTTTTTTATTTTAAATGGGCAATTTAGTTAAAATTTGAGTGATAAAATTCTGGTTTTTGAAGTTAATGCATCAGTCTCCCCTCATCATAGTTCAGGCTGCCATAACAAAATAGTATAGACTGGATGGCTTAAAAAACAGAAATTTATTTCTGACAGTTTTGGAGGCTGGAAGTCTGAGATCAGGGTGCCAGCATAGTAGTTCTGGTGAGGGCTCTTCCTAGCTTGCACACAGCCACCTTCTGACTGTATTCTCTAATGGAGAAGAGAGCAAGCTCTGGTATCTCTTTTTATAAGGACACTAATCCCCTCATGGCCCGTACAACCTCATCTAAATCTAATTACCTCACCAAGGCCCCATCTCCAAATATCAGCCCAGGGGATTTAGGGATTCAACATATGAATGTCAGGGGGGCACCCATCAGTCCATCAGCACCCCTGCCCCCTTTACGATTTTTAGAGCTTTGATTTTTGTGCCTTTTTTTTTTTTTTTTTTTTTTTTGCAGGGTCTCCCCCTGTTGCCCTGGCTGGAGTACAGTGGTGCTATCTTGGCTCACTACAGCCTCTGCCTCCCGGGTGCAAGCGATTCTCTTGCCTCAGCCTCCCTAGTAGCTGAGACTACAGGTGCACGCCACCACACCCAGCTAATTTTTGTATTTTTAGTAGAGATGGTATTTTGCCATGTTGGCCAGGCTGGTCTGGAAGTCCTGACCTCAAGTGATCCACCTGCCTTGGCCTCCCAGAGTGCTAGGATTACAGATGTGAGCCACTGCGCCTGGCCTGATTCTTGTTTTTTACAAGTTACAAAAATAATACAAAGAATTACCATATTCCTTCATTCAGATTCCCCACTTGTTAATATTTTACCATATTTACTTTATTATTTTCTGTATAGTATGCACATAGGCACACACATGCACTCTGTGCTTGGTTTTTAATGGCTGCTGTCTAAACCCTGTCATCACCAGAAACTTTAAATTTATTTCACAAGCTCTTATTCCTTACTTGTATTACAAAATGACATTTCTAGCAGCAAATCGATACATTTGGGGCGTGTGTGTGTGTGTGTGTGTGTGTGTGTGTGTGTGTGTTTTGTTTTGACAAGGTCTCACTCTGTTACCCAGGCTAGAGTGCAGTGGTGCAATCATTGGCTCACTGTAGCCTCAACCTCCCAGGCTCAAGCGATCCTCCTGCTTCAATCTCCTGGTTGGGACCACACGCATGTGCCACCACACCTGGCTATTTTTTTGGTAGAGACAAGGTCTCTCCATGTTGCTCAGGCTGGTCTCAAACTCCATTGCTCAAGCTATCCTCCCACCTCTGCCTCCCAGAGTGCTGGGATTACAAGCATGAGCCACCATGCCCCACCAATACATTTGTTAATAGAGATGTTGCTATGTTTTGTTGCTATTGTGTTTTATCTTTGATATCTTATTCTATATTGTAATGCAGTATGTTTGATAATGAAAACATGAATCATTTAGGGTCTCTTAAGTGACATTTATTGTTTTATATTTCAGTTTGTTAATTTCTCAAAATGAAAGTTCAATCCTGATTTTTTAAATAATGAGATTATGTTGGGCACTGGCTTTGAAGTCAGCCTGGATTTAATCTTGACTCTACCACTTTCCAGCTCTGTGTGTTTTGAGCAAATTACTTTACTTCTCTAAGATTGCTTCTTCATTGGTAATTTTCAGTGATTTAGGCTTTAAGCCCTTCTTAGTCCTAATCTGGTTTTTATTTTTATTTTTATTTATTTATTTTGAGACAGGGTCTTACTCTGTCTATTGCCGAGGCTGTAATACAGTGGCACAGTCATGGCTCACTGTAGCCTCAACCTCCTAGGCTCAAGCGATCCTTCTGTCTCAGTCTCCTGAGCATCTGGGAGACAGGCATGTGCCACCAGGCCTGGCTAAATTTTATTTTTTGTAGAGATGAGGTCTCACCATGTTACCCAGATTGGTCTTGAACTCCTGGGCTCAAGTGGTCCTCCCACCTTCGCCTTTCAAAGTGCTGGTATTACAGGTGTAAGCCACTGCGCGTGGCCCTAATCGGGTATTTTTACGTTATACTATATCTTTGGAGCTCAGATTTTGGTGGGGCAGTGGGGGGATACAAGGTCTCCTTTTGTCCCCCAGGCTGGAGTGCAGTGGCACAATCATGGCTCACTGTAGCCTCAACCTCCTAGGCTCCAGTGAGCCTCCCATCTTGGCCTGCCAAGTAGCTGGGACTACAGGCATGAGCCACCATACCCAGCTAATTTTTTTTTTTTTTTTTTTTTTTTAAGAAAAGACAAAGTCTTGCTGTGTTGCCCAGGCTGGTCTTGAACTCCTGAGCTCAAGCCATCCTTCCGCCTCGGCTTCCGAAATTCCTGGAATTACAGGCATGAGCCACTATGCCCTGCCAATAATTACTATTTTATTGCTAGAGCTTTTAGTCAACCTTAACTGAAATCACCAGTCCTTTCTGCTCTCCTCCTCATTCTCTTCTGACTTCCTCTCTTAGTCCATTCATGCTGCTGTAACAAAATGCCTGAGACTGGGTAACTTATAAATAACAGAAATTAATTTCTGTTGGTACTGAAGGCTGGAAAGTCCAAGATCAAGTTATCGACAGGCAGGATCTCCGCCTCCAAGATGGCACCTTGTTCATGTCCTCAGATGACAGAAGTGCATAGCTAGTTCCCTCCAGCCCTTTCATAAGGCACACATCACATCTGTGAGGGCAGAGCCCACATGGCCCAATCACCTCCTAAAGACCCCACCTCTTAAAAGTGTTGCATTGGGGGTTAAGTTTCAGCATGAAATTTGGAAGAAACATAGGCATTCAAACCATTTTCTTTCACTGTCTGGATTAGACTTCAGTAAAACATTACTCCAGAAATTCTGGCAGTATCTTCATCCACCTTGCTTTTCTTTACTAGTTTACTGATTACTGGTGCAACTCTAATCTCTGATTCAGTCCATCTGCTTTTGTGCTTCCTACCACTCCCAACTCCCTGGATGTCCTACTGGACATTGAAGAGAATCGTAACTGCACAAACTTGGAAATTCTGTATACCCTTGCTCTCCAGCTTCTACTGGGCTTTCTTTTTTTTGTTTTTGGAGGGGAGACTGGGTCTTGCTTTGTTGCCCAGCAGTTGCGATCATCGCTCACTGCAGCCTGGAACTCCTGGGTTCAAATGGCCCTTCCACCTCAGCCTCCTGAGTAGCTGGGACGGGGACTATAAACATACTCTACCATACCTGGCCAATTGTTCATTTTGTTTAGAGACCAAGATCTCTCACTAAGTTGCACAGGCTGATCTGGAGCTCCTGGGCTCAAGCATTCCTCCCTCCTTGGCTTCCCAAAGTGCTGGGATTATAGGCTTGAGCCATGACACTCAGCCCTACTAAGCTTTCAGTGCTTCTTCCCAATGTCTTGGCTGTCTTTCACATTCTCCCATTTGCTTTTCAAACCTTTTCCAGCCTCCTCAAATTTCTAAATTCTGCCTCCACTCAGTGGATGAGGAAAGCACGTCTCTTGTTCATCTGTTCCTAGCAGTGCCTGGTATATGGTAGACACTGGGTAAATATTTGTACGAGTGAATAGGGGAACTAATCATTTTGAGTTTGAAGTTCCAACAGGAAATGTAAGTGATGTTTTGTAGATCATTAAAACTGTGTATCTAAAGATTGTAGCTTGAAGGAAAGTTTTGGAATTGTCCTTACTGATAATATTTGAAGCAGTGAACAGCAGATGAGATGGCCAAAGGAGAAAGCACTTATTAATAGAAAAGGGAGAGATGGGCCGGGCACGGTGGCTCACGCCTGTAATCTCAGCACTTTGGGATTACTACTCAGGAGGCCGAGGCAGGTGGATCACTTGAGGTCGGGAGTTCGAGACCAGCCTGGCCAACATGGTGAAACCCTGTCTCTACTAAAAATACAAAAATTAGCCGGGCATGGTGGCAGACACCTGTAATCCCAGCTACTCTGGAGGCTGAGGCAGGAGAATCGCTTGAACCTGGGAGGCAGAAATTTCAGTGAGCCAAGATCGTGCCACTGCACTCCAGCCTGGGCGACAAAGTGGGACTCAAAAAAAGACGAAACAGAAAAGGGAGCAATGGCAAGAAGAGACAGAAAAAAAGTAACGAGGCTGAAAGCTGTCATAGTCATGGAAACCAAAGAAAATGGTTTACACAGATGCTATTTAACTTTTATATTTATATGTGATACTTGACTATTATCAATTAGTTAATACACATTATTTCCTGATTTACAAATGTTCTGTAAAACACTTGTAGAGTATACTTCTCTGGAAATTGTTGTCGTTCATTTTTAATGTTAACTATTTAAATCTGGGGGACACTGTATTTTCCAGGGGAACTGAACTCTCATCATGAGAATAATGAGGAAAGAACGGTAAACAGAGCTTGGATATTTAGAAACCCATTGTGGCCAGAAAGAAAGTTATGTCATTCAGTTGAATTTAGCAAATTGCAATTTGCCGAAGTATGGGGGTTATTTTTCCAAATATACTAAATTTTCAGTATTGCTTAAAATAAGGTTTTCAGTATTAAAACTAGAATCTTATAGTTTTGAGTACCAAAGGAATTTGAGAGACCATAGCTAATCTCTTTAACAAATGTGGAAACCACTTAGACTTTTTTCTTCCAGATTTTCTCTTCTTTTTAATTGTAATTTTTTTCATTTTTAGAGACAATCTTGCTGTGTCACCCAGGCTTGAGTGGACTGGTGCAATCATAGCTCACTGCAGCCCTGAACTTCTGCTGAGGCTGTCCTCCTGCCTCAGCCTCTTAAGTAGCTTGAACTACCGGTACACGCCACCATGCCTGGCTACTTTTTAGTTGTTTTGTTAGAGACAGTCTCACTATGTTGCCCAGGTTGTCTCCAGAGAGTTTCAATCTAGGATAGCTATCCTTTCATGAAAAACGTCCTTTTGTTATCACTGTTCAGTGTCATTCTTTGATTTTAAAAGGTTAATGTATATATTAAACTGCTGCCTTCCAAATTTCTTTTAGACCTTTTGGAAACAATCTGCTTTAAAATCCCTGGCTTCCTTTTTTTCCTCCTAAACTTCTTCTTTCATTTCTTTTTTTCCTCCCCCCAAAAACAAAACTGTTACAAGGTAATATTTGCTGTACAAAATATGGAAAATGCAGATGCACATGTCTTGTTTTGTTTTGTTTTTTGAGACAGGGTCTTACTCTCTTGGCCTAGGGTAGAGTGCAGTGGCGCCATCATGGCTCACTGCAGCCTCGACTTCCTGTGCTCCAGCAGTCCTCCCACCTCAGCCTCCTGAGTAGCTGGGACTGCAGGCGTGTGCCACCATACCCAGCTAGTTTATTTATTTTTGTAGAGACAGGGTCTCACTACCGGTTCAGTCTGGTCTTGAACTCCTGGGCTCAAGTGATCCTCCTGACTTGGCCTCCCAAGGTGCTGGGGTTACTACTCATGAGCTACTGTGTGAACAGGGTTCACTACAGCTTTGACCTCCTGGACTCAAAGCAGTCCTCCGTGCCTCAGCCTCCTGAGTAGCTGGGACTGCAGGTGCCCGCCACAATGCCCTGTTAATTTTTGTATTTTTTGTAGAAACAGAGTTTTGTCATGTTGCCCAGGCTGGTCTCAAACTCCTGAGCTCAAGTGATCTGCATGCTTTGGCCTCCCAAAGTGCTGGCATTACAGATGTGAGCCACCACTCCCAGCTGAGGTGTACCTGTTTTGATACATCTAATTACAATGAAAAATGCTAGTTTCTTACCAGCATTGCTCAGTCAGTCATAGAACCTTGAACTTAAAATAATGATTTTCTCTTCCTTAAACAGAGAAAGAAAGGTGTGTTATTCAGAAGGTTTTGTTTTTACAGGCTGATCCTCTGCCCTTAATGATTGAGATTTTTAGATACATGGCTAGTAGGACAGTAATATAAAAAGTACTAACATTGTAAAAGTAATAAAAAAGCTTTTCAAAATTAAAATTGATATAGGTAGAGGGTATACTTATTTTGATATCCTCTATAACTGTGTGGATGGGTTTTGAAATCAGAGCTGGCAAGCTGAAGGCAAATGCTACTGAGCATGCTGTTTCAAGGGTTTTGGGATTACTAATTATGTAAATTGTACCATTTTGTTACTTAAATGTGGTTATGCTGAGTGCATCTGTGCCTACTCAGCAATTGAGATTTTTTTACTAGCTTTTTCCTCCAGTGGCTTTTCTTGCCATTAAAACCTTTTTTGTTTTTTTATTGCAAATGAGAGATGGGGGTCTTGCTGGTATTGCCCAGGCTGGGCTTGGACTCAAATAATCATCCCACCCCTGCCTTCTCAGTAGCTGGGACTCCAGGTATACACCACCACACCCAGCTTTTTTTGTGGCATTTAGAATAAACTCAAGGATAACACTTCTAATCCAAGGCTCTGCAAAATGTGACTTTTGCCTACTCTGATTTCATCTCCTGCCTGTCTCCCTGAGACATGACTTTTACACTTGAACGTTCTTAGATTGAAATTGGTTTGCTTTTCAGTGGTTCTCAACTGTGGGTACAGTTTAGAGACACTTGGGGAACTTTTCAAAAAATACTATTGCCAGGCCTGGCCCAAGAAATTCTGATTTAATTGCCTGGCATGGGGCCTTGACATACAATTTTTTTTTAAAACTTTGGATAACTGTGCAGCCTAAGTTGAAAACCACTGATTGGTTTTCCTTAACTCCTGTCCCCTTTTCAGAGAGGTCTTCTGGACCTTTGCTATCCTATCCAAAGTCCCCTTTACCTCTTTGCTGCCCCTTTTTACCCAGTTGAGTTTTTCATTTCTACATTTTTATTTACTTGTTTATTGTTTTGTTAAAAGTTCCATGAAGGCAGGGGCATCATCTGTATTTTCATAACATATCCTAATATCTGAAACACCAAAAAAGGCTTGTTTCTGTGTAACCTGTAGAGAATTGTTTTGCTAAATTATATTTTAGAGAACATACCAACTACTCTAGTAGGCCTTAAAAGGACGTTGATTGTTGTTATTGAGATGGAGTTTTGCTCCGTACACAGGCTGGAGTGCAAAGGCTCGATCTTGGCTCACTGCAACCTCCACTTCCTGGGTTCAAGCGATTCTTCTGCCTCAGCCTCCTGACTACCTGGGATTACAGGCATGCACCACACACCCGGCTAGTTTTTATACTTTTAGTAGAGATGAGGTTTCACCATGTTGGCAGAACTGGTCTCAAACTCCTGACCTCAAATGATTCGCCTGCCTTGGCCTCCCAAAGTGCTGGGATTACAGCATGAGCCACCGCGCCAAGCCGACTTTGGTTTTGTTATCTAAGGTTTTAATGTCCAATGGCAAAGGCATATAAGAGAGAAGTAAATACTTTATCCCTTGGAAACAGTGTTACAGGTGTGGGTTAGGTTCCCATGCAGGTGCACAAAAACTAGAGGCATTACCATAAACACCTTTGGTGGTAGAAGGAGGCTTATTGATAATGATAGAGTGCTCAGTGAATGTTCATATAAATGTGTTTGTAGGCCGGGTGTGGTGGCTCACACCTGTAATCTCAGCACTTTAGGAGGATGAGGCAGGTGGATCATCTGAGGTCAGGAGTTCGAGACTAGCCTAGCCAACATGACAAAACCCCATCTTTACTAAAAGTACAAAAATTAGCTGGGCGTGGTGGCACGTGCCTGTAGTCCCAGCTACTTGGGAGGCTGAGGCAGGAGAATCACTTGAACCCGGGAGGCGGAGGTTGCTGTGAGCCAGGATCGCGCCACTGCACTCCAGCTTGAGCAACAGAGTGAGACTCCATCTCAAAAAAAAAAAAAGAAACTGCCAAATTGTTTTTCAAAGTGATGGTGCTATTTTCATTTCCGGTTCTTTAATATTCTTGCCAAAACCTGATATAATCATTCTATAATTTTAGCAATTGTATTGGATGTGTGGAGGTATTTTATTTCGGTTTAAATTTGCATTTCCCAAATACAAATGATGCTGAGTGTATTAGTTTGTTCTCACATGGCTAAAGACATACCCAAGACTGGGCAATTTATAAAGTAAAGAGGTTTAATTGACTCACAGTTCCACATGGCTGGGGAGGCCTCACAATCATGGCAGAAGGCAAAGAGGAGCAAAGCTGCGTCTTACATGGCAGCAGACAAAGAGAGAGAACTTGTACAGGGAAACTTCCCTTTATAAAACCATCAGATCTCTTTAGAATTATTCACTATCACAAGAACAGCACAGGAAAAACCCGTCCCCATGATTCAGTTACCTTCCACCGAGTCCCTCCCATGACATGTGGGAATTGAGGGAGGTACAATTCAAGATGAAATTTGGTTGGGGACAGAGCCAAACCATATCACTGAGTATCTTCATATGCTTACTTACCATTTGTATATGTCTGGTGAAGTGTCTCTTCAAATCTCCTGCCGATTTTTAAAAACTGGGTTGGTTGTTATGAGAGTTTTGTATGTATTCTTGATAAAAGTTCTTTCTCAGATCTATGATTTGACAATTTTTTTTCCAGACTCTAGTTTGTCCTTTAGTTCTCAACATTATCTTTCAAAAAGCAAAAGTCCAGTTTATAAATTTCATTTTTTATAGATTGTGCTTTTGGTGTTATATCTAAGAAGTCCTTATCTAAACCCAGTGTCACAAAGATTTTCTATGTTTTCTCTGGAAGTTTTACAGTTTCAGGTTTTACATTTTGTCTATGGTTCATTTTTGAGTTGAGTTTCATATATGGTGTAAGGTATGAATCAGTGTTAAGTTTTTAATATTATGTACACATAATTGCTCCAGTATCATTTTTGGGAAGACTGTCCTTTATCCACTGAATTTCTTTGCATTTGTCAAAAATCAAATGCTTATGTGTATTTATATTTCTAGACTCTATTCTGCTCCACTGAACTATTTGTCTTATTTTTACACCAGTACCACACTGTCTTCATTGCTGTGCCTTAAGTCTTGAAAGCAAGTAGTATTCACCTTCCAATTTCATTCTTTTCAAAGCTGGCGGGGTGGAGGGTAGGGGGTGGGTGGTGCTGTTCTAGAGCCAGTCCATTTCTTTATAAATTTTAGAATCAGCTTGACAACTTTTGTCCTCCAATAAATTTCTTCTGAGGTTTTGTTGGGGATTGCTTTGAATCTGTAGATAAACTTGAAAATAATTGACATCTTAATATTGGGTCTTGTGATCCATGAACATGGCATAAGTTCTTATGCCATGTTTGTGTAGCTTTTTAAATAACGTTTTGTAGTGTTCAATGTGTAGGTCTTACGTATCTTTTGTCAGATGTATCCCTAAGTATTTCAATTTTTTTTTTTTTTTTTTGAGGCAGAGTTTCACTCTTGTTGCCCAGGCTGGAGTGCAATGGCACGATCTCTGCTCATGGCAAACTCCGCCTCCTGGGTTCAAGTGATTCTCCTGCCTCAGCCTCCCGAGTAGCTGGGATTACAGGCATGTGCCACCACACCCGGCTAATTTTTGTATTTTTAGTAGAGACAGAGTTTCTCCATGTTGGTCAGGCTAGTTTCGAACTCCCAACCTTAGGTGATCCACCTGCCTCGGCCTCCCAAAGTGCTGGGATTACAGGCATGAGCCACCGTGTCCGGCTGTATTTCATTTTTTATTGCTATTACAAATGGCACTATATGTAATTTCTGTTTCTGATTGTTTAGTGCTGTATAGAAATACAATTGAATTTTGTGTATTGATCTTATATGCTCTTGTAAACTCCCATCTAGTAGGTTTTTTAAGATATCAGATTTTCTACATATGTGATCATATAATGCTAACTATTACAGACAATTTTACTTTATCCCTTCCAATTTGAATTTTTTTTTGTTGTTTCTTTCTTATTTTGCTGGGTGGAACTTTTAGTATAGTGTTGAACAGAAAGAAGTGTTAAGAGAGAGTGGATATCCTTACCTCATTTCTCTTCATTGAAGGGAACAGAAGGGCAAGCATACAAACTTTTGACTGTTCCCTTCTATTCCTATTTATTGAGGTTTTTGTTTTGTTTCTGTTTTTCAAATCAGGAATGGGTTGATTTTTGTCAGATAGTTTTTCTGCATCCACATCATGCACTGCATAACGATGTTTCAGTCAACAGTGGGCCGCATATATGACAGTGGCCTCATAAGATTATAATACCATATTTTTACTGTACGCTTTCTATGTTTAGACATGTTTCGATATACAAATATTTCAGCTTTTGTTACCGTTGTGTACAGTATTCAGTACAGTAACATGCTGTGCAGGTTTGAAGCCTAGGAGCAATAGACTATACCATATAGCCTTGGTGTTCAGTAGGCTATGCCATCTACATTTGTAAGTACACACTATGATGACACAGTGGTGAAAAGTAGAGCCAGGGTTTCACCATTTTGGCTAGACTGGTCTCGAACTCCTGACTTTAAGTGATCTGTCCACCTTAGCCTCCCAAAGTGCTGGGAATACAGGCATGAGCCACCGTGCCCAGCCAATTTTGCCTTTATTTTTGGAAGATGTTTTGCTGCATGTAGAATTCTGTTTTTATTTTTTCTTTCAGTACTTTAAGCATGTAGCTCTACTGCTTGCAGCATTTCCCATGAGGATTCTGCTGTTATTCTGTTTCTCTGTATGTAAAGCAACATTTTCTCTTGTTACTTTTAAGATTTTCTCTTTATCATTGGTTTTAAATACTTTGATTATGATGGGCTTTGGTGTGGGTTCTTCACGTTTCTTAGACTTGGGCTTTGTTGAGTCTTTTGGATCTGGGTTTGCAGTTTTCATCAAATTTGTACCATTTTGGCCATTGTTTTTTCACTTTCTCAAGCCCCTCTATGTGTAACACCAATTACACATAGATTAGGCTGTTTGAAGTTGTCTTAAGGTTCACTTAAGGTCTTTTTTTTTTTTTTAAGCTTTTTCCACTTTATCTTTCCCATTGGATAGCTTCTATTGATGGCTTCAGATTCACTATTTTTTTTCTTTGTGTGTGTGTGTGTGTGTGTGTGTGTGTGTTTTAATTGGAAAGGGGAGTTTTCTTTTTCATAAAGGGTTGCAGCCTGCAGTATTGTTTCCTTTGGCAGTGTGTCTAAAATGCTAGTAATACCAATTGGTGTATTTTTTTCTCTATGTTTTGATGTTTTCATGTCTTTTGTGTCTCTATTTGTATTCAATCTTTAGCTTGTTGAACATATAGAATACAGTTATAAAGTAGCTTTTTCTTAGACAAGGTGACATAAGAAAAATAACTTCTAACATTTTTGTCCACTAATTCTAACATCAATAGTCAAGACTAGGTTGGTTTCACTTGCTTGATTCCCCTCCCCACCCCCCTTGATTCTGGGATTCAGTTAAGTTACTGGGAAACTGTTTGATCTTTTCAAGTGTAGCTTTAAGGTCTGTTAGACAAGCCAGATGTGGTGACACATGCCTGTAATCCCACCTACTGGGAAGAACCGAGGTGGGAGGATCACTTGAGACCAGCTTGGGCAACATAGTGAGACTCCATCTCATTTATTTAACATAAAAAGAAGAAAAGATTTGTTAGACAAGATCAGAGCAGTATTTACATTAGGGTAATTTTCACCCACTGCTGGAGGCAAGGCTTTGCTCAGTACTCTACCTGGGTTGGGTGCAGTGGCTCACGTCTGTAATCGCAGCACTTTGGGAGGCCGAGGACGGTGGATCACCTGAGATCAGGAGTTCAAGACCACCCTGACCAACATGGTGAAACCCCTTCTTTACTAAAAATACAAAAATTAGCCGGGCATGGTGGCAGACGCCCGTAGTCCCAACTACTTGGGAGGCAGAAGCAGGAGGATCACTTGAACCCAAGAGGCAGAGGTTTCAGTGAGCTGAGATTGCATTACTGTACTTAAGTAGCCTGGGCAACAGAGTTAGACTCTGTCTCAAAAAAAAAATCTCTACCTAATGCCTGGTGAAGCATGTCATGTCATCTTTTTAGTCTTGGTTGTGAAACAGGTACTATTCCCAGCCCTTTATGAACTTCAGGCACTGTTCCCCTCTGATCCTCTCAGGTCTTTCTTTGCTGGCTTGTTAACAATATTAATTCTTCCAATCTGTGAATGTGGGCTATCTTTCTATTTATTTCGATTTCTTGTATCAATATTTTATAGTTTTCAGTGTATGGGTATTTTGCTCCCTTGGTTAGATTACTCCTAAGAACTTTATTCTTTTTGATGCTCTAGTAAATGGGATTGTTTTCTTGATTTCCTTTTCATCTAGGTTGTTATTTGTGAAAAGAAATGCAACTGATTTTTTGTATGTTGATTTTGTATCCTGTTGCTTTACTGAGTTCATTTATTAGTTTCAACAGTTTTTGTGAAATTTTAGAGTTTTCTACTTAAAAGATCATGTCATCTGCAAACAGGGATAGTTTTACTTCCCTTCTGATTTGTGATACCTTTTATTCCTTTTTTTGGTCTGATTGTTGTTGCTAGTCCTTCCAGCACTGTGTTGAATAGAAATGGTAAAAGTGGACATTCTAGCTGTGTACTAGATTTCAGGAAAAAGCCTTCAGGTTTTTCCCATTGATTTTGATGTTAGCTGTGGGATTTTTGTAAATGACCTTTATTATGTTGAGGAATTTTCCTCTGTACCTGTTTTGTTGAGAGTTTTTATCATGAAAGGATGTTAAACTTTGTCACGTGGTTTTCTGCATTTATTGAGATGATCATTTGGTTTTTACTTTTCATTCTGTTAAACTGTGGTATATCACATTGATTTGCATATATTAAACCAATCTTGCATTCTAGGGATAAATCAAACTTGGTTTAATGTGTTATTGAGAAGGATTGGTATTGTCTTGATTTTAAGTAGGGAAGTTAAGGTTCATTTTATGATTCTTTTAAGCTTGAGTGTTCTGCGATGGCTAGAGTTAAATCGGATGTTCTATAACCCTGTGGTTAAATTGTGTATTACTACTTTGTGTTCCTTCATAAGAATATGGAGAAGCTGAACTTGACATTTTATTTTGATTTTTGTTTAGTTGTAACGTTGGACATTTTAATACGCTTGCTTACTAACATTTCTCTAGTGAATTGTCTGTTCAAAGCTTTACTCTTTGGGCTGCTTTGATTTGTTGAGTTCTTATAACATATTTACATTTTGTCAAGTGTTGATTATTTTCTTCACTGACCATCAATTTAATTTTTTTTTTCTTTTTCTTTTTCCTTTTTTTTGAGACAGAGTCTTGCTCTGTCGCCCAGGCTGGAGTGCAGTGGCATGATCTCTGCTCACCGCAAGCTCCGCCTTCCAGGTTGAAGCCATTCTCCTGCCTCAGCCTCCCGAGTAGCTGGGACTACAGGCACCTGCCACCATGCCTGGCTAATTTTTTGTATTTTTAGTAGAGACGGGTTTCACCGTGTTAGCCAGGATGGTCTCGATCTCCTGACCTCACGATCCACCTGCCTCAGCCCCCCAAAGTGCTGGGATTACAGGCCAAAGCCACCGTGCCCGGCCCAATTTGATTTTTTAACCATTATTTTTCTCTTATGCTGGACAGAATGTTTAGTAGGCTTGCTTCTTAAAGTTTTGCCATGAAATAGATGCCTCTGTTC
Organism: Homo sapiens; assembly: GCF_000001405.40. Classification (NCBI taxonomy): domain Eukaryota; kingdom Metazoa; phylum Chordata; class Mammalia; order Primates; family Hominidae; genus Homo; species Homo sapiens. The sequence goes on from NC_000001.11 coordinate 171,509,283, forward strand.
TAGTTAAAAGTGAAACTTCATTCAAAACAAAGAAATGTAAACAGGCAGTGTGGGGATATATTCCTCAGGAGTACTGAGCTGAAGGTAATCAGTTAGTAGTTGAAGCCAAAGGAGCTAATGAGATTTCCTAGACAAGAGTTTAGATAAGAAGGGAAGTGGGGATAGGATGAAGAGCACTAGAGGAAAGATTGACCTTAAATGGAATGAGAAGAAAGATAAACTTTCTGTATTGCAGTGATTCTCAAACTACTTTCAGTTAGAATCACCTGAAGAATTTTTTTTTTTAAAAAAGAGTTGATGCCCAGTTTCCCCCCTGCCCCCAGATTTGTATACAGCAAGAGTTGAGAATCACTGCTTAGAATATATCTGCTTATAATAAGTCGGTAGGTCTTAACATTTTTGTAAGTCTTAGTCAATCTGGAAGACTTGCTATAGAGTGCTGGGCCCCTTCCTCAGAGTTTGATTCAGTAGGTCTGGGTTGGGACCTGAGAATTTTCATTTTTATCCTATTTCTAGAGAAACATGGTTTCTCTAGAATCACATGTCTCAGAAACATTGTTTCTTTTTTTTTTTTTTTTTTTTTTTTTGAGACGGAGTCTTGGTCTGTCACCCAGGCTGTAGTACAGTGGCATGATCTCGGCTCACTGCAACCTCCACCTTCCGGGTTCAAGTGATTCTCCTGCCTCAGCCTCCCGAGTAGCTGGGATTACAGGTGCCTGCCACCATGCCTGGCTAATTTTTGTATTTTTAGTAGAGACGGGGTTTCACCATGTTGGCCAGGCTGGTCTTGAACTCCTGACCTCAGGTGATCGCCTGCCTCAGTCTCCCAAAGTGCTGGGATTACAGGTGTGAGCCATCGTGCCCGGCCAGAAACATGGTTCTGCGAACCGCAGTAGCAGTAGGTGTAGGAAGGAAAGTTTGGATGTTAGATACAGGTTGGTTTGGAGATTTGCTCCTAGGAAGTTTAAGGAGTTCTTTTCTCATGATGTTGCTTTCTCTCTAATATACAGAAAGGGTCTTCACCAAGAGTGCTGCTTGAGTAATAATGGTGTTCAGAAAAGTCCAAGATTTCAGGATTCTTAGTTAAATAACTTAAGCAAGTTGACTGTTTTTCTTGATACATCAGTTCCTTTTTTTTTCACCTGATGAAAAAGCTCTTTGAATTTTAATTTTGTCAGGTAGTGAATATTTACTGTCCTCTTTTGTCACTGTAGATGAATATTCTTTCTATATCTTTGTACATGTTACTGGTAAATTTGCCAATAGGATAGATTTTGGTAGTACATTCTCTTTTCACAACATCATCATCATTAGCGGTCTTGGGGTAAAATTAATTGTATACATTCTTCTACATATAGTAGCAAATTGTATTAGTGTAGTCCTATTGGTTGTAGGTCAGTCTTTTTTCAGGTTGTCGGTTGTCTCAAGGAAAGATGGTTTATTGTAAACGTATACGTGAAAAGCGAAATGGTTATCTACACTGTTATGTGGGAGGAGGCAGCATAGTGTAATGGATTGAACCCGACACCCTAGTTTCAAATTCAATCTGATTTAGTCTTTATGTGTAAAAATCAAGACAGTAACTACATTGTAAAGTTGTTTGACTGAAATGAGATAATAGAGGTGAGAATGCCTGATAAATTTTATGGAACTATACAAACGTTGGGTGGCATTTTACATGCATATAAAATGACATCTCTGCTGATTCTGTAATTGACAAATATAAAACTAACGGATGAAACGAAATTTATAAAAGTAAAGTGGATATAGGCTTTACTTTGATGCTTTTTGCTTGGTATACCTATTCTATACTATCTTTGGCTCCTGTGTTTCAGTTCTCAATGTTTTCAGCTATTGATCGTTTCTATGGTAGAATTAGCCATCTTCTACCCTACTGCTACAATAACCCCTCAAAAACAAAAACAAAAACAACCGTTAGGTTGATATGTATCTACAACTTAATTAAATTGAAGGGAAATAGCATGAGACATAATTTTTCTTTTTTGCCTATCTATTAATAGACTAAGTTAGGGTGCATCACCAAGATGAGGGTACATTAGCTCTAAAGATGAGGATTCTCTTTGTATTTGAATGCTTATGAAAATGTTATTTATTTCTAACAACTTCTCATATGTAAGGGAACTTTATATATGCTTTGAAAAAAATGGATACTATTTTTTGAATATTTAGTCCTCAGTGATGAAATAGGTTATTTTTATATACCTTGTGTTTGTGAGATGTTTTACCTTTTACGAAATGAAGAGAACATAGAACGTTGTTTCTGTTCTAAACTGTTAAAGTTAATAGAGCTTTGTTGGGCACATACTGCCTGATGATGATACAGGGATGTAATATGTAGGGGAATGAAGATGTTGTCCTGTCATTTGGATTCCATGTGCATAGGTTGATGTGTCAGTCATTTCAAGCATATTAAATTGGATAATATATCTTTTTAAAATAGACAGTCTCAGTGGGTTCACTGTGTTTTAACTATTCACGACAGCATGGAATTATAACCCTTATTCTCTATGATAGAGTTAAGCAGTTATAACCATATATAACTGATATGTTTCACAAGTGCATGATAGCTTATTGTGATCAATTTTGTTGTGTATTGGTTATTGGAATTTGACAGTTAAAAAGTTCTATGAAATTATCATTGATATGGGAAGTTTTTTCAGAATTTCTGTGAACATTTGAATTTACTGAGTTTTTCATCCTTATTTTTCTTTCTTATGTACATCTTAAGGACTGGGGTTTTAAGGGGTGTGGCAGGAGGTTTTGGACTCGATGAGTTTCCACCGAAATGTCGGAGAAGTCAGGCCAGAGCACAAAAGCAAAGGATGGGAAAAAGTATGCAACACTCAGTTTATTTAATACTTACAAGGGGAAATCATTAGAAACACAGAAAACCACAGGTGAGTAAAATCAAGTGACACTTATGTTTTTCATGGTTTGTTTTGTTACTATAAGTGATACACCTGCTGCTATGAGAAGCTAGGATGTACCCAAGTTAATACAATGCTATTTACATTTGCGTTTTTATGCATGCACACATTTTTCAGAGGATATGTGATAAACATCTTATAATTGAAAATTTATACTTTCATAGAGCCCTTTAAAAATATTTTTGTTTTTCTCTGTTGTCAGCAGAAAAAAGGTAGAACTGTGTGGCTCTAAAGGGGAAACTCAGTCAATGAGATTGATAGGCACAGACCTATATATTAGTGGGAATTTAGTATCTTTTTAATTATAGACTAGAGAAAGTCTTATGTTTCGTGTGTGGGGGTGTGTGTGTGTGTGTGTTAGATACTGTGACCTAGTGAATATAGTGAAAACTGAAAATCATGCATGGCATATTAACAGTATTCTTTATGAACATACAGTCAATACATTTATTCTCTAACATTCTAAGTTTTGAGTTTGAAATAGATTCTCTGAAAAAATATCAGTATTATCAATGTTTTCTGTAGTGTGTTGAATTGCATTGTTAAATTTTTTAAGGAATCTGTTAAATGCTGTTAAATGGCTTGATTTCTACACTGAAATGTGTTGCAGGTGTGTAGCTTAGTTTTAAAATTATTATTTTAAAATACATGAATGAAAATCATTCAGGGATTGCATTAATTCCTATTGTTTTTCTATATTGTTTGAGGAATAAAATGGGTAATAAAATAGATGTTCTAAGAAAGTTGATGTTATTGATCTTTAGTTGCAGCTCGACATGGATTACAGAGTCTTGGAAAAGTCGGTATTTCACGGCGTATGCCTCCACCTGCTAACCTCCCAAGTCTTAAAGCAGAAAACAAAGGCAATGATCCTAATGTAAACATTGTACCTAAAGATGGCACAGGGTGGGCATCAAAACAAGAGCAACATGAAGAAGAAAAGTGAGTCAAAGTCTGTTAAAGAATGAAGCCCTTCCCCTTTCTTTGTAGGGAACTTATGTTTGAGTACCTGCTATTTGCTAAGTGTTATGCTGTCTGTATTACATATTACATATTTTATACTCTTTAAAGTCTTTTGACTATAGTAACTTTTGGTTAATTTTCCCTATTAAAAGTATTTCAATTTGTCAGGGTAGAACAGATGACAGAATTGGGAATCACAACCTTGCTTATGTCATAGCCTTTATTAGGCTCCCCGCTTTCATACTACCACCAACTCAGGTATTCCCTTTCCAATATGATTAAGAGTTGACTCCGATACCTAAATTCCATGATACTAAGGATGTCTGTCTGCCAATTTACTGTGTATCTCCAGCATTGAAACTGCCTGATGTTTCATAGGTGCTCAAGTAATAATTTGTATATACTGTAGCAAGAAAGTTAGGATAGAATTAATAGTGTCCATCTTAGTCATCCTTCTTTCAACAACTATTTAGACTTCTGTATGTCAAGGATTTTGCCAGACTCTTAGCTAATTGAATGACCAAGCCTAAATAGTGGTAATTTAAAAAAAATAAGACAAGCCATTGGATACTTGATGTTTTCTTGCCTATCTCTTATCAAAATTCTATACTCCTGCCTGGGGAGATTTATATAGTAAATTTGACTACTTCTGTAGTAATGTATCAAATACGTAAATGCTTGTTAGCTGTAGTAAAATTATTTTATAGTAATGAGTCAGTTATAGGTATGAGTGTCCCAGAAACACATTGCATTTTGTGAGCCTCTTAACTACTTTCTTATTTTTAAGCATTACCTCATTACAAGAATTGAATAAAACTGTACACCCTTTCAAAACACCTTTTACTCATGTGAATGCATTAGGCAGGTTGCTGTTACCTCTTTGAATAACAGTAGTAAGTACAGTGGTGATCCTGTTGACTGCCAGGTGGGGAGTTTGCTTAGCTTTAGCCCTCAACTAATTTCACCAGTCCAGACTGTATGTATGTTTATACTGCTATTTTTAATTATAAGTGTTCACTTCTTCAAAACAGATATTTGGTAACTGTGTTTAATTAAAAGTGTGTGTGTATGTGTGTGTGTGTGTGTGTGTGTGTGTGTTTTAAACAAAATGGAAAACAAGCAAAACTCATCTCATTGGGTTATTCAAAGGTAGAGATGAAAGACGATAAAAATAGCCATAATTCATTTAAAGGAATGTTGCAGAGAGAAAACATTTATTGGAGATTTACCAATGAATAAACATATAGCCAAAATAATTTGTACACAGGTTTACCTTAAATATAATATTGATTTTATTTAAACATACAGTATCTGAAATAATGGATTCATATTTTTTTTTAAGAACACCAGAAGTGCCACCAGCACAGCCAAAACCTGGGGTTGCAGCTCCCCCAGAAGTAGCACCTGCTCCCAAATCATGGGCCAGTAACAAGCAAGGTGGGCAAGGAGATGGTAAGTGGACATTAGTTGGGGAAGCTGCCTAGGCTTGATAGTTACTGAACAGCCATGCAGGAGATAAGGGGTGAACTGTGTTTTGGTAGAGCCATAAAGCATTGTTAAAGGATATACTCAAGGCTCTTAAAAAGGTTTTTTAAAAAATCTCTTGGGCTAGCTAAGTTCCAATGTCAAGAGCCATGTATGAGTCAATGATATTGGTTAAGGAAAGGAGTCTTTAAGATACCCTGTGCCCCACATCATTTTATCTTTACCTCTGCATATCCAAGCAAAGCTTGTACCTTCAAAGTATCCAGCCATCGCATAGATTGTTAGAAACCATACTCATTTTTCATCTATGTCCCCAACATCTCCTGTTTCAGACATGCTGCCACGATTCCTGAGAGGAGAAGAGCTAGAAAGTAGCCATAAAGCACCACTGCTGTAATATTCCCCTTTCCCCCAAGGAATGATGGAATCCCCAGCAGAATTTAGTTTTCCCACTTTCGAAACAGGAACTGTCTATAAAACATTCTATGGAAGAACCAATCTGGGCCCTCAAGCTAACAAAACTAGCTGTTTTAATTTATAGAAGTACAAAAAATAGGTAGATAGGAAGTTGGGTGAATAGTGAGGTGTAATAATCTTAGCTGTAAATTAAATCAAAGTAAAGTAAATGAAGCAATAAATTAAATAAAGGCATTTTAGCCTCATCTTGATCTTGGGGTCTTTATTCATCAAACACTATTTCAGTAATATGATTTGAACGAATTCTGAGAATTCTTAGCAGAGGAATTTGATGTGTATTGAAAATGTAAGGAGTCATAATGAAAGAGAAACAAGCTCTTCACTTGCATGGTCATCTTAAATGAGTCCTCTGGAATGGTACTGGTAGATTACTGTCTTAGACTTTCATCTCCTCATGGCTGATCATTAGCTTTTCAAAGGAGTCTAGGTGAATTTTAAAGTGATATGGCTATGAACAGTCATCACTGAAATGTGGAATAATTTAAGAGAAAGAGGCAGAGAGCTCTATCCTGGGAGGGTGGTTTGTATTATCTTCAGTATAAAAGTTACCTTTAATGTTTTTTTAAAAAAATCTATAGGAATCCAAGTGAATAGTCAGTTTCAGCAAGAATTTCCCAGCCTGCAGGCAGCTGGGGATCAGGAAAAAAAAGAAAAGGAAACAAATGATGACAACTATGGACCTGGACCCAGTTTACGTCCACCAAGTAAGAGTACTTTCTCTTTAATACAAAATGAGATCATATTTGTGTATTATCTTGCAATACAACCTCCTGCTTGCTGTTGCATATATTATTTGCCTACTTCGAAAAGGCAGACTTTGTACTATAGTCACTTGCTACTCAGGTATGATTTTTGCACCGACAGTATCACTGTAACTTGAGAACATGTTAGAAATGTGTCATCTTGGGCCTCGCATCCAACTTACTAAATCAAAATCTACATTTTAACAAGATGTCCAGGTGACTTTCATGTATACCAATATTTGGATTTTTTTATACTAGTTTTTGAGCAGGCTTCCCTAATGTGTAACTATTTACTTACTACTGTATTAATATTCGGTGATTCCTCACTTTCTGAGCTCAAACTGAGGAAACAAATAATTTTGGATAATGAGGGATAGTTTATGTACATTACAAAGCAAAAACTAAAAATAAAAGTGTAAAATGTTCGAGGGATTTTTAAATGTCTTCTTAATTGTGATAGCTTCATACTGTCATTACCAAGTATCTTAAAGGACCTTGTTTACATGGGGAGGTTCGTCTATGACAGAAGTGTTTACAAATTCCATATTTCTAAAAACCTGATGTATTTCACATTTTTTAGCTCTTGTCAGATGTAAATAAATCTAAATCTTATTTTTCAAGCGTCATAATGTGGTTGGTGCATTTGTATTAGAAATAGATGTGCTGACTCCTCTATTTTGTTCAGTTGAATTTTCACCAGTTGTCTATTGCTGCATAACAAATTTAGCAATGTAAAACAACAAACTGAACTATACTTATGATATCCCACTGTATCTGAAGGTCAGGAATCCAGGGTCAGCTTAGTTTGAGGTTCTGGCCAAGGGACTCTCTCTCAAAGCCGCGATGAAGCTGTCTGAAGCTGACTTGACTGGGGCTGTACTTCCAAACTGACTGGTGTAGCTCTTGGCTCTTTAGTTTCATGGTCTCTTAGTGGGGCTGCTTATGACATGGCTTCTGCAGAATAAATGATGAGAGACAGACACCCTCCACCCAAGACAGAAGCCCACAGTCTTTAATAACTTAATCTGGAGAGGGACATGCTATCACTTCTGCCATATTCTACAGGTTACACAGACCAACCCTGCTATATTGTGAGAAGGGACTACACTTAGTGTAAATACCAGAAGATAAAGATCATTTGGGCTATCCAGGAGACTGGTTACCATGCAGTGTTTCTTAGCAAAACCACCTAGCTGTTTTATTTGGTTAAGTGTAATTACACCAGATAATTTCACGCAATCTGTTCACTTGGGGGCATCTGTAACTAACAATAATATACTGGAAACAGACAAATGAGAATATCACTGTCAACCCTTCCAGATTGTAGAAGTCCCATCTTCCTTCCCTCAGGAAACCTCAGGTGTGTCACTCTGAAACATGGCCATCTGATATATGGAGAACAGTGATTTTAATTTCTATACCAAATATTGATAAAGCTTCATAGAGAAGTTCTAATATTTTCTTCTCCCACCCCAGTATTTGCTTGTGGTGACACCCTCTGAGGTACATCCTCTCCACTTTGGAAGCCACTACTACGCAAACAACTTGAAAGCATTAGTAGGACCTGGATTAGACTTTTCCTGCTCTTTCACTCTGCTTACTTGCTTTCATTTTCCTGAAATACATTTTGGTTTCACTTTGTTCCATTTTCAGATTTTTATCTTTTTCCTTTTTTCTCTGCCTTCATACTAGATGTTGCTTGTTGGAGAGATGGTGGTAAGGCTGCTGGCTCACCTTCGTCATCTGATCAAGATGAAAAGCTCCCTGGCCAGGATGAAAGCACAGCTGGAACATCAGAGCAAAATGATATCCTCAAAGTGGTGGAAAAGAGGATAGCTTGTGGTCCTCCACAGGCTAAACTGAATGGACAGCAGGCTGCTCTCGCTTCCCAGTATAGAGCTATGATGCCTCCTTATGTGAGTATTGTTAAATGAACAAGCATTCAAACAAGTGGTTTTTGATCTGGGGTCCAAGGAGCGAATTGTTATAGGGAAAAGTTTAGGTCTTTGTTTTCATTAACATCTAACTAAAAATTAGCATTCTCTTTTATTGTATGGTATATTGTGAGAAGGGACTACACATGGTGTAAACACCAGAAGATAGAGATCATTTGGGCTATCCGGGAAACGTTACCACGCAGTGTTTCTTAGCAGAAACACCTAGCTGTTTTATTTGGTTAAGTGTAGTTGTACCAGATAGGAAACAAATCAGCAGTATCTTTATTATTAACAGGGATTGCAGATATTTTCATATCACATTACATTCAACATTACTTCAAAATAATTATTAGACCCATAGATAATGATCTAATAAAGAAGCACGTACGTTACCATACCACAGATTTATTTTGTAAATACAGAGAACAATTACACTAACATTCTGTTTAATATAATTGTTCTTCTTTGCAATATTTTTGTATTTTACATTATGCATTTAAAATGTTTTCCTGAGAGGAGGTCCATAGGTCCATAGGATTCATCAGACTGCCAAAGGGGTGGTTCATGGAAAAAATGATAAAGAACACTTGCCGTAGTTTCAAAGTTTTTATTTGTGTACTTTTAATATTTTTTTCAATTTTTTTTCAATTTTTTTTCAATTTTTTTTTTTTTTTTTTTTGGAGACAGAGTCTTGCTCTTTCGCCCAGGCTGGAGTGCAGTGGCATGATCTCAGCTCACTGCACCCTCTGCCCCCTGGGTTCAAGCAATTCTTGTGCCTCCGCCTCCCGAGTAGCTGAAATTACAGGCATATGCCACCACACCTGGCTTTTTTTTTTTTTTTTTTTTTGGTAGAGATGGGGTTTTGCCATGTTGGCAAGGCTGGTTTTGAACTCCTGGCATCAAGTAGTCTGCCCACCTTGGCCCCTCAGAGTGTTGGGATTACAGACATGAGCCACCTCACTTGGCCTTTAAACTTTTTTTAATGGAAAATTTTAAACATGTACAAAAATAAAGATAACAGTGCAATGAATCTGCCTCTTTTCCTACCACTTTTTTTTTTTTTTTGAAACAGAGTCTCGCTCTGTCACCCAGGCTGGAGTGCAGTGGCATGATGTCGGCTCACTGCAACCTCTGCCTCCTAGGTTCAAGCAGTTAACCTAGCCTTAGCCTCCTGAGTAGCTGGGATTATAGCTGCCCGCCACCATACCTGGCTAATTTTTATATTTTTAGTAGAGACAGGATTTTGCCATGTTGGCAAGGTTGGTCTTGAACTCCTAACGTCAAGTGATCCACCCGCCTCAGCCTCCCAAAGTGCTGGGATTATAGGCATGAGTCACCATGCCCGCTCTTTTCCTACCACTTTGGATTACTAAAGCAAATCCAAGATATTTCATCAGTAAATATTTTAAGTTCTATTTTAAAGGATAAAGACTTGGGGAGAAGGTTTGCAATGCTGTTATACATAAAAAGAAAACTAATTCCTTGATATTCTCAAATATTATGTTAGTATTCCAGTAGTTGTCTCATAATTAGGATCCAGGCAACATCCATTCGTTGAGATTGGTTCATATTTCTTTTAAGAATCTTGTTACCTATAGATATTTCTATCTCCTGTTTCCTTTGGAGCTTATCTGTTATAATTTGTTAACCTGTGAAGTTCCTCAGATTTTGGATTTTGTTGATACTATCTTTAATTTCATTTATTATATACTCTGGCACCCACCCCTGCCCTCCCACCACATTTTCTAAATTATTAGTTAGATTTGGTGTCCTCATTCTTTGTTTACTTTCAGCCCAATGTGAAGTTGTAAAACAAGTCACATGTGCCTGGATACATCCATTTAGTTTTCCAGAAGACTCATTACTCTCATAGGAAACAAAAATCTAGGTCATATTTATTTAGTTTGTTGTTTAACTCCTAATATTTGAATCCTAAATATCCATCATACTTTCCATTCCTTCATATTGTTGATTTTATTTAAAAATATGGAATGCTTCATGAATTTGTATGTTATTTTTATGCGGGGGCTGTGCTAATCTTCTCTGTATTGTTCCAATTTTGCTGCCAAAGTGAGCATATACATTACTATTTTTTAATCATTCTAGACTAACAGAGGGAGATGAATGATTAAATACAATTACTTGTTAAATGTTTTTTGCTCTGATGCCTAGGCTGGAGTGCAGTGGCACCATCTCGGCTCACTGCAGCCTCCACCTCCCAGGTTCAAGCGATTCTCCCGCCTCAACCTTCCAAGTAGCTGGGATTACAGGGGCACGCCATCACGCCCAGCTAATTCTTGTATTTTTAGTAGAGACAGGGTTTCACCATGTTGGCTGGGCTAGTCTCGATCTCCTGACTTGAGGTGATCCTTCCTCCTCGGCCTCCCAAAGTGCTGGGATTACAGGCGTGAGCCACCGTGCCTGGCCATTAAACGTTTTCCTAAAAGAAGTTTGGGAGTATGCTGACCTGGCCTTGAAAAATGATTTATACCCAATTACTTTTTTTCTAATCATTTTCAAATTGTGCTACCAAAGACCCCTGAACTTTCATGTGAGAGGGTAGGATAGGAAAGAGGGGAAACCACGTGGGCATCATTCCCACTTTCATCAGTGATTATATTTGAATAAAGTGTTCCACTAATTAACAAAAACATTTAAATATCACTACTGTATACTGAGAATTTAAAATTTGTTTCTAAAATGAATTTTCTGGCAAATTCCTAGATTTTAAGCATTTTTTAAGACCACATGAAATTATGTCTGGAATGACCAGATGAAGGATTTAATGCAACTTTAGCTATGAACATATGCCTCCAGTAGTGTCTTTATTAACTTCAGTATAGAAGTGTGATGCAACTGAAAATTCTCCAGAGTATCCCTCAAAGTTTCCCCAGCTGAGTTTCAGCTGTTGCTTGACTTAATTAACATTGCTTCAACCTGACTTAAGAGAAATTTCTTCTCCTTTTTTTTTTTTTTTTTTTTTTAATAAAGACGGAGTTTCGCTCTGTTGCCAGGCTGGAGTGCAGTGGTGCGATCTCAGCTCACTGCAACCTCCACCTCCTGGGTTCAAGTGATTGTTGTGTCTCAGCATCCTGAGTTACTGGGATTACAGGCACGCCCACCACACCTAGCTAATTTTTTTGTATGTTTAGTAGAGACAGGGTTTCACCATGTTAGCCAGGATGGTCTCCATCTCCTGACCTCGTGATCTACCCGCTTCGGCCTCCCAAAGTGCTGGGATTGCAGGCATGAGCCACTGCACCTGGCTGAGAAATTTCTTCTTTAGACAGCATAATCATATAAACATAGCCTTACTTCAAATGTAAGAATTTTCTTATCTAACACACAGTTACTACTTACTTTTTAGAAAAACTAGTCTTCTATTTCAGGATATAAATTATGTTTTTACAGTAATATAATTTCCTATTATTTACATAATTTGACTTGGATATAAGCATATAGTCAATGACCAAGACATTCTTTGACCCTTCTTCCCTTCAAAATCATAGGATGAATCCCTTGGTGTTATTTGTTCCCAGAATCTATCTTATGTCTTCTCTTAAGTTTAGTTTCCCAGAGCCAAGTTCCTACAGAGAACAGTATCTGGACCTGTTTGGGACAGTTTATAATGATCATCTGTGCAGTAACTTGATTGAGAATTCACCTATGCCATATACATAGAAAATTTCTGGGTAGCTCTCTGTCCCCCTTTTCCAACTCACTTCCTTGGATTGTGGACTGTCTTTTAATTTTATCTGAGCTGAGTTCTTCCCCACGCCTGCCACCCCTACATTTTTCTTTTTGAGGTGCTGGGGCTGGGGACTGATGTTATCCTCCTTATCCACAAATCTGCCTCTGATTATTCTACTCCTGCTTATGGAGGAAGGCCAACAGCATTTGCTTTTCAAATATTTTCACTTTGCCGTTTGCTAGGGTGCATGTGTGTACATATCCTGTTGATACAATTACTTTAATGTAATTTATATCTTGTTGACACAGTTACTTTAATGTAATTTTACATTACATATCTCATTGATACAGTTACTTTAATGTGTACATATCTTGTTGATAGTTACTTTAATGTAATTTTATTAATATAATACAGAAGTTTTTCATATGTGCTCTAGTTATTCTATTTATAAAGAGTTGCTAGTGGCAATGGCCTTGGAAATGGGTTGCTATTGAGGATGAACAGATAACAGTCATTAATAGTTTTATTCACTTAAATCATTGTTTTATAAATTGTAACTTCAGGCCTAGGCTCAGATTTATATATATATATAATTTTTTAAAATAACTAGGTTGCTAAATTTATCACAATTTTTTGTTTCCTTCATTCAGATGTTCCAACAGTATCCGAGGATGACATATCCTCCTCTACATGGTCCCATGAGATTCCCACCTTCTTTATCTGAAACAAACAAGTAAGGCTATTAAATGATTAAAGTCTGTAAGGAATATATGCTTGTTAAGATTTCCTGAAGGTTGAGTGGATTGTGTGATTCTGAGTTGTGTAATTGATCGTTTTCCTATCCTCACAGTACAGTTGTCATTAGTAAATAATTGGCTAACTCTTATAAGACAGAACAGAAATAATTCATTCTTTTAAGCATTTAAATTAATTTACATAGGATTTTGAAAACTGAAAACCAGGCCGGGGACGGTGGCTCACCCCTGTAATCCCAGCACTTTGGAAGGCCGAGGTGGGCGATTCGCCTGAGGTCAGGAGTTCAAGGCCAGCCTGGCCAGCATGGTGAAACCCTGTTTCTATTAAAAAAGTACAAAACAATTAGTCGGACGTGGTGGCGTGCACCTGTAATCCCAGCTACTCGGGAGGCTGAGGCAGGAGAATTGCTTGAACCCAGGAGGCGGAAGTTGCAATGAGCCGAGATTGTGCCATTACACTCCAGCCTGAGCGACAGAGCAAGACTCCGTCTCAAAACAAAAAGAAAACTGAAAAACATGGCCCTAAAATTGATGACACTTGTTTTTCTCTTCTTCCTTTCATATTATGGACTCCCCATTTTCTTTCTTTTTTTTTTTTTGCTTATTATATGAGACTTGAACATCCTCTTGAATTATTTTCCTCAAAATATATATTTTGAAGTTAGTTTTATTCATATCGTTATCCTTTTAACATATTTGTTTTATCTTAAATATTTGAGAATTCTTAAAAACTTTGTCAGCTGTTACTTAAGAGTTACGTATTATCCTATCATTATGTATTAATATTAATTTTTTCATACACATGTCCATGCAGAACATATTAGGTATCTTGGTGTAGAAAACACTAATGTTGAAATGAACTAAATTCCAATCTTTTAGTATTCTCCCAGTTTAGTATCATAAACTTTTGTATCTTTTCCATGACCTGCCTTTCATTAGAGGCCTTCGAGGAAGAGGCCCACCTCCTTCATGGGCCTCTGAGCCTGAACGCCCATCCATTCTTAGTGCATCAGAACTGAAGGAGCTTGATAAATTTGATAACCTAGATGCTGAAGCTGATGAAGGTTGGGCAGGTAAGAGGCAAAATTAATTAAGTCCTTTAAATTGTTAGATGCTTTCAAGCAGCCAGTCTGAGTTTTCCTTAATTTAATAGGTGCTCAGATGGAAGTAGATTATACAGAGCAACTGAATTTCAGTGATGATGATGAACAAGGAAGTAACAGTCCTAAAGAGAATAACAGGTAAGTTGTGATATCTTTTACTAATAACAGTATGAATTTGTTGATACAATATTAGCTACTTATGCAAAGAAGCTTTGTTAATAGACAATTGTTTGTTATTTGTAGAATTTATATATTCTCAGAAGTTTTACTGAATAGAGGGTGCTTAATGAGCTAGATTAATACAGTATACAGCTAATCAAGGAATTAAAATTTGATGCGTCTCAAGAAAGTTTATTTAAAAACATTTAGGGCTGGGTGCGGTGGCTCACATCTGTAATCCCAGCACTTTGGGAGGCCGAGGCAGGCAGATCACTTGAGGTCAGGAGTTCGAGACCAGCTTGGCCAACATGGTGAAACCCCATCTCTACTAAAAATACAAAAATTATCCAGGCGTGGTGGTGCATGCCTGTAATCCCAGCTACTCAGGAGGCTAAGGCAGGAGAATCACTTGAATCCGGGAGGCGGAGGTTGCAGTGAGCCAAGATCATGCCACTGCACTCCAGTCTGGGTGACAGAGCAAGACTGTATCTCAAAAAAAAAAAAGATATTTAGATGCTTGGCACCTAGTTTGGAGATCTTTTGAGAACTGGTATTAGGAACAATTTTTTAAACTGTTACTTGCTTGACCTGATCTGTATTTACAAAATTGGAGAATAATTCCCTGGGTTACTACAGCTTTTTCAGGTCCTCGATTTCTTAAAACTTAGTAAACTGCATTAGGGCCTTGGAAAATGGGGAGCTTTTTATTTCTTTTTCCTTCATTCTGGAATATTGGAGCACCAGTCAGGAATATATGGGTTATATATCATAAAAGTTGGGCTTTTAAAATATATGGAAGTTTGGAAGCACATTTGGTA
Organism: Homo sapiens; assembly: GCF_000001405.40. Classification (NCBI taxonomy): domain Eukaryota; kingdom Metazoa; phylum Chordata; class Mammalia; order Primates; family Hominidae; genus Homo; species Homo sapiens. The sequence continues at coordinate 171,524,362 of NC_000001.11, forward strand.
TAATTTTTCAGTTATGGCATTGTGACAAACATCGTTTTATGATCGTTTAAGAGATACCTGTGGTTTGTCGTGGCTTTGAAAAAATACTGTAGTTTGATTTATCTTTTTATTAAATCAGAATAAATTAGAATGCAGTTAAATAATAATTCCAATATTACCCAGTTACATTTGGATTGTATTTCTTATGTAGAGGAGATAGGAAATGATGTGATTATATTCTTTTGCCAGGATATATGCCTGACATGTGTGTTTAGATTTGACAACTACTGTATTGCACTTTCATAGTATATATTTATTGAAAGAACAAATTAGCACTAATGGGTCACACACCCATCTCATTCCTTAATACATTTCCCCCCCCAGAAACCATACAGAAATAATTTTTTTAATTGCAAAAATAATGTGTGTACTTATGATACAGTTGGTCCACTTTATTTCTTCTGCATTTTGATTTTTCAGTGAGGATCAAGGTTCAAAAGCCTCTGAAAACAACGAAAACAAAAAAGAAACAGATGAAGTTTCCAACACTAAATCATCTTCCCAAATACCTGCCCAACCATCAGTAGCAAAAGTTCCCTATGGGAAAGGACCTTCATTTAATCAGGTTTGTTGGACTCATGGAGATCCTTGTTATTGCAAGGATCTCCTTATTGTAATTACTGTGTAATACTATGGATAATTATTCTTACCACAGAGTGGAACGGGACTTAGAAAAAGGAAACTGTGTATTTTTTTCTTGAATAGTCTTGAATCTATCATAATTTTTATTGCATTTAACCGGAATTATCAATACAGTAGCTAAAGTTATCAAGTGAAAACTAAAGCTTCACATTTTTTTTACCTTATGATATAGCTCAATCATAGCAAAGTGTAGGGATAATATTTTTCTAAAATAAAATAAACATTGCTGAAGTGCTTTATGGTTTATTGAATACTTAAATACTAGTCAGTCTTTTTGTGTGAATGGTACACTATCTGTAGGGAAATCACATAGTGAGTAGGGAGATCTAAAGTCTGAATCATTTTGAAGAACATTGTGAATGAAGGGAAATGTGTGTGCAACAGATATTTGATCCCACTTCTGAGATGGTAAATGGTTGCAAAAGCTGCATTATAAACTGGGAATAAAAAGGACTACTTTCAAGGGAGTCCACTTATCTCTTTATTAAGGAATCAGTATAGTTAGCATGTATTTGTTGGATTCATACAAAATAGATGGAGGAACTTGTCCCTTCTGAGGGCTAAAAGGAGGTAGCTAACAGTTTCCTTGACAGGAAAAAAAGTCAGTAAGCAGTTACAGTGTGCTAAGTGGCGTAATCATAGAGGGTACAAAATAAATTCTTTGAGCATTCATTTAAGGTAGAAGGCTGCAGAAGACTAAGTACTTGAGCTAATTCTTAAACAAGCATGATTTAGGCAGTATAGAAAGGGAATATAGCTGTTACAAGCAGTGGAAACACATGTAGAGAAGTATGAGAAAACATGGCACATTCAAGAAATTCTAAGTAGTTTGATATAGGAGAGAGGTAAGAGAGCTATGTAAGAACCACTTCTTTAAAATGTATGCTATATGAGGGTTTTAATCTTAAGGCATTGATGATCCATTGAATAAATTTATGAACCCTGAAAAAGAAGAATTTTTTAAATAACATTTTAATAACTTTTTTGTGTGACTTTTTACTTATTGGCATAATGGGGAATGAGAATTTTTCATGAAAGAATAGAGGAATAGATGGAATATGTCTTGATGTCTTTGACTTTTTTGTGACAGTCATGTGACAGTTTATATTAGCAAGTGAATGTTTCATGTATTTTGTTCCATTATGTTTTAGATTTTCTTTTTTTAAGATAAATCTCATATTTTTAGTTTGCCACTAGAAAAGAATTGAGCTTACATAAATAAAATTTAGTAATTAGAGGTATAGATCTCCTCAGTCAGATTTGCTGGATCAGAATTCCAGAACAGCTAGACTAAAATTCTTTTTTTCCCTCTTGAGACAGAGCCTTGCTCTTTCACCCAGGCTGGAATGGAGTTGCGCGATCTTGGCTCACTGCAACCTCCACCTCCTGGGCTCAAGAGATTCTTGTGCCTCAGCCTCCCAACTAGCTGGGACTACAGTGGTGCACCACCACACCCAGCTAATTTTTGTATTTTTAATAGGGCTGGGGTTTCCCCATGTTGGCCAGGCTGGTCTTGAACTCCTGGCCTCAAATGACCCACCCGCCTCAGCCTCCCAAAGTGCTGGGATTACAGGCGTGAGGCACCACGCCTGGCTAAAATTTTTATTGTAAAGTGCATTTAAGATTCTAACCTTACTGAAATAGCAGAGTGATTGCATAAAAGTAATCTTGTAATGAGTGATATGCTTTTATTTAAAAAGAGAGGAGAAAGATGTTTAGCAATCTTATGGTATTGAGAAAATCATTACATTCAGAAATATATCTTTTTTTTTTTTTTTTTTTTTGAGATGGAGTCTTGATCTGTCTCCCAGGCTGTAATGCAGTGGCGTGATCTCCGCTCACTGCAACCTCTGCCTCTCAGGTTCAAGCAATTCTTCTGCCTCAGCCTCCCAAGTAGCTGGGATTACAGGCTCCTGCCCCCATGCCTGGCTAATTTTTGTATCTTTAGTAGAGACAGGTTTCGCCATGTTCGCCAGGCTGGTCTCTAACTCCTGACCTTGTGATCCGCCTGCCTCGGCCTCCCGAAGTGCTAGGCTCACAGGCATGAGCCACCGTGCCCGGCTGAAATATTTCTAATAGATATATCTTTTCTTTTTCTTTCCTTTTTTGAGACAGAGTCTTGCTCTGTCACCCAGGCTGGAGTGCAGTAGCATGATCTTGGCTCACTGCAACCTCCGCCTCCCAGGTTCAAGCAGTTCTCCTGTCTCAGCCTCCAGAGTAGCTGGGATTACAGGCACCCGCCACCACGCCTGGCTAATTTTTGTATTTTTAGTAGAGACAGGGTTTTGCCATGTTGGCCAGGCTGGTCTTGAACTCCTGACCTCAGGTGATCCGCCTGCCTCGGCCTCCCAAAGTGCTGGGATTACACGTGTGAATCACCGCACCCAGCAGATATATTTTTTCTTACATGGTTCTTTTTAAGTAATTCTTTCAAGCTGGTGTGGTGGCTCACATCTGTAATCCTAGCACTTTAGGAGGCTAAGGCAGGCAGATCACTTGACATCAGGAGTTCAAGAACAGCCTGGCCAACATGGCAAAACCCTGTCTCTACTAAAAATGCAAAATTACCCAGTTGTGGTGGCAGACGCCTGTAATCCCAGGTATTTAGCAGGCTGAGGCATGAGAATTGCTTGGCCCCGGGAGACAGAGGTTGCAGTGAGCCAAGATCATGCCACTGCACTCCAGCATGGGCAACAGAGCAAGACTGTCTCCAAAATAATAAGAATAATTCTTTCTTCTTTATAATAGGAACGTGGAACATCTTCACATCTGCCACCACCTCCAAAGTTGCTTGCACAGCAGGTAAATTTTAAGTGCTTGTTTATGGATTATATATTTTATTTGACCTTTTGTTTTGGTGGAAAGACACCAAATTTTTTATTCAAAACTTTTATGAAACAGTTACTAACTTTTTACCTTGTGACTCTTACATGTCTTACTCTTCATCCTTTTCATTTTCATTCTCAGTTGATAAGCATGCTTCAAGTTTCACTAAGAAAATAAGAAGTACCTAGGAGATAACTTTTTTTTTCTCTCTCACTGCCCGTATACTTTTTCTTCCTATTGTTTTTGGTGCTAAGGACACTTTTTTACTTGGTTCCTTGTATCCTTTTCCACTTATGATAATGTTATCTCATATTTTAAGAAAAACAACTTCACAAAAACCTCTCTCTTTACATTACTCCATCCCACTTTCCATCCCATTGCAGTGTCTACCCTATTTCTCTGTTCTCCATCAGTGAAATTTTTTTTTTTTTTTTTTTTTAGACAGAGTCTAGCTCTGTCGCCCAGGCCGGAGTGCAGTGGCGTGATCTTGGCTCACTGCAACCTCTGCCTCCTGGGTTCACAGCATTCTCCTGCCTCAGCCTCCTGAGTTGCTGGCACTACAGATGCCCGCCACCACGCCCGGCTAATTTTTTGTGTTTTTTTTAGTAGAGACGGGGTTTCACCGTGTTAGCCAGGACGGTCTCGATATCCTGACCTCGTGATCCGCCCACCTTGGCCTCCCAAAGTGCTGGGATTACAGGCGTGAGCCACCGCGCCCGGCCAATGAAATTCTTTTAGTGAACTATTTATACTTACCGTCTTTTGCTGCTCATTCTCTCATTAGCCCTCTCCAGGCATGCTTTCTTTTCCCACTCTACCTTTGAAACTATTATTATCAGAGTCAGTGATGACTTCCATCTTGACAAATTCAGTTTTCTTGTCTTCATCTCATTTAAATCTCAGCTGAGTCATTGACATAGTTGATTTCTCTATCCTTCTTTTGTATATGCATATATTTTTAGAGACAGGGTCTTGCTTTGTGGCCCAGGCTGGAGTGCAGTGGTGTAATCATAGCTCACTGCCACCTGGACTCCTGGGCTCAAGGGGTCCTCTCACCTCCCCAGCAGCTGGGACTGCAGGTGCACACCACCACGCCAGGCTAATTTTTTGCAGAGACAGGGTCTCACCTTCATGCCCAGGCTGGTCTCGAACTCCTAGACAAGATACCACCTTGACCTACCAAAGTGCTGGAATTACAGACTTGAGCCACCATCCCTGGCCTATCCTTAAAACACTTTTTTATCTACTTGCATCTGAGACACCTCGCTATTTTGTTTTTCTTTGCTTTCTATTCCTTCTGGGCCTCCTACACTTCGAGTGTTGGAGCACTCAGCCTTTTTCTCAGTCCATTTTAAAAATCTGTATCCTTTTCCTTGGGTATGTCTTCTATGAGCTGATGGCATTCAAATGTACATTTAGCCTGAAAAGCTTTGCACTGACTTTTAAGAGTCATATATTCAACAATCAACTCAACATCTCCACTTGGATCTCTAGTAAACAGCTCAAATATGTCCAAACCATAACACACACCCCCACCTTTCCTGCATACCCACAGTGCTGCTTCTCCTGTCTTTCCCATTTCAGGTAATGGCATTATCATTCACATATTTGCTAAGGCTGAAACTTAGAAGTTACTCTTAACTCTTCTTTTTTTACCCTACATCTAGCTTTATCTATCAGCAGATTGTCACCTGTACCTTCAAAATGTACACTGACTACTTGCTACCACCTTTTATATTTCCTTTGAACTATTGGAGTGGGTTCTTGACAGATACTGCTTTCCTCTTATGCTGCCTGCTCACTTGCCACCTTCATCCCATATTCTTCTGTAGTAGTTGTTGTCTTTTTAAAACTATGGATTAGGTCCGTTACTCCTTGTTCAAGTCCTTCTCATGATCTTTCAGATCTCTGTCTACTTTTCTAATTTCATCTGCTGTTCTTACCACATACACATTGCTCTTCTTGACTTTTTTACTTGTTCTTCTTTCTAACTAGCAGATTTTCTTTTCCTGAAATCGTTGTTATGATCAGGGTCTCCAGACCTTCTGTAATCACCCTACTGTGATAGCTGTACATATCACAACCATCACCATCGTTTCCAGCAATCCCTCTCCTCATAACCACTGAAAGCTCTTTATAACATTTCTGCGTACACAGAAACTAAAACTAAAACATCTAGAAAAAAGTATAGAAGATCAAGTGTTCATGAACTTGGAGCTGACAAAGTTTTCTTCGATAAATAAGACCTTGGCCACGAATTAGAAAGGAAAAGCAGCTGGTCAGTTGGACTTTGGAGAACATTTCCCAAAGAATGCAAAGATATGTTACAGAAAAAAATATTCCTAATACATCTGACGAAGGACTTGTAGCTGGGCTTTTTTTTTTTTTTTTTTTTTTTTGCGCAACAGAGTCTTGCTCTGTTGCCGAGGCTGGAGCAAGATCTCAGCTCATTGCAGCCTAAACCTCCTGGGCTCAAGCGATCCTCCTGCCTCAGCCTACCAAGTAGCTGGGACCACAGGCATGTGCCTCTATGCCCGGCTAATTTTTTTGTATTTTTTGTAGAGATGGGGTTTCGCCATGTTGCCCAGGCTAGTCTTGAATTCCTGAGCTCAAGCAGTCCTCCTGCCTTGGCCTCCTAAAGTGCTGGAATTCCAGATGTGAGCCACCGTGTCTAGCCTGGGCCGTATTTTTATTTTTTTTTTAATATCTTACAACTCAATAATACGTAGTTAAACAAAAAGACTTGAACATTTGTTTCTCAAAAGAAAATGTAAGAATGGCCAGTATGCACATGAAAAGATATTCAGTGTCTTTAGTTATTAGGGAAATACAAGTTAAAACCACTGAGATTTTACTGCACTGCCAGAATTAAAGACTGATGACACCATGTGTTGGCAAGGATGTATAGAGCAGCTGGCACCCTTATACATTGGAAAACCTTATAACCACTTTGGAAAACAGTTTGGCAGTTTCTTGTAAATGAAATATCTATTTACCATATGACACAGGATTTTCACTTGTAGCTGTTTATCCAACAGCCAGGAAAACATACATTTACACAAAGACTTACGCATGAATGTTCATAGCTGTTTTATTCATAGTTTAAAAACTGGAAGCAACCCACGTGTCTATCATACATGAAACAACGTGCCCACAATGGAATACTATCCAGCAGTAAAATGGAGCAAACTACTTATACATAAAATAACCTCAATGCCATTATACTTAGCAAAAGAAGCTAGCACAAAAGAGAATATAATTTTATACATGTATATAAAATTCTAGGACAAACAGAACTATACAAGGTTAGGGTTGGGGTGCTTGGGGCCACAGGGGGAGGCAGAGGAGTGATGGAAATGTTGTGTCTGCGTTGGAGCAGTGGTTACACAGGTGTATCATTTGTCCAAACTCATCAAACTATACACTTAAAATATGTGCAGCACAGCACATTTTATGTAAATTTTACTTTTATGAAGTGAGTTGTGTAAATTAGGCACTAATATATTTGGTTTTTCAGCTTATCTCTGAGCTGTGGATGAAGAAACTCAGCACAAGAGAGATGAAGTAATTTGCATATGATGGCACTATTAGTAAATGGTAGTCTGCATTCATTTAAAAAGATAGTCAAGTGTTTTCGTTGTGTCATTGTTTAATCTTTTTATAAGCATTCCAGCTGGGTTACATATGGCTCTTAAGATTTCTTCACCCTAGTAGCTTTTAAAATCAATATGTTAAAAACATTTTTTTAATTACTTTTATTGTTTTTGCATAGTTGCAAGCAGTGATTTTAAAACCTGTCATTGTTTTATAACACATTAATGAAAATTTAGTCATTGAAACTTGGATGTTTCAGATGATCCTCCGATTCTCCACTCCGGGTTCTAGATACGCTTTTCTGGATCTTTCAGTCTAAAGATAGAACTTTTCTTCACCCAGACTAATTTGTAGGAATTTCTTCTCCTTTGGGGTATCATTACAGCACTGACTCTGTCTTTTTCACTTTGCTTCTTTGGCTCTGTGCTTTTTACCTGTAGCTGTACCTTAATTTTCTCAGGGCTCACATGCCATCATTTTGGATATTTAATACCTTCATTTCTCTCCCTTAGACATTCCAACTCTGGCAGCTGCTTCTAAAGTATCCATGCTAAATTTCCTTTGTCTCTAAATTTAGATTTTGAGATTCACTGTTGTGCTTCTAGTTTTATTCAGCAAATACTGAATGAGCAACAACGTCTGGCACAATAATAGGTACATACTCAGTAAACATTGGACCGCTGGATTAATTATTCTGGTCTTAGTTTGGTGAATTATCTAGATGTAATATATTTCCCATCTTATGTGTTTTCATTTTAATGTGTATGTTCATCAGAGAAATTTCTGATATTTTTGTGGGGTTTTTCCTTCTCCATGCCTGATACCCAGTGTTAGTCAGAAATAGAGTTGTCATAACTCATCTGATACCTTAATGTTTCAGCATCCACCTCCAGATCGACAGGCAGTACCTGGAAGACCAGGCCCCTTTCCCTCCAAGCAGCAAGTAGCTGATGAAGATGAAATATGGAAGCAAAGACGAAGACAACAATCAGAAATTTCTGCAGCAGTAGAACGTGCTCGTAAACGGCGTGAAGAGGAAGAGCGAAGAATGGAAGAACAAAGGAAGGCAGCTTGTGCGGAGAAACTGAAACGATTGGATGAGAAGCTTGGCATCCTGGAAAAACAACCATCTCCAGAGGAAATTAGGGAAAGGGAGCGAGAAAAAGAACGGGAGCGTGAGAAAGAACTTGAAAAAGAACAAGAACAGGAGCGAGAGAAGGAGAGGGAAAAAGACAGAGAGAGACAGCAGGAAAAGGAGAAAGAGCTGGAGAAGGAGCAGGAAAAACAAAGAGAAATGGAGAAAGAAAGAAAGCAAGAAAAAGAAAAAGAACTAGAACGGCAGAAAGAAAAGGAAAAAGAACTACAAAAGATGAAAGAACAAGAAAAGGAATGTGAGCTGGAGAAGGAAAGGGAAAAATTAGAGGAGAAAATTGAACCCAGAGAACCTAATTTAGAGCCCATGGTAGAAAAACAAGAAAGTGAAAACAGCTGTAATAAAGGTTTGATAGTATTCTTCATTCTCTTTTAAAAACTTTACAAAGAGCTTTATGTTGGTTACAGTTTGGGGTTTGTATATTTTAAATATATGTAATCAATATAAAAGTGATTGTTTTATGATAGCATTTGCAGTACAAAATATGGGCTAGAGCCGTGTTTTCTAATTCTGTATATGAACAGACGTCTCTGAAGTGTTTCTCAGTTATTAGATGAGCTTCATTTCTGTTTTATCTGCAGAATTGTATTGGCTTCATAGTCACATATACTGATTCTCCCCCTGCTTTTTTCTGACTCCAAGACATTTAACTAAACAAAATCTCATTTGTTCACATGCATTAATACCTCTAAAACTGAACTGGCATAGAGCTTAATGAGTATGTTGGATTATCATAATTAAATGACTGCACCTAGTTCATAATTTCAGGTTTGCTGTTTAATCAGTTTAAACATGCAAGCTTCCATGGTGTAGTTGATATGCTATTAAACTGTAATTTCCTGGAGTAATTATACTTTAAAATAAAATTCTTTTTCTAGATCTAATCAACTTTTTTGTTCTTCTCCGAGTTGGCTTGTAGACTGATTAATGGCATTCAAATATAGTATAAAGCCTTGGCAAAGTTAAAGTTCAGGGTTTTCGTTTTTTGTTTGTTGTTGTTGTGGTGGTGGTGGTTGTTGTTGTTTTTGAGACAGAGTCTCTCTCTGTCTCCAGGCTGGAGTGCAGTGGCGGAATCTCAGCTCACTGCAAACTCCACCTCCCAGGTTCAAGTGATTCTCCTGCCCCAGCCTCCCAAGTAGCTGGGGCTACAGGCGCGTGCCACCGCACCCAGCTAATTTTTGTATTTTTAGTAGAGACGGGGTTTCACTATGTTGGCTAGCATAGCCTCAATCTCTTGACCTCGTGATCTGCCTGCCTCGGCCTCCCAAAGTACTGGGATTGTAGACGTGAGCCACCGCGCCCAGCCTAAAGTTTAGTTTTAATGAACGACTTGAATTAAAATAGAAATGCAGTTTTATTTCAGTGTATTTTCTGATGTGGAAATATTGTAAGTTTTCTAACCTGACGTCTCATGCTCTTTTCTACAAGGCACTGCTGCTTAAAATAATAAGAATGTGTTTTTAAAAATAAAGTTTTTATTTATATGCAGGGTTACCTTCAAACTTGGCTCTTAATTTAACTATAAAGGAGTATGAGTATTTTATCTTTAATTTTTTTAATGAAATAAGGCCTGTATGGACCATTTGTTAAGACTCTAAGATTTCAGATTTTTTTCATATTAATCAATCTAGAGAGACTTTGCTATTGAATAGTGGGCTTATATTACATAAGTACTTATGAAGATTGCTCATAACACCAAAATAGTGAAATAAAGTGTTCACAAGAGAAAGGAAAACATTATCATAGTTTAATAAGTTTTATTTGTGCTTTTATTTTCATTCACATTTTATATATTCTCTCTCATGGCAATTTAATTTTAGCTTGTTTATCAGTGAGATGTACCCATGTGATTTTTTTTTCCCCCCTCAATTCTGATACTAGACACATACAATTTTTTTGTTTGTTTTAATGCTCTCTGAGATGTTCTCAAGACACACGTGATTTTAAAGTCAGTGCCTATGTGGCTCTTTTTCCTCCAGTATATTATTTTCCATTCTTTTTTTTTTGGCTGTGTTGCCCAGGCTGGTCTCAAACTCCCAGGCTAAAGTGATCCTCTCACCTCAGCCTCCTGAGTTACTGTTATTACAGTCATGCACCACCATGACCTGCTCACTCTTTTACAACATTCTTAATATTGAATGTAATCCAAGCAATAAAAATGTTATTTGTGATTCTTAACAGCATGCTTTTACATTGGGAGATAAACTTCCATTTTAAATTCATTACTAGTCATTTGAGAAAAGAATTTGTAACAAGCGTGGATTTGTAATTGTGACAAATGACATTCTAGAATGAATTATGTTTGAAGATAACTAGTGATCACTCTGTTGTCTTCAGACTTAAACTCATTAGTTTTCCTTACAGATAATAGTCCCTTTACCCAATAAATAACTAAATAAACCAACATGCTCTCTTTTTAAGTATTTATAGGCCATTTGTGTTTTCATGTAGATTTTAATGAACTACCAGTAAATACTGACAATTACATTGATGTTTATTGAAACAAATAAAAAATATGTGGAGTTGGAAATGTTTCATTATTTAAAAAAAAAAAACATAGATTTTATATGATGAAGCATTTGGATCTCTGCTCTCCATCTCTAAGAATGCAGCTTTTAGGAAATCTAAGGTTTTGATAATCTAATGTTACCTCATTGATAACTACCAATGTTAAAGTAGAAAATAATGTTTTAGAGTGTCGAGGATATTTTCTTCCTCATTAACTTTTATTATACCTCAGTCTTTGTAAAAATCCTGTGTTTGATAAGTGTCATAGATGAATACTATTACCTTTCACCTTTTCTTTGAGCAGAGGAGGAACCCGTTTTCACTAGACAAGACAGCAATCGCAGTGAAAAGGAAGCCACACCAGTGGTGCATGAAACAGAACCAGAATCAGGGTCTCAACCTCGGCCGGCTGTATTATCTGGCTATTTCAAACAGTTTCAGAAGTCTTTACCTCCACGATTCCAGCGGCAGCAGGTAATGATAAAAATATTTTATCATGTATGTGTGATTGAAGTGGTTTATTATGCAGTAGTCTGGGAAATTAGACATAAAACTGATAATACGTAAAGCACACAAAGTTCCCTTGAAATTATTTTTCCTTGTAAATAAAAGTTAACGTGGGTTTTACCTTGACCTTCTGTGTCATTCCTTTTGATCTTCTGCCTCATTTATAGACACCATCTTCCATTTCTAGGAGATAGATCATACAGTGCTTGAGTATAAGGTAAAATGTTATAGTTCATCTTTCAGTTTTTTGTCTTGCCAACTCTTAACTGTTAAATACCTTTTGAACTCTTACTTTTCCTTCAAGGATTCAAAACAGGCCATTATTTTGTGATATGATTGATTATGTTAATTTGTCATGTGGAACTAAACTCTCAAGATATGGGATCTTACTTTTTCAGGAACAGATGAAACAGCAGCAGTGGCAGCAGCAGCAACAGCAAGGTGTACTTCCACAGACTGTTCCTTCACAACCGTCCAGTAGTACTGTCCCTCCTCCACCACACAGACCTCTTTATCAGCCTATGCAGCCTCATCCTCAGCATTTGGCTTCTATGGGTTTTGATCCAAGGTGGCTCATGATGCAGTCCTACATGGATCCTCGAATGATGTCAGGAAGACCTGCTATGGATATTCCACCCATTCATCCTGGTCAGTTGAATTTGCATTTATAGTTTTACAGGATCAAAATTTTTTTTTCCCTGCTTTTAGTTTCAGTTCCTTTGAGAGTTGTAATCTAGGAAAAACTTAAACCTCCGATTTTTAATCAAAATGATGTAACTTTCAGCATCGAGTAATTAAATATCTGACACTCATATTACTTATGTGGCAAGAACAAAATACTAGTTCATTTCTGTTTTGTAAGTATTATTTAAAACTTCAGATGGAAATAATTATGTGTTATTAACAGTATTTGTTATTGGCTACATTGTTGTTCTTCTTTAAAGTGTTTTCAGCGTTTGAATTTTGTCCATATGTTATATATATTCCTTTTCAAGTTCTTCTTCCATCATTTACCAACCTAACACTTGAATTTCCTTTTAGGTTAGGGGGAAAAAAAGTGAATTAGCAGTCTTTTATGGAATCCATCAGAATAAATCAAGATAATCTATTACCAAAATGTTACAGAGGAAAATTTAGGGATGATAAGCTGATCACAAATCATGTTTTGATTTTTACATTTATACTGGTATTTGGAAATTTAAGTGGCATATTTTGTAGAATATTGACCAACTAAGGTAGGTTAATGGAATTTAGGAAAGAATTTTCTCTGAAAGTTATCATAGTATAATTTTCATGATGTTTGTATTGACATCCAGAGTCACAGTACTTGGTGTCTGATTTTTATATGCATAATATTTTCTTTCTTTTGAAGTAAAACAGGCTGCTATTGTGATTTTGCTTATTTTGCTTCCTCAGTTCTTAAATGCAATTTTTATTTAACAGCAGTAATAAAATTCCATTCACAGAACAACCCTTACATAATTTCCACCAATCTTTTACTCAGGAAAAAAATGCTTTTAATATGGAGAATTCCACCTAACAATTAATAACCTGTATTCTATGTCTATCATGGTTTTGTTTCGTTCATTTTTCAAAATCCTCATTTCACCTTTTTCTGAACTTTTGTTACAGGAATGATTCCTCCTAAACCATTAATGAGAAGAGACCAGATGGAAGGGTCACCGAACAGTTCTGAGTCATTTGAGCATATAGCTCGATCTGCAAGAGATCACGCAATTTCCCTTTCTGAGCCTCGTATGCTGTGGGGGTCAGATCCCTATCCTCATGCTGAGCCTCAACAAGCAACTACTCCCAAAGCAACAGAAGAGCCTGAGGATGTAAGGTAATAAATTATTTCAATTTAATAGATGATACAGAATATTTTGGTAAAAGGAAAACTGTGTAGTGTTTCTGAAGATCATTCCAATTTAGGACTGAAGCATAAATCTGGTTTCCTTCTATTTAATTTAGCATGCTACGCTTACTCTTTGGACATATTCTCTGTATTCATTAGGGCATTTTGTAACCTGGTTCTGTACTCAATTGTATGCTGTAATTTAGTATTAGATGTTGAAATTGGTAGGTTCTTTTTTGAGATAGGAACTTGCTCTGTTATTCAGGCTGGAGTGCGTTGGTATGATCTTGGCTCACTGCAGCGTTCACCTCCCAGGCTCAAGTGATCGGCTTACCTCAGCTTCCTGAGTGGCTGAGACTACATGCGTTCACCACCACACCCCGCTAATCTTTGTGGGGTTTTTTGTTTTGTTTTTGTTTTTGTTTTTGTTTTTGAGACAGAGTCTTGCTCTGTCTCCCAGGCTGGAGTGCAGTGGCGCGATCTCAGCTCACTGCAAGCTCTGCCTCCCGGGTTCACACCATTCTTCTGCCTCAGCCTCCTGAGTAGCTGGGACTACAGGCACCCGCCACCACGCCCAGCTAAATTTTTGTATTTTTAGTAGAGACGGGGTTTCACCGTGTTAGCCAGGATGGTCTCGATCTCCTGACCTTGTGATAATCTTTGTATTTTTTATAGAGATGGGGTTTTGCCGTGTTGCCCAGGCTGGTCTTGAACTCTTGGGCTCAAGCAGTCTGACTGCCTTACCTCCCAAAGTGCTGGGATTATAGACGTGAGCCATCGTGTGCAGCCACTTGGGATGTCTTTATTGTAGAGTAGGTGTGAAGAAATTTAGGTGTATCTACAATGCTTATATAATATAGCTAGATGTAATTTTTCCATTAGTGAGATGTTTCTTTTTAACAGTATTTTAGGGAACATTTTTAAGGCCAAGATAAGGAGAAATACAATAATACAAAGTTAACTTTGAAATGGCGCACAATTGGTGATGACTGTAATAATTTATAGCCATACAGTTGGAACTTCCTGCCCTTTTATGGGCTATATTTTTTTGGTAATGTTTTATAATGTTTTATAATTATTTGTAATTAACTGGGACAGATAAGCTTACTCAAGTGTACTCTTTCATTCTAGGTGGAAATTACTGGTCTTGATGGATTAGAAATTCACATCAGCATGGTCTTAACTTTGTTTTTCCTTAAGGAATAAACTTCATTTATTTATTTCTATTTTTTATTTTTATTTTTTGAGAAGGGTCTCGCTCTGTCAGCCAGGCTGGAGTGCAGTGATGCAATCACAGCTCACTGCAGCCTTGACCTCCCAGGCTCAAGTGATCCTCTCACCTCAGCCTCCTGAGTAGTTGGACTACAGGCATGCAGTACCATACCCGGCTAATTTTTGTATTTTTTGTACAGACAGGGTTTTTTCATGTTGCCCTGGCTGGTCTCAAACTCCTGGGGCCCTAGTGATCCTCCTGCCTCCCAGAGTGCAAGGATTACAGGCATGAGCCACCGCTTCAGGCCCATTTTTTTTTTTTTAATGGAGTTTTGCTCTTGTTGCCCAGGCTGGAGTGCAATGGTGCCATCTCAGCTCACCGCAACCTCCGCCTCCCGGGTTCAAGCGATTCTCCTGCCTCAGCCTCCCTAGTAGCTGGGATTACAGGCATGTGCCACCACGCCCAGCTGATTCTGTATTTTTAGTAGAGACGGGGTTTCTCCATGTTGGTCAGGCTGGTCTCGAACTCCCGACCTCAGGTGATCCGCCCTCCTCGGCCTCCCAAAGTGAGGATTGGGATTACAGGCGTGAGCCACCGCACCCGGCCCTATTTATTTTTAATTGTGGCAGAAACCACTTAGAACATTAGATATATCCTCTTAACAAAAATTTAATCATATGGTACCATGTAGTTAACTGTAAGCAGTGTTATACAGCAAATCTCCAGAACTTTTTTTTATCTTGCATGACTGAAACTTTATACCTATTTCCTATTCTTACCTTTACCTATATTTCCTATATTTACCTTTACCTATATTTCCTATATTATACCTATACCTATATTTCCTATTTCCCCCTACTCCTAGCCCCTGGCAGCCACCATTATGGTTTCTGCTTTGATGAAGTTGATTATTTCATGTTCCTCATGTAAGATATTTGTCCTGACTGACTGACTTCACTTAAGCATAATGTCCTCAGGGTTTATCCATGTTGTAGCATATGACACTATTTCCTTCTTTTTTATCCCTGAATAATATTCTATTGTATGTGTATACCACATTTTCTTTATCCATTCAGCTATTGGATATTTAGGCTGTTTCCACCTCTTGGCTATTGTGAGTAATTCTCCTCTAAACTTTTTATATAGCGAGAGAAAGATTCTCATTATGGTTAAGAGTCATTGCTTTCTGTTTTAGAGGGATTATTTTGCTATATACTTACGCATGGGAAAGATTGCTTTGTTGATTATACCTTTGAATTCTTATCATCATAGGTCTGAAGCTGCGTTGGACCAGGAACAGATTACTGCTGCTTATTCTGTAGAACATAATCAATTAGAGGCTCACCCAAAGGCAGACTTTATCAGAGAATCAAGTGAGGCACAAGTACAAAAGTTTTTAAGCAGATCTGTGGAAGATGTTAGACCTCACCATACTGATGCAAATAATCAGTCTGCTTGTTTTGAAGCACCTGATCAAAAGACCTTATCCGCTCCTCAAGAGGAGCGGATTTCAGCTGTAGAAAGTCAGCCTTCCCGGAAAAGAAGTGTTTCCCATGGATCTAACCATACGCAAAAACCAGACGAGCAGAGAAGTGAACCATCTGCAGGCATTCCTAAAGTAACCAGCAGATGCATTGATTCAAAAGAACCAATAGAAAGGCCAGAGGAGAAACCAAAAAAGGAAGGCTTTATACGATCTTCTGAAGGACCAAAACCTGAAAAAGTATATAAATCTAAATCAGAAACTCGTTGGGGCCCACGACCAAGCTCTAACAGAAGGGAAGAAGTTAATGATAGACCTGTGAGAAGATCAGGTCCCATTAAAAAACCTGTACTTAGAGATATGAAAGAGGAACGGGAACAGAGGAAGGAGAAAGAAGGAGAAAAGGCCGAAAAGGTCACTGAAAAAGTAGTTGTAAAGCCTGAAAAGACGGAAAAGAAGGATCTTCCTCCTCCCCCACCACCACCTCAGCCACCAGCACCAATTCAGCCACAGTCAGTTCCACCACCAATTCAACCAGAAGCAGAGAAATTTCCTTCAACAGAAACTGCAACTTTGGCTCAAAAACCATCTCAGGATACTGAGAAGCCTCTGGAACCTGTGAGTACTGTTCAGGTAGAGCCTGCAGTTAAGACTGTAAACCAACAGACTATGGCAGCACCAGTAGTCAAAGAAGAAAAACAACCTGAGAAAGTCATCAGCAAAGACCTTGTTATAGAGAGGCCTCGACCAGATTCAAGACCAGCAGTTAAAAAAGAATCAACTTTGCCTCCCAGGACCTATTGGAAAGAAGCTAGAGAGAGAGATTGGTTTCCAGATCAAGGATACAGAGGTCGAGGCCGAGGTGAATATTACTCCAGAGGTCGAAGCTATAGAGGTTCTTATGGAGGGCGTGGCAGGGGTGGTAGGGGACACACTCGAGATTATCCTCAGTATAGAGACAATAAGCCAAGAGCAGAGCATATACCCTCAGGGCCTCTCAGACAGCGAGAAGAAAGTGAAACACGGAGTGAGAGCTCTGATTTTGAAGTTGTCCCCAAAAGAAGACGACAGCGGGGTTCAGAGACTGACACAGACAGTGAAATTCATGAAAGTGCAAGTGACAAGGACAGTTTAAGTAAAGGCAAACTTCCCAAAAGAGAGGAACGGCCTGAAAACAAAAAACCTGTAAAGCCTCATTCTTCTTTCAAGCCTGATAATCATGTTCGAATAGATAATAGACTGCTAGAAAAGCCTTATGTAAGGGATGACGATAAAGCTAAACCAGGCTTTCTTCCTAAAGGAGAGCCTACAAGGAGAGGCAGAGGGGGAACATTCAGGCGTGGTGGAAGGGATCCTGGAGGCCGTCCATCACGCCCTTCCACTTTACGAAGACCAGCTTATCGGGACAATCAGTGGAACCCAAGGCAGTCAGAAGTTCCTAAACCAGAAGATGGAGAGCCGCCAAGAAGACATGAGCAGTTTATTCCTATAGCAGCAGATAAACGACCTCCAAAATTTGAGCGAAAATTTGACCCAGCTAGAGAAAGGCCTCGAAGGCAGCGTCCTACTCGACCACCAAGGCAAGACAAGCCACCTCGATTTAGACGGCTAAGAGAGAGGGAGGCTGCTTCAAAATCAAATGAGGTGGTAGCAGTGCCCACAAATGGCACAGTTAATAATGTGGCTCAAGAACCAGTTAATACTCTTGGGGATATTTCCGGGAATAAGACACCAGATTTATCTAATCAGAACTCTTCAGATCAGGCAAATGAAGAATGGGAAACAGCTTCTGAAAGCAGTGATTTCAATGAGAGGCGAGAGAGGGATGAAAAAAAAAATGCTGACTTGAATGCACAAACAGTTGTAAAGGTTGGAGAGAATGTTCTACCTCCAAAGAGGGAAATTGCAAAGAGAAGTTTTTCTAGTCAGAGACCAGTAGATCGTCAGAATCGACGTGGCAACAATGGTCCACCCAAATCAGGAAGGAATTTCTCAGGTCCTAGAAATGAAAGGAGAAGTGGCCCACCATCAAAAAGTGGGAAGAGAGGGTGAGTACTTTGTTTTAAATATAGTTGCTTTTGCACCTTTAAAGAAGCTAAAAGTAGAGTTCTTGGTTGAATTATGCAAAGAGCCAGTCTAGATAAAGGACCAAAAAACATTGTTCTTCCCAAATGCTTTATTCTCTGTTCTCAAAGTGTAAGGGTGCTTAAGGAAGAGAGGTTAAGGTGTCTTAGGAGTCTTTGCCTGCTACGTTACATTTTCCAGAAGAGTTCTCTTGGAAACTTGTAGCTTTGGGAAAATGTTCACATCTAAGGAGGGACATGTACTGTGTCCTTATTTGGTAAGTTATCTGATGAGTAGCCCTCCCTTCTTTCTCAGTTTCTCCTAATAAACCTCTAATGCTACACAGGTGTCCTCTGAGATTTAAATTAATGTTATAACCATATACTTTGTCACTCTAGAGAGAGGCCCAGAAAACAAATCCCTGTTCTACTACCAAGGACACCAATAACATAATTGCCATGGCAATGGATTTTTTTAAAAAAATATTTTTTCTCAAGTAAGCTAAACTTGGCCTGTTTTTTGTTGTTGTTGTTGAGATGGAGTCTCGCCTTGTCACCCAGGCTGGAGTGCAGTGGCGTGATCTCGGCTCACTGCAAGCTCCACCTCCAGGGTTCATGCCATTCTCCTGCCTCAGCCTCCCAAGTAGCTGGGACTACAGGTGCCCACCACCATGCCTGGTTAATTTTTTGTATTTTTAGTAGAGACGGGGTTTCACTGTGTTAGCCAGGATGGTCTCGATATCCTGACCTCGTGATCCACCCGCCTCGGCCTCCCAAAGTGCTGAGATTACAGGTGTGAGCCACTGCACCTGTTGCTTGGCCTGTTTTTTTAACTATTCAGATGTTGGGCCTGGTGCGGTGGCTCCTGTAATCCCAGCACTTTGGGAGGCCAAGTTGGGCGGGTCACAAGGTCAGGATATCGAGACCATCCTGGCTAACACAGTGAAACCCCGTCCTCTACTAAAAATACAAAAAATTAGCCAGGTGTGGTGGCAGGCGCCACTGGGAGTGGAGCTTGCAATGAGCCGAGATTGTGCCACTGCATTCCAGCCTGGGCCACAGAGCGAGACTCCGTCTCAAAAAAAAAAAAAAAAAAGTTGGTTATAGTAAGCTAGTATTGATTTATTTATTTAGTGTTAGCATTATAACGTAGCAGTTAAGATTCAGAATGCCTAGGTTCAAATCTCGGCTCTAGTACTTTCTAGTTGCTTCCCCTTTGCTTCCTCACCGCTAAAATGGGGAGAAAATAATAGCACTTAATGTGTGAAGATACTAAGATGATACTTGTGATGCACTTAATACCTGGTATATAGTAAGTAATCATTATTATGTGTGCCCTGCTTTTAGAGCAATTGCCAGGTTTGCAGCCTGAGCTGATAAGAATTTAAGAATTTATTTGGACTGTATGGTATTAATCTGAGTTCCTTAGTTTTACATACTTAGCACTTCAGATTACTATACCCATAAGGTATATTTGTCTATTTTCTGTTGATATAACTAAATACCTGAGATCTGGTAATTTATAAAGAAAAGAAATGTATTTCTTGCAAATCTGTTGGCTGCAAAGTCGAAGGTTGAGGGGGCGACATCTCATGAGGGCCTTCTTGTTGGTAGAGACTCTGCAGAGTCCCAAGGCAGCATGCTTATCACATGGTGAGGGGGCTCACAAGAGATGGCACAACTGGCTTTTATAACAGACCCGTTCATGGTAACTAACCAACTCCCTTGATAACCCATTCATTAACCTGTTAAGGATCAATCAATCCATTCAGAAGGGCAGAGCCCTCATGACATAATCACCTTCCAAAGTTCTCACCTCTCACCACTGCTGCATTGCCATTAGGGACCAAGTTTCCAACACATGAACTTTTTTTTTTTTATTGAGGGCGTGGGTGAGGGACGGAGTCTCACTCTGTCACCCAGGCTGGAGTGCAGTGGCGCAATCTCTGCTCACTGCAACCTCCACCCCGCTGGGTTCAAGCATTTCTCCTGGCTCAGCCTCTCTAGTAGCTGGGATTACAGGCGTACACTACCATGCCCGGCTAATTTTTGTATTTTTAGAAGAGACAGGGATTCGCCATGTTTGCCAGGCTGGTCTCGAACTCCTGACCTCAGGTGATCTGCCCACCTCGGCCTCCCAAAGTGCTGGGATTACAGGTGTGAGCCACTGCACGTGGCCCAACACATGAACTTTTGAGGGATATGTTCAAATCACAGCATTAGTTTGCTGTTCCAGATAATTTAGAAAAAGGAAATTTTTACTTGGAATTTGAACATTCCCTTAAAATTCCAAGAGAATCAGGATAACCAAAATAAACAGAATAGTTTATTTCCCGTAACCAAACTATTAGAATTTTAAGTAACAATACTCAGGGAAAATTTTGATAAGATTTTTGTGCCATGTAAATCTCAACTATGTAGCAAGATTTTTGTGCCACATAGATAGATAACAACAACTTTGAACCTGTAGAAATGGCAGTGACGATTATAATTAAATGTTTTTTATAAGAGCACCATATAGAAGAAATGAACTCATTCTTAAAATGTTTCAGGTTATGACCAGGGACCTGGTAAGCTTTTATCTTGAGTAATACTATAGGCTAAGATGCAAATGAATTAGTAAACCCATTTCCCATGATCATTTTCACTTGGAAATTTAAAAAAACAACCTGAAATTATTCTTTTAGGAAATAAGAACTATTAAGAACTGTAGGGGATACATTTGGTTTGTGAAGTGAATTATTTCCATATTAAAGTTTTTTAAATAATTATATCAATGTGTAAATCTGATTACATTTTTTTAAATGTACATAGTTGTAAATATAGAATGCTTTTTAAAAATTTTTGTTTTCATATGCTGCCCACTTTTGGAGAGCATCCATTTGTGAATACTTTGAACTTGCTTGGATCACAGAAATTTTCTGCTATAAACAGTGTTAATTAGCTCATTTATAATATGATAGACAAATAGACTCTAAGAACTTCTGGTATAACTAGAATTCTAGAATTTAATTGCTGGAAAGAACTCTAGGGAGCTAGTCTACTTTCTTGGGAAACCCGGTTTTAGTAAGGTTGTGCTGAACAAAAGTTACTAATGCTTGTTTGGTTACAGTTAAGAGTTTTCTATCCCAACAGTGTTTCATCTTAGAATGAACTTTAGAAACTGCCAATAAGAGCATTTTTCTTTTGTTTGGGTAGGTGGAAATAGTAATATCTCAAGTTATTTTTTTGTAGGCCATTTGATGACCAGCCTGCAGGCACAACTGGGGTTGACCTCATCAATGGCAGCTCTGCACACCATCAGGAAGGAGTACCTAATGGTACAGGACAAAAGAACTCCAAAGATTCTACTGGGAAAAAAAGAGAAGACCCCAAACCAGGCCCTAAAAAACCAAAAGAGAAAGTGGATGCTCTATCACAGTTTGATCTCAACAATTATGCAAGTATGTCTTAGGTTTCTTTCATTTTATTTATTTATTTATTTATTTATTTATTTATTTATTTGCTACATTTTAAAATGTAGATGCCACAATTAAAGAAGTTTTCCAAGAAGGAAAGATTTGGACATTCAAGGTATACATAGTGGCTGATTATGAAACACTAACTGATTGAACTTAAACTAAAATAACTCCAGCTTTTAGCGTAGCCTTGAATGCTTAATAAAATTTTTGTTAAAAATAATCCAACAGCATTGCACTGTTCTTCCAAAAAAGAGGAAGAAAATTCAGTAACCACTCTACTTTGCCAGATTTGAGAAAGCACAGAAATTTGATTCTTAGTTATATTGGTATAGATGTATTATTAAAAACAAAAGGAACTAAATGTTAAACTCAATAATTATGTCCTTGGTAAAATTGGTGTCTAAGATGTGGCAAATACAGAATAAATAATAGGACGAGAGGCAGTGTCACTGTGGATAAATAGGAAAGCCATGAAGTAATAGAGGATCAAATATGAAGGATAATACAAGCAACAAGAAAATATTGGATGAAGAAAAAACAGACAAGGAATATCTGTGTATAGACATTGTACATGTAAAATGTACTATTTGCCATTCATTTGGATGAAACTGGAAATACTGAATAAAATTGAGAGATTTACTAAGTTAAGACCAGATAGCTCAATAGTGGTAATAATAGTAGTAATAGGAAAGTTGGGTTAGTTGCAGTTATTCTAGTATAAGAGATATAGATGAGGTTTTTCTTTCATCTGCCTAATTGTTATTTGTACATATTAAGCTCTGATTTGAGCACAGCTCATGGACATTATTTTTTGACCAGTGGTTCTCAAAGTGTGGTCCCCACATCATCAGCATTACCTGGAAATTTGTGAGCAATGCAAATTCTTCATTTGTTTGTTTGTTTGTTTGTTTTGAGACAGAGACTTACTCTGTTGCCCAGGCTGGTGTACAGTGATGCAATCTCGGCTCACTGCAACATCTGCATCCCAGACGTCAAGCGATTCCCCAGCCTCAGCTTCCCGAGTAGCTGGGAGTACAAGCATGAGCCACCATGCCCAGCTAATTTATTATTATTATTATTATTATTTTTGTTTGTAGAAATGGGTTTTCGCCATGTTGTCCAGGTCGGTCCGGAACTCCTGAGCTTAAGCCATCCACCCACCTTGGCCTCCCAAAGTGCTGGGATTACGGGCATGAGCCACCACGCCCAGCCATAATATTGCTATATTAAGACATAATAGGCCCAGGGCAGTGGCCCAGGCCTGTCATCCCAGCACTTTGGGAGGCTGAGGTGGGCGGATCACCTGAGGTTGGGAGTTTGAGACCAGCCTGACCAACATGGAGAAACCTTGTCTCTAAAAATACAAAATTAGCCAGGCATGGTGGTGCATGCCTGTAAAAACAAAACAAAACAAAAAAGACAGTAAAAACAGATAAAAACTATATATATTTCTGAAGTGGTGATAGAAATTAAGCTATTCATTTCAACTCATTAAAGTTATCTTTAAGAGTTAGTCGTCTTTAGTTCTTTTTCCTGGTAACACTGTTTTTAAGTAATATCTCTAACCTAAAATGTTAAAAAGAAGAGGACATTGGAAACTAAAAAGTAGTGTTCGAATTTTCCATAAATGCTACATGTAGTTGGGTGAACTAAGGAAGTTGAAATAATAAGATAGGCTTTACACACACACATTTTAGTGTAAGTGAAAAACTGAGATGAAATTAGAATTATGATGAGGTCTTTCCATCAGTCTGAAGTAATGTGTGCATGACATCCTTTGAAATGTTTGACTTAGACCTTTCATGGAAATGAGAATATGCTTCATTTTACAGAGTTAATGATTTTTAAAAGGATTTTAAAAACAAGTAGAAGTGTTTTATAAATCAGAATAAACTGGGTTTTTTTCTTTTGAAATCAAGTTTCCCTTCTTTTTTTTTTTTGTTTTTTTTTTTTTTTGAGACACAGTCTTGCTCTGTCCCCCAGGCTGGAAGGCGGTGGTGTAATCTCAGCTCACTGCAACCTCTACCTCCTCGGTTCAAGTGATTCTCCTGCCTCAGCCTCCTTAATAGTTAGGATTACAGGCACATGCCACCATGCCCAGCTAATTTTTTGTATTTTTAGTAGCGACTTTAGTAGAGGGTTTCGCCATGTTGGCCAGGCAGCTCTCAAACTCCTGACTTCAAGTGATCCGCCCACCTTGGCCTCCCAAAGTGCTGGGATTAAAGGCATGAGCCACCGTGCCTGGCTGAAATCAAGTTTCTATTAGAAAAATGGAATAATGGTAATGTCTCGCCCTGTCACCCAAGCTGGAGTACAGTGGCGTGATCTCGGCTCACTGCAACCTCTGCCTCCCAGGTTCAAGCGATTCTCCTACCTCAACCTTCTGAATAGGTGGGACTACAGGCGCGCACCACTATTCCCAGCTAATTTTTTGTATTTTTAGTAGAGAGAGGGTTTTTTACCATGTTAGCCAGGCTAGTCAGGAACTCCTGACCTCATGTTATCCGCCTTCCTTGGCCTCCCAAAGTGCTGGGATTACAGGTGTGAACCACCATGCCCAGCCAGTTTCTAAGGAGTGAAAGCCAGTATTCATTTTTCATTTCATCTCTCAGAGTATGTTAATGCTAAGTTTTAACTATTTTAGAAGAAATGTTTGTAGATAGTTTCTCTGTGACCACTTCCTTGATCATACCTATGTTGCCATAGCTAACAAGTATCACCTTCCCTTGTTGCTGTACCTAACAAGTTATCACCATCCTGAATTGTATACTTATCGTTTCCAAGAAAAATATTTTTATTGTATATGTAATTTCCAATTAAAACATGGTATATTGTTTGAAAATTAAATAATTTCTTTAAATTGCTTCACTCTTTCTTGATACTTATTATTCAGACATTATACCTATAATAAAAAATTACATCACCTGAGGTAATTTAATTTTTCTTGGAAATATTATTTGATGGATTTATATTTCACATACTGACTGGGATATAGGGTAATTTTAAGATAGCCAAAATAATTGGTTAGTTGGAAAATAAGTTAAAAAATGATCTTGAGTTGTTCATCACCTAGATGATTCTGGTATGTGTTCACCTATGCCATCTTACATTCACACACAGCTTACACATTTATTTTAATTAATTAACTTATTCATTTCTTTATTTATTGAGACAGGGTCTTGCTCTCCCAGGCTGGAGTGCAGTGGCTTGATCTCAGCTCATTGCAGTCTCAACCTCCCCAACTGAAGTGATTCTCCTACCTCAGCCTGCCAAGTAGCTGGGACCACAGGCATGCGCCAGCTAATTTTTGCATTTTTTGTAGAGACAGGGTTTCACTGTGTTGCCCATAACATATATTTATTTTTAACAACTCCACACTGTAGACAAGGGTCTACATAAAACAGAGACATTAAGAGTCATAAGACCAGCTAGGCTGGTCATCTTACCTTAAACAAATCAGTTTATTTCATTTTTTAAAACATTATTTATTTATTTATGTGTTTGTTTTTAAAGTAGAGACAAGGTCTCCCCATGTTGCCCAGGCTGGTGTGAAACTGTTGGCCTGAAATGGTCCTCCCACTTTGGCCTCCCATTATGCTGATACTACAGGCATGTGCCACAGCACTAAGCCAATTTATTTCATTTTTTGAAAAGGAGAAATAATAGTAACAGCCACCTCTTAGAATGGTTAGATGCAAATGAGGTAGAATGCTTTGTAGATCTTTTAAAGCACTATACAGTCTGAGGCTAAGAGATGGAGGTTAGGTCATAGGATAATTTTGATTTTTTTTCTTTTTTAAGGCATTACTTCTATATTACTTAAGGAAAAGAAAAAAGACCTATATCATTCAAAACAGGTATTTTTAGGATTTTTTGGACAGAGTCGCACTCTGTCACCCAGGCTGGAATGCAGTGGCACGGTCTCAGCTCATTGCAACTTCCACCTCCCAGGTTCAAGTGATTCTTGTGCTTCAGCCTCCTGAGTATCTGGGACTACAGGTATATACCACCACACACATCTAATTTTTGTATTTTTAGTAGAGACAGAGTTTTGCCATGTTGGCCAGGCTGGTCTCAAACTTCCGGCCTCAAGCAGTATGCCCATCTCGGCCTCCAAAAGTGCTGGGATTACAGACGTGAGCCACTGCACCTGGCCAGTTTTAGGATTTTTATTTTCAACTTTAAGAGTATGAAATCTTTTCAGATCTTTACAATGAATGGCCATGCAATAGGGTGAGAAATAGGTTATACACTATAAGTTATAGGAACTAGGCCTTTGGCTAGTTTTTTTTTTTTTTTTAAGTACTACTGTACTAAACATTTTTATTAATTTTCATTTGAAAAACAGAAAATATCTTAAATCCTTTCCCACACCCACAGGTGTTGTTATAATTGATGATCATCCTGAAGTAACAGTAATTGAAGATCCCCAGTCAAATTTGAATGATGATGGTTTTACTGAAGTGGTATCCAAAAAACAACAAAAACGTTTACAGGATGAAGAACGCCGAAAGAAGGAAGAACAAGTCATACAGGTTTAAATCTTGTTTCAACTTGTTGCTAGTTATCTAGATTTGTTGCCCAAAGTGTATCAGCAAATGTTCAAGGTTTTTATACTTGTCAAGGCTGTTTTCATTATTCAAGTGTTAAAAGTGACATCATCTTCCCAACTTTTAATCATTTTGACCAGAATCAAAGGAAATTTTAAATAAAATATAAGGACTGTAGCTCCTTATATTTTGACTTACAGCAAAGACCATCTTTTTTTTTTTTTTTAAATACTGTAAGTTCTAGGGTACATGTGCACAACATGCAGGTTTGTTACATATGTATACATGTGCTATGTTGGTGTGCTGCACCCATTAACTCATCGTTTACACTAGGTATTTCTCCTAATGCTATCCCTCCCCCCTCCCCCCATCCCACAACAGGCCCAGGTGTGTGATGTTCCCTGCCCTGTGTGCAAGTGTTCTCGTTGTTCAGTTCCTACCTATGAGTGAGAACATGAGGTGTTTGGTTTTCTGTCCTTGCAATAGTTTGCTCAGAATGATGGTTTCCAGCTTCATCCATGTCCCTGCAAAGGACATGAACTCATCCTTTTTTATGGCTGCATAGTATTCCATGGTGTATATGTGCCACATTTTCTTAATCCAGTCTATCATTGATGGACATTTGGATTGGTTCCAAGTCTTTGCTATTGTGAATAGTGCCACGATAAATATACGTGTGCATGTGTCTTTATAGTAGCATGATTTATAATCCTTTGGGTATATACCCAGTAATGGGATCGCTGGGGCAAATGGTATGTCTAGTTCTAGATCCTTGAGGAATCACCACACTGTCTTCCACAATGGTTGAACTAGTTTACACTCCCACCAGCAGTGTAAAAGCATTCCTATTTCTCCACGTCCTCTCCAGCACCTGTTGTTTCCTGACTTTTTAATGATTGCCATTCTAACTGGTGTGAGATGGTATCTTATTGTGGTTTTGATTTGCATTTCTCTGACCAGTGATGATGATCATTTTTTCATGTGTCTGCTGGCTGCGTATATGTCTTCTTTTGAAAAGTGTCTGTTCATATCCTTTGCCCACTTTTTGATGGGGTTGTTTGATTTTTTCTTGTAAATTTAAGTTCATTGTAGATTCTGGATATTAGCCCTTTGTCAGATGAGTAGATTGCAAAAATTTTCTCCCATTCTGTAGGTTGCCTGTTCACTCTGATGGTAGTTTCTTTTGCTGTGCAGAAGCTCTTTAGTTTAATTAGATCCCTTTTGTCTGTTTTGGCTTTTGTTGCCATTGCTTTTGGTATTTTAGTCACCAAGTCCTTTCCCATGCCTATATCCTGAATGGTATGGCCTAGGTTTTCTTCTAGGGTTTTTATCGTTTTAGGTCTAACATTTAAGTCTTTAATCCATCTTGAATTAGTTTTTGTATAAGGTGTAAGGAAGGGATCCAGTTTCAGCTTTCTACATATGGCTAGCCAGTTTTCCCAGCACCATTTATTAAATAGGGAATCCTTTCTCCATTTCTTGTTTTTGTCAGGTTTGCCAAAAATCAGATGGTTGTAGATGGGTGGTGTTATTTCTGAGGCCTCTGTTCTGTTCCATTGGTCTGTATCTCTGTTTTGGTACCAGTACCATGCTGTTTTGGTTACTGTAGACTTGTAGTGTAGTTTGAAGTCAGGTAGCATGATGCCTCCAGCTTTGTTCTTTTTGTTTAGGATTATCTTGGCAATGCGGGCTCTTTTTTGGTTCCATATGAACTTTAAAGTAGTTTTTTCCAATTCTGTGAAGAAAGTCATTGGTAGCTTGATGGAGATGGCATTGAATCTGTAAATTACCTTGGGCAGTATGGCCGTTTTTACGATACTGATTCTTTCTATCCATGAGCATGGAATGTTCTTCCATTTGTTTGTGTTCTCTTTTATTTTGTTGAGCAGTGGTTTCTAGTTCTTCTTGAAGAGGTCCTTCACATCCCTTGTAAGTTGGATTCCTAGGTATTTTATTCTCTTTGAAGCAATTGTGAATGGGAGTTCACTCATGATTTGGCTCTCTGTTTGTCTGTTATTGGTGTATAGGAATACTTGTGATTTTTGCACATTGATTTTATATTCTGAGACTTTGCTGAAGTTGTTTATCAGCTTAAGGAGATTTTGGGCTGAGACGATGGGGTTTTCTAAATATACAGTCATGTCATCTGCAAACAGGGACAATTTGACTTCCTCTTTTCCTAATTGAATATCCTTTATTTATTTCTCTTCCCTGATTGCCCTAGCCAGAACTTCCAACACTATGCTGAATAGGAGTGTTAAGAGAGGGCATCCCTGTCTTGTGCCAGTTTTCAAAGAGAATGCTTCCAGTTTTTGCCCATTCAGTGTGATATTGGCTGTGGGTTTGTCATAAGTAGCTCTTATTATTTTGAGACAAGTTCCATTGATACCTAGTTTATTGAGAGTTTTTAGTATGAAGTGCTATTGAATTTTGTCGAAGGCCTTTTCTGCATCTATTGAGATAATCATGTGGTTTTTGTCTTTGGTTCTGTTTATGTGATGGATAATGTTTATTGATTTGCATATGTTGAATCAGCCTTGCATCCTAGGGATGAAGCCAAGTTGATCTTGGTGGATAAGCTTTCTGATGTGCTGCTGGATTTGGTTGACCAGTATTTTATTGAGGATTTTTGCATCAATGTTCATCAGGGATATTGGTCTAAAATTCTCTATTTTCATTGTGTCTGCCAGGTTTTGGTATCAGGATGATGCTGGCCTCATAAAATGAGTTAGGGAGGATTCCCTCTTTTTCTGTTGATTGGAACAGTTTCAGAAGGAATGGTACCGGCTCCTCTTTGTACCTCTGGTAGAATTCAGCTCTGAATCTGTCTGGCCCTGGACTTTTTTTGGTTGGTAGGCTGTTAATTATTGCCTCAATTTCAGAGCCTGTTACTGGTCTATTCAGGGATTCAACTTCTTCCTGGTTTAGTCTTGGGAGGGTGTGTGTGTCGAGGAATTTATCCATTTCTTCTAGATTTTCCAGTTTATGTGCGTAGAGGTGTTTGTAGTATTCTGTGATGGTAGTTTGTATTTCCGTGGGATTGGTGGTGATATCCCCTTTATCAATTTTTATTGCGTCTATTTGATTCTTCTCTCTTTTCTTCTTTATTAGTCTTGCTAGCGGTCTGTCAATTTTATTGATCTTTTCAAAAAACCAGCTCCTAGATTCATTGATTTTTTTTTTTGAAGGGTTTCTTTGTGTCTCTATCTCCTTCAGTTCTGCTCTGATCTTAGTTATTTCTTGCCTTCTGCTAGCTTTTGAATGTGTTTGCTCTTGCTTCTCTAGTTGTTTTAATTGTGATGTTAGGGTATCAATTTCAGATCTTTCCTGCTTTCTCTTTTGGGCACTTAGTGCTATAAATTTCCCTCTACACACTGTTTTAAGTGTGTCCCAGAGATTCTGGTATGTTGTGTCTTTGTTCTCTTTGGTTTCAATGAACATCTTTATTTCTACCTTCATTCTGTTATTTATCCAGTAGTCATTTAGGAGCAGGTTGTTCAGTTTCCATGTAGTTGTGTGGTTTTGAGTGAGTTTCTTAATCCTGAGTTCTAATTTGATTGCACTGTGGTCTGAGAGACAGTTTGTTGTGATTTCTGTTCTTTTACATTTGGTGAGGAGTGCTTACTTCCAACTATTTGGTCAGTTTTGGAATAAGTGTGATGTGATAGTGAGAAGAATGTATATTCTGTTGATTTGGGGTGGAGAGTTCTGTAGATGTCTATTAGGTCTGCTTGTTGCAGAGCTGAGTTCAAGTCCTGGATATCCTTGTTAACCTTCTGTCTCATTGATCTGTCTAATATTGACAATGGGGTGTTAAAGTCTCCCATTAGTATTGTGTGGGAGTCTAAGTCTCTTTGTAGGTCTCTAAGGAGTTGCTTAAATGAATATATATGCTCCTGTATTGGGTGCATATATATTTAGAATAGTTACCTCTTCTTGTTGAATTGATCCCTTTACCGTTATGTAATGGTCTTCTTTGTCTCTTTTGATCTTTGTTGGTTTAAAGTCTGTTTTATCAGAGACTAGGATTGCAACCCCTGCTTTTTTTGTTTTCCATTTGCTTAGTAGATCTTCCTCCATCCCTTTGTTTTGAGCCTATCTCTGTCTCTGTACGTGAGATGGGTCTCCTGAATACAGCACATTGATGAGTCTTGACTCTTTATCCAATTTGCCAGTCTGTGTCTTTTAATTGGGGCATTTAGCCCATTTACATTTAAGGTTAATATTGTTATGTGTGAATTTGATCCTGTCATTATGATGTTAGCTGGTTGTTTTGCCCGTTAATTGATGCAGTTTCTTCCTAGCATTGATGGTCTTTACAATTTGGCATGTTTTTGCAGTGACTAGTACTGGTTCTTGCTTTCCATGTTTAGTGTCAGGAGCTCTTGTAAGGCAGGCCTGGTGTTGACAAAATCTCTCAGCATTTGCTTGTCTGTAAAGGATTTTATTTCTCCTTCACTTACGAAGCTTAGTTTGGCTGCATATGAAATTCTGGGTTGAAAATTCTTTTCTTTAAGAATGTTGAATATTGGCCCCCACTCTCTTCTGGCTTATAGAGTTTCTGCCGAGAGATCAGCTGTTAGTCTGATGGGCTTCCCTTTGAGGGTAACCTGACCTTTCTCTCTGGCTGCGCTTAATATTTTTTCCTTCATTTCAACCTTGGTGAATCTGACAATTATGTGTCTTGGGGTTACTCTTCTCGAGGAGTATCTTTGTGGTGTTCTCCGTGTTTCCTGAATTTGAATGTTAGCCTGCCTTGCTAGGTTGGGGAAGTTCTCCTGGATAATATCCGGAAGAATGTTTTCCAACTTGGTTCCATTCTCCCCGTCACTTTCAGGTACACTAATCAAATGTAGATTTGGTCTTTTCACATAGTCCCATATTTCTTGGAGGCTTTGTTCGTTTCTTTTTACTCTTTTTTCTCTAAACTTCTCTTCTCGCTTCATTTCATTTATTTGATCTTCAGTCACTGATACACTTTCTTCCACTTGATCGAATCGGCTACTGAAGCTTGGGCATGTGTCACGTAGCTCTCGTGCCATGGTTTTCAGCTCCATCAGGTCATTTAAGGTCTTTTCTACACTGTTTATTCTAGTTAGCCATTCGTCTAATCTTTTTTCAAGGTTTTTAGTTTCCTTGTGATGGGTTTGAACGTCCTCCTTTAGCTCAGAGAAGTTTGTTATTACCAACCTTCTGAAGCCTACTTCTATCAACTTGTCAAAGTCATTCTCTGTCTAGCTTTGTTCCGTTGCTGGCGAGGAGCTGTGGTCATTTGGAGGAGAAGAGTTGCTCTGGTTTTTAGAATTTTCACCTTTTCTGCTCTGGTTTCTCCCCAGCTTTGTGGTTTTATTTACCTTTGGTCTTTGATGATGGTGACCTACAGATGGGGTTTTGGTGTGGATGTCCTTTTTGTTGATGTTGATGCTATTCCTTTCTGTTTGTTAGTTTTCCTTCTAACAGCCAGGTCCCTCAGCTGCAGGTCTGTTGGAATTTGCTGGAGGTCCACTGCCTGGGTATCACCAGCAGAGGCTGCAGAACAGCAAATATTGCAGAACAGCAAATATTGCTGCCTGATCCTTCCTCTGGAAGCCTCGGTCTCCCAGTTAGGCTACACAGGGCCAGGGACCCACTTGAGGAGGCAGTCTGTCTCTTCTCAGAGCTCAAACACCGTGCTGGGAGAACCACTGCCCTCTTCAGAGCAGTCAGACAGGGACTTTTAAGTTTGCAGAAGTTTCTGCTGCCTTTTGTTCAGCTATGCCCTGCCCCCAGAGCATACAGAGTCTACAGAGTCAGGCAGGCCTCATTGAACTGCGGTGGGCTCCCCGCAGTTCAAGCTTCCCAGTTGCTTTGTTTACCTACTCAAGCCTCAGCAATGGTGGACACCACTCCCCCAGCCAGGCTGCCACCTTGCAGTTTGATCTCGGACTGCTGCGCTAGCAGTGAGCAAGGCTCTATGGGCGTGGGACCTGCCGAGCCAGGCGTGGGATATAATCTCCTGGTGTGCCGTTTGCTAAGACCGTTGGAAAAGTGCAGTATTAGGGCGGGAGTCCCGATTTTCCAGGTACAGTCTGTCATGACTTCCCTTGGCTAGGAAAGAGAAATCCCCCCACCCCTTGTGCTTCCTGGGTGAGGCAATGCCCTGCCCTGCTTTGGCTCACCCTCCGTGGGCTGCACCCACTGTCCAACCAGTCCCAGTGAGATGAACCAGGTATCTCATTTGGAAGTGCAGAAATCACCCGTCTTCTGCGTCAATCACACTGGGAGCTGCAGACTGGAGCTGTTCCTATTCAGCTGTCTTGGAATGGCAACGACTACTTCCTCAAGACCATCTTTACTTTAACAACATATCGTATGCTAGGGACACCTTATTTGCCCCAAGGCAAAGTTGAGTTGATTTTAAATTATCTTGGAAAGCTAATGAACACAAATATCACGAACCAGTAGATTTTGGATTCCTGGCCTACAAAAGTATCTATTGTAATTTATATTAGTTCATTTAAATACACAGAATGAATCAAGGTAAATTATTCATTTAATTGCCTATAACCTTTGGAACCAAATTTTCAGAAGTCATTTATTTAGAAAGGTAAAATAGTTGTGCATCTACCCTATATCATAACGTACCAGCCACACTGCCCAAATTAATGCCTGTGGCAAATATATGAGTTAAGACTGTGAGTAGCATTTTGTTAGCTCAGGTAAGTTTTGCTGCCAGTGAATTTACTGCAAAATTTCTTAGTTCTTGAATTTCAGAATTATGTACCTGTATGTCAAGAATGTACAATACCTATTTGTCTTTTGTCTCAATATCATTTTGGCTTCTCATCATTCAAAATCTTATTAGCAACCCTGACATTTTGTGGTTTGAGTACCTATTTTGAAAAGTAAAGGAGCCAAGTTAGTGGGAGTTGTTAAAAGTTGCATTTATGAACTGTTGCATTCAGCTGCATTATTGACAAAAATGGTCCCCGTTAATTTTTTAAGGTCTGGAACAAAAAGAATGCAAATGAAAAAGGAAGAAGCCAGACTTCTAAGCTTCCTCCAAGATTTGCCAAAAAACAGGCTACAGGGATCCAGCAAGCACAGTCTTCAGCCTCAGTTCCACCTCTAGCTTCGGCTCCACTTCCACCTTCAACCTCAGCTTCAGTTCCAGCCTCAACCTCAGCTCCACTTCCGGCAACCTTAACTCCAGTTCCAGCCTCAACCTCAGCTCCGGTTCCAGCCTCAACTTTAGCTCCAGTTCTGGCCTCAACCTCAGCTCCAGTTCCAGCCTCACCCTTAGCTCCAGTTTCAGCCTCAGCCTCAGTCTCAGCTTCAGTTCCAGCCTCTACTTCAGCTGCAGCTATAACCTCTTCTTCAGCTCCAGCCTCAGCCCCAGCTCCAACCCCCATCCTTGCCTCAGTTTCAACCCCAGCTTCTGTCACCATTCTTGCCTCAGCCTCAATTCCCATTCTTGCTTCAGCCCTAGCATCAACTTCAGCTCCAACGCCAGCCCCAGCAGCCTCTTCCCCAGCTGCCCCAGTCATCACAGCACCAACTATCCCAGCCTCAGCCCCAACTGCCTCAGTCCCACTTGCCCCTGCCTCAGCTTCAGCCCCAGCCCCAGCCCCTACCCCAGTCTCAGCCCCAAATCCTGCCCCACCTGCCCCAGCCCAGACTCAGGCACAGACCCACAAACCAGTCCAGAATCCACTACAGACTACATCTCAGTCTTCAAAACAACCACCACCATCAATTAGGCTGCCTTCAGCTCAAACACCTAATGGCACAGATTATGTAGCCTCAGGAAAATCCATCCAGACCCCACAGTCACATGGCACTCTGACAGCTGAATTATGGGATAACAAGGTGGCCCCACCAGCTGTGCTGAATGATATCTCTAAGAAATGTAAGTTGCAAAAGAGAAGTGAGGGGTGGGGAATGGCATAGGAATACTGAGGTTTCTTTTCAATTTTATTTATATACTCTTTAAGTGTTTTCTAGCCATCTCATTTTTTATTGTAGGAAAAAGTAATAGTAATCCTCTCAACTTTCTTAAAATTTTTGTTTTAAGCATGTTTAACAAGCATATTATATTTTATGGAAATAATTTTGTGTTGATGAGAAAATAATAGGCAATGTTTGGGGGGGTCTTGTACATGCATATCTCATTTGATTACAGTTTGTGGACACTGCATTTTTAAAAATTAAAAGTTCATGGTAACTGTCAAGCAAGTCTTCTGGTGTCATTTTTCCAACAGCATGTGGTCATTTCATGTTCTGTGTCACATTTTGGTCATTCTTGCAATATGTCAAATTTTTCATCATTTATCTGTTATGGTGGTCAGTTATCTTTGATATTGTAATTGTTTCAGGGTACCATGAACACCCAAATAAGATAGTGAACTTAATTGATAAATGTTTTGTGTGTTCTGACCACTCCATTGACCAGCTGTTCCCTGATATCTACCTCTCCTGGACCTCCCTATTCTTTAAGAACACAACAATGTTGAAATTAGGCCGATTAATAACTCTCTGGTGGCTTCTAAGTGTTCAAGTGGATGGAAGAGTCACGTACGTCTCACTTTAAATCAAAAGCTGGGAACGACTAAGCTTATTGAAGAAGGCATGGTAAAAGCCAAGATAGGTCAAAAGTTAAGTGCTACTTCAGTAATCAACACTAATGATAAGAAAGTAAAACAGTCTTATTGCTGATACAAAGTTATAGTGGTCTGGATAGCAGGTCAATCCAGACACAACATTCCCTTAACCCAAAGCCTAATCCAAAGCAAGTGTTCTATCTCTATTCAATTCTGTGATGCCTGAGAGAGGTGAGGCAGCTGCCAAAGAAAAGTTTGAACCTAGCAGTGGTTGGTTCAGGAAGTTTAAGGAAAGCAACCACCTCTATCACATTAAAGTGCAAGGCAAAGCAGCAAGTTATCCAGAAGATCCAAAACTGAGATAATGGATGAAGGTGGCTACATTAAATAATAAATTTTTAACGTAGATGAAGCAGCCTTCTGTTGGAAGGAGATGCCATCTGGGCCTTTCATGGCTAGAGAGAAGTCAATGCCTGACTTAAAAGGACAGGCTAACTCTCTTGTTAGGGGCTAATGTATCTGATGACTTGAAGCTGAAGCCCCTGCTCATTTACCATGTTTGAAATCCTAGAGCCCTTAAAAATTATGCTAAATCTGTTCTGCCTGTACTCTAGAAATGGAACAACAAAGCCTAGATGACATCACATCTGTTTACAAAATGGCATACCAAGTTTGTTTTTTTTTTTTTTTTTTTTTTTTTTTTTTTGAGACAGTTTCACTCTTGTCACCTAGGCTGGAGTGCAGTGGCTCAATCTCAGCTCACTGCAACCTCCGCCTCCCGGATTCAAGCAATTCCCCTGCCTCAGCCTCCTGAGTATCTGGGACTACAGGCACACGTCACCATGCCTGGCTAATTTTGTATTTTTCATAGAGACGGGGTTTTGCCATGTTGGCCAGGCTGGTCTCGAACCCCTGACTTCAGGTGATCCACCCACCTCGGCCTCCCAAAGTGCTGGGATTACAGGTGTGAGCCACCATGCCTGGCCCATACCTATTATTTTTAAGCCCACTGTTGAGACCTACTGCTCAGGGGGAAAAATGCTCAAAAGCTTTCCTTCAAAATATAAGCTTGTTGACAGGGCACCTAGTCACCCTAGAGTTGTGATGAAGATATACAGGAAGATTTATGTTGTTTTCATGCCTTCCAACATGGCATCCATTCTGCAGCCCATGGATCAAGGAGTATTTTGACTTTCAAGACTTGTTATTTAAGAAATACATTTTCTAAGGCTGCAACCTCCATACACAGTGATTCTTCTGATGGATCTGGGCAAAGAAATTTGAAAACCATGTGGAAAGGATTTACCATTCTAGACTCCTTTAAGAACATTAGTGATTCATGGGAGGATGTCAGAATATCAACATTAACAGGGGTTTGGAAGAAGTTGATTGTAACCCTCATGGATGACTTGGAGGAATTCAAGACATCAGTGGAGGAAATAACTCTGACGCAAAGAAAGTTGTTTTTTGTGATGGAATCTCCTGGTGAAGATGCTGTGGACATTGTTGAAATGACAGCAAAGGATCTAGAATATTACATAAACTTAGTTGATTAAACAATGGGATTTGACTCCAGTTTTGAAAGAAGTTCTACCATATGGGTAAACAGTATCACATGCTACAGAGAATTCATGAAAGGAATAGTCAGTTGATGTTACAGACTTCATTGTTGTCTTATTTTAAGTAACTGCCACAGCCATGCTAGCTTTCAGCAAACACCATCCTAGTCAGTTAGCAGCCATCAACATCTCCACTGGCAAGATTCCACCAGCAAAAAAAGTACAATTCAAAGGCTAAGATGATGATTAGCTTCCTTTTTAGCGGTAGTTTTTTTAAAATTAAAAAGTATACATCTTTTTTAAGACATGATGCTATTACCTATTAGACTGTAGTATAATGTAAACATAACTTTTGATATGCACTTGGAAACCAGAAAATTAGTGTGATTTGCTTTATTGCAATACTTGCTTTATTGCAGTGGTCTGGAACTGAACCCACAATGTTTCTGGGGTATGCCTGTATGTTGATACATAATAATCTTTGTAAGTCTGATTTGAAAAGTGATTGTTTTATTCCCTGGCTAGTAATAGCTACACAGTAGGAGATTAAGGAAAGGGTTAAATGGGTTAGAGATTATTAGACTCTAAATCTTAATCATGTTTTTTATGGCTTCTTCTTTCCAGTAGGTCCCATTAGTCCACCACAGCCACCTTCAGTCAGTGCATGGAATAAGCCCTTAACATCGTTTGGATCAGCTCCTTCATCAGAGGTAAGAATAGGCTTTTAACAGCATAGGTGTGCTGGATTTTCCCTAATACTTCAGTGTGGCCGGGTGTGGTGGCTTACACCTGTAATCCTAGCGTGGTGGGAGGGTTACTTGAGTCCGGGAGTTTGAGACCAGCCTGGGCAACATAGTGAGACCCGCCTGGGCAATGTAGGAAGACCCTGTCTCTACATACAGAATAAAAAATAGCCAGTTGTGGTGGCATGTGCTTGTAGTCTCAGCTACTCTGGAGCTGAGGTTGGACTGTCACTTGAGCCTGGGAGGTCAAGGCTACAGTAAAGTCATAACTGTGCCACTGTACTCCAGCCTAGGTGATAGAGCAAGACCCCACCTGGAAAGCAAAACAATGCTTATAGCATGCCTCAGAATTAACTTGGAGGGCAATTAAAACAGATTGCTGAGCCCCATGTCCATAGTTCATGACTTATTAGGTCTGGGTTGAGGTTTGAATAAATGCTAACAATTTCCCAAGTGATACTCTTGCTGCTACATCTTTACATTTATAAGGTGTGTCTCACTTTTAGACATTAAACACTTATTTTCAATTTAGTCTCAAGAAAGATCTTAATGAAACAGAAAATAAAAGTGCAATTATTGTTTTCTGGACTTTTCTCCCATGTTTCTATCTTGAGGACTTAAGTAGTATAAGTATTTAGAAACTGTTTATAGCAGATAGTTATTCTAACATAATTTCTCAAATGTGATATTGGTAAATGACTGTTGGGGGTCAGTGATTCTTCATTCATTCATTGAATGAACATTTACTAAGCACTCACAGTATTCTAGGTAGTGTTCTAACCTGCGGGCTTACAAAACTGGGACTAAAAACAGTCAAAAAGCCCTACTGTCATGGGACTTCCATTGTCCTGTGAGGAGAAACCACTAATAAAAAAACATCGTGATCAGCACTGTGGAGAAAAACGAAGCAGGAAAGGTACATAAGGAATTTTCCAAGGTTCACAAAGACAGTTTAATATAGGGTGACCACGAAAGCCTACTTAGATAATGCTTGAGTTAAAGACTTGAAGGATATAAGAGAGTATGCTATTCAAATGTCTGAGGAAAAGAGATTCCAGGTTCAGATAATAGCAAATATGAATGCCATGAGACAGGAGCACACTTGGTTTGTTTGAGGAAGTTCAGGGAAGTCCATGTAGCTGGAATGAAGTAAGAGATGGAAAGAGAATAGATGAAGTTGGAAGTCACACCTGAGTAGCAGGTGGATCCTGTAGGGCCTATGGAAGAGGTGGGAAGACACTGAAGGGTTTTGAGCAAGGAGCAACAGGATCTGACTTTTCAAATTATTCTGGGTTGTCTGTGAAAAATAATTCATAGGTGGCAAGAGTAGAAGTTACGATATTACAATAATTGAATGATGATAGCTTAAAACCTGGGAAGTGGCATGAAAGGTCATGAGAAATAGTTGGTTTCTGAGTATTTTGAAGATTGAGCTGACAAGATTTACTAAAGTGTTAAATGGAGTATGAGAAGGGACAGAGGAGTCAAAGTTAGCTCCAAAGTTTTTGGGTTGAACAGTAGGAAATACTAGAATTTTCAGTAACTGAGATTGGACAGTTTTTGACATGTTAGATTTAAGATGCTTATTATGCCTCTGAGTGGAAATGTAGTTGGATATGAGTCTGTAGTTCAGAAGAGTTCATCTAGTTTGAAGATAATGAATTTGAAGTCATTAGCATATAGATGATGTTTAAAGTGATGGAATGGTATAAGGTTACCAAGGGAGAATGAGAGTAGTTAGGAAAGAGAATCAAAAATTAAGTCTTGGGGCTTTCTGACTCCAGGAAATGTAGGAATTAGAGAAGCTAAGTGATTAGAGAAGTATCCTAAAAGTCAAGTGAAAGATAAGTTCAAAGAAGGGATAGATTAAGTGTGTCAGATGGCTGCTGGTAGGTCAAGTAATATAGGTGTTCAATTGATAGAGTTACATGATGGTCACTGATGACTTTGATAAGAACATTATTGGTGGAGTAGTAGGGATGAAAGCCTGGATGAAAGAGTGAGTTTAAGAGGAAATGAAAGGAAAGATGAGTACCATTTTCTCTCCACATCTGTAGAGATTGGTTCTCACCACCATAGAAACCAAAACCCAGGGATGCTCAAGTCTCATATAAAATGAAGCAGTATTTGCATGTAACCTATGCATAACCTCCCTGTGTACTTTAAATCATCTCTAGATTAATTATATACCTAATACAATGTAAATGCTATGTAAATTGTTGTTATACCATATTATTTAGGGAATAATGACAAGAAAGAACAGTCTGTTCTTGTATAGCACTGACAACCATTTATAATTTTTTTCTGAATATTTTCCATCCATACTGGGTTGAATCTACAGATGTGGAACCTGCAAATAAGGAGAGCCAACTGTATAAAGAACTTGAACGTCATTTTGCTATAAAGGAGTACAGAAAAAAATGGGGCAGTAAAGAAGATATAGTTGAGATTTTAATTTTTGTATAGCCTATAGGTGCTAAAAGATTTTTTTTTCTTTAAAGAAGTCTTCCTGCTACTTCTGTCTCCACTCCAGTTTTCTGACTTAGTAGGTCTAGAGTAGGCTTCATCATCTGTTTTGATGTTACAGATTCTTCAGAGAACTCTAAAACTCAAGAGTCACTGCATTCAATATTTAAGAGTCTCAGTTTAATAATTTTTCCTTTGCCTGTTGGTATTAGCATCATGATTAGTCATAGAGAGCATTTCAGGATTTTTCATGCTGGTATGAAGGAAAGAGTGGAAGTTTGTTTCCCAACCACAAGATTTTTCTTGCAGGCATTCTACAAGTTTACAGTGATAAATGGGTGTTTACGCTTACCTTCAGTCAGTGGTGGAGCAAGATATTTTATTGGTGTCTCATTTTTCTCTCATACCTTTTTCTTCATTGTCTTTGTGTTCTTTATGTTTTCTGGATGGAAGATGATTTTTTGTGAATGTCATACATTATTTTGGAGTTTTTCCTCATGAAGAAATTTTGTATTAGCAAAGTTGACATTTCATAGGATGGAAAGAATTCCCTAATGGACTTTTTCTTAGATTATTCTAGTGAAATAGAACTCTTAATGATTATTTTACTTAAAGTTATCAACGTTAGTTACACCAACTAGCCTTACAAAGACTTGATATTATAATATTGTCTAAGCTTTTATCATTCTTTGTGTTATGTATATTTCATAAACACTTTCATTTCAAAGGATATAACATTCTCTAACAGTCATTAACTTGACAGTTATTTTTCTACTCATTTAAATATGTACAAGTTCTTAACATTTTTGTATATACAGTTAATAGCCTTCACAGTCTACTTACTGCATTATTTTCTTTTCTAATACTACTGTACACTTAC
Source organism: Homo sapiens (assembly GCF_000001405.40). Classification (NCBI taxonomy): domain Eukaryota; kingdom Metazoa; phylum Chordata; class Mammalia; order Primates; family Hominidae; genus Homo; species Homo sapiens. The sequence continues at coordinate 171,564,483 of NC_000001.11, forward strand.
ATTTAACTGACTGTAGAATTTCAACATTGACTAAAGCAAAGAAATTTTTATTCTAATGTGCATCAGTATTTTCCAATACATTCATGCTTTGCTTAACAACAGAGATACGTCCTGAGAAATGGGTCATTGTGTGAACATCATAGAGTCTACTTACACAAACCTAGATGGTATAGCCTATGGCTTCTAGGCTACAAACCTATACAGCTTATTACTACACTGAATACCGTAGGCAGTTGTAACACAATGATAAGTATTTGTGTTTCTAAGCATAGAAAAGGTACAGTAAAAATACGATATTATAATTTTATGGAACCACCCTTGTATATGTGGTCCATCATTGGCTAAACATCACCATTATATGGCACATGACTGTATTTGAAGGTGACTATTTAAATATTAAAAGTAAATCTGAATTGCATGCGTTGTTCATACTCTTGACATTATATCCGGGTAGATATAACATTAACCTTATGTAGTAATTGACCATGCTAGGTTTAGGAATGCCAAAAATGACATGGAGTAGTGATTCAATTATTAAAACAAGCTTTAGTTGAATTTTGACCCTAGTTTTGCTTTTTATGTTTGTCTTTTCATGAAAAGATTAATTGTTGTAACAAAGCCCTAGGTCACCTAATCTGCTTGTCTGTTTCTACAACTGTTCCCCATACCTGCTATGCTTCAGCCTCACTGACCTTTTTTTGTTCTTGACCTTTACCCTAGGTATGTGGTCTCCCTAAACTCTTTCCACTGATCTTGTCTTCTAGATTCAATGTCAGTGTGTCCTCCTCAGGGGCTTTCTCTGTCTACCAGTCTAGTAGCTGGTCTCTTAACCCTATTTTGCTTTTGCAGATTCCTTATCTGACTTTTCAGTTCTTTATTTGCTTCACCTGCTAGAATGCAAATTGTGCAATTAGACTGATTAGCACATCTGATTAGCACAAAGAAGATGCTCAACAAATTAGCTGGGTTGGTTTGTTTGTTTTTGAGACAGGTCTCGCTTTGTCACCCAGGCTGGAGTGCAGTGGCGCAACCTAGGCTCACTGCAACGTCCACCTCCCGGGTTCAAGCGATTCTCCTGCATCAGCCTCCTGAGTAGCTGCGATTACAGGCACATGCCACCAAGCCCTGCTAGTTTTTGTATTTTTAGTAGAGACAGAGTTTCACCATGTTGGTCAGGCTGGTCTCAAACTCCTGACCTCATCATCCGCCCACCTAGGCCTCCCAGAGTGCTGGGATTACAGGCATGAGCCACCATACCCGGCCCAAATTAACTGTTTAATTGGTGGATTGATTGCTTAGATGTTTGCTCTATGTTACCAATCACAAAGTTTTTATTATATTTCTTAAATTTCATTTTCAAAGCAGACTTCTGAGAAGCAGGTGACACTTATTACTGTCTTTTATTTCCAGTGTATTCATCTGTTTGTTGGTAGTGGTGTCTTTGTGTGTTGCTTTTACGTTTGTTTTAAATGAGGAAACAACTTGAAGCTGTGCTTTGCCCATGATCACACTCATGAGAGCCAGGACTTTAAAAACTTAAGTCTTGTGCTAGTTTCATCTTATCAGTTGTTTTCTAGTACAGACAAACAACAGTTAAGAGAAAATTATCCTAAAATATAATTAATGTCGGTCTCAGTTAATATGTAGATTGTCTTAAACCTTCTATTGTACTTAAACTGTATAGTGCTTCATAAATCAGTCACATCTGAACTATACTTTGCAAGCAAGTTTTAAAATATTCTTTTACTAGGGAGCGAAGAATGGTCAAGAAAGTGGACTCGAAATTGGAACTGACACAATTCAGTTTGGTGCTCCAGCCTCAAATGGAAATGAAAATGAAGTTGTTCCTGTGCTTTCGGAAAAATCTGCTGACAAAATACCTGAACCTAAAGAACAGCGGCAGAAGCAGCCACGAGCAGGACCTATCAAAGCCCAGAAGGTAAATATACTTTATAATCCAGATAAAATTTTATGAAGGCCACTGACATGAAGAGCAAATAATACTTTTAAAAGTGAACTTAATTTTAATGAATATCTTTGATCATGGTGCAATGATGAAAGATACTCATCTATCATAAACATAGTTTTATCATAAACATTTGACTTTAGCTTCCAGATTTGAGTCCAGTAGAAAACAAAGAACACAAACCTGGTCCCATTGGAAAGGAACGTTCATTAAAAAATAGAAAAGTAAAAGATGCCCAACAGGTGGAGCCAGAAGGACAAGAGAAACCAAGCCCAGCTACAGTCAGAAGCACAGATCCTGTCACGACAAAGGAGACTAAAGCAGTCTCAGAAATGTCTACTGAAATAGGAACAATGATCTCGGTATCATCTGCAGAATATGGTACTAATGCAAAGGTAAGCCACATGTAGGGATTACCAGTTCAACAGATGCAAGCCATGTCTAAAATGAACGAGAAGAACAGCAACAGTCTGCTTTTTTTTTTCCTGCTGAGGCATATAACTCTATAGATTATTTCCGCAAAGAAGATTTTGTTTCATGATTTGCATATGTAATCTAAAGAAGTTCTTTATAGCAAATTATATTTCTTTTTGAGGAAATTTACTCTGAATTCTGGACTATTTGAGTAGCTTAAAGTGAAAAACATCTATACAAAATCTGAATACTTTGAAAGATGGCTCTATATCACTTTTAATATAAATAGAATTACAGTAGAGCTTTATCTTGCCCACTGGTGACATTCTAAAGTCAGGAAATAAGGCAGACTTTTACTAACTCCAGTATAGCCAGTTTTTTTTCATAGTTGGAACAGATTACTGTTTCTTTGGTTGAACACTGGAGGCTGTTGACTCACATTTAGGGGCCACATTGAATGAAACGTGTATCTAAAAATGCTCATTAAGACAAGATATGTTGATTGACCATGGGAACAGACACTCATGGGAATAGCAAACATATCTGCGATTTTATATTGACTCTGGGACATAAACTCTGAGAAAAAGTTACATGCAATTTTTTATATTATCTGAATATTAGTCTCTTTTTAATTGCCATACAGCTGAATTCATATAAGTAATAGCTTATGTGGTCCTACTCTGCCATATTTCAAAATGAGATTTGTGACAGGAAACAAGGAGTGTACCCTAAAACCTGAGTAATTGCAACAACTAAGATCTTGGTAATTGATAGTAAGCTAAGAATGAATGTGGGAAACACACAAAAGATTCTTTTAATAACCTACAGAAATAAATATTTGGTACTGTTGACAGTCTCCTAGTACTAAATGTACAAGAATGCAGTAGTAGTTGAAATGCTATCATTTTGATCGTGAGTCCATGTTGTATTATTCCATTGTTAGTTGATTGAGTGAGTTGAGTCTTAAAGTCTGCTCTCTTCCCCTGCTTTCTTCCAGAACAACTTTACAACTATTAGGCTATCATTAGAAAGTGAGCAATTTGGCCAGGCGTGGTGGCTCATGCCAGTAATCTCAGCACTTTGGTGGGCTGAGGCAGGCAGATCACTTAAGGCCAGGAGTTCGAGACCAGCCTGGCCAACATGGTGAAACCCCATCTCTACTAAAAATACAAAAATTAATGTCATGGTGGCGCACGCCTGTAATCCCAGCTACTTCAGTGACTCAGGCACAAGAATCACTTGAGCCTGGAAGGCAGAGGTTGCAGTGAGCTGAGATCATGCCACTGCACTCCAGCCTGCATGATAGCGAGACTCAAAAAAAAGAGGAAGAAGTGAGCAATTAATTCAGTTTAAAATGTATTTTTTTTCTATTACTACTTCACAGGAGTCTGTAACAGACTATACTACACCCTCTTCTTCTTTGCCTAACACCGTGGCTACTAATAATACAAAGATGGAGGATACTTTGGTTAATAATGTAAGTAATCAGTTTGAGATGTGGCAAGTTTGGATTGGAACCTGGCTATTATTATCAAGCACATTATTTCATGTTTTATTTACTGTAGTGATCAATATTTAACTCAGGGAAAGAGTTGATAGTAAATTTGTGTTTAGGAGTACTGTAATATAATTAGCAAAAATAGTCAAAGCTGAGTTTTTTATTTTTCCTCTGAAAGCCATCTGCTTTCCATTTAAGATGAAGGTTTGTGGTGCGTAGGCTTGGTTTCGTGTAAATACTAATCTTATTAACCTGGTATTGGTAAGAAGTTGTTTTAGCTCTCACATTTACAAATTTAACATGAACGGTTGGTGATTTTGTTCTTACATAAAACCTTTTTATAATTCAGTGAAACCCAACTTATTTAAGATAACTAAAATTAGAATTAAAAGACAACTATAGAATTCCCAAAGAATCAAGTATGTCTTTAAAAAAGAAAAAATACCAGCGTGTTAACAACATTCTTGTTGTGTAGATTGAGCTATATTGTATTGTATACATAAGTACGCCAAACACTCTGATATGCTCTAATATAAGGTGATGTTAAGTCATGTTGTAACTTAGGACCTAGTTTTCCAGAGCAACCATGTTACTAATATAATTCAAGGTTGTGTTAAAAGTCTGTACAGTTCATCATTTTGCTTAGCTCACTGTCTGATAGATGAAAAATTGTTAGCCCAGAAACATTAGGTAGCTTGCCATAGTTATACAGTGTCATTTATTTAGAAGAACATTTTAAAAGTTACTTGCATGGTCCTTATTTTGGAGAGAGGTATGATGGAAATTTGGTTAGTGCTCTCTGTTTTAAATATAGCCTTCTGTAATAAGTAAAGGCTATCAGACTAAAATGTTGATCATCCTTTTTTTAAAAAAATCCTTTACAGATAAATATTTAAAGGTCTGTCACAAAGAGCTTTAACTATCATTTTGAGTTATAAAAATCTTTATTATCTTCTTACTTTTTTTCTATGCTTTCTATTCTTCCCTCTAGCATCAAGTATATGGAATTTTAGAAAGGTGAGCTGCATTAGGGGTCACTTAATCCAATTTTTGTAGTTCAGCTGAAGGACTGTACTAAATATGTAGCTGAGAAAAGGAATAGAAAGGAGTGAGTCACATATTTTTTCTTGGTGTTGAGAGCTCTCTAGGAGCTGATTAATGTGATTTGTTCAACTTTCCTCCCACCCACCCCCCACTTTTATGAAAGTGGTTTAAATATATATATATATATATGGTTTTTTTTTTCTTTTTTTAACTCCTTATACCTCCTGTGAAAAATAATGGAAGACTTGGGAAGGAGGAAAAGACTTCCTTTCAGTTTAAGTGCTGTGATATCACTGTCTAGATTATGAAATATTCAATCAGTAAGATCTCAATAAAGTTTAATTATACTTTGTGTCTTTTCTCATTTTTAAAAAATACAGAATATTTCTACGATAGTGGTTTTTAAAGTATATGATGCTTTTTGCGAAACTACCCTCTGAAAATATGATTTATAAAATATATAAAATAAGGAAGAAAAAATTATTATTCTCAGAACCCTTAAAATTCATTGAAAATATCCAGATGAGCATTTTGATGGTTTCTGTGTGATCTGTAAGGCTAATTAATGGAGCGACTTATATACTGGTAACTACTGGAGACAACAGACCCAGCCTCATATATAGGTGAATAGTCTGCATGCAGTTGTTAGCAGTGTAGCCAGGGTATGTTTGAAAGCAGAAAGATCAGTTTGGGTTAGGGAGCATTATAAATGGTCATCAGTTTGAAAGGATTTCATGGTGTTGCTTACTTGTGCCAAGTGTGTTGGTGATTCTGAACTCAATGTAGAGTTAAAAACGAATGTCCTTCATGGGAAAAAATTTAGGACCTCTTGAGATGTCCTTTTTTCTTTCACTTGTCTGTTTGGGGGTTCCATTTTGCACATAGAACTTTTGTCTTTCTTAATTATACTTGAAAATGGCTTATTTCTCTTATTGGGGCTTAATACACTTTTTTATGGTCTTAACTGATACATGTTGGTTAGTATTACTCAGTAGTACAATCATCTTGTATCTTGAATGTCTTGAAGATTAAATGCAGGTGGCCTTTTGGATTATCATAGCACAGCTGCTTTCAACATGTATGAAAGAATCTCCATTAGGTAGTCCATAGTATCACAAAGTGATTATCTTAAAACTCTCAAGCATCCCAGTTATTTTTCCTGAACAACTGAACGAACCATCCAAAACGTAATACATAATAAAGTCCCAAGATCCAGAGATAAAGGCAGTGAGTTTCTAATATCTTAAAGTTTCTAACAATATTTGCCATAATTATTACTATAGCAGAACAGTTTTATTGTAATGAGATGGTGCTAACAGTCCATACTTTCTTCCCAAGATTACTTTTGTTCTTGAATCTTGTTATAAAAGTTAACCATATTGCAGGAAAGAGATTAATTTTTTATATTTTTGCTGTCATGTTAAATACTTCTGGTGGAACCTGTAGATATATGGTGAAGGTTTTATTCCTTAGAGCTTTGCTACACAGTATGCAGCCTGTAGACCAGCACCATCAGCATCACCTGGCAACTTGTTTGAAACCCAGCATTTCAGGCCTTAACATAGACCAATTGAATCAAAATCTGCTTTTTATCAGCATCCTCAGGTGATTTATGTACATATTAAAATATGAGAAGCACTGCCTTCTGAGTATACACCTTATATCTGGTGCAGACTCTCTTTCTGCCAACTTAACGTATAAAAAGGCAGATAATAATTTCCCTTCAGAAGTTTTATCTGAGGTATCCTTAATTACCAACTACTATAAACACAATGTGACTCTTAAGTAATCACATATTTCTGTTAGCTCTGATGAAAAATAAACACTACCCTTAGAACACCTTAGCATTGTCTTTAATGGGGCTTTCGTAGTAGACACATAGTTAGATTGTGATATGTGTTGCCTACCTTTTCAGGTGCCCCTGCCCAACACCCTTCCCCTCCCTAAGAGGGAGACTATACAACAGAGCTCCAGCCTAACTTCAGTTCCTCCCACTACTTTCAGCCTCACCTTCAAGGTATGTACAACATCCATCTCTAAGAGTCCTTAATTGTTGCATGCAAGGGGACATAAGTTAACAATATTCGTGGGGTATTTTTACTAGATTTATGTGGTAAGCAACAATACTAAGCTGAGGAAATAGAGTGCTGTCAAATTATACCTTACAGTTTTATTAGCTTCTGATACCACTAAGTGGTGACGTGATATCCTCATATTTAAAGTGAGGCCTATTATGCTTGTGAATTTTGTCTTAAAAATACAGGAGAGTATTTTTCCATGTTTGTGTTAAGTTCCTCCCAGAGATCTTAATAATTTTTGGATATATGGGTTTGTATACAAAAAATAAAATCTTAATTATTTCATGTTTTTATGATTGTTACCAAAATATTAAGTACTGATAATAGTAAGAATGTTGTTTGTCTTCCCTGTAAGTTATGTGTGAATTGAATGAACACTGTATGATTATTTTATGGGAAGATAATTGACAAGTATGCTTTATAGATGATGTCAGAAGATTTTCAGTTGATTTTTTTTGGATAATTATTTAATAAGAGGACAAAAGAGATTCAGCGCTTTTTGATGTCAAAATGTTTTGGCCTTTTTTTTTAATCTATTATAATTTTGAGCTATGTTAATGATTTTTTACAGTTGTGTTGTTTGAGAGTATTTTAAATCAGTTCGTCTTTGGAGTAGTCAGTAGTTTAAAAAAGTGCAAACATGGAATTAAAGGAGGTTTTTTTTAATTTAAAAAAAAATTTTTTTTAAATAGAGATGGGGTTTTGCCATGTTGCCCAGGTTGGTTTTGAACTCTGGGCTCCAGCGATCCACCTGCCTCAGCCTCCCAAAGTATTGGAATTACAGGTGGGAACCACCACACCTGGCCAAGGGAAGATTTTTTTTAAGTCTATTTATCTCATTGATGTTCTTTGTTCATAATCCAGGGAAGTTCTTAATCTCTAATATAGTAGGGCTTCCTGATGTTGCACTGGTTGACAATCTCTTTGATGATCTTCAGTTGGGGTCACAGGAACTTTGTTGTTCTACAGTGTGGCCAATATTCATTTTGGACTCATATTACTTTTGTCCCCTTATCTTTTCCCCTGTCTGCCCAACTTCTTTGTAAGAGGCTTAACAAATATAAGTTTGAGATCATAAAATTTTATAAGACAACAGCTTCTGCTTTGTGCCATCCCTGTCTTTGCCTAGTCTTTACTGCCAATTCCTGTTCAGCCTTTTCTGTTGTCTTTTGGCTTGAATGACTGTCTTAATCTGTGTTCCTTACTTAGTCTTACTTTTATGGTTTTTATCATTATACTAGCAAGGTAAATAATCTAATTTCACATAAGCAAATATAATGTCATCTTTAATTATTTTTAAGCCAGTATTTATTTCTTTAGAATACCTATTCAACTTTGCCTTTCACTCATGTTTTTAACATTCCAAGAAGAAATATACACATTGAGAATTAAATTTAAGTCAAATTACATTAGCTTAAAACCTCTGATTTCTTTATTTTTACTTCCTCTGCCATCTCCTTTTTGTTGGAGTAATACATAAAGCATAGAAAAGTTATATTACACAGTAAATTCTTACTTATTATCAGTGGGTTCATGAAAACTGCAACTTTAAGCAAAACTGTATGATGGATCCATAGAATAGCATCATTTGGTTCAGTGCCACTTGTTCTAAAGTGTATGAGAAAAAATATTGATTATACATTGTTGGGCTTAGTCACAGTTTCCAAGAACCTATTGACGACATTAAGTTTTTATGGACATCATTGACAAAATATGAAAAAAATGAGTATGATTAACTAATTGTACTTTTAGTTTCACTGAATTTCCGAAAATAAAAACTTCAAATTATCTTTCTGCTTAAGGAATGGAATCAAGTCAAACTTGTGGCCTGTATGTTATGTAAGTTTGATTAGCTATAACTTAATTTATATGTTCCCAGTAAAACAAAATTGGCATAAAAGACATTGTACTCTGTCAACTTGCCGTAAACCACAAAATCTCAGATGGTACAGGTAAATTATATTCTAGCTTACTTCCTAAATTCCCCCAAGACTTCTATTTTAAAATAAAACACATTTGAAATCAACCAAGTGATTTTGAGAAAAAGAAAAGATTTCAGATTTTTCTCAAATATAAAAGTTCTGTATTTTAAATATCTAATGATAACAATTAGTCTTAAGAAAAGGTTAAATTATGAATAGTGTGTTTTTAAAGGAAGGCAGGGTAAAATATGTACTATGTCTCAAAATTCTTTTTTTTTTTTTTTTTTTTTTTGAGTTGGAGCCTCGTTCTGTCGCCCAGGCTGGAGTGCAGTGGCGCTATCTCGGCTCACTGCAACCTCTGCCTCCCGGGTTCACGCAATTCTCCTGCCTCAGCCTCCCGAGTAGCTGGATTTACAGGCGCACACCACGCCCGGCTAAATTTTTTTGTATTTTTAGTAGAGACAGGGTTTCACTATGTTGGCCAGACTGGTCTCGAACTTCTGACCTCGTGATCCGCCTGCCTCAGCCTCTCAAAGTGCTGGGATTACAGGGGTGAGCCACCGCACCCGGCCTCTATTTCTCAAAATTCTTATAACCAAAATAAAATTTTAGAAATTGATACTTTAAGGACTCACAAAGTTCCTAACAGTGATATTAAATATGTTACTTGAAAAAGTTCCTCTCTCATAAGTCATTGCAGCTGGATCTTATAGATTATGTTGGATGTATACTGCATATGAAATTTTAATATTAAAAAAACTTATAAAATATCAATTTATGTTCATTAGTGTTTTAGTTATAATATTATAAATATTGGGTTGAATTAAATGTTTTCAAAATAAATATATAATCTATTTGTATTTACTTTTTAAAATGTAGCTACTAGAAAATTTAAAATTACATATTTGATTTGCATTTAGATATGTATCTGTTGAAAACTACTGAATAGTGCTGCTCTAGATTGAAATAAGGCCATTTTCTGCCATTTAAGAAACTAGGAGAAGAAAATACAGCTGAAACCAGGGGTCATAAATGCAAATGGTTACATCTGGTGGTACATGAAATGCTTGAGATCTGGATGTGAAACAAAAGCATTTCTATTGCACCCAAGCCTAAAACCTATCTTGTTACCTTGCCTTTTAAAACACTGTGAGCATGAAGCAGCCAACCAAAAGATGCCTGCCATTTGCCATTTAAGAAGCATTGGAGTAAAAAGAAAGAATGGAGAGAATGGATATTTACTGGGGGAAGGCCTTTCCTTATTCACTGGTAGGGATAAGGGCTCATGTTTAAATGATACACTCTCACACTCCCAATTTGAGTAATGGAGCAAAGATAAAGAGGCAAATGGAAAGTCTGAAATCCCTAGGGTCTTAGGGTCTTAGATTTTCTTTAAATATCTTTGTGTGTGTGTGGTTTTTGAAAGATTATATTTGGCACTTAAATACTGATACATGTATATACATACGTATATTCTGTATTAACATCATTTTTTTACTATAAAATGTCCGTTTTATTGCAGATGGAGTCTGCACGCAAAGCATGGGAGAATTCTCCAAATGTAAGGGAAAAGGGGTCTCCAGTAACTTCCACAGCACCTCCAATTGCAACTGGAGTCAGCAGTAGTGCCAGTGGACCAAGCACTGCTAATTACAATTCGTTCTCAAGTGCATCCATGCCCCAGATTCCTGTTGCTTCAGTCACTCCTACAGCATCACTATCAGGTAGAACTTTTTCGTTCTGTTTCTTTAAATATCTTACATTATTTAAAATTTTTTATGATCTCTTCTTGTTTACTATCTCTAGCCCTCCGAAAATAGTAATATTCAATCTTCCCACCTCAGCCTCCCAAAGTGCTGGGATTACAGGCATGAGCCACCACATGTGGCCAGTAATTGCTTTTTAAAATGTCATTTTCCTCTAAATTTTTCTAGGAAGTTCACCTTTTGATTGTCATTTTTTATGTATGTACAACTAACTAGATCAGCTCAAAAAGAACAGAGAATCACACCTCTTTTAAATGTTTGACAATCTGTATCTAATTTGAAGGTGCTGTTGGCCTAAACCTGTTGGGATAACGTATTTTCTGGTAAAGACTTAGGGATGGAGAATTTTCAGCCTCTGCTATTTGAGTGATGTAATTCATTGGATTTGGCTTTAGTTTGGTTTGGATTTTGTTTTATTTTGTTTTTTAGGAGAGTCCTTTGGTGCCCAAAGTTAGAAGGTGCTTTTCTTGCTCTTTTTCCTTAGATTTTCTTAAATTTTTACTAGTGTGTAATCTTTTCATTGAACTATCTCATTATTTGGAGGCCTTACGGTTCTTAAAGAAACACAGATGTTTCCAAAATGCTTGACTCTAGAAAAGTACACCCTTTTCCTTTTACCATATGTAGAACCAAGTTTCTTCTGTTGAAAAAATAAAATTTAATTTCAAGCTTTCTCAGTATTATCTGCTTCCAAAGCAGTAGGAAGCTCCTTTCCAGTGATATAAATTACTTTGTTTGACTGGTTCTCATTCAATATTGCTTTTTAGTATTCCAGCCCACCGTGCTATTTTTAGGTACCAAAAAGCTGGTCTTAGGTTTATACAAGTTATTTTGATATTGTCTGTAATCAGAAGTATATATTAACACAAACTCCCGAGATTCTACGCTGCATTAACATTTTAAATCAAACTGTGTTCCAACTATATTTCTTTTCACTTTAAAACCCTTCCTAGCATTCCTCCACCACTCATTTGCCAAGGCATCTTCACTTATGTTTACTAGACTAGCTTGAGCCCCAGTCCACTTTGGGATGGGGGGGTTAGTGAAGGTGGTGTAAAGGAAACAGGAGAGTATGGTAGGAAGATCTGGAAATAATGGTTCCTAGTTCTTTCTTTGGAACCCAACTAACCCGTTTCCCCAGGTCTAGATTTCCTCCACTGTGCTTGACTAGGATAATTTTTTTAACAAGGCCCTTATTGCCTAGTCATCCTACTGGTAGATGATTCACTAGAAGGATAGAAGCACTTGAATTTTGGTCCACTCTCAGGTGGAACATCATCTGAAGATAATGACAACTTATACATTACTTTTTAATCAAATACCAGTATTGACATTTTGGGCTAGTACTAAAGTCATAATAGCTCACTAATCAATAAAACAAATTAACCCTAACACCTAAGTTTTATAATTCTATTTACTTATTAAGTAGTTTATTTAATTTGTTTTAAAGGTATTACTATATACCAGGTGGTTTTGTTTTGTTTTTGTTTGTTTCTTGGTTAGTTGTTTTTGGAGTTGTGTGGTTTTTTTTGTTTTTTAAGAGTTGATGTCTTGCTCTGTCGCTCAGGCTGGAGTGCAGCGATGTCATCACTGTTCACTGCAGCCTCAAACTCCTGGGTTCAAGCAATCCTTCCATCTCAGCCTCCCAAGTAGCTGCGACTACAGGCACCACCATGCCCAACTAATTTTTTAATTTTGTGTAGAGACAGGATCTTACAATGTTCCCCAGGCTGGTCTTATACTCCTGGCCTCAACATGTGCCAGTTTTTGCAGGAGAGAGAAATCCAGCCTTAAGTTTATGTGACATTTTAGGACCAGTTGAGATCTTTCAAGGCCCATGTATATTCATAATTATTTCTAAGGTATAGCACTTTTCTCTTTTGTGTCCTTATATCTGTGGTCATAAGTGAATGAAGCTCTTGATTATATATCCTATTCTTTGTGATGATTAAAAAACAAATCATTTCTGGCTAAACTATAACAGTTACATAGGCTCTCAGCCTCATTTTATTAATTTTGTGTTTTGTTTCTTTCTTGTTTTGATTTTCTGTTGTTTATTGTTCCATATTTTCTAGTCATATTTACATTTGGTGATAATTACCTTTTCTTTTATAAGCTACCTCATCTACTTTTGGCCTGAAGCAGTATATAAGTACGTGATGGGTAGAAACATTAATTTTGCAGTTTCTGGTTGGTACTGTGAACAATAGCAACACTTTTAAATATGCTCTATTTTCCCCTTTATTTGCTTCCCCAAATATAGGAGCTGGTACATACACTACCTCTTCTTTGAGCACAAAATCTACAACCACATCGGACCCTCCAAATATTTGTAAAGTGAAACCTCAGCAGTTACAGACAAGCAGCCTGCCTTCTGCAAGTCATTTTTCACAGTTAAGCTGTATGCCTTCCCTTATTGCCCAGCAGCAACAGAATCCGCAAGTTTATGTGTCTCAGTCTGCAGCAGGTAATGTTTTTAGGCTTGAATATAAGGAATTTAGAAAATGAAGACTTACTAAAATGCTTATTTTTGTCTCTTCTTACCCTTTCAGCTAAGCATAAGGCTCTTAAAGTACATTGCTGTAAATATTTAAATTCGCATTTTTTTTTTTTTTTTTTTTTTTTGAGATGGTGTCTGGCTCTGTTGCCCAGGCTGGATTGCAGTGACGCGGTCTTGGCTTACTGCCACCTCCACCTCCCAGGTTCAAGTGATCCTCTCACCTCAGCCTCCCAAGTAGCTGGGGCCACAGGAGCACACCACCACACCCAGCTAATTTTTCTTTTTTTTTTTTTTTTTTGCATTTTTGGTAGAGACGGGTTTTACCGTGTTGCCCAGGCTGGCCTCGAACTCCTGAGCTCAAGTGATCCTCCTGCCTCAGCCTCCCAAAGTGCTGGAATTATAGGCATGAGCCACCTCACCCAGCCTAAATTGGCATAATTCTTTTTAAAAGTGTCTTGGAAAATATAAGTGTACATACTTACTGTAGTAACAGTTTCATAACTAGGAATCTCATATGGATACATTTAAGCTATTAGAGATTAAGTAAGGGTATTCATTGCAGTATTATTTCTAATAATGACAAGTTAAAAACAATATATAGGCTGGGTGTGGTGGCTCATACCTATAATCCCAGCACTTTGAGAGGCCAAGGCAGAAGGATTACTTGACCCTAGGAGTTCAAGACCAACCCGAGCAACATAGTGAGACCCATCTCTACAAAAAATTTTAAACATTAGCTGGATGTGGTGGCACATGCCTCTAGTTCCAGCTACTTGGGAGGCTGAGGTGAGAGAATCATTTGAACCCAGGTGATAATCATGCCACTGCACTCCAGCCTGGCGGAGTGAGGCCCTGTCTCGTCGTAATAATATGTGGAGTTCTGCAGAACATACTACTATATAAAAACAGCGAGTCAGCTAGGCACCGTGGCTCACGCCTGTAATCCCAGCACTTTGGGAGGCTGAGGCGGGCAGATCAGTTGAGGCCAGCAGTTCAAGACCCACCTGGCCAACATGGTGAAACCACGTCTCTACTAAAAATACAAAAATTGGTTGGGCGTGGTGGCGCACACTCAGCTGCTCAGGTAGCTGAGGCACAAGAATCGCTTGAACCCGGGAGGTGGAGGTTGCAGTGAGCTGGGATCAATCGTGCCACTGCACTTCAGCCTGGGTGACAAAGCGAGACTGTTTCAAAACAAAAAACAAAAACAAAAAAAAACAGCAAGTCACCAAATATTATGTATCATACATAGAAATGTGTTTAAAATTTATACCAAACTTTTAAAATTAAATGTCAATCCTCTAAATATTTTGCTAGATTCTAGTAGGTAGGTTTAAAATTGGAGTAGAATTGCTGGTTCAATGGGTAGATTCATTTTCAATTTTAGTAGATTATGTGAAATTTTACCACTGACAAAATCTGCGTATCTATACCCCATTGGCGGTATATAAATTTTTTTTTCATGCCTTCACAAGTACTAGTTATGTTTGTGTGTACCTGTCTACTAGAAGTTTTCCATCTTTTCACATTTGCATCTTGTCACGTTTTTAGTTTTTCCATGGCTGTATTTTCAGAGGGTGCACTTAATTTGGAATCTGCTACAAAACTTGGTTTTTATTTACTGTTTGGAAAATTCTGAAATTAGGACACTTACTACTGCTTGTTTATCCTGATGGTCTACAGCTCAAATCCCAGCCTTCTATATGGACACAAGTCATTTATTCAATACCCAACATGCACGATTGGCTCCGCCATCCTTGGCTCAACAACAGGGTTTCCAACCAGGTCTCTCTCAGGTAATATCAAAGACTTCTTCCATCCTGTATTTGTTCCTTCGCATTTCTGTGGTTATAATAGTTATCTTGGAACATAAATAATAGACTCTGAAATTACAAGCTACCCACGATTAGCTTGATATTCTATAAGCAAAATTTAAAATTTTTCCCAAATTTACCAAAGCTTAATAGTAATAATGTAGAATAAGTAGTGGGTTGAAAGGGAAATTTAGATGTTTACATTCAGTTTTGTTTTAAAATGGAGCTGATATATAGTATTAATTTTACTCTTTTCATGTCTCAAATTTTTATATTCCAGTGTTAATGATTTATCTGTATGATGTTGATATATATGTTTACATACTTTCTCAATGCATTGCAGCCAACTTCAGTTCAGCAGATTCCAATCCCTATTTATGCACCACTGCAAGGGCAGCATCAAGCCCAACTGAGTTTGGGGGCTGGCCCTGCTGTTTCCCAGGCTCAGGAATTGTTCAGCTCCTCACTTCAACCATATAGGTAAATGCTTTAAAAGTTATGTTTGTAATGATGTTGAAAACATTGTAACTGCTGATCCTCCTTGCCGTAATCCATACTGTTCCTTCCCAAAAAAACCTAGGATGACTCTGCTATAAACTACATTGGCTAATTGAGCATGTTGATTATATGTCATGAACCTCAGCCTCTGGTAATTTCAACCATATCTTATTAAAGAATGTCAGGTTTCAAACCCTCTTGAAGTAGTGAACAACAGCAACCCCAAAACTGTTAGAAATTATAGAAAGTAGCTGCTAAAGAACCTAAAAGTATGTGTGCCATCTGGCTACCAAAAACTATAAATCTGAATCTCCTCTATGTACGAGCTGAGGCATGGCAGTTAACTACATCATGTTAGGGGGTGCAGGGCAGGGTGGAATATAACAGAACAGAGAGGGGTAAATATCAAAGCATGGAAGTAATGATGATAAATATGCTGTGTAGTGAAGAAAGCATTTTTTCCAAAAATTCACTCAGATGCACTGTAAGTTACCTTTGCAACTAGGGAAATAATGAAAACTGATTTTTATTGAACTTTCCTTATATATGATAGATATTCAGCCTTTCACATACATTAACTAAATTTAGTCTTCACACAACCACCTAAGATAAGTCACCCTCATTTAACATGTGGATGTTAGGACTTGAAGAGGGTGAGGCTTTTTTTGTTTTGTTTTGTTTTAACCTGAGGTTATACATAAAGTGGCAGACCCTCAGTGTCTCTGGTTTCCAGTTTAATGAGGGAAGAAGAGTGAGTAAGAGTCAGATAGTAGGAGCAGTGCATCATGGCATAGCTGTCATCCATACTCATGATGGTGGCCTTAAATCATCATAAAGAAAAATAAGTTACATTCAGGACACTTAGTTTAGGAAGGCTGTGCATTTGTTTTTAGGAATTTGTTTTCAGAAGTGGGTTCAGATAGAATTTCTATACTTTATAGATTAAACCTGTCATCAGTTAATACAGTATGTTTTATATTACCATAATGATACTCCTAGAGAAGCCAGGTTCAGCTAATGAAACTTTCTTAACAGAGAGCCTAGTCATTAGTAAACCTCATAAATGTGGCTTTTATTTTTACCTTTTGATTAAAGATGCTTTAGTAAAATTTAAGACACCTGTATCATTACTTATATAGCTGTTGTAGGTCTTCCCTCCTCATTTTACTCTCATTTAATTTCGTTATTTTCTCCCGTTAGAAGCCCCAACTAGAAGCTAAAGGAAGTCTTGTATTGAATTTGGGATTATCTTGGAATTTATATTAAAAATAAAACTTGAAAATTTCTGACACAGGAATAGCAGCTAGATTTAATCTCACAAGCCAGTCTCCTTTTAAATTGTATTGGCTGCTTGAAACACTGTTGAAAAGTTTGCAACCGCTTTTCAGTACTGTGAAAAAGAGTACAGTGATTAATTAGTAATGTTTTCCACAGGCCGTGGGAGGTGGAGTAGCAATGTACTATATTTGTAATCCCCATTTCACTAATTGTCTTGGAAGATATACTTTTTAAGACCAGACGTGGTCAATAGAAATAAAATGTAAGACACATATATAATTGTGGCACTTGGCTACCACATTGGAAAGTACAGGTTTAGATTTTGAAAGCAGTTATTTTATCCCTAAACATTCCTTGCTTGTTCCTTAACCTAATCAGCATAGTGTTTATTAGGGAATCTCTGAACTGGTTTCTGCAAAGACAGGATAGTTTATAGCAGTATATTCATGTTTTCTTACCTCGTGTTTGAAACATAAATTATAAGTAGGTATTGTAAAGACTGCTATGATCCTAGACTAGCATTCTTCCTTAGTGGCTTTTGTTCCTGCCACATAGGTCAGTTTTAACAAAGCAACAAAGCATAATGTTCTTTAACCCACTACTTTTGATTTAGGTGCTTATTCTTTATCTCTGCATCTTAAAAGTGTAGACTGGAGGCATCCATCTCAGATGATAGGGAAGTCTGGGGTTAGATTCTGGCATATTGTGGTTTTGTTTTGAGGGGGTGTGTTTTGGCTTGGTTTGGTTTTGGTTTATGTTCTTGTTTGTTTGTTTGCTTGCTTAATCTTCATGGGTAACTCTGACATGAGCTACTACTGTGCTTTATTCCATGGAGATCTTGAGGCTAGGCCATTTATATTAAAAATATATGTGGGGAAGTAATGAAATACAAATAAGAAAAGTTGGGGCTATTGGGGCTATGAATTAGAATGTTGCCAAAGAGAAAAAGAGATTTTGTTCTGAACTTTGTAGTGAACACAAAAAGAGAATTATTCTCACTGTTCAAAAGGAAAGAGCAATCCACTTCTTAGGGAGAACAGGCCTTTTCACAGAACTTTTACATGTGAAGCTTCCTTGTATACAGGGCTTTAAATCTTGAAATAAGTTGCTTTAGACACAGTCTGTATTCTCTGCCTCTTTTCTTGATTTCTGAGCTAATTAGAGTGCATCCAAGTATCAGTGATGGGGAGACATTCTGAAGTATGCATCCTTTTTCAAACATCATAGAGTGTACCTACAGGAACCTAGGTGGCATAGCCTGCAGCTATACACCTAGGCTGTAGAGTACAGCCTATTGTGTCTAATTAGGCTATAAACCCGTGCAGCATTTTACTGTACTTAATACTGTAGGCAGTTGTAACACAGTGGTAAATATTTGTGTCTAAACATAGAAATCTAAACAATCTAAACAGAAAAGGTACAATAAAAATATAGCATACAAGATTAAAAATGGTACGTACCATGTATAGAGCACTTACCATGAATGGAGCTTGCAGGACTGGCAGTTGCTGTAGGTGAGTCAGTGAGTGAGTGGCGAGTGATATTACTGTACACTACTGTGGACTCTATACTACACTGTGGGTACACTAAATTTGTTAAAAAAAAAAAAACAAATTTTTCTTCAATAATAAATTAACCTCAACTTACTATAATTTTTTGACTCTTATAATAACATTTAGCTTACAACACAAACACATTGTACATCTGCACAGAAGTATTTCTTTTTTTGTTTGTTTTTTTGAGACAAGGTCTGTGTCACCCAGGCTGGAGTGCAGTGGCACATACAGCTCACTACCTCGAACTCCTGAGCTCAAGCCATTGTCCAGCCTCAGCTTCCCAAGTAGCTAGGACTACAGGCACTTGCTACCATGCCCACCTAATTTTTTATTTTTTTGTAGAGATGATGTCTTGTTCTCTTGCCCAGGCTGGTCTCAAATTCCTGGCCTCAAGCAGCCCTTTCACCTCAGCCTCCCAAAGTGCTGGGATTATGAGCATGAACACCATGTCTGGCCTTTTCTTTTGTAACGTTTTTCTGTTTTTTAATTTTTTAATTTTTTTTTAACTTTTTAAACTTTTTTGTTAAAAACTAAGATGCAAACACACACATTAGGCTAGGCTACGCAGGGCTAGGATCATCAATATACTTTCATCTACCTCCACATCCTGTCCCACTGGGAGGTCTTCAGGGGCAGTAACACATACAGAGCTGTCATGTCCTATGATAACAATGCCTTCTTCTGGAATACCCGCTAAAGGATCTACCTGAAGCTGTTTTATAAGTTTTAAGTAAAAAGAGTACACTCTAAAATAACCAGAAAATGTATAGTAAATACATAAACTAGTAACATAATTCTTTTTATCAGTATCAGATATTATGTACTGTATGTAACTGTATGTACTGAACTGTTAGGACTGTAGGTGTAGTAGGTTTGTTTATATTTAATACTAGCACCAGCAAAAACACTTGAGTCATATGTTCTATGATATTAGAACAGCTATGATGTCACTAGGTGATAGGAATTTTTCAGCTTCCTTATGATCTTATGGGACCATCAATATATATGTGGTCTGTTGTTGACTAAAATGTCATGCAGCACATGACTGTATTGGGTCATTTGGGATTTGCATTCTTAAGATTTTCAGATTCCAGATGAAATTAACTTCTAACAATATTTTCTCTTTAATCCTTATGTAGATCTCAGCCAGCTTTTATGCAAAGCAGTTTATCCCAGCCATCTGTGGTCCTTTCTGGTACTGCTATTCACAACTTTCCAACTGTCCAACACCAAGAACTTGCCAAGGCACAATCCGGTCTTGCCTTTCAGCAAACATCAAATACTCAGCCCATTCCTATATTGTATGAACATCAACTGGGGCAGGCATCAGGACTAGGAGGTTCCCAGCTGATTGACACACATCTTCTCCAGGTAAGTCAGGGGACTAGAGCAATGCACCCTCATTGTATTCCTATGCCACAGATCATTTTAAGGAAACATTTTTAAAAGAAAACATGTTAGAAGATGCAATGAAAAAAACAAAGTCCTTTCATTTATCTAATACTAAAAATTGCTAGACATTGCTTTGAAGTCATAATCTCCACCTCTGAATTTGAAATTTTTTTCAGTCTTACTCATGTTTTCTTAAAAAATTTTTTCTAGGCCAGAGCAAATCTTACCCAGGCCTCAAATCTTTATTCTGGACAAGTACAACAGCCTGGTCAGACAAATTTTTATAACACTGCCCAGTCACCAAGTGCTCTCCAGCAGGTAAACTATGGCATGGTAAATTTCCTCAATTTTCTTTATTATTATTTTTATTGCTTTTGTTATTGTTTGGGAATTTAAATTGAACCAAGATGCAAGATGGAGGATGGTTTTTAAACTGTTCACTGAGATGTCCTGAAGAATTCCACTGGGTCCACGTAGAAGGGGTTTCAGGCTCATGACACCCCCCTTCTCACCACCATCACCCCCTACTTCAGTCATTCCTGTTTTTTTATATCTTCCAGGTTTTTTGTTGGTTTAGGGGGTTTTGTTTTGTTTTTTTCTGTCACCTAGGCCAGAGTGCAGTGGTGTGATCATGGCTCATTGCAGCCCAACCTCCCAGGCTCAAGTGATCCTTGCACCGCAGCCTCCTGTGTAGCTGGGACTACAGGCTCACGCCATTATGCCTGGCTAATTTTTCTTCGTAGTTTTTGTAGAGACAGGGTTTTGCCATGTTGCCCCAGGCTGATCTTGAACTACTGGTTTCAAGCGATCTGCCTGCCTCGGCCTTCCAAAGTGTTGGGATTACAGGCTTGAGCCACCACACCTGGCTGCTTTTTGTTTTTTGTTTTTTTTTAATTAAGGGGGAAAAAACAACTTAGGTTTCCGTGTAATTATTTATTCTATTTTAACAAAGGATTCAATGAATATAAAACCTTGAAAACCATTGTCCAGAATATAGTTACATTAAGTGTGATACAGGTGGTTTACCCATTAGTGCTAGGGAGAAGCCTCCCAAAGACCATCTGGCAGGTTAGCTATACATACAACAGTGTGGCAGACTGTGATCGAGCATAAATGACAAACACTTTCTTAAGTGTATGAATGCAATAATAATTTTCAGTGAAAAGTATATGGTACGTTTAAAACTATCTCTAATAATTTCATTAGCTTATTCTTTAAAAGTGGTGGAGGGCTGGTGGGGGAACAAAGTCATTAGTCATTTTCTTATAACTGTTGTTGTTTGCTATTTTAGGGAGTGATAATTCATGAATATCTTATTGACATTCAGATTAAATATAGTGTTTATGTGAAAACTGAGAGATTCTTGTTCTTCTCATAGCTCATTTTGACCAGCCTTGAAAGTATTATGTAAAATGTCTGTTTGGAAACTTGTGAATACTGCTTATATTGTGTCCTCATTTACTTTGTGATTATTTGACATGTCCTGTGGATAAATTCAAAGATAGTCCTAATTCTTTCAGTTTCTATTCTCTTCACTACAAGTAGCATTAACTAAACTATGTTGTACCTTTAATAGAAGAATGGAGATACGGTTGAGGGTTGAGTGTCTCTTACCGAAATGCTTGGGACCAGAAATGTCTCGGATTTCAGATTGGTTTTTTTTTGTGTGTTTGCGTATACATAATGAGGTGTCTTGGGGCGAGGGGCCTGTCTAAACATGAAATTCCTTTGTTTCATACATACTTTATACATATAACCTGAAGGTAATTTTAAGCAACATTTTAAATAACTTTGTGCATGAAACAGAAGTTCTGACCTCACTTCGACTGATCCGTCGCAGGAGGTCAGGTGTTGATTTTTTTTTTTTTTTTTTTTTGAGACGGAGTCTCCCTCACCCAGGCTGGAGTGCAGTGGCATGATCTTGGCTCACTGCAACCTCCACCTCCCAGGTTCAAGTGATTCTCGTGCCTCAGCCTCCCAAGTAGCTGAGATTACAGGCACCCACCACCATGCCTGGCTAATTTTTGTATTTTATTTTATTTATTTATTTATTTTTTTTTTTAGTAGAGACGGAGTTTCCCCATGTTGGCCAGGCTGGTCTCAAACCCCTGACCTCAAGTGATCTGCCTACCTTGGCCTCCCAAAGTGCTGGGATTATAGGCGTGAGCCACCGTGCCTGGACTTGGTGTCAAATTCTCTACTTGTGGTGTCATATCAGCCTCTCAGAAAGTTTTGGAGCATTTTGGATTTTGATTTTCAGATTAGAGATACTCAACTTGTCATCACTAAGCAAAAGAAATATGTGAAATATATTAGTAGATGGATGTGTTCTATGTATTTTATTTTATTTTATTTTATTTTATTTTATTTTATTTTATTTTATTTTATTTTGAGACAGAGTCTCGCTCTGTCGCCAGGCTGGAGTGCAGTGGCAGGATCTCGGCTCACTGCAACCTCCCCCTCCTGGGTCCAAGTGATTCTCATGCCTCAGCCTCCCAAGTAGCTGAGACTACAGGCACATGCCACCACATGCAGCTAATTTTCGTATTTTTTTTTTTTAGTAGAGACAGGGTTTCACCATGTTGGCCAGGATGGTCTCGATCTCTTGACCTCGTGATCTGCCCGCCTTGGCCTTCCAAAGTGCTGGGATTACAGGCATGAGCCACTGCACCTGGCCGATGTGTTCTGTTTGAAATCTTACTCAAAAGTATTTGAAGAGTTGTGTATAGTTGTATGGATATGTCTGTAGTAAACAGAAACAAATTGCTTCAGTTTCTCTTTACTTATTTTCTAGGTTACAGTACCTTTACCAGCATCGCAGCTTTCCTTGCCTAATTTTGGATCTACAGGGCAACCTCTAATTGCTTTGCCTCAGACTCTTCAGCCCCCATTACAGCATACCACTCCCCAAGCACAGGCTCAGAGTCTGAGTCGTCCTGCACAAGTAAGCCAGCCTTTCAGAGGATTAATTCCTGCTGGAACACAGCATAGCATGATTGCAACCACAGGAAAAGTAAGTAAAGAGACATTTGCACAGGTTATTTGAGAATTTAAGGTAGTGTGTTCAGATATATGCATCTGTGTTATCTAAAAAACTAAAATGCGTCAGTTTTTACCACCCTGCAAAAATCTCAAACCCCAGTATATTTACATTTTATCTATTTACTTTTAATGTGTTTGGCCCCATCTAGTTTTTACCTAATAACAAAGAATTCACAAATTTATTGGAAGAATTGGATTTATAGTGTCTCTTGGGCTTATTTAATTATAAGTCTGTTTGGTCAGGTAATTCCATAATACTTGAAGCCTAACTATAGGAGTTTTGTACTAAGGTTCTTTGCCCTTTCCTAGATTACGTCTTCACGTATAGGACATGTAAACACAGCACTTAGCTTGTGGAATTAAAGAAATGTTAAGTTTATTTTATGCTTCTCCTCAGATGTCTGAAATGGAACTAAAAGCCTTTGGAAGTGGCATTGATATAAAACCAGGCACACCTCCAATCGCTGGTAGAAGCACCACACCAACATCTAGTCCCTTCCGGTAAAATGGGCATTTAAATTTGCTTATGAAATTCCAATTTGGTCACTATTTGTTAAATACTTATCAGTCCTGTGTGACATAATCCCTTTTCCAAGCAGAAAAGGAATTATTAAGACATTCTTTTTGATAGTTTTGTCTAAAATGTTAAGCTTTTAAATTATTTAAAATGTGTTTATTGTACTATATTTTAAGTAAATTCTTTTGTTACAGAGCAAACCTTTTTTTCTTTTATTTTTTTTGAGACAGAGTCTCACACTGTTACCCAGACTAGAGTGCAGTGCCATGATTATAGCTCACTGCAACCTCAAACACCTGGGCTCAAGCAAGCCTCCTGCCTCAGCCTCCTGAGTAGCTGGGACTACATACACGTGCCACCACACCTGGCTAATTTTTAAAAAAATATTGTCCAAGCTGGTCTCGAACCAGCCAATCTAACTGGTAACTGGTATCCTTTCTTACCTCTGCTCCTCCAATGTCTCTCTTCTACCAGAATGTTTTGGTAATCATCATAGTAAATTTTTACCAACTACCAAGTATGATGAAAATACCAAGAACGGTGTTTGCAAAAATCTAACAGCATTATTTACTTGGTATTACTATACTGACTAGTAATGGCTTCTTTCCAAGGGCTACTTCTACAAGTCCGAACAGCCAGTCCAGCAAAATGAACAGCATTGTCTACCAGAAGCAGTTCCAGTCAGCCCCTGCCACTGTGAGAATGACACAACCATTTCCTACACAGTTTGCACCCCAGGTGGGCAGACATAATTAAGAAATGAGTATTATTTACTTAAAAATAGTTGCTAATCTGATAAATTATTATCTTGCCTTATGTTAACCAGTTAAGAAGTACAGTTTTTAATAAAAAATTGTTTCTGAATTTAACAATAAATTTATTTTATAAAGATAGTCTGCGATTTATAGCCAGACATGGTAATTGTTTAGTTCTAAAGCAGACAAGAGAAATAGTTAAAAGATTCCCCACACAGCTCTGATAATGAGTCCTTTTCCTTTTAACTTTTTTTAAGGAGTTGACTTTTCAGCGAAGGGTCCCAGTGCTTGAAGTTTTCTAGGTTTAAAGTTGTTTTTTGTTGTTGTTAAGATATTTATGTGCAATTGAGATAAAATTTCCAAAAAGATGTTTTAATATATGTAAAAAATGTTGGCTTCTCTTCCCCTTGCTGATCGTATAAAAGGACTAAGAACTCTCACAAACTAGAACTGGTTCCTGAGAAATTCACATTTGTTGAATTAGTATTGATTTTATTTATCTTCAGATTACATTTGTTACAGGTGTGTGCCTTTTCTGCAACTACCTTTTGAAAAGATAGCCTAATTAAAAGTCTTTCTATCCCCCCTTCAGAATTTACAACTGAGATGCTAGGACCAACTGAAGTGCCATAGCATGCTTTGCCTAGTTTTTCTGTTAAACTCTCCAAGCATGGCCTGTTTATTCCTTGTCCTTGTTAATGGAATGGCACAATCTGTACACTTCCTTTCACTGGTAGGATGGGCACAGATTTACTCTGGGATGAGCCAACCTGGTCTAGTTGGCAGTTTTTTTTTTTTTTTTTTTTTTAACAGTTCAATGTTGTATGTTTTGTTTTTTTCACTCAGATTCTCTCCCAGCCTAACCTGGTCCCTCCATTGGTAAGAGCCCCACATACTAACACCTTCCCAGCGCCTGTTCAGAGGCCACCAATGGCACTGGCCAGTCAGATGCCTCCTCCGCTGACCACAGGCCTCATGAGCCATGCTCGTTTGCCACATGTAGCCAGGGGTCCTTGTGGATCACTATCTGGAGTCAGAGGTAATCAGGCCCAGGCTGCGTTGAAGGCTGAACAAGACATGAAGGTTAGTACAGTGTTAACAGCCAACAGATCAAGAATCTGTCTCTGAACCATGTCTTAAAATGCCTCTGGACCCATAACTGTATATCCAGGCATTCATTGTCTTAGCAGACTTAACCAAGCTAACTACTTTTATTCATTCCCCCTTTTTTTTCTTTTTTTTCCCCCATTCCCATTCCTTTCATCTTTTTTTTCTTTTTGTTTCTTTTTCTTTTTCTTTTTTTTTGCAACTGTAGTCAGGAAATGAATTAATGTCTTAAACTGTGGCCAAATGAATTGTTATCAAATAAATATTTGAGGGAGATCTGAGTTTAGATGCACACTTTTTTTTGGAATAGCAAAGAAGTAATATCAATTATTATAGACTTCCCCATTTTCTTTCTTTTTTTTTTTTTTTTTAATATATATTTTCTTCCCCCCTTTCCCCTGACTCTCCTCCTCCCAGCAGCTTAAAATGTAAATCATGGTTATATGAAAACTCTGGAATGGGTAAGATGTGTTACTATCTTAGTACTTTTTTCCATTATGAGTCATCAAAGTACAGTTTTCTTCTCAAACTGTTTTCATACCCTTATTGGCCTACCACATGAGGTGGTTGTATTCCACAGTGGATTGTGCAGTTATAGATGAAGAACTCAGAAAAGCACTTTGGGATCCTTCATGATGAAAGGCACTGATAAACATGAGGTTTGCTAATGCAGAAAGAGTGCCTTTAGGAGTCTGTGTGGGGACAGTTTTGTAGCATAAACCTTACATGTCTGCCAGTACAGCCAGTTGAATCCGTTTATTTCTATATTTACTTTAGGCTTGACTTTCAGGGATCTTAGTAATTTTTGCCTGTTTTGTCACTACATATGTCATCAGATCAGACTAGAACAAAGAAAAGCTTACTGCTTTCAAACAGGGAAATGTGCATAGTAATGCTTTACTCTGAATTAGAAACATGTTTATGATAATCCTATTAGAAAATTTGATTGATTGATTAAAGTGTCTTTTTGGGTCGACATCCCTAGTGTTTCTGATCCTGAGTAATCAAATTTAAAGACTACCCAGCAGCAAAACTTTTATTAAATAATTATCTACTTTTATTAAGGCTGTATGCCTAGGATTTCCATCTGTTTGTTATAATTAGAAATACCAGTGTGAGTAAAAATCTTAGGAAGTTATTTGGCCTTGGATTCCAGTTCTACTCCTGGCTCCTTGGCTCTTGATTTTCGCATATTCCCATGTTGGAAATAACATTAGAGCTTAATAGTAGTAATGGGGTGGGAGAGGGTACAAACTTCTTGAAAATTGCTTCAGATCTTTGGATAGTACAGGTTACCTATAGAACATAAAGCATTTTTTTAATATGCAAGAAGGATGGAAACTTAAGTTTTAATTGTGAATGTTACAGTGGTAAAATTTACAGATTTGACGTAAGTATATTTTTGGGGGCACATAGTCAAAACTAAGAAATTATTTACCAGCTCAGAATGTGGTAGGAGCTATCAGAACTTAGTGATCAAGTGAAGTCGTAGTTACTAATTTCTGATGCTCTTCCCCTGCAGAAGAGAGCTGTGGGAAGAGGACTCAGCCACAAGACATTTGGTCCTAGGTGTTGGTAATGCCACAATATAAGTGCTTCCTTTTCATTTTATTGTAGACCACATATTGATAACTAGAAGTTTTAAGTGTTACATGTATGTTTTTAGATTTGCAAGCAGGTTCCCTAAATAAAATTTAATATGAGAGGGCAGACCTTGAAAAGGTGGTGGGAGGTGGTCCTGTGGTTTTTTTTTTTTTTTTAAATCACATGAAATATTTCAAAAATAGGAAGAAATCTATTCATTAAAAGCTCAAAGATCAATGAGGTACTTTTGGCTTTGGCCAAACCAGTGTGGGGAAAACTGA
This sequence comes from Homo sapiens, assembly GCF_000001405.40. Classification (NCBI taxonomy): domain Eukaryota; kingdom Metazoa; phylum Chordata; class Mammalia; order Primates; family Hominidae; genus Homo; species Homo sapiens. Next base: position 171,591,495 of record NC_000001.11, read on the forward strand.
TTTGTGATTGGTAAAAGAATTTGAACCAAGATTGATTTGACAGGCTTTGGTAATGCTGCAGTATTTTCAGTTGTTCTTTCTCATTTTTTAAGGCAAAGCAGAGAGCAGAGGTTCTTCAGTCCACGCAACGGTTCTTCTCTGAACAGCAACAGAGCAAACAGATAGGAGGAGGCAAAGCCCAGAAAGTGGACAGTGATTCAAGTAAACCTCCTGAAACACTGACCGACCCTCCTGGGGTCTGTCAGGAAAAAGTAGAAGAAAAGCCACCCCCTGCACCCTCCATAGCCACCAAACCTGTTAGAACTGGACCAATCAAACCTCAGGCGATCAAAACCGAAGAAACAAAATCTTAAAGGCTATGGTTTATTGCAGGGGATTGGGAGGGGGGCGGGAAAACATGGAGAATTAAGTCAGATAATGCTGGCAGCCAAAGGGGCAAAATGGCCTGTGACATTATCCTGTTCAGAGCTTGGAGATGTACAAGGGACATAGGAGCAATTTACACTGACACACAGCTGCTGTACCAGTGAAAACGAGGCTTTGCAAGCTTGTACCTACTATATAACATGTGCTTGGTTGATGGCCATGCATCTTCAGTCAGAATTTATATATAAATGTATGCACCCATTTTTTTGAGTGCATATAATTTAGACCTAAAAATCCTTATGATTAGATGAAACACCAAAAATATAAGGAAAATAACACAGCAGAGGAATAGCTCAGCCTGAACAGTGTGATGGTCCCAGCTACTACATCAGATGCGGTTTTTTTGCTCCCTTATGTTCTTCGGATATGGTTATGGCATTTGTAGGCTTGGAGGTAAAGAACTGAAGATAACTGGTGCTGGATAGAGGAGCCTTATTTTTTATTATGGCAGCTTGCTATTTTTATAACATGGTGATTGAGTTGAACACAATCAAAGTACAGTAGTAACTGATGTCCCCTTCTTCCTGGATGAATGAGCAGATAAATATTGATGTCAGCATCCTTGAACCATATCAAAGTGAGCAGTGTTTGGCTACTGCTTCTATTTGAAATGGTGCTGTGTTTTGGTTGTGGTCTGAAGCTTTGAAGCGCTACTTAGCATCTCCTTTCTTCCATGGAGCTCTCACGATTCAAACATGACAGATTTGGTAAAATGCTGGTTAGGTTGAGTCTTCCTTGCCCCCACTCAGTCATCTTTGTATGAATCCCATGATTTGGGGGTTTTTTTCTTTTTTTTTTTATACCAGTTTTTAGCTGGTGTTTATGAAGAACAGTGAGTACCTAGAACTGTGCCACTAATTAAAGGAAATCCTAAGAAGGTGCATTTCTTTACAGAGCTGTGTCATGCCATCCTTTGGGCCCTCTGCTGGAAAAGTAGAATCAAGTCTCAAATAATGCCTTTTTAATTGTATCCTCTAGTATTATAGATATAGGACAGTACTGTATCATACCTCTGTGAATGTAAAATATCTTGTACCTGCTTTATGATACGTAGTAGTGACCGTGCTTTATCAGAGCTGTTTTTAATGATGTTATTCTAGAATGTTTTCTTTCCAGATGATGATTCAGAAGCTAATTTTAAAAAACGGTGCCAGGTACCACAACAGTAACAGAACTTTGCAATTTTCTGGGGTTTTGTTTTTTACCTTTTTCCCCCCTTTTTTTTAAATGGAGTGTGCTGGATGTCTCTATAATTTTATTCAGATGACTGCAGAACCTGGAAAAGCTGTTGCTGCTATTGATGCATAACATACTGCTATTGGTCTTTTTATATAAATATATATATATATATACATATATATATATAATTTGAATTTTTGGAAACTTTAGCTGTGCTGTCAACTTTGGAAAAAGTATCCCGGTTTACTGTGTTGAGTTGGCATTGTACAGAAATTAACAGCCATATTGGTCTAGAAACGTTAAACTTAATTTTTTTCCATTTGTACAGGGGTAACGCACTGTATTAAATATGTAAGGTCTTATCTACATGGGTTTGATTACAGAAACTAATAAAGTATTCTCTAAATAATGATTCTTGGAGCTTATAATCATTTCCTAAAATCTGAAGCAAGAGGGTTTGTCATGTATTAAAAATAGTGGTCAAGAGTACTGGCCAGTCGCAGTGGCTCATGCCTGTAATCCTAGCACTTTGGGAGGCCGAGGCGGGTGAATTGCCTGAGCTCAGGAGTACGAGACCAGCCTGGGCAACATGGTGAAACCCCATCTCTACTAAAAATACAAAAAAAAAGTACATTATACAGCCGGGAGCAATGGCTCATGCCTGTAATCCTAACACTTTGGGAGGCCAAGGGAGGTGGATCACCTGAGGTCAGGAGTTTGAGACCAGCCTGGCCAGCATGGCAAAACCCTGTCTCTACTAAAAATACAAAAATTAGCTGGCCTGGTGGCAGGTGCCTATAATCCCAGCTACTTGGGAAGCTGAGGCAGGAGAATTGCTTGAACCTGGGGCGGGAGTCAGAGGTTGCAATGAGCCAACATCAAGCCACTTCACTCCAGCCTGGGCAAAAGAGTGAAACTCCGTCTTAAAAAAAAAAAAAAAAAATTACATTATACTCTAGAAAAGGATTATCATCCAAAGCCTTGACTTCTCACTTTGAAGAACTCTGGAGATCATTCAACTAAAGTAACTATTGTCATGGCAGATAGTCATGGCCCCTGTTCTGAAGTAGCCAAACTCATATTGAAAACAAATCTGTCAGCCGGGCGTGGTGGCTCATGCCTATAATCCCAGCACTTTGGGAGGCTGAGGTGGGCGGATCACCTGAGGTCAGGAGTTCGAGACCAGCCTGGCCAACATGGTGAAGCCCTGTCTCTACTAAAAATACGAAAATAAGCTGTGCGTGGTGGTGCATGCCTGTAGTCCCAGCTACTTGTGAGGCCGAAGCAGGAGATGTCAAGGAGTAAAATTCTCTTGATGCACAGTGCCAGATGTAGAAGAGTTTCACCATCTTTTGGTCAGAAGCTGAAGGACCAAAAATAGATCTCAGTATTATTTATGTTTGTATTTTTCATAGCTTTGTTAGCATGTTCATGAACATCACCTGCCCTAAAAGGCTATAGGGCATTTATTCTATCATTTACTCAATTTATGAAATGAAATACTGAGGGATTGTAATTACTTAATCCCATGTTCAGAACATACGGCTTCCAGACCCAGCTTTGAGAAAACTAGTCATTTAGTCACTAATGACGCATGTGCCTTCTTAACTCATGGATACTGCGATTGTTAAACACAAGATACTCAAGTTTTGATGGTTTTGTGTTGGGTAGAGACAGGGTTTCTCCATGTTGCCCAGGCTGGTCTTGAACTCCTGAGCTCAAGCAATCCACCTGCCTCAGCCTCCCAAAGTTCTGGGATTACAGGCGTGAGCCACCGCACCAGGTCTGATACGTATTAATAGGCCCTGCCTTGATCCAAGTTTTCAGTCTAGGGTTTTTCTCAAAATATGCTCTAAATTAAAAGCTGTGGTTTATTGCAGGGGATTGGGGGAAGAGGTATGATGGATAAGAATGGGAATCAAGTACTTGCCTTACTAAGTCACTGCCATTGTCAGTATTTTTCATATTCTAGTTTTTAAGTTTAATCCTCCTAAATTTTAAGACCTAATGGGTGACCAGCTATACAGCTTGCATTACCCCCACTTGCAAACCAGCAGGCATGTGCTATTTGGTTGTATTAACTGTTAAAATACCACTAATACTTTGGGTCCTTCGCTAGAACCTACAATGGAAAAATGGCACCAAAAGCATATCGAATGAAAGTAAGATAATGTATATAAGTGTCTCTGCAGTTGGCCATGTAGTTTTGTCCATGGCTTCTCTGACATGTGACAGAATAACCCAAAAGGTTTTGCAGTTAATAGTTGACTGTAGATACTTGGTCACATAAGCTTCTGAACATTGTCCCTGAGCTGCCCTGGTAGAAGGTAAGGGGAGTCCAGGTCCTTGCCCCTAGTTAATAACAAATAGTGCTTATGATAGAAGAGTGATTGGGGGAGGAGGGTTGGGGAATGAGAGGAGGGTATAGTTTATAAAGTTCTAACAAACTCTTGGCCAGAGGCAAGATACAGAGGGCAGAATGAGTCAGAAGCTATTTAAGTGTCTTTTCTAACAAGTAACCCGTGATTTTTCATGTTACCACTGCAGCATATTTCACAGATGCTTACCATTTTCAGTACTGACTTCACATGCCCCTGCAACTTTTTTCCACCTTATGGATAAATATAAAACTATATTATAGTTTGACAGACCTAATTATTTTGTAGGTGCTTTAGAAGTAGAAGAACTAGGATTGGTGGTTGGTCAGTTAAAATGGAAAGTCACAAAGTCTAGATACTTTGATTGCTTGTATTAGATGTATGCTTATTTTCCATACAATCTTTTAATGAAGGACTACACCATTTCTTTGAGATGTCTGCTGCCTAGATTCTATTACATATGCATCATATATAGTTTTCAGTTTTGTCTTAAAGAAATCTGAATAGAGAATTCCCTTGAACTTTCACAGATACCTTCCCTCAGTTTTCCAGCTTTCTTCATACCCCTAATTTGACCACAGTTTTTACAGTAAAAATTGTAGAAATCAAGTAATATTGACAACCACCTACTAGCTAATAGTCATCAGTCAACTTATATTACCTTGGAAGTGGTTAAATAGAGTTTGGTTAAGAGCCACAAATTTACTTCATATTGTAATGTAATTATTTTTTTAAAAACTTCCCTCAACAGAAAGGAATAATGTGCTACAGGAAAAGGAAAACTTACCTGAGGTAGAGAGTTTAAGCAAGAGGTGAATCTGGTGTAATCAGGCAAGGAGTCAAGTATTAACTCTGTATGTGTCAGGTGCTGGGAATATAGAGGACAGTTTCTTAACACAGTCTGGGGTGTAGGTGGAGATACATGGGGTGGCTTTGAGGCCTTTCAGGTTTTCATCACTGATAGATACCTAGCCCTTATTTCATGGATGCCTCAAACCCCATTTTCCAGTCTAAGCTTTCGCCCCTAATCTATTTGCCTGTACTGCATAACCTTCTAAATATGATTAAAATCTTCCAGAAGTTTTTAGTCAGCCCTGATCTGGCCTTCTCACCATTTCTTCACATACTAGCTAATATTTAATAAGTAGAATTATGTGTAAATTTGGGTCTTCCTGGTATATGAGCAAAAAAAGCAATAGTTTCCTTATCTGAGCTGAAAAAGACACTAATGTTCAGTGGAGAACAGAGGAAGAGAATTCCAATAAGCAGAGCCTGTGGTTCCAGGTGAATAAGTCTTAAGTTCAAGGATGGTGTAGAGGGACAGAGATGCATTCTGGCCCTCCAGGGTTAGATTTGTCAAGAGGCGAAATAGTTAATTTCAGACAGTTCTCTGGAACTGATGTAATCTGGTTTACTTAGGGCAGTGGTTTTCAGATTGGAAGTACACACTATTAAACAGAAGCAATTCCACTTTAAAATTTTGCTTGGCTAAAGGATTCAGTGGCTATTTTTTTTTTTTTTTTAATTACCAATGTGAATAAGGTTTATTGGTTCCGGGGAGGAGACACCCTCTCTAGTATGAGAAGCTGCAAAGAAGGTTGTACTTGGAGTAAAAACCACACTCTTCACAGAAGCTGATCGTGATACCCATTGAGGAGACTGATTGGGCCTCAGCTTTCTATAACCTGGGAATATAAATGGGTGTTATAAAGTTTCGTGTTACATGACTCAGTTATCAGAATTGTATCTCCAGCTTAGAACCTTACAGGGAAAAACTGGAAATTACACATAAATATCACCCACTTGCCCCCTCCACCCCCCAACTTTATAAGGTAGGTAATATTATTTACACATGCAGAGAATGAGGTGTGGTAACCTGCCCAATGATACACAGTAAGCAGAGGAGGCAGGGTTTTTTGGTCCAGACAGTCTAATTCTTAAGTGTAAGCTCTTTACTAAGCTGCACTGTTGTGAAAGCACTGTACTTGAAGTTACAGGCATACCTTGTTTTACTGCACTTTGCAGATATTGCAAGATTTTTTCTTCAAAATAACGAAGGTTTGTGGCAACCCCATGTTGAGCAAGTTCATTAGTGCTATTTTCTAACAGTGTGTGCTCATTTCCTGTCTGTGTCACATTTGATAACTCTTAAAATTATTTCAGGCTTAAATTATCATGTTATGGTGATCCGGGATCTTGAATGTTACTAGTGTAATTTGGAGCCTCATGAACCACACCCATACGATGGTGAACATAAATGCACGTGTTCTGATTGCTCCACAAACAGGCTGTTCCCTCTCTCCGTCTCCTTAGGCCTCTGTATTCCCGGAGACACAACATTGAAATTAGGCCAATTAATAGCCCTACAGTGGCCTCTAAGTGTTCAAGTAAAAGGAAGAGTCGCACGTCTCAGTTTAAATCAAAAGCTGAAAATGATTAAGCTTAATGAGGAAGGCATGGCAAAATCTGAGATGGGCCAGAAAGATAGGCTTCTTGGGCCCATTAGACAAGTTGTGAATGCAAAAGATAAATCTTGAAGGAAATTAAAAGTGCTACTCCAGTGACTACACAATGATAAGAAAACAAAAGAACCCTATTTCTGATATAAAGTTTTAGTGGTCTGGATAAAAGATTGAAACAGGCCCAACATTCTCTTAAGCCAAAACCGTATCCAGAGCAAAGCCGTAACTCCAATTCCGTGAAGTCAGAGAGGTGAAGAAGTTGTGGAAGAAAAGTTTGAAGCTAGCAGAGGCTGGTTCATGAGATTTAAGGAAAACACCCATCTCCATAACATTAAAGTGCAAAGTGAAGCAGCAAGAGTTGATGTACGAACTGCAGCAAGTTGTCTGGAAGATCTAGCTGAGATAATTGATGAAGGGGCTATGCTAAATAGCAAGTATTTAAGGTAGACAAAATAGCCTTCTATTGGAAGCAGATGCCATCTAGGCCTTTCATAGGCTAGAGAGAAGTCAATGCCTGGCTTCAAAGCTTCAAAAAAGACTGACTTGTGAGGGGTTTATGCAGCTGGTGACTTTAAGCTGAAGCCAATACTCATTTACCATTTCGAAAATCCTAGGGCCCTTAAAAATTAAGCTAAATCTACTCTGCCTGTGCTCTAGAAATAGAACAGCAAAGCATGGATGACAGCACATCTCTATAGCATAACGCATCTAATATTTTAAACCCACTGTTGAGACCTATTGCTCAGGGACGGAAAAAACCTAAAGCTTTCAAAATATGATAAGCTCATTGACAATGCACCTAGTCACTCAAGAGTTGTGATGGAGATGTACAAGAAGATTGATGTTTTCATGCCTGCTAACATGACATCCATTCTACAACCTATGGATCAAAGAGTAATTTTGACTTTCAAGTCTTATTTAAGAAATATTAGGCCAGACGCGGTAGATCACGCTTGTAATCCCAGCACTTTGGGAGGCCGAGGCGGGCAGATCATGAGGTCAGGAGTTCGAGACCAGCCTGGCCAACATGGTGAAACCCCGTCTCTTCTAAAAGTACAAAAAAAAAAAAAATCCAGGCATGGTGGCACATGCTTGTAATCCTAGCTACTCAGGAGGCTGCGGAAGGAGAATTGCTTGAACCTGGGAGGTGGAGGTTGCAGTGAGCTGAGATTGTGCCACTGCACTCCAGCCTGGGTGACAGAGTGAGACTCTGTCTCAGAAAAGAATATATATATATTAATACGTTTTGTAAAGCTACAACTTTCGTAAATAGTGAGTCCTCTGATGAATCTGGGCAAAGAAATTGAAAGCCATATGAAAGGATTTACCATTCTAGATGCCATTAATAACATTTGTGGTTCATGGGAGGATGTCAGAATATCAACAACAAATAGGAGTTTGGAAGAAGTTTTATTCCAACCCTCATGGAGCCCTAGGGGATTCAAGACTTCAATAGAGGAAGTAAATGCAGATGTGGTGGAAATAGCAAGAGAGGTAGAGTTAGAAGTGGAGCCTGAAGGTGGGACTGAATTGCTGCAATCTCATGATCAAACTTGAACAGATGAGGAGTTGCTTCTTATGGATGAGCAAAGAAAGTGGTTTCTTGTGATGGAACCTTATCCTTGTGAAGATGCTGTGTATGTTGTTGAAATGACAAGAATTTAGAATTTTACACAAACTCAGTTAATAAAGCAGTGACAAGGTTTGAGGCGACTGACTCCAACTTTGGAAGAAGTTCTACTGTGGCTAAAATGATATCAAACAGCATCACGTGGTACAGATAACTCATTCATGAAAGGAAGAGTCAATTGATGTGGCAAACTTCATTGGCTTATTTGAAGAAATTGCCACAGCCACCCTGGTCTTCAGCAACCACCACCTTGATTAGGCAGCAGCCACCAACATCAAGGCAAGATTCTCCACCAACAAAAAGATATAACTTGGTTGGGCGCAGTGGCTCACGCCTGTAATCCCAGCACTTTGGGAGGCTGAGGCAGGCGGATCACCTGAGGTCCGGAGTTCCAGACCAGCCTGACCAACCTGGAGAAACCCCGTCTCTACTAAAAATAACAAAATTAGCCAGGCGTGGTGGTGCATGCCTGTAATCCCAGCTACTCAGGAGGCTGAGGCAGGAGAATCGCTTGAACCCAGGAGGCAGAGGTTTCCGTGAGCTGAGATCGCGCCATTTCACTCCAGCCTGGGCAACAAGAGCGAAACTCTGTCTCAGAAAAAAAAAAAAAGATATGACTCACTAGAAGCTCAGATGATCATTAGCATTTTTTTAGCAATGAAGTATTTTAAATAAAACTGCATTTTTTTAGACATAATGCTATTGAACACTTAATAGCAACCATGTAAACATAACTTTTATATGCACTGGACACCCAAAAAGTCCACGTGACTTATTTTACTGTGGTAGTCTATAAGCAAACCCACAATTTCTTCAAGGTATGCCTTGCTAGGTGAGTAACCTAAGAAAAATCACTCAGTTGGGTGCAGTGGCTCTGAGGGAAGAGAGAGACCTTCTCATATTGTTTTATATTCAGTGCCTGTTTTAAGAAAAAAAGAAAAAACAACAAGGAAGTAAAACCAAAGACAGGCAGCCCAGCGCCAGGCCTGAAACCAGGCCTGGGCCTGCCTGGCCTAAACCCAGTAGTTAAAAATCAACTCCTGACTTAGAAACCAATGTTACCCATAGATTTCAGGCATTGTATAAAAGAACATGTGGAACTCCCTGCTCTGTTCTGTTTCTCTCTGACTACCAGTGCATGAAACCCCTGTCACGTATCCCCTAGATTGCTCAATCAATCACGACCCTTTCATGTGAAATCTTTAGTGTTGTGAGCCCTTAAAAGGGACAGAAATTGTGCACTCAGGGAGCTCGGATTTTAAGGCAGTAGCTTGCCAATGCTCCCAGCTGAATAAAGCCCTTCCTTCTACAACTTGGTGTCTGAGAGGTTTTGTCTCCGGCTGGTCATGCTACATTTCTTGGTTCCCTGACCGGGAAACGAGGCAGACAAAACCTGGGTAGTTAAGGGGCTACCCGAGGCAGCCCCTTAGGCGGCTTAGGCCTGCTGTGTGGAGCATCCCTGCAGGGGACTCCAGCCAGCCTGAGTGAAGCCATCCGAAGAGCGATCCCAGGTAGAGAATTGCCCCGGTGGAACGCCTCGCCAGAGCAGTGCGTAGCAGGCCCCTGCGGAGGATTAACACAGTGGCTGAACACCAGGAAGGAACTGGCACTTGGAGTCCAGACATCTGAAATTTAGTAAGACTAGTCTTTAGAACTTGCCCCACTCCATCTGAGTGGAAGCGTGGCCTGATCACCCAGGGTGTGCCTGCATTGGCACTTTTGTTCTGGTTTTGACTTGACTTGAATTGCTGGACACTTTGGTTTTAGTTTTGACTTGGCTTGAATTTTTTGGTACACGGATTTTGAATTTCGTGATTTTGGTTTGGTATAAACAGTAAAAGTGTGGGTGTGCCCTCTTTACCCGTTCTTTGTCTTGTGGTGAGTGTGTGTAGTGTGAGCGTGGTATTTTGTCTCAAAAAAAAAAAAAATAGGTCAGGTGCAAAGTAAGCCCACCCCACTGGGAACTATGTTAAAGAATTTCAAGAAAAGATTTTAGGGAGACTATGGAGTCACTATGACTCCAGGAAAACTTAGGACTTTGTGTGACATAGACTGGCCAGCATTAGAGGTGGGTTGGCCATCAGAAGGAAGCCTAGACAGGTCCTTTGTTTCAAAAGTATGACACAAGTTAACCTGTAAGCCAAGGCACCCAGACCAATTTCCGTACATAGACAGTTACAGCTGGTTTTAGACCCCCTTCCTCCCCACAGTAGTTAAGAGAACAGCAGCATAAGCGGCTGGCAGAGGCAAGGAAAGACCAGCAGAGAGAAAAAGAGACCATCTATACCAATTCTAAGTTAATTTAGACTAAACAAGGTCTTATTAATAGCAAAAGATAATTGAAATCCCAAACTTACAAGGTTTTCAACAAAGTGAAGTTTGCTAAAAGTTAACAGTGTAACATGTATTATGGTAACTTCTAATCTTGTAGCCTTAGACAGTCTAGTCCAAAGACATAAAGAAAGTTTGCTTTAAAAAAAAAAAAGGAATAGTTATCTTCAAAAAATAAAGAGAAAAAAAAGGGGGGAGGCAGAATTTATGTAAAGAGTGTTATATGGTAAATTCTTGTCCTGAAATAAATTAACTGCTTGTTTAAAGAAAAAAATCTTTGTAATAAGTCAGAAAGTTGAGACATGTTGAAAAATTGTGTGCGAAAGTCGTGAAAGAAAAAATGTTATAAAAAATTATGCAAAAAATGTTGTATAATTTAAAAGTAATAAGGCCTCCTGAGTACTGTTTAAAAAAACAGTTTATGTGCAAAGTGTATAAGAAAAGTAAAATGTACCTTTAGTAAAAAGATTATAAAGGGGCATAAAAACGTGGATTTTTACCTACATTAAAAGGTTAAAAAAATATTGTTTTAAAAGTTTTAAAACGTTAATTGTAAAGAAAATTCTGTGTGTAAACATATTAGCTAAAGTTAAAAAGGTATCATCCAATTTTTCTGTGAACTAGACATTAAAGTAAAAATGCAACAGGTTTTTCTTAAAGCATCAACCTGCTCTTTAACAAAAATTATAAAAAGTTAAAAAGAGTCTATAAAATCTTACCTTATGGTCAAACATAAAAAATTAGATAAATATGTCTACAAGGTTTTATTAAAATTAAGTTTAACATTAATAACACCCTAATATAAAAGTAAAATTTAACTTACGTGGTATAAAAATCATACAAGAAGCATTATTAAATATAAAATAGTGTTTAACTTTCTTTGGTCTAAAAACTAATAAAAAATAGATGCTAAAAGAAACATTCATTTTACTAGAGGATCATAGAAGTTAAAGACTTAAAACAAACTTTGGCAATTAAGACGGCATACCAAGATGCAAATGCCTGGTTGAAATAGATCAAATATTCCATCTGCACGTTATAAAAAGCAATTGTTATGCTTGTGCACATGGCAGGCCAGAGGCCCCGATTGTCCCCCTTCCACTAAGGTGGTCCTCCAGTCCACCAGGCGTGGGCTGCATGGTAGCTCTTTTCCAGGATTCTACAGCCTAGAGTAATAAGTCATGCCAAGCTCTCTCTGCTATATCCCGAAGTCCCTGCAGGTCAGCCCCCAAAGGCCATCCAGCTTCCGTCTCCCAACACTAAGTTCACTTCGTGTCTCTCATGGCAGGGAGGAGACTTATTAGCATTCCTTAGAGACCTGAAGGGATGCAGTGAGCTTAAGAATTTTCAACCAGTCAGCCCTTGTTCCTCCCCGAGCAAATGTGTGGTGGTATTCTGGTGGACCTTTACTGGGCACTCTGCCGCATAACTAGAGTGGCACTTGTGCTTTAGTCCACTTGGCTATCCCTTTCACCCTGGCATTTCATCAACCAGAGGAAAAACAAAAAATAAGACATCGTAAAGTGAGAGAAGCCCTTATAGGTCTTTCAACTCTCACATCTATTTAGATGCAATTGGAGCCCCACAAGAAATACAGATCAATTTAAAGCTTGAAATCAAATAGTTACAGGATTTAAGTCAATATTTTAGTAGATGACAGTCAATAAAAATGTAAATTAGATAAACTACATCTATTACAACCAACAGCAATGAGCTTTTCATGAGTTAAAAAGAAAAACTCATGTCGGCCCCCGCCATGAGGCTACCTGACCTGAAAAAACTCTTTACACTCTATGTGTCAAAAAGAGAAAAAATGGCAGTTGGAGTTTTAACCCAGACTGTAAGGCCCTGGCCAAGGCCAGTGGCCTATCTCTCAAAACAACTAGACAGCGTTTCCAAAGGCTGGCCCCCATGTCCAATGGCCCTGGTAGCAACAGCCCTGTTAGCACAAGAAGCAGATAAGCTAACTCTTAGACAAAACCTAAACATAAAGTCCCCCCATGCTGTGGTGACTTTAATAAATACCAAAGGACACCATTAGCTAATGAATGCTAGACTAACTAGATACCAAAGCTTGCTCTGTGAAAATCCCCGCATAACCACTGAAGTTTGCAACACCCTAACCCCGCCATCTTACTCCTGGAATCAGAGAGACCAGTTAAACATAAACTGAGTAGAGGTGTTAGACTTAGTTTATTCTAGTAGGCCCAACCTCCGAGACCACTGTTTAACATCAGTAGACTAGGAGCTGTACGTGGATAGGAGCAGCTTCGCCAACCCCTGCAAAGTGACTCTGAAGAAGGTGACAAGCCCTGCTCCAGTCACACCCGGAAGGTGACTAGTCCATGCACGGCCGAAGCGTGAGGAAACTCATCACAGGACTCATTTTCCTTAAAATTTAGACTTGTACAGTAAGGACTTCAACTGACCTTCCTCAGACTGAGGGCTGTTCCCAGTATATACATCAAGTCACTGAGGTAAGACAAAAGATTGCTACAGTCCTATTATTTTATAGTTATTATAAATGCCTAGGAACTCCAAAGGAAACCTGTTTGTATAATGACACCCAGTACAAAGTATATAATCCAGGAAGTGACCAGCCCGATGTGTGCTATGACTCCTTTGAACCTCCCATGATCACAGTCTTTGAAGTAAGACTAAGAACTGGTCATTCTGTAAGTGACACAAGTAAAGTAATAGCTAGAACAGAAGAAAGAAAGGTCCCCAAAAATGTAACCTTAAAATTTGACGCCTGTGCCACTATTAATAATAAACAGCATAGGATAGGATGCGGTTCTCTAGATTAGAAACAAAGTTACACAGCAGAAAATAAGTACATCTGTCAAGAATCATATTTATGTAAGATGTGTCAATACTAGTCTTGTGTCATTTAGGCTACTTAAAAAGAAGATAAAAAAGATCCTGTTTAGCTCCAAAAAGGAAAAGGCAGCCCCTCCTGCACGAGTGGAAGCTGCAACCCTTTAGAATTAGTAATCACAAACCCCTCAGACCCAAAATGAAATAAAGAAAAATACGTATCATTAGGCATTGATGAAAAAGGACTAGATCCTAGCATAAACATCCTAATAAAAAAGGAAGTTCAAAGATGCTCTCCAGAACCAGTATTTCAGACTTTCTGTGATGAACTAAATGTGCCAGTACCTGAGATTCCAGGAAAAACTAAATTTTTTTTTTTTGCAATTAGCCGAGCATGTAGCCCAGTCTCTAAATGTCACTTCATGTTACGTTTGTGGAGAAACTGTAGTAAGAGATCAATGGCATAAGAAGCCCGAGAATTAGTGCCTACAGACCCAGTTCCTGATGAATTCCCGGCCCAAAAGAATCACCCTGATCATTTCTAGGTTCTAAAAGTCTCAATTATTAGACAATATTACATAGCTAGAAAAAGGAAAGAATTCACTCATTCTGTAGGATGACTTAGTTGCCTAAGACAAAAACCATATTAATAGTACCACACACACACACACACACACAAAAAAAAAAAAACAGTTACATGATAAAGTTCCAGTTACACAGAAAGAGATCCATTCAGTAAATTTCCAAAGTTGCAGACTGTTTAGGCCCACCCAGAATCCCACCAGGACTGGACGGCCCCCACCAGGTTATATTGGATATATAGACACAGAGCTTCTGCTAAGCTGCCTGATCAGTGGACAGGTAGCTGCGTAATTGCACCATTAAGCCATCTTTCTTCTTACTGCCCATAAATCAGGTGAACTTCTAGGCTTCCCAGTCTATGCTTCCCGCGGAAAACGAAGCATAGCCATAAGTAATTGAAAAGATGACGAATGACCTCCTTAAAAAAAAAAATTATACAATACTATAAGCCTGCCACTTAGGCACAAGATGGCTCATAAGGATATCGAACCCCCATCTACATGCTCAACCGAATCATACGGTTACAAGCTGTTTTAAAAATTATTACTAATAAAACCGGTCAAGCCTTGACTGTTCTTGCCCGGCAAGAGACTCTGAAGAGAAATGCTATCTATCAAAATAGACCAGCTCTTGACTACTTGCTAGCAGCTGAATTTAACCTTACTAATTGTTGTCTAAACATAAATAATCAAAGGCAAGTAGTTAAAGACATAGTTAAAAATATGACAAAACTGACACATGTGCCCGTAAAAGTGTAGCACGGATTCGACCCTGAAGCCATGTTTAAAAGGTATTTCCCAGCACTAAGAGGATTTAAAACTCTTATAATAGGAGTTATAATAGTAATAGAAACCTGCTTACTGCTCCCTTGTTGGCTACCTGTACTTCTTTAAATGATAAAAAAGCTTCATCGCTACCTTAGTTCACCAAAATGCTTCAGCACAAGTGTACTATATAAATCACTATCAAACTATTGCACAAAAAGACATAAGTAGCAAAAATAAAAGTGAGAACTCCCACTAATAAAAAGTAAGAGTCTCAAAAGGAGGAAATGAGGGAAGAGAGAAACCTTCTCATATTGTTTTATACTCAGTACCTGTTTTAAGAAAAAAAGAAAAAACAACAAGGAAGTAAAACCAAAGACAGGCAGCCCGGCACCAGGCCCCAGGCCTGGCCTGCCTGGCCTAAACCCAGTAGTTAAAAATCAACTCCTGACTTAGAATCCGATGTTACCCACAGATTTCAGGCATTGTATAAAAGAACATTGTGGAACTCCCTGCTCTGTTCTGTTTCATTCTGACTACCAGTGCACGAAACCCCTGTCACTTATCCCCTAGATTGCTCAATCAATCACGACCCTTTCATGTGAAATCTTCAGAGTTGTAAGCCCTTAAAAAGGACAGAAATTGTGCACTCGAGGAGCTCAGATTTTAAGGCAGTAGCTTGCCAATGCTCCCAGCTGAATAAAGCCCTTCTTTCTACAACTCGGTGTCTCAGAGGTTTTCTCTGCGGCTTGTCCTGCTACAGCTCATGCCTGTAATCTCAGCATTTTGGGAGGCGAAGGCGGGTGGATCACGAGGTCTGGAGTCTAAGACCAGCCTGACCAAGAGGGTGAAACCCCATCTCTACTAAAAATACAAAAAAATAAGCTGGGTGTGGTGGCAGGTGCCTGTAATCCCAGCTACTTGGGAGGCTGAGGCAGGAGAATTTCTTGAACCTGGGAGGCAGAGGTTGCACTGAGCAGAGATCACACCACTGCACTCCAGCCTGGGCAAGAGAGTGAGACTCTGTCTCAAAAAAAAAAAAAAAAAAAAAAGCAAGCAAAAATCATCCAACCTTCATATGTCTGTTTTTCCACCTCTAAAATGGAGATGATTCTATCTTCCTTGCAGAGTTTTGATTAAATGAAATAAAGGGTTTTTTAGAAATATACAATGCTTGTTGTTTGGTAGGTTAGTAGGTTACAATAAGATGATTACTTAATTGCCTTGTTAAATATACACATCTAAGTCTAAACCAGCATCTGTACTTATCAGAAAGCTGGATTTTTCCAGAGTGAAATAACTTCTGTAAATACAAAATTTAGGCCATTGTTTCTCTCTCCCACTTCAAATTATGCTGAGAGGTCCTAGAGTCCTCAGAGGTGTCTCAAGGTATGAGAAAACCCAAGTTGGTAAATAAATGTAAGCCCTCTCACCATTTTCATCTGTGTATTAAGGTACCATGGAAGACTGAACTTCTAAAATGTGGTTCTCTAAAAAAAACGATGCTTAAGACCATTGACATCCTTTCTTATTCTATGATTTCTATTCTCATTCTAAGATGTTGGCATGTGCCCAAAGTGAGCTCTGGATTTTTCCCTGCCATTCCAATACCTGTAGGTCTCTGGTAGTTCTTAGGCCCTTCTGTCCATATGGGTTAAGGCAGCATGATATTCCTCAACTCCAAATTGTAATCATTTATTTGTTTGTTCAGCAATTCCATATTTATCTTTGGCCAGGGTGTACAGAAAACAGTGCAGTCTGTGTTCACAAGTCTATTCTCATGCTGCTAATAAAGACATACCCAAGACTGGGTAATTTATAAAGACAAAGAGGTTTATTGGACTCGCAGTTCCATGTGGCCGGGGAAGCCTCACAATCATGGCAGAAGGCAAAAGGCACATCTTACATGGCATCAGACAAGAGAGAAATGAGAGCCAAGTGAAAGGGGAAACCCCTTATAAAATCGTCAGATCTCATGAGACTTATTCGCTACCACGACAGCAGTATGGGGGAAACTGCCCTTATGATTCAATTATCTCCCACCGGGTCCCTCCCACAACAAGTGGGAATTATGGGAGATACAATTCAAGATGAGATTTGGGTGGGGACACGGCCAAACCATATCAGTCAGGGCTTACAGGATACACTGCAAAAGAGATGTGCACAGAAAGTT
Source organism: Homo sapiens (assembly GCF_000001405.40). NCBI lineage: Eukaryota > Metazoa > Chordata > Mammalia > Primates > Hominidae > Homo > Homo sapiens. Next base: position 171,608,237 of record NC_000001.11, read on the forward strand.
TATTAGGCCTGCCCTTGAGATCAAACCATAGTGGAGTATAAAATTGGATTGGCAGAGGGAGACGTTCACCTGAGATGCTAATGCAAAAAAATGCCTTAGTAAATCTTGTGATAAGTTCTGGAAATAAGATGCTCCTTTAAAATTATCTGGCCTTGAGTCCAGGGAACCAGACTTTTTTTTTTTTTTTTTTTTTTTTTTTGAGATGGAGCCTTGCTGTGTTGCCCAGGCTGGAGTGCAGTGGCGCGATCTCGGCTCCCTGCAAGCTCCGCCTCCCGAGTTCACACCATTCTCCAGCCTCAGCCTCCCGAGTAGCTGGGACTACAGGCACCTGCTACCATGCCTCACTAGTTTTGTTTTTGTATTTTTAGTAGAGATGGGGTTTCACCGTGTTAGCCAGGATGGTCTCGATCTCCTGACCTCATGATCTGCCCGCCTCGGCCTCCCAAAGGGCTGGGATTACAGGCGTGAGCCACCACGCCCGGCTAGGGAACCAGACTTTTATACCCTCACATTGTCCAGTTATTGCCCAAGGATGGGGATGTAGGAAGGGAATGCATGATCTTGGATGAGGCATTCTCTGCCGAGGGCAATTCCCAGAAAGGATTGTGCTCAGAACCAGAGCCTACACTCCCAGCAGCTGGGGAAATGAGTCCCTGAGTCCAGAAGAGGATCTAGGTGGTGCACATAGCCTCCACTATAGTTCACCTTTCACTGCTCAGTGATAAGCTCTGGAAATATCTCCTCCAGATTAGGATTGGTCTCTTCCTGGGAAACCTGAAGAAGATTAGTGGGTTAAGTATACACCCTGCCATTACAGCTGGTCTCAGCCACAGCTGATGTCCTCCTCTCCTACCCATTCTAGATTTCCCTCACCCTCAGCTAGCACCTCTACTGCCCTTGATGGCTTACACAGGCCCTAATATCTGAGAGGGTCTAAGCCCTTGGTCACTTTGCCTTTCTATGACTGGAAGCTACACTTGTTTATTTACTGTCAAAACTGGACAAGCATGTACTAAAAGATCCATCACAAATAACCTGGGAGCCAAATGTATTCTTCCTTGGCCCTATCTCCTCCTTGAGACTAGAGTCAAGTATCCCTGCTGTATAACTTCTTTCCTTAACTACTGGTCTCTTGACAAGATAAGCTCAAAGTGACTAGGTGGAAGCTATAGTGTAAAGGTGAATGGGTCTCTTCCTGTGTCTCTGGTGGATGTATTCCCCTCCTGCAAATGGGAACCTCTAAACATCCAGGTCTCAGAGTTGGCAAGGATGAGAAACACAAATCCCCCAAGTGGGTCACTGGGAATGATGGTGAGACACTTATTTCCACACTTAGTTCCATGAAGGGCAACCTATTATTATCTATTGCTGTGTAGCATATTACCCCAAAACTTAGTAGCTTAAGACAGCATGTATTTCTTTCTTTTTTGTGTCTGTGTTTGTTTGTAGACACAGGGTATATCAATGTTGCCCAGTCTGGTCTCCAACTCTTGGCCTCAAGTGATCCTCCCTCCTCAGCCTCCCAAAGTGCTGGGATTATAGGCATGAGCCACTGCACCCGGCCAACAAGTATTTGTTATTGCACAGTTCCTATGGGTCAGGAATGCAGGTGCAGCTTAACTAGATCCCTGTGGCTCAAGATCTTTCATGAATTTGCTGTCAGGTTGTTTGACCAAGACTGCAGTCGCATTGTAAGGCTCAAATGAGAGAAAATTATTTTCCAAGATCACTCACATGGTTGTTAGTAGGCCTCAGCCCCCCTTCACATGGGTCTCTCCACAGGGATGCCTCACGTTATGACATCTGGCTTCCAAGCAAGCAAGCAAGCCAAAAGACAGTGAAAAAGAAAGCATCTAAAACAAGTCTTATAATTTAGTGTTAGAAGGGACAGCCTATCACTTCTACCATATTCTGTTTATTATAAGTCAGTCAATAAGTTCACACTCAAGGAGCAGAGATTACACAAAGATGTGAATAACAGGAGTCAGGGATCATTGAGTCTCATCTTAGAGGCTGCCTGTCCCACCATGTTTGCAGGGTATCATCTCCAAGTTGGTACCTCAATTGTATCTTCAAAGGTCATTCCATTATGCTATCAGACTGGCAGCTTCTAGATGTTACAGAGTGTGATAATACCACTAGATACCCATGCTTAGTATCTGTCTTAGTCTGTTTTATGTTGCTAAGGCAGAATACCACAGACTGGATAATTTATAAAGAAAACTTTATTTAGAGTTCCGGAGGCTGGGAAGTCCAGGAGCATGGTGCCAGCATTTGAAGAGGGCTTTCTTGCTGAGTCATAACATGGCAGAAGGACAAGTGAGCATGAGAAAGAGGAAGAGAGAGAGAGAGAGAGCTGCTTGTGTAACAAGCCCACTCTTGCGATAAGTAACCCATTTCTGCAACAATGACATTGATCCATTCACCTCTTAATCACCTCTTAAAGTCCCTACCTCTCAACACTGTTGCATTAGGGATTACATTTCCAATGCATGAATTCTGTGGGGACACATTCAAACCATAGCATTCACTCACTGCCAAATCACCTTTGATGTAATGTGGGTACCTTGGTCTAATGAGATATTATGCAGGATCCCATGAAGGTAAAACAAACACTTTAAGCCCTCTGATAGTGGTGCTAGTTTAGGTCTTGCCCTATTTTATATACAATACATGTCAATTCTAGTCATCCAGTGGTTGGGTGGTTTTCCAGTTGTTTTCCTTAGAAGCCTCTGACCAATCATCCAAGCCATTTACCATCATTCATGAGTTTGTATGTATTCTTCTCTTGGGCCACTTCTCTTTCCACACAAAGTAGATGATCAAATGCATTGCCTGAAACTGCCCACTGGGACCAATTTCCCTTGCTGCTATCATTTAGGGCCACCCTGAGAAGAGCTGCAGAGCAGCAGTTTTGCAATTCCTGCTTGCACTTACCTACTGAATTGACAAAACCAAACTTGAGGGTTTTCTTTTTTTCTCTTTAAGCTGACTATAAGAGACTCCTTGGACAAACATAGGGATAAATTCAGGGAGAGGTGCTGGTGCAATATTAGTGAATAATATGGGGGTCTGGGCTACCTGCTTGTTCCCTTAGGCCCTACTTGTGCACAATTCTCAACGTACCACTTCCATCTTGTAGATTGCTGCTGGGCCTGCTCAAACTCATGACTTTCAGGATCTAATAGAACTACTCGAAATGGGCTATTTCAAGTAGTTCTATTACTCATTTGGTCACCTCCCAGGAACTTTGTGTAAAACTTCATTGCAGATGAACTTACATTGTAATTCTCCTATTGGAGCTTGCCACAAAACATCTTTGTGAGTCACCAATACCTCTTACCAGAAGGTCTTCTGCTTAGTATCAACCAAGTGGCTGTGGGGCCACTTGCCCCACTGCCTGGACCTGCAGGGTCCTTTCCTGCTCTAATATCTGCTCAAAGTCAGCAGACTTTCATGTTAGTCAGTATATGGGTTGCAGCAGTATTCCTAAGTATGGAATATGCTACCTCAGCATCCAAAGAGGCCTACCAGGCATTGTGCTTCTTTCTTAGTGGTGGGAGGTACAAGGTGCAATATTTTGTCCTTTAATTTGCAGGGGATGGAAAATCATGCCCCAGACCTCTGGATCCCTAAAAAAAAATCTGACTGATGGGTAAACTGACATTAATCTACCCTAACAAATATATTACTTCTGTCTCAGCAATTACAATTACAGCTACAACTTGGTTGAATTCATGGTAGTCTTCAGACTGGTTTTTGTAGGGGCCAGAGAAATAAATTCAACAGGGATATTATGAGAACTGCTGGCCCTGTACCCTTTAGGTTTCTTTTCTTTTCTTTTCTTTTCTTTGAGATGGAGTCTCGTTCTATAGCCCAGGCTGGAGTGCAGTGCAGTGGTGCAATCTCGGCTCACTGCAACCTCTGTCTCCCAGATTCAAGCGATTCTCCTGCCTCACAGCCCCCTGAGTAGCTGGGGTTACAGGCATCTGCCACCATGCCTGGCTAATTTTTGTATTTTTAGTAGAGACGGGGTTTCATCATGTTGGCCCGGCTGGTCTCGAACTCCTGACCTCAGATGATCCAACTGCCTAGGACTCCCAAAGTGCTGGGATTACAGGTGTGAGCCACTGCGCCTGGCCTGTACCCTCTAGGTTTCTAAGGGTGTCACCAATCAGGGTTATTCCTACCCATCACATGACATTTTTTTTACTACATTGACTTGGGGGGAAGCAGAAAGACTTTCACTTAGTAACTTAGCATTTCCCACTACAATAATTCCTACCTCAGATCAAAAACTAATGTGTGTCCAGGCATGGTGGCTCATGCCTATAATCCCAGCACTTTGGGAGGCCGAGGTGGGTGGATCACTTGAGGTCAGGAGTTCGAGACCAGCCTGACCAACACGGTGAAACACCATCTCTACTAAAAATACAAAAAAAAATTAGCCGGCCGTGGTGGCGCATGCCTGTAATCCCAGCTACTTGGGAGGCTGAGGCAGGAGAATTGCTTGAACCTGGGAGGCGGAGGTTGCAGTGAGCCAATATCGTGCCATTGCACTCCAACCTGGGCGACAAGAGTGAAACTCCATCTCAAAAAAAACAAAACAAAACAACAACAAAAAACCTATTGTGGGAGTACTATCAATTTCCAAATATGTCCATTCCAATTATACATTCAAAGAGCAAGGAAATGACCACTTGGTAGGACATGGACCAAGTGGGCTCACTGTGAGTTAGAGCTGGGCCAGAACTCACTCTATTTATTTCTAGCCTTCATGTGTCTTTAACTCTGATGGAGGGTCCATGTTTACACTTTGAATACCAGTGTCATCTTGAATGTTGTATTCCACAATCTTCAAAATGTGTGGATATTCCTCTGTCTCCAGTGTATGGTTCCTTGACTAAATGTCCCTAGATCTCTGTGGGAAATCATTACTATACACTTGCCATGGTATTATAAGATCCTTCCTCCTGAGGACCCGATTTATCTTTTACTCAGTGGGTTCTGAGTCCAGAAACTGAACAAGGGATGGTGACCCTAGATATTCATCTGGTTGCACAAAGGGAGGTCCCAAGGAAAACATGTGTTGCCTTACAAGGTAGAAGCCTCTGCAGCATCTTCAAGCCAAGTTGAGTTCTAGTCTCCAACAGAGAGGACCAAACCATTTCTGCAGGCCTGGAGGGTTCAGGAGGATCTGGGTTTTGAGGTTTCCAAGTATGTTAGCCCATTAAAGACTTCATTTCAGTCTCAGGATCTCACTTTCTCTTGGCTTGCTGGGACTGAGAATTCAACATTCTCTGTGATGCATTTTTTTTTTGTTTTTGGCAAGACAGGGTCTTGCTCTGTCACCCAGGTTGGAGTGCAGTGGCGTGATCATAGCTTGCTGCAACCTTGAACTCCTGGGCTCAAGTGATCCTCCCACCTCAGCTTCCTGAGTAGCTGGGACTGCAGGCACATGCCATCACACCTGGCTAACTTTTTAATTTTTTGTAGCTATAGGGTCTCACTATGTTGCCCCGGTTGGTCTTGAACTCCTGAGCTCAAGCAATCCTCCCAAAGTGCTAGGATTAGAGGTGTGAGCCACCACACCTAAATCCTCAGCCTTATCCTCAGCTTTTACTGCCCTTTGGCTGTGGGAAATGAAAGCCTCTTTATATGCTGCCAAAGAGGCCTCTGACTTTATCACTTCACCTGCAATGGCTGATTGGCAGTCCAGTCTTTCATCTTCTTTCTCAAATTCATCAATAGCACCCAGGAAGAGGCATTGTCCTTATAATTAGTAGTTCCCCTGAATCTCTCAAAATCTTGAGATAATGCACCTGCCAATTTATTCCCTTCCAACAGTATCCCCTCCCAATTCAACACCAGGCAAAAATTTAACAATTGTGCCATTACAGTTTGCCAAGGGATATTAATGTTCCATTACTGCCAGTTATGAGGTCCACATTGCCTGGTAATCCAGTGCCAAAAGTCTTTTTAGAGTTTAATTCCTCTATCCCCTACTGATACAAATGGTGTTAGGTCAAGTTTCTAACAGAATACTGGGAAAAGACACTGAAATCAAGATTTATGTGCAGAAAGTTCATTGAGGGAGTGCCCTCTGCATCAATATCTGTGGGAGAATTAAGTAAGTAGGTTTGGGCAGAGGGATCAGTTGAACTGTGGCACAGTCACAATAAAGGCCTCAGCTGACCCTACTGGCACCTCTGCAGCTGGGGATGAACCTTTAGAGTCATCCCAAGTTGAAGCAAGGGGGCTGAGCCTTCATATCCCCAGTTGTGGGCAAGTCATTTGTTGCAGGCTAGCCTTTATCTCTTAGGAGAGGGGCAGAAACGTGGCTAAGGCAACTCTCTTCAGCTGAGAGCAATGCCTGGAGAGGCACTCAGCTGAGAGTCATCACCACCAACACTCCCAGCAGTGGGGGAACAACTGCCTCAGCTGGAAAGGGGATGTGGATGGGAGCACCATAGCATCCACTGCAACATGCATTATTTTAGGTGTTGAGATACGGCAGTGAACGTGGTAGACAAAAATTTGTGCTTTTTTTCTACATTTTAGACGGAGTAGTCAAGGAAGGCCTCGCTGTGCAGACAACACTGAGCAAAGACTTGAAGGAAGAAAGGGAACAAGATATCAAGATATTTGGGAAAAGCATATTCCAGGCAGAGGTCTGAGCAAATGCAAAGACCTGACCTGAAGGGAGAATATCTCTGGGTGTTCAAGGAACAGTAAGGAGGCCAGATGGTTGAAACCAGCTGAGAAAAAGGTGAGTAGTAGGAGCTGACAGATCAAAGAAATCAGGGTGGGGGGAAGAAGGCAGATTGTATCAGACCTTGAAGGCCATTGTAAGGTTTTTGGCTTTTACTCTGTGAAATAAAAAGCCATGGCGAGTTTGGAGCAGAGTGGTAACATGACATGTTTTTAAAAGAGTGCTCTGGCTGCGTGTTGCAGATAGATTGAAAGAGTGACCAGGATGAAAGCAGGGGACCAGATAGGCTTAATCTATGCCAAAGATAACGGTGAGTTGGACCAGGATGGTAACAGTGGAGGTGATAAGAAGTGGCTGGATTCTAAGTATAACTGAAGAGTAGAGCTGAAAATCCACTGCTGATGGATTGAATGTTAGTTTGAGAGAGAGTGAAAGAGATAAGACAAAGATGACTTCTAGATTTGGCGCTTGTGCTGCTGAAAGTGAGGGAAGAGAGAGTCCCTCTCATATTGTTTTATACTCAGTACCTGTTTTAAGAAAAAACAACAAGGAAGTAAAATCAAAGACAGGCAGCCCGGTGCCAGGCCTGAAACCAGGCCTGGGCCTGCCTGGCCTAAACCCAGTAGTTAAAAATCAACTCATAACTTAGAAACCGATGTTATTCATAGATTCTAGACATTGTATAGAAGAACATTGTGAAACTCCCTGCCCTGTTCTGTTTCTCTCTGACCACCGGTGCATGCAGCCCCTGTCACGTACCGCCTGCTTGCTCAAATCAATCACGACCTTTTCATGTGAAATCTTTAGTGATGTGAGCCCTTAAAAGGGACAGAAGTTGTGCATTCGGGGAGCTCGGATTTTAAGGCAGTAGCTTGCCGATGCTCCCAGCTGAATAAAGCCCTTCCTTCTACAACTCAGTGTCTGAGAGGTTTTGTCTGTGGCTCGTCCTGCTACAAAAGGATGGGGTTGCCATTAACAGAAATGAGGGGCCAGGCACAGTAGCTCATGCCTGTAATCCCAGGGCTTTGGGAGGCCGAGGCAGGTGGATCACTTGAGGTCAGGAGTTCAAGACCAGCCTGGCCAACGTGGTGAAACCTGTCTCTACTAAAAATACAAAAATTTGCCAGGCATGGTGGCACATGCTTGTAATCCCAGCTACTTGTGAAGCTGAAGCAGGAGAATCGCTTGAACCCCAGAGGCAGAGGTTGCAGTGAGCCAAGATCGTGCCACTGCACTCCAGCCTGGGTGACAAGAGCGAAACTCCATCTCAAAACAAAAAACAAACAAACAAACAAACAAAAAAACAAAGGGCTGGGCGCAGTGGCTCACGCCTGTAATCTCAGCACTTTGGGAAGCCAAGACAGGTGGATCACATGAGGTCAGGAGTTTGAGACCAGCCTGGCCAACATGGCAAAACTCTGTCTCTATTAAAAATACAAAAATTAGCCCAGTGTGGTGGTGCACACCTGTAATCCCAGCTACTGGGGAGGCTGAGGCAGGAGAATCACTTGAACCCAGGGAGGCAGGGGTTGTAGTGAGCCGAGACCATGCCATTGCACTCCAGCCTGGGTGACAGAGTGAGACTCTGTCTCAAATAAATAAATAACAACAACAACAACAAAACAGAGATGAGGGAGACAGCTGCTGGAACAGGTTTGAAGGAGGTGATCAGGAGTTCAGTCTTGGACATGTCGAGTTTACATGTTTATTGTTTATATTGAGGTGTCAAGTCAGCAGCTGATATATTGGTTGAGTTCAGGAGAGAGATCTGGGCTGGAGAGACAGATTGATGAATGTCATATCCTATAGATGGCATTGTAAGGAACATGGCTGTGCTTTGGTCAAGGATAGGCTGAGGTAAACATCCAGAGCGACTCAGTGAGTTTAGAGCACAGGCATATAACTCCACTTGTTATCACAGCCATGTAGCCATAACATGGGAAGGTTCATCATTTGGTTCTAAGCCACTGTTGTCTGTAAAAGGTATAATTGCCCTGCTGACACTGTACAGGCATGCTGGCACCTAGAGAAAGAGAACCAAAGCTGTCCATTTTGCAGACAGACAGCAGGAAGCCAGGGCACAGCATGGCTCAGCTTGTGCCCAGAGAGAGAAAGAGTTAAGCTGCTGACCCTGAGGCAGGGGAGAGCTGGCCACACAGCTGTGTGGGAGCCACTGGACTAAGCAGCTGAGACAGGGCAGACAGTGTGAGAAAGTTCTTGATGAGAGCTGCTGCTGAATAAAATCATCTTTCACCTGCCTATAGCCTCCCAAGTGTTCTTGCTGCTCATCCACCCACTCCCTTCAGACCTCAGCATGGACTGGAACCTGACCCTGAGCATGATAAGTGGTGTAGTTATGAACCTGACACGCGATTAAGTGATGAGACTAGATGCAATTAACAGGGAAATGAGTGTAGAGAATAGAAGAGATTCAAGGGCTGAGGCTTGGATGCTCTGCTGTTATGAGTATAGGAAAATAAGAGGAAACAAGCAGAGGGGTCTGAGAAAGAGTTGCCAGTGACTTTGGACCAAGCGAGAGGGTGGTGACCTGGAAATCAATGAAGACAATGCTTCAAGGAGGAGTGAGTTATTTCCTGTTTCAACTAACTGGTAGAAAACATACAACCTTGATAGCCAGTTTGGTGACTGAGTGATACGAGACATGTTTTTTAAAGTGGATTTGACAGAGAATTGAAGGAAAGGAATTGGAGGCAGTGAATATAGACAAATCTTTCACAAGCAATTTTTGTGTCTTTGTTTTGTGGTGGGGAAAAGTGGGAACAAGAGAAGGTTTTAAGATGGGAGAAATAACATGTTTGTTCACTGATGAGAAAGATCGAACAGAGAGGGATAATTTGATAATAAAGAGACGGGAGAATTGTTCAAACGAAGACCTCGAGTAGATGAGAGGGAATGGAATCTAGTGCTGGAGTGGAAGGGTTGGCCCCTGAAAAGAGTGCCAATAGTTCATCTAGAGTAAGGTGAGAGGAGACAGAGAACACGGGCACAAAGGCTGGAAGGTGGGTAGGTGTGGTGAATGTGGAATTCTCTTATGATTGCTTCCATTGTCCTCAGCTAAGAATGAGAATTGGGAAGATGTGTTGGAGGTTTGAGGACAGAAGAGAAGGTATCTAGGCCTAGGATGAGCACACACTTACAGCTGCAGTCATGAATTTAAAGGAAGACTGGCTATCAGGGTTGTATGTTTTCCATTAGCCACATACAGCTGCACAGGTGCAGGTGCTGAGTGGGTAGAGAAGTGAATGTCACCTGGGTTGGCACTCAACCAACCAAGTTCAGAGACTCAAGAGCTGGTCAAGGGAGCTGATAGTACACTTGATGGACTCATAACCCCACCTTAGTGCTGACTCTCCTTTATCTCATATATGCATATATGTCTAGAAAAAATTATATTGGCCTTAGACATTTTGCAGAGACTGAGAATAACCGAGTCACATTCGTGATAGCGAGCTAGTGCAATAGCTTTGCTGTTGTGGGGATGACAAGGTAATCTAGTTCCTACATGTGCCTTTGGGGTTCCAGTTCAATTCTTCCTGTAAGGCCCATGAGGGTCACCCATCCTATTCTTTCAAGAGGATCACTATCTCCTTTTTGTTTGTTTGTTTGTTTGTTTGTTTGTTTTTTGAGATGGTGTCTTGCTCTGTCACCCAGGCTGGAGTGCAGTGGCATGATCTCAGCTCACTGCAACCTCCGCCTCCTGGGTTCAAGCAATTCTCCTGTCTCTGCCTCCCGAGTAGCTGGGATTACAGGTGTGGGCCACCACGCCCAGATAATTTTTGTATTTTTAGTAGAGACGGGGTTTCACCATGTTGGCCAGGCTGGTCTCAAACTCCTGACCTTGGGTGATCTGCCCGCCTTGGCCTCTCAAAGTTCGGAGATTACAGGCATGAACCACCATGTCTGGACTCACTATCTCCTTTTTTGCCATGAGTATCCCCCTTTTTTGACATGAGTATCTTTTGACATGAGTATCCTCACAACCAGCCCCTATCGTTTGAGATAATTTCAAACTATTTTTCAAGTAAGAATCTAAGAGAGCTTTTGGTGCCCCCAATTTGTTTTAAAATTAGTAACGACATCTTGTAGTTGGATATTTTTCTATTGCTTCTAAAGTATGCATTTTCTTCCTTTATTTTACCCATATATGTATTTGGTGAGTGGAAAATGTGGTTGTTAAATGTATGGACTTTGGTATCAAGCAGACCTTGTTTTGAATCATAGCTCATTACATCTTATCCTCCCAAATAGCGAATTTCTTCTATTGTGGTTTCATTATCATCAATGTAAAGAAATAGACTCTTTTATTGTTCAACTGCTTTATTACTAGGACTTCTCCTTGTATGAAATGTAAGCTTCATGTTTAGAGGTCAGGATTCAGGAACATGTTTCAGCTAAGCATGACACATCCTAAAGGATGGCTAGTGTGGGAAATAGTGATTTTTCCTGGATTGTACTGTTGTCAATCACTTTCGACGTATCTGAACTACAACAGACTCCCTGAGGGTTCCTGGCTAAAGCTCAGATTTTGTTTCAAAAGCCATTGAACTAAAACAGCAACAAACAAACACACACAAAACAGATTATTTAAATAAATCAAGGCCGAGCACAGTGGTTCATGCTTGTAATCCCAACATTTTGGGAAGCTAAGATGGACAGATCACTTAAGGTCAGGAGTTCAAGACCAGCCTGGCCAATATGGTTGAACCCCATCTCTACTAAAAATACAAAAATGTGGCAGGCACCTGTGGTCCCAGCTACTCAGGAGGCTGAGGCACATAATCATTTGAACCCGGGAGGTGGAGATTGCAGTGAGCCGACACCGCTGCATTCCAGCCTAGGCAACAGAGCAAGACTCCATCTCAAAAAAAAAAAAAAGAAAAGAAAAGGAAAAGAAATCATTACAGTGGCTGTATATCTTCTGAAATTTGCATACAATAATTGCTTCTGACATATTCAAAATATGTAAGAAGCCCCTCCAACATCAGACTCCAAGTTCTTCAGTTTTGGGATTCAGACTGGCATTTCTTACTCCTCAGCTTGCAGACAGCCTGTGGGACCTTGTGATCATGTGAGTTAATATTTAATAAACTCCCCTTTACATATATATATATATATATAACCTATATATAAAATATATATATATATATCTCCTATTAGTTCTGTCTCTCTAGAGAACCCTAATACAGGAGGACAGGGCTTACCTTCATTCCATTATATGAAGGTGAGGACTGAACTCTGATTTTTATGCTGCCCAAATTCCTATCTAAGGTGTCTGGGGCATCGTGTCCTACAAATCATAAATTCTCATCAGATGGGTTTTATTTAACATTAATCGTGACTTACTCTCCAACCTGACTCTGGCATAATATTATGAGACAAGAAAGAAAATCAAAATATTTTACCCCAAAACATGTTTCTTTGCCATATTTTGAAATGGTCATGCAAAGCTGTTCTTTTTGGGGGCAAATTTGCATCTGTAAAGAATCTCAATTAACATAGCTAGATATTTTTCTTCCAGACCCTCCCAATCCTAAAGAGATTAACTGAGATCTGAATAGGAAACATTTGTCATCTATTGTCTCTAAGGGCAGCCACTATAAGACTTTGAAAGAACTTTGGCCTCCACCATCTTTTATCTTAACCTGAACATTCCCTTTCCATCAATCCCAGGTCCTTAGAAAACTCAACCAATTGTAAAAAAGAAAAATTTTAAATTCACCTGTAGCCTGGAAGCTCCCCCTCCACTGCACTTTGAGTTGTCCTGTCTTTCTGGGCAAACCAATGTATTTCTTTCTTTTTCTTTCTTTTTTTTTTTTTTTTTGAGACGGAGTCTCGTTCTGTTGCCAAGCTGGAGTGCAGTGGCGATCTTGGCTCACTGCAACCTCTGACTCCCGGGTTCAAGCGATTCTCCTGCCTCAGCCTCCCGAGTAGCTGGGATTACAGGCGAGTGCCACCACGCCGGGCTAATTTTTGTATTTTTAGTAGAGACGGGGTTTCACCTTGTTGGCCAGGATGGTCTCGATCTCCTGACCTCGTGATCTGCCCGCCTCGGCCTCCCAAAGTGCTGGGATTACAGGCACGAGCCACCGTGCCCGGCCTACCAATGTATTTCTTAAATGTATTTGACTGATGTCTCATGCCTCTCTAAAATGTATAAAACCAAGCTGCACCCCGACCAACTTGGGCACGTGTTCTCAGGACCTCCTGAGGGCTTTGTCACAGGTCATGGTCACTCATATTTGGTTCAGAATCTCTTCAAATATTTTACAGAGTTTGACTGTTTTCGTTGACAAAGGGAAATAGCTGTATTTATCTACGTATATATAGACCTTGTGTAGACCTTGTTTTTAATCCCAGCTTCATTACACCTTATCTTCCCAAGCAGCAAATTTCTTCTATGGTGGGTTTTTTTTTTTTTTTTTTTGAGACGTAGTCTCACTCTGTCAACCAGGCTAGAGTGCAGTGGCGCGATCTCGGCTCACTGCAAGCTCCGCCTCCCGGGTTCACGCCATTCTCCTGCCTCAGCCTCCTGAGTAGCTGGGACTACAGGCACCCGCCACCACGCCTGGCTAATTTTTTGTATTTTTAGTAGAGACGGGGTTTCGCCGTGTTAGCCAGGATGGTCTCAATCTCCTGACCTCGTGATCCGCCCGCCTCGGCCTCCTAAAGTGTTGGGATTGCAGGCATGAGCCACCGCGCCTGGCCTCTGTTGTGGTTTTATTATCATGTAAAGAAATAGACTGCCGCCTTGAATTCCTGGCCTCAGCCTGGTGGGAGGATCACTTGAGGCCAGGAGTTCAAGGCAGCAGTGAGCTATGATCTCACCACTGCACTTCAGCCTGGGTGACAGAGTGAGACCCTGTCTCAATAATTACAATAGTAATAATACATTTTAAAAATTAAAAAAATGCAAGAAAGGCAAAATTAAGGATTGTTTGCAAACATTTTCTCAACCCTCACAACTGCCCTAGAAGATACTATTACTCCTCTTTTACAAGTAAGAAAACCAAGGCTTCTAGAGGTTAAATTACTTGCCCGAGATCACTCAGATCAAAAGTGGGAGTTGCACAATCAACTCCTTTAATTTCAGAGCTGAAACACCTGCCAGCATAGAAGAAGTGCTGTGAATTATCAGGAAGAGGTGGGATCAGTGATTATTGATGGCACTGGGAGGAGGGGCGTACGTGAATTAGCTTTTTAAAAAGTAGTCAATAAAGAGACTAGGTCACAATGTGTTTACTAGCATCTGAGATAGCGCTTCCCCATTGCTCACATGACAGAAAGCTCTTCCCCTGCTCTGCCCCCAAGACCCATCCTCTCCCTGCGACATCTGTGGAGATTTCTCAAGGACACGGCTCCAGGGGTAATTTGTTTCAGCTGCTGCTTTCTAAGGGCGCAAATCAATCTTATTAACCCAAGTTCCTGAGAGAGACTGACTACAGGAGGTTAAAAGACTAAAGGGGAGGAAGTTGACGTTGGTGGTCCTTTTTTCGCCTTTTCTCTTTTCAAAGAGATGAAGTAGCTGGTATGTGGGTACAGAGTATGTCATAAGGATATTTCTTAGCAAATCCATGAGTTGGTGCGTAAAAGCAGTTATATGCTAAGCTGACCTGGGACTAAAAGGTAAGTCAGTTGGGCATCCTTATAAGAACAAACCTTTCCAGCCAAAAGATCAAGCTGGCGAGCTCTGGCTGTTGCAACTCATGCTCTAGAATGGCAGTCACCACGTGAGTGTGACCTGGTGTCTAGGAATGGGAATTACTCTAATTCCTCTTCTGTTTCTTGGGAGATGACTTGGCTCTGTAATGGAGATAATATAGTCTTTGAAGTCAAACAGACCTAGCTTCAAATTCTAGCTCTGTGACTCCTGAAAAGCTACCTAATTTCTCTACTGCTCAGTTTCCCCATTCGTTGAATGAGGATCATAATACTTACCATGTGGGTTTACGGTGGTTATCAAATAAGATGAAGCAAAAGGGCCAGGCATGGTGGCTCATGCCTGCAATCCCAGCACTTTGGAAGGCCAAGGAGGGCAGATTTCTTGAGCTCATGAGTTTGAGACCAACCTGAGCAACATGGTGAAACCCCATCTCTACAAAAAATACAAAAATTAGCTGGGCATGGTGGCATGCACCTGTAGTCTCAGCTACTTGGGAGGCTGAGACTGCAGTGAACCGAGACAGCTCTGCTACACTCCAGCCTTGGTGACAGAGCCAGACCCTGTTTCAAAAAGAAAAGGGGGTGGGGGGCAACAAAGTAAAAGGACATCCCAAGGTGACCGGCAGTAAATGGGTGGCCGCTATCTCTGTTATCAAAATCAACCCTCCAGTCTCTATGCCATGTGCATATCTGGACAAGTAGCATGGCTCCCAGCTGCAGCCTTATTTATGTCCCTTTCCTGTTCTTTAAGGGGTAAGTGTTCCAGGAAGAAAGCTTTGCACATGTCAGTGAGGTCAAACAGCCCTGTGAGAAAAGGGCTCCTCTGGAATGGCGCCATTAGAGAGGAACCAGCATGAGACAGGGCTGCCGTGCAACCTGGGGAGATTCAGTTCACCTATCTGTGCCTCCATTCCCTCAGTGTTATCTGGGGGTAATGATAGCTGCCCACTGCATGATTGGAATAATCACATTTGTTCTATATAAACAACCAACAAGTACTTTACTCTTAGCCGCCCACTCCTCATAATAGGTATTTGAGGAAATATCTGCCTCTTGACCTTGGGGGGAAGGGGGATGAAGGCCAGGCTGTAGGGAGGACCAACTGAGAGTAAGGCAGTGAATGTTCTCTGCAAACTGCGCCATTCTGGACCTAGCTGGAGCATTCCTGACCCCTGAAGCATGTGTGCCAGCTCTTGTGTTTTGCATTCACAGGTGCAGTAACTTTAAATTCCTCAAATCCCCTGAGTGCAAGGCCATGGCTCAGAAAAGCCTTGCAAACAACAGCATTAATCTCCCCTACAAGGACTTGACCTCCGAGGTAACCAGGCGCCGAGTCACCATGATCACAAGGTACCCAAAATCTTTCCTCTGGATCGCTTGTGGGGTTGGGACGGAGCATAACACTGAGCCCCAGCAAGTGCCTGAAACTGTAGCTGGCACTGGTTTATTTAAATGTATTTAATGCTGCTGCAAGACACATTTCACAGAAAAGGAAACTGCTTTGTCATCCATTGTGGAAAACAGACTTTTCCCACATGGCCCTTCAAGGGGTGATGACACCCATTTGTGTATGTTCACTGCGTGGGTGGTCGTGGCTCTTGATAGAGAGTGGGGAGTGGGGATCACTTTGTTTGGTTTGGTTTTGTTTTTTTGAGACAGGGTCTCGCTCTGTCACCTGGGCTGGAGTTCAGTGGTGCAATCACAGCTCACTGTAGCCTCAGCCTCAAGCTCCTGGGGCTTAAGCAATCCTCCCACCTCAGCCTCCCAAGTAGCTGGGACTACAGCCATGTGCCACCACGTCTGGTTAATTATTATTATTATTATTATTATTATATTGAGACGGAGTCTCTCTCTGTCGCCCAGGCTGGAGCAATCTTGGCTCACTGCAAGCTCCGCCTCCCGGGTTCACGGCATTCTCCCACCTCAGCCTTCTGAGTAGCTGGGACCACAGGCGCCCGCCACGACGCCCGGCTAATATTTTGTGTGTGTGTGTGTTTTTTTTTAGTAGAGACGGGGTTTCACCATTCACAGGATGGTCTAAATCTCCTGACCTTGTGATCTGCCCGCCTCGGCCTCCCAAAGTGCTGGGATTACAGGCGTGAGCGACTGTGCCCGGCCAGTTTTTTTGTATTTTTAATAGAAACAGGGTTTTGCCATGTTGCCCAGGCTGGTCTCAAACTCCTGGGCTCAAGTGGTCCACCTGCCTCAGCATCCCAAGGTGCTGGGATTACAGATGAGAGCCACTGTGCCTGGCCCAAGATGACACCTCTAGCTTGAGCTCTTTGTCGGGTATGTTATGAGATTAAAAATAATAATCTTACTAAATCTGATAAGAAGTTGGTCAAAAAAATCAAAATTATTGATTTGAAATAGAAAATACAGACTTCCATCTAATGTTGTTTACAATGCCCTTTGACCTTAGAGTTTATTGGGATGTAAGATTCCAGCAAATTGATAGGAATTAGGTGCCATTTCTTAGTTACCATATATGGGAATGTCAAATCTTTGTTGATAGTGGTGCACAGCCAATTTGATACCACGGGTTTAGACCGTGAGAGTGGGCATTGTCTGCAGGAAGTGTGGTCCCTGTGCTCTAATGTCCATCCAAGGACGAGATGGCATAATTCTGTGGCCTGTCCTAGCCACCAAACAATTCCCTTCCCATCATCCCACATCCTCTCAGCAACATTAGGGATCAGCTTTGATTGGGAGATGGGAGCAGTGAACTTGTGGCCAGATTGAAATTTAAATTTGGATTCCAGTTCTGCCTTCTACTGGTCACATGATCTGGGTAATCACCTTCTGTCTCAGCTTGCTCAGCTGAAAGATTTAATGTGGGGGCTGAGATTCTACATGTGGTTAGTTTCTAGGTAATTTCTAGTCCCTGGAACATAGTAAATGTTCAGGGAACAATTAAATCTGAACCTGTAAAAGCTTGACAGGCTAGTCCTATGCCCTTGAAGGCAAGGTTTGCCCAGCCCTGAGGAGGATGGGGAGACTCTGGTATACTCCAGCAGAAGGGGAGGCGAACCCCACAGCCTGGGGATGGGGGCAAGTTAGGCCAAAGGGAGCTGTGAAGTGAAACTGAGGCTGGACTGGCCCTGTGAATAGCTGGAATGCAAATGAAACGTTTAGACACAGCCTGTCCCAGGCTGAAATGTACAGAGAGCTGGCCAGTAGGGGATGGAGAAAGCTAATTGATGGGAAGAACTACTGCTCTAATCCTAAGATACCCTTGGAGGATGGGGATGGAGGAGTGAGGGTGCAGACTCTAACTCTGTTGGGTCCATGGCACCAACGGGGACAGCTGAGCTCACTCTGAGGAGAGCTGACTGACAATTAAAGTATATCTCATTTCTGCAAGGTGAGTATGGGTGGAGGAGCTTGGAAAGATGTCCTCTGAAATGTTAACTATTCTTTTTAGATGCTGGCATCTGGGGTATTTCTTTTGTTCCTTCTTTTTTGTTGTTTTGAGACAGGGTCTCACTCTGTCACCCAAGCTAGCGTGCAGTGGTGCAATCATAGCTCACTGTAGCCTCGATCTCCCAGGCTCAAGTGATCCTCCCACCTTGGCCTCCCAAGTAGCTGGGACCACAGGTGCATGCTACCATGCCTGGCTAATTTTTATTTTCTTGTGGAAAGGGGGTCTCCCTATGTTGTCCAGGCTGGTCTTGAACTCCTGGGCTCAAGTGATCCTTCCACCTCAGCCTCCCAAAGTGCTGGGATTACAGGCATGAACCACCATGCCCAGTCTGTTTCCTTTTCCTCTGTTTATTTAAAACCCTATCTTTATTCAAATGGCATTCAATGTGCCTTTCTTCCTAGAAAAGAGATAATTACCCAGAAAAGTGATGAAGCTAAGGAGATGCTCTCCCACTTGGATTTGGAGCAAGCCCCTCCCCCTCACAGGACCTACCTCACAGTACCTCCTGCCCCACCTCCTTCTCCAGCTGAGGATCCCACGGTCTCCTAAGATGTAAAACTTATTTTGAAGTGAATTCTTACACAGAACTCCAGAAAACAGTTTCAGTGGCATTCTTGAGGTTTGTCTTAGAAGACTCTTGAAGATCTTTGTTCTTTCCTATTTTTCTTCACCTAGAACCACCATAGAGCATGGTTTACCCTTGCTAATAGACTTAGTCATTTTTGGTTTTTTAATCCAAGTCTCTGATATGATATGCATATATTTTGATCTTTATGTTATGCTATAGAACTGTTGCTGTAGTCAGTTGTATTTAAATTAATAAACAGTTATCAGGCCTTGTTGTTTATTACTAAATCTGAATCAGTGAAAAGTCTAGGCCTTTTAAAGTCTAGAGTTTAAAGATCTCAGGTCCTGGGAACCCTGAGGTAGCTGGATTTTCAAAACGCAACCTGAGACACTACAGTTGTGTGGCCCTATATTTTGGAGCTGCATTCCCATGCCGTGTGCTGGGGCTAAGGTGGTTGAGTTTCACATTTATTGACAGTGTTTTTAAAGTTTGTTTCTGGGAGATTTGAAGTGATTTTCAAACTCTGTAACAGAAAACTCTACCCTGAAAAGCAGCCAAGTGTAGAGTGGTTCTGTTGTGGAGAAGTCCATTGCTTGAGTCCTCTCCAAGCTCCTTGACGGGCCCCAGTGCACCTCTAAGGACTTCCGGGGCTCTTCTGAATTGTTCGAAGGCATCAAAAATGTGATAATTCTGGCATACATATACATATAAAAAATATCCCCACATGTCATCCTTTATTTCGTCTGCTGCTTCTTAGAGTCCTTGTAGGTGTTCTGTCTCCAGGCCTGCCCTTGTAAATGTGCTCGGCTCCCCTATGAGAAAGGAGTCAAAGCTTCTGTACACCATTGTGGAGTCAGGGTAAACACTCTGTGATCTCCCCTGATCCCATGCATTTAATAAAACCAATGTTCCTTCTTTAAAAGTAAAAAGTGCTCCGGTTCTTCTACCCCCATAGTAGTTGGCTGTGCCATTGGTGTGGAAGTCGGACTCCTTACCTGTGGCCTTCAGCAGCATGGGGCAGGGAAGGAGCCTGCACTGAGTGTCTGCCATTGCCAGCTGGATGCTGGACATACACATCTCCCTCTCCTCAGTCTGGTGAAGAATGGGCCTGCGCTGTCCAATAGGACAACCACTGGCCACTTGTGACTATTTCAATTTAAATTCATTAAAAATGAAATAAATTCAGTTCTTCAGTCATGCTAGTCATATTTCAAGTGCTTAGTAGATTTGTGCAGCCAGTGGCTACCCTATGGGATGTTGCAGTTGTAGAATGTGACTGCCATTAAAGATAATTCTATGAGGCCGGGCATGGTGGCTCACCCCTGTAATCCCAGCACTCTGGGAGGCAGAGGTGGGTGGATCACCTGAGGTCAGGAGTTTGAGACCAGCCTGGCCAACATGGAGAAACGCTGTCTCTACTAAAAATATAAAAATTAGCTGGGTGTGGTGGTGTACACCTGTGATCCTAGCTACTTGGGAGGCTGAGGCAGGAGAATCGCTTGAACTCGGGAGGCGGAAGTTGTGGTGAACTGAGATTGCACCCTGTGCTTCAGCCTAGGCAACAGAGTGAGACTCCATCTCAAAAAAAAAAAAATAAATAAATTCCATTAAACAGTGATGGGGCAGAGGTTAAACATGTCCAAGGACACACCGCCAGTTAGAAATAGAATCAAAGAGAGGTCAGGCTGGGAAAGAATAATTCTTGTGTTTTACTTCCATTTGGTTTCTGAACACATTCTAGGATGTTCTCTCTGTTCCTTTGTTCAGCAAATGTTGAGTACCCACTATGTAAGCACGGCACTGTTCTAGGGATATATCACTGTACAAAACAATCAATCCCTACCCCATGGAGTTTACATTCCAATGGGGAAAGACTAACAAAAAACATACACAATGTAAGTCCAGGTGCAGTGGCTCACCCCTCTAGTCCCAGTGCTATGGGAGGCCAAGGTGGGCAGATCACTTCAGCTCAGGAGTTTGAGACCAGCCTGGACAATGTAGCAACCTCATATCTACAAAAACATACAAAAAAAATTTAGCTGGGCGTGGTGGTGGGCTCCTGTAGTCCCAGCTACTTGGGAGGCTGAGGTGCAAGGATCACTTGAGCCTGGGAGGTGGAGGTTGCCATAAGCTGAGATTATGCCACTGCACTTCAGCCTGGGTGACAGAGTGAGACCCTCTCTCAAAAACAAAACAAATACACAATGAAAAAACAGTGAATTATACATCAGGAGGCGATGAGTATAATGGAAAAGATGTGTTAAAGCAGTGAAACAGGGTAAGGGAGATTAGAAGTGCAGGTTGGTTGTAGTGTTAAACAGGGTGGTCTGGGTAGGTGTATGACTCCATTTTAATGCCACTGATAAAGGCATACCCGAGACTGGGAAGAATAAGAGGTTTCATTGGACTTACAGTTCTACATGATTCTGAGGGGAGTCCTCAGAATCATGGCGGAGTGTAAAAGGCACCTCTTACATGGTGGCAGCAAGAGAAAATGAGGAAGATGCAAAAGCAGAAACCCCTAATAAAACCATCAGATCTCATGAGACTTATTCACTACCATGAGAACAGTATGAGGGAAGCTGTCCCCGTGATTCAAATTATCTCTCACCAGGTTCCTCCCACAATATGTGGGAATTATGGGAATATAATTCAAGTTGAGATTTGGGTGAGGACACAACCAAAACATATCGTTCCATCCCTGGCCCCTCAAAATCTCATGTCCTCACATTTCAAAATTAATAATGCCTTCCCAGCAGTCCCCCAAAGTCTTAACTCATTTCAGCATTAACCTAAAAGTCCATGGTCCAAAGTCTCATCTGAGACAAGGCAAGTCCCTTCCACCTATGAGTCTGTAAAATCAAAAGCAAGCTAGTTACTTCCTGGATACAGGAGGGTACAGGTATTTTGTAAATACAGCCATTCCAAATAAGAGAAACTGGCCAAAACAAAGGGGTTACAGGGCCCATGCAAGTCTGAAATCCAGCTGGGCAGTTCAAATTTTAAAGCTCCAAAATGATCTCCTTTGACTCCAGGTCTGTAGGACCTCTTTAGGAAGGTGGCATTTGAGCAAAGACTTGAAGCCAGTGATGAAGTTAGGTGTGTGGACATTTGGGACAGAGGGAAGAACTAGTGCAAAGGTTCAAAGGTAGAAGTGTGCCTGGTGCATTCAAGGAGAGCGAGGAAGCTTGAGTAGAGTGGATCAGGGACATTTGTGGGATGAAGGCACAGTGGTGGAGGAAGGAGGCCGACGATGTGGGGTTTTGTAAGAACTCTGACTTTGACTTTGAATGAGATGGGAAGCAGAAGCCATAGAGGTTTTCAGAAAAAGAGGCATGATCTGGCTTGTGTTTTAATGGGATTGTTCTGGCTACAGTGTTGAGAGTAGGCTGCATGGGTAGAGGGAACAGAAGCAGGTCATCTGCTATTGTAGTAATCCAGGAACAAGACGATAGTCATTTAGACCGATTACAGTTGTAGTGATGAGAAATATGGGAAGATTCTGGATCTACGTGTTTGAAGATGAAACCTACAAAAGCTGCTGATGCATTGGATATGGGGTATGATAGACAGGCGGGTAAAGGATAACTCTAAGATTTTTGGCCCAAGCAACTAGAGGGATTGAGTTTCCTCAGCCAAAAGAAGAGCAGATTTACCTGGGTGCAATGGTTCATGCTTGTGGAGGCTGAGGCAGGAGGATTGTTTGAGGCCAGGAGTTTGAGACCAGCCTCATCAACATAGGGAGACCCTGTCTCTACAAAAAACAAAAACAAAAAAAAACCAAGCACAGTGGCTCAAACCTGTAGTCCCACCTACTTGGGAGGTTCAAGCTGCTTCTTGCTTGAGCCCAGGAGTTTGAGGCTACAGTGAGCTGTAATTTGCCACTGCCCTCCAGCCTGGGTGATAGAGTGAGACCTTGTCTCAAAAAAAATAAAAATAAAAGAGCAGATTTGGTGTGTCTGATGAAGAAAGAGAAGGTCAGATGTTCAACCTGCTAGTTTGACATGCCTAATAGACATCTAAATGGAGATGCCAAGGGGGCAGGTGATATATGAATCTGGAGTTCAGGAGTAATGACTAGGTTGGAGATATAAACATGAGGTTCATTAGCATATGTGAGTTGGAATTTAAAGCCCTGATATTAGATGAGATGCCCAAAGGAGTAAGTAGATAAGAAGAGACCCTAAACTGAGCCCTGGGGTGCTTCAATCTTAAGAGGGAGCTAGCCTGTAATCTCAGCACTTTGGGAGGCTGAGGCAGGTGGATTGCCTGAGGTCAGGAGTTCAAGACTAGCCTGACCAACCTGGTGAAACTCCGTCTCTACTAAAAATACAAAAATTAGCTGGGCATGGTGGCAGGCGCCTGTAATCCCAGCTACTCGGGAGGCTGAGGCAGGAGAATCGGTTGAAACTGGGAGGCAGAGGTTGCAGTGAGCTGAGATCATGCCATCGCATTCCAGTCCGGGCAACAAGAGCGAGACTTCATCTCAAAAAAAATAAAAAGTAAAAAGAGGTCGGGATTAAAGGGCGGAACCAGCAAAAGAAACAAAGAAGGAACAGTCAAAGATGGAGGAGGAGTCTAACATTCTGAAAGCTTCATGAAGGAAAAGTTTTTCTTCCCTTTGTTTCTTCTTCCTCCACCCTCTTCTTCCATCCCAAAGCCTGATGCAGCAGGTTATGGAGAGAAAGAACAGGAGCCATGGGGAGGGCTGCACAAACAGGATTGGCTCATCTCAGCATCTCAGTTACTTTCCACCTTCCACTTTTCATTCAAACACCTGGCAGGTAGAGGTGCTTAGTAGGATGAATGAGCTCATGCATTCCGATTTCTGGGCTTTTCAGTTTTTAAGAGTCAGCTGTCAGTGGGGGAGAGTGGTTGACACCCAGATGTTATGGGCTGAATGGTGTCCCCACCCCCAAATTCATATCTGAAAGTCCTAATCCTAATACTTTGTTTTTAACTTTTAGTTTTTTTAGACAGAGTCTTGCTCTGTTGCCCAGGCTGGAGTGTGGTGGCATGATCTCGGCTCACTGCAGCCTTCGCCTCCCAGGTTCAAGCGATTCTCCTGCCTCAGCCTGTCAAGTAGCTGGGATTACAGGTGTGCACTACCACACCCGGCTAATTTTTATATTTTTAGTAGAGACGGGGTTTCACTACGTTGCCAGGCTGGTCTTGAACCCCTGACCTCAAGTGATCCTCCTGCCTTGGCCCCCCAAAGTACTGGGACTACAGGTATGAGCCACCACACCTAGCCCTAATCCTAATACTTTAGAATGTAACTGTCTTTGGAGATAAGGCCTTCAAAGAGGTGATTAAGCTAAGCTTAGGTCATTAGGGTGAAAAAGAGGAGATCGGGACACAGACATGTACAGAGGGAAGATAATGTGAAGATGTAGAGAACAGCCATCCATCTATAAGCCAAGGAGAGAGGCCTCAGGAGAACCAACCCTGCTGACACCTTGATCTTGGACTTCCAGCCTCCAGAATTGTAAGAAAATTAATTTCTGTTGTTTAAGCTATGAAAGGAAAATAAATCTTGGGGTCCCAAAATCACTAAGCTAAAGGGAAAAGTCAAGCTGGAAACTACTTAGGGTAAACCTGCCTCCCATTCTATTCAAAGTCACCCCTCTGCTCACCGAGATAAATGCATATCTGATTGTCTCTTTTGGAGAGGCTAATCAGAAACTCAGAAGAATGCAACTGTTTGTCTCTCACCTACCCGTGACCTGGAAGCCCCCTCCCTACTTGAGTTGTCCCACCTTTTGGACAGAACCAATGTACATCTTACATATATTGATTGGTGTCTCATGTCTCCCTAAAATGTATAAAACCAAGCTGTGCCCCAACCACCTTGGACACATGTCATTAGGACCTCCTGAGGCTCTGTCACGGTGCCCTCAACCTTGGCAAAATAAACTTTCTAAATTAACTGAGACTTGTCTCAGCTCTTTGGGGTTCACAAAGCCACTCTGTCAGTGGTATTTGTTATGGGAGTTCAAGTATATTAATACACCAGTGGAGAGCCATTTTGAGATCTCATCCTCTCCCTTCTCACTCATGGCATGTGTAATCTTAATGAGAATAAACTCCCAGGGGAAAAGAAAAGTCAGGCTTGGTATGGTGGCTCACGCCTGCAATCCCAGCACTTTGGGCTGCTGAGGCCAGCAGATTACCTGAGGTCAGGAGTTTGAGACCAGCCTGGCCAACATGGTGAAACCCCTGTCTCTGCCAAAAATACGAAAATTAGTTAGGCATGGTGGCACATTCCTGTAATCCCAGCTACATGGGAGGCTGAGGCAGGAGAATCAATTGAACCCCGGAGGCGGAGGTTGCAGTGAGCCGAGATAGCACCACTGCACTCCAGCCTGGGTGACAGAGTGAGACTCTGTCTCAAAAAAAAAAAAAAAAAAAGTCAGATTTTTCGCTTTGCTTTCCAAAGTATAGTCTTTAGAACTCAGGATAGGAAGAATTGTCTTAAAGCCAAGGCTTTGACTTTTAAGAGCTGATTCTCTTGGAAATCAAAAGGCTGAGCTCTGGTCCCATGAACAACAACCTGAGAAGATAGGTGAAGAGTATTCCATCTCTACAGTCTGAATAAAGTCTGGAAGAATAAGGGAACTTCAGAGAGAGAAAGAGAGCTTAGAAATTAGCCAGGCCTGGTGGTGGGCGCCTGTAATCCCAGCTACTCGGGAGGCTGAGGCAGGAGAATCGTTTGAACCCAGGAGGCAGAGGTTGCAGTGAGCCGAGATAGCACCACTGCACTCCAGCCTGGGTGACAAAGCAAGACTCTGCCTCAGAAAAAAAAGAGAGAGAAAAAACTTAGATTCTGGAGGTTTCCTGATAGGACTTCATGTACCAGATAGGTTGGGGCAAGAGAAAGCAGAGGAGACTTGTGCTCATTTCCAGGTGAAGCCTATGGGGTGGCAGACTTCTAGGAGAAGTGGCCCTGACCCAGCAGGGGCACAGCAGGAGAGCAAAAGGGAACCTGTGTTCCTACCCTGCAGGACAGCTCCCACTGTGTCCTCATATCCTTGGTGGTACACACAACAGGCTGGAAAAAAGCTGCCTTGGCCAGGCATGGTGGCTCACGCCTGTAATCCCAGCACTTTGGGAGGCTGAGGAAGGTGGATCATGAGGTCAGGAGTTTGAGACCAGCCTGACCACCATGGTGAAACCCCTGTCTCTAGTAAAAATACAAAAATTAGCAGGGCGTGGTGGTAGGTGCCTGTAATCCCAGCTACTCAAGAGGCTGAGGCAGGAGAATCGCTTGAACCCGGGAGGCAGAGGTTGCCACAAGCTGAGATCATGCCACTGCACTCTAGCCTGGGTGACAAAGTGAGACTCCTCAAAAAAAAAAAGGCTGCCTCATGGGTCTGGCCATTGGAACTCAGAGGACCCCAAATCTGTAACTGGATACAGAGATGTGGATGCCAGCAGCAAAGCTGGAATCTGCCTGATGGCTAAAATCAGGTGTGAGACACTCTGCCTGGGTTCTTCCCCCTGAGTGCCAGTGCGCCCTCAATCTCACTTGTCTCAAGCATAGATGCCACCTCAAAGACATGGGGAGAGGAAAAGCCTGAATTGGCTGACAACACATTGATGTGATGGAATCCAAGCTGAACTGGCAAATGAAGTGTTCTACCATTAGGTACAATGGCAACTGAAGAGGGAAATTAAGTTTGTTATTAAAAAATAATGCAGCTAGGTGTGGTGGCTCATGCCTGTAATCCCAGCACTCTGGAGGCCGAGATGGGAGGATTACTTGAGGCCAGGAGTTTGAGACAAGTTGGTCAACATAGTACAATCCTGTCTCTACAAAAAAATTTAGAAAATAATAATATTGCTATAAGGGCTGAGGATAATGGAGTTATTAATGGGTGTATTAATAACCGTAAAGTCACCGCACTAGCCCTGACTTTTCTTTTCCCCTGGTACATTAATAACTTGAGTTATTAATGTTCTGGAGATGATGGTCGTGATGGTTGCCCAATAATATGAATGTGTTTAACACTACTGAACTGTGCCTTTATAAATCCTGGGATGGTAAATTTTGTTATATTTTACTGCAGTTTTAAGAGTTGGAAGAACAAAACTATGCTATAAGCTTTCTCCACCTGAGGTTGTGGCTTATAAAATTCATACCCCTGATGACAGATAAAAACTGAAGTGGAGGGGCTGGGCGTGGTGGCTCACGCCTGTAATCCCAGCACTTTGGGAGGCCAAGGTGGGTGGATGACAAGGTCAGGAGATCGAGACCATCCTGGCTAACATGGTGAAACCCCATCTTCACTGGAAAAAAAAAAAATTAGCCAGGCGTGGTGGCAGGCGCCTGTAGTCCCAGCTACTTGGGAGGCTGAGGCAGGAGAATGGTGTGAACCTGGGAGGCGGAACTTGCAGTGAGCCGAGATCGTGCCACTGCACTCCAGCCTGGGTGACAGAGCGAGACTCCATCTCAAAAAAAAAAAAAAAAAAAAAAAAAAATCAAAAGCAAACTGAAGTGGAGTTAGGGTGAATAGAGGGTGGGTTCAGGGGAGAGATGGAAAGATTGCTCCGGTAGTGCCGAGAGCACCAGGAGATGGAGGTGGGAAAGTGTGGATGCTGCTATTTGCTTGGCGTCATCCTGGGCAGCACCTCAAAACCAGGCACAAGCCTCTCAGTTACACACACACACACACACACACACACCACCTTTAACATCCTGCAATCACATCTCCCAACCTGAAGGAATTACCTGATGGTTGGAATCTATATCCTTCTCTTAAGCAAAGATTCCCACAAAGTTCAAGGAAGAGAACGTTGGGTAAGAAAATTTTATTTCACAATGTAAAGGGTTATGTGAGACCCAACTGTATTCTATCTGAAGCATTAGAAGCCAACTGTAGTAAATGCATCTTACTTATATTCGATGCTGGCCAGAGGAGCTATTCTGCTTCCTTTAGAAGTTATGCTTTTTATTGTGGCTTGTGGTAACCATGTAACATGCAAGAGCAATGGTTTTCAGGAAGAAACTATTATGCCTTACAGCTTTTGCCCCAAATCACAAGAAAACTTGAACTATGTCATTAAACATCCCATAAATGCTGACAGAAGATAAAGGATATTTATTATATGAAATTGTCTACGCCCTCAGACTACAATTCCTGAATAGTTAGATGGTGACCATGTTCATCCTTCTGGATTAATGAAAACTTGGAAAGCAGTCAAAGCTGCCTGGGCCCTGGCTGGCTGGCTCTCCCTTCAGCCTGCTCCCCCCAGGAGCCCTGAGCATCTCCTTCTGCCATTGCCTGTACAGCTTGGAGGCTTTTCACATCTTGGAGAGCTTGATGTCATAAGTGACCATGTTCAAGTTGTCCCAGGCAAAGAGCTTCTTCTCCAGGGGGTTGTAGTCAATCATGCTGCTGTACTTATAGCGGTTCTTGAATGGGATGGTCAGGGTCTTGCTGATACCTGTGCCTGTGTCATAAGCAAAGTTGACGGTAGCA
Source organism: Homo sapiens (assembly GCF_000001405.40). Lineage (NCBI taxonomy): Eukaryota > Metazoa > Chordata > Mammalia > Primates > Hominidae > Homo > Homo sapiens. The sequence goes on from NC_000001.11 coordinate 171,636,103, forward strand.
TCTGCTGAGGTGTAGCTGCTGACGGTGTACAAGGTGCCACAGATGATGAAGGCATTGGCGACTGACTGCTTACGGATGTTTGTCTCCCAGGTTTGTTCGAGTTCCAGATTCTCTGGGTTCAGTTTGGAGAGGACAATGGCACCTTTGGCCTCATCGGTGCTGTAAATGACCCAGAGGCCTGCTTCATCCACAGCCAAGTCAATGTCCGTGTAGCCACCCCAAGAATACGGGAACTGTCCGTGGTAGCCAGCTCCAGGGATTTCCTTCTCAGCCTTCACTGTCTCGGTATTCAGCTCATATCTTATGACAGTTCTGGACTCAGCGCCCTGGAAATAGAGGCTCCCCGAGTACACCACAGCACCCGTGCTTTCCAGTGGCCTAGGCAGTATGTGAACCTTAGAAGGGTAGCCCTGCATAAACTGGCTGATGAGGTCATACTCAAAAACCTGGCGGACATCCGTGCCAACTGTGTCGATTCTCCACGTGGTCTCCTGGGTGTAGGGGTAGGTGGGCTTGGGGTCTCGCATCCACACACCATACTTGCCAGTAATTGTTTCTGCTGTTCTCAGCGTGAGAGGCTCTCCTACCCAAACTAGTTCTCCACATCCTGGTAAATTCAGAAAAGAAAACGAAGCACCACTTAATCCATAATCTTTCCAAACACAGACAATGATCATGCGGAAGCTTGGCAGAGCCAGTAGATGTGACAGCCCTGGAGACAAATCGTCTGGGTTTAAAGCTAGGCTCTACCACCCGCTGGCTGTGTGACTTTCAGTAAGTTACTTAGCTCTCTACGCCTCAGTTATCGCATTTGTAAAAGGGGATACTAATAGTGTTTTGGGTAGTAGGGCTGTTGTAAATTTTAAATGTAATTATATATGTTAAGTGCTTGGTATAGAGTAAATATATGGTAAATGCTATATGATCAATCTGTGTTTCATGTTATTGACAATTATTGCTATCACTGAGGGGCATGCATGGGAGTGGGAGCTATAAAATATTTAAAGTACAATTCACTCAGTATCAGTTGTAAGGATGAAAGTTGCACAGAGGGCTTCAACTGCATTTGTAATATTCTACTTAAGCTGGGCAGGGACCCATGGGTGTTCATTGTATTACTTATTGTGACTTTCATGCCTGGTTTATTTCATTACTATAAGGTAGGAGAGAGAAAAATCAACTCATAAGAATAATCTCCATACAACAAAGTTTTTCAAGCCCTGATGAGTCACATATTTCATACATCATTTTAATATAATAAACATGAAAATAATTATTTTTTGAGACAGGGTCTTGCACTGTTACCTAGGCTGGAGTGCAGTGGTGCAATCACAGTGCACTGCAGCCTCGACCTTCCAGGCTCAAGCACCCCTCCCATCTCAGCCTCCTGAGTTGCTGGGACTACAGGTGCCTGCTACCACACCTGGCTAATTTGGTTTAGAAAATAATTTTTTAAATGTAGTGAAGAGACGGTTGAAAATTTAGAGTTACCAGAATCACAACAGATGTCTGTATTTTTTTTTTTTTTGAGACAGAGTCTCACTCTGTCGCCCAGGCTGGAGGGCAGTGGTGTGATCTCGGCTCACTGCAACCTCTGCCTCCTGGGTTCAAGCAATTTTCCTGCCTCAGCCTCCCAAGTAGCTGGGATTACAGATGACTGCCACCATGCCTGGCTAATTTTTGTATTTTTAGTAGAGACAGTGTTTCACCATGTTGGCCAGGCTGGTCTTGAACTCCTGACCTCAAGTGATCCGCCCGCCTCAGCCTCCCAAAGTGCTGGGATTACAGGCATGAGCCACCATGCCTGGTCCAGATTTCTCTACTTTTAATGGCACCTTCGGTTCCCTCATAGAAGGTAGAAACACTTTGCTGCTCATATCTTAGAGAACCGTGTTTTAAATATTTCATAACCCCTACTTGCATGCATGCCCTTCAGTGCTAGTAATCATTGTCAATAACATGGATAGTCAAAGTTTCTGGAAATCACAGTATTAGTCATAAAGTTGGACTTTCAGGGAACACTTTGGAGAGAGCCAAACTGTACTTTTCCTAAGTGGCCAAAGTTCAGAAAACATACTGTTAGTAACAGATTGTGGCTGAGATGGTGCTTGGTGTATACCTGTCCCTAAAATAAAGATATGAAGGCGCTACTGAAAAATGTAACTTCTCAAGTATATCTAATTCTACATGACAATCAAGTGGATGAAATCAACACATCTCTCATCTTGCCCTGTGCAGCCCAGCCCAGCCTCCCAAGTGTGGGTGATAGGATAGAGGGCTTTGTTAGGGAAAGGCTGACTCCTGCAGACCTGCTCTGACAAGGGAACAGAGAGAGAGAGAGAGTTCTGTTCCTCTTCTCCTCCCCTCCCTCTGCTCCCAGGGAAGTTAATTTCCCCCTTGGGTGGGCATTTACCCTATACTGATTCTCTGAACACAGCACTAGACATGAATAAAGACCACGTGGGCACAAAAGGGAAGAAACTTAACTTCATACCGGTGTCTCCCTCTCCACTCCTGAGATAGCCAGATGGGCTCTCCTTCAAAATTCGGGAAGCAGGAACTTCAGTTAGCTCGGACTTCAGTTCCTGGAAGGCCAAAGTGTCCAAATTCCACGTAGAAACTGCATTAAAAGAAAGAGACAAAATTTTACTGTAAGAAAAAATGGCCCAAGGATTGACTATGTTGAGGATGACATTTAAATAGGCTGCCGGCCAGGCGTGGTGGCTCATGCCTGTAATCCCAGCACTTTGGGAGGCCGAGGCAGGCGGATCACCTGAGGTCAGGAGTTCGAGACCAGCCTGGCCAACATGGTGAAACCCTGTCTTTGCTAAAAACACAAAAGAATTAGCTGGATGTGGTGGCAGGTGCCTATAATCCCAGCTTCTTGGGAGACTGAGGCAGGAGAATTGCTTGAACCAAGGAGGGGGAGATTGCTGTGAGCCGAGACTACACTATTGTACTCCAGCTTGGGCAACAAGAAAGAAACTCTGTCTGAAAACTAACTAACTAAATAAATAGGCTCCCAAAGATATGGTGTTTGAGATTTGATTTTAGATAAGGACTGGGGATGGGTTGGGGGTCAGAGAAGGGAAGATAAAACATGATTGGACTGTGCTGATAACAGTTGGGCCTGAGTGATGGCTACATTGGAGTTCATTGTAGTCTCTCTACTTTTGTGAATATTTGAACAATTCCATAATTAAAAACCTCATAAATAATAAATTGCAGGGCAATGTGCCTACCTTAGAGTAGGGTATTCAAAATCAAATAATATTTTAATTCCACTAGAAGGGCTGGTTTGTGAATAGGTGAGTCGTAATTTCAGGAATATGGAGACAGTCCTCAGCATCTTCTTAGATGTCTGAATTTCAATAATTAAAAATTCATGAAAAATTAGCTGGGCATGGTGGTAAGCATCTGCAGTCCTAGGTACTTGGGAGGCTGATGTGGGAGGATTGCTTGAGCCCAGAAGTTCAAGGCTGCAGTGAGCTATGATCCTGCCACTGCACTCCAGCTTGGGTAACAGAGCAAGGCCCGGTCTCAAGGTCTCAAAAAAAAAAAAAAAGAGACCGGGCACAGTGGCTCACACTGAAATCCCAGCACTTTGGGAGGCCGAGGCAGGCGGATCACTTAAGGCCAGGAGTTCAAGACTAGCCTGGCCAGCGTGGTGAAATTCCATCTTTACTAGAAATACAAGAATTAGCAGGGTGTGGTGGCACATGCCTGTAGTTCCAGATACTCAGGAGGTTGAGGATCACTTGAACCCAGGAGGCAAAGGTTGCAGGGAGCCGGGATTGTGCAACTGTACTCCAGTCTGGGCAACAGAGCAAGACTCTGTCTCAAGAAAAAAAAAAAAAAAAAAAAAAAAAAAGAAGTGTGGCTCATGTCTGTAATCCCAGCACTTTGGGAGGCCAAGACAGGAGGAGTACTTGAGCCCAGGTGTTCAAGACCAGCTTGGGCAACATAGGGAGACTCCTGTTAAAAAAAAAAAAAAGATAAAAGTTTACTGCATGACTTAAGGTTTTTTCCCTTGTTATATGCAAATATTCTTGTAAGAAGTAACATATTAAGCTTTATACTTTCAGTAGAAATATTCTGTCTGATTCCTTTCTGAGACCAGTTTTGCATAATGGAGAGGGAGTGTGTGCAGAGTTCCTATAGGAGTTTGGGGTGGGGGTGGTGAGCCATACAGAAGGGAAGCGGGTGGGCAGCATTGGTTAGACAGTAAGTGATCATGGTGTGCTACATGTCTCTACTCTTGCTTAGGATTATGATCTTACAGCAGTCTTGAATACAAGGATGAGGCAATAGTCACAAGGAACAGGCTTGGCTATTTTAAAATGCAGTTTGGCCAGGCCCAGTGGCTCATACCTGTAATCCCAGCACTTTGGGAAGCCAAGGTAGACAGATCACTGGAGCCCAGGAGTTCAAGACAAACCTGGGCAACATGGTGAAATCCCATCTCTACAAAAACTACAAAAAGTTAGCCTGGGTGGTGATGTGTACCTGCAGTCCCAGCTACTTGGGAGGCTGAGGTGGGAGGATCACTTGAGACCGGGAGGTCAAGGCTGTGGTGAGCAGTGATCGTACCTCTGCACTCCAGCCCTGGCGTAGAGTGAGACCCTGTCCTCCCCTCCAACCTCCCAAAAAACCCATCACATACACATAAAAACAAATAAAATGCAGGTTTGATGATTATTCAGGTGTGGCAAGGCCAACATCCCAGGAGGCAATTGTCACTGAAAAGCAAGTTAAAGCAAAATTATGGAGACAGTAAAAAGATCAGCAGTTGTTGGGTGAGGAAGGGATGACTAGGTGAGGCACAGACGATTTTTAGGGCAATGAATACTGTGTATGATACTATAATGGTGGACACATGTCACTATGCATTTGTCTAAACCCATAGAAGGCGCAACACCAAAAATGAACCCTAATTTAAACCGTGGACCTTGGGTGTTGTGCGTGCTGATGCAGGTTCATCAGTTGTAACAACTGCTGTGGCGGGAGATGATGATAATCGGGGAGGCTGTGCATGTGTGGGGGCCAGTAGTATCTGGGAACTGTTTGTACTTTTCTCTCAATTTGGCTGTGAACATAAAACTGCTCTAAAAAAAAATTATCTTTACAAGTTGTTGTACTCACAGAGCCCAAGAGGAAGGGGGCACACTAAGCCCAGGAGGCCACCTGGGGAAGCACCAGGGTTGCTCCAGAAGAGGGCACCAGGGGAAAATGTGGGAAAGCGCCTTTATTCTTTCCATGGGAAGGAAAGAAAGGGGAGGCAGGGTAAGCAGGTTTAGGATTGGGGAGTTTGAATAATTTCAGCAGGATCTGGGGTCACAGGAGTTATCTCTAATTGTCTGGTACCAGGCCCTGGGTGATTAGGTCAGGGGGACAGTGGCCTTGAGTTTGAGCCAGATGGAGGTGGTCACAGGGTGTGGGCTCTGGATTGGTTGGTTTGCATATGAAAGCTGTCCTCCCAGGTGAGTCCTTTGCTAACCGTAGGAACTGGCTACCCCTGGGAGGGGCAGTCCCTCTCACGTTTGCAAGGCCCAGACAGCAAAGCATCAGAATAAAAAGACATGCTTAATACACTGGGCTTTTCTCTTGCTGAACCTCTGAGTCACTTCTCTGCCCTTTGAGCAACTTGTTCCCCGCTCAGGATTCTCAGGTGTTCAGGACAGTGGGAGGAAAGTCAGTGCATCCCCTGAGGCCGGAGCGCCTACACAGCCGAGAGGGTCGGGAAGACATGTTCTGCCTTTGATCATTTGTTTGCTCAGCTCTCCTAAATTTAGATTTCAGGCAGAGAGGATCACCACAGAAGTCTTAATCCTCTGGTTCTACCACATTTCATCAAAGCCACACATTATTTTACATTTTCACATCTCCAGAGTCAGGGTACCTTGTTTGAGTTGCTGGGGTTCAGCTTCAACAAATTATAGTACTGGAAAAAATTTCTCCCTGGAAGGAGGTGAAGAAAACATTCAGCTAGCTCTCAGGTGCAGGCTGGGCCAGACAGCCATGCTGCCCACAGTGAGCCAGCTCAGTAGCTGCTGCAGCTGCCTGCCCCTGATCCCAGCTACCCTTCTCTCCTCTCCACCCCTGCCTCTGTGTGGCTGCAGTTGTTAGCCTCCCTAAAAGTGTTAATGCCCTGGAGGTGGGTGGGTCCTCCATCCCTGGGATATCCCTCAGTCTAGAGTGCACCATGTAAGTAGTTAAAACCCATAAGCTGGCCAGGCGCAGTGGCTCATGCCTGTAAACCCAGCACTTTGGGAGGCCGAGGTGGCAGGATTGCATGAGGCCAAGAGTTTGGGACCAGGCTGGGCAACATAGCGAGACCCCATCTTTACAAAAAATTAAAGAGTTAGCTGGGTGTGGTGGTGCAGTCTGTGGTCTCAGCTACTCGGGAGGCTGAGGCAGGAAGATGACTCTTGAGTCCAAGAGGGCAAGGCTGCAGTGAGCCATGATCATGCCACTGCACTCCAGTCTGGGTGACAGAGTGAGACCCTGTCTTAAAAAAAAAAAAAATTAAAAAAAGAAAGACTCATAAGCCAAAATGTATATGTAACTGAGGACATCCTCAATGTGCATTCCAAACTCCAGGGGCAATTGGGAGTACCCCCCGGGACATGGCAGGCCTTCATTATTCCTAGCCTCAAATCCACAGAGCTATTTATCCATCCTTTTAGTCACATCATTGGAGCACCTATTGAGTGCAAGGCTGTGCTAGGTGCTCAAGAAAAAAAGGTGTCTAAGACACAAGTTTGTCTAATAGGCTAGTCTATGTTTAAAAAAAAAAAAAAAAAGACACAATCAGTCCATGCCCTTAAGGAAATCATAATCTGGCAAAGTCCTCATACCCGAGAAGGAAAATGGGTTTATTCCAGGCTGCTGCGGAAACCAGTTTCTTGGACAATCTGAATGGCTCCTGGAGAGTCCTGGAAACTTTTATTTCATTCCCTGCGTCTCCTTCTCCCTATCTGAGGTTGTGCAGGGGTGAGGAAACCCCTTTGTTCTTCATTCTAAAGGTTGCATTGGCCTAGGAGGGTATCCAGGGCAGGGACTGATTCACTAGGTCAAATGGAGTTTCCTTAGATCGACCTGAGACCAGTACCAGCTGCTTCCCTTCTCCCCCTGTGCAGGCAACACACACCTCCGGCAGGGACTTGGTGCTGCCTATGGGGGAGAGGGACAGGGTGCCCGAGGTTCCCTGTTCTTCTGTGCTGCCAGGGAGAGGTAAGAGAGAGTGACCGCCTTCCTGTACACAGGTGGCAGAACCATCTGTAACCTTCCTCTCTGATGCTGCCTCGCCGATTGCCATGCCTTCTCTCTTAGGCCCAGAACACACACCCAGGCTGTTAGGAGCAGCCCACCGCTCCCTGGCCCTGCCAGCCTCCTGCAATGTGCAGAGGCTCATTCGATGTGGCAAAGTCTTGCCAGGACAATTTTTCAAAATCAGGGCATTAAGCAAGTTCCTTGAATTGAGCTGGTTTCCTTTCATCTGTACCTCTTCTTGGATCACTGCAGACTCTGCCTCAGGACAACTCAAATTTCTTTTCTTTCATTGTCTCAACTCTCAGAATATAAGAGTTGCTGGGCATGGTGGCTCACGCCTGTAATTCCAGCACTTTGGGAGGCTGAGGTGGGTGGATCATGAGGTCAGGAGTTCGAGACCAGCCTGACCAACATGCTGAAACCCTGTCTCTACTAAAAATACAAAAATTAGCCGGGCATAGTGGCACATGCCTGTAATCTCAGCAACTAGGGAGGCTAAGTCAGGAGAATCGTTTGAACCTGGGAGGCAAAGGTTGCAGTGAGCTGAGATTGTGCCATTGGACTCCAGCCTGGGTGACAGAGAGACTCTGTCTCAAAAAAAAAAAAAAAAAAAAAAAAAGGAGTTGGTTTCAGGCAATGTGAGGAGAGAGAAATACTGCATGCCATCTGTACACAAAGTCTGGAGGACTGCCCCAACCTTGTCCCTACACTTCAGCTATGCCATCCACAGTTGCCATGGGAGGGTCCCTTAATAAATGTGTCAATACTAAAATTTCTCTGGAATGTTTCAAAATCACTAACATTTCATTCTGAATGTGGAAGAAAACCAAAAAGAGATTATGAAAATATTAAGGGCTATATTGTGACAGATCGTTAACATTTTTAGGGCTTTTTTTTTTAGGTTTTTAAAAAAATATTAAATTCAGGCGAGCCATCCCTCCCCTGCATCTGGCCCCTTTACACATACAAAATGATGTATTTTATGCTGGTTATTTAATTTAACAACTTACCGAGAAAAGATGTATACTAAGAAAAGTAGGGGTACCTACCTACCAGTCAGTGGGGAGAAAATTAAGAAAGAAATGCCCCTTTTGCTATAGAGGGAAGGAAGAAAGTGAAACCCAAAAAAGTCAGGCATTTTCACAGATGACTTCCTTGTGGATAGCTAAAGTATGTACTGGCTTTGCAACTCTAAAAAACAGCTTTTTTTTTTTTTTTTTTTGTGAAACAAGATGGTTTGTCGGCATTTATAGCTCTTTGCCCATTTCAAGTAATTTTTATGTAATTTTTAAATGTGATCTGGTGCCTTCAAAGTTTCAGAGAAATAGAGAAAGGCTTTAGGACTGCAGATAGCGCCTGATAAAGTTGAACTATCGCTACTACTTATTAAGTGTCTCTTATGAGCCAGTACTGTGCTGGGTGCTTGCTACTCACTACTTTCAAATAATGGTCCTGAAAGTGAACATTAATATCCCCTTTTGCAAATGAGGAAACCGAGGTTCAGAGAGGTTAAGTAACATGCCCAAGGTCACACAGCTAAGTGGTATCGCTGGGACTTGAACCCATGTCTTCCGAGGCCATGGCAGCTGCGAACTCTTCCATCCTGTGCTGAGGAGGTGTGTCAGTTATAAACGCATTGCCTCTCAGAGCTGAATGCACCCTCCCATGTATGCTGTCTGAAGAACAAGAGCTTTGAAGTGAGCGCGATGTTGAACTATCTCAGTAGAGGGCGCTGGAGGGACATCGTGGGAGGAAAAAGGTCTGCAGTTTTCCTGTCCTGCGTCCATAGGTGGTATGACTGTGAGGACATTTGTTGGAGTCCTACCCCAGCCACGGACCCAGAGCGAAGTTCTTCTGTGACCTCACAGCCACAGCCTGGCCATAACCTTTCCACAGCCCTCCCAACAAGGAACCCAGAGTCCCTGCACACGGACCTCAGTGCTCTGGAGGCCTCCTGCCTGTGCCTGCCCTGACTCCCACCATGCCCTTGCCACACGTTGCAGGTTGCCCTCCTCACCTGCACTGGGAGGCGGCCTATTGCAGCTGCAGACCAGCTGAGGCCTGCACACCTTAGCCACCTTCTCTGCAAGCTGATGTGCTGAACCTCACCTTCCCCTTCCAAGCTTGTCCGGCACCCTCCCTCAGCCCTAGGTGCCTATGGAGTTCACGTCTATCTATAGTTGCTCTTTCATCACGGTTAGTAATTCTTTAAAGTAAACTTCCCCAGCTTAACCCACTGTGTGATTTCTATCTCCCGACTGGACCCAGATGGCTACTGGAGGCTTCAGAAGAGTCTCAAAGATGCTGCTCAGCACTTTGTGGGGTGACCCACTCCTGGGGCTGAGCTCAGGTCCCAGTGGGTTGCCTTGTAAACTCTCAGCTCCTGGGCTGTGCACTCAATCCTCTTATCAGTTCTTCTACCCTCACTGGCAAAGAAGAGGCAGCAAAAGTGCCTGGCTGGTGCCAAGTTCCCTGCTGAATCCCACCATGGCCCTTACGGCTCTGAGCAAGGAGCCCTTCAGATTGTGCCTTGCAGGAACCACTCCTTATGTGCATTAGCTGGAATAAACATGAACTGCAATAAAACAAAATGTCAGGGAATGGCTTCCAGGATGACGGCAAGGCCAGTTCCCATTTGGCAGGGGCGATGGTTAAGTTATGAGCCTGCTGGCTTCTTCTAGGTCATGTCAGCCAGGAGCATCTGGCAATGGTCAGACTCCAGGAATAGAGCCATCTGGCATGCGGGTGGAAGCCCAGAATAGAGGATGCAAAACCCAAAGGCAGGGAAACAATCTCGTAAAGGGGCCTGGACCTAAGCCGGAAGTCATAGCTCCTAGTTCAGCTCTGCCATGTCCCAGCTGTGTGACTTTGGGTAAATGACTCCACCTCTCTGAGCCCCAGTATGCTGAGCTGAATTGTTTGGATGATTACATAAGTAACTATAAATGAAATGGCCCTCAATAAAGATGTGTCAACACTAAAATTTCTCTGGAATGTTTTAAAATCACTAACATTTCATTGTGAATGTGGAGGAAAACCAAAAAGAGACTGTGAAAATATTAAGGGCTGTACTGTGTCAGATAGTTAGCATTTTTGGGGCTTTTATTTTTTAAGGTTTTTTTTTTTGTTTTTTTTTTTTTGAGACAGGGTCTCGCTCTGTCACCCAGGCTGGAGTACAGTGGCATGATCTCAGCTCATTGCAACCTCTGCCTCCTGGGTTCAAGTGATTCTTCTGCCTCAGCCTCCTGAGTAGCTGGGACTACAGGTGCCTGCCACCACGCCTGGCTAATTTTTGTATTTTTAGTAGAGACAGGGTTTTACCATATTGGCCAGGCTGGTCACGAACTCCTGACCTCGTGATCCGCCTGCCTCAGCCTCCCAAAGTGCTGGGATTACAGGCGTGAGCCACCACGCCCAGCTGTTTTTTTTCTAGGTTTTTTAAAATGTTAAATTCAGTCCTTCTGTGGTTTAAAGGTTCATGTCTATTACAAAATTCTGGAAATGTTCTGTGTTCTCTGCCGTCGCTTCTTTATAGACTTGGCATTTTAGAGACCTCAACCCGGAAACTGAATTTATTAACTCGTTTGCCTGTAGACATAGGCATTGTAATAATTTTCATAGATATTTTCTATCACTGGAAAGTTCAGTCCATATTACATAAATGAAAGGAATGAAGTAAAACAAGCTATGCCTAATTATCTACAGGTTGTCAGAAACATCTTAGGAAAGTGAAGACTAGCTAATAGACTATTGTCCTGAGTACTGCTCTAACTTGTACTGTCTCTAGAATCAACGCATGTTATTAAAATGTTATGCACATGTTGACATATTGATTATTGAATGATGCTTTAAAACAATAGTGGAACCCTGGCCAGGTGCAGTGGCTCATGCCTGTAATCCCAGCACTTTGGGAGGCTGAGGCGGGTGGATCACGAGGTCGGGAGTTCAAGACCAGCCTGGCCAACATGGTGAAACCCCATCTCCACTAAAAATACAAAAATTAGCCGGGCATGGTGGCGTGTGCCTGTAATCCCAGCTACTTGGGAGGCTGAGGCAGGAGAATTGCTTGAATCCAGGAGGTGGAGGTTGCAGTGAGCCAAGACCACGCCACTGCACTCCAGCCTGGTGATAGAGCGAGACTCCATCTTCAAAAAACAAAACAAAACAAAAAACAAAAACAATAGTGGAACTCAAGTAAAATAAGCCTTTCTAGTTATATTTTATTCACTGGGTGGCCACTGCTCAGCGCTGCACTGGGTGCTTCCCTGTGTGACTGCTAATTTGCATGATGACTCCCATGAGGGATTCTCATCCCCATCCTATTCTAGGTGAGGAAAGGGAATCTGCAGCACTTGTGTTGAACACCTCAGGTTTCTCCCCTCACCCTCCCCTCACATCCTGCCCACTTTTTTGCAGTCATTGCTGAGGCAACCTGCCTCTTGCAGTTATCACCTGCGGGGACCTCGCCTCAGCCACCGTGGCCCAGCTTCTCTGACTTTCTGCATAGAAAGTCTACAAGAACAGGCCAGGCGCCGTGGCTCATGCCTGTAATCCCAGCACTTTGGGAGGTCAAGATGGGTGGATACTTGAGGTCAGGAGTTCAAGACCAGCCTGGCCAACATGGTGAAACCCTGTCTGTACTGGAAAAAAAAAAAAATACAAAAGTTAGCTGGGCGTGGTAGTGTGCACCTGTAATCCCAGCTACTCGGGAGGCTGAGGCAGGAGAATTGCTTGAACCCAGGAGGCGGAGGTTGCAGTGAGCCAAGATCGTGCCACCGCACTCCAGCCTGGGGGACAGAGAAAGACTCCATCTTAAAAAAAAAAAAAAAATCAGTCTGCAAGAACAAACCTCGTCCCCACATCTGAGTATCAGGGAAGCGCAATATACTCCATGGGATAGCCCTTGGCCAAGAGGGTATCAGATCCATGCGTAAACCTCCCCTCTTCTGTTGCAGTCTACACAGCCCCTCTGAAGGGCTTGATGGGATTGAGCCTCCATTGCCCACTGTGGTGACTAGCTGGAGAAGGCCCCCATTTTGTGGCTTTCCTGCCTTCCCTGTCTCACTTTCCCCTGTCTCAACTTCTCTTCTCTAGGATCATGGTCCATATAAACCAACTGCACACAAGCCCTCTTCCAGGCTCTGTTCAACAGGAGACCAGTCCAAAGCAGGGGCTAAATAACAAACAAAGCAGTCCTTCTCTTGTGACAGTAATAACCAACTCTAATTTATCTTCTAGTAAATTATATATGTATTTTATTATATATATAATAAATTTATATATATAATTATATATATTTATATGTATTATATGTAATATATATATTTTTTTGAGATGGAGTCTCGCTCTGTCACCCAGGCTGGAGTGCAGTAGCGTGATCTTGGCTCACTGCAACGTCTGCCTCCCAGGTTCAAGCGATTCTCCTGCCTCAGCCTCTGGAGTAACTGGATTACAGGTGCCCGCCACCACACCCGGCTAATTTTTGTATTTTTAGTAGAGACAAGTTTTCACCACAGTGGCCAGGCTGGTCTTAAACTCCTGACCTCAAGTGATCTGTCCACCTCGGCCTCCCAAAGTGCTAAGGTTACAGGTGTGAGCCACCACACTTGGCTAATTGTATTTTTTTTCTACTTTTCAAAAACTATTATATATACATAAAATTTATATATGTATATATATGAAAATTTATATAAGCCCAGAGAAGAAAAAGTTATATATAACTTTGTAGTAATAGTTATGTAGTAAAATATGTCATATTATGTGTATGTATAAACAAGTGATTTCTATGATTATAAGGAATTTTTTTCTACATAACAACTATTAATACATGATCAAGAAAGTGGTGGTAACAATTTGAGTTGCAGGTGGAATACAGAAAGGCTGCCTTCTCAGGCCTTACCTTTGTCCACTCAGCCTCACTAAGCTTCTCTACCCAAACCTTCACACCTAGTTCTTGCCACTCCTGCAAAAAAGCATACCTAGACTTATATTCCAGCCTCCAGAATGCCCCCTTTTCCCTAGATCTGGCCTTGAAACAGATCTTTTGTTCCAAGCATTCCTGTACCTTTCTGTCTTTTACCTTTAGGGTCTATAAACCAGAGGTCAGCTGAAGGTCTTGAAAGTCAATGAACCTCATGGCCATGTACAGGGAGGGCTCACACCTGTAATCCCAGTGCTTTGGAAGGCCGAGGTCGGCAGATCACCTGAGGTCAGGAGTTCGAGACTAGCCTGACCAACATGGTGAAACCCTGTCTCTACTAAAAATACAAAATTAGCCGGGCATGGTGGCACATGCCTATAATCCCAGCTACTCAGGAGGCTGAGGTAGGAGAATTGCTTGAACCCGGGAGGCAGAGGTTTCAGTGAGCCAAGATCGTGCCATTACACTCTAGCCTGGGCAACAAGAGTGAAACTCTGTCTCAAAAAAAAAGAAAGAAAGTCACTGAACTTCAGAGGAAGAGGCCAGAATTCGAGCTTTGCCACTAACTGGTAGATGGCCATGGACAAGCTGAATAACCTCTCTGGGCCTCAGTTTCCATATCTGCAAAAATCAGCCAGCGGTACCGGATGCTCATTAGGTCCCTTTCCAGTTCCACATTCTTGTACTAATGTAATTTCCTGCTCATGAAAAACATCTACTACTAGAAAAGAACTTCCATGTTTGGTGTTCAATATAATGGGATGTTGCCCTTATTTCAAAAGTGGAGTAGCTGGAAAGATCAAGAAAAAATATAAAATTAGGAAACACATCTAATAAATCCCCAAAGACTTGTTAAATGACCACAAAAGAAAAAAAAAGGCAAAACATTGCCACTATTTTTGTACACACACACACACACCACCCACACCCACATACACACATGCAGGAGTTTTTATTGAGAATGTAACTTCATTCAACAGTCTGAAATAAGTAATGCCTCATCACACTTCTGGTAATGATGATTCTTTCAATTGTCTCCACAGATTCAAGTCTCAAGCTCTACCACTGACCAGCTGGGCAACCTTGGCCCCTTAGCATCTTAGGACTTCACTTTCCTTGGTTGTAAAATTCAGAATTGGATCTCTTCTAATTCTAACAATCTAAACATTTTTTAAAAATCCTTTACATCTTATAGGTATTTCATGTGAACCCCACAAAAATTATTCACAGCAGGAATTTTCTTTGTTATGTTATGGACAAGAAATGAAGATGCAGAGGGTTCAATAACTTGCCCAAGGTCATCCCCAGGCTCTGGCTCTTAGGTTTTCTAACCCCATAGCTATGAAGAGCTTGCCTTTCACGTAGAAGGCTCTTTTTAGGAAATATTTTCTCATAATTTTAAAGCTTTTCAAGCCTATAGAAAAACTGAAAGAATAGTACAATAAGCTCCCCATATACTTAGATTCACCAGTTTGTAATTCACCAGTTATTAATATTTTGCCACAGTTGTTTTACCTTTCTTTCTCTCATTATCTATATATTTGCAGTCTTTCTTCAACCATTTGAGAGCAAATTGCAGACATCCTGACGCCTCACCCTGGGTACTTAAGCATGTATCTCCATAGAACAAAGATTTTATCCTTCGCAACCACAGTATCATTATCTCACCAAGAAACTGAACATTAATACAGTAACATAATAATGAGCAGTCAAATTGCCTCAGTTATCCCAAACCTGTTCCTCATAGCCTTTTTCCCCCTTGGATGAAGACACCAATCAAGACTCATGCACTACATTTGGTTAACACATTTCTTTAGTCTCTTTAATATAGAACAAGCCCTTCCCCACCCCTTTTTTCTTTCTTCCTTGGCACTGACATCTTTGACCAGTCCAAACTAATTGTCCAACAACTGGATTTGCTTGCTTATTTCCTCATGATTAGAACACTTCCTCAACAGGGAATATTTGGGAGCCCACTTTCACAAAAAGTGACACAAATACCATCTTCCCAGCTAATAAGAAGACCTCCCCCAACACCTCACCCCCGCACCCCCCCCACACACACACAGACTCACCTTTAGGCAAGAAGGGACCAGGATGAACAGAAGAGCCTCTCAGAAAAAGCCATCTCAAGAATTTGTCTGATGACTTAAAAGCAGAGGTTCTCAGATTGGACTGAGTAAGAAAACTTTCAGAACAACATATTAAGAAAACTGACAGAGAGGTGCCATCTCTTTATTTTGCCAGGGAAGAACATTTAAAAATAAACAAAAACTTACCACTTATTATCATTTCCCAAATCTATTGTAATTTCATAAATAAAGGTCATTTTAACATCAAAAGGTACAAATAACAATCTGAGCAAAGGTTCAAAAAAGGATAGTTTTTCAAAAGGGACAATTGACAACTTTCTACTGCTCATATGCAGACACATCTCACCCGGTCCTTTTATTTCTCCTTTTGCTATGGACTGTGAAAACTGACATGGAGGGGCACAAGAACTCTGAACCACTAATCTAAATGAAGCTCTCAGGAGCTAAATTACTAGTAATACTTGAAGGTGATCGCTGTGCTTTCCTTAATTCATCTGTCTTGTGCTAGCTGTGCAGTCTCTAGGAGAAAGGGCAGGCAGGGAGGCCTGGAGCGCCTGTAGCAGGTCACTACGAGCCATATCACCTGCTGAACTCAGAGTCCCCCCACTCTGCATTCTTACCTTCTCTGGAGCCTGGTGGCACAGCCCGAGCAGTGTCTCGGGTCTGGGGACACTGGCCCCTTCTCAGCCTTGCTACCTCCTGGCTGCTGCTTTCCAACCTCCTGGCCAGATTCTCATTTTCTTGCCTTAGTCGCTTCTTCTCTTCCTCCAGAACTGACTTGTCTCGGAGGAGGTTGCTGTAGGCAGTCTCCAACTCTCTGGTTTGGGTTTCCAGCTGGTCCCGCTCCCGCCTCAGGGTGCCCAGCTCCCTCTGCAGCCCCTCCTGGGTCTCCTGGGGCCTGGCAGCCTGGTCCAAGGTCAATTGGTGGAGGAGGCTCTCCAGGGAGCTGAGTCGAGCTTTGGTGGCCTCCAGGTCTAAGCGTTGGGTGCTGCTGTCTCTCTGTAAGTTATGGATGACTGACATGGCCTGGCTCTGCTCTGGGCAGCTGGATTCATTGGGACTGGCCACACTGAAGGTATACTGGCATCGGCCACTCTGGTCATTGGCCTTCCTGAGCTGAGCTGTCCTGGCCCCCACATCCCACACCAGGCAGGCCAGAAGCAGCAGCTGGACAGCTGGCATCTCAGGCCCAAAGCTGCAGCAACGTGCACAGAAGAACCTCATTGCAGAGGCTTGGTGAGGCTTCCTCTGGAAAGCTCTGCTGTGCTGAGAGGTGCCTGGATGGGTGGCCTTGCTGGCTCATGCCCGAGCTCCAGAGAGGTTTATATATACTGGGGAGCCAGCCCTTCATGGGGGAAGACAGAGGTGGCCACGTGAGGCTGGGTGGGGCTGTGCACAGGGGGGTTGCCTTCACGCTGCCAGCAAGATTCTTAGAAAATAACCTTCCAGAAGTCTGTTTGGAGTTTCTTTTTAAAAAGAACATCCCAATTTATGCACCCATACCCCAATAATAGTTCCTATATCTCCACCTGGTTTTACACACACACACACACACACACACACGTACACACACTTACACCAGGACTACTGGTGTGCTGATTTCAACAAGGATATATTTCTAGTTTATATTTCCATTCACTCTGCAAACTCATTGAGAACCTGCACTGTGCCAGGCACTATGCTAGGAACTGGAGATCCAAACAAGTCCTTTAAGACGTAGCAGGGACAGAGAAAAATAACAGCCAGCCAGAACACAAGGACAGCACCCTACCAGGCTCCAGGGAGAGCATTCCTATAGAAGCGGCAGATTTCCCCCCTCACCCCTAGCTTTAAAACAACTGTGTATCTTTGGGAGAACTTTCTAATTTCAGTCTTGCATCTCAGGCACCAATGTCAATGTTAGCCTCTAAATCAGTTCTTACTCTGTGTGTGTGCATGCCAAGAACCTCATTGGTGAAATCTGGGGAACTCTTCTCAGAAAGATGTTTTCAAATATATAAAATATAGATTACAAAGGAAACAAATGATAATGAAATATGATTATCAAAATATCAAAATTTTAAACATGTTTTATTAATATGTTAAAAACAAGATCCAGCAGGAGGTCTAATTTCAAAGTAGTTTTGAGTATAAATATTTCACTTACAACGTATCTGCAACAACTGTAATATAGTATAAAATGTCTGTGATTTCTATTGGTAATGACAAAATCACAGGTACTGTTATTACCACTTTGAGTTTATGGCTCTATTCGCAATGGAATAAAATGTTAAATTTAGTTAGAAGGTGGTAAAAACAAAAATGTAATTTTTTCCTCATTCAAATTCACAGGCTTTCTGGACTGTAGGTTAATAATCCCTGCTTTACATTAATAAACCCAAAGAGAAAAAACAAAAAGCAAATGGCAATAGCCAATAAATATACCAAAACTGTCAGAAGTAACTTTAAGCCACTTGAAATAATGATTGCCTTTGAGCAACTTTATGTTGTTAATACCAACAACAGTGTCAATACTTGTGAAGTAAATATTTCCAAACTGCCCTGGCAGACTCACCTCCAGAGTGGAGAAACACAGTTTGCTCTAAAGATTCTATTCTTATTTGATTGGTTCTGCAGTTAAGCCTGAACTTGAGACATTTACAAATGGGTGTTTGTTTACAGCTGACCAAAGGGTACTAGTCTCATTTTCTGAATCAGATAGTAAACATCGCTGAAATGATTTTTCAAAAAACCAATCATATAGTCAGCAAGACCTAGGCTTGAATCTGTTTGGCTTTACTCTTAGGAATGTTTTCTTCCTGTTAAAAGAAACGGGATTGCCCTTGTGCTGCTAACTCCACAGAGAAAAAGAGTTCCTAATAAGGAGAAACTAAGTAATCTTACAGCCTCAGTTACTACCTTGTGACTTGCTCAGAATTACTCAGCTTGTAAAGGAAAAATATAGTATTAGAAATCAGGTCTCCCGACTTCCCTTGAACTGATTTTTTCCCCCCACAATATAGCCCTGCCTCCTAGAACCCAGGATCACGTGGACTATAATCCCTGTGGTCAATTCCCACTGCCCTTGAATGAATCTGTCTTTCTTGCTCATACACTATCCCTCTCTTTTTCTTCTCCTCCCCTGCGCTGCAGGTCACTCCGTGCTGTCAGCAGTCACTGCTGAGCTGCGTGGGGTGCTGGTCAGGGTGAAAAGTTTAACAATCTCTGGCATTTTCCACTTGCTCTGGCCCAGTTTTTGAATGCCAGGCAAAAGCTACCACCAGTTAGTCTCTGCATTCTTTTTGGTTATTGGCAAATGCCATTGTCTATGCTTAGGGAAGGAAAATGTGGCTGTTGGGTTCATTGAGCTTTCCTGAAGCATTGTGGCTCTCGGTCCTGGAGTCTGACGTGATCAGTGAGGACTGATGGAGCACCCAGCTTCTGCCTGCCTTCCTGTCCCCCTCCACCTCCCCTGTGGCTCAGCTGCTCCAGCTCTGCCTCCTTCCCCTCTCAACATCCCCCCTCACAGAGAATCACAGGGAAGTGTTCACAGAACACGAGAGCTGCAAGGGTCTTTATAGCAGAGAAGACTATGGCCCAGGGAAGGAGAGACACTTGCCCACGGTCGCACAGCCAACCAATGGCAGAACCAGAAAGAAAACCGAGTCTCCTGATTCCAAGGTTTTCGACCGTCTTGCATAAGCCAAGTCCACCACAGGGCTGAGTAGTTGCCCAGAAGACATGAAAGAAAAGACTCCAGTCACTTCTTCCGTGAATTAACGGCCTAGGAAATGAGCTCGCTTCCTATATTCCCATTAAATAAAGGCCTTCGTGAAGGAAAACCCATGCACACCCTGGAATTTTAACAGCTGACTTTATGAAACTGCATCCCTTCATGAAATAGACTTCTTCTCCTCCAAGCAGAGAAAAGATAAAAAGGCTCACAGGAAGCAACGGAAAACTCCCAGCCCCGTGAACAACACTGAACATCTGGGCAGCTTCAGCCTTGCCCTTTTCACCTTCCTGCCTTTCAGCACCCGCTCAGCCCCAGCGTCCCCACTCCCTGCAGTCCCCACCTCCTGGAATTCTCCTGGACGTGGAGGCCCCTTTCCCTCTGAGGAAACACTGTCCCCTCCAGATTCTCCGTTAGACTAGTTTCCCTCTCCATTTCCTTTCTGGAGCCTGGAGCCAAGGAGTCTCCAGCTCAGATGCACCAGGACGATTCACGGGAAGCGAGGCAGGCCAGCTGCAGCGCTGTGACTGATGGAGGAGGAGGCTTGGAAGACTCGGGCTTGGGGGCCTCCGGGCACGATGGAGGCAGCAGGGGGCGCTAGGGAGGTGGCCTTGTTAAGGGATGCTGCGCACAATTCTTCAAGATGGTGTTTATTTCCTTTCTTTCAGCACTGGGTTTAAGTTGGCTGGCTATTAATTTTCTTCTGCACGTCTTCCATGAGAAACTGTCACCTCCACGAAGGTAGGGCAGTGACTGCTTTGCTCACCATTTTGTCTCTGGTGTCTGGCAGATATAAGTACTCAATAAATTGTCAATGAATGCCTGGATGAATGAACGAGTCACACAGAAATAGAAAGCAACAGGTCCCTAGAGAGTGATAACAAAACAACCAGTGGCACGGGCTGGCAGGTTGCTCAGGACACCCAGGACCCCGGGTGCTTGCAGGGCTCCCCCAGCTGGAGAGGAAACCTCTGCCGGGGGCTTCAAGGAGTCTCTGGGGTATGCCCTCCTCCCCTATACACACACACAGATGGCCCCAAATGGAACTAGTTTATGTATACTCTTATTTCAGTAACGATGTGGAGGCTTACCACAAAAGCATGGTGAATAAAATGGTAACTTAGCCTGAAAATGAGGATGAGGGAAGAAAGTGATGAGGACCAGTGGTCTGGGACTAGGCAGGCAGCTCATGGCACCATTCCCCATCCCAAGAATCCCTGAAATTATCACAGCTTTTGTCTGTTTCCCTGTTGGTTTAGTAAACCATTCAAGTTATTCCTTATTAAACACTGACCCTTGGCCGGGCGCGGTGACTCATGCCTGTAATCCCAGCACTTTAGGAGGCTGAGGTGGGTGGATCACCTGAGGTCAGGAGTTCAAGACCAGCCGGGCTAATATGGTGAAACCCCATCTCTACTAACAATACAAAAATTAGCCGGGCGTGCGCCTGTAGTCCCAGCTACGCGGGAGGCTGAGACAGGAGAATTGCTTGAACCTGGGAGGCAGAGGTTGCAGTGAGCTCAGGTGTAGAGCATACAGGTAGGTGTAAGACACAGACCCTCACCCTCACGGAGCTTCTGGCTGTAACATCGTGATGCAGAAGTCTAGAGTGGGGAGACTTCCTGTGGAGCGGGATGGGCTGCACAGGGGAGGTGGCATTTGTAATGGGACCTACTGAGATGACACGTTAACAATGGTTGAGGCACTTGGGTTGTAGATGTGGTTGTAGGTCAGACACATCGGGCCTGTGTGTGAGGGCTATGACAGATCATTCTGAAAAAGTTAGGATGGGGACACAGTGATTTCTAATGATTTCTGACCTATCCGGAGCTGGGACACGTTATCCTTGTATGCCTGACTTTATAAAATTGGGACCCATGTCTAAACTGATTATGCATCGCATATTTGTTTTATACTTAAAATGGTTAAAATTCATGATCTTTCAAGAGTTTCTTAAGATTCCTTAAGAAAACTGGCCTTCCTAAAGGCAAATGCCTCAGGGTCCCTGCTGAGGGGCACTGCTGCTTTGAAGGCTCACAATGTTCTGGTTGCCTTTTAACCATGTCTTTTGTTTTGCTCTCAGTTTTTCATATTTCCCTTGAAAGTCCAGGCTTAGCCCAGTCAATTTTTGTGTTCCCTGGTATAGACGGGGAGGTGTTGCGAACATGGTCAACTGCCTAATCACTGTTATGAAAGCTTTCCCAGTCCCCATTTTCCTCCTGCATTTGCGGAATTTTGATTTTGCTGTTATTGTTATGTCCTTTGCTAACATGACCTTCCTGAACTTGCCTCCCCAGAGTGATGCCATCTGGTTTTTAAAATAATAATCCACTTTGGGATCTGATCAGATCATGCTTTTGACGTTTTTCCCATTTTCCCATCAAGCTCACATGGAGGTCTCTTCCCAAGGAACAAATACTTAATTACCAATTTGGAAACATCTTTTTTCTGAGCTGTTTTCCTTATTCATTGATTTTGGTCCTCATCATTTTTTCCTGAAATTAAAAACAAAGGGAAAAGTTTATTTTTCATCATTATTTGCTCTCCTGGCATTTTTCCTTGGGCAAGTGCCCATCTCATTCCTGTTTCTTAGCTCCTGTTTGATGGATTTACCATATTGGATGTGATGTTTCCTGAAGAATAGCTTCTGTCAGGAGCAACATCTGTCACTAAAATAAGAGCAGACACAGCCTGGACACTTGGCTAACGTGGATACTCCTTCTTCCTGATTCTTTATCATCCTGCCAAAGACATACATCCGAATGGAGGCTATACAGTTTATAGGACTTTCACATTGGTTATCTCATTTCATTTCATAATAGCCCTGAGGTAAACTGAACAAAGATCAGAATTCTTCCTTTACAAGTGGAGAAACTGTGGATCAGAATAATTAACTGATTTATTTAAGGTCACATAGATAGTCCATATAGCTATGTGTATGTGTGTGTGTGTGTGTGTGTGTGTGTGTGTGTGTGTGTATAGATATATACACAAACTATATATCTCTCTCTATATACATACGCACATATATACTATATATATGAATATACATATATATATATATATATATATATATATAGAGAGAGAGAGAGAGAGAGAGAGAGAGAGAGAGAGAGAGACAGAGACAGAGACAGAGAGTCAGTCAACCTAAAATGAGCTACAGAGTGACCAACTCCCCAAAACAAAGAGTTTATTCAGGAATAGCAAGGGATTGCGATTCAGGATATGTGTGCTGTGGCAAACCCCAGGTGCATCTGAGGGGTTTGGGCAAGGGCAAGATTTTAAAGGCAAAAAGGAGAAGTCCACATAAACTGTTTTGAAACAAATACTATTGGTTACAGGGACTTATTGCAGGTGGTGACGTTTGTTCATTGGTGGTACTGGCTATGGCTACGAAAGGGTCTTCATAGAAGTGGCTTAACAGGAAAGTTCAGTTGGAAAAGTCTTTTGTCACAGTTCCTGTTATAGGGTATATATGTGTGAGGGCCTTTTGACTCTATTTTCTTGGCCTGTTGACTCTATTTTGTTTTTTGGTTGTTTGTTTGTTTTTTTGAGACGGAGTCTTGCTCTTTCGCCCAGGCTGGAGTGCAGTGGTGCGATCTCAGCTCACTGCAAGCCGCCTCCCAGGTTCACACCATTCTCCTGCCTCAGCCTCCCAAGTAGCTGGGACTACAGGTGCCCGCCAGCATGCCTGGCTAATTTTTTGTATTTTTAGTAGAGACGGGGTTTCATCGTGTTAGCCAGGATGGTCTCGATCTCCTGACCTCGTGATCCACCTGCCTCAGCCTCCCAAAGTGCTGGGATTACAGGCGTGAGCCACCGCGCCAGGCCTCTTGACTCTATTTTGTTAGGATTTGATATAGGTGACTCCATTTTGGTACTGACAATTTTCCCAGTAACTATATATATAGCCGATCATATAGCTGAAATACAGCCTTCTAATGCCATCTAATTTCTAAATATTATGCTGTTGTAGGAAAGCCCTCAAGTATGAACTTTAGGCCGGGCGTGGTGGCTCACGCCTGTAATCCCAGCACTTTGGGAGGCCAAGGTGAGTGGATCACCTGAGGTCAGGAGTTTGAGACCAGCCTGACCAACATGGTGAAACCCTGTCTTTAGTAAAAATACAAAAATTAGCTGGGCGTGGTGACGTGCACCTATAATGCCAGCTACTTGGGAGGCTGAGGCAGGAGAATCATTTGAACCTGGGAGGCGGAGGTTGCAGTGAGCCAAGATTGTGCCACTGTACTCCAGCCTTGGTGGCAGAGCAAGACTCCCATCTAAAAAAAAAAAAAAAAAAAAATAGAATGAACTTTAGACCGGGCGTGGTGGCTCATGCCTGTGATCCTAGCACTCTGGGAGGTCAAGGCAGGCAGATCACCTGAAGTCAGGAGTTTGAGAGCAGCCTGGCCAACATGGCAAAACCCCAACTCTACTAAAAATACAAAAATTAGCCAGACATGGTGGCGGGTGCCTGTAATCCCAACTACTCAGGAGGCTGAGGCAGGAGAATCATTTGAACCCAGGAGGTGGAGGTTGCAGAGAGCCAAGATGGCACCACTGCACTCCAGCCTGGGCGACAGAATGAGACTCCGTCTCAAAAAAAAAAAAAAAAAATTTATGGAGGCTCTTCAGATATTTTTCTTTCACCCAATCTATTTACTAGCAACTTGAGGACTAGATTTGCCCAAACATATGCAGGACATCTGCCTTGGGCTTGCCCTGTGGTGTGGGATTATGTGTCCTATGCTGTACAGGACCAGAGTGGAAACCATGAGCAGCTGTGGGGAGACCCGGTGCTAGTGGAGTCTTGGGCCAACCTGAGGGCAGCTACAGACTCATTCTGAGTCTTTGTGAAGGCTGCTGGCAGTAATCTCCTTTAGGTGCAGCACAGAGCTTCTCCCACCTTACTTCCAAGGTACAGAGTTTCTTTAGGGAAATGTTTCAAGTTTCTTTAGAGAAATGGGAAAGAGTGTGACGGGGGAGGGGGCTTTAGTCCACTGTTGCATTACTATAAAGAAATGCCTGAGGCTGGATAATTTATAAAGAAAAGAGGTTTAATTGGCTCACAGTTCTGTAGGCTGCACAGGAAGCACAGCGCCAGCCTCTGCTTCTGGGGAGGCCTCAGGAGGCTTACACTCATGGCAGAAGGCAAAGAGGGAGCAGGAATCTCACATGGCAGGAGCAGGAGTGAGAGAGAGAGTGGGTTGGGGGGAGGTGCCACACACTTTAAATGACCAGATCATGTGAGAACTCACTATCCCTAAGAGCACCAAGCCATGAGGGATCCACACCCATGACCCAAACACCTCCTTGTGTAATATAGTAAGTATTCTCCAAAACCAAAACAGAAACTGGCCTTTCAAAAAAGGTCAAGTCCACTATTTTCCCTGTCTCTTAGGAGCTGCAGAGTCTCACTCATCATGGTTCTTGTTGACAAGAAAATCCATACTCTATAAAATATTTGAAGAGATTTATTCTGAGCCAAATGTGAGTACCATGACCCATGACACGGCCTCAAGAGGTCCTGAGAACATTTGCCCAAGGTAGTTGGGTAACAGATTGGTTTTATACATTTTAGGGAGATAGAAGACATCAATCTATACGTGTGAGGTACACACTGGGTTGGCTTTCAGGTCGTAGGTAGAGTTAAAAGATTTCCTGATTGGCAATTAGTTAAAAGAGTTAAGCTTTCCCTAAAGTTGAAGTCAGCAGAAAGAAATACTTGGGGTTAAGATAAGGGGGGTTGTGGAAGCCAAGGTTCTTGTTATAGATGAAGCCTCCAGGTAGCAGGCTTAAGAGATAATGGATAATAAATATCTCTTTTCAGACCTTAAATGGTGCCAGATTTAGTTAATCTCTTTGGGGTTGAGAGGGCCTGGAAGGGCAAATACCTAGTTACATTAATTGAGATTCTTTACAGATGCAAATAGTCATTTCAAAATATGGGAAAGAAACATATTTTGGGGTAAAATATTTTGATTTCCTTCTTTATTGGTCATGTGATGCTATACTAGAGTCAGGTTGGATTTTGGTATCTTATTGTTAAAGAAAGAGTTCATTTGGTCGGTCTTAAGATCTGTTTTAATGTTGGTCAATTGTGTCTAAATTCTAAAGGGAGGAGGGTATAATAAAGCATGTCTGACTCTCCTTCCTGTGGTCTGAACTAGTTTTTCAGGTTTCTTTGGAATCCGCGTGGTCCCATTCAGCCAGTTGTGGGGCTTAGAATTTTATTTTTGGTTTACAGAATGTTTCTCGGCATCAACTTCATTCTCCTCTTCACCAATATCTAGCTGCTGACTTCAGCTGTAGTCCCTGATGGCTGCCCCAGCCCTGAGCCTACCTCCCCGCATGTGACCTTTCAGCTCATTTCCTCTGTTAACTGACCCAGCCTCTGTGTTTCCCAAACCCCTTCTTAGAAGAGAGCTGATTGGCTGAGCTCCTTCTTTCAAGTGACCATACCAGCAGGAAGTTGTCCAGTAGGCAACTGAAGCACTGGCCTGGGACAGAAACTCAACTTTGATGCATGAAATTATGTTTTATGGAGGGGGATGAGGGCCTGTTTAGAGCAGAAAGATCTATGGGCAAAGAAGAATCCCTTAGAAGGAGATGTGGGTAGGCAAAGGATAATCAGCAATTGTAGTTCAGTGCCTAAAAGTAATCTGTTCCTCACTATGTTTAGTCGGTATGTTTCTTACCATGGAGGTAAAAAGTGTGGGACATTCAATAACATGCTTGGGCCTTCTGTGTGCCTGACACTGTGCTAGGCATGGAAAAGATATTTCCAAGGTCGTTGGTAAAGGTTGTGGGGTGAAAAGAGCTAAAGGGAAGATGGAGACAACTTCCTGATGACTTGGGCTTCGCTTCTCACTCACATATAGGAAAAATAATAGTGTACATGGTGACCATATAGCAATAGCATAGGTAAAATAGGCTTTTATGGGTTTTTTTTCTGGGATTCTCCTTACCATTTACACTTTTCTATGAGAAAATAGTTCTCATGGCTTGTGTCAAAAAAGAAAAATATACTTCTTTCTTAAATGCACTCAAAGACTATATTTGCAGGGGCCGATGGGAGAAGAAAAGATGAACAGTCGTTCCGTTTGGGCAGGTGTTAGAGCCTGGAGCCTTTATTGCCCAGGTCATGCGTGAATATACATTTTTTTCTTTTTCTTTTCTTTTTTTTTTTTTTTTGAGACAGACTTTCACTCGTGTTGCCCAGGCTGGAGTACAATGGTGCTATTTCGGCTCACTGCAACCTCTGCCTCCCAAGTTCAAGTGATTATCCTGCCTCAGCCTCCCAAGTAGCTGGGATTACAGGCATACACCACTATGTCTGGCTAGTTTTGTATTTTTAGTAGAGATAGGGTTTCTCCGGCTGGTTTTGAACCCCTGACCTCGGGTAATCCACCCACCTCGGCCTCCCAAAGTGCTGGGATTACAGGCATGAGCCACCATGTCCGGCCGTAAATTTTTTCAATTGATACATATTAAAAGCCTAACAGGTACTCCAGAGGGGTTCTGTAAAATATTTTGATGTTTACAATAGCTTCTCATACATTAAAAGTTTATAAATTACTGACCAAGCATAATCCACTTGCTATCTTTGGTATGGAATCAAGACTATTTTCAATCTATCATTATTTAAGTGGTCAGTACTCAGTGGAGGGGTAGTCAGAGGCTCAGAGAGTGCCATGTCGAAGAGTAATATGTTGGAAAGTGTCCCTAGCCAGAAATGTGGACTGGTTTTGGGAGTGTGAAGACATACAAGCAAAACCTTTTGGCTTTTGGAAAAGTTCACAAATAGATAAAATATTGCTTTACCTTATTGAATAGTCTTTTGTTCCTAAAACATATGTTCACATGTGAAGACACATATAATATCCATCATTCTTTCAACCACCCAACTATATGGTTCATATTTTTCTCCACGTTACTGTTAAGGAAATTCAGTTTCTCCATCTCAAAGAAAAATGTTGGTAACTATAGGAGCTGGGTATGAACCCAACTTTTTCCCAGGGCCTGGGATCTCTGAGCAATTGGTTACTTCTTCTGATTTGACTGAAGTTAAGTAAACTTACCAGTAGATAATACTTCATTGTGACACGTATTATTAAAGGGAGGGATTTCATGACTGGAACATTTTCATCTATTCATTTCCTTTCTGAGTTCTTTAATTCCACAGAGAACAGAAAATCTCTTCCCTGCAGATCAGTTAAATCCATGTAACAGATTTCAGTAAGCATGACTCAAAGGATTTTTAATTAAGAAAGCATTACAATATAATTTGTTTTTGAAGATGGAACTGTGATCTCCCACTAGCAAAATTAAATGATGAGAGACAGCCAAGGAGGCAAGCACACACACTCACTCAAAGTCAGCAATTTGGCTTTACGTGAGAACAGTGTGTCCTTTAAAAAATCCAGTTCGGGTAGGTTAGATCCAATTCTCAGGGCAGGGGAGGGGATCATCTCAACAGAAAGAGCTATCTTCTCTGTGGCTCTTTGGCCTACGTAAAAGTGAAATAACATCCGATGTGGAAAATCAGGAGATGTCTTCATGTCAGTGGCCCCTGAGCATCCTCCTGGGAACTGTGTGCATTGCAGATTATCTGTGGTTATAGTTCTGGTCCAGCTAGCTCCCTACCGAGCTCCTCGTCTCCCAGAATCTAGCCAGCCTGTGCTCAGGAAATTCAGAATAATTTTTGCTATTAGCACCAGCAAGACTGAATTGAAAAGGTAAATCTGCTAAAAACAAAAACAAACAAATAAACGAAGAACATAATGTGATCCAAGTTAAATATAACTTTGGATTAAATTTTTAAAAATAGTTTATATGCTTTTCTCTCACTGCAGCATTTAGTGTTGATTCCACACTCTTTCAGGAATCTTGCTTCCCTCTTGTTGTGGCAACACTGTCATTCCTGGGTTTCCAGTCACTCCTCTGATTGCTCGTCCTCTGTCTTAGCTGACTTCTTTTCTTCTTTCTAATCCACATCTGTGGGTGCCCTAGTGCTCTTTCTACAGATCCCTCCTTTTCTCACAATGTATGCAATTTCTTGAGAGCTCATCTGTGGTATACAGCCTCCAAGTTGGCTCTCAGAGATCCCACACCCTGGCACTCACACTCTTCTGTGAGTCTCTTCCCACATCACACCAGGGTTGGTCTGTATTACCAATGGCATTGGCAGAAGTGACAGCTTGCCACTTCTGGGATTAGATTAAAAGACTGTGGCTTCCTTCTTGGGCTGCGCAGGCTTTTCTCCCTATGATGGATCACTGACTGGAGGGGAAGCCACATTGTAAACAGCCCATGGAAAGGCCCTCCTGATAAGGAACCAAGGCCTCCTGCCAACATTAGCATGAGTGGGCTCGGAAGTGGCCCCTGCAGCCCAGGTACCTTGACTGTAACCTCATGAGAGACCCTGGGCCACAACCACCCAGCTATGCTGCTGCAGGACTCCTGGCCTATAGACATTGTGAGGTAGTGAATGCTTGTTGTTTTAATCTGCTAAGTTTGGGGTGTAATCTGTTATATAGGAATAGATAAAACACATCACCTATTCTCATGTCATCCACTACAACCTCCAAATTTAATTTTCTGGCTTTGGATTCTTCACTTGCATTCCAATTCAGGATTCAACACCGTCTGAATGTCCTGCTCAACACAAAGCCAGTATCTTCTTCTCAGATCATCTCCCATCCCCAACGGCTCTATTTACATCCTTTCCAAACCTACTTCTCCTCTCAGGTACCCTACCTCCTTTAATGGCATTATCTTACCCCTGGTCATAGAGCCAGTGTCGTTGACTTGCCTCTCCTTTGCCCTCATGTATAAGCAGCTGCTGAGTTTGGATGTTTTTGCCTTCAGAATGTCTCCCAGCATTTCCTACCTCAAGCACATTTCTCCCCCAGCCTCCCAGAGGCTCTCCTCAGTTCTGCTCTCTGCTGCCAGGCTAATCTTCTCCATGCCCTGCTTTCCCTCTCAGTTGTCTGCTTAAAAAACCCAATAGGGTGGATCCCTATTGTTTAGAGAATGGAATCCTAACCCTGGTTCATTGAAAGGCATCTGGCCTCAAAGTCAGAAGACCTAGCTGTGAGTCACAGCTCTGCCACTTGGGTAAGCTGGAGAACCTTAATCTATTTACCCTTTCTGAATCTCATTTTTTTCTGTCTGTGAGAGGGGTCATAATCACCTCACTGTTTACCACATAGGGTTGTTAGAGGGTTCAAATGAGAGAATGAATGCAAAATCACTACTCCAATTGCTACTTGAGGCACTTATCACCATCACCACCTCCACCCCCACCATATAATTAGAAGCCTGGAAAGGTAATAAGATTCCCTGAAACAATAGCCTTGACTCCAAACAAGCCCATCTTCCTCATGCTGCTCTCCAGCTTCTCACTTTCCTCCCACTTCTGGTGCCTACTTACTCTTCAGAGTTCAGCTCAGTCTTTTTTCAATGCATCCAAAGTTATTTTATTTTTTTTGAGACTGAGTCTTGCTCTGTTGCCAAGGCTGGAGTGCAGTGGCACGATCTCTGCTCACTACAACCTCTGCCTCCCAGGTTCAAGTGATTCTCCTGCCTCAGCCTCCCAAGTAGCTGGGACTACAGGCATGTGCCAGCACACCTGGCTAATTTTTGTATTTTTAATAGAGGTGGGTTTTTACCATGTTGGCCAGGCTGGTCTTGAACTCCCGACCTCAGGTGATCTGCCCCGCCTTGCCCTCCCAAACTGCTGGGAGACCCTGGGCATAAGCCACCACGCCCGGCCCAAAGTTGTTTTTTTAATGACTTATTTTTTTGAGTGAAGTCAAAGGCTTCAACACACACTCTGTCTTTGTTCTTAAAGACGGTGGCAGACACCTCTCAACTTGCTCTTGAATCATTTTTCATGCATCAGTCTTTTCACCTCAACAGGATTGCAAGTTGCAATGAACTTTATATTTTGGGTGATAATTATTTCTTACCGTGCCTTTCATTGCGCTGTGTACTTTATGTGCATTATGCGTTTTAACCTCACTGCAGTCCTGCAAGGCAGATGTTTTTATCTCTAGCTTATTGGTGAGAAAGCTGAGTTTCAGAGATGACAAGAAATTTGCCCAAGGTCACACACCTAGAAAGTTGCGGAGCCAAGATTTAAACAGATGACACCCTGGCTCATGACCTCATGCGCCTCTTCTATGCCACATGCTTTCCTTGCTCCTGCACCTTGGTCAGGTGTATATTACAGACTCCTTAGTCATTGACATTGGCTATGTGTATGTGGCCAAAGCCAAAATGGAGGATATGACCAGAGAAAAATAAATCAAAGGAGAAAAAATAAAAGGTAATATCTAAGGGATATTATTTATTTTAGATGGAAAAAACTTAAGGTGTTTATATGCTAGAGGGAAAGAGCCAACAGAGCAGAAGAGGTGCAAGTTATGATGCTAATAATAGCTGACATTTATTAGGCACATCCCTGTGCCAGGAGCCATGCTGAGCACTTTACCAGGATTACTTCACTAATCTTTCATAACACTCTTATAAAGTAGGTACTATTATTATCATAATATTTTACAGATGAGAAAGTGAGCTTTATCCAAGCTCATGCAATGGGTGGTAATTTAAAAATGGGGCGTCTGAACTGCTGTGCCTAGCAATGAAGAGGTAGACGCCTTTCTGGTGTGGAAGCCAGGCTTCTGTGTGACCAGCACCCAGTAAATACAACACCCAAGTGCTTTATTGACATTAATTAATGATGTTTATAGTATCCTTTCGGGTAAGTCTGTATACATCCCCTTTTTAAAAGTAAGAAAACCAAGATTCAGGGGCTAGTTACTTGCTCCAAGTCTTTTTCATGTTTAACATGAATTATAATATATGTGGGGGTCTGTATCCTGAAAACATTATCAACCTTTGTTTCTAACACTTCTCATCTAGTGAATTGGAATGAGAATTCCTAGCTCAGGAAAATGATGCACTTGGAAGCAGTCACTTGGGATATTTGACTCTTCTGAAGAGGCTTGACTTTACTCTTGTGGATCTGGCAACTGTACCTTTGCTTCCGACAGTGTAACGTTTAGTCCCACTTTATGATAAAGGTATGGTACCGTTTTACAACACATCTCACTGAATAAGACAACTAATTTGCTTCCGACAGTGTAACGCTTACTCCCACTTTAATGATAAAGGCATGGTACCGTTTTACAAAACATCTCACTGAATAAGACAACTAAATTTTTGTATTTTTTAAAACTATTATGACCGAATATTCTGGTTTAATTATATGCATTTAAAAAATAATCACTCAGTATTATACAATTGAAAATAATGTTGAAAGAGTATAGGAAATGTAATATAAGCTAGATGAATGAGAAGCTTGGAGAGAAAAAACAGATCACAAGTAGAAAGACAGCATTTTTAAAAAATTATTATTTTTTTTAAATTTATAGAGATGGAGTTTCACTCTGTTGCCTAGGCTGGTCTCAAATTCCTGGGCTCAAGTGACCTTCCTGCCTCAGCCTCCCAAAGTGCTGGGATTATAGGTGTGAGCCACTGTGCCCAGCCAGTCAGCATGCTATTAATTTTATATTTAGTTGATCAGCAATGTACATGTTGGTTCCCATTTTATAAAGCACTGTCCTCTATATACTTCATTTGCCTTCACAACAATTGGTATATTAGCTGGAAATGCTTTCATCTACAAGTAACAGAAAACCTGATTTAAACAGATGGAGGTTGTTTTCCTCATTCAAAAGAGGCCTGGAGGTGGCATTCTGGGACTGGTGTGGGAGGACCAACAGTGTCTTCAAGGATCCAGGCCTCTTAGACCTTCCACGTCACCACTCTTACCACGTTAGCCACTTACCCTCATGAATGTCACCTCATGGTTGCAGGACAGCTGCTCCAGATGTTACACTTGTGTTCACGACTGGAAGAAGGAGGAAGGGAAGGAGCAGGCACCAGGACATCTTTGCTTTTATTAGAAGGCAAAAGCTTTCCCAACAGACTTTCTTTTTTTAATATTTTTTTTTAGAGACAGGGCTTCACTCTGTCACCCAGGCTGGTGTGGAGTGGTGTGATCATAGCTCACTGCAGCCTCGGACTCCTGAGCTCAAGTGATCCTCCCGCCTCAGCCTCCTGAGTATCTGGGACTTTAGAAACATGCCACCATGCCCAGCTAAATTTAAAAAAATTTTTTTGTAGAGATGGGGTCTTGCTATATTGCCAAGGCTGGTCTCAAACTACTGGGTTCACGCAATCCTACTGCCTTGGCTTCCCAAAGTGCTGGGACTACAGGCGTGAGCCACCACACCTGGCCCTCTCAACAGACCTTTCATTGGCCAGAACTGTGTTACCTGGCCATCCTTACTTTAAAGGAGAATGATAAAGCAGTTATTCAGCATTTACAGCCTGTCTGTAGTGGAGATAGGCAAGAGAGAAGCTCACATATTTACAGATGAGACAGCTAGTGTGCTTTCTCATTACTCAGCACAAACCCAAGTCCTAGGATTCCCGCACCTGTGTTATTTCACTATACTACTCAGCCTCTCTAAATTCTGCCACAGGAAAGTATATGTCAAAAGGAGGACAACTCTCAAAAATATATAGTAATGGGGGCCGGGGGCAGTGGTTCATGCGCCTGTAGTTCCAGCTACATGGGAGGCTGAGGCAGG
Source organism: Homo sapiens (assembly GCF_000001405.40). NCBI lineage: Eukaryota > Metazoa > Chordata > Mammalia > Primates > Hominidae > Homo > Homo sapiens. The sequence continues at coordinate 171,668,764 of NC_000001.11, forward strand.
AGGATCGTTTGAGCCCAGGAGTTCAAGTTTGATGCTGCAGTGAGCTATGATCCGGCCACTGCACTCTAACTTGGGTTACAAATTAAGACCCTGTCTCTGAAAAAAAAAAAAAAAAGTATAGCAATGGGATACATTCTATTAAGAAATGGATCACTTTTTAAATTAATAATTTTATATTAATGTATGATATCTCTATTGTTGTTTAACAAAAATAATGATTCCATTTTTATAGATTAACACCTAAGCTTTAAAGAGATTGATTGAAGCATTATTATTGCAAAACACTGCAGGGAAACCCACAGGTGTTTGTTTGTTTGTTTGTTTGTTTGTTTGTTTGAGACAGAGTCTCACTCTGTCGCCTAGGCTGGAGTGCAGTGGTGGGATCATGGCTCATTGCAGCCTCGACATCCTGAGCTCAAGTGATCCTCCCACTTTAGCATCCCAAGTAGTTGGGACTACAGGTGTGTGCCACCATACCTGGCTGATTTTGTTTTTTAAAGTTTTAGTAGGGACAAGGTCTCTCTCTGTTGCCCAAGCTGGTCTTGAACTCCTGAGCTCAAGCAATTCTTCCGCCTTTGCTTCCCAAAGTGCTGGGATTACAGATGTGACCCACTGAACCTAGCAACCCACAGTTTTCAACAACAGGGTATTGGTTGAAGAAACTGTAGCATACCCATATCCTATGAAATAAATAGACGTAAAATTTCAGAATAATATTGTTATTTACAATATTTTGTTAAATGAAATAAGTAAATTATAAAACTAGATATGCAATGCCACCCTACACTTTTAAATATATATTATCTATATAAAAGCTAGATATAAATATAGCAAAATGTTCATAGTGATTATATTTAGATAATGAGAATATATGATATTTTGGCTTCCATCTTTGTATTTTTTGTAATATAATTTTTAGGAGTCAGGTTTATTGAAGGGTTATTTACATGTAGTAAAATTCACCCGTTTTAGGTGTATGTGTTTTGACTAATATGTACAATAATGTATCCACTACCGTAATCAAAATACAGAATATTTCCTTTGTCCCTAAAAGTTCCTTTGTGCCTTTTTGTAGCCAATTCCTTCTCCCTAGTCACCGGCCCTTGGCAACCACTGATCTTATTTTAGTCTTGACAGTTTTGCCTTTTCTGGAATGTCATATAAATAAAAACATATAGACTGTAGCCTTTTGTTTTTGGCTTATATCAGTTGGCATGAGTGCTTTTGAGAGTCAGCCATGTTGTTGTATTTACAAGTAGTTCGTTTCTTTGTATTAATGAGCCGTATTTCACAGCATGGATGTACCATAATATGTTATCCTTATCCTTTCATGGGTTAGTGGACATTGGGTTGTCTTCAATTTTGGACTACTTACATCAGCTTGCTAGTGCTGCCATAACTAAGTACCACAAACTGGGTAGCTTAAACAACAGAAATATACTGTCCAACAGTTCCAAAGGCTACAAATCCAAAATCAAGGTTCCAGCAAGGTTTGTTCCCTTTTTTTTTTTTTTTTGTAGAATCTTTTTTATTCAGAAAAAATAAAACAATCCTCCCAAAAAAGTTTTACAACCACACAGAGGAGGGGTATGGGTAGGGGAAGGTGTCTGGCCATCAGCCCTGTACCCCAGCCCATGTGGTTTTGGCAGCAATAAGGGGTGTGGGGTAATGGCCCCCAAAATAAAATGGTGTATGGGGAGGGAAGGGATACAAAGCTGTGGGGAGCGGTGAAGGGCAAGGGACAGACGAGGTCAGTACTGGGAACGCCGAAGGTGGGAGGCCATTTCATAACATTTCTTGTTGATCAAACCACCGTGGACACCTTCTTTGCCCATCAGCAGGACTAGCGTCTTGTCAGTCTTGGTGACAGTGACATTGAAGGTGGGGGCTCCACCGGTACTCTTGGTATACGAAGATCCATGCAAAATTCCCCATCCTGCAGCAGTGAGTCCCGGATCACCGAACATTTCTGGCCCCCAAGTGTCAGCCCATTCACAAAAAAACTTGACCTGTCTTTGCCAGCCAGGACACCAACCTCAGCTGGCGCGATGTTGGCGAAGGTTTTCCCGGGGACGGCGGCCCAGATGGAGGGCGAGTCCTTGTAGCCCACGATGGCCACGTCCTGACAGGTCCCGTCCGCCATAAGGTTGTCGATGTCGGTGTCCACCCGGCCATGGTCATGATGTTGTCAATGTAGGCGTCCACCCGGCCATGGCGCTGCTGCTGGGGCAGCGGGCTGGGCTCGGGCTGCCTGGGCTGGCGGGCGGTGGGAAGCGGAGAGCTCGGGGCACGCGCTGCCGTCTGGACCGTGGCTCTGCTCGCTGTGCAGCAGCCTTGTACCACTACCTGTTTGTTCCTTCTGAGGGTCATGAGGGAAGGATCTCTTCCCGTTCTGTCTCTTTGGCTATCTTTATGTTTACATAGCATGCTCCCTGTATCTGCGCCTGTGTTCACATTTCTCCTTTTAAAAAGACTCCAGTTGCCGAGCTCAGTGGCTCACGCCTGTAATCCCAGCACTTTGGGAGGCCGAGATGGGCGGATTATGAGGTCAGGAGATCGAGCCCATCCTGGCTAACGCGGTGAAATCCCGTCTCTACTAAAAATACAAAAAATTAGCCGAGCGTGGTGGCGGGCGCCTGTAGTCCCAGCTACTCGGGAGGCTGAGGCAGGGGAATGGCGTGAACCCGGGAGGCGGAGCTTGCAGTGAGCCGAGATGGCACCACTGCACTCCAGGCTGGGGGACAGAGCGAGACTCCATCTCAAAAAAAAAAAAAAAAAAAAAAGACTCCGGTCATACTGGATTAAAGTCCCACTCTACTCCAATATGGTTTCATGTTAATTAATTATATCCGTAACCACCCTATTTCCAAATAAGGTCACATTCTGAGGTACTGGGGTTAGGACTTCAACATATTAATTGGGGGACAGGGGGCAATTCAACCCATAACAAATAGTAAAGCTGCTGTAAGCGTTTGTGTATAAGTCTTTGTATAGTCATATATTTTCATTTCTCTTGGGTAAATACATAGGAATAGAATTGCTGGATCATATGGTAATTGTATGTTTAACTTTATAAGAAACTGCCAAACTGTTTTCCAGGATGGCTGTACTATTTCATATTCCTACCAGCAGTGTATAAAAGTTCCTGTTGCTCTACATCTTTGTCAACATTTGGTATTGTCAGGTTTTAAAAATTGTAGTCATTCTGACAAGTGGGTGGTAGTATCTCCCTGAGGCTTTAATTTCACATCCCTGAAGACTAATGATGTTATTTATCATCTGTATATTTTCACTGACAAAGTGAAACTTTCAACAAAGTGATACTGTACACATCTTTTGCCCATTTTAAAAATTAGATTACTTTCTTTTTACTGAGTCATGAGACTCACTACATATATATGTCTTATATATATTGTATATTCTGGATACGAGTCCTTTGGCAAACATGTGATTTGTAAATATTTTCACTCAGTCTGTAGCTTGTCTTTTCATTTCCTTTTTTTTTTCCTTTCTAAGAAAAATAGAGAATCTTTTCATTTTCTTAAGAATGTCTTGAAAAGCAGAAAATTTTCATTTTGATAAAGTCAATTTTATCTTCTTTTAAAATTTTTGTTCATGCTTTTTGTGTCTTATCTAAGAAATTTGCCTAAGTCAACATCACAGAGATTTTTCTCTTGTCTTCTTCTAAACATTTTATGATTTTACGTTTCACATTTAGACCTATGGTTCATTTTGTGTTGTTTTATATGTGGTATGGAGTATTTTTTCTTAAAATTTCAACAATATAACATTTTTGGTTCTGGAAAGATGACATGATGTGATTTATCATCTGTATCTTTCCTTTCATAAAGTGTCTGTACACATCTTTTGTATGTGTAGCACCAGATATACTAGATAAAATAAAACAAAAACTACTTTTAATGCAAAGCTTGGTTTATAAAAAAAAACAAGGAAATTTCATGTGCAAAAAATGAGAAGGGATCTGAAAGCAGTATTGAGTATATGGACCAATACAGGTAGCTGCCTGTATTTTTTCGTGCGGGCAAGGATCGGGGTATAAAGTTTCTACTGACCTAAGGACTTGGAGTAAACAACATTGTGAGCACAGGAGAGGAGTCTTGGGTTCACTTAATGGTTGCTGATTGTGGCTGAGACTCAATATAAAGTAGGAACCCCTGAGGGGGTACGCTTTCAGTGAAAGAATGGCAGAAGGAACACAACCATTTACCAACTTAAGAAAATGAAAAGGAAGCTTGAGTCTCTCCTGAGAGGTCTCTTGAAAAACTGAAACTGCCTTGCTCCTTGCACAGATTTGAGGATTGAATTGATAACACCTGAGGGGTCCAGAAACCTCCATTGTTTAAAAGAAATAATCATTTAAAAATTGATACCTGGCCCAGGCATGGTCACTCATACCTGTAATCCCAGCCCTTTGGGAGGCCAAGGTGGGTGGATCACCCGATGTCAGGAGTTCGAGACCAGCCTGGCCAACATGGTGAAACCCCATCTCTACTAAAAATACAAAATTAGCAGGGTGTGGTGGCAGATGCCTGTGGTCCCAGTTACTCAGGAGGCTGAGACAGGAGAATCACTTGAACCCCGGAGGCGGAAACTGCAGTGAGCTGAGATTTGCACCACTGCACTCCAGCCTGGGCCAGACAGACTGAGACTCTATCTCAAAAAAAAAAATAAAAAAATAAAAAAAATTGATACCTGATAATCCCCTTTGAATGCTTGGCAGAATTTATGTAAAACAGGGGAGCAATTTCTATTGAGATTCCCACAGGAAAAAATACCCCTATTAAAGAAAAATTACTGATAAAAATGTATAAAACAAGGCAGAATCCATTAGGCACACCATAGATGTCTTCTTAGCTTGTGTGTTTCACACAGCAAGGGCACATGCAGGATGATGATAACAGAGCCCTTGCAGTGTATATATGTTGTGGTGGCCCCAGAAACCATTTACCACCAGCAAGAACCAGCAGGCATTGCAACAGGGGGATTAGAACCCAAGAACTTCATAATATTGCTGCAACAATAATATCAAAGAGAACTCAAAACAGACATGGAAAAATAATTGAAGACTTGACATAAATACTTAAAATCCTAAGAAAATAATATGACATTATGAAAAAAAAAGAACAGGCAGATTTGAAATTTTTGAAAAAGATAAAATATGTTGTCAAGATTGCACCACAGAGAACTAAAGAGAGAAAATATGACAGAAAAGAAGGTGCTTGGGGGATGATTGACATGCTCTTTTAAGATGTGGCTCTTCAGCAGTTTTTTTGATAGAAAGAGGCTATTACAGGGCAAGAAGTTCTTTAGCTTTCTCCATTTTCTGAGCTGATAAAGAAAATTACACAAAGAAAAATCTTAAGGAATCTGAACTTTAGATATTATATATCAAGATAAAACCTCAAGAAAGGGTATTTTATTAGAGAATTAGAATTAATAGCAAGATGACAAACTGCAGAATATAATTGTTATGAAGGCAGATATGGTTGGAACAGACAGAACTGTTTAGGCATCTGATAAACTCCAAGTGGAAGAAGTTTTTAAACATCTTTATGGAAAAATTGGAGAAATAAGAATTAAATGGTGATACTTAATGCTTGAGTTTCATGGAAAAAGAGAGCCTAGATTGTATCTGGGGTGAATGTATTTCTTTAAGTCTTTCTAAAAGTATTTATTTATATTAAGCAAAGTCGTTGTGGGGAAAGTTACATTCATATTTAAACTTCATTGTTAGATCATACTTCGGATTATTTCAATCACATCTGGAGTAAGTTTACAACTGGGGGCTGTGGCCAAATGCAGGGATCCAATATTTACTTGGTAATATCATCTGCAATCAAAAAGCAGAATGCCAAGAAGGAAATCATCAGTCTCTTCAGAGCTGACTTATACTTCCAATTAATACAGTACAGCAAGTATCTCATCAAAATTTCCTTTCAAATATAATATGAACTACTGGTGAATGGACAAAAGCAGGAAGCACTGAAGACTAGAGAGAGGAGAATGCCTTCAGCAAGAGACAATGTGTTTACAAAAACAGGCCTGGACTGCTTTAGAAAGTCATCACCAATGGCCTTCAGCCTTTCTTATAATAAAATAAGGAAGGAAGAAATCACTTCAAATTTTAAAAGTAGATTAGTTAGAATTTTAGCTGCATACTTCTGGGAAAGTGATTTTTCTCTCCTTCTACCCTCTTCCATTAAGTAGGGCATACTGTTCAGAATTCAAAACCTGCTGGCCAAGTTTCTAGGGTAAACAAGACTTTGTGGCTCTAGAATGAGCCCTGTTTTGAAAGCTGAATGATTTTTTGGGAGAAGAGAGAGGAAGAGGAGTTCTTAAATAAAAGGAATATGGACTTTAAAAATAAACAGTGAAGTTTGAAATGCCTGAAGTTTGTTCCTGGCACCAGTATGTCTCCAGGCAACTTTAGGCACATATAATACTGAGCCAACTTGGCTGAGCCTAGAACTGGTGGTGGACCTGAAAACAGCTCAGTGTGAAAGCCATCAAGAACTGGGATTTGGGCTGTGTTTACAGAGATTGGTCTTAGAAGACAATGTAAGCTTTTGGGGAAAGCAGCATAACATAAACTTTTGGGGACAACAAGCTTTTTAGGAACGCTAGGAAACAATGGACACTACTTGAAGGAAAGACATAGTATGGGGAAAATGCTCCATTGAATAAATTAGATAGAAGAATATAAGGTTAAGTATCAGAAATGAAACAAAACTAAGTAAATGGTTGGCTTTTCATTGTTGTTGGCTGATCTTTGTCTGAAATAGAGGATTTTAAACTTTTGTTTTAAATCTACCTTGACAATGTTGAAGAAACCTCTTGACTCAAGATGGGAAATAAAAGTTTCACCTTACAGGATAATAAACAGGTTTAGTTTAAGGATCGCCAGAAAGATTGAAAGTTAAAGGGAAAAAGTTGGAAAACAATGATATTTTCCCAGTTTCCTTATAAAAGAAGCCATTGTTCACTGAGCTAGTAACATTTTTTTCATTAAGAAAATTATATTTTTATAAGGCTAACAGCCCTACTTTTTTGCTCTTCCCTTTGTGGAGATAAAAAGTGCTTTGACTTGTAGTTGTTTTATGTTTTTTGTTTGTTTGTTTGTTTTTTGAGACAGAGTTTCATTCTTTTGCCCAGGCTGGATTGAAGTGGCGCCATATCAGCTCACTGCAACCTCTGTCCCCTGGGTTCAAGCGATTCTCCTGCCTTAGCCTCCTGAGTAGCTGGGATTAGAGGTGTGAGCTACCATGCCTAGCCAGTAGGCATGGTGGCAGTGTCTATAATCCCAGCACTTTGGGAGGCCAAGGTGGGCAGATCACCTGAGGTCAGGAGTTCAAGACCAGCCTGGCCAACATGGTGAAACACTGTCTCTACTAAAAATATAAAGATTAGCCAGGTGTAGTGGTGCATGCCTGTGATCCCAGTTACTCAGGAGGCTGAGACAGCAGAATTGTTTGAACTTGGGAGGCGGAGGCTACAGTGAGTTGAGATTATGCCACTTCACCCCAGCCTGGGCAACAGAGTGAGACTTCTAATCAAAAAAAAAAAAAAAAAGAAAGAAAAAAAAGAAATATAGTTCTCATGACTGCAGCAAGGTGTGAAAATTGTATTAAAAACTGTATGATTTGATGTAAAAGAGTTAATGGCAATCTAAATTTTTCTTAGTGGTGCATTTTTTTCTAATCCCTATAAAAATTAGCTTATCTCAGGGTTTATCACCCTCAGCACTCTTAACATTTTGGGCCAGATATTTCTTTGAAGTCGGGGGCTGTTCTGTGCATTGAAGGATGTTTAGGGCCTCCCCTAACTAGAGCATCCCCTCTAGCTATGAGAACCAAAAATGTTTCCAGATAATGACAGATGTTCTCTAAAGGGCAAAATCATCTCCGGTTGTGAACCACTGGTTTATTTTAATAGTGTTAAGATACGCTACTTAGGATTCACTTTCTAATGACAGTAGCAATAAAGTAAGCTTGTTTAGTTAATATCCTCAACAATAGTGTGCTTGTGACAAAGTAATTGGAGTTGAGATAATGCATATAAAGAACCTAGACTGTGCCTGGCACCACTCCAGTACTTAAAAATATTAGTGATGATAATGATGGCTCTGAAGGTGATGGAAAGGGGGAAGGAAGGAGAGGAGGGACAGAGAAGAGGAGGAGAAAGGAAATGAGTGAGAGGATGAGCACAGGCATATATTATACTCTCTTTGCTTGGAAATGTGTAGTCAGCTAATTCTGATTCTCACTTGGCACCAGATCAGAGCTGGTGAGCAGAGAGGAGGCAGAGGAGAGGGGAACAGTCAGGTGGGGGGTAAAAGAATTGGATGGGTTTGGCCGGGCGCAGTGGCTCACTCCTGTAATTCCAGTACTTTGGGAGGCTGAGGCAGGTGGATCACCTGAGGTCAGGAGTTCAAGACCAGTCTGGCCAACATGGTGAAACTCCGTCTCTACTAAAAATACAAAAATTAGCCAGGCATGGTGGCACACGCCTGTAATCCCAGCTACTTGGGAGGCTGAGGCAGGAGAATTGCTTGAACCTGGGAGGCGGAGGTTGCAGTGAGCCAAGATCACACCACTGCAGTCCAGCCTGGGTGACAGAGCAAGATTCTGTCTCAGAAAAAAAAAAAAAAAAAGAATTGGATGGGTTTTTCATTCAAAATATTGTGTTTTCTTGTTACAATTATCTCTAGGACTTAACTTCCTTACACGCAAGGCATTTTCTGGTACAAATTAATATCGACTTGGCTTTAGAAAAATACACACCCATTGGCCGGACGCAGTGGCTCATACCTGTAATCCCAGCACTTTGGGAGGCCAAGACAAGTGGATCACGAGGTCAGGAGATCGAGACCATTCTGGCTAATATGGTGAAACCCCGTCTCTACTAAAAATACAAAAAATTAGCCAGGTGTGGTGGCGGGCGCCTGTAGTCCCAGCTACTCAGGAGGCTGAAGCAGGAGAATGGCGTGAACCCGGGAGGCGGAGCTTGCAGTGAGCCGAGATCGCACCACTGCACTCCAGCCTGGGCGACAGAGCAAGACTCTGTCTCAAAAAAAAGAAAAGAAAAATACACACCCATCAAACAAGTAGGATTTATTTCCAGGGCAGATTAGAGAAAGTAGATGTTACATTACTTGATTCATTAAGGCATTAAACTTCCTCATATTACATTTATATTTACTTAAGTTCACACTCATTTTGTGTATAGATCCCATAAATGTTTAATGCATGTGACGCACTAATAAATGCTAATTGCATGCACTGGTATTAACTTTACTGCAGTGAATACTAGCAAGGGTCTTGGGAGGTAAATGTTCTACACATTTAAGGGGAGGATACGAGACTCAGAAAGATAAGCAGTTGCCCAGGATAACTCTCAAGTTATTCTGACACGTGAGCACAGGTCTTTCTTCCCTCAGGCTGTGGCCCTTTCTGCCACCCCACGGCTGCTCTTCATAAACTCATATGCCTACAGCTGAACGTGGGCAAACCATGATGCTCCTGAGAAATGGCAGATGGCTTATTTTCTTCTCCGCATACCTTTTTTCTCTTTCTTGTCTCTTTTCCTCCATCTCCCTCTTCCATTCCTTAGGCCTGTCAGTAACACCCTGCTGCTCGCTTATGCTGCTGAAGGGAGCCAGAGTTAAAGACGTTGTTGTGGATGGCATTCCACCACCATTCAGGTAGTTTGTTTGTTTGTTTGTTTGTTTGTTTTTGAGACAGAGTTTTGCTCTTGTCACCCAGGCTGGAGTGCAATGGCACAATCTCGGCTTACTGCCACCTCCGCCTCCTGGGTTCAAGTGATTCTCCTGCCTCAGCCTCCTGAATAACTGGGAATACAGGCACCCACAACCACACCTGGCTAAATTTTGTATTTTTAAAGTAGAGACAGGGTTTCACCATGTTGGTCAGGCTGGTCTCGAATTCCTGACCTCTGGTGATCCACCCGCCTCGGGCTCCCAAAGTGCTGAGATTACAGGTGTGAGCCATCATGCCCAGCCAAATAGTTCTAATAGAGATTTCTTATTGGTTTTGTACCATTGCAGAGAGCAAGAAGAACCCTCAGGGGTGTCAATAGAAGCCTACTGTAGTGCCCGCCTGATATCAGCCAGTGGGTATATGTGAGTACAGCTATACTAGTTTTGTTTGTTTGTTTGTTTAGATGGAGGTCTCACTCTGTTGCCCAAGCTAGAGTGCAGTGGTGTGATCATGACTCACTGCAGCCTTGACCTCCTGTGCTCAAGTGATCCTCCTGCCTCAGCCTCCTAAGTAGCTGGGACTACAGGCAGGCTTTAGTGTCTGGCTAGTTATTTTTTGTACAGACAGGTGTCACTAAGTTACCCAGGCTAGTCTTGAACTCCTGACTTCAAGTGATCCTCCTGCCTCAGCTTCTCAGAATTCTGGGATTATAGGAGTGAGCCACCATGCCTGGTCAGCTATACTAGTTTTAAATTATTGAACTACTTCTTTCTCTTTGGTAGACAGTTGCTTTCCTGAGCCCCTGAGTGCTCCTACCCTGAGCCCTGGGCCCAGTCCTCCCAACTCCTTGTCGTACAGTACCAATTAAAAAATATTTTGAGTATCACCCTGCTTTGGGCTAGTGCTTTTAATGCTTTTAGCTAATAACTAAGTTCTATAAAAAACATATTTCATTGAGCTTGCAGGTCACACTAAGGAGGGTAGAATATTAAGAGGACAAATTTGACAATCATAAGGAGTATATGGTTAGTAAAAATGGGAAGAAATTTTAGAGAAGTGGGATGAAAATATAGCAGCAATCTCTCTGCACCTTGACGTTGATGATAATCATCAATATTCCTCATCTTTGTTCTAACTAGAAAGGTGAGAGAAATGAGAAAGAGGCCTGAAAGGGAAGGAGAGAGGGCCTGGCATGGTATAGATGTACCAGAAATATTTGTAACTGAATAAATAGTTGAATACATGACTGGATGACAGTAGAAGTGCCACCACAGAATATTTGTTTCTGAGCACTGAATAAGATAGTCAGTCAATGCAACAAGTGTAAAGCACCTGCTCTGTGTTAGGTTTGGGCTAGGATACAAAGTGGAATCAAACATGGTCTTACCAAAGACTATTAATTAATTTAGAAGAAAAATATAAGGTTGAGAAATGAGAAATGTATGCAGCAAGGAATTGATGGGCCAGAGGAAGTTCTGGTATTAAAAAGAAAAAGAAGTTAACATGATACTGGTATTAGTAGAAGTAAAACCACCAAGCTTTATGAGATCCTTCTCCCACTCTACCCAGCCTTACTAAACTGACACTCAGTATGGGCCCCACCTTTTAAGACAATGTTGAGAATGCGTAAATGCTCCAAGAGAGTAGCCATAAGCAGGGCTGACTTCATGGGCATACAACAAGCGCAGTCCCAGCAGGCCACTCTCAGAAGGGCACTGCACTTGGTGGTTAAAAGCTGTGTCATCTTGAAATTCTTAATATTTTATCTTTGAATTTGTGTTCTGTGAGTGAAGTCCAATGGGACAGTGGAGCATGCGCGTAAGCAGAGGAGATACATGCGTGCTGGTTTCCCTCATGCCTGCAGATCCATTTGCAAAACATTCAGGATTGCTACCCTGCTTCCATGACACACAAGAAGTGTGTCTACTTGCTTGTACTTGCTTTGAGTCTTGCCCACCTCCTATGTATGTGGGTCCACCAGAATTCTGTGCTCATGTCTCACACCTCATATCAGCAGATGCTCATACTGTCATGTGCTCCACATGTATCAACATGTGCCCAGACCAACACGTCTACAATAGCAGAGGTGCTGATAGCCCCAAGAAGCCATCCTTTCCATTAGAACTGGAACTTGTTTCCAATGCAGAAAGAAGGTAATGGTATTCAGAGAAATAAGAATGACCTAGGAACCCTATCATATACAGTTTTTTTTTTTTTTTTGAGACAGAGCGTTGCTCTGTTACCCAGGCTTGAGTGCAGTGGCGTGATCTCGGATCACTGCAACCTCTGCCTTTCAGGTTTAAGGGATTCTCTTGCCTCAGCCTCCTGAGTAGCTAAGATTACAGGCATGTGCCACCATATTCAGCTAATTTTTGTATTTTTTAGTAGAGACGGGGTTTAGCCATGTTGGCCAGGCTGGTCTCAAACTCCTGGCCTCAGGTGATCCACCCACCTCGCCCTCCCAAAGTGCTGGGGTTACAGGCATGAGCCACTAAGCCCGGCCTCTATCATATACATTTTTACTTGCATTATTTCCTGTATGACCCAATCACTTATGTTAAAAATGTTGACATAGAAGGAAAGGGGAAATAGGTCCATCCATAGTTGCCATATTATAAGGAATAAGTTCTTTCCTTCTTTCTTCCTTCCTTCCTTCCTTCCTTCCTTCCTTCCTTCCTTCCTTCCTTCCTTTCTTTCTTTAAGACACAGTCTCTCTCTGTTGACCAGGCTGGAGTACAGTGGTATGATCTTGGCTCGCTGCAACCTCTGCCTCCCAGGTTCAAGCAATTCTCCTGCCTCAGCCTGACAAGTAGCTGGGACTACAGGCATGTGCCACCAGGCCCAGCTAATTTTTGTATTTTTGGTAGAGACAGGGTTTTGCCATGTTGGCCAGGCTGGTCTCAAGTTCCTGACCTCAGGTGATCTGCCTGCCTTGACCTTTCAAAGTGCTGGGATTACAGGTGGGAGACACTGCACCCAGCCAGGAATAAGTTCTTTCTTATTCATCAGTGATCCAAAGGTAGAGTGTTGGTAGAATGTGAACATATCAAGAAATAAAATAAAAAGTTTTATGCAGTATTATCATTGTTCTGATAAGAATGAAACAATTTATATTTATGAGCTCTAAAATGCAAATTGTGAAATTTTAGTGATTCCACATATAAGATAAAAGCTCTCGTAATTTCTATTTAAAACTGGCATTGCATAAAATAAGATGAATGGTAAAATTCATTCTAATAATTAAATTTAAACTTTAAAATTTAGAATACTTCTATTACACTTAAAAAACATTATTTTTAAATGTGGTAAAATACATATAACATAAAATTTACTATCTTAACCATTTTTAAGTGTACAGTTTGGTGACATTAAGTACATTCACATTGTTGTGCAATGATCACCACCATCTAACTCCAGAATTTTTTTATCTTGCAAAACTGAAATTCTGTACCTATTAAATATTAACTCCTCATTCTCCCCTCTCTCCAGCCCCTGCCAACCACCATTCTATTTTGACTACTGAATTTGACTACTCTAGATACCTCATAGAAGTGGAATCGTAAAATATTTGTCCTTTTGTGACTGGCGTATTCTACTTTATATAATATCCTCAAAATTCATCCATCTTTTAGAATTGTCAGAATTCCCTTCCTTTTTAAAGCTGCGTAATATTCCATTGTATGTACATTCCACATTTTGCTATCCATTCATCTGTCAGTGGACACTGGGTTGCTTCTACTCCTTGGTTATTGTGAATGGTGCTGCTATGAACATGAGTATAGAAGTATCTGTTCGAGCCTCTGCTTTCAATTATTTTGGGTATATACCCAGAGTGGAATTGCAGGATCATATGGTACTTCTATTTTTAGTTTTTTGAGCAACTGTCACACTGTTTTCTCTAAAGTCTATACCAATTTACATTCCCAACAACAGTGCACAAGGGTTCCAATTTTCCCACATCCTCGCCAACACTTATGTTCTGTTTTTTTTTTATAGTATCCATTCTAATAAGTGTGAGGTGGTTCCCTTCCCTTCCCCTCCCCCTCCACCTTCCCTCCCCCTCCCCTCCCCCTCCCCTCCCTTTCCTTTCTTTTCCTTTCCTTTCCTTTCCTTTCCTTTCCTTTCTTTTTGACAGTCTTACTCTGTTGCCCAGGCTGGCGTGATCTCGGCTCACTGCAAACTCCACTTCCTGGGTTCAAGCCTCAGCCTCATGAGTAGCCGATTCTCCTGCCTTGGCCTCATGAGTAGCTGGGACTACAGGGGCGTACCCCTACACCTGGCTAATTTTTGTATTTTTAGTAGAGATGGGTTTTCACCATGTTGGCAAGGCTGGTCTCCATCTCCTGACCTCAAGTGATCAGCCTGCCTCAGCCTCTCAAAGTGCTGGGATTACAGGCATGAGTCACCATGCCCGGCATGAGGTAGTATTTCATTGTGATTTTGATTTTGATTTCCCTAATAATTATTGATGTTGACCCTATTATGCTTTGTAATTAATAAAAACATTTTTAAAGGAAAATGTCTTATATGTTGGTACTTTAACATCATTTTTTCCATGCTCTTTTTTTCTCACTGCCTCTTTGATCAGGTCTTTATTCAAAAGAAGCTGTCCAAAATGATTTGACCTTTATGGAATAATCAAATTTAAGAGTTTATGCAGCAGGCTTCTTTCCTCTGTAGTAGGTTTCTTTTCTGCTGGCTTCTTTTCAGGGACTGGTTTCTTGGTAGCTGCTGCCTTTTTTCCCACCAGAGGTTTCTTCTGCTTCTTAACACCAACAGCAATCTTCTTTCCTTTCTTACCTACCACAGGCTTCTTGCCTGCAACCCCCTTCTCATCCGATTTGGCTTCTAGTGCTTCAGCTGCTGCTGCTGCCTTATCCACCCAGAGCTTGTGATTCCTGGCCTGGCGAAGAATGGTGTTCTGACACATGCATGGTCTTTGCATGTAGGTTTAGCTTCAACATGATTCTCAGGTTTTTCAGTGGGTTCTTCTTTAGGACTCTGCGATGAATCTTGTTGCGTGGTGCTCAAAGGGCTCTTTGGATTTCTGGGCTTTTCAAGATTCTGCTAAGATCTGTATTGATCATCTTATGGATGGGAAGATTGTAGTTACTCTTGAGAGAAGAAGCTTTACGCCAAGTGCCATTAAATTCATCTAACTTCTGGAAAGCACTTTTGGTCCAAATGCAGAAAAGTCCCACATGCCCACCAGGAGCAAGCTTCAAAATGTTCAGTTTGCTTACATTAAGCAGAGTAATTCCAGGGATGTTTCTGAAGGCCTTGATGATACCATTATCCTCATTATAGATGATGTAGGGGCCTGTGCACTGGATACAATGACGGTTTCTCATTTTGCCCTTGCCAGCTCTCATTCGCTGAGAGGCATAGTCCTTTTTGATATCATTCCAGGCTTTAAATTTCTTAAGAAGCGAAACAGCCTCCTTGGTCTTCTTGTACCCTTCAACTTTATCTTCGACTACCAAAGGAAGTTCAGGAACTTCCTCAATACTATGACCTTTAGACATGACCAGTGCTGATAAGGCTGAGGCAGCCAGGGCAGAACAGACGGCATATCATTTTTGGGTTGTGTTCACTCTATGATCCTAACGGCATCAGGTTTTGGTTGGTGCCAACATTCGGCCTCCACAACACATGTTTCCAGAAGCACCCTGGCCAGAATGGTGAGTCCCATAACACCTTGAACTCTGGGAATTTGAGCCACAGCTCTGCCGGTACCCCAAGATTCAGCACTGGTCTGACGACCTGCTAATTCACTGACAGCATAGGGCTGTCTGTTGTTTTTGTGCAAGTTGGTGTGAACAAAGTTCACAATATCTGGTCGAATAGGAGCCTTGAATACAGCAGGCAAAGTGACATTTTTGCCAGATGACTCCCCACTTTCAGAGTACACCGATATTAGTAGGCGAGCACATGCCATGGTGGAGAGGAGAGAGCCACGCTCCTCTCACCATGGCTGTTGCCACAGGCAAAGTTCTCTGTGCTTTTAAAAATGTGCCCCACATTTTAATTTTGCGTTGGGTCCTGGAAATTATGTAGCCAGCCTTACATATGGGAAAGAAGGTTAATGAAAAAAATGGACTGGGTAGTAACTTAATAATCTGAGTGTATGATACTTGTTTATCACCTGTTTCCCATCTCTATTGACTCAGTGAAAGTCTGAGAGATTTATTTAGAAAGGAAAACTGCCTTAGTGTCTGCAGCTTCCCGTAAAGAATCTGATCACTTGTTCCACTTTGGATTACAGCCTCGCCTCTGTCACACATCACCTGTGTAAGTGCCGGGCAAATCATTAAACTTCTCTCTTGAGCCTTGATTCCAGAGGGGTTATGGGTCTGGTGGCCAGGTAGGTAGTAGAGGGCAGATCCTGAGATGGGCCAGCATCCTCCTGGAAGTTACTTGCCTTGTTTTGAGGCTACTGAATAGCTTTCAAGCAAGCAAGAGTGAAGGGGGAAATGGGGTTTTATGTTTCAACAAGGGGGACTGGGCCACTTCTGCAGGTCCAGGGAGTTCTGGGGAATCTGAGCATTCAAGATCCTCAAGTAGGCTGAGTGCAGTGACTCATGTCTGTAATCTCAGCACTTTGGGAAGCTGAGGCAGAAGGATTGTTTGAGCCCAGGAGTTTGAGATCAGCCTAAGTAACATAGCAAGACCTCATCTCAATAAAAAACAAAACAATTAGCTGGGCATGGTGGCATGTGCCTGTAGACCTGACTACTCAGGAGGCTGAGGCAGGAGGATTGCTTGAACACAGGATGTTGAGGCTGCAGTGAGCTGTGATGGTGCCACTGCATTCCGGCCTAGGCAACAGAGTGAAATCCTGTCTCAAAAAAAAAAAAAAAAAAAAGGAAAAGAAAGACCCTTAGGGGCGACTACCCAGATATCCCATCCCAAGTCTCTAGGCCCTGTTCTTTCCCTAACAAGATCCTGACTTTGGCATAGGAAACTTGCTGAGGCCGAAAATTCATCCTTCTTTGAAATTCTGCCACCTTAAAACTAATTCTGGGCCTGGTCTTCAACTCTCTCTGCTCTTCAGCTTCAGGAAATAAAGGTCTCTTTAACTACTCTCCATTAGAGAATTAGAGATCTCTGATTCTCATATCTTGCTTTAAATTCACAATTGATTGCCCTGCATCTGTCACATCTGTCGTTTTCTTTTTTTCCAAGCTAAGAATGGAGTTTAGCAGCAGCCGCTCCATGTCAAAATCCTTAAAATGACCGTATCTCCTGTTCCTCTCAAATGCCAGAGATGGCATGACTTTCACATTCCCCTCTACTTGTATCCCTCTCACTTCACCAGAGGTGAACACTTTAGCAATGAATGGCACTGCTACTGCATGTCAGAGACTACTGATATCAGTACTTACCCCACCTACCACCAGTGATGTGATCCTTATTGCTCTCTCTTCAGTGGGTGATCTAATTCCAGAATCCCATCCTTAGAACCTGTTTTCTGGGACCAATACTGGTACTAACCCTCTTCAGTTGGGCTCTTTAGAAACAGTTGGCTACAGGGATTCAGGTACATGTGATTTATTGAAGGAGTGTTCAACTATCTAAGAGACTAAGAGATGCAAGACAATGAAGGGAAAGGGCCAAGCAAAAATGGTCTCAGGTAAAGTCTAGCCTTGGCCAGATTCAAGGGTGTGTGTGGCATCTGAAGCATATATCACAACATGGAGTTGTCCCACCTTCAGATAAGGGGTTCAGCCTTTTTGACCCCAATATCAGTCTACCATTGGCTCCAAGGTACCTCCAGGAATGGGACATAATTCAGAGGTGAGGTGGCTCCCATTGGCTGACAGCAGTTCTCCAGAGAAGGGGGCAAATGTGAGCCATTGGCAGCCAACGTTAACAACATCCACAATAATAGCTGGGGAATGGAATCTGGGCATCAGATGCACTTTCTACCCTCCTTTCAGGATGGTGACCGGTGTGGCTTACACCGCTAGGATTCCTTGCCCTTTGTTTTTCAATGGGGTTCAAAAATAGGGGAGTCTGGCTGGGTGTGGTGGCTCATGCCTGTTATCCCAGCACTTTGGGAGGGCGAGGTGGGATCACTTGAGGTCAAGAGTTTGAGACTGGGCTGGCCAGCCAATATGTTGAAACTCCATCTCTACTAAAAATACAAAAATTAGCCTGGTGTGGTGGCACGTGCCTGTAATTCCAGCTACTCAGGAGGCTGAAGTGGGAGAATCGCTTGAACCTGGGAGGCGGAGTTTGCAGTGAGCCAAGATTGCACCACTGCACTCCAGCCTGAGCGACAGAGTGAGACTTTGTCTCAAAAAAAAAAAAAAAAAAAAAAAAGCGGAGTCCTAGCATCAGGTCACAGGGAATAAAACAACAACTAGGCCAGGGTATTTATTCCCCTGGCATCCTCCCTGTAAGATCACCTTAGGCTGGCTGCATCCCCTGGCCAAAAGTCAAGGTAGCCCTCTGCATGTGACTTTGTCCTTCCAGGTTTTAGTAACCTCTGCCTTCCCTCAACCCTTCAAGGTGTACTATCCTTTGTAGTTTCTTTAAGCCCTACTACCTTTATAAATTTACCTTTATTAAATTCTCCTTGAATTATTTTGAGTGTGCTGTGATGTAAAACAGAATGCTACCCTGGCAGCAACTGATGAGATCAAGGAAGGTAAGCAGTTCAGTTTTCACTGTAAGTGCAATGAGACTTCATCAAAGGGTTTCAAGTAGAAGAATTATCTGTTTTTGAACTCTCAATTTTGATTTCTCCCTTAGCTGCCAGTATAATGTAAATTTTCCAGTAATTTTTATCAAGAAAAGAGACAAGGACGTTATGTTTTCTGAACTCTCATATTTTTAAGAATATTGTGTTTGTGGTTTTCATTTTTTTTCTTTTTAAAGACAGGGTCTTGCTCTGTCACCCAGGCTGGAATGCAGTGGTGCCATCATGGCTTACTGCAACCTTGACCTCCAGAGCTCAAATGATTCTCCCACCTCAGCCTCCTGAGTAGCTGGGACTCCAGGCATGCGCCACCATGCTTGGCTACTTTTTTTAGTTTTTGTAGAGACAGGTTCTCACTGTGTTGCCCAGGCTGGTCTCAAACTCCTGGGCTCAAGTGATCCTCCTGCTTCAGCCTCCTAAAGTATTGGAATTACGGGTGAGAGCCACTGAGCCCAGCCTGGTTTGCATTCTTTTTAAAAAATTTTCCAATGGTCCATAGAATCCTCAATGGTTTTCATTCTTCTTTTTTTTTTTTTTTTTTTTTGAGATGGAGTCTGGCTCTGTCGCCCAGGCTGGAGTGCAGTGGCACGATATCGGCTCACTGCAAGCTCCACCTCCCGGGTTCACGCCATTCTCCTTCCTCAGCCTCCTGAGTAGCTGGGACTACAGGTGCCCTCCACCACACCTGGCTAATTTTTTTTTTTTTTTGTATTTTTAGTAGAGATGGGGTTTCACCGTGTTAGCCAGGATGGTCTCGATCTCCTGACCTCGTGATCCGTCTGCTTTGGCCTCCCAAAGTGCTGGGATTACAGGCTTGAGTCACCGTGCCTGGCCTGGTTTTCATTCTTAAGTGACAACTGGTTTGGTATAAAAATTCTTGAGTCACAGCTGTATCCTCTCAAAAATCTACAGATGCTGTTTTAGTATTCTATAATTCAGTGGCAGAAAAGATGGAGGCAAGCTTAATTTTTGCTTCCTTGTAGGTAACACATTTTTCAGGTCTCAATGCTTATAGAATTTACCCCTTTAATCTTACTATTCATATACTCTACTACAAGGTAACTTAATGTGTCTTTTGATAATTTTTTTTTCTCCTGAAGGACTTTATTAAAACTTAAGTTTTCATTAAAGAATACATCAAAGAATAATGTTTCTGATGATTGCTCTGTTTCACTCTTTTTGGATTTCTTCCACAGGAACACTATGTAATTCTTAGTAGGCCTTTTTTTTTGGTCTCCTAGATCTAACATCACACTGTCCATTTACAGTTTTGATGTTTTTCCTCTGTGTTCAGTGGCAGCTTCTTGAACCTCTCTTCTGCATCACTGATTTTCTTCAATCAATTCTACTCCTCACTGCTTCAGTGAAGGGCTTAATGTTTGTGTTGCAATTTGTTTCCTGGCAAATTATTTTAACTTGCTCCCCTTTTGGCTGACCTAACTGTATACATAACACATTTAATTGTACTTCTTTTCTTGCCTTTTCTCTCTTTATGACTTTCTGAATTCCAAAAGCATCGGTTTCATCCTGTTGCAGATGCTGAGGTGCTCAAAATCAATTTAGTTCTTGTGGTACATCATTTTTTTTTTTTGTACACACGCATCTCTTTCTTTTTTTTTTTTCCTTTTTTTTCTTTATTATTATTACACTTTAAGTTTTAGGGTACATGTGCACAATGTGCAGGTTAGCTACATATGTATACATGTGCCATGCTGGTGCGCTGCACCCACTAACTCGTCATCTAGCATTAGATATATCTCCCAATGCTATCCCTCCCCTCTCCCCCAACCCCACAACAGTCCCTTGAGTGTGATGTTCCCTTTCCTGTGTCCATGTGTTCTCACTGTTCAATTCCCACCTATGAGTGAGAATATGCGGTGTTTGGTTTTTTGTTCTTGCGATAGTTTACTGAGAATGATGATTTCCAATTTCATCCATGTCCCTACAAAGGACATGAACTCATCATTTTTTATGGCTGCATAGTATTCCATGGTGTATATGTGCCACATTTTCTTAATCCAATCTATCATTGTTGGACATTTGGGTTGGTTCCAAGTCTTTGCTATTGTGAATAATGCTGCAATAAACATACATGTCCATGTGTCTTTATAGCAGCATGATTTATAGTCCTTTGGGTATATACCCAGTAATGGGATGGCTGGGTCAAATAGTATTTCTAGTTCTAGATCCCTGAGGAATTGCCACACTGACTTCCACAATGGTTGAACTAGTTTACAGTCCCACCAACAGTGTAAAAGTGTTCCAATTTCTCCACATCCTCTCCAGCACCTGTTGTTTCCTGACTTTTTAATGATTGCCATTCTAAATGGTGTGAGATGGTATCTCATTGTGGTTTTGATTTGCATTTCTCTGATGGCCAGTGATGGTGAGGATTTTTTCATGTGTTTTTTGGCTGCATAAATGTCTTCTTTTGAGAAGTGTCTGTTCATGTCCTTTGCCCACTTTTTGATGGGGTTGTTTGTTTTTTTCTTGTAAATTTGTTTGAGTTCATTGTAGATTCTGGATATTAGCCCTTTGTCAGATGAGTAGGTTGCGAAAATTTTCTCCCATTTTGTAGGTTGCCTGTTCACTCTGATGGTAGTTTCTTTTGCTGTGCAGAAGCTCTTTAGTTTAATTAGGTCCCATCTGTCAGTTTTGGCTTTAGTTGTCATTGCTTTTGGTGTTTTAGACATGAAGTCCTTGTCCATGCCTATGTCCTGAATGGTAATGCCTAGGTTTTCTTCTAGGGTTTTTATGGTTTTAGGTCTAACATTTAAGTCTTTAATCCATCTTAAATTGATTTTTGTATAAGGTGTAAGGAAGGGATCATTTCAGCTTTCTACATATGGCTAGCCAGTTTTCCCAGCACCATTTATTAAATAGGGAATCCTTTCCCCATTGCTTGTTTTTGTCAGGTTTGTCAAAGATCAGATAGTTGTAGATATGCGGCGTTATTTCTGAGGGCTCTGTTCTGTTCCATTGATCTATATGTCTGTTTTGGTACCAGTACCATGCTGTTTTGGTTACTGTAGCCTTGTAGTATAGTTTGAAGTCAGGTAGTGTGATGCCTCCAGCTTTGTTCTTTTGGCTTAGGATTGACTTGGCGATGCGGGCTCTTTTTTGGTTCCATATGAACTTTAAAGTAGTTTTTTCCAATTCTGTGAAGAAAGTCTTTGGTAGCTTGATGGGGATGGCATTAAATCTGTAAATTACCTTGGGCAGTATGGCCATTTTCACGATATTGATTCTTCCTACCCATGAGCATGGAATGTTCTTCCATTTGTTTGTATCCTCTTTTATTTCCTTGAGCAGTGGTTTGTAGTTCTCCTTGAAGAGGTCCTTCACATCCCTTGTAAGTTGGATTCCTAGGTATTTTATTCTCTTTGAAGCAATTGTGAATGGGAGTTCACTCATGATTTGGCTCTCTGTTTGTCTGTTGTTGGTGTATAGGAATGCTTGTGATTTTTGTACATTGATTTTGTATCCTGAGACTTTGCTGAAGTTGCTTATCAGCTTAAGGAGATTTTGGGCTGAGACAATGGGGTTTTCTAGATATACAATCATGTCATCTGCAAACAGGGACAATTTGACTTCCTCTTTTCCTAATTGAATACCCTTTATTTCCTTCTCCTGCCTAATTGCCCTGGCCAGAACTTCCAACACTATGTTGAATAGGAGTGGTGAGAGAGGGCATCCCTGTCTTGTGCCAGTTTTCAAAGGGAATGCTTCCAGTTTTTGCCCATTCAGTATGATATTGGCTGTGGGTTTGCCATAGATAGCTCTTATTATTTTGAGATACGTCCCGTCAATACCTAATTTATTGAGAGTTTTTAGCTTGCAGGGTTGTTGAATTTTGTCAAAGGCCTTTTCTGCATCTCTTGAGATAATCATGTGGTTTTTGTCTTTGGTTCTGTTTATATGCTGGATTATATTTATTGATTTGCATATATTGAACCAGCCTTGCATCCCAGGGATGAAGCCCACTTGATCATGGTGGATAAGCTTTTTGATGTGCTGCTGGATTCAGTTTGCCAGTATTTTATTGAGGATTTTTGCATCAATGTTCATCAAGGATATTGGTCTAAAGTTCTCTTTTTTGGTTGTGTCTTTGCCCGGCTTTGGTATCAGGATGATGCTAGCCTCATAAAATGAGTTAGGGAGGATTCCCTGTTTTTCTATTGATTGGAATAGTTTCAGAAGGAATGGTACCAGTTCCTCCTTGTACCTCTGGTAGAATTCGGCTGTGAATCCATCTGGTCCTGGACTCTTTTTGGTTGGTAAGCTATTGATTATTGCCACAATTTCAGATCCTGTTATTGGTCTATTCAGAGATTCAACTTCTTCCTGGTTTAGTCTTGGGAGAGTGTATGTGTCGAGGAATTTATCCATTTCTTCTAGATTTTCTAGTTTATTTGCGTAGAGGTGTTTGTAGTATTCTGTGATGGTAGTTTGTATTTCTGTGGGATCGGTGGTGATATCCCCTTTATCATTTTTTATTGCATCTATTTCATTCTTCTGTCTTTTTTTCTTTGTTAGTCTTGCTAGCGGTCTATCAATTTTGTTGATCCTTTCAAAAAACCAGCTCCTGGATTCATTAATTTTTTGAAGGGTTTTTTGTGTCTCTATTTCCTTCAGTTCTACTCTGATTTTAGTTATTTCTTGCCTTCTGCTAGCTTTTGAATGTGTTTGCTCTTGCTTTTCTAGTTCTTTTAATTGTGATGTTAGGGTGTCAATTTTGGATCTTTCCTGCTTTCTCTTGTGGGCATTTAGCGCTATAAATTTCCCTCTACACACTGCTTTGAATGAGTCCCAGAGATTCTGGTATGTTGTGTTTTTGTCCTCATTGGTTTCAAAGAACATCTTTATTTCTGCCTTCATTTCGTTATGTACCCAGTAGTCATTCAGGAGCAGATTGTTCAGTTTCCATGTAGTTGAGTGGTTCTGAGTGAGATTCTTAATCCTGAGTTCTAGTTTGATTGCACTGTGGTCTGAGACATAGTTTGTTATAATTTCTGTTCTTTTACATTTGCTGAGGAGAGCTTTACTTCCAAGTATGTGGTCAATTTTGGAATAGGTGTGGTGTGGTGCTGAAAAAAATGTATATTCTGTTGATTTGGGGTGGACAGTTCTGTAGATGTCTATTAGGTCTGCTTGGTGCGGAGCAGAGTTCAATTCCTGGGTATCCTTGTTGACTTTCTGTCTTGTTGATATGTCTAATGTTGACAGTGGGGTGTTAAAGTCTCCTATTATTAATGTGTGGGAGTCTAAGTCTCTTTGTAGGTCACTCAGGACTTGCTTTATGAAACTGGGTGCTCCTGTATTGGGTGCATATATATTTAGGATAGTTAGCTCTTCCTGTTGAATTGATCCCTTTACCATTATGTAATGGCCTTCTTTGTCTCTTTTGATCTTTGTTGGTTTAAAGTCTGTTTTATCAGAGACTAGGATTGCAACCCCTGCCGTTTTTTGTTTTCCATTTGCTTGGTAGATCTTCCTCCATCCGTTTATTTTAAGCCTATGTGTGTCTCTGCATGTGAGATGGGTTTCCCGAATACAGCACACTGATGGGTCTTGACTCTTCATCCAATTTGCCAGTCTGTGTCTTTTAATTGGAGCATTTAGTCCATTTACATTTAAAGTTAATATTGTTATGTGTGAATTTGATCCTGTCATTATGATGTTAGCTGGTTATTTTGCTTGTTAGTTGATGCAGTTTCTTCCTAGTCTTGATGGTCTTTACATTTTGGCATGATTTTGCAGTGGCTGGTACCGGTTGTTCCTTTCCATGTTTAGCGCTTCCTTCAGGAGCTCTTTTAGGGCAGGCCTGGTTGTGACAAAATCTCTCAGCATTTGCTTGTCTGTAAAGTATTTTATTTCTCCTTCACTTATGAAGCTTAGTTTGGCTGGATATGAAATTCTGGGTTGAAAATTCTTTTCTTTCTTTTTTTTTTTTAATTGATCATTCTTGGGTGTTTCTCGCAGAGGGGGATTTGGCAGGGTCATAGGACAATAGTGGAAGGAAGGTCAGCAGATAAACAAGTGAACAAAGGTCTCTGGTTTTCCTAGGCAGAGGACCCTGGGGCCTTCCGCAGTGTTTGTGTCCCTGGGTACTTGAGATTAGGGAGTGGTGATGACTCTTAACGAGCATGCTGCCTTCAAGCATCTGTTTAACAAAGCACATCTTGCACTGCCCTTAATCCATTTAACCCTGAGTGGACACAGCACATGTTTCAGAGAGCACCGGGTTGGGGGTAAGGTCATAGATCAACAGCATCCCAAGGCAGAAGAATTTTTCTTAGTACAGAACAAAATGGAGTCTCCTATGTCTACTTCTTTCTACACAGACACAGCAACAATCTGATTTCTCTATCTTTTCCCCCCATTTCCCCCTTTTCTATTCAACAAAACCGCCATCGTCATCATGGCCCATTCTCAATGAGCTGTTGGGTACACCTCCCAGATGGGGTGGTGGCCGGGCAGAGGGGCTCCTCACTTCCCAGAAGGGGCGGCCGGGCAGAGGCACCCCCCACCTCCCGGACAGGGCGGCGGCAGGGCAGAGGCTGGCCCCCACCTCCCTCCCGGACTGGGCGGCTGGCCAGGCGGGGGCTGACCCCCCACCTCCCTCCCGGATGGGGCGGCTGGCCGGGCGGGGGCTGACCCCCCACCTCCCTCCCGGACGGGGCGGCTGGCCGGGCGGGGGCTGACCCCCCACCTCCCTCCCGGACGGGGCGGCTGCCAAGCAGAAACCCTCCCCCCTTCTCAGACGGGGCAGCTGCCAAGCGGAGGGGCTCCTCCCTTCTCAGACGGGGCGGCCGGGCAAAAACCCTCCTCCCCTCCCAGACGGGGTCGCGGCCGGGCAGAGGTGCTCCTCACATCCCAGACGGGGCAGCAGGGCAGAGGCGCTCCCCACATCTCAGACGATGGGCGGCCGGACAGAGATGCTCCTCACTTCCTAGACGGGATGGCGGCCGGGAAGAGGCGCTCCTCACTTCCCAGACTGGGCAGCCGGGCAGAGGGGCTCCTCACATCCCAGACGATGGGTGGCCAGGCAGAGACGCTCCTCACTTCCCAGACGGGGTGGCGGCCGGGCAGAGGCTGCAATCTCGGCACTTTGGGAGGCCAAGGCAGGTGGCTGGGAGGCGGAGGTTGCAGCGAGCTGAGATCATGCCACTGCACTCCAGCCTGGGCACCATTGAGCACTGAGTGAACGAGACTCCATCTGCAATCCCGGCACCTCGGGAGGCCGAGGCTGGCAGATCACTCCTGGTTAGGAGCTGGAGACCAGCCCGGCCAACACAGCGAAACCCCGTCTCCACCAAAAAAATATGAAAACCAGTCAGGCATTGAGGCAGGAGAATCAGGCAGGGAGGTTGCAGTGAGCAGAGATGGCGGCAGTACAGTCCAGCTTCGGCTCGGCATCAGAGGGAGACCGTGGAAAGAGAGGGAGAGGGAGACCGTGGGGAGAGGGAGAGGGAGAGGGAGAGCGAAAATTCCTTTCTTTAAGAATGTTGAATATTGGCCCCCACTCTCTTCTGGCTTGTAGAGTTTCTGCCGAGAGATCCGCCGTTAGTCTGATGGGCTTCCCTTTGTGGGTAACCCGACCTTTCTCTCTGGCTGCCCTTAACATTTTTTCCTTCATTTCAACTTTGGTGAATCTGACAATTATGTGTCTTGGAGTTGCTCCTCTCGAGGAGTATCTTTGTGGCATTCTCTGTATTTCCTGAATCTGAATGTTGGCCTGCCTTGCTAGATTGGGGAAGTTCTCCTGGATAATATCTTGCAGAGTGTTTTCCAACTTGGTTCCATTCTCCCCGTCACTTTCAGGTACACCAGTCAGATGTAGATTTGGTCTTTTCACATAGTCCCATATTTCTTGGAGGCTTTGCTCGTTTCTTTTTATTCTTTTTTCTCTAAACTTCCCTTCTCGCTTCATTTCATTCACTTCATCTTCCATCGCTGATACCCTTTCTTCCAGTTGACCGCATAGGCTCCTGAGGCTTCCGCATTCTTCACGTAGTTCTTGAGCCTTGGTTTTCAGCTCCATCAGCTCCTTTAAGCACTTCTCTGTATTGGTTATTCTAGTTATACATTCTTCTAAATTTTTTTCAAAGTTTTCAACTTATTTGCCTTTGGTTTGAATTTCCTCCCGTAGCTCAGAGTAATTTGATCGTCTGAAGCCTTCTTCTCTCAGCTCGTCAAAGTCATTCTCCATCCAGCTTTGTTCCTTTGCTGGTGAGGAACTGCATTCCTTTGGAGGAGGAGAGGCGCTCTGCTTTTTAAGAGTTTCCAGTTTTTCTGCTCTGTTTTTTCCCCATCTTTGTGGTTTTATCTACTTTTGGTCTTTGATGATGGTGATGTACAGTTGGGTTTTTGGTGTGGATGTCCTTTCTGTTTATTAGTTTTCCTTCTAACAGACAGGACCCTCAGCTGCAGGTCTGTTGGAGTACCCGGCCGTGTGAGGTGTCAGTCTGCCCCTGCTGGGGGGTGCCTCCCAGTTAGGCTGCTCGGGGGTCAGGGGTCAGGGACCCACTTGAGGAGGCAGTCTGCCCTTTCTCAGATCTCCAGCTGCGTACCGGGAGAACCACTGCTCTCTTCAAAGCTGTCAGACAGGGACATTTAAGTCTGCAGAGGTTACTGCTTTTTGTTTGTCTGTGCCCTGCCCCCAGAGGTGGAGCCTACAGAGGCAGGCAGGCCTCCTTGAGCTGTGGTGGGCTCCACCCAGTTCGAGCTTCCCGGCTGCTTTGTTTACCTAAGCCAGCCTGGGCAATGGCAGGCGCCCCTCCCCCAGCCTCGCTGCCGCCTTGCAGTTTGATCTCAGACTGCTGTGCTAGCAATCAGTGAGACTCCGTGGGCATAGGACCCTCCGAGCCATGTGCGGGATATAATCTCCTGGTGCCCCATTTTTTAAGCCCGTCGGAAAAGCACAGTATTCGGGTGGGATGACCCGATTTTCCAGGTGCCATCTGTCACCCGTTTCTTTGACTAGGAAAGGGAACTCCCTGACCCCTTGCGCTTCCCAAGTGAGGCAATGCCTCGCCCTGCTTCGGCTCGTGCACGGTGCGCGCACCCACTGACCTGCACCCATTGTCTGGCACTCCCTAGTGAGATGAACCCGGTACCTCAGATGGAAATGCAGAAATCACCCGTCTTCTGCGTCGCTCACACTGGGAGCTATAGACTGGAGCTGTTCCTATTCGGCCATCTTGGCTCCTCCCTCCTGGTACATCATTTTCAAAACTACCATCTTCCTTCACATCTTCAACATAATTAATACATTCAGTAATTATGTGAGCACTCACTGTGACAATTGCTGTTGTAGTGAGTGGTTTGGGATATATCAGAGAAAATTCTGGAATGTTAGAATGCTCTGGAAAAACAGAGGGTAAAGGGATTGGATGGTGTACTCGGGGAGATTTTGAGAAAGTCATTCAAGAGAATGACTTTCATACAGTGGTTGAGGAGGAGGAAGGGCTTTTCTGGCAGGAGAAACAGCAAGTCCAAGGCCTATGGCAGGAGCACACCTGGTGTGTCTGAGGAACAGCAAAGAGGCTGGTGTGGCTGCAGCACAGCAAGGAAGGCAAAGACAAGGGCAGAGGTCAGCAAGGTGACTTGGGGATGCATCACGAGACCCTGTAGGCCACGGAAAGAATTTTGGCTTTCACTCCAAGGAAGATGGGAAGCCACTGAAGAGTTTTCAGCAAAGCAATGGCATGATCTGATTACATTTTGAAAGAATTTTTCACTATTCTGTTGAGAACAGACTCTGGGAAGAGGGGGAATGGTAGAAGCCTGAGACCAGTTAGAAAGCTACTGCAGTATTCCAGGTAAGAGATGATGGTAGGAGAGGACCAGGTGGTCACGATGGAGGCAGTGTGAACTGGTCAGATTCTAAAGATATCTTAAAGGTAGCACCAGAGTATTTCCTGATGAATTAGAGGTGAGTTGAGAGAGAAGTTATGGAGTCAGTATGACTCTACAGTTTTTGGCCTAATTGGAAGGATTCAGTTGCCATCAACTGAGATGGGACAGAATGCATGTGGAGGAGGTCTGTGAAAGCAGACTGGAATGCGTTTGGGACATGCTCAACTTGAAATAATGAAGACGTCAAAAAGAGTACCAGATGACTCCAAATTCAAGGGAAGTCAAGTGGGAGACAACAACTTGAGATTTGTCAGCACAAAGATGTGATTTCAAATGACAAGATTAGGTAAGATTTCTAAGAGAATGTGTGTAAACACTGGACCAAGAGCTGAATCCTGGATACTCCAATATTAAGAGTTGAGGAGAACAGGAGGAACAACCATAAGGGTAAGAAGAAACAAAGCCCTGGAAGCATGTATGAAGGAGAAGAGAGTAATCAACTGCATCAAATGCTGCTGTTGCACAGAGATCAGGACTGACAATGGACCACTGGATTTAGCAATACATAGGTCACTGGGCACCTCCCAAGAGTAAGGCTGGTGGAGTATGGAGGCAAAATCTTGACTAAAGTGTTGAGGAGAATAAAAAAAAAAAATGGAAATAGCAAGTATAGTGAAATCTGTCAAGGACTATTACTATAAAGAGGAGTAAAGATACGGAGTGGAGCCAGGCGTGGTGGCATGCACTTGTAATCCTAGCTACAAGTGAGACTGAGACAGGAGACAGGAGGATTGCTTGAGCCCAGGAGTTCAAGGCTGCAGTGAGCTATGATTGTGCCACTGTACTCCAGCTTGGGTGACAGAGTGAGACCCTGTCTCAAAAACAAAACAAAAAATCCTCTGCAGCCAGGCATGGTAGTTTACTCCTGTAATCCCAGCACTTTGGGAGGCCAAGGTGGGAGGACCACTTGAGCCCAGGAGTTCAAGACCAGCCTGGGCAACATAGTGAGAACCCGTCTCTAAAAACAAACAAAAACCCAGAGCCCATGATTTCAGCACCCATGTTCTTTTTTTTTTTTTTTTTTTTTTTTTTTTTGAGGCGAAGTCTTGCTGTCACCCATGCTGGAGTGCAGTGGCGCAATCTCAGCTCACTGCAAGCTCCACCTCCCGGGTTACACCATTCTCCTGCCTCAGCCTCCAGAGTAGCTGGGACTACAGGCGCCTGCCACCACGCCCGGCTAATTTTTTGTATTTTTAGTAGAGATGGGGTTTCACTGCGTTAGCCAGGATGGTCTCAATCTCCTGACCTTGTGATCCGCCCACCTTGGCCTCCCAAAGTGCTGGGATTACAGACGTGAGCCACCGTGCCCGGCACATCCATGTTATTTCTACTATACAACTCATATACTATTCTGCCTCTCTAAATTCTGCCACAGGAAAGTATATGTCAGGAAGAGGACAATTATCAAAAATGTATAGCAATGAGGGCTGGTCATGTTGGCTCATGCCTGTAATCCCATCTACTCGGGAGGCTGAGGCAGGAGGATGGCTTGGGAGTTCAAGGCTTCAGTGGGCTATGATTGTGCCACTGCACTCCAGCTTACATGACGGAGCAAGACCTTGCCTCTAAAAAAAAAAAAAAAAAAAGATGGATGTGTAGATGTGTGTGTATATAGATATACGCATATATATACATATATTTTATATACACATATACATATATTTTATATATATACATATTTACATATATTTTATATATATACATATTTACATATATTTTATATATATACACACATATATACATATATTTTATATATATATATACACATACACATGTATATAGTGGAATTTGGCGGGGGGGAGTGGAGAAATGACATGGAGTTTTTTTAAGGAAGACAGAGTTAGTATGTTGCTGGGAATGATCAGGAGGATGTTCTCTTTTCTGTGTTTTTACAATGTTACTCATAGGTCCATGTGCATCTTTTTAGACATCCTCAGATGAGATCTGGCCCAATTACTCAATAAATAGGGTAAGTGCACTATCACTGACTGCTCAGCTGTAACTTTGCTTACTAGTCAGAATCCCTTCTTACACTGACAGCTGAAAAGCAGGCTGATAGTCACTGCTCCACAGCAGTTTTTAGTGTTCGATGGGCACACACTAAGTATGACTCTGTTGGATTTAGGTAGTATCTGATCTTCCTGCCCGGTTCTCTCATCTGTTGAATGGTGGATTGTATTAAACACCATCATTCTCAGAGTGCCCTTACCAGGTTGCTTCCTGTCTCCATTTCTAACAACAGCACTTTATTTGTGAAGACTATCTCAGGGTACAACGTGCCTCCAATGTCATCTCCCCTCCCATGGCTTTTTGTAGTATTAAGACAATAAAGGCCTGGTATGGTGGTTCACACCTGTAATCGTAGCACTTTGGGACGCTGAGGCAGGATAGCATGAGTCTAGGAATTTGAGACCAGTCTGGGTAACACAGTAAGACCCCGTCTATAAAAAAAATTTAAAAATTAGCTGGGCATGGTGGTACATGCCTGTAGTCCCAGCCACTTGGGAGAACTGAGGTGGAAGGATTGCTTGAGCCCAGCAGTCTGAGACTGCAGTGAGTTGTGATCGCACCACTGCACTTCAGCCTGGGAGACAGAACAAGATCCTGTCTCAGAAACAAAAACAAAAAGACACAGTTTAGTGTGTGGGTGGAGGGAGGCTAGAGAGAATGAACATTACTCTGGTTGCCTAAAGCACCAGGCAGCTGAGGGACAGGATCAGGTTTTCTGATTGGGACATGTAAGTTTAAGAGAAAACTGCCTGCCTTCCTCTCCTACAGACACTGTGGACTGAGGTAAAGACATTGCTTTACTGAGTTAAAAATCACTAAGAAATTCTTCTTAGATTTTGTCAGTATCAGGCATAATTTTTGGTGAAAGAATGCCTTTTCTTTTTCTTATTTTTCCTCCATGCACTTTATTGGGAAAATAGGATAGATTAAATCAGGGGTGATTATCCAGATGTTATTGTTAAATAAGCTATGCTTTGAAGTTAAGGCAACAGGTAACACATATTGAATAAGCCAAAGTGCTTAATTTTTGTTTTCTATGAAATAGTTTATTTCATTGTTCACTATGGAGGGGCTACAAATACACTTCTGATATTAACACAAAGGTCTAAACTTTGCAACACTGGTAAAAATGGTTATGAGGAATTGAGAAGCTAGGGAACAGGGCACATGACATTTACATTTGCTCATCTCCCACTATACATTTCAAAACATCAAAGGCACTTACCAAAGTGATTAAATAAGGGAGTGTGGAATTTAAAATAATGACATATACCCAAGACACAAAATAAAGGACTTGAATTTTCTTATAGTTTGATTTCTAACATTTTACTGACTAAAATCTCTGCTAATTATGTAATCTACTTTGTGGCTTTAAAATATTGGATACTTTGATTTTAAGACTACTTTAAATGAAAAGAACCTAATGGAATACCATAAAGCCAGAGTTTTTCCACACCCAATTACAGTAGAAGAGCACCCCTATATCCAGGCAAAAGCAAAAGGCCCCACTCTTCAGTCACTCATATTGCTTCTCCAGAGAGCACTGTGGAGTCACCTCTCACTGATATACTAACATGTGGCATCTTTGTGGCTTCATAGGCACATTCATTCAACACACATTTATCTAGCATCTGCCAAGGTTCACAGCACTGTGCTGGGTGCTGGGGAGACAGAAACATGGTGTGGTGCTTACTTTAACAAGCTTACATTTATCCCCTGTAATTGGGTTGGTCATGCTTTCTTTTCAATTCCTACTGATTTGTTCCAAGAAGCTTCTTGGAATAAAACAGAAGCCAGAATAAATGCATTTGTATTCCCATCCCTAATTCTACTTGGTTTCCAGAAGAAAAAAAAAATCAGAATAAGACTATCTCAAAGTATTAAAGAGGATCTAAACCCTACATCAATCTAAAGCATTTAGACAAATGCATTTTTAGACAAAAGCATTTAGACAAATTTCATTTGTCTACAACATGGAAAAAACAAGTTAAGAAGTAGAGCACCTTTCAGCCCTTACTACATTCTAAAACAAACTTGTAAATGCTTTCAAACTGACTTATGCTCTTACTCTCAACTCACAGAAAAATGGAGTCCAATCACATTTCCATGTGAAAACACAAAATTAGGTTAACAGAACAGTCATCCTTGACATAGTAATACTCTGACAATACAATTAAGGGGACATCTTCTAATGGCATTTGTTCTTAACATGGAAAAACAATTTCTTGCATATTTTCTAATCATAGTGTATATACAGATGTAAATACAGAGTCAATGTGTGCAATGATGCTGACAAGGCATCAAGCATGTTTTAGAGTATACCGGCAATGAGAGATTTCAATTACTTTATATTCCTGCCTTCTCAGTCTGTACACATATTATCATTTACAGGATAGTCACATACTATACAGAATTGAAAGATGCCAATTTTTGCTATCAAAAGTGCTGAAGTTATAATTTCCTAATACAGACTATTGAAATGCACAGAAAGACTACAATAGGCAATCTATAGCAGGGCTAACAAAGTATTTCTATATCTCATGTCTATTAATTACCCTTCCTCCATCTTATATAATATTCCATCTTCAGTAATGAACTTTTATCTAATTAAGAAATCCCCCAGTTTATAAAATCTGAGGGCAATTTCCAGTGAACTTTGTCAGGATAGAGGAACCAAATGACCACAGGTATTACTGAGTTATAATAAGAAGGAGTAACCAATTAATCAGTATTATAACAACAAAATTGCTGCAAGGCAATAGGCTTCTGTAATTAAACATAAATCACAAAGGTATGGATTCAGGCATCAAAATAGTGACGTGATTTCACTGAGTATCAACTAGTATTTGCAAAGCTACTTGAATTTTTCTGTTGATCTTCACTTGTTGTTAAATAATGATAGTTTTGATGGTGGTAAAACTTCATTTTTCAAGTGCAGGATGATCTGAGCTGAATGAGAAAAAAAGTAATTAAGGGAGGGAATAAAGGTAGGCCTGGCATCAGTTTGAACAATATATTTTTTTCTTCTGTTTTTGATCGTAAGAGGGCTTATATCTCCAAGGTTACCACAATAAAGTCATAACCATGCCAGCCATTTTAAGGATTTCAGGATTAATCAAGACCAAGAAAGATGAAATGATGAATTACAAACCAAGCCATCACTACTACAAAGTTCCATGAGTGATAATTCTGTTACCCATATCCCAGGCAGCAATATGTTTAAATTACAAAGACAGTGACATATATATTGTCAAAAAATTTTACTGTTACTTATTATTTAAATTTAAAAATTTTATAATTTTACATTTTGTAATTATTTATTTAAAAGTGGCATATTTTATTAAAAGGAACACTGGAAATATGGATACTTTTTGAGAAGTAATCTTCATCTTCACTTGTAGATATTATGGAGAAACCAGATTTCTACATCAACTAATGGAAAATTAACCACTTATGAGCCTAGTTCCAATTCAAATAAAGGACATACATACAAATGTTAGGACTGATTCTGTCCATTCAGTTAAAATATTTCCATTCCTGAATTATTAGCTACTGAAATTCTAAAAATGCTCATTTTTCTGGGTATCTTAACTTAAAAGATTTATTAGCTGTTCAGATGCTGTTTATATTAATTGACATTTACAAAGAGCATAGAGACCAAAGACAATATACACTATAGTATGTAAGACCTTTATCTCCTTCTAAATGCTCTAAGCAAACTATAAAATTTAGTAATTCTATTTAGATCTTCTTAGATAACTTGCAGGTGTCTTGAGTGTCTCAGTCTGCTTTCTCTCTTCAAATTTTTTCCATTCTAAACAGCATTTTTTGCCTCCTAGTAATAATCCTGTAGAATTTTAAAAACAGACAAAAAAACACCAAACCCAGATTCTATGCTTTATTCATTTTGCATTAAGATGACCAAAGAAATAAAACCTAAATAAAATAAACATAAAATCATTTTTCCCTATTTAAATACTGATAATTTCTATTAACCCTATTTTTAATTTAGGGAGTTTTATATTCATATTGTCAAGATATCCAGTGCACAAGTTTCTGCAGAATCACTAATTTTATTATAAAGCTTCCTCTCCCCACACCTTAGGGGACAATGTATTTTCACTCTGACTTGTTTAAAAGACACAAGGAGGTTGGCATATTTTAAAGTTAACACATTTTTTCATTATAAAAACAGGCTTAGGTTAATGGTCACTCTCTAGCATTTGGTTACCGACTGACTGATTATCATATGTGTGCGTGTGTGTGTGTGTGTGTGTGTGTGTTTGTGTGTATATATATATATATATATATATATATATATATATATATATATACACATAGGTTCCTGACTTTCTACTACTCATTACTGTTGGCTGATGCAAAATTTGATTGTGCAACATACATCTCCTCAAGGATGAACAGGAAATGCAAAGATATAAAATTCAAAGTATTAATAGATGGTTTTGCTACTTTTTGTACTTTTGGTAAATGAGATAGTTGGAAGTTAGAGGCTATTAACTAAAATAAAATTAAGGAGTAAGTAAGTTACCTGTAAATTTCATTTACTCACATTAGGACTGACTGGTCTCTCTTTATTGGAGTTTAACAGAAAACAGACTGGACCATGACTGGCAGCTATATATTGGTCATTTTCAAATACTCCAATGACACTCTTCAATAACTTTATTATCTCCAGTTTTATGATGCCATACCATGTTTTTTCACACTGTTTAAAAATTTCCATTTCCATAATCCAATGCCAAAAAAATTACTACACATTCTCTTACACAGTCAAAAATATATTTACTGGAATGTTTTTAGTTATACCTGAGGGCAACAACATTTACAACATTTAGCTTTTGTTACACCTATAAATGTGGAAATTGCTTGCAAAACAACTGTAATATGAAAGGAACTATATTTCTGCAAATATTGACAGAATGGTTATGCATCTCTTTCAGCATATAATTTGGTACTCTACACAGGCTTCCTGACCCCCAGCATGACCCGCTCCCTAATGCAATAATGCAAGTCCTTATGCCATTAAAATATTAATATGAAATATTATAATCAGTGTTTATATACACAAATAATGAACTGGCAAGTATCTAGTTTCAAATTAGATCCTTGAAATATGGAAAAATAGAGGCTAGTTCTCTTTGCCTTAAACATAATTATTAAAAGAACATTTTGTTAGAAAGGGAGAAGATAATTGGACATTCTCAACGTTCCAATTTGAAGTGATACTTGCCTCTTAGTTTCTTGAAAAAGAAGTTTTGAAAGTTATATACACATAGGTTTCATTTAAATTATGCAGCAATCTTTTATTACTGTCCCAGATCTTGTTTAATGAAGATCTCTGTCATCAAATCAAGTACGGTATTTCATGACTATAAGAACTGTAAGAGAAAACATGAAAAAAGCAATATATCAACATCAGATATATATGCTATGTTTGAAGCAATATTCCTAAATGTAGTTGTGTCTACTTTTAGAAATGGGTAATGAGGATTGACTGAACTTTTATCTGAGGTAATAAATAATCAATGGGAAAGGAGAAGCAAAAAATATCATAAAACAACCTAAATGTCTAACATTGGCATCTTAAATAAATAATGGCATAGCCATAGCTTGTATCTGCTGTTAAAATATTACTAAAAATTTTGATAACCTGGGATAATAGTCACAATATATTTATTAGAAAGTACATATAATATAGTCTTAGTTTTTTAAAAAACATGCTTGTATATTAATAGGAAAAGAGAAGTATATATAATAGTTATATTAGTAGCTATCTCTACTAATTGTAAGATTATAGTTGAATTTTTCTTCTTTTTGTTATTAATATTTCACATTTTCCAATTGCTCACTATATATACATGATTGATTCTTGGTTTCTGAGGTAATTATTTTCTATAAGGTCACTACAAACACTAAATTAGTGAATATGGAACCACTGCTTCTAGGGAAAATATAGGGTTAAGTTCCTGTGAGTCTCTGGCTACTACATTTTTGTCAATCAATGCATAACCTTGGTTTATATGTGTTTCTGTTTAAAGACACTTTATTTAATATGTATTATTGATTCAGTAACACTGTGCTCAAGGCCAACAGCACTATAATTCATGCCTGAACAAAAGTTTGCCTAATGTGTATTTTTTCCATGAAGACACATCACAGCTCTCTTGTACTGAGCAACACTAGACAGCACTTCAGCACCACGTGTGGGGACCATTTTAAACAGTGAAATCACCAACAAAAAGCACAACAATGCAGAAAATGTGGTACTAAATAGACTACAAAAAGAATGTTTATGTTATGAGTGCTGAAATAAAAAGGCAGAAATGGCTTTGTTTAACCTCAGCTAGGGATGTGTGGGTTGGGGGACTTACAATTTTTTGTTACTCTGAAAATGTCTGTAAATGACTGTGAAAGCACCATGAGTACTGATTTTGGGGTTACAAATAAATTTTACCTGGTAACTGGATTTGCAAACACGGAATCTATGAATAATGAGGACTGACTGTATTTCTTTGTAACAAAACATTTTTTTCTGTTTAAAAATATAACAGCATAATATAATTTTTCAAATGATTATTTTTAGATACTTTCCAAAGCGTCATAAAACCTCTCTGTAAACATAGGCAGAGGCCTTGAAGAAAAAGAGATATTTAAAATGATCTGATTTTTAAAAGAACATTAAGGGAAAAAGGACGGGAAGGAGTCATGCTTTAATGATGGAAATTATGCTCAACTACAGAACAAAACAAAAACCAAACAAAAAAAAATCATCTGGAGAACGTATTTGGATTTATACTTCCAAAACAATATTACAAAATGCAAACTGCCATTCCTGAGAGTTAATAATAAATAGAAAATGAGTATTTTAGACCTTAGTGTAATAGGAACCAGATTTGGCCTTGAACAAATCACTTAGCCCTGGATTTGGGGGTGAGGGTTGGGGGCAGAACAGGAGTTCCCTTTGAGAATCTGACAAAAGATATAGACCCTCTCTCCATAAAAATGTACATATACATATTCACATAAAATTTTACATATTACTTAAGAGCATTTTCAGAGATCAATAGATTCTAAGAGCTCCTGAGACAGGTCAGAAGTCATTATTCAATCCTGACTTCAGACATACTAGGTCAACTGAAAATAAAAGGGAATTAAAATGAACTCCAAAATAAATGATACCCTAGGAAGTAATAATCCAATAAATACTTACTGATAATCACTAGCAAAAGGATAGCAGCAACCAAAGCCATGATGGCTTTTATCTACAACACACAAAAGGGCATATATATTAATATTTGACTTGTTAATAAAGTCAAGACTATTTGTTGTTCTATTTACTGCATCATACTAAATCATCTCATCACCTTAAGGTTTCTTAACTACAAAACTGACACAGAATGCTCTTAGGCAAAGTTGCTTATTACATGAGGCTATTCATAAAGAATCTAAAATATATTCCTCAAAATGGAGATAAAAATGCAAAGAAGAAAGTAAGGGGAGAAAAAACTAACAGAATTCTCATATACTTTGAAAAAAAGTGCTATAAACTGCTACCTTCGATGTATTGAACCATTTGAATTGCATGGCCTATGTTATTCATCATATCTTGACACTTGAACAGAGTTGCTAAAATACTGTACATTTTCTCTGGTCTCACATTAGTAATAAGCCCATCAAATCATAGAGGTTCAGTTTATATGATAAAGTACTTTAAGCCTTTTTTATTAATCTGAAGCATTTCTAAAACAATTTGGAATTTCTACGGTAGTTTTTCAACTTTACCTGAAATGTACATTAATTTGCCCTGTTAAACGTGTGTTTGGCTTTACTTAAGAAGATTTGAATGAAAACATCAATATCAATTTTAAAACACCTCAATGAATAGAGTTTTCTTCCTTGGGTTTCTAACACTGGGCAGAAAATGTTTACAGCTCCAAATGGCAGTATTGTATTCATGCAAGTCCAAAGCTCTCTTATTCCAAATAACATGAACAAAAATCTGTTTGTCATTAAACATATAAGAGTTTCACAGCCCCCAGATATATTAAGAGAGGTGTTAGCGATTCTCTTTCCCCACCTATGGATAATTTTATTAACTCATTTATTTTTAAAGCCAGGTATATTGAGATACACTTTACAAAGAATAAAACTTATCCTCTTAAAATACTTTTGATAGGTTTTGACAAATATATCCAGCTGTTAATAAACATGACCACAATCAAATATAGGACATTTCCACCAACACCCTTAACAAGTTTCCTCATGACCTGTTGTGAGTCTCCAACTGCACGACATCCCCCTTAGCCACTGGCAACTCCTGATCTGCGTTCTGCCCTTATATCCTTTTTCTTAAAACCCTTCTGAAATTACCATTATGGAAGTCAATCTAGAAAATGGCAGGCACAGGGAGGCTGCCCCAGATGAACAGTAGCACAATGAAGTATTAATGGGGCACAGTAAAACTGAAGGAAGCTAAGCATTAGAAAATAATAAATGAAGAATACTCGCTACTGTAAATGGTGTTTGTTACATTATGGAACAATGATTTTCATTACATGGTCGATGCTATTCATGGTCCCCAGAGGTTCTCAAGGTGATGACTATTTAAAAATATGACTCAATGTTTTTCCTCCTTAAAAGCACGCTATTCCTCTGACCCAAACCCCATAAAGTACAAAGCAAACATTTTTAGCAATGGTTAAAAAAAAAGCTAGGCAAAATGTACATTATGACCATCTTTTTGTGGATACATGAATAGGGTACATGAGTTTGGGAGAGAGAAGGGGTGAGTGGCTCATGGACTTTTTGTTTTTCTAAATTAGCCCACAGAATAGAAAATTTCTATAGATATAGAAGCTTTAGGCAAAGTGTGGTGGCTCATGCCTGTAATCCAGCACTTTGGGAGGCTGAGGTGGGCAGATTGCTCGAGGCCAGAAGTTCAAGACCAGCCTGGCCAACATAGTGAAACCCCGTCTCTACTAAAAATACAAAAATTAGCCAGGTGTGGTGGTGCATGCCTGTAATTCCAGCTACTCGGGAGACTAAGGCAGGAGAATCGCTTGAACCTGGGCTACTTAGGAGGCTGAGGCATGAGAATCACTTGAACCTAGGAGGCAGAGGTTGCAGTGAGCCAAGATTGTGCCACTGCACTCCAGCCTCAGAGACACAGCAAGAGTGCCACAAAAAAAAAAAAAAAAAGACTTTAAAGAAAATAAATTTATTCTTTAAAGAATAAATAACTTAAAATAGAATAGAAAATTTAAATTCTGAACAAGGGGAGAAATGAAACATATTTCTTCCCTCAGTTCCACTTCTGAAAGTAGGACGATTCAATAGGTAGACAAATAAAAATAAATAAATCCAAGGTAACTCTTGGAAAAAATCCTCAGCATATGGCTAAGTCAGGTTTAGAAAGTTATTGCTGGCTGGTGCAGTGGCTCATGCCTGTAATCCCAGCACTTTGGGAGGCCAAGGCAGGTGGATCACCTGAGGTCAGGAGTTCAAGACCAGCCTGACCAACATGGAGAAACCCCGTCTCTACTAAAAAAAAAAAAAACAAAAAAAACAAAATTAGCTGGGCATGGTGGCACATGTCTGTAATTCCAGCTACTCAGGAGGCTGAGGCAGAAGAATCGCTTGAACCCTGGAGGCAGAGGTTGCGGTGATATTGTGGTGAGCCGAGATCAGCCTGGACAACAAGAGCAAAACTCTATCTCAAAGAAAAAAAAAAAAAAAAAAAGGAGAGTTATTGCTAAACTTGAAATTGAAAATGAGAGACTAAAAACAGTGAGTTCATGTCTAAATTTTAAACAAAGCCAAAAATTATAACTAGAATCAGGAGAAAAAAAAAAAAGATTTGCTCATATAACGTGAAAAACATTTTCTGTTAATGATTAGTAGCCACAGTGGATTTAAGAAGTAAATGTATTTCTATACAATGTTTTGCAGGAGTATATATTAGTATGTAGTGATTCCAATGTTTACCTTGTTAAAAATGGTAAAAATTTCTTTTACTTTTTATTTTTCTGGAATAATGAGGGAAGTGGAGTTTTTTCTTAACTCCATTTGTCTTAACAGATTCGGATATGTAAGCTTTTATTTTTTACCCTTTCAACCGAAAGTCATATTTTTCTCTAGCTCCTACTTTTGATATCTCTACATAATGCTATAGAGGTTGCTCCAAAAAAGTATTAATAGTAAATTTCAAGAAAAAATGTATATTTGTTTTAAGTTAATAAGTTTAGAGGTAGTCAAATATTAATAAAATGTGGATTACTTTCATTAAAAAAATCTATGAAAACATCCTTTTAGGCATACTGATTTATTTAGTTATCCCTATCCCAAAAGCAATTAAGTTAACAAGTATTTACTGAATTTCTACCATGTCTCAGGACAGTTATAGGCCCTGTTCTCACAGAGGTTATGCTCTAGAGGCCCTTTTTTCTTCATGTGTTTGAATACCACTTCAGATGCTGACCAGTCTATCCAGTAGCTTCTGATTTACTTACTTTGCATCCACGCCACCACATTTGCCTTCGAAGTTGTTTGGATCTGTTGCTAAAAGCTGTTGCATTATCCGATAAGCTTTCTATATCACATAGAGGATGGAGAGAAGGATTAAACGACATAACAGGATTCTTTTATCTAGTCACACAAAGATAAGAAAATATTAATTTCTACTTCTGCAAATTTATTCCCTTTTAAGCATGAAAACAGCATTCTCCCTTTTTTCCACCCACAAACTCTGGCATTCTACATTATTAAAAAAATGAAAACAAAAAGCAAAAAACAGCTTGCAGATCAGTTTGCTCACTTCTTTTTTATTATAAAATTAAGAAAAGTCTTTTTAGGGCCTTAATGCTTATAAATAAACTTAGGAAATCTAGTAAGAAAAATACTCTTTAAAAATTCAAATACTTGGCACACCTCTAGAAAAAAAATTACATGTTGAGAAGTTAGCTTCTTAGAAGATATCAAAAGTGACTGATTTTAAAGGAAAACAATATACATTTTAAATGTGACTAAGCGAGGTGTTTTTTTTTTTTCTAAAGTCTGTCAAAGATTAATCAGGTATTCAGCCATTCACCAAACAATATTTGAGTGGCAAGTACGTGCCAGGTATAGGTATAGGTATAGGTATAGGTTATAGGTGTAATGACTGAAAGTAAAGAAAGGTGACTAAGTTACCAAATAAAACATAAAATAAAAATAGCAGATAAGTTTGAAACAAGTGTTGAAAAGTGAGTAGGTCTTTAGGCCCTGAGATCATGAGAAACACAAAGTTCATCAATATCACAGGGCAAAAGAAAAAACAGCTCTACTCTTCACTCTTCAACAATGAAATTTTAAATTCTTCATTCTCCACTGAACAATTAAAAAATAATGAAACAATAAGATGACTCAAAGTAAAGGAGTTAAAATTAAACCATTAAAATCATATACTTAAGAACCAAATGCCAATTTCCTAAGCCAAGATTTGTAAACGTTGGCTAGACAAGTAGAAGACAAAAACTAGCAAACAGATTAGTAATATCAAGAAATACATGAAGATCTGTACCTGATTTGTCCTGTAGTTCATCTAGTCTCTCCCCTCTCTCAATTACCTTTGTAATATTTTCTTGCATGACATCAATAACTTCATCCACTTGATTCTGAACACTAGTTTAAAAAAGATACACAATTATTTATCCTTCTTTTGAGAATGCTTACAATTTTTAAAACTTTCATTAGACATAATAAAGAATAGCAAATTCTCAGAGAATTATTCAACTATAAAATTTAAATTTAAGACTTTGTAGCAATGTTCTTCCATTTGTGGGCTTCAGTACTCAGATAATGAAAGACAATATGATATAAATTAAAGTAATATTTAAAGATAGCTTACTTTTAGCCCTGCTTCTGACTTGTAACTCATAAGCAAGTTAAATGTACTGTCAGCATGCCCGTTAAGTACAGAATTTAGTTAAACAGCTTCACTAAAAATAATCAGTTTTTCTTTTCAACAGGCTATTGAGGCAGCACATAGACACCGCTGTAGCCTACTTTTGCCATATATTTCATACATGAAGGCTAACAAAGGAGGTACCTTAACATACTTTTTAACATACCTTTTGCTCAGGTAAGGTAAAGGCTTATGAAACATACCTAGTTTCCAAAATGGAAATGTAGGGCATATTCTAAGAGATACTGATGCTCAATGGGTAGAATTCTTCACTGCTCATCAGATTTTTCTTAAACAGGATATAAGACAACTGGGGACACCTGGGAATATTTTGAAGTACCCACCAGGAAGCAAAAAGGAAAAAATTGTTTTCTGTTTTTCGATTGTTTGTTCATCCTTTATATTAGATGATGGGGGCCTGTTTTAACCAAATTTCAGGCTGTTCAATAAAGACTTAACCTAAACTTAAAATTGTAATAACTGTCCTCAGCTATCTACTCTCATTCAGGAGTTACCTCCAGAGTATACAAACATGGACATGTTTAATTATTTT
Source organism: Homo sapiens (assembly GCF_000001405.40). Classification (NCBI taxonomy): domain Eukaryota; kingdom Metazoa; phylum Chordata; class Mammalia; order Primates; family Hominidae; genus Homo; species Homo sapiens. The sequence goes on from NC_000001.11 coordinate 171,711,651, forward strand.
AAGTGTCTTATTCTCCTCTGTTGCTCTAACCACAAAAATTATTTTAAATTACTTTACGAAATAAGTCACAACAATGAAATATTTAAAAGGAGAAATAAAGCAAATCCATGGTCCTCATACTAAACACTGTTTAAAGTGCATTGGATTACTAGCGACTACAGACATGTACTGCATAACATTTTGGTTAATGACAAAGCACTTTTACAACACTGGTCCCATAAGTTATAATACCATATTTTTACTGCATGTTTTCTACGTTTAGATATGTTTAGACATACAGATATTTACCATTGTGTTATAATTACCTACAGTATTCAGTGCAGTCACATGCTGTACGGGTTTGTAGCTTAGGAGCTATAAGCCATACCATATAGCCTAGGTGTGTAGCAGACTACACCATGTAGGTTTGTGTAAGTATACTACTCTATGATGTTCACACAATGAAACTGCTTAATGATGCATTTCTCCAAACATAGCCTGTCATTAAGGGTCCATGATGGTTATAAACATTAAATGTATATATATTTAAATAGATGTAGATATGCAATTGTGTTTCTACTTGGAAAAGGAAGAAGTGTGTAGGGGGCTTTAAAAATTTTTTACAATACACAAATATGGTCTCCGCCCTCTACCCCACACAACTCCCCAAACTAATGTAGTAAGTGAGGGGTGAGGCACAGTCATGTTTAATTTTGAAAGAGTTCTATCCTTTCCGATCACTGAGCTAGTTCTTCAAAAAGTTTGCTATAAAAACAAAATGAAGGCCCACTTAGACATAGGTGGATTCAGAAGTACTCTCAGATTCAAGTAGCAATTACTAAGCTTGATGACAGTCACTTCCCTCCCATGTTAAAAGCATTATGTACACCCACTGATTACCCACACATAAACTTCAAGATTTTTCACAGCATCCCAGAGTTCTGTGCTTCCCACACATTATTCCACTGGAGGATATAAGACTGAAGCTCAACAAAGTTGGGCATGCAGAATTCTCTTCTGCCCAAACAAATCTGAAAGAACCCCTAAATCTCTAAGACATCTTGTTGCAACTCCTAATCCCCTAAGTAGAGAGTTAAAGGTGTTCATCCTATTTAAGAACAATGGCACAAATACACAACTAATCAATTTATTCAGCAAATAATGAGAACCTACTATGTACTGTTTTAGGTACTGAGGAAATAACATTGAACAAAACAGATGATAATCCCAGCCCTTATGGAACATATTATGTTGAATGCACTGTATTAACCTTATAGCTGTGAAACAGCATGCTTTACCCCATTACTCTATTTTATTTATAGCATGTAAGCAAATATAAAGTAATAGTAATTGTACCTATTTACTTATTTACATGCTTATTTTCTGCCTCTCCCCACTAGAAGGTAAGCTCAATGAATGCAGTGACCTTGCCTATTTTGTTCACTTTTGTAAGTCCAGTACCTATAGTGGTGCATGGGGCAGAGTGGCCATTCAATAAATATTTGCTAAATAAATGAACAGTTTGAGTATAAATCCTATAAAGCATATCCAGCTACTTGAGGAGGAGATATAAAGCAGTGACTGTAGAGCCCTCCATTTAACTACAAACAAAAGCAAAGCTACTGTTCATCAAGGATCAATTTTGAAATTCCCAGCCAGCTTTTTTTTTTTGTCATATGCAAGTGACGATAATTAATGGCTTAAAGTAGGGTGCTATAGCAGGAAGGGAATGAATAAAATGTACTAAGGCTCCTATACACGATCAGATTATAGCTATTATGGATATTAATATATGTATACTATACGTACTCTTAGACGAGATCGGGCGCATTCAGGGTGGTATGGCCGTAGACATTATATATACTTTTAAAATGAAAACAAAAAGCTAATAAAATAATTATGGTCCCAGAATCTCTTTAAAGGCCAGGCCTGGTGGTTCATGCCTGTAATCTCAACACTTTGGGAGGCCAAGGTGGAAGGATCCCCTGAGCCTGGGAGTTTGAGACCAGGCTAGGCAACAGAGTGAGCCCTTGTCTTTACAAAAAAATTTAAAAATAAGCTGGTTATGGTGGCATGTGCCTGTGGTCCTAGCCACTTGGGAGGCTGCGGTGGGAGATTTCCTTGAGCCCAGGAGGTTAAGGTGCAGTGAACTGTGATTGCACCACTGCACTTCAGCCTTAGCAATAGAGATCTGTCTCAAAGGAAAAAAAACATAACCCTTTAAGGATAAGATTCCATGGATATAGGCAGATTAATTGGGACAGAACCAATAAAATTCTAGATTCTTACTAGAGTATCATAAACCTACAAGTATTCCCTCAACAACATGGCACACATGTAATAAATCACTATTGATAATGGAAACCGCAAATATTTTAATTTTTCTGCTACACTATTAGTGAGTTATTGCTGCTTTGTCCTTCACACATTAATTATCTGCTGGTGTAACACTCTGAATCCAGCTACTATGTAACCTTCACTCAATGATGTAAAATCTCATGATTGTTTTTGTGTTTCAGGATGTTTCCCTACCCAGAACACAATTTTTGTAGAAGAAAGAAAATGATCTGCTTATTTACTTTAATATGGAGATAGTTTGGTTTACAAAGCAAGTGATAACATACTTCCCCATGATCTTTTACATTTTCACAATAGTTATAGTCCTTTGATTTCTATTTGTATTTCACATTGGTCTTGTCCCCATTGTTATACTATAAATGCCTTAAAAACAGAGACTAACCCACTTATTCTTTAATTTCCCAGGTCAAGTGAAATGTGGCTGGTACAAAGTAAGCATTTAACAAATATTTTCAAATCTGAATTAAATATATCATTCATTCAAAAAACATTAAAAAGTTATGGCTAGGTGTGGTGGCTCAGGGCTGTAATCCCAGCACTTTGGGAGGCTGAGGCAGGAGGATCGCTTGAGCCCAGGAGTTTGAGACCAGACTCGCCAACATGGCAAAACCCTGTCTCTACAAAAAATACAAAAATTAGCCGAGCATGGTGGTGTGCACCTGTAGTCTCAGCTGCTCAGGAAGCTGAGGTGGGAGGATCCTCCTCCGGGAGGTGGAGGCTACAGTGAGCCAAGACTATACCACTGCACTCCAGCCTGGGTGACAAGAGTGAGAACCTGTGTCTAAGAAAAAAAAAGTTATTATTATGCTATTCATCAAGGTTATCATCATGAAGGTTATGAGCCTGGTATTTAGAAAGATTATACTCCAGTAGGGAAAACTGATATCCATATACTACCATGTGTTAAGGGATATAATAGAAGGAAGCCCATAGTATCAGTCATGTAGCCTTGATGAATTCAGCCTGGACCAGAGATGACATCAAGACCCCTGTGCTGAGTTTTGAGGAGTCAAGAGTTAATCAGGCAGAGTAAAAGAGGCAGTGGATGGTGAGAAAGTTCTAGGATAAGGAAATATATGTCAGAGGAGGTAATATTTTAAGAACTAGGAGATTAACTGGATGTGGGTGAAGGAATTGGGAAAAGAGTAGACAACTCCTAGATTTATAATTTGAGCAATTAACTGGTAGTAGACGATGGCTATTAACTAAAATAAAAAATTAAGAACGCAAAGGAAAAGCTAGTTTCTGAAGGAAGGGTGGAGATTTTTATATCATGGCCAGTTAAAGGCTATTCATATAAGATAATAAAAGACATGAGAGAGAACACAATGAGGAAAAGACATTTCCAATACTGTTTTAAATCCTCTTAGAGTCTGACGGCACCTGTATTTCTGAAATGGCTCTATTCTAATTACCAACAGAGAAGCTGTATGGTATAATGTAGAGCCCCTGGGTTCTGTATTCAGACAAACCTGGGTTTGCAATACAACTTTATCCCTTACTACGTATGTGACTTTGGAATTCACCTTGGAAGCCTGTTTTAGCCTAACATTTTCTCACCTTTAAAATGCAGCTGATAATCTCTACTTTACTTGTGAGAATTAAATGAGATAGTGTTATTCAAACACTTAGCATAGTGCCCAACACATAGCACATACTTGATAAATGTCAGTGCCCTTCGATTAAGAAACAAATTCATGCTCTGCAATACGCACCCCTTATTTTATAAAGAAAACACTGGCCAGGTGCAGTGGCTCACACCTGCAATCCTAGCATTCTGGGAGACTGAAGTGGGAGGATCCCTTGAGTCCAGGAGTTTGAGACCAGTCTGGGCAACATAGGGAAACCCCGTCTCTATAAGAAATTAGCCAAGCATGGTGGCACGTGCCTGAAGTTTCCAGTTACTCAGGAGCTGAGGTGGAAGGATCAATTGAGCCCAGGATTTTGAGGCTGCAGTGAGCTGTGACTGTGCCACTGCACTCTAGCCTGGGTGATGGAGCAAAACCCTGTTTCAAAAAACAAACAAAGCAAAAATCCCTGAAAGAAAATATTTATTTTCATAGTTAATATCCCCATCTTCTGGTCTTTTAAGGTACTGCTGACAAAAGAAGTTTTAAAGTTAAGCTGTATTTTTGCAACTACATATATATTGCTGTTACACCATGGAACATTCCCTGGGGTGTCGGGGAGGGAATCTCATAAAAGTTAAGCTGGTCTGACCAAGACTATAATTGGGAGATTCCCTACTCCTAACACAGAATGTCTACAATTCACTACAGTGGCATTTATAATGCTATTGTTTAATTTAAAGGCAAAGGAAATGTAATCCTGCTAAAAGTTCCTGTCTGCTTATATAAATGAAACCTTAACTTCTCTACTCTGGAATGCTGACTCCATTCCTTTGGAGCTGGTATTTCCAGGTGGTCCATCCTCATAATTTATGTTTGAACAAACTCTCTTTAAAAACAAAACAAAATTTAAAAAGCAAAGGAAACATTCCAAAGAGAAGCATAAATTTTATGTAGACATATGAATATTTAAAAATTGTCCTCAAAAAGAGTCTTTCCTAAGAAGTGATGTCAAGTATTTTTTGTAGGATTAATCTGTTATCAACACTAATAAATGTGGCTAATGAAGTTCAAAGAAAGCAATGATGTTGCTAATCTATGCAGTAGGAAACACTCTGTATTGAAATGTTATAAATTAAGTGGTGATAACAGCTTAAGTAAAGAAACTGACCAGTGCTAGCAATTTTGGGTACTAAAATAACGCCAGGGATTTGTCATTGGGTAAGTTGTGTGGCAAGTTGTGCTCCTCCATCTTGGGCACACTGGTGAGTCATGCCCTGCTTAGATAAGCATTAATCAAGGTTTAATGCATGCTTGATGAACGACCTTATTCTAACTAAATCCAGCAAGCTTTCAGCTCTAGAGTAAAAAACGCTATACTTAACAATCCCTTACTATTCTAAAATTCTGTGATCACCAAAGTTATTGTGATATTAATAGTGTAATACATAAATATACAAATTCATGTGTGTATGTTTGGCATTCATTAACATAGACATATATTCTTTAATGCCTACTCTGTACAACTGGTGGTGGTTTGGGGATTCAGCTGGAAAATCATACTCAAAAGACCCCAATCGGCAACATCCCTTACTAGGTTCACTCTTCAGAAGGATATCAGACAGGAAACAGAGCATACTGGCAGGACAAAAAATAGGTGTGTCATCAGTGGAGGCCTCTTCTCCAGTGGCAGCTTAGGCAAAAGAGAACATGTGAGTGGATAAAGAAGTCATTCTGGCTCAGTGCAGGAGAATGGTTCAGACATTACACATTGGCATCCACATATGCCACACAGGCTTGAACTACAGCTAATTTGAGTCCTGGTAGAATGCTTGTGATCTCCCTGGAACATGAGAGAATGAGTGGCTCATGAGGTCTTCTTCCATCCACCTCCCTGTTTCCCTTATGAGACTATCATAAGGCAGTTTCTTATCACCTCCCAGGTTCTGATGCGGTATAAACTTTCTGCAGGCTCTATGTGCAGACTATAAAAACCACAGCCTAGAAATAGCTCCTTTGCAATAGAGTATCCCACAATTTGTACTGCAGCCATTGACCTCCCCTTTTTTTTTTAAGAGAAGGGGGTTTCACTTTGTTGCTCAGGCTGGTCTCAAAACTTTTGGCTTCAAACAATCCTCCTTTGAAGGAGAATCCCAAAGTGCTGGGATTACAGGCGTGAAACACTGCACCCAGCTGTATCATTATTTTTGGTGTGCAGGACAATGACCCTGAGAGCTACTAACTTTGGCTACTCTTCCTTTTACTATATAAGTAATAAATTGCATCTAAAAGTGGCTTGTTGTATCTTTAGTCAAATAAGAGACTTGAAACAGTACAGATTCTCTCTTCTACTGGCCTCAAAGAAGCACCATGACATCTATAGCTGCAGGAAATAAATTCTGATAACTTCCTGAGTTGGTCATACCTGGTGATACCCTGATTGCCATCTTGTTAAACCTGAGCAAAAGGCTCACCTAAGAAGTGCCTGAACTCCTGACCCAAGGAAACTGTGAGATGATAAATGTGTGTTGTTTTAAGCTGCTAAGTTTATGGTAATTTGTTACATGGCAATAGAAAACTAATACACCCAGTCTAGTACCTGTAATCATTTATTGGTTCTTTGGTTCCATATCTCAAAATCCATTAGTTAGAATTAGGCTAAGTATGGAAATATTTCTTCACACCAACAGCTACCTGAGTAAAGCCCAAGTATCTCACCAATAACTAGATACTTCATTATAGAACCCTTCCCACAATGTGCCATCTATACCCAGGCTTAGGGTAGTGACTATTATCCCTCCTTAGGTCTTGAACCTGGGCCATGCAGTTCACATTCCACAGTTAGTCTTTACAGCTTGGTCAGTTTCCAGAGCCTTCCCTCAAGTGACTCACTGCTCTGTCTATTCCTTCTCCCCTCCAGTCAGGACTCATATCTTTCCGATATCAGACACATTGATTACAGCATATTATACTCATCTATCACCAAATAATATATACCTCAAAGGTTTTAAACCACAAATTAGCCATAAAACTTAGTTCAATATATGGGTTATGATAAATAAGAGATATGAAAAAATTCTGGAAGTAGATAAAAACATGCAGTACATCAACAAATTAAAGCTATTATATTACCTTTGTTATCATTCTGAAAATAGGAATCAAGCTACAGATTTAAAACCAAAATAGACCTTCAGACTATGCTAAATAAATGGATTTGACATAAGGTAATCAAGTCATAAAAAAACCAACAATCCTGCATTTCCTTAGCTATAATTCTGAGAAAATAAAATGAATTAGGTTTTTATAACCCAGCAGTTATATTTAGTCTTCATCAGGGGTCAACAACTTTTTCTGTAAAGGACCAGACACTCAGCAGATATTTTAGATTTTGTGGGCCATAAAATGTGACACAGCTTTGTCACAACTACTCAACTTTGCCATTGTAGCTTGAAAGTACCTATCGATAATATGAAAACAAATGGGCATGGCTATGTTCCAATAAAACTTTATTTACAAAAACAGGCTGCAGCCAGATTTGGCTCACAGGCTGCAGTTTGCCAATCTCTAGTCTACACAGAAATATGATTATCATTTAAACAAATGAACAAAACTTACTGCTTAATTTTATCATTTCTAGGTCCAAATCTTGGTCCAGATGGTCCCCTTCTGAAAACAAGTACATACCAAGTACATATTAGTAGTGACAGGATTAAAACAAAACAAAAAAAAGATAGAAAGTATACACAAATACAAACAATCAAGCTGAACTCTAAACATGGATCAGTTATTTATCATAAGGGACCACATTTTACTGATACTGGTGAAACTGAATAATAGGTAATCATGTCTTTACTTCATTGGCACTTATTACTAGCCACAATTAAGCTAATTCTTCTGCATGTTAAAACTTTCAGAGAAATTAGGGTTTATATTATCTTATATAACAAACTTACACAGAATTTGTTCTGATCATTAAACTCTGAAATATCCTAACTACTTAACTGCTAGTGAATATTAATATCTTTATGGTCAACTGTAGAACTAAAAGCGCAATTCATCTTGAATTTAGACTATAATGAAATGAGGAAACTACAAAGTGAACTGCCGATTGACAAAGATGGATATAGAGAAAAATTCATTGAAGACACTAACAATTTTAAGTATGTTTTTGATTATTCATCTTAAACTTATCAACATAGCAAAAGGGAAATGCAAGATATTAAGAAAATTTTAACATTACTCAGATTATTATCTCCTTATTGTAGTTGAGTGTATATCACACCTTAACCAATCCATTTTAATATTCTTGAAATGAAAACATTTGGTTATTTAAAGTAATCATGATTCTTCCGGAGATACAGAATAAATAAGACATAAACTACAAAACTCAAAAGAAACCAGGTTCTTAGATTTCTAGACATGGCAATTTCTAAAGGAGGTGAAAAAATACAGCAATTGATAAAAAAATTTTGGAAAAAAAAACTGTTTACTGAAACTTATTTAACATAATGTATAAGTGTGAATATATCATCTTGCCTTAGTTCCTCTAAGCTTTTTCCTTAAAGTCTTTTAAGCTCCAACTAAGCCTCAGAATACTGGAACAGTATTCCATTCCAAAGTGATGTTAAACATTGAATTTCATAGAGAAAACTAATATTCTGAACCAGAGGCCATTCCTAAAAACTAGGCAAGAACTTACAAGAGCTGGTCAACCGAAAAACAAAGAAAAGCAGTCATTAAATGAGGAAACTATAAAGTGAAATAGAATCTGAAAAGTACTGAATTAAAATGATCCCCACTACAGGTTAAAAAAAAAGCAGGAGCTATGTCTGTTTCATCTATCAAGTAACATGAGACTTCAAAATACTTATAGAAAAACACAAAATGAAAAGCTGGTTCTTTGAAAATTAAAACTTGATAAACTTCTAGCCAGACTGATTAGGAAAAAAAGAAAGAAGGCATAAATTAGTAACAGGAATGGAAGAGTGAACATCACTACAGACAAATGTACCATGGTTATATAAGATTTATTAACAGAAGCTAAGTGAAGCGTAGATAGGAACTCTCTATACTATCTATGCAACCCTTCTGTGGGTCTAAAATTATTTTTAAAAAATCCCCCAAAGAAAATTCCAGGACTAGATTTGTTCAGTTGTCAATTCTACCAAACATTTAATGAAGAAAAAATAAGAATTCTATGCAAACTATTCTGGAAAACTAAAAAAGACAGAACTTTCCCAACTCATTATCCAGGGCCAGTATGAACCTACCACGAAAACCAGATAAAGACACAACAAGAAAAAGACATAACTATCAACCAACCAATACCTCTAATGAACATAGATGCAAAAATTCTTAACAAACTCTTAACAAATTGATTCTAACAATGTTTTAAAAGAATAATACATGATGACCAAGTAGGGTTCATATCACAAATGCAACGACGGTTTAAAATTTCAAAATCAACATAATTCAACACATTCACAGACCAAAAAAAATGATCATCTCAATAGATACAAAATAAATGCTTGACAAAATCCAACGTCAGCTAATGATAAAAACTCTTCACAAACTAGGAATAGGAGGAAACTTCTTCAACCTGATAAATCTACACACAACAACAGTAACAACATGCAATGAAAATGAAACATAATATGAAAGATGAATGCTTCCCCTAAAGGAGATCAGGAACAAAGCAAGGATATTCCCTCTCACCACCTCTACTCAATATTGTGCTGGATGTTCTAATCAGAGCAATAAGCTAATAAAAAATAAAAGGCAAACATAGACGAGGAGGAAATAAAACTGTCTTTATTTGCAGAAAGCATAATTGTTCTATGTTGAAAATCCAGTAGGATATATAAAAACACTACTAAAACTAAGTGGGTTTGGCAAGATTGTAGAATACAAGGTTAATTTACAAAATGATATTTATACTAGCAATAAGTATGACATTTTAAAATTTTGAAACACCATCTGAAATGTCATTTTTAGTAGCATCAGAAATTATGAAAATCAATGTGCAAAAATCACAAGCATTCCTATACACCAATAACAGACAAACAGAAAGCCAAATCATGAGTGAACTCCCATTCACAATTGCTTCAAAGAGAATAAAATACCTAGGCATCCAACTTACAATGGATGTGAAGGACCTCTTCAAGGAGAACTACAAACCACTGCTCAACGAAATAAAAGAGGACACAAACAAATGGAAGAACATTCCATGCTCATGGATAGGAAGAATCAATATTGTGAAAATGGCCATACTGCCCAAGGTAATTTATAGATTCAGTGCCATCCCCATCAAGCTACCAATGACTTTCTTCACAGAATTGGAAAAAACTACTTTAAAGTTCATATGGAACCAAAAAAGAGCCCACATTGCCAAGACAATCCTAAGCCAAAAGAACAAAGTTGGAGGCGTCACGCTACCTGACTTCAAACTATACTACAAGGCTACAGTAACCAAAACAGCATGGTACTGGTACCAAAACAGAGATATAGACCAATGGAACAGAATAGTGCCCTCAGAAATAATACCAGACATCTACAACCATCTGATCTTTGACAAACCTGACAAAAACAAGAAATAGGGAAAGGAATCCCTATTTAATAAATGGTGCTGGGAAAACTGGCTAGCCATATGTAGAAAGCTGAAACTGGATCCCTTCCTTACACCTTATACAAAAATTAATTCAAGATGGATTAAAGACTTAAATGTTAAACCTAAAACCATAAAAACCCTAGAAGAAAACCTAGGCAATATCATTCAGGACATAGGCATGGGCAAGGATTTCATGAATAAAACACCAAAAGCAATGTCAACAAAAGCCAAAATTGACAAATGGGATCTCATTAAACTAAAGAGCTTCTGCACAGCAAAAGAAACTACCATCAGAGTGAACAGGCAACCTACAGAATGGGAGAAAATTTTTACAATCTACCCATCTGACAAAGGGCTAGTATCCAGAATCTACAAAGAACGTAAAGAAATTTACAAGAAAAAATCAAACAACCCCATCAAAAAGTGGGCGAAGGATATGAACAGACACTTCTCAAAAGAAGACATTTATGCAGCCAACAGACACATGAAAAAATGCTCATCATCACTGACCATCAGAGAAATGCAAATCAAAACCACAATAAGATACCATCTCACACCAGTTAGAATGGCGATCATTAAAAAGTCAGGAAACAACAGGTGCTGGAGAGGATGTGGAGAAACAGGAACGCTTTTACACTGTTGATGGGAGTGTAAACTAGTTCAACCATTGTGGAAGTCAGTGTGCGATTCCTCAGGGATCTAGAACTAGAAATACCATTTGACCCAGCCATCCCATTACTGGGCATATACCCAAAGGATTATATCAAGGGAACCACCCCCGATAATTCAACATAGGACCTTTTCTATTTTCCCTAAGTGTCGGCTGGTCTGAGTAATAAAGGGAAAGACTACAAAAGAGAGAAATTTTAAAACTGTGTGTCTGGGGGAGACATCACGTGTCGGCAGGTTCTGTGATGCCCCCCTACGCCGCAAAACCAGCAAGATTTTGTTGTGATTTTCAAAGGGGAGGGAGTGTACTAATAGGGTGTGGATTATAGAGATCACATGCTTCACAAGGCAATAAAATATCACAAGGCAAATGGGGGCAGAGCAAGATCACACGACTGGGGCAAAATTAAAATTGCTAATGAAGTTTCGGGCACGCACTGTCATTGATAACATCTTATCAGGAGACAGGGTTTGAGAGCAGACAACTGGTCTGACTAAAATTTACTGGGCAGGAATTTCCTCGTTCTAATAGGCCTGGGAGACCAGGGCTTATTTCATCCCTTATCTGCAACATATAAGACACACATTCCCAGAGCAGCCATTTTAGAAACCTCCCCTAGGAATGCATTCTCTTTCTCAGGACTGTTCCTTGCTGAGAAAAAGAATTCAGTGATATTTCTCCTATTTGCTTTTGTAAGAAGAGAAATATGGCTCTGTTCTGCCCAGCTTTCAGGCAGTCAGACCTAATGGTTATCTCCCTTGTTCCCTGAACATCGCTGTTATCCTGTTCTTTTTTCAAGGTGACCAGATTTCATATTGTTTAAACACACATGCTTTACAAACAATTTGTGCAGTTAATGCAATCATCACAGGGTCCTGAGGCGACATACATCCTCAGCTTACGAAGATGACGGGATTAAGAGATTAAAGTAAAGACAGGCACAGGAAATCACAAGAGTATTGACTGGGGAAGTGATAAATGTCCATGAAATCTTCACAATTTATGTTCAGAGATTGCAATAAAGACAGGTGTAAGAAATTATAAAAGTATTAAATTGGGGAACCAATAAATGTCCATGAAATCTTCACAATTTATGCTCTTCTGCCATGGCTTCAGCCAGTCCCTCCATTCGGGGTCGCTGACTTCCCACAACGGATTATAAATCATGCTGCTATAAAGACACATGCACACATATGTTTATTGTGGCACTATTCACAATAGCAAAGACTTGGAACCAACCCAAATGTCCATCAGTGACAGACTGGATTAAGAAAATGTGGCACATATACACCATGGAATACTACGCAGCCATAAAAAAGGATGAGTTCATGTCCTTTGTAGGGACATGGATGAAGCTGGAAACCATCATTCTGAGCAAACTATCGCAAAGACAGACAACCAAACACCGCATGTTCTCACTCATAGGTGGGAACTGAACAATGAGAACACTTGGACACAGGGTGGGGAACATCACACACCGGGTCCTGTCATGGGGTGGGGGGAGGGAGGAGGGATAGCATTAGGAGATATATCTAATGTAAATGATGAGTTAACTGGTGCAGCACACCAACATGGCACATGCATACATATGTAACAAACCTGCACACTGTGCACATGTACCCTAGAACTTAAAGTATAATAATAAAAAATAAAAGAAAATACTTAAGGATCAATTTGACAAAGAAAAAAATACAACATCTGGACACTGAAAACTACAAAACACTGCTGAGAGAAATTAAGTACCCAAATAAATAAAAAGATATACTATGCTCATGGGTCAGAAAACCAAATATTGTTAAGATGTTAATTATCCCCAAATTCATCTATAGGTTCAATATAATCTCAACCAAAATTCTAGCAGGCTTGCTGGAAACTGACAAGATGATTCTAAAATTTATATGAAAATGCTTAGAGCCTCCAATAGCCAAAAGAACTTTCAAAAGGCAGTGCAAAGTTGAAGGATATACACTACACTACCTCACAACTTACTATAAAGTCGTAGTACTCAGGATAGTGATTACTATGGTATTGATGTAAGAAAGACACATAGAGTCCAGAAATAGAGCCACACATATATAGTCAATAAATTTTTATTGTGGTAAATATATATAACATATATTTACTATTTTAACCGTTTTTAAGCATACAGTTCTGTGGCATTAAGTAATTCACTTAATGAACTGTCATCACCATTCATCTCTAGAACTTTTTCATCTTTCAAAACTGAAACTCTGTCCCCTAACTTGTCATTCCCTTTTCCTCAAAAGCCCTGGCAAACACCATTCTATTTTGTGTTTCTATGAAATTGACTACTCTAGGTACCTCATATAAGTGGAATCATGCAATATTTTTCCTTTTATGACTGGCTTCTTTTACTTATCATAAAGTCTTCAAGGTTCATCCATGTTTTAGCATATGTCAGAATTTCCTTCCAAACTTTTTAAGGCTGAATAAATTCCATTTATGTATTCAATAGTGAGTTCCTGGGTGTAGAGGCTTGTGCTATTAATTCTAGCTACTCTGGTAGGGGACCTGAGGCAGGAGAATCACTTGAGGTCAGGAGTTCAAGACCAGCCTGGCCAACATAATGAGACCCTGTCTCAGTCAATCAATCAATCAGCAAACAATTAAAAAAAATGAGTTCCTTTTTGAGGGGTAGCTATTGCTCTAGTCTAAGGCTTTTCACCACAAGTAGCATTGTAGGCAATTCACTTTGTGACTCTATAGCAATCTTGTCACCCATAGAAAATTATCTCCCCACATTATCTGACATTCTGCCAAAAATGATACTATTTTCTGTTACTGGATTTGCTGCTATCTATCCTGTAAGCTCTTTCTTCACTGCTTCTCGGGTTTCCATTAATTTTTTTTTTTTTTAGATGGAGTCTTTCTCTGTCGCCCAGGCTAGAATGCAGTGGCGTGATCTTGGCTCACTGCAACCTCCGCCTCCCAGGTTCAAGTGTTTCTCCTGCCTTAACCCCCTGAGTTGCTGGGATTACAGGTGCACACCACCAGGACTGGCTAATTTTTGTATTTTCAGCAGAGACGTTTCACTGTGTTGGCCAGGCTGGTCTCGAACTCCTGACCTCAGGTGATCCACCTGCCTCGGTCTCCCAAAGTGCTGGGATTACAGGCGTGAGCCACTGTGCCTGGCCAGGTTTCCGTTAATTTTTATAAAATGTTTTCACTTGGAAAAAAACCCAGCCTCAACAAAAAAAGTCACATTTTTTTTTGGGGGGGGCGAAGTATCACTCTGTTGCCCAAGCTGGAGTGCAGTGGTGCAATCTTGGCTCACTGCAACCTCCAACTCCTGGGTTCAAGCGATTCTCCTGCCTCAGTCTCCCAAGTAGCTGGGTCTATAGGCATGTGCCACCATGCCTGGCTAATTTTTGTATTTTTAGTGGAGACGGGGTTTCACTATGTTGGCCAGGCTGGTCTTGAACTCCTGACCTTGTGATCCGCCCGCCTCGGCCTCCCAAAGAGGTGGGATTACAGGCGTGAGCCACTGCACCCAGCCAAGTCACAGTATTTTAACAAGGTAAGAGGTAAATGTTTCCTCTCAGGCATATAACCTTCTACATCAATCCCCAGAGAAAACTCCCACAACAATGTTGTCCTTCCTGACTTGCCAAATATAAACCTAGACCTGTCTGAGAGCTCTTTCTAATCATAACTACAAAGGATTGATCAGGTCAACTAATTTTTTATGAGATACCAAGGTAATTCAGTGGGGAAAGGATGATCTTTTTATCAAATTACAATGAAACAGTTGGATGGCCATATTCCCCCAGTTTCATCCTTACCTCAAATATATACAAAAATTAACTTAAAAAGGGATTGTAGGCCTAAATATAAAAGTCAAAACTATAAAACTCCTAGAAGAAAGTACAGGTAAAAATCTTAGTGACCTTGAGTTTGGGAAAGATTTCTTATATATGAAAAAAATAGCAAAAACAATAGGAAAAAAAATTCAATAAACTGATGCCATCAAAATCAAAATTTTAATCTTCAAAAGATATTATTACAAAATGAAAGGGTTAAGTTATAGATTTGTAGTAAATATTTTCAGAACACATATCTGACAGAAAACTTGTATCTTGAATATATAAAAACTCTTGGCCAGGCACAGTGGCTCATCCTTGTAATCCCAGCACTTTGGAAGGCTGAGGTGGGAGGATCAGTTGAGGCCAGGAGTTTGAGACCAGCCTGGGAAACAAAGTGAGACCTCATCTCTGCAAAATATAAATAAATATAATAATTAGTTGGGTGTGATGGCACACACCCGTAGTCCCAGCTACTTGGGAGGCTGAGGCGAGAAGATCATTTGAGCCCAGTAGTTTGAAGCTGTGGTGAGCCAAGACTGCGCCAGGACACTCTACCAACCTGGGCAAAAGTAATACCTTGTCTCAAAAAAAAAAAAAAAAAAAGCCAAAAAAACACAACTCAATGAGAAAAATTTTAAAATGGGCAAGATTTGAACACATACTTCACCAAAGAAGGTAAGAGGACGAAAAATAAGCACACTACTAGATGTTCAACATCATATGTCATTAAGGAAATGCAAATTAAAACCACAACAAGATACCACTACACATCCACTAGAATGGCTAGAATGAAAGAGGCTGAAAAAGACTGACCATATGTAATGACGAGGATATGGAGCAACTGGAATTCTCATACAATGCTGGTGACAATATAAAATGGTGCAACCACTTTGGAAAACAATTGTAAACTTACACCAACCATTCTACTCCTAGGTATTTTTATTTCCAAGAGAAATAATAGCATATATCCACACAAAAACCTGCACACAAATGTTTATAACAGCTTTATATGTAAAAGCCAAAAAGTAGAAACAACCCAAAAATCCACACATAAGTGAATGCATAAACGAACTGCAGCATCATACAATGGAATACTACTCAGAAAATTAAAAAACCCAACTATTAACACATGGATGAATCTCAAAAACCATGCTGAATAAAGCCAGGTTTTAAAAAGGGGGCATACTGCATGATTTCATTTATAAAAAATTTTAGAAATACAAACTACAGTGACAGAAAGCAGAGCACTGGTTGCCTAGGGACTGGGAGAGCAATGGATTATCAAGGGTTATGAGGAAACTTGCAGGGCGACAGATGGTTCATTATTTGATTTTGGTGATGATGTCACAGGTACACGGTACAGTAAGCTCTCTCTCACCCATGGTTTTGCTTTCCACAGTTTCAGTTACCCATGGTCAACTGCGGTCTGAAAATATTAAATGGAAAATTCCAGAAATAAACAATTCATAAGTTTTAAATTGTGCACCATTCTGAGTAGCATGATGAAACCTCACATTGCCCCGCTTTGTCCCACCTGAAATGTGAATCACCCCTTTGTCCTGCATATCCACATTGTATATACTACCCAGCCCTTTAGTTATCAACATCTTCTTGGCTTCATGATCCAAGGTCACCTGAAATAGATGATTCTCCTTCTGACATATCATCAGAGGTCAATAGTACCTAACGTTATGTCACAACGTGCTACTCTCTGTGTTTTCACATATCCACTGGGGGATCTTGGAAGGCATCTCTCACGTATAAGGGAGACTACTGCATATCTGTCAAAATGTATACAGTATATTTTAGATATATGCATGTATTGTATGTCAATTACACCCTAATAAAGCTGTAAAAAAAAACTTACAGAAAAAAGTCCTCTTCTTCATCTGAATCATCTTCCAAAAGATTTCTCTGTCAAAAAAAGAAAAAGACTTGAGTTTTCAGATTCAGAGGGCTTATAAAATGTCACAGAGGAGTAATGAAATAAGTCCTATACTAGTGAAATTTCTTAACTCCAGGTGTCCATAAAGAGGGAAAAGTAATTACATATCCTTCACTGGAAGCTAAAAGATGTGGGACAACATTTATAGACTTTGCAAAGAAAATGCTCATAATTATAGAATCCTATAACTGACTAAAAAAGGTAGAAAGGTCACTGAAGCTGGTATGGGAGTGAGGAACTGCAGGTAGTCAGGAGGGAGCAAGTCCCCTCTCCTTCCTTCTGACTGCCAGTGTCTGTCTACTGGCAGAACTTAGGGAACCAGGTGGAAAGAAGAAATACAGTTTGTGGATTCCAACTGCAGCATCAGAGAAGAGTATAGAGGGAGTTTGGAGCTGAGGACAAGGGCTTAAAAATGGGCATGTTCTACTTTTTAGCTACTCTACCCACAAACAGCCCCCTAAACAAATTTGAACTTCCAAACAAAAGCAACTTTAGACTTTTATAACATACAACAATTTTCCTTAAAATGAGGACAGTCTCACCTTCTCCCCAAAAGGGGTGGGTATAAAGTCCAAAAGGTGACTAAAGAAGAGCAAAACCCAGACCTTTTCAGACACACAAGAACTCAAACAGTATACAAGTTAAGAATCCCTTATCCTAAATGCTTGGGACCAGAAGTATTTCAAATTTTGGATTTTAGAATATTTGCATATATATAAGGAAACATCTTGGGGATGGGACCGAAGTCTCAACACAAAATTCATTATGCTTCATAAAGACCTTGAGTTTCAAATATAGCTTATATACATAGCCTAAGGGTAATTTCACACAATATTTTTTAATACCTTTGTGCATGAAACAAAGTTTTGACTGCGTTTTGACTGCAACATGAGGTCAGGTGTGGAATTTTCCATTGTGGCATCATGCTGGTACTTAAAAAAGTTTCAGATTTGGGAGCATTTTGGATTTTCAGATTAGGGATGCTCAAACTGTACCACTTGCTATAGGCAGAATAATAGCTCCCCAAAGATGTTCATTTCCTAATCACAAAAACCTGTTTTTTGTTTGTTTGGTTTGAGATGGAGTCTTGCTCTGCTGCACAGGCTGGAGTGCAGTGGTGCAATCTCGGCTCACTGCAACCTCCACCTCCCGGGTTCAAGTGATTCTCCCGCCTTAGCCTCCTAAGTAGCTGGGACTACAGGCGCATGCCACCACACCTGGCTAATACAGTCACCAAAACCTGTGAATGTGTTACCTTGCATGGTAAAAGGGACTTTGCAGATGTGATCACGGATCTTGAGAAGAAAAGATCATTATGAATTATTCATATGGGCCCCATGCAGAGTGAGGGAGAGAGAGAGAGACAGACAGACAGAGACAGACAGACATTACACTAATGGTTTTGAAGACACAGGAAGGGGTATGAGCCTAAAAAGGTAAACAGCCTCTAGGAGCTAGGAAAAGCAAGAAAACAGTTTCTTCCCTAAAGCCTCCAGAAAGAACATAGCCCTACTGGCACCTTGATTTTAGCCCTATAAGCTCATTTTAGACTTCTGGTCACCAGAACCATAAGACAATAAATTTGTGTTGTTTTAAGTGTGTGGTAATTTGTAGCAGTAGCAATGGGAAACTAATACACTACCCATGTACTTTTCCTGAGGAAATTCCTCAAGGAATTACACCAGCCAAAAAGAAAATGAAATCAAAACAAAGACCTTAAGACTGAGATGGATGATACAATCAATGAATCTAATACAATGTGTGGTCAAATCTAAATAGTTGATGATAATGTGACTGTAAACAATAAGTTAAAGCTTTTGAAAAAAATACATATTATATAGAAAAGCTTAAAAAGAATCTAAAACTTTTCCAACAAAGCCCAGAAGCTGGGAGTGGGAGAGTGAAGTGAAGAAGTGAAAGCATTGCCAATATGCTCATCTTGATGAGGAGTGGAATGGAGGAAGGGGGAACAGGACTAGAATTAAAAAGTAAAACAATGGAAGGGCCTTAGTTTTTGGTATGTTGACAGAGAACACAGATTAACACTACCATTAAAATATAAAGTTAGTAACAAAAGAGAGAGGGAAGGAGGGGGAAGGGAGTAAAGTATCTAAACTGTGGTTTAGATATGGTGGTTCTGGGGGCAAGGAGGGAGATGAGTAAAAATAATCAATCTAGCATAAGGGAAGGCATAAGGGAATCTACCATAAGAAAAGGCATAAGGGAAAAGGAAAATATAAGAAATACAATGAATATCACTATATCTATGTATAATATATGACATATACTAAAGAGTAAAAAAATGAAAGAAGGATGTATTCGGCTGGGCGCAGTGGCTCACGCCTGTAATCCCAGCACTTTGGGAGGCCCAGGCGGGTGGATCACGAGGTTAGGAGATCGAGACCATCCTGGCTAACATGGTGAAACTCTGTCTCTACTAAAAATACAAAAAAACAAAAAAAGAAGAAGAAGAAGGATGTATTCAATATTCATTTAACAAGTATTTTTGTGTATCTTTTACGTGCTTCTATGTGCACTGTTCTAAGTACTAAGCAGCGGTTTTGAACAAAACAAATCTGAGCTCTCACAGAAAAACAGGATTGCAATTGAACAATGAGAACACATGGACACAGGAAGGGGAACATCACACACCGGGGCCTGTTGTGGGGTGGGGAGAAGGGGGAGTGATAGCATTAGGAGATATACCTAATGTTAAATGACAAGTTAATGGGTGCAGCACACCAACATGGCACATGTATACATATGTAACTAACCTGCACGTTGTGCACACGTACCCTAAAACTTAAAGTATAATAATAATAATAAAAAAAACAGGATTGCAACAAATGCTATGCAGAGAATTAAAACAGTGATGGGACAGAAAGTGATGGGGTGACTACATGAGATTAGGCTGTCATAAAAAATCACTCTGAAGAGGTGAAATTTAAGCTGAGATCCAAATAACAAAGAGCCAGCCAAAGATCAGGGTGAAGAGCATTCATTGCTGCAGGACTAGATGGCTGGCACAGAAAAAGTCCAAGTGTATTAGTTATTCACAATAAATGTGACTGGTTTGAATGTCCCTATTTAATAACAAAAACTATATGTGATTAGGGTTCAAAAAAATTCTAGCCAATATCTGTTTGCAAGAAATTCACCTAAAACAAATACCAAATAAAGGATGGGGAAAAGCAGGGGTAGAAAAGAAACATCAGCAAATTCTAACAAAAAGAATGTTACAGTTAGCAATATAAAGAGGAATTTTAGGACAAAGTATTAAACAATCAAATAAGATGATTTTACAATAATAAAATATACAATCCATCAAGAAGATTTAATAGCAACGAATGTTTAAATACCTAATAATATAGCTTAAAGTATCTTACAGAAGCTGCGCAAATTATGAGAAACAGTTACATCAAAATCATAGGGAGGATTTAACATACCCTTCAGAGATGGAGAAGCCAAACACACAAAAAAATCTAGAACTTTGAAACTAGACAGCAAATTTTATTTTATTTTCCTTTATGGGTAAGCCACAAAGGACATTTAATAAATTCCAAAAAATAGAAATTACACAAGTCATATTCTCTGACCATAATGCGATGGAAAAAGGAAGTTTTAAAATACTCTTCTCAGCTGGGTGCAGTGGCTCACACCTGTAATCCCAGCACTTTGGGAGGCCAAAGTGGGGGGATCACTTGAGCCCAGGAGTTCAAGACCAGCACTGGCAACATAGCAAGACCGTGTCTCTATGGGAAAAAAAAAAAAAAAAAAAAAATTTAATTAGCCAGGCATGGTGGCTCATGCCTGTAGTCCTAGCTATTCAGCAGGCTGATATGGGAGGATCTTTTAAGCCCAGGAATTTGAGGTTAGAGTGAGCTATGATCATGCCACTGCACTCCAACCTGGGTGACAAAAGGAGACCCTGTAGCAAAAAACCTCACAAAAAACAAAAAACATCCTTCTCATTAACTTTTATGTTAAATGTAAATAAAGGTGATTAGACTATTTTGAAATGAAAGACACTGGGAAGATCACAGGTCAAAATCTGAAGAGTATGGCCACAGCAGTACTTAAAGGAAAATGGGACCTTAGACATATTTTGTTATGAAATCACAAAGATTGAAAATATATAAATAGTTAACTCTTAAGATGGGTAAGTTATTCCTAAACAACACACAACTCCAGAAGTCTGAAAGAAAAAGATTAACATATTTGATTATATAAAAATTTAAAACTTGAACATAAGACATCAAAAACAAGGTTAAAAAACAAGCAACAGACTGGGAAAAAACATCTGCAGTATCCTTTAAGACAAAAGACCTGATGTCTGTATTATATAAAAAGCTTTGACAAACTAGTAAGAAAAAGAGACATTATAGAAAAACAAAGAATAGAAATAGATAATTCCCAATAGAAGAAATGGCCAATGACCACATGAAATGTTCAAAACCAATTAATATTCAAGGAAATGCATTAGGTCATTTTTTAAATAAATATTTCTTGAGTAATATTCTAGCTAACAAGTAACAGACAAGCATTACATTTATAATATAATGTATTTGGTTTATGGCCGGGCATGGTGGCTCACGCCTGTAACCCTGGCACTTTGGGAAGATGAGGAGGGAGGATCACTTGAGCCCCGGAGTTCGAAACCAGCCTGGGCAATACGGTGAAACCCCATCTCTACAAAAAAAAAAAAAAAAAAAAAAAAAATTAGGCGTGGTGGTGTATGCCTGTAATACCAGCTACTCTGAAGGCTACTTGGGGGGATTGCTTGAGCCCAGGAGGAGGCTGCAGAACCCTGATCGTGCCACTGCATTCCAGCCTGGGTGACAAAGCCAGACCCTGTCTCAAAATAATAATGATAATAGTAATAGTAATAATTTATTTGGTTTAGAGGATAATGATACTAAAGATATGTTTACTATAATTGTACACTGAGAAACACACATGAAAACCAATGCTTTTTCATATATTAATTGAATAAACACAAGTGCTAGGGATACAGTGTCAAAAAAGAATAATAGGACACAATGAGATAATATTTCATACCCACTAGGCAGATAATATTAAGTGTTGGTGAGGATGTGGAGAAATTAGAATCATCATACATTGCCGGTGAGAATGTAAAAATTGTACAACCACTTTGGAAAACAGCTGGGCAGTTCTTCAGAAGGCTGAACAGAGAGTTACTACAATACTCAGCAATTCTACCTTTAGGTATACACCAAAGAGAAATAAAAACATGCTCAAACAAAAACTGGTATGCTAATGCTCATAGCAGTAGTATTTAAAATAGCCAAAAGTAGAAAAAAACCCAAACATCTATGAACTGATAAATGGGCAAACCAAATGTGTTATATCAATATAAGGGAATATTATTAGCAATAAAAAGGAATGAAGATCTCCCAGCACTTTGGGAGGCCGAGGTGGGTGAATCACCTGAGGTCAGGAGTTCGAGACTAGCCTGGCCAACATGGTGGAACCCCATCTCTACTAAAAATACAAAAATTAGCTGGGCGTGGTGGTGTACGCCTGTAATCCCAGCTACTTGGGAGGCTGAGGCACGAAAATCACTTGAACCCAGGAGGTGGAGGTTGCAGTGAGCCGAGATCGCACCATTGGACTCCAGCCTGGGCAACAGAGGGAGACTCCGTCTCAAAAAAAAAAAAAAAAAAAAATGAAGCACTGATATGCACTATAACGTTGAGGAATCTTAAAAACATTATGCTAAGTCAAAGAAGCCAGTCACAAAAGGCTATATGTTATATGATTCCATTTACAGAAAACGTCCAGAATAGACAAATCTATAGGAGTGCAGTTGCTTAGAGGCTGAGGGGATAAAGAAAATGGGAGATGACTGCAAAAGGGCACAGCATTTCTTTTTGGGCTAATGAAAATATCCTAAAATTGATTGTGGTGATTGTTGCACAACTCTGTGAATATAATAAAACTCACTGAATTGTACACTTTAAGTGGGTGAATTGTATGGTACGTGACTTTTATCTCAATAAAGCTATTACCAAAAAAGTATAATAGGAAAGAGGAACAAAACTTTTAAAAGATTTTAAAAGTAATTTATATATTATTCTAACCAATCAGTTATCAAACTTCATAATATAATAAACATCAAAAAGGAGTTCTCTTGAAACAGTCAATTTTATTCAGTTCTGGTGTCTAATATACTAATAATCAATGAAGAATATAAGGAGAAAGTGATACAATTACAGTCTCAGCAGTGGAATTTATTGAGACAATACATTTTAAATTTAAAAATGTATTCATAAAGCTTATTTATTTGTATTATTTTTAATTTAAGGTTTACTATTGTTTTTCTTGAAGTAATTTTTCCTGCCCTTGTTATTAGGGTGGGCTTTATGTACTATTTAATCTGATTTCCACACATATTATTAAACTGGTATTTAATATCTACAAATAATAATTTTGTCACTATTTTCTCAGGATTATGACCAACATGCCATGAAACTGTGATCCTAGTATATCACGCCTGGACTTGATTTTTAAAAAGCAATCATATTCAAGTGACTGTGTCCTTAACAGTGATTCCATTAAGTGAACAACAAATTTACGTTCAGCAGTGATTGTGAGAAAGAAACACAGGGGAACTTAGGAAATATAAATAGTTTCAGTTTAAAATCATGTAAAAATAAAACTATAAAATTAATGGGATTTGCATCAATTAAAAATTATTAAATAATATACTCTTGCATACTATACATTGAATTTGGCTACAACCTTCTCTGCTTTACATACATTTTTCAAAATTGACATAGATTGTATGAATTACAAACAAGTTCCGAGAGGTGATTTTACTACATACATTTCCATACTTCAGTCTTCATCTTACACAAAGGCAGATGTGACTTAGGGGCTCTCTGTCCAGGACTGAGGTATTTACCTGACATATCTCAGATATCAGTCAATCAACTGTCAGCATTTATTGATCATCTTCCAGGATATTAATGCTTTGCAAGCATCTCTGGGTAAGTGACTAAAGATTTCCTTGGGGCAATAGGAAAGAGGCTCAGATTCTTCTAACCGATGATTTAAAAAATATTTCAGCATGCTTTGTGCACGCTGATCACTGAATATTCATCAGGAGCTTTCAGTCAGCTTTTACTGGATGCATATCAAGTCTGTGTTGTTTTACACTGGGTTCCTTTATAGGTTCACAATTGGTATCATTTACTTTAACAAATTGACATTTATTCTCTGAATGGGTTTAGTATTTCGCCAAACCTTCTGCTTTGTAAAGACATGCTTTTTTTTTCTTTCTGAGATGGAATTTCACTCTGTCACCCAAGCTGGAGTGCAATGGCACAATCTCGGCTCACTGCAACCTCTGCCTCCCAGATTCAAGCAATTCTCCTGCCTCAGCCTCCCAGGTAGCTGGGATTACAGGTGTGCACCACCGCACCTGGCTAATTTTTGTACTTCTGCTAGAGATGGGGTTTCACTATGTTGGCCAGACTGGTCTTGAATTCCTGACCTCAAGTGATCTGCCCGCCTCGGCCTCCCAAAGTGCTGGGATTACAGGCGCGAGCCACCACGCCTGGCCAAGACATGCTTTTGATAGTAAATCTTCAGTGTATGGAATTCCAGCACAGGTATATCAAATTTTCTGAATCACTTTTTCTTGGAGGTTTATCTTGAAAGATATTACATTAAAGAAAGAGACCCTGGATTATCCCTGAGTGATTTCTCAATCCCTGATCATCCTCTGCCTTCTCTCGGCCAGAGCCTTCCGGGTTCACCCAGACTTGGTATATTTCAAGGCATTTCTCAATTCCTTGCATGGGGAACTAGCTCAAGCAGACACTAAGAGTTTCACCATGGCATGGAGGAAAAGATAGGTGACCAAAATGGTTGAAACTGCACCAAATGCTAGTAAGCAGTTGAAATTATGGCAAAGAAGGAGTAACTGGATTTGGCAACATGGAAATCATTGGTGACTCCTTAAAGTTTATTAGTAAAAGCTTGCTAGCAATTAATCTATTGGTGGATTCTATTTCCCCATTAAAAAACAAAACAAAACAAAACAAAACAAAACAAAACAAAACAAAACAGGCCGAGTGCAGTGTCAAATGTCTGTAATCCCAGCACTTTGGGAGGCCAAGGCAGGTGGATTACTTGAGCTCAGGAATTTGAGACCAGCCTGGGCAACACGGCAAAACCCCATCTTTACGAGAAAAACAAAAACTAGCTGGGCATGATATCATGCACCTGTAGTCTTTGCTACTCAGGAGGCTGGGGTGGGAGGATAGCTTGGGCCCAAAAGGTGGAGGCTGCAGTGAGCTGTGATTGCACCACTGCACTTCAGCCTCAATGACAGAGCGAGACCCTGGTCTCAAAAAATAAAAACAAACCATCAGAAACACACAAAACCGCAAAAGCTGTACAAAGGGTTAGAATAAGGGGAAGAAAATGTTTCCTGTGTTGTACTAAAAGAAACTTATGACTAAAAGTCATAAGATGGTGGACAGAGTGGATAATATGAAGTTCTGAGGTTGTCCAAAAAGAGCATGTAAAACAAAGCAGACTAAAAGCTTTGCAAGGGCACAGACTATGTCTTCCAATTTTTAGCCCAGTGCCTAGCACATAGGAGGTGGTCAATACATATTTGTTGAATGAATCAAGACAAGAAGGAAAGGAAGGAGGGCTTCAGAATGGTGCATTAAAAAAATAAGAACGTGAATTATTTCCCCCAATAAATATGTATTGAGTACTTATTCTAAAAGTAATCTGCCTACAACATTCATATAAAATGTTGTCTTTTAAATGCGGCATAATTTCTAGATTTATATATATTTGCATAGAATGTTCTGGAATAAACTAGAAATTGAAGCATTATATAAAAGATACTCTGGAACATAAGATAATTACAGGTCTGGGGACCTTTATTTGCAATTCCAAAATCTAAAAGCTTCTGAAAATCAAAAAGTTTTGGAGGAAAATTTGACCTGAACTGATGTTAGCTAGTTTATTTACACACTTTATTTACATAGTTAGTTAGATATAACTAAATATAGACTTCACTGAGAAATATTAATATTTTTGGAGGCACTGGTCCAGGCCCCAAAAATGCTGTTACATAATATGTTCTTAACTTTCTAAAATCTGAAAAATTCCAAATACATTCAAAGTTCTGAATAAGATATTGTGTATTTGTATAAAACTCCCTTTCAAAAACTAGAAAGAAGCTATGAGAATAATGATTTGATCAATAATGGAAGTAGAATTCAGTTGTCACCAATCTAAGTAACATGTTTTTAAATACATTTGCTATGAAGAAAACAATTAGGATTAGAATATAGTCATAAGCTTTTGATTTTTCTGTTGTTATTATTATTAGTTAATTAATTTTTGAGACAGGGTCTTGCTCTGTTGCTCAGGCTGGAGTGCAGATCACAGTTCACCACAGCCTTCATCTCCCAGGCTCAGGTGATCCTCCTGCCTTAGCCTCTTGAATAGCTGGAACCATAGGCATGTGCTACCATGCCCCATTAATTTTTTAAAAATTATTTATAGAGACAGGGTCTCCCTGGGTTGTCCAAGACAGTCTTGAACTTCTGGGCTCAAGCTATTCTGCTTCAGCGTCCCAAGTGCGGCGATTGCAGGCATGAGCAACCACGCCCGGATGGTTTTTCTTCTATTATTCACAAAGGGAATGAAAACATATTTTGAATCTTTTGTTTTTAAAGCTTAAGATTCCGAACTTACCCTTTCACTTTTCACAGAACCTGTGACATCATCATCATTGAGGTGGCGCTTAAACTTGGGAGGCATATTTTTTACTTGCAAAGTATCTTTTGCTTCTCAACAGGATAGTCACCACCTTAAAGAGAAAATAAATTTCATCAGATTTGAGACTTTGGGGCATAAGCTAATGTACTTAAAACAGTGTACATGAAACCCTGTATGACAGGGACTCCCTCATTTTTCTGACTTCAATTCCTGCCCTCTCACTTGTTCCACTCCAGTGACTGGGGCCTCCATGCTAGACCTCAACACCTAAGAAATAGTTAAAATTATGAGAAAATGGATGTAATTGCCCTAAGAGAACATGTGTAGGATATGAGTGATTTAAGATTTTTATAAAATGAAAGAGCAGAGAGTAGAGGGAGGACGTCTCACTGAGACATTAAATGCTTTACAATTTAAAGTTGGAGTCAGAAGACAGGAGAACATGCCTATTTCTCTCACTTTTAGTTGGTTGCTTAAGCAATGATTCAGTTTCCTCAGGTGTAAAATACTGATTTTCAGGCTTCTGCAGAGTTGGGACGGTCAAATTGGATAATACATGCAAAAATATTCTGCAAACTATAATGTCCCATTGGTACTCCATGAAAAGGGGTAAGTTTGGTAAGTACTGGTGTGATATCGTGATTTACAAAATATACTCATTTGGTCTTAATCCCCATTTCCTGACATATCCTTGGAATCGCTGCAGTGATGTGTCTTGTGTATGCTAATAAGATGACTGGTAGCTTAGCCCCCAGATAGATTCCAGATGGAGGCTGGTCACAGAAAAACCTAGGCATGATTAGAAGACTGGGACTTTACAGCCCCACCCCCTAGCTTCCTGGAAGGGGAGGAGGGCTCAAGGTTGAACTGATTTCTAATAGCCAATGATGTAATCAATCATGCCTACTAAGGAAGACTCCATAAAACCCAAAAAGGACAGGGTTCAGAGAGCTTCCCAAAAGCTGAACAAGTAGAGAGTTCCTGGACGGTGGCACACCTGGAGAGGGCACAGAAGCTCTGTACCCCTTGCCCTATGCACCTCTTCCATCTGGCTGTTGATCTCTATCCTTTATAATAAACCAGTAAACAAAGTGTTTCTCTTAATTCTGTAAGCCACTCTAGCAAATAAACTGAACACAAGGAAGGGATTGTGGGAACTCTGATTTATAGCCAGTCAGTTGGAAACACAGGTAAAACAACCTGGAACTTGTGATTGGCACCTGAAGTGGGGGGAATCTTGTAGGATTAAGCCCTCAACCTGCAGGATCTGATGCTATCTCTAGGTATACAGTATCAGAATTGAATTAGAGGACACCCAGCTGGAGAATCTGCTGCAGAATTTCCTCCTTGCTTGTGAGGAGAAATCTTTTGGGGGTCTGTGTTGAGAGAGAATAGGAGAAACTCAATTTTTTTCTATCAAAACAACTGGATTAAACAAAGCTAGTTTTCTTTGCTACAGAATGACTCACATCCTGTTATATGCTAATATGCATTGTGACTTTCCAGGAAAATGCTTGTGTATGCAACATACTAAAATTTTTTTTTGCGAAAAAGTTCTTCTATGCAAATAATGAATTTTCAGTATTTTTGACTAGATGGTAGATGAATACCCATCAATTCAGGATAGCTCAGAAATACTGAATGTTTTACTATGTGCTAGGCACGGTGCTCAGTGATACACATGCATTTTCTTTTACTCTTTATGATGCTTCTTTAAAGTAGGCACCAAGAAACTAGGAGAAAACTAAAGTTTAGTAACGATAACGTTAGTCACTACATTCATTGAAACAGCAGAGATACAGGCCTAAATTAATCAATGGCTGTGCATTATCAGTTTTAATCATTTGTTCAATTAGTTGCCCATCAGGTTTACAGAATTCTGTTCTAGAAAGACTCACTTCCTGCTAACAACCCAATAGTCCTGCTTCCTTTTCCATAAGAAGAAACACTTAGACCTTTAAATTAGGTATAGTTAGACATCAGTTTGTTTGTTAATGATATACACTTAAAAAAGAATAATCCCAGGATCTGGCTTCACGAACCAAATAAAAGTAATGTTTTAAGTCAGCTGCTTGTCAAAACCAAAGGACACACTTTTCTTTGATAAGAAATGCTTCCAAATCAGAAATTATTCACTTGTAACAAAAACCAAATTCTTGCTGCCTGAGTAACAGCTCTTGAGTTCTTGGTTCCACAATATTTCTGTCACATACATCTGGCCCTTTTATTCCTCATACTTTGATGTCAGAATACTTCATTCATGCAGAAATGTAACAGAATGCATGGAAAAACAGATGACAAGGCAAATTACTGAAGAACTTGTGCTTTTAACTATTATCTGTATTTAGATTTTAACCCCTGCAATGAGGCTGCCTCAACATCCCAAAGCAAACAACGGGCAGACTTATATAATGCCTTTATAAGACATACAGTAAAACTACAATCTTAAGGATGAGCAAACACCATATTCAGGTCTCTTAATCCCAAGAAACCATGTGCAACAAATAGCCCATCAGCAAAGCAGTAGGCAGATTAATTAGCTACCTTGATGAACTTTGATGTTATTTGCAACTGATTATTAGTAACTGATATGTGTATCAAACAACTAGTAGAAATAAATCATGCTCAGAAAGTAGACTAGGATATAGTCTGCCTAAGATTTCTCCTACAAAAAAAGACATGTGAATTCAGCTGTTTGTGACTAGGTATACATGTAAATAAGAGAGCCATCATGTACTTCCACATTGAGGATAGACCACCACTATACAATTCACTCAAATGAGTCACATCACCGTATGCTTCTTATACATCAGCATATACTTAAATGTCTATGTGTGCGTTTTTGTAAGTAGTACGTTATCTAGTCAATAGCTTTGAATCTGGGCAAAGGCTCTCCTTTTCCCAGCCTCCATTCTCTTTCTGATTCGTCTTCCTTGTCTGTCATCAGCCTTCTTGCTTGATGCAGTTTCACAGAAATAAAGTGACTTGGATGGACACAGACCGGAGATATTATTTGCAAAACCTGTCAAGTGTAACGATTCACCCCCACCTTCCGGTCATTATAAACACAGCAGGGTTGGCGCTCTTTCCCCCGGGCCCTTTAAATACACAATTTCAGGCAGCTCCGTTCACCCCCCACACCCAATCTGTCACACCAGGCCACGTCCCACGATATATCTGCTCCTAACGCTGGCCCTTCCTGCCCCATTGTACCCCCTGGAATTCCTCACTACATCCCACTCTTAACAAACCTTCCCCATCCATGGTACTGTTCTCTTCCCATCACCCCAGAGTACCCCTCAATTCCAATTCTTCTCTCCCTCAACTGCTCCTCGTCCGCATACCCCTGTCCTCGTCTTCCTTCCTCACGGCACCCCCGGCCCCAACCTTTTCCCACTCCGGGGTCCCTTCCTAGAT
Organism: Homo sapiens; assembly: GCF_000001405.40. Lineage (NCBI taxonomy): Eukaryota > Metazoa > Chordata > Mammalia > Primates > Hominidae > Homo > Homo sapiens. The sequence continues at coordinate 171,741,790 of NC_000001.11, forward strand.
CCCCGAGGCCCGCCGACCAGCCCGACTAGGACGTCGGGGGGCGGCAAGGCAGGGGCGTCTTCTTCGTTTCCTTCCTCCTCACACCAGCCCCTCCCGCTGCGAACAGGCCAGCGCCAGTACCTGAGGCTCCCGGGGAACTCCCGGCAGCTCTCCCGGGCTGGCGGTGCTGGGCGGGCGGGGGAAGGAGTAGGAAGCCGAGGTAAGAAGCTGGGAGGGGGAGACAGTTGGTGCGGACCCGGCGTCGGCCGCAGCGCCGCAGCAGCGCCTCCGCTCATCGAGCCGATCGGCGCTCGGCGGCCTGGCGCCAGGCGGAGGGGGCGGGTCCAGGGCACGGAGATAATCGAGGAAGTCGATCCGCCGAGCCCTATTCACCTAAAAGAGCCCGAACCCACACGCAGTTTAGATGCATCTCTCCAAATTTATGCTGTGCTTTAGGGGAGGAACAACCACTGGTTGTCCACGTTCCGGTCGTGATCCGGCGTGCGTGGAGGGCGATTAGGGGAGGAGTGGGAAACTTCCGAGAACCGCTCGGGACTGGGCGCCGCGCCGGAGTGCGTGGCTGGGGTGATGAGGCGTTAGAAAGAAGGTGGTGCTTGGTGGCACATCCGTCCCTCTGGCTGACTACGTTGAGTGGCAAGTGGAGAGTGGCTCGCAGCTCGAGGACCTGCTTCGGGTTCGTCTGGGGCCTTTTCTGAAGAAAGGAGATCTGTTTGATCCCCTGTTTACAGAATTAGAGCTAGACTTGGAAAGAGATGTTAAGGCCAGGCTCCTCCCTTTAGATAGGAGGAATATCTGGTTCAGAGAGGAGATTGACTTAAAGTTAACACGGCTAGTTTAGATAGATACGGGACGAGGGCTCGGTGTTCTTTTCCCGGTATCCCTTAGTTGTAACCTGAAAGCCTTCAGGAAATCGCCCTCGCCAGGCCATTCCGCCACTCTGCCCATTCCTTCCTCACTCCCTCCCCCTCCGCCCAATTTGGTATCATGTTTAGATCTCCACGCCCGCAGTAGCTGTCTACCAGAAACAATTCCTAATTTTGTTTTTCCGTTCTCTTATTTGTTTTATTATCCGTTCCTCCCACGCCCCAGCTGGATTATTTTACTCATTGAATCATATTCACTACACATCTTTTAAAATTAATACAGTATCTATGGGTCCTTTGTTGATACAGTATTTTAACTGTCTGAAATACTGTGCCAGGCACTTTCTAAAGACATAAAAATAAGAGGGGGTGTTCAAGAACAAGAGTAGACAAGAAAACAGCAGGAGGAAAGATCTGCGGACACTAAAGGAAAGGAAAGAATAGACACCCTCTTACCAAAAAGTTGTTCTTCTTTTGTTTGATGTTTATTTTTATGTAAAAATGTACTAACGAATTTGAAAGATGCCATGACTAAGGCAACGATGCTCCACTCTGATTCACTTGGAGTTGAATCACTTGGAAAGCTTTTAAAACTACGTAGGTGCCCACGTGCTACCTAGATTCTGATTTAAATGTTCTGAGATTTAGAAACAGCCGTTGAGTTGTCAGTTGAAGGTTCTGAAAGCTTAATGCTAAACTCAGTTGCCTGTGTTTATTCAGTCCAAGTTGCTGTCCAAGTCAGCAACTTGGACTGAAACGGCCCACTTAGAAGAGAAGCCTCTCATGGTTTGTATCCCTGTCTAGGTGTGATAGTGGGTCTACCCCCAGACTCCACAGGTAACCCTGACATTATTTTTTCTTCTACAGCTGATCTTTTTTTTTTTTTTGAGATGAAGTCTCACTTCTTCCCCCAGGCTGGAGTGCAGTGACACAATCATAGCGCACAGCAGCTCTGAACTCCTGAGCTAAAGTGATCTTCCTGCCTCTGCCTCCCAAGTAGCTGGGATTACAGGCATGAGCAGCTGTGCCCAGCACTTACAGTTGATTTTATGTCTGTATATTTGCATGTTATGGGCTATTTTCTGGCTTTGGTGCCTTAGCCAATTAGAGTTTAGCTAGTTATAGCCTCATCTCTTAGACAACTTAAGGTGTGGTCAGTGAGCTCTAACAGGCACGTCATTGCATAGCTTTTACAGATAATCCATTCTTTGGGTTTTTTTGTTTTTTAAACATAATTCTTTAGTCCTGCCAGTCATTTTGGAATGATCGCTTAGGAGAGGGGTAATGCAAGCCCCACCCTTAATCACCTGAACAAAGTCCCTTTGACTAACCCCAATATTTGTGAAACTTAGAAAATGTCATTTTACAGTTAACATGAATCAAATATACCAGTAAGCCTAAAAGATTATAATAGCACTGAGCTTAGAGTCAGAACTCCAAGCAACTTGAGTTACTTATTTCCTCCATTTTCTTTTTAGTGAGCTTCAGTTATTCAGATGTTAGTCCTCTAATTTTCTTTTCCCCTTTTTCAACATGACACCTTCATCCTTAAGAGGGCCTGCTGTCCTCCTAGCTAGAGAATCAGCGTTTTGCTGTCTTTCAGGACTAAATCTCTGGGTTTTTGATGGGATAGCAAAGGGAATCTCAGCATCTGATTCATTCTTAAACAGACTTTATACCATTCCGCCTGTATTTATAGCTCACATCATGCTCTCTTCAGCTTTACGTGGTGTTTCCAATTCCTGAGCCTTATACAGGGTTTCACTGTGTGTATCAGGTTGCTTCATGGCCTGCTTGGGATTCCTACTTTTCAAGTCTGCTAAGGCAATTGCATCTTGATTCATCTCCCTTCTAGCTTTCAATATTTTGTTGCTAAATGTTCAACATTACTTAAAATGTAAAAGTGAACAAGGAAATACCATTTTTCATCTATCAGTGACTGAGAAAGAAGGAGTTGAGCAGAAGATCTGCAATCCAGTCTCTCCCTTCGTAGGGAAATACTCTCAGGAAAGCAAGGTTAAAGCAAGCAAAAAAGCATGTGATTTTTATAAAATATAAAGTATATACTAATTACAGACCTCCTGGCAAACAAACTAATGGCATTTGCTAGCAAGAGAGTCCATATTTACGGAATTCCTCTAACAGGATGTCCCAGGGCTGGGATTGTTTATGGTAAACACATTAAGAATCGATGTGGTAATTCCAGCACTTTGGGAGGCTGAGGCAGGTGGATCACTTGAGGTCAGGAGTTACCAGCCTGGCCAACATGGCAAAACCCCGTCTCTACCAAAACTACAAAAATTAGCTGAGTGTGGTGGTGTACACTTGTAACACCAGCTACTCAGGAGGCTGAGGCAGAAGAATAGCTTGCACTGGAGATGCGGAGGTTGCAGTGAGCAGAGATCGCGCCACCGCCCTCCATCCTGGTCAACAGAATGAGACTCCCTCTCACAAAACAAAAAAGAATCAATGCGGATTTCAGGGGTATGATTAACTGGAAAATACCGCGGAAGTTATGTAACGTAGCATAAAATGGAAGTGTTTTGTAACTGATTTGGCTCCTTCTGTGTAAGTGGGGTGACTGTACACTTGATTTAGAAACCACATCTACTGTCCTGGGCCAGGATGCATCCAAAGCAAGAAGAAAGGACCTGGGGATTACTGGTATCCTTGAAACTATTAGTAAAGCTTGATACTGAGTAAAATCTCTGATTTGAGCCTGATTTGACAGTTTGATCTTTTGTGTTAGCTCAATAGCAAAAATAAAAAAAATTTGATACTACAATATTGGGTGTGTGTATGTGTGGTATGGGAGCAGCGTGGGAGGAACAAGCATTCTTAAACAGTAAGAGTATAAAAATTGGTGCATTTTTAAAAATTTCATGGTAATTATATGTATCAAAATTTTATATGAAGTTCTTTTTGATCTAATAATTTTACTTCTAAAATTTATCCCATGGGTATACAGGTTGTATATAAAAGTATTCTATAAAAATATCTGTTACAGGATTTTTGTAACAGAGTGAAAAAAAAAACTCTAAATGTTCAGCAATAGGAAATTGCTGAAATGAGTCATAGTCTAGCCATTCAATAGAATAGTATGCAGCCATTAAAATGAACTAGATAGATCTATATGTGCTGACATGGAATACCTCTATGATGCTATAAGGTGAGAAAAGTAAGGTGCAAAATAGTGTGTAGACTCTACTTCCATTTGAGCATCACACACACACACACACACACACACACACACACACCAGGAGGACTGTGAATCTGGCATGGAAAGTGTTATGGACTGAATTATGTCCCCTCAAAATTCATATGTTGAAGTCTTAACTTCCAGTGTGACTAGATTTGGAGATAGGGCCTTTAGGACAATAATTAAGGTTAAATGAAATCAAAAAGGCAAAACCCTAATCCTGTAGGGCTAGTGTCTGAGTGCATGGGCACAGAGAAGAGGCCATATGAGAACACAGAAGATGGCCATTTGCAGTCCAGAAAGAGAGGCCACACCATAAGCCAACCCTGATGACTCCTTGATCCTGGACTTTTAGCCTCTAGGACTGTGAGAAAATAAATTTCTGTAGTTAAGCCACCTAGTCCATGGTATTTCATTATAGCAGCCCTAGAAGACTAATACAGAAGGGAAACTTTCTTGATGTGTAGTGTTTTGTACTATTGGAATATCTTTACCATGTATATCAGTTTTTCAATTAAAACAATGGTAGAGGCACTCTCTTCCCCTAAAATTGGGACCACTGGACCAGTTAATTTAAAAAGTCAGTTACAGTGGTACATATTTAAAAATGGCAAATATATACTTTAGTCATTTTATTTTGACTCAAATGTATATGTTCACTCACCAGTCTTGGTAGTAGGCCCAAGACCTTTTATCTGAGCATGAATTTGCTGGTTGGAACACCTGCTTTGTCTTTGTTACAAGTTGCATTGTTTACAGTTTACAGTTTCATTTTCTTCAAAGTGGAATAAGAAGTTAAAGACACCTTTCAAGCAATTTGAATGCCCAGTCAGTCTAGATTTTTGTACAATTTTTTCTCCAAAGTTTTACAGGTTTGTCTTACCTGTGCCTAGTTCTATAGTAATTTTTGTTTGTTGTTCATGTTTATCAATTTAGTTTTTATAGAAAATAACTTTCTATTTGTATTTCATTAGTTTACATATTTAAATATATTCTATAAGTATAATAGGCATAAATACTTTGGAGTACAAATGCAAATTGACTCTTGTAAGCATGTAACTCAATTAGTTTGGAGAAGAAGTATACAGATATCATGTAGTTAACCATAAGCTTTTCATGCTTAGAGTGCCTTGGTGTTATATAAATATGATATTAGTTTATTTTAGTTTTGATTTTGAATGCTTTTAAATCCTCTATCCAGATTCATTAATAACGCTTTTCTAATGCTGACCTCAACTCCTAAATGGATTTCATGACAGTGTGAATAAAAACAAAATAGTTCAGCCCTCTTTTTGTCTCCAGGTAGATGAAGAAACAGAGTGCCAGAGAGTTTACGTGGTTTGTTAACATTTCACTAAGTTTGCTTTATTACTTCTCTTTAAATTTATATCTCCCCTCGGCATGCATTATTTGAAAATTAGTTATAGCTATCATGCCTCTTTACCCCTAAATACTTCATTAGATATCTCCTAAGAACAAGAACATTGTCTTCATAACTGTAATTCAGTTGTCAAATTCAGAAAATTTAACATTGATACAATATTATTTTCTATCAAAGCATCCATATCAAAGTTTGCCAGCCGTCTCAGTTATGTCCTTTGCAATGTGAGTATAGTCTACAGAGAAAATAGTAATGAGTAACAAAGCAAGAGGAATTTAGTTTTTAAAGATAAGTTCAACTATAGTTTAATTATTTTTAATATATATAATAATATGGGAAATGCCCTGATGCCTTCCTCATGAAACTTTAGATGTGACATTATAAGATGGTCTCAGGGAGGTGCTTTGTTTCTCTTCTAACTGTTCTTGTTTATTGAGGTAGTGACATGTTGCAAGAATTTTATCTTGGAGAAATTACCTCCCACAAAGATGGCAACATTAGAAGAACCTGCATAATAATATGCTCTAATTGTGTTACAAATTTATTTTACTACTCTGAAAGTTAAAAATGGTTACCATTTATTTTCTTGGTTTCATGCCTGTTTTCTTAAGAACTATGCTTAATGATTAGCATATGTTTCTGCACAAATCCTCTCTGATATCAAGTGTCATTTTCCTCATTTTATCATTTAGACCTCAAGGTTCTGAGATGACGTGTGATTTGTCCAAGGTTAGAGAATGGTACAACTGAGAACACTAGAAAATATCGCAGAGCAATAAGCTTAAATTGAGATAAATATTTTCTCTAAATGAATCACATGCTTTTCCCTTATAATAGAGATTAGGCGGCTGGGCGCGGTGGCTCGTGCCTGTAATCCCAGCACTTTGGGAGGCCGAGGCGGGCGGATTGCCTGAGGTCAGGAGTTTGAGACCAGCCTGGCTAACACAGTGAAACTCCATCTCTACTAAAAATATGAAAAAATTAGCCCGGCGTGGTGGCACACACCTGTAGTCCCAGCTACTCGGGAGGCTGAGGCAGGAGAATCGCTTCAACCTGAGAGGTAGAGGTTGCAGTAAGCCAAAATCGTGACACTGCACCTGGGCGACAGAGGGAGACTCCATCTTTAGACGGAGAATCCATCAAGCATAATGTCTTGTTATGATCGCACTTGATTCAAGAGGCTTTAGTCTGCTTAAGGTAAAATACAACTGTAATTTCTTGCTGAAGATGGTAATATTTATCTTGAGTGAAGACTGTACTTTCAGGGTACAACAAACTATAACATAGAACTGTGTTATAGTTCTATAACAAACTATAGAAATGATCTATAGTTTGTTAATCTTGGGTGCTATATCAAAGTGAATCAATTTGTCCATCAGATATGTGTGACAGGTATTCTGTTAAAGTCTGGGGATACAAAAATGGCAAACAGTGTTACTGTCCTCTTAAAAACTTACAATCTTGCACAGAAAAACAAGACTAGGCAACTACAGCCATGTGCCACAGAAGGACGTTTCAGTCAACGAAGGACTGCATATATATAACATTATAATTGATCTGAAAAATTCCACCTAACGATGTTGTTGCTGTTGTGCAATGGATTACTCATGAGTTTGTGGTGATGTTGGTGTGAACAAACCTGCACTGCCAATCTTACAGAAGTGTAGCATATACAATTATGTACAGTCTGTGATACTTGATCATAAATGACTCTTACCAGTTTATTTATTATACTATATATCATTATTTTAGAGTATATTCCTTCTACTTATACAAAAAGTTTACTGTCAAACAGCCTCAGGCAGGTCCTTTGGGAAGTATTCCAGAAGAAAACGTTGTTAAATTAGTGTGTGTTAAAATAGTGTGTGTTATTGTTCCTGAAGACCTTCCAGTGGGACAAGATGTGGAGGAAAACAGCAATATTGGTGATCCTGACCCTGTGTAGACCTAGACTAATGGGTGTGACTGTGCATTAGTTTTTAACAAAAAAGTTTAGAAAGTAAAAATATATACAATAAAAAATTTTTAAAATAGTAAAAAATGGTCCAGGTGTGGTGGCTCATGCCTGTAATCACAGCACTTTGGGAGGCCGAGGCAGGTGGATTGCTTGAGCCCAGGAGTTTGAGACTAGCCTGGGGAACACAGTGAGACCCCATCTCTGCAAAAAATTTAAAAAGTAGCCAGGCATGGTGGCACACACCTGTAGTTCCAGCTACTCAGGAGGCTGAGGTAGGAGGATTGCTTGATCCTGGGAGGTCGAGTCTGCAGTGGGCCCTGATTGTGCTGCTGCCCTCTAGCCTGGTGGCAGAGCAAGACTCTGCCTCAAAAAAAAAAAAAAAAAAAAAAAAAAGTAAAAGCTTATAGAGTGAAAATAGAAAATATTTTTGTACAGCTATACAATGTATTTGTGTTTTAAGCTAAGTGTTATTATGAGTCAAAAAGTTTAAAAGTTTATAGAGTGAAAAATTATAGTAAGCTAAGGTTAATTTATTGGAGAAAAAGTTTTAAAAAATATATTTAGTGTAGCCTAAGTATACAGTGTTTATCAAGTATACAGTGGTGTACAGTAATGTCCTAGGTCTTCAGGTTCACTCACCACTCACTCACTGACTTGCCAGAGCAACTTCCAGTCCTGCAAACTTCATTCATGAAGTGCCATATACAAGTGTATCATCTTTAAACCTTTTATACCATATTTTTATTGTGCCTTTTCTATGTGTATCTAAACAAATACTTGTTATTTACAATTGCCTACAGTATTCAATACAGTAACATGCTAGACAGGCTTGTAGCCTAGGAGCAATAGGCTATACCATATAGCCTAGATGTGTAGTAGGCTATACCATCTAGGCTTGCGTGCGTACACTCTGATGTTTACATGAGGACTAAATCGCCTAACAATCCATTTCACAAGACATATGCCTGTTGTCAAGTGACACATGACTGTATTGAAAACTGAAGTAAATTACAGAGTCAAATGAACAATGGAGTATATATATAATTTATACATATACACAGGTACATGAATACCTTAGCAAATAAAATTGTCTAAGGTGATCTGTAATATTAAATTGTTGTTTAACAATAAATTAAGATCACAAATGGAAACAAATAGGGATGCTGCTATACCTCAGGAATAGCAATAGGAGGAAGCCACGACTATTCATAGGCATAAACAGTCACAAGAAGGGTCAATAGAAAAAGGCAAGAACCATAGTTGTAGGAGATGGGCTGTCCAATAGAGGAATGCAGACATTGCTAACCCAGCCCTGACCTATTTCTCTTCCCAGAAACCTGACCTCCGGGTTTATCCATGTTGTTACAAATGGCAAATGACAGGATTCCATCCTTTTTTTTTTTTTTTTTTTTTTTTGAGACAGAGTTTCAGTCTGTTGCCCAGGCTAGAGTGCCATGGTGTGATCTCGGCTCACTGCATCCTCCCCCAACTGGCCCCACCCCCTGATTTCAAGCAATTCTTCTGCCTCAACCTCCCAAGTAGCTGGGGCTACAGGCACCAATCACCACACCTGACTAACTTTGTATTTCAAAATTTTGTATTTCATCATGTTGGACAGGCTGGTCTCAAACTCCTGACCTCAGATGGTCTGCCTGCCTCTGCCTCCCAAAGTGCTGGGACTACAGACACCTGCCACCACAACCGGCTAATTTTGTGTATTTAGTAGAGATGGGGTTTTACCATGTTGGACGGGCTGGTCTCAAACTCCTGACCTCATGTGATCCGCCCACCTTGGCCTCCCAAAGTGCTGGGATTACAGGCATGAGCCACCACACCCAGTCGATTTCATAATTTTTAATGGCTGAATAGTATTTCCTTTTTTTTTTTTTTTTTTTTTTTGAGACCGAGTCTCACCCTGTCACCAGGCTGGAGTGCAGTGGTGCAATCTTGGCTCACTGCAACCTCTGCCTCCCAGGTTCAAGTGATTCTCCTGCCTCAGCCTCCCGAGTAGCTGGGACTACAGGTGCGTGCCACCATGTCCAGCTAATTTTTTGTATTTTTAGTAGAGATGGGGTTTCACCATGTTAGCTAGGATGGTCTCGATCTCTTGACCTTGTGATCCACCCGCCTCGGCCTCCCAAAGTAGTGGCATTACAGACGTGAGCCACCGCACGCAGCCTTCTTTCCTTTTCTCTTAGAAATGAACATGCTTTAACATTTACTTATGAGTCATGGCTCACATGTATAGCAAGAAAGGGTTTGGTGAACAGGGAAATTCTCAGAATAGGATGAACACAAAAAGGACCATAATGATGAAGTACAGGCAGCACACTCCATCTCAGAACAGTCACCAGCCACCAAGGAATTCCCTGATCATCTGAATGGGACTGAAAACAATCCAGTGATTCCCCAGAGGCTCCTGCTCATTGACTCTTTTCCAGTAGATGACACGCAGAAAAATAGCTAAAAATGGAGGCCCAAAGTAACTAGCCATTGACTCTGCGTAATGGAAGAGTGACCCATTTGGAGATATCTGTACCAATGAAACCCAAACAATGTGGTTCAGAGTTATGAGGATGGTAACCTTTAGGCCTAGGTGCCCAGTCTATCCCACTCAATGTAGGAACTGTGAAGCAGAGGGGATTCCATGTGAAGGGGAGAATAGCAGTTTCTCTCTTGGCCAATTGGGAAGGCTGTACAAATCAGGGCTGATCATCCCTGGCCTCCCCCTGAGAAACATGGGCAGCAGCTTCAGGTGGCCACAGAGAATGCAGGCAGCCTTCTTAAAATACTTCTCCATGCTTGATAGGAAGTGCCGGGCAATAACACAGTACCAAAATTACTTCATCCTGTCTTTTCTGCATGTAAATTGATTTGTTCCCCTGTACTGTTCTAAGGAGCCCAGCACAGGCAATACAGCACACCTACTCAGCTACAGATTTCCAGTTTTTGTTTCTGCTTATAATAGTTTTGGTATTTTCCTGCAAAGTTCTAAAAATACACTTAAAACTTTTCCTTTGGGACTCGCAATTTCAAAAAAATAAAATTTTTGGTTCATTACAAAATCATTTTACTTGCCTGTGCTACCCAACTCTTATTTCTCATTATTATTTTCCTTTTGTCTAGTGGTTACGTTTGTAACTTTTAAAGTGCTTTCTCAAGCTCTATTTCTGGGTCTATCATGTTTATGTATCTATGTACTTAATATTCACAAGGTCCCATAACAATTGGAATCCTTACGTGTTTTTTACACAACCCACTCCCAAATTCTGTCAACTGTAACTTTTTTTTTCTTTTTTTTTTTGAGATGGAGTCTTGCTCTCTCATCCAGGCTGGAGTGCAGTGGCGTGATCTTGGCTCACTGCAACCTTTGCCTCCCGGGTTCAAGTGATTCTCCTGCCTCAGCCTCCCAAGTAGCTGGGACTACAGGTGCATGCCACCACTCCCGGCTAATTTTTGTACTTTTTAATAGAGATGAGGTTTTGCCACGCTGGTCAGGCTGGTCTCAAACTCTTCACCTCAGGTGATCCACCTGCCTTGGGCTCCCAAAGTGCTGGGATTACAGGCATGAGCCATCACACCTAGCCAACTCTAACATTGTTTTTAAATGGCTAATTTTCATAGAGTTTAAATGGTTCTCTGTAATTGTAATTAAGTTGTCCATACTTTGTTTCTATATTGATTTAATAGAATTTTTGCTATTAAGATTGTGTAAATTTCTTTCTCCATAGATCCAAGACATACATGTGAGTGACCACAGTGAATAAAAATCACATCTGGGAAGTTCCAAGGTAATATTTTTGGGTATCATTTTTTAAAATAAATACTATTTTTTTTTTTTTTTTGAGACAGGGTTTCTTTCTGTTGCCCAGGTTAAGTGCAGTGGTGCAATCATGACTCACTGCAGCCTCAACCTCCTGCACTCAAGTGATCCTGCCACCTTGGCCTCCCAAAGTGCTGGGATTACAGGTGTGAGCCACCATGCCTGGCCAAGTATCATTTTTTAATGTTTATAATCTCTTATATTCTCAAAGTAATGTTCATCGTAATTAACTTTATACTTAGCCCTTGTTTTATTGCACAGATTTATTTTTTTTTAGAATTTGTAATTGCCTTTTAAAATTTGTTGTTGATATAACTAACATACAATTTCTTTTTGAAATTTTTAAAACTTTTTTCTCTTAAAAAATTTTTTTTGTATTTTCTTTTATTTTTTTCTTTTTCTTCAGGGTAACAGTTATTAATAACATACAATTTCACCTTCTCACTAACATTGCTAATAATAGGTTCTAAAGTTTCTTAATCATCGCATTTCTTCTACTAAATCCACTTTTATTTTTTAAAAAGGGAAAGCACTCTTTCAGGGCTTCTTGAAATTCTTTTGTAACTTGAATCAGGTACTATTTATTTCTGCTAAAAATCTGTCATGATATTTCTCTTTACTGGACCGCTGGACTAGGTCCATAATGGTATTCATGACCTTCTCTAAAATAACTACTGCTACTTTAAGTCAGTTTCTAAAGTTCACAGATCATAGTGTATTTTTTTAAGATCATTGGGAATTATTTATTTCCAGAATTCATGATTGCAGACATTGTGTGGTCAGCAAATGGTCACAAAGGAAGTACACTGTATATATTCGACCTGGAAGGAAAAACACCGATAAGACAGTGAATTCTTTGGCTTCCTCATCCAGGCCATGCATGTCAGTGCTTCTGTCCCCTTGTTGGTCAGTAGCTCAGTGTCTAGGCAGATGAAGTTCTTAGAAGGGTGCTGGTCAGCCAGAGATCACAGATATGCAAAAGTTGGCTTTAAAAAAAATTCAGTGTCCCATAATTGGATTCTCCACTGCTGCAAACTGTGTGCCACTATGCTATTTGCCTATGCCTGTCCTAGGCTGCTCTTCTAAATTTCCTTTGTCAGTGGCTCTAAGTCTCTGTCCCACCAACACGGGGCTTCCTTGATTTGTGAGTGGAATTTGCAAGTGTAAATGTGTCCTGTACTGTTTGTTCCTGAGGCATGGTTTCAAGTAAAATGGCATTTTACAGCCTGCATTAATGGGAAATTACTTTCTATTAGAATTCTGAATAATGTGCACATAATGTTTATAAAGTGAAGGAAAGATGTCAAGCATTTCATTAACAAATGAAAGCAAAGCTCACGAGACTCTGCCAGAAGTGAATTCCAAGAATACTTTCTTCATCATTTCTCCTTTCAGCTCACAAATCTGTAGGTTGGTGATTCAGCCTGGGCAGCTCTTCAGGTCTCAGCTAGGCTCACTCACGGGACTGGGGAACAGCTGGCTATCAGCTGGTGCCTCCTAGGTCTGGAGGTTGGCTGGGGTGACTTAGTTCTGCTCCAAATGTCTCCCTCCAGCAGGCTAGCCCTGGCATGTTCTCACAGTGAAGGCAGAGCTTCCACTGGAGTACGTGTCTCCGGGTACTCTTTTTCCCCAAGCTCCCAACATAGGCTTCTTTAGCGTGTTCCCAAGTCCACTTCACAATTTCTCCACAAGATTCCAGTCATTTTACATGAAGTAGAGAGACAGTCTTGCAGACCCTCTTCTTGGCCATAGGCAGTCACCAGAGTAAGGAAGGGAAGAGGCGAGGAAGGCAACAGGGCCAACTCCTCTTGGTAAAGCACAAACAGTAACTGGAAAGTACCAACCACAGAGAAGGCAGGAGAGCAACTTCAGGGTGAACATCCCAGGCTCTAGAGAAAAGCAGATGCTGATTCCAGTCCTAGCTTCTCCACTCACCATGGGCGTTATTTATTCCGCAGCCTCAGATTCCTTGGCGGTGAAATGGGATAATGCTACTAACTACTGCCTTAAGGCAGTAGTAGTTTGTGAAGATCAAATACAAACATGGTGCTTGGCACAGCAGCTGTTGCAAGTGAACTCAAGGAAATGATGGTTATACTAGGACTTAGGTGGGGGAATACTATGGGCTTTAAAAGGAATCCCTAGCCTGTGGCTTACACTGCTGGCATTAGGCCAAGGACAGAGATAAACATTTCCCCTGACTTCTTTTCACTTTCAGAAGTCCACAGGCAACTTGCCCCAGTCTCCTGTCCCCAACACCACTACCCCACCTCAAATCCTGGACCTGGGCACTATATTATACCCACAGCTGTGGAGCTCTTAGTTCCCCAGGCTGGTTCATACAAGGGGGAACCAGGGACTCGGCCAAGAGGTACCCCTGCTAGGTCAAACGTCTGTGGCCCCTGGGCAGTGAGTGCTCTGGAGTCCACTGGTCCCTGCCTGGGGCTTGTGCTGGGAGGCAGAGGTGTCAATGATCCCAGCTATTGGCCTGGCGGCCAGCCTGGGGCAAGGAGCGTTCCAGCCAAGTGTCACCATCACCATTGTTCTGAGAGGCCTGGGCCGGCCCCACAGATGGCCTCTTAGCTCCTCTCCTGGTGCCCTGGGCTCAGGCAGAGAGCATGGTGCCCAAGCACATAGCCTCATAGTGAATTAATGAAACAGCAACAAAGCAGATAAATTGTCCCACTGGTCCTTTACATAGGTTCTTTCCAACAGCTTTGGAGAGTGACGGTGTCTCCTCATCTTCATCAGCACAAGATGTCATTCACATTGAACAGTTTTGACAGTAGGTACAACAGGAATGGGTTTAGTGAACAGAGGGATTCCCAGGCTAGCCAGGATGGATAAAAGAATGAAAGAGACAAAAATGGTAAAGCTCAGATAGTGCACTCCACTTATTTATTTAGGACAGTCACCAAACATCAAGCAGTTCTCTGTTCTATAGGTAAACTCTGTGATCCTATGAATAAGGCTGACCACAAGTTCAGTGAGACCCTGGAGCCCACTGTTGATTGACTCTTTTACAGTAGATGGCAAGGAGGACTGTAATCTATAATTAGAGTCTCAAGGTAATGAACAATTTATTCTATGTAACAGAAGAGTGGCCCATTTGGAGATATCTGTACTAATGGGACCCATATGATGCAATGAGAGTTATCAGGATGAGAAATAACTTTCTAGCTGTAAGGAGCTCCATCTCTCTTTCTCTCATTCTGATGTCTGCTCAGGGACCTTGGTGTAGAGGTTCACACTGAAGAGAGTGCTGGTGATGTGAAGGTGGTCAGGGAGCAGGAGAGTCCTCCTTATCACTTATCCTCTTCAGAATCCACTTACTTTCCCCTGAAGTTGATGATATATTGCCAGCATCTTCTTTTCAGATCTGTAGAATGTGCAGAATGAGGTCACTGTGCACATGGTCCTTAGGGGAAGCTGAAGCATCATCCTCATCACTGCTGAGATTCTCCAGAAACCACTCAAGATTACATGAAGTTGACGTATGGGAACCATCTTCTTCCTTATCCATTGATTTGCCAGATGTTATGCTGAGATCTTTCAGGAGCAGCTGAAGAGTCTTCATCCTTATAGCTACCTTCATAAATGATGTCCAGAGGAGAATTGTATTCCATGTTCTTGAGGCTGTCTTGGTCTTCCATGGAACCCTCTCCAATGCCCTGTAATAAGGAAGCTGCTTCAGAATGTCCTCAACAGAAAGATTTTCATTTGCTTTTCAGTCCACGCTGACCACAGATGAGGCCTCCTTCTCTGACCTGTCACTTGGAAAATCCCCTACCAGGTCTTCAGCAGAAGCTTCAATGAATTGCTCCCCAGTGTGTACTCTGTTATGTGGCCAGATTGTTTTGACCCGCTGCTTGGGGCAGGCAGCATATCTTCTGGACCACTGAAGATATGTTTCTCCCAGATGCGACTATCTGTGGCTAGTGTCACAGGGAGTAGAGGAATTTACCAAGACAGTTGTAGGTAAAGAAAGGCAGGTTTGTTAAAGAAAGTATGAAAATGTGTTGCAAGATTGCAATGGGCAGCACAGCAGAGAAGGGGCTGTCTGCAAAGAGGCAGAGGTGGAAGGGAAGTTTTATAGGGTCGTACTGGATGGGGTTATGTGCAGAACGAGGTCATTGTGTGGAATGAGGTCATCTCTCAGAACAATTATTTATTATTCTTCCCCACCTGGAGCCCTTCCCCACCTGAGGCCCCTTCCTCATTTTTGCTTACTTATCAGGAATCCACATTCCCCCATGACAGAATAGCAATGACAAATCTTTGGCATTAGGGTAGAGGTCTCATCTCCAACTGCTTCCTGCTGACCAGGGGCATAGAGTTGACCCAACCTATGGTTTTGGTCTGTCAGGAGACCCTGTGAGCCATTGTCCTGGGCTGTAGGACCTAGGATATTGGATCATGCTGAAGGAAAGCATTCATCGGAGAAGGGGAGCATGTCTAGGCAAAACTGGCCTCCAGCTGAGTGGGAGACTCCTAAAGGTAGCAGGTATCATTGAGGAGATACCAATATCCTGTTCATAGCACCATTTGAAGGTGAAACTACTGAATTCTAGAAGATAAAATTTTGTTTCTTGAGCCAGTTACCAAAAAGGCAAAGAAAACCCTTCTGTAGTATGACTGTTTTTCCTTATTGGAAGCCCATTTAGATAACTTGGAAGTTGCACTTGATGAAAAAGTGTTTGAATTTAATTTGACACAGCATAGGGAGCCAATTTTAGAAAGACTATTATATCTTAATTACATATAGTGTTCCTTTTATGAATTTCACAAATTTTCTCATGATTTACACAGACCATCTATGATGTGCCCAGACTTTCTGACTTGTCCTAAACATCCCTCATTCTTAAACAAGCAGTCATTTTACTTTAGGACAAGAATTTATGGTACAAAATCCTTTCTCGTGCAAAATCTTCATAACCTTCATTACCAAAAATACCTCTTTACCTTTATAACTTTCTTTATGTTTCTCTTATTTCCTGGTTCCTTTTATCTTGTTTTATATATAACCATTATCCTTTGAATTAGACAAAAGTCATTTTCCTTTTTTTAGGAGTTTATGGTTTATACTATGTGTTGCTGTGTGAGTTCTGTGGAAGGGAAGCAAATGAGGAGGTTATTTATATATTGTAGAAGTTGTTCCATCAAGAGATTACTCAGTTAGCTTTCTTGCTAGGGCATGTCTGAATAAGTATGGGCTATTTTAAACCCCTGAGATAAGACTATCTAGGTTGAAGTTATTTGTTAAAGATTTAGGTAGCTTTCCCAGGAGAAATGGGGCTACTAGAAGGAAAGGTGAATTCAGAGGCTGGGCAAATATTAAGCAGGCACACATCTTGGAAAGTATGTTTTTGCCCCAAAGGAGTGTGGGGTATTTAGATATTACCAGGGCATGGAGGGAAAATGGTAACTGATCCCTTACATAGTATAAAGGGGTGTGACTTTTTCTTTTGGAGGGAGAGGGTGCCGCTTGTTCCCATTACCCAACAGGATTTGGAGGAGAGTTGTTTAGAGAAGGAGATTAGTACAGAGTCACTATAAGTCATTTAGCCAAAATGATAAGTCCAAAATTTTTAAAAGGCAAAAATCTTTACTCGCTGATAGAGGGGAGACTTAGCTTTCAAAACAGGCTGCAATAAAGACAGCATGAGGACAACTGAATCTGTCTCCTTTTTCTTCCCTCCTTTTTCTGTCATTCATTTAAAAGGAAAACAAAATTCTTTCATTTTTGTTTATATTACATGAAAATCTTGTCTAAAAGAGAAAGCCAAATTGCATCTTTGTACTAGTTTTCTATTAATGTTAAATCCAATTCTTAGCAAAACCTTATAAACAAATCTGTCCAATCTTTATTAGCTTGACCATAGGGTAAGATTTCCATAAACCTCTTATAACCCTTTATCGTTTTCTGTTAAACAGCAGATTAATTATCTAAGAAAACTATTATCTGGACACACGGGCCCAGATTCTGGACCTGCATTAGTGTGCTTTTATTTCAATTTTCAACCTATGGGAAAACTGAATAATTCCCTTCAAATCTTAGCCAGCTTTTTTATACCCACAGACCTTTTTACAAGATCAGCCCTCCACAACTTACTATCTAACTTGCTTAAACCTTCAGTTTTATTCCATTACTCCTGTAGGTTAGGCCAATCCTTAAAACCTCTGAGCAAGACAAAATTACATTCCCTTTAACAAAAGCCATATTTCCATGCCTTCTTTTTTTTTTTTTTTTTTTTTGATGGAGTCGCTCTCTGTCGCCCAGGCTGGAATGCAGCGGCGCAATCTCGGCTCACTGCAAGCTCTGCCTTCAGGCTTCACGCCATTCTCCTGCCTCAGCCTCCCAAGTAGCTGGGACTACAGGCGCCTGCCACCACGCCTGGCTAATTTTTTGTATTTTTAGTAGAGACGGGGTTTCGCCATGTTAACCAGAATGGTCTAGATCTCCTGACCTCGTGATCCACCCACCTCGGCATCCCAAAGTGCTGGGATTACAGGTGTGAGCCACCATGCCCGGCCTATTTCCATGCCTCCTTATAACCTCCCACCAAAAACATATTCTACTTTCCTTCTATACTTTTCATGTAAACTGTTTCTCCAGCAGTCTCAAGTACATGTTACAATGTTAACTCTCAGCAACTTTTATTTTTGGTGAAAAACCTGATGAGTAATTTTTTTTTTTTTTTTTTTGAGACGGAGTCTAGCTCTGTCATCCAGGCTGGAGTGCGATGGCACAATCTCGGCTCACTGCAACCTCCACCTCCTTGGTCCAAGCAATTCTCCTGCCTAGGCCCCCAAAGTAGCTGGGATTACAGGTGCCCGCCACCACGCCCAGTTAATTTTTGTATTTTTAGTAGAGACAGGGTTTCACTGTGTTAACCAGGCTGGTCTCAAACTCCTAACCTCGTGATCCCCCTACCTCAGCCTCCCAAAGTGCTGGGATTACAAGCATGAGCCACGGTGCCTGGCCCTCATGAGTAATTTTAACCATGTATAAGATTGCAGAACTCAGGACAAGCTGCAGATAATGTCTGACTCTTTCCAGACTAGCCAGGGGACCAGGCTAACACCATATGTCCCCAGGCCTTACCTAGAATCTAATGGCTATAAAACAAACAAGTCAATTATTAAAAGTCATAGAAGCAGTTTATGGCCTTAAAGCATCTGACAAACAGTATCTGACTGCCTAATTTAGTTTAAGTGTGTGAACTTTGAAGACATCTTTTATTTACCTTACCAATAATCTTTAAACTGGCTTTTTAAAAGAGTCGTATTAGAGTCACGTGACCTAAAAGGCATTAAATTTTTATTTTTCTGACAATATGTTTAAGTGCTTATTTTTCTTTAAGCCAATTAGAATTCTTTTATATAAACACATAAAAATACACAGACAGAAATGGAGAATTAAGACAAAATTCTATCAACTGAGAAGTTTTTAGAGCAAAAGCAGGGGCTTTAAAAACCAATATCTGTACACATGCAGACCAAATATAAGCTTTAAGTTGATTTCTAACTATTACCAGATTTCAGTCAGGACAAATGGCTAGTATTTCTGGCTTTTGAATCTTTTACTAAAGGTAATTTATAACATGATATTAGTAAGCCTTAACTAAGAAGAAGCCTTTTTTTTTTTTTTTTTTGAGACGGAGTGTCGCTCTGTCGCCCAGGCTGGAGTGCAGTGGCGCTATCTGGGCTCACTGCAACCTCCGCCTCCCAGGTTCACGCCATTCTCCTGCCTTAGCCTCCCCAGCAGCTGGGACTACAGGCGCCCGCCACCGCGCCCGGCTAAATTTTTTTGTATTTTTAGTAGAGACGGGGTTTCATCGTGGTCTCGATCTCCTGACCTCTTGATCCGCCCGCCTCGGCCTCCCAAAGTGCTGGGATTACAGGCGTGAGCCACCGCGCCCGGCGCAGAAGAAGACTTAAACACAGACACATGAGCTGTCTCCAAAGAGACGGTCAGTGATTTACAAGATCTAGAATTGCCCCAAAGGTAATTCAGAGAAAAGAAAATTTCAAGACAGGAAATCAGAAGCTGTTCATGGAGGGGAAAAGAATCAATAAAGGGCAAAAATACCACAAGTATTAAACCACAAAGGACTCACATTGAAAGACAAGAATTGAACGCATTGTGAGAGGGCAAAGCCTTAGCCACTTATCTACAGCACAAGGTGACTGCTGTTTTTTCCAGAAGGAGTTTAAAGCATTTTCAAGCTTGCAAAGGATTTTAACTGCTCAAGATAACTTTCTGAGACTAGCCATGTTGTTGTTATGCATCCTTCTTTTAATTTAACCTTTTTCTTTTATTGGTCTACCCAGTTCCAATAGTGACCCAATCTAAAAGGCTGTTAACATCCAGATAGTAATTTTCCAGGTTTTTACCATATAAGCAAAAGGTTATTTCCAGAAAGGGGTAGAGGAGGTGTCTCCATGACAGACAGCTTTTGAACTCAAAAGGGAAATTTATAATTTTACTTGCTGCCTCCAGAGTTGCCCTTGGCTTTGTTTTATTGATAATGATGTTTGATTTGGAAGCCAGCTGGAGCAGAGACCCCTACCCCAGCAGAAGGCCATCAGGGGTGTCTGATGGGATTCTGTCCTGGGGGCCCTTCAGCCCTTAGGGCAGTCCCATTTCCAGTGGCCAAGCTTGTGGCCGAGGGGGCAAACTGTGTAAGGCTTTTCCCCATTTGTCCCATTGGGACAGTTTGCCTTTCAGTGGCCTGGCCTTCTGCACTGATGGCAGTTACCTGGAGGATATTCTGAGGGCAACCCAGACTGGGCTGGGGGCTCATAAAGCAGCCAGCAGTTGAGCCTGCCTTTTCTCCTTGTGTTTTCTGTGTTTTTCTTTCCCGTTAGCCCTGTCCTTTTTATTCTGCTCTCAGTTATAAAAGACTGAGGAGGCTAATTTGAGAATTTCCTGCAAAGGGGCCATGCTGTTAATATATGACACAAGAAAATTAGATGTGCCCTATTTTTTCTGCACCTCTGAGCTTACTGTCTGTCTGGCTTTTTTAAGTTTTAATTTCCAGGACTTGAACTCGCTGCCATGTCCACTAAAGAAGGAAAGATCTTCGTGGGAGGGCTCAACATTAACACCGACGAGCAGGTGCTGGAAGACGACTTCAGCAGCTTCGGGCCTGTCTCTGAGGTGGTCATTGTCAAGGAGACTCAGTGGTCCAGGGGTTTTGGTTTCATCACCATCACCAACCCAGACGCCATGAGAGCCATGAACAGAGAGTCCCTGGATGGTCACCAGATCCGCGTGGATCATGCAGGCAAGTCTGCTGGGGAACCAGAGGAGGTGACTTTGGGGCCCATGGGCGTGGTCACAGCTACTCTAGAGGTGGTGGGAACCAGGACTATGGGAGTGGCAGGTATGACAGTTGACCTGGAGGGTATAGATATGGATATGGACAGTCCAGAGACTATAATGTCAGAAGCCAGGGTAGTTATGACTGCTACTCAGAAGGAAATTACAGAAGCAATTATGACAACTGAAATGTGACATGTGCACATAATATACACAAGGAATAGCTCTTCTGATCCAGGATTGTCCTTCCAAATGGCTGTATTTATAAAGGTTTTTGGAGCTGTACTGAAACATCTTATTTTATAGTATATCAACCTCTTGTTTTTAAATTGAGCTCCCAAGGTAGCTAGTTAAAGATCTTTTAGACAGCTCCATCTTTGTTTAAAATTTTTTCTCCTATTTAAAGACAAATTATGGAACATTTGTAGGGTCGGAGTATTTTTCTTTTTGCCAGTTTTTTAGTTTGAGCTGTCAGGATTATTGGATCTAGCAATAATTGGTTCTGACATTTGACCAGACTGGTTTTTGAAAATTAGTGTGTATCCAGGGACATTTAAAAAACCTGTACACAGTGTTTATTGTGGTTAGGAAGCAATTTCCAAATATACCTAGAAGAAATCTGCATCAAGAACATGATTATCTAGGGGTTTTCTCTAATTCAGATAACCAAACTGATTATATAGAAGAGCCGCTTTAAAATGTTTGCAAATGTCTTTTTGTAATACTGGAAGAAAAAATATTGTTTTGTCTCATATAGTGCTTAGGATGTCCTTCACAGAGCTTATTAAAAAGTTGAAACCAGAAAAAAAAATTAGGTGTTTCTTTTTGAGAGTCTGAGAGTTAAATTTGTCTTAATGTTTTAGGATGTAGCCCAGAGGTGAGTCTGAATAAATAGATGGGGTTTGTCCATGTTGGAACTGGAAAACAATGAGCCACTGGAGGGTAATGTCTGCTGGGGACACGAACCACACTTTCTTTAGGGGCATCCTGCTGAGGAAAAGGGTTCCACTTACATTGCAGAGGGATACAAGTACACTTTCTAAAGGGGCATCCCACCCCCATTAGAAAGGACCTTTCAGCGCTGGCACCTTATGCTGGGTGATCAGCCCAGGCATGAGGAAAAAGGGTAAAGAGAGAAAGACAGCCTGCTGCCAGCCCTGGAGAAGGAACAGGAATGGGGACACTCACTGCTCTGAGGCCACTTGAGATCACCTGATTTGGGAACATCCAGAGCAGGATGTCTGGCTGTCTTCATGGGAGAATTTAGAATTTAGAGTGAGAAAGAGGGAGTCTGAGTTCCCCAAAACATGTGTGCCAATTGTGCCACACAAAGGGATTGGGGACTTTTAACCAGAAAGGATAGGAGAGGGTCTTCCTCCCTTCTGGGTAAGGCAGCCAAAGTCTTTCACCCTCTGGCCTTCAGGCTACACCAAGGTGTGGGCCTGGCCAGTTGTGATCAATTGCCAGAGGGATGCTAGAGTTTGTCTGCTGGAAGGCAGGAAAGGAAAGCAAACTCTGAACTCTTACCTGATCAGGCAGTGGTGGTCAGACATCTTTTCACAGGGACTTTCTGGTCTGCCGAGGAGTGGCCCCGGCTGGGGACCTTCAGCTGTCTCGGTGCTTGGATGCTGTCACCAAGAGGTCAGAGTTGGAGGACAGGAAAGGGAGTGAGTAGGGGAAGAGGTCCCCGAACAGTCCCTGTACGGGCCACCAAAACATCACAGGTGTGACTATCTGGGGCTGGGCTGGTGTCGCAGGTGGTAAAGGAATTTACCAAGATAGTTGTAGGTAAAGAAAGGCAGATTTATTAGAGAAAATATGAAAATACATTGCAAGATTGCAACAGGTAGCACAGCAGAGAAGGGCTGTCTGCAAAAAGGCAGGGGCTGGAGGGAAGTTTTATAGGGTTGTGCTAGAGGGGGCTGCACATAGAGGTCATCTCTCAGAACAGTTGTTCATTGTTCTTCCCCACCTGGGGCCCTTCCCCACCCGAGGCCCCTTCCTCATTGTTGCTTACTTATCAGGACTCCACAACATTTTCATATTCTTGAGGCAAGATTCTGTCCATGAAGAGAGGAAAGGATAAAGAAAATGCAGTATATATACATAATGGAATGCTCTTCAGCCTTAAAAATTCATGAAATCATGTCATTACAGCAACATGTATGGACGAGGTAGGAAAAATGCCCCAGAGAATCCACACCAAAGTTTCCTCCTCAGCATCTGCGCCCACAGACAGGAGCTGTTTCTTCCCCGGGATGTTGCCCCAGGTCCTCCTGAAGCTGCCATGGTGCTCCCTCAGGAGGGTCCTGAAGGAACTGGAGCTCTTCTCCTCCTCACAGGCTGAATAGTATTTCTTTGTGTATAAGTACTACATTTTCTTTATCCATTCATCTGTTGATGGACACTTAGGTTGCTTCTATACGCTGTTGTGAATAATGCTGCTTGTGAATAATGCTGCAATAAACATGGGAGCACAGATGTCTCTTGCACATACTGATTTCATTTCATTTGGATATATACCCAGTAGTGGATTTGTGGCAACATGGATGAACCTGGAGGACACTATGCTAAGTGGAATAAGCCAGATACAGAAAGACAAACATGATTTCAATCATGTATGGAATCTAAAAAAGTTTATCTCACAGAAGTAGAGAATAGAATAGTGGTTACCAGAGGCTGAGGAGGGGAAAGGGAATGGGGGCATAGGAAGCAATTAGTCAAAAAGTACAAAGTGACAGTTAGAAGGAGTAAGTTCTGGTGTTCTAGTCACAGTAGGGTGACCATGGTTAACAATATTGTATATTTCAAAAAAGCTAGAAGAGAGAATTTTGAATGTTCTCACCACAAAGAAATGATAAATGTGGCCGGGCGCGGCGGCTCACGGCTGTAATCCCAGCCCTTTGGGAGGCTAAAGTGGGCAGATCACTTGAGGTCAGGAGTTCAAGACCAGCCTGGCCAACATGGTGAAACCCCATCTCTACTAAAAATACAAAAATTAGTAGTGGTGGTGGGCACCTGTAATCCCAGCTACTTGGGAGGCTGAGGCATGATCATCACATGAACCTGGAGGCAGCAGTTGCAGTGAGCTGAGATGGGGCCACTGCACTCCAGCATGGGCAACAGAGTGACACTCCATCTCAAAAAAAAAGAAAAAGAGAAAAGAAAGAAAGAAATGATAAATGAGGTGATGGGTATGCTAATATCCTGATTTGATTTGTTGATTTTTACACAACGTATACATTTATCGAAACATCACACTGTGCCCCATAAATATGTAAAATTATTATGTGTCAATTAAAAACATTTTAAAATGTCTGCCCTTTATTTTTTAAATTATATATAATACATATATATATAAAGCTATAACATATATATATTTCAACACCTTTTGGGATACAAGTGGTTTTCTGTTATATGGATGAATTATATAGTGGTGAAATCTGAGGTTTTAGTGCACCTGTCACCAGAGTAGTATACATTGTACTCAATACGTAGTTTTTTTATTCCTCACTCCCCTTCCACTTTCCCTGCTTTTGAGTCTCCGATGTCCATTATACCACTCTGTAGGCCTTTGCGTACCCATAGCTTAGTTCCCACTTATAAGTGAGAATATACTGCCCTTTTCTTTACATGTACTTTCTTTGGAGAGATTGTTGGAATTCTCAGAGCAAGAGAATCCTCAGCTTCAGTTATCATCTCTATGAAGAGGAATCTAAGAAAGAGTGTATGTAAGGAAAAAGGCAAAAGCTAGAGGAATGTCTGTATTTAGCAGTGGGAAGATGAAGAGCAGTCAATGGGAAATGGTCAGAGTGGTAGAGAGAAAAACAATGAAGATAAGGCAGTATAAAAGAAGATGAAGAAAGAGTAGTCATTGCATCAAAAACTTCAGAGAAACCGGGAAGGGTGAGAACAAAGACTAGAAAAAGCTATTAGATTTGTTGACTCACATGCTTTTATTTTTCTTCACGAAGTATTTCAGTAACATTATGGAAGCAAAAGCCATATTATAAAAGTTTATTTGTTAGTGAAATTACAGATTACAGATTCCTTTTCCAAGAAATTTAATTGTAAGGGAAAAGACACAGTACATTGCAGCTTGAAGTGGTACTGGGGGCAGGTACCATCAGAAATACATCAGAAATAACCAACTTATATTTACTAATGGAGAAGAAGAGGCCACTGGGAGAGTAGGATTGAAAATGCAAATTGAGGAAGAAATAATGGTGGGGTGATACCCTGCAAATGTGGGACAATCAGTGTTTGAGACTATAGGAGATGAGTTCTAGCAAGATGATTAGAGGATCCTTTCTTGGGGAAAAGAGGGAAGGAAGTAAAAGAGATTTTGAAAATAGAGAAGTTAAGAAAACTCCTAAGGTAGCTTCAAAATATTCAGTAAAAAAGGCAAGCAAGGCCGGGCATGGTGGCTCACGCCTGTAATCCCAGCACTTTGGGAGGCTAAGGAGGGTGGGTCACCTGAGTTCAAGAGTTCCAGGCCAGCCTGGCCAACATGGCAAAACCCCGTCTCTACTAAAAATATAAAATTAGCTGGGTGTGGTGGCAGGCGCCTGTAATCCCAGCTACTCAGGAGGCTGAGGCAGGAGAATTGCTTGAACCAGGGAGGCAGAGATTGCAGTGAGCCAAGATTGCACCATTGCACTCCAGCCTGGGAGACAGAGCAAGACTCCATCTGAAAAAAAAAAAAAAAAAAAAAAAAAAGGCAAGCAAGGTCAAGAGTCAAAGGAGCAGTGTTGAAGTTGGGAGCTTTAAGAAAAAGGAGTTTTGAAACAGTTATCTTAGCAGATAAATATGCATGGTAAATGGTAAACAAGCGGCTGAGCAGCTATGAAGATCCAGGCTAGAACAGTGATTTTTAACTACTCCTTTAAATCAAGGACTGTCTTAGACCGTTTTTTGTCCTGTATGATACTTTGTATCGAACAAGCACACACTAAATATTGTTGAATTGATGCTAATTTTTTAAAGTTTGCTTTTGAATGAGAGGAAAAGACAAGAGAAAAAAAGAAAACAAGGAAAGTGAAAGCAGGAGAGTGTTTCAGCTTTCCCAGGGCATGGGAATCTCAGAAGCACTTTGCTTGTTTAATGACCTTTACCAAGTCACCTTTTCAATACTGGCTTCATTTCCCAGGCAAAACAGGGGAAATAATCTCTGCCTCCTTATTGTCTTCCAAGAATATCATAAGCTCTTAGTAAAATAATATTTGCATACTCTTGGTTGCCTTATAGACAAGAAAATATTTAGTTTCCTCATTTTTATAGATTTGCTTCTCTTCTCTAGGCTGTTTATTATTATAGATTGGTTAGCAAAAGTTTGGCCTGTTGACATTGATTTCTAGACAATAGAAGGGGAAATAAGAATATGAGCAATGAAAATTTGTGACAAAAATAAAACAGAAAAATGAAAGGAGAGGATGTTTGTTACTTTCAACCTACCAGTCAATATCATTGTCTTTAAATATCTCTTGGAATTTCATGCAATTATTCTACCTCATCAGTACACTTGAAGTTGCATTTTAATTTCATGATCAATTTCCAGGAGACAGTTTCTCTTTGTATTTTACTCATAAAGTATAAATAAGCAAAATGATTCTTTTTAAAAGTTAACCAAACAATAGCTTTCTAAATATCATCCATGGCTTGCCAAGTCACCTGTCCAAGTTTCCCTATGCTGAGGTAGATCACATGTGTATTTTTGATCATTAATAAGAAGCCACCCCTTTTCTCCTCAGCCAAGGCTAGAGGCCAAGATCAGCCCTCAGGGATCATCATCAGGACTGCCATGAGCTGAGCTGCCTTGTTTTCCTGCCGCAAACATGTGAAAAGAAAGAAAAAAGAAATAATAATAATAATAATAATAATAATAACAATAATAAGGCAGTTTTCCTTCTGGCTCTGGGTTTGTTGTTATTTTGTGTAAGACCAATCCCTCCCCACTTTTAAAGGGAATTATTTAACCAAAAAACTCCCTAGCATCTTTTCTGTGACTCTGAATTCATAATATTGGTTATAATGTATGCTTTAATGTTAGGCAGGTCCAAGTCTGAAGTATCGATTATAAAATTAACTGTAGGAAATCTGGCCGCAGCCCCAGTGATAGTCACTGTATTAGTTTGTTCTCACATTGCTATGAGGAACTACCTGAGACTGGGTAATTTATAAATAAAAGAAGTTTAATTGACTCATGGTTCCACAGGCTGTACAGAAAGCATGGCCGGGAGGCCTCAGGAAACTTACAATAATGGCACAAGGGCAAAGGGGAAGCAAACATGTCTTCAGGAGGAAAAGAGTGAAGCAGGGAGTGCCACACACTTTTAAACCATCGGATCTTGTGAGAACTCACTGCCATGAGAATAGCAAGAGGAAAATCTGCTCTCAAGATCCAGTCACCTCCCACCAGGTCCCTCCCCCAACACTGGGAATTACAGTTCAACATGGGATTTGGAAGGGACACAGAGCCAAACGGTATCAGCCACCCTTATGCAATAATTTTAAAGGAAGCTTTTTGGCAATTGCTGTGCCATCATTTTTTCCCTAATCCTTTATAAATAGAGCAATAGCTAATTGTCCAACTATTTTTTAAAATGTCATGATAGAAAATTTTAAAATGTACTTGGGTTTAGAATCATTTTGACATTTTTTCTGTGGGGGGCGGGGAGACTGGATCTTACTCCATACCCAGGTTGGAGTACAGTGGCGTGATCATGGCTCACTGCAGCCTTGGACCCCTGGGCTCAAGGCATCCTCTCATCTCAGCCTCCTGAGCAGCTGGGACCACAGGCATGTGCTTCTTGAAGAATTGCTCTTGACAAAGAACTTTGTTTTGGTACCTACTAACTGCAATGTAGTACTAGGAGGATACTCTTGAATATACATGTCAGAGTTTACATTTTTAAAGTTTTCTTTTTTAAAATGGGTGCACAAGTTTTTTGAGTCTGCATTAGATTTCAGGGTTCCGGCCTGACACAGGGTTCCAGAGATGCAGCTGAAACATGTGCTGAGTCAGCGTCAGCATCCATGTGCATAACGACATTTCCCCATCTGCTCTGTGGTTGCTGTTGCCATATGCCCTTGATTTTCCTGGCTCCTCTTAATTTCAGTTATTGTAAATTTTTTTGGTTCCATAACTTATGTTAAAAATAGATTCTAATTCTCTGGTGAATTTCTATATCTTTTTGTCTATTTTCTTGAACATTTTAGTCAGTCCTTGTTTGCTAATCTAATACACTGATTACCTGTGGGTTACTTTCTATTGTCTATTTTTTCTCGGCTTTTGATCATATGACTCTGTCTTTTAGCATAATAAGTTTGGATATTTCTTCAGTATTAAATACTGAGTATAAAATATTGAGTATAAAATAATTCAGCATTAGTTTGAGTATTCAGCATTGCAGTTTCCCTTTATTAGAGTTGAGAATGTTTTTATGTTCTCAATTTTTACTCTTTTATAAGCAGAGGAGATTCTACATCCTCTGCTGACATTCATTTGAAGCATTAAAACAAAATCCATGAAAAGTTGGTCTCAGTCATAGTTATGCTTCACTGAGTTAAAACGACATCACAAATCACAGAGGCTCCATTATATTTCCTTGCCTTAGGTGCTATAGTCACAAGTGGTATATGAGTAGTTATTTAGAAGGAATGGAATGATGTCAGCAAAATACCTTAAACAGATACATTTCAGACTTTCTTCACATGGTGAAAAATTGAAGAGAAACAACAAGTCTTTTGCTCACAAGATTTTTAAAAAAACATAGTTTCCCTAAGAACCAAACTGGCCTTTCTAATTTATTCTTTACATGATTACAGAGTCAAGGTAGAACACAAAGTATGAGAATATAAATTCTTATGATCATGAGGAATCATTCATGGATCTTCTATTGTGTGAGAGGAATTGTGTAATGTGATGGGTCCTCAGATATCTTGTTGTTTTTTTTGTTGTTTTGAAATGGAGTCTTGTTCTGTCGCCCAGGCTGGAGTGCAGTGGCGTGATCTTGACTCACTGCAATCTCTGCCTCCCAGGTTCAAGCGATTCTATTGCCTCAGTCTCTCAAGTACCTGGGACTACAGGCATGAACCATCATACTTGGCTAATTTTTATATTTTGAGTAGAGATGGGGTTTCACTATGTTGGCCTGGCTGGTCTCAAACTCCTGATCTCAAGTGATCTGCCTGCCTCAGCCTCCCAAAGTGTTGGAATTACAGGCGTGAGCCACCATGCCCAGCCAGGTCATCAGGTTATTTAAGGGTATATGTCTACTGTCTGAACCCTGAAGCCTGGGTGGTGAGCCACGGCTATGGTGCCCAGCCAAGAAGCAGGTATCCCTGAGAACCTACCAAGAAAAAGTCTCATTGCTCAAATGCAGGAGGCAAAGAGCCAGAAAATTAGCTTAGAAGGAGCTTAAAGACAGGTGGTAGTTGTGAATCTCTAGAGCTCTCCTGCAGCCATTCAGGAGTGCCCTGCATGTAAGTCCTAATAAACTCATCTACTTGTCGAGTTGGACGTCCGAGTCATTCTTTGTTCTCTCGGCACCTTCCTAATTTGAATGGGGAGCAGGGTGGCAGGGCTTATAGTCCCAAGTTTTTCTCATAACAGGCTCTGTGCATAATTAACATATAAATGTACCAAGAACCCTTTTGGCAATCTGGTGAAATTAATGGACCACTTAGAATGTTTCCAGATATATCAAAATAAAATACACAGAATTACAGAGTAATCCCATGATATTGAAATAATGTTATCACATATTTTAAAGGTAAAATTTGTGAAATATTAATATCTATGCTTTTTAACTTATTAAATAACAAAATCTAATGGCAGGCCTAATGTTTGTCATAATTTTGAATTAGTAATGAGCATAAACTATTTCAAGACAGTTATGTTTGTAAGGTAGGACAATCTTAGTGATTTGTATTGGTAACAAAATCGCAGGTACAGCTAGTACTACTGAGGATTTCGATTTTTTGAGGAGGGCAACATTTATAATAAAAGAAATACTGACTTTCTGTTAGAAGTGAATGGAAATAAAGATGTCATTTGTTCCCCATCCAAGTTCACAGACCTTCTGAATTCTCTCCATGATTCCTCAAGGCTCCCTAGGTTTGGAACTCCTACTTTAAGTATTTCATCCTTTTCCACAAGGTGTGGACAACTTTGAGAATACTGGGAAGTTCTCAGCAAAGAACAATGACTTCTGCACCTGTAGGGCCCAGGCATGAAAGATCTTACTTGCTGGCAGGGTTGCACTTCCTGACTAGAATGCAGGTGTTCTGCTTGCTAGTCTGCATATAGCCCTGCTTGCCCAGTACCCTTGCACCATTCCTGAGAACCTTGGGGTTGGATTGACATTTAAAAATCATCTGGTACAATCAACATATCCTTCCCCGAAAAAAATGGTTGAGTTTTTGCCATGAGGCAGGCCCTGAGCTATACATGTTACCGCACCTGACTGTCACAGCAACTCCATGAGGTAGATGTTATTCTTCCCAGTTTACATAGACTCATTTGTTCATTCAGAAAGAAAAATATGTTTTATCTATTGTGTATCCATTACTAAGGTAGGTGTGTGGTTTAAAATTCAGACATAGGCCAGTCACGATGGCTGACGCCTGTAATCTTAGCACTTTGAGAGTCTGATTTGGGCAGATCGCTTGAGCCCAAGAGTTTGAGACCAGTGTGGGCAACATGGTGAAACTCCATCTTTCCAAAACAAACAAACAAAAAAAAACCCTAAAGACACAAAAATTAGCCAGGCATGGTGGCATGCGTCTGTAGTCCTGGCTACTCAGGAGGCTGCAGCAGAAGGATCACTGGAGCCTGGGAGGTCAAGGCTACAAGAAAGGTGAGACCACGCCACTGCACTCCAGCCTCGCTGATAGAGTGAGAGCCTATTTCAATAATAATAATAATAATAATAATAATAATAATAATAATAATGATAAAGAATAAAATATAGACATAGCTGCTGTCCTAATAGACTTCATATTCTAGTAGGACAGACAAAAATATATAAATTATATAATTACAAATTGTGATAAGTCTTTTAAAAAGAACAAACAAGCTGTTGAGACTGAGATTCATGGGGGACCTATTTAAAAGAATAGGATTGTCAAGGGAGATATCTCTGAGGAAGTAACATTTACGCTGAAACTAGAAGTATGAAAAGAAACCAATCATGCAAAAAGCAAGAGTGTCCCAGGCAGAAAGGACAGCAAGAGCAAAGCCTGTTAGGCAGGAAAGAGTTTGGTATTTTAAAAAAATGTATTATTTTAAAAAGTGTGGTAAAAAACATCACAAACAATTTACCATCTTAAGCCGGGCTCAGTGGTACACACCTGTAATCCCAGCACTTTGGGAGGCAGAGGAGAGATGATCGCTTGAGGCCAGGAGTTGAAGACTAGCCTGGCCAACATGGTGAAACCCAGTCTCTACCAAAACAATACAAAAAATTAGCTGGGCGTGGTGGCACACCCCTGTAGTCCCAGCTACTTGGGAGGCCGAAGCATAAGAATTACTTCAACCCAGGAGGTGAAGGTTTCAGTGAGCCAAGATTGCACCACTGCACTCCAGCCTGGGCGACAGAGTGAGACTCCATCTCAAACAAAACAAAACAAAAAAAACAATTTACCATCTTAACCATTTCTAAGTGTACAGTTCAGTGGTGTTAACTACATTCACATTGTTGTGCAATAGATGTCTAGAACTTCCTTGTCTTACAATTCTGAAATCTATACCTATTGAAAAACAACTCCTCATTCCTGGCCCCCAAGCCCTTGGCAACTACAATTCTACTTTCTGCTTCTATCATTTGACTACTTTAGATACCTCATGTAAGTGGAATCTTTCAGTATTTATCTTTTCTGTGACTGGTTTATGTCACTTAGCATAATGTCCTCAAGGTTTATCCATATTGTATCATGTGACTGGATTTCTCTCTTTTTTAAGCAGAATAATATTCCACTGCACGTATATACCACATTGTTTATCCATTCATCTGTCAATGGACATTTGGGTTGCTTCTAGCTCTTGGCTATTGTGAATAATGCTGCAATGAACATGGGTATGTGAATATCTTTTCAAGAGTCTGCTTTAAATTATTTTGAATATATACCCAGTGGTGGGTTTGCCAGATCATGTGGTAATTCTCTTTTTAAATTTTGAGGAACTTCCATACTGTTTTCCACAGTAACTGCATTATTTTATATTCCTACCAATAGTTCACAGGGTTCCAGTTTCTCCACATCCTCAATACTTGTTTTCTGTTTTTTTTTTTTTGATGGCCATTCTAATGGGTGTGAGATGCTATCTCATTTTTTTTAATTTGCATTTCTTTAATGATTAGTGATGTTGAACACCTTTTCATATGCTGTTGGCTATTTGTATATCTTCTTTGGAGAAATGTCAAGTCCTTTGCCCTTTATAAAAATTTGCTGTTGTTGTTGTTGTTGCTTGTGTTTGTGTATTCTAGATATTAACAACTTATCAGATATATGATTTGTAAGTATTTTCTTCCATCCCATAGGTTGCCTTTTCACTCTGCTGATTGTTTCCTTTGATGCACAGGAGATTTTAAGTTTAATGTAGTCCCATTTGTCTATTTTTGCTTTTGTTACCTATACTTTTGGTGTCGTAGCCAAAAAGTCATTACCAAATCTAATGTTTTGAAGCTTTCCCCCTAAGTTTTCCTCTAGAAGCTTCACAGTGTTATCGTTTTTAGTTAGTTTTTGTATATGGTGTAGGGTAAGGGTCCAACTTCATTCTTTTGCATGCAGATATCCAGTTTTCCCAACACCAAGGGAATTGGCATTTTTGAGAAGGAAGGGGCAGGTTAGTGTGTCTGGAGCTTGGTGAACAAGGAGAATGATAGAAGATAAAGTTGGATCATGAAAGGGTATGCTAAGATTCTAGATTTCTTTCTCAATGCATTGGGAAGCTACCGGAGAGTGACATGGACAGATTTATACTTTTAAATGATCATTGTGTTCCTCAAAAAGTTAAACATAGAATTACCATGTGATCCAGCAGTTCTACTCCTATATATTCTAAATAACTAAAAACACACTTTTCACACAAATTCTTGTACATTAATGTTCATAGCAAGACTACTCATAATAGCCAAATAGTGGAAACAACCCAAACTCCCTCTATGGATAAATAGATATACCACATTTATCTACACAATGGAATATTATCAGTCATAAAATGGAATATATATATACTGTTGTATGCTATGACAAAGATGAACCTTGAAAACATTATACTAAGTAGAAGAAGTCAGACACAAAAGACCACATAATATATAATTCTGTTCATGCGAAACATCCAGAATAGGCACATCTATTAAAGACAGAAAATAGGTAAGCAGTTTCAACAGGAAGGAGGGGAAAATAGGACTAATTGCTAAGAGGTAGGGATGATGGAAATGTTCTGGAATTAGACAGTGGTAATGATTGCACAGCATTGTGAATGTACTAGAAAACACAAAAGTGCATACTTTTTTATTTTTTATGTTTTGAGACAGGGTCTCACTCTGTCACCCAGGCTGGAGTGTAGCGGTACAATCACAGCTCACTGCAGTTTTGAGCCACTCCCACCCCCAACCCTGCCAGCCCCAGGCTCTGGTGATTCTCCCACCTCAACTTCCCAAGTAGCTGGGATCATATGCATACACCATCATGCCCTGCTAATTTTTAAATTGTTTTGTAGAGACAGGGTCTCCCTATGTTACCCAGGCTGGTTTTGAACTCCTGGCTTCAAGTAATCCTCCTGCTTCAGCCTCCCAAAGATCTGGGATTACAGGTGTGAGCCACCATGCCTGCCCAGTGTACACTTTTAGATGGTGAATTTTATGTGAAGCATATCTCAGTTCAAAAAATCTTATTAAAAAAAAATCAGCCCAGCATGGTAGCTCATGTCTAGATCATTCTGATTCCAAATCCCAACCTTAACTTCTGTGCTATATAGTTTCTAGCTAAGGGTTCCCTCTTCTGTCAGCTGTCTTCAGAAATATACCATATTCTCTGAGGACATTTCTCTTTTGAGTCTTCAAACACCAGAGCTTACATGATGAACTGTTTAAAATTTTTTAAAAATTAAAAAAATGAAAAACATCAGAGCTGCTGCTTGGATGAAATTTTGACACGTGGAAATTTTTTTTCTACTGTATGTCAGCAGTGAGGATGAAGATATACTATTCAAAGATGAGATGAATTAAGAACAGTAAAATGTTTTGGCACCATAATTTGTGATTCTTCTTAGGAAAAGGTCATTCGTGCAGCCCCATGGCAAGAAAACAGTTTTAGTTTTAGAGAAGTATTACATACTATAACTTTTTTGTTGGACTAAAGGGAGTTTTGTTTTTCTGGTTTCTTTGAGGACTCTGGATCTGAACGTTAAAAAATCCTCTGGGTGGAGTACTCAAGTGAATTTTATTTATTAAATGCTGTTTTAAAATCCATTCCCTTAGTGGTAGAAAAATATTGTTATGGGCTGAGGACAGAGAGCATCTATAAAAATGGGATACATGAGATGGTCATGGGTTAGAGTGCTAGAGTGTAGGAGAAAAACAAAATGTTTTTCAAGTTTTTCTTTTCCTGCAAAGAAACTGAAGTTTGGAATAAAATTATGAAGAAAACAGTCTAATAGCTTACCCTTGTGGTTTTTCCCAGTATCCAGGCTGTAGAAAACAAAGACAGTCAAAAGGAGGCTTTGTGAGCCCCCTCATATAGGGGTCAAATGTATTCATGCACAGCCTGTTAACCTTGGCATCATTCCTTCATCTCCCCAGTCTTGCAGCTTTCAAAATGTTATTGCCTACTGGCCCCAAAGGCAAACAACTTGCAATGTATAATATGCCCTATATTAATGCCTTGCAGTCCATGCATATGAGGAAACCAATCCATCAACAGACGCCCTTAGTGACAGAGTAGGAAACTACTGCACAAAGAAAATCCTGGGAATCAAATACAATACCAGAGGCAGTCACGGCTCAATTCGCTCAGTCATATATAACTTTTTTTTTTCACTTACTTGTAATCAATTGGAATTTTGCCTTAATTATATATGTATAGGTATATATATTTAAGAAAGCAGTGTGTAATCATCTATGTTGAAACGAATTTGTTAATCTTGTACAAGGCTGGCACATTCACCCAAAGGGATTCTCTGCCAATGTGAAAATTAACTCTGTAGCTCTGAGCCTCTCCTTCCCATGGATTCAGTGTATGAGAAAAATTCTTGGCCAATCACAAGTGCTATACAAACTAAAAAATACTATGATGCACTGGGCATGGTGGCTTACACCTGTAATCCTACCGCTTTGAGAGACTGAGGTGGGAGGATCCCTTGAAGTCAGCAGTTTGAGACCAGCCTGGGCAACATAGGGAGAGCCTGTCTCTACAAAAATATATATTTTTTTAAATTAGCCAGGCATGGAGGCTCGTACCTGTAGTCCCAGCTACTTGGGAGACTGAGGTGGAAGGATCACTTGAGCCCATGAAGTCGAGGCTGCAGTAAGCTGTGACTGCACCACTGCACTCCAGCCTGGGTGACACAGTGAGACCCTGTCTTATATAAACAAACAAACAAACAAATAAATAAATAAATAAGTAGCTATTATCATCATCCCAATCTTAGGAATCCAATATCAGCTTGATAGTCACTTTTCAGGTCAACAATATCGTCAAGAAAAGTGTTGACACTCAGCTAATAAAATGGCAGAATGTTACCCTAGGATGTTATTGTGTCTGCCTTCTATTATCCCAAGATACAGGAGAACATTCATTTTTAAACTTCTCAAATGTGGAAAACAAACCCATTTGCTAAGATGATTTCCAATTTGAAATAGTTTCCAGCATTATATGAGCCACTCCCTGTACACCAAAGAGACATTCCCTTTACTTAATTTTATATCCCACTCGTGAAACATTTTCATGTGTTGGACCTACCAACTCCAACTGGATACCACTGACAGGAAGTGAGAAGGGTATGAGCCCTGGGGTAGGCATGCAGGGTGGGGAGACTGGCTTTTAGCTCTGGCTCTGGTTTTTACTGGAGTGATAACCTCTAAATTCTTTTCTAGCAACAGTTCTACAAATAATACCCCTTTCTCCTTCCCCGTTTCTTTCTACAGACTATTTCTTCAGTCATCCAGAGGCCGATGTAGGAGTCATTTATGAGTCCCTCAGTCTTTTATTCCCCCTATTCAATCAGTCATCAAGTGCCTCAGTCTTTCCTGAGAACATCTCTCAGATCAGGTCTTTCTGTCATGACTCTGCTTCTCTGTTGACTTCCTGTGGCCTGACAGGCTGAAGCTAAATATGTGGAATAGAAGACTCCTCAAAACCTGCCCTTTACCTCAGCCTCTAGTTGTATCTTCTGCTGCTTTCTCCCCACTGTGACCTTCTGCCCCAACCACACATACTCTCTCTCTCTCTTTCTCTCTTCTGTTTATGTTCCGTATTAGTTTCCTATCACTACTGTAACAAATTACCAAAAACTAGTACTATATGCAATACAAATTTATTATCTTACAGTTGGATCAGTCAGAAGTCTGACAAGTCTCAATAAATTAAAATCAAGGTGTCAATAGGGCCGTATTTCTTCTGGAGGCTCTACAGGAGAATTCATTTCTTTTCCTTTTCCAGGTTCTAGAGGTCACCGCCTTTCCTTGGTTCATGGCTGCTTTCCTTCATCTTCAAAGCCAGAAACATTGGGCCAAGCCCTTCTGTCTCTCCCTCTTCTACTTTAAAAGACCCTTGTGGCCCAGCCTGGCCAACATGGTGAGACTACTAAAAATACAAAAATCAGCTGGGTGTGTGCACGCCTGTAATCCGTAGCTACTCAAGAGGCTGAGGCAGGAGAATTGCTTGAACCTGGGAGGCGGAGGTTGCAGTGAGCCAAGATCGTGCCACTGCACTCCAGACTGGGCAACAGAGTAAGACTCCGTCTCAAAAAAAAAAAAAAAAAAAAAGAAAGAAAATGAAAAAGGACCCTGTGATTACATTGAGCTCAGTTAGATAATCTTGCTATGTCAGCTGATTAGCATCCTTAATTGCATCTACAACCTTAATTCTTCTTTGCCTTGTAACCTGTTACCTTCACAGTTTCGGTTCAGGGGATTAGGAGGTAGACATCTTTAGGGGAGCATTATTTTGCCTCTCTCATCCTCTGCCTCCCAAATTGTCAGAGATGCTTTTTATTCCCTCTTTATTATTTTACAATTAATCGTAGTAACAATCAATTGAATATTACCACAATTATGAGAATGTTTCAATTAAGTAAGTTTGACTGTAAATTATATATCCAGAGGTCTGGATTTATATTTTTAGGAAAAAACTCCACAATACTGAATGGCTTTATCTAAATTTAGCTTGCATTTTAAATCATATTTTTAACCACTCTGGGGATCCTAATAAAACACAAAGCATTTTAACATCTTATTGGTTTAAATTAACTAAGTATACTAATGATAACACATACCTATCAATTATATTTCATAGTTAAATCTTGAGAGAAATAAGCTTCAAATAAGTATTTTGAAAGGTTAATGCTAGGGTCTAATGTTACAATATATCTAAAATATTTCTGTGTTAATCTTACAATTTTAGAAAATCTCTAGTATGTTTAAGCTTAAAATGTTCTGGTTGTTATCACTTTTTTAGGCTCACAGAAGGGAGGCAGGCACAGATGGAAAAACGTAAGTTACTTACCCTTTTGGTCTGAAAAACACTGCAAACAGTAATCATACTTTTAGAGCATCAAATACGGGGCTGGAGCCTGGGCTGTGATAGAAATAACTTCGTCTTTTCTAATAACATGACCTTAACAGAACAGACAATGGAGACAGAGGGAAAAGCAGCAGCCAGAAATTCTTGTAAAGGTTCCAGAAGGTGAACCATGCTTTTTGGTTTTTCACCTATGTCATGCTGATATTAAGCAGTCAGATTATATAGTATTTTTGTCCCTTCCTCAGGGAAGCCTTCTCTGGTTACCCCTTAGATCAGTAGAGGTCACAAAGATATACTATCATGGAATGGTATGGTTCTCCTTCACAGCACTTATAACTCCCATTACAGACTATTTTTGTAATTGTTTAATGTGCCCTCCACGTGATTACCATGCTTACCACTGCATCCTTAGCTTCTACCACAGTGATTGGCCCCTATTAGACAATTAAAATATTTGTTGAACTGAATTGAATAAAGCTTTGGGGGGCACAGAGCAGCTGCTATGGTTTTTGTTTGTTTTTGTTGTTGTCGTTTTTGAGAGGGAGTCTCCTTCTGTTGGCCAGGATGGAGTGCGGTGGCGCAATCTCTTGGCTCACTGCAACCTCCGCCTCCCGGGTTCAAGCGATTCTCCTGCCTCAGCCTCCTGAGTAGCTGGGACCACAGGCACACACAACCACGCTCGGCTAATTTTTGTATTTTTATTAGAGACATGGTTTCACCATGTTGGCCAGGCTGATCTCAAACTCCTGATCTCAAGTGATCCGCCCGCCTCGGCCTACCAAAGTGGTAGGATTACAGGCGTGAGCCACCGCGCCTGGCTGCTATGCTGTTTTGCTTCTTTGGTATCGTGTAGCACATTCAGTACAAGTGATGTCCTCCGCTCTCAATAAGTGCTTCCTAAAGAACTCACATTTCACCCATTCAGAACCTTGCATGGTGTAGTAGCTGAAGTTACTACTTCAAGGACTCCTTCTCTTTATCTTGGGTAGAGAGGAACAATGTGAACTCAGCAAAGGGATCATGAAAACAGATTTTCTCTTATGTTACTTGTAGAAAGCTTTTAGATTTATCATTGAAAATTGCGAATTTTGAACCATATCCATTTTGACTTAATTGTATTTTAAAACAGTGGTTCTCAAAAAAGTGTGGTTCCGGGACCAACATCATCAGCATCGTGGGAACTTGTTAGAAACACAAATCCTTGGGCCTCACCACTGAACTAATGACTTAGAACAGGGGTTGGACTGGGGAATTCTGTGTTTTAACAAGTCCTCCAGGTGATTCTGACGCATGCCAGTTTGAGAATCACTTTTTTAAACCAATGTTTAAGTCCAATCTAACCTACTTAACTATTAACAGTCTACCTGGCTATCTACCTGTGGTAGTGTAGTATGTAACAGCCCACAGCACACATGCTCAATTCCAAGCCTATCTGCTCTCCGCAATCAGTATATTCCTCCTGCAATTTATCATGGTATGAAAGGCCCAGTGATACACATATTTGGTCATTTTCAAATAGTGCCTGCCAGCATAGTGGCTCACACCAGTCATCCCAGCACTTTGGTAGGGTGAGGCGAGATGATCATTTGAGCTCAGGAGTTTGAGAACAGCCCGGACAACATGGCGAAACCCCATTTCTACAAAAAAAAAAAAAAAATTAGCCAGCGGTAGTGGCGTGCTACTTGGGAGGCTGAGGTGGGAGGATCCCCTGACCCCTGGAAAGTGGAGACTGCAGTGAGCCATGACTGCACCACTGCACTCCAGTCTGGGCGACAGAGACAGACCCTGTCTGAAAAAAAAGTGCCCTTCACAGAAGCTTCCTCAGGGTATTAGCATGAGCATGTGAAAGTACAGTATGTTTATCAAACACATAAAATAAGCAGTTATAAATAACGTCAGAATAACACAAGGAGGCCAATTATCAAAATGAAAGGCTAGTTTTGCATGCTGTGCTTTGCGGAGAGAAGGAAGAGGGAGTTTTCATGTTATTACACTTTTGATAGCAGAATCCTATATTTTGGTGCAGAGGTGGCAAAATAAGGCGGGGGGTGCTGGTGCGCAGAAGCTGACAAGGTTAGAATGTGCAGCGTTTTTACGACGGACTGGCTTTACTCATTTCCTGCCTCACTTCTCTCCTATCTGTATAGGTTTTTCTTTTCGTCCTCCTCTACCAGTACGCTCCCGCCTGCCGCGCTCCGCCCTTGTGCGGCGCACGATCGGAGTCAGTGATTAAGCCGGCTCCAAGACAAAGCGGAGGCCGAGCCCAGGAAGCAAGCGCGCTCTCCGCCCCGCCTGGAGGGAGGGCCCAACCACAGCACAGCCGCGCTCACTCCTCACCCGGACGTGACCTAGTTCTCACAGAGGCCCGGCCTCTTCCGCCACAACTCCGGCCCGCGGTCCCGCCCCGTTCCGTGAATGGTCGGCCGGCCTCAGGTCAAAAAAGCGTTTAGGTGTCTGCGACGGAGCCTCCGGAGAAAGGCAAGCACGTCGCAGCCAATGAGGTGATAGAAACGCAAAGCAGCGACCAATGACTAGCTGAGTTGGGCTGGGCCGGCCGACGAATCACGAGGCTTCGCACCCGGATATGGTTATGGGCTCGGAAATCTAGTTCGGGAAAAGTGTGAGGGGCTCTTCACGTGGGGAAGGAACAGCAGGCGCGGAGGAGGGGGCAAGCGTGTGTGAGATTCAGTGGTCCATGCGTGCGTTTGTCGTGTAAGGGTCATTCCTGGGGTTTGGAGTGGGGGAACAAATCAATGTGGCTGTTTTTCCGTGGAAAGAATTCCCACTGCAGTGTCCCGGAGCCTGCGTGTGGTGGGCAAGCTCCTCAAATGGTATCTCACAGGGAATAGGGGAGTCTTGAAAACGCAGCTTCGGCAGTAGGAACATGAACCTCTTACCTAAAAGTTCCAGGGAGTTTGGCTCCGTTGACTATTGGGAGAAGTTCTTCCAGCAGCGAGGAAAGAAAGCTTTCGAGTGGTATGGAACCTACCTGGAACTGTGCGGGGTGCTACATAAATATATCAAGCCCAGGGAAAAGGTGAGGAGCGCGGGTTGGTAGCCCTTCGTACGTGCTCCGGAAGGTGGGAACTGGTAACAGGAATCTTGCACTTGGTGGACAGTGACAGGCGGGAGGACCCTAGTTGGACGCATATTTCAGCATTTCCTGCATTGTTCCTGCTAAAAGACAAACTAGAATATTCTTTCAGGCCGGGCGCAGTGGCTCACACCTGTAATCCGAACACTTTGGGAGACCGAGGTGGGAGGATCGCTTGAGCCCTGGAGTTAAAGACCAGCCTGGGGAACATGAGACCTCGTCTCTACAAAAAATGAAAAAATTAGCCGGGCGTGGTGGCGCGCATCTGTATTTCCAGCTACTCGGGAGGCTTAGGCGGGAGGATCGCTTGAGCCCAGGAGGTCGAGGCTGCAGTGAGCCATGATCACGCCACTGCACTCCAGCCTGGGTGACAGAGTGAGACCCTGTCTAAAAAAAAAAACATTTCTTTAAAGGTTTTCAGATAATAGACCTCCCACCCCAGCTCATTCTTGGATTAATAACCCTACTTGAAGAGTGACTTCCCATCTTGAAAGTATGTTCTTCTGTCACTGTGCATTCCTGTGCAACCTGCAGCAGGTGTGACTTTGTGTATGAATTTGTTTTTCAAATAGTCGTTGAGTGCGCCCCAAGTTTCAGGCACTGCTCAGTCCTTAAACTATAAGAGCATTAAGACGTAAACCCTGCACATGTTCCAGAAGTGAAACGTGATAAGTACAACAATGGGTTTGGTATAGGTGAGATTGTACTGGAGGTAGGGAAGGAGGAAGGTAGAAAACTTAACATTTGTGGGGAAGCTTTATGTGCCAAGCCTTATGTTGGGTGCTGTGTATGTGCATGTGCAATCTTTGAATTCTCATCATAAATTCAGGTGAGTGGCCATGCATACATTTTACAGATGAGGAAACTGAGGCCCCGAGAGCCACTTTTTTTTTTTTTTTTGCCCAAGATCATGTCCAGGTGGTCATGTGGGGATTTAAACTCAGGCCTGTCTGGCTCCAGAGCATATGCACATCTCTTTGTACCATGCTTTTCCAAAGATGGCAATATCAGAATTTCTAAGTTTGAATGGGAGATTGCTCCCTGGAGAGGGAGACAACAATCTGAATTTTAAGTTCGGCTTCAGAAGATAGCCAAATATCATGAGATGGAATCCGTGATGGAAGTAAGATTTGAATCCTCACAAAGTGTACTTTATTGTCTAAAGGAGCCAAAGGCATGAGTAGAGTGAGGAAATAGGGTTATTCCTGGCCTAGGATTTCAACTGTAACTCTATATTTGGATTCTCTGACTTCCTATTAATTCCTGAGTAATAAGTGCATGATTTAGAGAAAAGAACAGTTATGATTAATTTGTTTCTGCAACACAAAGCCCATTCTCATATAACCTGTATTGTAGCTGAATGTGGTTTTCACTAGCAAGTATATGTGGTGTTTCAAGATAGAGTCTAGCATCAACTCTACAATGTCGCTCTTTCTCTGGCAGTAGCGTCTCCACCTTCTGAAAATGTGACTCAGCCAAGGTGAGACTTGATTCCTTGAAGTACCTGAAGTACAGTCCTTTGCTTTGATTACCTCCCTCTTGTCTGTGAATTTTTTCTCCAGGTGCTGGTGATTGGGTGTGGCAACTCAGAACTGAGTGAGCAACTGTATGATGTGGGCTATCGGGATATAGTGAACATCGACATCAGTGAGGTTGTCATCAAGCAAATGAAGGAATGTAATGCCACCCGACGGCCCCAGATGAGCTTCTTGAAGATGGACATGACGCAGATGGAGTTTCCTGATGCCTCGTTCCAGGTGGTGTTGGACAAGGGCACCCTGGATGCTGTCCTGACAGATGAGGAAGAGAAGACCTTACAACAGGTGGACAGGATGCTGGCTGAGGTTGGCCGTGTCCTGCAGGTGGGCGGTCGCTATCTCTGCATCTCCCTGGCTCAGGCTCACATCCTGAAGAAAGCAGTGGGCCACTTCTCCCGGGAGGGGTGGATGGTGAGGGTGCACCAAGTGGCCAACAGCCAGGACCAGGTGTTGGAAGCAGAGCCTCAGTTCTCCTTGCCTGTCTTTGCCTTCATCATGACCAAGTTCAGGCCAGTCCCTGGCTCTGCCCTTCAGATCTTTGAGCTGTGTGCTCAGGAGCAGCGCAAGCCTGTGCGGCTGGAGAGTGCCGAGCGGCTGGCCGAGGCGGTGCAGGAGCGACAGCAGTATGCCTGGCTGTGCAGCCAGCTGCGCCGCAAGGCCAGGCTGGGGAGTGTGTCTCTGGACTTGTGCGATGGGGACACGGGGGAGCCACGCTACACCCTCCACGTGGTGGACAGCCCCACTGTGAAACCATCGCGGGACAATCATTTTGCGATTTTCATCAGTGAGTTGGGATTGCTCCCTCTCTTCCCTGGAGGGGCTGGCTTACAGGGGCTGGGGCTTGGGCTGGGGCTGGGGCTGAGGCTGGGCTGGGGCTTTGGTGGGATTCTGGACTGTTTTTTGTCTTGCAGGGGTTTGTACTTCCAGAGGATTAGACTACCCAAGGCATGATGAAAGGAGAGTAATAGCTCTCTAGCAACCTACTTGGAGTTGAGACCTATTCCTTTTCATCTGCCATTGCAAAGGCTTGATGAAGTGTGAGAATGGGGTTGGTAGGGAAGAGAGAGAATAGAGATAAATTTAGGAGGTCACATATGATATAGAGATGCTAGTTACTTTGTAGCATGGAGTAATGGAAGTAATGCTGGACTAGCAAGTCTAAGACATAGGTTCTAGTCCCAGCTGTAGCCTGTGAGCTGCAGGACCTGGGGAAGTTGCTGTGCTTCTCTGCAAAATTTGGAGAGGCAGCATAGGGTAGCAGCTAAAAAAGTGAGCTCTGGAACCAGACTGTTTGGGTTTCAGTTTTGGCTCAGTCATTTCCTGATGGTGTGACATTAGACAGGTTACTTTTCTTTCTCTGCCTTGATGGGATTGTAACTCTGGTGTAGTTGTGAGAAGTATAAAAGCTCTTAGAAATGGTACC
This sequence comes from Homo sapiens, assembly GCF_000001405.40. Lineage (NCBI taxonomy): Eukaryota > Metazoa > Chordata > Mammalia > Primates > Hominidae > Homo > Homo sapiens. The sequence goes on from NC_000001.11 coordinate 171,785,139, forward strand.
TGGCCTTGGAAGTGCTGTGTAAATGTTAGCCATTATTACTGAAAGCAGTAAGTTATATCAGATTTATCTTAATAAGGATAAAAAAGATAGTAGGAGGAAGTGCTTTCAAAAGTGGAACATTGTAGACAAATGCAAAGTGTTTATGGTCTTGGTGTTACGGTAATTTGTTTCCTGGTGACTGAGCTAGTTTTTCAAGTATTCTATAATTCTGTCTGTCCATGTGTGGAAATAAATAGTGCAGTGAATACAAGCGTGGGTAGAGTCTGGGGCTAGACTGCCTGGGTTTGAGTCCCAGCTTCACCATTTACTTATTGTGCGAAGTTGGGCAAATAGTGTAACTTCTGTTTCTCAGTTTCCTCATATGTAAAAATGGGAATAATACTACTACCTGCATCTTGGACTGTTGGAGGATTCCATTAATATATATTTGTCAACAGCTTGGAGTCATGCCTGGCATGGCTTATTTGTGTTGGCATTACTGCTGTTTTTCTTGTGGTAGGTGTCTGCCTCCTTCCCCTACGGACATGCCCACACTTCTTCTCCACCCTTGGTCCTGCCTTATGTCTGATGGGCTGCTTTGCCCTAGATGTTGTGAACTAGAGAATTGTTAGCTCCTCAGTGGGTCACAGTTGGGGAAGATGCTGGTCTTGGACAGGGACTGGCTCCCTGCCGTTTGGGCCATATTGGTTGTGGGCTTGATCACTTTCCAGGACTCCCTGTAACCAAGTTCTTTTTTCTAGTCCCTCAGGGCCGGGAGACCGAGTGGCTCTTTGGCATGGATGAGGGCCGGAAACAGCTGGCGGCCAGTGCTGGCTTCAGGAGGTTGATTACAGTGGCCCTTCACCGAGGTCAGCAGTATGAAAGCATGGACCACATCCAAGCTGAGCTGTCGGCTAGAGTCATGGAGCTGGCCCCAGCTGGGATGCCCACCCAGCAGCAGGTAACAAAGCTTTCGTACGGCTTTCATGGGTCTCTGAAGTCATGTTAGCAGCCAGGGAGGCAGAGGGAGCCTTGGCAGGAGCTAGGACTAGAGTCTGTGACTCTTCATCTAATCCTGGAGGGGTATCAGCAGCTAAGGGTTAAATGGCAGGGAAACTGTCCTTTGCCCCAGGCAATGAGAGGAAAGTGAGCACAGTAGCGTCTGTGTCTGGGGGAGCCTCTCAGAGTCCATAGACATGGCAGGATGGAAATGCTCTACTCATTGCGGGCTTCAGTTCTTCCTAATTTGAGTTGCTCTGACTGTGGATTTCTCCTTCCACACTGGACTTTCTTGGTCATTTTGCTTCTTAGAACTATCATTATCTGAGGGTATAAATGGAAGAGGGCCAAAACAGCTCAGCACAGTTATCCAGGTATTCACATTGCTGGTCAGGTGTTTTACTGGGAAGGAAACCGAAGGTTTTTGCCTAAGTGGTGATATGGTATTATCAGTTAACACCAACTGTCTTGTGCTATCCTGGTCACCATGGGTAACGAACAAGTGATTTTACTAAAAGAACTTCATGATGAGGAGTTGATCCTTTTTTTTCTTTTTTGAGATAGGGTCTTGCTCTGTTGCCCAGGCTGGACTGGAGTTCAGTGGTGTGATCACGGCTCACTGCAGCCTCAGCCTCAACCTCCTGGGTTCAAACCATCCTCCCACCTCAGCCTTTGGTAGTAGCTGGGACTATAGGTGCAAGCCACCATACCTGGCTAGTTTTTTTTTTACATTTTTTGTAGAGACAGGGTCTCCCTATGTTGCCCAAGCTTTGATCCTTCTTGATAGGTGGGAAAGCAAAGGTATCTAGAGGCTTGGTGCAAATAGTAACAGATCTGAAAAAAAAGAACCCAGGCTCCTGGGTTCCTGGCCTGTGGTTTTGCCCACTAGGCTGACTCGTGTTTACAGATGAATGTAAGTTTGATTCTTCCTGGCCAACTTTGGGGTTGATGACCCCTATTTCAAGGAAGCCCAGATCCTCTGAGGAGCTTCATTTGTGGCCTCTCACCAGTGCCTGAGTCTGCAGGGTCAGGAGATATTGGTGATTATTAACTAGTCTTATAGGTCTTTAAAAAAAGAAATAAAGATAGGGGGAAGGAGTGGGAAAGTTTAGGGGGAAAGTATATTTTTCTCCTAAGGTTCAGAAAAGTGGGGGAAAAATAGATGAGAATAATCAGGGGAAAGGAATATCTCTCTAGATTTGGAGTGGTTGTTTCTCCCATGGATTTTGTTATCTTTATTCTTGTGTAGATTCCTTCTCATAATCACAGCCCCTTCCTGAGGGTTCCCTCTAGCTTTTGTTATCCTGGACTATTGAGAGTTCTTTTAGGGGTTACTGATGAGAAAAACCCCTAAAAGAACTTGGGGAGAATCAGCTGCATCTCACTAGTTGTTTGGGAGATCTTTATGTGTCCAGTTGATTTTCAAAAGATGAATTAAACCTTTGAGATCAGTTCAAAGGCTCCAGAAAAGTACTTTAATAGAATGGCAAATCTGTGGAGTAGTTGTTGTCTAGAACCGTGGTATGGGGATATATACACACAAAAGGGAAGGGGTTATAATTTCTCTTATTTCTTAAATGAGCTGCTGTTTTGACCACATCTCTGGTTGTACCTTCAGGTCCCCTTTCTGTCTGTGGGTGGGGACATTGGGGTCCGGACCGTTCAGCACCAAGACTGCAGCCCCTTGAGCGGTGACTATGTCATTGAGGATGTGCAAGGGGATGACAAGCGATACTTCCGTCGACTGATCTTCCTCAGCAACAGGAATGTGGTGCAGTCCGAAGCCAGGTTGCTGAAGGATGTGTCTCACAAAGGTGAGGTGTCATAGGCACAGTGGTGGGACCCAAGTGGCCGTGGCATGGACTAGATTTCTTGGGAGCTTGGCCGAGATGTAGGATGGACCTGGGTGTCTGTAGGTTCTTAACCATCTGGACTCTTAGGGTGTGAATAGCTATAAGCAGAGTACATTCTGTTCTTGAGCAGAGCCTGGCTCTGAAGTGATAGGGGACGTGAGTAGTGAAACCAAATACAGTGATAATCACATTAATGTCTTCGGTTTAAAGGCATCTGTTTTGCAGGTGCTCCATATACATCTGTGTATTGTTTCAATAGGCCTCTGTGAGGTGAGCCAGAACTATGGAAGTTGCAGGTGAGCCCTGCCCTCCATAGTGTGACTCACCTGTTTCAGAGGGTTTTGGATTGGCGGGTGACTTAGAGGCCTTCTAGTATACCACTGTTCAGTAAAACTGCCTGTGATGAAGGAGATGTTTAGTTCCTGAGTTTCTAATGTGGTCGCGACTAGCCATATGTAGTGCTGAGCGTTTGGAATGTGGCTAGTGTAACTGAGGAACTGAATTTTAATTTTCTTTAATTCTAATTAATTTACATTTATATTTCAACAGCCATAGGGGGCTAGTGGCTAGTATTGGACAGTGTAGATCTAAACCATCTCTTCTAGGATCCCTTTAAGTGGTCTCCCAGCTGTCACTCAGAAACTCCCCCGATGGGGAATCAATAGTTTGTTTTACCTGTGTTAGTTTGTATTTTAAAAGTGATACTTGTTCATTGAAATCACTTCAAAAGTCAAATATAGACCGCGAAAAGTGAATGCCCCTCACCTCTCCGTCTCCAGTGCATCTTCCCTGTCTGAGGCGCAGAGATTCAAGGATGGAAGCTGAAATGGCTCTCCTGATTCCCAGTTGTTCCCTTTGCCTGACTGGCCTGCCCTCATAGCAAGGCCATCTGGGAGGAGGGTGGAGACAGAGAATTCAGATGCTTGAGGTCATAGACTGGCTCTGAGCCTAGAATCAAGTTACCCAGCGAAATGGTATTTTTCTTTAGGGGTTTTCCCTGGCCAAGAGCACCCAAGATTGTTGGGTTTCTGCCCTATTGTTTGGTCACTGTGGCTGCAGGTTGGTCCAGTTTCATCTCACTAAAATCTCAGTAAAATTGCTTAAAAGAACATTTTGCCCCTTTCAGTTTGGGTTTCAGGTTTTTTCACCATTGTCATGTTCCTTGATTTCTTGGTAGCACTTTGTTCTCATGGAAAGAACGTTCTCCCTCATGGGAGTATTGGTGAGCAAGAAGGAGAGCATATTAAAAAGTGATTTAATATATCTGAAAAGCACCCCGACTCCACTCATCAGCACTTTTTACTGCTGGGGAATGCAGCTGATCCCTATGAAGACACAGCCATCCGTTTAGTATGATACCCTGGAGCAGGGAAGGGAGTGGTGAGAGGGAAAGTGGAGTGGCTTTTTAGGATTTATTTCCTTTTTTGAATACTTGTGATTTCCTTCTTCAGCAAAGGTTGGTAGTGCTACCTGTGTGGCATAGCAGAAAGATGATAGGTGATGGAGACAGGCAGTCCGAGGATCAACTCCTATCTCTACCATCTGCTGATTCCCTATTTACTTAACACTTCAGTGGCTTAGTGTGTTCATGTGCCAAGAATTGGAATGATAAGGTTGTTAGAAGAGCTAAAAAAATAAAAGTTACGGTATAGTAATTGGCACATAGCAGGTGATTAGTAACTTTACCTTTCTTTAAAAGACTTTATGAGTAATCTTTTCTCCTGTTAGTGGCCTTACATTTCTTAGACGGGAGGTACCAGGGCTCCTCAGTTGAGTTTTCCCAGGTTTTTGAGTGTGCATTTGCCATTTCCTTTTCCAGCTTCCTTGTATCCATTGTATATGTTAAATGTTTAATGACTATGTCTTTGTGGGGCGGGGTAGGGGGGGCACATCCTAATTTATAGTGTTTATCAGTTCTCTAGTATAAATACCACCACTGTATTTGTTTGTTTTACGTTGCTTATAAAGGAATACCTGAGACTGGATAATTTGTAAAGAAAAGACTTTTATTTTGGCTTATGGTTCTGCAGACTGTACAAGAAGCATGGTACCAACTTCTGCATTTGGTGAGGCTTCAGGAAGCTTACAATTATCACAGAAGGTGAAGGGAGACCAGGTACATCACATAGCAAGAGAGGGAGCAAAAGAGATGCCAGGCTTTTTTCAACAACAGCTCTAGAGTGAGAACTCACTCAATACCATGGGGAAGGCACCCAGCCATTCATGAGGGATCTGCCCCCGTGACCAGCATGGTGGCTCCGACATTGGGGATCACATTTCAACGTGAGATTTGTAGGGGACAAACATCCAGATGATTTCACTACGGCCAGTTTCAAGCTATCAACATGATGTCAACCAGTTTGCAAAATTTTAACGATTGGGTCTTTTGAGTGTTCAAGCCATCTGGAGCACACTGCTGCCAGTAACCCTTGCTTCCTGAGGACTAGTGTACTAAGCATAGGGCTTCATATCTCTTGTTTAGCCCAGAAGAAGCGGAAAAAGGACAGGAAGAAGCAGCGGCCTGCTGATGCGGAGGACCTCCCTGCAGCCCCGGGGCAGTCCATTGATAAGAGTTACCTGTGTTGTGAACACCACAAAGCCATGATCGCTGGCCTTGCCCTGCTGAGAAACCCAGAGCTACTCCTAGGTGAGAGAGATGCCACTGCCTTCCACAGAAGGGAGCATAAAGATTACAGACCTAAACAATTGGTGTCACTTGCATTGTAGTTGAAGAACAGCAATTACAAGCTGACAATGTATCTTTCTTCATCTCAACCATGTTATAAGTTAATGAGCATTCTAATTAACTGTTGCCTCAAACTCAACCTGTTATATTGAAATTGTATTGAAATATGTTAGAGTCTAAGTGGTATTTTTTCTGTTCATTTCTTTTTAAAATTAAGGTATATCATGTATTCAATGAGATATGTAAAAATACACAGATTTTAATTGTTCAGCTTTTCTGTAATGCATTATTTGAACAAAAGATGCAATTCTATCTTGAATTTCTACTTTCTGAAAAGATTCATATTATAGTTAATGCAGTCATAGCCTTATCGCTAATAGCAGGTTTGGATCTGACTGCATTAGTGAAATTGTTCATGTTTTGTCTGTGATTGTAACCGTTTTCACCTGAAGTCCCTGAATGTGCCTTCTTGGAATACCCTATACTTTTGTCCTATCTTAGTGTTGATGTATGTCACTAGAATCTCAGTTCTTAGATTTAATTCTCAGGGTCTGTCTCCTTCGGGTGACTTTTGTTGTCTTCCTTTGATCCCCCTGTGGTGGCTGTGCTCTGTGCTTAGGAGTAGGAGTTGGGCCTTTGTTTTCCTGTGATTTGTGGAACTTGAATGGCTTACCCTTACTTGGTGAGGGTGTCTGAGAAGACGGTGTGGCCTTTTGAGTCAAGGGCAAGGGACATTGCACCTCTGCTGCCTTGTAATCATGAGCAAGATTGTTTGGCCACTCTTCTTCCCTTTCCTAGAGAGGGTCTAATAATTCTTATAGTGAAGAAGTCTTTTTTTTTGAGACAGGGATTTACTCTTGCCCAGGCTGGAGTGCAGTGGTATGATCGCAGCTTACTGCAGCCTTGACCTCCTTAGGCTCCCACGTCAGCTTACCGTGTAGCTGGTACCACAGGTGTGTGTCACCATGCCCAGTTAATTTTTCTACTTTCTATAGACAGGATTTTGCCATGTTGCCCAGGCTGGTCTCGAACTCCTGAGCTCAAGTAATCTGCCCACCTCGGCCTCCCAAAGTGCTGGGATTACAGGTGTGAGCCACTGCCCCTGGCCACTTTGAGATCTTTAAGAGACAATAATAATAACACACTAGTTCATCTTCTGGATCTAGTCATCATGAATCCAGGATTCAGTTATCAGATGTCAAATTCACTCCTAGATTTCTGAAATGAGACAGGGAGACCTCTAAATCTTGTATCCCCTGAATGGAGACAGTGAGCTGACTTTCCCTTTTGCCTTCCCTGAGGCTGGTACAGAATTTTCCAGTGAACAGGTGGCAATGTGATGCTCTATTCTTTTCTTACAGAGATCCCACTGGCATTGTTGGTGGTAGGCCTGGGCGGGGGCAGCCTCCCCCTCTTTGTCCACGATCATTTTCCAAAGTCCTGCATTGATGCTGTGGAGATCGATCCCTCCATGTTGGAAGTGGCCACCCAGTGGTTTGGCTTCTCCCAGAGTGACCGAATGAAGGTCCACATTGCAGATGGCCTGGACTATATCGCCAGCTTGGCAGGAGGAGGAGAAGGTACTGCTCTTGGAGCATTTGAAGGGGTGTTGAGGGATGATTGATGCGACATTGTCAGGCCCGCAAGGGCCTCTACAGTTTATCTCTAAGAGAGTGGCATGAGTATCGTTCCAGTCTTCAGCCTGTTCATTTGTTGATATACTTATTCACTAGAGTACCAGCTATATGCTTAGCACTGTGTTAGGTGTGAATGTAAAGCAATAAGTAAAACAGGCCATTCCTGCCCTTATGGTGCTAACAGACCAGTGGGCTTTTTTCTGACCTGTAACCTTGTCATTTCCTCACCATCTTAAGAAACCTGAAGTCTAACTGGGCAAAGAAACAGAGAAGAAAAGGTGGAATGTGTGTTGGGAGGTATTTTTGTAAATATTTCAACTGGAGGTAAAGCCAGAAATAGAGCAAAACAGTATTCATGTAAGATCAGTGGTATACAACCTCAGGGTCTGACATTTGGTAATGTATGGAGACAATTTTTCATTGTCACAAATCGGGGTGGGGGATGTTGCTACTGACATCTAAACGGTAGAGGTCTAGGATGCTAGTAAACATCTTACAATGTTCAGGACGGGCACTGATGACAGAATTATCTGGCCCAGAATTTCCACAGTGCTCAGGTGGAGAAACCTTGATGCAGATGGTACTCTGTGGGAATTTTGATAGGCCTTCTGCAACTAGAATTAAGGTTCCATTTGCTCTAGTAATTTGCATCCCAGATTTAGGACAAAAACCATAAGCATAATAATTTTCTGTAAAATACTAGGGACAGTAACTCTGCTATTATACAGATAGGCTGCTGGTGAGTTTAGTACTTTCTGGAGCTCGAGTCCTTCGGGGAGAAGGCAGTTAGGTTGGTTCAGTTCTGTTCAGGACTGCTGGTCTGCTCATTCCATAACAGATACTCTGGTCTCACTAGATTAGAATATTTTCCAGTAAGGGTGTGGCAAACTAGGAGGCCTGGGACAAGTATTGAACAGATGCTATCTTAATTTTAATTGCAAACTGAATTGAATTGTAACAGTTTCGTAGGTTCCCTCTCTGAGGCTAGGGTTAGTTTAGGTGCCCAAGCCCAGATAGCTAATACGGTGAAGTATTTACAACAGTGCCATGCACATGGTAAGTACTTAATCCATGATGTTACTGCTGTTGTTATCTATAGATCAGTTTTCAATGGCTCTGCCCATCTTCTGTAACACCAAAATGTTTCAGATTACTGGAGGGCTCAAGGCTGCAAATGCAGGCTATTGTTTTCCTTGGACTTTGATGAGCCAACATGTTCTCTTTGTAAGAAACCAAAATCAGATCTGTGCTATGAACAATGATAAGCATGCAGCAGTCCTAATTAAATACTTATTAATTATTGAATAATTATGACCACAGTCTCAAAATTTTCTAAAAACCTGTCAGTGGCATTGCAGACCTACCCCTTATAAAAACAATTTAACATTATAGTAAGGAGCAGATCCATTTCTTCATCAGTTCTTTCTCACCCATTTAGCAAAATCATTTCTTTCTTGAGTCAGCTCTTGTTCATGGAACTGCAAAGATAACACTAACTGAAATTTCAGAACATTTTCTCCTATGAGGCAAAATGTGCTGTTTTCAGAGTTAAAAGTTACCATTTGCTGGGTCAGCCCTTAAAGGCTTAGTCAGCTGCTTTGTCTAGATCAGTGGTTCTCAACTCTGACTGTATTTAGAATTACCTGGAAAGCTCAAGAAAAATACCAGAGGCTTCCCATCTCTCCTCCCATCTGCCCCCTACTACCCCAGGATATTTTATTCTGTTGGTTGGCGTGTAGTACACATTAGAAGCTTCCCAAGGTGATTGTAATGTTCTGCCACAGTCAAAAGCCACTGGTGTTGATAGACTCTTAACCGAGAAATATTCATGCAAAGGGGACCCCAGTAATGTTTTTGCCTTTGGAAGGTGCTTTTAAATGTGGAAGAAGGTTCCATCTTTACTATGGGACACTCTGAACCCTGATGACAAAGACTCCCCTGGGCCATGACATCAGTGCCCTTACAGGCAAACCACATCCTCTGTGTCATCCTTCTAACTTAGTCACCATGCCCACCACTGGTAAAGAGGAGGTATAGTGTTGGAATGTAAATGGTATTATTTTATCCAGCAAAGACAAGGACTTGTTTCCTTCTTTTTCCCAGCACGGCCTTGCTACGATGTCATAATGTTTGATGTTGACAGTAAGGACCCAACACTGGGAATGAGTTGTCCGCCCCCAGCATTTGTGGAGCAATCTTTTCTACAGAAGGTTAAAAGCATCTTGACTCCTGAAGGTATGGAGAACAAAAGGTGGGAGAGGGAGGAGAGAAGGGACCATTAACAAAAATTATCTTTTTAATGAAAAATGCACAGAAGTGCGAGCTCGATCAATTTTTCCAAATTTAATACACCCATTTACTAGCACTAGACACAGAAAATTTCCAGCTTGCCAGAAAGTCGTATCTCTTATCCCCTTTCAGTAACTTGTCCTCGCAAGAGTAATCACTGTCTTAACATTTGTCCACCCAGCTTAATTTTGCCTGTTCTTGTTCTTTATATAAATGGAATCATATGGAATGTTGGAATGTTCCCTTTTTTTTTTTTGAGACAGGGTTTTGCTTTGTTTCCCAGGCTGGAGTGCAGTGGCCTGATCATGGCTCACTGTAGCCTCAAACTCCTGGTCTCAAGGAATCCTCCCACCTCAGTCACCTGAGTAGCTGGGACTACAGGTGGATGCCACCATGCCTGGCTAATTTTTTTATTTTTATTTTTTGTAGAGATAGGATCTCAACATGTTGCCCAGGCTGGTCTCAAACTCCTAGCCTCAAGCGATCCTCCTACCTTGGCCTCCCAAAGTGCTGGGATTACAGGCATGAGCCACTGAACTTGGCTGAATGTACTCTTTAAGTGTCCATTTTCTTTCACTCAACATGATGTTTGTGAGACTCATTCACAGTGTTGTGTTTACATGGCTTATTTTTATTGCTGTGTTATATCATGTAACTTAACACAATTCGCTTATCCATTCTACTGTTCGTATTTGGTTTGTTTCCTGTGTGGGTCTATTATAAGTGGTGCTGCCATTAACATTCTAGTATATGCCTTTTGATGAATTATGTTTTCAGATCTCTTGGGTATATACACAGGGTTGTAATTGCTGGATCATAGGTTATGGGTATGTTTTTGGCTTTTGTAGATGCTACCACACAGTTTTACAAAGTGGTTGTAGCAGTTCACACTCCCACCAGCATGGTGATGCTAGCTACTACATGATGCTTCCTACACGTGCTCTACTAGGCAGTGTGTTATTTAATCTTCATAGCAGTCCACTTTTTGGATGAGGAAACTGAGGTTGAAGATTTGCCAAGGTGACGCAAGGTAACAGTTGGGGCTCAAAGTCAGTGCCTTGTCACCTCAAAACTGGAGCCTTTAATCCCTATGTTAACAACCCTCTAGGTATTTTTGATTTGGTGTAAGGCACTGTGGTAACTGGCTTGATTTGGAATCTTAATTGTCAGAAGTCAAGATAACCTCGGCCCTGTCACTGGTTAATACTCTATGGTGTGTATGCCAAGAATGTAATATCCCTGTGGAGTTGGTAAATTTTACTTTCGTAGGGAATCACTTTCTATTGATTGATTGAGACAAAGTCTCATTCCGTCACCCAGGCTGGATTTTGGCTCACTGCAACCTCTGCCTCCTGGGTTCAAGAGATTCTCCTGCCTCAGCCCCACTAGCAGCTCCTGCCTCAGCCTCCCTAGCAGCTGGGATTACAGGCGTCCACCACCATGCCCAGCTAATTTTTATATTTTTAGTAGAGCCGGGGTTTCACCATTTTGGCCAGGCTGGTCTCAAACTCCTGACTTCGAGTGATCCGCCTGCCTCAGCCTCCCAAAGTGATGGGATCATAGACATGAGCCACCGTGCCCAGCTGGGAATCACTTCTTTCTCAAAGCTATTCTTTGAGAAGCTATTTGGGAAACTGAGGCTTGGAGAATGGTAAAATAACATGTGAGCAGCACAGAAGAGCAAGAAATAAGGCTGGAGTTTGTTTATGGCTCACATGCTCCCCATGCTTTTCTCCATCTGCCTTTCTATGCTGTGTATTCTCTGCAAACTCATCACCACCGTGTGTTTTAGTCCACCAGTCTCCCTGGGACAGGAATTGGTATTTTCCTCAAAGCCGATCCTTGTCTTTCATATGTCTCCTGATGTGAGGTCATTCTGACTTTTCTTCCTACCCTATAGGTGTTTTTATTCTCAACCTTGTGTGCCGAGACTTGGGGCTAAAAGACTCAGTGCTGGCTGGGCTCAAGGCAGTGTTCCCCCTCCTATATGTCCGGCGAATTGAGGGTGAAGTGAATGAGATCCTGTTCTGTCAGCTGCACCCTGAGCAAAAACTTGCCACACCAGAGCTCCTAGAAACAGCCCAGGCTTTGGAGCGGACCCTGAGGAAGCCTGGGAGGGGTTGGGATGACACGTATGTCTTGTCAGATATGCTCAAGACGGTGAAAATTGTGTGACTGCTTAGGCCAAGCAGCCCTCCTGCCTAGACTGACCTTGGACTCCCAGCCTGCCAGAGAATGAAGAAATACAACGCACAGTACTTTTGAAGCTTCGTATTTTTCTTGGTTTCACACTCAGCTACATGTGACCTCCAGCTTGGTGAGGTTGCCTGAAGATTAGGGAAAATAAAAATGTCCTTCCCATCTTGTCCTCTTCAGTACCACTTGGGTTGGTTTGTCTTTGCTTCCTACACCACGTCCTTGAGTGGAGTTCCCTGCTGAAGCCCCTAGCACACACTGCATGCCTTAACAAGTGTGTGCAAGCCCCTCAGAACTCAAGACATCCAAATTTTATTGCGTCTCTACTTATACTGGTTTGCTTTTGATTTATTCCTCTATTAGTTCTATAGGAGTGATCTCAAGTGAGATAGCAGAGCAAGATGCCAAAAGACCATAAATAGAGTAAGGTTTCTATAGATGTGAGACAGATTTGAGAGAGCATTTACTCTGTCTCCCTGTGGATGAAACTGCTGCTGAAATGGTTCCAATTTTTAGGAATCTGCTTACCCACTTCATTATTTGACAGCTTTCCTTGGTGACCCAAACCTTGTAGCCTAAGCCATTTGTCTTTTTCTCAGTGGAGGGAGTGTATGGACCTGGCCCCATGGCTTTGCATGTTAGAGACCTGGCAGACTAAAGTCTCTAGTGTTTGTTTGCTCACATTTGCTGAGTGACAGCTATGTGCCAGACTGCATAAAGGGTGGTGGCAGAAGTGAAAATGTTTAAGAATGACCAAAAACATTAGTAATGAAAGTTAATGTGTTCCAGGCATTCTTCTAAGTGGTTTACATGCACTGTCTCATTTAATCTGAGATAAAGGATACTTAAGCCCAAACTATATCTAAACCCAAATCTCACTTGGCTGGAAACATCAATCTTAACCATTTATTCAGAACCATTAAACCAATGATTCCAAGACTGGCTTGAATTTTGTCTTTCCTAATTATACCGAGGTTGACTTAATGAGCAGTGCCATGGAAAATAGGCATTGTCACCATTCACCACCTGGCTCTTCTTTCCACAGGCCCTTTAAAAATGGACCCTGACCTTTCAGTTGAAGCATACAGATGCTCTTCAGCCTACGATGGGGTTATATCCTGATAAATCCATCATAAGTAGAAAATGCATTTAATACCCTGATAACCCATTGTAAACTTGAAAAATTGTAAGTCAGAGACTGTCTGTATTTCAGTTAGGTTGTCATCCTTAGAAAGTAGTGTCAGTCTGTTAAGGAGAGGAGGGAGTGCAGAGAAGTGTTTTTAGATCTTACCCATTAGAAATACTTGGTTCTCTTTCTTTAGGAGGGGATCTTCCCCTGGAACCCCGTAACGGGAAGATTATCCCTCATGTCAGGTCTGTGTACCCCAGAGGACCTTACTTGGCAAGTCCTTTCTTTTTTCTTCCTTGTTTTTGAGACAAGGTCTCTGTCACCCAGGCTGGAGTGCATTGGCACCATCACGGCTCACCGCAGCCTTGACCTTTTGGGCTCAGATGATCCTCCCAACTCTCAGCCTTCCAGGTAGCTGGGACTACAGCATGTACCACCATACCTGGCTCATTTTTTGTAGAGACATCCACCTGCCTTGGCCTCCCAAAGTGTTGAGATTACAGGCATGAGCCACTGTGCCTGGCCACTCTATTTTTTTTTTTTCTCTTGAGCTTGTGCAGTGTCAGGATGGGTTATGGAGGCCCAGGGTCTGAGTCAGAGGAGCTCATCTGCCTGTCCTTGGTCAGATCACCCTCATGCTGTGCAGAGTTTGGAGCAGCACATTTGGGTGGCATGGCCAAGCTCTAGGCGTTATCAGAATAAGGTCTCAGTTAAATCTTAGGGGCAATGGTCTACAGAGGCACGAATTTACATGTCGCTTCCCACATTTGGAGGTGGGAAGAGACACTCATGGGTGATGATTATCAAGACTTAAGTATAAAAGAAGAAGGAAATTGGTTATGTGCTGAAGGCTGGAGAAAGACCAAGGGACAGAAGTGAGGCAGTTTTCGGCTTAATTTCCTACAAATGAAATTTGTACCAACGAAGACCAGTGTGTTCACCAGAACACTTGGTGGCTGCAGCCTGCTTACTCAAACCCTAGTCTGACTCCCCTCTGGAGCTTGCTGGATTGTGAGGAAAGTGGTGTGTGTACAGACAGCCATTGGCCTGAATCCCATCTTTTCCACTGGAGAGCTTTTCACTTTTGCCTTAATGACAAGCAAATGGTTCCTTATGGGAATTTTGCCTAACTTTAGGGGTGAGCGCTCTAGAGGAGGGGGGAGGGTTAGAAGCTTCAATGCCTACCAGACCAAGCAAGTAACAAATATGTGGAGTGAGTGAGCCAGGTATAAAACAAAAAGGCTAGGATGAGACCTGTGGCAAACCAGAGAATAAATATCCCCTCTAAAGGCAGCGGCTGTCCCAGCTGAGCTGTCTTGCAGGAGCACTGTCTTAGCATAGCTAGGTCTTTAAGAGAAGCCAGAAATCTCGTGCGTGTGTGCGTGTGTGTGTGTGTGTGTGTGTGTGTGTGTTGACATTAAAATGTTGGCCAATCAGTATACATTTTCAAGTTATAATCTATTTTGCATAGAGAGATTATAGGGGAGATAGCCTATGGAATTCCTGAGAATCTGGCATGCACCCAGCTTCTGAGTACAAAACAAGGAGCAAGCTGATAGCAATGAGTTACAAAAGTCTGGAAAAGTCTTATCTATGACCTCAATTTTCTTTAATGGCTACAGCTGAGTGGGGATGGTCCCATCATCCTTGGGAGAGTGTACAATTTAGCTTCCCAGGACTATCAGAGAACTGAATGAGAATAAATCACATGACAGTTTGTGCCCTCGCCCCTCCCCCCATCCTAAAAAAGTTCTGTGACAATGTAAAATTGGTAAGCCTGCCTATTGCCCTTCTCTGCCTTTTTGCCCTTGTCCCTCACCAATTTTTCAGTGTGTGCCTCCAGTCTTCTGTCATGGCTGCCTGCTAACTGGGCCTCTTCTCTAAGTCTGTCTTCTTATGGATTGGGTAGACCAGTAGTTATTTTTTTTTTTTTTTTGAGACAGGGTCTCACTCTGTTGTCCAGACTGGAGTGAAGTGGTATGATTTTGGCTCACTGCCACCTCTGCCTCCCAGGCTCAAGCAGTCCTCTTGCCTCAGCCTCCTGAGTAGCTGGGACTATAGGCGCACACCACCATGCCCAGCTCATTTTTGTGTTATTGGTAGTGACAGGGTTTCACCATGTTGTCCAGGCTGGTCTCGAACTGCTGGGCTCAAGCAATCTGCCTGCCTTGGCCTCCCAAAGTGCTAGGATTACAGATATGAGCCACAGTGCCTGGCAGAACCAGCAGTTATTCTCAGCTGCACATTGGAGTCATTGGATATGGTAAGCAGAATAATGTTCTCCCAAAGATGTCCATGTCCTAATCCTTGCAACCTATGAATGTTATGTTACACTACACAACAAAGGGAAATTAATGTAGCAGATGGATTTGATGTTGCTAATGAGCTGTCTTTAAAATAGGGAGATTATTCTGAGTAATCAGATACAGACACTGGGTGGACTCCACGTAATCTCAAGGGTCTTAAAATGTGGAAGAGGCAGGCAGAAGACTCAGTGTCAAGAGTGAAGCAATGTGAGGAAGACTCACCAGTCATTGCTGGCTTTGAAGACCATAGGCCACTAGCTAAGGAACATGGGCAGCCTCTAGAAGCTGGAGAAGGTAAGAAAACTAGAGCTTCCCTAGAGCTTCCAGCAGGGAGTGCAACTCTACCAATACCTTCAATGTAGCTCAGTGAGACCCATTTTGGACTCCTGATACGGAACTATAAGATAAGAATTTGTGTTGTTTTAAGCCGCTAAATTTGTAGTAACTTTACAGCAGCCATAGAAATTGAATATATCTGGGAAGCTTTAAAAAAATGCCTAGGCCTGGCCCCACCCCCACAGACTCTGATTTAATTGGTCTGGGGTGCAGCCTGTGCATAAGAATTTTAAAAAAGCTTTCCAGGTGATGGATGCTGTTTTGCAGCCAAAATTGAGGACCCCTGGAGAAGAGGTTCTGTGGATGGATATGTCACAAGGTAAGGAGGAAGGAATTGCCAGCTAGTCTCATTAATGACTGCTGGCTTAGCTCTGAAATGCAAACATCAGCAGTCACTTGGTAATTGGAACATACTCCCCTCCGACCTTCACATTAGCCCACACCTTAGCTCTTTGCCCTTTGAGTGATGGCAGTAGTGTGAGGAGTCAGCTTGTTGCATTGGACGATTTCCTCCATGGGGCACAGCAGCCTCACTCCCTGCTATAATTGGGCCCTGAGTGTACCTCCTAAGGACTGCTTAATAAAGCTCAAAGTCTAGTAAACCATAAGTCATACAGTTTCCCTCTTGTGGCTTGTCTTGCCATTTGATTCCTGCAGATTTGTTAACAGCTAAATGGTCGATAATAAAAACCATTAAGTTGGATTTTTCTTTTTTATATACCCAACTGGCATTTTTTTGGAGAGGTTGTTCTGTGCCAGACACTGTGCTTGTGTTGATAAAAAGAGGAAAGATAGCTTCTGCTCACCAACTAGCTGGGGAGAACAAATTACACAGCACGTGGATGACTTCAGCAACCACCTGTGCATAAAGTGTAAGGGCAGCATACAAGATGGTCAGATGTTTGCTTAGAGTCTTCTTAGATCCTCTTGCTAGGCAGACAAAAAAATCCAGCCTCAATAAAAACTGCCCCCTTAAAGTGACTGAAGGCTGGACTCATGGTTTTGTTTTTCTAGCCCACGTCTCACTTGGTTCCTGTGCTTCCCACTAGATGGCACTAGAAATCACATTTAAGTGCTTGGGTGGCTGTAAAAAATTCTTGGGAACCTGGCACTTCCAGGGGCTCTTTCACCTGAGCCGTATTTCCTGTGTCTTTCTCTGGTCAATGAAGACAGACTTCTACTTTACTTGTTGTTCTCTTGCTTCACCTAGTACCCTATGCCCTCTGCTCTTCCACCATCACCTGTTTCCTGTCCATGCACATGGAGACAGCACCATTTTCTCCAGTGGTGGAAGCCTGTATAAGGCAGAGATCCTTTTACCCCTACATCCCTGATTTTAGAAGTAATGGCAGGAAATACAGCAATGGAATAATGCTAGTAAGACATGAAGCTCGTGGCACATAAGAAGAAAAAAATGTAACAACATGCATCTGGGCCTGAGCTGGTATGTCTTCAAGTTTTCTGCCAAGATGTAAGTCATTTTTATCATAGTAGTAAATTGGTAGATAAATGTTGGTAGAAGTAAAATTTGATTGAAATAATGGATTTTTTAATGCAAACCTGTCTGTAGTGGGTTGAATAGTGGCTCTAAAAAGAAATATCTAAGTCTTAAACTCCAGAACCTATGAATGTGAGCTTATTTGGAAAAAGGGCCTTTGCAGATGTAATTAAGAATCTCAAGCTGAGATTATATTGGATTGGAGTGGACCTTAAATCCAATGATAAGGACTTAGAATGGAAGGGGAAATGAGACAAGGGAGATGGGAGAAGGACATATGAAGACAGAGGCAGATTGGCGAGACATCCCCGCAAGCCAAAGAACAGCAAGGATTGCTAGCAGCTACCAGAAGCTAGGAAAGAGGCAAGGAATGATTCTCCCTCAGAGCCTCCAGAGGGACCCACCTCCTGACACTTTGCAGACTTCTGGCCTTTACAGTTGTGAGAGAATAAATGTCAGTTGTCTTAAGCCATCAAGTTTGTGGTAATTTGTTTCAGCAGCCTTGGGGAATGAATATATAGCCGAAAAGGGCTTTGTTTGTGCCACCCCACAGAACCAGAGAACCATTAATGCTAGTCTCATTAATGACTGCTGGCTTAGCTCTGAAATGCAAACATCAGCAGTCACTTGGTAATTGGAGTATATTCCCCTCCCACCTTCACACTAGCCCACACCTTAGCTCCTTGCCCTTTGAGTGGATGGCAGTAGTGTGAGGAGTTTGGCCTCCCAAAGTGCATGGGCTCTGGGCCACATGCTACCCCAGATGTGTTTAACCTTCACCAGACATTTTAAATAAAATCTATCGATTAGAAAATCGTTTTATACAAAATCTATAAAATTTCTGGATTCTTTTGAGAATTTAGAAGCTCCTGTGATGACAGGCCCATGTTCATACTTGGCTGGAACTGGCAAGCATCTTTGCCTTGTGGATGGGTGGTGTTTGCCACAGTCCCCACTGCTCTCATCTGTGTGTTTCCTGCATTTATGTTACATGCCTGGTCCTGCAGGCATTTGAGCTTGTAGCTCCTACATATTTAGCAGGACAGGTAGGCTGGGAGACACAGTCCCTTCTTTAGAACAAGGGGAAAGGAGTCCCTGGTTTTGTAGTCAGTAGTTCTGGGCGTTTTTTGTTATATAGCAGCACAGCTTAGAAGGTGGTTTCAAAATCCGGTTGCACAACAAAACCATCTGGGGTCCATTTCCTATATACTGATTCTGGACCATATCCCAGACCTACTATGTCAGAATCTTGGGTGTGTGTGTGTGTGGGGTGGGGTGGGGGAGTGATGGAGTAGGACAGAGGTAGAGCCAAGGAATCTGCATTTTTAAAACTCTCAAGCAATTCTGATAATAAACAGGCCTAGAAATAGCTGCCATAGGATATTATCTTTTAGCACTGAAAAGGGAGGCAGTTTGGGTTTTTCTTTCACTGGAGATCTTTGAGGCATGTTGTTTTAAAAAAAAGTCAAGATGGCAGAAGTGGAGCAGAAAAAGCAGCAAAGCAGAAGAAGCAGACCTTCTGCAAGTTCACCTCCTGTGGCGTGCACCCCGACCCACTGCTGGACTTGTCATGCGAGCAGCGAATGAAGCTGCACCGTGGCCTGTGGCAGAAGCAGCACTCGCTGCTGAAGCGCCTGCGCAAGGGCAAGAAGTGGGCACTGCCTATGCAGAAGCTGGAGGTGGTGAACGCGCACCTGCAGGATATGATCATCCTGCCCGAGATGGGAGACAAGACGGTGGGTAGCATGGTGGGCGTCTACAATGGCAAGGCCTTCAACCAAGTGGAGGGCAAGCCCGAGAGGATTGGCCATTACCTCGATCACCTACAAGCTCGTGAAGCACTGCCCGGCCAGGCATCAGAGCCACCCACTCTTCCTGCTTCACCACCCTCAAGGATTCTGCTCAGCCAGTAAAGGCACACACACTTCTTAAATAAATAAATAAATAACAAAATGTCTTTTCTCATGGAAATGTGAATGATTGCAATATTTTGTGGAGCTAAGGGTTTTAATTAGTCAGATTCGTTCTATTTATGAAACCAAGAAACTTGGTTTCTATCTACAAACCAAGAGTGGCAAACCAAGATTGGTTCTTTAATGAAGGCATAAAACAAACACCTAATCAATATAGTGATATCTTTTATTTATCTAGGC
The DNA here is from genome assembly GCF_000001405.40 of Homo sapiens. Classification (NCBI taxonomy): domain Eukaryota; kingdom Metazoa; phylum Chordata; class Mammalia; order Primates; family Hominidae; genus Homo; species Homo sapiens. Next base: position 171,804,200 of record NC_000001.11, read on the forward strand.
AAGATGGTACAATACTCTGCAGGGCCCCTTCAGCACATAAACAAGTCCTATAGCCCATCTTCTCTGTTTATTCTCATAAAAGCTGGAAATAGTTATTTCAGAGTTGTAGATTAAATCTCAGCTGAACCAGTACTATGCCTACAACATGGTACAGCACTCTGCAGGGCCCCTTTAGCATGTCAACAAATCCTATAGCCCACCTGGGTTCTGTTGAGATTTAATCTATAACTCTGAAAAAAGCTGGAAATAATGATTTCCAGCTTTTATTCTCAAAAATAAAGCTTGGATCTCTACCAGTCTTCTGAGGATGCTAATAGACTACCCAGGAAGGAAGAAGGAAATTGTGAGGGTATTTAAAGAAAGTTGTTAGGGGAAATGAAGTTGCTGTTATTTTGGTTAAGGAAGGTTACAATACATTTAATACTACAAAGCATTGCATACAGATTCAACTCATAAGGACTTTATTAAATGATTCTTTTATTCAATAAACATTTGTTGGAGTGCCTACTATGTATCAGGCACCTTTCTATCGCACTAGGAGTACTGTAATGAATAAAGTAATAAATGTCCTTGTTCATAAGCCTTATACTTAATGAAGAAAAATGAAAGGACAGCTTCATTAATGTGTGGCAGGTGCTTTTCGTACGAAGTATGACTGTTATGTAGACTATATTTATTAATTTTTAAGGCTCCTATATTAGCATGTCCTGCAGAGAAAGAAGGCTGAGCCCCCATTGAATGCTATTAATTTGCAGAAGCCTTTAGGTGCAATTTTCAAGTTAAATTTCAGGGGTACCGCTGACTGAATGTTTGCATACCTAGCGCTCTCCTTACCAGAAGAGCTATTTTCTCATGGCTACCACAGCATCTACTTCCCTATAGGAGAATAAATAAGCCCCAGGCCATTTGAAAAATGGACCACAGAAAAATTTCCTACAAAGGGCCCTCTGGATGGGCTAGGCCACTCAACCCATTTTCTAGTTATCACGTGGCAGATCTAGGACTTACCCCAACCCAAGGCTGGTGATGTGACTCTTAAACATTTTGCCTCTCCTGGAATAGCACAGTTATGGTAAGGAAGGCTGGCCAATGAGTTACAAGTATAGACTGGGTTGATTCCAGGTCATTCATTGATGAGAGGGCAGAGCCAGGACTAGCTACATGTCTCTAGGTTTCCAGTTCAGTGCTTGCCACTATGATAACCATCTTGTCTCTTTGAACGCAAAAGTTGAGAACCCTAGCAACATGAAGATGTTAAAATGTAATCTGTTTTGCTATCCAATCAAGATCGATGGACCGAGAATGGTTGTGATGTCCTAGCAGAGTGCTCAGTAGACCCAATAAGTGAAGTAGTTGTGGAAAGGCATTGGTGTGAAAGCTGTGGGTGTTATCAAGACCCAGAGCTGCAGTGGTCTAGCGCCTCAGCCAGAGCAGAGAATTTCCTTTATTGAGACTTAGCTGAGACCTGCACTACACGAAGACCTGGAGGTCACCATGCAGGCACACAGGCACAGGGATGGAAGCTTTCCTCTTTTCCTTCACTCGTTCTCCCTGATCCTTTGTTAAGCTCTAGCCACACACCAAACACTATGCTGGGGCAATGGGGGTACAAACATCAAGAATCTTGTGTTTTGATAAGCCATCAAATTGGATTATGTTGCCAAGGTGATGGCTCTGAGGAGTGAAGGTGGAGAGAAGCAAAGCTAGGCTGACCTCACTCACTTTGCCTGGCTCTTTGGGGGCGTTGCTGGTACAGAGAGCTGCCAGCCTTAGTAAAACCGAAAGCAAAGATGACCAAGCCGTTCAGCCTTTCAAAAATAGTTCCTACACTTTTCTGGTGAGAAAAAGAGTTCCTTAGTCAGGAATTATGATCCTATTAGTTCCTAGTTGTAAAGCATAGTTGTTAAAAGAAAGAGAACTAACATTTACTAAGGACTTACTATGTTAGAGGTACCATAGAAATATCAGGAAATTTTAAAAGCAGCTTTATTGAGGTGTGACTGACATATAACAAACTGCACATGTTTAAATCATACCACTTAATAAGTTTTCATATTTGTATATGCCCATGAAACCATCACCAGAATCCTGATAATGATTAGCCAGGTATGGTGGCACATACCTGTAGTCCCAGCTGCTTGGGAAGCTGAGGTGGGAGGATTGTTTGAGCCACTGGAGTTTAGGCTGCAGTGACCCAAGATGGTGCCACTGCACTCCAGCCTGGGTGACAGAGAGACTCTGCCTCTAAAATATATATATATATGATGAATATATATATGATATGTATATACATGCCCATCACTCCACAAAGTTACCTTATGCTCCTTGTAATTCCTTCATCCCACTTTTCCCACCCCAAGTCTTGTCCTTAGACAACCAGTGGTCGGCTTCCTGTCACTACAAATTTGTTTACATTTTCCAGAATTTTACATTAATGAAATCATATAGTATATACTCTTTTTTGCTTGACTACTTTCCCTCCCTCCCTCCCTTCCTTCCTTTCTTCCTTCCTTCCTCTTTCTCTTTTTCTTTCTTTCCTTTCTCCCCTTCCCTTCCCTTCCTTTCTTTCTCTTTCTTTCTCTCTCTCTTTCTTTCTTTCTTTATTTCTTTCTTTCTTTCAGGCAGAGATTGGTAGGTCTCTCTGGACTTTCAGCTGTGTCTTTACAACTCATGGAGTCTTCTAAGGCTGTATGTCAGTTTTCACTCTTTGGGCCATGACCTGGGAACTCTCTCAAGGCAGGAACTTGTCTCAATCATAGGGCTCATCTCACTTGTTTCCCTTCTCTCAGGGATTATTGTTTTTTATTGCCTGATGTCCAATGTCTTGAAAACCATTGTTTCAGGCTGGACGTGGTGGCTCACGCCTGTGATCCCAGCAATTTGGGAGGCTGAGGCAGGCAGATCACTTGAGATCAGGAGTTCGAGACCAGCCTGGCCAACATGGTGAAACACTGTCTCTACTAAAAATACAAAAATTAGCCAGATGTGGTGGCACTTGTCTGTAATCCCAGCTACTTGGGAGGCTGAGACAGAGAATCACTTGAACCTGGGAGGCAGAGGTTGCAGTGAGCAGTGATGGCACCACTGCACTCCAGCCTGGGCTACAGAATGAGACTCTGTCTCAGGAAAAAAAAAAAAAAAAAAAAAAAGAAACCATTGTTTCATGTATTTTGTCTTGTATCAACTGGGAAAGAAAATGTGGACTCTACTACTCCATCTTTCTTGTAGCAGAAATCACAGCATGTATTTTAATCCTATAGTAACCTCATTTTACAATAAGTATTTTTTATCACTATTTTTTACATGAGATACTATAGCTCAGACAGGTTTAGTTCTAAAGTAACTGAAGGTAAAAGCAGAGTTTAAATCAAGGCGTTTTTCTTTCTGAGGTCTGAGTTCTTTTCACTGTACTAGGTTCATGGGGTCATCTGAAAGGCACTCAGGCTGGGTTTTAGGCCAGTCTCTGACTTCAAAGATCTGTATGATCTTAGTTAAGTCATGTAAATTTTCTATGCCACAGAACCCAAGAGAACTTTGAGTTGCTCTGCCCCAGGGCTACTCTTTAGGCCATGGCTGTCTTTTCTTCCTCTTTTTACAGGCCCCATAATTTCAGCCTGGTTTCCCGTTCTCTTTCAGAAGATAACCCTATTCTATAAAGTTGTTCTCCTTTAAAACTTCTTTTTCCCCCAAGTGCTTAGTGCAGTGCCGGGCATGCAAAAAGGTTCTCAATAAGTGACAGGTGAACGAATAAATAAATGAGTGCATACATAATTGGCTATAGAGTAAGTCAGGTGCAGTCTCCTTCCTTGCCTTCTCCCAACGACCACAGAAGGAGTTCTCAGGCCTCTGCAATCCCTGCATGCCAGTGAAATCCCATTAGCATCAGTGGTCCGTTGTCTGGCCCCACTAGCTCAACCAGGATCTCTAGCTTTGTTGAGACTCCCTCCCCTATGCCCTAACAGTATTTCTGAGTTTATAAGAATTCACAAAGGAAGAACTACCAAGTACATTGAACTGTTGGGGGGAACAAGGCACTAATTATAGCTATGTGAATTGAAGGCAGTACTTTCTTTGTTCTTTTCCTCAAGTCAGAAACCTAAGTCTGAAATTCAGATTGTACTTGTTTTGGACTGTAAATGTTAGCAAGAAAGCCATGAAATTAATAAAAGGACACTTTTCTTTCTAAGACATTTCTGGCATAAATAGCTCCTGCTGACCAGGTGATGAGATGATTCAAAGCCTCTGTTTCTGGCATGCCCAGTCATTGCAAAGAAAGCTGAGCACATTCTTCCTAGGAGGTCCTTTGTAGCCCAGTGGGCTATGGAACAAAGGGGAGGGACCAGATTGAAAAGTTCTGTCCCAATCCCACACACGTGTCTGTATCTTACAAGCATGGTTGCATCTCCATCCGTTGCTTGATTCCACAAAATGGTAAGTCTTAGAGGCTGCCCTTTAGGAAATCCAGGACCCTTCGGAATTCAGTTCAGTTTACCCCCTATTTATGAAGCATTTGCCATGCACTCAGCTTGGTGCTCTTATAGAAGTGGTCTTTGGCTTCCTGTTGGGTGGAGGTCCCACTCCTTAACTCCTCAGTCTGAGGCCAGAACACTCAGAGCTAATACATGGGGGCCTAGAAGGGTCAGCTTTGGAGGGAGATTGATAACCCTGATAGCTTAAGAGCCCCTGTTAGTTTTAGAAGTGCCAAAAAGGTTATCTAGCCTGTCCAACTAACACCTACCTAGGTCTTGAAGATGCTATGGTGGTTATTTAATAGAATGTGATTAGGTAAATCCAGTGAAATGTATAAGTACTTTAATTTGTATTTTTATTTTATTAAAATTCACATGTAAAAGTGGGTGTTTAATGTTTTAGTTATATCTGTATGTTTATCATTTAATCGTTATTATAGTTATTTGAAAGAGATGCTAGCATTTTCTCCATTTACCTCAGATAAGGCAAGGGAAAGTCAAGGGAGGACTTACCAAATACACTAGAAATGAAAACTTAATTACAAATTTGGCCTGCTGATTCTAGTTCCAGTGCTCTTCTCACTATACCCCTTTCTCTCAATAGGCTCTTTATGGACCAATAACATTTGTTTTAGCTCTTGGATTTACCTGTCAGTAGTAAGCAACAAGGTAGCAGAAAAAGCACCAACTTTAGCATCAGATAAAGCTTACTTTGAATTCTGGATTTATCACTTAAAAGACTTGTGACTTTGGGCAAACTACTTAACCTCTCTGACCTTCAATTTCTTTACCTATTAAGTGAGGACTCCTGGGTTGTTGCTTTGGGGATTCTGAGTGATTATGAGTAAATGTGCCTGGTACACTAAATACACTGGGGGATCTATGAGTAGCCATAAGGTCCTCATTTCTTTCATGATGCATCCTCTCATTTTAGCTGAAGCTTTTCCTTCATAAAATCTCTTTATTATTTCAGACCTCATGAATCTACCTTTTCTCTGAACTACTTCAGCATCTATGGTCTCTTCTGTCCAATTTAAAGTTAATTATGTATTATTTTATATTCTTAGTCTCAGTCCCTGACTAGATTGGAAGCTTTTGGGGGGCCATTAGACAAGGTCTTAGATCACAATATATTCTATGGTGTTGAATACATTCTAGGTATACAATAAATATTTGATGGAGTGAGATGGCTTAGATTCTTTTGGAGGTAATTCTAGTGGTCATGGACATAGACAGCAGAAGCCAGGTTATTCCAGTGCCATTGGCTTGTACCAGCATGTCTAGCTCCTATCACAGAGAGAGTGAGAGGATGGAAGGCAGCCTTCCCTATGTCCCAGCACACCTGTATCTAGAATGACAGGAAATGTTGGTAATGTATCTCTTCCCCAGTTGCTCAACATATAGTGACTCATGTGCTAAGTCAAGGTGGCAGAGACCAAATCACGAATTTCAGAGCATCAGAAATGGAGTCTCAGATTCATTCTAACTCCCTTTGGGTCCTTGGGCGGGTGTTGTCAGCTCTCTGAATCTGTTTTCTCATCTTCAAAATGGGAATAATATTCCTTCACAATGCTATTGTAAAGTTAAAATGAGATGTATTAAGTGGGAGTGTTTAATAAATGATCGTGTATTGTAAAATGTTTTCAAAAATTATTTTTATTAAGAAAGATTTGGGGAGCCAGGAGTGGTGGTGCATGCCTATAGTCCCAGCTGTTTGAGCGGCTGAGGTGAGATGATCTCTTGAGCCCCGGAATATGAGGCTGTAGTGTGTGCCATGATCATGTCTGTGAATAGTTACTACCCTCCAGTCTGGGCAACAAAATGAGACCCCGTCTCTTAAAAAAAATAAGAAGAAGGATTGAAGGATTTAGGATTTATGTGCTTGTTACTACTATTTGAAAAAGGCAAAGAGTAAAGGGAAGGAAATGAAAAGAGAGCTAACTTGGGGGCATCCAAATTGTGCTGGTTTGTCATCAAGAAAGGTGGATGAGACTATTTCTGGGAAGGAAACCTGGGAATTACTAGCAAGTCTATGAGCCAGGTGCAAAGAAGGAGCCCAGTTAGAAAAAGGGTTTCCTTTTCCATAGGCCTATAGTACTGAGGGAGCTACATATGGCTTGGGCATGTGGGGTGAATTTTTTTTTTTTTTTGAGACAGGGTATTACTCTGTTATTCAGGCTGGAGTGCAGAGGTGTAATCACAGCTCAATGCAGGCTCAACCTTCTGGGCTAAAGGGATTCTCCCTCCTCAGCCTGCTGGATAGCTGGGACTACAGGCAGGCACCACCACGCCCAGCTAATTAAAGATTTTTTTGTTTGTTTTTTGTAAAGACAGGGTCTTGCTATGTTACTCAGGCTGGTCTCAAACTCCTGGCCTCAAGCGATTCTCCAGCCTTGTCTTCTCAAAGTGCTGGGATTACAGGCATGAGCCACTGCACCTGGCCTAGGAATTATCTTGAAGGTCAGGGCTAGGGAAAGAGCCTGCAAAAGGAGAAGAACCTGTGCCAAACTCATGGGCTAAGTAGAATGATGTTGACAATGATAGGCTGATACTTACCAAGCACTATATGTACCAGACATTGTGGTAAGTGTTTTACAGGCTGTATCTCATTTAATCTGCACAACAACATTTGAGGTGGTGATATTGCTATTCCTGCTTCACTGATGAGGAAACAGGAGCTTAGAGAAGTTAAGTCATCATAAGATCAGATCTTGTCCTGCCTAGCTGGAGATCTTAGCTTTCAATCACTTGAACCTTGTGAACTTACATCTCCACTTAGTTTGTCTCCTCCATTTACTTTGGAGTAAAAACTACTTATGCATATGAGCACACCAGAGGATGCAGTGATTGTGCTCTTGGAAGAGAAAGAGTGGGAAGGGCCGTAATCCCAGAGAGAAACTTGTTTGAAAACACACACACACACACACACACACACACACGTGCACATGCATGTGCATCATTTTCCTTGATTCCCTGTGTTGTAGTGGAAAATTTACCAAGCAGTGATGGAAACTCAGATTGGCAGAGACCAGGAAAAGAGTGGTGAATTTTGGTTTGGGGTCTTCCCTCCAGGAACCCCATTTCTTCTCAGTGGTGTGTGGGTCCAGATCACAAGCTGTTCTCTAAAGCACATTCACTTCTTCCTGATCAGAGCTTATTTCCAGAGCTCTGCAGGGCCTCTTATACATCCTGACCAGCTCCTGGGATGTGACCCTAATATATCACTCTTCATATTGCTTATTAACTGAACATGACAGTGCAGTTGAATGGAATGGGCCTGGGAGAAAAAAAAGAGGTGTTTTTTTTTTTTTAAGTGGTTAGAAGAATCATTTAATCTCAGTATAAAAAAAAGATTTCTCCATTTATTCCTTGAATCTTTTCTTGAGTCACCTCTTTATGACAACTGTACCGGGTACAGAGATGAATAAATAACAGCCCCCGGTCCTAAGACGCCAGTGTAAAAATGTAAATATGATACATTGTGATTTTTACTAGAATAGAAATTCCAACAATTAAAGCCTCTCACAAGTAGAAGAGATTTCAGAGTAAAGTTGTAAGCTTTCCCATCCTAGGAGTTTCGAGCAGATGCTGGATGATCTCTTGGTCATGATAGAGTATACTGGATCCTAGCATTAGATGGGGATATGGACTACATGACTTGAAAAGATTCTCTTCCTGGGATGCTTAGACTGTATTAGTTTCTGTAGTAGCTACAATGCAGTGGTAGTTTTGGGGTTAAGACAGAAGTAATGTGGCAGATATTCCTGGTTGCATCCACTAAATTCAATCTCTGCTTCTTAATTAGGAGAAATCCAATTTTGTCCCAACTATGCCCAGCTTAAAGTACACAGCTTGTACACAGCTTGTACACAGCTTGCGGCTATAGGTGGGTTTGTGGCACAATTCTGGCCAATGAGATTCAAGATCGAGTTACCAGGTGGGGCTCCTGGGAAAGCTTATTAAATGGGGCTGAGTAAGGGCCTTTTTAGCTTTTATCTTTTGTCTTTTGTCCTTTCTCCCATTTTTATTTTCTTGTAGGAATAGAGCTGTGATGCCTGGAGGTAGAAATATCTATTTTGTGATAAAAACTACTTACTAAAGATGGCAGGACAGAAAGAGAGAAAAAACCTGTGTACCTGGTGTCATTATAGAACCTCTTTACCAGCCTGGATTCCATACACGGGGACTTTTTGTTACAGAAAAAATAAACCACTATCTAGTTAAATCATTGTAACTGAATTTCTGTTCCCTTGCAGCTAAATACACTCTTAACTGACATATATACATAATATAGTGGAAAACATTAGAAACCTGGATTCAAATTCCTTTTTCATTATTTGTTATCTATGAGACATTAGGCAACCTACATGGATCTCACTGAATTTCAGTCTCCAAATATGTAATTGTTATTAATAATACCTATCTTGCAGGGTTACTAGGTGGATTACATGAGATAATCTGGAGTGAAATGGTCTAGCACAGTCCCTGGTACACAGAAGAACCTCAACAGATTAAAAAAACTGTGTAGTTGGACATGTCCCTAAATGAGGCCCTTGAGACCATTAAAATAGATGCTGATTTTATTGAGGGGCAGCCTTGCTCTTGGGATGCACATTGATACATACTTGGGATGATCTGTTGTTGGGTGGAAAGATAATATTAAAAATTCTATTTAGATTTATCTTCATTTTATCTTTTAAATATTTTAATTCTGAGGATGTTCTATGTATAGGTACAGAAACAGAGTATAATTTATGAATAAAAAATTAAATATATGGGATGTATAATAAAAAAAAGCTTTGGAGACCACTTTAAGCATTGTTTACATTATTATCACTTGGGTTGCTTGTTGGAAAAAAAAAACTTCCAGGCCCCCCTGAATCAGTGGCTCTATGATGGGACCTTGAAAACTTAAAAACCTGCTGAGATGATTCTTACGTTAACCCAAGTTTTAGAATCAATTATTAGAGGAATTTCTTTTTCTATTCCTAAGAGTCATGGTGCTAATTTTTATAGAATTATGAGCCCTTAATATTTAGATTCTTTCCTAGCTGCATGTAGTAGCATAACACTGATAAACTCATGATTAGTATTCAAGGTTATTAAGCCTGAACCTCAAATACATCTGATTGACTCTAGACCTGCCAAAAGTAAAATTAGAAAGTAGGTAAGATTTATCTTTTTGATCTTTGTTTCCTTGTTTCAGGGTCACCAGATCCTCCTCCTCCTGCAGGCTCACCATGGCTTCAAAAGAATTCAGTGTTCTGCAAGACTCTTCAGTCCTACTACTGCTCTCTATTGAGATTGGATCATGTGCCCATAATCCAAGAGATTTCCTTCAAATCTGTGTACCAGGTAAAACCACCCCTGTGGTAATAATGAACTACTGAGGGAGACAGTCTGGGTAATGAATGAAAAGAGCCTGGTTTGGGAATTATTCATATAACAAACACCTAAAAATACATACGGAAGCCTTTTTATGTGACAGGCACCATCTTAGGCACTGTGAATCTAAAATTAGAAGTGGCTGGTGCAGGCCAGGTGTGGCGGCTCACGCCTGTAATTCCAACATTTTGGGAGGCTGAGGTAGGAGGATTCCTTGAGGTCAGGAGTTTGAGACCTGCCTGGCCAACATGGTGAAACCCCATCTCTACTAAAAATACAAAAATTAGTAGTGGTGGTGTGCACCTGTAATCCTGGCTACTTGGGAGGCTGAGGCAGGAGAATCACTTGAACCTGAAAGGTGGAGGTTGCAGTGAGCTGAGATTGCGCCACTGCACTCCAGCCTGGGCGACAGAGTGGGACTCCATCTAAAAAAAAAAAAAAAAAAAGGGGCTGATGTAGTGGTGCAATGCAGTGATGCGGTGGTGTTTACAACCAATCGATCACAACCAGTAACAGATTTCTTTGTTCCTTTGTTCCTGCTCTGTTCCCACTGCTTCATTTGACTACACTAAAAATAAAATAAAATAAAATTAGAAGTAAATTACTGTTGTTCTTAGTTTGAAAGAATGTGAAGATTAATGTGGAGAAACACACAAAAACCATTCATGACCACAAAGTGACTGCTTTCATATCGGTATGAACAAAAACACAGGCAAAGACTGTGCCACTCTGCTTAGGGGAGACGTGGGTGGCTTCCAGAAAATATACTGCATGAGCTGAAGGATGGGGAGTTTGCCAAGGGTGAGAAGAGTGGTTTAGGCAGAGGACTTGGCTGGGCAAAGACCCAAAACAGAAGACATCTGGAGGATTCTAGAAACTTGAAGTGGTTTGGTTTTTCTGAAGCATTAGGTTTGTGGTGGGAATGTCAGGAAATGTGAGTAGGGCTCAACTATGCCATGCAAAGGAGTTAGGTTTCATACTCTTAGCAACTGGGAGCCTTGGAAGGATTTTGAGGCAGAGAGATACCATCAGATTTATGTGTTATAAAGATCACTCCAGCAGCAGAATGGAGGCTACATTGGAGGCAACATCAGTCTAGAGGAGAAAGACCAGTCAGAAATCTAGGTCTTGACCAGGTGAGAGACAATGATGGGGTGGAGAGGAGGGAATGGATTTGAAAGATAATAACAGGCTCAGATCAATAGGACTTGGTGATTGACCTCATGTGAGCTGAGAAGGACTCAGGTTTCTGGCTCTAGTGATTAGGTGAATGGTAGGGCCATTTCTCTGAAATAGGATTCTGGAGGAGGGGGCACCACCTCCCTCTGCTGACCCCAGTTCTGCCACTCACTAGCTGTCTGCACCTGACACGTTACTTGACGTTTCTAAGTCTCATTTCTCTTCATCTATAAAATGAAGTTGTGACCTTAGCTGTAATGGTATGTAGGGGGCACTCCATCCATGAAGACTACCAACAATAACAATCCAAGAAAATCATTATTTTGAACGTTAAAATATGTATTTTACTTTCTCCAAGTAATACAATGCTTTAGCGTAGTAAAAAACGCATATGCCTTCAGAAAGTCTTGAATTATGTACATATATATAGTCGTATTGACTTGTATTTGCATAAAGAAGCAGTGGAAAGACATACAAAGGACTATTTCATAATAGTTACTTAAGGGATGGGGACAGGTGCATGGGCTGGGGAGGATGGGGAGGACGAAGACAGGCACAGTAACAAGGTTTTTCAGTAGGTTCTCTTTCACATTGTTTTAATTTTTGAGCCATGGTTGTATCACCTATTTAAAAATATGAAAATAAGGTTGATGGGTGCAGCAAACCACCATGGCACATGTATACCTACTTATCAAACCTGCACGTTCAGCACAAGTATCCCAGAACTTAAAGTAAAATTATTAAATAAATAAAATAAAACATATAAAAATTAAAACATAAAATTTGGGGTGACTTTAATGGTGTGAATTTCAGGCAAGTGTTCAATGGTTCTCACCAAAAGGCCTGGGGTTCTTTTACCCCCATTGTTTTTTGCTTAACCCGTGTACTTTCCGGAGTTTTCTTCCCAACTTTTTCTCTTGGCTAACTCCCACTTCACCTCAGGTCTTGGCTCAAATATCACTTTCTTCCCGTATCCTCACTTTCTCTGCTATCCTGTGTGCTTTAGATTCTCCTCTCCTGTTTTCTCACGGGGTGTTATGAGAACTGCTGCTGTGATTTTTCTCACATTGGGCTGTAATTATTGATTAACTTGTCCTTCTACCCATTTGACTATGAACGCTTTGCCTCTATTCATAGCTTATAATAAATGTTCAAGAAATTTTTATTGAATGAATCCTGCCATGTAGGTGTAGGGACCTTATACCATGGAATTCTGGAGACAGCTTCGATTTCAAGCATTTGTTCCTTTGTTTCCTTAAGCACTAATCAGGCCAATGTACTGATTCTTCCTTTTCTCCCTACTCCCTTCCCTTCCCCTCCCCTCCTCCCTCCCTCCTTCCCTCCTTCCCTTCTTTTTTTTCTTTCTTTTTCCTTTCTTCCTTTTTCTAAAATACACATAAATGTGCTCATCTATTCTGGTCTTAATTGTAGTTGCTGAGTAAGAAGTAGAAATCTTTCAGCTCTGATGTTGACACAAACAAAGGCAAAAAATTATTTTTATATAATCCCAGGGCTGAAGGGAAACCAGGGGACTTAAAAGAAATTTAGAAGCTGTGTCTCTTCTATACGTAGACTGTGAGCTCTTTCAAAGCAGAGATGGCATCTTTTCCACCTTTGTGCCTCTGGTATATTGCACATGGCCTGTTACCTAGTATGTGCTCAATAAATGAGTGCTAAACTTAATTACAAAAATTAACATGGCATATTTTGCCTTCTCTTGAGAATTTTTGTCTGAAGTTGAAGAACTCTGTATTTTGAAAATTAAATCTATACAGAAGTAGGAAAATGGTAAAAATTATGGAATCGAGGGATAGATAGACCTGGATTCAAATTCATATTCTTTTTTCATCATTAACTGTAACTGCATGGCCATAGCTAAACCACTTAACTCATCTGAGCCTGTCCTCATTTGTAAAACACACACACACACACACACACACACACACACAGTCTCCCATGGTTATTAAAATAATTAAATGGGATAACCTAAGTAAAGGCCTTAGTACATGCTGAACACTTGGTACTTGCTTATTGTTATTTCATTGAACATGTTATGCTCAACAAGTTATCTAGCTAATATATGCAAAGTTTTGCAAGGCCAGGCCAAAGGCACAGGTCTTAAAATTATAAAAGCTGAAGGAGTTGCAACCAAGAAAGGAAATAATTAGGGAAGAGAGACTGGATCAGAAGCCAGGCAGCTAAGGGTACTGGCTTTTCAAATTGTGTTCTTTTGTTAAGACTAAAATTGGAAGACAGGAGAAGCAGGGCTTTTGGAATTGTGGATACCAAGCACCACTAAATGATTAAAGCAAAGTGCAGTGCTGGCTGGTGGCCGTGTGCTTGTTATCTTGGAAGTGCAACCCTTGTGTCCTGTATCTGATTCATTTTCAACAATTTTTTTTTTTTTTTTGTGGGTGGGGAAGAAAGAGGAGGGATGACAGAGAAAGGTTGGAAGATACACAGGAGAGATATTTGAGGGGAGGAGCAAATAGACTAATATTCTCAGTGCTTTTTAACTCATTGATTGCCAGGAGCCTGGGTGAGGCAAAGCATTGGTTTATTCAGCTTTTATTCAGCTCAGTGCCCTGTTGACAACACAATGTGTCTGAGTCACAGGGGGTCAAGTGACTGTAGCTTCTCTGATGAGTCACTGTCTTGTTTCCACTAATGTCTCCGTGGCTGGGGCCAATTTGTTTACTGAGAGAAAGCTACAGCTGTCTGCAGGTACAGACATTTGTACTCCAGAACTTACCAGCAGAGCCAAGCAGTGTGGATGTGAGGAGCTTTTGCACTCCTGGAAGGTCCTCACGGGTAACAGGCAGTGGGAGCTGCTTGATGTGATATGATGATGCTCTTTCCTTTGATTTGGTATCAAGAGAAGCAACTGTTTAGAATTAGAGCTCAGAGGATTGAGCAAGAGTTAGAAGGTGGGAACAGGACTAACATATATCACCCAGGAACCCAGTAAGACATATGGCATATTCACAGTAGGCAATTGAAGGGTGCTGGGTAGAGAGACTATTCACAAGGGTGTGAGCAGGGTTCAGGGAAACCAGCAAGGGATGGTGCAGGGTCTCAGAGAAAGCAAGTGTGGGGAGCCATTACTTGGCTGAAGAAGCATGAGTGGGGAGAGTGGCTATTGGAGCACGGGGGAGTAGAAGTTGGAGAAAGTCACCTGAGAGGAGCAGTGGCCATCATCTTAAGGCCACAGTCAACTTACAGTGAACCAACAGGGATGGAGTCAGGGTTATACATACCCACTTCACTCTCCTCCCACTCTCCCATTGGAGACCCTTATATTGGCCACATCTTACTGAAAGCCAGAGAGAAGGGAGTTGTTGACGTTGGCCACGCAGGCCAGCTCCTGAGGAAGAGAGCAGGGTGGAGAAGCTGGAGAGTGGCTCTGGGGGGATGCAGAAAATATCTAGCACAAGTCACTAGCTAGACAAGCCAGTTACCTCATGTGGGTCTCAGTTTTAATCATCGGTGAAATGGGAAAATCACTCTACCTTTTTGGCAGTGTTGTGAGAGTGGAGTTAGATAAAAGGATTTGAAAGGCCCTGAAGCGCTCTGCAAATGTTGAGTAAGAAGTTGCTCTATAGCTGCTACTTTTCACAGAGAAGGGAAATACTATGTTACTCAAGTAAATTCCTTCCCTCCTGGTTAGTTCACCACCCCTTCTTGAGATCTTACTTTCATGTAGCGCATACTGGATGCCAGGAGTGAGCATGGGGAACAAAGATGGGTGGGCTATAAAAAAATGTGATGACAGTTATAAGACATAGCCAATGCTCCGTCAATAGCCTATAATATAGTTACAAAGAAAGATATAAATAGGTGTGTAGTGTGTGTGTGTGTGTGTGTGTGTGTGTATGTGTGTATGTATTCCTATATCAATGTATGAAATGCATGGAAAGATATGAAGGTAATTATCTATCTGTGTAATCATCCATTCATCCATCCATCCATCTACACAAAGTAATGCAACCACATATGCAAAATGGAACAATACATATATAAATAATTAGAACTGGATAGGAACAATAAAAAAAGGGTGTTCAGAAGAATAGAGTTTTGCATTGGAAATTAGGTCTTGAAGTGCCAACCTACTGACCTGTTGGGGATGTTATTGTCCATCCAGGTTTAGAAGTAGACTTTTAAAGAAAGAGAGTAAAGTATTTAAATTTTTTGAGTTTATGTATTTGTTTATTATTCTTTTTATCTCCAATGCTTGGCACAGTATTCTAAAGGCCCTCAAGAAGTGTTTATTAAATGAATCAGTTAACAAAAAAGGTATTTATGCTACTTTATTAAATGAGAGAAGAAAATACATATAATAACAACGCCTGCCTATAGCGTGGTCTCTATGAGAATTCTTCCAGTGCTGTTTGAAATACTGTACCACTGAGGCCAAAGAGGACACAGTGACTGAGCTTAGCATATGCTTTAGGTAAGTGATTTGTGTAAGATTAATGTGTGCATAGATGCAATCTCAAAATTTCAAGACAGAAAATGACTGCTTTTTGGAAGATGTTTATTAAGAGCCTATGGCATGCCAGACATGCATGTCCTACCCATGCTTCTGGAGCTCAGTAGAAAGAGAAGTTGAGTGAGGGTGGTGATAGTTTCCTCATATGGTTGTCAGGTTATTGTAAAGCTTAAAAATAGTGTTCCTTTTCTGCCATGGGCTTGAAAACAAACAAACAAACAAAAACAAAACAAAACAAAAATAGTGTTTAGCACTCAAATACCTTTGCATAAGTATTAATAGTCTAGGATTCAGGGTGTGGTAATGAAAGGGAAAGTTAAAGTAACACCATCTAAACGTTTCTAGGCAAATGTAAGTGGAAATGATACTGGTGTGGGACTATTCAGAATCACTGCTGTGGATGCAGAAAGCACTGGCTCTGAGCCCATGGGGCACAGCCCAGAGAACAGAGCTCTGCAGCGAGGCCAATGCTTCTTGGTCTTTGGATAAGTTGATAACTCTTAGGAGCTCTTGGGATTGTCTGAAGGCTGTGGGGGGAAAAGCACAGCCTGCACCTACTATTAGCTCCCTGCAGAAGAAAGAAGAGAACATGGCCCATTCAAAGTCATGTTTTTTTCCAGCTCTGCTCTCTTCCCTAGTCTCCAGGCTGCAGGCATGCAAGGCTGAAATCAGGCTTCCAATGACCAAAGAAAAACTGTGCCACATCCCAACCTTAAAACAAGGCTGTCAAGCCCTGATCAAGGGCTGTGGATGATACAGGGTTTATATGTATAGATGGGCCCTCTCTGTTGATTGTTTAAATTCAGGTAACATTCACATAACACAGAATCATTTAAAAGTATACAATTCGGTGGCATTTAGTAAATTCACTGAGTTGTGCAACCATCATCACTATCTAGCTCCAAGACATATTATTTTCGTCACCCCAAAAGGAAATGCAATATACATTAAGTAGTTGCTTCCCATTCTCCTCCCAATCCAATTTCTGGTAACCACCAATCTGATTTGTCTCTAGGGATTTATCTATTCTGGATGTTTCATATAAATTGAATAATACAAAATATGATCTTTTGTGTCTGTCTTTTTTCACCTAGCATAATGTTTCCAAGGTTCATCCATGTTGTAACATGTTGGTGCTTCATCCGACACATTTTTTGGCTGAATAATATTCCACTGTGTGGATGTACCACATTTTGTTTATCTTTTATCAGTTGATGGAAATTTGGGTTATTTCTACCTTATGGCTATTGTGAATAGTGCTGCTACAAATATTTGTGTACAAGATTTTTTTAAATACCTGTTTTCAATTACTTTGGGTATATACCTACAAGTGGAATTGCTAGGTCACATAATAATTCTAGTTTAACTTATTGAGGAGCCACCAACTGTTTTCCACAGTAACAGCACCATTTTACATTCCCACTAGCAATGTGTGATGGTCCTAATTTCTCCACATCTTTGCCAACATTTATTTCCCATTTAAAAAATTTTAGTTATCCTAGTGCATATGAAGTAGTTTCTCATTGTGATTTTGACTTGCTTTTCCTGGTGACTAATGATGTTGAACATCTTTTCATTCCCTGTTGCATTTTAACTCAACCAAACTATTTTAAATATGTATCTTTTTTTCTCTTGAGTAGATCTGTAGCAGGATTTAGATGGCATATTCTCACATGTATATTTTATTCAGCTCTCTTTGAGTCACATGGAGCAGGCTACCATTTGCAAATAGAGCCTAACAAACATTCCTAGGTGATGGTGTGGATATGGAAACAGATGAAGGACTTTCTCAGAGGCAATATTTATTAAAACTGTGCTATTAATGGAACATTTTTTTTTGCATTGAAGTTTTATTTTAAAATATGCCCTAGAAAGACAAATGGATCAAATAGCAAACCCTCACTTGGTGGGCTTGAGCATTTCTTAAAGTGGAGCAACCAAAACCCATGGAAACTCTGAGTAATCTCTGATTTTTGGCAAGACTTCCAACTTGTATTTAATGTTAAGATATCCCTCTATGCTTCACTTTTCATCAGTTCACATGTAGAGGATGATGAGCTCTTGCAAAGTCTTGTGGGAGACCCACAGATAAACTTAATTATAGTGAGGTGTTGAGGATCTTTTCATGTGAGCCATCGATTTCAACATCTCTGGCTTGGACTGGATTTCTCCTTCACTTGGCCATCATCTCTTTCTGATGCACATTTCTTGAGGCAAATGGACAAGGTAATGTGTGTCCCATGTGAGCAGGAGAAAATTGAACATCCCAAGAATAGTCTCACATCACAGTTAGGTTTTTTATCTGCAAAAATAGATTTATACTAAAACAGAGAAACGTGGAAAATGATATGAAAATAGAAACCATACTGTGTGCTACCTTTCTTAATAAGTAGGCTAACTCTCTAGAATTGTTAAGTTTAGATGAGTTCAGAAACTATATAATTTAGCACCCATCTTCTCAACTGACCTGGCATTGGCCCAGGTATTGGAGTGATGTCTGCAATCAGGCTCTTCTTGGTAGTAATTTATTTTTCCTACTACTAGTAGTCAACCTCCCTTCCCTAATACTTAAAATTTCTTCTAATAATTAAAAACATTCTAAGATGTTTTAAATTGAGAGCTGAGACTAAATCTTTAGGAAATTAAAAAATTTCAGTGTCACTCTGAAGAATAATACTTCTCTCACCCTGCCAATCATACTCAGCTTTTCCTGAGCTGATCACCTAGTTAGTAGGGTCCTACCTGGGGTCCGTTTGTAGGCTTGGTGGCACATACCTGAATAAAAATTGTCAGAGTAACTGTTTTTCCTGGAGGTAAACTTATGTTAAAATGACTACTTGGTAGTGGGAGAAAACAGCTAAGAAGGGTTGATGATCTCCAGACGGAAGGTCATGAGAAGGTTCCTAAAATATGTTGTCTCCTTTCCACCATCTCCTGTTAGCAACATATAAGGTCAAACATTTTTTGCCACAGAAATAAATGAGGCCAATAGATAGTCATTGGATAAATCTACTTTAGAAGTTTTAGATTTTTTTTTTTTACAGATGAGTTATAAGGTCTTTCCAAATGTGGCCATTATCTTTAGCAGTACTAGAGATGTCTTTATTTCCTTTTCTTTGTAGTTTCTTACCTCTGTGTTTTCGTAAGTGAAAACTTCTGTGAGTTCGTAAGTGCCATCTGTAATCACACTGATTTTGAGTTGTTAGAAACTGGTCTTGTGCATTCTGAGATAGATGCCATCAAAGGGCCAGGAAATATTAAGAATATATAGTGGGATCTCATTACTACATTCTTATTTGGATATTATCTGTTTGACCGAAATGTTCTTTTTTTTTTTCCTTGTAGAATAGCCAGATAAATACAAGGTATTTTGTTTTATTTTGTATATTCCCTAAATCTGGCAACACTACCTCCTGAGCACTTAGCTAAACTATACTTCCCAGTGGATGTGGCCATGTGACTGAGTTCTACCAGTGAAATTTTTGTAGATGTGATGGGCCACTTCTAAGACTGGCCCACAAAAACCTCCCATGTGTGCTCCTGCATGTTCTTTCCAATTGTGTTTGGTTAGGATGGAGAAAACTTCTAGGGTGACTTTGGAAGCTACATGTTGAAGAAAACAGAGGTTCTATTAGACTTGACTGCATGGAGGTAGACCTCCTCACCCTGTCCACGTTGCCTGTACTGTTACGCGAGCAAAAGATAATTTTTTTATTGTTGTTGGGCTCTTGTACATTTTGGGATCTATTACACTTGTTGCATAAATGGCCTACTTAACCAATAAAGATATGCAGTTGGTTAAGCCATTTTGTTGGTAAGTAAATTACTAGATTAGGAGAAAACTTAACATGGAACAGCTAACTTGATAATATGGGAATTATCCATAATTTCCAAAAGCAATGCTACAAAATTGTCTCACTAGGCTTCTATTGTGTAATAGATGACTCTGAAACTTATTGTTTTCTGAGGATTCCAAAAGGAGAGAGGTAGGGAGGGGAGAAAGGGTTGAAAATCTACTTATTGGGCACTATGTCAGCTACTTGGGCTATGGGATCATTAGAAGACCAAACCACAGCGTCATGCAATATACCCAAATAACAAACTTGCACATGTACCCCCCCATTCCCCGAAACTAAAAGCTTTAAAACCTTTAAAAAAGTGTTTTAAAACAACAACCATTTTATTATCTGTCTTAGGAATTTGGGAAGGACTCAGCTGAATGCTGATCAAGATATTTATTGTGCAGTTCAATTCAACAGGCGTTTAATGTGGAAGCCAATCTTTATAATATGTGCCGTGGAGGGAAGCCGCAAAGTAAGTGGCATAATTCTGGCCATCAAGAGGCTTACAATACTGCTAGACTTGCACACTTGAATAGGTACAAAATAATACAGAACACATAGTTAAGATGTTAAAATCATTCCTTTAGCAAATATGTAAGCATCTACAATGTGGCAGGCATTCTACTAGGTGCTGGGTGTATAGCTGTGAACCAACCAAACAAACCAACAAGAAGTCTTACTTCGTGGAGCTTACTTTCAGGAGTCTGTGTGTCAAACAGGAAAAATACAACAACAACCAATAAAACAGTTAATTATATGGGATATTAGAAGATGATAAGTGCCATGAAGACAAGCAAAACAGGGAGAATAGAAAGTGTGTCCGACAGAGTGTAATTAAAACTATTTTTCTGAGTTTAGTTGTTTTTTTGTATTTTTGTTTTGTTTTGTTTTTTAGAGACTTGCTCTGTCACTCAGGCTGGAGTGCAGTTGCACAGTCTTTGTTCACTGCAGCCTCAAACTCCTGGGCTCAAGGGATCGTCCTGCCCAAGCCTCCAGAGTAGCTAGGACTACAGGCTTGAGCCACTGTAGCCAACGGAATTCAGCTTTTTATTGAACATGTCGTAAAAGACCAAAGCTCTTGTCCTCAACATACTCCTCAGATTCTTTATTTGCTTCTGCTTTATTCTCCTTCGTTGAGGCAGTGGTGGTGGAGGGGGCAGGACCTCCTGCTGGTGCAGCACCAGCTGCTGGAGCAGGTCCACTGGCCCCTTCAGTGCAGATGAGGCTCCTGATGCAGACATTGACCAGGGCCTTTGCAAACAAGCCAGGCCAAAAAAATTTAACATTTACACCAGCTGCTTTAATGAGGTCATTGATCTTATCCTCCCTGACAGTCACTTCATCCTCATACAGAATGAAGACCAAATAGATGCAGGCAAGCTGGGAGATTGAGGCCATGGTGTGGGCGAGCCCCTCACCCCCATGTGGACTTAGCTTCCTGGGAAGGGTGCAGAACCTTGGCGGCAGCAGAGGAGAGGACAATTTCAAGAACAGTGGTCAAATAAAATGTTCCTGAGAAAGTAACATTTGAGAAAAGACTTTAAAAGGAGGGGAGAGGATGAGCTTCATGACCATTGGAAAAAGAGCGTTTCAAGCAGAGGAAAGAACATGTGAGAAAACCCTCATGAAGAGATGTATTGGGTATTTTCAAGAAACAAGAAAGTCAGTATGGCTATAGCAAAGTGAGTGAAGGGCAGAATTCGAGGCAAAGTCAAAGTGGGAACAGGAGAGTGGGGAACAAATAGCAAAGGCTCTTTAGGTCTTTGTAAGGACTTACTCAGGCTTTTGGTCTGAGTCAGATGGGAAGTCATTGGAGAGCTTTGCGTAGAGGGGTTACAGGACAAGGATTACTTTGGCTGTTGCACTGGGAATAGTAGGAGGGTAAGGATAAAATTAGGGAGGCCAGCTAGGAAGCCATGGTAATAATCTAGACAGTAAATGCTTGCTTAGACCAGGGCATAATAGAAGAAATGCTGAGAAGTAACCAGTTTTTGAAGGTAGAGTCAGTGGGATTTCTTGATGGACTGGATATACGGTGTGAGAAAAAGAGAAGTCAAGAATGACCATGCTTTTTGCTGGAGCAACTCAAAAGGTAGAGTTTTCATTAATTGGGATAGGTCAGAGAAATGACAGATCAAATGCTGACTAGAAAAATAGCATGTTTGAATGCTGTTGGAATGATCCAACAGAGAGGAAAAAATTAACGATGCAGTAAAGAAGAGAGAATATCTGTAATCAAATAATGAAAGTAGAATCTAGTGCATATATGGAGATAGTCATAGGCAGAGATTTGGATGGTCCATCTACAGAAGCACTAGGGAAGGAAGAGTATATGGTACATAAGCTGGTGAGTTTGCATTGAGATAATGGGAACTGGCAGAATTTCTCTTTTGATTGTTTCTATTTTCTCAGTGAAATATGATACAATTTGTCATTTGAGAATAAGGATGTGGGAAGAAGCATGGGAGGTCTCAGGAGAGAGGAGAGAAGTATGAAATTGTCATCTAGAAGGGTAAGAAAGTGAATGAACCATGGAAAGGCAGTAGTATTACTGGGTTCATTTGAGATTCAAAGTCATTAATGAAAAATGATTCCTGTCAGCATGCATATTAGTCCATTCTCACACTGCTATGAAGAAATACCCAAGACTGGGTAATTTATAAAGAAAAGAGGTTTAATTGACTTACAGTTCCACATGGCTGGGGAGGCCTCAGGAAACTTACAATATGGTGGAAGGCACCTCTTCACAGGATGGCACAAGAGAGAATGAGTGCAAGCAGGGGAAATTCCAGATGCTTATAAAACCATCAGATCTCATGACACTTACTCACTATCATGAGAACAGCATGGGGGAAACTGCCCCATGATCCAATTACCTCCACCTGGTCCCACCCTTGACACATGGGGATTATAATGCAAGGTGAGATTTGGGTGGGGAACAGAGCCAAATCATATTATTCTGCCCCTGGCCTCTCCCAAATCTCATGTTCTCACATTTCAAAACACAATCATGCCCTTCCAACAGTCCCCCAAAGTCTTAACTCATTACAGCATTAACCCAAAAGTCCAAGTCCAAAGTCTCCTCTGAGTCAAGGCAAGTCCCTTTCATCTATGAGCCCATAAAATCAAAAGCAAGTTAGTTACTTCCTAGGTACAATGAGGGTACCAGCATTGGGTAAATACACCCATTCCAAACGGGATAAATTGGCCAAAACAAAGGGTCTATAGGCCCCATGCATTTCCAAAATCCAATAGGGCAGTCATTAAACCTTAAAGTTCCAAAATGATCTCCTTTGACTCCATGTCTCACATCCAGGATGCAAGAGGTAGGCTCTGATGGCCTTGGGCAGCTCTGCCTCTGTGGCTTTGCAGGGTACAGCCTCCCTCCAGGTTGCTTTCAAGGTCTGGTGTTGAGTGTCTGCAGCTTTTCCAGGCCCACAGTGCAAGATGTTGGTGGATCTACCGTTCTGGTGTCTGGAGGATGGTGACCCTCTTCTCACAGCTTCACTAGGTAGTGCCCCAGTGGGGACTCTGTGTGGGGGTTCCCACCCCTCATTTCCCTTCTGCACTGCCTTAGCAGAGGTTCTCCATGAGGGCTACACCCCTGCAGCAAACTTCTGCCTGGACATCCAGGCATTTCCATGTATCCTCTGAAATCTAGGTGGAGGTTCTTAAACCTCAATTCTTGACTTCTCTGCATCCACAGGCTCAACACCACATAGAAGCCACCAAGTCTTGGGGTTTGCATCCTTTGAGGCAATGGCCTGAGCTGTACCTTGGCCTGTCTTAGCCATGGCTGGAGCTGAAGCAGTTGGGACACTGGGCACCATGTCCTGAGGCTGCACAGAGCAGGGAGCCCTGGGGGTGGCCCACAAAACCATTTTTCCTTCCTAGGCCTCCTAGTCTGTGATGGGAGGGGCTGCCACAAAGGTCTCTGACACGTCCTGAAGACATTTTCCCCATTGTCTTGGTGATTAACATTTTGGCTCCTCTTTACTTATGTAAATTTCTGTAGTGGACTTGAATTTCTCCCCCAGAAAATGGATTTCTCTTTTCTAGCCCATCATCAGGCTGCAAATTTTTCAAACTTTTATGTTTTGCTCCCTCTTGAATGCTTTGTCACCTAGAAATGTCTTCTGTCAGATACCTTAAATCATCTCTCTCAAGTTCAAAGTTCCACAGATCTCTAGGGGGCCACCAGTCTCTTTGCTAAAGCATAGCAAGAGTCACCTTTACTCCAGTTCCCCAAAAGTTCCTCATCTCCATCTAAGACCTCCTCAGCCTGGACTGCATTGTCCATATCACTATCAGCATTTTGGTCAAAACCATTCCACGAGTCTCTAGGAAGTTCCAAACTTTCCTGTATCTTCCTGTCTTCTAAGCCCTCCATACTCTTTGAACCTCTGCCTGTTACCCAGTTCCAAAGTCATTTTAATATTTTTGGGTATCTTTACAGCAGCACCCCACTACTCCTGGTACCAATTTACTATATTAGTCTGTTCTCATGCTGCTATGAAGAAATACTGGAGACTGGGTAATTTATAAAGAAAAGAGGTTTAATTAACTCATAGTTCCACATTGCTAAGGAGGCCTCTGGAAACTTACAATCATGGCAGAAGGCACCTCTTCATGGGGCAGCAGGCGAGATAATGAGTGCAAGCAGGGGAAATACCAGGCACTTATAAAACCATCAGATCTTGTGAGACTCACTATCATGAGAACAGCATGGGGGAAACAACTCCCGTGATACAATTACTTCCACCTGGTCCCACTCTCAACACCTGGGGATTATGGGGATTACAATTTGAGGTGAGATTTGGGTGGCGACACAGAGCCAAATCATATTAGCATGGTAGTGCATTTTTCTATAGCCTTGTTCAGCTACATGGGTGCAGGCACACAGTGGGAGAAGAGTTGTATTTTCCCAGACCTAAAGTTTTCTAAGCAAGTATAATAAGAGAGAGAAGCAAGAGGGTGGAGGGTGTACGCAAGAGAGTTTTCGTAATGATAGAGTATGGCATTTAAACGGAATCAAGGAAGTGAGGACATGAAGTGGGGAGGGACAGTGAACAGATGGTACAATTAATGGATTATATTCCATAGAGGAGCTGAAGGATTGTTGTAGATGGGCACAATAGGGAGTGGATTGAAAAGAGAGTGGATGGAGGTCTGAGTAGAGGGTTCAAATTTGCTATGATGGGTGGTTGTAGATTTTGGTAATAATAAGGACTAGGGATTGACCCTTGGAAGACAGCTAGAGGTAAAGAATAAAATCACTGGAGAAGATCAAAGAGCAATGAGGGCAGTGTTGAAAGTAACATCAATATGGAATTGAAATTACCGAGAATGAAAACAAGCGTATTGTTAGAAAGTGGCAGTGAGTCATGAGCTAAAATCTTTGACACATGAGGACGAATGACCAAGAAGTTGATAGATGTCTACAGAAAAAAAAGAGGAAGTGATGATGATAGACTGGTTATATAGATTCAAAGCTGGAAAACTTTAGAGAAAGGGAGAGAGAATGGTATAAAAGCAGCAACGTGGGGCCGGATGCGGTGGCTCACGCCTGTAATCTCAGCACTTTGGGAGGCCGAGGCGGGCGGATCACAAGGTCAGCAGATCGAGACCATCCTGGCTAACACAGTGAAACCCCGTCTCTACTAAAAAAATACAAAGAAAAAAAATTAGCCGGGCAAGCTGGGGGGCGCCTGTAGTCCCAGCTACTCGGGAGGCTGAGGCAGGAGAATGGCGTGAACCCGGGAGGCGGAGCTTGCAGTGGGCCGAGATCGTGCCACTACACTCCAGCCTGGGAGACAGAGCGGGACTCCGTCTCAAAACAAAACAAAAAAACAAACAAACAAACAAACAAAAAGCAGCAATGTGGAACATGAAGTATTCCTTCCCTGTGTTTAAGCCTAGGAGTTTAGGAGGCATGAGAGAGATGGAAGTGACCACTTGAGACTACTCCAGTAGAAACGGAATTCTCAGGGGAGAACCAGGTTTCTGTTACTGAGTTTGCAGAAAAGTTGAGAATATAGAGGTTTTACTGCTAATGGACTGTAGGGTGCAGAGTGCACAATGGAAGGGTTTCAAGAGTTGGGGACTGGAGAAAGAAGAGACATACCTTTATGACAGACCCTCGGTGGAGCCTGATGAAAATAATGGCATTTTCGTATGTAAGATACTGATTATTAATGATGGTGTGAGAAAATTCTTTCCCTCACTTTCTTCTAACTATTACTGTTTTCCACAAACCAGGTCTCTGCCTGCGGCAAGTAGTGTGTACCAGTTCTTTGCTCTGTAAAATGGAGCCAGCTCCTGGAACAGAAAGGGAAAGCAGATAATAAAGGGGCCCTCAGTCAACGAATACTGCAGAATTAGACATAGCCCTTAGCCTACTCTCTAGCCAACTGCCCTGAAGGGGGACTCTGATTTTCTCCCT
This sequence comes from Homo sapiens, assembly GCF_000001405.40. Lineage (NCBI taxonomy): Eukaryota > Metazoa > Chordata > Mammalia > Primates > Hominidae > Homo > Homo sapiens. The sequence goes on from NC_000001.11 coordinate 171,830,006, forward strand.
CTGTTTGGGTGGAGGTACTGGGGTACTTTTGGAGTAGGAAAGAAAAATCTTTGACAGGCCCATTTTAACTGCAGGAGACTTGGCGCTGGAAAACTGTCCCATCTCACTGCAGTGTTAGCCCCTTTGGATTGTGAGAGAAATTGTGTCAGTGGATGGAGGATCATCACCAACACTCCACCAGCCAGACTCTTCTCTAACCAGCTATCAATGAAGATTGGTTTTAAAAAGTAAAAAAGAAAGAAAGAAAATGAATTTCTACTAGGAGCGATGATAAATGGCTCTTCTGAAACTTGTGCGTACTCACAGGAAACAGAATTGTTTTCTGGCTCCTGTCATGGCCTCCTTGGTGGAGATGTCATTTTGCCGATGTCAATGGCTTACAGGGGACTCTCAGTGCTCGTGTGTGTGTCGGAAATTCTCATTCTGTAGCAGGGAATAAGTAGCGCATGTCTTAATGGAATCAGAGACATCATATCCACTAGAATTAGAGCTCAGTCTTCTCAGTTCAATTTTTGTTTTTCAGAACATATTTCTTCAGCAATAACCTGTTTTCTGGCAACTTTCACCAATTTTAAAAAATAAAATTGTGTAAGAGGAAGATGGCTTCAAGCCTGCCTATTACTATTTGAATTTTCTCTTTCTATTTTCTCAGCATGTATCTGCCAACATTTACACTCCTAAAGTCAAATTATGTTGTGACAGAAGAAAAAGAGAAAAGAAAATTTCCTCATGTTACTTGAGAATGAGGAGATTTCGAGGGTCATCAAGGGAAGCATGGAGACTTTTATCAGAGTGACTAGTGCATGACTAGTGTAGTGGTAACATCTAGGGTCTGTAGTTTGACGTTTTTTCCAGGTTCAGCTATGGGGCTTTGGGATATTGACTTTTCACAAAGAGTTGGTCTTTGACAGATTTGATGAAGAACTAGTTTTCAGATCTGCAAATACTTTTCAAAGTCAAATGAGAAAGATAGCCAGGAGGAAGGTCAGCAGGCTGAAGACACAGGATAGGAACTCTGCTGAGACAGATACTAAGGAAAGTCTAAACAAGAGGCCTCTACAGGAAGGGGGCATTTTGGGGAATCCTTGGCTGCAGAAATATTGGATTCCTTTGCATAGTTTTGCTTGAGAATCTGGAAATTAGACTTGTCCCTGGCTACTGTGATCTATTTTAAGCCCTTTTCAGCAGTATAAGAAGAACAACAAAAGTTATAAAGGAATTAAGCTTAATTGTATTTTCTCCATCAAAGCCAATCTTAGCCCGTTTTTGCCTCTTTGTAGCTTACTGCTTCCTGGATGTCATCACATATTTGTGAAAACTTATCTTGCTTTCCATTACAGTATCATGTTTGATTTCTGCTGAATTGTTACTTTCAATGGCACACTCTGGTTATTTCTGGGCTCTTCCTGAGAGCAAAATATTCCACAATCCTAATTTATCAGATGAAAGGAATCCTAAAATTGATGATATACATGAGTAGTAAGTTATCTGAAAATATTTTTATTACCTAGATCTTTATCACATAATTCATTTTAAAATTACAGTTAATCTAGAAAACACCCTTTGGTAATTAACAAAATGTATTTACAATCTCTATTTAGGTTTGAATAGTTATAAGTAAAACATCTAATAGTCATTCAGTGCCATGCATGCAGTTCACAGAATATTTTAGTGTTCATTATTTATTTGATTTCACAAAAGTTCTATGAATAAGAACAGACATTAATATGCTCATTTTACTGATGAAATTAAGGCCTAGGATGGTGAATCTTACAGCCAGTAGGAATTTGAATCCCAGTCTGCTGAGTCTAAGCCATGGAAATTGAAATAATTTATGTAAAGATAAAACCTGCTTTTGTTCATAAGCATGTTCAGGGCAATCATTTACCATGCATTTTCCAATCTCCATATTAGGTTGGCAAAGGTTGATAGTATATGTTACCGGGTTGAAGGTTTTGTGAGGACGATCCAAGTATGGCCTATTGGAGCACATTAGGGAGCAGTTCTGGTAGCTCTTACCTGTAGGGCATTGGTTAAGTCCATGAATAGCTCTGATTTGTCTCAGTTTTCTTAAGTGTAGAATAGGAATGCTACTGCTACCTACCTGTTAGTCATTACTTCAAAGGAAGTTGAGTTGATCTAATGAAATAACTGATGTGAAAATAGTTTGTGGATGGAAGGAAGTATTCAGGAGCTGGGGATGTTGCTCATCACAACCATCTTGGACAAAAGGTCTAGGAGGGAGGAAAGTGGGATTCAACTGGGCTTCATGTGCATACTTAGGGGATGAGTTTTTCTAAGGTTTATATTTCTCCTGTAAAAATGAAAGAGAGGAGACTATGTGAAATAGGCAAAATTTGTCTTAGAACACTCTCTGGGGTGTCTCTCAGACCCTCTCCACTCTTGTCTCTCTCTGCCCCACTCCTAGAACTTCCTTCCATAGCTGATACTGCTGGATAGTTCTTTTCTTTCTTTTTCTTTCTTTCTTTCTTTCTTTCTTTCTTTCTTTCTTTCTTTCTTTCCTTTCTTTCTTTCTGTCTTTTTTTTTTTTTTTTTTTTTTTGATGGAGTCTCACTCTGTTGCCTGGCTGGAGTGCAGTGACATGATCTTGGTTCACTGCAACCTCTGCCTTTCGGGTTCAAGTGATTCTCATGCCTCAGCCTCCCAAGTAGCTGGGATTAAAATTAGCCGGGTGCCCGCTACCATGTTCAGCTAATTTTTGTATTTTTAGTAGAGGTGGGGTTTCACCATGTTGGCCAGGCTGGTCTCAAACTCCTGGCCTCAAGTGATCCGCCCGCCTCGGCCTCCCAAAGTGCTGGGATTAAAGGCGTGAACCACCGTGGTCAGCCTGGAAAGTAACTTTTTCTAAGAGATAGTTGATAGTGATTTGAGGTTTTTTTTTTTTTTTTTTACAAGGCAGACTCTCGCTCTGTCTTCCAAACTGGAGTGCAGTGGCGTGATCAGCTCACTACAGCCTTGACTTCCTGGCCTCAAGAGAACCTCCAGCCTCAGCCCCTCAAGATAACTGGAACTACAGGCATGTACCACCACACCTGGTTAATTTTTGTATTTTTTTGTAGAGGGAGATTTTGCCATGTTGCCTAGGGTGGCCTTGAACTCCTGGACTCAAGCGATCCACCCACCTTGGCCTCCCAAGGTGCTGGGATTACAAGTGTTAGCTGCTATGCCTGGCTAGGCTTGAAGTCTTACTCTCCTCTTCTTCAAGTGATGTTTTCCCATCAACATAATACTCAGAGATTCCATAAAAATGACTCTACATTAGTAGAATTGTGGAGTCATTGGAAGCTTCTTGGAGTGGGTGGGAATATTTTTGTTTTGAACTCTCAAAACGTAGCCTGATTATGGCTGCCTATTACCAAGATTCTCCCCAGATTGAGACTGTCATACTCTGTATTATCATTACATGCCATATGAGAGTGTATCATAAATCCCAAAGGTTATTTTTATTAAAGTGTAATATACATAATATAAAATGCACCATTTAAAACAATGTACAGTTTGATGAGTTTGGACAAACATACCCAACCATATAACCAGTACCACAGACAAGATAAGAGTTTCCACATGCCTCCTTACAATCAATCCTCTGTCCCCACCCTTGGCCCAGCTGCTTTCTGTCATTATAGATTAGTTCTGCTTTCTCTGGAATGTCGTATAGATGGATTCATACAATTTGTAATATTTTGTGTCTTGCTTATTGTGCCATAGATTATGACATAGGCTTTAAGCAAACAAAATTCATCTCGTGTACCTACTCCCTGTATGAACTATACATTTACAGAGAATCTGCAGTTTAGTATACTGAATGCATACTTGGCTAACAATAGTCCATGTGACCATGGTAGCCTGGGTGTGTGGCATTCTGCTGTTCAAGTCAGAAAGAAATGTTTCCAATTAAAAAATCTTGGATGTCTTTTTTTTTTCTTTTTTTTTGAGATGACGTCTGGTCTGTCACCTAGGCTGGAGTGCAGTGGTATGATCTTGGCTGGCTGCAGCCTCCAGCTCCTGGGTTCAAGCGATTCTTGTGCCTCAGCCTCCTGAGTAGCTGGGACTACAGTCACGTGTCACCAGGCCTGGCTAATTTTTGTGTTTTTAGTAAAGGTGGGGTTTCACCATGTTGGTCAGGCTGGTCTTGAACTCCTAATGTCAAGTGATCCGCCCACCTTGGCCTCCCAAAGTGCTGGGATTATAGGCCTGAGCCACTGCCCGGCCAAATCTTGGTTATCTTTAGACAGTTATCAGCTACCAGTTAGTGGCAAAGGTTTAGGGATATGGGAGTTTGTGGACTCCTCTGTTTCTATTTGCAAAATTATTTTAACCTTATACTACATAACATTTTTGTTGCTGATAAGCTGGCATGTATATGAACCAATTTGATTCAATCAAATGGCATTTATTTTATTTTTTAAATTATAGAAATAATACATACTTATTGTAGAAAGTTGGGAAATAAAAGGAAAAGCACAATAAATCTTTTTCCATATTATCTCATAGAGAATAACATTTAATTTCTTGGTACATTTATTTCTAGGTTTTTTTTTTCTAGACAGTTTTTTATATAGCTATGATAATACTATGTATACAATTTTGTACTCTTTTCTCATTTACTATTTTACTTACTTCAGTTCCATGTCATTGAAAACTTCATGAACATAATTTTAAATGGGCATTTATAGTTTGCCTAATATATAGATATAGAGATAGAGATATAGATTGATATAGAAAGAGGGTTTCATTGTTCAAAAAAATGAGATTTATAAAGCACTAGAGATGTTCCCTTTAAAGGGACCCTGTATGGGTCTTGTTTTCCATCAGTATGTATGGATTATGCTTACAACAGAACACAGCTATACCTACTTGATAGAAAAAATGCACAAACTGGCTGCTAAGAGGGTTCTTCCTAACCCTTTTTTCTTAACACCTTAAGTTGCCTACTGGAATTTTCTACCCTGCATGTGTGCTGATTTATTCATACTTCAGTGAGACTACTGCTGAGTTTCCATCTGTCGAATGTCAAATGGACAGAAGTGATTGGGATAGGAGACCAGAGTTATGTTACTTCCTGATGGTAGCTGATGAAGAATATGGGCAATAAAGTTCGGAGTCTTTGCCTTCTGAAGGAGAGTAGCCTTGAAAGACATAAGTGTCAACCATAATGGCTACAGTATTGAAAGTCTGTGTGTCTGCATTGGATGTTCACTGAGCTTAATGGAACTCAAAAGACACCTGCAGATAGGCTGATTTGCAGTAAGATCTCAAATACATCCAAGAGAAAACCTTTGGAGAAAGAACTGAAGGACCTGAATAGGTCCTAAATTGTATATGGAGTAACAATGTTACTTTCCCAGTGATACAATGGACATGAAAAATGCTTAAAAATTCGGTTCGGTTCTGCTTCATAAATATTTATTGAGCTGGCCACTGTGTGAAATACATGAGATGTGACTCTGCAGTAATGGGACTGATTTTTTAAAAACACGGATTCCTAAATTCACATATTTGATTATGGGCTCTTCTTAGAGATTTTAAATATTTTTCCAGAGGTATTTTTACTACTCAAAAACTTTCTAAGGCTGGGTGTGGTGGCTCACACCTGTAATTCCAGCACTTTGGGAGGCTGAGGCAGGCAGATCAGGAGTTAGAGGCCAGGAGTTAGAGATCAGCCTGGCCAACACGGTGAAACACCATCTCTATTAAAAATACAAAAATTAGCCGGGTGTGGTGGTGCGCACCTATAATCTCAGCTACTTGGGAGACTGAGACATGAGAATTGCTTGAACCCAGCAGGCAGAGGCTGCAGTGAGCTAAGATCATGCCACTGCACTCCAGCCTGGGCGAAAGAGTGAGACTCTGTCACAAAAAAAAAAAAAAAAAAAAAAAAAAAAATTCTAACTCCTCTCTTAGAGCTTGCCTTCAACCTGCAGTGTATTTAAAAATTTATGTATATAATATGTATCTATGTGTGTGTGTGTATATATATATGTAATATAGATTTAAGTTTTGTAACTAGTAGGTGTTATTTAGTGTTAGTCTTATGAATGAGGTGGGAAATCAAGATGAGTAATACTCTATCTAAAATGAAGTATGACTGTAGATTACTGAGTCTGATTTTTTTCAGACTTGGTAAGGCTTTTCACTTTCAAAGGAGGAATTCCACTTGTATTGTGTGAAAAAGCAGCATTATTACAATAAGTTTGTTGCTTTTCAAATGAACATGAAGGAAAATACTCATTTAGATATGTGTTCTGATGTGTTTATTAAAAGTTCTAACTCTGTGTATAGAGCCACACCTAGAAAAGGCTATGAACTTTTTGCTTGCTAGGAAAGTGGTGTGGAAACAAACATGAGAGCCTGAGAGCAGGAGCTGGCATCGATTACATGGTGCCGAAATAGGGCTGTGGTGATTGTGTGGTAGGTTAGGAAGCCAGGTGGCTGACTGGGCTCCCCTCTTCGATTTCACACATACCCTCTGTATTAGTCCATTTTCATACTGCTGATAGGGACATACCAGAGACTGGGTAATTTATAAAGAAAAAGAGGTTTAATGAACTCACAGTTCCACGTGGGTAAGGAGGCCTCACAATCATGGCAGAAGGCAAAAGCCATGTCTTACATGGCAGCCAACAAGAGAGAAATGAGAACCAAATGAAAGAGGTTTCCCCTTATAAAACCATCATATCTTGTGAGTCTTATTCACTACCACGAGAGCAGTATGGGGGAAACCATCCCCATGATTCAATTATCTCCCACTGTGTCTCTCCCACAACATACGGGAATTATGGGAGCTACAATTCAAGATTAGATTTGGGTGGGAACACAGCCATACCATATCACCCTTAAAGGTGAAAGTTTGTTTTTGTCAAAATTTTCCCTCTGCTTTTTCCCTTTAGGTTTTCTTTTGCTATTTCTTTTATCCATATTAGCTTATAAGAAAAGGTCTACATCACTGAAAGACCTTGAGTTGAGTGTTTTTGTGTGTGTTAGATTTCTCTTAATTCCGTGTCATCACAGTATTGATTCTAGAAATGGAAAGTAAAGAAGGAAAGCAATTGGCAAGAGTGTTTAGGATGGTTTCTTAAAGTAGGTGGGTGAAACTAATTTGAACTAAATTCTGGAGCATAGAGATGACAGGCATTGCTTCAGTGCACGTGAACTTTACATTTGTATAATGGCTATACATTTTTTGTCTAATGCATGGTAGCATTGTCTTCTACATTAGAATGCAAAATACTTAGGGCAAGGGCTAGTTCTCCTGATCCTTTGTACCTTACAGCATGTAGCAGAGTGCAGGATGTACTTATCAAGGCCCAGCTAAGCTTTCCATGACTCTCTCCTGACAGAGTTGTTACTCCTCGGGTTTCATCACGTTTCTTTAAGCAAACTCTATGTCTTGGTCAGCATGGGCTGCTGTAACAAAATACCAAGGACTGGGTAGCTTAAACAACAGATATTTATTTCTCATAGTTCTGGAAGCTGAGATGTTTAAGATCAAGGTACTCATTGATTCTGTTCCTGATGAGGACTCTCCTGCCTTGTAGATGGCCACCTTCCTGCTGTGTCCTCACATGATGAGGAGGGCAGTGGAGGGGGAAGAGAGAGACAGAGAGATGGGAGGGGTGGGGGGAGCCAGCCAGCATGAGAGCTCTCTGATGTCTCCTCTTACAAGGCCACTAATCCTATTGAATCAGGGTTTCCTCCTTATGACTTCATTTAACCTTAATTGCTAATATAGTTTGGCTGTGTCCTCACTCAAAATCTCATCTTGAATTGTAATCCCCATAATCCCCATGTGTCAAGGGTGGGACCAGGTGGAGGTGATTCAATCATGGAGGTGGTTTACTGCATGCTGTTCTCGTGATAGTGAGTGAGTTCTCATGAGATCTGATGGTTTTATAAGTGTCTGGCATTTCCCCTGCTTCCACTCACTCAGTCCTGCCACCCCATGAAAAGGTACCTTTCACCATGATTGTAAGCTTCCTGAGGAATGTGGAACTGTGAGTCTATTAAACTTCTTTCCTTTATAAATTACGCGGTCTCAGGTATTTCTTCATAGCGTTGTGAGAACGGACTAATACAATTACTTTCTCCAAATATAGCCACACTGGGGTTCAGGGTATCAACATATGAATTTGGGGGAGGCACAGTTCAGCCTATTGTACCCTGGAACATATTATGTGTGTTGTAACAATTTGTTTATGTCTGCTGCCAGTGGACTGTGGTCTTCTCACGTGCTATGCACTGTGCCGGACATTGAGAATCACAAAGATGGATCCTGCCCTCAAGGAGTTGTATTAATTTTCTATTGCTACTGTAACAAGTTACCACATACTTAGTGTTTTCAAACAACACAGATTTATTATCTTACAGTGCCGTGCATTAGAAGTCTGATGCAGGGTTGGTCATGGTGGCTCAAGCCTGTAATTCCAGCACTTTGGGAGGCCGAGGCAGATGGATCACTTGAGGTCAGGAGTTTGAGATCAGCCTGGCCAACATGGTGAAACCCCGTTTCTACTAAAAATACGAAACAAAAAAAAAATAGCTAGATGTGGTGGTGCACGCCTGTAGTCCCAGCTACTTGGGAGTCGGAGGTGAGAGAATTGCTTGAACCCAGGAGGCGGAGGTTGCAGTGAGCTGAGATTGTGCCATTGCACTCCAGCCTGGACGACAAAGCGAGACTGCATCTCAAAAAAAAAAAAAAAATTTTTTTTGGAGGCTCTGAGGGAGAATGTGTTTCCTGCCTTTTCCACTTTCTAGAGGCTGCCTGCATTTCTTGGCTCATGGTCCCCTTTCTCCATGCATCTCGGGGACCCTTCCCCAGTTATATCTCCCTCTGATGCAGATTGGAAATGTTCTCTGCTCTTAAGAATTCATGTGAGTAGAGTGCATCCACTTAGATAATCTAGAATAATCTTCCCATCCCAAGGTCCTTAATTATATCTACAAAGGCCCATTTGCCACTTCAGGAAACATTCACAGGTTCCAGGGATTAAAATGTGGACATCTTTGGGAAGGGCATTATAGTGAAAGAGAGGGACATGTAAATTAGTGACTTAATGCAATATGCCAAGGGCAAGAATGAAAATCTATTCAGGGTACATATATATATGTATATATGTGTATATATGAAAAGCATAGAGGAAAACGGTTGTTTGAGAAATGATGGTTGTAACTGAGGCACTGGCAGCAAGGATGGACAGAAAATGGCTTCTAGGAAGGTAGAATGGGTATTATTTGGGTACCAATTTGGTGTAGGGGATGAAGGAGAGAGAGGGAAAAATGAAGTGAGAATGACTTCCAGATTCTGGATTGGGATTGGGCAGGCTTGTCCCTGAGATAGGGAGCACACTATCTCTAGTGTGAGAATGTATTTATAGGATTCTTTGACTGCAAGTAAAAGAAATATGAGTTGAATTAGGTTAGGCAAAGAGGAGAATTTATTATAAGTTTATTGGCGGGGAGGTTGTACAAGGAACTGAGGACAGGATTACAGTTGGACATCAGACATGAACAAGATTGAGGATACAGGTACTATCCGGATCTTCCCTCTTCTTTCCCTGTGCTCCTCTCCTTGTGTCTTTTCACTTTTCTCTTTCTCTGAAGATGAGCACTTCCCTTCTACTGGTGAAATCTTACTAACCATAGTTGCCAATGTTATTCCTCACTTATAGTTCAGTCACTCAGACAAAGGCCAATCTCTCTCTCAATTGCATACTCCTGGGAAAAGGCTTTGATTGGTAAAGCTCAAGTCAGGTGCCCAATCTGGTGCACACAGCTATGGCCAGGGCTCAGTTTTTCTTCATGCCTTTCTATCTTCATGACTGCTCTGGCTACAACCATGCATTGGATGGAGTGTTTCTTAGAAAAGGTTTCCTGGGCAGACATTCTAATAGAGATCCACTTCAGTGGAGATGCATTCAGTTTTATTTGTCTTTTTCTGCTGCTTTAAAAAAAAGTTGAGATGTAATGTACAGTAAAATGCACATCACTTAAAAGTTTAGTTTGAGGAGTTTTGACAAATGTATGCCCACATCCCAGTCAAGACATGGGACATTTCCATCACTCCAGAAAGTTTCCTCATGCCTCCTACAGTCAATCTCCACTCCTCAAAGACAACCACAGTTCCGATTTCTATTACCATAGAATAGCTTTGCTGGTTGTAGAACTTCACATACATGAAATCAAACCAATATGGTCTTTGGCCTTTTTCATTCTACATAATGTATCTGAGATTGTTGCTATATCAAAAGTCTTTTTTGTGGCAGAGATTATTTCACTATATATATATACCACGTTTGTTTATTCATTCACCTGTTGATAGACATTTGGGTTGTTTTCAGGTTTTTTGACATTATGAACATTTTAATATGTCTTTTTAGAGTTAGAAGGAACTGTACATTAAATGCTGAGATTACAAAAGATGACTTCAGTTTTGAATAAATTGAGTCTGTAGTACTTGTAGGACACTCAGGTAGTATTCTGGGCTCCTCTTGGAGTACAGTCTAAGTTGCAGAAGAGAGACAGGGTCTAGCAATGTAAATTTCTGTAGTCGCCAGCCTTGATTCAGAGTTAAAGCTATGGGAAAGTCCTCAGGCAGAGGACAAACATTAGACAAGAAAATGCCCATATATGAAACCCTGCGAAGCATCAGTATTTGAGGAGCAGACTAAAAAGGAACCGTCTGTGGAGGCTAAGAGAAGCATGGCCATTTATCTTTGTGTCCCGATCATCAGGCACAGGACCCCACACACAGTCACTTCTCAATGTGCTAAATTTCACAGAATGCGTCCAGGGTACCTGGTTCTGGATAGATCCGGTAGAAGGAGATAGACCGGGAGGGCAAATGGCATGAGGAGTCTCACAGGCCAGAGTGATTAAAGGGGTGTATCGGGGCGGTAAACCCTACAGACTCTACCTGTGCTTATGCGGGGCTGGGGAGGACGAGTCATTACAGATGAAGAATTAAGTAAGGTCAGACCACTCAGGGCCTTAGATGGATGTCACATTGAAGAATTTAGACTCCAACAGGCCTGCCACCCTGGGAGGAGTCATCGCGGATTCTGGAGAAGGGCGTGACAGAGGAGATTTCCTTTCGGGAAGTGTAGTCTGGCAGCGGTGCCCCGGTGGTGGCGGCGGCGGTGCTGCTGTTGCTGGTGATCGTGTGGTGGTGTTAGCGGCGATAGTGCTTTCCACTGGGCTTTGGCTTGGTAGCCGCTGAAAGAGAACAACGCTGCCGCTGCTGCTGATTTCATGCCATTTCCTGACCCGGCGCTGTAACTTGGCCTCTGAGCCTTGGCCACAGAACGCAGAGGCCGTGGCATCTGGCCGCAGCTGGGCTGCAGTGCGTGCGCGCCTGGCCTGGTGGTCCGATGGGAAGCCCGGGGCGGGGCAGCCGCGGGGCGGGGGCGGGGCGTCGCGGAGATAGGCCACGCCCCTGCCCGCCCGCGCAGGCGCGCTGCGGGTCGTTAGCTGTCAGAGCCAAGCGGCGGGCTGGCGGCGGGCTCCGACGTCTGCGCCAGGACCTGGCTGGCTGAGCCCGGCGCAGCAGCAGCAGCCAGGGCAGCGCGGCCCCTACTCCCTGTCAGGTCGTAGAGGCGAGCAGGGACCAGCTGGTCGCCGGCCCCTCGGGCAAGATGGGGAACCGGGAGATGGAGGAGCTGATCCCGCTGGTGAACCGTCTGCAGGACGCGTTTTCGGCGCTGGGACAGAGCTGCCTGCTGGAGCTGCCGCAGATCGCCGTGGTGGGCGGCCAGAGCGCCGGCAAGAGCTCGGTGCTCGAGAACTTCGTGGGCAGGTAAGCGCGCAGGGCGCGGAGTAAGGATGCGGCAGTGGGGCGACCCCGCTGCGGGCCGTTGGAACGTGGACGGGCAGCGGGAGCCAGAGGGTGGATGGACCAGGCGCTGCGGTGGAATGGGGGGCAGAGTGGAATGGGGGGCAGAGTGGCGGTGTCCGTGGGGCGGGCGGGGTCCTCCAGCTCTGGGCATCCTCCGTCCCCTGCCACCCCCCGCCTGGTGGCCCTCCTGCCTGCCTTTCATCGTGCGATACAAAGCCATTTCCTCCCTGTCCTCCAGTCGGGGAGTCGGGGGAGGGGTCCGCCCCGGGCTCGACCCCCACCCCCTCGGTGCGCGCCAGCCCCGGGCAGCCTCCCTGCGTAGCGCGCCGAAAGCTTCCCAGTGCCCCTCTCCTGTTTTCCCAGCTCAACACCCCCCTCCTTTTCCTGTCGCCCTCCGTGAGGCTCCCTGTGAGGCTGTGGGGCTTTATCCCCCGAGCCCCCTCCCTTAGGTGGAGATGCTTTCCTTCTCGCCAGGGTTCTCGTTCCTCTCAGCTGTCTACTGTTGCCTGCCTCTAGCTGGGGAGGCGGGGTGCGAGGAGAAAGACGTCGTTTGTTGTGGTGAAGCTTTATCCAGAGACGCTTCCCCACCATTCTCCTCCCGGAGAGTCGAAGAATAAAAGGTGGTGTGTTTGCGTGTGCACCTATTCACAGCTTCAGGCAATTGTGAGAGAGCCCGAGGCACAGACTTGGCAGGGGGTGGACGTGGACTTATGTTGTCCAGGTGCCATGTCATTCCTGCATCATCTCGGAACTGACCAGCATCTTTCTCGCACTCTCTCTGCGCCCCCTCCCCCAGCATCATCTTCCGTTCTCTAAGCTCCTATTTGTCTTGCTAGCCTTCAAGACAACATTCTGAATCTAAATTGTAGCTGTGGTTTTCCTCATGACTCTTAATACAGAAACAGCTAAGGAATTAATTTTCGAATTAGGAATCAGCATTTCTTCCACTGAGCAATTCATGAGGGATTAAGTTACCTTAATGGCCTTGCCTGAAGAGTGCAGACATTTGCTAAGAAAAGCCCATTTAAAAGCATTATGAAAACTGAAATCTGTTTCCTAGTAATAGAAAACCAGGTAGAAATGTACAGTATCCAAGAAAAAATGCTGGCGAGATTGTACTTTATTCTTTTTATTTGGCTCATTCGTGACTTGGGATGCAGAAGGTTCCTGTTTCTGTTCCTTTTTTCTTTTTTTGTTAGTGCTTGGTGATGTGTAGAATTTAGAGCTGAATATTCCCACATTTCCTTTGGAAATGTTAGTGTTCATAAAGTACATATTCCTTTCTCTCAAATGATATTCCATCTCTCAGATGATATTTTTTTTCCTGTATGAACTAGAAAGATAAGAAGCCTAACAAAGTAAAATTGCTGACAATTGGCTTGTATCCTTGAGTAATTCACTTAATCACTACACCTCATTTTTATATTTTTTTTGATTAATGAACAAAGTGAAGGTAAAGCATTTTGCCTACGTCATCTTAGACTTTTGGTGAAGTGATGGATTTCAAACATATAACAGTTACTTTCTTTGATTTGTTGCCAATGAAATTTACGAGATATAAAGTGGCATCCAAAGAGTGAGTTTTGGTAACATATTTTTGGCTTTCCAAAGCCAGGGCATTTTTGTCATGACACCTTAAGAGTTATTTAACTATTTTTGTTTTTTAAACAAATACTTAAAGATTAAAACTGTAAGTATTTCAAATGAAATTACCATATTTTTATGCATCTCCCATATATTTACTTGGATGAGCCTATATTGTATGCAAGTGCATTGTTTGTGGTCAGAGCTTTTGAACTTAATGTCAGTTGTATGCACATACCACAATTCTACATTCTAGGTTTTGAAATTCTAACATTCTTCCTAATGTTATAATAAAATTGTACACATCTCCCCACACTAGCTATGTTCTTTTGGAATAATTTGAAAAAAGAAATGTAGAAGAGTAAAATATTTAAGTTTGAATATTTTTCAAGATGGAATAAAAAATAGGGACAAGTATAAAAATCAGAGCACGTACCAGAATGCATTAGTAATTTGTTGTACTTTAAAAAGTTTTACCACTAATTGACTGTTAGAACGCCAAATCAAAGAAAAGGATGACCATAGAGGAAAAAGGTCATTTAATTCATATGTAAAGTCTTAATTATATGTAGAGATAACACCTGCCTAGCAGAGCTTACATATTAAGGAGAAAATTTAATTAGGAAGGTCATTTGACTTTAATAAAGATTTCGGTCATTGAATTATTGAGGAATCTAATTTCTAATTATAAACCAACCTTAGGGAAAATGGAGTTTTCTATTTTGATAAGTTATTCAGCCTAGGTGGAAAAAATTGTATCCATTTTCTACTGTAACATCTTAGCATTTTCTTGTCATTATCCAGGAATTTTGCAATAAAAACAGTTTCTTTCCTAAGGATGCAACTTTCCTCTTTTACACGAAACAGTTTTCATTTTAAGACTCGATCTAATGTGCAGTTATTGAATGCAGCCATAAAAACCAAGGGTCATCACTTGTGTAAATTCATTGTGTTTGCTCTTGACTCAAGCTTCTTCTCTACAAAATAATGATGCATTTTCTCAACAATCCTCATTTAGTGGACTAACTGTATCTTCTCTCAGTTTGTTTATATTGAGTTTTTTTGGACACCAATGAATGAATTCGGATGTGAATATGTTTACTTCATTTAGCGGTTGCTGTAAAAGCTGATTTTTGGGTGACAGGTTTGAGATTGTTATGAATAAAATGAGTCATGAATGAACCACTTGTTTGTGATTTTCTTGCTGAAGTGATGAACTTGCATATTAATGTGATATAGCATGAGTAACCAGATTGTTCTTTTGGTGGTGCAGGATGAGATATATGCTGGCAATGAGAGGCAGCTTAAGATCTAATGAATAGAATTTGAGACCTATAATCTGAACATAGGGGTTTACTAGCTGGCTTGGGTCTGCCTACTGGTCTGATTTGTATACAGAAGAATTGAATTTATTCAACTATTTTCATTATACGTATACATATATTTATAGTGCAGTGGTGATGATAATAATGGTTAACATTTATAGAGTGCCTGTTATGTGTAGGTACTATTCTGGGTGCTTTTATATGAATAATCTCATTTAGTCCTCATACAACCCCAAAGAGGTAGGTACTCTTATGATTTCCATTTTACAGAAGAGGAAATCAAGATTTAGAGAGTTTGAGTAACTCACTCAAGGATAATTTAATTTAATATAAAAACAGTGGAGCTAAGATTCAACTAGAGGTGTTGATGACCATAACCCATGCTCTAGAACCTCTGTGCCATATTGCATCCTCCATGTTGAGGTTTACCATTTCCTCTGATAAATACTTTTAACTTCTGTCTTGCTCCCTATATAAATGTTACCTATATTAATAAGAAGCTGGCCAGGCACAGTACTCATGCTTATAACCCCAGTATTTGGGGAGGCCAAGGCGGGAGGATTGCTTGAGCCCAGGAGTTTGAGACCAGTCTGGGCAACGTAGTGAGATCTTGTCTCTACAGAAAAACCAAAAAATAATTAGCCAGGTATGGTGGAGCATGCCTGTAGTGCCAACTACTTGGGAGGCTGAGGTAGGAGGATCACTTGAGTCCAGGAGGTCAAAGCTGTAAGTGAGCCATGATTGTGCCACTGCACTCCGGCATGGCTGATAGAGCAAGACTCTGTCTCAAATAATAATAATAAACAAGAAGCTACTATGTTAATGATTTTATTAATATTTATTTACATATGTTTACCTTGCCTCATTTCACAGAAGATTTGAGGTGACCCCTTAGGCAGAAGCAACATTTATTAAAAGATAAGTATTTTTCTTTGCTATATTAGACATTCTTGAAGAGAGTTTTAAAATGTAATTGGATTGTTTATTTAAGTATGTTTTTAGAGTGCATATAACTCATTTATAGAGGTGTTAAGTGAAAACTGTACTAGTTGCTAATACGCAGATGTTTTAAAATGACACGCTTGTTAGAAATATTAGTTTTTCAATGCTAATTATATAGGCAGAAGAGTCCACATTATTTTATTCTAGTCTGAGTGGTAAATAGACTCTCAATTCTGCACAAATAGAAAAAGTTTTTTGATTAATGGGGACGAAATAAAATATTTTTAAAAAGTGATTATGCTGATATTTTTCAAGAAATTGCTTCTAAGTATTATAGTTATTAGATAAATGGTGCTTACAATTAAAATGTCATAATTATTGAGAACCATACTTCATAGTTCCCAAGGTCTATAAATAAAGTGTCAAAACATGAACTTTTCTTCATGCAACAATGAATTGGTAGAACTTGAAATCACAAAAATATTTTTGCTGAATTAACATTATATAATATACTTTTAGGTTATCACAAATTCACAGTTGGTGGTACTTAATTACTACCATCAAATGAATTCCTTTTTTATTAGTAATGTCTGAGAGCAATATAACTAAGATAACTAGACTGGATAGGATATCTCTGTTTTGGAATTTACTTATGATTAACAGTTATCCAAAAATGCACTTGATTTAACTTCTTTAAGAATGAAGTTGGGCAGTCACCCAGAACCTTGGAGGAATGGAAACTTAATGTTTAGCTGGATTAGAGGGTAGGCTATTGGGTTCTCTATCAATGGAGTATACATTTAGAGTGTTAGGTATTCTTCTTAGGTAGTACCTTTTGCTATGGCTAGTAAGTTAAATTATGAAGTTTTATTTATTATTGTCATTTATTTTAGAGGGACTTCAAGTATCTAGAAAGAAATAGATTATTTTTTTCCTCTGCTACCAGAGCCAAGTCAAGAGAGTCCCAAGCTCATATGCTATATAGAATGATCCAATTTAATTTTCTGCATGGCCAAAGTTTTGCAATTTATCCTAGTCCAAGTTTGCATTGCAGTTTCTCACACTCTCTGCATTGATTTAAAAATTCTTATGGATTATGTCATACTAAATACATTTTATAAAGTAGACGGAAAAAAGGGGCCAACATTTGCTTAGCCATTATGGGGTAGCAGACATGGATTCTGCTAGATACTTTTCATACCTTCTATTCCTTACCTGTTTCCATATCCCCATGTCAATAGGGGAGAAAATTCAGGGTTGGAGAGACAAGTCATTCACCCAGGATCGTATAGCTAGCAAGCAGCCAAGCTGGGATTCAGTATGACTCCTCCTGGAACTCTTGAGAAATATGGACACATAAAACCAATGAACATGTATTTATTGAGTTCTAAGTTTACTGGGTAAGAATATACAAGAAAATATGAATACATAGAAGCTTATGTATGTATAAAAAGAGAACTGACAGGATAAAGTATGAGACAACTTTCAAATGCACATGTAAAATGAAGGTAGTCAGATATAATGCAAACTAATCAGGATAAAAAATTATAGTATGTCAATTTATTTTTACAAAAATCCCTGAAAAACTACAGTTCTGAAATTGAACTGAATATAAGTGGAAAGTAGACAATATATGCATTTCCAGTGTCATCTGGCAGCCCATATCATTTTAGCTCAAGCCTGCATGTACTGAAGTATCTATGTCAAAGCAGGAAGGTGGTGATCTGTGTCTCAGTTTCTGAGTTGACAACAAGGCATTGAATTTAGACTGTGACTTTATCACAAAGAGATACTGTATATTGGAGAGGGCCCTAGAGAAGAGCAGCAAGGAAAAAAAAAGAGATTGGAGAGATTAAAAATATAACTGGATGCAGTGAAGGTTAATTGAGAGTGGGATGGATCAGATCAAGTATTTTATAAGGACTTCCAAGGCACTAATACTTAAGGGAGGTGAATTCTATTTTCCTTTTAAAGAATAAGTCATTTAGTTAAAGGAGTAGAATAAGTCAAAGACACAAATGTCAGGGAAAATGTCCTAAAGGCAAACCTGAAAATGGAATGAATTGTTTAGAATGGGAGGAGGGTAAAGGAGTTGACACTAAATGATTTGCATTTCATGAATTAAAAATCATTTCCAACAAATTAGAGGGTTCATTAATACCATATTAATTACTCTCTCTCTCTCTCTCTGTGTGTGTGTGTGTGTGTGTGTGTGTGTGTGTGTGATCATAGGTAGCTTAGCTTTTCTTCCTTTAATAGTAGCAAGACTGGCATTTGATGACATTATTATAAGAAGCTTTTCTCTGGCTTGATTTTCTCTAACTTCCTGGAGCACAGTAGGATACAGAGAAACCAGAGATTTGCCCAAGGTCAGAAGAAATCAGAGCTAGGTTTGGAACTTAATGTTAGGAACTGGGAGGCCTGTGCCAGTTCATCATCTTCTCTTCCTCCTGTTATTGTTTTAGAGCACCTCCCTCCAACCCTCACCCTGCCTCCTCCTTTTCCCATCCCTTTGCATTGGGCCAGCCTTTTTCTCTTCCGTGATACTCTCTTTCATTACTCTTCTTGATAGTTGACCAGCAGTGACATTGCATTTTATTACCTTTTTTTTCCCATACAGAATAGTGGAGACAGGGAGCAGAATTTTTCTCAGACTTAGGCAAGTTAATTTGACTGAAATAGTATACTCGTGAGTAAAGCGTGACTTTTAGGGAACAGATGGGCCCAGGAAAAGACTAAATAAGATATTGGATGTTTTTACACATTATTAATATTTATCCACCAGGTGGGCATTAGCTAGAAAGATATGCCTGAGATGGTCATCAATAGGCCTTGCTTAAACCAACACGAGCTTCTGAAAAGTTGTATGTAAATAAATAATCTAAATGGAAATGTTATTATTTAAACAAGTGGGTGAACTTTTAGGTAAAATAAAGATGTATTTGTGTAGCAAATCTGCATCCTTCAGTTTGCCTGTTTTCTATTCTTTTTGTGTGTGTGTTTGCATTCTTAGAGTGCATTGAGTGACATTGAGGTCCATTAATGTTATAGAGATTATTTTAACAATTTTTCAACAAGCATTAATATTGCATTGTCTTTAGTGTTAATTGATAACAAAAACAGAGCAGTTGTTGAGGAAAATGATGATACATTTAATTCCGGAATTATATGAATGATACAGGATTGCTTTAGATCTTGTTTTTCTCTAATATCCCTGCTGCAAGTCCTCTATTTCCAAGGGTTTAAAATGTACCTCAGTGCTTCTTTGTGACAGTGTGTCATTTTTATTTCCCACTGCTTCAAGGTCATGATATACCCATGAATAGCATATATATACATGATAGCAGTAGCTAGGTATCCTGAAGGACCTCATTGTTTATCCTTCCAGTGGCTTGGAATTGAAAGACTAATCTATTTGATAAGTAATTTGATGGGTGACTAAACTTGTTTATGGTGCTTATTTTTTTAGATTTCTCAAAAGTGAGTATTTGAAGAGGAGTCATCACAGCATGGTGATGGAGTGCAGGCTTTGCTGGCAGCTCTTGAGTCCTGCCTCTGACTCTCACTGGTAGCATGGCTCCTCATTACGGAATCTAGCCTCACTTGGCCTCAGTTCCTTCATCTGCAAAATAGGGATTGCAGACTTCACCTTTTAATCTGTGTGTGAGTTCTGAGTAAGATGGTATCAAGTGCCTGGTCCATAGTATGCATTCAATAACTGATTGCTCTTAATTTAAATCTTTTATTTAGACTGGACATTTTTTGAGTGTTTTAAAAACAAAAGTAAGTTGAGGCAGATGGTAATGCGTATTTGCAAATTCTTTTCGTGAATGTTGGAAAATTACAGTTGCATCAAAATACTTACTTGTAGATAAGGCTAATAGAATATATTTGAGCCTTCTTTAAAGAAAGCATTGCCCACATTCGTTAAATGCATTATCACAATGTGTTCTTTTTTTTTTAAACCAATATATACAAAGTGAACCCAGTTTGTATACTCTTCCCTTCCAAGAGTTCCAAAGCAGTTTTTATCATTTCATTAATCCTTCGAATTTCTGTGAGAAGATAGCAAAAGCATGTTTTGTTTACTTTAATTTAGAAATAAAAAAGATTAAGCTGGAAAAAAGTTGGGTGACATACTGGGGTCACATGGTGAGTACTAGAAATTAATGAACAAAATAGACTTAATAACAGATAATAGAATTAAAATGAATTTTTCTGACATTATTTTTAGTTTTCTCCTAGAGAATATATTTTAAGGAAGATATTTGATGCTGTGATATAAAGTAAACCATTCTTAGCATATTCCTTTTCTTTTGGAAATGTTAGATGAAATTGCAGGCAAAGATGGTGTAGAAGGGGGAAAAACAATTGAGGAAGTCTAGTTGGCGAAGCAGGACTACTTAGCAAGAGTATGGTCTGAGCCCAAGGAAACCATCTACAACCAAGTGTTCAGGAGGTAAGGTGTAATTAGATCTTAAAAGAAGTACCAACATTTTTGTAGTAGATGTTGAAATAATACCAAATCACTCTTTTTTCCAGTGGAAAGATTCATATTCTGATTTGATTGACATTCCCATAACTTGTTAACCATCAGTTTTAGCTCTGAGCTAGTCAGCTGGTTCTGTTTGGAATTACATTATTTTTAAGTTACTAGATATACCTCAGAAGCTTTGAAAAGAATAGCTTTGGGTTTCTTATCTAGTGGAGGTTTAGAACCCTGTATATGTGTGTCTGTTTATGTTTTCTGGTTAATAAAACTAAGACCCATTCTCTTCATATTTTGAAAAGAGGGGCAAAGGCTTGCAATTATTTTTATAGATCCTAGCATTCATGGTTCTGAGTCCTACTACCAGGACAGCAACAATTGTGTGGTGAGATTTCTGCATTCTCATCTAAATACCGATAGAACGACCTGCATACTGAAGTCCTTGTAAATTCAACTTAAGAAACTTTAGCCTGTTTATTTAATCCTAAAAACATATCATGTAAAATGTGTATGTGTGGGTACTTGATTTGAATTATGTACTTTGAAAGTTACATATTCTCTTAGGGCTTTGTTTTTTTTTTTTTTTCCTCAGAGTAAGTTAAGAAGGGAAGTGGCAGAAGGATCATGAGTTCCTTGCTTGCAGAGTAAGTGGGGAGATGAGAAGGAGGAAGCAATGCTTTTGTGAGTGTCCACCAGATTGTAGGGACATACGAAGAGAAAAGACTGGTAAGGTTCAACCACTGTGAGAATTAGGAGTATTTGTGAATGAGTTAGTCTGGGGTGGCTTTGGTTCTCTCCTGCTCCCTGTGGCAGGTGGTCCCTGCATATTTGTTCAAAGTGTGCCACAGGTAAGCAAGGTAGCATGCCAAGAACAGTGAGAGCTGGGTTTAGTCTGGCCTCTGCTGTCATCTGCTGGTCTTCTCAGCTCTATCTGTCTGATTTAGAGGCCCCTCCTTGGTGGCCCTTGTTAATATTTCACTGCACAGGAATCTACCGAACAGTTGGTTGCCTCCTCTGTCTGCTCAACTATTTGCAGCTTCCACGAAGCCAGGAGCTGTGTCTCCTTTATCATTTTCCGTAGTGCAGTGCCGGCATATGGCAGGAGCTAACTGAATGAATCAGCTACTTGACTCTGTACAAGCCATTTATCTAAGCTGAAACATACCTTTGTCATCAATAAATTGGTTGAGAATAGTTGAGTGGGCTTGGATTAGAACGGTTGTTGTTTTTTGAGACAGAGTCTCGCTCTGTCGTCCCGGCTGAAGTGCAGTGAGTGGCATGATCTCAGCTCACTGCAACCTCTGCCTCCCAGGTGCAAGCAATTCTCATGCCTCAGCCACCTGAGTAGCTGGGACTACAGGAGTGCGCCACCACACCTGGCTAATTTTCATATTTTTAGTAGAGACGGGGTTTCGCTATGTTGGCCAGGCTGGCCTTGAACTCCTGACCTCAGGTGATTTGCCCGCCTCTGCCTCCCAAAATGCTGGGATTATAGGCGTGAGCCACTGCACCCGACCTGAACAGTGCTTTTTAAACTGTAGATTGTGACCTAATAGTGGGCCATGATATCAGTTTAGTAGATGGTGTGTGACAGTGTTAAGCGAAGTATCAGACTACATCCAAGGTAGTTATAAGTACCACTTTGTGAAAGTTTTGTATTAGTTGCATATTTGTATATGCATACTAGGCTGCAATGTAAAATGTATTTCTTACTATGGGTTATCCTCAAAATTGTTGAATGCCTCTGATCTAGATTAAATCTAATATTACTTCTAGTCATTTATTTGGTTATTTTCTATTTAAATGGCAGGACATATCTTTTTATTAGAGAAGACACAATTCACACTATACCATTACTATTCCACTAGGATGAATTAAAATGGAAATAACTTTATTAATTTAAAAAAGCTGTCTTTTAATTGAAAAAGTGATATGTACATGTAATACAAATTCAGACATTCCAAAATACATTATATTTATACCACATAAATCCCTTTCCCCTATTGAGGTTTCTTAGTAAGATGTTTCATTTACCTGCCTATCTTCCAGATTACTTCTGAATTTATATTTTCTTTATATGAAATTTATTTGAGTTTTGAGGACAGAGAGAATTTAATAAACTTGTTTGTAAGTAGATGATACAACCAGTTAAGAAAGGACATGTTTGAAAATTCTTTTAGCAGATGGATTTGTCCATTTACTGAGTCATTTACAAAGAATCATATGTTGAGAGTCCACAATATGCCAGGAATTGTGTGAGGCTCTGGTATGCAACAGCTCCTTCAAAGAGCTTGGTGATCCAGTGGGTACAGGATTGCTATGCACTGCACTGTCAGGATACCCAGGCTAACAATTCTTATGAGAGCCATTTGTCAGAGAATAGTTGGTGAGTTCATGATACTGTCTCTAAATATTTGAGGAGCTGTTACTTGGAAAAGGATTAGACTGACTCAGTTATCTCCCCAGAAGACATAATTAGAACAAATGGGTGAATGTTACAGGCAGATAGACTTAAACTTAACGTAGAGGAGACTGTTCAATAGAACACTTTAAAAAATGGAATGGATTGCCTGTGAAACAGTAAGTATTCCATCCCCATAAGTGTAGAGACTGGCGATTGATGACTTGCTGGCTGCTTGGCATGGTGTAGTCAGGAGAGGGGTTGAACAAAAGGACTTTGAAGGTTTTTTGTTTGTTTGTTTGTTTGTTTGTTTTAAACAGTCTACGATTTGGCTTGATGGATGTCAGAGAGAAACCTGGCTTTAAAAAAATGTGTGTTTTCTATAGGTTATCTGTAGGTAGATAAGAAATGACAGACTTATAAAAGAGTTAAGACCTCTCTGGGTCTAGACCTTCAAAAAATCATTATGCCTGTCATTGTATGGATGTAAAGAAGCTGGACTCTCTCCTGGAATGGCTAATTCCATGAAGCAGCTGTGGTTAAGGGTGTTTTAGAGGTAAACTGTATTTATTCTTTTTTTTTTTGAGACAGGCTCTAGCTCTGTCACCCAGGCTGGAGGGCAATGGCATGAAAACTGCTCACTGCAGCCTTGATATCCCTGGCTGATGAGATCCTCCCACCTCAGCCTTCCGAGTAGCTGAGACCACAAGTCCGCACCACCATGCTCAGCTAATTTTTAAATTATTTTTTGTAGACACAGGGTCTCCCTATGTTGTCCAGGCTGGTCTTGAACTCCTGGGCTCAAGTATTTCTCCTGCCTTGGCCTCCCAAAGTGGTGGCATTACAGGCATGAACCACTGTGCCTGGTCTGTATTTATTTATTTTTTAAAAAAGCTTAATTTTAAAATCTGCTTTTCTAATTGACCCAATTTCTTTCAGTGGTATACTAGTCTAGAAACTTAAAAAATAAACATAGTTTAGTTTCCTTTTTTTATTTTTAAAATCTTCCTATATCTAACACATCTTGTAATTTCTTTATTCAAAACATCTTTTTGGTCAGCCTTTTCCTCTTTATTCTCATTCTGACCATCAGAGTCTCAGCTGTCCTCCTTTCGCATGTGGGATAACTCTGACAGCATCCTGCCCTCTCACTCTCTCCATTTCTTATTCATCTATTCCATGTAAATATTGCTGCTCTCAGGTTAATCTTCCAAAACACAAGTTTAATATCTCTGTCCTCAGTAACCTGCAGTCCCCTCCCTCCCCTTTAAAAATCTCTACTTGGTTTTCAAAACTTTCTGACCATTCAGCTTTGTTTTCCACTCCTCCCAGAGGTATTCACCTCATTTTTTTCATCTTTTCTGTGTATGCAATGGCAATTTCTGATGACTTAAGAACATGAATAGCTTGAGTAGAGCATATTTTATGACCAAAATGGGTTCAAACAATCAACCTATACTTGAGTTGCTACTTTGTGAAAGACACTGTTTTGGGATGGAAAAAAAAATATTTGCCCTTAACAGAAACTAGTGTAGACTAGCATAGAGTGTAGTCAGAACTTACAGAGTGTTGAGGTAAAGAACATGTATTCTGTGGAGCCTGACTCCCTGGGTTCACATCGTAGTTCTGCCACTTAATAGTTCTGTGATCGAAGGCAATCACTTAACCTGCCTGTGCCTCAGCTTCCTCATTGGTACAATGGGACAATAGTAGTACCCTCCTCATGTGGTGGTTGTAAAAATTAAATTAATACATGTAAAACACTTAGGAGAGTGTCTGTCACATGGTAACATAGTTACCTGTTTATGATTATTATTACTGGGGATGGAAGTTTAGACAGAATTTGGGTGCCTTTAGAGGTGCAGTGTTCTGGATGATCAAAGGAAAAGAGCAATTTTTCCTTTTTTTCTGAGACAAAGTCTCGCTCTTGTCGCCCAGGCTGGAGTGCAGTGGCGGGATCTCAGCTCAATCTATCAAATTCTTACTATTTAATGCCCATTTAAAATCCTACTGGTTTACATGAAATCTTTCTTGGACTCTCCCAAAGAAAAATTGAAAGACCTCTGCCTCCCAGATTCAAGTGATTCTCCTGCCTCAGCCTCCTGAAGAGCTGGGATTACAGGCCCCCACCAGCATGCCAGGCTAATTTTTTTTTTTTTGTGGAGACGGGGTTTCACCAGGCTGGTCTCAAACTCCTGACCTCAGGTGATTCGCCAGCCTCCACCTCCCAAAGTGCTGGGATTACAGGTGTGAGCCACTGTGCCTGGCCCAATTTTTCCTTTTTTAAAAATTATTATTTTAGGTTCAGGGGCACATGTGCAGGTTTGTTTTATAGGTAAACTTGTGTCATGGGGGCTTGTTGTACAGATTATTTCTTCACCCAGGTACTAAATCGAGTACCTAATAGTTATTTTTTCTGATACTCTCCCTTCTCCCACCCTTCACCCTCAAGGAGGCCCCAGTGTCTATTGTTTCCTTTGTGTTTATGAATTCTCATCATTTAGCTCCCACTAATGAGTGAGAACAGGCAACATTTGGTTGTCTGTTCCTGTGTTAGTTTGCTAAACTTAATGGTCTCCAGCTCCGTCCGTGTTCCTGCAAAGAACATGATCTCATTCCTTCAAGGCTGCATAGTATTCCATGGTATATATGTACCATATTTTCTTTATCCAATCTGTCACTGATGGGCATTTAGGTTGATTCCATGTCCTTGCTATTGTGAATAGTGCTGCAGTGAACATTCACATGCATGTGTCCTTATGGTAGAATGAGTTATGTTTCTCTGGGTATATACCCAGTAATGGGATTGTTGGATTGAATGGTACTTCTGCTTTTAGTTCTTTGAGGAATCACCATACTCCTTTCCGCAATGGTTGAACTAATTTACACTCTCACCAACAGTGTATAAGTGTTACCATTTCTCCATATCTTTGTCAGCATCTGTTGTTTTTTGACTTTTATATAATAGCCATGCTGACTGGTGTGAGATGGTATCTTCATTGTGGTTTTGATTTGCATTTTTCTGATGATCAGTGATGTTGAGCTTTTTTATTTTTTTCTTCTCATATCCCTGTTGGCCATCTGTATGTCTTCTTTTGAAAAATGTCTGTTCATGTCCTTTGCCCACTTTTTTCTTGTAAATTTGTTTAAGTTACTTACAGATGCTGGATATTAGACCTTTGTCAGATGCATAGTTTGCAAAAATTTTCTCCCATTCTGTAGGTGGTCTGTTTACTCTATTGATAGTTTCTTTTGCAGAAGCTCTTAAGTTTAATTAGAATCCCTCTTGTCAATTTTTGCTTTTGTTGTTATTGCTTTTGGTGTCTTTGTTATGAAGTCTGCCCATTCCTACGTCTCAGATGGTATTGCCTAAGTTGTCTTCCAGGGTTTTTATAATTTTGGGTTTTACATTTAAGTCCGTAATCTATCTTGAGTTGATTTTTATATATGGTGTAAGGAAGGGGTCCAGCTTCAATCTTCTGCATATGGCTAGCCAGTTATCCCAGCACTATTTATTGAATAGGTAGTCCTTTCCCCATTGCTTGTTTTTGTCAGCTTTGTTGAAGATCAGATAGTCGTAGGTGTGTGGCCTTATTTCTGGGCTCTCTATTCTGTATTCTGTCCCATCAGTCTATGTGTTTGTTTTTGTACCAGTACCATGCTGTTTGGTTACTGTAGCCCTGTAGTATAGTTTGAAGTCAGGTAGTATAATTAGTTTAGCTGTGTTCTTTTTGCTTAGCATTGCCTTGGCTACTTGGCTGTTTTTTGGTTCCATTTGAATTTTAAAATAGTTTTTTTCTAGGTCTGTGAGGAATGACATTGGTAGTTTGATAGGAATAATATTGAATCTATAAATTGCTTTGGGCAATATGGCCATTTTAATGATATTGATTCTTCCTATCCATAAGCATGGGATGTTTTTCCATTTGTTTGTGTCATCTCTGATTTCTTTGAGCAGTATTTTGTAGTTCTCATTGTAGAGATCTTCCACCTCCCTGGTTAGCTGTGTTCCTAGGTATTTTATTCTTTTTGTGGCAATTGTGAATGAGATTGTGTTCCTGATTTGGCTCTCAGCTTGGGTGTTGTTGGTATATAGAAATGATAGTGATTTTTGTACACGGATTTTTCTATCCTGAAACCTTGATGAAGTTGTTTATCAGCTGGATGACACTATGGGGTTTTCTAGATATCAAATCATGTCATCTCTGCAAACAGGGATAGTTTGACTTCATTTCTTTCTATTTGGATGCCATTTATTTCTTTCTCTTGCCTGAAGAAGCAGTCTTTCAATTTTTCTTTGGAGAGTCCAAGAAAGATTTCATGTAAACTAGTAGAATTTGAAATGGGCATTAAATAGTAAGAATTTGATAGATCGAGATGAAGCCAGACGCACAGAAATAAGGATGTGTTTAGGGAACAGAGAATTTTCTATGTGACCTATGTGTCTAGAAGAGGAGTGGTGGGAGATAGAGCTGGCAGAGTGAATTGGGGCCCTATGGAGGATTGCTAAGATGAGGAATTGGTACTGAATTTAGGAAGCAATGAGGAGCTGTTAATGATTTGTAAGAGACATTGCAGTGTGCCTGGAGTCAGGCTTTAGGAAGATTAAGTTGGCCACATATTAACTGGAGGATACATAGATGGAGGGAGACATCTGAGGTACCAGTGGGGAATTAATGATTGAATGGTAATAGGGCTTGAAAAAGTATGTTTACTGGTGGAAATGGATACAGGTCATTTCAGAGACAGAGGCTGTGATTACAAATGGTGAGTGACAGAAAGGCAGAGAGGGAATAAAAAATAATTTCAAACTTTGAGTAGATCCCTGGAGGAAGGATAGTAAAATTCATAGAAGTAAATAAGTTTAGAGAGGGAAGGAATGCATTCTCTCTCTACTTGCAACTGGTCAGATCTTCCATTCTACCATCAAGCTCAGGGTTATCCATGGAACATCCCGTTTGAACACTCTGTCTATGCTGATTTTGACCTTCTCAGATGTCCTGATGACTTATGGTTCAAAACTGTTTAAAACTTGAATATTTCTGACTGTTTCATTAACATTAGCTTTTGCTTCTGGGACAGACTGCAAACCCTTAATTAGTATTCCCCACAGTATCTTGAATGATAGTGTTTTAGGTACCATTATGGACTGAACGTTTGTATCTCCTCCACAAATTCATGTTGAAGCCCAAACCCCAAATATAACGATATTTGGAGATAGGGCCAATTAGGAGGTAATTAAGATTAAAGAGGTCATAAGGGTGAGGCCCTGATCAAATAGGATTAGTGTCCTTATAAAAAGAGGCACTGGAGAGCTCTCTCTCTCTCTTCCTCTGCACAAAAAGAAGAGGCCATGTGGATACAGAGAGAAGGCAACCATCATCAAGTCAGGAAGACAGCCCACACCAGAACCTGAACCAGCTGAATCTTAATTTTGGGCTTCTAGCTTCCAGAACTTTAATAAATAAATCTCTTTTATTTAAGTGACCCAGCATGTGGTATTTTGTTATGGTAGCCTGAGCAGACTAATAAAAGTACTTAACTTGTATTGAGTTTTTGCTAATTAAATTGTTGATCTGACTTAGATGGGTTGGTACTGAGAGTGAGGATCATGTGTTTAAGTAAGAGATTTATTTTTACATTTATGAGAAAAAATTCACTGATGCACTAATATTCTTAGCTTGATAAGCTAGTGTCCTTAGCCCATGTGCCTCAGTTTTTGAGGTATCCATTCTTTCACCTGTACTTCTCTCTTCATTTTCTTAATGATGTAAACTACTTGTGAGTCTCCCATCTCAACCTTTGCCCTCTTCAGCTGCTGACTTAGCTTTCCTACCCGATAACCATCACACAACTCTCACTGTCTAAATGCAGGAACCAAATGGATTTGAAAAAAAGGATTATGATACTGAAAAGATTGGTCCATCCCAGCATCTCCCAAAGCAAGTATATGGATATCTGTGTAAGATTTACCTGAGGAACTTATGAAATAAAGGTTCCTAAGCTCCACTAATGGAGGCCCACTCAGTGGGTCTGGAGGTAAGCCATGGTAATCGGTATTTTTCAGAAGCTCTCCTCATGCTCCTGATAAGCAGCCAGATATGGGAGCTATTAATCACCACTTCCACAATTCCCATTATTTCTGCAGCTGAGGATAACGAATGCAGTGTGTCTTCCTTCCCCATCAGTACACTGAAACCGCCCTTCCCAAGGTCACCAACGATCTCCAGACAGCTTAATTTACTTTCCAAATATGTCTGAAACTGATCATCTGTGCTTAATTCCTACAACCACTGACTGAGTACAAGTTGTCATCATTCATCTTCTGGACTATAACAATAGACTCATAATACTTTCCCCATTTGTAACCTTCCAATCTGACTTTCACACAGCCATAGCATAATTGATATGGAATTCAAATTAAATCACATCACTGTCATAGTTAAAATTTTTCAGTTCCTAATGCCAACAGCATAAAATCATCAAAGCTTCTTGGGATGTCATACAAGGCCCTGTGTAGCCCAGCTTCTCCAGGTTATGTGTTGTTATTCTTTTACCTGGCTGTGTAGCATACCCCCTAGACACCCACCACGCTGTTTCATTGCCTTTGTTCACGTTGTTATTGTTCTTCACCCCACTATTATTATCTTGAATTTGGGTCTCCTTTCCTCTGGGATACCCCAACTGCCTCCCACTTCCTCATGTCTCCTAGGTTTCTTGTCCCTCTTCTGGGTATACATAATTCTCTGAGCATTTCTCTCATGTTATACTTACCACATTGTGTTAAATTATCTTATTTGCTTCTATCACTAAATTGTGAGCCTCTCGAGGGCAGGGTCTCTTTTATTTGTTTATCTTCACTTCTAGCATATGGTAATTTCTGAATAATTATTCAATGCATTAATCTACAAATATAATGGAGAGCTTTCAGCCTTTTTCATACCTGATTTATCTGCAACATGTGATGCCTTTTATTGAACATCCACTGTGTGCCAGGCACTGTCTTAAGCACCAGAAAGACAGTAATAAGTGAAAAAGCACATTCCTTGTCATTTTGGAGCTTGCAGTCTAATGAAGAGGCATATAATAAACAAATAAAAATGTATAATTATAAATCAGTATGGATGCCATGACAGGAATGATCAGGATAGTGATAGAACATGACAGAGAGTGACATATTTATCAGTTGGTCAGGGAAGCCAGTCTGATCAGATGACATTTCAGCTGAAGGACAAGGAATCAGTCATAAGAAGAGCCAGGAAAAAGCATTCCTTGCAGAAGGAACAGTATGTGCTAAGACTTCGAGGGGTCACAGAAGTCTGTGTGTTGGAGGAACTTAAGGTAAGTCAGTGTCTCCAGAGCTCAGTCGAGAGGGAGAAATATAGCAAGGAAAGATAGCAGAGGGAAGTTCAGGTAGGCTCTGTTGTTGCCAAAAATAGATTTTATCCAGAGTGCTATGGTAAGTGACTGAAGGAAGGATTTTAATCAGGTTAGTTATGTAATCTGATTTACATTAGAGAAAGATTACTCTAGGTCAGTGCTTTTCAAGACAATAGTCACTACCCCATGTAGCTATTATAACTAATGCTACTGAGAAATTGAATTTCCAGTTTAATTTTAGTTACTTTAAATCTACTTTTAAAAATATAACGAATTCAGTTAAGTATGTTTTGGTACATGAAGCTACTTTTTCAACTATAAATTTTGTGAACTTTAAATATAGATCAGGTATTTCTGATAAAAATTTAGCATCCAAGTTGAGATGTGCTCTAAGTGTAAAATACACATGAAATTTCAAAGATTTGCTATGGAAAAGAATACAAACTGCCTTATTAATGATTTTATATTGATTATTAATACATATTGAAAGGATTATAAGTTGGAGAAATTGGGCTAAATAAAATGTATTGTTTAATTTTACTTGCTTCTTTTTACTTTTTGTAATGTGGCTATTAGAACATTTAAAGTTATTTACATGGCTCATATTATATTTCCATTAGACTTGCATTGCACTAGATGCTGTGATGATAATGGATTGGAGGCAGGCAAAGTAGCAGCAGAGAGATGGGTTAGGAATCTTTTGCAGTTGTCTAGGTGGGTGATAATGGTATCTTTGATTAGGGAGTGGCAGTGGAAATGGAAAGAAGTATAAAGAGTCTACAAATATTTTGGAAGTAGAGTCATAATGACTTGCTGATGGACTAGATGGGGAAGGGAAGAATGAAAAAACGACTCTCAAGTTTTTGACTTGTGACTGGATTGCAGTGTTGCCATTTCCTGTAGTGGGAAGACTGAGAAAAAAGTTGGGAGTTGAACATCTAAGGTATGGATTTGGGCATGTTAGAGCCTGTAAGGTATGCAGGTGGTTGGATATAAGAGCCTGGGGCACAGAGGAGAGTTTAACTGAAGATATTAATCAGTACTTGTCAATATATCATTGATATTTAAAACCTTAAGACTGCACACCAAAAACTATACAACATCATTGAAAGAAATTAAAGAAGACCAACTAAAATGGAAAGATATCCTATGTTCATGAACTTGAAGACTTAAGTGTTAAAATGGCAACACACCTCAAATCAATCTGCAGACTTAATGAAATTCCTATCAAAATTCCAGATGCCATTTTTGTGCAGAAATTGACAAACTGATCTTAAAATTTTTATGGAGTTGCATAGGATTCAGAATGGCCAAAACAATGTTGAAAGCAAAACAAAACAAGTTGAAGGACTCACACTTCCCAGTTCTAAAACTTACTACAAATCAGTGTAATACTGGTGTAAATATACACATACTAAATGAATGGAATAGACTTGAGAGTCCAGAAATAAACTGTTACATTCGTGGTCAATTGATTTTTAACAAAAGTACCAAGATAATTCAATGGAGGAAAGAGTAGCCTTTTCAACAAATGGTACTGGGACAGCAGTATATCCATGTGCAAAAGAATACATTGGGGCCCCTACCTCACATCATATATACAGATTAACTCAAAATGGATCAAAGACCTAAATGTAAGAGCTAAAGCTACAAAATTTTTAGAAGAAAACACAAGTATAAATCTTGGTGATTTTAGATTAGACAGTAGTTTCTTAGCTACGATACCCAAAGCATAAGTGACAAAATAAAAAATAGTTAAAGTGAACAACATCAAAATTAAAAACTTTTGTGCTTCAAGGGACACTATTAAGGGTATGAAAAGATAACCCAGAGAATGGGGGGAAATTTTTGCAAATTATATATGTGATAGGGAACTAGCATCCTGAATACAAAAGGAACTCTTATAACACAACAATAAAAAGACAAATAACCCAATTAAAAATTAGGCAGAAGACTTGATTTTCTAAAGAATGTATAAATAGCTAATATGCACATAGAAAGATGCTCAACATCAGTAGTCAGTAGAGAAGCAAATTAAAATACAATGATATGCCACCAGGTATCTCACTAGGACAGCTATGATAAAAAGGAGGGATACTAACAACTGCTGGTGAGGATGTGGAGAAATTGGAACACTCATCCATTACTGGTGGGAGTGTCAGATTGTACAGACACTTTGGAAAACAGTTTGGCAAATTCCTCAAAAGTTAAACATAGTTATCATAATGTTATACGAAACAATTCAACTCCTAGATTCATGCTGAAGACAAATTAAAACACAAATATGTACATGCAAAAACTTGTGCATAAATGTTTATAGTAGCATTGTTCATAATAGCCAAAAGGTGGAAACACCCAAATGCCCACCAATTGATCAATGAATAAACAAAATGTGACATACATTGAATACAATGGAGTATTATTGAGCCATAAAAAGGAATTAAGTACTGATACAGGCATGCTACAACATGGATAAATCTTAAAAACATTACACTAAGTGAAAGAAGTCAACGCAAAAGGCCAATAGTATATGATTCCATTTATATGAAATGTATAGAGTAGAGACAGAAAGCAGATTGGTGTTTGCCAGGGCCTAGGGAGAGGAAGGAATGGAGAATGACTACTAATGGGTATGGAGTTTTTCTTGGGTGATAAAAATATTCTGGAATTAAATAGAGATGGTGTTTTATAATATCATGAATATACTAAAAAATCACCAAATTATACTTCCAAAGGGTGACTTTTATGATCTTTAAATTATATCTCAATTAAAAGAAAACCTTAGGACAGAGATAAATCACTTTGAGGGAGAGTATATGAAAGAAGGAAAAGAGAAGCAGCAACAGAAGGGCCCTGCAAGGAAGCCCAAGAAGGAGAGGCCAAAGAACTAGAAAGAAAATCTAGAGACTCTTTAGAACTGAGAGAAAAGAGTAGTTTTGTTGGAGTGGTAGGAGTTGGGAAGCCTTACTGGAGTGGTTGAGAAAATGAGAGGTGAATAAATGGGGACACAGTGTGTAGATAACTCTTCTGAGAAGTTGGAAGAGAGTCTAGGGCAAAGGAGGGTGTGCTTTTTTTTTTTTTTAAAGACAATACATAACATTCAAAGGGGATGCTTTTTTTGATGGGAGATATTAGAGCATTTTTGTTTGCTAGTAGGAATGACCCAGAAGTAAGATCCAAGAAGTAAGGTAAGACCCAGAAGAAGATATAGATGACAAAGTACAGAAAAGCAGAAGAGAGAGGCAGGACATGCTTGAGAAAGTATGGTGAGATGGGCATCCCACAGAGGAGTAGGGATATCTTATCCACTGTAACTGAAAGGTAAAGAAGCTGGTGCAGACAAGAAGGGTGTATAGATTTGGTGGGGAATGTAGGGAAGCTCCAGTTTAATGAAGTGATAGCATCAGCTGATGGTAGGGTAGGAAGCAGAGGGAGGGGCAGAAAGACAGGAAAAAAGTATACAAAGACTATTTGAGGAAATGGGAATGTGAGCTTAGTAGAGAAATATATTCAAAATATTTATGAAATTTCCCTTTTCATAAGCCAATAACAGTTACATGAATTTTCTAAAATGCATGTTTTATCAAACCACTCTACTGCTAAAATCCCTGTTACCCAGCTTCTAAGCATGCTGTAGAGTTTCCTTCATGGTCTGCCATCTGTCTTTATGTCCGTTCTCTCCTTCTCCTTCTATGCACTGGGGTGTGCAGTCCTGCTGAACGACTAAGGTTCCTAGAATGCAGCAAGCCCTTTCATGTCTCCATAGCGTTACACATGTTCCCCTCTACCTGGAAGGCTCTTCGGTTTCCATATTGCCAGGATAACTCTACTTACAAGAACTAGTTATCACCTCTTCTTGAAAGCCTTCACTAAGCCCACAGGTAGAAGGTATTTACTAAGTGTGTGTTGAAAGACTGGAGATACTTAGTATGAGCCTTATTGAATGAATGAGCTCTTTGAACACAGAAGAATTATCCAGAGTCTGGGCTGTATGTGCAAAACGCCAAGGACTTTAAAACTTATGTGGCTTTCTTGGTTTATTTACTCATCTGCAGAATGGAGATAATAAACATTATCTCAATTCCCTTTGCAGAGTCTAAAAAGTGGGTTTTAAATGTCTAATATACTCGTCAATAAATGATAGTTTAAAAAATAGTACTTAAGCAAAGATTTGCATGTAGCAAAACGTGACTGAGAGATTGCTTTCATTGCAGGGATTGCAAGGACACCTGCTGTATTTAAAATGCTGCATTTTCTTGGCATACCATTTAAGACAAATTACAAAAACCTATAACTGAAGCCTGTTTTTCCAAAAGGTACGTTTCCTGGTTTGGACCTGTGGGTAGTGAGTGGAAGAACACATTTGGTGTAGAAGGAAAATATGTATATATTCTGATCTACCCTGCATATTTTCCATTAAGGTCTCCAGCTGCCTGAACATTAAGGAGCTGTGCCAGTAAGGAGGACAAGACCTGGTAACTGGTTAAAAGAAGCTAACAGAGCTCATGATAAGGCTTGCCAGCCTAGAGGACAAACTGCCAGTTGTCTATAGAACAGACAGGACTTGTGGGAGCATAGTGTGTTAAGTGGAGGCCCCTGAGCTTAGAAAAAGGGGCTTTCCTATTAGGCAGGAACCAAGAGAAGCACAAAGAGATCATAGTTTATAAATATGCAACAGACACCTCTGTTTGGAAGGAGGCACAACACTTATTGTGGGATTGTCATTGTGTGGCTTGCTTTTTTCAATAAATTCCCTCCTTAAAAATTTTTATATAGATTGAATATTTGTAAATAGTGTTTTATTATTGATTTACATTATTATGTTAGTAATGCTTTAATTTTCAGTTTTGCTTGCCAAAAATTTTCTAATTCTTGCTTAAATAAAAAAAAAAACTAATTGTATAGCTTGGAGTTCCAAATTTAGAATGAGAATCTTTTTGTGAGGCTAAATTGTTTTGTAATGAAATTAATCACTCATTAATTTGCCTCTTAAAATACAGACTTATTTAAAATCTAGTGGGTTTTCTTAATTGGACGGAGAGACATTCTTGTAATTCATAAGAAGTTATTTATCTTCTCTCCAAATGAAATTATTTTAAAATTTAAATTTATTTATGTCTTGCTTTTCTGCAAAGGAATTGAGGTGGCTTCCTACAAACTATATTCATTTATTTATTCATTCTTTTCTATAACTATTTATGGAATTATTAGACATTTAAAATAAAACATTAAAGTCAAATAGAAGTGAAGAGGCAGGGCTGGGCGTGGTAGCTTATGCCTGTAACCCCAGCACTCTGGGAGGCTGAGGCAGGCAAATCGCTTGAGCCCGGGAGTTCTAGACAAGCCTGGGCAACGTGGTGAAACCTCATCTCTACAAAAAAATACAAGAATTAGCCAGGTATAGTGGTGCATGCCTGTAGTCCCAGTGCTTGAGAGGCTGAGACTGGAGGATCTCTTGAGACTGGGAGGTCGAGGCTGCGGTGAGCCATGATCCTGCCACTGCACTCCAGCCTGGGTGACAGAGCAAGATCCTGTCTCAAAAAAAAAAAAAAAAAAAAAAAAAGAATGAAAAAAGAACTGAAGAGGCAGGACCAAGGTAAGATAAAACCAAGAAATGGAGAATGAAAAATTCCCAAACCTAAATATTGACCTAATAATGGGATTAAACACATGTAAACACCCCATTAGGGGAAAAAGTGAAATATGATCACTTAGACAGTTTTGTTATCTTCGAGGATTAAGAAACATTTTTATTCATACATATTCCTCTAGAGGTGAGTAAAAAACAATTTCTCATATTTTATAACAGCAAATACAGTAGCTTCCTTTCTCTGTGATCTCACTTCTCATCAGGGTTTAGCTGGGTGGGCAACTTTGGATCTTGAGTCTGTATCCCTTTCCTACATTTTCAGATCCATGTTGAGATTTCAATGTAAATACTCATACTTTTACTAATAGATTCAGCATCTTCCCCAGAGAGGTCATGTCCTCTGTGTATTCTCTTAATCAACAAACCTTGAAGCTTTCATATTGCCTTCATCTTTCCTTTCCCCACATATACTAAATTTTGTACATTCTACTTGAGTAGTGCCTTTGTTCTCGTTGGTGCCCTTTCATTTCTGTTGCTGTTGTCCCAGCTCAGAGCTTACTTTCCTCTTGCCTGATTTATCCTAATAACTTATTTAATAGCATCAGTTCTTCCAGTGTCAACCCCCACCTTAGTCATTCTAAATACTCTTGACAGAATTCTCTTAAAGCACTACTCTAATCGCTCCCTTTCCCTACACAATAGAATCCTAACTTCTTGGCATAACTTTAAAAGCTTTTAATGATCTGGCTACCAACTACTTCCCAGCATAATTTTCCATTTCTTTTGTACATCATAGGTAGCCATTCTCTGAAACCGTCCTTGTACTTTCTCTCCTTTGTGTCATCACTCATACCATTCCCTCCATCTAGAATGCTTTTGCTCCTTCTATTCCTCCCATTTCAGTTGAATCCAGCAAATCTGTACTGAGTGTTTGCTACATGCCTAAGGATTGTACCAACTACTTTGGTTCCAAAGATGAGGATAATTATCCTTTCCCTCAAAGATCTCACAGACTTATGTAGAAGAATTGGTAAATTGAAGTTGACATATTGCTTCCTCTATAAAGCTTTCCTAATTTTCAAGTTTAAATTAATTTTTCTTTTTTTCATATGCTTTTCTTTTTTTTAAATAACACTGACTTGTACTTTTCAAATAGAATGTGTGTATGTTTTAAATATAAATTATTTCATATGCCCCATTTTATTATAAGCTTCTATGGCATCATGTTATCTGGGTCCTTAGGTCTTTAGGCATGCCACATTATAATTCTCACATAGTAGGTGTTCAGTAATTTTTTGCAAGGTTGTGTACCTGGTGAATGTGCTGAGATGACATAGATCATGTAGGTATCACTGTCAAAGCAGTCACACTCAGTTGTACTTTTAGGGTCTTGCTTTAAAAGCTGCTTTTAGGTCGTATTTTAAAAGTTTAGGTGCACCTAAGGTTCCAACAAAGGCTAAATGTTTTTAAACTTTTAAGTGACGTGTGTAACCACACATGGAGTTCAGCCTTTGAAGTCAGCAGGAACTCCACACAGCATGTAGAGAAGATCCTGGAACACTTAGGAAGGGGGTAGGAGTGTGGCCTTTAGGGCAGGGCTCCCTAAAGGATAAAGGAGCTGAAGGTCAGGCTTTGAACTGATTTGAAGAAAACTAGTGTCTATGTTAGAGGTGATTGCTTTTGAAATTTGATATAATTCTGGCTAATCCATTGTGAAAATGGCTACTGGTTAAGTAGTTGAGGAATACTGTGCTTCCTGTGCCTCTGTGATTGCTTTATTTCACTAAAAATTTGTATTTTAATATGGCTGTTCGTGCTTCAAACCTCACATATTTGGAATATGAAGTCACATCTGCGCTAGGCTCCAGTAGGCTGCATCCCTGGTTTATCCAGTCCATGATTCTTCTGCTAATAGCCAAGTGGCATTCCATGGGGAGATGCAGGACACATTGTTTTTCTTTCAGATATTAACTCTATGCTAAGGTTAGAGGCACCCAAACTGGTTTTTGTATATTTATGGTATTGTCACTCATAAATTTTTCCATACTTCCTTTGGATCTACTTTTATTTAAATATCTCTTTGTGGAATAATGTTTTCATCATATTTATTATCCACTTTGGACATTTTTAATGGGTTCCAAACTCACATGACTGAGTGTCAAAGAACATCCCCATCATCCTAGTATTTGGTATTTGTGGGTTTTACTTCAGTGGTACCGTTGGTCATATATCACATATATAGGTTCTGTATTTACCATAACCCACCATATTTTATTCATCAAAGATGTCACACACTTAAGATGTAGCATTATTTTATATACAGCTAAGAAAGAAAAAGAAAATCATTGTTAATTAAACTAAGATACTTTCTTATCACTTAACATTTTTGTTTTATAGTTAATGGAAAATATCTTGGGTTGTAGAAAGATTTTTATCATATGCCACTCTTATAGGTATATAAACTATAAGATATAAATGAAATACATTGGTAAATTACTCTAAAAATTTCTTCACATTGAGTCCAACTCTTTATGGATCTTCCTTCAGCTCAAAATTGTTATCTGTGTTTTTCTACCCAGTGTCATCCCCCATGCTACTAAGAGTATTGGTGGTGAAGCATTTCTTAAAAGGCTGCTTCTTGCTTGAGTGAGTGTTATTTTCTAAGAGACAGGATCTCTTAGGGGTAATCAGTTTGGGAATTCCTTGGTCAAGCCCTGGGTCCTACCCTCCCTGATGAGGGTGACAAGAGGTGTCCTGCACACAGCTCCTGGCATGCCAGGCATTCATCTTCTCTGTGGTCTGCTCAGGCCAAGAGGCAGAAACTGAACTGCCCTCAAATACTTGGTACCCAGCCAAGTGATTTTTCCTGTTTTCAACCTTGACACTGCAATCTGCGCATTGCGTGAATAAGTGGAAATTTTCGAGCAAGAAATAGCTTCATGCCAGTTCTATTTGAAATGTTCAAACCACCTATTTAATGGCATCTTCACAGCCATGCATAATTGAGTTAGAGATGTCACAACTTAGACAATTTTTCAGGCAGGAAGAAAGAATTGGCTCTCTTCTAAGTTAGTACCTTCTGGCAACTCTGGCTTGTTTTATCAAGCAAGGATGAGCCTCTCTCTATTTAAAAACTTAATTTTTGTGTACCCTCTTACATTGATTGAGCAGTTGTGGTGTGAGAAGGAACAAAGATGCTTCTGGTGTCCTTTGTACAATTTCTTTTTTTTTTTTGAGACGGAGTCTCGCTTTGTCACCCAGGCTGGAGTGCAGTGGCGCAATCTTGGCTCACTGCAACATCTGCCTCCCGGGTTCAAGCGATTCTCCTGCCTCAGCCTCCCAAGTAGCTGGGATTACAGGCATGCGCCACCACACCCGGCTAATTTTGTACTTTTAGTAGAGACAGGGTTTCTCCATGTTGGTCAGGCTGGTCTCGACCTCC
Organism: Homo sapiens; assembly: GCF_000001405.40. Taxonomy (NCBI): domain Eukaryota; kingdom Metazoa; phylum Chordata; class Mammalia; order Primates; family Hominidae; genus Homo; species Homo sapiens. Next base: position 171,869,010 of record NC_000001.11, read on the forward strand.
TGACCTCAGGTGATCCGCCTGCCTCAGCCTCCCAAAGTGCTGGGATTACAGGCGTTAGCCACTGTGCCTGGCTTGTACAATTTCTTAAACTACAATTGCAGAGCTAATTATTCTTGCATGTGCTTTTTTAAGGCTGTGTACCTAAACATCATGTGGTTGGTTTTTTTTTGGAGAAAACCATTTTGTGAATGCTTTTGGATACAAATAATTGCTTTCCACTCTGAATTAAGGTATGTGAAAACACCTGGCACAGAGCCCAGGCACTGTTTCCTTTGCCCTCCCCATCTGGTGCTGCCCTCCCCATGCCTGAGGAGCTGTGGGCTGCTTGCTTACAGCTCAGCCACATAGGATCTTGGAAGAGTTCAAATTTCTCCAAGATCTCCAGTGTGTGATTTTCACTCTTGCTAAGTGTGTCTCTCCAGCAGCATTTCCTCATAAGGAAAGAAGGTAGTTATATCTGTCAGTTACAATTAGCTGTAGAATTGTGCTGTTTTACCCGAGAAATCCTCTTCTCCAGTTATACTAACCAAGTTTTTCCTGTACTAATATCCATATAGAAACTTAAGCTCTTGACCTGAATTTTTCTGGCTGTTCATTTCTCCTTTTTCCACTTACTTAATTACAAATGGATTCGTGTCATGAAGGGTAATCATTAGTTCTCACTGACATATGATGCTGAGTTATTGCTGGTAAAATATTTCACTGCCCTGCCTTATTGTTATTGTTTGAAAATGTAAAGTAATGCTTATAGGCAATCAATATCTCATGCTACCTCAGGACAGAAATTGAATCCTGACCAATGACTTTCAGTTTAATTTAACCTTCATCTAGTTAAAAGTGGAGACTGAAAACTTTTACATGAACTCAAGATAATTTTTAGATTAGGGAAGTTCTGATGATTCCTGTAATTTTAATTACAGTAGCTCATATCTGACCCTCAGTTTTCTTCACTAATCATTTGGGTTGTAAAGCTATAGTTAGGCTCATTAGACAGAGTGCAGAAGTGCAGATATAGTGTCTAGGAAGATATAAATGTCCATTGAAGAACTAGCCATGGAAGAACTATCCTTGCTCAGGGAAGAACTAGCCTTAACTAGGTCTGGTGGCTTGCTTCAGGACCTATTTAAATACTAGCACGTTTGCTATTACATTTTCCATTATTCTGAAAAAATTATTAAATAACAATATCCGTTTGACATGAATTGCCTTTTATATTCCTTACTGATTTAAAGTAAAATTGGGGTAACATATGATTTTTATAGACTCTCACTCTGTTCTCATTAAGAAGGCATTACTGAAGATAAATTTTAGGTGGGACCAATTACAGACTAATGCAGTTATATAGTCATTGTGATCTAGCTGAAGACCAGGAGTCTTTTAATCAGTTAAAAACCTCTGCAGCCTGGGCGACAGAGTAAGACTCCCTCCATCTCAAAAACAAAAAAACAAACAAAACAAAACAAAACAAAAACAAACAAACAAACAAAAAAAAACCCTCTGAAGTCTCTCATGCACTATTCTGTGTTCTGCAAAACGTTGGCCCTAATTCCCTGAAATAAAAAGTGAGGAATTGATCTTCAGTAAGAGTCTTTTGAATGCTTATTATGTGCCTATCACTTTGCAAATTAGATTATGTATCAAAAGGAGGTTTAGAGTAGTTCTTGAGCTCAAAATTATATTCTTCTGAGGAAAGATATGACACAAAACAATAAAAAAACAGCATAAGGCTAGAAAAATAAAATAAAATGCGAAACTGAACACAATCAGGTACCCAAACTGCCTGTATTTGTAATGTGAAGTCCAAAGGGGAATAATCTGTGTTGAAAGGTAGTACCCAGGAAGAGTTTATGAAAGAAGTATCATTTGAGATGGGCCCCAGAGTACGACAGAATTTGAGAAGACAGAGAAAAAGGTGGAAGATGTGTCTGGAGAAAGAATGGCATGAATAAACACTTGAAGACATGAGAGATTCTGAAATTTTCAGGGAATAGCTTGGGCAGAGGGTTGACTAAAGAGGCTAAAGAGGCAAGATGTGCTAAAGAGGCAAGATTCCAAAAGATCTCAAATGGTAAAAATCAAAAGTTTGCAATGGACATCGTCAGAAATATTGGGCTGGAGAGGGAGATCAGGAAGGGATCAGTACATGTTGTCGAGAAATAAGTGACATGATGTGCAATTATGTATGTGCTCACCACTCTATACTCAACGCCCAGAGCCCCAGGATACAGAGGGTGTTATTTTGGCAACTCAAATTGACAGGAAGCATTGCTGTCAGGGACCTGATTTTTCAAAACACTAAACAATTCTTTATAAAGTTCCCAACAAAACAAAGTATAGTCTTCTCTCAATTTACATGATAGTTGCATTTCCGGAAAATTCAATGCATTGCCTAAATCTTTGGTGTTTCTGGATAAAACAGGATTAGGATCCAGCCCAGATAATTTCACCTACCTGAATGTGCAGCAAAAGACTGAAAAATCATGTAGGATGTGGGATCATTGTTCAGTGCATAGGATTCTCGCAAGAACTGTAGGATGTTTAACATTGCTGGTCCTATGAACACCGTGAAACATCCTCACAAATTTTTTAATTGGTCACCTTCCCCCTAGTAACTATTGCTTTATTTCTATATTAGTGACCATATAAGTTACATACCCTAATTTGCCTTTTTTGGTTAAAATTTTAATTGTTGCTTTATTTGTTTTTACTTGCTAAATAGAATATTTAAAATGTATTTTCTCTGGAATGTTAGATTCTGTGGGTTTAAGAGGTAGTAAATTATTTCTTTATTGGTTACTATATAAGTTACATATCCTAATTTCTCTTTTTCTGTTAAAATTTTAGTTGTTGTCTTGTTTTTTTTTTTTTGCTAAATAGAATATTCAAAGTGTATTTTCTCTAGAAAGATAGATTCAGTGGGTTAAGAGGTAGTAATTTTTTTTTTTTTCAATTTAGCCAACAATTGCTAAGCCTCTACCGACTGCCAGCCTCCATGCAGACGAGCTATGGCCATTGAGCTCACAGAGCTAGCTGATAACCCATCAGGAAAGGAATGTGATAAGGTGTGTAGGGAGAATTTGAGAGATGACAAAGCATTGTAGAGGGTTGAGGGAAGATCAGGGAAAATGACAGAGATCATCACATTTGAGTTAGTGCTTAAAGAATAATTTTAACAGGATTTAAGAGTGTACTTCTTTATAACAGAAAGTTGAATTTGAAATGACTCTCAAATCCTATTCATTATATAGGCTTTGCAGTGAATTACCAAATGGTATATTTTGAGATGAAAAAGCTTCTTTGTTATCTCCCACCCCAAAATAGTTTTTCCTTTTTTTTTCCTTTTTGCAGTTCTCCATCATTTGTTTTTTCATATTTAGATCTGGTCTTCCTAAAGAGTTTATGAGGATAGAAACTGTGCCATATACTTTACTGGATCTCCTGTAGTGCTAGGCATATTGGACCTTAGATATTTTCAAAATAATGTACGTAGGAATGAATAAGCTATTCTTAGGCGCAAATTGTTTGTTTATTCTTTTTGTATTAGCATTTCCTAGGAAAGTGAAGTCAGGATGTTAGTAATGAGGACACCAAGAGGATGTCCCCGCTAGTCTCTCGGCATGCTGGCCAGACCCTGGTTGTGCTCTGTCTGAGTCCACAGAATCACATTGCTTTTCTCCTAGTCCCTATCTGTAGGTAAGAGAAAATGTGGAAAGTCGATGTTTGCTCTGGAAGTTATAGAAATTTCCACTCAGAAGGTCCTTCTTTCTGAAGAAATGTTTGTTTTTTTTTAATTCAGGTCCAATTTGGACAAGATACTCTTGCTTTTTCGAGTCAGTTGAAGAGCAAGATAACAGGTGAAAAGTATTTCAAGAGTTTAGATCAAACTTGATAATATTTGTAAAAACATGAACTGTAAAGTATTACAGAAATTGTTATTCTTTTGTTGTTATTAAGATTGAAGGAGGAGCAGAATCATCCCATAATTACTCCTGGGGGTCTGAGTCTTGTGTTTGATTAGCTTTAACTCACATTTTGTTATTGTAGTTATCAGATGGATTTGGATATTTGTAAGATATAAAGGTGTCTATTCTTTAAGAAGTCAAGTTGAATCATATAAGATAAAGAGATCTTGAAGGGAGCTTCACTAGCTGTGAAGTTGTCCAATCTCTATAAGTGACACATTTCTCATCAGAAAAATGATCTGTATTTCCCAGGGTGTTGAAGAGTTCCTTTAGTGGGTTTGAAGGGTACAGCATGGTGCCTGACCTGTAGTAGGTGGTCCATAAATGTTAGCTATAAAATATTACTATTATTTAAAAGGTTATTTAAAACCCTGAATTCAGCAGACATTTATTGAACACCTACTGTGTGTCAGGCACTGTTTTAAGAGCTAGAAAAAAGCCATAAAGCAAACAAAGATTCCTGTGCTTGAGGAACTCAGGTTTTAACTGGGGAGATGGATAAGCAATACCCAAAGTAAATAAGTAAATTATGTGGCAGATTACAAGATTATTAGGGCCATGGACCAAAGGAAAGGCAAAGCAGGGTAAGGGGGATCAGGCATGTCCAAGAAGAAGAGGTGAGATTTAAGCAAGGACTTGAGGGAGGTGACAGCATTAATTGTGTCTCATCTCCTCAGTCAAGAGTTGATGTTTCAAATGGCAAGATAAATGACTGTAAAAATGCCTGATGTTCTTAACTATTAGACTTAAACCATACGAAAAACTGTACGCTTTTTCTTTTCTCGTTCTCCACGAAGTAAGAAAATACTGTCCCTTTCTTTTTCCCCTCAATGACAATAAAATAAGTATCCCTGATGATATTATCAAATCCTTTTTAGAAGCTGTTTCCTTTACTTCCTAATGGATTTAGCTCTAATCCAAACCAGAAGCACATTTTGAGTCTTTTCTGATATGACATTATTACAGTGAGTGGTTTCTATTTTTCTTCTAAGTGTTGCTTGAACACAGGAAAGGAATGTGAGAAGACCTCTTGCCACAGCTGAAGTATATATTAGAGTACATTATTTAGTAAACGGTAGACAGTTCTTTCCTTGAAACTCATTTGAACATTTATTGTAATGTGAACTAAGTTTTTTCAATTCCTAATTAGAGATGGTAGTTTTTCTGTATTTTAAAATTGGATATCACATCCATGTACATATATACAAACACACATAAATTTCTCAGATATTAAAATGGGATGTCACTAATATGCATATATGTATATGCATCTATATATACATATGTGGATATGTGTAGATATACACATATGCATAGTTTAGTTGATTAGGTTAATTATCTCTTAATTAATTTCTTAATTATTTCAAAGAATTGGGGAAACCAGCAGTTTTTATAGTTAAATATTCCTTGAAATGAAATTAATTGTGGCATTGGTACAAGTCAAAATAATTCAGTGTTTTGGTAGTGGTAGTATCTGTGATAGTCTTAGGCTTAGATATTGCAGTGACAAAGTATCCAGTGGTAGAGTTGATGAAATTGTATTTTTATAGACGTATTTGAGGCTATTATGCTTTTATCATCAAAATATAATATTCATATAGTTCATTACATGGCAAATGCACATGTATGATTAGTGAGCCTGGATTAGTAGCCTTGCTACTCTTGTACTTATTCAGCCACCTTAAAACATAATGTCAACTTTTATTTTAGATCAGGGGGCATATATGCACGTTTGTTACATGGGTAGATTGCATGATGCTGAGGTTTGGAGTATGAATTATCCTGTCACCCCGGTAGTGAACATAGTACCCATAGTATCCAGTAGGTAGTTTTTCAGCCCTTCTCCCTTCCTTTACTTCCCCATCTAGTAGCCCCCAGTGGCTATTGTCATCTTTATGTTCATGAGTACCCAATGTTTAGCTCCCACTTATAAGTGGGAACGTGCAGTATTTGGTTTGCTGTTCCTGTGTTAATTCACTTAGGATAATGGCCTCCAGCTCTGTCCATGTTGCTGCAAAGGACACGATTTTGTTCTTTTTATGGCTGCATAGTATTCCATGGTGTGTAGCTATCATGTTTTCTTTATCCAATTTACTGTTGATGGGCACCCAGGTTGATTCCATGTCTTTGTTACTGTGAACAGTGCTGCGATGAACATATGAGTGCATGTGTCTTTTTGGTAGAGCAATTTATTTTCCTTTGGGTATATGCCCAGTAATGGGATTGCTGGGCCGAATGGTAGTTCTGTTTTAAGTTCTTTGAGAAATATCCAAACTGCTTTCCACAGTGGCTGAACTAATTTACATTCCCACCAACAGTGTATAAGCCTTCCCTTTCCTCTGCAGGCTTGCCAGCATCTTATTCAGCCACTTCTAGAGTTCATTATTACTTTGTCTGAATTGTTTGTACCAAAGTTACTTAAAAAGCCAGTATTATTTCATTGAACTCATTGTGCTGTTGTACCTTTTTTTCTTTGTCTTTTTAAGATGAGTTGGAATATAGTATGTAAAAATGACACATAAGTTAGATTTGGCATCTGAAGGAGTAAACCAAATATTTACTGGCAATAGAGTGTGCCATAGCATTTGAGAGCATTGGAATGAGCCTGAATACCTGGGTTCAAATCTCACCTTGCCACTTACTACCTGGACAACCTTGGGGAAGTTAATTAGCCTTCTAGGCTTTACTTTCCTCATCTGCGAAATTATAAAAATAGTAGTACCTACCTTACTGCATTGTTTTAAGAATTAAGTGAGTTGCTATTTGTAAAGCACTTAGTACAGTGTTTATTAAATAGATATAAATAAATACCCCAGCAAGTCTAAAAAAAGAGTTGTCTCTCTTTTTTTTTTTTTTTTGAGATGGAGTATCGTTCTGTCGCCAGGCTGGAGTGCAGTGGTGCGATCTGGGCTCACTGCAGCCTCCGCCTCCTGGGTTCAAGTGATTCTTGTGCCTCAGCCTCCCAAGTAACTGGGACTACAGGCGCGTGCCACCATGCCCAGCTAATTTTTGTATTTTTAGTAGAGACGGAGTTTTACCATGTTGTCCAGGATGGTCTCGATCTCTTGACCTTGTGATCCGCCCCCCTCGGCCTCGCAAAGTCCTGGGATTACAGGCGTGAGCCACTGCGCCTGGCCAAAAAGAGTTATCTTTTAAAGATACGTACTTACATCTTTATTGATGAAATGATGGGATGTCTTAGATTTGTTTGAAAGTAATCTGGTCAGAGAGTGGGACATGAAGTGGTGAGACAGTAGGTGGATCAAGATGGCTCATGGGCTGATAACCATTGAAGTGGAATATAGGATTTATTATACTACTAGGCCTACTTTATGTAAGCTTGAAATTTTCCAAATAAAAAGTCAAAACAAAAAAAGGACAGTTCACTTCTTCCAATGTTCTTTCCTTTTTTTTCTTTTCTTTTTCTCCCCTAAATCTGGCATATCATTCCTGTCTTTTGGGGTATAGTTCAAATGCTACCTGTTGTGAAGCCTCCTTGATAACCCCAGCCACATCTCATCTCTTCTCTTCTGACTCATGCAGCCCCCTGGACTCTTCTTGAGCACCTATACATGTTGTGGCTTTGTATTTATTCCTGAGTGTCTTTTCCTTCTTCCAGGCTAACCTCCAAGTGGATTAGGATCATGTTAGTGACTTCCAGGGCAGATACCTTTCTCACAGTAGGTGCCCATCAAACCTTTGTTGAAAAAATGACATTTATTGACTATAATCTAGAAAGAGCAAAAGCAATTATTTTGTGTGTCACAATTACTACTAAAGTACTGTGTTTGGGGATGAAAGGTTGTTATTCGAATTTTTTAGTGGTAGTTTGAAATAGGAATACCTGTGGCTTTATATTAAAATGTTTTTGCTATTTGGGGGCATTTCTTTTTATTCTTTTCAAAGACTTCATTTAGGAAGTTAATGTTGTTCCAGGCGATTAGCAAAGTTACAAATATGTCCTTCTAATTCTGGCATGTTGAGAATCTGAACATGTGAAATACTTGTGTTCTATTTTATGGTTATGGAAAGTAAGATTTTTTTCATCTGTGGGCCCACATTATTTTTTCTATTTACTGACTTAAATGATGCAGAGAAGAGTCTAGTATGAAACTGGAAAAAGTTAACAATGAAAACCTAAATCACAGAACTTTGTTTTGCTTTAGGATACGTCCTGAAACCATGGGAATAAATTATAATTTTAGCCATCCTCCCCTCCCTCATAACATAGATAAGCTTTTCTTTAGGCATGTTCTTAAAACACCATATGTAAAACACCTGTTGGTAAGTTAAAGAATATTTTAAACCCAAGGATTTTATATCTATTAAACATATTCTTAAATGAAATGATTTTATAAAGCAAAGACTATTTTAGAGCAAAGAATTCTCCTTAACCTCTCATTTAAATGTTTTGCAAGTTTGCTTGTTTATCAGTTGAACTTATCTAAGGTGAATACTTCATTCATTTTAGTCTCTTCTCCACAACAAATCATTTTTGTTGAACTTCGATGGAAGTCAAGTAGTGAAATTGGGCTACCTTGAGTTTCACTTCGGCCTCCTTTCTATTTCCATCCTCAATGGAGGTGCTAATTATAAGTGAAATAGTTTAAAACTGATACTAAGAGCAAAAAGTGCCAAAGAACATAGGTAATCTATAAACTAAATAATCAAATTCAAGAATGGGGTTATATTGCCTGAAGGCATTATTGCCATGACTTTCTCACTTGCAATGGAGAGTTAAAAAAAAACTCTGCTTTTGATTTTTCTCCACTTGCTGCTCTGTTACCACCCCAGTGGCATGTTCTCATTAACCCAATTCCTTGACCTTTGGCTATTACACTGAAGAATTCAAATTCACAAGATGTGAATTGCCTCATTCATATCTACAAGGTTTGAATCGTGGTTAAGACTTAGACCGGGTGTCTGATTATGAACAGGCTGTAAGTGAGAGTGGGTGTTCCTTTGTGAAGATCTGTACTTGCTCAGCTGTATTGCTTCGTTGACTCATTTAGAGTTTCTATAGTACTTAGGACAATGATTCTCAGCACAGTCATTGTGGCCTATCATGCTATCTTTGGCTGACAAAAGTGATTCTGAGATAATTTAAAAGTAAAGTAAAATTTTTATTTAAAAATATAACACATGAAATAATTTAAGAAAAATGAAAGAGTAGGTATTAAAGATAAGACTTCCAACTCCCCAAAAGTAAAATTACTAACAGCTTGCAGAAGCTTTAATGAAATTATTTTTAACACAGATTGAAAAAAACCATGTGAGATCATTTTTCTCTATAGATCATAATTCCTTGGGGATAGGGACCTTGTTTCCTATTCTGTTGTATCTCTCCATGGCAGTTAATAAGGTACTTTGTACAAATTGAAGAGACAGAAAATATTAAAATTCCTTTCTTTTTTTTTTTTTAGAAATTTGGAAAACCTCAAATCTGTTGAGAAATTGGATTTTTGGAAATTTATTCATAAAAAATTATTGTAGCTGAAACTTACCTCTCTCAGATACCAAGCATGTTTCTGTAGAAGGATCTGCTGGACTACCTCTGTTTCCCTCATGAATTGGAGAGATTTGTGTTAAGTGACAGAGAGAAAGCAAGCCCTAATCTATTCCCTTCTTTTTCTGCATGGGCGTGAACTCAGATTGTTTGATTTGCTACCCAGTGGAGAGCCAGGTGGCCATAACTTTATTTTCTTTTATATCATATTTTTATGTGAAAAGACATACCATTAGTACCCTTAAGGAATAATCATATCGTTTTAATCCCTAGTGGTACTTGGGTACTGTTGGGACCTTCATCAAGCAGATTCCAACTACTTCAATGAATGTATTTCTGACTTTTCAGGCTCAAGCTTTCTTTTTTTTTTAATATATGAAACAAAAGTATATGAACAAATGGAAATAACCAGTGGGAATGAATGATCCATCTGATTAGATCCTTTGTCATTGTGGGAAATTATTACATTATTCCAACCTGTAGAAATTTCCTAAAATCCCCACATGGAGTCCCCTATGTTTTCTGTCAGAGTGTATGTAGTTATGCAAGTGCACTTAATTTTATGGAACATCCTCATGATTCAATCTGCTGCTCCCAAATCAAAACTAATATGCTTTTGGCTTATGTACTAGTTTGAATCATTTATATTATTCTGCTCACACTCAGTAAAACTAACATATCTTCAGGGTCTGCCATATGAAAGGTGCTGTTTTAGTTGTTCAAAGAAGCAAGGGCTGGAAGAAGTTAGACTGTTCTTCCTTTGCTATTGCTTTCAAATATCAAATCATCACAAGTTTGAGTGAAAAATAATTTAATGTATTGAGTAGCTATGTTTTAAAAGTCTAGGGTTCTTTTTGTTGTTGCTCAGAGAGAAGAATTAAAGATTATATGATGTACTTTGATTAGTGCTGTCTACTGAAAATCCACACCACTTTACATTATTTTGAATGTTTGAAAGCATGAAAGTGTTCACAGTTGAATGTTTCCAAGTAGTTGTCTTAATATTTTATCACTTAGAAGTCAGTTACAGATAATGGAAATAATTCTAACTATTTAAGAAAAAAATAGAATAATAAAAACAAAAGCATTTACCATAAGGAATTAGGTGCTTACTAATCTAATCATTGGACTCTAGACTGGGCCTCTAAGAATGGCTTCCAGAAAGGCACAGTGGACTGCGTGCCAGGGGCATTGCTTCCATTATTACTCCTAGGAAGCTAGGAACTAAAAAAGCCTGCATGTCAACTGCTGGTTTCAAATCACAGCACCCTAGCCACAACCAGGAGTCACGAAGCAACTGTTGTCTTCTGGGATATTCTACTTTAGCTGTGATTCAGGGATCAGACTGCTACCAGCATTGTTAGCTTCAGAGCTGTCTGCTGCCTGTTAGATTTGCACAAGCAAGACAAAACCTTGGGTGCTTCTTCTCTTCCGCTTAACTCTGAATTCAAGTTTTATGGAAGTGGCGCTCATGGTGAAACCCAAATTGGAATTCAAGTCTTATGGAAGTGCATCTTAATGGTGAAACCTAAATTGTGTTGAGAATGCTAGTTACAAGGGAGTCTGGGAAATGAGGTTTTTAGTTTTCTGGCATCTGCAGTGTAAGAAGGCAAATATGGAGATTGGAACAGAAGTTGAGCTGGCCAATGTGCTGTATCAGCCACAGATGCTTTTGTGTTATTTCCTGTGATGGCTAGAAAACAAACTTAGAATCTGGCTGATTGAGTAAGGAAACAATTTTCAGATGTAAACCTTGTATATTACAGTCTCCAAGTAGATTTTTAAAATATATTTTTTTGTTTGCATTATCTGAGAATCCAGAAGAGCATCCAGTAATCAGTAATTACATAGTCAGATGTGCCAGGTGGAATGATTCAGGTATCTCTATGTATTTGTAGCTTGAATCCTGTATGTCTTCTGTTTAGAACTTAGCCATCTTTTGAAATTAAGCTTTTTTCCACTGGTGATTATGCTAGTGCATTTAATTGGGATTATTTTTTGGCACAGCGATCATTAATTAGAGCAAATGGAGCATAAGCAACGTTAGTTGAATAAATAATGAATTTAAAGAGTCTATGAAGGTTAAATAGCATACTCTGGAATGTTCTATGAAGTAATTTTTCCTTTCCATGCTACATACTGTCAAGATAACTAGTCTAACCCAAGGTTAGATAGAAAACAATATGTAGAGTGTTTCCTGCAATATTTTCATGAAAAATATATGTGTAAAAATGTCTAGGATGGTCTAAGAGAAAATATTTATATTGATTACTGTGAATTAGAATAGATTTTTTGGTTTGTTTATATTAAAAACATTTAATCCCATGAGCACATCATCTTATCAGAAAATGATTCCAAAAAGTTCTTCTGTGAGTTTTATCAACCAGGAGTTCTATTCAAAATACATAGGCAGAATAAATAGTAAAGTAAAAAAAAAACCTATGTGTCTTTTATTTCTCTGCTAACTTTGAATGGGTACATGTGATAGACTTTAATTATTTTGTGGCTAATTTATTGGAAATTGTTTTTTGGTTGGGAATACAATGTCTTTTGTTGATATCTCCCCAAGTCTCAGGTCATAATCATAAATTATTTATTTTATTGAAGGCAGTTATGATACCATCTTGTCACTTTTCCTAATAATTGTATAATAATAAGTTGTATTCACATTATATTGATCTATTTACTTTTTCAGTTAATTCCGTATGAAACATTTGTTTACTAAGATATCAAATCAACCACAAATTACCATTCATAGATAAAATGGAATTAATTCTTAATGATGTGGCCTTTTTAGGACATAGTTAAAATTCTTTAATTTTGTGATTATGTTATTTAGTATACATTAAGTATAATGTAGAATATACTTATGATATTGGCCCTTCTTTCAGGAAATTAAAATTTAAGGAAATGGGCAATGTATGATGCTATTTAATTATGAAAATTCTCCTGTGACGTTTTGTCTTTTCATGTTAGGCCTAAGCAGAGGGCCTAAAGGGTGTGGTTGTCAGTTACACTTGGGAAAATTTATAGGAGTGGGAAATTCTCAAATGAGATCATAGGGGTCTCCAGGCAGAGGGCCAGGCTGAGCCACAAGCAGCTCCATAGAGCCAGGGTCAGGGAGCTGGAGAGTCAGGATGAAGGTCATGGGTAAAATATAATTCTGGGCATTCTGCTGAAATGGCAGACCTCTCGGTACAGTATAGATATGCAAATGCTAACACCCAGAGTGTCTGACTTTGATGTGCTGCCAAGCACCTTTGGCCTCCAGTGGGTGCTGACTGAATTGGAGAGATTCCAGATTCAGCAAAGATGTCTGTTAGCAGAGGAACAGGATTAATGAAGGGATTTGTCCCTCTCTTACCTCAGTTTACTTAAGGAGAGGGTTTTATTAATTGGCGTGAAAACGTTGCATAACATTTTAGGAACTAAATCCTAGAATTTCTTTTAAAATAGTACATTTACAATAATTATCAAAGATTTTTTCTTTAAAATTATTTTTTCAGATCTAGAGTTATTTTAACTTTATTTTGAAATAATTTCAAACTTGTAGAAGAGTTGCAAGAAGAGTATTAAAACCCTCTTGTGGCCGGGCATGGTGGCTCACACCTGTAATCCCAGCACTTTAGGAGGCCGAGGTGGGCGGATCACCTGAGGTCAGGAGTTCGAGACCAGCCTCAACATGGAGAAACCCCATCTCTACTAAAAATACAAAATTAGCTGGGCGTGGTGGTGCATGCCTGTAATCCCAGCTACTCAGGAGGCTGAGGCAGGAGAATTGCTTGAACCTGGGAGGCGGAGGTTGCGGTGAGCCGAGATCGCGCCATTGCACTCCAGTCTGGGCAACAAGAGCGAAACTCCGTCTCAAAAAAAAAAAAAAAGCCCTTTTGCATAACAACTATGAATGCTTTGCCACATTTGCTTTATCTCGTTTTGTCTCTGTCTCTCTCTATACACACACACACACACACACACACACACACACACGCACCATTTAAGAGTTAATGGTCAATATCACACCCCTTTACTCCTAAACATTTCAGCATGTATTTCTTAAGAACAAGGACATTCTCTTATATAACCACATAGATATACAGCCCATATTCAAAATTTGCCTATTATCCCAATAATATTTTTTAGAGCATATTTCCTCTTGGCCAAATAAGTCATGACTACATATTACCTTTAGTTGTCATGTCTTTTAAATTTTTAATCTGGAATAATCTCGTAACTCCATTTTCTTTCATGACATTGATATTTTTGAAGGGTATATGCCACTTGTTTTATAGACCAATCCTTTATTTTGATTTGTCTGATTCAATATTTTTTATCAATGACTTTATACTTTAATTTGAAAAACATGGAAATATATAAGGAAGAAAACATTCACCCTTGATCCTGCTGTCCAAGGATACTTCTGACATTTAGACATACTTCCATTTTTCCTATGACTCATAAAATCAGTTACAAAATTGAACATACAGAATAATCCCATATTTTATACATATTAATACGTATAAAATATGTATAGTGTATACATATTAATATGTATAAAAATATGGGATTATTCTGTATGTTCAATTTTGTATCTGATTTTATGAGTATTTTTCCATCTCATTAAATGCTCTTTGAAAGCATATTTTCCTGGCTCCCTAATGTTCTTTATTACAGTTACACTATCATTTATGTAAATACTCTCTTATCATTGGATATTTAAATTGTTTCTATTTTTCTTATTACAAAAACACTGTGACTGCATGCAGTGGCTCACCTGTATAATCCCTGATAGTCAGGAGGCTGAGGTGGAAGGATCATTTAATGCTAGAGGTTTGAGATTAGCCTGGACAACAGAGTGAGACTCCATCTCTAAAAAAACAAAAAAGGACCACACACACACACACACACACACACACACACACACACACACACACACACACCCTGTCAGAATGAATACCATCAATCTATAAACTGCATTTGATTCCTCTTTTTCTTTTTTCTTTCTTTTTTTTTTTGAGATGGAGTCTCACTCTGTTGCTAAGGCTGGAGTGTAATAGCGCGATCTCGGCTCACTGCAACTTCCGCCTCCCGGGTTCAAGTGATTCTCCTGCCACAGCCTCCTGAGTAGCTGAGATTACAGGCACACACCACCACACCTGGCTAATTTTTGTATTTTTAGTAGAGACAGGGTTTTACCATGTTGGTCAGGCTGGTCTCGAACTCCTCACCTTGTGATCTGCCCTCCTCGGCCTCCCAAAGTGCTGGGATTACAGGCATGAGCCACCGCACCCAGCCCCTGATTCCTCTTTTTCCTAAAATTACTTAAGCACATGTATATTAAACAAATGACTTTTCATAGTGGACTTACTCATAAACCAGTAATTAAAGTCTTGATGTGTGCAGAAATGCAAAACATTTCCCAGTCTGATTTTTGGGGCCTCTCTCTTATAAGGGTTTGCTTTCCCATAATGTATCGTCTGCTCAGTGTGCTTGCCACACTATCTGTGGTGACAATGTATTGTCATTCTCTTGGTCTGACTGCTGGGAGATCACAGGGAGCTGAGTGCCGCTGAGTTAAACAGATGTTCAGCATGGCTGCATCTTCAAAGTTTTGTCTGGTTCCAGCCCTGACGAAACTTCTAGGGCCCTGAGAGAAAGAGAAAGTTTCTAGTTGAAGTAATATCCTATAGTTTGTTAGTGGAAACAGAAGCACGTGGTTTCTGATTTGGTTCTGGTGTTCTCTTTGGAGATTTGTATCAGTGATGAAAAAAAGGAAAGGTTGGTTAAGTCTGTTGCCTCCTGAAGTGGTTCTTTTTATCAGAATAAAGACTAGGCATCATCTCCTCTATGAACTTTTTCCTGACACTCCTGTTCATCTTCCATGCTGGACCCATTAGGATTAATCACCTTCTCCTTTGAGTTACCCATATATGTTATCTTTAGGTCTGCTACAGCCTTCGCACTGTCTTACAACTAATTGTATATAAGTCTAGCTTCCCTATGAGGCACTGGGTTTTATATGCATTAGATCCATTTGCCCTGCAATAAGCCACCCCAAAACTTAGTGGCTTAGAACAATAGCCATTAATTTAGCTCATGATTCTGTGGAATCAGCAGGTTGGTCTGGGCTCAGTAGGGCTCAGCTGCTTTCTGATGGGACTCACTCATATGGTTGGCTGGGGGCTGGCTGATTGATGACTGGGATACCTCACTTATTCTCTTGTGGTTTCCCATCCTTCAACGGGCTAGTTCAGACTTGTTCACATGATGTCAACAGGGTTCCCAAAAGCATCAACAGAGCATATCCTTTAATGTACAAGAACTTTCAAATTTCTGCTTCTGATACATTTGCTTCTGTCCCACTGTCCAGAACAAGTCACATGGCTAAGCCCAGAGTTATTGTGTGAGAGCACTACAAAAGGGTGTGAATACAGGGATGTGTGAGCAAATGGGGCATTACTGCAATCAGTCCACTACATGTTCCTTGATGTCAGGGTTACATCTCAACCATCTTTTCATCTCTAGATCCTATCATGTTGCTTGGCACAAGGTAGTTGCTTGGGGAATGGTGAATTGATCTATACAGTTATCTAGTCCGTTTAGCATCCCCTCAAACTTGGGTAAACTCCAGGGCACAAGGAGGGCATTAGGCAATGTTCTTAGATGCTGAGCTTTAAGGGAGTTTTTGCAGCTGGCTTTTGATGAGGAAAGTCTATGGAGAGAAAATGGGTATGGCACTTGGTAAAAAAAAATCGGGAGATTGTTTTACGGAAAAATAAAATTTCTTACCTCCTAAGCAAAACATCAAAACATCAAAATTTTATTTTTTACGGAAAAGTAAAATTTTTTACCTCCTAAGCAAAACATCAAAACATACATACTTATGTTGTACTTTTATTTTTCTTTCAAAGAATGTTCCTCATGTTAATTTAATCTGGCTTTATTTTGTGAATAACTAGGGAGAGAGTACATAGCCATGTTTGACCTGGGCCCCATATTCTCAGAGTCAAGGCCTCTGAAAAATTTTTTGAAAGTTTGAATAACCAGGAATAGAATCATCCTTAAACCTATGTGATGCGGGCTGCTTTCTTAGGCCTAAAATTTTAGAGGGCCTTGCTGTTTTTTCTGGCGTTGCCTATCCCCATCTTGCTAGTATTGGGGTGTCAAAGATGTGACAGGGGATATGCCCACCTAGAGCTTGAACCCTTCTACCTTCTAACCCATGTAGCAGGAAACTGGGACTCTAAAATTCTCTGCCTAAATGGGCTCAAGCTGCTTTCAGGACCTGTGTGGGCTCCTTTGCTTTTCTCCTAAAGGCAGACTCTACCAGTGTATACCCTTTCTAGGCCCAAGGGGTGGCCAAGGGTAGCTGTTTGCACAGTGAGGGTTAGGGGGTGGATAGATCTTGGACTTTGGTTTGGGGTGCTTATAACCTTGCTTTGGAGACCCCTGAGGGTACAGGATGAAACTGAGAGTAGGATGAGATGTTGACGGGCCTTAGGCTAGGGACCACTTTGACCGGACTGTCAAGATTGGGGGTGGCCTGATTAGGGATCTCATAAGGCTGTTGACAGGAGTGGAATCTTCCATGGGAGCAATAGTCAGATTTGTCTCAACTTAAATTCTGGGAATTTTGCTAAAATAAGAATGGCTTCTGAGATATAATGAGCTAAACCTGAAATGTTGGTTCTTGTAAATACATGGTAAAGGCGTGAGATTAGAATTTCTCTTTTAGGAAACCTGTCAAATTGTTAAGCTCCTTTTCCTCTTTTATTTGTGATCTAAGTGATTTGTCTATACAGCCTCACAGATAGTAGATCCAGTCAGTACCAAGTACATGTGACTTTAGCGTTTGTCTATAAATCAGATGGCCACTTAATGGGTATATAATAGAAGGGATGGTAATAGAGGTTCATACTGAGGCATTTAAAATTGTTTTAAGAAGATTCAGAGAGGGAAAGTTTGAGGCAAAGGGAACACAAAAAACAAGGGGATACTGGTATCACTGTGGCTGGAACAAATTTTAATGATGCTTTTCTGGTTCCCACTTCCCCAACCCATTTTTTTTTTAAAGAATCTATGGCCAATCACTGCTTGCTTGAAAAATTGCCTTTGTTATTTACATTATGCTTTTAGGAATTTTAGAATGATATGAGAGTCTGTAATAGAAGAGTGAGAATCAAAGCTTATTGTTTCCAGGCTATGGCTTGAATTTGAAATAAGAAAGGCAAAAATACAAGTTTTAATCTTTCTAACCTGAAGATTAGGTTAAGAAGTCATTAGTAGTGAACAAGTGTCTAGTAATTTCATTTATAAGGCATTTGATTAATGACTACACTATAAACATTATTTCCAATGCACACAGCTCTCTTAAAGCCAACTTTTTTTTTGTGAGTTGGCACAGATTTGTCATCGTTTCTGGTTTAATGTTTTGAAAGAGTCATTATACAATTCCTTAGAAGAAAGTTATTTCCCTTTGGTTATAGTAAAATTGTATTTTAATGTGATGTGATTTGATAATAACGTAAAATCGTCAAATACAAGGGCAGGAGAAGGTAGATTTATTAGGTAATTGAATTACTAGAGATGCTATTGCTGTGAGAGAAAACTCAATTACCTGTGGGCTGTGGACAAAGAGCTTCCTATTTCCTGATGGGGATCTAAAATTGATTAGCTTCAGGCTTGTAGAAGTCTTCTGCTATTATTAATAGAATCAAGAATTATAGAAATAGAGGAATTTTAGAAATCATCTAATCTACTATCCTCACTTTAAAAGTAAGGATATTGAGGTGAAAGGTCCCATGTCCAAGGCCACACTGCAGTCAGTGACTGGGGCCAGAACCCAAGACTGTTCCCCTGAACTAGGGACTGTTACTTCGAAATACAGACAATATCTGTTCTTGGTCCATAGAGTATATATTTTGAGGGCAGGGTCTTTCTTAAAAAATGTCTTCTGTATACTATTTAAAAGATTTTCCATAGTTTTCATGGATGCATAAACTATAAAGCCAAATTCTTGGCCTGTTTATAAGTTCTTTGGTTTGACTTTGTTATTGCCAGGGTATCTCAGTGTAGCAAAATAACTCCATTCTTTATAGATCTTTTTCTGATGATTTATGGGAAACTTAAGATAAACCTTTAATTAATTTATTTTTTTTTGTTTACTTTGTTGACTGGATAAAATTCTTTCACGTGGTTCAAAAAAATCTCTGCTGTATTTTAACATTTCTTTGATAATCTCTAAACACTTTTGTGTAACTTAAATATGTGTCAATGTATATGCATATCTGTAGATTTGAGAAAATCTGGGGATTTATTTAATTCATTATTAATTTATTGTAATCAAGTTGGTAAATTATTTTAAGGCATCATCTAATATGTTTTTTTTCCACTGTCTTTTTTTTTCTCAATAGGGATGAATGGGACCTTCAGGATGTATGTAAAACAATCCTTATAGGTGAAAATCTAATTGATTTTTGAAAGTCAAAAAGGATTTTGATTCTATTATGTTCTCTGAAACCTGTCTTGTATTTGAATACCCATATGGTCAAACAGTTCTTGGTTATATCCTACTGAAGCTTTCTTCTTTTTTTTTTTTAGTCTTTTTTTTTCTTCTATTCTCTTATAGTTAGAAATCAGCATGTTTTGACAATTATATATTAAGAATCTAGGAGTTAAGTAACAGAAATTTTTCTTTATCATTAGAAAAATCATTTGCTTGTGAAGTGTGAAAAAAGGGTAATGTTATATTTGTAGTAGAGTTTTGAAGCCAGATCTCAAGGCTATACAGTTAAAGGATAGTGGAGCTGGGAATAAAACCAAGGTCAAATGAAATTCATTCTCACTTAGAGTAGGGGGGGAATAATGTCATTTCCCCAGAGAACATACTCTGTAGCTATTAGAAACATTTAAAAGAATTTTTAATATGGATTATAAAACTGGCATAGATTTAAAAATAATAGCATCCTAATGTCAACTGGGAGTGTAATTCTGCAGTATAGAGGAAAGGATGCAGAAATAGGTCTCAATCTCCATTTGCTTGGCCTCCTGACCTCGAGTAAATAATTTAACTGTTTTCAGTCTCGGGATGATAATACCTGTTTTTCTAAACTTCTAAGGTTATTATGAGGGTCAAATATGATAATACAACAGTGCTGTGTGGATGTGTTAGCATGAAGCCAGAGCATCTGATGCATTCTTGTTTTATCTTGCCAGCAGTGGTGTCATCTCTTTGAAGGTGGACAAAGCAGTGGGGAGAATTGCAATTCTATATCTTGAAATAACTAACAAAGATATCTTGGTCATAAGGTCTTAAAGAAATTCTGGGAAAAGGTGACCATATAAGAGTTTATAATATCAAAGCAAGGCAGCATTGGGTATCATTTTTTTAAAAGTAGATTTTAAGAAGCTTAGAAACAAAGTAGATATTTTAGAAGGGATTGTGACTCATGAGGATGGTACGTAAGAAGAAAATGAAATTCTGATTATTTACTTACGAATGATTTTTTGGTTTCTTTTTGAGACAGGGCCTCTCTCTGTCTCTCACTCAGGCTGGATTGCAGTGGTGCAATCACGGCACACTGTAGCCTCAACCTGCCTGGCTCAAGTGATCCTCTCACCTCAGCCTCCTGAGTAGCTGGGGCCACAGGCATGGACCACCATGCCCGGCTAATTTTTTTGTTTTTGTAGAGACAGGGTCTTGCTATGTTGCCTGGGTTGGTCTGCAACTCCTAGGCTCAAGCAATCCTCCCACCATGGCCTCCCAAAGTTCTGAGATTACACGTGTGAGCCACTGTGCTTGGCCGTGAATTTAAATAGGAGAGAGAGGCGTATGGACAAGGTGATTTATTAAAAATAAAACAAAACAAAACGACAACAACAAAAAACCATGGACTATATTTATATATTCTCTAGCCATAAAGTATGTGAATAATATTAAAAAAATCAAGGTAGGGGCATATACGAAGGAAAAATACATAAGTGGCTTTTAATTAAAATGGAGCTGGTGACTTTCCAGTAGTAGAATTGGCTTTAATTAAACTATGCATTTAACAGAACATACTTCAAAGTTAAAAGAATGTCTACTAGCTACTCCCTCACTCTTGACAGAAAGAATTTGCATGAAGGTTTAGGTATGATAGCGTCAGAGAGGCTAAAACTGAGAATTGGCCAAAGTTTTTGAAAAGGTTAAGGCAAAAACAAAAACAAAAATGGGTTAAAGACAGGAGAAAGAATTTTTTTTGTTGTTTATCTAGAAGTCGGAAGAGAGAAAGCCATTGATTAGGGAAGATGGAAAAGGCTCTTTAAAGCTATTCTTTACCGGAAATGTATTAGCAGAGACCGACTGAACAGTCATCTGGGATAATTGCAGAAGGTGAAAGTTGGGCTTTAAGTATCTTTATTTCACCCATTAATATTTAATACATATAGTATAGCTGACATGCTTACATGGACATCTAGGTGTGTTGTAGCTGTCCTGATTTGAGTTTAAGCTTCATTTTGTGTTGCTCTCACCAAGATTTACCAGCCATATTTTACAGATTTGTAGTGATATCAAGTGCTGAGAACTAGGATAAGAGGAAAATTCGAAGAGAAAAACTACAAGTATATCCGCCTTTATTCTCCGAACCATTTCTCATTATTTAGAGTATGATGAATGAATCAAACAATGATCTTGGGTATAGTTCTTCAGATATCTGTTCTCAAACAGTGTGGGATCTACCAATTAGAATGCTAATTGGGAACTAAAAATAATATTCATAGTAAATCTGCTTTCTGGTTTTATTTTAAGACTTGGCTTTTTAAAGTTTTCTCCATCCTTGTTTGGAAGTACTCATTCTGTGAATTTATATAGAAGTAGCATTTCTGGCCAAGCAGAAAAACCAACTAGTTGGTTCATTTTCCTAGAAAACTACCAGATGCCTTCCTAGAGATAAAGCATAACCGAGTTTATTTAAAATTGAGTTGGTGACTTCCTTGTGTAAAACTGACTTTAAAATATGCATTTAACAAACCATATTTCAAAGTTCTAACTAGCTACTTACTCCCTGACTCACTGAATGAAAAAGTATTCATATAAAGTTTTAGGTGTCAGTTGAATTAACTTATAACCAACTTCCACTGGGAAAAGATATCATTAAGTTGTTTTTTTTTGTTGATACTGTTCCTGAAAAATGTATTTGAGAATTATAAAGGTGGCATAGTTTATGTTAGAATACTACTAATAATAACCTTCAATTCTGTGTGTATGGGGCATGGGAAATATGTATACGTCTATTTAGGAGGATTATTTTTGTGATGATTATTAGAGACCAATCACAGCAGCAAAAAACAAAACAAACAAACAAAGAACCAAACAAAAACAGTTATGCATCCTGAATGAAAGGTAAAAATAATACTGGACATGGTTTCTTGAACTCCTGGCCTCAAGTAATCCTCCCACCTTGGCCTCCCAAAGCACTGGGATTACAGATGTGAGCCACTGGCACCCAACTGGGACATAGTTTCTAAAAGTCACTCCACATGGCTATTGAAAAGTCTTGTCTTAAAAATAGTTGGTTTCTGAAAATCTTCTCATATAATTGACTTCATATTGTTTTGCAACTAAATTGTGCTGGAAGGACCCATAGTCTACCTGAGAGAGGAAGAGCATCAAAGTGAAAAGGCTGCAATGACCAATACAGTCTCCTATATAAGGAAGGTGAAGGAGGCAGGTGATGCAAATTACGGCATTAGAGATGGGGCTGCAGGTATAGATTTGGCAGTCGTCCTATACAGTAAACATCACAGCTTTTTCCAAATTATTTTTTTCAAATGAACGTTTTCTTTAAGAAGAGTTTTAGATTAATAGAAAAAATTACATGGGCAAGTGCTAAAAAAAAAAAACAGAAAAATTACAAAGAGTACCCATATATGCCACACTTGTTTTTGCATTTATTAATATCTTACATTAGTATGGTATGTTTGTTGCAATTAATGAACCACTACTTTTACAATATTATTAATTAAAATCCATATTTTATTCAGATTTTTGTTGTTTTTAGCCTGCTTGCCTTTTTCTATCCAGGATCATATCCAGGATACCACATTACATTTCATCATCATGTCTCTAGGCTCTTCTTAGATGTGACAATTTCTCAGACTTTATTTCTTATGACCTTGACAGTTTTGAGGAGTACTCATTAGGTATTTTATAAAATACCTCTTAATTGAGATTTCTCTGATGTTTTTCTCACGGAGTTATGTGTTTTTGGGAGAAAGATCACAGAGGGAAATTACCATCTTATCACATCATATCAAAGGAGCATACTGTTAGTGACTTAGCACTGTTGATGTTGTCCATCATCACCTGGCTCTGGTTATGGTTGTCAGGCTTTCCCTTTCTATCCTGTATTCTTTGTAAGGAAGTCACTGTGCATAACCCACACTTAAGGAGTGGGGAGTTATGCTCCATCTCCAGAGAGTGTATTGTATTATCTACATAAATTATTTGGAACTCATCTGCGTGGGAGTTTTGTCTATTATTCTCCATTTGTTTATTTATTCAATAATTTATATCAGTATGGACTCATGAATAGTTTATACTTTAGGTTATAATCCAATGCTACTTTATTTATTTATTTGCTCAAACTGTTCCCGTGGGAGCTCTTTCAGTTGGTTCTATGTCCGTTTGACATAGTCTCGTAATTGTGTGTGTGTGCGTGTGTGTGTGTCTATGTGTTTTGAATACTTCCTAATTTTCTGTCACTACAAGATGCTCCTGGATCATCATCTATATATCCTCCCCCAGTTCTATAATTGACTATTTTTCCAAGGAGCCCTGGTTCTTTTGTTTGGAAATGGTGTTAGAAACCAAAATCTAGGCACTAGGTGTACTCATTGTTATTGGATTGTAGCTGCTTTTAGGCTCTCTCAGCTGACAGAGCAAGGGAATGTATTTGCATATACCAACCTGTGTATATACACATATCTACAAATATTTCTGTATGTAATCATCTGTATCTATGTTAAGCTAAATATGAGTTTAGACTGATGTCTCCAATTCTAATTCATCACCACATGGATAATTCTAGCCTCCTCCTCTTGCTTACCTATAACTTCCCATTCTAACAGTCAGAAACTTGGTTGCCATCCATCCACTTAATTGTTCATTTATGTATACATGTATAACAGTATCAGAATTAACTGGTATCCCCAGAGGCAAGAACTTTATCAACTACAGCAGCAGTTCCCAGCCTTTTTGGCACCAGGGGCTGGTTTTGTGGAAGACAATTTTTCTATGGCTGGCTCTGGCAGGGAGTGTTTTGGGATGAAACTGCCCATGTGTCACTTAGTTGACCTAAGGCGCATGCAACCTAGATCCCTTGCATAAGCAGTTCATGATAGGGTTTACACTGTTATGAGAATCTATTGCCACCACTGATCAGACAGGAAGCGGAGCTCAGGTGGTAATGCTGTTGCCCACGGGTCACCTCCTGCTGTGCGGCCCAGTTCCTAACAGGCCATGGATAGGTGTTGGTCTGTGGCGCAAGAGTTGGGGACCCCTGAACTAGAGTACAGTGGTTATGTGTGGTTCCTTTTCCCTTTAGTCTTGCAGACTCCACTCATTTCCAAAGTTACTTAGGTCAACTACCCTCTCCCCTTACCCCTTCAGTGAGGTTGTTTCATACATTTGCAATAGAGTTAGACTGTCTGTTTTGTCACATTCTGCATTCTATTCTGGGATCCTTTGATGTCCTTAATTATTTTTGTTTAAATTGCATGGACTAAGGTTTACTTTTTGTGCTGTAAAGTTTCATAGGTTTTGACAATGCCTTGTGCCATGTATTTGCCAATACATACTAAGATAGTTTGAGCTATTTAATTTTATATTATTATATTGTATTATTTTATGTTATTTACTAGTACAATGCATTGTCAAAACCTATAAAGTAAGGTTTTGAAATAGTCCAAACTATTTTCAATTATTTAATATTTGACTTTTTTTTTTTGTCTTTTGAGACAGGGTCTCACTCTTTCACCCAGGCTGGAGTGCAGTGGCTTGATCACAGTTCACTGCAGCCTTGATTTCCTGAGCTCAAGCAATCCTTCCACCTCAGCCTCCCAAATAACTAGGACCACAGATGCACACCAACACACCGAACTAATTAAACAATTTTTTTGTAGAGATGAGGTCTCATTATATCACCCAGGTTGGTCTCAAACTCCTGGGCTCAAGTGATCCTCCTGCCTTGGCTTCCCAAAGTGCTGGGATTACAGGCATGAGCCACTGTGCCCAGCCTTGACCACTTTTTTTGGACCGGCAATTTTGAGTGGTTCAATCCAATATAAGTTGAAATTTAAGCCAATCTATTATTTACATGCAGTTACATGAAATAGCTAAAACTTTTGAGTAAGTATTGTTATCATAAAGATATCTCATAATCTTAACTACATAGTTATATATATATATTTTTTCTCCTGCCTCAGCCTCCTGAGTAGTTGGGATTATAGGCACGCACTGCCACACCAAGCTAATTTTTGTATTTTTAGTAGAGATGGGATTTCACCATGTCGGCCAGGATGGTCTCCATCTCCTGACCTCATGATCTGCCCACCTCGGCCTCCCAAAGTGCTGGGATTACAGGCGTGAGCCACAGCGCCTGGCCCAATTTTTGTATTTTTAATAGAGCCGGGGTTTTACCATGTTGGCCAGGCTGGTCTGGAGCTCCTGATCTCAAGTGACCCGCCCACCTTGGCCTCCCAAAGTGCTGGGATTACAGGCACGAGCCACCACACCTGGCCCCCACCTTTCCTGTCTGTGATTCCTCCCACTGTCCTTGAGCAGGGAAAGTTGTGAAAAGACAGTCAGGATCTTCTTTGCCACTGGAAAACCGGAAAGCTCTGGTCTTTCCTCAAAAGCTATTTGCTTTATTTTTACTTATTTTATTTTATTTTATTTATTTTTTTGATACAGAATCTCTCTGTGTCTCCCAGGCTGGAGTGCAGTGGCATGATCTCGGCTCACTGCAACCTCCACTTCCCAGGTTGATGCAATTCTCCTGCCTCAGCCTCCTGAGTAGCTGGGATTACAGGTGCCCACCACCATGCCTGGCTAATTTGTTTGTATTGATTGATTAATTTTTATTATGCTTAAAGTTCTAGGGTACATGTGCACAATGTGCAGGTTTGTTACATAGGTATGCATGTGCCATGTTGGTTTGTTGCACCCATCAACTCGTCATTTACATTAGGTATTTCTCCTAATGCTATCCCTCTCCCAGCCCCCGACTCCCCCAGCAGGCCCTGGTGTATGATGTTCCCTGCCCTGTGTCCAAGTGTTCTCGTTGTTCAATTTCCCACCTATGAGTGAGAACATGCAGTGTTTGGTTTTCTGTCCTTGTGATAGTTTTCTGAGAATGATGGTTTCCAGCTTCATCCATTCTGCCCTTGTGATAGTTTTCTGAGAATGATGGTTTCCAGCTTTATCTATGTGCCTGCAAAGGACATGAACTCATCGTTTTATATGGCTGCATAGTATTCCATCGTGTATATGTGCCACATTTTCTTAATCCAGTCTATCATTGATGGACATTTGGGTTGGTTCCAAGTCTTTGCTATTGTGAATAGTGCTGCAATAAATATACGTGTGCATGTGTCTTTATAGTAGTATGATTTATAATCCTTTGGGTATATACCCAGTAATGGGATCACTGGGTGAAATGGCATTTCTAGTTCTAGATCCTTGAGGAATTGCCCACTGTCTTCCACAGTGGTTGAACTAATGTACACTCCCACCAACAGTGTAAAAGTGTTCCTCTTTCTCCACATTCTCTCCAGCATCTGTTGTTTCCTGACTTTTTAATGATTGCCATTCTAACTGGTGTGAGATGGTATCTCATTGTGGTTTTGATTTGCATTTCTCTGATGACTAGTGATGATGAGCATTTATTCATGTGTCTGTTGGCTGCATAAATGTCTTCTTTTGAGAAGTGTCTGTTCATATCCTTTGCCCACTTTTTGATGGGATTTTTTGATTTTTTTCTTGTAAATTTGTTTAAGTTCTTTGTAGATTCTGGATATTAGCCCTTTGTCAGATGGGTAGATTGCAAAATTTTTCTCCCATTTTGTAGGTTGCCTGTTCACTCTGATGGTAGTTTCTTTTGCTGTGCAGAAGCTCTTTAGTTTAATTAGATCCCATTTGTCAATTTTGGCTTTTGTTGCCATTGCTTTTGGTGTTTTAGTCATGAAGTCCTTGCCCATGCCTATGTCCTGAATGGTATTGCCTAGGTTTTCTTCTAGGGTTTTTATGGTTTTAGGTCTAACATTTAAGTCTTTAATCCATCTTGAATTAATTTTTGTATAAGATGTAAGGAAGGGATCCAGTTTCAGCTTTCTACATATGGCTAGCCAGTTTTCCCAGCACCATTTATTAAATAGGGAATCCTTTCCCCATTTCTTGTTTTTGTCAGGTTTGTCAAAGATCAGATGGTTGTAGATGGGTGGTGTTATTTCTGAGGCCTCTGTTCTGTTCCATTGATCTATATCTCTGTTTTGGTACCAGTACCATGCTGTTTTGGTTACCGTAGCCTTGTAGTATAGTTTGAAGTCAGGTAGCGTGATGCCTCCAACTTTGTTCTTTTTGCTTAGGATTGTCTTGGCAATGCGGGCTCCTTTTTGGTTCCATATGAACTTTAAAGTAGTTTTTTCCAATTCTGTGAAGGAAGTCATTGGTAGCTTGATGGGGATGGCATTGAATCTATAAATTACCTTGGGCAGTATGGCCATTTTCACAATATTGATTCTTCCTATCCATGAGCATGGAATGTTCTTCCATTTGTTTGTGTCCTCTTTTATTTCATTGAGCAGTGGTTTGTAGTTCTCCTTGAAGAGGTCCTTCACATTCCTTGTAAGTTGGATTCCTGGGTATTTTATTCTCTTTGAAGCAATTGTGAATGGGAGTTCACTCATGATTTGGCTCTCTGTTTGTCTATTATTGGTGTATAGGAATGCTTGTGATTTTTGCACATCGATTTTGTATATTTTGTATCCTGAGACTTTGCTGAAGTTGCTTATCAGCTTAAGGAGATTTTGGGCTGACACGATGGGGTTTTCTAAATATACAATCATGTCATCTGTAAGCAGGGACAATTTGACTTCCTCTTTTCCTAATTGAATACCCTTTATTTCTTTCTCTTGCCTGATAGCCCTGGCCAGAACTTCCAACACTTACATAGTTATATTTTTATTTAGTTAGTAAATAAACTATGACAAAACACTTGCAATTTTTTTCTGATAAAATAGTCATGTTAAATGGTTATATTCCTTCATCCTCTCCAAATATGTACGCTTTCAAAGAAGAGTAGATACTAATTCGAATATATCCTACCCAGTGTGAGGATTTTAGGCAGAGTTAACAATGAATTAAAAACTTTTAGGCAGTGTGGGGAAATTTTGCTTTCTAAAGGGAAAAATTTGCTCCCTTAATTGTTCTTTACATACTACTGCTTCTCTCATTTCATTTTCTGAAAGATTTAAGTCTTTTGGACCATCTTAAAGTGATCCCAAGCCACATCTTCTACATGAAACAGGGTTATATTTCTTCATTCAACACATATATATATATATTTTTTAGCATCTTCTTCATGTGTAACATTGCGTTAGGGGCAGAATTCCAAATTGTAGATCAGCCACCTTCTGGGTAGCTAAAATGCACTTGGAAGCAGTGGCTTCCAGACTGCTGAATTTCACGAATCAGTTTTAAAAAATGGCAATTAGTGTAGAGTTGCCACCTTTTTATTTTTGTCAAATCAGGTCATAGCAAATGAACACCAAACAAAGTTTTCACTAGGTTGGATTTGTTTTGCTCCTTCCAAATGTCTAATTTAAAATTTATACTATGTACTTTTTTCTAATTAGAATATTTTACATATTTTTCCCTATTCCATTTTTATTTGAAGTGGATTATTCTTAAACTCTTCAGCTATTATCCTCTACTCCACAAATGTCAAGGATAGACCTTTAATGAGTAGAACAGATGTCAGGGATTTGACAGTAGTGAATAATCATGTCTATCTCTTGTCAATCTTTTGATTTTAAGTGAGGGAAATGCTGTGGAGAATTGTTTCTTTTGTTGAAAACCTAGATTAGTACATGCTATGCCATAGTGAATGCTTAATGAATACATGCCAAATAAATAAAAAAAAGAATCTTCCCAAATTCTTATTCATTGACATGAAGATATAAAATCTAGCATGTTGATAACATTGAACTTTCTTAAATAATTCTATAACAAATTCTCTTCTTTTTGTATGGATTTTTCATACAATCTGTGTTAACATTTGCTTGTGAAATCAATTAGACCAACTAGAAAAATACAGTTAAATGTTTAAATTACTTTTGATCAAATGGCTTTTGTTTGATAAATGCTATCAAAAAGGACTAATCAAGTTTCTAGGTCTGCGGTTCATTTTTTTTTTTGACTAATACTTGTATTTGTACAGAACCTTTTCTTTGGAGTTTATTACTCTTGTCTATAACATTTTCAGGATTTAATTAGGAGAGGGATTTTCCTATTCAGGATATGTATAGGTCAGATTATGATGCTGTGGCATGTAGACCATACCTTAGAATTGTGTTGTATTTGGCAAGAACTTCATTTACTTTTAACAATCTGGCATTTTCTACATTTTATGGATGGAAATAATAAAAATGGGATCTTTGCCCTAATTGGCCAGTGGTAAAATTTAACCTTGGTTTTCATGGTCTTAGACTTTTTCTTAATAAGAAATTTGTTTAAAATTAGTACATTTCTTATTACCATTTTCATTTTGAACCTAATTTCACAAGTAAGCATTTTTACTGAGCATCCAGTATGTCCCTTTGCTGACCTAGTGATTCTACAAGTCCTATACCATTTGTAAGAATCAACAAGACTGATACAATAAAATTTATTTTAAATCTTCAGGATACAGATACAAGTGATTATATTTATGAAGATTTAGAGATTTATAAAATTTAATCGAGAGATTATTTCATTTTTAAAACCTATTTTTTCTTCTTATTAAAGAAAATACATGTTCATTAAAGGATATTTTAAAAACAGATAAAACTAAAAGAAAATAAAAATCACCTATAATCCAGTTACTTGGAAATTAGCCACTTTTAACATTCGGTACAGATTTATCTTATGCTATATTGTATTATACTGTTATATGATTTAAAAGTGTGTGTGTATATACATATATATATATAGAGAGAGAGAGAGAAATCATATTGTACATTTGGGCTTGTTAGCTTTCTTTTTCACTTAATAGTAGAGAGTGAATTTTTTTTTTCATATTTACTATTCTGTTACCTCATTCTTAATGATTACTTAGTCTACAGTGGGTGATAAATCCTCTCTTTTTGGATGTTTATATTATTTCTGATAACAATTTCATTTTAACTGTTGTTAGTTCTACAGGAGGTTATGCATTTGACTTTTTACAAGAAAGGGGTGATGAGTAGTATTTGAAACTAACGTGAGTTTGTAGGGCCGTAGTGTCCTCCGGATGTTGGGAGCTATTGCTCTGGGGCATTGTTCCTCTTAGCCCCTCCGGACGCTTGCCTAGCTGGGCTGAGGCAGGCTGAGGCCTGTTTGTTGTTAGCCCAGCTGCAAGAGCAGTGGCCTTAGTAACGTCAGCAGGAACAGAGCAGGCTTCATCTCTACCCTTTGTCTGGATTTGGTGCTGGTGTGTTTTCCCCGCTGCTGCCATGTGATGGCTCGTAAGCAGCACTACACACTGGATCTGTAACTCCTTTTGAAAGCTCTATTGTGAGATGCTGCTGCGTTTCAGTGGAGGGGAGATTTTTGCTAGTGTGCCACTTTTGGTTTCTTTCAAATGTGGATGTGCCTTCCTCTAAAGAATCCTAGGTAAGGAAAGCACTAGTTTTGAAGTGACTAAAAATGAATTAAATTATCC
Organism: Homo sapiens; assembly: GCF_000001405.40. NCBI lineage: Eukaryota > Metazoa > Chordata > Mammalia > Primates > Hominidae > Homo > Homo sapiens. Next base: position 171,899,417 of record NC_000001.11, read on the forward strand.
TTTCCTCCATGCTTCCTATGGTGGAACGGTAGTAAAATAGGAAAGTAAGTACTCAGATTTCCTTGCCTACTTTGCATTATAGTTAATCACCACGGGAGAGGTGGGAAATGAGAGAGTGAGAGTGGGAATCAGGGAAGATTTCCTAAATGAAATAATATTTGAATGAGGTGATAAAGAATAATAATGGGTGGCAGGAAACACAGAAATGTGGATAATGGTAGTTACTAAGGGTTTGTTTATGTACTCATCCATAAAACATTAGTTGAGGGCCTATGCTATACCAGGAGTTATACTAGACTTTGGATACCCAAGAATTAATTAGACATGGTTCCTGCTTTTTACGGGTTGACAGTCTGGTTGGGAAGATGGAAAATAGACAAAACATATATAGTGGGTTCTATAGTAAAGGTTTCTACAAATAACATGGAAGTATCATAGTCCAGACTAGGCAGGTTAAGAAAAGTCTTTTCCTAGGGGTTGACACCTGAGATGAGACTTGAAGGACAAATGGGCAAGGGAGAAGGTACACCAGATAGAAGAAACTGCATGTGCAAAGGCAAGGATGCAAGAAGGAAGCTGGAATATCCAGGCACTGCAAGGAGTTCAGTGTACAGCAAAAGAGAGACTGCACAGTGGGGGAGGATTGGCAAGAAGTAATTTACGAGGGCTTAAGACAGTAAGGGACGTGGAGAAAATCAAGGACAACCCCCAGATTTTTACTTGGTTGGTAGTGCTATTCGCACTGTATGTTTTCATTGCAGAAAATAAACAAGGAGGGACAGATTCAAAGAGGACAATAGCGTATTCAAATTAGGACACGATGCGTTTGGGGTACTTGTGATATATCGATATAACAAGTAGAAATCTGGGGCTCAGAAGAGAGATTGGGGCTGCAGATTCACGGGTGGTAGCCATTAGCAGGGGGTGGATGAAACCACCGAGGGGGAGAACATGCAGAGTGAAAAGATGGCTGGAAAAAACCCCAAGAAGGAGCGGACAACCAAAGATACTGAGAAGGAGGCAAGGAGTTGGAGGAAAAGCACAGAAGACAGGCGAGGAGACAGAGGTCAGCAGTATCAAGTTTTTCTGAAAGAAGAAATCAGATAAATTTTCACCACTTTTAGGAATGAGGCCATTGGTGATCTTGGTGAGGGCGGCTTCCAGGGTGAAGTAGGAAACTGACCTGAATTTCAGCAGGGCAGCAGTCAGGGTGGCGTGATTTAAGAATTTTCCTTTAAGAAGCTTGTCTGTGGAGGAAGGAGTGAGGAATGATAGCAGATCTAGGACTGTATGAAACAGGATGGAGAGAGATGATGGTTTACTTGTCTTTTTCCCCAAGGTTAAAAAGCTGGAACATTTTTATACTAATGCCGATAAAATATGCATATTATTGATACTTTGAAATGTATGAGGCCGGGCGCGGTGGCTCCGCCTATAATCCTAGCATTTAGGGAGGCCGAGGCGGGCGGATCACGAGGTCAGGAGATCGAGACCATCCTGGCCAACACGGTGAAACCCAGTCTCTACTAAAAAAAAAATAGAAAAAATTAGCCGGGCGTGGTGGCGGGCGCCTGTAGTCCCAGCTGCTCGGGAGGCTGAGGCAGGAGAATGGCGTGAACCCGGGAGGTGGAGCTTGCAGTGAGCCGAGAGCGCGCCACTGCACTCCAGCATGGGCGACAGAGCGAGACTCTGTCTCAAAAAAAAAAAAAAAAAAAGAAAGAAATCTATGAAGTTCAGCACCTAGGAAAGATGACAGTCTTGTAGTCATACCCCACCTGCCGGAATTGAGAAATCCAAAAATTTATTGTTTTGTAATTGTGACAGAAAAAAAAATCATCTATGATGTCTTATACAGCATTTTCGCACTCTTGATTTTTCCATATAATCCCGAAAGAAGACAGCACGGAGAGACAAGAGGTGAATGAAATAGGCCCTGAGCAGCTGAGGTGGTGGAGCAAAGTTCCTCTAGATTACTCACCAGTGAACAATTCAGGCCCTTGCACAGAGCCCACTCAGCTCCACACAACTCTCACCAGTCAGCTTGTCTGACATCTACACCCATTACAGAGGAGGAGCAAGGAGGAGCCGCGTGGGTGAGGGCAGGCACACTGATGCCCGGGAGAAGTGGTAGTCAATATGCTGATAACGAAGGAGGGACAGACATGTCAGAAAATGCCTCCAAAAGGAATAATAATGCCAATAAAAGCTCACAACTTGTGCAGGGTTACCAGACCCCTCTGTAATAGCAACTGAAGGCATCACTATGTTTTAACATAGTAGCAATAATTGGTATTTCAAATGAATGCTCCATCAAGAAATGTTTAAATACTCGGTATACTATGTTTTAAGAACGTGAACAAGAAAATGCCAACTGCATTTTATAGTTTGACATTAAAATAAAATTTTGGCAATTAAAGTGCTAGCTGGGACCTTTCCTAAAGGGTCTCACTCTGTTACTATTTGTAGGGCATCCAAGGCTTAGTGCTTCTTACATAAATTGATGAGAGATAGAGCTGTGATGTGTAGAAGGTACAGAAAACCTGGTTATAGATGAAAAGAATGCCCAGGAAGCTATATTAGTTCAAGTTTACATTTCCATAGCACATTTAAAAAAATAATAATTTTCAATCTGTATTGCCCTGTGAAATCATAAAAAGGTTAATAAATAGAATTTTTCAAGAATTAATAACCCCATTCTATTCTGAAACCTGGAAAACACATTAACTTTATTAGCTTTTAAGTAACAAATATTCCTCTTTTAATTCTAAACTATAGTTTGCCCTTTTAATCCATTTAATTGAAATAGTAACCTATAGTAGAAACTATTAAAAATCAATTATGAAAGGTCCATTAAATTTCTTTAACCAGTTACAAGAAATAAGTATTTTAATTGTTCTTTGAGAACTGCCAATGAACAAAATCAGACTTTTGTAAAATGAAAGTAAAAATGCTCATGATTGAATTGTGGTAGCCCTGTTGATATTCAGGAAGGATAAGCCTTGAAACCTCCTGAGATCCAAAGTTTCTGATGTGAGAAATGTTTTTGTCTTTTATAATCAAGAGTCTGAAATCTAGACAATGGCTTAAAATCAAAGTAGTGACCTGGAATGTTTGTTGTTGACTCTACAGAAATGTGTTGAGGAGTGATAATCTTTGCCAAAAGGAGGGAGTATTTTTTTTAATTGATCAAAGGCTTAAATCTTTTTTTTTTTAAACTAACATTTGGTTCAGTCAGTGTTACCTACCGTCTTTTATGTTGAAATTCAGAAGCAACATACTTTAGTGATTGACTTATCTGTTGGTGATGACATGTTATGACATGTTGTTAGGTGTTTATCAAGGATTGGAAATTCCAATTTGCCACGTAAAAGAATGGTTACTGGTTAAAAACTACTTGTATTCTTCTGTGCTATGAGTGAAAAATTTCTATAGCATCTATGTTAAAAAATGCTTGTTAAAGGGTTGAACTCTCATGTCTGTAATCCCAGCACTTTGGGAGGCTCAGGCGGGAAGATCGCTTTAGTCCATGAGTTCAAGACCAGCCTGGGCAGCATAGTGGGACCTCGTCTCTACAGAAAATAAACAAAGTATCCAGGCATGGTGGTGGACTGCCAAATAGTCCCAGCTATTTGGGAGGATGGGGTGGGAGGATTGCTTGAGCCCAGGAGGTCAACGCTGAGGTAAGCTGAGATCGTGCCACTATACTTAAGCCTGGGTGACAGAGCGAGACCCTGTCTCAAAAAATATATATAAATAAATAAATAAAAATAAAGGGTTTAATTAGGGGTGAAAATGAGGTAGAAGCATAAGGAAAAATTCTAATTGAGAGAAATAAGATAAAAGTGTCATTCTTAAAAAATGTTGTATGTATATAGTTTGCTGTCATAGACTAGACAGTGGCAAATACTGTAACTTTATCATAGATCTTTCCTTTGTACTTGGATACCATTTTGAATTTTATTTTTCTGTATGTATTTTTTTCCATTTAAATTTATGCTCCAAGATGGAAGTTAACAGTAATACCACCTTACTTTCTTTTTCCACGTTACAATTTTTAGAGACATTTCCCAAGGGCTATCTTATTTATTAATATGTGATTCAAGTACACTGGGGAAGGTAAGTATACTATTGTTATTTTACAAAGGAAAGTACAGGTAAAAGAGAGTTCAGTAACTTGTTTAAGGTCCTGTAGCTAGTGTCAAGACTAAACTCTTTCTTACTTGTACTTCATTGTCTTTTAATCATAGCACATTATTAATGTGGAAATTGATAAAGACATTTTTGTTGGAAGTTTAATTGAACTTTGAACTTGAAAATTTAACTTGTAGACATTTTACTCCTGAAAAAGGGGGCTTAAGTAACCTAAACTGGAAAGACATTAAGGGCTGGAAATTTTACATAGACCTTGAACATTTTAAAATTTTGCTTAAAAACTGCTTAAAATGTTCTATTATAGCCAAGATAATCACAGAGCTAGAATTCATTCTCTACTATACATGGGCACTACATTCATTGTAACCAACTAGTGTTCAGTAGAAGTATAATTGGGAAAGAAGGAAGACTTAAGTTACTTATATATGTAACAAGGCAGCTTATTAAGAATTTACTAGGCTGGGCGCAGTGGCTCACAGCTGTAATCTCAGCACTTTGGGAGGCTGTGGTGGGTGGATCTCTTGAGCCCAGGAGTTTAAGACCATCCTGGGCAACATGGTGAAACCCCGTCTCCTCAAAAAATAGAAAAAAAAAAAAAGCCAGCGTGGTGTCACGCACCTGTAGTCCCAGCTACTCGGGAGGCTGAGGTGGATCACCTGAGCCCAGGAGATAGAGGTTGCAGTGAGCTGAGATTGTGCCACTGCATTCCAGCCTGTGCGGCAGAGTAAGACCCTGTCTCAAAAGAAAAAATAAAAATTACCATAACTTGATGGGAAAATGCAACTTTATTGTTTGTTCTACAGCATTAAGAGAAGCATACAATCCATCCTTGGGGATGGGAGACTGTCCACTGCATTCCTAAATAATAAATCCTCCTTATTCCCAAGGAAGGTAAATAGGCTCTTGGATGGTCCTAGAATTCATGGCCCAGGCTTTTAGGATCATCCTGCACCTAAAGCCCTTGGGAGAACAACCAAACCCTAATGCTGTTGAAAGATATTAGGAAAGACATGAGGGTTTTCTTTAGAAGACTGGCCAGTTTCTCTCAGGAAAGAAGGACATTTCCCAGAGACAGGAAGTCAAAGATGGCCTGTTTTTTTTGCGGGTAGTTGAAGCTGGTGCTTTACTGAAGCAGTGTCTTGGAGGTCCTTATGGTAGGTATGGCTATGTGGGTGTTGGGGATGACTGAGCACTGAGACCATGACTTTGATATCCATGGTGAAGGTCCTTATAGATAACTTGGTACGGAGGCTGAGGGAGGGTGGCATGGAGGGTAAGCAGTGAATGCTGCCAGTGGAAAGAAGTTACCTTCAACAGAACCACGGGGTTTAGACAATGAATTTCTCCAGGGGGATTGCGCTGGACAAGTGACTACAGGCCTTGCCTAATTTTCCTTCATTGCATCATCTTTGAGGTCCTTACACCACTCAAGGGGTGAGAGAAGAGCTCTTAGGCATATCTGATATTTAGATTTCTTACTGATGTGGCTGACTCTTAGCTTTGAAGTCTGAACTGATTTGAATTTGAAAAATGAAAAGATGTGACATTTTTTGTTTCTTGAGTCTTGTGGAGCAGTTCATAGCTTTATGTGCGTACATTCATTCATATACACATGCATATGTTACTGTATACTGCATACTTCTCTTTAATACCCCTGTGGTCTTTACATATCCATCCTGAAATGTCGTCATCCTCATCTGACAACCTAGAAAATGCTAACTCATCATTCAAAATTCATGTCAAATATCAGTCTTCCTTTCTGAGTATGCAGGGAGTAAGGAGTCTAAAAATAATTCTTGGCTTCTTAATTTGTGATATAGAGATATTGCCTGCCTTGCTTAAATCACAGCTGGTTATGAGAATTGAATGAAATGACTTACCTTAAAGAGACAGAAAGTAGCTAAGGGTGGGAGAGTCCAAGTAGCAAAAGCATGGTGTGGAGAAATTTGATATGCATGGGGAGAGGGCCTGAGGGAGACCTGTCTCAAGGTAGCTGAGGATTTTTCTTTTTCGGTATATGTGGTGGGGAGGAAAATAGCTAAAAAATATTTACTTCATGTAAGACTAGATTTAGGGGAGAATATTAAAACTCAGGAAGAGGACTTTTAACATAATGAGGTGGTTAAAAGGAGACAACTTCTCAATAGACAAGGGAGGTATTTTGAATAGATTTTTGGAAATGGTACACAAAATTAGTTTTATTGAAGAGTGAAAGAGCTGGACAGATGGGAAAATCATCATGGAGACTAGTAGATTGTGAGGGTGAAAACCATGAGTAGGCTTAAAAGTATTGTCTCAAGACAAAAAAAAAATGGGCTATTTTGGAAGTAAAGAGTTTTTAATTCCAGGAGGTGGCCCTCTACTGATGTAAGCAGACTGTGATTTAGTATGTGAAGGATGGATGTACCAGACTCATTTCCCAGAGGGAAGAGGCAGTTACTAGATTGTTTAGCCTCTTCACATGCTTGTAATATTGTTGCTTTCAAAGGTTTGCTGAAGAAATGAATGAAATGGCTTGTCAAGTATTAGTAAGATATTTCTAGCTGTAGTTCAATTGCATTTTTTTTTTTTTTTTTTGAGATAGGGTCTCCTTCTGTCACCCAGGCTGGAGTGCAGTGGTGTGAACATGGCTCATTGCGGCCTCGACTTCCTGGGCTCAAGCGATTCTCCCATCTCAGCCTCCCGTATAGTTGGGACCAAAGGCACGTGCCACCACACCTGGCTAAGTTTTAAATTTTTTGTATAGATGGAGTCTTACCATCTTTCCCAGGCTAGTCTTGAACTCCTGGACCCAAGGGATCCTCCTGTCTCAGCCTCTCAAACTCCTGAGATTATAGGTGTGAGCCACCACGCCCTACCAACAAAACTTTTTTTTTTTTGCCCGACCCCCAGCAACAAAACTTTTGATTCCTTCCTTATAATAGTTTCTTTTTAAATAACTTGGACAAGAAATGTTTGCACAGAATCTCACTGATAATGTACTTTAACTTGAAGAGTATGAAATAATCTTGAGTCTACTATTTTTGTTTTTTAATGAAAATGCATTAATCATTTACATTTTTTAAGATACCCAATTTATTTTGGAAGCTATATGTTATTTTCATAAAAAATTCTTAACTTACAGAATGTCCACTGCTTAGGATTTCCTGTTTTTTTTGTATTTTAAATATATCTCTAACAAATAATCATCACGAAGGAAAAGAGGTTACATTTATTGCAGTCCTGCTATGTGCTTTATGCATGTTATATAGTCCTTTCAAAAACTTTTCAAGTAAGTGATACTATTTTTATTTTATAGATGTGGATCATGAGATTTAGAGAGACGATGTAAAATATAGCCAAGATAATACAGTCTCAGTCAGAGGTGGAGCTGAGATTTGAACCCAAGTCTTTTTGGAAACAAAATTTGATTCTCACCACATTTCATTCCAGGGAAAAAATAATTCCATCCTGGCTCTGTTTTTATTTATAGCCAGAAATGGACCACCTCTAACTGTCTCCACTGCTGCCATTCTGGTCTAGGCTTCCCTGATGTTTTGCCTCTATTACTGTAACATCTCCTAATTGTTTTCCCTGCTTCTCTCTTTGATCCCCACAGTTGATTTTTAATGGCTAATGCAATCCTTTAAAAACGTAAGTCAGGCCGGGCGCAGTGGCTCATGCTTGTAATCCCAGCACTCTGGGAGGCTGAGGCGGGCAGATCACCTGAGGTTGGGAGTTCAAGATCAGCCTGACCAACATGGAGAAACCCCGTCTCTACTAAAAATACAAAATTAGCCGGGCAAGGTGGTGCATGCCTGTAATCCCAGCTACTGGGGAGGCTGAGGCAGGAGAATCACTTGAACCTGGGAGGCGGAGGTTGCGGTGAGCCAAGATTGCGCCATTGCACCCCAGCCTGGGCAGCAAGAGTGAGACTCCGTCACAGAAAAAAAAAAAAAAGAAGTAAGTCAGGTCATGTTACTCCTCTGCTCAAAATTCTTCCATCACTCCCCATTTCACATGGAGAAAATACAGAGTTCCTACAATGGCTGAGGTGATCTGGCGCCCCTTTCTTTCTCTCTGACCTAATATCTGACTTCTTCCCCTTGCTCATTCCTCTCTAGCATGCCAGGCACATGTCTGCATGGCTAATTCACTTACCCCTTCAAGTCGTTACTAAACTCTCACTTTCACAATGAGGCTTACTTTGATCCACTATTTAAAACTGTAACTCCAGTGGGACTTAAGATGCAAAAATTTGTGATTTTCAGGATTTTGATTATATGCTTTAAATATATAAAATTCTCTGCTATGTTCAATGATAACTACTTTTTCATGTTGACATACAGAATTGGAATATATCTAAAACACCAAAAACATATACTTATAAGTAGAATAGTAAAGATACACATAATGTTTTCTAATCGTTGACTGTATCTCATTGTAAGAAATACATTTTATTGTGACCTCGTGTATCTATATAAAATGGAAATAAAAGTTTTATAAAATACTTAGCATTTCTGTGTGTTACACTCATATAGTTTCTGTTGAATTCCATTCCTTTCTTTTCCATTATGAAAATATGTTGGTCAAGTTCTACAAAATTTATTTCACAACTCATTTATTGGTTACAACCTATAGCTTAAAAATATTGGGCTATTCTTCAAATCCCATTAATGCAGGAGATAAGATATGAATTTTTTGCATTAACTTCTTGAAAACATACACTGCAGAGGGTGATGATTGAAAAGTCACTTATACTTTTGAGTTATTGGCATGTAGCTATTACTGCATTTTGCATATTCATGCTCAGATTAACAAAAGTAATATAGATTAGGTTGCATAAATATGTAATTAAATAATTATAAGTGCTTATATTTTGTCAATATTATTTGCTAATGGTAGAACTCTTATATTAGAAGTGGTTTTTTCCATCCAGTGGATCAGGAGATTTCTATCTTTTTTCCCCCCTAATTTCCAAATTTCAGTATTTTAATTTTTGATGGATTGGTGCTTATTTTCCTATCTTTATTGATATTAGATACTGACAGTGAAGAATAATATTCAATAATAAAAATTTGTGCTTCATTTTAAAGTATTTTAAATGAATAATAATAATAATTAACATATAACCCTACATAGCTTATTGTACATTTGTTTATTAGTATCTTAATTTCTTCGCACTGAAAACATTAACAGATACCTCTATAATATTCTCTAATATGGTGTATTCTCTAAATTTGAAATTTCCTAATGTAATCTTTCTTAAAAGTAGGAGATATATATTCCAAGCTTATCTTTTACCATTGTCCTCTTACATGTAATGCTATAGCCATATTAAATGTGGCCTGTCCCTCCCTCCTTCCCTACTTCCCTTCCTTCCATCTTTCCTTCCTCCTGCCTTTCTGCCTCCTTCCTTTTCTTCCTCCCTCCCTTTTTTCCTTCCTTTTAACTAATATTTTTGAACACCTGCTATGTGCCATGTGTAGTAGTGGGAAGAAAATAAATGACATAGTCTTTGCTGTCTCTGAACTTAAACTGGATACTAACAGTCCCAGTTATGAAAGTGAAAACAGAAAGCTTTAAGATTATTTAGAAAGTCAGAGGTGGTGGCTGGGCATTGTGGCTCACGCCTGTAATGTCAGCACTTTGGGAGGCCGAGCTGGGTGGATCACTTGAGGTCAGGAGTTCAAGGCCAGCCTGGCCAACATAGCGTCTCTACTAAAAATACAAAAATTAGCCAGGTGTGGTGCTGCATGCCTGTAATCCCAGCTACTTGGGAGGCTGAGGTGGGAGAATTGCTTGAGTCTGGGAGGCAGAGGTTTCAGTGAGCCGCGCCGAGATTGTGCCACTGCACTCCAGCCTGGGCAACAGAGTGAGACTCTGTCTTAAAAAAAAAAAAAAAAAAGTCAGAGGTGGAATCAGATTCTGTGAAGAATTAGAAGAGGCATCAGAAGACACTCTTTAGTCTTCGTATTTTAAAGATGTAGAAACTGAGTCTCTTATAGATTAAATGATGTGGTGAGGTTACAGCTGAAACCCAAGCTGGTTTCTTGACTAGTGCTCTTTCCATACCACCTCTTCTCTCTTGACTATCACATTGCCTGCCCAGATCCCATGTTGTCATATATTTTTGTATGTAGTTTGTGCTGTCAAAGACCTCTTTTCAAAATGCACACACTCAACCATAGACTGTTACCGTTATTGGTTTTGTTACTTGAAATTATAATTGGAACAATTAGAGATGCGTCAGTGGAAAGGCAATGAAAGAAGGCCATTAAGTGCTAATAAATGCCTCTCCTCATGGGAACGGAGATCTTTTCTTCTCTATGTATTTGAGCTCTTTTCACTGGTGCTTTTAAGTGGCTAGAAATAACACTTGCCACACGCTTGTGGAATACTCTGGATGCCAGGGGGTTCATTTTATTCTGTATTTGAATTGAGCACACTGCGGTTGGAATGTGTGTTGATTCTTTTGTTGATTTAAGCATTCATTCCATGTTTTGCATTAACCTTTTCTCATGGAAGACAGAATAGTGAGAGCTCTTAGAGAATGAAGTCTTTAGGTAGCTGATGACTTTCCAAGAAACAGATGAAAAGGTTAAAGTTGTAAGTGTTTATGTTGATATATTTTCCTTTTCATAACACCCTAAAATCTAGATACAATAGTCTTCCCTTATCTGAAGTTTTGCACTCTGCTGTTTCAGTTACCCATGGTCAATTGCGGTCTGAAAAGACTCAATGGAAAATTCCAGAAATACACAATTTATGTTTTAAATTGCATGTCATTCTGAGTAGTTAGTTAAATCTCTTACCATTCTGCTTTGTCCCACATGGAATGTAAATTATCTCTTTGTCTAGCATATCCACATGGTATACACTATCTGCCTGTTAGTATTATAGAGTCAGGTACTATCTGTGGTTTCAGGCATCCACTGGGGGTCTTGGGACATATCCCCTGCAGGTAAGGGGGAGCTACTGAACAGTGTGACAAATTGGATGTAGCCCTCCCTAAAGCTACATGCTTACCTGTGGCTAGCAAGAGATAATCACTACTTGTTGATATGGTGATATATTAGCTTCAGAAACGAATTTAGGTAAATAATGAATGAATTCCAGAATAACTTACCAATACTAAAAATGATGACAATGATAGTAATGATGATGATAAGGATAATAGCAGCTAATATATTTGACTACTTACTATGAGCCTGTAAGTCTGTGCCTTATAGAAATGAGCAAGGTTGTCCTGTCCTAAGAGAGGCTACATAGGAGAGGATTTGACTTGGGCTCCTGGTACTTTTGGAAAAAACAGGAGGGGCATCTAAATATGCCGGCATATCAGGAAATGCTTCCCACAGGAGGCTGCATCAACATGTCTTTAAGAGTGAGTTCATTCCTCAATAAAGAAAGAGGCATTAGACAAAGGCTTCTGTGGTTAAGGAGTCAACACTGAAGTGTGAAATTAGTGTAGAATCCCTTGGGAGCCAGCTGTTCTGGGAATAAAAAGTTTGCGTGGGGGAATCATGGATGTGGCTTCTAGAGAGTGAGAGAGAAGCTGGATCCAGGAATCCACTTAAATCCTTCCTGGTTAATTGGAAAATCAGATTCCATTCTTTTTAAATAAACAGGATGTGACCATGGTAGTGCTCCATTCTGTTTTAGTGGAGAAAGCAACCTACACTTTTTTGGCTTCCAATTAAATACCTCACTTTACCCCAACATCTTTTTTTTTTTTTTTTTTTTTTTTGATAAAGAGTTTCACTCTTGTCACCCAGGCTGGAGTGCAGTGGTGCAATCTCGGCTCACTGCAACCTCCACCTCCCGGGTTCAAGTGATTCTCCTGCCTCAGCCTCCTGAATAGCTGGGATATTACAAGTGCGTGACACCACGCCCGGCTAATTTTTGTATTTTTAGTATAGACGGGGTTTCGCCATTTTGGCCAAGCTGGTCTCGAACTCCCAACCTCAGGTGATCCGCCCGCCTCGGCCTCCCGAAGTGCTGGGATTACAGGTGTGAGCCACTGTGCCTGGCCTCTAGCATCTTAAAATAGTGAAAACAAAAGAGTACACTATTGGCTGGAGAAGCTCACTTCTACCCTATCCACGCTCTTCTTTTCCAGCCTCCTGCCAAGGAGCTGGTAATGTATATTCAGGACCAAGGACAGTAATTGGGCCCCATTTCTTCATCTGAAGCCTTAGCAGGGGAGGGGTTGACGTGAGCTGTCTAGACCAGAACTGCCCTGGTCAGCGGGTAAGTGTTCTCTTGCTGTTGCTTCTTCTCACTGGCTGGTTTGTCTTCCACAGGTGGAAGACAAACTTTTCTAGTCACTGTCGTGTCAAAGAAAAGTCTGAGATTCATGTATGGGCTTCGTGGAGAGGGGCAAGGGAGGCCTTTGAGCCTCTTTGGTACCAGGCCTTAGGGCTACCTCTTACCTAGGCCAAATGAGGATTTCATGTGGTCCAGCCCATGTTTCCAGGATTGGAAAGGGAATACATTGAAGTTTGCAGCAAAACCCAGCTCAGTTTGTCCTTTCCACATGCATTTCTTTTAGAAACTCTGCAGGAAGGGGTGGCTAACAGAACTGAATGTTTAGCATCCTGAGTTTTATTTTTTGTTGATGTATAATACATATTCTCAGTTGGGGTGATATTGCCCCCAACAGGGCAAAAACTGGTTCTTGGGGGACAAAAAGAGTCTTACTCTTTTTATGTTTAAAGCGCAGGTGTATGTAGAGCACATATACTGGTATATAGTATATCTATGATATTAAACTTAATAGGGGAACATTTAATGGGGAAAAATATCAAATAAGTTTCATTAGGGGAACCATAATGAAAAGAAGGGTGAGAAACACTGGCTTAAATCATTGTCTGTCTGTCTGTCTCTCTCTTTTTCTTTGTCTCCTTCCTAGGTAGTACAAGGCTGGTTCCAGTGACCTATAATGTCATCACTATCCTACTCTTTGTTCTTTTCTGATCTTCCATCTGCACAATTACCTTGTAGTATTAAGGTGGTTGTTGCAGCTCCACTATCATATATAGCTGACAGGGAGACAAAAGAAGAGGAAGGGTAAAAGTTACACATTAACGAAATCAGAACCTTTTAAAGGAACTCTTCTGATGTCACTCAAAACCTCTAATTACATCTTACTGGGTAGAAGTTAGTCATGTGGACACCCCATTTGCAAGGGAGGCTGGGAAATGCAGATTGATTTGTCTATTAAAGTTGGGCACATTGCCATTCCCAGCAAAATTGGGATTCTGTTAATAAGAAAGGGAAAATAGATATTAGGTAGGCAACCAGTGATCTTTTTACTAGTGCTTTTTGCCATTCGTTTTCCTGGCAGCCAACTTGGGTAAAATATAATCTGTGATTTGGAAAAAGTGAAAGCTAAGTGCCTTTATTTTATGCCAGGACTCATTCATCTGGTGCTTTAAATTCTTGAACAGACTGACTTAGTGCATAAGCAAATAAAATGGATTAAATATTAAGGCATTAAGTTCTTCAGCATGTTTCCTGGTGGGGAGAACACTTAGTATTTGTAAAGTGAGAACTGACTTCTTTGTTCAGTTTATAGATCCCTGACTCAGAAACTTTTGCATTCTAAATGTTTCAGTGGGAACCATTAATTATTGATTATTTAGATTTCATGAAAATATGTTGTTTAGAAATTTTGAATTTTGTGAATAAAAGCAAAATATTGGGATTCTTAAAGATGTCAACAAAAAATAAGTAAAAGCATTGTATTTCCTGCAATTGAATTTGTAGATATGTTTTTCAGATAAAATTATGATGGTATTGAGTACTTCATATTATAGAGTAGCTGACAGCATCAAAATATGATTCTTTGTAAATCTGTAAGTACTAATATTCTTAATATATGCCAATAATTTAGAGAAAAAAAGTAAACTTCAGTAGAAAATTTCCAATTAAATCTGTAGATTTTGGTAAAATTACTTCCTCTAGCGATTAAAATTGCATTGTAATGGTTGGCAAAGTTCCCGGATTTGGGCATGAAAGTACAGAGCTATTTTAATAGCACCATTGTGTTCAGGGTGTGGAACTGGATTCTTGACCTCAGTGCTTCTTGGAGCAGGGGGTGGGCAGTATTTGTGTGATTTGTCTGTCTTTCTCTTCCTATCTCCTTTCTTTTGCCTGTTTCCCTTTCCTTGTTTCTTTTTTTGTTGGATCAGTATATTGAAATATTGTGAGATAGTACTCCTATAGGAATTATTTTGGTGCACAGATTTTTTTTTTAGACAGAGTTTCACTCTGTCACCCAGGCTGAAGTGCAGTGGCATGAACATGGCTCACTGCAGCCTCGACCTCCTGGGTTCAAGCAATCCTCCTGCCTCAGGCTCCCGAGTAGCTGGGACTACAGGCTCAAGCCACCATGCCCAGCTAATTTTTACATTTTTTGTAGAGAAGGGAGTCTTGTCATGTTGCTCAGGCTGGTCTGGAACTCCTAGGCTCAAGTGATCCTCCTGCCTTGGCCTCCCAAAGTATTAAAATTACAGATGTAAGCCACTGTGCATGGCCAGAAAATTGTATTAAATACTTTGAAAATTAAGTTTTAAAAGAGATTTCTCTGTTTTTTGGTTTTTGTTTTTGTTTTGTTTTTTTTGAGATGGAGTTTTGCTCTTGTCGCCCAGGCTGGAGTGCAATGATGCGATCGCGGCTCACCGCAACCTCCGCCTCCTGGGTTCAAGGGATTCTCCTATCTCAGCCTCCCGAGTAGCTGGGATTACAGGCATGCACCACCACGCCTGGCTAATTTTGTATTTTTGGTAGAGATGGGGTTTCTCCATGTTGATCAGGCTTGTCTTGAACTCCCAACCTCAGGTGATCTGCCGGCCTCGGCCTCCCAAAGTGCTGGGATTACAGGCGTGAGCCACCACAGCTGGCTGAGATTTCTCTGTTTTTAAGGAAAAAAATTTTAAAAATATATTGGTTCTGGATTTTTTTTTAAATTTTATTTTCTTCCAATTCTATTCCATGTCATTAGACAGAGTCAATAATATTGGCCCACCTAGTATTCCGTATTTTGTAATTTGGTGAATATATTTGGGTCTTAAATGTTCATAATATCAATTTAAATGACCCCAGCAAATTACTGGTGAGTTGAGAGTCATCTTGCCTATTCTTTTGGTCCATATAATGCCTTGTAGCTGTCTGCCAGTTGTGAATTAGATGTAGGATTGTTTTCTCTCTATGTTATGACTATATGGAACAATGACGAATCTTCTTGAAAGGGTATGTAGAAAGTGTAAAAAATATTTAGTGCCTAGGCACTGAAGGAGGCTCTGAGGGAACACACAAGGGTGAGGGAGCAGACAAGTGTGTGTTGAGAGCTTAGGTAGAGACATGTGGGGGTGGGGGGACCTCGAGAAGACTCCCAGAGAAGATGACATGCAGCTGAGTGTTGAAGATTTAGGGGGATAGGGATGTGCCTAGACACGAAGTCTAAGAGCACAGATGCGCACAGAGACTTACACTAGAGGACAAGGCTTTATTTCTGCTTTGTTTACTGTTATATCTCCAGTGTCTAAGGCTTCATTTAGCTTGTAGTAGACACATAATGCACATTTGTTGAATTAATAGGTTAAATTAATTGTAAGAAGTTCTATGCCTCTGATGTAGGGTTTCACTTGGAGAATGTTCAGAAATAAAATATTTTGTAAGTGATACTAAGATTTGGATTTCATGCTAAAGATCCTGGGGAGTCATTCAGTGATTTAAAGTCTGGTAATGATGTGATAGAACTTACATCACTGTTAAAGTTGGATAGGAGGGTGCTCAAATTAGATGCAGGGAAATTAGTTGTGAGATTAGTGTAGCAGTTTATATGATAGTTGGTGGAAGCTGGAGTGGTGATCCAAATAGACAAGAGAGGGTGAATTTAAGAGATATTAAGATAGAATCAACAGGACATGGTGACCAACTTGGAGCATGAGGATAGAGGTAGAAGGAGGATGGATGATTCCCAGGTGCTAGGCTTGGCGGACATTTATGGATGCTGATGATGTGGATTATGATTGGGAATGAAGGAGGAGAAACATTTGGATAGATTGTAATGAACTGTAGAGATGTTTGGTTCCAGACACCTAGTGGAGATGTTTAAGAGGTTAATATGATTGTAATGAGTTGTAGGGATGTTTAAGAGGTTAATGTGATTGTAATGAGTTGTAGAGATGTTTGGTTCCAGACACCTAGTGGAGATGTTAAGAGTTGTAGAGATGTTTAAGAGGTTAATGTGATTTTGAGTTCTAGTGTTTGGCTACCTCTCTGGTAGCTCGTTTCTATTCTCTCAGTTCCACTTCTTTCAGGTACCCATTAAATGTTGGTATTTCTGAGAGTCCATATTAATCACTTGTTTCCACTCCATTCCTACTCATCTGTTCCTTTGGCTTCAACTTCCTGCTCTGTTGCTCACTGTCAAATTATTGTCTCCAGACAAGACTTTTGTCCTGAGTGCCAACTGTTCAGTCTAACTGCCTACATGTTGTTTCAATCAGATATTCCCCAGGCATGTAAAGATAAATGTGTACAAATAAGGACCACTCATTTTCTTCCCCCATTTCTTTTACAATGTAGAGAAAAATGGTCAAGAGCACAGATGCTAGAGTTAGACTCCCTAGATTTGAGTCCCATATGTCACTTACTAGCTTTGTGACCCTGTGCAAATTATCTGACTTTTTTGTGCCTCTGTTTTCTCATCTGTAAAGTAAGAATAACAATAGTACCTTCCTCATAGGATGTTATGAGATCAAACAAGTTAATGCATATAAAGCAATCAGATTGGTGCTGGCACATGGTAAGCACTATATTAATCAGATCTTCCTTTATTTCCTGTCCTGGTTAGTGATACCATTGTTCAACCAGCTACCCAAACCAGAAATGTGACATTTATCCTAACTCTTCCATATCACTACATCAGAAGGAGATTCATCAGAAGGAGGGGCATCAGAAGGAGATTCCACATCAAAGCAATCATTAAATCCTGCCATTTGTCTTCTTTCCATCTCTACCATTACTGCCTTGGACTTGACATTTATTGTCTTCTTTCTGAATGACATACACCGGCTACTGACTAGTGACTCATCACCCTGTCTTTGATCTTTCTCTTCTTCAACGTTTTCTATATAATCCCCAGTGATTATTCTGAAATGCAAATCTGATCACTTAAAACTCTATAGCGCCTTCCTGTTCCCACAGAAAATAGACAAACACAAACTACCAGTAAAGACCTCTGAGGTCTGTTCTGGCTTCCTTCTGTAGACTCTTCTCTGTCTCATTCTGATCTCTCTTTAATGTTTACAGTTCTGTGATGTTTTGTGCTACTCTGGTCTTCCATGTCTTCGTATATCTGATTTTCTGTGGAATGCCTCCTACCTCATATTTCTTCTCAGATATTGTTTCTGGCAGCTCCTCCAAGCAGGATAGATATTCTTTGCTGTATGTTGATACTCTACCTTGGGTGGAGCTTAAGCATAGTACCTGTTATGCTTATTATAGTTATTTATTTGCATGTTGTCCTCCTCCAAGGCTGAGCTTGTTTATTTTTGAATAAATTGGCTCCATGAATCAACTTCTAGGAAACTATGAGTTATGCCTCCCATCTTCAGTTAAGGGCAGATGTTAAACATTTATTTACTGTACAGATTATCTGGTTAACAATCATTTACATCTATATTGAAGAAACCATCTCTGTAGTTACTTTATTTGCTGCCGGGGGGAATTTTTTTTAGTTTTCTTGATACAGCTAGTGTGTTCTTTTTCAGGCTTCCAAAGATCATTCTTTTCCTAGTGGAGCAATAACTATATTTCCTGGTAACTCAGTTACTGGAAGAGCCAATAAGAAATGTCATCAAGGTGGTTCTTAAACTATAGTGTGGGAATTGTACTCTATTTTTTTGTCTAGGAGTCAGGAAGCCATGAAAGAGCATTAACTTACTGCCTGAAGACCAGCTGTTAACACTGAAGATTAACGCTTTATTGAGATGGGTTGAGAGAGAAGAAAGGCATTTGATTTGTAGCTGTCATGTGGCATCCAGAGGGAAGCACTCTCTCTGACTGAAAATCTGTACAGTTCAACCACAAATAAGGCATTTGGGCAATATAACAGAATCAATTTAATAACACTGAGTCTTCAGGTTACTTTTTGAAGGTACATTTTGCAGGAAAAATGGCATACATATTTTCTTTTTATATAGATATATTAGAAAATAAATTTAAAAATATGTAGTCTAAATCCAAAGTAATGCTAAAGGAATAGTCATTATTTTTCCAGCATTTATTTAAAAAATGTTTTCCCATAAAACATGCTTACAGGTTTTCCCATAAAATATGCTTACGGGAGAAAACCTATTGCACAGAAAATGATACAATTCAATTGGATGGTGGTGCTCAGTGGCTAATGAACTATTCAATATTGTTCGTGTCAGTGCTTTGGCTCCCTGTTGCTGAAGGCAGGCATAAGTGCTTTCCAAACCCTTGCAGGTGATCAACACCAAGAGGATAGTTCAAATGGGGTCTGTGGCTCCTATCTCCAAATTCCATTAGCAAAATGTTAAAATATTGTATGTAGGCACTTAGTTTTTTAAGGTAAGCGAATACTACAATATCAGGGAAAACACACTGTGGCTGTGTTATATCAAAAATAATAGTAACATTTTTCCGTGGTGCTTGGGTTTTAAAACGGTTGGCGTTTGTTGCATTTCTTTTGATCCATACAACTTGGGCCATAGTTAGCATTATCTCAGTTTAGAAGTAAAAGAAATAGGTTCGGAGAGAATTTTGCCCATTCAGTGGTAGAGCTAATATTCAAAGGAAGGTTCTGTGTTTCTCATTCGAGGACTCATCTCCTGAGCTCACACAGCAAGAGTGTGCTGGGCATATGGTTTTCATTTTGCTGGACCATCAGAAGGAGACATATCTTTAGGATGTTCAGATTAGGTGCTCATTCTTCAGAAGAGAGAAACTTTTCTTTAGCACTTTGTTGTACTTCAGAGATGCCTGTGAAACAGGATAGACTTCGAAATAGTAAAATTTGATTATCAAAATTTTTGGCTTTTGGTGAGAATATATCTGTCAGTGGTAGGACTGGTGAGAGCCATGAAGGGAACTAGTAACTGTGAGTTAATAAGAAGGGGGTTGGATACTGGAATCTATTTATTACTCTTAATGCAAAGTTCTGTTTGCTTAATAAAAAAAATGTAGAGAAAAATGTTAGATGTATCTGTGTATTTTTAGTCAACACATAATTATTTGCTATTTATAATGTTTGATACATTCTATTTTGCTTTAACAACATTCACAGGGATTGTTACTAAATCTACATATAAATATATGGTCACAAGCATGAATTGAAACAGGTCTCAGCATGAAGATATAAAGTGACTAAACCTTTTTTTCTTCTTTCTTCTCTCTGTCCTTTCTTCTCTGCCTTTTTTCTTGAAGAAAATATTTTATTGACTTGTTAAATGGCATTATTCAGGCCATTCATCATTTTTCCTTGGCATTTTATACATCCTAAAATTTCACTCATGGTCCTCACGGCTCAAACAGATGCCCTCCAGCTCTTTTTATTTTTATATCCTGACTTAAATTTTTTTTATTATTATACTTTAAAGTTCTGGGATACATATGCAGAACATGCAGGTTTGTTACATAGGTATACACATGCCATGGTGGTTTGCTGCACCCATCAACCCGTCATCTACATTAGGTATTTCTCCTAATGCTGTCCCTCTCCTGGCCCCCCACCCTCTGACAGGCCCTGGTGTGTGATGTTCCCCTCCCTGTGTTCATGTGTTCTCATTGTTCAACTCCCACTTATGAGTGAGAACATGCGGTGTTTGGTTTTCTGTTCTTGTGTTAGTTTCCTGAGAATGATGGTTTCCAGCTTTATCCATGTCCCTGCAAAGGACATAAACTCATCCTTTTTTATGGCTGAACAGTATTCCATGGTGCCCTCCAGCTCTTTACTCTGGAGTTTTGCTTTTTTCCCTCCCTGCATTCATTTTGATTCTCAAATTAACCTGTTCCTTTTTGGTTAAAAATAAAACAAACAAAACAAAGTAGATGCTTTGTTTATTTTGATTAAATTTTAAATGATTGTTGAAGCCATCTAAACTAGCAGTTATTCTAATATAGCGCATGAAGAATATTAAAAGTGTATTTAGTTATATGTATTTAAATATATTCAAAACATCATTATAAAGAGAGTATTGTTCTTTCTCTTTTCTGAACTCCAATGTAGTTTATCTTCCCTTCTTTAATGGTTTTCATGACTATGTTTTGTTCCCATTAGGTTCCGAACTCCTGGTGTCTACCCAGCATGAGTCCATGCCCACAGCATCTCCCTAGCACTTCTTAATTTCTCAGTGAATTTTTTTTGATGAATAAATAATGGTATTTCAGTCGCATTTTCAAAAGCACATACAAATTTGTAATTTCACTATTTTCTATTGTAGTCATATACGTTGACATTCTAAATGAACTTTGGTCCTTGAAGTCAATGAGAAAAGTCATTAACTTAAGGTTGTTCAGTACTATTTCCTCTGTCAGAACACACAGTAGCACTTGCCAAATAAATTAGTTGTAGTAGGAGAAATTTGGCTTGATTTTATCTTTTTGACTCTCCATTCCAAACTATCAGTGCAGCTAAACACTTGGGTTTTGGAGCATTCTCACTGTCCTTTGCCTATTTTATAAGCTGCTGTTCATTGAAATCCCATCTGTGTTGAAGCTCTGTTCTGCCAAATTTCCTACAAAACTCATAGCACGCCACATGCCATTATTGCCCACTGAATTGTTGAGTAACATATCCTGACTTGAGGCCAGTGGTTTTCAAACCTTGGTGAGCATCAGAAACATCTGGGAGCTTGTTAAGAGTACAAATGCTGCATGCCTTCCCCTGAATATGATGAATCTGTAGCTTCAGGATGAGTCCTGGGTGTCTGTGGTTATAATACTTTCTGATGGGCCTGGAACCACATTTTGAGAAAAACTGCCACTGAGTGAAAAGTTTATTTTGAATGGAATTCTGTGATGATTCCTCTAAAAGTTGTGAGACATTCTAAATGTGTTTAAAAACTGTGCTATAGGTATGTTTTTGAATTCTTCGACATTGCAGAATCAGCAATAATTTATGTGGCATTGCAGATGTAATATTATGTAGTACTATCTTTGCTGCAGTTTTATTAGCTTAGTGTTTATTAATATGTCATTTAAAATATGATCTTTATCAAAACGTCCATTTATCAGGAATAAGAACAAATGGAATGAGAACAAACAAAACTCAATTTGCAATGTTTGTTTTCTGCTGTTAATTTCTATAGACAAAATACTTATTTCTACTTGATCCCACATTTTATGTGTCCTTTTTTTTAGACAAGAGTCTCACTCTGTTGCACAGGCTGGAGTGCAGTGGTGCGACATTGGCTCACTGCAACTCTGCCTCCCAGGCTCAAGCGATCCTCCCACCTCAGCCTTCTGGGTAGCTGGGACTAGAGGCCCACGCCACCACGTCTGGCTGGCTAGTTTTTGTAGGGTTTTTTTTTTTCTTTTTTTTTTTGTAGCGCTGGGTTTTTGCTATGTTGTCCAGGCTGGTCTTGAACTCCTGGACTCAAGCAATTCACCAGCCTCAGCCTCCCATAGTGCTGGGATTACAGGTGTGGAACACTGTGCCCGGCCTTGTTTCCTTTTATTGGAGAAAAGTGTCAGTATATTTAGAGGATACAATCTAATGTGCCTTTAGTAGTGGTATATGATGGTGCTAATATTGATCTTGAGGCCAAAGAGCGTACTGGGTTTTTTAATTATCAAAAAGAGTTTAAGAATTAATTTCAGTATCACATATTTTCTTTAATGCTGATTCTCTGAAAATCAAAATTCATTGATAATACACAGAAACTAAGGGCAAACTTTTATCAGTTTCAGCTAGATGAATGAATGACATATTCCAGTGAAGTCATTATGATAATGTACATGGATTTCTGTGCAATATAAGGCCCTCCTCCTCCTTTTTTTTAAATTTGAAAATGCTTCTTTTATTAAGATGGGCCTATCATTGTTTGGATAAGCGATACATTGAAAGGTTGGGAATTAGGAGAATTGCTGTGGAACTTGGTTTATGAATGTACAGGTGATAAGAATTCCTTCATGCCTTAATCTGTATTTCTTACTTTTTTTAGGGACTTTCTCCCTCGAGGGTCGGGCATTGTAACAAGACGACCTCTTGTGCTGCAGCTTGTTACTTCTAAAGCAGGTAATGAATGAAGATGTTTACCGCATGGATGGGCACATCCTGTGGCCCCTTTTGCCTTCATAGGTGTGGGATTGTACAAATAGAAACGTTTTTGTGATCGCCCCACTGTGGGCAGCTGCCCACATTTCTCTCCAGAATGCTGCCTTCTTCATTGCTCTTTTCATTCCTTTGATTACATTAAAGGGGATATTTTCATAGATTTTTTTAAAATACCTACTTAAAAAAATGTTTTATTGCTCATTGTAATCCATCTATATAATTTTACAGTACAGCACAACCACTAATACTCCTTTGGTATGCTTTGTGTGTGTGTGTGTGTGTGTGTGTGTGTGTGCGTATGTGTGCATGCACATGCACTTGGGGATTAACTCATAAAATTCAACAACCATATAATATCTGTATGGATGTGTATGTGCGTATCTATATTTACACTGTGCTATGCTTCCTTCTCTCTCTTACATCATGATAATTTGATAGGTAAATGATGCTTTGTTTTTATTTTCATTTTATTTCAGCAACTGATGATGTTGAATTTTTTTTTCATGTTTATTTGCCATTTGTATTTCTTCTCTCGTGAATTGGCCATTTTTCTTTTTCCCCATTTCTTTTTGGGGATTTTACTAGTTTTCCTATCAATTTCTTTGAATGCTTAAGACTGAAGCACCTCATAAAAATCATCTATCATAAATTGCAAATATTTTTAATAGCTTGTTAAAGATACAGTTTACATACCATACAACTTGACCAATAGAAGTTAACAGTTGAATAGATTTTAGTCTTTTCACAGATATGTGCAACCATCTCCACAATCAGCTTTAGAACTGTTTGATCACTCCCAAAAGAAAGCCTGTATGTTTCTGCTGTCACCTCTTTTCATAACACCTTTCCCCACCACTCCAGCCTAGGCACTACTAACCTATGTTCTGTCTCTATGGATTTCCCTATTCTGGACATGTCATATGAATAGAATCATTTAATATGTGGTCTTTTGTAATAGGCTTTTCTTGCTTGGCATAATCTTTTCAAGGTTCATCCATGTCGTAGCATGTATTAGAACTTCATTTCTTTTTATGGCCTAATAATATTCCATTGTCTGGATAGATCACATTTTGTTTGTCCATTCGTTAACTGAGGAGCATTTGAGTTGTTTCCACCCTTTGGTTATTATGAATGATGTTGCTATAAACATTCATGTACATGTTTCTGTGTGGACATGTGTTTTCATTTCTCTTAGAAATATACCTGAGTATAATTGCTGGGCCATGTAGTAACTCTCTGTTTAATTGTTTAAGGAACTGACAGACTGTTTTCAAAGCAGCTGCCCCATTTTACATTCCTACCGGCAGTGTATGAGGGTTACAGTTTTTCTATATCCTTGCTAACCCTTGTGGGTAAGAAGTGATATCTCACTGTGGTTTTGACTTGCGTTTTCCTAATGACTAAAGATACTGAGCATCTTTTCATGTGCTTAATGATCATTTGTATATATTATTTAGATAAATGTGTATTCATTTCCTTTGCCTAGTTTTAAATTTGGTTATTTGCCTTTGTATTACTGAATTGTAACAGATATATATTAAATACAAGTCCCATATCAGATATTTGATTTGCATTTTTTTTTTCTATTTTATAGGCCCTTTTCATTTTCTTGGCAGTGTCCTTTGAAGCACAAGATTTTTTATTTTGGTGAAGTCCAATTTATCTACTTTTTTCTTTCATTTCTCGTTATTTTTGTATATATCTAAGAATCCTTTGCCAAAACCAAGGTTATAAAACTTTATTCTATGTTTTCTTCTAGGAGATTTATAGCTTTGATCTTCCACTTAGGTCTTTGATCCATTTTTTAAAATTACTAATTTTTAAATTTTAAATTTCATTTTAGATTTGGGGATAGGTACAGGTTTGTTATATTGCATAATGTGTAATGCTGAGGTTTGGGTTTCTAGTGAAACTATCACCCAAATAGTAAACGCAGTCCCCAATAGGTAGAATTTCAACCTTCACCCCTCTTCCACTCTTCCCCCTTTTGGAGTTCTTTGCATCTGTTTTTCCCATCTTTATGTCCATGTTTACCCACTGTTTAGTTCACACTTGTAAGTGTGAATGTGTGGTATTTTATTTCCTATTTCTGTTATTTCTCTTAGAATAATGGCCTCCAGCTCAGTCCATGTTGCTGTGAAGGACATGATTTCATTCTTTTTTATGGCTGCATAGTATTCTATGGTGTATGTGTCCCCTGTTTTCTTTATCCAGTCAACTGTT
This sequence comes from Homo sapiens, assembly GCF_000001405.40. Taxonomy (NCBI): domain Eukaryota; kingdom Metazoa; phylum Chordata; class Mammalia; order Primates; family Hominidae; genus Homo; species Homo sapiens. The sequence goes on from NC_000001.11 coordinate 171,924,084, forward strand.
GGTGGGCTTAGGTTGATTCCATGATTTTGCTGTTGTGAATAGTGCTGCAGTAAACATACAAGTATAGGTATCTTTTTGAAATAATAATTTCTTTTCCTTTGGGTAGCTACCCAGTAGTGGGATTGCTGGGTCAAATGGTAGTTCTATTTTTAGTCCTTTGAGAATTCTCTATACTGTTTTCCATAGGGGTTAAACTAATTTACATTCCCACCAATAGTTTATAAGTGTTCCCTTTTCTCTGCAGCCCTGCCATCATGGGTTATTTTTGACTTTTTAACAATAGCTGTATCAGTCTATTTTCACACTGCTATGAAGAACTGCCCAAGACTGGGTATTTTATAAAAGAAAGAGGTTTCATTGACTCACAGTTCAGCATGGCTGGGGAGGTCTCAGGAAACTTACAATCATGGTGGAAGGCAAAGGGGAAGCAAGGCACCTTCTTCACAAGGTGGCAGGAAGGAGAAGAGCCAAGCAAAGGGGAGGAGCCCCTTAAAACTATCAGATCTCATGAGAACTCACTATCATGAGAACAGCATGGGGGAAACTGCCCCCCATTAATTACCTCCACCTGGTCTCTCCCTTGACATGTGGGGATTGTGAAGATTATGGGGATTACAATTCAAGATGAGATTTGGGTGGGGACACAAAGCCTAAACATATCAATAGCCATTCTGACTGGTATGAGATGATATCTTATTGTAGTTTTGATCCGTATTTCTCTGATGATTAATGATGTTGAGCATTGTTTTCTTATGTTTGTTGGCTGCTTTTATGTATTCTTTTGAGAATTGTCTGTTCCTGTCCTTTGCCCACTTTTTTTTTTCCCCCTTTTTGAGATGGAGTCTCGCTCTTCTTGCCTAGGCTGGAGTGCAGTGGCGGGATCTCGGCTCGCTGCAACCTCTGCCTCCTGGGTTCAAGTGATTCTCTTGCCTCAGCCTCCTGAGTAGCTGGGATTACAGGTGCCCACCACCACGCCCGGCTAATTTTTTGTATTTTTAGTAGAGACGGGGTTTCACCATGTTGGCCAGGCTGGTCTTGAACTCCTGACCTCAGGTGATTCACCCACCTCGGTCTCCCAAAGTGTTGGGATTACAGGCATGAGCCACCATGCCCGGCCCTTTGCCCACTTTTTTTAAATTCTTTTTATTTTATTTTTATTTTTGAGACAGAGTCTTGCTCTGTCACCCAGGCTGGAGTGCAGTGGTGCGATCTCAGCTCACTGCAAGCTCCGCCTCTTGGGTTCATGCCATTCTCCTGCCTCAGCCTCCCGAGTAGCTGGGATTGCAGGTACCCACCACCACACCTGGCTAATTTTTTTTTGTATTTTTAGTAGAGATGGGGTTTCATCATGTTAGCCAGGATGGTCTCAATCTCCTGACCTCGTGATCTGCCTGCCTTGGCCTCCCAAAGTGCTGGGATTACAGGTGTGAGCCACCGTGCCTGGCCTTTGCCCACTTTTTAATGGGGTTATTTGTTTTTTTCTTGTTGATTTGTTTAAAGTTCTTATAGATTCTGGATATTAGTCCTTTATTGGATGCATAGTTTGCAAAAATTTTCTCTCATCCTGTAGATCGTCTGTTTACTCTGTTGGTAGTTTCTTTTGCAGTGCATAATGTCTTTAGTTTAGTTAAGTCCCGTTTGTCTATTTCTGTTTTTGTTGCATTGCTTTTGGGGTCTTAGTGAGAAGTCCTTTTCCTAGGCTGATGTCTGGAGAAGTTTTTCCTAGGTTTTCTTCTAGAATTTTTATAGTTTGAGGACTTACATTTAAGTCTTTAATCCATCATGAGTTAATTTTTGTATATGGTGAGAGATAGGGGTCCAGTTATATTCTTCTGCATATGGTTAGGCAGTTTTCCCAACACCATTTATTGAGTAGGATGTTCTTTCCTCATTGTTTTTGTTGACTTTGTGGAAGACGTGTTGGTTGAAAATATGTGGCTTTACTTCTGAGTTCTCTGTTCTTTTACATTGATCTATGTGTCTATTTTCATACAAGTACCATGCTGTTTTGGTTACTATAGCCTTGTATAGTTTAGTATAGAGTAGTTTGAAGTTGGGTAATGTGATGCCTCTGGCTTTGTTCTTTTTGCTTAGGATTGCTTTGGCTATTTGGGCTCTCTTCTGGTTCCCTATTAATTTTAGTATTGTTTTTTCTAATTCTGTGAAAGATGATGTTGGTAATTTGATAGGAATTGCATAGAATCTGTAGATTGCTTTGGGCAGTATAGTCATTTTAACCATATTGATTCTTCCAATCCATGAGCATGGGATGTTTTTCCATTTGTTTGTGCTTTGATCCATTTTGAGTTAATAATTTTATGCACTAAGTGTCAAACTTTATTTTCTGCATGTGGATATCCACTAGTCCCAGCACAATTTGTTGAAAAGACTATTCTTTCCTCACTGTAGGATCTTGGCCCCTTTGTCAAAAATCTGTTGACCAGAGAAATACAGGTTTATTTTGGGACTCTCAGTTCTTTTCGACTGATATTTATGTCTATCCTTGGGCCAATAGCATACTCTCTTAATTACCCTTGCTTTGTGGTAAGTTTCAAATTGAGAATTGCAAGTCCTTCTACTTTATTTTTTTTCAGGATTGTTTTGGCTATCCTGGGTCTCTTGAAGTTCAATATGAATTTCAGAATGAGCTTGTTTTATCCCGGGAATGTAAGATTGGTTTAACATCTGAAAATCATATCAGTGGAATGAAAAAAAATCACAGAATTACCTCAATAGATTCAGAAAAAGTATTTGACAAAATCTAACATGCATTCATGATAAAACTCTTAGTAAATAAAGGGGAAGGAACTTCCTCAACCTGGTAAAGGGCTTATATGAAAACCACATAGCTACCATCATACTTAATGGTGACAGACTGGATGCTTTCTGTCTAAAATCAGTAATAATACAAGGATGTCTGCTCTTGTCACTCTTATTCAACATTGTACGGTAGGTTCTAACCAGGACAGCTGGGGAAAGAAAGAAATAAAAGGCATCTACCCTGGAAAGGAAGATGTAAAATTATCTCTATTTGAAGATGATGTGATCACATGTATAGAAAAACTTAAAGAGTCCACTAAAAAACTGTTAGAACTACTAAACTATGTTAGCAAGATTTCAGGATACACTATCAATACACAACAATCAGTTGTATTTTTTAAACTTTTATTTTAGGTTTGGGGGTGCATGTGAAGGTTTGTCGCATAAATAAACCCATGTCATGGGGGTTTGTGGTACAGATTATTTCATCATCCAGGTTTTAAGTCCAGTAAGCCCAGTGCTCAAGTTATCTTTTCTGCTCCTCTCCCTCTTCCCACTCTCCACCCTCAAGTAGACCCCAGTGTCTACTTTTTCCTTCTTTGTGTTCAAAAATTATCATCATTTAGCTCCCACTTATAAGTGAGAAAATGCAATATTTGGTTTTCTGTTCCTGCGTTAGTTTGCCAAGGGCAATATAGCCTCCATAAAGACACACATATGTGAATGTTCATTGTAGCACTATTCACAATAGCAGACATGAAATCTACCTAAATGCCCACGAATGACAGATTAGATTTAAAAAAATATAGTACATATACACCATGGAATACTATATGGCCTTAAAAAAGAACAAGATAATGTCTTTTGCAGGAATATGGAGGGAGCTGGCTATATTGTCCGTTATTGTAATTCTTAGTTTCCTTGGATTGGGTTTTGCCATCCTCCTGAATCTCAATGATCTTTGTTTGTGTCCATATTCTGAATTCTATTTCTGTCATTTCAACCAGCCTAGCCTGGTTAAGAACTCATGTTGGAGAACTGGTGTGATTGTTTAGAGGACATATAATACTCTGGCCATTTGAGTTACTGGAGTTCTTGCTTTGGTTCTTTCTCATCTCTGCATGTGGGTGTTCCTTTAACTACAGTGTAGATTGAATACAGTTGATAGACTTCTTTTCTGGATGTTTTCAGCAAGCCAAGGCTTTGTGCAGGGTTGTTCTTTGAAGCTGACTTCTTATCTCTGGCTTCAGGGTGGGGTATGTTAGTGAGGTATTTTTGGTGTTGAAGCTTTGGGGTGTGATCCAGTAGGTGGCACTTAGGCTAATTAATCAATTGGTAGACTTTTCCTCAGTTATGTGGCTCCCCTATTTTTCCTCACAGTTGCAGCTCTGTTCCCTCTCAACACTCTGAAAGGGTGGGTTCTTCTCCCTCTTGAGTGCTGGCTATAGACTGTGGCTTGGCATTCCTGGGCTTCTCACTGCCACTCTGGTGTGATCTCAGTACTTGTGTTCCCTCCTCCACTTGGAGGCAGTGGAGGAAGGGACCTTAGTAGTGATTGTGGCCAAGGGTCTTTTGCTTGGTTCCTGGGGGCTCCACCCCAGAGAGATGCAGGTCAGCAATTGCTTAGTGCAATCAGCCCAGGGTGGAGGGTCTGTGCTATGGGACCAAGCCAGGGGTTCCCTGTCTGGTGATGAGCACTGGAGGGTGTGTGGGACCCATGTGAGACAGTCTGGCCTTCCTCCTTAGGTCAACTGCAGCTTGCTGGAGGTGTGAATAAGGCACTTAGGATCTTTGCTTCTTCATTAGTCTGAGGGTAGCAAGGGTAGTTCCACTGCAGAGGCAGTGGCAGAGAGGCTTTTAGTTGCTCCCGGAGGCTTTGTCCAGGGAATTGCCAAGCTGCTACTGGCTTGATTGCTCTGGCGCAGGGTGGCTGGAGGACCTTCCCGGTGAGGAGATATGGGAATGGGCACCCATCTAACAGTCTGGCTGCTTTTTCATAGAGCTCTTGTGGTATGCTTGGTGCCTGCTCTGGTCCCTAGTCACTTTGAATTTTCTAGTACCTGGAGGTATCACCAGTGAAGGCTGCAAAACAGCCATGATGGCGGCCTGCCCCTCCCTCTGGGAGCTCCGTCCCAGGGAGTTACAGACCTGTTGCCAGCCCAAACACTGTAGGAGGTGGCTGGAGACCCTGGTTGGGACGTCCCTTCCAGGAAGGAAGAATGGGATTGGAGACCTGCTTAGAAAAGCGGTCTGGCTATGTTTTCATAGAGCAGCTGTGCTCTGTTGGGGCATCTGCTTTAGCCCCTGGTTGCCTCAGACACTCCAAAGCCTGAAGGCTAGAATGGTTATGTTGCCCAAACAGCAAAGATGGCAGCCTGACTTTCCCTCTGGGAGCTCTGTCCCAGGGTGGTTTGAAACCTGTGTCAGCCAGAGAACACCAGTGGGGATAGCTAGAGACCCTGGTTAGGAAGTTGCACCTGGTGGTGAGGAACAGGATTGCGGACACATTTTAAAAAGCGGTCTGGCCATGTTTTTGTAGGACAGCTGTGCTGTGCTGGGGGTCCCTTCAGTCCCTGGTTGTCTTGGACTTTCCAAAGTTTGAAGGCTGGAACAGCAAAGTCACCCAAACAGAGCATTGGTGAGGATGGCTGGAGACCCTGGTTGGGAGGTCCTGCCCAGTAAGGAGGAAGGGGACTGGGGACCTGCTTAAAAAAGCAGTCTGGCCACATTTTTGGAGAGTAGCTATGCTGTGCTGGGGGACCGCTTCCACCCCTAGTCAGCTTGGATTCTCCAAAGCCCAAAGGCTGGATGGCTAAGTTGCCCAAACAGCAAAGATGGCAGCCTGGCCCTCCCTCTAGGAGCTCCATCCCAGGGAAGTTTCAAGTCTCTGTTGGCCAGAAAACACCAGCTGAGGTGGCAGAAGACCCCAGTTGGGAGGTCCCGCCTAGTGAGGAGGAGAAACAGCATTGGGGATCCTCTTAAAAGAGTGGTCTGGCCACATTTTCGTAGAGCAGCTGTGATGTGCTGAAGGACGGCTTTTCCCCCCAGTTGGCTTGGACTCTCCAAAGCTGAAGTCTGGAATGGCTAAGTCATCCAAATAGCAAAGATGGTGGCCCACCCCTCCCTCTGGGAGCTCTGTCCCAGTGAGGTTTCAAATCTCTGTGGGCTGGAGAATACAGGTGTGGGTGTCTGCAGGCTCTGGTTGAAAGGTTCCACCTGGTAAATAGGAACAGGATCAGGGACCAGGTTGCTTAGAAAAGCAACCTGGCCACGTTTTTGTAGAATAGCCATGCTGTGCTGGGAGATCCCTTCTGCCCCTGGTCAGTTTGAACTCTCCAAAGTCTGAAGGCTGGAATGGCGAAGTCACCCCAACAGCAAAGATGGTGGCCTGCCCCTCCCCGCAGAGCTCTATCCAGGGAGGTGCAATGCTGCTACCAGTGGCTGGCTGGATTTCCAAGCCAGTGGGTCATATCCTGTGAGGTGCCGTGGAATTGGGGCCTGCAGACAGTCACTTCTCAGCCCCCTGGATTCAGCCTCTTTCCTAGGGTTATGTATGGGGGTCTATCCTCCTGCTTTGCCATAGTTGCAGCTGCTTTTGTTGGAAAGCCTGGGTATCTAAGGCTCCTGGTCTCTGCATGTGCCTGAGTGGCTGCTCTGCTGAGATTCCACAAAGCTCTGTGTGTCAGACTGAATGCCGTGGTGGAGTGGGTTCATGAGGGAATCTCCTGAACTGAGGGTTGCAAAGATCCGTGGGAGAAGCATGGATCCCTGGGGTCCCTCATTTACTCACCGCTTCCCTGGGTGGGGGATGTTCCTCTGGCTCTGTGTTGATCCCAGGTGGGCCATTGTCCTGTCTTAGTTTTCTCCGTTCTCCACGGGTCAAGTTGTTTCCTTGATTAGTCCCAGTGCAAGTACTTGGATGTTTCAGTTGAGCGTGCTGTATTTACTTGCCCCTTCTGTGCCTCTCCATGAGAGCCACACATGCTAGCTGATTCTAGTCGGCCATCTTGGCCACCTCTCATCAATTGTATTTCTATACATTTGTGATGAACAATCCAAAAACGAAGTTAAGAAAATAATTCAGTTTATAATAGCATCAAAAAGAGTATATCGCTTAGGGGGAGGTGTGGTGGCTCACACCTGTTGTCCTGGCGCATAAGAAGGTAAGGCCAGGCATTAGAGACCAGCCTGGGCAACATAGGAAGCCCTCATCTGTATAACAAAAAGAGTATACCACTTAGGAATCAATTTAACAAAAGAAATGAAAAACTTATGCTATGAAAACTATAAATTATTGTTGAAAGAAATTAGAGAAGATCTAAATATTTGGAAAAATATTCCATGCTCAATGACTGGAAGACGTAACAGTGTTAAGATGGCAATGCCTTAAAAACTGATCTACAAATTCAATGCAATCCCTGTCATAATCCCAGCTGATATCTGGAGAAATCATAGATATTTTAACCATTTTTATAATGTTATAAAATCTGTATTAAGTTTGATTCAAAGGACAGGCTCAAGTCCTGTCATTTGAAAAAAGTAAATTATTTGTAACACTGTTTGTGGCCCTGAGGATATAAAAGTGATTAGGACAAAGTTTCTGTACTTCTGGTTATTTATATTCTGGATTTATTATTTTAAATATATAGAAGTTTTACTCTATGGTTATGAAATCTGTACATTTAGATTTTTAAAAAGTAAATATTTAGCACAGTGCTCTTCACTTTCATAGGTAAAAAATTTTAAACATTTCTTTACTTTATCTGAAATTTGTTTTCATGTATGCAGAAACAATTTTTTCCCCAATTCCCTTTATCTTATATTACAGTGTGGTAACTACTACCATCTATTTCTGAATATCTTTCTGTTTTATTGTACCAATTCCACAGTGTTTTACTTTTGTGGGTTTATAATTTGCTTTAAATATCTCACCTGGCAGGGCTGTAGTCCTCTCCCATTACTTTTTTTAAATTTAGGGGTTCTATTATAATTGTGTGGAAAAGTCTAGAAAAATTTTGTAAAGATGAAACTATTGCCACTAGAATTATTTTAAACCAGTAGATTTACTAGGGAATAACTGATACCTTAAAAATATTTATTATTTTTTTAATCCAAGGACCATAATGTATCTTTTCCTTCCCTCCCTCCCTCCCTTCCTTCCTTCCTCCCTCCCTTCCTCCCTCCCTCCCTCTCCCTCTCCCCATCCCCCACCCTCCCTCCATTCCTCCCTCCCTCCCTCCCTCCCTTCCTCCCTTCTTCCCTTCCTCCCTTCCTTCCTCTCTCTTTCTCTCTTTCTTTCCTTCTTTCCTCATTTTTGAGATAGGGTCTCACTCTGTTACCCAGGCTGGAGTGCGGTGGCATGATCATTGCTCAGTGTAACCTCCAACTCCTCAGCTAAAGTGATCCTGCTGCCTCCACCTCCCAAATAGCTAGGACTACGGGCATGCACCACCAGGCAAGGCTAATTTTTAATTTTTTTTTTGTAGAGATGGGGTCTTGCTATGTTGCTCAGGCTGGTCTTGAACTCCTAGGCTCAAGTGATCTTCCGAAAACAATTTACCTGCCTTGGCTTCTCAAAGTGCTGGGATTACAGGCATGAGCCACTGCACTCCCCACCCACCTCCTACCTTTTTCTTTGTATTTCTTAGTAAAAAAATTTTTCCCTTCCCTCACTTCAGGCATCCTATTAAAATTTTTGATGGTTTTATATAGTGTTCATGCTTTTCTAGATAGGGTATTCATCTTTATTTTTTATTGTTCTTTTAGTTTAGGTTATTTTACAGTTATATTTTCAAACTCCTTATTGCTGATCTTAAAAGCCGTTGCATTTTAAACTTTTTAATTAACCATCTTATTCTACATTTGGTAGATTAAAGCATTTTAAATTTATTCTCTTGGGTATTTTAGTTATACAGCCATTTCATTTGCACTTCTTAATTTATTCAGTAAATACTCATCATGCAAATACTGGAATGGCTGAGAAAAGAGACATTGACTAGAATATTAATAAGTTTCTTTGCAGTGGGGACCTTTTGGTGAGTATAGACATGGGAAAATATTCTTACATATTGAGCTCCTTCAAGAAGGCCTAACGTGCTTCTTTCCCATAACTTTTTGCCTCGTGTCTTCTAAGTCCTTGACCATTCCTTCTTTTTTTTTCCTGTTAATCAGTGAGGATCATAGCACACATAGCACCTCACTTTTCAGGCAAAATAGACTAGAAATTGTTTCTTCAGGGAAGACTTTCTGTCTACAGTCTTTCAGGTACCTCAAAATGGGGTTTTTGCATTACAGCACTCCACTCTGGCTGGTGTCAGCTGAAAACTGGGCTAATTTATTTTCATCCTAAGTGAACTTGTTCATAGAGAAATCTCATGTGACCGTAGACTTGGGTTGACGGTGGGCTAATAAAATGGGGGAAAGAAGCGATCTGGGGTGTGTGTTCACTGCTCATGCAGTTTGCTTGTGCCTTCAGATCTTAATTGGGACATAATATAAGTATGACTTCCTTTTGATTCATTCATTTATTCAACAAATATTTATTGAATGATTACTAGGTGCCAGGCAAATATTACTGTCATCATGGGGCTTACATTCTAGGTGGAGAGAAACCAACAATGAACAAAACAAATACACAGAATGTTAGGTGATAAAGAAAGTGAGTGTTCAAGCCACGCTGATATTTATGTAGGCAGAGGTAAGTTAGAAGGTTGTAGATGGGAGCGGCTTATGTGTTTGAAGTTTAGAAAGGAGGCAAGTGGGGCTGGAGGTGGATGAGTGAGACGGGGTGGTAGGAAATGGGGTAAAGAGAGCTACTGTTGCTGCAACAGCAAGAAAGCTGATTGGGGAGGGTCTTGTGAGCCAGGGATGATGAAAGGGAACATGATAGAAGGATTAGCATCTGAAAGTGGGGGCCACTGACTGTAAGTAAAATAAAGGATAGTGTGATTGAGATATTGGAGAGTGAGCTAGGGTAATTCCTTTACACACAAGGAGGATGGGAGGACGCCTCCTCTATTGCAACCAAATGGAAAAAGGAAAATGTGGGCAGCTGTGGTTATGTCTGTACTTTTAGCGGTAGAGAGTTAAGGGATTCTTCATTTACTGACTTTATTCTCTCCAGGAAGTAGAAGATAAAGTATTTGCTGATAGTAATCATTTTCTCTTCTCATTTCCATTAGTTCTGTCTCTCATTCCTCTTCAAAGTTTTATTACTGTTGGCTAGGACTTCAGAACAATGCCTTTCTCCTAGTTGTGATGAAAATGCCTTTTGTGTTATACTATGCATATATTACTTACTGTTCATTTGTCCTGGTGAGGAATTATTTTATTTTAGATTTTAAAAAGATTTTAAAGCATAACAAATAGGTGTGTAATTTTCTTGAGTGCCATTTTGGCATCTATTGAGATGATCACTTAAAAAACTCTTGGACATGTTTACCCTTACATTTATAGATTTCTTATTTAAGCATCCTTGCATTCCTAAGATATACTTGATTATAGCAATTAATACTTTTATTGTACTGTTGAAGTAATTCCACTAATTTATGTTATTTGCATTTCATTGTCTCTGTATACATTTATTATTGTCAAGTTATTGAATCAAAGCTATACTAGTCAGCATAGAATAAGTTAGTAACTCTCCCTCTGCTTCTCTTTTACTTTCTTCTATTAGCTTTTGCAATTCTTAAAAGCCCAGGGATGCATTTTAGTCTCTCTTTCCAATTAAGGAGCGCTACTAGCCTTGTTTTTTACAAAGTGTATGTCTTTGACTCAGGGCTTCAGAACTAGCAGCTGTGGTAAGAGCTTAGGCAAGGTTAGACCTGGGGATGTGGTGGCACCTGGGTCCGGAGGTGTGGGATGTCAGGACACTCAGGGACTATTCAAAACCATGTGGATACTGAGTGTCCAATGCAGTGACTTTGTCATAACCCTAGAAAGTCTTATAAAGAGATTGGCAGGCTCAGGACAGATACTATGTGGGAAACTAAAATGATGAGTAGCTACCATTTTTTGAGCATAATCAGCATTATCAGCACTGCACATTTTGATGCTATTTTCATTTAGTCCTTACAAAATCTTCTGGGATAGATATTATGATTTCCTTTTAGAATAAGAGACCCATTTTAGAAAAAGAGACTTAAGCAATTTATCCAAAGCCGCACTGTTGGTAGGAGTGGGGAATTTTACTCGTATCTGTATGATACTGCTAATATTGCATTTTTAAAAGAGAAAACTCCTACGGCTTGCTTTTATATTTGCAGAATATATTGTATATTTTATAGTATATTTTTAATGTAAAGGAGAATAAATATATAAATATTAAATATTATTTGGTTAATTCAGAATTACTATCTAATTTCCAACACAATGCCTATTTAGTAATATTTAACTGCTTGTCTCCATCTGCTGTTGTATTAGTTGCCAAACCGAGCCAAAAAATTAGAGGCCCTAAGCCTTATTCGGTGTAATTTGTTATAGGACATTTAGTACTTAGTACAGGAAAGCATTCCAGGAAATCACGTAGTATTGTGAGAAAGGTGAGGAAAATCATGGCTTCTTTTTTATTAATAAAGGTAAAAATTTTAAGTGCTAGGTCAAGGTAATTTGGTTTCAGAGAGGGACATTTCTGAAGGTGTGGCTTGGGAGGACAAGAGATGTACAAAACATTGATGAGGTCTTGGGTGATGACTGCAGTGTCATGAGCAAGGGAGCAGGAGAGGGTCTTTGTAAGACAATGGGACAGTTTCAGTGCGTTGTGGCTTCCTCCAGCGCCATGTTGAAACTGGCTTATGCCAGCTCCTAAGATCTGATTGTGTGCCTCTCTTTCCATGTCCATATTCAGTGACATCATGATGGTAGCTAGAAATTAGTCATGGTTGGAGTATTTACACTTCAGAAATTGGCAAATACTACAAATCAAAACTTTTTTTTTTTTTTTTTTTTTTTTTTTGCCTCTAGGGAGCCAGTTGTTAAGCATTTACCAGGACACCACTAATTCCTCCTTTCTCAATACCTGATCTTACTGTTTACTGGTTAAGCCATGTGTCAAACTGAGAAAGCAAATGTGCCTGAGGGTAATTTGATGAACTCCTGAGCACATTTAACGTATTACAGTGTTGCTAATTTAAGAAACAATCCATTTGGAATTTGATATGCCCCCTGAAGAAGGTGTTTTTTTTTTTTAAGACACCAGAATACAAGTCACTCTTTGCATTAAAAGTTACTGTAGGCTGGGAGCGATGGGTCATACCTATAATCCCAGCACTTTGGGAGGCCAAGGTGGGCAAATTACTTGAGGTCAGAAGTTTGAGACCAGCCTGGCCAACATGGTGAAACCCCATCTCCACTAAAAACACGAAACAGCCGGGCATAGTGGCACATACAGCTACTTGGGAGGCTGAGGCAGGAGACTCACTTGAACCCGGGAGGCAGAGGTTGCAGTGAGCCAAGCCCAAGATCACACCACTACACTCCAGCCTAGGTGACAGAGTGAGACTCTGTCTCAAAAAAAGAAAAGAAAGAAAGAAAGTTACTGTTGGCGGGTTATAACAGTAAAGTCTCTGGGTCAAGGTTAAGGACAAATGGTTTTGTCTCCTGGATAATTTTTCTGTTAAAATATCTCTCTAAATGCTACTATATTGTTTACTCTGCTTTATTTCAATGACATTAGTATAAGAAAGGAAGATACTAAAATAAGAAATCACAAAGTAAATAAGTTAAGGGTAACTTTAAATTACCAAAGTATTCTTTCTTTTGTAGAAGGTTTTCTTGCTATTTCTTCCTTTCATGGATGTTAAATGTATTATTCATTTAATTTACCACCTTTATATTGTATCTATTACATAATGTAAAGGGTGTCCATGTTTTAAAATTTTTACATGACTTGGAATTTATTAGATAATTATCAGTATTGAGTATTTGGGATCCTTGGCTGGAATTGCTATAAATAATTATTTTAATAAAGAAAGATACCCAGTAACAGAAATCAGAAAACTTGTTTGGAGGCACCAAGTAAGCAATGATGAATCATCACATTCTGGGAGAGGGGCTCCACAATGGGGGTCATGTTTAGAGCAGCCTTAGAGCACTGTGAGTCTAGGCAGACTGAGCAAAAGGGAAGAGATGGATTCCTACAACAATACTCAGGAGTCACTAATATGAGAACAATGTCAACTTTTCACCGATGAGATATTTTAAGGATGTTTATAGATTAGTTAGACTTTGTCTTGATTTCTGTACAATGTCAAGGACTTGTTCTCTAGTTTCATAAATTAGACTGATACATAGCAAAAACATTCAAATCTTGTTTTGAATAACAACATTGAAAACACTTTAAAACTACATTTCTCGCTTTGTTTTACATTTAAGTGTCTGAATTTAATTAAAATTGATATTTTAGAATAAGATAATCTGCTTTTGCAAAGGATTTATGTTTTTTTTTTTCCATTGTAACAAATTAACCTCATGGTAATAAATGTACTTCTGAAAACATTTCTTCTTAAACTACAGCTTTGACCTTGTTCTGCTTCACTGCTGGTTCCCTATTGCTGCTAAAGTGCAGGTTACAGAATTCATAGTTTAAATCTCTTTAATATTGTTATTCTTAAATTTTAATGTGCACAAGATACACTGGGTGGGCTTCTTATAGATGCAGACTCCTGGACATCACCCCTGGGAGGTTTGATTCATGAAGTCTGAGGTAGGGCCCAGAGACCTGCTTTATTTACTTATTTATTTATTTGAGACACGGTCTCACTCTGTCACTCAGGCTGGAGTGGAGTGGTGCCATCATGGCTCACTGCAACCTTGATCTCCCAGGCTCAACCTATTATCCTACCTCAGACTCCAGAGTAGCTGGGACCACAGGGGTGTGCCACCACATTTAGCTAATTTTTCTATTTTTTGTACAGAGATGGGTTTCAGCATGTTGCCCAGGCTGCTCTCAAACTCCTGGGTTTAAGCAATCCTCCTGCTTCAATCCCAGCAAGCCTCCTAAAGTGCTTTTGGATTACAGGTATGAGCCACAATGCCTGGCCAGATCTGCATTTTCAAGGACTAGTATCAGTTGCTTCTAAAGCTGTTGGTCTTTGAATCACATTTTGAGAAACACTCTCAACAGTTTCATCAAATTCTCTCACTATTGTTTTCTTTCTCTAGACACCTTTCCTTCTTCCTTTTAATAGAGTTTTTTTTTTTTTCTTGAAATGAGCAATCGTTCTTTTTATGATTTTCTAAATGTTCAGTCATGGCATCTGTATAGAAGTCTAAGCACAGTGCTTTGAACATAACCAGGCACTCATTCAATGTTGAACTGTGTTCTCTTGCCACCTGGGCATCTAGCTCAGACACCAGCACCCCTGGCTGTGGTGTTTCAAGACCTTTCACTATCAGAGGTTGAAATTCTAATAGCATCAAGGTTTTTTTTTTGTTTGTTACATAACCAACCCACCTTCCAGGCATAAACAGAGATAAAAACTATCCTACTGAAATCCCTGTACAAACAAGTGGTGCATATACACTTGTCCCTCGGAGCTTGGCATCTCCTCCTTGATTTCTGATAAGCCAAGGAATTTCCATGGTCCCCATGGAGTGTCAGACAGTTCTCAAGCACATAATTTTAAATCTGGAAAATGTAACTATCAAAATAAATTAAAATATATTTTGTGGAGGAGTTGGATAATGAGAATGATGAATTTTCTAAAAAGTTTGAGGATCACTGGAATAGAAGTGTTCAAAGGCATTTACCTTTTGGGCAGATGCTTTGTAATATTTTTCCTTGAATATTGGACACAATGTAATAAATAAATGAATCTCCAAAGTTCCCAGTTGGAAAAACATGCTTATTAGATGGAGAGAGATGCAGATACATCATACATATATTAAGGTCGGACTTGGTCCAAATATTCCCACATTTGTAACCTATTTCATTGAGAGGTCAAAATGGTTCACTTTCTGAAATCTTATAAGCCTTGTTTTTGAGGGGAAAAAAAGGTAGTTGGTGCTATCTGGGACTGTCATTCAGACCTACTTTAAATCTTATTTGATTGTGTTTTTTCAGGTCACTGTTCTTTTAATATTTGCATAGCTTAATAGATTCAACTTACCTTTATTTTATGCCTGGTTATTGGGATACCACTGTGAATTGCTGGTTATGTTAATTTTTTCTTCCTTTTTTTTCCTTACTGACAACACCCCAAAACTTATTTTTAACCCACTTTCTTTTGTTACTTTTTTTCCTTGGCTTAAGCATTGATTACACATTTATTAATAGACAAAATTTCTAGTAGTCAATTATGTACCTTCCAATATTGAGATCAATTTTTGCTCAATTCTCAAAATTTTGAGAAAAGCAACTGATCCAAATTTTATTTCTTCACAGTTAAATCACTGCCTTTTAACACCACATACATTTCCATTTATTAGGGAAATTACTAAATCAAAGGTATTATATTTCTCTTTGAAGTAAATGAAGAAATAATATATTTCAGTAGAATTACCACTCATGATTGTGAGGTTAAAGTGATTTTTGAATTGGTGTTTATTTGTTCTATTTTAGGTTTATTTGTCTCTTGTCTATTTTTGGAGGAGATATGGAGGTTTGTAGCTGCCTTGAGTTTCCAAACCAACGATTATACTTCTCTGAACTTAGTTCCATTTGGTCCATGTAATGTCTACTCCAGAATTAATGTCTGCTAAAAGAGATCGGATGGAAGAAAGACAAGTTCCTTAGTTTTAGGACTTTTCTTTTTTCTATTCCCTTCCTCATTCCCATTTAGAAAAAATAGGTTGTCTTGAAATAGTTGATATTGAAGAGAACTAAAAGACAAACTGTAGAGTTGTTAATATCTGTTTAAATCTGAGAGGAAGAAGTATAATTTTTTTAAAGTAAGAAAATGAATAGACTTGTTTTATATCACGCCTGGGTCTATAGTTGATAATAATTGTTACTTACCTACGCCTTCTTACTCTTATTGCTTCCCCTTGGGCCTCTAACAACAGAAATCATAGATCACAGATGCCCCTGTATTTGCATTTGTTAGATGAGTTGGAGTAGTCTGGAAGGCATTGTCTCTGTCTTCCCTTCCTCAGGGGGCATGCTTTATCCTTCCTGCTGCTACAGCCTGTCTTCCTCCCCATGATACTCTTATTGATCAGTAGTCACTGACCACGCAGAGAAGGACAGGTTATTTCATTTATTGCTGAATGATATGATCAGTGAGTTTAAGAAGTTGGTTGTTAGGGTGTCTGAACAGCTAAGAACAGACGATAATTGGGTTATTCTGCTGATTTATAAGATGGTTTTGTACTCACTCTAGGTGTTTATTTTTCAAAGTGAACTAACTTCTCATTAAGTACTTTTCAAATAATTGTGTTAGTTTAATATTAACAGTCTCCTGCAAGCCTGGTGGAATTTTTTTCTCATTATTTTCCCAAAGTGTATTTGTTTCATAAATTTTTATCTTTAAGTTTTTGCATTCATTTATTCATTCATCTCTTCATTAATGGATTTTGAATGCCTGCAGTGTGCTGCACAACAGAGAGGTTGCCAGTTTGTGTCTTGCAGACCATGTTTCAGTTGTTTTCCTGTTACTCTCATCTTGGCTAATATTTAAAGAGACCTGAGTTTTTCTTTTTAACCTCTGCATAATTAAAACACTGGATGGGATTGTTTCCCTCAGTTAGCTTCAGTTTTTACTGTTACATTACATTGCAATTTGGGGTGATGCAATTCTTTACAAGCACTATAAAAAGTTGGACTTAGAAAGAATGTATCTCTGTAAGGCATGTTGAAAGCAACTTGAGAGTCTGTTCTTGGAAGAGTCTTTAATCTAAGGCATATCAACTACAATTTCCATTTTAAATGTCTATTTGCCCTTGTTTCTCTCATTCCCTATCAAAACCCTTTTTCTTGACATGTATATGATATACCTGACTTTTCATCATTGTACTATTTTAACATTTTTATTTTTCTGTGTACATGTCTACCAATATTTATATTAGATACCATGTAGGCATTTCATTGATCATGTACTAGTGCAGAATTCAGAATAAACATAAATATATTTAAATATGATACTGGCTTATTTTGATTTAGAATGTAGGTGTAATCTTTAAAAATGGTCTCAATTGTTTATTATTGTCTAAATTGTTGTTTGCTTTAAAATAAAATTTTAAATTATTTTGTATCTGTGCTATTGAGATCATTAAACTTGAGTATTCATTAAAAAAACTCATGAAGAACACATACTTAACAAATGTTTATTGATTACCTTTCCTCATGTGAAAGCTGCATTTTTTTAGGTTTCTGAAGGATAAACAAAGCTACACATATGACAAAGTGCTTACACTAAGCGGGTTATACTATAGTGTCCAACAGGTATGGTGAGCATATGTTCAAATTGAGGATGGCTAGGAAAAAAATTTACAAGACAAATACATGGTGGATTTAGCAAAGGTGGCTTGGGTATTTATTCTCACCTGTTGGGCACTACAGTATAACCCTTTTAATGCTTAGCCAAATCCTTAAATACTTCCTGGATACTATAATAGCAGAGTTACCCACAGGAGTGATATGAAGAAATAATATGACTGAGGAAGGTATACATACTGCAACTGTAGAGTGAGGAAGAATAGTGGAGGTGAATGTTTAGAAGTCAGGCCTGGAGAATACTCCCCCTCAGGAAAAGTCAGCCCTCTTCCTCTTTGTGCCGCCCCACTTCTGGACTGAGATGTCTACCATAGAGTCCATCTTGGTGTGCTATTGACTGGTATATTTGTGTTCATCCTAACAGGATGTTTGCTTCTCAAGGGCAGAGACCAGTGTGTAAAGCTTAATATCCTTGTTCATAGTATCCCTACTTTATGGGTTCATTGTTTTCCCCACATATTAATTAGGAAAGAAAGTGAATTTATTGAATGAACCCCTAACCAAACCACACATATTTCCCATTTCTGTGTCAGTGCTATCATTTTCTAATTATGCCCAACAGCAGTAACTTGTAATATGTATATAATAAAACTGAGTTTCTGTGGTTAAAGGAAAACACTCAGATATCAATACATATAAACCCATATGCCTTTTTTGCACAAGGGGGTTTGTGATTAAGGATGACATACTAAGATTTATATTTTGCTATTTTTTATATTGGAGGGTGACTTCTTTGCATTTTCGGTTATAAAAATCTGTTTGTATTTTTTGTTCATATGTTTGAATTGAGGATGGCTAGGTAAATGATTCACAAGACTAGTACAGAGTGGACTTAGCAAAGGTGGCTTGGGTATTTATTGAGCAAGCTGTTGGGGAAAGATATTTGATGTCTTAGATCCAGAATGTTTTTAAATGCTGCTCACTTGATTTTTTTTTTTTTTTTTTTTTTTATGGAATAAGGGATCTGATACTCTTTTTCTGCTTGGAGTCTGGACCTCAGTTACTGCTCTCTGAGATACTGGCACAGAGTTAAGCCTATTCCAAGGAACCATATGTTAAGTCCTAGTTATAAGTTGCTGAAATGAAAGTTGTAGAGATATACAGCAAACTTTTATGTAAGGAAATAAGCATATGCAAAACTAATACATGTATTTAAACTAACACAACCTCAAAGGAATAAAAGAACGTAAGTGGTACACCAGTGCAAAGGGAAATAATAGGTGAATATTAGATGTTAATTGAAAATTTCATTCATTCATTCATTTCACAAATATTTATTGGGAGCTTCTATGTACCAGACACATATTGAACGAAGTGGGCAATTTTGAATTTATGGGGCAAGACACGCAATAAACAAAACTAAGTAAATTATGTAGTATTTTAGATAATGTTAAATGCTATGGAAGGCAAAAAGTTTAGGGTAAGGGAACTGGGAGTACTGGATTGCAGTTTTATGGAGTTTTTGTATGTCACTAAGTCTTCCTGGAGCTGAAAGGGTGATCCAAGTGGCTATCTTGAGGAAGAGTATTCCAGGCAGAAGCAGGAGCCAGTGCAAGGCTGGGTGCAGTGGCTCATGCCTCCAATCCCAGCACTTTGGGAAGCTGAGGCAGGAGGACTGCTTGTGTTCAGGAGGTTTGAGACTAGCCTGGGCAACATAGTAAGACTTCATCTCTACAAACAGTCAAAAATTAGCCAGGTGAGGTGGCATGCATCTGTAGTCCCAGCTGCTCAGGAGGCTGAGGTCAGGGGACCACTTGAGCCTGGGTGGTTGAGGCTGCAGTGAGCTGTGATCCTGCCACTGTACTCAGCCTGAGCAACAGAGTGAAACACTGTCTCAAAAAAAAATAAAAATAAAAAATAAAAAAAGAAAAAGAAAAAGCCTGTGCAAAGCCCTAAGGTGGACACATGCCTGGCTTACTGAGGAAAAGCAGTGAGACTAGTGTGGCCTGTAGCATAGGAAATTCTTGTTTTTGTCAACCAAAAATAAAATTCTAAGCCCACCAACCATTTGAATAGACCCCTCTTCTTGGCCAAGGGCATTCCAAAGTTAACCTGAGAAACTAGTTCAGGACATGATGGGGAGGGGTAGGGTAGTCATGCCTCATTATACCCACCTCCGTTTTGGAATTACCAATAGAACAGACTCTTTAACTCTGATAAGAAATATTTACAATCTATTATCTCTAAAACCTGCTACCTGGAGGCTTCATCTACATGATAAAACCTTGGTCTCCACAACTCTTACCTTAACCCAGACATTCCTTTCTATTAATTCTAAGTTTTTAGACAATAACTTAACTCTTTCAATCAATTGCCAATGGGGAAATCTTTGAATCTACCTATGACCTGGAAGCCCCCTGCTTCCAATTGTCTCATTTTTCTGGACCAAACCAATCTATATCTGATATGTATTAACTGATGTCTTATGTCCTGAAATTGTATAAATCATGTGTAGCCTGACCACCTTGGGCACATGTTTTCAGGATCTCCTGAGGGCTGTGTCATGGCCATTGGTCACTCATATTTAGCTCAGAATAAATATCTTCAAACTTTTTATAGTTTGACTCTTTTTATCAACTTTTTTTATGTAATGGGTGAGGATTAGAATGTCTTGGCTGATTACTAGTCTGGCTAAGAGGGAGTAATCATTTCCCCTATGAATGTATTATTGATTTTTGATAGAATAAATTCAATAAAGTATATTTTAAGAAAAAAAAAGTTGTTTGAAACAGGGGTCAGCAATCTATTTCTGTAAAGGGCCAGATATTTTAGGCTTTGCAGGACATAGTGTCTCTGTTGCAGCTACTCAACTCTGCTGTTGTACTGTGAAAGCAGCCACAGACAATATATAAATGAATGGGTCTGGCTTTGTTCCAATAAACTTAATGGTCTCTGATATTTGAATTTCATACAGTCTTCACATGCCAGGAAACACTATTCTTAAATTTTTTTTCAGCCATTTAAAACAATAAAAACCATTCTTAGTTTAGAGACTGTACAAAAACAGATATCAGATTGGGTTGGATTTAGCTCAGAGGCCATATTTTGCCAACTTTTAAACAATGTATTTATTTATTTATTTATTTATTTATTTATTTATTTATTTATTTGTTTATTTATAGATGGGGTCTCACTCTGTCACCCAGGCTGGAGTATAGTGGCGGGATCTCAGCTCACTGCAACCTCTGCTTCCCAGGCTCAAGCTATCCTCCCACTACCCGCTGCAGTGGCTGGGACCACAAGCGTGTGCCATCATGCCCAGCTAATTTTCTGTATTTTTGGTAGAGACAGAGTTTCACCATGCTGCACAGGCTGGTATCAAACTCCTGAGCTCAGCGATCCACCTGCCTTGGCTTCCCAAAGTGCTGGGATTACAGGTGTGAGCCACCATGCCCAGCCTCAATTCCTTACTTAAAATACAATTAAATTTTTGTTAATTTTCAGATGATATAGTACTCTATAGTGCCTAAGGAATGTTGGTCCAATAATCACTTATTATTGTACAATATTGGAAATAAGTTGTCTTGGTGTGAGTTCATATTAAAGTGTTTTTTTTTGTTTTCTTTTTTTTTGGTGTTTCCTTTTTTTTTTTTTTTTTTTTTTTTTTGAGGCAGGGTCTCACTCTGTCACCCAGGCTAGAATGCAGTGGCAAAATCACGTCTCACTGAAGCCTTGACCTTCTGGGCTCAGGTGATCCTCCTGCTTCAGCCTCCCAAGTAGCTGGAACCATGGGAACACATCACCATGCCTGACTGATTTTTTTTTAAAAATTATTATTTGTGAAGGGACCTCGCTGTGTTGCCCAGGCTGGTCTAGAACTCCTGGGCTCAAGTAATCCTACTGCTTTAGCCTCCCAAAGTTTTGGGATCACAGGTATGAGCTACTGTGCCTGGCCTATATTAACGTTTTAATCCTCTATGAGAGTATCCTACATCATTGCATTTTTTTTTCCAAGAAAAGAATGATGCAAAATTAGAGAAACCAATTATTTGCATTTTTGGTTCACAGGGTTTCATTTAAGAGACTATTGTATAGATAATATATAGCACAGTTATATAAATGCATGGATAGTAAAGAGTTCAGAAACAGAACAGTTAACCATTGGAAAAAGTGTTAAATCCAGTAAGATGACAAATTCAAATGTTTCATAAAGGAGAATTTCAGAAAATGGATTTTTGCAATTCACACTTTGTTATTGAAGTCAACTTCTTAAAAATCTTGTTTAGCAAGTAATTATGAGATGTTATTTCAAAAATTTTAAATCCATTACATATCCTCATTCAACAATGAGGAAATGGGGGAAATGGAGGAAGTTGACCGTAGAAGCAGAGGATGAACAGGTAGAAGTTGAGTTGGTAGTCTAAGAGGTTTTTTCCTTTTTTTTGGTTTGAAAATTACTGAAAAGTGTCTTCCTAAAATGATTTTTATTTTTATCTCACTCGGAAACAAGAGACAAGAGGCTAAGATTGGGAATAATGGGGATTGGCGTGGGATGTTGGATAACCTACTTCATATAGGGTGATCAAAAGGACTTTCTAAGGAGGTGGCATTTCAGGTAAGATTCTAAGGATTAGCAGTGATACATATGGAAAGTGGGAGAGAATGTTCTAAACAGGAGGATTTGGTAAGTGCAGGAATCCCACGGTAAGGCAGTTTAGCATGCTATAGGAAACTAAAGAAGACCGACATGGCTGGATCATAGTGAGAATGTAGGAGTGTGGTGCCTTGCGCAGCTGGAGAGACAGGGAGGGGAAGATCTTGCAAGACCTGCAGTTTTAATTTTATTCTAATTGCAATGGAAGTCTCTCAAGAGTTTTAAGACAAGGACCATCATATTCTGATTTACATTTTAAAATTTCTTTGTGCGTTTCAAAGACCATATTGTTAGGAAGCATTTGTTGGGGAGGCAAAACTTTTTCTCTGCTCTCTTAGTTCAGTTACCTGGGGCCTGCAAATGAAACTGACAAAAGACAGATTAGCAAGAAAAAAGATATTTTTATTCATGTATGTACTAGAGTTCACAGAAAAATGTGACTCAAAGGGGTGGTTAGAATTTGGGACTTACCTACTATCTTAATAGGGAAAGGGGAGGGACAGAAGGGCACTTACTGGAAAGCAGTCAACTTTTTTGGAAGATAGGTGGGCCTTTGGGAGAACATGGGAGATATGATAGCTTTGTGACAATGTCTATTTTGGTGTGGTGTGGTATTTGGGGAGACTGGGGAGTTGTGCTAAGCTAATGCTGATTGACAGGCATTCTTTCTCTGCTTATTTGCTGTTGGCTAGAAGATAAGGTAATTGTGAACTTGTGATAGGCATGTGCTTGAATATTCCTGTCTTAGTCCATTTGTGTTGCTGTAAAGGAATGCTGAGGCTGGATAATATATAAAGGAAAGAGGTTTATTTGGCTCATGGTTCTGAAGGCTGTACAAGAAGCATGGTGTCAGCAACTGCTTCTGATGAGACCCTTAGAAAGCTTCCATTCATGGCAGAAAATGAAGGGGAGCCAGCATGTGCAGAACATATGTCAAGACAGGAGGCAAGAGAGAAAGAGAGAAAGGAAAGAAGGATGAGGCTCTTTTTAACAACCAGCTCTTGGGGGAACTCTCATGGGAACTGATACAGCGAGAACTCACTCATTACTGCCAGGATAGCACCAAGCCATTCAGGAGGTATCTGCTTCATGACCCAAACACCTCCCATTAGGCCCCACCTCCAACACTGGGGATCAGATTTTAACATGAGACTTGGTGGGACCAAACAAACGATATGCAAACCATAGCAATGCCCAATGCTAGGCAGTTTGGTGAACTGTCCGTTACATATTCATTTCAATTGGTGCAGTGGTGGGATTACCTTGCAGTGGGAGCTATCAGAAGTGACACAAGAGGAACAGGGAACAGATAGCTATTCCTTTAATGGCAGCATGGTGGAAGGCAGGTGGAGTTTGTGATTTTTGTGAGTGGGGGTTGGGGGCTGTCTTTGGACTGAGGCTTCATTTTTTCCCTTTATGTCTCTAGCCTTATCACTAGTTTCAAAATGGGTGTAATAGGACTTGTGTTGTCTGCCGTGCTGTTCTTATGTGAATTTCTTACAGCATGTATGTATGTTGGAGAAAAGGATGTGCATTATCCATCAAGGCTTCTAATTTGACTAGGCTTAGATATTTTTTAAAAATGTTACTCATAGTTTAAGTGTTTTAAATTTCATCATAACAGCCTGAAAAAATCAGTATTTCTCAGCAAATACTGGAGCTGTTATATTTGAATTTACTTTTCAAGAGCTTATTAAGAATAATTTCAGGCATATTAATAACAATAACTTCCCTTAATATTTATGTAGAATTTCAGAATTTCTCTAAGTTAAGATAATAAACTAGCTAAACAAAGTAAATTTGTTTGCTTTGGCCCCACCCTGCCATTTCTATATGTTTTTACTCTTTGCGCATCTCCTCTCTCCCAGGCGCCTGGACTTTCATATCTTCCTAGCACCTTGAAAGCCTTTGCAAGAGCATCTGATAAGTTCATTTACACTCAGATACAAGTAACTGATACATTTTAAAGTGTTTAATATCGCAAAGGTCTTTGAATTTTAGCAGAGAAAATGAGAGGCCGTATATGTTACAGAGATCAATCTCTACTAGTGGAGTTTTCTGTTGGGAAAGTGAGGGGGCTTTGCTTTTGCTTTTCTTCTTGTTTGTTTGCTTTTAATCTGTAGGGGCTTTTTCAAGCTCTTAAAATTACACCACCTATGTGGCTACAGCTCTGCTTCTACCCAGGGTTAGCACCTAATGGTAATTCCATCTTCAGTAAGTTCGGAGTGCTTTATAAATTATTTCTGTTCTTTAAAGCACTCTACTTGTAGCAAACAGACAGCAATTACATCTGTTTGACAGCTGATGAAACAAATACAACATTTTAGAGAAGCAAAATAACATTTGAAAGCACCTGGAAAGGTGTTAATGCATTATACAAATAAAAATTTTGATTGGTAAATTGTTTAAGACCTCACAATTTAAGCAGGCTCACTAAATTTTTAATCAAGATACTAATGTATAATGGATAGGGAAAGTAGGAGGAGTTAATACTGAAATGTTTTAAGAATGATCCAGGTTAAGAATTCTATTTATTTGAGTGCCCAAGTTAAACCATCATTTTTATTTTTTAGGTTTTTGGGTGCTTGAGAATGGAAGGGTGATATTGTAAACTGTCAAATGGCCAATGCCAAGGTGAAAATGTCCACATTATATAGATAAGCTTACACCTGAATGAGCTTCTCATTAATGACCACTTTAGAGAGAAAATGGATGGCAGCTCCTCACGAATAACTTGGGTAATTGAAAGAAATGCTGCCAAGGAAAACAACTACTATGTGTTACTGGTTCTACTGGAACCCTGTTAACATACTTCCTCAAACAGTTTCCTGAAAGAGCCAAATTCCTGAATGGTAATCTGACCAAAACACTAAACAACTCCTGTGGTTAAAACAGAATCCACAGGATTCTGTTTTCATTAGAGGAAGTACTAAGGTCAAGATTTGTAAACTACAACTAAATTATGAAAATGATTCTTCTTCCTAGTATTCAGGCACTCAAGAGTTCTGAAAAAATGCAGTGTTATGTGACTTCTTCAATTATGTAATTTGTTTAGATAGATTGTTTAGGAAGTGCCTCATTTTATTTGATTCTCATATGAAAAAGAATATTCTTATCTGTTACAATTTTTTTAAAAGAGAAAAGCATAAAGTTACTAAAAAATAAAATCTTTTCTTATCATACAGAGACCTCAGAAATTTATCATTTTCATGAGATAAATCACTTCCCTATTCATAGACTGTTTTAATATGGGAAATTGTCGATTATATTTTAAATATAAGTAAAATATTACTAATTTTTGTACCATTAACAAAAACATATTACTCCACCAATACCTACTTCTAGTTTAAGCTCAGTATATAAATAGAAATGTTAGGCCTGGGTTCTTCCTTTGAGGACAAGGATCAAGAATCCACCAAGGGTAGGGTGGGGAGTGTGGAATTGCAAGTGCAGGCATAAGAAGGGGTAGCAAATAAACACATGAAAAGATACTCAACATCAGTAGTCTTGAGGGAAATAAAAATTAAAACCATAACCAGGTATTATTTTGTGTTCGTTTGAGACAGGCTCTCCTGCTGTCAGCCAAGCTGGAGTGCAGTAAAATGATCATTGCTTACTGTAGCCTGGACTTCCCAAGCTTGAGCAATCCTCCCACCTCAGCCTCCTGAATATATGGGACCACAGGCACATGCCAGCATGCCTGGCTAATGAAATTTTTTTTTTTTTTTGTAGAGACAAGGTCTTGCCATGTTGCCAGGGTTGGTCTTGAACTCCTGGGCTCAAGCCGTTCTCC
Source organism: Homo sapiens (assembly GCF_000001405.40). Classification (NCBI taxonomy): domain Eukaryota; kingdom Metazoa; phylum Chordata; class Mammalia; order Primates; family Hominidae; genus Homo; species Homo sapiens. The sequence continues at coordinate 171,949,662 of NC_000001.11, forward strand.
TGTCTTGGTTTCCCAAAGTGCTGGGATTACAGGAGTGAACCACTGCACCTGGCCTCACAATGATGTATTATTATACACCTATTAGTATGTCTAAAATTAAAAAGACTGACCATACAAAGTGTTGACTAGGATGCGGAGGAACTGGAACTCTTACACACTGTTGGTGTCAAATGTAAAATGGCACAACCACTTTGGAAAAGAGTTTTGCACTTTCTCAAAAAGTTACACATGTACCATATGACCCAGCCAATCCACTCCAAGGTACAGTATTTACCCAAGAGAAATGGATGCATTTGTCCTCACAACAACTTGAATACAAATAGCCAGAAACTGGAAACAACACAAATGATCATCAACAAGCGAATGGACAAACATATTGTGGAACATTCATGCAATGGAATACAACTTAGCAATAAAAAGGAATTATGTGCTCAATGGCTGGGGGAACATTCATACAATGGAATACAACTTAGCAATAAAAAGGAATTATGTGCTCAGTGGCTGGGGTGAATCTCAAAATAATGATGCAGCGTGAAAGAAGCCAGAAAAAAAAGAGTATATATAGTATGATTCTGCAGATGGTCTCCAACTTACAGGGTTCAGCTTAACAAATTGTTGACTTTATGATGGTGTGAAAGCAATATGCATTCGGTAGAAACTATAATTTAAATTTTTATCTTTTCTGGTCTAGTGATATGTGGTAGGATACTTGGCAGTCAGTCAACCATGAGATCATGAGGTAAACACTGATATTCTTCAGCATACTGTGTTACTAGATGATTTTGCCCAATTGTGCACTAATGAAAGTGTTCTGAGTGCATTTATAGTAGGCTAGGCTTGGTAGGTTCAGCATATTAAACGCACTTTTGACTTAAAATATTTTCAACTTATGATGGATTTATTAGGACATAACTTCATTGTAAGTCAGGGGCATCTGTATTTATATAAAAATATAGAAAATGCAAATTAACCTATAGTGACACAAAGCCCATTAGTGGTTTTTGGTGGAGGATGGGAAATGGTTCTGTGAGGAAGAAGGAATTACCAAGGAGCATGATTAAACTTTTTGGGGTGATGAAAATGTTCTTTAACTTGGTTATAATGATGGTTTCTCAGGGGTACACACGTGTGTACTTACAAATTGTTCACTTTAAATATGTGTACTTTATTGTATATCAATTATACCACAATAAAGCTATGAAAATATGTGTCCATATGCCATATCGCTCTAATTTTGTGGCTTAATCATATGCAAAAACTCCTCATCTTCCTCTTCCTCCTCCTCCTCCTTCTCCTCCTCTTCCTCCTCCATTTTTTGGATGGGGAAAGGAGGGTGTGCTGTGTCGTCTGGTCATGCTTTGATTTCTGTTCTCTGGGTTTCCCAAACACATTAGGTAATAAAGACAACATGACTAATTACATACATTTTTTTAAAGGCTAAATTCTCTTTAAGATATTGTAAACTCTATTTGCCTCATATTTGTTCAGTACTTACTTCAAATAATAAAACCTGGTGGTTGCTTTATCAGTTCTAATGATCCTGGTGACTGACATTCCCTCCTGTTCTTTTACCTAAGACATGATGATTACTTTGATAAAACACACACTTTGATCTCAAGGTAGGGAAGATGCAAATCTCATATTCTGAACTCTCCAAATAAATGTAAGACTTGGTGCCTACTTGGTTATCAAGTGACAAAATTATTGAAATAGGAGCCAAACTTTGAAATATTTTACATGCGGTGTTTTGCATTATGAAAGTTTCGTTTGTCATCTACTTGATTTTCTCTTCTTTAACTGTGCTTATGTTTGGCAAAACCATTCTCATTCTCTAAAGTTTAGGGGTTTATCTAATTGTTTTCTCTAGTGGTCAATGAGCATCTTGAGAGTGAAGACCATGCCTTATTTATGTTGTATTCTAAACACCTCCTTATAGCTCCTGGGAAATTTATAGGCATTTATATAAATGCTCCTTGAATGAATGAATGTGTTCCCCCAACATCCTTACTGAATACTGAATTTGGGATCTTGTGAAATCCTACTCAGTTTAAGCTTTAGTGGAGGTGTTGACAAAAAACTAAGCTCTGTAAAACATTTCAAAAGGTTTATTATGAGCCCATATTAATGACTATAGCGCAGGAAACAGCCTCAAGAAGTCCTGAGAAAGTGAGCTTAAGTGGTTACAGATTGGTTTTATACATTTTAGGGAGATACAAATTGTAGGTAAAATCATAAATCAATACATAGCAGGTGTACATTGGTTCAGCCTAAAAAGGAAGAATATCTTGAAGTGAGAGTTGGGGTGTTACAGGTCATAGGTAGATTCAAAGATTTTGTGATTGGCAATCAGTTGAAAGAGTTAAGCTTTGTCTGAAGACCTCAAGTCAGTGGAAAAATATTCTTGAATTAAGATAAGGGAGGTTGTGGAGACCAAGGTTCTTGTTATGTAGATGAAGCCTCCAGGTAACAGCCTTCAGAGAGAAGAGATGGCAGATGTCTTTTTTGGGGACCTTAAAATGTCACACTTTTAGTTAATCCTTTCTTAAACCTGGGAAAAGCCTGGCTGCATTAATGGAGATTATCTGCAAATGCAAACTTCCTCCATAAAAGATGGCTTTGCAGGACCATGTCAAAATATGTCAAAGAAATATACTTGGAGATAAAACATTTTGATTTTCTTTAGGATCTGCTATCTGTCATGTGATGCTACATGAGTCAGGTTGGAATTTGGTATCTTATTGCCACAAAGAGTTTGTTTTTTCGGTCTTAATGATCTCTGTTTTAATGGTAATGCTGGTCAGTCAGTTGTGTCTAAACTCTAAGAGGGAGGGGGTGTAACAAGACATGTCCAACCTCCCTTTCCATCACGGCTGAGAATTCAAATTTTCAGGTTTCTCTGGGGTTCCCTTGGCCCAGAGGGGATCCATTTCAATCGGTTGGGGAGGCTTAGGATTTTATTTTTGATTTACAGGGGCAAATACAGTAGAAGTTTGTATTCCATGAAAATTTAATAACACAAAATTTAGTACATGGAATTTATTATAAATGGAAAGACTAGTACATTTATTGGCTATTTTGAAGAGAGTTATTTTGCAATATGAATCAATGAATAACTTATATCATTGCTTCTTTGCTTCTATAGAAACCAAATAACTTTCTATGACTGGGACAGGTAGTACCTCTATGTTTAAATAACTATTTTCTCTTAGAGTGTTATAATTTGTATTTCTCATCATTAATAGAACCAGTTTTACTGCCAACATGAATAAAACACTCTCCTTTTTACATTATTTTATTCTCTCAATTCAGAGAGTTAGTTATTATGTCATGGCTTTTGGTAAGAAATGAGTGATAATTCTAGGTATTTCCATGATAGTCCTTTGTTGGAAGGAAGGACTTCAAAACTTTAAAATAATCAAATTTCAACTAAATAAAAATTGCCATATAAGAGATGATCTGCTAAGGTATCTAGAGGACTAACATCTATGCCCTCACACTCATATCTAGTTCTTGCAGATTTATTTCTTTCAAACATCATATGCTAGCTGAATGTGATGCTTGCTATCGCCTACTTATCACAAACTTTGCTGCTATTTTTTTCCTTTGTAATTAAATGCCATATGCACACCTTCAATTAAGATAATTACATTTATGATTTTAGTTTAGTCAAGTCATCTGGCACTTTTCATGATATCAGTTATCTGACCTTTAAATAGATGAGAACTTAGGGAAGCATTTAGCATGCCCCATGCGCAATTCTTTTTTTTTTTTTTTTTTTCCTCCCAAGATAGAATCTTGCTCTGTTGCCCAGGCTGGAGTGCAGTGGCGTGATCTCAGCCCAGTGCAACTTCTGCCTCCCGGGTTCAAGCAATTCTCCTGCCTCAGCCTCCCGAGTAGCTGGGATTACAGGCACATGCCATGATGCTTGGCTAATTTTTTGTATTTTTAGTAGAGATGGGGTTTCACCATATTGGCCAGGCTTGTCTCGAACTTCTGACCTCAGGTGATCTACCCGCCTCAGCCTCCCAAAGTGCTGGGATTACAGGCCACCATGCCTGACCCCAATTCTTTATTTTATTTACAATACATCATTTTCTGACCTCATTTAAAAAATTTTAACTGAAGGATTTCTAGTAGACAGGAAAGTTGCCAAGAAGGTTTAGCTTTAAAAGAAATGCCTTTATAATAAATGGCATAGAATTCCCATTATGCTTTTGTTTTAATTTGTTGTAGGAAAGTATGGGATGTGGGATTTAGTTTCCTCACCGTTGTGGTCATTGTCCTTTTTCATATACTCCAGTTTGTCAGTAAAGCTGTTAAAGCATGACATCCAATACTGCATGCAATCCCTGTGGGCTCAACCTAGCACATAACTCAGAGGGACTACTGCCCCTTCTGTTGTGGACATTAACCTGCAATTAACTCAGTCTTAGATCACATTAATTTTGGGGCCAGGACACTTTATTACTGGTTCATAGTGAACTTGCAGCCCATTGTAACTGCCAAATTTTTTTTCTTTTTTGCACTTTGCCTGGATCCTCTATTAGCATTGATTTAAGAACAGTACTTTGCATGTATTATCATAGTAAATCTCTTTTGCTAAATTTGACTGATGATTCCAGCCTGGTGAGATAATTTTGGGTCCTGATTCTCTTTTCCAATTTGGTTGCAGTTTCTCCTTTGTGGTTATAATAAGCTTACTATCTAACCTCGTCCAAATTCCTGGGGGAAATAATGCTTGTTAGAAGTGGGTCAAGGAGTTTCTGGAATAGCATCTTGTTCTTCCTCACACATTCTTACCCTTCTTTAATTTCTGGATGCAAAGTATATTGTTCCTTGTTGACAAAATGGAAAATGAAATCCTCTTAAGATAGTAAAGTGGCTGTCAACTGTAATGCTCTTAAATCACTTTGCTGCTTAGTGCTCTCACAGCTGATACGCAGTTCCCTCTGTGGGCAGCGGCGTTTTACATCAGATCACCTTCCATTTCAATTTAGCATGCCTGCTCACTCCTGCAAGGGGAGGTTTAGTCCTTGGTAACAAGTCTAGAAAATTCTAAATTACACCAAAGGAAAACACCACCAGGAGATGGAGGATTTTTAATGAAAACATATTTTCACAGTGTGGCATTTCAAGTAGAATAACTAGAATTGTGGAAACTGGGGCAACATTGTGTTATGCAATTTTTCCTGAGAAAGCTAAAAATATGTTTTCAGCAGAGAATTAATGAATTGTAGTGATTTGATGCTAAGCAGTTCTGTTTTAATTAAAATATTTAACTTACTAATAAAATGTCAGCACAATTTGAAGGTAGAGAAGTTCTGTTGGAATTAAATTAATATTCTCCTTTTTAAACACCTGGCTCAGCATGTTAAAATAAAATTTGAAGTACTTCTGTGGGCAGTACTGCTAAGTGATAGCAACCTTCTACCTTGTAGTTCTAGCTAGGTGGGCTCTTGGCTCTTACTCTCTTATGAGTAAGTGAGTTGCTGGATAAGTGTTATCCCTTAGCCATAGAATAGTTGCCATAAGTTTACTGCTTGCATGGCTGCATTGGCTAAATGAACTGCTTAATGGTAGGAAAGCTATGCACCACTGTACTTTAGAAAATTTGATAAATGTGCACTTATAAAAGATAATACATTTCATCATTTCAAAGAGAATATGATTCCCTAAAATATAGTTATTTTAACTTTTATGGTTACACAAAACAATGATAAATCAACTCACTTTTTTCCAATATATTAAGTGCACTGTGTGTTTCCAGCTGTGTGGCAGATATAAGGGCATCAGAGAGGAATATGAGATAGTTTTGGCCCATAGACCAGAAGGGGAGTCAAAGACTTAAATGGTACAATGTGGTCAATAAAATGATAAAGCTATTATCTATATCTTTATACATATCCACACACATGACCATACATATTTCCATTCCCATAACTATAACCATGTCTATTGTGGGAATATGGAGGAGAGATACCTGCCCTAATAGGTGAGAGGCATAGGTAGCATTAAAGGAAAATTTTCTGTTGAAGAGATGCCTAAGTTGAATCTTAATTAGTAGAAGCTAACTGGGCTGTATTAGTCTGTTTTCATGCTGCTGATAAAGACATACCTGAGACTGGGCAATTGACAAAAGATAGAGGTTTAATGGACTCATAGTTCCACATGGCTGGGGAGGCCTGACAATCATGGCAGAAGGTGAAAGTCATGTCTTACGTGGCAGCAGACAAGAGGAGAGAGGTTGTGCAGGGAAACTCCCCTTTATAAAATGATCAATCTCATGAGGCTTCTTCACTATCACGAGAACAGCATGAGAAAGATCCGCCCCCATAATTCAATTATCTCCCACCAGGTCCCTCCCATGACATGTGGGAGTTGTGGGAGCTACAATTCAAGATGAGATTTGGGTGGGGACATAGCCAAACATATCATTCTGCTCCTGGCCCCTCCCAAATCCCATGTCCTCACATTTCAAAACCAATCATGCCTTCCCAACAGTCCCCTAAAGTCTTAACTCATGTCAGCATTAACTCAAAAGTCCACAGTCGAAAGTCTCATCTGAGACAAGGCGAGTCCCTTCTGCCTATGAGCCTGTAAAATCAAAAGTAAGTTAGTTACTTCCTAGATACAATGGGGGTACCCACTGGATAAATACACCCATTCCAAATGGGAGAAATTGACCAAAACAAGGGGATAAAGGCCCCATGCAAGTCTGAAATCCAGTGGGGCAGTCAAATCTTAAAGCTCCAAAATGATCTCCTTTGACTCCATGTCTCACATCCAGGTCACACTGATACAAGTGGGCTCCCATGGCCTTGGGTAGCTCTGCCCCTGTGGCTTTGTAGGGTATAGCCCCCCTCCTGGCTGCTTTCATGGGCTGGCATTGGGTGTCTGTGGCTTTTCCAGGTGCATAGTGCAGGCTGTCGGTGGATCTACCATTCTGGGGTCTGGTGGATGGTGACCCTCTTCTCACAGCTTCACTAGGCAGTGCCCCAGTAAGGGACTCTGTGTGAGGGCTCTGACTCCACATTTCCCTTCCACACTGCCCCAGCAGAGGTTCTCCATGAGGGCCCTGCCCCTGCAGCAAACTTCTGCCTGGGCATCCAGGCATTTCCATACATCCTCTGAAATCTAGACAGAGGTTCCCAAACCTCAATTCTTGACTTCTGTGCCCCCGCAGACTCAATACCACATGGAAGCTACCAGGGCTTGGGACTTGCACCCTCAGAAGCAACAGCCCAAGCCATACCTTGCCCCCTTTTAACCATGACTGGAGTGGCTGGGATATAGGGCACCAAGTCCCTAGGCTGCACAGAGCAGGGGGATCCTGGGCCCACAAAAGCATTTTTTCCTCTTCAGCCTTCACAACTGTGATGGGGGTTGGGGGGCTGCTGTGAAGACCTCTGAAATGCCCTGTAGGCATTTCCCCCACTGGCTTGGCAATTAACATTAGGCTCCTTGTTATTTATGTAAATCTCTACAGCCTGCTTGAATTTCTTCTCAGAAAACGTGTTTTTCTTTTCTTTCTTTCTTTCTTTTTTTTTTTTTTTTGAGACGGAGTCTCGCACTGTCACCCAGGCTGGAGTGCAGTGGTGTGATCTCTGCTCACTGCAAGCTCCACCTCCCAGGTTCACACCATTCTCCTGCTTCAGCCTCCTGAGTAGCTGGGACTACAGGTGCCCGCCACCACACTCGGCTAATTTTTTGTATTTTTCAGTAGAGACGGAGTTTCACCATGTTAGCTAGGATGGACTCGATCTCCTGACCTTGTGATCTGCCTGCCTCAGCCTCCCAAAGTGCTGGGATTACAGGCGTGAGCCACTATGCCCGGCCCAGTGTTTTTCTTTTCTATTGCATCATCAGGCTGCAAATTTTCCAAACTTTTATGCTCTGTTTCCCTTTTAAAACTGAATGCTTTTAATAGCACCCAAGTCATCTCTTGAATGCTTTACTGCTTAGAAATTTCTCCCGCCAGGTACCCTAAATCATCTCTCTCAAGTTCAAAGTTCCACAGATCTGTAGGACAGGGACAAAATGCTGCCAGTCTCTGCTAAAACATAGCAAGAGTCACCTTTACTCCAGTTCCCAACAAGTTCCTCACCTCCATCTGAGACCACCTCAGCCTGGATTTCATTGTCTGCATTTTGGTCAAAGCCATTCAACAAGTCGCTAGGAAGTTCCAAACTTTCCCACATTTTCCTGTCTTCTGAGCCCTCCAAACTGTTCTAACCTCTGCCTGTTACCCAGTTCCAAAGTTGCTCCCACATCTTCAGGTATCTTTATAGCAGTGCCGCAGTCCACCGGTACCAATTTACTGTATTAGTCTGTCTTCATTTTGCTGATAAAGACATACCCAAGGCTGGGTAATTGACAAAAGAAAGAGGTTTAATGGACTCATAGTTCCACGTGGCTGGGGAGGCCTGACAACTGTGGCAGAAGGTGAAAGGCACGTCTCACATGGCAGCAAACAAGAGAAGACAGCATGTTCAGGGAAACTCCCCTTTATAAAACCATCAGATCTCATGAGACTTATTCACTATCACAAGAACAGCATGGGAAAGACCTGTCCTCATGATTCAATGATCTCCCACTGGGTCCCTGCCATGACATGTGGCAATTGTGGGAGTTACAATTCAAGATGAGATTTGGGTGGGGATGCAGCCAAACCATATCACAGGTTATGATGTGTGTGTATGTGTTTGTACTTGTATTTTTATGTGTATGTGTATGTATGTGGAGGCATCTGTGTGTTTGGGAGAACAAGGAAAAGGGCTGTGATGTTCCTGAAAGTGAGTTGGAACAGAAGCTTGGAAGTGAGAAACACTGTGAGGTTGCTGGAGTATATAGTGTGTCTGTGTGAGTTTAGGTTGGAGTGGGATACACAAGGAGCTCGTGGACAAAGGGAATCCATCAAAGGTGTTGGAGCAAGGGGATGGTATAGTCAGCTTTACATGCTGAGTGGATTGCTGTGATTACAATGGGCAGGATAGATGGAACATGGCAAGATTTGGGGTGTGACTGTGGAGTAAGCTGTCCAGATGAGAGGTGATAGAACTACCCTCACTTGGCCTTGGTGATAGTGATTTGGGGAGGGGGAGATCAATAAATTTTTAGAAAGTAATGTCAGATAGATATACCTATCTTATATATCTTTTGTTACATTCGTTTCTAAGTACCACATAGTTTCTGCTAATGTTGCAAATCATATTTCTAAAAAATTATGGTTTTGAATTAATTCTCATGGTTGAATATTATGTAGCAGTAAAACTATTGAACTGCAGCCATGTGCATCAACAGTAATAAGTCTAGGAGCATAATCTTGAGTGAATAAAGCAAGTCCCAAATGAATGACTTCATTTGTATAAAGCTTAAAAACAAAACTGAAAAATGTGTTGGTTAGAGATGCACAGGTATGTAATAAACCAATATGGAAAAGGAGATAATAAAATAAAATTAAAAATCATGGTTAATTCTCATGGAGGAGAAGGTGAGAGAATGAATACAGAAGGGGGAAGTATATGGGTGAATGGAATGGTATTGGACAGTTTTGATTCTTATATTAGTGGTGGGTTCATGGGTGCTGGTTTTATTATTATTTTTCATTATATATATATGTCAAATGTAGTATTTTGTATTATTTGATATATTAAAAAGATAATAAGGGAAAAACAGATACATAAGTAGAAATAAGGGCAAGATATCCTCAGGTTTCTAGCTTGGGTTACGGGATCAGTGATGATATCAAATAAATAGAGACAACTAGAGGTTTATTCAGGAACAATGATGAGCTAAGGTTCTTGAAGCACATCTAAACAGATGGATATGCAAGCCTGCAGCTTGTGGGGGAAAATCTAGGCTACATATGCAGATTTGTAAGTCATAAATATACAGTTGTCTTTCAAACCAAAAAATGGATAAAATTGCCCCGGAAGAATTAAAAACAACAACAACAAAAGTGAAAAGAAAGTAATCCTGGGAAGCACCAGCATTGAAGTGTCAGGAGACAGAGAAGTCCATAAAGAGAAGGAAGGGGTCAAAAGATAGGAGGAAAAGTGAGTGGCATCAGGGAGGAAGCCAAGGAGGTAAAGTGTTATGAAGGGAGGGGTGATTATCAGTGTTAGATACACCAGGCCATTTACTACGGTGAGGTCTGGAGTTAGGAGGTTTGTGCTGACCTTAGCGAACTCTGTTTCAGAGCTGTGGGGACAGAAGCCAACTGAAGTGGGGAGAGGGGTCTGGGGAGCCAGACAGCGGGTACTGTGGAGGGGGTAGAGGAATCTTTGTAGAAATATGAGTGTTCTGGGGTGAATAGTGCCCTCCCAAAATTCAAGTTCTTTCTCCTGGAACCTCAGTATAGGACTCTATTCAAAAATAGGATCTTTGCAAATGTAATTGGGTTAAAATCAGGAATGAAGACTGGATTAGGATGGGTTCAAATCCAATGACTGCTGAACTTATAAAATGAGAAAAATTTGGACACAGACACACTGAGAGAACACAATGTGATAAGAGGCAGAGACTGGAGTAGTGCATCCATAAGCCAAGCCATTGCTGACAACCACCTGAGGCTAAGAATGACATGGAACAGATGCTTCCCTAGAGCCTTTAGATGGCCCTGCCAACACTTCAACTTAGGCTTCTAGGCTATAGGACTGTGAAATAATAAAATTTATGTTGTTTAAAGTTACCCCATTTGGCATACTTTGTTATAGCAGCCCCAGGAAACAAATATAATGAATGATAACTAGTGTGTGATTAGGTAAAGAGAGGGCTCCACTTTTTATAGGATGGATGAGACTTAGTACATTTGCAGAACAAGAGAAAGTGGCAGTGTTGAAAGGTGCGGACTTTAAGAGGTGATTGGATCTTGAAGGCTCTGCCATCATGAATGGATTAATACCTTCGTGGGTTAGTGGATTAATGGGTTAATTAATGGGTTATTATGAGGGTGGAACTGATGATTTCATAAGAAGAGGAAGAGAAACCTGAGCAGATACATTAGGAGAGCAGTAAAGGATAAAGATAAGGGAGAAATAGGGAATGCTTGGTGGAGCACAATCCTGGCAGTCCCAAGAGCCATGAGCTCAGGGGCCCAGGCAGAGTTCATCGGTTTTAAAATGAAAACAGTGTACTCTGTGACTGGAAGAAAAAAAGCAGGATGGGGTGAGGTGGTAGTTAGATTGTAGGTAAGAGAGCAGGAAGTAAGGAAGTGCATCCTTGATGACTTCATTTTTCTTAGAGATAAGTTCTTCTGCTGAGGATGAGGGTAAGGGAGGCAGTTGAGTTGGAAGTAGTAGTGGAAGTTTGGAATAGTTGTTCAAGACCAGAAGGCTGACCAGAGACTACCTATAATTGACAGTTGGCATCCAGGTCTCAGCTGAGTTTGGAAACCATTGATTTGTATTAAAGATGCACTACACTGTTCTGAGATGTTTCCAGACAGCGCTCAGATTCCTGAGGTTTACAGCAGGAAAAGTGGCTCCTAGAGTTGGGATTTTATAAGATGGATGCGATGGAGGGATGTTGGTACAAGGAAGAAGAGAAGAGGATGTTGGTGAGACAATGAGCTCATGACCAGCAGTGCACTCCAGCCTGGGTAGAAAGGAAGAGGTAGAGGGCGGAAGGACATGAAAGACTTTATGGTGACAGTGACAAGAGCAGCCATGAGGTCAGCTAGAAACATACTTTTAATCCATGTGTTTTTGACAAGGTATGGCCATTGTCATCTGTGAACATTTAATATCCCATACTGTACTCAGAACTAAAGTACAATAGAAAATAATAAGTGCTGATGAGGATGTGGAGAAATTGGAACTCTTATGCATTATTGGTAGGAATGGAAATTGGTACAGCCATTGCATGAAACAGTTTGGTGGTATCTCAAAAAGTTAAACATACAATTAACTATAATATAATACAGCAATTCTACTTCTGTGTATATACTCAAAAGATTGGAAAGCGGGGGCCCAAACAGATATGTGCCCACCAATGTTCACAGCAGCATTTTTTACAATAGCTAAACAATTGAAACAAACTGTGTCCATCCACAGATGAATGGATAAACAAGGTATGATACATACATACAATGGAATATTACTCAGCCATAAAAAGGAATGGAATTCTGACATTTGCTGCAACAGGATGAACTTGAAAACATTATGCTAAGTAAAATAAGCCAGCCACAAAAGGACAGTACCTTGGTTCATTATCTGCTGCCTATAATAGAATACCCAAAAATGGATAATTTATAAAGAAAAGGAATTTATTTTTCACAGTTATGGAGGCTGAGAAGTGTAAGATCAAGGGATTGCATCTGGTGAGGACCTTCTTACTGGTGGGGGCTCTCTGCAGAGTCCTGAGGTGGCAGAGGGTATCACATGGTTAGGGGGAAGAGTTTGCTAATGTATTTGCTCAGGTTTCACTTTCTCTTCTTATGAAACCATTAGTTTCATCCTCATGGTAACCCATTAGTTAACCCATGAATCCATTAATCCAAGAATGTAATCATCAATTTATGAAGACAGAGCTTTCAAGATCCAATCAACTCTTAGAGGCTCCTTTCACTGCTACCGCAGTAGGGATTAAGTGTCTAACACATTCAGTTTATAGACACATTCAAACCATATAGACAGATACTATATGATTCCACCTATATGAAATACTGAGAATAGGTAGGTAAATTCCTAGAGACAGAAAATAGAATAGAGGTTACCAGGGGTTGGAGGAAAGGCAGAAGAGAGAATTATTGTTTAGGAGAACAGAGTTTCTGTAAGCAGTGGTAATGGTCACTATCTTAGTCAATTTGGGCTGCTATAACAAAATATCACAGACTGGGTAGCTTAAACAACAGACATTTATTTCTCACGGTTCTGGAGATTAAGATGCTAGCTGATTCGGTTCCTGGTGAGGCCCCTCTTTCTGGCATACAGATAGCCATCTTCATTCCATGACCTCATGTGGTAGAGAGAAAGCAAGAGCTATAAGAAGAGACCACTATAAGAAGATTCATGAGTACTCCCCTCTCCTGATTTCTTCTAAACCTAATTACCTCCCCAAGTCCCCTCCTCCCAATATGATTACATTAAAGGTTAGGGCTTCAACACATGAATTTTGGGGAGACACAAACATTCAGTCTACAACAGTTACATAAAACTGTGAATGTACTTAATGTCACTGATTGAACACCTATCAGAATGGTGAAAACCTAAAAACTAACAGTACTAAATGCTAGCAAGGATGTGGAGCAGCAGGAATTCTCATTTGTTGCTGGTGGGAATGCAAAAACAGTACAGCCACTTTGGAAGACAGTTCAGCGGTTTCTTAGGAAACTAAACATATCCTTAACATATTATCCAGCATCCTTACCTTGCCATTTACTCAAGTGCGATGAAAATTTGTGTCCCTACAGAAACTGGCACATAAAGGTTTATCACAGCTGTATTCATAATTGCCCAAACTTGGAAGCAACCAAGATGTCCTTCAGTATTTACTTTATAGTAAATAAACTATGGTATACCCGGACAATGGAATATTGTTGAGTGCTAAAAAGAAATGAGCCTTGAAGAGACATGGAGAAAACTTAATGCATATTACTAGTGAAAGGTATCAATCTGAAAAAGCTACATATTGTATGATTCCAACTATGTGACATTCCTGAAAAGACAAAACTGGAGAAAGTAAAAAGATCAGTGGTTGCCTGGGGTTAGGGGAGAGGGAGAGATGAATAGGTGGATCTCAGAGGATTTTTAGGGCAATGAAAATACTCTGTATGATACTATATGGTGGATACAACATTTGTCAAAACCCATAGAATATACAACACCAAGAGGGACCCCTACTGTAAACTATGGACTTTGGGTGATAATGATGTATCAATATAAGTTCATCTATTGTAACAAATGTCCCACTCTGGTGATGCATGTTGATATTGGGGTAATGCATATGCAGGGGCAGGAGGTGGGATATATGGGAACTCTGTACTTTCTGGTCAATTTCTCTGTGAACCTAAAGCTGCTCTAAAAATGGTCTTTTTTTTAAAAAGTGGTGAAAATAATTATATTATCTCTATATAGATATTATATATATTATCTCTATATAGATAACGTATATATATATATAAAATCACAGCCAAAAAAAAATCCTAAGAGATTGTTTTCAAAGCTGTTTACCATGTAAACCAAAAATAAAATTCCAAGCCCCCCATCCACCTGAATGGATGACTCTCTTGTCAAAGGCATTCAAAAAACCTGAAATACTAGTTCAGGCCATGATAGGAATGGGTGGTCAGAGGTGTCTCATTATATATTCCTCCCCTTGAAACTCAGGCACAGCTGACCAGCATTAACATTAGAACAGAACCCTTAGGCTGACAAAACAGACCATTTTTGCAATAAGATACCAACATGACAGTTAGCAGGCCCTAAAATAAATCAAAGTATTTTACCCCAAAATATATTTCTTTGACATATTTTGAAATGGCCCTGCAAAGCTGTCTCCTGTGGGGAAAATCTACATTCTGTAAAGAATGCTGTTCCCTTTCCAGGTCTTTTTCCTGATCCAGGAGAGAATTAAGAGTCTGGCACCTTTTTAAGTCTGATAAGAAACATTTACAGTCTATTCTCTCTGAAGCCTGCTACTGGAGGCTTCACCTACATAATAAGAACCTCGGCCTCTACAACCTCTTATCATAACCCAGAAACTCCCTTCTGTTGATTCCTGTGTTTAGATAAACTTTCAACCAATTGCCAGTCAGGAAATCTTTGAATCCACCATATGAGCTGGAAGCCACCCCCTCCACCCCTGCCTTTCCAGACCAAACCAATGTACATCTTACATGTACCGATGGATGTCTTATGACTCCCTAAAATGCATAAAACCAAGCTGCAGCCCAACCACCTTGGGCACATGTTCTCAGGATCTCCTGGGGCTGTGTCATGGGCAATGGTCACCCATATTTGGCTCAGAATAAATCTCTTAAAATATTTTACAGAGTTTGACTCTTTTCACTGGCAACTTTAGTGAGAATACCTTGATTCATGGTATTCTACCAAATAATTAAAAACTATACTTTGTATTTTTGATAGTATTTTAGTTTAAGTATAACCAGAAAGTCGAATAAACAGGACACAAGAGGGGCGAAAAGGCTTTGTCTAGCTTGGTCCCCTCAGTGATTTCTCTTCCCTGGGAACCTCCGTTGTGGCACCTTTTTTTTTTTCTCCCAACTGATGGAAAACTGTGTCTCTGCTTATGACACTTCTAACACTGAATGTGTGGATTTTCTAACCAAGCAGTTTTCTCAATTCTCTGTGGACACCAGCTGGGTGTCCTACAATTTAATTCAATTCTGACACTAACTATTCAGTTAACACAGACTCCACAGGTTGATGTCTCAGTCCCACAAGACTGTCCCGAGTTCAAATGCCAATCTCAAGTAGTGAGTCCCCAGGTAATCCACACTTCTGTGCAATTTGACTAGGGGTTCACATGCAAATTAAGGGTTCACATGACCCCTTCCTCAGATTCAATAATTTGCTATAACAGCTCATGTATTTCAGGGAAACACTTTTGTTTACTGGTTTATTAAAAAGGATATTGTAGGCTGGGCATGGTAGCTCATGTCTGTAATTCCAGCACTTTGGGAGTCTGAGGTGGGTGGATTGCTTGAGGCCAAGAGTTTGAGACCAGCCCATGCAACATGGCAAGACCCTGTGTCTACAAAAAAAAAAAAAATACACAAAAATTAGCTGGGCATGGTGACATGTGTCTGTAGTCCCAGCTACTTGAAAGGCTGAGGTAGGAGGATTACCTGAGCCTGAAGAGGTTGAGGCTATAGTGAGCCATGATTGTTCCACTGTAAAGCCTGGACAACAGAGCTAGACCCTGTCTCAAAAAAAAAAAAAAGGGTTGTTGCGGGGGATGGATATTATAAAGGATACAGATGAATAGCCAGAAGAAGTACATGGGGCGAGGTCCAGAAGGGTCTGAAGCATGAGCGCTTCTGTCCCCATGTAGTTGAGGCGTGTCCCCCTCCCAGCAAGTGGATGCATTTAACAATCTTGAAGCTGTCTGAACCCCTTCAGTGAGAGTTTTTATGGAGGTTCATTATATAGATGTGATTGATTAAATCATTGGCCATTGGTGATCTATATTCAGCTCCTCTCCCCTCCCTGGAGATTAGGGGGTAGGAGTGAGAATTCCAACTTTCTAGTCATGTAGTTGGATTCTCTGGCAACAGGGGTCAATGAAGAATCCCCCCATTAGCGTAAACTTAGGTATGGTTGAAAGGGATTTGTTATGAATAACAAACGATACTTCTGTCATCCCCATGACTCAGGAAATTCCAAGAGCTTTAGAAGCTCTGTGTCAGGAACCATGGGCAGATACCAAATATATATTTCTTCTTATGTTGCATTCACCACTTGGTCCATAGAGATACTCCCTGTTGAAGTCCCCTTGCCCTCCCAGGTGGCCCTCCCAAACAACACTTAAATGTCTTTTGGGCAGCTTCTTTTCCCACGTGGCCCACATCTGTTCTATGGGAATTTTTCACATATTCTATCCTTTGCCCTGATGGTGCCCAGTCTACTCCCACAGGCTTGAGCTTTCTCTGGCCTAAGCCAGGCACAGAAGCTTCCCTCTCCCTCAGCTGCAGGATCTCAAGCTCTCTGAAAGGTCTCTCACTAAGCATGAGGGCAGAAGAAGGCATCTTCCTCACTTGCCCTTCATGGGCAGAGGGTGGGGTTCACAGATCTCCACTTCTCCTGATCCTTGTATTATTATATTCTCAGAAGTGTTAAGGGGGCTTGTCATCCAAAAGACCACCAGGATGGCTAAATAGTAGAAAGAAGAGCTTTATTAGCAATAGCAGTTTGCAAATCAGGAAGAGAGTCTCTGGCATCGACCCAGGGTATTCTCCCTTTGAAGTGGGAAGGTGCAGGTTGGATTTTATGCTCCACAGAGTTGTATTACACAATAGAGTCATACACATTCAGAAGTTTGAGAGAAAAGCTATCCATATTTACAAGAGGAGCCAAGTGCATATGCAGTGGGTACCATGTGTAACATACACACTATGTTCACTTTGGGGTGGAGTTTCAGCATTAAAATGAGGTGGAATTTGGCTCTTTAAATCAAAGGGCAAACTATAGGACACAAAGACAGTTTGTGTGTAACCTCTATAACCTGGCTGAAATTGGCTTAAGGTTTGTAGTTGCTTATCAGAGAAAAATGTTTATAAAGCCAGCCTTCTGTTCAGTCATTGAGTCGTAGTTTTCTGGGTTGTAAATCAGAGTTAAGAGTGGTCGAATAGCTCCTATTGTTATGGAGTGTAGCAAGGGTGTGGTTTTTCTTGTAGCCTTAGGAATTTAGGAAGTTGTCATGCCAGCTGAGCCCTGAACCCTAGACCTGTAGGTAACTTTTGTTTCCTTAACCTTAGGGTTTGTCTTAGTTGACAAAAGGGAATCTATTTTGGTCTCTCAGATCACAGGCCTAAGAGGTAAAAAATCAGTTCTGAGTCATTTTTTATGTCAATTCTACATATGGTGGCAGTCTCATACTTACAGATTTCCACTGGAACTAAAACACTTTTCATGAAGATGTGACTTGGTATGGTGAAGTGAGCTCTGGACCAGTGGTGAAATGACCTGACTTCTTGTATTTCTACCATTTTTTAGTTTGTGACTTTATAAAGAAATTACTTTGTTGGGGTGTAGAAAACAATTCCCCAAAATCTAGCTTGTTGACATGCTGAGTGCTTTGAAAATGAAAAGGCCTTAGAAATAGGCCTCAGAACCAAGGTTCTGACTTTCCTCTGTCTCTCTCATCCTCCTTATTTTCCCAAGAAGAAGAGGGGGAGAGATTCTGTCTGGAATTTCCTTATCTAAGAAAGTGTATTTCACAAAGAAGTGCAGTTGTTTTAAGAGCACGCTCCCTAGAAATCTCATCAAATATCCAGGAAAAATCAACCTTCAGAGAAACAGAAGGGATTGGGAATCGTCACCAAGTCACTATGCCCAGACAGACTTTTCATCTGTTCTTCTGAGTGCAATTCCAAGAAATTAACTGGGGAAATTTATTTGCATAATAAGACAACCTTTGTTCTGTGCAGTTCTGTCCACCCCTTACCTTCCCATAACTTGTTCCATCCAGCTTTCAAAGACAATCATTTACAAAATAATATATACCTTACAGGTCCTTATGTCTCTCCTCTGTGAAGAGAGATTTGAAGCCTCAATCATCTGGACCCTCTTTGAGTCTCATACTTTGTATATTGCTTCTGTGTTTATGCAAATTAAATTTTGTATGCCTTTTTCTCCTACTAAACTGCCTTTTGTCAGCTTATTTTTAGCAAACCTTCAGTGGGCACAGAGGAAGCCTTCCCTCTGCCACTACAACTTAATCTCTTTGATGATCACTTTCCATAAAATGGTTTTGAAGATTGAATGAGATAGAGCAAATGAAGATGCTTTGAATGTATACATGTGCTAAACACACGGAAAATGCTCTGTTGTGAGTTCAAAGTACTTTCTCTGCTATTGAGGCTTCTAATCAGTATGATTCTGTGATGACAGAAACTCAAAAGCTTACCTTTTTTTTTCTTCTGATACTGAAAACTTCCATCTTGTCAAAAGACAAAATTACAACAAATTTAGCTTAAAGATCTTAACTGGCTTTTATTTGTGATTCTAGAATCAGGCAACTCCTCATTTTACAAAATAGAATGAGTGTTCCCAATGAATTGAGCAGAGGTTGGTTTAATAGACAGAAATGGACCAAGAAGGCAGAAACGGAAAACCAAAAAAGGCTGGGTTGTTTCAAGGTTACTTTTCTTGCAAAGGTTAAAGCAGAGGGGACTTCATTATCATGCCAGCTAGCACTGGCTTGTTTGGAAATTTGGCTATTATCTCTCTCCTGATATCATGGAAGGTTAGAGAAATAACTTAGTGTTGGCTTGGTGGTGTGGAACTTCAGCTTGAGTGACCCCATTTTGGCTTGGTATGTGTTGGGCTTAGTGCAGGAGCTCAGTCCAAACCGATGGCCTCCTATAACGGTCTTAAGGAATTATTATAGTTGGAGCGAAAGTCCAGTCTTCTGTCCCATTTGCTTACTAAGCTATACTAAGGGAAAAAAAATGGGACTAAATTTAAATATTGTTTTTAATTTTCTGTTGGAACAAATGAGTGATTGCTATATAAAGGTGCATTTCAAGTACCAAATGCAAAATTATGCTATTGTTGTGTTCTTCAAGTGTGAACTTTAGTGGTTACAGCTGAAACTCGTAGAGATGTCTCAGATTCTGCCTTCAATTGGCTTATTTAGCTTTGATGGAAAAACACTTTATTTCTTAGAAAAGCTATAATAACTGTTATCATTATTTTAATAATGACATTTACACGAGCTTTAGCATGTACATGCTTTCTGGGCACTTGTCTAAGTGTTTTCCAAATGTGGGGAGAGAAAGGAGGTGATCCCTTTGCTCCTCATCATAAAGGTCATGGCTGACACTCCTATAAAAAAATGACAGGTTAACAAGAGAAAAGCATAATGATTTATTAATGTGTATAAGCATGGGAACCATAAAAAATAGGAAAACTCAAAGAAGGGCCACATGGTTGATGCTAAAGTACCCTCTTCACTGGGTTAAGAGAAGTAGAGGTGTAGGAGTAATTGGTTTTTAGGGGGAATGAATGAGCACAAAGAACAATGATAAATCATAGTCAGGATGAAGTTCCTGTGAGCTCTGAGGGAGGCAGTGGGAACACGAGGGGCTGAACTTCACTGTGAACAAAAGTTGTCTTATTATGCAGATAGCATCTCCCAGGTAATCTCTGGAGCTGCCCTAACAATAGATGAGAAGTCTGTCTGGACATGGTGATGACTCCTAGTCTCTTCATTGGGATTCCTAGAAACGGGGGGTCTTAAAATAATTGCATTTCTTTGATAAAGAAGCTTTCTTGGTCATATAAAGGAAATTCTAGAAAGGGTCTCTCCCAATGTGCTTCAGCAAAAAAAGATTAAAGAAACAGATAGGCAAGTGAAGGCCAGAGAGAGACCTTGGGGCTGCTTCTTTAGTTCAGCATGTCAAAACACCGTATTTTGAGGTATTGCTCTCTGGGCCCTAATAAATATATGGTCTTATCTAATCCTCACAACAATCCTAGGAGGTAGGTGACACTATCCCCATTTTACATAGAGGAAACTGAGGCACAGAGAAGTTACAGTTTACCCAGAACAGTCAGGGTTGTTTGGAGTATTAACATGAAATAATGTGTGTGACTAAAAGCTTGGTGTGTAGTACAGCAGATTCTCAGTCATTTTTAATTTACTCTAAGGGTCAAGAGTTAGTAAATATAGAAGTCCATGTGACTTTGGGGCTTTCATTGGGCAAAACCACAAGTTTTGGCGGAAACAGATAAAGATAAGCACTTATTCTTATTTGGCATAGATAGTTCCTTCCTTCTGCATCCTACTGCTATTTTCATTTTATCGATGGAATACTTTGAAGCACGAAAAATCATTATATCTTGAAATAATTTTTAAAATAATCCAATAACAAACTCAGAACTACTGAAGAATAATAAAGGTAAGACAATACATATTAAACATTTTAAGGGTAACATTTTTGGGAAATTGACTTTTTTTAGCTTTATGGAATATTATTATCATTATTATCATGATCATTATTATTTCCATTCTACATAGGAAGAAATTGAAGCACAGAGAAGTTACAGGTTAGCCAGGAGAATACCTATTTTCCAGAACTTTTGTGGGGTATTAACAGTACTTAATATGTGTTAATTTACATACTAACTTAGGTAACAAGCGTGTGTTAAGAATAAGTATATAAAATGTGTTTTTGGATTCAAATTTTATTTTAAATGTGATAGATAGAAATATTTTTGCTAAGATATATAATTATCCTCCAAATTATTTTTAGGATGAGTATGAATTTTCATATGCAATGCAGTTCCATCTTATGTAAGCGCTGTATTCTAAAATTAGCTTTTAAATCAAATATAGGGTATAGTAAGAATCATCATTAGGACCACTGAGCTCAATATTGTATATATGATGTTGTGTATACAACTAACATTCCTTCTAACTTTTTACTGGTCACTGTTTTTCAATGGGTCTCAATTGGATTTTTTTAAAATTTCTTCTTTCAGGATGTTAACAAAGAAGAATCAAGTAGCTATTATCAGAATTCAGTTTTGTTTTCTGTGGAAATCTCTTTCCCTAACAGGTTATAACAATCCAGTGGTGTGCTTGTCAAATTTCAGCATTACCTTTATGTTGAACATTTAAAAAAATAATAACAGTAGCCTACATTTTAAATATACTTAGTATGAAATGGGCATTGTATTAAATTCTTTCTGTGCATTATCTTATTTAACATTTAACCACAAAGAGGAATGCATTCTATCTCTTACACTTCTTCATAAATGCTTTATGCTTTCACTTGTTAATTTCACACATTTTTATTTTTAAAAATTTGGTATGTGTTCTTATTTGCCCAGCCGTATATCTCCTATTTCCTTTTGTTTTTTCTCTTTGGTGCTTTTGTTAATCACTTGTTTATAGTTTTAAATATTCTCTTTTCTCCTCTTGGTTTTTTCCCAATTATATGAAGTCTCCTAAGTCTAATTCAGATTCTACCCTTTCTATAAATCCTTTACAGATCACTCTACCCTAAAAAGACCTCTCCCTTTGTGAAATCTACATAGCATTCATTTGACAATTATTCATTAAGCTGCTTATCTTGAAATTTTATTTAAATCTTTTGCTTAATTTTCACAAGTTTGTCTTCTTTTCCAACTTTGGTAAGTTCTTCAATTATGAAATATAGCTTAACACTTTGTTTCCCTATAGTAGTAGTTCTTTAATTCTTTAATGAGTAGCAGATTTTCATATGGCCAGAAAACGCCACTCCCAATTGAAAGGATATATTACAGAATGGAAAATAATCTGAACTTTGTAACCTAAGAAGCAAAATAGTCTGAATTCTGCAACCTAAGAAGCACAATGTGTAATTGAAGGCTTGCTAAAAAAACAAAAACAAAAACAAAAAACCCAGAAAACCTTATCACAAAAGCCAACACAGGTTTTGGGAAATTGAAAATATAATATTTTCATGGTATTAAGCTTCATACGAAAATGAAGTCCAGACAGCAACAACATACTCTTGAGAGTCTTATCCTGAGTTAGTCTCTATAACTGATTAGACCAGAAGGGGAGGAGATGGCTCATAAAAAGATCTGCTTCTAAAAGGAAAGTCTGAGAGATTTTGCTCTAGAGTGTTGGTTCATACTGAACGAGGAAAAGAACACTGGAAGTTCTAAAATGCTGAAAGAGGTATTCAAGACCTCATAGTCTTTGAAAAACAGCAAATAGTAGTTCAGTTTTGACTTGGAATCATTCATTCATTTATTCTTGTAATCATTTCTGTATCCTTAAGGAATGTTAAATCAAAGATGTAGAAGACATAGTCCTACTCTCTAAGCACTTTCTTTGTAGCACTGGAGATAAAACACAAACAACTAGTTACTACGCTGTGGAAGGCGTAATACATGTTATATGAATATTCTTGAACGTGTTACTTAGCCTTCTGGGATTTAGTTTCTTTATCTGTAAAGAGCAAGCACTGGCTTTGGTAGAAAATCTTTAAGGCTGTTTCTACATGCAAAATCACGTAAGTAGTACATTCACAAGATCTTGAAAAGCTTTAGAGGAGAAACACATTCCTTATAGTGGAGAGATCAAGGGAAGTTTCTTAGTGGAAATGATATTTGAAGAGGGCCTTGTTAGGTTGTTTTGATAGGCATATACTATAATAGTGATAAAACCAGTTATTGAGTGTTTGCTGTGCAGAAGGCAGTATGCGAGGCACTTTAAATACAGATTCCTAGGCTTGGCGCAGTGGCTTATGCCTGTAATCCCAGCACTTTGAGAGGCCGAGGTGGGCGGATCACCTGAGATCGGGAGGTTGAGTCCAGCCTGACCAACATGGAGAAACCCTGTCTCTACTGAAAATACAAAATCAGCCGGGCGTGGTGGCGCATGCCTCTAATTCCAGCTACTTGGGAGGATGAGGCAGGAGAATCGCTTGAACTCGGGAGGTGGAAGTTGCAGTGGGCTGAGATCGCACCATTGCACTCCAGCCTGGGCAACAAGAGCAAAACTCCATCTCAAAAACAAACAAAAAACAAAAACAACAACAACAACAACAACAAAAACCCCAGATTCCTGTGGGGAAGAGGGTGGAGCAGAGTTCTCTCTCAATACCCTGAAGTTATTTGCACAATTCTGTGTATATGTAAGTTAGTACATTTTTATGGGGAAAGTTTCCGTGGCTTTTCTCAGATGCTTAAAGTAGTCATAACCCCAGAAACAAGAACCGCAGTATAAAGAGTAGGAGATATGATTCCTATATTTTGGGAAATGCCCATATGTAGGGGGCGGGGGAGGAGGGATAGTGGTGCTGGTGGAAAGAATGAACAGTTGATAACAAAGAAGATGTTAAAAGCTAAGAATTGGAATCAAAGCCTCTTGGAGGGGAGAGCTTGAAGTAGTGACACACAGTTAATGTGGGGTGGCTAACAGATTGTAACTGGGAGTCAGAATGTCTGGATTTAAATCTTTGACTGGCATCTCCTACCTGTGTAACCTCAGGCAATTTGTTTAACCTCTTTGAGGCTAAGGCTTTTGCTATTTAGATTAATTGTTACATATTTACTCAATTCTTTTTTTTTAATTAAGGGTTTACTATGTGTTAAATGCCTTCATTCATATATTCTTTGATACAGTATGAATTTGTTGAGACCCTATACCTAGTTACTGGGAGAATTTTGGTGAATGAAGCAGAAGAATTCATTCTCTTGCCCTCACTGAAACCTATGAAAGAGACACTATTTTGCAGTGGAGGGAACTGAGGCTTGGGGAAGTTAAGTAATTTCTCAGTCTTGTGATAAAGAAATTGCAGACCCTTCAAACATGGGTCTGACTCCAAAATCTTTTTTTTTTTTTTTTTGATACAAGATCTCCCTCTGTCACCCAGGCTGGGGCATAATCTTGGCTTACTGCAGCCTCAACCTCCAGGGCTCAAGTGATGCTCCCACCTCAGCCTTCCAAATAGTTGGGTCTACAGGCATGTGCCATTATGCCTGGCTAATTTTTTGGATTTTTGGTAGAGACGGGATTTCACCATGTTGCCCAGGCTAGTCTTGAACTCCTGAGCTCACGTGATCCTCCCGCCTTGGCCTCCTAACGTGCTAAGATTATAGGCATGAGCCACCACTCGTCGCCCAAAGTCTTAATCACTAGTGTTTTTGTTTTTTTTTTAATCACTAGTGTTTTTTACTTCAGAATACTGTAGGCATGGCTGACTCTTGTGAGGTTAACAAGAAGAAACTTACTTTATTTCAGGAGTAATTTACATATAAACTCAAAGGTTGAGAGAGGGATGCTGCAGATATTTTGGATAGACTTCTAAATTTATGAAACTACTAAGTATTATTAAATAATGCAGTATTTCAAATCAGTTTTTCATATGATGACACAATCAGATCACTGAGTAGTCACTACACTGTTATTGAAATTGCAGTTTTCATTGTGATCTATATTATTCATATTAAGGACCCTCTAAAATGAGTGCACTTGCTTTTCAAGTAAGATAGTTTTTTTCTCATATATTTTTCATGACTGTCTATTTTTCCACTCCCATAATTTTATCTATTTTGCAAAAGAAATTGATTACTTTTCATATTTAAGTCCCTTTTGAGGGGCTCTCTCTTTTGAGGGTGGTTGTCCTTGTGAGAGAGTTTTCCATTAAGTTCCCATTGAGAAAATTAGTGACTATCATAGCTAAGTATTAATTTACATACAAATTGAGTTAAAGAAAACCATAATACAAAGTTTTGGATCCGAACTTTAGTTTGTTTTCTTTATAGGTGCATTTCTGTTAGCATCATTTAAACTGACTGCATAATGCATTAGGTTTTACTGAGTGCTGGCTATTCTTGTAAGAATCCTCTGGGATTAAAAACAAAAATTATCTAAGGGAAACTTCTAAATATTTTAAGTTTATCCCAATTTAGATAATTTATACACTAGTTGACCTGTTCCATTAATTGAGTTTTCTTCATACTAAGGACAACCTTTGGTTCTTCTTTTTTCTCCTCCTCCTTCTCCCCCTCTTCTTCTTCTACTGTTTTTTTTTTTGAGTTGGGGTCTTGGTCTGTCACCCAGGCTGGAGTTAAAGGCTCACTGCACCCTTGAACTCCTGGACTCAAGCAATCCTCCTGTCTCAGTTTACCGAATAGCTAAAGACTGCACGTGCATGCCACCATGCCTAGCTAATGAAAAAAAGATTTTTTTTTTTTAAGAGGGAGTCTTGCTATATTGCCCATGCTGGTCTTGACCTCCTGGCCTCAAGTGATCCTCATGTCTTGGCCTCCCAAAGCAGTAGGATTATAGGCATGAGCTACTGCACCTGGCCATTGTTTTGCTTTTTAAAAAACTTTCAAGAAATGATTGGGTTGACTCTATTGCCTGAGTCATAGAATTATTTCTACCATTTCTAAGCAAAAGCGTCTTATCAGATGAATTGGCTCGGCATTTTAGTTTTATATAACCAATTGTCATATGTCCAAGAATTTCCATGATATTTACAAGACAAAATCTTTATTTTTATTTGTTTAGACCTTTTAATGTAAGAATATGTACTCTTATTACCAAGTTATACTGTACTGACTAGGTCGATGTTGCTTGGGACATCATTGATAATAAATATTTTTGTAGGACCCCAAACAATACTTAAGTGACTTCTCTATTAGTAAAGCGTTTAGAATAGATATCACTCCAAGTTATAAGAATCTGTGATTTTGTTAAAGTTTAATACGTTTATCAGAGCAAGCATCATGGGAACATACTTGTGCTTTTAGCAAAACATGTTGTGGTTATATATGTGCAAGCTTGAGCCAGAAGAGGAAAATTTTTCTGAATGATGTTACAATGTTGCAGATAAAGATTCAAAAGATAGATTGTTTTGTAGAAACTGACAAGCTGATTCTAAAATTTATATGAAAATAAAAGAACCCAGAATAGCCAAAACAACTTTGAAAAATAACATTGAGGTTGGAGAATTAACATTATCTGATCTCGAGACTTATTATACAGGTTCCACGGTTTGTGCCTGTAATCCTAGCCAGCAGAGAGACTGCTTGAGCCCAGGAGTTCAGGCTGTACAGTGCTATAATTGTGCCTGTGAATAACCATTGCACTTCAGCCTGGGCAACTTAGCAAGACCCTATCTCTTAAAATGAGGGCTTATAAAGTTACAATAATCAATAATATGGCATTGGCATAAAGAGACAAATAGATCAATGGAACAGGATGGATTCAAAAAATGGATCTACACATATGTAGACAATGGATTTTAGACAAAGGTACAAAGGCAATTCAGTGGAGAAATGGTAGTCTTTCCAACAAAGGTTACTGGAAAAAAATAGATATTTACATGCAAAAAATAAACTTTGATTAATACCTTCCACCATACACAAAAATTAAGTTGGCTGTTTCCAGCTGCTAACAACTTTCAGGAATTTGTCATGATGACTGTTCTCATACTGCTAGTAAAGACATACTGGAGATTGGGTAATTTATAAAAGAAAGAGGCTTAACTGACTTACAGTTCCACATGGCTGAAGAGGCCTCACACTCATGGTGGAAGGTGAATGAGGAGAAAAGTCACATCTTATATGGCGGCAGGCAAGAGAACATGTGCAGGGGAACTCCCTTTTATAAAACCATCAGCTCTTGTGAGACTTATTCACTATCATGAGAACAGAATAGGAAAGACCCACCTCCATGATTCAATTACCTCCCACTGGGTCCCTCCCATGACATGTGGGAATTATGGGAGCTACAATTCAAGATGAGATTTGGGTGGGGACACAGCCAAACCATATCATTGACATTTAAGGAGCTTACCAAAAACACACTAAAGATCTCCTTCAAATATTTAGATGAAATAATGTTGGCGGCAACTTGTGTATAAAATTACATACTCATAGAAAAAGTTTTTTGTGGTTTTTTGAGATATTATAATGTATCCAGCAATGCATATTGTAGCTCTGATATTTTCTTTAAAAATTTTTTAGTTACGTATTTATATACTTAGAGTTCTGATACAACTACTACTTAAATCTCATTTATAAATTTTGTTCCTTGTGGCCAAGATTCTGTGGGGAAACAGTATTTTCATTTTGTAAATCTTAGACTTTCTATTGTATTTTTTTGTATTGAAATCTGATTATTTGAATTTTCATGACAAAGTCTCATCATTTTGCTTTTAATTACTCTATAGATTTTTATTTGGCAGATCATCTTATTTTTCATTATTAAAACAAGGACTGACATTTGCTGTCTCAGAATTAGTACATTCAATTATTCTTAAAAAACATTGGAATAACTCCTTATTCAGAAACTCTTTTTGATATTTTCAGTTTCTAAACTTAGCTGATTATCAAGAGGAAGCAAAAAAGAGCCTTGAGTACCCAACTGATATCACAAAGTCTTTGATGTAAATCTCATGCATTACAGGGTCCCAGCCTTATTCTGGCCTTTCCAGCCTTATTTTAAACTCAGACCATGCATACTGGGTTATTGGATTTCTCAGTCTAGAGTAAAATATAAAACCACAAGTGAGAATGGGAATATGGCTTAAAAACAGATGTGTTGCGAACAGCAAGAAGTGACAACTGTAAACTTGATAGCAAGGGAAGAGACACAAGGGGAGAAAAAAAGCATAAAATAGCACATAAAACACTTTTTAAGTAAACAAAGTAATCTATAGCCCCAAATCATTGAAATAATAAAAAGTGTTTAAATTTTCTATCCAATTGGAATTAGATAGAAATTGAGCATCTACTATACGGTTTCCTACATCCTTATAATTAACTTACCTTGCCCTTTCAACAGCTTTTGACATCAATTCTTTCTTGAAATTTACTCTATGTCTTTGGCTTATATGAAAAATATTCCTGGTTTTCCTTCTATCTCTTTGTTTACTCTTTCAGGCTCCCTTGCCAATGCATTATCTTCTATCTGGCCTTTAAGGTTGCATCTGCCCAAGGCTCCTTTTTGGTTGTCATTTCATATTCTTCTTTTGACAATCTCTTCCACACGGTGGCTTCAATTACAACCTGAACATTACAACTCTCACATGTATAGTTCCTGGGCTAAACTCCAGACTCATTTTTAACTGACTGTTTGAAACTCTACTTGGATATTTCAAATGTATTTCAAGCTCAGCATGTCAAAAGCCATATTTATAATCATTTTTTTTCCCTTATCCACAAACCTCAAGCCTCCTCCAAGGTTTATTTGTTGATTCCTTCAGTCATCTACTCATTCATTTATTTATTCATCAATTCTACAAATATGCAACTGGTTTAGTTACTGGAAATACAGCAGGGGTAAGACAGATAATGCTCCTGTTCTCATGGTGCTTATATGCCAGTGGATGAAGACAGACAATAAAAAACAAATACGAAAAACTTCAGACAGTGACCATGTGCACCGAAGAAAAAAACTGGGCAATGTAATAGGATGTGATTAAGAGATGCTACTTACTTTGTCCAGTCAGGGAAACCTCTCTAAAGAGATGATATTTTGGATGAGGAAATGACAGGAAGGAGCCACACATGCAGAGATCAGAGGGACAAACATTCCAGAAGAGGTGCAGCTTATAGAGAGGCCCTGAGGTAGGAAGGGACTTGGTGCTCTTGAGCTGCAGAAGGGAGGCCATTGCAAGCAGAGCGACTGAGTAGGTAGGATGGAGGTAGTGATAGAGATGGCACTGGAGGCAGATGGGTGGCAGACTGTATCGGACTTTGTAGAGTAGGCCAGGGTGAGGAATCTGGATTTTTCTAAATGTACTGGAAAACCAATAAAAGGCTTTAAACAGGGGAGAAGCATGATGTGATGTATGTTTTAAGGAGATCTTTCCAGCTACTGGGTGGAGAATGGATTCAATGGAGCAAGAGTGGAGTCAGAAAGACCAGTTAGGCTACTTTTATGGTAGTACAGGTTAGAGGTGGAGCAGGCTTAGAAGTAGCATGGCCATAGTGGAGGCAGTGAGACGGTGTTTGGAAGAGAGCTGAGGAAAGGAAGCTTTGAACAGGTATATTTTGAGATATCTATTAGACATCTGAGTGGAAATGTCAGTTAAGCATTAGAATTAGATATAGACAAATCTGGAATTCAAGGGAGAGGTGAATGTCTGAGATGTGAATTTAGAGGATATATATATAAAATTTTAAGGCAATGAGATTAGATGAGATCACTTAGAGAGAGAGGATAGAGATGAAAAAGAGGGTAAGAAGGTCTAGAAACAAGTCTGGTGTACTCCAATATTTAGAAGTGTAGAAGAGAAGGGAAGGAACAGTCAGCAAAGAACCATGGAGAAAGAGCAATCAGTGAAGATGGAGAACAATCAGAAGAGTGTTTCAGGGAAGAGGAGGACAATCGTGTCAGATGCTGCCAAGACATAGAATAATTATAATAATTATATAGTTTGCAACTTTTGGCCAAGTGCTCAGAATGCTTCTTTCCTGTTTTCTGTATTTGGAATATAGTTTATCTTTTATAAAAAAATTTTGTGGGTACATAGTAGGTAGATATACCCTAAAGAAAGGAAATGAGTATATTGAAGAGATATCTGCACTGCCATGTTTGTTGTAGCATGGTTCACAATAGCTAAGATTTGGAATATAGTTTATCTCTTGATTGTGTTTTACGTGGAAATAAACTATGAGTATAAAATAGAGTTGATTTTTGTTATACTCTTTGAGCTCCTTTGGAAAAAAATATAGAACTAAGTTGAGCTATGTAGGTATCAACAGCTGCTGGATTCTGATTGTTGTTTTGGATACTTGTGGTAGAATATTCTGTAAAAGTCCCCCATCTCTGGGTATTTCTGTAAGTGCTGGCCTTGGTCTTGTCCACCAGCACTATTCCAGTTACCTGGGGCCCCTTAACCTTCACCTCTTGGCTAAGCCTTATCCAGGCTTTAGAAGCAGAAGAAAACTGTAAAGGCTATTGTTCAGCAGTAAATTTCAAGATGGCATTAATATTAATCTCTCTTGACCCTGAATACTGTTCAACTGGCTTCGGCTTTGTATCTTGACAAAACAGCTCTGCCTTCCATTCCATGACTGAATTTGCATCTTGGTTTTCTGCCTAGTTTGCATTTGGAGTTTTGTTTTAATTTCCTACTTTGCCTTGAGAGTACCAGAGCCCTGATCTTAAACCCTGGTCTCTGTCTCCGGTCTGATACCTGCTTGGCACCAGCTTTTTGTCTTTTATGAAATCTTGGCACCCTCCACTTACTCCCATCTCACCCTATTGTTCTTAACTCTCCTACTGAGACCTCTAACTTTTACCCACTGCAGGACTCCCTGAGGTTAATTGTTTTCTTCTTTAGATTTCCTTTTTTTTTTTTTTGATTGCTAGACTTTCCCTGTTTATTTTAGCAATACAGTTGAGTTCTGTTTTATATCTGGGTCCTATGTAATTAATATATAACTAAACTAAAATTCTAGGATCTTGCCTTCAATTTGGAATGACTTGATGGGAGCATTTAGAAATTACTATTTTTAATTAACACATAATAATTGTACATATTTATGGAGTACAGTATGATATTTCAGTATATATATACCATGTGTAATGATCAAATTAGGGTAGTCAGCATATCCATCACTTCAGACATTTAGCATTTCTTAGTGTTGGGAACATTCAAAATCCTCTCATCTAGCTATTTGAAAATATACAATTTATTATTCTTAACTGTAGTTCCCCTTCAGTGCTACAGAACTCTGGAAGTTACTACTCCTATCTAGCTGTACTTTTGTATCTGCTCCCCAACCTCTCCCTATCTCCTTTGCCTCCCAACACTTCTCAGTCTCTAGTAACCACTATTCTACTCTCTAATTCTATGAGATCAACTTTTTTAGCTTTCATATGTGAGTAAGAACATGGAGTATTTATTGGAAGCATTGTTATATCCAAAGTATTCTGCTTTAAAGAAGAAAGAAATCTACAGATTTTTTTTTTTTTTTTTTTTTGAGACAGAGTCTCACTCTGTCACTCAGGCTGGAGTGCAGTGACATGATCTAGGCTCACTGCAACCTCCACGTCTCAGATTCAGGTGATTCTCCTGCCTCAGCCTCCTGAGTAGCTGGGATAACAGGCACCTGCTATCACACCTGGCTAATTTTTGTATTTTTCATAGAGACAGGGTGTCACCAAGTTGGCCAGTCTGGTCTCGAACTCCTGACCTCAGGTGATCCACCCGCCTCAGCCTCAGTGGTGGGATTATAGGCGTGAGCCACCGTGCCCGGCCTACAGATGTTCTTTACTCTAAATATAATAGGCATTAGGGAAACACAGAAGAGTAAAATGTATCTCTGCCTTTGAGGAAATATGTTTTTAAATATAGTCATACATAGATGCTTTATACAGCCAGTGAATTCAGCTTGTTGCACTGAAGACAGTCCCTTATGTATATGACCCCTGTACTCTGTTTTCACTGGAGCCCTGTGCTCACAAAACATTGCTATTAAAACATTTCAGAAATAAGAAAACTCCAGTTAAAATTTTGAGGAACCTTGATTCTTAGAATAAAGATGGACAAGAGATCATTTTTTCCTAGTGCTCTATAATAATTCCTTTCTACTTAACCTTGATTAATTAAGACATATACATATTTTTACTCATGGAAGGGGCATATTGGAAATATTTAAATTCTTACAGTCATGCTGTGCTTTTCACAGATGATTGGAACATTGCCCAGGCATAAATGCATCTCATCCTTCCCCCAAACAGTTTGTCAGTTGTTTAACCTAGCATAATTTGTTTTTCATGACCAGTAAAAATGACAGTGCTAAAATGTTTTAAAAGGAAATAAAAATAAAATAGAATTATAGCTCTGATTTTTTAAATATTCTCCTTTTTTCCTTCCTAATCATTCTTTGATATAGTAATGTATCTTAACCTTTGCTTCAATTGTAGGCTATTTTTAACATTGTAAAAACAGAAAATAATCAAAACTAGGAGTTTTATTTTGTGAAAATGAAAACAGAGAAATTTTATTTTGTGAAAATGAAATAAATTTCAATAAGACAGGTTATACTGCGACAAAATAAAATTTCACGGATGCGTTATCACGGTTTCAATGCTTATGTACACATAACCTTCATCCTTTGTATGACTTTGTGGCTAGGAGATTTAATGCACTGACTACTCACATTGATGCTGGGCTGAAGCCTCAAGTTGTTTGAGGAAAAGACCATTTCATGTGCCCAACTATGAAGCATTTAGAATGAAAGGAATACTGAGAACATGTCAAGAGAGCTCATGCCACTGGAAATTGTACCTTTCTGTAAGAAAGAATGTATCTCAAAACTATAAGATGAGATTGTGTAACCTTCAGACATGTTAGTTCACCATAGTATAAAACCGTGGTAAACTATGGTATACTATGGTTTACCATAGTATACTATAGTAGAAGACACACATTTAGCAGCTATTAAAAGATCCAGCTATTGATCAGCTAGTACAACTCGTTCTATAGAGTTTGACTTAGATGCTAGAATTTCCTTCATCCCCAAACTACAATTATCATCATAGAGACAAGAGGACACAGATCTATGAGTCTCTGGAGCTAGGTAGAAGACAGATTACAGGTAGCCCTTTCCTGAAAAGCCAGGTCAGCTTGTTTTGCTGAATTTTCCATCCTGTAGGTTGAATTCTTTTCCAGGAGGCTCTTTGGTTTCCGTAGAAAAAAGTACTTTGTGGTTCCTGCCCTATCGGTTTTCCAGATAGGCTGGGCAGGTCTGAACCCCAGTGATGGACATAGATTAGACCCAAATTGTCATCCCTGCTGTGATTACTCTGAGGTCACTCATTTAGGATCACTTTTTGCATGCATGTGTGTGTTTGTGTGTGTGTGTGTGTGTGTATAATGCATTTTGTATTTATACAGTATTATAGTAGTATATAAACTGTATAATAGTACTTATACAGTTTAACCAGTGAGATGGTTAAATGGTTAACAAGTAAACCACATAGTTAACCAGTAAAGATGTAAAATGACTTCAGACAAATATGATCAATCTCTACAGTCCCCTGATGAATTTCACAGGTTCCCACCACCATCAGTTCTACCTATTCATCTCATCCATGCTCATTGTTCTGCCTCTTTCCTGTTCCTATGGATGCCCTGGCATGTTTGTTTCTTTCTTTCTGGCCTCCTATTTCCCTCCCCTCAGACATCACTTCAGCATCTGTGCCTTCTCACTTCCCTTATCCTGGGTGTTACCATTTCAGCCTATGAGCATGCCATTAATTTGCCATCTTTACAAAATTCTCTCTTGACTTCACATCCCTCTGTAGCTGCCCTCTCCCTTCTCTCCTCTTCTTTACAACAAAACTCCTTAAAAGAACTGTTGGCTGGGCACAGTGGTTCACTCCTATAATCCCAGCACTTTCAGAAGCCAAGGTGGGAACATCACTTGAGGCCAAGAGGTCGAGACCAGCCCAGGCAACACAGTGAGACCTCATCACTACAAAAAATAAATAAAAATTAGCCAGATGTGGTGGCACACTGCCTGTAGTCCCAGCTACTCAGGAGGCTAGGGTGGGAGGATCACTTGAGCCCAGGAGGTTGAGGCTGCCTTAAACCTCCTCCTGAAGGATCCTCAAGTTGCCAAATTCTAAGATCCATTCTTAGTCCTCATGTTACTGGACATGTTGGCAGGGTTTGATGGACGTCTCCTCTTTTCTTGGCTTTGTTTTCCCCTTACTGTTTTCTCCTACCTTCTAAGTCTCCATCTCCTGACCTCTAAACTTTGGAAAACCCAGGGCCTGGTACTCTGACCTCTTCCCTGTCTAACTCTTGCTTAGTGATCTCATCACTTACCTGACTTGAATGACTACCAAATATATATCTCTCACTTGGACTTCTCCATGAACAAAAGATGCATATATCTAGCCGTGAAGATATTTTTGTACAAATTAGAAAAAGCTGCCCTTTCCTCAAGCACATGACTGCCATCTTCTGGAAATTTTTCAGAGTAGAGACACCTATCCAAAGACTGAATATGAATGGTGTCTCCTTCAGCTGTGTGGTCCTCAACCTTAGTAGCAGTGCTTTTTCTCAACTTGGATGGGTGTGTCATGGCCATCACAAGCTTAGTAGGTCCCAACCCACATCCCATCCCATCCCATCCCTTCTCATCCTCTTCCCTTCAGTCTTTTTCTATTTCAAACTTTTTCTGGTGGCTTAGGTCAAACCCTTTGAAGTTATCCTTGATGCTTCTCTTTCTCTCATATCGCAGCTTAAATCCATCAGCAAATTCTGTTGCTTTTTCTTTCAAAATACATTAGAATTTAACCACTCATCACCACCCCACTGTTGCCACCCTGGTCTAAGCCTCAGCAGCTCTCCCCGGGATGATTTCAATAGTAAGCTTCCTTTCTTGCTCATCATTGTCTGTCCTCAACACAGCATCCACAGTTGTTTCAAACCTAGGTCACAGCATGTTTCTACTCTACCCCAAATCCTTCAGATGGTCTGCCATCTCACTCAGCGAAAAATCAAAGTCCTTAAAATGGTCCACGGGCCCTCCACATCCAGGCCTGTCCACAGCACTGGCCTTGTTTCCCACCTCCCTCCCCTCCACACCGCCCGGTGCTCCAGCCACGTGGACCTGGCTGTCCCTCAACATGCCGAACACACATCTGCTTTAGGCACTCTGCCCGGATGCCCTTCCATACAGCATGGCCTGCTGCCTTCCTTTCTTGAGTCATTGCTCAAAGGTCACTTTACCCTGTCATGGAAGCCTTCCTTATCTATACCACATAACCAAGCAACCCCTTTCCCAGAGCATTTGCTATCCCCCTGCTATTTTATTTTCTCCATAGCACTTAGCATCACACACACACATATTGTTTACTCTTTTACCTGATTAGAATTTAAGCTTCGTGAGCCTAGAGACTTATTTTCCCCCCTTAATTATATCCCAATTTCTAAAACAGTTCTTGGCAAGTAGAGTGATCTCAATAAATATTAATCAAATAAATAAATGAATACAGGAATCCTTGAATCTGTCTGGGGGACACTATTCTCAACAAGACACTGCAAATTGACCAAGGGGTTGACAAAATAAATAAAAATACACAAAGGTTTGAGATGGTCCTGAACAATTATCATCTCTTGATTCCAAGATAAAAGTATTTTCAAGAGTTTGAGAACTCATTTAAATCTAATTTGAAAATTGCATTGATTTTACACCCTTCCGGAAGGGCATGTTTCCTGCAGAGAAAGCAAGTAGGTGCCATCTAGTGGCAACAAAGGAGATCCACATTTGTGTTAACTGGAATGTATCGATTAGCAGTGATTGAAAATGTAGTTCCTGATCCAGAAGCTTATGAACTCTATGACAGAACAGTTGTGATAGCCATAAGTCTTGAAGGGTGCATTTTCCATGGAATATATGGCATTGAAAAAAACACAGTTCCATTTCTTCTAAATTATTTCTAATTTTTCCTTTTAATTTTTGCTTGTTTTCTGGGATTTGACTTCTTTTGTTCTTTTGTTTTTCGTATTGTTTTGTCCTCTACTTATCTATATACTCTTACATTCACATGGTACTGGCCTAGGCTTTGAATGGGTAATAAAATAAAGGCTCTATCTTCTGGGAATTTATATTCTAATAAAGACAGTGCCTATGAGGGTAAGTATAGAAGAACATGCCTTATCTTGATGAACTGATCTCTTCAGGCCAGATTTCTGCAGCCTGTTGAGGCTTTACTGTTGGATATACTTCCAGCATTAGAGGAATGAGCTTTCGGGAGACTTAGCTTGCTGTTTTTCAGAAAGTGGCACATTATATGGAGAAACTAAGATAGAAAGAGAAATACTCATGTCCATGCATGTTGTCAGGAAAGACAGAAATTAAATCCGTCTCTGATTCTCATTCTAACATCCAAAAAGCTAGGTCATTTCAATTCTTTGGTAAATTAAAGTAGAAACTTTTTGGTCCACTTTGGGAGCTTGTGACCTTTCCAGCCAGAGTGGCTGGGGTTGGTACTGGGAAATCTTTGCCACCAGAGGGCCTGAGTGGTGATGTGACAAAGCAAGATAAGGGTGTGAGGCCCAGGAAGGAGACAAACTTAGGGTGCTGACACTCACATTAATGCACACGGCCTTTTCACAGCTGAGTAGCACCAGAGGACAAAAGTTGGACTAGTGGAATATGACAAGAAAGCAGGTTTCATACCAAACATAAATATTTTCCAATCAGAGCTTTTTCCAATGAGATCAAAGTTTCTGTTACCCAATAGTGGATGGGTCCGAGCAGAGACTGGATGACAACCTGCCAGATTTGTTGAACCTATGAAGGTTCTCTGATTCTCTGGAAGACCTCTTTCTCCCTGCACATGTAAAAATCCTCCCTACTGTTCAGTATTCAGTCCATACCCCACTTCCTTTTTTGGGTACCACAGCTTAAAATCATCTTTTCTATCTCTACCTTTCTTATCATTTTAAGAGCAGGTTAGCATTTACATTATGCTACCTGCATTAATGTTTTTTCTCAGTGGTCTAATCCTTAGCTTTTTGAGTTAATGCTAACCTGCTTGAAGACACGGACCACATCTGAGCTAAGTGACAAATGATTCTGTATTGTTATCTTTTAGCATTGAAGGTGTATGTAAGACTCTTTTATCCTTTCCACACAGTGTTAAATCTAACCCTTGTTGATCTACCTGCAGTAACTAAAGTGCCCGTGGGAGATCAGCCACAATAGCTCTCTTGCTATTGACCTTGCCATTTCATCTTCAAGAGTGAATATTAAATGTTTATGATGGGTAATGGTAGTAAAGCTACCAATAATTGCCACATCTGGCTTTTTTTTTTTTTTTGAGATGGGGTCTCACTTTCTTGCCCAGGCTGGAGTGCAGTGGCATGATCACAGCTCACTGCAGCCTCGACCTCACAGGCTCTTATCTGGCATTTGGGTCCAAGATGCTTAGGCATAGTCTAAGTTTAGTTGTACAATTCTTCATTGAGATATTAGATAAACTAAAATCTTTGTGGAGATTTGTTTCTTTGTTAGATTTATACTCATTTAAAAAATCTAATAGTACTGTACTAGCTTTTCTTTTAAATTGTGGTGTTTTTTACATACCTGATTTCTCTCAAAGTAGGTACAGAAATTGATAATACACCAGCTTGTAGGATGTTACTGAAAATTTAAAAACCCAGTTTTGTTATTTATGTAGTTATTTTAGTGTTTTTCCCTCTGCTGAGGGATTTTTTTAAAATTTTACATTACAGGTAAATATTTGCTTTGATATAATACTCTATAACTTTTTTCCTTGAGAAATTGTCTTTGTATAAGTTGATGTGGTATTTTCAATAGTGTGTTTTTAAGCTAAAGGATTCCATATATTATTTATTTTTAACAAATTAAATGATTTCCCTTAACTTATTTTGCCTTCTGAAGATATATTTATATAACTTGGCATTCCATCCTGATGAAATGGTGATACTGAAGAGGGGAATGCTAACAGAACTCAGAGGTATCCCAGATCTAATGTCTTTAACAATCAGGTGCTGTTGTTTGCTTTATCATTTGGATAGCCAAAATTTTCTTTAAATTATTTAATAGGCTAGATGGTTTAGGGACTGGTTTTAGTATTTAATTGCTTATCTGAAAATTGGCAAATTTAGCATCTATAGCATTTGTACTATGTTTAATATTTCTAAAGTATTAATTGTGATTCTTAGTAACTACTGTGTTCTGTGGGATGTTCATGAAGGAAGAAGAGAGAATATTGGATACTTTGACTTATAATTAAAGAAACTTTTATAATTATGGCAAAAATGCATGAATTTAAGTTGTGTCATTTTGGTTTTATTTTTGTAGAATATGCCGAGTTTCTACATTGCAAAGGAAAGAAATTTACAGATTTTGATGAAGTTCGCCTTGAGATTGAAGCAGAAACAGATCGCGTGACTGGAATGAATAAAGGCATTTCCTCCATACCCATTAATTTACGAGTCTATTCCCCACACGGTAAGTAAAATAATAAAATTCCAAATTCTTCTCCTCAAACATTTATACTACATTAATTAACATACATCATTTGTACAGAAGATACAAATAGTGCTGGGTTTCTAGGGTATCCTTTGGATACTGCCCATTAATGTTATGGTTCAAAGAGCTCTTAAGACATTTAAGGAGAGGCAGTAGGAGATGACTTTAATAAAAACAGAATTGAGTTAGTCATCAAATTTTTTCTTCATTTTTATTATAAGCTTTTAGAATTTGAGAAGGGTATATATGAAAACTTCCATTTTTCAGTCTTTGCTGAAATCTTAGAGGTACATGTTACTATGGTTGCATCTTCCCCTATTGGATGTCTTGCAGCCATATATAGTCCTATTTATTTTCTTCCTGAGAAATCAGCTCTGACTTTTTCCCCCAGACTATCGGTAGAAACTTATAAATTAGATAACCAATCCATAATGTGTGATGGGAAATAACCTGTATGCTGACTAAATTTTTAGTGGGCAAATTTTCATTTCTTATTCCCTACTTAGCTCTATTGCTTTTAAAACAGAATATAAATGACATAAGCTCAATTATGACTTCCCAAGGGTACTTGGTGCCAACATTGTTTATATGGAGAGGTTGGGCTAGAGTCATGTTGTCACTGACTCTGTTTGTACAGCTGATTCAGTAAACCCAGGGCACCACGAATGGCTAACAGCTTTCTACTAGGCTAAGTGGTTAACTTTCTATTAAAAAAAAAAAATGATACTTTTTAAGGAAAGGGCAGTCTTACCCTGTGAGTTTTTATACCACTTGAAGGCAATGTATAAGACTGGCAGATAGCATATGCATTTCTCATTTGGTGTTTTAATTATAACCCCCTAGTTACAGATATGACAGCTTTCTGAGCAAACTGTTAGGCATGCAAATCAGTGCCTTTCAAATTATGTTAAAGTGATCATTTGGCATAGCACAATCATATCATAAAAATAGAGAAAACTAGCAAAACCATTTTTATTTTATGCTCTTTATTCTACACACATGGGTTGGAGTTGTTCAGATACACAAAGTAGAAGGCTGAGCTAAGTGACAAATGATTCTGTATTGTTATCTTTTAGCATTGAAGGTGTATGTAAGACTCCTTTATCCTTTCCACACAGTGTTAAATCTAACCCTTATTGATCTACCTGGAATAACTAAAGTGCCTGTGGGAGATCAGCCACCAGATATCGAGTATCAGATCAGAGAAATGATTATGCAGTTCATCACGAGGGAGAACTGTCTGATTTTAGCTGTTACTCCAGCCAACACTGATCTTGCAAACTCAGATGCGCTGAAGCTAGCTAAAGAAGTTGATCCTCAAGGTGAGTGTGTGACTACTAAGATGAGAAGGAATTAAAGTGTCAGGAGTTTTGGTATCTTTAAAGGTAACATAAATTCTTAAGATTTGGTTTCATTATAAATAAATTAGCCATTATTAATGTTGTTAAACCTTTTGTATTTTAAATAGAAAATTCAGTATTTAATATTAAAAAATAATAAATAATTTTAGTAAAGATTTACTAAAATAATGAAATTTATATAGTCAAAATCTATATAAATCTAAGAATAATGAGATCTAAGAAAACAGGCATTTCTAAGCCTCATGGGCTGCATATTTTAAAAAGTTGGTAAAATAAACTTCTGGTACAGCAGAATTCAGACAATCTACTAATTATTATGAGTTACCTGCATATGCTTCCAGTGAAAAACCTTTGTGTTTTTTACTTTGTCTTGTTTCTTTAAAATAGGAAGCTCTAATGCATGTAAGATATTATTTAGCTTATAATTATTTGAGAAAAAATGTACGTATAAGCAGGGATTTATTTGGTATTGTCATCTCAATATCCAGAAAAGGTCCTTTCTTATGCGTATGTTTAAACTTTTTACTTCTCTAAGTTGAATAACGACAGTTTATCTTCAGAGACCTCAGTGCTGGCCTTGGTGTGTGTCTGTTTAAAGTGATTGTGGAAGGGCATTCAATGATGTGCCCTTTCAATATGGAGATACATGTTCTTCAGTTCTAGGAATTTTTCTTTTTTGATAATTAATTGTCCCAATTTCTTTGTTCTTTTTATCTGTAGTTCTTATTAGCATGTTAGAACTCCTAAATGAATCCTTTATTTCAATCTTTCTCTTCTATAATCATTTCTTTGTCTTTTTGTTCTACTTTCTGCAAGATTTTATCAACTTTATCTTCTGCTCTTCTGATTCATTTTAGAGGTTCCAAAAGCATATTTTTACTTTGTGAATCTTATTTTTATTTTTTAAAATAGCATCATGTTCTTGTTTTCATAAATACAATATCTTCCTCCAAGGACTTTAGTGAGAGCTTTTTGAAGGTTTTCTTTTGTAATCTACATTGTCTGAATCTATTGTTTTCTGATTGTTTGTTTTTGTCTCTGTCTTTGATGTTAGAGACCTTTTTCAAATGTTTGTCGATCTTTTGCCGCTTGTTCGTGCATGAGAGTGGAGCACCAAAAAGCTGATTTATGTACATGACAGGGATTCATTGACCAGTGGGTTTTCCCATGGAGTAACTGTGCTGAGAGTTGACCATTTTGTTAGGAGACTTCCTCAACTGTTAGGTTCTATGAGTATTTTCTCCTGAGCTGGTCTGGTATAAGCCTGATGTCTAGTGTTCTTGGAGCCAAGAATTGGTGGGTCAGGGGATGGAGTGGGAGGAGGATGGTTCTCACTATTCAGTGTGTACACTTTTAATTAATTCCTCTGCTTTCATGATGGCATTCCTGAAATTCTTCTGGAGTCCAGAGTCCCTCTGGTTCAACCTCTTTTGAAGCAAGTCTTCAGTACTCTGCTGAGGTTGAGGAAGGGTAGCTATGTGGGTGTGTCCTCTAGGAGCCTTCAGCCAATTCTTTTATTTTCAGCTCTTCCTATACCCTAGCATTGGTTCTCCAATTCTTAGGCCTTTCCAGAATTCTGCAATGGTAACTGTTTTTTTCTTCTTGGTTTCCTCCACCATCCCTGAAACTGGGGCTTGTAACAAGCAGGTAGAGGCTCCAGATGACAAGTAAGGACCATCACCAGGACTCCCTTTACAGCGTCAGTGGCTTGGAAGAGTCAGATTATAAACTGGGACTGGAATCTAGTTATAAAAATGGTGCTGAACCATTCCTGTCTTACAGCCTTCTTTCCCATAGGAGATTGAGCCATGGTTGTCTGATTGGGACAGAGAGAGTCATACCATCAGTGAATTCTAGTGAGTTCAGCCCAGTCACATTCCTGAGGAGTCCACACGTAGTCCACGTAGAAAAAACAAACTCAGCTTCTCCTACTATATTCTCAAACACGCTTCTGACTCCAGATGTGTGGTGATTTCTCCCTACTGCA
Source organism: Homo sapiens (assembly GCF_000001405.40). Lineage (NCBI taxonomy): Eukaryota > Metazoa > Chordata > Mammalia > Primates > Hominidae > Homo > Homo sapiens. The sequence continues at coordinate 171,991,175 of NC_000001.11, forward strand.
AACAAGCAATTAATTCTTTTCTGCAGCAGACATCAGCTAGGTATCCTCTGATTAAATTTTATTCTGATACTATTTACCTGGAAATAGCATCAGATCACACTGATTGAGGGTTCAGTCCCACAAGATGACCCCCACTTCTGATGCCAGTTACAAGATCCAGGTTGTTTACCCTGTGCTCTGACTGACTGGCTATAAATTGGGGTTTCTACAACCTTCTTCTTGTGTTCTATTAATTTGCTAGAGGGGCTCACAAAACTCGGAGAAACAGTTCTTTGTTATAAAGAATATTACAAGGGATACAGATGAAGAGATGCATAGGGCAATGTATGAGAAGCGATGTGGAGCTTCCATGTTCTCTCCGGGCACACCATCCTCTAGAAACCTCTGCATCTCCAGCTATCCAGAAGCTCTCCAAACCCAGCCCATTTTGGATTTTTATGGAAGCTTCATTATGTAGGCATGATTGATTAAATCATTAGCTATTGGTGATCAACTTAAACTTCAGCCCCTCATCCCTCCTAGGAGGTCATATCTGTTCTTTCTAGTGACCAGTCCACTTGCTGAAGCTATCCAGGAGCTGCCAGCCACTTACCAACCCATTAGCCTGCAAAAAGATACTTATCACTTTGAAGATTCCAAGGACTTTAGTAGTTGTGTGCTGGGGAATAGGGAAGAAGACTAAAAATGCGTACCGCAATATGACAATCCAGATGAAGCTTCATGGAGGACTGCAAATGATACCATTCAGTCCCTGATTTCTCTTTCGTCCTACCTTGGTTCAGCCTCTTTGAAATTGTTTCTTTTTTAAGATAAATTCTTTTCAAGGGTGACAAGATGGCTATAGATATCCTGTCTCACATCCTCACAACTTCCAATCTAGTAGAAGAAAAGCCATTGGAGAATATTTTATTTGTGTGTATTATGAATTTTATAATAAATGTAAACTAAAAAAATTGGCCAACTAATAAATCTTGTAAAGTGATTTCTTAAAATTGGTTTAACATATTCATGCTATATTTTACCCCTGTTGTGCACATAGGGAATATTAATGGGCAGTAACTACATCTCATTTCTCAGGCTTTTCAGAAGAAGATTCATTTATGACCTAAAATAAACTCATGTGATCACAGATCATTAGGTGAGAGCAATGAATGTTTGTGGAGGGAGTCATCAGTTTGCCAGAAAGGAATCAATATCCACAAAGTCATTCCCAGTATATTCGATGTGTTGTTATAGCGTAAGGAAAATATAGCATTGACTGTCAGTCAGGAGTATGTCATTTTATGCCACAAATCTACTCCAGAAAGTTAAATGAGATTAAAAAAAAACTATCATAGGCTTGGCTTATTTACAAACTCATTTTTATTAGGTGCCACTTAGAAATTGTCATGTAAATGTTCATGAACTTACCTAAAATAAATCTCCTTTTTTGTGGATCATTAGAACTGCTGCTCCACCATTTACAGACCTACTTGCCCCCAGTTTTTATATCCTATATATGGTGGTCCCAAGAGGAGACTTTTGAAAGTTTTGGTAGGAGTCATTACTGATGAGATAGAATTTATGTGTGCTATTTTGCCATTCTTTTTGTGTATGTCCTATGTCTTTTTGTTTCTCTATTTCTCTGCTACTATCTCCTTTTGTGTTAAATATTTATTTTCTAGTATATAATTTTAATTCCTTGGTCATTTATTTTACTTTTTTGTTATTTTCTTAGTGGTTGCCATAGGATTACAATTAACATCTTAATTTATAGCAATCTAGTTTGGATCAATACCAACTTAATTTCAATAATACACAGCATTTTGCTCCTATATAGCTCCACTCCCTCCCCTTCCTATGTGCTATTATTGTCATACAAATCACAACTTTTACATTACATGCCTATCAACACAGAAATATAATTATAGCTTTATATGATTATCTTTTAAATCAGATATGAGAAAAAAGAGTTACAAACAAAAATACATTTATATTGTCTATTATATTTAACTATGTAGTTAACTTTACTGGTGTTCTTCAGTTTTTCCTGGGTATTTGAGTTACTGTCCAGTGTCCTTTTTTTTCTGCCTGAAAGGCTCTCATTAGTATTTCTTGTAGGCTATGTCTGTCAGTAAGGGATTCTCTTGGTTTTTGTTTATCTTGGAATGTCTTAATTTCTCCTTAAATTTTGAAGGATAATTTTTACTTAAAGTTTTTTTCCTTTCATCAATTTGAGTATGTCATCCCACTACCATCTGACCTCCATGGTCAAAATTCAGCTGTCAATCTCATTGAGGATCCTTTGAACATGATTTTCTTCTCTCCTGCTGCTTTCAAGATTCTTTTTTTTTTTTTTTTGTCTTTTGGCAGTTTGATTATGATATCTGTAGGTACAGATCTTGTTGAGTTTATCCTACTTGGAGTTTGTTGACCTTCTTGGATGTGTAGATTAATGCTTTTTAAGTCAAATTTGATAAATTTTCAGCCATTATTTCTTCAACTATTCTTTCTTCCTCTTTCTCTCCTCTTCTCTTTCTGAGAATCACATTATGTGTATGTTGGTATGTATGTTGGTAAGATGTTTTCACCAATCTCTGAGACTTTGTTCATGTTTCTTCATTCTTTCTTTTGTCTTTCTTTTCCTTAGACTGGGAGGAACAATCTCAATTGATCTGTCTTCAAGTTTGCTGATTCTTTCTGCCTGTTCAGATCTGCTATTAAATCTCTATAGTGAATTTTTTTATTTCAGTTATTTTATCTCCAGATTTTCTATTTGGTTCTTTTAAAAAAAAATTTCTGTCTCCTTACTGATATTCTGTATTTGGTGAAACATTATTCTCATACATTCTTTTTGTTCTTTAGATTATTATTTTTTTTTAGTTTTTAAAACATATTTAAAATAGATGATTTAAAGCCTTTGTCTAGTAATTTCAATTTCTGGGATTGTTCAGGGACAGTTTCTATTGACTGTATATTTTCTTTTGGGTGGGCCATACTTTCTTTGCATATCTTAAAATTTTTTTGTTGAAAATTAGATATTTAAATAATGTGATGTGGCAGCACTAGAAACCAGATTCCTCTCTCCCTTCCAGTTTTTGTTGCTGTTTATTGTTGCTGCAGGTGCTATTTATTTGGTTACTAATTTTCATGAACCAATTCTGCAAGTCTATATTCTTTGTCGTGTGTGGCCACTTAAGTCTTTGCTCAGCATTTTTTTTTAGTGGTCAGGACAGGGATCTTCTTAAATACTAGAGTCAGTAAATCGCTAAACATTTACCAAAGCTCTCAATGTGCATTTTGGGGTATGGCTTCAATGCTCAGGCAGACAGTTTACAACTCTGCCTTAATCCTAACTTCCTGCTTATGCAGAGCTCAAGGTGAGCTAGAGGTGAGAATTTAGGATCTTCTGAGGTCTTTGCTGTGTTTGCACAAAACCCCAAACATGCATGTGGCTTTCTAGATTCTAGGTTGTACATATATACAAAATTTTCAATGGCCTTTGTGGCCATCTCATTCCCAAGTTTTCCTTTTAAGTTTTTTGGTTAGTTTTTTCTTTCTTTCTTTTTTTTTTTGCCCCAATTGTTATTGCTCCCTGAGACCTGTGATGTTGAACAATTGCCACTGATTATTTTTGACAAATTTTTTCTGGGGAAAGAGGCTTTTCACACTGAATAAGCTCTGAGTCAGGTCAAGTAAAGAAAAGCCCTGTGAATGGGGGTTTTTAGGGAACTGCTAGACAGGTTAAATAGTTACAATTGTCTGAAAATTGTATTTTTGATGCTCTCCAACCCCATTCTGTCCCCTCCAGGGGTTTCTAGGGTTCTGATTTTCATCATGACTGTGGTGTTTTTGTTTTCAAGGCTACTGTAGAGATGAGAGGGGGATGGGCATAGGGCAAGTTCAAACACCATACGGCTTGTTGTTCTTACTGAAATCCAGGTTTTTTTTTTTTTTTTTTTTTTTTTGAGATGGAGTTTTTGCTCTTGCTGCCCAGGCTGGAGTGCAATGGCACAGTCTCGGCTCACTGCAACCTCTGCCTCCTGGGTTCAAGTGATTCTCCTGCCTCATCCTCCCAAGTAGCTGGGATTACAGGCATGTGCCACCACATCCAGCTAATTTTTTGCATTTAGTGGAGACAGGGTTTCACCATGTTGCTCAGGCTGGTCTTGTACTCCTGACCTCAAGAGATCCACCCACCTCGACCTCCCAAAGTGTTGGGATTACAGGTGTGAGCCACTGTGCCTAGCTAGAAATCCAGGTGTTTTTTTTTTTGAATATTTACTCCTCAGATTGTTGTAAGCCTTTGGTTAATTTCCAGAGTTCTGAAACAGTTGGCTTTAACAATTTTTGCCAGTGTTCTTTCTTACTGCCTTTATGGAGAAGTGGCCTTTTCAGAGGTCCTTATTCCAGCATTCCCGTTTATATTCCTCATTCTGGTCCTATACAACTGTAATAACAACAAACTTTTCATATAACAGTCATTTGAGTTGGGATGGTGAGGGCAATCTGGTTATGACATCTGTTACCCTGTTGGTCTTCAGGAATGATTTGGTTGACTGTGCAAGTGGCCTGTTCTCACCACTTAATGTACATCTTTCCTGATATTTTGCCCTTGGCTAAGCAGGATGACCTATTTAGATAGTAGAGGACCATTCTTCATTCTTTATTTATCTGAATTAGAATCTTATCCACCAAGGTACATAATTATCGTCTTCTGAGAGGTAGTGTATTTTAGGCAGTAGCTACTTTGTACTAAATTAAATCTTTTTGACAATAGACAGGCAATTTTCACCTAAACGGGATTTGAGTATATTGGAATATATGCTTGGGAAGACAGCTCATCTTGATAAGTTAATTATAAATTATTTGCATAATAATATTCAGATTGAAAACTTCTATAAAATAAGTATTATTAAATGTTGGGATGTATTTACATATATTTTATATTAAGTTTCACATGAAATTATTCTTTCAGTATATGTAGAATGTCACAAATTTGTGGCTAGACAAAGTTCAAGCTCATCTTTTGCATCATTTGTGAAAAATAGTTTTACTGAGTAGAAGAGGGTTTTTAGCATAATTTCAAGGGGAATGGCTATATAATTTGAAATGTCAAACTCCTAGCCATCAGAATTATATGATGTTTTGAATATATTTTTCTCTGTATAGTGGTCTTTACTTTTCAAAGTGCTCTTACTTTTGCTTTAGTTTCACCAGAATACTAGAGGTTGGTATGGGTGAGATCCTATTTTGGGGTAAGGAAGTTTTTCTAGGTAATATATACAGTGGTTGAATAACATACCTGTAAACACACCATGTGCTTATGGTATAGCCCCTCCTCTCCTCCTCCAGTACTTTTTCCACTTCATCAGACCATTCCTCTGCTAGGTGCCTTATTAAATGATGTAGATAAAAATAAACACAGGGCTTGGAAGCAGATCCATCACATCCTGATTGTGTGTCCTTGGGCAAGTTATTTAACTTCTTTGAACCTTATTACTTAATCTCTAAAATGAAATGAAATTATCATAACCCTTACCTCAAAAGTTTGCTATAATAATTAAGATAAATTATTATAAAGATAATAATTGGCTCGGCATGGTGGCTCACACCTATAATTCTAACACTTTGGGAGGCCAAGGTGGGCAGATTGCTTGAGCCCAGGAGTTCAAGACCAGCCTGGGCAACATGGTGAAACCCCGTCTGTTCAAAAAATATAAAAAAAATTAGTGGGATGTGGTGGCGCATGCCTGTAGTCCCACCTACTTGGGAGACTAAAGTGGGAGGATTACCTGAGCCCAGGAGGTTGAGGCTGTGGTGAGCTGTGATCACGCTACTGCACTCCAGCCTAGGTGACAGAGTGAGACCTTGTCTCAAAAAAAAAAAGATAACACTTAGTCGAAATAGCTAACCAAATGCTAGCAGTTATTTTCCTCTTGAAAATAATTAAAGGAAACTTTACCAGGCTTTGTTATTTTATTTGTTGTATAGAACTTATAAATTTAATAAGCTTTTCTTTAAAGCAATCAGTTATATTTCATAATTCAAACTACTGCCCACACCCATATGATTTAATGAGGCTTGATAATACTAAAAAATAGAATTGTAATAGAATTATTTTGAATATTTTAGTAATGTGTTATGCAATAAGCATAATTTCAGATTCATCTGCAAATGGCTAGATTAACTATAGGTGAAAGAAGGTCTTAGGTAGGTTGGGGCTGGGGTGGGATAGAAGGAGGATTATCCTGAGCTTGGCTTGATTTGCTTCAGGACTATGCTAGCTGCTGCTCATGGATTTAGAGTAAAGGAGCAGACTAAGATTCCTAGCACAGTCTCGCCATAGAGAGAGCGTTCAGTGCTTTCTCAAAGGAGCACTTCCTCCAGCTATTTTGTTTATTTATTTATTGGCACCCCAGATGGGACAGGAACCATTCAGCTATTTACAGTCGTGCTCATATACACTAACAATTCAGTCACTCCCTTTGTTAGTTTATTAATTTGTTGCTTAAAAGACATTTATCAGGCATCTGTTGAGCCAGCAAAATGCTCCTGGTCAGTAGTGTAAGTTCAATGTGCTGTATCACCTGGTAGTACACTAGACTAGCAGGTGCTCAGTACGTGTTTCTGATTATCTTCTTGTTTCTCCACCATTCTAAAAAATAGGCTATTGGTTTACATGGCATCTTGTGTGTGAAGAGTCACAGAAGTCCCTGGATGATCAGCTTTATGAAATGAACATTTTCATGTTTTAGGGGATGTGATTTGGCCTGCAGCATATATTAATTCAAGTGAAATGAGTTGTGTAATAACACCATGTGCATATGTTATAATCCAAAGTATGCCAGTCAGGTGGCATCACCCCAGTTTTCTATAGGTGGAATTGAGCTAGAGAGGTCATGGAAGTTGATCACTGTCAAGCAGCTGGTAAGAGGCTGATGCATGATAAAAGTGCCTGTCTCAGATGCCAATAGTGTAATTCTTTCCATTATATCATCTATCTCTGTCTGTTATAAGCACTTTATTCAGCGATAATCATGAACACATGTTAGACTTAAAAAATATAAAGAAGCCAAAATATGAAATTTTACAATACTAAATATGGTGAAACACTGTTAAAGTTACACTGTGGTTTGCTCTAAACTTCTAGATCAAATATTGTGAATGCAGGAAAAACAATTGGTTTAGGAGTTCACACTTATGTTACTAAATGAATGCTTCTTGATTACATCCACAAAGCACTCAGTGAGCATTGTCTTCAATTGGTTTAATGTAATTTTCACTTTTCCATATCAGTTTTTAATGTGGCTACATTGCTTTAATTAATTTTAAAAGATTATTCTAGTTGCTTGTTCATTTATTTAACAAATAATGAATGCTCACTTACTATGTGTCAAGTACCATTCTTATCATCAGGAATACAGTGGTGAAGAAGACAAAATTCTTGGCCTTCTAGAGCTTGTATTCTAATGGGGGAAACAGCCAGATAACAGAAAACCCATTAGTATAATGTCAGGTGTTATGAAGAAAAATAAGTGCTGCAAAGAAAAATGAAACAGAATACGGGAAGAGAGATTGATTGGGAATGCTGTCTTAGACAGACGGCCTAAGGAGGCAGCATTTAAGCAGAGAACTGATGAAGTGAGGGAATAAGCCCTGTGACCATCTGGAAGAAGAGTGTTCCAGGCAAAGGGGACAGTAAGCACAAAGGAATGAGAGTGGAACTGGCTTGACATGTTGAGGAACAGCAAGGAGGATGTTGAGGCTGGAACTCAGCAGAAAAGTGTGGTTGGTTCTGCAATCAGAGAGGTAGGCAGGGCCCAGATCATGTGGGGTTTTGTAGATCACAACAGAGGCTTTGTATTTTTTTCAAAGTGGGCTGAGCAGCCAGTGGAGGGTTTTAAGAGTAGAGAGGCAAGATCTGACTGATGTTTTCATAGTCAGTGTGGCTGCTGTGAGAAGAAAAGACTGAAGACGGGCATGAATGTAAGCAAGGAGACCAGTTAGGTTATTCTATCAGAGAGGTCCAGTAGGGGGTGAGGTGATGTGCTTTGGAATAAGAGAGGAATGGTACTGAGGGAAGAAGTTGTCTGATTCAAGGTACACTGTGAAAGTAGAGCTGATAGACTTTACTAATGGTTTGCTTCATGTGTTTGAAAGAAAGAAGTCAAAGATGACTCCAAGGGTTTTACCCAAAGGAACAGGTTAAGTGGTTGTGTCATTTACTGAGATTAGGAATATTCAGAGAAGAAAATATTGTGGGAGATCAAGAGCTCTATTTTGGATATGTAAAATCTGAGATGCTCATTAAACACCTAAGTGGTGGTATTACATATAAGAGACTGGATCCAGTTCAAGAGCAGAGTTTCAAGCTGGAGTTATGAATCATTGAGTTATCAGTCTATAGTGGTATACAGGTTTAAACTGTGCTCCTCACCCCTCCAAGAAAGATATATGTAAAGCCCAACAGTCTACTCTCCCCCATCCCATACCTGTGAATATTTGGAAATAAGGTCTTTGCAGATGTTTTTAAGTTAAGTATCTTGAGATGAGATAATCCTGGATTTAGGGTAGACCCTAAAATCCAATAACTGATATCTTTATAAGAGAAAAGAGAGAGATTTAAGACAGAGAGAGACAAGATAGAAGGCCATGTGAAGATGGAGGCAGAGATTGGAGTTATGTTGCCACAGCCAAAGAATGCTAGGAGTCACCAGAAGTTGGCAGAGGCAAGGAAGAACCCTCCTGTAGAGGCTTTGGAGGGAGTCAGCATGACACTACCGACAGCTGGATTTTGGATGTCTGGCTTGCAGAACTGTGAGACAACAAATTCCTGTTGTTTTAAGTCACTTGTTTGTGGTAATTTGTTATGACAGCCCTAGGGAATTAATTCAGGTGGTGTCTACAGCTTTGAGACTAGTTGAATTGAGATTACTTAGGAGATGAGTGTAGGTAGAAAAGAGAAGAGGGCCAGAGACAGAGCCCCGGGGCACTCCAGTATTTTAGCAGTGGTGAATAGGAGGGAAAATAGCAGAGGTGATGAAGAAGCGGTAGAGAATCAAGTGACTGTGGCATTCCAGAGGACAAGAGAAAAATGGCTTCAAGAAGGGCAATGTAATTGGCCATGCCAAATGTGGCTGAGAGATAGAGGAGGGTGATGTGGCAGGTCAACCAGGCCTACTGCTTAGGAATGTGAGGAAGCCCAGTAACAGCTAGATTGCTCCCAACCTAAAGACGTCAAAGACAGAGCACCCATATTTCTTTGTCCCTCTGGCTTGTCAGTTTTCCCCAGTTCTCACAGGCTGTATTGGACTTCAAACTTAAAATGCTGCTCTCTGAGGAGCCAGGAAGATGCTGAGAAGCTGCATCCATTCAGTCACTTGTATTCTTAGCTCCTGATTCCTTTCCATCCACTGCTGGAAGATTCAGTAGTAAACAGAAAGAAAACAACCTTGAACTCGGTCCAAATCATCCTCACCTCCAATCTTTGTATCAAAACTAGACTTTTATGTTTCACCCAATGGAGATAAGGGTGGAGAACTGACCATTGGATCTGGCACTTGAAGGTCACTGGTGACCTTGATAAGAAGGGTTTGGTAGGAAAGTCTCCTTAGAGAGGGTTCAAGGAAAACTTGGCTGTGAGGAAGTGAAGACAGGAATTATAGACAGCTCTTCAAGGCCCACTGTAGAGGGAAACAGAAAAATGAAACACTAACAATAGTAGTGTAAGATGAAAAGAATGTTTCTGAAAGATGGGAGATATTATAACTTGTTTGTGTTTTGATGGAAATGATGTAGAAGAGAAATTAAATTGGTGATGGAGGATAGAGATGAGATAAATGCAGGAGAATGGGATAAAGGCAGGAAAAATGAGTGAGAAATGTCCTTGATTTAGGAGAATGAGGATGGGATACAGGGCACCTGTGAGAGTCCTGGCCATAGATTGAAGAGAATTGGATTATTTTTCCATTTTAATCATAGGAAAGGAAGAGGACATGGAGACAGATGAAGTTAGTTGATAAATTGATTAGTGGGGAGATAGCTTTTGATCGTATTGAGTTTATTTATGATGGCTGAATATCTGCCTATCCTGGTAAGTTCTAATGATTGTATAATAAAGACATTATGTTTACACTGCTGCTCAAGGTGCCTAGCAGTGTCACTGACATCTGCTTGTTTTATAGATATTGCTATACCCTGGCTGAACCGTTCACCCTTGAGAGACATTCACATTTCCTGTATGGAAAGCAGAGGAGTTAGTGGTGGTGTTGATTGATTACTTGATCATGAGTTCATTACCCATGAAGACTATAACTGTGCCTTTTATCTTCTGAGCACAGCAGTATTTTAGCATTACCCATCCAGTTTGTCATCTACAATAGAGGGCTGTTCAAAGGCCTCGCTAGGGAGGCAAATGTGTCTGGAAATCCCTTTCACGGTGATTTATTTCACAGCAAATGAATTTCATTTCTAAATCTAGCATGACCAGAGGTCTTCCTAGAGTATAAAACCATCCCAAGAGGAATGTGAGACCTCTGGCTGGGAAAGAGGGCACCATCTTCTCTTGAGATGAAATTCGTGAATTGGGCCAGAATTAACTACTCAGCTGGTGGCAGACTTTTAAATTCATCTTATGGGGGTGTGTCCCTACATACCTCCTTCAGCGTTTGCTTTTTGATATCTCCCTCTTAAATCTGGAAAATGTTAAAAATCCATGGGTGATGTAAACTGATATTCATTGACCTTTGGCAACATTTAGCAGATATCCAATCTGCTGTCTGGTCATAGAGATGGTGGAGGTGCTGCTTAGTTGAGCAGAAGCTTCAAACATCCAGGCATTGTCAACACTCAGAATATAAAGAATATGTTTATAAACTGCAAAAATAAAAACAATTCATGGAGGAAACCTATTTTCCAGGTACTATATCTGTCTCTGCACCTGTTCTTCACCCCAATTAGATTTCCATTTTACCTTAAAATTCTTTGCTTATTTGACCAATTTAACAAATGTAATAGATGCTAATTAATTGCATTGAGCGCCCAAATGCTACTTGATATTTATTGAATCAGTTAATATGTATGAAAAAATCAGATTAAAAAATGACTTCATATGTAGCTTATAGAAGCCATGTTTTGACTTCTTCAGGAATATGTTTTTGAGCTTTTTATAATATGGTTGAGACCCATAAACTCAATTATAAAATAGAAACAAAGACTAAACCTGAAGGGTTTGGAGTCTTTGAAAAATTTGTTTTACAAGTTCTATCCAATTCATTGTTCTTTTAAATTGAGAATTTACTATGCATTGGGCTTGAACAAGACAAACGCTAAGTCATGTTATAATTCAGCTTGTTTGCAAAGAGTAGATCATTTATCTGCATGTTGAGAAATGGGCTTGCCCAAGTATAGAGGAACACTTTCATTTTAAGCTTTAAAAAAGTAAATTGAGTCTTATTTAGATTTGAAAATATGACAACAAACACATTAGCTTTATAGGCTTAAAAAAGCTTTTTATGAAAGTATATATTCTTTGATATGCTGATTTAATTGGGAAAATGATATGATTATAAAATTTACTGTGAAAAAAAGGAAGAATATTTTTAGGACTTGAATGTGAATGTGTGAGTGTAAAATTTGGATTTTTAAAAAGTAAGAACAAAAGAAAAATGTGAAGGCACAATGATAAAGTGAATGTGCTGTTAAAATAGAGCTTGTTATTATCATCAATGTAAAAGGCCTCAACGTGGATTTCTAATGCGTTCATTCCTTTTTTGCCACTGGGGGTCACTGTAAAGACGCTGCTTGAAGAAGTTAAAAATTTCCCTGATGCTCTTTGTGGAGTTTGAATGTAGAAATTTAATGTAGAAAAGAAACACTGTTCATGAAAAAGACTTAAAAAAGTAAGAAGATAATAAATATATTCTCTCTTTTTCTGAATTTAATTGCCAATTAGTAACATGAATCTTCATTTTTTTCAGAAATTCTCTTTATATTAATATATGGATGTTGCATTGCTATTCAAGGTAAAAGTGTTTAATAATGATGACTTTAGTGTTACAGAATAATTGTGCTCTTATGTCTTTCTTATTTCAAAGACATTAAAACACAATTAATAGTTTCCTATGCAATTACATCTTACTCCTGGATTCTGATGTGACCATGAGTTTCTAACATTTCCATTAATGTAATAGCTCTTTTAAAAGTTGTTATAAAAACATATTCTACAAGCCATCCCCAGAATATATAATTAAACTAGATTCATACAGTTATTTTGTTGGCAGTGTAAATAAAATATGACAATGAAAAAAAGCGAAATTCTTCTAAAGTTCTGTAAGAACTCCATTTTTCATTGCTGAGTTTTAGGATCTTCCCCTCCCTCCTCTCCTGCCCCCTCCCCTTCCTCTTTTTCCTCTATTTCTTCCCCCTCCCCTTCTTGCTCTCCAACATTTCTTGAGTGGCTGCCAGGTACCTTGAATACAAGAAAAACTATTTTTTTCCATTGAGATAAGAGTGAAGTAAGGAAGTGTACATGAGGCCTATATGTAGATATCTGGAGAGGTATTTGAATAATTTATTGCCTATTGACATAGATTTTTTCACTGTAAGTGGGGAGCAAGGCTATCAGCTGAGGAAGAACTGGGGTGGGGGTGAGGTAAGGATGATAAGAGAGAAGGGGGTTGTGTAAGACATTTGGGGAGAAATGTATTTTGACCAGCTGCTGTGGAGAAATATGGAAGGAGAAAGTGGGCAGCACTGGGGGACTCTATTGAGGCCATAGTGCATCTGCACCAAGCTTAGTGGTTGTGTAATTCCCAAAACCACTCAGCAGCTGGGAGGTTGAAGAGGCAAATACTTGGGTTGCTTTTAGATCAGGATTTTGCAGGGAGGGTTGAATGGAAGATAAAAGTGGGCAAAAGAGTTGAGGATATTGGCAAAATAATAATTGGAAAGACAGACTGTGAAATACTTGGAAGAAAGTGAAATAAAAAAGAATCTGTATGTTTTGAGGAAGATGAAATGGTTTCAGGGATGGGCTTCTGGACAAGATTGAAGAATAGCAATGTGTTCCTATAAAGAGAAGAAAGAAAAATGGGAGAATAGGAGTTTGTGGTTAAAGAGATGTATATTAGAGTTTATGATTTACAGCTGGAACAAGTCCAGGTTATAAATGTCCAGGATGTGGTCATGGGAGGAAATTGCTAAAATGGCCTGCAGTTGAAAAATTATTGAATAGAAGCAGGCAAGGAACTCAATAGCCAGCGGACTGGATACATCGTCCTCATGCACATTGCTGCTGCTTGGATAATGGCGGAACTAAGGGGAGTGAGGACTAACATGATGATGCTAAAACCTTCAAAAAATGTGTGTGTGTGTTTGTGTTGAAAATGGGTGTTGTAGACATTTGGTAGAAGACAGCAACAAGGGGGAATAGAAGCTGCTTTACCCAGACGATGTCAGGTTCCAAAGCAATGTTTTAATGTGAAGGTGGAAGATTTGGGTTTGGAGAAGCACCAAGGAGTAAGAAAAATTCTTTAATCTCTACTCTTTTCCTCTAACCCTGGGCTCTGTGGAGCATGGGAGAATATACAGTCTCTACCTGAAAGGCATAAAAAAGAGAACTCAGTTTAAATAAAGGCAAGGAAGTGAGAGCTATTGTTTAGACAAGAGTGTGAGTGTGTTGGAGTAATTTGGTGACAATAAAGATGGTTCCAGATGGCACAGTGAAAAGGATTGGCAAATAGGCAGCAAGAGGAGGAAGCAGGCAGCATGTTGGAATGAAAGTACAAGCTGTTCTGCTAAAGTAACAGAGAAACATTCTGAAGAAATTTTGCTTTAATAAGAATTTGCATTAATAAAACCATAAACATATAAAAATTACATTTTAAAACAGTACAGCCCCCAGTGGTTAATAGCACCACTCTGGAGCCAAACTGTCTGATTTGAATCATGGCTCCACCATTTACTAGTTGTGTGACCTTGAACAAATTTCTTAATTTCTCTGTGTCTCAGTTTCCTCCTCTGTAAAATGGAATAATAATAATACCTTCCTTTTAGGACTGTTTTGATATTAAATGAGTTAATGTCTGCAAAGTACTTAGTACAGTGTCTGGCACTTGATAAACTATATAAAAGTGTTACGTAAAAATAATTTGTTAAGTTGGTTAAAAAGCGAGTTTGTGGCTCATGGATTTCAGACTTATAAAATTATTTTTCTATCAGGAATTGTTATAAAGGCTTTAAAAAACCAATAGTTTTAGCAGTTTTAGGAAGCATATAGCTGTTAAACTTAAATCTCACTCAGCAATGTTGACCATTGCATTACACTTCCTTCTTTCCCTTTTCTCCTAGGGCTGCCGACACTATCACTCGTCTAAGGCTCCTTGCACATTGATGGGTTATAAAGGTGATAACCAAGTATGATGCACAAAGCCAGAGCCACCCTTTCAAAAAGCAGCCGTGTTACCTACACAATTGTGTGTGTGTGCGCACTGGTTGTTTTTTAAAAAGCCAATTACAATTACAATTATTAAAAGAAAAACAGAAAATTACAATTTTCAGTAACAGTGCCTGTAGAGGTCTGTATAATGAAAATCACGTTCCTATTTAGTAGGTCCCAACAAAACCAATTGACTTAATGGAAACTTTTGCTGTAGTAGAAATTCCTGATCATGGAGGACAGATGACCAGAGGAGCTTGGATTTGGTTTGTGAGTGAAGGACAAAATTGACTGAGAAAGATCTGATGGTACTAACTGTTTACAAGTTAACCAGCTGGAACCAGTTAAAAGAGTTTCCTCCTGTTGCTGATAAGAATCACTGGATGGTGTTCTGAGCCCAGGACATTTTGTGGTCAATAGTCACTAATATGAGGTATGTGTTCAGGATTCCAAATAGATTGCTGAGGGTTGTGTGTGGAGCTTGATTAGTTATTACCTGAAATGTAAACTCCCATGAGAAAGCAAGACTGGGAAATACCTCACAGTCCCAAGTCCACAGCAGTGGTGGGTGCCTACAGGGCAGGCAATTATGAAGTCTTTCTATGCTGGCAGTGAGGGAGGTTTCTTGATTAAATCCTAATTGTGCTTTCTAGGAGGAACGCTCTTGTCTGTTGTCTATTATTCTTCCTGTGTTCAACTTGTGAAAGTTTCTTCCTTGTCCATTATCTTCTTTGACATATCTGAAGAAGAAATGGGGGATTGTGACCTTCTTGAGAGATTCACAGCTTTCACAGCCTGCCTTCTTCTTGTAAAAACTTGGGGTGATGAAAGTTGTTTTAAGACTCAGAGGCTTTTTCAGGCCAGGCCTTTTGTTTCTTTGTGAATTTAGTTACTTTAAAAACTCAGTAAGCTTCTCTACTATCTGCTTCTTGTTAATTCCATGTACAAATAACTGTACCCAATGATTTTTCCTAGACACAGATCTTAAATCTATTTTATTTATTTATTTTTCATGTGGCCAATACCCTCCACCCCCTTCTTCTGTCTCTTTCAACTTATTGTGGTTACCTTGAGGCTACCTGAGACAGTAGGCTTGGGTGGGGAAGTATGCATTCTAAGTGTAAAGTTTGATGAGCTTTGACAAATGTCAACCCATGTACCAGAACATTTTCATCACCCATAAAATCTCCCTTGTGTCACTTGCCAGTCAGTGTCTATTCTAGTATCCAACTCCTGGCTCCAAGAAACCATTGAACTGTTTTCTGTCACTATAAATTAGATTTGTCTTTTCTAGAGTTTCATGTAAATGGAATCATACACTAAGTACTCTTTGTGCCTGGCTTCTGCTCAGCATAATGTTTTTGAGAATCATTCATGCTGCTGCATGTTTTCAGTAGTTCATTTTTTTAAATAGGTGAATTGTAACTCATTCTGTGAATATACCATATTCTGTCTTCCATTTATCTGTTAGTGGATCTTTAGGTCGTTTCTAGTTTTGGGCTATTGCAAATAAAGCTGCTGTAAATATTAATGCACAAGTTTTCCATGTTCATATGTTTCATTTCACTTAGGAAAATACCTAAGAGAGGAATTGCACATATTAAAAAAATTTTAAAAACTACTAAGCTGTTCTCCAAAATGGTTGTACAATTTTTATTCCCAAGAGCAATATGAGTGTTTAATTGCTCCACATTCTCACCAACACTTGGTGCTTGTTAGTTTTATTTTCATTGTTTTCATTGTTATGTCTGTGAGGCAGCATTGATGTGCATGTCTCTGAGTGTCATCTTAGCGGTGATGCTGAGCATCAGTTCACGTCCTTATAGGCCGTTTGTATATCTGCTTTGTGAAATGTCTGTTCAAATCTTTTGCCTATTTTAAATTGAGTTGTGTTCGTCTTCTTAGGATTAAGTAATGAGTTAAAAATATTTCTGATACAAATCTTTCATTATATATTTCTAATGCTTT
Source organism: Homo sapiens (assembly GCF_000001405.40). NCBI lineage: Eukaryota > Metazoa > Chordata > Mammalia > Primates > Hominidae > Homo > Homo sapiens. The sequence continues at coordinate 172,007,562 of NC_000001.11, forward strand.
CTCATCTATAGTTTATTTTCTCATATTCTTTAACTGTATCTTTTGAAGAGCAAATTTTACTTTTGATTATGCCCAATTTATCAAGTTTTTATATGGCTCTTTTGATTATGCCCATAATCACATTAGACTTTGCCTAACCCAAGTTTGCAGAGATTTTTTCTTTTATGCTTTTATCTAGAAATTTTGTAGTTTTAGGTTTTAAAAAAGTTTAATTTATTTATTTGAGACAGGGTATTGCTCTTTACATATACTGGAGTGCAGTGATGCAATCATGGCTCACTGCAGCCTCAACCTCTTGGGCTCAAGCGGTTCTCCCATCTCAGAGTCCTGAGTAGCTGGCCAGGTGCATGCCAGCTTCAATGTGTTTTTCATTTGCATTTCCCTGATAATTATTGACGTTGAGCATTTTTTTCATATATCAGTTAGCTATTTGTACGTCTTCTTTTGAGAAACATCTATTCGGGTCTTTTGCCCATTTTAAAGTCAGATGGTTTGTTTGTCAGCTATTGAGTTGTTTGAGTTCCTTGTATATTCTGGATATTACCATCTTGTCAGATGCACAGTTTGCAAATTTTTTTTTTCTATTTTGTAGGTTGTCTCTTTCTCTGTTGTTTCCTCCGGTATGCAGAAGTTTTTTAGTGTGATGTAATTTCATTTGTCTGTTTTTGCTTTTGTTGCCTGTACTTTCTTATTCTTATCCAAAAAATCTTTATCTAGATCAATGTCACGAAGAGTTTCTCCTCTGTTTTCTTCGAGTAGTTTTTTATAATTTTGGGTATACATTTAAGTCTTTAATCTATTTGGAATTGATTTTTGCATATGGTGAGAGATCAGAGTCTAATTTCATACTTTTGGATGTGGAAAGCTAGTTTTTTCAGCACCATTTATTGAAGAGACTGTCTCTTCTCCAATGTGTGTTCTTTGTGCCTTCGTCAAAAATCAGTTGGCTGTGCGTGGATTTATTTCTGTGTTCTCTATTTTGTTCCATTGGTCTAGTTTTAGCCTTAAATTTAGGTCTGCAATTTTTTTTTTTTTGTATATGGTGTGAAGTAAGAGTCAAAGTTCATTATTTTTCATATGGATATGTAATTACTCCAGTACCATCATTTAGTTTGAATGGACTGTCCTTTCTCCATGGAATTACATGGGCATCTTTTGTCTGAAACCAATTATGTATGTTTACGTATGTGTATGTTTATGCATATGTTATAGGTTTAATATATATTAATATATATAATATATAATATATAAATATTAATATGTATTATATAATATATATTAATATATTATATTATATTACTATATAAATAATATTAATATATTATATTAAAATATTAATAAATATATCATATTAAATATTATATTAATTAAATATTAATAAATATATTATATTAATATATTTATATATTAAACCTATAACATATGCATATACTTATTTATATATAACATGCATGTACTTATTTATATATACAATATATATTTATATATTATATAATATATTATATGTATTTATATATTATATATCATATATTATATGTATTTATATATTATATATCATATAATATATATATTTATATTATATATATTATATGATATATAATATTATATAATGTATTAATATATATTAAACCTATATTTATAATTCTGGACTCACTATTTTGTTTCATTGGTGTCTGTGTGTATCTAACCCTATGCCAATAATGTACTATCTTAATTACCATAGCTTTATAGTAAGCTTTGAAATCAGATAGTGTATTTTTTATCATTGTTTTTTAAAATAATAGTTTATCTTTTTATTTGAATTTGTAATCAGCTAGTCAGTTTCTGCAAAAAGCTTACTGGGATTTTGCTTGGAATTATGTTACATCTGTAGCATGTACTATCCAATATTCTAGCCTTTATCCACATGTGGCTATTAAGGTTTAAATTAATTAAATTAAAATTTAATTAATTAAAATTAAAACTTAATAATTGGTTCCTCATTCACACTACCATATGTCAAGTGTTCAATAGCCACATATGGTCAATGTCTTGGAAAAGTCAATACAGTACATTTCCATTATTGCAGTAAGTTCTGTCAAACAGCACTATCGTAGACCGATTAGGAGAGAACTGACTTAACAGTATTGGATGCTCCAGTCAATGAACATCTTTTTTTTTTTCATTTATTTCAGTAGTCTCTGCAGTATATTATAGATTTCAGTTTACATATTTTGCATATATTTTATTAAATGTATAACGGTAGAAGTACTATTATTGGATGATGTGTTCTATAGATGTATTTTAGGTCAAGTTTGTTGATAGTGTTGTTTAAATCTCGTATACCTCTTGATTTTTTTATTTACTTGTTCTTTGAATTACTGAGACAGGAATGTTATATCCTTAACTATATTTGTGAATTTATTCACTTCTTCCTTCAGTTCTGTTAACTTTTGCTTAGGTGCTTTTTAAAAATGAAACTTTCAATCTCTGCCTTTTAATTGTAGCATTTAGACCATTTACATTCAATGTAATTATCAATATCAGTTTATTTAAGTCTGAAGTTGTGCAATTTTTCCTCTACCTATATTATAAATCTTTCTATATACAAAACACATGCTATGTTTTCTGCATATGTTTTAAATGACACCCGGAAAGCATTGACACTATTTTTGCTTTAGGTTATCTTTCAAAGATGTTAAAAATGAGAAAGAAATATTCTGCATTTATCCATACACTTATTATTTGCAAAGGTTTTTTTAAATACCTTTGTGTAGATTTCAGTTACCAACTTGTATTTCCTTCAGCTTGAAGAACTTACAATTTCTTGTAGGACAGGTCTCTGACAACAAATTATCTCAGCTTTTCTTTGTCTAAAAAAGTTATTGCCTTTATTTTTAAAATATATTTTCACTGGATATTGAATTTTAGGTGATAATCTTTTTTTTTTTGTTAGCACTTTAAATATGTCTTCTAATGTCCTCTTGCTTTCATAGTTTCTGATGAGAAGTCTACTGTTATTAGTATCTCTTTGTGTGTGTCTCTCTTTTTTCCCTCTCTGCTATTATGGCTATTTTTTTTTTTTTTTTTTTTTTTGGTCACTGGTGTCAGCAATTTAATTATGGTGTGCCTTGGTATGTTTTGTGTGTGTGTGTGTGTGTGTGTGTGTGTGTGTGTGTGTGTAGCTGATGTTCTTTGAGCTTTAGAATCTGTGAGTTTGTAGTTTTCATCAATTATTTTTTCTTTTCATTCCTTTTATTTACTCATGTTCGTGTTTTATTTTATATTTTTAAGAATTTTGTGCGTATTTGTAATAACTGTTTAAATGTCATTTGTGAATTCCATTGCTTCTAGGTAGGATTCTATTGACAGATATTTTTTCCCTGACGAGAGGTCATACTTTCCTTATTCTTCATGTATCTAGTGGTTTTTGGTTGAATACTGGATATTTTGAATTTTATGGGAGTGCTGAATTCTACAATATTCCTTAAAAATGTGTTGGATTTTGTTTTAGCAGATAGCTATCTTACTTGAAGATCAATTTCATATTTTTTGATGTTCATTTTTTCATTTATTAAAGAATAGGTCCATGGTAGAGTTTACTGATATCAACCTTTCTGGTGTCTCTAATAAATGCAACATATTCAATAAGATCTTTCCACTGTAGCTGGTGGGAACTTAAATGATTCCCATCCCTTTGTGAGCTCTGGGAATTATTTGGCTTACAGCTTCCTGAAAGTTCTTTTCTCCCCTGCCATGCATGTAGAATTACTCCTTTTGTAACCTGTATACCATGCATGGATTTAAAAAAGACATAATGGGACCCCTATGAAAATTTCTGGACCTCCTTTTTATCTGGCACACTGTCCTGCAAAGTCTAGTACCTTGGTCTCCATGAACTCCATCGATGTCTCCTCAATTTAGCATGTCCAATGTTTAATTGATGGTTATCTCCTTGGATTTTTCCTCCTTGCCTTGTGGCCCAGAAATTACCTCCAAGCAGAAAGTGAGTAATGTCTGAAAATGACTGTTTTATATATTGTATCCAGTTTTCTAGTAGTTTACAGAAGAAAGATATGCCTGAACTCTGTTATTCTCTTATATTCAGAAACAGAGATTTCCAAACCCTGGGTTTAACTGAAAATTCTTAGTGAACCTTTGTTGCTTAGAGCCTTTTCAGTCTCTTCTTCTATTGTTTGTATCACAAAAACAGGTTAGCTTTTTCAAAACCAATAGATCCAAATTTTTAGATGTTCTCTAATTCCTTTTTATTTCCACTTGCAAAATGATAAATTTCTCATGTGAACTCATATCATTCTTAAATACTCTGCTTTAAGCATCAAGGAACAATCAAGACAAATTGACATTCTGACCCTTTCCAACAGCTTCTCCTTTCAAATCCACCTTAAATGTTATCACATGCAGCAGGTTTACAAAATATGCAACTACTGCATAACATGAATCTTCATCTTTCTAATTTGCAACATTTGTTTCCTTACCATTTAACTTTGGTATGCCAGCTTTTCATTATGTCAGCTCTCTTCTTCACAGTACCATTGTTTCTGCTAATAACACCACAATAAGTAGACTCAAACATGTAATGGTGCAAACAATAGTCCTAGGTGAATGTTCAGGGTGCTGTGGTATTTCTTCTCCATGATGTTTTGCAGAGATCCAGAATCCTTTCATCTTGTCACCCTTAGGGACGTAGGGAGTTATTATAGTTAGATTCAGCAAAGGGAAGGCAAAGCAGCATGCAGGAGCACATGTGGGAAGTTATATGGACCAACTCTAAAAGTGGCACATATCACATCTCACATTCCACTAGCTAGAATTCAATCACAGGTATAACCTAAGGGAGATTGTAATTCAATTGTAAGAAGGATTTGCAAATGTAACTTAGCTGTGTGCCAAAGATAAGAAGAAAATAGATTCAGGTAGACAAAGAGCAGAAAGATTTAAGTGTATGTGGATTCTTTTTTTTGTTGTTTCTTCATGTCTCAGTTTATTTTGGAGTGCAAATTCTCAGAGACCCACTTCACATCTAAATTTCCTTATTTTTGAGGTAATTCTTCTCTTGCCTCTTTCCCTTTTCTTTTTCCCTCTCTTTTTCATGTCTCTTTTTTCTACAAATATTAAATCTTCCAAGTACTTTGCTAGAATCTGGACTATGTTGGTAAGCAAGGTAGAGTCCCTGCCAGCGGAGTGACAGTAATTTTTATGTTTTCTATTATTTACCTAATATTTTACCTAGCATCATATACAGTAATATTACCTGATGATTTTTAAAATAAAAACTGGGTTATTCAGAATTGTTGAAAGTAACAAGAAACTACTACTCAGGGAAAACTTAGAGAAAAAAAGACAAAACTCTTCCTATTCATCACCGTTTGCTTTCAGAATTAAAATATTCCATAATCTTTGCCAGACAGAAAGTAACAACATTGATTTCAAATCACCCTCCCTGACAACTCCCATCAAAACCCAAAACAAAAAAAAATGCATTAACTGGAGGACATCTAATTTCCTAAGTCTGTTTTTAATTTTGCTGTATACATTTTTATATTAACTCTATATTGATTTTTTTCATTGTTGTTGTTCCAGTGTACGCAGTGTTCCAGATTACTTTTCTGGCAACTGCTGATGTGGTTTGTGGCTATGTTTCGTCCCATTTCTTAATTAGATGAAATGACACCCCACTTATAATTTAGTTACATAAAAATGGGAGAAATGTCAGTGTTTTTATAGGAAAATCACCGTGCTGACAACAAATCTAGGTAACATGGTAGAATGGTATCATATATCTTCTCTGGATTTTGTATTTCAATTCTTGGGTGATCCTAAAACAATGAATAAGCTTATTTTAAAATTAATTTATTCACTTAATAAATATTTACTGAGTTCTTATTCTGTGTTTGGCAGCTCTGTGAATAGCTTAGAATATATATGTAGTTCCTGTTTTTGAAGAGACTATGCCCCGGTAGGGAAAATCGAAATATAAGCAGGCTCCTAGTGTTGTATAAGAACTATGATTTCAGTGTACATAGGAAGATTTAAGGGCACAAAGAAAGGGCTCTGAGTTATGCTTGTGGGATCCTGATTGAGGACCCATTAATGAGGTCTGAAAGAAATTTTGAAGGATAGGTAGGAGTTGACCAAAAAAATAAAGAGAAGGGTATTTGGAGCTGATGGGAATGGGATTATAAAGGTGAGGGGGGCATGTGAAGAAGTAAAAGTCATTGGGTTTGACTGAGGCTTAGTATTGGAGTAGGTTGAAGATATTGTTGAGAAATGAAGCTGGTGAGATCACAACTTTTACTTATTGAATGATTTTTATGTACCACATACTTTACAGGTATTATTTAAATTAATACACTTTATTATTTTGAGCAGTTTTAAGTACTCAGCAAAATTAGGCAGCAAGTACAGAGAGTTCCCATATAACCTCATCCCCACCGTGTGCAACCTCCCCTACTATCAGCATTCCACACCAGAGTGGTATATTGTAATCAATTGTCCCACAGACACTTGAACACACATGTTTATAGCAGCACGATTTGCAACGGTGAAAATATGGAACCAGCCTAAATGCCCATCAATCGAGTGGATAAAGAAATTGTGGTATAAATATATATGATGGAATACTGTTCAGCCATTAAAAGGAACAAATTAATGTCATTTGCAGCAACCTGGATGGAACTGGAGACTGTTATTCTAAATGAAGTAACTCAGGAATGTAGACATAAAATTTTAATCTATTTGGGTAAATACAAAGGAGGACAATTACTGAATCATATGGTAATAATATATTTAGTTTTGTTAGAAACTTGCAAACTGTCTTCCAAAGTGGCTATACCATTTTGCATTCCCTCCAGCCATGAATGAGAGTTCCTGTTGCTCCACATCCTCACCAAATTTGGTATTGTCAGTTTTGTGGATCTTAGCCATTCTAATAGGTGTGTAGTGGCATTTCATTGTTGTTTGAAGTTGCAATTTCCTAATGTAATATGATGTTGAACATCTTTTTCATAGGCTTACTTGTCATCTGTTTATCCTCTTTGGTAAGGCTGTTCAGGTATTTTTCTCATTTTTTAATTGAGTTGTTTCTTGTTGAGTTTTAAGAGTATTTTTGTGTATTTTGGATAACAGTTCTTTATAAGATGTGGGGTTTCTTTTGCAATTGTTTTCTTCTAGTCTGTGACTTGTTTTCTCACTTTTTAATTTTTTTTTCTGAGCAGAGCTTTTAAGTTTTAATAAAGTCCCCTTATTGATTATTTCTTTCATGGATCATGTCTTTGGTGTTGTGTCTAGAAAGTTATTGCTGTACCAGGGTGATGTAGGTTTTTATCCTATGTTAACTTTTAGGAGTCTTTTCAGCTTTGTGGGTCTATTACCCACCTTGAGTTAATTTTTATTAGGAGTGTGAGGTTTGTGTCTATATTCATCTTTTAGCATGTAGGTGTCCAGTTTTTTCAGCAAAATTTTTTGAAAAAACTCTTTGCTCCACCATATTGCCTTTGTATCTTTGTCAAGGATCTGTTGACTGTATTTATATGGGTCTGTTTCTGGGCTCTATTTTATTGTTTTACATGTCTATTCTTTCACTAGTACTACACTGTGTTGATTACTGCAGCTTTATTGTAAGTCTTAAAGTCAGAGGTGTCAGTCCTCCAGCTTTGTTCTTCTTTTATATTGTGTTGGCTATCCTGGGCTCTTTGCTTCTCCATACAAAACTTAGAATCAGTTTGTTGATATCCACAAAATAACTGACTGGGATTTTGATTGAGATTTCATTGAATCTATAGATTAAGTTGGGAAGAACTAATATCTTTGCAATATTGAGTCTTTCTACTTGTTAACATGTAAATAGCTCTTCATTTATTTAGTTCTTCTTTAATATCTTTCATCAGAGTTTTGTAGTTTTCCTCATACGGATCTTGCATATATTTTGTTAAATTTATACTTAAATATTTCATTTTGGGGGGTTCTAATGTAAATAGTAATGTACTTTTAATTTCAAATTCTGCTTGTTTATTGCTGGTATATAGGAAAATGATTGACTTTTATATATTAACCTTGTATTCTGTAAACTCTCTATAATTGCTTATTAGTTTCAGGAGTGTTTTTGTCAATACTTTTGGATTTTCTATATACATAATTATGTCATCTGTGAGCAAAGACACTTTTATTTCTTCCTTTACAATCTATAAAGAGTTATTTCATTTTCTTTTCTTATTGCATTAGCTAGGACTTCCAGTATGATGCTGAAAAGCACTGGTGAGAGAGAACATTTTTGCCTTTTTCCTGATGTCAGTGGGAAAGCTTTGAGGTTTTCACCATTAAGAATGATGTTGGATGGGCACAGTGGCTCATGCCTGTAATCCCAGCACTTTGGGAGGCCAAGGTGGGTGGATCACCTGAGGTCAGGAGTTTGAGAGCAGCGTGGCCAACATGGTGAAACCCCATCTCTACTAAAATTACAAAAAAAAAAAAAAAATTAGCCAGGCATGGTGCTGGGTGCCTGTAATCCCAGCTACTTGGGAGGCTGAGGCAGGAGAATCACTTGAACTCAGGATGCAGAGGTTGCAGTGAGCCAAGATTGTGCCACTGCACTCCAGTCTGGGCAAGAGAGTGAGACTCCATCTCAAAAAAAAAAAAAGAAAAAAAAAAGAATGATGTTAACTGTAGGTGTTTTGTAGATGTAGATGTTCTTTATCAAGTTGAGAAAGTTACCCTCTATTTCTAGTTTGCTGAGATTTAAAAAATTATGAATTGGTATTGAATTTTGTCAATTTTTTCTGCATCTTTTTAAGTTTTTCTACATTTATTAATAGGATCATGTGATTTTTTCCCCTGCTTTATCCTATTGATGTGGTGGATTACATTAATTGATTTTCAAATGTTTAACTGGCCCAGTATTTCTATACTTGGGATAAATCCCACTACATTGTTGGACTTGACTTACTAACATTTTGTTGAGGATTGTTGAACCTATATTCATAAGAGATATTGGTCTGTAGTTTTCTTTGAATGTCTTTATATGGTTTTGGTATTAGGGTAATGCTGGTTTTATAGAAAGAGTTAGTATTTCCTCTGATTCTAACTTCTGGGAGAGATTGTGGAAAATTGGTATGATTTCTTTCTTAAATATTTGGTAGAATTCATCAGTGAACCCATCTGGGCCTGGTGCCTTCTTTTTTGGAAGGTTATTATTAATTTAATTTATTTGATGAATATAAGCCTGTTCCAATCACCTATTTCTTCTGGTGTGATTTTGGAAAATTGTGTCTTTCAAGAAATTGGTTCATTTTAAATTTATTTTTAATTAATTATTGAAAAAAAACCATCTTAATCTGTCACCCAGGCTGGAGTGCAGTGTTTCAATCATAGCTCATTGCAGCCTCAAACTCCTGGGCTCAAGCAATCCTCTCACCTCAGCCTCCTGGGAATTGGTCCATTGTATTTAGGTTTTCAAATTTATGGGTATACAGTTGTTCATAATATTCTCTTATTATTCTTTTACCATTCATGAGACCTGTAGTCATGTCCTTTCTTTCATATCTGACATTAGTAATTTGCATGCTCTCTCTTTTTGATTACTTAGTCTGGCTAGAGGCTTATTGATTTTATAAATCTTTTCAAAAAAACAGGATTTAGTTTTATTTTCTGCTCTAGTTCTTATTATTTCTTTCATTTCCTTACTTTGGATTTAATTTGCTCTTCTTTTTCTAGTATTCTAAGGTAGAAGCTTAGATTATTAATTTTAGATGTTTCTTTTTTTCTAATATCTTATTCAATATTATACACTTCCTTCTAAGCAATGCTTTTGTTGCATTCCACAAATTTGGTAAGTTGTATTTTCATTTAGTTCAAACTGTTTTTTAAGTTTCTCATAAGATTTTTTTTACCCATATGTTATTTAGAAGTGTATAGGTTAATCTCCAAACATTTTGAGGTTTTCCAGCTATCTTTCTGTTATTGATTTCTATTTTAATTTCACTGTGATCTGATAACAGACATTGTATGATTTCTGTTCTTTTAAATTTGTTAGGGTGTGTTTGTTAGTGTCTATCTTCGTGAGTGTCCATGAACTTAGTCAAGTTCATGTGAACTAGAGAAAAATGTTTATTCTCCTGTTGGATGTAGTAGCCTATAAATGTCCATTATATCCAGTTGATTATGTTGCTTTTTAGTTCGACTATGTCCTTCCTTACGGATTTTCTGCTTGCTGGATCTATCCATTTCTGATAGAGGAGTGTTAAATTCTGTAACTGTAATAGTGGATCCATCCGTTTCTTTGCAGTTCTTTCTGTTTCTCCTCAGGTATTTTTATGCTCTGCTGTTAGATTCATACATGTTAAGAATTGTTATGCCTTCTTAGAGAAATGACCTTTTTATTATTATATAATGCCCCTCTTTTCTCTTAATAACTTTCCTTGCTATTAAATCTATTCTGTCGGATGTTAATATAGCCAATCCCAGTTTCTTTTGGTTAGTGTTAGCATAGTATATCTTTCCTCATCTATTTACTTTTAATCTGTGTGTTTTTATATTTAAAGTGAATTTTTTGTAGATAATATATAGTTGTATCTTGTTGTTTGATCCACTCTAACAATCTCTGTCTTTTAATTGGTGCATTTAGACCATTGACATTCAAGGTGATTACTGACACAGTTGAATTAATATCTATTATATTTGTTACTACTTCTATTTGTTGCCCTTGTTTTCTTTCCTTGTTTTTGTATCCCACTCTTTTTCTGCCATTTGTGCCTTTAGTTGAGCATTTTATGTGATTCCATTTTATCTTCTTTCTTAGTATATAAGTTGCACTTTTCTAAAACTTCTAAGTGGTTGCTCTAGAATTTGCTATATACATTTACAACAATTCATGTCTACTTTCAAATAACACTATACACTCCCCGACTTATGATTATTTAACTTACAATTTTTTGACTTTATGATGGTGAGAAAGTGATAGAAATTCAGTACACTTCTTGACTTATTATGGTGTGATGTCCCAATTACAACCCCATTGTAAATACAGGAGCATCTGTACCACTTTAAGAGTAGTGCAAGTACCTGATAATAACAAAATAATTTTAATTCTTTCATCCTGTTCCTTGTATTGTTTCTGTCAAATATTTTATTTACATATAAGCATATGAATAGGAATAAAATACATTGTTGCTATTATTTTGAACAAACTGTTATCTGTTAGATCAATTAAGGATTGTTACCTTACTTATTCCTTCTCTGATTCTCTTGCTTTCTTTATGTAGATCTGAGTTTCTGACTTAATATTATTTTCCTTTTCTCTAAAGAATTTCTTTTAATGTTTCCTTGTGAAGTAATTCCACTGGCAACAAACTTCCCCAATTTTTCTTTATTTGAGAAAGTCTATTACTCCTTCACTTTTCCTTCCCCTTCCTTCCCTCCCTCCCTCCTTCCTTCCCTCCCTCCTTCCTTCGCCCCCTCCCTTCCTCCCTCCCTTCCTCCCTCCCTTCCTCCTTTCTTCCCTCCCTTCTTTCCTTTTTTCTTCCTTTCTTCCTTTGTTCCTTCCTTCTTTACTTTCTCTCTCTCCTTCTTCCTCTCTGTCCTCTCTTTTCTTTCTCTCTTTCCTTCTCTCTTTTCTTCTTTATCCTTCCTTCCTTCCTTTTCCTTTCTTTTTTCTTTTCTTTTATTTCATGAGTACTGGTGCACCAGGATCTCCTTCACTTTTGAAAGATAATTTTGCAGGGTACAGAATTCTAAGTTGATATTTTATTTCTCAGCACTTTAAATACTTCCACCTTTTCTTTTGTGCATGGTTTGTGAGGAAAATTCTGACATAATTCTTATATTTGCAATCCTTTACTTCTTTCAAGATTTTTATTTTTGCTTTTTTTTTTTGTATTTTAAATATACTATGCCTAGTTATAGCTTTTGGGGGGCATTTATCCCACTTGCTGTCGGAGCTTCCTGAACCTGTGGTTTGATATCTGATGTTAATTTGGGGGGAATTCTCAGTCATTATTTCTTTAAATATCTGTTCCTTTCTCTCTCTCTTCTTCTGCATATGTTAAACCTTTTGTAGTTGTCTCACCATTCTTGGATATTCTGTTCTGTTTCCCACCCTACCCCCTAGTATTTTTTTTTTCTTTTCGATTTTAGATGTTTCTATTGAAATATGCTCAAGCTTGGTGATTGTTTCCTCAACTTTTTCCAGTCCAGTCAAATGAACCCAATCAAAGGCATTCTTCATTTCTATTAGTCTTTTTGATCTCCAGCATTTCTTTTTATTCTTTCTTAGCATTTCCATATCTCTGCTTATATTGCCCATCTGTTTTTGTAGGCTGTATATCTTATCTACTAGAACTCTTAGGATGTTAATCACAGTTTGTTTTTTTTTTATTCCCAGTCTGATAACTCTAACATTAGAGTTAGAGTTCTGAGTCTGGTTCTGATGCTTGCTCTGTCTCCTCAAACTGTGGGGTTTTTTTCTTCGCCTTTTAATATGCCTTGTAATTTTTTCTTGATAGGCAGACTGGGTGCTATATGATGTACTGGGTACAAGGCATTGTGGTTACTAAGCTATAGTCATGTAGTGGTAAGATGTGGAGCGAGAGGAAGCATGCTGTAGTCCTGTGATTAGATCTCATGTCTTTTAGTGAGCCTGTGCTTCTGGACTCACAAGTCTCACAAGTGCTTCTTAGTTCCTGCCCCACCCCTTTAGGTGGGACCGGATGGCTACAGTGGACTAGAGTTGTGTATTTTTCTTCCCCTATATAGAAGGCTAGAGCAAGCTGGAGTTAGACATGTCCTTTGCCCTAATCTGTTAGGCTCTGGAAAACCCTCAGTAGTATAGGTTCTGGTTAAATGACTTCTCTTAAGGTCAGACCTTGATAAGAAGAACAGAATGGACCCCGCGCGGTGGCTCACGCCTGTAATCCCAGCACTTTGGGAGGCTGAGGCGGGCATATCACTAGGTCAGGAGATGGAGACTATACTGGCTAACATGGTGAAACCCCATCTCTACTAAAAATACAAAAAAAAATTAGCCGGGCATGGTGGCGGGCGCCTGTAGTTCCCAGCTACTCGGGAGGCTGAGGCAGGAGAATGGTGTGAACCCGGGAGGTGGAGCTTGCAGTGGGCCGAGATCACGCCACTGCACTCCAGCCTGGGCGACAGTGTGAGACTCCGTCAAAAAAAAAAAAAAAAAAAAAAAGAACAGAATGTTGTGGGATATTTCCAGTTGATCACTTTCCTCCTTTCCCTACCAGAAGCATAAGGGGATTTTTCTCTTTAATTTACTGCGAGAATTTATTTAATCCTCTGAAGGCAAAACTCAGGTCCCTGAAGCTCATCCACTCTGAGCCTTCAAGCGATTCATGGATTACAGTTTAAGTTTTCCTGCCCCAGCATTGTTTTCCATGGAGGTTTCTGCTCTTGGGTGTCTGCTCTGTTGAGTTGTGATTCTCTATATTCACCTGTCTCTCCAAATTTTGGGAACAGCTAATTGTCTGTGATTTCACTTCACTGACAGATCTAAGAAGGGTTGGTTTTTCAGTTTGTTCAGATTTTTACTTGTTGGGATGGAATGATTTCCAAGCTCCCTACATGCCAGATAGGAGTCCTGCTATTTAATTTTATCTTTCATAAAGGAAGCCTTGGCTGGGCACAGTGGCTCATGCCTGTAATCTCAATACTTTGGGAGGCCAAGGCAGGAGAATTGCTTGAGGCCAGGAGTTCAAGACCAGCCTGGGCAATATAGCAAGGTGCTGTCTCTACAATTTTTTTTTTTTAATTACCCAAGTATGGTGGTGCATGTTTGTACTCCCAGCTCCTCAGGAGGCTGAGGCAGGAGAATCGCTTGAGCCTAGTGAGCTATGACTGAGCCATTACACTCCAGCCTGGCAACAGAGTGAAACTCTGTCTCTAAAAAAACAAAACAAAACCAAAACAACAGCAAAATAAAAAAGGAAGTCTTTTGAGAGTTAAAGGGGGTTATTTTTAATAATTATCCCAGGACAAAAAACATAAACTGTAATGTATGATTACTGTATTGATGCAGTTGCCTACTGATGAGGAAACTAATATTTCAGAGCTAATAAGAGGTATAGGTGGGATTTGAACCCAGGCAGTCTGATCCCTGAGTCAGTGCACTTATCTCTATATTATGTCACACTCACACTTTTGGGGTACCTTGTGTAGCTTTTCAAAGTCTTCACTAGGACCTATCAATACTCATCATTGTGGTTGTTCTTTCCTGAAGAGACACATAATTAAAACACAATGTCACAATGATTTATTAGCTCTTAATTTATTATTTTTAATTTCCTTTTATTAGGAGGGCAAGAACTGTGTTAAATTATTCTTTAGTTATTACTGCATATAACCTCTTCTAAATCTGCAAGTTTTTCTCCTTCCTGGAATTCTGTACTTGCCAGAGACATCTAGTCAAACTTAGTTCTGTAAACAGTCTTAGATGATATAACTTAGTTGGAAATAACATAGCTAATCACTTGTAAATTTTAGCTAAGACTTAGGAGGCAGAAAAATTTAGTGATTAAAAATGGAATTAGGTTGCTGGATTTGAATGCCAGTTTCATGCCACACAGTCTGTGACTCTTAGGTAAGTGTGATTTTCCTCTCCAAGTCTCACTCTCCTCATCTGTATGCTTGAGAAGATAATAGTATCTATCTCTTGGTGGTTGTTTTGAATCCTATATGAGCCTGGCACATAATCAGGGCTCTTTATTTTAGCTGGATCTTTAGGTTTCTAGTGAAATGCTTTCAAAGCATGATGACTTTAAAATCCTTTCTGACAGTGGTTTTTAAGATCTATCAATGTAGGTATTGAGTCTGCCAGCAGGAGTTCATTGATTATTTTAAGCTGCCTATTTGTGTAACTTAATATAGATAAGAAAATGGTCCCCTTTGCCATTTTGGTATATCACTAAGTATAGATCTAGCTTCCTTTTCAGATATAAGGGAGTAGTAAAGAAAATACTTCTATAATCAACTTTTATTTTTATTAGAGCTATAAATATATATAGCTTTCTTAAAAGAAAAAGTCAGTGCAAAAGGCTTTTAATAGAAACAATCAGTCCCTTGCCCACCCCTCCTGACTCTTGATTATTGATTTCCAGAGGCTACCACTTACAATTCTTTTAGCTATTGATTTTGATAGTTACCTCCATATTTCTATGTAATCTGTTTATATTACTATTTTTTATTTTTCTTAGTTTTAGATACTCTCTTTTGACTTCTCACTGTAGAGAAGGAGGATTTAGCTGTCTTATATCCTTCTCCTATACTTATGTATACTCACACACTCACATATGCACTTATCCTCCTACATTCTACTAAAAGAATCATATTTTGCTGAATAAATTTTTATAATCCTGAAAATGTTATTCATAGCTGAGCTATGTGGTAAATTTTGGTTATTCTTTCTTCCATGATATTGTCTTTTTTGAGGTTGATAATTATCTCTGTTTGGTTTGTTTGCATAGTTTTCTGTACATCTATCACTAACGTATTCCCAATCTCCCCTACAGAAGTCTCAATCTCTCAGTACTTTAAAAACATTCTGGATTAGGTAGTTTTATGTTTATTTTCTTGGTAGAGGAAGAAATCTCTTCAGGACTCTCTGTTCTCTCATTCCCATAGATATCAATTGCTCTCTTGGTCTCATACTGGGATCTATACCATCCTGAAAACTTCCTTCTTTTCTTGGTTGTATTCCTGCTTCCTGGATCTCATGTCTTCCTCTTTATTAGTTTGCTCCCTTGTTTTGTAGAACACGTTCTTTAACAGCGTTCTTAAAAAGGTGAAAGGGAGGTAAAATATTTTGAGATTTGCAAGTCTGGAAATATCTTTTCCTACTGTCACGTTTATTGAAAATTTAGAATTCTAGGTTAGAAATGATTTTTCCCTCAGAATTTCAAAAACATTGCTCTATTGTTTTTTAGTTTCCAGTTTGCTGCTAGGAAGACTGATGCTATAGTGATTCCCAATCCTTTCTTTGTGTCTTTTCTTTAACTTCTCTGGAAACTTTTTAGTATCTTTTATCAGTTCCCAGTATTTTGAAATATTTTACTGATATGCCATTTTGTGTGTATGTGCATGTGTGTGTGTGCTCATTTCCTGTTTGGCACTTGTTGAGTTTGTTCAATCCATAAATTCCTATCTTTTACTTATAGGACATTTTCTTGAATAGGATCTCTCCAACCCCAAACTGTTTCTGTTTGATTTTCTCTCTTTGGAATGTCAGTTATTCAAATATCGAATCTTCTGGGCCATTTCTCTAGTTTTAACAATGTGGTTTTTTTTTTTTTCCTTGTTTACTTCTTTTTTTTTTCTTTCATTTTCTGGAACAATTCCTTGAGTTTTTCTTCCAACCATTTTACTAACATTTTAATTTCTGCTCTCCTATTTTCAGTTATTGAGATTTTTTGCCTGGTGTTTCTGTTTATGGCCTTCTAATTTTGTTCCATGAATGCAATAAGTTCTCCTTTCTCTCAGAATATTAGTAAAAATGATCAAGTTGTATTCTGTATTTTACATTATCTTTTTTTCCTTCAGGTTTCATATTACAATGTTTATTTGTTTTGGTCTCTGAGAATCTTTTTGGCTTTTCCTTCTTTCTTTTCTTTTCTTTTTAAATTTTCACAAAAGTTTCTATTGTGACCAACAATAAACATTCAAAAAAGTAATAATATCCATTGATTCAATATCCTTCAGAGAATAGAAACCATGTAAAAAAACTGTTAATTTTATAAGAATAGGTAAATTTTGGTATCCATATCTGACAATGCCATTACAAGAAGGGAAATTTACAGACCGTGATCCTTTTTGAACTAAATTTATATATCCTATTCAAAAATCCAGCTATATTTTATAAGGAGGTTATATAATGACCAAATGTGGTTTATGCAATTAATTCAGTATGTACTAATTCCTGAATAAAGAGTAATAATAGTCTCAGGCTGGCAAGCTGAATAGGAACAGCTCTGGTGTGCAGCTGCCAGTGAGATCAACGCAGAAGGCAGGTGATTTCTGTAATCCAACTGAGGTACCTGGCTCGTCTCACTGGGACTGGTTAGACAGTGGGTGCAGCCCATGGAGGGCAAGCCAAAGCAGGATGGGGTGTTGCCTCACCTGGGAAGCGCATGGGGTTGGGAAACTCCCTGCCCTAGCAAAGAGAAGCTGGGAGGGACTGTGCCTAGAGGAAGGGTGCATTCCAGCTCAGATACTATGCTTTTCCCACGGTCTTCACAACCTACAGGCAAGAGATTCCCTTGGGTGCCTACACCACCAGGGCCTGGGGTTTCAAGCACAAAACTGGGTGGCTGTTTGGGCAGACACCGAGCTAGCTGCAGCAGTTTTTTTTCATACCCCAGTGGCACCTGGGACACCAGCTAGACAGAACAATTCACTCCCCTGGAAAGGGGGCTGAAGCCAGGGAGCCAGGTGGTCTAGCTCAGCGGATCTCACACCCACAGAGCTCAGCAAGCTAAGATCCACTGGCTTGAAATTCTCACTGCCAGCACAGCAGTCTGAAGTTGACCTGGGACGCTTGAGCTTTGTTTGGGGAGGGGCGTCTGCCATTACTGAGGCTGGAGTAGGTGGTTTTCCCCTCACAGTGTAAACAAAGCCACTGGGAAGTTCCAACTGGGTGGAGCCCACTGCAGCTCAGCAAAGCCGCTGTAGCCGGATTGCCTCTTTAGATTCCTCCTCTCTGGGCAGGGCATCTCTGAAAGAAAGGCAGCAGCCCCAGTCAGGGCCTTATAGATAAAACTCCTATCTTCCTAGGACAGACCACCTGGGGGAAGGGGCGGCTGTGGGTGCAGCTTCAGCAGACTTAAATGTTCCTGCCTGCCAGCTCTGAAGAGAGCAGTGGATCTCTTAGCACAGCATTCGAGCTCTGCTAAGGGACAGAATGTCTCCTTAAGTGGGTCCCTGACCACCGTGCCTCCTGACTGGGAGACACCTCCCAGCAGGGGTTGACAGACACCTCATACGGGAGAGCTCCGGCTGGCATCTTGTGGGTGCCCCTCTGGGACGAAACTTCCAGAGGAAGGAACAGACAGCAGTCTTTGCTGTTCTGCAGCCTCCGCTGGTGATACCCAGGCAAACAGGATCTGGAGTGGACCTCCAGCAAACTCCAGCAGACCTGCAGCAGAGGGGCCTGACCGTTAGAAGGAAAACTAACAAATCAGAAAAGAATAGCATCAACGTCAACAAAAAGGACATCCACACAGAAACCCCATCTGAAGATCACCAACCTCAAAGACCAAAGGTAGATAAATCTATGAAGATGAGGAGAAAGCAGTGCAAAAAGGCTGAAAATTCCAAAAACCAGAATGTCTCTTCTCCTCCAAAGGATCACAACTCCTCGTCGGAAAGGGAACAAAACTGGAAGGAGAATGAGTTTGATGAATTGACAGAAATAGGCTTCACAAGGTGGGTAATAACAAACTCCTCTGAGCTAAAGGAGGATGGTTTAACCCAATACAAGGAAGCCAAGAACCTTGAAAAAATTTTAGAGGAATTGCTAACTAGAGAAACCAGTTTAGAGAAGAACATAAATGACCTGATGGAGCTGAAAAACACAGCACGAGAACTTCGTGAAGCATACACAAGTATCAATAGCCAAATCAATCAAGCGGAAGAAAGGATATCAGAGATTGAAGATCATCTTAATGAAATAAAGCATGAAGACAAAATTAGAGAAAAAAGAATGCAAAGGAATGAACAAAGCCTCCAAGAAATATGGGGCTATGTGAAAAGACCAAGCCTGCATGTGATTGTGTACCTGAAAGTGATGGGAAGAATGGAACCAAGTTGGAAAACACTTTTCAGGATATTATCCAGGAGAACTTCCCCAACCTAGCAAGACAGGCCAACAGTCAAATTCAGGAAATATAGAAAACACCAGAAAGATACTCCTTGAGAAGAGCAACCCCAAGACACATAACCGTCAGACTCACCAAAGTTGAAATGAAGGAAAAAATGTTAAGGGTAGCCAGAGAGAAAGATCGGGTTACACAGAAAAGAGGCCCATCAGACTAACAGCAGATCTCTCTACAGAAACCCTACAAGCCAGAAGAGAGTGGGGGCCAATATTCAACATGCTTTTTTTTTTTTTGAGACAGAATCTTGGTTTGTTACCCAGGCTGGAGTGCAGTGGTGCAATGTTGGCTCACTGCAAGCTCCGCCTCCGGGTTCATGCCATTCTCCTGCCTCAGCCTCCCAAGTAGCTGGGACTACAGGCACCTGCTACCACGCCTGGCTAATTTTTTGTATTTTTAGTAGAGACAGGGTTTCACCATGTTAGCCAGGATGGTCTCGATCTCCTGACCTCGTGATCCACCCACCTCAGCCTCCCAAAGTGCTGGGATTACAGGTGTGATCAACATTCTTAAAGAAAAGAATTTTCAACCCAGAAATTCATATCCAGCCAAACTAAGCTTCATAATTGAAGGAGAAATAAAATCCTTTACAGACAAGCAAATGCTGAGAGATTTTGTCATCACCAGGACTGCCTTACTCTTAAGAGCTCCTGAAGGGAGCACTAAATATGGAAAGGAACAACTGATACCAGCCACTGCAAAAACATACCAAATTGTAAAGACTATTGACACTATGAAGAAACTGCATCAAATTACAGGCAAAATAGCCAGCTAGCATCATAATGACAGGATCAAATTCACACATAACAATATTAACCTTAAATGTAATAAAAGGGTTAAATCACCCAATTAAAAAACACAGACTGGGCTGGGCACAGTAGCTCACACCTGTAATCCCAGCACTTTAGGATGCCGAGGTGGGTGGATCACGAGGTCAGGAGTTCGAGACCAGCCTGGCCAAGATGGTGAAACCCTGTTACTAAAAAATACAAAAATTAGCTGGGCGTGGTGGCATGCGCACATAGTCCCAGCTACTCAGGAGGCTCAGGCAGGAGAATCGCTGGAACCCGGGAGGCAGAGGTGGCAGTGAGCTGAGATTGTGCCACTGCACTACAGCCTGGGTGACAGAGCAAGACTCTGTCTCAAGAAACACACACACACACACACACACACACACACACAGAGAGAGAGAAATTGGATACAGAGTCAGGACCCATCCATGTGCTGTATTCAGGAGATCCATCGTATGTGCAAAGACACACATAGACTCAAAATAAAGGGATGGAAGGATATTTACCAAGGAAATGGAAAGCAAAAAAAAGCAGAGATTGCAATCCTAGTCTCTGATAAAACAGACTTTAAGCCAACAAAGATCAAAAAAGACAAAGAAGGGCATTACATAATGGTAAAGGGATCAATGCAACAAGAAGAGCTAACTATCCTAAATATATATGCACCCAATACAGGAGCATCCAGAATTCATAAAGCAAGTTCCTAGAGACCTACAAAGAGACTTGGACTTCCACATAATAATAGTGGGATACTTTAACACCCTACTGCCAATATTAGGTCAACGAGACAGAAAATTAACAAGGATATTCAAGACTTGAATTCAGCTCTGGACCAAGAGGACCTAAGACATCTACAGAACTCTCCACCCCAAATCAACAGAATATACATTTTTCTCAGCACCACATCACACTTACTCCAAAATTGACCACATAATTGGAAGTAAAACACTCCTCAGCAAATGCAAAAGAATGGAAATCGTAACTAACAGTCTCTCTGACCACAGTGCAATCAAATTAGAACTCAGGATTAAGAAACTCACGAAAACCACACAACGTCATGGAAACTGAACAACCTGCTCCTGAATGACTACTGGGTAAATAACAAAATTAAGGCAGAAATAAATAAGTTCTTTGAAACCAATGAGAATAAAGACACAACGTACCAGAATCTCTGGAACACAGCTAAAGCAGTGTTTATAGAGGAAGTTATAGCACTAAATGCCCACAGGAGAAAGCATGAAAGATCTAAAATCGACACCCTAACATCACGATTAAAAGAACTAGAGAAGCAAGAGCAAACAAATTCAAAAACTAGCGGAAGAGAAGAAATAACTAGGATAAGAGCAGAACTGAAGGAGATAGAAACACGAAAACCCCTTCAAAAAATCAATGAATCCAGGAGCTGGTTTTTTGAGATTAACAAAATAGACTGCTAGCCAGATTAATAAAGAAGAAAAGAGAGAAGAATCAAATAGACAATAAAAAATGATAAAGGGGATATCACCACTGATCCCACAGAAATACAAACTACCATCAGAGAATACTATAAACACCTCTATGCAAATAAACTAGGAAATCTACAAGAAATGGAAAAATTATTAGACACATACACCCTCCCAAAACTAAACCAGGAAGAAGTTGAATCCCTGAATAGACCAATAGCAAGTCTGAAATTGAGGCAGTAATTAATAGCCTACCAACCAAAAAAAAGCCCAGGACCAGATAGATTCACAGCCAAATTCTACCAGAGGTACAAAGAGGAGCTGGTAGCATTCCTTCTGAAACTATTCCAATCAATATAAAAAGAGGGACTCCTCCCTAACTCATTTTATGAGGCCAGCATCATCCTGATACCAAAACCTGGTGGAGACACAATAAAAAAAGAAAATTTCAGGCCAATATCCCTGATGAACATTGATGCAAAAATCCTCAATAAAATACTGGCAAATCTAATACAGCAGCACATCAAACAGCTTATCCACCACAATTAAGTTGGCTTCATCCCTGGGATGCAAGGCTGGTTCAACATATGCAAATCAATAAACATAATCCATCACATAAACAGAACCAACGACAAAAACCACATGATTATCCCAATAGATGCAGAAAGGCCTACAAAATTCAACATCCCTTCATGCTAAAAACTCTCAATAAACTAGGTATTGATGGAACGTATCTCAAAA
Organism: Homo sapiens; assembly: GCF_000001405.40. Classification (NCBI taxonomy): domain Eukaryota; kingdom Metazoa; phylum Chordata; class Mammalia; order Primates; family Hominidae; genus Homo; species Homo sapiens. The sequence continues at coordinate 172,029,411 of NC_000001.11, forward strand.
TAATAAGAGCTATTTATGACAAACCCACAGCCAATGTCATACTGAATGGGCAAAAGCTGGAAGAATTCCCTTTGAAAACCGGTACAAAACAAGGATGCCTTCTCTCACCACTCCTATTCAACATAGCATTGGAAGTTCTGGCCAGGTCAATCAGGCAAGAGAAAGAAATAAAGCGTATTTAAATAGGAAGAGAGGAAGTGAAATTATCCCTGTTTGCAGATGACATGATTATATATTTAGAAAACCCCATCGTCTCAGCCTGAAATCTCCTTAAGCTGATAAGCAACTTCAGCAAAGTCTCAGGATACAAAATCAATGTGCAAAAATCACAAGCATTCCTATACACCAATAAGAGACAAACAGAGAACCAAATCATGCATGAACTCCCATTCATGATTGCTACAAAGAGAATAAAATACCTAGGAATCCAACTTACAAGGCATGTGAAGGACCTCTTCAAGGAGAACTACAAACTACTGCTCAAGGAAATAAAAGAGGATACAAATAAATGGAAAAACATTCCATGCTCCTGGATAGGAAGAATCAATATCATGAAAATGGCCATAGTGTCCAAAGTAATTTATAGATTCAGTGCTACCTCTATCAAGCTACCACTGACTTTCTTCAAAGAATTAGAAAAAACTACTTTAAATTTCATATGGAAACCAAAAAGAGCCCATGTAGCCAAGACAATCCTAAGCAAAAAGAACAAAGCTGGAGGCCTCATACTACCTGACTTCAAATTATACTACAAGGCTACAGTAACCAAAACAGCATGGTACTGGTACCAAAACAGATATATAGACCAATGAAACAGAACAGAGGCCTCAGAAATAACGCCAGACATCTACAACCATCTGATCTTTGACAAACCTGACAAAAACAAGCAAGGGGGAAAGGATTTCCTATTTAATAAATGGTGTTGGGAAAACTGGCTAGCCATATGCAGAAAACTGAAACTGGACCCCTTCCTTACACCTTATACAAAAATTAACCCAAGATGGATTAAAGACTTAAATGTAAGACCCAAAACCATAAAAACCATAAAAGAAAACCCAGGCAATACCATTCAGGACATGGGCAAAAACTTCATGACTAAAACACCAAAGCAATGGCAATAAAAGCCAAAATTGACAAATGGGATCTAATTAAACTAGAGAGCTTCTTCACAGCAAAAGAAACTATCATCAGAGTGAACAGGCAACCTACAGAATAGGAGAAAATTTTTGCAATCTACCCATCTGACAAAGGGCTAATATCCAGAATCTACAAAGAACATAAACAAATTTACAAGAAAAAAAACAAACAACCCCATCAAAAAGTGGGCAAAGGTTATGAACAGACACTTCTCGAATGAAGACATTTATGTAGCCAACAAACATATGAAAAAAAGCTCATCATCACTGGTCATTAGAGAAATGCAAATCAAAACCACAATGAGATACCATCTCATGCCAGTTAGAATGGCGATCATTAAAGAGTCAAGACACAACAGATGCTGGAGAGGATGTGGAGAAATAGGAATGCTTTGACACTGTTGGTGGGAGTGTAAATTAGTTCAACCATTGCGGAAGACAGTATGGGAATCCCTCAAGGATCTAGAACCAGAAATACCATTTGATCTAGCAATTCCATTACTGGGTATATACCCAAAGAAATATAAATTATTCTACTATAAAGACACATGCATACATATGTTTATTGATGCACTATTTATAGTAGCAAAGAATTGGAACCAACCCAAATGGCCATCAGTGATAGACTGCTAAAGAAAATATGGTACATACACACCATGGAATACTATGTAGCCATAAAAAGGAATGAGTTCGTGTCCTTTGCAGGGACATGAATGAAGCTGGAAGCCATTATTCTCAGCAAACTAATACAGGACAGAAAAGCAAACACCACATGTTCTCACTCATAAGTGGGAGTTGAACAATGAGAACACATGGACACAGGGAGGGGAACAACACACACTGGGGCCAGTCAGGATGTTGGGGATGAGAGGAGGGAGAGCATTAGGACAAATAGCTAATGCATTGGGAGGCTTAAAACCTAGATGATGGGTTGATAGGTGCAGCAAACCACCACGGCACTCGTATACCTATGTAACAGATCTACACATTCTGCACTTGTATCCTGGAACTTAAAGTAAAATAAAACATAAAGCAATATAAATTACTAGGCAAATACTGTCCATTTCATCTAATGAAGAAAACAAATGACAAATATCATGTATATGACGTGCTACACAAAATGTCTAGGTTCTTACATTATTTATTACTGGAAGAAACCTTGGAGATCATGGTTTCTAACTCTTTATTTGACAGATGAGGAAAACTGAGACCTGGGGAGTTTTGGTGACTTGCTTTGAGACTAGAATCCAAGCTTTGTAATTCCTAGTACAGTCTTCTTTCCATTAAATCATATTTCCTTTTCTAAGGAATAGTGAATGCTGTGTGGCTTACAAGTTTATTTTTGGTGATGGCACTTTACCTGCTTTTCTTCTTTTAATTTTTTTGACCTCAGTGACTAGAACTGGATCAATAGTAATCCTTGGTTTATGACGCACTCTCATCATTGGTCCATGCATAACCTATTTATTTGTTTATTTGCTTTTAATAATGTAATACATAAAAATTTCAAATATTCATATTAGGTGGAGAACTTAGGAGCAAAATGAAAATGTATAATTTCCATATATGCGTGGTACAAAAATAAACTCTTATATTTCAAAATTATTTTTGTGCTATAGCTATTTGTTTTTCTCCCTTGGGTTGAAGGTTATCTTCTGGATGGGTGGTTTGGCAACTGTCCTCCTCATCACACTGAAATCACCAAACTCAAGTAGCACTTAGAAAACAAAGTAAGACAGAAGGAAATGGGAAAAGGACCAGGAAAATGTGCTTTACATTTAGCATTGTGACATATATGTCTAAAATTTGTTAGTCTTCTGCAAATTGTGTAATGTTGGGTTTGTTTATGATGCAGGTCTGAGAACCATTGGAGTTATCACCAAACTGGACCTTATGGATGAAGGAACGGATGCCAGGGATGTTCTAGAGAACAAACTGTTGCCTCTTCGCAGGGGTAATGTACTGTGGTCTATACAAGACTTTTTTTTTTTTTTTTTTTTTTTTTTTTTGTTATATGGAAGAGAAATGATTGGGAAGCCACTAGGAGGTTTGGTTTTAATGCCTTCTCAGTTGTAAGGAATGGATTTATTATTAGTTATACTTTTCTGGAATGGCTGTATGTTCCCAAATGATATACTAGAAAATAATCCAAAGGGAGAACTATTCCTTAAAATAACAGGAATAAGAAAACAGGAAAAGGAAGGAGTTTGAAGGGAGGTTATAAATATTCATCATAGGCTACATAAACTTATACTATTGTAAGCCTGGTATTTACTTGCCTGCTATATGACAAAACTGCTAAGATACACACTCTCTTAAAATGTACACAGTTTGAGGGTGAGAGGCATTATTGTACTGATGCTAAAAAATTATCGTGGGCTCAATCAGCAGCCTGTATTCAATACTGATGTTTCCCATTGAGTTTTATAAAGGAACTCAGTCTTCAGGCCTAAAACTAGTTTTGCCTTTCTTACTCTGCCTATGTGAGAGCCTTGAAATCTCCCTAGAATAAGCCACAAAAAGTGTCCCCAACTCCATAGATTTGTGTTTTGTTTCAGGTTACGTGGGGGTGGTAAACAGAAGCCAGAAGGACATAGATGGGAAGAAGGACATAAAGGCAGCCATGCTGGCAGAGAGGAAGTTTTTCCTTTCCCACCCGGCTTACAGACATATCGCTGACCGAATGGGAACCCCACACCTGCAGAAGGTCCTTAATCAGGTAAAAATGTTCTTTCAAGCAACAAGAACAATTATGAAATATGTAAGTAGGTGCTGGAATTCATATTTATTATTTTTAAGTTTATTTTTTTTTCCAAAACAAGACATGCAGCTTCAATGATAGGGATTTTAAAAATGAATATTAGTACCTCAGATTCACACTATTACCGTTCTCAGTGAATAGAACTCACCTTCCTATTATTGCAAGAACAATTATCAAAGCAGAAACACATACCTATTTAGGAACAGTGAACAGGGATATACATTTTAGCATATACTCACTTGTAATATGTAGTTATCTTGAGAAGTTAAATTTTTATAGCTTTGAAAAGTTGATCTCTTGGGATCTGTTTTTGAAGCACCAGTCTGTAATGGCTAGGTTACACTTTCTGTTAAATTATTTTTATGGCTTTGTTTAGAATTGATTTGTTTCTTAATTTAAAATCTTCAGAATCACAAATCCTAATTAAATAATCATTGATTTCCACTCATCTAAGATGCTTTTCTAGATAACCCCTTTTCCCACAATAATTTAGAATTGGGCCTTCTGCCTACCCCGCTCCATGCACTATGCACACACTTCTTCCGTAAATCCTCAATGCTCTTACTTGGTTACAGATATTCCTTCCCCTATTGGAGTTAAGTGTTACGACAAGCATCATTGTCATTGAATGCAGGGCCTCCTCCCTGAGTTTTGATTATATTGACTTAATGTGATCAGCAGCCTTTCTCACAAATATTCTTGTAAGTTATGCTTTAACTGTTACATACAAACTTAATCAGGCAATCAATCAATCAAGTAGATTTCTGATTCTTAGCTCCTGGAAAGTATCAATAGCTGTCACAATATGTGACATTATACCTGAACCATTTAGGCAAAACAACTGAGAAGAAATTTTAGAAAATAAAAAATTATGTTATAATTCCATTTTAAGAGGTACAATACAGACTATTGTAAAGTTTATACTTTTTAATTAAAGATAAACATTTGGACACTAGGAAACATCACTATGATTGTATCATTTAAAAATATGAATATATTTTTGAGAAGGAGCATTGTTATGCAAGAATGCTAACACTCTACCAATATATTTTGCACTGTCAAAACTCTCTTTAGAATACTGCTTTAACAGCTGTATTTGCCTACAAAAAATACAAATAAACTGAAAAAATCTCAGAGGAAACTCACTAATATGATTAGAAAGATAAAGCTGGAAATGAGTTAGGTTTTGAATACTGGAAAAACAAAAGGAGGTGGTTGACTATTAGGTTATTACAGGTGACCCCCAAGTTATGACACAATTGGATTCTCGTTGACTAAAAATTGAATGATTTTTTTTTTAACTGAAGATTTCTCCTTTCCTGGATAATCACTCTCTCTTTATTGCTTCAATAATATTTATACTATGTTTGAAACTAAGATAATTCTATGGCTATGTATGTGTACCAATACTTCTGCTCCTGTGGGATAATTTATATGGAAAATGCTGGAAAATGACATGACGTTTTTGAAAAATTGAATGAAATTTTCACTGTCGGGGGAAGGCAGAGAAAGAGGTAGTGAGTTGTATTAGATGATATTGGAGATGTAGGCAGTGGCTGAATCCTGTAATGTTTCTAGACCAAATTGAGGATTTTGGCTCTTACCTAAGACCAATGAGGAGTCATTTAAAGGTCCTGAGTAGAGGAACAACAAGATCAGATCCGTGAGTGAAAAAAGAATGTGGTATTGACAAGAAGACCAAGAGTAGACCAGTTAGAAGTAAAAATGAGAAATTATGGGAATTTGGTTGTGGTAAGGGCCAGTGGAGAGTAAAAAAAGGGGCGGGTTTGAGAAATGTTCAGGAAAATTGAGGACTAGGTGGTAGATTAGAGCTGTTGGGTAATGGGAGAGGTAGAGTCAAGGTTACGTCTCAGGTTTCCAGATTCTTATGAAGTCACCAAGATGGGGAACCCTGAAGGGAAGATCAAATACTTGATTTTGGACATGTTGAGCTTGAGATATCATTGACACATCCAAGAGGAGAAGTCAATCAACTGGTCAAATATGCATGCCACAGCAAAGATAAATCTTGTTTGGAGACAACATCTTACAGCTATAGGTATTTGGATGTTTATTGAAGCCAGGATGGAATGAGATTCCCTTAAGAGAGAACAGAGAGTAAATAAAAAAGAGGCCTTGGACCCAGATTTGAGGAATTTCAATAATTACTCTTCTGGCAAAGAGGGTGAATTGTCCAAGGAAATAGAGAAGATACATCCAGAATGGATAGCAGAAAAATGAGAGGAGCTGGAATTATGGAAGCCAGGGGAAGAAGTGTTTTAGAAAGCCGCAGTATTGCTTTGCTCTGGAGATGTCTGAGAAGCAAAAGGTGGAAATCAGGTATTTTTATTATTTACCAGTTCACATGGCAATCAGTTGGTTGCTGGTTTCTTGTGGTTGCTGGTTCTGTTAGATTTGGGTCCTTGTCTCTTGTGACGTTGCTGTCGGGAATGCTGTCCTCTCAGCTCTTTTGTTGCCTGCTTCATAGTTAGAACAGCAACGCATGCCAGGGTGCTAACAATAATTTATTACTGCAAGCAAGGGGGTAATACAGTTATAAACTATTGACAAATAACTCTAGATTTATTTAATAAATATATTCAGCTAACCTCAGATAAACATAAAGATGACTTAAAATAGTTTCTTCAGTCAATCTGGATATGTTAATTCTCCTTACTTTTTTTTTCTTTTTTTATTTTATTTTAGTATTATTATACTTTAAGTTTTAGGGTACATGTGCACAATCTGCAGGTTAGTTACATATGTATACATGTGCCATGCTGGTGTGCTGCACCCATTAACTCGTCATTTAGCATTAGGTATATCTCCTAAAGCTATCCCTCCCCCCTCCCCCCACCCCACAACAGTCCCCAGAGTGTGATATTCCAATTCCTGTGTCCATGTGTTCTCATTGTTCAATTCCCACCTATGAGTGAGAACATGCGGTGTTTGGTTTTTTGTTCTTGCGATAGTTTACTGAGAATGATGATTTCCAATTTCATCCATGTCCCTACAAAGGACATGAACTCATCATTTTTTATGGCTGCATAGTATTCCATGGTGTATACGCTACCTGACTTCAAACTATACTACAAGGCTACAGTAACCAAAACAGCATGGTACTGGTACCAAAACAGAGATATAGATCAATGGAACAGAACAGAGCCCTCAGAAATAACGCCGCATATCTACAACTGTCTGATCTTTGACAAACCTGAGAAAAACAAGCAATGGGGAAAGGATTCCCTATTTAATAAATGGTGCTGGGAAAACTGGCTAGCCATAGGTAGAAAGCTGAAACTGGATCCCTTCCTTACACCTTATACAAAAATTAATTCAAGATGGATTAAAGACTTAAACGTTAGACCTAAAACCATAAAAACCCTAGAAGAAAACCTAGACATTACCATTCAGGACATAGGCATGGGCAAGGACTTCATGTCTAAAACACCAAAAGCAATGGCAACAAAAGCCAAAATTGACAAATGGGATCTAATTAAACTAAAGAGCTTCTGCACAGCAAAAGAAACTAGCATCAGAGTGAACAGGCAACCTACAAAATGGGAGAAAATTTTCGCAACCTACTCATCTGACAAAGGGCTAATATCCAGAATCTACAATGAACTCAAACAAATTTACAAGAAAAAAACAACTCCATCAAAAAGTGGGCAAAGGACATGAACAGACACTTCTCAAAAGAAGAGATTTATGCAGCCAAAAAACATGAAAAAATGCTCACCATCACTGGCCATCAGAGAAATGCAAATCAAAACCACAATGAGATACCATCTCACACCAGTTAGAATGGCAATCATTAAAAAGTCAGGAAACAACAGGTGCTGCAGAGGATGTGGAGAAATAGGAACACTTTTACACTGTTGGTGGGACTGTAAACTAGTTCAACCCTTGTGGAAGTCAGTGTCTTGATTCCTCAGGGATCTAGAACTAGAAATACCATTTGACCCAGCCATCCCATTACTGGGTATATACCCAAAGGACTATAAATCATGCTGCTATAAATACATATGCACACGTATGTTTATTGCAGCACTATTCACAATAGCAAAGACTTGGAACCAACCCAAATGTCCAACAATGATAGACTGGATTAACAAATTCTCCTTAATTTTAATATTTTTTCTTTTTTCTGCATTTCTAGGAAGTTTATATTCTTTTCATTGATTTCAAGTTCATCACTTAGGAAGTTCAAGATTATCTGTTTTTTCTTTTAATTCAGACTTTTCTTTAACTGCATTGTAATAGAAAGGCTGTAAGACCTAAACAATCTGGGTTTTTATCTCACCTTTGTTCTTAATTAATCATGCACTCTTAGGTTCTTGGAAAAGTTTTCATTGTACTGAGCTTGAGGTGCCTGCTGATCTCAGTGGAAATGCCAAGTAGATGGTTATGTCAAGCCTTCAATAGCAGAGAGAGCTTTCCCTTACTCAGTCATGGAGTTGCACTGGGATCTAGAGATGGAAGTATGAGTAAGTTTCTGCCTCAGCTGAAGAATGTGGAGAAAATTAACAGCTGACAGGTGCCTCTAGCACCTTGGCTACCTGAGCTTCATCAGTGTGGTAAACCACTTAGTCCTGAGAACACCGGGTAGCAGCTGTGACTCCTAGCTTCCTTCATTTCTATCACATTCTAACTTAAGGTTCCTTTCTACAAGGTAGGAGACCTGGTAAATCAATCCATGCTAAGGTGTTATTGGGCAGCCTCATTAGTAACATTAGCTGCATTTTAACAGGGTCTTCCTGGATTTAAAGAGATAGCTCAAGTGAGTGACTCTAAATGAAGGAATTTTGAGCATCTCTGAAGGGCAGTGGAGGAGGGAGTTGGTGTTCCTTCTCCCTATCTACATAATAGTCAATGTCAAATGCAGACATAATGTTTGAAATTTTGAATTATTAGAAAAACAATGGAGGCGGATCTTTGTCTCATGAGTTAATCTTTAATCTGTGTATATGATTCAATCTTCAATCTGTGTGTATCATTTTGTTTTGTTTAGCAACTTACCAACCACATTCGGGATACCCTACCAAACTTCAGGAACAAACTACAGGGACAGTTGCTCTCCATAGAACATGAAGTAGAAGCCTACAAAAATTTCAAACCAGAAGACCCAACAAGGAAGACCAAAGCATTGCTGCAGTAGGTCACCTTTCCCTTCCTTGGCTCAGCATTTTAATCTAATTTCTTTAGTTTTCTATTGCCTTAGTCTATTTGTCACGTTGCTTCTTAGGTAGCAAGTAAACTATATGAGGCTATCTATATGATACAAGATAACTCTTGAATTTTTATGCTTTGTTGAACAAGAATTATTGGTATTATTCTGTTATTATCAACTTACCAGTTGAGCATCCTCATGCCCATTTAAATTGTGTTTTTAAAACTGGATTAAGTGAGTAAAACCATTAGGGATGACCCAGCAGGAATTTTTGTCCCTTGTCTTAGAAGTGGGTAAATACAGATGCAAATATCATTTGTATTTTTCAGCTGTTTCTATGGATGTCAATTGTACTTATTATCCTTTATTCCAATTATTTCATGTAACTTATTTGTGTGCATTTTTCAGTGGAATGAGAACCAAGGGTTTAATTTAAAAGTTCTAACAATAAGGCTGTAGTTTTTTTTTTTCCTTTTACATAATGATTTTAATGTAGTCCTTTGAAAATGTAAATGTGAAACTGCCAAGCATCTTTTCACCCCTTCATGATCTTCCCATCTTATCTTTGGGTTACTAGAGTTATTCCTGTGGTGTCTTGGGGTAGGATAGCAGAGAATTGTTAGAGAATTCCTAGCTCTTTATATCTTACACTTTCTTCTCTCCTTCAAATCCTTCTGTCTCCATCAGTTCCTTTATCCTGTGCTGCCACTTGTGTCAAGTCCCTCTCAACAGGAAGGCTCCCCTGCCCAGCACACACTGCAGGATACCCAAGGTCTACCTCCGAAGATGATGTTTGGCACCTCTTATGGCGCACTTTTCTCCCCAGCAGCGTGGCAATCAAAGCATCCTTCAATTGGCATTCAAAGTGCACACTATAATTTCTTTCTTTGTGAGGAGATTCCCAAATGCTCAAATATTTAAATATAATATTAATTGCTTCATCCTATATTTCCTCATTAAAAATATTATACAAAGGAAAGAGTTTTTTTTTTTTCAGATATAACTCTTTCCTAATTTATTCTTTCTTTTCGTTCTTGGGTTTTGTTGAGCTCTTGCAAAAACTCTTCAAGTTACAGAGAAAGCTATTTCTGTTTAGGCCCTAGGTCATTATCTTAATATCCAACTAAAACTATTCTGCTTGCAAATACCGGGTCTTGCCTCTGTGACTTTATTGGACTCAGATTACAGAACTTTTCACAGCTAGATTCTTGATTTGCAGAGGGCTGATTCAGCTCCTTCTTTATGGCCCTATTCTTTCTGACCTATTTCTTTTCTCTCTTCTATCCTTCCCTCCTGCCTTCCTTTCTCTGTTCTTCCTCCTTCCTCTAATCTCTTCATGCACTCAGTGTCTGGTTCTGTGAAATGAATGATAATAAGATTCTTGCCCTCAAGAAGTCCCAGTAGAGTAGGGAAAAACAGACATAAAAATTAACACAATTTAACACAATTAATTGTGTTAAAGCTAATAAATGCTATGTTTCTGTAAGTGTAAAATATTAAGGGAGCCCGGATGAGGAAGCAGTTACATGTGAGGAAGGATGTGAATTTGCAGAGAAAACAGAGGGCCTGTGGTAGGAGAGGACCTTGTCATGTGGAAGGAGGAGGGCAAGAGAATCATGAGAACTTTGGTAACATTTGTTCTCGGATTAGTAAATGGGCCAGGTGGCTGAGGTATAGGGTTTAAGGGAAGGAGCAGCTAGAAGTACACTTTCTGAAAAATTTTTCATGTTTCAGTGTGTATGTCATACCTCTCCAGGTGTTTTTAAAAAATAAAATTAGCATATACATGAACATAACTAAATCCAATTACAGTCTAGCTTCTTTGGCCTAAATAATTTGCAGCTACTTTTCATTCATCCATGATTTTGATGGAAGGGAATGAAAAGATACAAGTTTTAGATAGTTTGAATTTTTTCCCTTTTAGATTTTGAATTTGAAAGTAGTTCCAGTATGTTTAAATTGGAGTTTCTAAACCTGGTAATCACAAATGAAAATAGTTGGTTTTTTTTTTTCGTGTTTCTTTCTTTCTTTCTTTCAAGCAGCCAGTGTAAGGTAATTCATTCTTTCCTGGGACAAATATTTATTAAATCTCCCAATTATGTTGAGCAGGGAAAGGTAAAGAAAACACACATTCCTTGCCCTTAGGAGAGTGACTAATAGACATGGCAATGTTAATGTACTGTGCCAAATGCTCTGCAGGAAACACGCTGAAGATGCAGAGGAGGGGCGATGAGGAGTGGTGCCGGATAGAGTCATGGATCATGAAAAGTTTCTGGGAAGAACCAATGCTTGAGCTGAGTCTTAAAGAACACGTAAAAATTAGTCAGGCAAAGCAGCAAGGGACAGAGAGAATGGTGTTCTGAGCAGAAAGAAAAGTGTAAAAGCACAGGGACATGGTGCATTTGGGGAACTGCAATGGCTTCCTTATGGTTGGCTGGAAGGTGAGTTGGATGAGTGGTAAGAGATGGGGCTGAAGAGGCAGCCAAAGCCAGACCATAAAATGCTGGGAGATGGGCTAAAGAGTTTTGATTGTATTATCGAATTGTGGGGATCCATTGAAAAACAAGGCTAGAGCTAGTTTAGAGGGGTCACAAATCTATGTTATTCTGATAGGGTGAGGTCTGACTTTGACAAAGATAAACTCAAAAGCAGGATCATCATCTAGAGGAGCCTTCAGTGATGCTGGGAGGCATTGCTGAGAGCTGAACCAAGGCAGTGTCAGTAGGTGTGAGGAGGAAGAGCTCAACCAGCTGAGCTGTAATGGAGAAGAAATTACCTACAACTGGTGGCTCCCTGCAACTGTTGGGTGAGGGAAAGGGAGGTATGCTGGATGCCCCAGATTCCCTGCCTGGGGTGGGTGGTATCATCCACCATGAGGAGAGACTTGGGAATGCAGGAGGATCAGCAGGTTTGGGAGTGAAAGAAATTGAGAGGTTGTTTTAAGTGTGTTGAGTTCAAGGCAGCTAAGAGGAAATAAACATCCAGTACAGTTGAGCATATGGGCCACTCACTCTTCTGAGAGTTATAGGCTAAAGCGGAAGGTGTGGAGAAACTATTTCTCAATAGCCCTTGAAGCTATGGCAACCTTGAGATCACCTAGGGATGAATGTGAGGAGAGACTGAGGCTGTGACATTGGGGGAGTAATAGAGCTGGAGCATTTGGGACACTAGGTGGTTGTGATGTCATAGGAGTTCAGGTCCATTTGATTATTCTACATAAAGTTTAATTGATTAACTCTCTATTTCAAGTGTTCTTTAAATACCATTTTATGACTGCAATCAAATGAACAGAAGGCATTGAAAGACAACTATATTTAAATATTTATTCTAATTAAATGTCTAAAATCTTAATGATGTGTATTTTGTATAATCACACTGTGAGTACTACATAGAGTGCAATGTTAACTCTGCCAGTAGGTGCCACTAAGAGCACCTGGAAAAGGATTCTAAGGAATAATCATAGGAAAAGAAAATGAAGAGTGCAAAGGCTTGTAACTTTGACTTGAATCTATTTCTCTTTAACAATTACAGGATGGTTCAGCAATTTGCTGTGGACTTTGAGAAGAGAATTGAAGGGTCAGGGGATCAAGTAGATACCCTGGAACTCTCAGGTGGTGCTAAAATCAATCGTATTTTTCATGAACGCTTTCCTTTTGAGATAGTAAAGGTTTGTGTCAAACGTTATTTTTTTCTTAGTTTCACTTCACTTCCATATTCTGTTTTATACAACTTAATACAATATTGTGTGAGTGGTATAGAACTAACATAGTTCTTTGAACAAAACCTCCATATTCAGGTAATGAAATTCAGGAGAGGAATATGTTCTTACTGATGATTCTGATTTTATTTAATGAGATTTAACTACATTTCAAACACAAATACTAATTGAGTTTCCTAGTTTGTTGTCTAATTAATTTAAAAATATTTCTTAAGCATGTACTATGCACCACATTTCTAGGTGCCAGTGATTAAGACAGAGAAGACCCTTGCTTGTCTAGTGGGGAAAGACAGAAAATTAACAAATAGACAAAATACGAAAGTTTCAAATGTTTTTATGTAACATGATATGAGAGAGGGGATGGGTGAGCCACTTTTAATGGAATAATCAGGCAAATTCTGTCTGAGCAGGAGACATTTAAACTGTGCCCAGAATGGCATGAAGAGGTCAACTGGGTAAAGATCTGGGGGAAAGGGGTTGTTCAAGGCAGAAGTAGCAACCTCGGGTAAGGCACTAAAGTATGACAGGTGAAGAACAGATGTGGCTGATGAAGGAGAGGGGCATGAAGTGAATTCAGAGAGGGAGGAAGTGTCCAGTTCACACAAAGCTTTCTAGGTTGAGGTAAAGTCTTTATACTTAACAATGGGAAGTTACAGGAGGGTTTTAAGCAGTAATGTGACTTGATTTGTTGATGATTTTAGAAGAATAGTATGCCTGCTGGATTGTAAAGAGCCAAGAGAGTGAGGAGAACAGTAGGCCAGACCAGGGGTGGATTCATTTTCTGTGGAGTCTGAAGCTTCTACAATTTTACAGGCCCCCTTGAAGAAGAATACAAAATTATAAACACACAGGCCCAGGGTCTTGGAAGAGGCTTGTGCAAGGGGGAAATGCTGAGAATTAAACTTCTTTAGCTTTCCAGTAAAAGTGCCCCAGCAAGAAAGGATAGAGAGATGGGTGGCTTTGGGGTTTTGGAGATAAAGTTGCTAGGGCTTCGATTGAAATGGGGGAATGGAAGAAAGGGAAGTTTTGAGATGACTTCCAAGGTTTTGGCTTTCACAGCTGAGGGAGTGGTAGTGCCCATCAGATGAGGGAAATGGAGGAAAACCTCTGTTTGTATGGAGAAGTGAATTAGGAGTTCTGTTTTGGATGTGCTAAGCGTAAAATGCCCAATAGGCAGTTGAGTAGTTTTAGGGACCATGCTACTTGTCTCAAACAGAGAGGTGAGTGCTTATGTCTTCGTGTGGGAGGCAAATGGGTAAATAGATAATTTCATTAAAAATGTGCTAAGTAAAGTGATAAACTTCAGCAAAGGGTACTATGGAAACACAGCCCACAGACATGAATCCCAGCTCAAGTGTGTAAGGGAGCCAGGCTTCTGAGCTGAGTTTGGAAGGATGAGCAGCTAGTTAAGCAGGAAGAGGTAGGCTACAGGAGGGGGTGATCCAGACAGGAGAGGAATGAGCTATGAAGCCATCAGTTATGGGTAGAGACCTAGAACAATTCGTCATTCTAGGGCATAAGCTGTGAGGGGAGGAAATGGACAGACAATGAAGCCGGAGAGGCCAAATCTCAGAGGTCAGGGTTGAACTCAATGTTCTTGGGCTATCCCTTCGAGGTCTAAGCTCTGTGACACTTTGGTCCTACTTCCAAATAGATTTATGGTACCTAGCGCTTCTGAGAAATATTTGTAATCTATCCTGTGTTGTCTTTTTAAAATATTACTAATTTTCTTTTACAAAGAGGCCTTTAACTCAAATGATTTAAGTGGCCAGGGACAAAAGACAGCCATTGTTAATTTCAGGACATCTGTACTGCTACTGCACAGCAGGTGAAACTCTCATTTATGCATTCTTCTGTGCCCTCAAATTTACCATATTCAGCAAAAGAATGAAGAATTATACATTTCAAATGAATGGCTAGATTTATGTCCAGAAGGCATCCTTATGCATAGCACTCCATATCTATAACAGAGTTAAAATCCACTGCCCCCAAGCTCCCCAAAATCCCTAGTGTTCTGTGTTGCCTTGAAATTTATATAAACAGATGTTTTGACCATCTGGGTTTAGGTTAGGAAAGACATGAGTATCCACTTATTAATAATGAAGTCAAGTTATTCTCATTCTGTAATGTTCAACAATATTATTCAAAGGAATTAAGTGTCATAACTATGGCTCATTTTGCATCTGCAGATGGAGTTCAATGAGAAAGAATTGCGAAGAGAAATAAGCTATGCAATCAAAAACATACATGGTATCAGGCAAGTGATTCACATTTTTCTTGTCATCTGTTCAAGCTACCAAAAGAAAATTAATGTTTATAAATGGCTAGGAAACTCGTCTTTTCATCATTGAATAGGGTAGAATACAGAGGTGGGAGTAAGAAACAGGAAATCCTACTTTGGGGTTTAATGGTAACTTCCTGTATTGCTGTAGTCAGTTTTTTCCAAGTGAAAAAGCAAAAACATTTTCTGCATTTCCAGCCTGTACTCTGCACAATAGGGGATTCGCAGATTAGCAAGACCCCATTCTCCAGAGCCTTCATTTTTCATGAGGGAGGCCAGACATGCTCATAATTAATCATTACTTACACCAGAGAAGGGACAGATTAATTTTGACTAGTGTTGTGGAGCAAGATTGGGAAAGATTAATGGAGGTTGTTACTTTCAAGTTTATCCTTTCCTGTGGGGAGGATGGTTTCAACAGGCCAGGAGGTGTTGTGTGTGCATGTGTGCTTGCACATGTGGGAGCGTGCATATGAAGTGGGCAGCAGTGTGATGAGACAGGAGAGGATGGAAGGATGGAATGGAGGTTGTTGAGGATAAAAGAAAGGGCTTTCCGGTGGAAGGGGTGGGATGACCAAAGGCAAAGAGGTGAGCGGGCACAGTATATATCCATGGAGCCAAGAGTCATGCATATGCATTGGGACTGGCTTGAGGAATGCAGTCAGGAGAGCAGAGGGACCTGAGCTGGGTGGGGTTGGGGGTGGGGTAGAACTTGTGTCTGAATTTCCCCTTGTTTAAAGTGAGATTATTCTAAATTACCTTCCATCTTAGTCTGTTTGGACTGCTGTAACAAATGACTACAGACTGGGTGGCTTATAAACCACAGAAATTTATTTCTCACGGTTCTGGAGTTTGAAAATCCTAGGTCAGGGTGTGAGCATGGTCGGGTTCTGGTGAGATCCCTTTTCTGGCCTGCACAGTGCTGTCTTCTTATTCTGTCCTCATGTGGCAGAGAGAAAGCTAGTTAGCTCTCTGGCCTCTTCTTATAAGGGCACTAATCCCATTCATGAGGGTTCTGCCCTCATGATGTAATTACCTCCCAAAGGCCCTACCTCCTACTACCATCACATTGAAGGGTATGGTTTCAACATATGAAGTTTTAGGGGAACACATTCAGTTCACAACAATTTCTTTAAAGAACTATGATAAGAACAAATGATTTTAAAGCACATATTTATTCATTTCATGTACAGAAGGCTAAACATAACTTAATGAACATATGTTGAATTGCAGTGTCCTTAATTCAAGGAAATAAAACTTAGGTTGCCTAGTACATAGATTGCCTCATACGAAGGAGGTGGCCCCTGCCTGTTGTCATTTGTGGTTCAGCCTCTGCCAAAGGGCCAAGTTGAGACTGTGCTGGGAACAGGCCCTGAGAAGGCAAAGCTTGACACTGAGTTTGCATGTGATGGGTGATTTTACAAAGGAGTTATGATGCTTGAGTTATTTGTTGTTTTAAAATTTAGACAATCTGTTGGTGGGACTGTAAACTAGTTCAACCATTGTGAAAGTCAGTGTGGAGATTCCTCAGGGATCTAGAACTAGAAATACCATTTGACCCAGCCATCCCATTACTGAGTATATACCCAAAGGACTATAAATCACGCTGCTATAAAGACACATGCACACATATGTTTATTGCAGCACTATTCACAATAGCAAAGACTTGGAACCAACCCAAATGTCCAACAATGATAGACTGGATTAAGAAAATGTGGCACATATACACCATGGAATACTATGCAGCCATAAAAAATGATGAGTTCATGTCCTTTGTAGGGACATGGATGAAATTGGAAACCATCATTCTCAGTAAACTATCTCAAGGACAAAAAACCAAACACCACATGTTCTCACTCATAGATGGGAATTGAATAATGAGAACACATGGACACAGGAAGGGGAACATCACACTCTGGGGACTGTTGTTGGGTGGGAGTAGGGGGGAGGGATAGCATTAGGAGATATACCTAATGCTAAATGACGAGTTAATGGGTGCAGCACACCAGCATGGCACATGTATACATATGTAACTAACCTGCACATTGTGCACATGTACCCTAAAACTTAAAGTATAATAATAATAAAAAAAAGAAAGAAAAAAGAGAAAAAAAAATTTAGACAATCTGCTCCACAAATCTCAAATAGTATGGGCAGATACGAGTTTACAAAGTGAAGAGGAGAAAACATCTATAACCAAATCTAACGTTTTTTCTTTTACCATCGATAGGATTTCTAAGCTCCCTATTCTATTTCTTCTCCACCAAATCCAGAATACATTTGGTGTAGAAACTGTTTTGCTTTTTAGCTGGGCAGATTTGGTATTTGGACATGTTTATCTGATAAATGCAGTGGAACCAAATTACATTTTTTGGGGTCATACAGTATTTGAAATCAGCCAAATACAGTATTTTTACTTCACTTGTAAAACTCATTACCATATACAGCTTTTGTCAAATATAACTGCAAAATCTCAGTAATTCAGAATTGTCAATTTCTGATTTATATGCCTACCAACAGGGGATTGTTGGTGGTTATTATATGCCTGTAAGATGATAAGAAATGCACAATGTCCTGAGCATAAGACATACTCATGGTATGCTTATTTAGGCCTTTAAATATATATTTGGTTTGACAATTTTTTTTTCCCATTTGATTCCATTGGCTATTTGAATAGTAGAAGCCCTCTTTGCCCATGAAGGACTTGATGGAAGAGATGCTTTGTTTTTCTTCATTGTTTTGTTAACACTGAATGCTGACTATGAGCAAGGGAGGGAGACAGTCCTTATGGAGCAAATCAAGATAAATAGGGTAACAACTCTCCTTACTGTGTATCCTGCAATGTGAAATAGAATGCTGGGCTTCCAAGAAGGAAGGTCTCAGCAGCAAGACTGGAACTATAAGTGCTTGCTTTGCATCTGGGCTTTAAAGCACAGGTGGGATTTGAATAGGCCAAAATTGTTAACAGGGTAAAATGAACATCATAGACAAAGGCAAAGACATACAATATAAGCAAAGGCAAATTGACTGAAACATAGGGTACGTGAAAGGTGAGGAGAAAAATAACTGTGAAGAAAGATTAGAGTCAAACAGTGGAAAAATTTTAATATTGTACTAAACAGTTTGGATTTGATTCTGTACCTCGTTCAGAGAAATTACCATTATAATGTAGTATGATTACTACAGTTAGAAATAGAGGTGAGCATGGGGTGCTAAGCAAATGATAAGAAGGGGCGTCAAGTCAAGATAGTATAAGGGAAGTGTTGAAAAGATTTTCCAAAAGAGGTACCATAGAATTCAGTTGCAGGAAGAGAAGTTAACTAAATAAGAATAGGTGGGGAGGGGAGAGAAGAGGGCCTAGGAGTGGGGAGGACCCAGTGCCAAAGCCTGGAGCCTGCCAGCCTTCAGTCATGGCCAAGATTCAAAGTCCCCTGTTATTGTAGCTTCTCTCTACTGACCTTTTGTTTAAATTTGAGTAATCATTTTTCATTTTTTATGAATCACATATACACATGCACATGTATATATCTGCTTTCCTGAGCTCCTGTTCAGCATGAGAAAAGCATTATTATAACACCAGTTTGAATTAATTAGAGCCCAAAGGAAGACACTTGTTATTTTGGTTATCATTTGTTATTTTTATAAATTCATTATTTAGGCATCTTGAAATATTAAAATTAATTCATAACTCCCCTTACTGTCTTATACTCCCAGTACCCCAGGCCCTCAGATTGGGAACTATCTGTAATATAGTTGTCCTGGAATGGATAAATTGTATAATCTAGAAACTCTACTATTTTAGTGTATAAAAAGTGAAGCTCACTCGCTGCTCCACAAAGGGCAAGGAATTGATTTTGGAATCTTTCAGAAATAGGAATCTAAATTGAGAACACCATTTCTATTGTAGCATTTCTTTTTATTGCTGCGAAACAGCAAGTTAAGACAAATTACAGTTAAATATTAGTTAAAGGTCACATGATGTGCCACATAAACATTTTGGGCACTATGTAACTTTTAAACTTGGTCTATTACATGCTTAATTTAAATGGAATGTTAATTTAAACATTTTTCAAAAGATTTTTGAATATTACTCAATTAAAAAAATCTCATGGGCTGCTTGCTTTCTTACCTTCAGGACAGGGTTGTTTACTCCAGACATGGCATTTGAAGCGATAGTCAAGAAACAGATTGTAAAGTTGAAAGGGCCTTCCTTGAAGAGTGTGGATCTGGTAATACAAGAATTAATCAACACTGTGAAGAAGTGTACCAAAAAAGTAAGTTCGAATTATTTAACTTTCCAGTACGTGGCTTTGGTTTATCAACATTCCCTATCTCATTGCATGATTCTCTTTCCCTGACCCTCACTTTGTTATAGATGTTGTGTGTTTGCCTACAGGGAATGGTTGTGGAAAGTACTGAGTGGGAATTGCTTTCATGAAGGGCAGACATACTGTCTTCTATCATTCCTAATACGGTGGTTTAGAAAGAGTATATTTCTTTGGCTGATTTTCCCCATGTTGTCTTAAACAAATAAACATTATTTCCAAACTATTAGGCAAATGCCCTAAGCTCATTTTTCCTGTGGTGCATGGATGAGGGTAATTGTTAGAGAAGGAAATCACTGATAGTACATATATCAATAAGAAAATTCTTCTAAATTGCAAATATGTATTCCACTTGAGTCTGGCTGTTCTGGGAAGGGGCAGTGTAGTGTAGTGGATAAGAACCCAGCCTTGGGGTTTCAATGACCTAGATTGAAATCCTGGCTCTGATACTTTCTGTGTGACCTTGGGCTTAACCTCTCTAGTCTTGTTAATTTATCTGTGAAATGAGGATGATGATGATAATAGTAATACCACCTTAGTGAGGATTAAACAAGATGATGCCTGAAACCTATGGGACACCTAGCACACTGATTAACCATAATTTAAGTGCTCAATAAATGGTGGCTGATCCATAAATTGCCATTTTAGCAGCAGTCAGTATTCTCTACCCTGAATATCTATTAAATCTATGCTGTAGAGTGCTGGGGCAAGACTTCCCAAGTAGGAGGACTCCTCACTGAGGAATATGGAGAACATGTGCTGAATTCCTCGGTTCATGAAAAGAATATCTTGTATTGAAAAACACAAAAAGAGAATTAGTGATGGTATTTACAGTAGGGTAGGTCTAGCCCCCTGACAGTTAACACTTGTGCTTTTAATATTTCTTCAACCTATGGATAATTCTGTTTTTGTTAGTTTTGTTATCCTTCCCTTTATAGATGGTTACTAGCAGTTACCTTTCTGAAAAACCAGTGGGAAGAAAGAGAGAGAATGAGAGGGACAGAGAATGAGAATGAATATGAATATTAGTTCCCAGTTACCTGACAGAAAGGCTCAGGTAAAGAACAGATGTACATAGTAGAAGAGGCAAATGGGCTGAATTCCTAGATGTGAAGGCTAAAAGAAAAGCAGTAAATGGAACTAGCTTAGGACCCAGAGGTGACTGGGAGGTTCAGACCCCTTCTCTAGAGCTCCTACTGCTCTTCCACCTCATTTCCTAAACTCCTGGTTTCTCTTCTCCAAAACAAGAAAGAGCCACAGGAGTTAAGGGACTGAGGGACAGAAAGAAGAATGCCCATGGAGTTGAAAAAAATCAATCTTTCTACCATCTCACCAGTTGGAAACTTCAAGTCAGTTGCTAACACTCCTCATCCCTGCTGCCCTCACCTACTCTTCAGAATGCAACCTATCGTGTCCCTTGTACATTTAAAGCTCTCTTAATTGATCTCTCTACTGACTTTCAAGATTAACTGATACTGAGTTTCCTACTAACCCTAAGGATTGCCACTCTCAGCACACAGATGTGTTTAGCCAGAGGCTTCTCTTTAGGTTGTCCATGTCTCTTACTCCCACCAATTATCCTGTCTTCTTTACAAGGGACAGTTGTGCTGTGTCTGTTCCCAAACCCATTTAGCCAGTTGCACTTATTTTAATAATATACTTTAAATAAAGAGAGTAATTAAACTGACCCAATGCAGAAAAGACTTTGAGTTTTGTTTCTATGAAAACTAAACTGAATGCTATGAAAAGACTTGATAACTGTTAGCTACAAAAGCTCTGCTATTGACTAGGTGTAGGCAAGGTAATGAAAAGAATGTGTGTGTGTGAGGGATTATAAAAATCTGGATAGGTTTGGCATTCAAATTATTTCACAAGTATCTTCATGTTCTCCCTCCACTGTAAAGAAAGCAAAACTGGAAATCATAGATGAAGGATGTGGTTTATGTAAGACAGAAGATGCATAACTCCAATCAGCAGATCCATATGCAGAGAACAGATCTTGGCCTTACATCAAAAGATTGGCACATGTGTGGACATTTATGTTTTAAGTTATATAAAGTGTTTATGGTATGCATGAATCTTTTTTTTTTATCATTTCCCATTTTATCCAACCTACTGGAAAGCCAACAGTCAGTTCTGATGGCATGGGATGAGACAGCTTGTTCCCAGACACTTTTTGGCTTCTATTCTTGCTCTCTACCCTTTCCATTATGCTCCTTGGATTGGTCTTCTATACATTTTTACTATCTTCTCAAAACATTTTATAGTTTGCCTTAGTTAAACACAAAATCTAGCTTTTCCCCTGAGGTTACTATTTACCCTTTAGCTTTCTTCAGTGAAGGATATTTATTCCAGCCTAAACTGGAAAAATCTGAGGGCCTTTATTGGGTATGACATTTGCCATTTTTCCTTTTGTGGCTTCCAAAGATTATTCCTTCACCTTCTCATAGTCTTCCATTAAGGCCCAGGTGGTGCCAGCTGTACCTGTTCCTTATATTCACTGTCACCACCAAGTTCCAGGTCACTCCCTTGCATTCATCAGGATCTTTAGAACCTGGCTTACATTTTTCCTCTCCATACCCAATTCACCTTCAACGTGGAAGTGTTCAGTGTCCATGTAGATATCATGTCCAATGCCTAAAAGCTACTTTTCTTTGAAATCTTTGCTCTCCATTCAGTCCACTCTAGCATCATAGTTTCATGACTTCTGGCTCTTGTTGTCATCAAAAAATGTTTTACTAGGAAATTGTAAACCTTAAAGGGCCTGCAGAATGCTGATCACCCCCTTCATCCTCTTTAGATTTTAAGCCAATTGGGAAATTAATGGAAAAGCTCTATTTTGAAGGTTTGAAATTTAGTGTCCACTTCACTGCTGACAGATCTAGGTTGGAAAATGTGTCTGGGCCTTGCTGCTAAAGTGGGAGCCTCCTGTTATTTCCCCTTCCAGCATTAAACCTTAGAGCCCACAAGGTGTATGGGTGAGCAGATGTACATCCATCATTAGTTTTTTTATCTATTACTTCAGTTCCACTTGGATTAACTTTGCCACCTGTTGAAACTCCAGGACTGCTAAAATTTACTGCTTATCTTTATTTTCCTTTCCCCCAGGCTTCTGAAGAGCTTGGAGATAATTGTCTATTTGTGTGAACTGGTGCCCCAATATATTCATGGTCTTCTTCTTAGTCCAATTTCAACTGCTGCCCCATAGTGCTTCAGTGTCTTAGTAATTAGCAGCCTCCTGTGTTCTCCATGATAATGATGTTAAACTTTTAGCACTCTCTTCAAGCGACCTGACTCATCACTTTCATCC
The DNA here is from genome assembly GCF_000001405.40 of Homo sapiens. Classification (NCBI taxonomy): domain Eukaryota; kingdom Metazoa; phylum Chordata; class Mammalia; order Primates; family Hominidae; genus Homo; species Homo sapiens. The sequence goes on from NC_000001.11 coordinate 172,052,112, forward strand.
TCACTTTCAATGAAGGTTTCGCAGAAAAAATAGGGGCCATAAATGGGCACTATGAAACATTGATTCTTGCCTTCTATCCCTCAAACTTACCTGTATTCACAGCCACACCCCCTTCTTATCCTTGTCTCTGTTGAGATAGTATTCCTGATCAAGGGGGTGGGGGGTGGTTTCCTATCTGTACTCTCACCTCCTTAGAGGATGTACTCTTTTTAGCCTTTTATTTCCTGAATCATCATCTTCTCCATCACATTTTAAAAAATCAACATATAAATATATCTATGTCTGTCCTAATTTAAAAAGAAACAGTGACAAACACTCACCTGCTGCCCTATTTTTCTCCTCTCATGGTCAGCCTTCTTGGGAAAAAAGTAGTTTATGCTTTGCATCTTTACTGTGTCATCTCCAGTTAATTCCTCAACTGAAATTTGGATTCTACCCCACTACTCTATAGAGTTAATTATTGCAAAGATCAGTGAGAGTCCTGATTGCCAAGCCTAAAGGACGCTCTTATTCCTGAGACTATATTCCACTCTCTTTATAAAGCTGGCACTCCTCTCTCATGGGTTCTCTTCCCTCTTTCTCTTTATTCCTTCTCTACCTCCTTTGAGCATTCATCCATTTTTGCTTGCCTCTAAACACTGCGATCCCACAGAGCTTACTCCTGGTTTTATTCTCTTCTTACTATATTTTCTCCTTGACAGATCATGTCTGTAATAGTTCAACTACCACTTAAAATATTGGTGATTCCCAAATCTGTACCTCTAGCTCAAGCCTCTTTATGGAAACTGTCTACAGACTACTGCAACTATTCTCTTTTCTTACTTAAGGCCCTGAACATTACTTTTAAGCCTGAATTATTCCAGTGGCCCCCTAACTGATCTATTTCTAGCCTGGTCACCCTCAAATTCATCTTTGCCATTGCTGTCAAAGTGATTTTTCTAAAATACAGCTATGCCTTTTGCCTATATCCTCAAAATTATTCAACGACTCCTCAGAGCCTTGAAAATAAAGTTCAGATCATTTAGGGTTGTATTTAGGTTCCCTGTCTGATCTCTGAATACTTCTCCAGCTATATCTTTGGTCCCACTGCTTGCTTCAGCCATTCTAGATGATTTGCACTATCCTCAAAGATTTTTCCTTCTTTTGACATTTGCATAAGTGATTCCTTTTGTCTAGAATGTCTCACTTTCCCTCCTGTGTTTACCTGCCATCCCCTCTCATTTTTAGGGAGGCAGCTCAATCATCCTATTTTCCTTAAAATCTTCCTAAAGGGCCTCTGTGAGTCACTTCCTGGTCTCTCTCCCAACTCCCTTTTTAGTGCTTCTGTTGATACCCTATGTGTATTTATATCATAGCATTTATGATACTGCCTTGAGATTTATTTGTATGTATTTGTTTACATATCTCCTCTTGTTGATTGTAAGCTCCTTTGAAAAAAAAGGCGCTGTGTTTTTTATCTTCTCTCTAGCCTGTAACACAGTGACCAACTCCACATAGGGGCATTTTATAAATATTTACTAACAATTTAGATGTTCTAAAGTTATCCAGTGGTCAAAAATATATATACTTGGTTTTAAAATAGTATTTTAGCCATTCCTTTTAAAATGATAAAATTTAGGCAGGTTTTCTTTCAAACATCTATCCTTTTCCTTATGCTGCATTTTGATGTTTTTCATTTTTGGCCTTATTAGGTATACTTTCAATATCTTTTATTTAAAAACTGGTCTAATTAAAATATTTTGCAAAGCAAAATAATCCTAATTAGAGTTGAGTCTGCTGGGACTTTATTACTTGCCTCGTTTTGAACATGAGCCATAGATAAGGTGACTATATAATTTATTGTTCAGTGCAGGACATTTTTGAGACTTAAAGGGAGTGCTATGAATACTTTCACTGGAGTAATAGGAGTAAACAAAGACTGCCTCAGGCAATGTGAAAATAAGTAATTCCAGCTATATTGTAATTATATATATATTTCTGTTATAGCATATATACATATATAAACATAAAATACAGTTTTCATTTACAACTCCTCATGTGATGCCTCATGTGTAAAAACCTTAAATGCTTTTTTCTTAAGCTGCATAAATAAACACCAGTGAAAAACATATGTGATTTATGTGTGTTCAAACAACAAAACACAAAGCTAGACTCCTAACCTGGGGAAATGCATTTCTTCCCAGATACTTTCTCACTGTTGTCTCTGGGGCACTGGAGGATAAGACAGGAACATTAGAGCTTTATGAGCTATTTGGCTTCATGCCAGGGACATCTCAACTTTGAAATTATTTTGGTGGGCATCTCTTTTCAGCTGCTTTCCTTTACCTCCTCTTCACCAGTGCATCATCACAGGGTGCTGAAGGTCTTTTCAGAAAGCACTGAGAGGAACATCTTGATTTTTTTTTTAACCACAGTTTAGCAACTGTGCCATTTACTGGCCTCTTGGGAACCGACATTCTTGGATCATTATTATACTAATTAATTGATTTTTTTCTTGTTTAGAAAAAAAAAGTTTTGCAAGGAGAAAAAAAATACCTTAGTCAGCTATTAGAAATACAGGGAAAGGGCCAGGCGAGGTGGCTCATGCCTGTAATCCCATCACTTTGGGAGGCCGAGGCGGATGGATCACCTGAGATCAGGAGTTCGAGACCACCCTGGCCAACATGGTAAAACCCCATCTCTACTAAAAATACAAAACTTAGCCAATCATGGTGGGGGGTGCCTATAATCTCAGCTACTCAGGAGGCTGAGGCAGGAGAATTGCTGGAACCTGGGAAGCGGCGGTTGCAGTGAGCCGAGATTGCACTATTGCACTCCAGCCCAGGCAACAACAGCGAGACTCCATTTCCCCCCCGCCCCCCCAAATAAAGAAAAAGAAATACAGGGAAAGATTTTCCATTAAGAAGTGCTGTTAGAAGAAATGCCAAATTTTGTGGCTTATTAGGTAAGTAAATATCTAGCTCTGAATACACATAACTAAACAAGTGAATCCAAGTCCTTACCATGGCTTACAAGGCCCTAGACAATCTTGCCCCCTGCTTTTCATCTCTAAACTCATCTTCTCCCCTTTCTCTCCTCCTCTTGGTCCACTCCAGCTGCACTGGATTCCTTGTTTATTTAGCAGGCCAAGGAAACATGTCTGTAGAGCCTTTGCACTTCTCATTCTTAATGTGGGAAATGATCTGCCCCAAGATATCTGCATGGATCAAACCATTGCTTCTTTCAGGCCTCTGCTATTCAAATGCCCCATAAAGCAGAGTCTTTCTCCGACTTTTCTATTTTCAGTTGCATAGCCTTCCCACAAATACACACACACACACACACCACACATGCACACCATCGTTAATCTACTTACCAAACTTTTTCTTTGCAGTATATATTACTATTAATATATTAATTATATTATTTATGTCTGCTGTTGCTGTGTTATAAGATAATTAAGGGACCTTGAGAATACAAGTTCCATGAGAATAAGAACTTGGCTTATTAAGCTCATCGCTCTATTTTCCACCCCTAAAACAGCCTGGTTTTCAACAATGATTATTGAATGAATAATTTAAAAAATGAATTATGTCTCATTGATTCAGCAGGTGACGGTCAGTTTGGCTGAAGTAGGATGAAGGAAAATGGCTTCAAAGCATCATACTATTTAGGACTTTCTTTTAGGTTTATATAGATGTGCTATGGTTTTTACACTGTATGAAAATACTTGCATTTCGGGGAGGAGCCAAGATGGCCAAATAGGAACAGCTTCGGTCTACAGCTCCCAGCATGAGCGACGCAGAAGACTGGTGATTTCTGCATTTCCATCTGAGGTACCGGGTTCATCTCACTAGGGAGTGCCAGACAGTGGGCGCAGGTCAGTGGGTGCGTGCACCGTGCACGAGCCGAAGCAGGGTGAAGCATTGCCTCACTCCGGAAGTGCAAGGGGTCAGGGAGTTCCCTTTCCTAGTCAAAGAAAGGGGTGACGGACGGCACCTGGAAAATCGGGTCACTCCCACCTGAATACTGTGCTTTTCCGACAGGCTTAAAAAAGGGCACACCACGAGATTATATCCCGCACCTGGCTCAGAGGGTCCTACGCCCACGGAATCTCGCTGATTGCTAGCACAGCAGTCTGAGATCAAACTGCAAGGTGGCAGCGAGGCTGGGGGAGGGGCACCCGACATTGCCCAGGCTTGCTTAGGTAAACAAAGCAGCAGGGAAGCTCGAACTGGGTGGAGCCCACCACAGCTCAAGGAGGCCTGCCTGCCTCTGTAGGCTCCACCTCTGGGGGCAGGGCACAGACAAAGAAAAAGACAGCAGTAACCTCTGCAGACTTAAATGTCCCTGTCTGACAGCTTTGAAGAGAGCAGTGGTTCTTCCAGTACGCAGCTGGAGATCTGAGAACGGGCAGACTGCCTCCTCAAGTGGGTCCCTGACCCCTGACCCCCGAGCAGCCTAACTGGGAGGCACCCCCAAGCAGGGGCACACTGACACCTCACACGGCAGGGTACTCCAACAGACCTGCAGCTGAGGGTCCTGTCTGTTAGAAGGAAAACTAACAAACAGAAAGGACATCCACACCAAAAACCCATCTGTACATCACCATCATCAAAGACCAAAAGTAGATAAAACCACAAAGATGGGGAAAAAACAGAACAGAAAAACTGGAAACTCTAAAAAAGCAGAGTGCCTCTCCTCCTCCAAAGGAACACAGTTCCTCACCAGCAAAGGAACAAAGCTGGACGGAGAACGACTTTGACGAGCTGAGAGAAGAAGGCTTCAGATGATCAAATTACTCTGAGCTACGGGAGGACATTCAAACCAAAGGCAAAGAAGTTGAAAACTTTGAAAAAAATTTAGACGAATGTATAACTAGAATAACCAATACAGAGAAGTGCTTAAAGGAGCTGATGGAGCTGAAAACCAAGGCTCGAGAACTACGTGAAGAATTCAGAAGCCTCAGGAGCCGATGTGATCAACTGGAAGAAAGGGTATCAGCAATGGAAGATGAAGTGAATGAAATGAAGCGAGAAGGGAAGTTTAGAGAAAAAAGAATAAAAAGAAACGAGCAAAGCCTCCAAGAAATATGGGACTATGTGAAAAGACCAAATCTACATCTGACTGGTGTACCTGAAAGTGACGGGGAGAATGGAACCAAGTTGGAAAACACTCTGCAAGATATTATCCAGGAGAACTTCCCCAATCTAGCAAGGCAGGCCAACGCTCAGATTCAGGAAATACAGAGAATGCCACAAAGATACTCCTCGAGAAGAGCAACTCCAAGACACATAATTGTCAGATTCACCAAAGTTGAAATGAAGGAAAAAATGTTAAGGGCAGCCAGAGAGAAAGGTCGAGTTACCCTCAAAGGGAAGCCCATCAGACTAACAGCGGATCTCTCAGCAGAAACTCTACAAGCCAGAAGAGAGTGGGGGCCAATATTCAACATTCTTGAAGAAAATAATTTTCAACCCAGAATTTCATATCCAGCCAAACTAAGCTTCATAAATGAAGGAGAAATAAAATACTTTACAGACAAGCAAATGCTGAGAGATTTTGTCACCACCAGGCCTGCCCTAAAAGAGCTCCTGAAGGAAGCACTAAACATGGAAAGGAACAACCGGTACCAGCCGCTGCAAAATCATGCCAAAATGTAAAGACCATCAAGACTGGGAAGAAACTGCATCAACTAACGAGCAAAATAACCAGCTATCATCATAATGACAGGATCAAATTCACACATAAAAATATTAACTTTAAATGTAAATGGACTAAATGCTCCAATTAAAAGACACAGACTGGCAAGTTGGATAAAGAGTCAAGACCCATCAGTGTGCTGTATTCAGGAAACCCATCTCATGTGCAGAGACACACATAGGCTCAACATGAAAGGATGGAGGAAGATCTACCAAGCAAATGGAAAACAAAAAAAGGCAGGGGTTGCAATCCTAGTCTCTGATAAAACAGACTTTAAACCAACAAAGATCAAAAGAGACAAAGAAGGCCATTACATAATGGTAAAGGGATCAACTCAACAAGAAGAGCTAACTATCTTAAATATATATGCACCCAATACAGGAGCACCCAGATTCATAAAGCAAGTCCTGAGTGACCTGCAAGGAGACTTAGACTCCCACACGTTAATAATGGGAGACTTTAACACCCCACTGTCAACATTAGACAGATCAACGAGACAGAAACTCAACAAGGATACCCAGGAATTGAACTCAGCTCTGCACCAAGTGGACCTAATAGACATCTACAGAACTCTCCACCCCAAATCAACAGAATATACATTTTTTTCAGCACCACACCACACCTATTCCAAAATTGACCACATAGTTGGAAGTAAAGCTCTCCTCAGCAAATGTAAAAGAACAGAAATTATAACAAACTATCTCTCAGACCACAGTGCAATCAAATTAGAACTCAGGATTAAGAATCTCACTGAAAACCCCTCAACTACATGGAAACTGAACAACCTGCTCTTGAATGACTACTGGGTACATAACGAAATGAAGGCAGAAATAAAGATGTTCTTTGAAACCAAGGAGGACAAAGACACAACATACCAGAATCTCTGGGATGCATTTAAAGCAGTGTGTAGAGGGAAATTTATAGCACTAAATGCCCACAAGAGAAAGCAGGAAAGATCCAAAATTGACACCCTAACATCACAATTAAAAGAACTAGAAAAGCAAGAGCAAACACATTCAAAAGCTAGCAGAAGGCAAGAAATAACTAAAATCATAGCAGAACTGAAGGAAATAGAGACAAAAAAAACCCTTAAAAAATTAATGAATCCAGGAGCTGGTTTTTTGAAAGGATCAACAAAATTGATAGACTGCTAGCAAGACTAATAAAGGAGAAAAGAAAGAAGAATCAAATAGACGCAATAAAAAATGATAAAGGGGATATCACCACAGATCACACAGAAATAAAAACTACCATCAGAGAATACTACAAACACCTCTACGCAAATAAACTAGAAAATCTAGAAGAAATGGATAAATTCCTTGACACATACACTCTCCCAAGACTAAACCAGGAAGAAGTTGAATCTCTGAATAGACCAATAACAGGCTCTGAAATTGTGGCAATAATCAATAGCTTACCAACCAAAAAGAGTCCAGGACCAGATGGATTCACAGCCGAATTCTACCAGAGGTACAAGGAGGAACTGGTACCATTCCTTCTGAAACTATTCCAATCAATAGAAAAAGAGGGAATCCTCCCTAACTCATTTTATGAGGCCAGCATCATTCTGATACCAAAGCCTGGCAGAGACACAACCAAAAAAGAGAATTTTAGACCAATATCCTTGATGAACATTGATGCAAAAATCCTCAATAAAATACTGGCAAACTGAATCCAGCAGCACATCAAAAAGCTTATCCACCATGATCAAGTGGGCTTCATCCCTGGGATGCAAGGCTGGTTCAATATATGCAAATCAATAAATGTAATCCAGCATATAAACAGAACCAAAGACAAAAACCACATGATTATCTCAATAGATGCAGAAAAAGCCTTTGACAAAATTCAACAACCCTTCATGCTAAAAACTCTCAATAAATTAGGTATTGATGGGACGTATTTCAAAATAATAAGAGCTATCTATGACAAACCCACAGCCAATATCGTACTGAATGGGCAAAAACTGGAAGCATTCCCTTTGAAAACTGTCACAAGACAGGGATGCCCTCTCTCACCACTCCTATTCAACATAGTGTTGGAAGTTCTGGCCAGGGCAATTAGGCAGGAGAAGGAAATAAAGGGTATTCAGTTAGGAAAAGAGGAAGTCAAATTGTCCCTGTTTGCAGACGACATGATTGTATATCTAGAAAACCCCATTGTCTCAGCCCAAAATCTCCTTAAGCTGATAAGCAACTTCAGCAAAGTCTCAGGATACAAAATCAATGTACAGAAATCACAAGCATTCTTATATACCAACAATCGACAAACAGAGAGCTAAATCATGAGTGAACTCCCATTCACAATTGCTTCAAAGAGAATAAAATACCTAGGAATCCAACTTACAAGGGATGTGAAGGACCTCTTCAAGGAGAACTACAAACCACTGCTCAAGGAAATAAAAGAGGATACAAACAAATGGAAGGACATTCCATGCTCATGGGTAGGAAGAATCAATATCGTGAAAATGGCCATACTGCCCAAGGTAATTCACAGATTCAATGCCATCCCCATCAAGCTACCAATGCCTTTTTTCACAGAATTGGAAAAAACTACTTTAAAGTTCATATGGAACCAAAAAAGAGCCCGCATCACCAAGTCAATCCTAAGCCAAAAGAACAAAGCTGGAGGCATCACACTACCTGACTTCAAACTATACTACAAGGCTACAGTAACCAAAACAGCATGGTACTGGTACCAAAACAGAGATATAGATCAATGGAACAGAACAGAGCCCTCAGAAATAACGCCGCATATCTACAACTATCTGATCTTTGACAAACCTGAGAAAAACAAGCAATGGGGAAAGGATTCCCTATTTAATAAATGGTGCTGGGAAAATTGGCTAGCCATATGTAGAAAGCTGAAACTGGATCCCTTCCTTACACCTTATACAAAAATCAATTCAAGATGGATTAAAGACTTAAATGTTAGACCTAAAACCATAAAAACCCTAGAAGAAAACCTAGGCATTACCATTCAGGACATAGGCATGGGCAAGGACTTCATGTCTAAAACACCAAAAGCAATGGCAACAAAAGCCAAAATTGACAAATGGGATCTAATTAAACTAAAGAGCTTCTGCACAGCAAAAGAAACTACCATCAGAGTGAACAGGCAACCTACAAAATGGGAGAAAATTTTCGCAACCTACTCATCTGACAAAGGGCTGATATCCAGAATCTACAATGAACTCAAACAAATTTACAAGAAAAAAACAAACAACCCCATCAAAAAGTGGGCAAAGGACATGAACAGACACTTCTCAAAAGAAGACATTTATGCAGCCAAAAAACACATGAAAAAATGCTCATCATCACTGGCCATCAGAGAAATGCAAATCAAAACCACAATGAGATACCATCTCACACCAGTTAGAAGGGCAATCATTAAAAAGTCAGGAAACAACAGGTGCTGGAGAAGATGTGGAGAAATAGGAACACTTTTACACTGTTGGTGGGACTGTAAACTAGTTCAACCATTGTGGAAGTCAGTGTGGCGATTCCTCAGGGATCTAGAACTGGAGATACCATTTGACCCAGCCATCCCATTACTGGGTATGTACCCAAAGGACTATAAATCATGCTGCTATAAAGACATATGCACATGTATGTTTATTGCAGCACTATTCACAATAGCAAAGACTTGAAACCAACCCAAATGTCCAACAATGATAGACTGGATTAAGAAAATGTGGCATATATACACCATGGAATACTATGCAGCCATAAAAAATGATGAGTTCGTGTCCTTTGTAGGGACATGGATGAAATTGGAAATCATCATTCTCAGTAAACTATCTCAAGAACAAAAAACCAAACACTGCATATTCTCACTCATAGGTGGGAATTGAACAATGAGATCACATGGACACAGGAAGGGGAACATCACACCCTGGGGACTGTGGTGGGGTGGGGGGAGGGGGGAGGGATAGCATTGGGAGATATACCTAATGCTAGATGACAAGTTAGTGGGTGCAGCGCACCAGCATGGCACATGTATACATATGTAACTAACCTGCACAGTGTTCACATGTACCCTAAAACTTAAAGTATAATAATGAAAGAAAAAAATTAAAAAAAAAGAAAATACTTGCATTTCACCCCCTCTAATGGTTGCCATCCAGTCAAACTCTGTGCTGTGCTTTGCATGTAATACATGTCTAATGTAATAGGCTTTAGTGCCCAGGCTTCGAATCAGACTGGTTATTAAAGTCTGAAACTTTTGTTGGGTATTATAGGAAATTCAGGCCTGGGACTTGGTTTTAATGGGATAGAATCTCACCTTTTCATCTTACAACTCATTAAAGGATTTGCAATCTTTATAATTGGTTCTTAATTTATAATTTACCATGGTCCCTGATTTTCCTCCCACTTTCTGTTGTGAAGTTTTTTTCCATTTTAACTGCTCATTAATATGTCTACCAGAGATAAACTTGGGAAGAGAGAGATAAAAATCTGGTTATGATCTTCAGGTGTTGTTTTGCCACCATGTCAACCCACCCTGGATTCCTTTTTGGATGTTTTCTGAATTACTTAAGTAAGAGGCTCTTCTGACTACTCTGCGGCACCCAAGTTTTATTCACTCAAGGTTGGACTTTTTGTTTTTGTTTTTCTACTCTCCTTGTTTCTTAGGTGAGGACTTTTTTGTTTTTATTCCTTAGCATTTCATAAATAACACTAGAGTTCTCTTCATTTCTCTGTTTAAAAGTTTTTCCATCTTATACCTCACCACTTCTCCTGCTATTTGTTGAAAATATTTGAGGTTTCTGGATTAAGGATTTGCCCACCTGGAGAAGGTGGGCTAACACTAGCCCACTTGGTCCCAGTTCACCTAGTTGGGATCTGGCACTCCTTTTCCCTTCCTGCCAACTTCACTTTGACCTTCTTTGACTTCTCATATGCCACTCATATGCCAATGTAGAACACCCCATAAGGAACTTTCCCATTAACCCCTGTACAACTTAGAAAACAGTCACTATTTCTTGATCTCTTTATATTAGAATTGCTTCTTATCTTCAATCACCTTTGTAAATGTTTCTACAAATACATCTGTTTAAAAAATTTTTTTCATAGCAAATGTGTTGTGCGCAGATGACTGCCTTCTCATATCCTGAATAAATACAACACTATGCTATATAAAAACAAAGGATTGCTAGGGATTTTGTTGGGTTGGGTGGGTGGTTAATTCACAGAAAATGAAATTAAAAAATTGTATGCTTTTATGAGTGCTAAAATTCATTATTTCTATTTGGTTTGTAGCAAGCAGCCAGCATTTAAAGGTTTATAGCTTTTTCATAAAAGCCCTTATCTTTAGGTCAGCCAAATCAATCAAGTCAAGTGATATGTATAGAAGAAATTTTGTTCTGAATTTATTTTCTTAGACGGTTACCTAATAACTCCAGTCTTTGCTAGAGGCATCAAACTTGTTCCTCTTGATGATATGGAAATCTTGCCTGGTCTCTTGACCATTTTGAGAAAAATGTACTAGCATAGCGTAGATCTTATGGTCTGATAAACTGTTAATACATTTTGGAAGTGTATAATTTTTGTTTTGTTGGATAGAAATGTCTCCCAAGTGTTTTTTTTTTTCTCTAGGAAAATGTGATCCATACTGAAATTAAATTTTTATATTGAGGTTCCACCAAAATAATTAATCAGTACCCTAAATAACACTTACAACATTGGACCTTATTAAAACATGTTTTGCTGCTTTCTCTCAGAACATGTATAATTAAAATATTCTCCTTGAATTAAATATTGAAGGTTTTGATTCCTAAAGTCGTGTATATTATATTATTTCTCCATTGAATCTTCTTTATTATTTAAGAATACTCTACCCAGGCTGGACTGGTGGTGGGCGCCTATAGTTCCAACTACTCAGGAGGCTGAGACAGGAGCATTGCTTGAACCCAGGAGGTGGAGGTTGCAGTGAGCCAAGATGTACCACTGCACTCCAGCCTGGGCAACAGAGCGAGACTTTGTCAAAAAAAAAAAAAAAAAAAAGAATATTCAATGCAATTTGAACTATAAGCTATTTAGAACTAATTTGCTGTATAATAAATGTATAGCTTTGACTGCAAGTTTCACTATTATAATATAAGCATCAAATCCTCAGAGGACCTCTCACACCTGGTTTATGCATTTATTTCTTCATATTTCCCATTGGTTTTTAAAAAATATTTCTCTTGTATGACTATTTATCTGTATAGGCAACCTGCCACTCAAGACTATGTGGTTTCTAATATCAGGTGTTATGATATAAACTGAGCATGGAGCTGGACTGTAGCAGTTGCACCATGAATGACTGATGTGACATAAATTTAGGAATGTAATTATTATAACTAATAGCAAATCCTTCATCCCTTGACTCTCTATAAACCAATTTATAGGTTATTTAATTAATCATTAGAGGAATAAAGGCCTAAAGACATCTTCTAGATCAATATTATTTAGGCATACATACTTAATATTCTGATTACTTTGACAAATAAGAACTCCCATATTCTTACAACTGTAGGCTTTTAATTTGACATTCAAATTAAAAAAGTGCAAAAGTGATTGACAATTATAATGGTATAAATGATTGAGGAAATGGTGATTGCACATTAAATAAGAGACATAGAAGAGAGGTGAGGGATTGAATTGAGCAATCAAAGTTAAGTATGTTTTAAAGCTAAGTAAAGGGTGACACAAACTGAGCAGGGCACAGTTTGAATGAGATCATGAAATAATCTCATTATGAGATTAAATGAGATAATGAAATGAGTGGTAGAAAGCCTAATCAGAAATCAATTGAAATGTCAGTAGGACTTTATTTTTTAACCTCTGTATGTATGTATCTTAAGAATTGGGACTATTTATATGTTTGGGACTATTTATATATATTTATATATTTTATATTTGAAAGCCAGCAGTTAAAACCAAGATTTTGACTCTTATACTCCCACAATCAGTTCAATATCAACCAGCTAGTAACCAAACCAGTTGTTTCATTAATGCCATTCAGTGGTGGGCCTAGATCCTACATTGCTTAGTGTCTCTTCAAGGTTTTTCCTCCTTTGTCTCCATAATGGTAGTTCTTCTAGTGTGTTCTCTGTTTCTTTTGTTCCACTTAGAATTCAGGCTTATTGACTTCCAGTTGTCTCAATTGTAGGTACAAAATTGTGGCTCTTACAGATTCCTTTTCTGGTAGAATTAAGCCCATGGGCAGTAAGCTTGAAAAGATCAGGAGACACACACGTGCACACAAATCAATGCTCCTGCCAAGGCCAGTAGATTGGAGGCATTCTTAGATGTCTCTACTTCATGGGATATTCTTGTCATTTTGGCCTTTCCCTGACTTAATGATGGCCATATACTGGCCTGGGGTCCTTCAGCTATCAAGTGTTTAGTATCTGAATAAATATTTATATTGCCACTATTTGATGGTTTTAAAAATAACTTTCTGCTGTAATCTATTTGCTAAATGCTGTTAAAGCCATCTCACTCTTCCTTGGTAGACCTCAAATGCTTGCGTAGTTACTTCTCTGAGGCAATGTGATTCTATAATAGTGTGGCTGTCATTGAATAGCTTGGGAAGCTGTCTGAGTGCAGGCGGAATTGATTGTCTTGGTGACCTAGGGCAGGCTAATGTTTGGTGTCAGATACACCACTCAGGTTTGCACTAGTCAAGAAGGACTGGAATTGATCAGCTATCTCTTCCACTCTGAAGGCTTTTATAAGCCTCACAAAAAATAACTTGGAGGACTTTCAGAGAGTCAAGAGGGGTTCTGGTATAATAGAGCTTTTTCTGGAGAATGTTTCCAAAATGGGAAGTATGAGCTCCATTTGTATCTTGCGGTAATTCATGAAATAAGCCCCCAGGTGAGCGTGCATCTCAGGATTCAGATAAGAGGGTGAGAAATCGAGGACCTCATGGAGACGCTGGTGATGATTTTTGTGGTAACCAAAGCAGTCAGGTTTCTATGGTTTTATGATGTTATGAACATAATCTATATCCACTGTTGAAATATTTGGAAAATGTAGATAAATAAAAGTGTGCATAATTCAAAGAGTTATTGCTATTAACACTTTATAGTATCTGTGCAAATCTTTTTCTATGCACAGAGAGTAGACTTGCAGCAATGGAAGATTTAATGTATATGAGATCTCGTGATTATGATGGTTTCATGAAGTACTGCAGTTTGTTAACTTGCTAAGACACTAATATATGTTGTGCATGCTATAAAGGTAATGTGCACAGTGACCTCAGGTGACCATACAGAAGCCCCATTTCAGGGAGGCCTAGATCTAACTCCTTATGAGTTTGGAGAAATATTACATGCTATAATATTACTCAAGAATGTTGGTATTTGTAAGATTGGGCTATATCCTTGAAAAATGTCAAGGGTGTATGGTGGTGTGTGACTCTGTGTGTGTGTGCATGTGTGTGTGGATGTGTCTTAGTCCATTTTCTGTAGTTTATAACAAAATACCTGAAACTGGGTATACAGAAAAGGAATTTATTTCTTTATACAGAAAAGGAATTTATACAGAAAAGGTATTTATTTCTTACAGTTATGGAAGACCCAGTGTTGAGGGTCTGCCTCTGGTAAGGGCCTTCTTGCTGGTGCAGGGTATCAATCATATTGTAAGGGTGCTGAGTGTGGTAGCATGCTAGCTCAGGTCGCTAGTCCTCTTCTTATAAAGCTACCAGTCCCACTCCCATAACCTATTAATCCATTAGTCCATGAATGGATTAATCCACTCATGATGGCAGAGCCTTCATGGCCCAATCACCTCTTAAAAGCCCCACTTGTCAATATAGCCACATTGGGGATTGAATTTTAACATGAATTTGGAGGAAAGAAATATCCAAACCAAAACATTATGCTTGTGCATAACCACATTATATATTTAGTAGCCTAATTTTCTTCAAATAGTGTTGTAAATACTTTACCATGTCATTAGTTATTATTAAAACTGTTATTCAAAATGGCTACATTACATCACGTAAGTGGATCTACCTTCATTTATTTAACATCATCAGATACTAGGTAGTTTATAGTTTGTTTATCTTATTGTTGCTTTTCCAACTAATGCTGTGATGAATGTCCTTATCATTGTAGTTCAGAATTCTGTGAGGTTATTAGGTTGAGATCTCTCTCTCTGTCTCTGTGTTTGTGTGTGTGTGTGTGTGTGTGTTTGTGTGTGTGTGCGCGCGTGCAAGACTTTTGATACATAATGTCAAATTGCTTTCCAGAAAGATTTCTCTTCTTGACACCCCTCAGCAAGTTTAAATTGTGCTAATCTCAGTATACCCTCACCTGTAGTAAGTCTTATAAAAAAATAGCAATTTGCCAATATAATAGTTATTTCTTTTCTTTGCATTAGATCACTTGTACAGTTTGTTTTTCCTTCTGCTTATTGACTATTAAGTCTTTTACAAATTAAATCATATTCTTTGCCTATTTTATTGAGCTATCTGTTAATCTTATTAATTTGCAAGCACTTTAAAAATCATCATTGGAATTAATATTTTGCCTGGCCTAAGTCATGAATGTGCCCACTTTTCTCCATTTCCATTGCTGTCATCCCAGTAGAAGCCACCATTATTTCCATTCCATCTGAATTGCTTCAGTAGCCTAAATTCCTGATAGAATTGCAAGGATCTGCTTGATGTGGCCCCTCTCTACTTTTCTAGCTTTGTCTGAGGATCATACTCCTCAGTTTCTGCACGGACTTTCTTTTACTTTTATCGCCACTAATTGCCCCCACTTCCACCATGCCTTCACACATGTTCCTGTTCCTGGCAAGCTTCATCTTCTCCACGGCCATTCTCACACACCTTTGCCTGTCTAAGTCTTCCTTCTGGATTAGGGCTCCTTAAACATTTTCATAGCATCCCATTCTCTTTCTTCCTTATATTGAAAACAACTGAATTAAGGTATTCACTTTTGCAAACTATGTTTTGAACAATTACCTGCATAATTTAGATGGGGTTAAGTGATTGACATACACAATTTCCATAGTTTTGCAAAAAAAATGTACATATACACATATATTTTCTGTGGGGGAGAATTTAAAAAGTTAAAGGAGTCTCTTTGTGCTTCATGGGATGAATCATGCTCGAAGAGTAATGGACAAGACCATGGGCTCTGGAGTCCTAGGACTTAGGTTGGAATCCTGAACCAACCATTTTTGAGCTGTTTAGTCATGGGCATGAGTTACTTAACCTCTCTGTGCTTCACTTTTCTCCTCTATTAAATGGGGTTGGCCGGGCGTGGTGGCTCACGCCTGTAATCCCAGCACTTTGGGAGACCAAGGCAGGTGGATCACCTGAGGTCAGAAGTTAGAGACCAGCCTGGCCAACATGGTGAAACCCTGTCTTTACTAAAAATACAAAAATTAGCTGAGCTTGGTGGCACGTGCCTGTAATCCCAGCTACTCGGGAGGCTGAGACAGGAGAATCGCTTGAACCCAGGAGGCAGAGGTTGCAGTGAGCTGAGATTGCGCCATTGCACTCCAGCCTGGGTGACAAGAGCAAAACTCTGTCTCAAAATAAATAAATAAATAAAATAAAAAAGAAATGAGGTTAATAATTATATCTGTCTTTTCTGATTGCTGTGAATAGTGAAAGAGGTAATTCATGAAGTTCTTAGCGCCTGACACGTGGTAGACACTATATAAAATGTTAGTCATTATCCTTTTCTTTGTCCTGTTTTCCGACTTCTTCATCTTTGAATTTTATTAAGTGCCAACTCAGCAGGAGCACAGTGCTAGATGGTATCTAGGGTTCTGCTTTCTTCCTAAGGAATTGCTCTGCTGGTTTTGAAGTGTTTCCTCAACATAACAAGGTTACTTCTGATGATAGTTTGTGAAGCCTCTCCCATCACCTTGACATCCTTCTTTAGGAGTTGATGATATTTCATTTTTGCTTCCAGAATGGCAATGAATATCTTCTGTAAAATAACATAATTTATCTCTGCTTCTTTTTTGGTAGTGTAACTTTTTGAGTATTAATACTCAGATCTGCTTTTCTTGACAGCTGGCAAACTTCCCCAGACTCTGCGAGGAAACGGAAAGGATTGTTGCTAACCACATTCGTGAGCGAGAAGGGAAGACAAAGGACCAGGTAAAGAGAGGTCTTCCCTGGTGGGCAGGGAGATTGTGGGAGGTCGAAGGTCTCTGCAAGGTTGTCTGGTAGTTCCCAACAGTCAGCCTGTCGCTTAAAGGAAAAAAAAATAGTGGAACACAACTACATTATGTTTATTTTTACTTATTTATGAATTATACACATACTATATTCATATCTTGTTTATGTTAAAAATATGAGCAAATAAAAAGACTTCATTCAGAAGAATGAGATGCAAAAGCAGTAACAGGAGTTTCATTATTTTTTTTCTCAATGCTCCATGGATCATGCATACATCCTACTTTGAAAACCACTAATCCAGAAACATACCACATTTTCTCTTTAAGACAGAGGTTCTTAACTTTTATTGGGCCCACAGATGGACTCCAGAAGATTCACAAACTCCTAAAACATTATGCAAAATGCTCAGTGTTTTCATTTTTTTCTGAGGAGAGAGTGGACCTAGATTTTCATCAGCTTATCCATACAACCTATGATTGAAAAAAAAATTGAGAACTACTCTTTTAAACATTTCTATTTTGTGAATGTATGTGGTTTGTAAGGAGTGACCCTGAAATTGTTTTCTAATCCTAGCTTTGTAATTTGGAAAGATTATTTTCAAGTGAGGATAATTCATTTAAAAAAGTAAAGGACTACGTGGAAAGAATAAAAATCTTCTTAGGTTTAAATGGATTTTTCTTAGTTACTTATAAAATATTATAACAGGAAATACAAATGGTTTTACATACCCTTGAATTCCATGACACAGCTGCACGTGTGATGTTGTGGAGAGAACACTGGACTTAGGCCATGTGCTCGCCACAAAATAACATCATGTTCTTGTGTAAATCACTTCTTTGGACTGTTGTTTTCTCATGTACAGCATTAATATATTGGTCTATATGCTCTCTGAAAGCCTGTGTAAGTTAGTATTACAGGATTTTGTGATTCTCAGATGAGTGGGAAGGAGGTGAGGGAGAAATGGGGAAAAGGAAGAAGACAAAATAAAAGAGAGAGGAAAAAACCACAGGGAGAGACACACACAGCACACAGAGTGTGCGTGGGGAAGAGGAGCAGGTGGAGGAGAAAGGAGAAAAGGAAGGACAGAGGGATGGAGACCCAGCAGATTGGGACATTCGTGAGTGATTCCAGTAACCACCTTGTCTCTGCTTGAGCTGTGGATTCATTGTCACTACTTTTTATCATTGTGTTTTGAAAGTTAATTAATCACCATTTATAGTTTTCACTTGTTTACCAACTTTCACAGTCTTGGATAGCTGCAATAGCCAAAAGAGGAGAAAACAGGCTTTGTGATTCAGTTGAGATGAACAAATCAGTATTAACTCCTGAGTCAGTGAAATCAAGCCTAGAGCCAGATATGGAGCCCTAGGGCCAGAGGTTCTCCCTAATGTCTAATGTCTTGGCCCCTCCTGGGCTGAGAAAACTTAAGTTCTTAAGAATCAGCTGTACTCCTGACCTTAAGTAAATAAGCTAACTGTTTTAATTTAGTGTTTTCATCTATAATATTCAAATGATAATAAATCCTACTTAACTCTTTAGGATCCGCTGTCAAAATAATATTGGAGAAAATATAGGATAATTATTTAAAGCATTTTAAATATTTGTAATCATATCTATGTCAGTTGCTAGCTTCTTCATATTTCAGAGTTTTTGTTTTAGTAAAATGGCATGTTCAAACTTCACCATGTTGTTAAGATTGTGGGCTCTGGGCTCAGACTACCTGAATTTGAATTTCAGCTCTGTTGTTAACATTTTGTGTAACTTGTGACAAGTTATTTGACATCTTTACACTTCAATTTTCGCATCTTAAAGTGAGACAATAGTGGTAGTTAACTCACAGACATTTTGTGAGGATGGAAAGAAGTAATCAAAATACAAGGCCAGGTGTAGTGGCTCACACCTGTAATCCCAGCACTTTTGGGAGGCTGAGGCAGGCAGATTGCTTGAGGTCAGGAGTTCGAGACCAGGCTGGGAAACATGGTGAAACCCTCTCTCTACAAAATATTAAACAATTAGCTGGGCACGGTGGCCTGCACTACCAGTAGTCCCAGCTACTCGGAGGCTGAGGTGGAAGGATCACATGAGCCTGGGAGGTTGAGGCTGCAGTGAGCTATGGTCATGCCACTGCACTCCAGCCTGGGTGACAGAGCAAGACCCTGCATATATATATATATATATATATATATATATATATCTTAGTTCTTAATTAATTTTAGTTGTTTTTGTTGTTATTCCCAAAGAGCTATGGCACATGGTAGATTCGAGGAAGAATTGCCTTTTCTGATTCCAAGGGAAATTGTTTTCAATCTGCAACTCAGTTACAGTGGTTAATTTATTCCTCAAGTAGGACATAAGGGATGGAGCAGGCATCTCCCTACTAAGTCACAGTCTCAGGTGGTGTGGTCCAACAGTTATCAAGTGCCTGTCAAAGCTGGTAGTGGTCACCTCTAATATGGACTTGTGTGGCATAGCAGAAACATGCCTGGTTTTGGTAGTGTGGACATGTCATTTTGGATGGATCTCGCATTTGAATTCTGGACTCTGCTGCCTGGGACCATGTGGTACTTTTAAAGTATCCAGTTAGACAGAGTGACCCATATCCTCAGGCCTCCGCGCCTGAACAGCTCTGGGACATTCTTGCAGTTTTATTTCTTTCTTTAAAAAGTAGAGTTACTACCAACTTCTGCTCTGGAAGCTTTGTGGGAAAAAAAAATCTTCAAAATTAAGAATATGGAAAGCCATAAATCTGTCTGTAGCTTTTTCTTAAACAAAGGTTTTTTGAATGTCTGAGTGTGCCAGCTGTTAGTCTTGGTGCTTCCATACATGTCACTGCATGTTGAAGCAGTGGACTTTCTGGGCAACTACTGCTACCAGGGGTAGCTTTACTTTGCTTCAACTAAATATTCAATAACTGTGGATGAAAAAGGCAGTGAGAAACTCTGAGAAAGTGAAAAAATGAGAAAAAAATGGATTATTTTTCTTTTCATCCCCCACATGCGACCTGGCTCTTTTCCTAGAGTGAACACAGACTCCCAGTTTCCAGGAATATAATGAGAACAGCCATAGCTTTTATTTTTTTTCCACTTTTTTTCCTATACTACAGTCCAAGTTAATGTGTGTGAACGTCCAAAAGCTATTCATGACAGCCTTTGGCAATGTTGAGAATTATGTAGATATTTTGCTCCTTATAGTGGCAACAATTTATTTGTGTTCAAATATTACAGTTTATTGGTACAAACTTTTGGCCAAATGGATTTGGAGTATACAATTTAACTGAATCTGGCTTTATTGTTGGGAGAAGAGAGGCAAAACTACAACTAATCCAATAATGATCACGCTTCCTAATGTTTCAGTTTTCTTCAAGATATGAAACAAAACTCTGACTGTATGAATTTTTTTCATACAAGTATGATGTTATTGACCTAATAGCCCCCATGCCTTGACTTTATTTTTGGTAGTGGGAGTAGATTTGGAGTGATCTTTTAAATCTTTTTTTGACAGGTCCCCTTGTGACTCTCAGCAAGAATTGGTCAGATGACTGGTTGAGATTAGCCACAAAAACAAAGCCTCCAGCCTATAGCACTGGGTACTGAGTACAAAACAAGAACAAGTGGCCACGTACTAATTATATATATGTATATGTGAGAATAAATCACTCCCTGGAAAGTTAACTGTTCTTGGCCAGGCACGGTGGCTCACGCCTGTAATCCCAGCACTTTGGGAGGCCAAGGTGGGTGGATCACCTGAGGTCAGGAGTTCAAGACCAGCCTGGCCAACATGGTGAAATCCCATCTCTACAAAAGTACAAAAATTAACTGGGCATGATGGCAGGTGCCTGTAATCCCAGCTACTTGGGAGGCTGAGGCGGGAGAATTGTTTGAACCCAGGAGGCGGAGGTTGCAGTGAGCTGAGATTGCACCATTGCACTCCAGCCTGGGCAATAGAGTGAGACTTGTCTCAAAAAACAACAACAAAAAAAAGAGTTAACTGTTCTTCAAGCCTGGTAGATAGTTACACAAATAAGGCCGCAAATGTTTATTGGGCACCTATTGTGTGTATCATGCTAGGCTCTAAGTTCTAAGGATAAAATGGTGAACAAGATAAACATAATCCTAGCTTCTATGGAGTGTACATTCTTGCAGAGAAGAGAAATATTAAAAAAAATTAATAATTAATTACATTTGTAGTAAATGCCACAAATAAGTATAGGGTGCTATATAGATATACACACACATACACAAACACACATATATGTATATATAGTGTATATATACATGTACATATATGTATGTATGTATATATGTGTGTATTTACATGTACATATATACATACATATACGTATATATGCTTATATGTATATATACACATATAAGTATATGTGTACATATTTGAACATATGTGCATATGTGTACATATTTGAACATATATGCATATGTGTACATATTGAAACATATATATGCATATAGGTATATATGTGTATATAGCACCCTATATTTTATAGAATACATAATTTTACGTATACATAATTTTATACATATACATAATTTTCTGTATGTATATAATTATGGCACATAGACTATTTGAGAGTAATAGTACAATCCAACCTGGTCTTGGTTGGGTAGGGGATAAGGATCATGGATGGCTTTCTTGAGGAAGTACCCACTGGGGAGCATTATGTAGAATATGTCTATGAACTGTTGCCATGAGGACTCTGATGCGTTCAAATGCTACCTTCAATGAAGGGAGGCAGCAAACAAATACTCACAATAGTCACCAAAATTTATCCAACAAAGTTGAAGAGCAGAGCTCTGGAGATATTCAGGCAGAGATCTGTAAGCACCGTATTTCTCCCTTTTAGCAAATCTCAGCATCCTGGAAAGAGACAGGATTCAGTTGGGAGAACACAAGGAAACGTAGAAAGAGGAAGTCAGTTTTGAATATCTCTGGTATAATACCTTCTTTTTTGCAGGTTCTGGTTGCTCCACTTCTCTCTTGTTTTCTGTCAGCCTCCTCGTCTCCCCATTGAATACTATTTTTCACAGAGGCACCTCCCAAGTCTCTGACCTAGAGATTATAAGTATCTTATATTTAGAATATTTTCATGTTGCCTGGGACATGTATCCAGTTTACTCCATCACAAATCTTCATTTAATTATCATGATGTTTCAGGCACTGTTCTAGGCACTGGAGATGTAGCAGTGGATACAACAGATGAGGTCTATATAAGAAATATGTAAAAACTTGCCATGTTAGCTAGTGTTAGTGCTACAAAAGAAAATAAGGCAGGGTAACACAATAGAGAGTAACCAGAGTGCTAGTTTAAATAGAATGGGCAGGAAAATCCCTCTGAGGAGTGATATTCTAGCAAAGATCTGACATTATTATTATTATTATTTAAATTTATTATACTTTAAGTTCTGGGATACATGTGCAGAATGTGCAGGTTTGTTACATAGGTATGCACGCGCCATGGTGGTTTGCTGCACCTATCAACCTGTTGTCTATATTAGGTATTTCTCCTAATGCTATCCCTCCCCTAGCCCCCCACCCCCACAACAGGCCCTGGTGTGTGATGCTCCCTTCCCTGTGTCCACGTGTTCTCATTGTTCAACTCCCACTTATGAGTGAGAACATGCAGTGTTTGGTTTTCTGTCCTTGTGATATTTTGCTGAGAATGATGGTTTCCAGCTTCATCCATGTTCCTGCAAAGGACATGAACTCATCCTTTTTTATGGCTACATAGTATTCCATGGTGTATATGAGCCACATTTTCTTTATCCAGTGTATCATTGATGGCATTTTGGTTGGTTCCAAGTCTTTGCTATTATGAACAGTGGTGCAATAAACATGCGTGTACATGTGTCTTTGTAGTAGAATGATTTATAATCCTTTGGGTATGTACCCAGTAATGGGACTGCTGCGTCAAATGGTATTGCTGGTTCTAGGTCATTGAGGAATTGCCACACTGTCTTCCACAATGGTTGAACTAATTTACACTCCCAACAACAGTGTAAAAGCATTCCTATTTCTCCACATCCTCTCCAGCATCTGTTGTTTCCTGACTTTTTAATGATTTCTATTCTAACTGGCGTGAGATGGTATCTCCTCATTGTGGTTTTGATTTGCATTTCTCTAATGACCAGTGATGATGAGCTTTTTTTTCATATGTTTGTTGGCTGCATAAATGTCTTCTTTTGAGAAGTGTCTGTTCATATCCTTTGCCCACTTTTTGATTTTTTTTTTCTGGTAAATTTGTATACGTTCTTTGTAAATTCTGGATATTAGCCCTTTGTCAGATGGGTAGATTGCAAAAATTTTTTTCCCATTCTATAGGTTGCCTTTTCACTCTGATGATAGTTTCTTTTGCTGTGCAGAAGCTCTTTAGTTTAATTAGATCCCATTTGTCAGTTTTGGCTTTTGTTGCCATTGCTTTTGGTGTTTTAGTCATGAAGTCTTTCTCCATGCCTATGTCCTGAATGGTATTGCCTAGGTTTCCTTCTATGGTTTTTATGCTTTTAGGTCTTGTGTTTAAGTCTTTAATCCATCCTGAGTCAATTTTTGTATAAGGTGTAAGGAAGGTGTCCAGTTTCAGTCTTCTGCATATGGCTAGCCAGTTTTCCCAACACCATTTATTAAATAGGGAATCCTTTCCCCATTGCTTTTTTTTGGTCAGATTTGTCAAAGATCAGCTGGTTGTAGATGTGTGGCATTATTTCTGAGGCCTCTGTCCTATTCCATTGGTCTGTATATCGGTTTTGGTACCAGTACCATGCTGTTGTGGTTACCAAAGCTTTGTAGTATAGTTTGAAGTCAGGCAGCATGATGCCTCCAGCTTTGTACTTTTTGCCTACGCTTGTCTTGGCTATATGGGCTCTTTTTTGGTTTCATATGAAATTTAAAGTAGTTTTTTCTAAATCTGTGAAGAAAGTCAATGGTAGCTTGAGGGGATAGCATTGAATCTATAAATTACTTTGGGCAGTATTGCCATTTTTTCAATATTGATTCTTCCTATCCATGAGCAAGGGATGTTTTTTCCAATTGTTTGTGTCCTCTTTGATTTCCTTGAGCAGTGGTTTGTAGTTCTCTTTGAAGAGGTCCTTCACATCCCTTGTAAGTTGTATTCCTAGGTATTTTATTCTCTTTGTAGCAATTGCTAATGGGAGTTCGCTCATGATTTGGCTTTCTGTTTGTCTATTATTGGTGTATAGGAATGCTTGTGATTTTTGCACATTGATTTTTGTATCCTGAGACTTTGCTGAAGTTGCTTATCAGCTTAAGGAGATTTCAGGCTGAGACGATGGGGTTTTCTAAATATACAATCATGTCATCTGCAAAGAGAGACAATTTAACTTCCTCTCTTTTTATTTGAATATCCTTTATTTCTTTCTCTTGCCTGATTGCCCTGGCCAAAACTTCCAATACTATGTTGAACAGGAATGGCGAGAGAGGGAATCCTTGTCTTGTGCCAGTTTTCAAAGGGAATGCTTCCAGCTTTTGCCCATTCAGTATGATATTGGCCATGAGTGTGTCATAAATAGCTCTTATTATTTTGAGATACATTCCATCAATACCTAGTTTATTGAGAGTTTTTAGCATGAAGGGATGTTGAATTTTATTGAAGGCTTTTTCTCCATCTATTGAGATAATCATGTGGTTTACGTCATTGATTCTGTTTATGTGATGGATTACATTTATTGATTTGCATATGTTGAACCTGCCTTGAGTCTCAGGGATGAAGCCGACTTGATCATGGTGGAGAAGCTTTTTGATGTGCTGCCGGATTCAGTTTGCCAGTATTTTATTGAGGATTTTCACATTGATGTTCATCAGGATATTGGCCTGAAATTTTCTTTTTTGTGTGTGTCTCTGCCAGGTTTTGGTATTAGGATGACGTTGGCATCATAAAATGAGTTAGGGAGGAGTTCCTCTTTTTCTATTGTTTGGAATAGTTTCAGAAGGAATAGTACCAGCTCCTCTTTGTACCTATCACAGAATTCAGCTGTGAATCCATCTGGTCCTGGGCTTTTTTTGGTTGGTAGGCTATTAATGACTGCCTCAATTTCAGAACTTGTTATTGGTCTATTCAGGGATTCAACTTCTTCCTGGTTTAGTTTTGGGAGGGTGTATGTATCCAGGAATTTATCCATTTTTTCTAGATTTTCTAGTTTATTTGCATAGAGGTGTTTATAGTATTCTCTGATGGCAGTTTGTATTTCTTTGCCGTCAAAGGTGATATCCCCTTTATCATTTTTTATTGTTTCTATTTGATTCTTCTCTCTTTTCTTCTTTATTAATCTGGCTAGCAGTCTATCTATTTTGTTAATCTTTTCAAAAAAAACAGCTCCTGGATTCATTGATTTTTTGAAGGGGTTTTCGTGTCTCTGTCTCCTTCAGTTCTGATCTGATCTTATTTATTTCTTGTCTTCTGTTACCTTTTGCGTTTGCCCTTGCTTCTCTTGTTCTTTTAATTGTGATGTTAGGGTGTCGATTTTGGATCTTTCCTGCTTTCTCCTGTGGGCATTTAGTGCTATAAATTTCCCTGTAAACACTGCTTTAACTGTGTCGCAGAGATTCTGGTACATTGTGTCTTTGCTCTCATTGGTTGCAAAGAACTTATTTATTTCTGCCTTAATTTCATTATTTACTCAGTGGTCATTCAGGAGCAGGTTGTTCAGTTTCCATGTAGTTGTGCGCTTTTGAGTTTCTTAATCCTGAGTTCTAATTTGATTGCACTGTGGTCTGAGAGACTGTTTGTTATGATTTCTGTTCTTTTGCATTTGCTGAGGAGTGTATTTATGTGGTCAGTTTTGGAATAAGTGTGATGTGGTGCTGAGAAGAATGTGTATTCTGTTGATTTGGGGTGGAGAGTTCTGTAGATGTCTATTAGGTCTGCTTGGTGCAGAGCTGAGTTCAAGTCCTGTATATCCTTGTTAACCTTCTGTCTCGTTGATCTGTCTAATATTGACAGTGGGGTGTTAAAGTCTCCCAGTATTATTGTGTGAAAGTCTAAATCTCTTTGTAGGTCTCTAAGAACTTGCTTTATGAATCTGGGTGCTCCTGTATTGGGTGCATATATATTTAGGATAGTTAGCTCTTCTTGTTGCATTGATCCCTTTACCATTATGTAATTACCTTCTTTGTCTTTTTGGGTCTTTGTTGGTTTTTGTTGTTGTTATTGTTTTTTTAGATGGAGTCTCACTCTGTCACCCAGGCTGCAGTGCAGTGGCGCAATCTCAGCTCACTGCAAGCTCCGCCTCCTGGGTTCACGCCATTCTCCTGCCTCAGCCTCCTGGGTAGCTGGGATTACAGGCACCTGCCACCACACCCAGCTAATTTTTTGTATTTTTAGTAGAGATAGGGTTTCATCATATTAGCCAGGATGTTCTCTATCTCCTCACCTTGTGATCTGCCCGCCTTGGCCTCCCAAAGTGCTGGGATTACAGGCATGAGCCACTGCACCTGGCTGGGTCTTTGTTGGTTTAAAGTAGGTTTTATCAGCAACTAGGATTGCAACCCTGCTTTTTTTTTTTTTCTTTCCATTTGCTTGGTAAATCTTCCTCCATCCCTTTATTTTGAGCCTATGTGTGTCTTTGCATATGAGATGGGTCTCCCGAATTACAGCACACTGATGGGTCTTGACTCTTTATTCAATTTGCCAGTCTGTATCTTTTAATTGGGGCATTTAGTCCATTTACAATTCAGGTTAATATTGTTATGTGTGAATTTGATCCTGTCATTATGATGCTAGCTGGTTATTTTGCCCATTAGTTGATGCAGTTTCTTTATAGTGTCGATTTTTTTTACCGTTTGGTATGTTTTTGCAGTGGCTGGTACTGGTTTTTCTTTTCCATATTTAGTGCTTCATTCAGGAGCTCTTGTAAGGCAGAACTGGTGGTGACAAAATCACTCAGCATTTGCTAGTCTGTAAAAGAGTTTATTTTTCCTTCACTTATGAAGCTTAGTTTAGCTGGACATGAAACTCTGCGTTGAAATTTCTTTAAGAATGTTGAATATTGGCTCTCACTCTCTTCTGGCTTGTAGAGTTTCTGCAGATATATCCGCTGTTAGTCTGATGGGCTTCCCTTTGTGGGTAACCTGGCCTTTCTCTCTTGCTGCCCTTAACATTTTTTCCTTCATTTCAACATTGGTGATTCTGATGATTATGTGTCTTGGGGTTGCTCTTCTTGAGGAGTATCTTTGTGGTGTTTTCTGTATTTCCTGAATTTGAATGTTGGCCTGTCTTGCTAGGTTGGAGTAGTTCTCCTGGATAATATCCTGAAGAGTGTTTTCCAACTTCATTCCATTCTCCCCGTCACTTTCAGGTACACCAATCAAACATAAGTTTGGTCTTTTCACATAGTCCCATATTTCTTGGAGGCTTTGTTCTTTCCTTTTCATTCTTTTTTCTGTAATCTTGTCTCTACACTTTACTACATTAAGTTGATCTTCAATCTCTGATATCCTTTTTTCTGCTTGATCGATTTGCCTATTGATACTTGTGTATGCTTCACAAAGTTCTTGTGCTGTGTTTCTCAGCTCCATCAGGTCATTTATATTCTTCTCTAAACTGGTTATTCTAGTTAGCAATTTCTCTAACATTTTTTCAAGGTTCTTAGCTTCCTTGCATTGGGTTAGAACATGCTCCTTTAGCTTGGAGGAGTTTGTTATTACCCACCTTGTGAAGCCTACTTCTGTCAATTAATCATACTCATTCTTTGTCCAATTTTGTTTTCTTGCTGGCAAGGAGTTGCGATCCTTTGGAAGAGAAGAGGTGTTCTGGTTTTTGGAATTTTCAGCCTTTTTGCACTGTTTTTTTCCTCATCTTTGTGGATTTATCTACCTTTGGTCTTTGATGTTGGTAAGCTTCAGATGGGGTTTCTGTGTGGACACCTTTTTTTGATGCTGATGCTGTTCCTTTCTGTTTGTTAGTTTTCCTTCTAACAGTCAGGCCCCTCTGCTGCAGGTCTGCTGGAGTTTGCTAGAGTTCCACTCCAGACCCTGTTTGCCTGGGTATCACCAGCAGAGGCTGCAGAACAGCAAAGATTGCTGCCTGTTCCTTCCTCTGGAAGCTTTGTCCCAGAGGGGCACCCACCAGATGCCAGCCGGGGGTCTCCTGTATGAGGTGTCTGTTGATCCCTGCTGGAAGGTGTCTCCCAGTCAGGAGGCACGGAAGTCAGGGACCCACTTGAGGAGGCAGTCTGTCCTTTAGCAGAGCTCGAGCACTGTGCTGGGAGATCCGTCATTCTCTTCAGAGCTGGCAGGCAGGAACATTTAAGTCTGCTGAAGTTGCACCCACAGCTGCCCCTTCCCCCAGGTGCTCTGTCCCAGGAAGATGGGAGTTTTATCTATAAGCCCCTGACTGGGGCTGCTGCCTTTCTTTCAGAGATGCCCTGCCCAGAGAGGAGGAACCTAGGGAGGCAGTCTGACTACAGCAGCTTTGTTGAACTGTAGTGGAGTCCTCCCAGGTCAAACTTCCTTGGCAGCTTTGCTTACACTGTGAGGGGAAAACTGCCTACTAAAGCCTCAGTAATGGCAGACGCCCCTCCCCCAACCAAGCTAGAGCATCCTAGGCCAACTTCAGACTGCTGTGCTGGCAGTGAGAATTTCAAGATGGCAGATCTTAGCTTGCTGGGCTTCATGGGGGTGGGATCCGCTGACCTAGACCACTTGGCTCCCTGGCTTCAGCCCCCTTTCCAGGGGAGTGAACGGTTCTGTCTTGCTGGCATTCCAGGTGCCACTGGGGTATGGAAAAAGAACTTCTGCATCTAGCTCAGTGTCTGCCCAAACAGCCCCCCAGTTTTGTGCTTGAAACCCTGGGCCCTTGTGGTGTAGGCACCCAAGGGAATCTCCTGGTCTGCAGGTTGCGAAGACCATGGGAAAAGCGTAGTATCTGGGCCAGAATGCACCATTCCTCACAGCACAGTCAGTCATGGCTTCCCTTGGCTAGGGGAGGGAGTTCCCTGACCCCATAAGCTTCCTGGGTGAGGCAATGCCCCACCCTGCTTCAGCTCACCCTCCATGGGCTGCACCCACTGTCTAACCAGTCCCAGTGAGATGAGCCAGGTACCACAGTTGGAAATGCAGAAATCACCTGCTTCTGTGTTGATCTCACTGGGAGCTGCATACTGGAGCTGTTCCTATTTAGCCATCTTACCAGCCACCACCTATTATTATTAAGAGATGGGGTCTTGCTATGTTGCCCAGACTGAAATGCAGTGGCTATTCACAGGCCTGATGATGACTCACTGCAGCTTTGAACTCCTGGGCTCAAGAGATTCTCTCACCTCAGCCTCCAGAGTAGCTGGGACTATAGGCACACACCACCATGCCCAGCTTCTGATTGATGTTTGGATTCAATGATTTATTTGTATATTGACTTTTTGAGTTGGCTGATCAAATGCTTTCCTGAAATGTGTAAAGTGTCTTGAGATGGTTCTTTAAGCTGCTAAAGATAGAAGAGGAGAGAGAAAAAAAGAGGTGAATTACTAATTTGTGGCTAATATATGATGTCTACAGGAACAGTAAGCTCAGCGCAACCCCTCATGGGACCTCCTGCCACACATCTTATTTGTGCTTGTCCTTCTTTTGAACAGTATGCCTACATTTTAGAGAAATCAAATAATTCTAGATTCTGTATTAAGGTAGCAAATAGTGTATGCTTATAAGTTATAATGCTATTCTCTTCATCTGCTGCTCAGATTTACTTTTCTAGTAGATTTTTAACTTATGAATTTAGAGTGCAAAATTATGAGTCTAATAAAGAAAAGTTAAGGTTACTTTTCATGCTAATTGAAGTATCCTTTAAAAAATTATATGAAGGTAATTAATTTGTGGGCAATTACTGAATTTAATGTTTGAGAATTTTTAGATGGGTTTTCACTGAAGTGTTTCTCTTTGACTTATAGGTATTGCTATTGATTGACATTCAAGTCTCTTACATCAACACCAACCATGAAGACTTCATTGGCTTCGCAAAGTACGTGAAACACTTGATGGCCACATGCATTCCTCCTGTTGATTTGTCTCAAACACACATTGTGAATTTTTACTACAGTTTCACCACCTTTGAGAATACAATCTGTGCCAGGATTAACTCTCAGTGTGCCTACTTAGGAAGTCTGAGCTCCATGGTCGTAGGGCAGGGATATTTACTATTCTCTCAGTAAAGTAGTTGGCTCTATTATGCAGCATATGAAGTCATGTATGTCTTACATACTTATCATCTCATCATTTTTGGATGATGTTCTGCAGTTTGTACTTGAACTCCTATAGAAAAACAGTAATTAATGCATGTTTAAAATTTTGAGGGGAACAGTTTTTCACATCAATTTGAAATACCACATGTAATTTACAGGATGAAAGATGTTTCAACTTTTCTAAGTCAGAATCTAGAGGCCTGTTTTTTTTTTTTTTTTAAACTTTGCGAAATTAGATGTAATCTGTCGGGGTGAACATTTTATTTTCTGTAAAGTGTGTATACAAATATTGCCATTTTTCATATACGTTATCATGCAAACGTTATGGTTAGTTACTCAGGATTGGCTATTCACTGTGTGACATTTTGAAGACCTTGAATGCACTATCTTTTCCTGCCCATTAGTGAAACCAGTTTTTGATTTAAATAATCTTGATATCACCTCTAAAATATATTTTTGCATTTAAGTGGTTCCAACTTCAAGTATATAAAATATAGCCTATTTTATGTAAAATGTAAAACAAAAGAGCCTATGTACTTTTACTTAAACTGAGTATTCAAGAACAGAGACAAATAAAAAAATGACAGAATGTCAAATTAATTTATTTTATTACATTCTGACTTAGAAGAAATGGATATGCAGACCCTGTGACCTAAACTAAACAGTGGCCTGAGGAATTTACAGGCATGTTTTAGGGAGAACAGTCCCAATTATCCAACTGAAAATTATCTCATCCTAAACTTGGCTGTGGTTGTGATGTCCTAGCCAATTGTGTAAATATCTTTTGCATCCAATGACGATTACTAGTGAAGGGTAGATAAGATTTCTTCCACCATTTTCTGTCTGTGGCATACGTGTATTCTTGTTAGAACCCAACGATAAATATGTGCCCTAGTCTAGTTGTCTTTGCAGCCACCCTGCCCACACCCACTTCTTGATAGGTATTTGCTGCACAGGCATTTCGCACAGACTTGCCCTCCTCTCTTTTAGCCCCAAGACTCTCACCATGTGTTCTGTTCATTTCCTTCTGCAGACTCACCTAAACTGTAACATACATCCTTATCCCTAGGTCCAGAAATTTTTTCCAGGTTTCCTCCACAGTCAGTGAACTCTAGGGAGCCTGTGCCAAGCTCTACTCTAGTTTCTATAGTGGGTGGGGGGGGAATGTAGAAAAAGAAAAAAACTTTTTGCCTTTTAGGAGCTTGCCAAATAATTGAAAAGTATAGAGACACACAAGTAAAAATTTAAACTGACACATTCTTCATTTTCCTCACTGCTTCTCTGAGGAATTTAAAAGACAAACAAATCCTTGAGACATTTAAAATAATAGGAATGCTGCCTTTAATGTTGATTTTCATGGATTACAAATGCCAGTTAGGTTCTTACAAAAATGTAGCAGATGTCGATGTAAACTTGACACAATAACTTAAAAGTGAAAAGGATGCTGCCTTGTTGTGGTACCACAATTAGAGGGGGAAAATGTAGAAAAAGTCATAATCCATTTAGAAAGGTTCAAATTTAAACATATTATATAACCCGTGCTTCAATTTAAATTTCACCTTTATAATCTTCTTGAAACTTTTTTTTTCTATGATAAATGAGCTAGAGTTTCTTTTCCAATAAATTTCCATATTTGCTGCCTTAGAAGCTGTTGGACTATGGTTTTATATTGATTATATTGATTTATAGGTTTCCAAGGGCAGGTGATTTTTCAAATTTAAGACTTTCAAACACAATCTTTTGACGTAGTCTCTCTGTGTCTGGTCCTATTTTTCTGGTCCAGGTGTCTGGTCCTATTTTTCCAGCAGTGAGATAGACTATGAATCTTTATGATATTGGGGAGAAAAAAAGAAGCATAGGTAAAACTGCTTTAGAAAGCCAGCAACTCTACACATTTCTCATCTAATTTAAATTGCACACTTAAACCTTCTTTAAAGGACTGATCTGGGAGTCAACAATCCAGGTTGTTTTTCCAGGATATGCCACTGATGAGCTTTGGGTTTTGGCAAGGTGCTCAGCCTTTCTCTATCTGTTTACTGATGTATCAAATGGAATAATAATCCTTGTCTTGTATACCTTTCAGGATTGTCAGAAGATCAAATTAATCAAGTTATGTGGAAATCCTTTAAAAAAAACTATGGTGTAGTCTATAAATGTGAGAGATCCTCCCTGTCTCTCACTCTCTCCACATACATGCACGTGTGCACACATACACACACATACACTCACATTTGATTACTAGATGTACCATTTTACTTTATGATGTAGTTATAATGACTTAAGTATGATTGTCACTGGAATATTTTTTAGCTGCTAATATCATTATCTCTAAATGTGATATTTTGCCCCAAGACTCAGAGATAAATGTCCTTTCCATTTGTATGTCGACTTGGAATTGACATGGGGTGACGTGGAGTGATTATGAAGATGAAGAAATGTTCATTTCAAAATCACTTTGAGGGGTTGTGGTATTTTTTGTGCTTTTAAAAATTAAAAAAATATGGTTGTAGCTATAAATTTTAAAGTTGGCAAGAATGCTGTTTCCATCAAGGAAGAAAAGTCAAGCCATATTTGAAGACAATTATGTAAGTATTTTTAAGTTCCAAAGACAGAAAATTAAGGTCTGGGGTTGAAGAAAACAAGCATTTGTTTCATGAGATTTTTAGAGAGTTGCCAAAAGGGAAGGAACTGCCTCCCAGATTTATAGGATGGTGATGTACATAGTACTTTACACATGTAATTTTTTTCAACTTGGATGACTTTTTGTTCTAATTTTTTAAAAAATGAAAATGAATTGCTAAAATTGGATTAATAAAATATTTACTTTCAGAGTAGCATTCAGGACATCTCAAAATTCTTCTTTCTGTTATAGAATTTATACTGTCATGTTTAATATGTGACACTTTTTTTCCATCTTCTAGTTATTTGTTAGACATGGCCTGTAAAATATGTACCGTGTGTAATGTGTCCAAATAAGCACTGCTCTAGGCTTGCTTTGGAATTTCCTGGCTTCTAAATGTTTTTTCAACTATAATATAGTTTCTGAGCCTGAAAGTTCAGCATTTCAGAAGAAAACGTCAAATTTCTTTGTGACTTAAGGGTTTTAATTTGTCATTCTCTGCTTTAGAAAAAAAAAAACCCTAAATTACATATATTTTTACATAATATAGCTAGTTTTTGCTATTTAAGAAAATAAGAACTGGCCCAATTGTTCCTTCATTCACTTCCCCTCGTCCTCAGTAATCCTCTTTTGAACAAAAAGGCAATCTTGTTAGTGGAATGCCTTGGGAAGTGAAATTTCAAACTCCTCTGCTCTTCTTCATTTGTTCCATGACACAATTTGCTTTCTGAGTTACTAGGATTTATGCAGTCCAATGGTTAAAGAGAAAGAGGGACTATAGATATGTGCCGTTAGAGTGATATCTCTATACACCGCAAGCAGCAGACCAAGGTCTGTTTGTTTTTCAATCTGCTCAGTAGGTCTCAACACCTGTTTTCTCACAGTTGAAATGATACAGTGTGCAGATTTCAGTTCTTGTTATTTGAGCACCATGAAAATTCTATGGGTCTTAAGATTTGTTATATCTTTTTCCTGATCCTCTGGAATGCCTCTATTGCCGTTTTACTGAAGGCAGTGCATTTCAACCTTGCCACTAAATTCCAGAGCAATCTTAGTCTTTCCCTTTACATTCTTAGTTTATTTTTCCCTAATGCATAATTATATTCTATTGTAATAATGTTTCTAGTTCCTAATCTTACATGAGAATGTTCTCTCTCTTGTGGAATCAAAACTTAGGTATTGGAGTATAAAAAGATCCTTTTTTTGACTTATATGCAAATTTAGGAATTAAATGCTTGGTTGCTTACTGAGATTGTTGTCAAGTAGAAATACAGGATTGAGCAACTTGAAAGGATACCATTCACATATCCTGTTCAAATAAGTTATAAATTCCAATGTTCCAAGCACCATTTTAAAAATAAGTAGACTTCCAGTTTTCTCTTTCATCCTCAAATATGTTATTTTAAACTTCATCTTCATCCTTAACATGAATCTTAGGAGGTAAGTGATTCTTCTTTTGCAGACTCCCAAGTTCTGTAAGATTTTCTTGCATAATAGCCTGAGCCTTCATTAAAGATCCTGGAGGAGAAACGGACATTGTTTCTTCTCCCTTTGGCTTCAGTCTGATTGGACGGAGCCTGGACTATCACAGTGTAACCTGTGATAAGTTACACTCTTGGGACTCTTGTGAAGTGTTCATAATCTTTCTTGGATAATATAAAAGAACAGTCTAAAATTGCTTTACTCTGTAGCACCATTGCACAATAGAACTTTCTGAGATGATGGAACTATTGTATAATCTGTGCTGTTCAATACAGAAGCCACTAGCTGTATGTGGCTATTGAGCAGTTGAAATGTGGGTAGTGCAATGAAGGCAATAAATTTTTAATTTAATTCAATCTAATTAAAGTTTTAATCTGGCTACCAGCTACTGCATTGGACGGCAGAGCCCTACAGTATAGTGACTCCGGCTGATGGCTCTGGGACCTTCACTGTGGGTCCTACTTTATTGACAGCTTAGTGGTGACCTATGGTGGTAGCTACTGAGAGAAAGAGCAAGGAAGCCTCTTAATTGCTACTAAACAAGTCTAAAAGAGCTTCTTTACTCTATAGCACTGTTGCACAATAGAAGTTTCTGAGATGATGGAACTATCGTATAATCTGTGCTGTTCAGTACAGAAGCTACTACCTGTATGTGGCTGTTGAGCAGTTGAAATGTGGGTAGAGGTAGAGGCACACTCTGATATTTGCTATGGAATCTACATCTCAAAGGGACTCTCCATTTCCTTAATGCATCTGAGCCCTCTTTGAGTGGCCTTAGTCTGTGTTCCATTCTCTTTTTCATCTTCCTTTCACTTTTCGGCCCACTGCAATCTAGTTTCTACCACTCCACTCCACTGAGACTGCTTTTGTCCAGGACAAAACAGTTAATCCAATGGACAATTCTGAGCCTTTCATTTGACACCACCGTTAATCACTCCTTCTTGAAGAGATCTGTTCCTTTGCTTCAATAACCTTCCACTCTCTCCTGGTTTTCCTCTTTTCACTCTAGCCACTTCTCAGTCTTTAGGAGCTCTTCATCTTCTGATCATGGCTTAAGAACTATTCTTTAATCAATTTTCCACCCTAGACCCCCTTCTTTCTCACTCACTGCATTATTCCTAATGGATCTTACCCACTCCAATGGTTTTAGTTGCCAACTTTATCTGATGACTCCAAATCTAGATCTTCATTTCAAGACTTTTCACTGGACTATGTACCATATTCAGATGTCTATTGGACATCTCTACTTATATATCCTAGAGAAGCCTCAACCTTCTAGTCCCAAACTAAACTCCTCATCTGCTCTTATAATTTTTAACTTCTATGTTGTTCCCACTTTCTGTGGATGGCACCTCCCAGTCCTATTCTTTGCTCCTTGTTCCCCTCATATCTTTGTCTCCATCCATCTTTACCAAGTTCATGTGATTCTATCTCCATAATATTTTTTGAATTCATCTATTTCTTTCTATCATCATTGCCACTACTAAAGTTAGTCTTCTCTTACTTGAGTTACTACAACAGTCTCTCTGTACCCCTGTCATCCTCTTTCTCATTCCTTCTGAGATTCTCTGTTACTTTCAGAATAAAGTCTAAACTTATTAATGTAATTTCCAAGGCTCTCTATAATCTGTATCTTGTTTACCTCTTCAGCCTATTCTATTGTTACTATTCCTTTCTACTCTACTCCCTAAGTCCATGCTGCAGCCAGTCTGACCACTTTGGGATCCCTAACTGTACCATACTTTTGCTTTAACACATGCCTATGATATGCTTCTTCAAATTATTTAGGTTTCCTAGTACAGATGATCATTGATAGTCTGGTTGTAAATAACCCTGGCATCAAAACAGAATTCCATACGTATTTCTTAAGATACTACCATAAACCCTCTGCTAGGTAATGTCAGTGATGAGAGAGGTAGAAATACCAAGATTGATGCTCTTGACTATCAAGGAGCAGGCATTGTTGGAAACCCAACTTACAATCTTGTTTATAAAATACAGGCACAGACCAAGGCTTTGGGAGTGCATGAAAAGGAGAGATAACTGGAGGTTTCTAAAAAGGCATAATTCAGGCATGATGCTTGATTGGAGTTTTAAGACTGGACAGGACTCCAATAGTCAGAGACAGGGGGTCTGGGCTGACTGCTTCCTGTCTTCTCTGCTTGAGTCAATACTATGCATTTCAGGGAACTAATTTGTACTAAAACATTGCCTTGATCATGTCACTTGCTGGCACAGAAACATGGAATGTTTTCTGCTGCCTTCAGAGTAACAGCCAAATTCTCCATAACTGGCCCCAACGTACAGTTATTATACTAGATGGCTTTTAAGATCACTTACAAACCCCAGTCTATGATTGGATAATTCTACCATAATAGTTTTACTCTCCACAACTTCCCCATATGCCTCATCTTTCTACTTCCTGGCTTTGCTAATACCAGTCTATTCTCTTGGAACGTAGTCATTTGTTTTCCTTTATTAAAGTTTATCTTCTTTTCAAGTTTGCTACAAACAGTTCAGATCATATCATCTGAAATTATATTTCTTGTCCCTGAACATTCAGAGAAATTACAATGGTATAGGATTTATTTGATAAATGGTCACACATCATAGACAAGGATAGGACACTGTGCAAAAAAGTTTTGAGCCAAGAGATAACATTAGGGGTTCTCTGATTGTCTTCTAATGTACTCTTATTTTTATAGAAGTTTAAACTTCTTGTTATATACTTTTAGAATCATTATGTCTCAGCATACACCAATTTGGTTCTACGTTTTAGTGTTCTGGCAAAGCCTTCCACAGTGACTTGTGTGTAGTAGGAATTTATATGACAAACGACAAATGTGCGTGCACACACGCACACACATATGAGAAGATATGGGTAATTATATCCCACATTTAAAACAGAAGCACTTTGTTTTTGCTTTCTATTACATCCTCACATGTTTATTAATATGGATTTTATTTTTTATTTGTTATTTTTGTTTTGTGTATGCATATCATTACTTGTACCAGACAAATTGTAGGCTTTTGATAACAAGAACTATACCTTATTCATATTTTTATATGCTACGGAGTTCGTGCCCTATAGTTTTTGATTTATGTTAAACTAAAACACCATACATAGGTATGTTTTATAATATTTCAGAGTTAATTGGTTAAGTAACTATATCCAAGAACATGTCCAAGGGCTCAAGTTAACTTGCAAGTCCTTACAGGTTTTTTAAGGAACATATTTTTAAATAAATGTTTTGAAATACTCTCAGTTCAATTATTATGCAGAAGAATTATGAGAAAGAATGTATTCTAAGCAGGCAGCTTTTTTTGTTGTTGTTGCTTTTGAAGTAACTTCAAGTAGCTAAATACATCATTAGCAACAGAATGTTTAAGTTTATGGGGCCAATTGCTGCAAAAAGATTCTTTAGGTGGAAAATAGAGGCAACTTAGTGTTTTTTCTAACTCTAATATTTGAGATTGGCTTATAAAGTAAATCTACTTTTCCTTTGGCATATTCTTACAAGTGGTAGATCCTAAATATGCATTATTTCACAGATGGAAACTGTCAATGGACATTGTCTTTATCTAGTGTAGCTTATAAGCTTCTGAGAGTAATTTTGCATCTCAAGGAATATTGGACCTAAAAGGAACCTAAGAAACAACTTGTTTAGTCCTCTAGCCCTCCTCTCTGTCTCTGTTTCTGTCTGTCTCCTTTATGACACACATATACACATTTTATAGCTGAGCGACTGAAGTCCATTTTGATCAAACTTTTCACCTAAGGTAGCAAAGGAGTCATTAACGATCTTTGCGGCTTTTGCTTTACATTCAACTTCTTTTCCCTTAAGTGATTTGAAGGGGACTGATACATAATTTTAGGGTCTACAATAATTTGTTCAAAGGAAGCACCTGTGGGTCTATCACAGGTTTTCACCACTAGTCAGTGTTTCAGTGAAAACATTACTCCTAAAACACAATTATGGTGCTTGGAAGAGATAAACATAACCTATGAAGGTGTCATGATCTCATTATAATAGTAGTTTTCTCATGCATTCCTGGAAGAGCAGGAAGCCTGGAGGGTGCTGGAAAAGTGACATTTAATGTGGAAAAAGAAAGTAAGGAGGAGATCCGAAGCCCTTAGGAGAGTGCTACTCAAGACGCTGTGTGCGCCAGGGCATGAGGGCAGCCAGAGGGCGGTGTGGGCACATTGGATCCTGGTTACCTCTTTCACAGCCTCACCTACAAGACCTGAATAATGTAGATTTAGATTGTTCAGAGAAATGGTTAAAGAGGAAATAATTTCATCGTAATTAAGAGGATTAACCATTTAACAGAAAGCTGGAAAAATAAAAAA
Source organism: Homo sapiens (assembly GCF_000001405.40). Classification (NCBI taxonomy): domain Eukaryota; kingdom Metazoa; phylum Chordata; class Mammalia; order Primates; family Hominidae; genus Homo; species Homo sapiens. The sequence continues at coordinate 172,090,576 of NC_000001.11, forward strand.
CAAGGAAGGAAGAAGTTGAAATTAGCAAATTTTAAATTGGAAAAAAATATATACACAAAATATTTTTAGCAACCAAATACAGTATGGCCTTTCACCACCCACCCCCTGCCCACCTTCAGTTGAATGCAGTGTTTTTTCATGAGTTTGAGTGAAGGAAAGCAGCTTAAATGTATCAGAGGAGTTTATTAAAAACTTATTTTGATCAGCTGTTCTAAGTGTGGTGTTGATTTCTAACTTGTTACTGCAGCACAACATCCCATCACTTTAAACAGTTGACTGAGAGCTTTAGTCTCCCTTTTCTCTATTTTAGACCATTTCATTGATCTCCAAAACAGCTTCCATAAACTATTAAACAATCTGTAAGAATACTGAGTATTGCTGATCTTCCCAGAATAACCAAAATGAGTTGTGTTTCTTATATTGATACGTGTTTATTCATGGATCCACCAAAAGAAAGCCTTTGTCCTTTTGAGGGATAGAGTAACCTAGTGATGAAACGTGTGGGCTCTGTTGTTAAGTTGTTGGAGTCCTTTCTGGCTTTTAACCCTCTGTGCTTATGTCTAAAATGAGGGTTATAATGGCATCAACTTCATTGGGCTTTTCATCGAACAGATATTTCATGAAACCAACCATGTGCCATGTCCTTTGCAGGCCCTGGGGATATAGCAGTGAACAAAACAGACGCAAACCCCTGCTCATTAGGAGCTTACAGTCTAATGGAAAAGGGCAGACAAACACAAAAAATAAATACACCGTGTAGTGTATCGGAAGGTGAGAAATGCCAGACAGAAAAATCAAACAGGGTAAAGGGGATGATAGTCTTGGAGGAAGGGAGGGATGCGGTTATAAATAGGGTGGTCAGAGTAGTCCTAACTGAAAAGAAGGATTTGAATGAAGACTTGAAAGAGATGTTGGGAACCATGCAGATGAAAGCGGGAAGTACATCCTAGGGAGCTAGCTTGCCTGAAGGCTCTAAATGGGAGTGTATTGGGTGGGTTTGAAAAAGAGCAGATGCCAGTGTGGCTGGAACTCTTCAGGGAACAAGGTGAAGGGTAGGAGGAGATGAGTCAAAGAGGCAGTAGTGGGGGTTGCTTGAGTAGGGCCTTGTAGACCCTTGTATGGACTTTGGTTTTTACCATTAAATGGAATGGTGTTGATGCAGTACACGGTTTCGAGCAGAAGAGTTAACATAGTCCTTCTGAAAGTATCACTCTGGTGTCTGTTAAGAATAGACTTCAGGGAGACAAGTGTGGAAGCAGAGACCAGAGAATAAATGATTACAGTAATCCAGATGAGGGATGGCAGTGTCTTGGACCAAGGTGGGACCAATGGAAGTGATGAAAAGATGGTTAAATGTTAAATTTATTATAAGAAAGTAGTCGACAGCATTTTCTGATGGTCGGATATGGGTTGTGAGAGAAAGAGGAGACAAAGATTTTGGCCAAGGAACTTGAATGTATGGTATAGAATTGCCATTAGTTAAGAGGAGGAAGGAAGACTGTGGGTGGAACAGATTTTAGGGGGGATTTCAGGAGTTTAGTTTTGAAATATTAAGAATGATATGCCCATTAAATACCCAAGTGATGAGGTTAAGTTGTTAAAAACATCAATAAGTCCAGAGTTGGGACTCATACATATTTGGATCTACATGGCAGATCCAAACCAGAGATGCATTAAAGGAGTTGTCAGAATATATTGGAATTCAAAGCAGTGAGACTGGACAATATCACAAAGAGTTTGTGATGCGGAGCCATGCTACTTGGTACTACCACTTATTAGCTGAGTGATTTTGGGAAAGTCACTTAGCTTCTCTCCTCATCTATGAAACAAGAAGAATAATCGTAACTGCTTCATGGGGTTGCTGTGAGAATAAAAATGATTAATATCGATAAAGCACTTAGAACATGGCATATACTCAATAATCATTAACTTAATTTCCATTACAACTCTCCTCTGTACCTGTGAGACACTGCAAATATGTCAACTCGTATGTTATTAATGTTACAATGCAGCTTTTCTTTAAGTGGTGTTATTATATTTTTGGTTTATATGCTACTAGGAGTTATGTGCTATTAGGAGTCCCATTGAGTTGGTTTTGCTTCCAGAATTAAACTGACCTGGAATTTTGGTATTAGGTCTGTCTCCATTGATTTTTTTTTTAAAGCCTGTATAAATTTTAGTATTTGTTACTTGTTTAGGAAAAAATTATATGTGTCTCTTCAGTGCTGCTTTCCTTTGCTTTTCTCAGTGCTCAGCAGAGGAGCAGTCAGGTTCACAAGAAAACCACAGTTGGAAATCAGGTAGGAATTGCATAAGAGAATCAGTGTATGCATGTCCCAAAGAATTTGAACTAAATCGCTTGATTGACTATTTTTTTAATGCAAATTAATCACGTGCAAATTTTGCTTGAAATGCAGCTTTCATTTTGATTTGTTTTTGCTTTTAAAATTTTTGGAGTGAATTGCATTTCTTTTTGGCTATTTTGTGCAGTTAACCATATTGATTTATTTTAAATAACCTTTCTGCTACTTGCTCTGCATTTCAAATTTGACTCCTCATGTCCTATTTTGCTTGCTTACGTTACCCCTAAGTTTAATTTAACATTGAGTTTGTGAGTCAGTTGAAGGTTAAAATGTGGTGAGTAGTTGCATGAGCTTTCTGGGGTTGCTAACTAGTTCACACATTTGCACAGCTTGGTATCAGTGAAGGGACAGCTCATGAAGAACGCAGTTGTTGGATGTAATCTCTGCCACACTAAATTCTTGTTGGTTAATGAAGATGTTAATTCCTAAGAAGATCTGATCTTTTGAGTTTTTGTGTTTTGGGCTGACCAGCTGTCTCTGACTAATAGCGCTCTGCAGAGATTGTATTAACTCAACAGTTTGCTGTGTCTTTTATGTTTTATGTGATAATGAATATTTGCATTGTTATTTCTTTTCAAGTCAAAACAATGATGGTGTTATAGTTTTTAAAAAACTTTCAGAGGTACAATTATTGAACAAATTGAAACCTCTGCTCTAGATTTTTTTCCCATTGTTTTGAAAGGAGAAGAGGTAATAACAGACTTTATTTTAAAAACTTTTTTTCTGAACTAAAGCATATAATTCTTTGCTATTTCAGGGAACCAATCTTCCGCCTTCAAGGCAAATTGTACGAGCTAAGTTCTGTAAGCTTTACTGTTGCTTTTTCATTTAGCTTCCCAAGGGCACAGTTTGTCTTTAACTGATTAACTCAACTAGCGCTTGCTACTAATTTTTTTTAAACTTAGGTTGTCTTGTCCGTAACACCCTATCATTGAAATAAAAATCCTCTTAAGAGGGTTCATCCCTTCACTGCTAATAACTTGCTGTGATTGAAAGGTATGAACTAGTAAACTCTAAAATGCTGTAATAATAAACCCTTAACACTGTGGGTGCTTTGATATTTCTCTAATTTTAATGGTCCTTAAAATAATTAAAATCATTAATGATCTTCATCTCTGTCCTTTTATGCTATGTTGTTATGAGGTGTAAGCCTTTCTCTTCCCCTTGTATGGTAATATTTCCAATAAATGTAGATGATGCTTCTAAAAGGTGGGTAAATATTGAGTATCTGATTTTGCTGTGTTTGTTGATAAGCCTACCCAATACCAATTATTTGCATTTATTTAAAAAAACAGAAAAGCAAAGTTATAGTGATGGACATTTTATATGGCTATAGAGTTAAATCTTTGAAAACCAGATACTATGTCTTCTTTTATGGAAGTGTAAAAACATTGTCATAAGCATTTAGAAAAAAAATTAAACTCTAATTTCTACCACGGATAAAGCAGGCTTATTCTTCCAACTATGCACAGTTTGAGAATGAGATTGGAGCATGGGTCAATTATCTGCCCCATGATATTTTGGGAAGACACAGGTTTTAGACCTAGACATTCCTGGGTTCAAATTCTGTTCTGTCACTTAAGAGCTATGTGGCCTGGGACACATTGTGCCTGAGTTTGCTCAGCTGTGTGATGAGAGGAATAGAAAATATCTCTCAGGATGATGGTGGGATTCAGAAATGATATACATAATGAGGTTTGCAGCCCAGTACCAGATATGTGCCCTGTAAAGAATAGAAACATTACTCCCAAAAGTTAGGTGCTGTTTCTTCAAACTCTTGGGAGAAAAAGTTTAAGTACAAGAAGATTATAAAATTTATAAAATGAGAACAACAAAACACTTGGGAAAATTAGAAGCTATGGAAATTGTTCTGATGCCTGCAATGCCCAGATTGTGGTTGGATATGATATAAAGGATTTACCTGTAAAAGTTTCCTCACAGTCAGAAGCATCGCTTAGCTCACAGAAGTATGTACATGTAGGAAAATCAATAGTATAATAGCATATATGCATACTTTAGATCAGAGGAAACTTGGAACAGCTTTCAGTTATATTACTTCCAAATGCTCAAATCATGCTAATTGTGTTTCTGTGACTTTGCTTTTGCTGGATACTTCAAAGCCCACACATTATGGAAGTATTACATCTCAAGATAATAGAATTGGGTGAGTGTTATAATGGAATATAGATTCCTTATCCAAAACTTCTGGGGCCAGACATGCCTTGAAGGTCAGAATTTTTTGGACTTTATTAACTGTATCATATATTACCCTACATTTTGTGGAGTTAGAGACAGCACCATATAATGAAACATATTCTATTTCTGCAGTGAAACAAAGGAATAGTTACACCAAGTAAACTTTTAAATAAAAGATAAATCCTCTCACATCAGATCAGGTTTTGCTGCCAAATTTGCTAAGAAAAAAGCTTTCAATTTGCAAGCAAGGGATTATGAACTAGAATATATTATTTTCCAGAATCAAATCCAATAATGTATACATGATACAATATATTTTAAAGGATCTTCAGTAGTTCTTCCTACTTAGCAGAAATAAACCATAATGACTTGAAATTTTCTTTATGAATCTGAGCATATGATGTTGATTGGGGTTTATATGAAAACAGTTTTGCCTATTAAGAGGCTCAAATCCAGGGAGTTTTGGGGCCCACCCTTCCGACTGATGCTGGCTTTTCTGGTTGGTGGGGCTGAAACACTCTGCAGCATCCTAGGAAGTGATTCATCCATGCTGCTATCCTCTTAGGGCTCCTGGTTGCAGAAGATTGTTGTGCAGCATCTGTTCTGAAATATTTTAGAAGGATTTAAGAAGGGCAAAACTCTTCTTTAAAGTCTAAATTTGCTTTGTTTATGTCTGCCTAGAAATTGTAATAGTTTCACAAGTTGATGTCAGCAAATGTACAAAAAAATGTGAGCACATAATTTACCGAAAGCTGGACTGCTCAAAAATTTAAATTTAACCTTCATTCATCCTTCCACTCATGTATTCAAAACCTATCTGTGTCAAAATGTGTGGTGGGTGTTTAGAGAAGCATGATGATGCATCAATCACAGGCCTCACCCTCAGGAAGCCCACAGCTCAGCGGGGATGATGGTAAGTAAGCAAACTGAAGTCCACTTCCTTTTCCAAGGCTAGCTACTGCTGACCCTTCAGGTCTTACTGAAACATCACTTCTGCAAGAGGCCAGCCTTGGTCACCAGATTTAAAGTCACCCTCCCTTCCCAATGTCTTTCACTATCTATTACATTTTATTATTTGAAACAATCTTATTTATTCACTTATTTATTATTTTTTGTCTTCCTTCATTAGGACGTAAGACCCATTAAAGCTATTTTTATGTTGCTTAAAGCAGTACAGAATTATAGTAAGGTTTTAAGCACAATCATATTAACATTTGTGGAGAAAGGCTTTGAAGGTGAGACAAGACTGGAAAAAGGAGATTAGTTAGAAGGCTGTTGTGGATGAAAAATTGTGGTGATCCGGGCTTGGGTGTTTGTACTGAATTTGAGGAAAAGCTGATGAATTCAAGAGATATTAAGTAGGAAGAATCCAAAAAATCTGTGATAAATTGGATGTCGGAGAGAGGGCTGGAGGTTGTCTTCAATGCATCAAGATTTATGATTTAGGTACAAGTAAGATGGTGCTGCTCTTCACAGAGAAAGGAGCATAGTGAAAAAGTCAGATTGGGATCCAGAGTCATGAAAGTTAGCTTTCTGAGTATGAGTCACCGTGGGAGTTTGAAGTAAAAATGTCCAGTAGGAAGGTGGATAAAAGTGTTTAAGTCCAGAAGTGACAGAGAACTCTTTCTTCCAAAGGTATTGGAGACTCATGGAAGGATTTCCAATAGGGAAGGGAACTCAACTGATTTTTATATTAGAAAGGTCTGTAATGGAATAGTTTGAAGGAGACAAACTAGAGATATGGGAATTGGTGAGGATGCTTTTGAAATTATTCAGGTGAGAGAAACATTGGTTGCAGGTAGTATTTAGCAGAAGGAACAGATTCAAAATATATTCAGAGGGTAGAATTGGAAGGGTTATAAAGAGTTCTCAGGGGGTTAAGTCATCCTCCTAGGCTTATGGCTAAGGGCATGCACTGACAAAGGGAGTGCAGGAGAAGGGGGAGCAGGTGTAAGGGGAGATGAGAGCAGAAGGTGCTGATTTAGGGCCGGGCACGGTGACTTATGCCTGTAATCCCAGCACTTTGGGAGGCCGAGGTGGGTGGATCACAAGGTCAAGAGATTGAGACCATTCTGGCCAACATGGTGAAACCCCATCTCTACTAAAAATACAAAAATTAGCCAGGCATGGTGGCGAGTGCCTGTAATCCAAGCTTCTCTGGAGGCTGAGGCAGGAGAATCACTTGAACTCAGGAGGCAGAGATTGCAGTGAGCCAAGATCACACCACTGCACTCCAGCCTGGGTGACAAAGCAAGACTGTCTCAAAAAAAAAAAGAAAAAATAGAAGAAGGTGCTGATTTCAATTTTGAATATGTTTGTGCTTATTGGAGATATCATTGGGGTTTGAGGTTCAGGACTCATGTACACTGGAGACATAAGTTTCACTGTTGTCAATAAATACATGGTATCCGAAGCCGTGGGAGTACATGAGACCACCTCCAAAGGATGAGAACATAGAAAGGAATGTAGGACTTAAAGCATGATGGAGAAAGAAGAACTGGAACTGAATGGGGAACTGAAAAGGCAAATAAGAAGTGATGAGAGAGGTAGGAAAACTTGGAGAGTGGTTATCATGGGAAATTCAGTCAGATATCGGGCAAAATTCACCCCCAATATTTCACATAGGTTCTTTTCTATTTTCCCTAAATGTTGGCTGGTCTGAGAAATAAAGGGACAGAGTACAAAACAGAGAAATTTTAAAGCTGGGTGTCCAGGGGAGATGTCACGTGTTGGCAGGTTCTGTGATGCCCCCTGAGCCGTAAAACCAGCAAGTTTTTATTAGTGATTTTCAAAAGGGAGGGAGTGTACGAATAGGGTTTGGGTCACAGAGGTCACGTGCTTCACAAGGTAATAGAATATCACAAGGCAAATGGAGGCAGGGTGAGATCACAGGACCACAGGACCAGGGTGAAATTAAAATTGCTAATGAAATTTCAGGCACGCATTGTCATTGATAACATCAGGAGACAGGGTTTGAGAGCAGACAACCGGTCTGACCAAAATTTATTAGGTGGGAATTTCCTCGTCCTAATAAGCCTGGGAGCGATACGGGAGACTAGGGCTTATTTCATCTCTACAGCTTCGACCGTAAAAGACAGCCACCCCCGAAGCGGCCATTTTAGAGGCCTACCCTCAGGGACGCATTCTCTTTCTCAGGGATGTTCCTTGCTGAGAAAAAGAACTCAGCCATATTTCTCCCATTTGCTTTTGAAAGAAGAGAAATATGGCTCTGTTCTGCCTGGCTCACTGGCAGTCAGAGTTTAAGGTTATCTCTCTTGTTCCCTGAACATTGCTGTTATCCTGTTCTTTTTTCAAGGTGCCCAGAGTTCATATTGTTCAAACACACATGCTCTACAAACAATTTGTGCAGTTAACGCAATCATCACAGGGTCCTGAGGTGACATACATCCTCCTCAGCTTACGAAGATGACGGGATTAAGAGATTAAAGTAAAGACAGGCAAAGGAAATCACAAGGGTATTGATTGGGGAAGTGATAAGTGTCCATGAAATCTTCACAATTTATGTTCAAAGACTGCAGTAAAGACAGGTGTAAGAAATTATAAAAGTATTAATTTGGGGAACTAATAAATGACCATGAAATCTTCACAATTTATGTTCTTCTGCCATGGCTTCAGCTGGTCCCTCCGTTCGGGGTCCCTGACTTTCCGCAACAAGTGGTAGAACAAAAGCTAAAGGGAGAGAATGTTTCAAGGAGGGAATAGTCAATAGTTAGATGTTTCTAAGAGCTCAAGGAACTTGGAGGAAGTTGTCAGATAGTTGGACTGTGGAAGGTCCTGTGCAGGTTAGGGACTATCTGAGGGTCCAGTGATAGCACGAATTCTCTTGGCCTTGTAAATTGCTCTTCTGCTCTACAGTTGGAAGGTGGCATAAAGCTGAGGACACAGACAAATGAATTGATATTCTGAGCTGGTGTTTTTCTAGGGAGGCAGCATGGAAGGTCAAGAGAGAAGATGAGTTAGAGTTTTTAAGAGAGACAGGTTGAGGTAAAGGACTGTGTAATCTCACATGAGTAGCTTTAATTGATGTATTAATCAGGATAGATTAACCAGGTAACAAGCAACCTCAGGATTTCAGTAGATTAGCATAATACAAATTTAATTCACCCTCCTATAATAATTCAATGAAGGTCATCAACATGCAGGGAGATACCTTGCTTCACATGGTCAGTAACAGACTGGGCTTTGGAATCCCAGAGATTCCAAAATCTCCCTTCTCTGCCTTCTCCTGCATAGAACCTGCAAATTTCATTCTTGCAGCAGGTGGGAAAGAGACAGAAGCCTGGGCAAGGGAGGTTTTTAAGAACCAGTCCATAAGTGGCACACATCATTTCTATATCGTTGAACAGAACTTGGTCATTTGGGCTCACCTAGCTGCGTGGGAAATAGAAAAATATACTCTGAGCTTGTGCCCAGGAAAAAAAAAAAGACAAAAAAAGATGATGTTGACTGAAAATTGAAAGGAAATGGGCAAACCAGGGAACTGGAGGTTTTACTAAAATCAGAAAAAGTTTGTGCTAGGATTAAGGAAAAGAAATTATGAGGTGGGAGGTTAAAGTCAGTGAGTGGCATGTTGTACTTGAAAGTTTAAGAGTAAAGAGCATGCCACCTGAAAGTCAGAGATGTTATTGGAGTAAGAGATAACAGACACTGGAGGGAGGGGCACAAGTGATAACTAAAAATATTTGTGGAACATTGTCTTCGGAAGGTGTGAGTAGCTGAAAACAAATGGGGATGAAATGTCCTTGGTTGGAATATGTTAGGGGCCAGGAGGACTGATGTGGCATTTACATGACTGATAATTCATTCCTTTGTCCTCAAGAGTCTTAGCAGGAAGGCATTGTTGACATGCTCCTTGGCCCGAGAATGTATCCAACTGCAATTGTATAACTGGAAAGACTTTTTCTTTAAGCAGGAAGTAGAGCAGGTGCTTGCATGAGCCTAGATATTAGGGTACTTCTTAGTCTCAAGCTTATTATCAGTTTTGTTTGCCATCCATGTGCCCACTATTGTTCTAACTTTAGACTGGAATATGAAATTTGGCTTCTCAAACCTACAGGTCTCCAGGTAACTGGATTATCAACCTTTTGTATTATAGGCTGCAAACAGAAAAAGATGTTTCCTTCCAAACAGGGTTTCTTCTCTCCCTACTTTCTGAAAACTAGTTTTAGTAGACACTAGTCTTTTTCATAGGATCTCTCACAGGTCTCAGAAAATTATAAATGGACCTCACTATCCTGAAATTTTCCTGCCATGTCCCCTAGTTCTTCAACCTCTGTATGTACATGCTTTGAGTCCAATGTTAAAAAGGTGACAGTTTAATCAGTTCTTTAACAGATGGATAACAAAGATTGCCAACATCCTAGCCTAAGAGAGATCCTTCCAGTCCTCTCGCCTTTCTCCGCTCAGCTAATTCCACCTTTTAGGGTCTGTCACTCTTAACTCCAAGTCTTACCTGACTTCCTGGTACCGATATCTCTATCAGTTAGGATTTTTTCAGATGTAAATTTCAGAAAACTCAAATGACCCTGGAAAAAAGGGAATTTGTTAGTTTACATGAATGAACACTTCAGGGATAGAATCGAGCACTATTTAATCCACAGCTCAAATAGTGTCACCATGAACTAGTTTTTTTTCCTTCCATATTTTTGTTCTGCTCTTTTGCTGTGGTTCTGTTCTTGCCCCAACGGACTGCAAGATGACTGTCATCAGTCTCCAGGGAATTGTCTTCTTACTTTGAATCCAGCAGAAATAAGAGTCTTTCTCCCAGGATTTTCAGAAAACCTTCTAAGGTTCAGTCTGATTGGACTGGCGTGGATCATGTGCTTATTTCTGAACTATTCACTGTGGCCAGAGAATGAGGTATACTGATTGACTTAGGCCACATCATATGGGACAAGGGATGTTCCTCACCAGAACACATGGGCTGCCTCTCCCCCTGAAAGAGCTATTGCTGGAAGAAGAAAGGATAGACGCTGGAGAAGGTGCATCACAGGTGAAGGCAGGTACTTGCTGAGCATTATTTGTCTTCAGAACAATCTAATTTGGATACTAGGATTTTTGTGTATGTTGTCTTTTTAAAGGAATATGAGATGGTTAATACCTCATCATTAAAACCCTATGGTTCATTTATTAATAAAATTTAATTATTTTTCCAATTCATGACTTTCCCCTTCTCTCCCTTTCCTTTTAAAAATAATTCTACTGACTATGTTAGGTTGAGAAGCAACATAGTGCCTTGGTTCTTCAGAGCTGACACAGTAGAGTCACTGTGTCACTATGAGCAAATTAATTAAACCTTACTGTACCTCAGTTTTCTAATCTGTAATAAGCTGATAATAATAGTAACTGTTTCATAAGGTTTTTGTATTAAATGTGATAATACTAGTTAGGTACTTAGGTATGGTGTTGGGTGTTTTACACACATTAGCTCATTAATTCCTCTCAACAACTCTATGAGGTAGGTACCCCTATTATCTCAGTTTTACAGATGGGAAAACTGAGGCATGGAGAGGCAAAGTAACTTGCCCAGTCACACAGATCATAAATGATAGCACCAGGATTCAAATCTTAATCACCATGTTTAACCACAGTTCTAATCACTGTGTTTAACCACAGTTCTAATAGTTTGTAAATTTCATCAAGCATCTCATTTTGTAGTCTCAATTATTTATAGTCTCATCATTTACATTAATTTGCTTTTTTTATTACTTAATTTTTTTTTTTGAGACAGTTTTTCTCTGTTGCCCAGGCTGGAGTGCAATGGTGTGATATCGGCTCACCGCAATCTCTGCCTCCCAGGTTCAAGCAATTCTCCTGCCTCAGCCTCCTGGGCAGCTGGAATTACAGATGTGTGCCACCACGCCTGGCTAATTTTTGTATTTTTAGTAGAGACGGGGTTTCACCATGTTGGCCAGGCTGGTCTTGAACTCTTACCTCAGGTGATCTACCCACCTCGGCCTCTCAAAGTGCTGGGATTACAGGTGTGAGCCACCACGCCCGGCCACTTAAAATTTTTCTTAAAATAAAGCCATTAGATCTGAAAAGAATGAGCTCGGCTTTATAGAAATTAATCTGATGAACCAAAAAACTACAATGGCTATTTGAATTTGTTGCCATTTTGTTTTTTAATTCTATAAAAATATCTCCAAAGGGGCCAGTCAATAGCTTGTAAAATATAATAATCATTATTTTATTATAATAAAATAGAGATTAGAGTTTATGAAAACCACACTTTGTCAAATATACAGCCTGTTAATTTGTTCTGCGTCTTTGAGATCTAGAGTTTTATTTGGAATAGTATTTAATGTATGCCACTTATGTTTTTTCCCCAGAAAATAAGCAGATGTTCTTTCCATATTTTTACAGCCAAGTTGCATCTTAATGGAGGGTTTAGAGCATAAAAACCAGTGAAGAGATTATCTTATCTACTCAAAATTACTTTGAAATACCCCTTCAATAGGCAGAATCTAGGTTTTCTGCTATGTTTTTACTTTGGGACAGTAGAGGCATGGTCTTGTTTCACCAGAGGAAGAACAACTGGTGAAACAAAGGCATCTCTCCTCCTGCCTCCCTCCGGCTGCCCCATAGCTCCTCTCTCTCCCTCCCTGCTTCCCTCTTTTCCTCCCTCTGTCTCTTTTATCCTCTTTGATGCTCTCTGTTTTACAAGTGTGGTGTGTTTGATTCCAAGTAAGCAAATGCCTGTATTATTCCAATTCCTTGGAATTTTGATAACATTTAAAAATGTTAATGTTTCTCACCAAAGATATTATTTTATTAACCACTGTATAGCTTATTTAGCACAAAGTATCCATGGAGCCAATAAAGTATCCATTTGTTACTTGTATCCAAAGTACATAATTTTGAATCTATAATTTTCAAGTTAAACAATAAATATATGAACACATTTTTACTGTGAAAAAGTTGAATAATGCAGATAAAATAAATACACCCTTGACCCCCACCCAATCCCACTCACCTCCATAGCTACCACCACTGTTATCATTTTGGAGTATATATACACATATATACACACACAAGCACATGGGTACACACCCACCCACACACAAAGACACTGTGATTTAAAAAAATAAAAATAGACAAATATTGTACATGTTTTGTTCTAAAATTGTAAACTCTACCAAGGCAAGGATTTTTGTCTCTTTTGCTTATTAATGTATCCCTAACAATGTCTAAAAGCTGGTGTATGGTAGCTGCTGAGTAAATATGTGAAGTTGACCTCACTTTATTCATTTAATGATATGTCTTAGGGATTTTTCCATGTAAATTCGCAGACATAAAATGACAAAACTTCTTTGTGGCATAATATTATAGTGTTCTACAGTATGGATGTGCCATACTTAATTCACATTTCCCTAAGGATAGGTATTTCTGCTGTTTCCAGTTTTTCCAAAACACCTGAACCAGTTCATAGACCCAACAACTATATATGTAAGTACCTCAATCCCCAGTACTGGATAATTATATTTTATATAATTTTTGATAATCTAACAGAAATAATAATATATTGTTGTTGTGATTTGCATTTTACTTATTGAAAGTTACAGAGGCCAGGCGCGGCGGCTCACGCCTGTAATCCCAGCACTTTGGGGTGCCAAGGAGGGTGGATCACGAGGTCAGGAGATCGAGACCATCCTGGCCAACATAGTGAAACCCCATCTCTACTAAAAATACAAAAATTAGCTGGGCGTGGTGGTGCATGCCTGTAATTTCAGCTACTCAGGAGGCTGAGGCAGGAGAATCACTTGAACCAGGGAGTTGGAGGTTGCAGTGAGCCCAGATCGTGCCACTGCACTTCAGTCTGGGTGACAGAGCGAGACTCCGTCTCAAAAAAAAAGTTACAGACCAGCCTTATACCTATTTAACAGACTTTGGTATCCCTTCTCCTATGAAATGTCTGATGTGTCTTTTGCCCATTTTAGGGAACCATTGTATTATTTTCTTATTGATTTTTAGGATTTTAAAAATAGTCTGGGTATTAGTTTTGTTTGTATTATATATAGTACAAATATTTTCTGCTTATCTATCTCTTGACTTTCAGTTTTTTTACTGGATATTATAAAACAAAAAGTTATAATTTTGGCTTAGAATATTTTAAACATTTTATGGCATTTATTTTTTATCTTATATTTTCTTCCAATATTTTTGTGGATTTTTATACTTAGCTATTTAAATTTTTGTTTGTTTGTTTGATAATCATATACTTCTGTCTTCTTAAACCACAGTTACTTATGTCTATAACTTACCGGCGAGGATAAATATTTTTCATGCTTATTGACCACTAGTATCTTCTGTTTAGAATGAGCCATTCATGCTGGTGTTTATATTCTCTTTGATATTTTTTAACTTTTACTGATTTATAAGAGAATTTTGATATAATAATTATATTGACCTTTTATCATATTTATTAACAATTTTTTAACTTTTTCTTATATAGAATTTAATTTTATTTATAAGGTTCTTGAGGTAAAGTTTTAAAAAATGTTTGATAGTAATGTTTATTGTTCTTTATTCTCTCATTTCTTCTACTGTATTTACATTTAGAAAGGTGGTACCTACCTTAAGAGCAGTTAAGTATTCATCCTTATGTTTGTAGCATTTTAATGCATCCATTATTGACATTTTTCCCTGTAACCTGTCTGAGATTCGTCATGGCACATGGTAGGAGGTGAGGCACTAACTTACAGAGCAGAGTATAGAGGCTAAGAGCATAGAATCTGCAAAGTCTAGTTCTGCCACTTGCCAGCCATATTAAGGCAAGTTCCTTAATATCTCTGTTTCTCTGTTTCCTCATTTGCAAAAGGAGAATGATTATTGCATCTACCTCTTAGAGTTGTTGTGAAGATTAAACACATTAATTTACATAAGGCACTGTGTATTTTGTAACAACTCAGTTACTATGGGCTATTATTATTTTATTCCAAAGGGGCTAATGTACAAATATAATCATATGAACAGTCCATACTATCACCATTGATTTGCAATACTTCTGTGATTGTATAATAATGTCAACAATAATAGCATAATAATCATAGCAGTTCACATTCCTTTAAAGTTTACTCTATGGCTAGGTATTGCCTTGAATGTATTCCTTACATCCACTCATGCAGTTCTACAGCAACCCTGTGAAACAGGGTCCAGTAGTTTTCCTGTTTTATAAATGATGGTACTGAAGCTTAGAAAAGTTAAATAGTTTACCCTAGGTCATACAATGGATAAGTGGCAGAATTCTGGCTTCAGTCCTGGTGAAGGATGAACTCTTAACCTAGAGTCCATATCTGGGTTATTTGTCTTATCCCTCCATCTGTTGATTTTTGTACAGTGACACACTTTTTAATTATTGCAGCAGTCTGTTTTAATAACTGCTAGGTTTTTCCTTTTATTATTCTTTTTTCAAAAATGAGTTTTGCTTTTGTAGATTACTTATTCTTTCAATTGAAGATTAAAATCTTGTCATATCCCAACTAGAGTTCTATTTGTTGATTGGGTATGTGTAAAGCTTACAAATTAATATGAGATGAAGTCTCATTTTTTCACTTGCTGTTTTCCCATCCAAACAGTTACTTGTTCTGTTTATTATAATTTTCTGTTTTCCCCCTTAACTTAGGTAAATTTATATATCTTGTTAAAATATAAAATAACTGGAAATACTCATGTTGTAATTTTAAATAGGATTTTTCAATTATATCTTCTAATTATTTATTGCTACATGAAAACCATTGATTTTTAAGCATTTATTTTGTATCACTGGAGTTTACTGGATTCTCTAGTAGTTTTAAAAATTCAATTATAATTTTTATTTCAACTGTGTAGTTACATCTTTTATTTCTATTTTCATATATTATTCCTTACAGAACAATATAAAATAGTACTGGATTTTCTAAGCTGCTTTTTACTTTAGTGGGAATTTTTTAGTCTTTTACCATCAGTTTTAATGTTGGATTTTTGTTTAAAATATATTTAGTATGATAAAGAAATAAATATGGGCCTGTAATCCCATCACTTTGGGAGGCCAAGGCAGGCAGACCATTTGAGGTCAGGAGTTTGAGACCAGCCTGACCAACATGGCAAAACCCCGTCTCTACTAAAAATACAAAAATTGGCCATATGTGGTGGCATGCACCTGTAATCCCACTTACTCAGGAGGCTGAGGCAGGAGAATTGCTTGAACCCAGAAGAAGGAAGTTGCTGTGAGCCGACATCGTGCCACTGTACTCCAGCCTGGGAGACAGAGCAAGACAAAGAAAGAGAGAGAAAGAGAGAAAGAAAGAAAGAAATTTAGGTGGGTGGGAGGAGGGAGAGGATACCTAATGGGTACTAGGTTTAGTACCTAGGTGATGAAATAATCTATATAACAAACCCCCATGACACAAGTTTCCCTATGTAACAAACTTGCACATGTACCCCGGAACTTAAAAGTTTTTTTAAAAAAAGAAATTTTCAAAAAAAGTAAATTCTTCTATTCCTCTGTATCTGAGATTCTCCATCAAAAATGGGCATTGAATTTCATTGAAGTGATTATGGTCTTACATATTGAATAAATTATGTAATTTGTTATATTGATATACTTAGAAAACATTCTTGCTTTTATTCTATAAGACTTATTTGGTTATTGGGAGTGATTGTTTGCCATTGAACGAATTTTCTTATTATTCAATTTAAGGTAACATTATTCTTTTTTTTTTTTTTTTTTTTTTTTGAGACGGAGTCTCGCTCTGTCGCCCAGGCCGGACCGCGGACTGCAGTGGCGCAATCTCGGCTCACTGCAAGCTCCGCTTCCCGGGTTCACGCCATTCTCCTGCCTCAGCCTCCCGAGTAGCTGGGACTACAGGCACCCGCCACCGCGCCCGGCTAATTTTTTGTATTTTTAGTAGAGACGGGGTTTCACCTTGTTAGCCAGGATGGTCTCGATCTCCTGACCTCATGATCCACCCGCCTCGGCCTCCCAAAGTGCTGGGATTACAGGCGTGAGCCACCGCGCCCGGCCGGTAACATTATTCTTTATAAAAAAATAATGAATATGCACTACTATTAAAATCCCTGTTGAAAGAGAAATGCCACCAAAATTAGGGAGAAAAAAATACTGTGTACTTTATTCCTGCATATCTCAATTTGCTAAATAAAACAAGAGGCTGGTTCATCTGTTGGGAGTGAGGGGAGTAGGACTTACATGGACATCTTAAGAAGATGGTGAAACTCAATATAGTTACTAAGTGGAATGTGGAAAAAAAAAAAGTAAAAGGGCTTTCAGCTGTTGGCCAGCTGGGAGAATCACCATCAGTTCACAGGCTGAGACTGCTGCACAGGGATGTCAATTTCTTCTCTTATTATCCGGCGAGAACTCTGGATCTTTCAATTTAGCCATTTAAGGGTTTAGCAAAAGACTAATTATAAAACCTCATTGACTATAAAGGTGTCACGAGATCTTTTGTTAGTGATGATGTC
Source organism: Homo sapiens (assembly GCF_000001405.40). NCBI lineage: Eukaryota > Metazoa > Chordata > Mammalia > Primates > Hominidae > Homo > Homo sapiens. Next base: position 172,107,618 of record NC_000001.11, read on the forward strand.
CATATTGCAGACCAGAATGTTCTTTTGGAAGGATGCCACTAGTTCATTATCACAGTGAAAATCAGAGTAAATAGATGAGACATTCTTGTATATATTTCCAATAGTGCTCTTTTGTTATTTTTGTTCATTGCTTCTCATACTGAAATTAAATCCTCTGAAAATAAATATGTCCCAAATTCACCATGACCAAGGCAAATTTCAGTTTCTGTCCCCAAAGCACGAATCTTTTCACATTCAGTGCAATAACATTACAGAATTTTTCCTGAGTCAGAATATTCCACAAAATATGAGACATCTTTACATTCTTAAGGTATTTCAAGGAGTCCTGTATTATGTATTCATAAAAAAGAAAGCTTATGTTGATCAGAGCAGTCAGGCAGGAGGTACCCGGTGGTTAACCTTCTGGTCTCCATTCTCACTCAGGACTCTGCTGTATCTTAAGTCTCGGTGTCAAGGTACCTAAATGCCAGGGCATATCAGGACATTTTATCATAAATTTTAAAATTTTGTTTTGTAATTGGATAATCCTATTCGAGAACAATCTTACTTTTTTTTCCTCCTCAGATATGTATATGTCTTCTAATCTTAGGGTCTCAGATTTATCATATAGTAGCTCTACATGTCAGTTCAAAATTCCATTTGCCATAAATCCCCCACCCCCTAGTGAAGTCCCTCCTTTTCTTTTTTCCCTCAGACATTTGCAATGACCAAGTCTCTTATAGCTTCTGTGGAACCATTTTTACTTTCCCTTGGGAGTAATTTGCATGGTACAGCAAGATTGTGATTTAATTGGAGTAGTCTTAGTAGCTTGAAAGAGTTAATGCAGGTCTCAGATGTATCTGAATAATTCTGGAAAGAGCAAAATGGTTTATTTGCCTAGCAATATATATTTTCTAATTATGTAAGTGCAGAAAATAAGTAAAATTTAAGAGATAATCTCTTGAAAAAATGTAAACATGTGGAGCATTCACTAATTAGGGAATGAAATGTCTTACTCCCAAAGTTACTATGAAATTTCTTTGACTCAGCAACCAATCCATTCCCCACCCCAGGGAATTCCATCAGGCTGAATTATATGGGATGAATGTTCCCTATCCAGGAAATGAGTGCCCTGGTTTTATAATTGAACCTCAGTTCCTTGAAGCTTTGCACTGTACACTTGCCTTACCAAATAATTGGCTGAAGTTTTTGTCCTGATTCTTGGTAAGGTTATTTACACACTTAGCCTGTGATGGATGGCCCCTGTGGGCAGATTATTAGCTGTACTACCATTTGTATTGCCTGGATGGAGAACTACTTTGGAAATGGTGAACAAAAATAAAATAAGCTTGGGAAATAAAAATATTAATACTAAATATAGTCATCATAATTTAAACAATTTCTAATGCCTATAATTATTATTTGTTTGCACTATAATATGAATTCTTTATGGAGTTTTGCCATCTCCAGCCCCTTTTCTAAGTTTTAATTTGAGTCTCAATTGACTTTTGTCTTTTATAAGAAAGTACGATTATAACAAAAACCTTAGTTTAATATCGAGTCATTTTATTGTTTCCTTACCTAGTCTACTAAAACTGATTTTCTTAATAAAGCTATGGAATTTTTAGCATATATATTTTATTCTCTTCAAACATCTCTTTCTTTTCCAGCAACTCTGTTCTTCCTGTTGACCTGCTGTAAAAAGTGGAGGAGGAAAAGGGAAAAGGAGGATTTGTTTTTGGGAACTCAACTATCTATAAATGACTTCCTCTTGTTTGGTACATCCACTTGCAGCATTTCATTTTCAAATGCCTGGTCGCAGGATCCATGTCCTGGAGGAAGGAACCATGTCATCCTTCACTCATCCTGTGCACATAGCCTGACCACTGCTCCAAATATTATCTCCTATAACTTCTGGCATTTCTTGTGCGTCTCCTCTTCCTGGAGTTCATAATTCATGTCACTGATTTCCGGTGCATGCAGAGTCAGGTTTTAGAAATATGAGACAATTTTAAAATTACAGATGCAAAGCCTCGCTGTTTGAGCCAACATCTGCAACTAGTTTACGGGATTAACAAAATAGCTGCTCTGGATGACTGATATTTACCAGGGCCTCTCCATTTCCCATCAGAAATCAGAATGCCTGTTACTTATATGTTCTTTAGTTTTCAATGGAAATCAGGAATTCATCTGTTACATACTTTACTTTATTAAGTTTCCTCCTGGAGTATCTTGAGTTACAGCCAATTTTCAGTTAGCCATCATTAAGCAGCTTGGGAAGAATATGGGTAATTAAAATCCACAAATAATTAAAAGACTGACTTTAACCAGGAGCTCCAACACTCTACCCTGAGACATTCTGCTGAAATTACAAACAAGTCAAACAGTTAATGTGTTGTTCTTTGTTTTGTTTTGGTGCAAACAAAAAAAATTCTGAACCTGTTACTCCTCAGCTTTCAACCATTCAGAAATACTCCTTTACATATAAGATAAAGTTCTAACATTCATTATTCATTCCCTCTTTTCTCCCTGTTCCTTCTCTTGCCCCTGACACTCCTGAATTCTGTGTTCCAGGTCTCCAGTCAGCTTCAATAGCTCAGGCTCTTTCTCTGTTCTTCTTTTCCATTATTGCCAAAACATCATTTCATTTATCAGTTTAAATAGCACTTTCTTAGGAGTACTTTTCCGGACTTCTACACTATTTTCAGTCCTCAACTGCATGTTCCCATAGAAATACATACTCCTCTCACCACAGTTTTGTATATCTACTTGTTTAATGTCCATCTCCCCAATTTGACTATATGCTCAGTTAGATCAGGGACAGTAGTTGCCATTTTCACTGCCATATTCTGTGTGTCTAACATAGAATCCGCTTATAAATATCCAACAAGTAACTGTTGAATGAAAGAATTAAATATTTTAAAATCTGGAATTAAATCACCAGCTACATAAATGTTCTATAAAATAATGACTCAAACTGTGACATTAACATCCAAAAGGGAGACTCTAAAATATATTAAAGCTGCTTATTAATTTTGGACATTACTTTCTGTCATTCAAAGGAAAAAAGGTATTTTAAATTTAATTGTCATTGCAGGTGTGACTATTTCAGTTTTCCATCTAAATAAATATGTCACCACAACAATTGTTACATGTAGGTTGGGTGCAGTTGCTCATGCCTGTAATCCTAGCACTTTGAAAGGGTGAGGCAGGTGGATTGCTTGAGCCCAGGAGTTGGAGACAAGCCTGGGCAACATGACAAAATCCTGTCTCTACGAAAGATACAAAAATTAGCTGGACAAGGTGGCATGCGCCTTTAGTGTCAGCTACTCAGGAGGCTAATGTGGAAGGATCCCCTGAGCCGGGGAGATCGAGGTTGCAGTAAGCTGAAATTGTGCCAGGGCACTCCAGCCTGAGTGACAGAATGAGACCTTGTCTCAAAAAAATAAAATTAAATTAAATACGTGTAGCTCTGAAATATGATTCTGAACATAGTAAATTCTAATCTAATAAAGAAACTGATTTAAGCTTGATTAACAATTAGAGCAAACCACTGAATTATGACTTATATTAAAACCCTAGCAGATGCTATTGTTGCTTTAGATGGGAGAGATTTTCCTTTATCATCCTTGACCTCCCAGACATTGTGACAATACAATAAGACTGCTACATGTTTACAGTAGCCCTTGGTGTTGATATTGCCCTTGATTTAGAACCATGGTACCAATAATTTATTGACTAATCTGTGATCTAGGGAAGGTATAAGTATTTGGTATTCCAAAGGAGTATAAAGCACAGTTGATCTCTACTTGATAATAATATCAGCCCTTCACTGATGCCAGACATTCTATTGAGTACTTTATATACATTCATCTCACTTAGTATTTACAAAATCTATTTGAATTTAGGATTATTAGTTCCAATTCTTAGTTGACAATAAATGAGGCTTGGCTATATTAAGTAAGTTGCCTAAGTTCACATAGCTAGTAAATGGCAGAACTGACCTAAAAGCCCAGAAAGTCTATGCTTTGAACGAATAAGCTGTAATCTTATTGGGAAAATGGGAGCACAGCAAACACAGTGGCGAGTAATTCAAAACAAGGTGATGTAAGTGCTAAACTCAGATAGTGAACAGAGTAGATAGAAGAAAGAGAGCCACATGGGCTACCAGAGCTTCTTTATTTGTTAAAATAGTATAATAGATGGACTCCTTTTTTTTTTTAATCTTAGAATGTTACTTTCAATTTAGCCATTTAAGGGTTTTGCAAAGGACAAATTATAAAACTTCATTGACTACAAAGGTGTCACGAGATCTTTTGTTGGTGATGATGTCCATATTGCATACCAGAAGATTCTTTTGGAAGGATTGCCCAGAAACTGCTCTACGTATTTATACTTCTACCTGTCATTCTCTGGAATATTTGATATTTTAATAATCATAATAATAGCTATAATTTATTGCATGGGTGTTTTATATCAGGCAGTGTGTTAGGTGCTTTGTTCTTCAAAATAACCTTGCAGAGCATATACTCTTATCTTCATTTCGATGGATAATAATAAAAATAGCTGATATGATTAAGCATTTCTTACATACCAGCCTTGTGGTAAGCACTTGACATTCATTATTTTCCTTAATCTTCACAACGACCTTATGGTCTAGGTAGCAACGGTTTCATGACTGAGGTAACTGGGGCACAGAGAGGTTGGATAACTTGTCTGGGGTGACACATGTAGTATGTGGTAGAGCTAGGATTTAAACTCATGAAGTCCAGCACCAGAGCTGGGGCTCACAATTGTTTGCTTCCACTCTGGTTTCTCCAAGGCCACGTGACTAATATGGTGGAGCTAGGGATCAACTACAAAGTCTTGGCCCTTTCCACTCATTGGTACTCTTTTGACTCTTAAATCTGAGTGATTCTTTCATCACAGTGACCCTGGCCCTGAACCTCTTCAGTCTTTCCATTTTCCAGTATGTGCCATTCCTGAAAACATAACCAATTCCTGAATGTCAAAGGAATTGCTTTTTTTCCAGTGATAAAAATCTGTAGTGATATCTGTCTTTTTATCCCTGAAAACAGAGGGGAGAATTTAATAGCATAGGCCTGGAGCTTGAGATGAGTTTGGGGCCCCACTTGCCACTTGTAAGCTGAATCATTCACATCATAAGGTTGAGTCGCTCTATGCCTCACAGTGTTCAAAGATAAAAGAGGAAGAGCAGTGTGAATCTCATAGGGTTGTTGAGAAGATTAGTGAGACATCCATGTAAAGTGCACACTGCTTATAGTAAATATTCATTAAGGGTTAGCAACCATTTTTATTATTGCAATTAATAAAGTTGTCCTTTTGAATTCTCAGAATTGTACCAGTAAACTTTAACTTAACCAGTAGTTCTCATGGCTCCTCTAATTTAATAACGTTAGCAGTTTAAAGTAGTCCTCAGGGTTATAATTAATGCCTTATTTATTTACTGAATGTGGGGTATTTACTGAAAGTATAGTTTGATGATTAAAGGTAAATAGGGTTTCCTTAGTGAAAGATTTGTCTTGATGAGATAAGAAAGTCAAATTGGAAAGAAGTAAAAAATTATATTCAGAAAATAAACTCCAAGAATGACCACTGTTATTTTAAATTTTATCTTGGTAACGTTAACATTCCTTAACTTCCTGCTATGTGTGAGGCCCTGTTCTATGGATTCCCTCATTTAATTTTCACCACAATTCTATAAGGGGATATACTATTATTAGCTCTTTCTGCCACTCCCCCACTTTTTTACAATTGAGGAACAGATGTACTCAAAGAAACTCAGGAAGTCGGAGTTCGAGATCAGCCTGGCCGACATGGTGAAACCCCATCTCTACTAGAAATACAAAAAAATTAGTCGGGCCTGGTGGCGGGTGCCTGTAATCCCAGCTACTTGGGAGGCTGAGGCAGGAGAATCACTTGAACCTGGGGGGCGGAGGTTGCGGTGAGCTGAGATTGCACCATTGCACTCCAGCCTGGGCAACAAGAGCAAAACTCTGTCTCAAAAAAAAAAAAAAAAAAAAAAAACAACTCAGGAAGTCCATGTTTTCTTAACGTAAATTTTTACTTTCCTGGCATCAAAAATTGGTCTTGACAAAAGTGCCCAAAGCGTTTACACAAAATTTTACAGCACATCCTGCATCGTGTGGCATCAGCTGTGAGTTATCCCTTTTGTGTTGTCAATCACATTTTAATTCCCTGATAGGCCAATCTCAATCACAAATTTATTGTGAGTGTCTTTTCTTCTTAAATAATCTGATGCAAAGAGGCAAATAATACTGCCTACTGCCTAGAAAAGGGATTTTGACATTATTTCCTGATTTAATTTCCTATGTATTGAATCGATGCCAGACACTCTTCTGGGGGTGGGGTGGTAAATAAGACAGATTAAGTTCTCACTCTCTCATGAAGCTTATATTTTAGTGGTGGAAAAGATAGAAAATGAACAACAAAAAGACAAATGAGCAAGAAGAAATTGTACATATTTTCAGTGTAGAGAATTAAAATTGGTTGCTATGAGGAAAAGTGAAGATGGAGGGGCAGTGTGGAGAGAGGTAATAGGAGAACCTCTCTGAAGAGGGATGGTATAAGGTGAGTTCTGCATGACAAGTCGTGGCTAACCATGCAAAGGTCAGAAGGTAGAGTCTTGCCAGAAGGTACAGCAAGGACTAGAAAGAACTTGCATGTTGTAGAAACCAAAAGATAGCCAGTGCGGCTGAAACATGTGGCAAAGAGTGGAAAGAGATTAGGCTGGGTGTTCTAAGACACTTTCTGTTTTTAGTGTGGATATTGAGATGTAGGTGATCACTTCTACCTGTTTCGTACTCTTCATAAAGGTTCTTCCATTACAGAATCTCTAAGACTCTATATACTTATGTACCTGCCCTACCCAGCAATTTGGCAAGAGTACAAAGGAAATAAGGTATCCCAATTTATCTAATGAATGAGATCCTTTCCTCTTCCATGCACTTGTGCCTTTTGTTCCCTGTACTAACACTTACTTATATAATGCTATATTCTGGAGTAATGGTTACAAGTACTGTTTAGTGCTCTGTGCATTCTCATTTGTCCTCCAACAGTAGGTACTACTATCCTCATTTATGGATGGGAAGATTGAGGCTCCGAGAGGTTAAGGATCATGCTCTAGAGGGATGGAGCTGGGTGTAGATGACCCTGGAGACTTGCTACCTCCTTAGGAGTGTTGCTTATTTTACAGTATGCATAAGTTTTATGCCACATGTGAGGCTACGGGCATCTTGAAGTCAGTCCAAAATTTTATCTTTTATAATCTTCATGCCATGTACTATCTAGTAACTATGATAAAGATGTTAAAAATGTTGTTGGCAGGATGAAAATATTTGATTAAGAAATGACACTAAAATTATCCCCATCAAAATTATCTTCATCTTCTCAAGAGAATATACCAAGGAAAGAAACAGATTGTTTACCTTACATTTGTATCCATATGAAACATACAGTCTTTTCATTGTCTGGGAGTCTGTCCACACCACAGTAACAAAAAAAGTGCAGGTTGTATATTTGGTGCTGGAGATAGAAAGGTGTTAGATAATATTCCTGTCCTCCAAGGGCATGGCATCTAGTCCTGCAGAGAGCTCTCATTCCTTTTTTCCCCTCTCATACCACATCTCCTTTCCAATAGCAAATCCTGTCATCTGGAATCTGACCACTTCTCTCTCTGCCCATTACCACCACCCTGCTCAAAGCTCCATCATCTCTCACCTGGGTTATTGGCCTCCCTCCTGCTTCTCCTCTTTCTCTTGTGAGTCTCTCCCCTCAGCAGCCAGAAAGCATTCTTTAAAACAGTGAGATCATATTACTTCCCTGTTCAAAACCCTCTAGTGATTTCCATCCTACTGAGAATCAAATCTAAAGGTCTCCAATGACTGTTAAGGTCTATGGGATCCGTCTCCTCCAGCCTCTCTGATCCAAGTTCCTAAGGCTCCTCCCCCTCTCGCTCACTGGGATCAGGCAATTGGCTTCCTTGGTGTTCCTGCCTCAGGACTTTTGTACTTATTCACTGTTCCCTCTTCCCGGAATTCATTCCCCTCCTCCATCCTGTTACACCAACACAATCCACATGCTCTTTAAATTCCTTCAGGTCTCTGCTGAAATGTTATTTTATTGAAGAGGCCTTTCCTGATTAAGTGAAAAACATCATTTTCTCTCCAACATAAACCAAGAGCATGCATTATCTCACTTAGATTGCTTCGTTTTTTCACAGTATTTATCATCTCCAGATATATAATTATATGGTTATTGTCTATTGCTGAACTCTAACCACAACTCTACCCCAACTGGAGAATATAGGTTCTAGTGCCTAGAATAAAAAAAAAATAGGTACTCAATTAACGTAGTAAGTATTCAATAACCATCTATTCAACGGATGGATGGATGGATGGATCTTCTATCTCTGGCTAATATTTAGACTCAGCTTATCTTTGGCTCTAAAAAGGTAGCACTTGCTATGTAAATAGTGTTCTGATAATATTAATGAAATATCAGTTCTTTCTTGTTGGATTGTGTATATCAGAAGCTGTAGGAAGAAGCATACCTACATGCATCTTCCCCTTTTTCAATTTGTGTCATTATCTTGTTCTTGTATTGTGCTGCCTGTGGATGGCATTCTGTCTGGATGGATGTGTCTTTTTCACACACATATGATCATTCTAAAGAGACCCCACAGGAGGTTCTCACATGCCTGCTCTTTGCTTCCCTTGTTCACTGACTTCTGCACTCATCATCCCCCTATTTCCTTGCACTGCTGTAGACCTGGTTGTTTTCTGAGACAGTCCCTATCCAGTATTCTTTTCTCACATTCCACATTTGGTGCGAATCCAAAGCCAGTCCAGCATGGAGTGGACAGGTGGTGTTGGGGAGGGGGAACAGGGAAAGGCAGAGGAGAAGCAAAGCTCCAATGGAGATTCCCTTCTTTCTCCCATAGCTGAGGACCCTGTATTCTCAAGGGTAGCCACCTCAGCTCTATGAACCAACTGTTTTTGGAAGTACATCTGGAACACTTTGGGATATTAAAATAGGGCTTTGTGGTCAAACTTGGAGTTGGTAAGCAAAGTTAAAAGGTGTGTTTATCTTGATACTTCTCAGCATTTTTAATAGAAGAATGTGCATTGTGTACGTGAGAGAAGACCGTATGGTATTGCAGGAATTTCATAACTTTTTTAGTCATGAAAACTTTTTTCATGGAATGTCTCTCTTAAATAGCATTTCTTAGAACGTACTTTGAGAAACCCTGCCTCAACCCCATCAGTTACTTAAAAGTCTTCACTGGGCCGGACGTGGTGGTTCCCGCTTGTATTCCCATCACTTTGGGAGGCTGAGGTGGGCGGATCACCTGAGGTTGGGAGTTTGAGACCAGCCTAACCAACATGGAGAAACCCTGTCTCTACTAAAAATACAAAATTAGCCAGGCATGGTGGTGCATGCTTGTAATCCCAGCTACTTGGGAGGCTGAGACAGGAGAATTGCTTGAACCTAGGAGGCAGAGGTTGTGGTGAGCTGAGATCATGCCATTGCACTCCAGCCTGGGCAACAAGAGCAAAACTCCATCTCAAAAAAAAAAAAAAGTCTTCACTGAGGCCTAAGCCTTCTCTCTATTTTAGAATACCAGAATGGCGGCATTTTTTTTTAAAATGTGCATGGCTCTTATATTTAGTCTTTGTGACTGATATGGTTTGACTGTGTCTCCATGCAAATCTCACCCTGAATTGTATCTCTCAGAATTCCCACGTGTGGTGGGAGGGACCCAGGGGGAGGTAATTGAATCATTGGGGCCAGTCTTTCCCGTCCTATTCTCATGATAGTGAGTAAGTCTCTCAAAATCTGATGGGTTTATCAGGGGTTTCTGCTTTTGCTTCTTCCTCATTTTTTTCTCGCAGCCACCGTGTAAGAAGTGCCTTTCATCTCCCACCATGATTCTGAGGCCTTCCCAGCCATGTGGAACTGTAAGTCCATTTAAACCTCTTTTTCGTCCTAGTCTTAGGTATGTTTTTATCAGCAGTGTGAAAATGGACTAATAGTGAATCAGGGTCCCACAAGTATCATCTTTAATCTTTCTCTGAAAGCTGAATTGTATTGGAAGTGGAGAGAGGAGAAAGAGGTTGTTTTTAGGAATGAGCTCTTTTATTTTGACCCCTAGTAATTACTAGCAGGTAAATCCTTAGAAGCACTGAAAAAGGTAGTGATACATAAGGGCAAGTTAGAAGTTGTGAAGTGTGTTCTCTTGCTTGGTAAGAAGAAAGACAACTGGGTCATACATAAGAGATTGTGGCACTGAACAGGGGAGTTGGTAAGCCACTCCTCGGGACCTCAAGACTAAAGTGCACAGGGCTAACCAAACTGACAGGAAAGTATGTTTGTGGTTTGCACAAGGTGAAAGCCCCAGTTACCCACAGCTATGTGCTTAATGGTGTCTATATCCTCACATCCTGCACTGCCAAAATCCACAGAACAATCAAAGGTGAGGAAGGAAGGTCCTTGATTCCTTCACATTGGAAGAGATTTAAAACTAGGATTCCACATTAGATACATGCATGCATTTTTCCCTAGAACATTAGTATTTATGGTAGTGGGTTCTCTATGAAGGATTGGCTACTAACACTTATTTAATACCTGAGTGTGTGAGCATCTCCTTAGTAATACTATTGGTACTCTTTTTCAGAGGTATGATAGGGTAAATAAATTTTTCTAGAATGTCTTAGGAACCCAAAACCTTAAAATTTGTCAGCCATTCTCATTACTTGACATTGACAAATTGCTCTATAGCTTTAATTTGAATGATTGAATGATAGCACATCTTGTTGCTTCCCTTTAGGGATCAAAATTTCCAGGAAGTCTTTTAAAACTGATTCTCTGTTTGATATGTTTTCTTCATTGGCCAATTCTTGTTTTGTTTTGTTTTTTCTTCTTTTGCAATTTTGGAAGATTTTTTTTTTCTGCATCTGGAAGATGCTGAGAAAGTATTGATTCACCATATGAAATCAGACTTACATGGGAAAATTTCACCTCTGTCACCCACCCGTTCCACTCTCGAGCTCCCCATCTCCATCAAGCCACAGCAACAACTCTTAGTGACGTTTCCCAGCCAGCAGGCATCAGGAGAGCCAGAGTGGTTTTTCTCATATTTAATGCTTTCAAACCAGTCACAGCTGGCTGCTCCTGCAAGTGCCCATCTCTCATCAGAGATGCTGAAGCTCCTCTCTGAGTCCCTCAATCCTCCCCTCTGTCCAGAGATTAAAGACAAAGGCCTGGCACAGAAGGGAGCCTTTGGTACCCTGCTTTAGCACTGTGACCCCATCACCTTTGGGGATTGGTCAGGCTGATGTCATACTAGTTGTTAATTTTTTTTTTTTTTTTTGAGACAGAGTTTCACTCTTGTTGCCCAGGCTGGAGTACAATGGAGCAATCTTGGCTCACCACAACCTCCGCCTCCCGGGTTCAAGCGATTCTTCTGCCTCAGCCTCCTGAGTAGCTGGGATTACAGGCATGCACCACCACACCCAGTTAATTTTGTATTTTTAGTAGAGATGGGGTTTATCCATATTGGTGAGGCTGGTCTCGAACTCCTGACTTCAGGTGGTCCGCCCGCCTCAGTCTCCCAAAGTGCTAGGATTACAGGTGTGAGCCACCACACCTGGCCAGTTGTTAAATATTTTTAATATTCTCTCTTCAGTAACCTTAAAACCAGTGAAAAAAATTTTACGTTTGACCTTACAGTGGCATTTGACCTTTGACCTTTCAATCTTTTCACCTTTACGTTTGACCTTTCAATCCTTTCGCCTTATTGAGACATTCTCTTTCATTCATTTTTGTAGTATTCTCTGTTCTCTCTCTCTTCTAGCCCCGCCTCGGTTTCCTTCATGGGTCCATCCTCTCCTCCCAGACATTGCACGTTGGCTTTCCTCAGCGCTCAGTCCTGGGCCCTCTTCTCTTCTCACCCAAATGCTCATTTTAAGTCATTTTTTTCACACCCACAGTTTTATTTACACCTGCAAACAACAATTCACAAATTTGCACATCTGATCCAGACATCTTTACAGCCAATGATCTATTTCACATGTTCACATCTTGACATGTCCAGACTGAACTTATGACTCCTCCACTCCCTAAACATAGTCCTCCTACTCTCTGTCCATGAATGTGCCTCAACAGTCTGTTTAGTTTCTTAAACGTAGACCTCGGGAGTCATCTTCGACACCCCTTTCTCTCCCATCTTCCATATCCAATTTATCATTGTCATACTAACTTCTCTTCCTAAATATTCTTCAAATCTGTCCACTTCTCCATATGTTCATTTCTAAAACTTTGGTCAAAGTTATCATCATTTTTAATGTCGGATTCTGCAATAGTCAACTATCAATCACCCTGTATCCTTTTTCCTCTCTCGAATCTCTTCACCAACCCAGAGCTAGAAGAGAACTTTTCATGTGCAAATATGTATTAGTCTGTTCTCACACTGCTAATAAAGATATACCTGAGACTTGGTAAATTACAAAGAAAAAGAGGTTTAATGGACTCATGTTCTACGTGGCTGGGGAGGCCTTCACAATCATGATAGAAGGCAAATGAGGTTCAAAGTCACATGGTGGCAGGCAAGAGAGAGCATGTGTAGGGGACCTCCCCTTTATAAAACCATCAGATCTCATGAGACTTATTCACTATCAGGAGAACAGCATGGGAAAGACCCACCCCTCATGATTCAATTACCTCCCACTGAGTCTCTCCCATGACATGTGGGAATTATGGGAGCTACAATTCAAGATGAAATTTGCATGGGGACAGAGCCAAACCATGTCAAAATCTCATATTGTTACCCTACTTTAAACACTTGAAAGCCTTCCCATTTCTCTCAGGATAAGGACCAAATTTCTTCACATAAATTACATGACTAAGTGTTGTTTGCTCCTCCAGGCACGCCTGGTAGGAGGCTCACTCTTGCTTTAGGTAGAGTGGCCACACTGAGTTTGCCTCTCCCTCTCCCACTCCTGCCCCACACATCCTTTAGATTTCAGCTCAAGTGCTGAATACTATAAGTATGCCTTTTCTTATACCCGGTGCAGGTGAGAGCACTGTTCATGTAAGGAACCACTTCTTGGCAGCACCAACCAGAGTTATAACTTTACATTTATCTGTGTGAGACTTTGTTTAGTGCCTATTCTCTCACTTGTCTATAAGCTCCATGGAGGTTGGGGACTGTGCCTTTGTGTGTGTGTGTTACTGTTTCCTTGGTTTATTCTTGTATTTCCAGTGTGCCCTCTGACACCTCTAAGGTGCTCACTAACTTTCTATTAAATCGTTAATAAATATTTACTAAGGTGTTTTTTTTCTTCCTCTGTTAAATAAGCTCTCTGGATTATTTTTAGTAAACATCCACATTTTATTCAGGCCTTGATAATTATGAGGTATTTTTTCCTCATGTGTGCATATTTTTGTCCTTGAATGTGAGAAATAGATGACAGGCTTAGTTCTCATTCTGTTTTGTATCATTTGGAATCCCTTCCACATGGAGGGCCTATTAACTTCAAAGGAAGCTCTGCACATGGGAAAGATACACAGGAAAAAAGTGAAAAAAACTAGAGCCCTGATTTTCATCATGGTTAATGGCCTGGATCTTATAGTGGTTTAGGTGAGTAAACTCTGAGAATAAACAGCTCACTCTTAGTGAACTCTTAGAAATAACTGTACATGTGGCAGAAATAATGCATATGCAGGCATTTGAGCAAATTCTGGGAAGCAATAAGAAGAGAAAAACATCTTTAGAAATAATTTTAAGAATCAAGATAGTGCGGAAGCCTAGTAAGCCACAGAGGCATAAAAAATGCCCTCATTATGTGAGCATGGGCTAATGTTTTGGAAGCGAAGCTCAGTGAGAAGAGGTTTCTGGTGCTTTTGCAGGGCAGAATGAGTAGACGATGATGAAGGCACTGTAGACATAGTCATTGTAGACTTGGGAAGTCCAGAAAAAAGTGAGAAAGGGACTCCTTCAGTTGCATGATGAAGTTCTTCTGCGAAACAGTAACTTGGAGTTCTGTTTAATTTATAAAATCTTTGTTAGTTGGTTACAATTTAAACTTATGCCTGTGTTATTAGGTAGGGGTTGGGATTTACAGAGGAACCAGGGAAACAGAAAGTTATTAATTTTTTGGCAGCTGTATTTTAAAAAGTGGGGGTTTGATATGAATATTAAATATTGGTTCCTTATTTTCAATCAGTTTTTATTGAACACTATTAATGTTTTCAGTCAATCCAGTCAGTTCCTTATTTAAAACAGTCAGGCTTCTTTCATCACAGTGATTTCCCATATACTACTTCAGAATGCTTTCTTTTTATGTTGTGCTGTTAGGTTATTTCACTACTAGGTTGCTTATAATCTGTTTCAGTTTTTTCAAACATGCTGTGTTCATTATACATTAAAGGGAATCTCAAGAAATTGCCTCTTTTAAACAAGCAATAATGTGATGCCAACTTACTTTTTTAATCACATGAGTATTATAGGAAAATAGGAAAAATACAGGGAAATGGAAGGAGGAAATAAATAGAACTTTGTGTTTTACCATCAAGTTTCAATCATAGGTAACATTTTGATATATATTACAATTTTTTCCCTGTCCTTACAATAACAAATATAACTGAAATAATAGCATACATATAATACTAATAGGTACTAATCTAAATCCTTTACATATATTAACTCATATGATTCTCATAACAACTCTACATTATAGGTATTATTATTATTCCATGTTACCTATGAAGAAATTGAAGCAAAGGGAGTTTGTTCCTTTTAACTGACCCAATGTCACCCAGGCAGCAACTATTGAAACCAGGAGCCAATCCCAGGTAGTCTGACTCTAGGGTCCTGCCCACTATTAGCACACCCTGGCAAAAATATTTTTCCCACATCATGTACTAGGCATTTTTGTTTAGCTTAATTTAACATCAGAGGATTATGCCACAACCTGTTAATCAGTTTCCTGTTAGGAAAATGGATTGCTTCCAATTGCTTGCCATTAGATGCCATACTGTAGCCAACATCGTTGTATGTGTGTGCGTTAAGGGTGGGGGCTCTGAAATCAGTCCACTAGAGAGGTTTTATTTTATTCAACTGCTGAATCCTCTAAGCGTGCTCTGCAAATTGGAGTAAAATGGCAAACAGTGCAGAAACTCCTACAAGGAAGACCTGTTTATTACAAACATGGATTTGTCAGTTAAATAGAAGTACAATCTCATTTTCCTCACCTATCGGGGAGGAAAATGTTCCTTCCCTCACAGAATTATTATGTGGATTAAAAGAAATAATGTGTGTGAAGCTCTTAGCATAGTGCTTGGCACCGAGTAATATTTAGTAAATGTTAGCCATTGTTACTATTCCTGAATTTCTAAAAATGGAGTCAAATTATTATATTCTTTGCCTATTTTAGATACTTAGGAAACTCTCATTTCCTAGAAGGTTAAAACCAGGAAGTAACATCCAAATGTAAAAAAGTCACTTAGCCAATTCATTCGTATTAGTAACAATTGATTTTGTAGAGTCTTGTAGAGTCTTGAAAACAAAGAAAAACAATCTTTCATCAAATATTTGATTATTTTGTGTCTCAATTTCACTATTCTTTAAATCCCTTCATATATACTTCATCTTATTTTCTTGTTTTCACAACTTCTTTATCTCTGTCATAGCATTAGTTCATCAGATGTGAAAATCTATTTTCTACCATATAGCTGGCCACTTACAAGTCACACCTGGGCATATTTGTGGTGGCCCTCACTTGTGTTTCTGGGGCCAGGGCACCTGGCACAGTACCTGATCCATCATAGGCATTCAGGAAATACTGGATGACTGACTGATAAGTGTCTTAGGTGAGAGAGACTTTTGAACACTTTCCTGAATTGAACTTGTCCCTGAAAACTGCAGGCATGACCCCCTTCCTTCCACTGTTAGAGCATACACCCTCTGTGGGCAGGCGAGTTCCCTTGATGAATGGGGGCAAGAATGGCAGAAAGATAGGCCCAGGACTACACTTCCCTTTTTGTCCATCCAGATCAATGTGAGAAGTCACTTTACTCCTCCTGGGGAGGACTGAGTGAGGAAACAACAAGAGTGCCTCTCCATTCCTCAACCCTCAGCGGTATTGCTCCATCTTCTCCCACCTTTTATTCCATTGAGTTTAATCCTTATTCTGGTGGCCAACCAGGGCTGTGGCTATCCCTCTTTGAGGTAAGAAGTCAAAGCTCTATCAGTTCTGCTTCTACCTTCTTGATATCACTCCCCCAAAGCTAATCATGGCTCCTATGGGCATCCTCTTAGCACCACTAGTGGACAGAAAGTTCTGAGAGGGGTCAAAGCAGTGCATTTGTAGAGTCCACTTCAAGGCCAGCCTATGTACAAGGTTACACGTTTGCTCCTTATTTCTTGTTTCAAATTATGTTCAGACATGCTGTTTCTATAGCTTATCAGAAATTCTGCAATGATCAAATGAAATAATATACATTAATAATAAAATATCAACAAACTAGACATGGGAATTTTGTGAGCCCCCTCCTCAATGTGAATATGAATCCTCTCCTACTGTGAAGTTCCTAGATACAAAAGTTCAAGAATTACATTCCCAAAGGTGTTTTTAAGAAGTTAGCTTTGCCACCATGCATTTACCGTCAAGGGGGAAAGCCATCTATGTGCATACTCTTGGAGAAGGACACTTGAAACATGGCCGTCTATTGCAAAATTCAGGAATTTGCAGGGACCACAGCTCCAGTTACCCACCAGGATATTTTTTAGTTGCCTTCCTTTTCCATACAGCATATTCAAAACCTCCTAATTTTTACTTTCCTTTTTCCTTTGCATTTCTCCTCCTGCCTCCTGTTACAAAATTTACTGGTCTAAGAAGCCTAGGCTTCCTGAGGAGACATTCTCCCCTCTATCTCATTAATCCAGAGCCAGCTGGAAAGCATGTGCTTAGGAGAAGAGTGAGTGGGGTGGGAGAGACCCTTAAGTCTGTAAATAAGCCACACCAGTTAAGGTTAGCTCTCCACAGTTCCCTTCTTGCCCTGGCCCAGAGCACGGAATGGCACTGATGGCAGCTGATCTAACCCTTCCTTCCTAGGCCTGGCTCTGACAGGTTAATACTAGAACCTATAGAGTGCATTGTGGTATGTACAGACCTCAGCTACCTTATAGTATAAAATTAGGAAATCTAGTTCACCTCTCGAGGCCTGCCAGGCCTGTAAATGGGAAGACTCTTTTCCCTATAGTTAAATCCCTGTCTCAGGCATGCCTTAGAAACGAGTCTGCTAGCCAAATTCAAGGACAAGTAACCTGTATCCTGAGGATGCCTGTGCTCGCAAAGGTAGATCTTTCCTAACCAACTGGGTGACTGGACTGTCCATTGCCTTCGAGGAGCCCATGCAGCTCCCCAGCATTTGGCCAGGTAGGCTCCAAGGTATGTGAACTACCTTTATAGAAGCAGCTGCTTATCTACTGAGAAAGCCTAGTTATAAGCTTTTGTAATCTACCAAGATCAAACTATCTAACGGTGCATGGATTATAACCTTTATCTAGGCTGCAGCAGTTAAAAAAAAAGACAGCTGCATAGCTGAAAAAAACTTGCATGGTCGACCATAAGTGAGATCAAGGTCAAACCCCCTGCTCACAGGGTTCAAGACCTTGGCCACACTAGAAGTCTTCCACATGTACTTTTGTCTTCCCATGATTTTATTCCTTGTCTCTGTATTGATTTTATGATCCAGTATGTCAGCCAGATGTTGGGGTCTGAACTTACCCGTAACATACAGGTTTTGCTGACCTTGACAAAATCTGTTTTCTCATAGCATGGAGGAAACTAACAGAACACATATTCTCTTAGGGTAGGCTAATCACCAAGAGAAGAGGCTGGGCTGTTCCACTCTTCCCATTGCTGGTCTTGCAGTTGCTTTCAAAGTTTTCCTATTTGGCAAAAGAAGCTTGGGTGATATTTATGGGCAATAAATTTAAAAAAAACAGTTTGTCTCCTGCTGAACAAATGAGAACATGCCCTTTTAGCTCTCAAGGTCCTTTCTAGTCATGTAATTATGGGTTTGCTTGTTCTTGTTTACTCGAATACTCAAAACAGAATTTGATATTCAAATACTAAGAAGATGTAAGTGGCTGTTGTAGTGGACATTAATAGATTTATTTTGGCAGTTTTAAATTTGAATATAAAATTAACATTTTATATTTTCTCTTTCTCTGTGAAGGGCTTCTACCACTAATCCTATTTGTCTTGGCATTCTTTTCAAATTTTATTTAGTCTTTGACTTCTGTTCCCACTTACTTTCCTTTTTCTTTTCTTTTTATTAATTTCCCCTTATTGGTCTTACTCCTTGTGGTCTGACCATTTTTCCTGAATGTCTGCCTTTTCTTATCTCATTCCACTGTTTTACTTTGATTTTGCAGCTTCTTTCCCTCAATTCCTTAGTGAAAAGTACATTAGGAATTGTTCTTTCTAAAATCCTATTTTGAGCTGATTGTTATCAGAAAAACAAGTCCATTTGTGAAAAATGTGCTTCCTTTATTGTAAAAGAAAGGGCTGGGATTGGACTACTGCTTCTTAACCTTTTTATGATGGCAGCTTAATTGCTGACAACATCCAGTGCTGAACTCACTTCCATGGGTAACTGGTAAGAGATGTGGGTCATGTTTCTTCACAACATGGCAGCTGTAATCTTCTTTTTCCCTTCAAATTAGAAAGCATATTGCATTGCAAGTGATATAATGTCATAGGGATAATCTTAAATATATTCTAATTATTTGTATGTCCATTCTTTGAAAATTTTAACTGTTATTAGTAAAATTTTTAAATTTTTAAATTAAAATTAGCAAAATAATTGTCCTGTAGCTCAGTTGACTAAATCCACTGGACTAAATGATGTTTAATAAATATCCTTTTCAGCTACATTAAATGCTTCTAGAAATAGTGGTGCATCTTTGAGGAATGAATCTAATGGTGCCAGTAAGATCAGGCAATTTATTTAGCATCACATCAGCTTAAACTCTGAAAACTCCATTCTTGTCTTCGTTTACACGGTACCTGCTTTTTTTTTTTGACTTCATTGGACTCTTATTCCTTTTATCTTCTCATTTTCTACCTCTCCAGTGGCACCTCCTGACCTTATTTCTCTGCTTGACCTAGATTGAATGGATGATCACCTGAATTACTCTCTTGCCTAAAACCTTCAACATCGTTACACTTCTGTACTTAGGTCACCCGGATTCAGAAACTCAGAACCCTGGATCAATTCCCATTTATCATCTTATTTTCTACATCACGTGTGCAAAGTGCTGCTGGAAAAGAGAACACAATTACGCTGATTGTGTCCCTGAAAGTTTGTTCTTTGTTCTCAGCTTTCAGCCATTTAAGAAAATGAATTCTAGTTGTACCCACTCTCACTCAACTACTGGTTGCCTCAATATCACTACCTTCAAGCCTCCCTTCCAACTTCATACTCTCACTCTCCCAGATAATTTTGTCTGCTTTGTCAACAGAAATGGCAAGATCAAATATAACCTTCCTAAACTTCCTACTCTGCTCCTCACGAAGGACTTACGTCCACCCTTACTCTCTCAACCTCCCCGGCCTCACAAGATGAGGCAGCTTTATTCCTATTCAAGGCTAGACCCTTCTCTTTGCTGTTCATGTTATCCACTCCTATCTTTGTCCTTGTATCCTCTTTATTGTATCGCCAATCTCTTACTCTCTACTTATTATTATTATTATTATTATTATTATTATTATTATTATTGAGGCAGAGTCTCTCTCTGTTGCCCAGGCGGGAGTACAGTGGTGCGATCTTGGCTCACTGCAACCTCTGCCTCCTGTGTTCGAGTGATTCTCCTACCTCAGCCTCCCAAGTAGCTTGGGACTACAGGCACCCGCCAGCATGCTGGGCTAATTTTTTGTATTTTTTGTAGAGATAGGGTTTCACCATGTTATCCAGGATGGTCTCGATCCCCTGACCTCGTGATACACCCACCTCAGCCTCCCAAAGTGCTAGGATTACAGGTGTCAGCACCGTGCTCGGCCCTCTCTACTAATTATGAATCAATAAACATGCTCAATTGTTGCCCATGCTAAAGAAAGAAAGAAAGGAAAGAGAGAAAGAAAGAAACCTAAAACAAAACAGCTATCACTACCATCACCTCCTTTGACCCTGTGACCTATTCTGGTTTTAACTGTCTTCCTCTGGGAAGAGCTCTCCCCAGTCACTGTCTCCATTTTTTGTTTCCCATTCACTTTTCGACCCAAAGAACTCTGACTCCTTGTCCCACCACCACACTGGCATAGCTAAAGACACTGTGATGTCTGCATTGTACTGTCATATCCCTTTCTTGCTGAATTTGACACTTCCAACCTCATACTCCTTGAAATTCACCTTGGCTTTGGCTTCCATGATCTTATTGCTTTTGTTTCTCTGACATTCCTTTACAGACTCTTGTGACTACCTCTGAAATGTTGATATTTCCCCGAGGATTCCATCTTGAACCACTGCTATTTTGCTTGGAGTTTTACCGCTACCAGTGTTTGTGCTGAGGACTTGCAAGTCTATACCTCCATCCTAATCTCTTCCTTTTGCTTCAGAGGTCAGATCACACTCCATCTGTGTTTCCTACAGCTACCTCAAAGTCAGCATAGCCTTTGCTGAATTTGTCAACTCCTCCAGTTTCCCAAACTGGGTCTTTTTCCTCTATTCCTTCTGAATTTTAGAATGGTTGGTTTTAAAAGTTGGTAGCTGCGATAGTTTCAGAATCATTCTAAAACAGCACACAGTTCAATAAAAATATAATGTAAGCTACATATGTAATTAAAAAATTTCTGATAGCCACATTAAAAAACAAAAGGAAACATGAAATTAATTTTTACAATGAATTTTATTTAGCCCAATATATGTAAAATACATTTTGACATGCAATAATTGTTTTAAATTAATGAGATATTTTACATTATTTTTTGTATTAAGTTTTCAAAATTCAGTGTTTATTTGAACACTTATGGCACATCTTAATGGAAACTAGTCAATAGGGCTCAACCACCATATGTGGTTAGTGGCTACCGGCTACACTATCACCTACTTCTGTCTTTCCCCCTCACTAATCCCACTCTCATTCACTCATAAATCCTGTTGATTTTACCTCCTAGATATTTCTTCAGTAGGTTCATTTCCTTTTAACTTTATACATCATGGCTTTAATTCATATCCTGGCCATATTTCACTTGGGTTATTGCAATGGGTTTTATAACCTAGTTTCTCTGTTCCAGGGAGCATGCAAGATCCATTGAAACGCAGGTACTATAGTAAGATATCTACTGATACGTAGTTTTAACGAGAAAATAAGAAAGCTCAGATTCATATTTAATATTTATTTATTATACATACTGATGCCAGCACCCTTGCTCTGCATCTCTGATACAATGAAATAACTAGTATATTTTCATTGAGTGGTATGATTAGCATGCTACTTGTAAGCCCTGGTAGGGTGGGTAATGGTCTTAGTGTGAAATAATTTAACCAGCTCCTTCTTACTCAAAACTATTAAATAGATGTGATCATTTACTCTATGGAAAATAAAGTTTGATTGTATGTGTGCATGCACGGGCTTCAAGCTTCATTGTGAATAAGAATCACCTTGGCAACATATTTAAATGTAGATTTTTGGGTTTCATATATATACATTCTCATTCATTTGGAATGGTAGGTGGCCCAGGAATCTGTATTTTTATAAAGCATTTGAATGATTGTAATATAACTGGTAGAAACCATACTGTATTAGTCTGTCTTCATGCTGCTGATAAAGACATACCCGAGACTGGGAAGAAAAAGAAAAAGAGGTTTAATGGACTTACAGTTCCACATGGCTGGGGAGGCCTCACAATCATGGTGGAAGGCAAAGAGAGACAAGTCACGTCTTACATGGATGGCAGCAGACAAAAAGAGAGCTTGTGCAGGGAAACTTCCATTTTTATTCCATCAGGTCTTGTGAGACTCATTTACTATCACGAGAACAGTGCAGGAAAGATCTTCCCCCATAATTCAGTTACCTCCCACCAGTTTCCTCCCATGACACATGGGAATTGTGGGAGTTAAAAGTTAAGATGAGATTTGGGTGGGGACATAGCTAAACTATATCACTATACTATACTATCACTATACTTTGAGTATTAGTCTGTTCTTTGTGAAGTAGAGAGTTAAAAAGCCGTGGAGAAAAGTGCATTAGCCCAGACTGGAGAGGGATGCTAAATGGGGGTTATAAAAGCAACAGCACACTGAAATGGAAATTGGGCACCAAGGCAATGCTGAAACAGGGAATCAAGGGTGACAGGGGCTGGAAATATGGAGAGAGGCTTGGAAGACAGTGATGAGAACCGTGGTCTATTCCATAATTTTCTCTGGGATTGGCCTTCCTTCTTCAACTAGAAAAGTTAATAGCAATATAAAAATGAAATCTGATTATTAGGGTATTTTCATCTTCCTTTAGTAACTTACATTCATTAGTTTTTCAATAAGTAATTTTTAAACATTTCAGGATGTCAACATATTGAGGAATTTCAGTGTAGGACAGTTTTTGACCTTAGAACAATATCATCCAATTGCATTTAGCATTTCATTTCTAGTTCTGTGACAACAAAATTATCTTGTATAGAGGACATGGTAAATGATGCCCTCTGGATAACAGAATTTAACTTCACAATAACTCTGAGGGGAAAAAAACCTCACATTTTTCCTTAAATTATATAAATACTTATCTATAAATAATTTCTGTTAAATCTATAATCCAAGTTGTTAATATTTTAAAACTTAAAACCTGTTTAAAAAATTTTATGAAGATGCTACATGTTTTGTAATATGGTAGAGAACAACCAGAAGATTTAAACTTCATAGGTTTAAAATTTTACAATATGCTGTTCAAATTATAAATTAAGACTATTAAAAACTCCAAACTTTTCATTTTAGTTTATTATTTTATCTTTCTCCTTCAGTCAGCCTTATTTAGGACTAACAAGGGGCTAACTGATTGAATTGAGTTTCTTCTTTTCGTCATTTGCTGGCAGGTCTCTGGTGGAAATCCTAATGGGCTGCAAACTAGGCAAACAAATGGGCCAGTAGGCTGGAAGTGGGGAAGGGACAGTGGATATGGAGAGTCTATTGTTCATCCAGTCAACTAAATATGTTTTAATTGTAGCAACAATGCCATAAGTAGGCCTGACACAGTCTATTAGTTTGCCTCACTTCATTCTTGTTTCAGTCACTCCACTTCAACCATCGATGAGTCTGAGATTTTTATTCCATTCATTGACAGGAGAGACTTCCCTTCACTCATCTGCACTTTTGGAAGATAAATTCTCTTGAATAACTCAATGGAAGTTGAGTTTGGAGGGAAAATACTATTTTTATTGCAATTAATATCTTGTTTTTAACTTCTTAGTCCAAGACATCTAATCTCCAGTGGCTTTTGTTAAACTAAACACCTCTGCTGATTTCTGCTTTTTCGTAGGTGATTCGCAAGGGGTGGCTCACCATCAGCAACATTGGCATCATGAAAGGCGGCTCGAAGGGATACTGGTTCGTCCTTACTGCGGAAAGCTTGTCCTGGTATAAAGATGATGAGGTAAGTCACAGAGAGTGATAAAGTTTTCTTGTTAAAGTATTTCTCATTTTAAATTAACTGATATTATTATACTATGCAATTTTGAGACACCAGTGGTTCTCTTTCAGTGAGATTAAGCTTGGAATGTTTGTTTAAAAAGGCACTATTATTTTCTTATAGATTTTAAAGTTTACAATATTCGCCCAAATTTCTTTTTCTTTTTGTTTATTTCTTTGCTGTAACCATATGTTTGCTTACCTGAAGAAATGGAGGTAGGCATCAAAGTTGAAAACCTCCTTCTTTATAATCATGTCAATGTACTGGTAAAGTGAAAACAATTTTCGTTAAAGAAAGTGTTGAAGGACCCAAGGTAATAGAACATTTTAAGAGTGAAATTAATAATATTGATGCACAGTTAATAAAGCATGTTGGAATTGTTCCTGTGACATCTGTCTCAAATGAAAGGCTTTTAAGAACGTCCACATCGCTAGTCTTCAAGTGAGTCTCAGATCATTGTTTATACAAATTTTGTTCTTTGAGAATTTGATATCTATGTAAAAGCATGAATTATGGTAATTATAGTGTTCTGGTTCATGTTAGATGTTAATAATTTTGGTCCTGTGACTTACTACTCATTTAAATTTGATAGCTATAAAAGTGCAAACAAAAAACTTATATTAGTCTTACAGAACCATTTAAGTGCTAGAAATCGATACCATTAAAATGTGAGGGAGCACAGATAGAAATTAAACTATGTCTTGAAATTTTTAATAGCCCTGGTCTGACCTGATAATCTTTTGGTACTTATAATGCGGCATGCAAACATTAGATAAGGATACTCTGTGATAGCAAAACTATGTACAGGTGAGATTCTCAATTTCATGTGGCCACGAAGGGCATGTGTTCAAAGTTAAAAGTTTTTCCTATCTTGGCCTGACATCTTTTGAAAGCATTACCGGGTGCCTTTGTCATTCCTTGGAGGAAAAGTTTCATGTCTTATATAGCACTTTTCATTTCTCAGGAGATCTGTGTGTAATAGTGTGTTGAAAAATATTGGATAATTGGTTGATTGCCACTAAACTTTCTGCAATAAGGGAAATGAAATCCTATAGAAATGTATTTAAATTTTTATGTCATTGACCATAGTCAAAAGTAGATTTGGTCACTGTGATAGTATGAGGGTTAGCAGTGGTTTCTTTCCTGTGCTGGCTGCTTAGCTATCTCTGTCATTCTGTGGGAAGCTCTAGTTTTAACATAGTTTGAGGAGCTCAGAGACACTTCCCTAGATGTAAAAATCACTAAATAGATGATCTTCTTTGCTGTTCAGTTGTAATAAGGTATTTCTATTAGATATATTTTCCCTCCAAGGATTTAGATGATAATTTATGTGCATTTAAATACGTGTAAACCTTGGGACCTTTCTCAGTTATACAAGGCCGCAGAAAATATTTTACTAAGGAATCATAACAGTGATGGCTAGTGTTTTATATGTATTAATTAACTCATTTAACCATATTCAGCCTTAACTACTACTATCCCTATTGTTGATGAGAAAACTAAAAATAAAACAAAACCTTTTTTTAAAAAAGTCTTTTCTACAGGACTATTTTCCTTATTGCAGAACATTTAGTCTTGGCGAGGATAACCAACTTACCAAAGTCACACAGCTAGTTGGTGGCAAAGCAGAAATTTGAACCCAGGCTGTTGAGCTCCAGAGCCTATGCTTTCAACCACAAATAAAGGCAAGAATCCCAGAGATGCCTGGAGTTGTCCAAGCCAACCTCATCCCACAGAGGACTTATGAAGATGAATTCCAGGCATCTCAGCATTGACATGTTCCTGGGTGTTAGCAGCAGAGACACTGAAGACTCTGGAGTAGCTACTGCTGTTGGAGTGTGGCATTAGTCTGGCTCTGTGAGTCCTGAAAATAAGCCCATTGGAAGGTATAGGATGCTCTCTGTAGGGAAGGAAGAAGCTTTGAAGGCTTGGTGAGCTCTTGGTTATTGGCTCATCTCCTCTCCTCCAGACTCAGGATAATTCTTTACAAAATCACTGCCCTTGTAGCTTCCTTATGAGTACTTGATTACAACAAATGGAAAATAAATATGCACAGTTATAATATTAACCAAGTGCCATGAATACTCCCGCTCTGTGTGCTGTGTATAACCAAGGTATGGTATGGAGGGTAGTTGGGGGCAGGTGAGAGTGGAAATGACCCTTGAAATAAATGGAATTATTTAGATGAAGAAATTCTAGGAAAGGGTAGTTTCATCCATTTAGATCATTTTAAAAAAGAGGAAATGACAAAGTTACTGTTCTATGGAGCTAACAAGCAAATAGACTAGTAATAAATGTCAGATAGTAAATGCTCTGAAGAAAATAAAATGGGGCATTGAGTTAGAAAGTGATAGGGGAGGGGTCTTTAGATTTGGGTGATTGGAAGGAAGTACCACTTGAGCAGAGACTGAGATGATGAGCTGTGCAGAAGATTTTGCTGAAGAATATTCCAGGTAGAGGGAACAGTAAGTATAAAAACCCTGGAGATGGGATCCAACAGGAAGTCTGTGGCTGTAACATAGGAACAGTGGGGGAGAAAGGAGATAAAATCAGAGGTACCAGTAGATGGGGGCCTTATCAGTCCCTACCCAATGGTTTGGATTTTATTACAAGGATAACTGAAAATGATTGGAGTGTTCCAACAGGTTGTGACATGATTGGATTGATGGTTTAGAAAGATTGCCCTGGCTGCTGGATTGTGCATAATAAGTGGTATGGGGTGGATGCGTGAAGGGAGCGGGGATGGCTAGCATGGAAGAAGGGAGACCAGATTGGAAACTCTGACCATGGTCCAGGCAAGAGAGGATGGTGGCTGGGTAGTAGCTGGTGGTGAGGGTGCGGAGCACTTAAGTTCAAGGTAGCAAAATTATGGGCTACACACAGCTATGATTGAGTCACTAGCTTCTGTTACTCATTCAGAACTCTCAAGAAACAAGACAGGAAGTTCTCATCATTAAGATCATCATTGAGACTGAAAGCTGGCCTTCGTGAATTTAAGCAGGTATAATGACTAGGGGGAATGCTACTTGCAACCACAACTCAAACTCAATGATGATCTTAATGAGGAGGATCATCACCATAATGGCTAATAGTTATTGAGTATTTATAGTTCACTGAGCACATTATTTACATTCTCCATTTTAGAGATAAAGAATTGAGGCTCAAAAGAGAGTGAGTAACTTAGCCAGGTGCTAAGTGTCAGTGCTGTGCTCTTAATCATCTGAACATTTCCCAACAATTACTTTCTGAACACTTGTTATGTACCAGGCACTGTCCTAATCACTAAGGATAAAATGATTAGCAAGGAATTCATGGTACCTATTCTTATGAAGGCTCTTTCCCAATAAAGCAAACATACAAATAAATAGGAAAACCTAGCAGATGCTGATTACAGGCTAGGAAGAAAATAAAGCCAGTGATGAGTTGACATAGAGTGTCTGGGATAGAGGACACAGGTAGGGGGTACTTTACATTGGATGGTCAGAGAAGGTTTGTGTTAATGTTCTGAGGCAGGATTGAGCCTGATGAATTTAAGGAGGGTAATTAAGTCCAGTGTGACTGGAGCAAAAAGAGAAAGGCACTCTAAAGATGAGGATTTTGATATTAAGAATGATGAGAAGTTTTTTAAGCTGGAGAGTCACATGATAAGATTTGAATTCTTTACTGATTCCTTTGGTTGCCTTGTGGAGAATGGATTGGAAGAGGGCGAAACTGGACTGGGGAGTTACTAGAAAGCTATTGCTTTCTACATCTATTGTGGTCTGCATAGATAATGGTAGCTTGGGCTGGGATGAGTTGTTGGAATTTGATAAAAATGAACGGATTTAAGAGATGTTTTTGGAAGGTGAAAATTGACATGAACAACTCATCACACATGCTAAGAGTTGCAGCAAACTGTAAGCCTCTTGAGACCAGGAGACATTGTTTGTTCCCTGTCCTACCACCAGGGGACATAGCACTGATAGGAGACACTAACTAAATATTGATTGAATGAAGGTGTCATTGAGCAAATGAATGAATAAATGCAGCATAATAATTAATCACGTCCTGGCATATCAAGTGTCAAAATTAAATTATTGAATTACAGAATAAAATTACCACTAAAGGTAGATTGTCTTAAATTGTCTTAAATTTTGTTAATTTTCATCATTGAAGGTTAGTGTTTTTTTGTTTTTGTTTTTGTTTTTTGTTTGTTTGTTTGTTTTTTATCCTCTGACTATATATATGTGACTTCCTGGATTGAAAATCATTTAAACAGAAAATTAATTTCCCAATGTTGTTTTCATACATTGCCCATATATGTTGTACATTTTTGGAAAGGGATTTAGTAAAAAGCAAGATGTGAGAATAAAACAGAAACTGTCATTTCAAAAGTTTTTTGAAATGGATTTTTGATCTAGATAATTTTACATTAATACTTTAAAATCAGACTTGAAAAAAATGATGGCTTTTCTTTAACTTATGTCTAAAATGTGAATTTTAGGAGAATGGGAGACCCTGATTCAAGGAGAAAAGAGCCTTATTTTTCTTAAAACCAATGAGAAATTTGTTTTAAAAATACATAAATATGTAAATTTTAAGAGATAATTCAAATCTCTGAAGAAAGAGGACTGTTAATTTATGTATAATAAAAGCACTTAGTCAATATTTATTCTATTTCTATAGCCCAGTGTGTAAAGATTTAAATCATAATGAGCTACTCCTAGGCAAGCAGAATAATGCAACATAGGCGTTTCCAGTGGAAATCTGCTAACCTTATACTATTGAGGAAAACCCAACATCTGCATTGAAATAAGGACATTCTTTGGACT
Source organism: Homo sapiens (assembly GCF_000001405.40). Classification (NCBI taxonomy): domain Eukaryota; kingdom Metazoa; phylum Chordata; class Mammalia; order Primates; family Hominidae; genus Homo; species Homo sapiens. The sequence continues at coordinate 172,136,136 of NC_000001.11, forward strand.
CTTAAGAAATTACAGGCCTCATTTTTGTGGGTTGAAGTGTTTGGATAACTTGATAAGGAGATTATATAATTCCCTTATAGGGATATTTACTTAGCATTGTTTTCATTTTGTAACAATAACAAATGACAAATGTAACTTCAGAAATAGGAAACAAAATGACAGTTATATCCCTGGATGATCAAAGTTGTGAGATCAAGAAGTTATAGAAATATTCAGCTCTCTTTCTAGTTTCACTTATACTTTTAAGATTGTGCATATTTCCTACCAGATCTGCACACTCCCTGTGGTGGAAAAGGTCAGCGTCGACCCTGTGAACACTGTTCACACTCCTTCGTTAAGTTATTTAGTTAGCCAAAACTTAGATATTTTCACAAAAGTCCCAGTAAATATTGAACTCTAATCCACTTATATTACTTAAAATTCTGCATGATCACAGTTGTATATTTTTTTACATACATAAACTATCTGATGTTATTCTTTTTTAATATAGGATTATTCATACAAATATTTCCATGTTCTGGTATTATCTAAAGATTTATAATTTTGAAAAAAAGAGTATTATTCAATAAACCATAATGGCCAATCCTATTCCAAATTTATTAAAAATGAGTTTAGATTCAAACCCACTCCCCTATATGCATTATTTGTCCCACTCAAAAGTTTATCCTGGAAGAGCAATATTATCCTTTATATTACCCTTTCCCAGAAGAGAAAAATTTTTAAATGTGCCTCATTTAATGACTTTAAAATACATACAAAACATTCTTTCAAGCATTTTTTTTGAAAATTGAGTAAAAAATGTTTAACAAAAAAGGTGTTAACTTTATGTTTTAAGGAAAAATATTGAAAATGTTATCCTGGAGTGCCTCACCTTAGGATGACTCTGCTGCCGTCCTAGCTTTCCCTTTGGAGTCTGAAGGACGGGTGTAGTCTCCTTAATGTTCTGGCTAGGTCATTGTCTCATTCTGGGAGCTGTCAAGCACTCTCCTGAGCCTTGCAGGGTCCAGTAGAATAATTCCATACGTGAACTCTCATAGGCAGCATTTGCAACAGGTGGTACAAGGCATTTAAGATTGGGTAGAACGATGTCGATATTCTGTGAGTAATTTTTATATTGTCTTCCTGTTTATATTCTACATTTTGTAAGTATTGTTTAGGACTTTATTTGCTAGTAATGGGACTTTTATTTAAGGCAAAAATCTGCATCGTGCAATGTATCTTGCAGAAGCAGAGATGAATTTTAGCAGATGACATATTGCCATAAGACAAGATTGTTTAAATGAGAGAAATTTAACTTTAATCATATTTGTGCTTTGTAGTTTTGCCCCATCATTCAGTTTTTTAATTAAAGAAACTATAATGTCAGGTTTGGTTAAAATATCATTGTCAGAAAATTTGAAACTCACTGGGATCTTAGCTTTAAGACTGAGACTTTCATTTTAAAAATAAAATAGCTGAATGAAAAATAGTTTGCTTTAGTTAAGAATACATACATAAAGTGTTTAATTGTTAAATGTGAAAAAAGTTTTGAGTAGCCTTGTGTTACATTTTTTAAGCTTGACCAGAATCTAAGAAAGATGAAAATTAATTTCAAATACTGAAGCTAAAACATGTTAATGAACTAAATAAAAGTTGACACATTTCTAATTTTATCCATCTTCCCACCTTTTACCCTTAAGTATTTAAAGTATTCATAGACAAAAGCCATCCCTTATCATTTCACTCCAGTTAACAGTGCATAAACTGAAGTTTGGATATTTTCTCAAAAGATGTGTCAAAATATACATTTCAAGTGCATTAACCACTTTCCTTATGCTTCTGAAGATAAATGAATTGCCTGAACATCTCAAGATCTTGAAAGTTTATAGTGATGGAAGCATAGGTTGCAAGTGAATGTGTTGGCCTTGTAAATTCTACTCCTAGAACTGTAGCATAAGCACCTTCTTAATTAAAGAATGACGCAGTCATAAATTTATGTATACCATGACGCGTGGAAGTATCAAAAATTTCAACTTTCCATATGTCAAAAGAGGAGAAACTATTATTTTAATATAGTTGAACACTAGTTGGAAATAGTAGTCTTTTCACTGTGTTTTGCCCAGACCCAGACTGGCAGAGTTAACCCAGACTGGCAGAGTTAACTCAAAGCACTTGATCCTTTGGAATACTCTTTTTCTCCCTTTTCTTTTCTCTGTCTTTCCACCCTATCCCCTTCCAAAAAAAAAAAAAAAAAAAAAAAATCATGACATAGAAAACCATACTTAGTTTATGGACAAGAATTCTTAGAATAATTTATTCTTTGTTAAGCATCAGACTGAAGTTATATTGTTTTGTTATATTGAGTTTTTATATCAATATAGGGTGCTGCAAAGCTGTGTACAATAAAGGTCAAGGGTAGTGATTTGCTGACAACAATTAGGAAAAGAGAACTATAGAATGCACAGGAACATTTTCAGAAATGGGTTTTATTATATTTCATAGGCACCACTCACTTTACTTTTGGTGGGTTTTAATACTTGAATCAAAATAAAATAATACATGAGTTAAGTATTAAACCAACAGATTAAAACCCCAGGCCCCCGAGCCCCTCATTTTGGTTGTAGCTCTTGGTGTAGATGCTATGGTGTGAGGGCTGCTTTCTTTCAATGGCTGGTTGTCATTCAGGCTGGGTTGTCATGTGACTGCCTGTCTGTGCCTGCTGTACAGGTGAGCGGATGTTCTGCACAGCAAGTGTAGACAGGCAGACACATGACAACTCTGTCCAGCCAGGCCCTTGGTTCCTTCAGGTTTCCTTTGCTCATAGACAGATACAATCAGCCTGTTTTCCAGATTTGGTGATTTTGGAGAGTAAGGGGAAAGGGAGAAAAATACACAATATAATTAAACATTAAAACATTATGGAACTAAAAACAAGTTAGACTTTTGACTTTATTCAGAAAGTACATTTATACATTTGTTCCAAATGTGCTAACATGGATAATTTGCGTAACAGAAAACTCACATTAAAATTTTAAGGAAAAAAAGAGATTAAACACAAGGTTTATTCTTAAGTCCAATTCATATTATTACTGGCCCACATGTAGTCAGAGTTCAGCGTAATTGAACCAGATGTTTTTCCTCTTTGCAAAAAACTGCATATTTTAATACTGAAGTTAAAGATAAAAACTATGTTTATGCATGTTTCTTTTAGTAGATAAGTACCATAACCTTGTCCATGAAAAAGAAAATTATCATTTACATGGAAACAGCAGCCCTTTTCAAAATAATTAATGAGCCTAATTTATTTGGCAACCCAAGTTGCTGACTTTGGTATTTGATGCTCTGATAATAGGATCCTACAAGGGAATATGTTTTTACCAATTATATGTGAAACAACAGGAACCTATTTAAATGTCTCATTTTCCTTTTAAATGCAAAGTTTATAACTGTGGATGTGAAATCAAATTAAAGGCAGTTGTGAGCTTAAGTTATCCACCTCTTAATTAACTATAGGGCCATGCTGTGAATCAAAAGGGTACAAACTGGAAGGCTGTTACTCACAGTGATGCTCAGAATGTGTTTTGGATATAGTTAGTGCAATATAGTTACAAAATAGTACTTAAGAAAAGGCAGAAAAGGCAAATTCATTTCATATCCAAAAAATTAAAACCAGATCCTTTGAAAATTTTTCTTATAATTTATATGAGCTAATAGTGTTAAATATGCAGATATAAAATTTAATTCTGGTGAGTTGAGAGTAATTCTATTTTAATATCAATTATCAATTCACATCTTTAGAAGTATTAAGCAAATTCCCCTCCCCTTTTAAAAACAAAAATATCCAAATAGTCAAAATTCCAGTAAGTAGGACTTCTTAAAAAACACAGCACCAAAAAAACACAGTATTGTCCAAGGATTGTATAATTAGACATTTTCTCAAAGAACTTTAAGAAAAACAAACAGTTTGTGATTTATCTTTAATTGTAAAATTCTGAGAAAATAGCAAATAGAAACTTAATGGAAAGCAAAATAGTTTTAGATACTGAGAAAATTACAATTTTCTACAAATCTGGACTTTTATGCAGTGATTAGGTAAGGTAATGTTTTAACAAAAGCTAATAAGTGCCATTTTCTGTGTATTTATGTAATTTCAAGAAAACAAATTTCCGATTCTGTTTCGGCCATCACTTTCGAGTAAAGGAACTTTTTTTTTTTCTTGACAGAATCAAAAACATGAGTAAACTTGGCTGTTATTTAAATAATTACAAGGTTAGAGTATGCCAAAAACCAGTGCCTTAAAATACTATTGTGTTATTGTTGCTGCATTCAGTGCAACAGAAAGTAATTATAGAGTGATTCACTTACAAAGAGTATATTGGTGGAAATTAAAAATTACTATAATTCTTTATAACTTTTCCTCTCTCTCCCATAAATAATTTGATCCAGTTAACTCTGCTCAATTAAAGGAATGATGCATGCAACCTGAAAAAATAAAAAGAAATATTTGTGAGTTTGTATGTTATGCTTTAATATAAAACAGTTTTATTAAGGCAAGATATAAAAATTTTTTGAGCCAGAAAAACCACAACAGTTTTTCAGGGGAAAAAAAAAATCTTGCTGAAAACAATTGTTCTATTCATAAGGCTTTTGGACAATTTATGTTTCTGATAGATTTTTAAAACACACTTACAGTAACTATGTGACATATGCACACTTCATTGTTATGTTGAACCTGCCCCTAAACTTGTTAAAAAGATGAAAGACTGAAAACCATATTGACCTTTTTTTAATCTCCCAAATTATAGGTTGAATATTAGTTTATTATTACTTAAAATACTAGCTAAAACATAAAAGAGCTATTTGTATTATTATCATACCATGTAATTTTTAGTGTGGTTATTACACCTTGTTTTCTTTTTGTCTTTTATTTCTTAAGGAAAAAAATGTAAGAAAAGAATTGTCTTCTAAGTCTTCTGTAGTGAAATTAAACCAAAGCAACTCCAGGAAACTGGCTGTCACGCTAAGTCAAAAAATTCAAAATGAAGATTTAATTATTTTTCCTAATTTACTTCGTTATCTCTAACTATTAAAACTGATAAAAATTATTTGTAAGAGACCTTTGAAAATGAGTAAATATTTATTTCTACTTAATTTACAGAACATGAAAGTAAGAAGGGATTTGAAGTAAGAAAGTTTCTATCTTAACTCAGGAATTTCCTGTCTCAGGTTAAAGCCTGACCTTCTAGTTATTTTAAGCCAGGATTTCTGAGTGATGGTCTCTTAGTTATTATTTTGACGTTATTGTGATGGGTGGGCTATTCTCCTTAGAGCAGAGTAAAGTGCATTGTTTATAAAGAGCAGATCCCTTACAGAGTAAGTGAAAGCTTTGGCGTCTCTTTACCGAGCATGGATGCTTGTGGATGAGTGAATTTTTTCACATTACCAAGTTGTACTTTTTATATCTTATAACAGCTTAAGACTTCAACCAAAAAAGTGGGGAGAATTCTTTCGTTAGGATTTTTATGCCTAAACTGTTTCCCACAGAGTGAAATACATGGGTGGTCTGTAGGCGAGAGGTGGGGGTAGATAGTATATTTTGGTCTTTTACAAACATAAACATATTATCTGGGCCGAAAGCCCGAATGCCAAGCAGGAAGGATATTAAGCCTATTGACTAACTACAGGAAAGTGATCAGTGTGAAACTTTGTCCTATAGTAAACAGTCTTTCTTTGATTTTGAGATCTGTGGCCTAAAAGAAAAATGAGTTTGAAAATTTAAGTCCACCGTTTTAGATTGATCCTTTTCCAGTTAAGAAATTGTGGTGTTGAAGCTAAGGCTCTGAACTTCCTTTCTCTTAGATGGTGGAAAAGTCCTTTTAACCCAGTACCTAGTCCAATTTATCAATCATTCACATGCTAAAATGAAAAATAATTATGAAATTTCTATGAAGTGTAGTTTGGACAGACCCTGAAACAATTTTCTCTTCATGACCACATATAATGTTTAATTTTAATACTTACACTTATTACATCCAGGGGTAGTTTTAGTTGAAGATGCTCACTGTTGGTTAGTTTCCTCTGGAATAGATTCCATGATCCCTAAAATATTTGTATATCTCCTTATAAAGTAATATGAAAATAAAATTAAACATTTTTCTAATTTACCTGGATATAGATATGGCTATAATGTATATAAATGTGGGCGTGTGTACCAGCGCATAAACTACAATCCTGCCTTCATTCAGCAGAGCTTTATAAAATGAGCTTTTACCTTTGATCTTTAATTTAGCCCATATAATTGAAAAATAAGTACTATTCGTTTTCATTTGTTAAAACTTTGCCTCGAAAATAAGTCGCTAGAGCCACATCAAGCATGTGCAGGAACTCCTTGGTTATCCTTTTACAAAGTAATTCTTATATTTCTACTCCTGTACTTATGCCAGAGGCACCCTTATGTCCCTTCTATCTCCAGACTAAAAGTCATCCTGAGGGAGAAAATAGGTGAGGGACCCATAGGGATTCATTTCTTTGAAACAAAAAGACCGTTTAACATGAAGAAAGAAATTGAAATTAAATATACATTAAATGAAAGCAAATTTTGAAATGTAATCATTTCTAGAGTAAAAAAAAAAAAAAAACCCAGAAAATTTGAGAAAAACATTACCAAAGTACCTTGTTAGCTATTTTTCCTCTTCAGTAATTGTATCAATTAGAAAAAATATATTTCTTGAAAAAATGAGCTCCTCTAAGTTACTTTTTTTAGTTTTCTTATGTAAAAGAAACTATATAGATTTTTAACATCTCATTTGTTCTACTAAAAATAATTAATATGGAACTCTCCAAGTCACAATAGAAAATGAAAGGATAACTTTACTATATCATCTAAGTGAAAGTAGCTAAATTTCTCCTTGCTGTTTATATTTTAACTAATAATCATGAATATATGAGAATACTTAATGTTTTCTTTATACACATTTTGGGGTGATCAGAAGGGTAATTTTTAAAGTAAGTTGTTTTGACAAAAGAAAACTTAGGGAATCTTTTATAATAAAATATTTTGCTAAAGAGAACTTGAGTCAATTTTTGAATTGTTGCAAAATGTATAACTTAGAAAAGAATTTGTTCAGGAACCACTGTAACTTTAAAGGAGGACAAAAGAGATTATGTTTATTTTTCACAAACCCTGTAGAAGAGATGTTTTCATTATATAGAATTGTTTCGGAATAGAAATTAATGGGGGTTAAGAAAATTAGGGATGAGGCAATAACATTTTTCCAGAACTTTCTTTAAGGGGCCGACCTCTAAAGTTCAGCACAGATCACATTGCAATCCAGACTTGCTCTATTATTTTCTCTATTAGGATTTCATTCAGCTTGAGGGTTTTCTTCCCTCCCACCTTCCTCCCCCTCTCCCACCCTCTTTCACCTCCAGGACAGCTGGAAACTGACCAAAGAAAACTTCTGCCTTCGTTTACAAATTCCTTTTTTATCAGTGGGTTTCTAGACAAAGTGCCTTATTTTAAATGCTCAGAGAAGTGGAAGCATTGTAAGCTATAGGCAAGAGGGCTCAGCTGAGCAGCAATTATTAACCACTCTTTGATTTAAAAAAAATGTAAAACAGATATTTACAGGGGTATCTAAAGATAGAGGTTTTTATTCCCTGATTTACTCAGTTGCTGACTCAATAAGTTGTGGGTCGGTGCTCTTCTCTGGGCAAATCCCATCTGCATTGTCTGGTAGGCAAGACTTGGCAGGTTCTTCTTTTATTGTTAGGTACTATTATTCCTGTTGTTTATATTACAGAAGGAAATCTTCAGAAAAGCACTATCCATATAGCATTTAAAAACCAGCAAGTATTCTTTACTTTGGGGAAAAATGACTTCAGTCCTGGGATGTTAAAAGTTATACATACAGCCTTCATCCATATAAGTTTTTAAATCTTTGAATTATTATTAAACAATTCAAAAGTAGCCTCATTAAACTATTCTTAAGTGTCTGGAATGAGTTTTTTCATATTTCATTTTGAAGTGGGAAAACCTTTAAGAAAACACTTGAATTATCAATCTTCAGAAATAAAAAAAAAAAAAACAGTAAATCGCTATATACCACACACTTTTGCTCTTTTAAAATTAAATACATCTCTACCCATCACACATGTACCTCTGTTTCCCTTGCATGTTAACACAAATCATGGGCTCCCCACCTAGGTTCCCTTGGTCACAGACCAGGTGAGCAGTCAAGAAGGCCTTACCCGCTGGTCTTCCCTTCGGCAGTCTTTTCTCAGCAGTGTCCCCGAGGGCTTCTTGGTCCCTAGTGTGCAAAACCTGTGAAGAAAAACACTGGATATGAGATTCAAAAAAGGAGCAAACAAATGTCTTCTCCTTGGAAACAGCCCATTTTGTCCCCAGCGGTCCATGGCGTTGCTCTCCCTTGCCCAGTCTAACCAATGTGCAGACTACTGTACAACGGCATTGTCCTGAACAGGTAGTCTGAACACTGGGGCGACGGAGCAGGATCTCCAGAAGCTTCCTTCTATGTACTTAAAATCCTCTCCCGGTCCTCAGGAAAAGCCTCCCTTCCTGCACCAGGGGTTGCATTCAGCTTTCCCCCCTGAATTCTGCTGCGCTGACTGAGACACACTCAAGGGCTGTGATTTCCAGTCTTGACGTGGCACATTTGCTGCAGACTGGGGAACTGGCAATGAATTTAGGACCAGGAAAAGGGGGAGGGCTGGGCTGGAGAGTCCATATATGGGATGATGTCACCCTGGGGAGGTTTGGGTATGCGCTGTGCCGCTGGAGAGACCGCTAGAATCGCCTGCTCTCAGACATGGGTCTGTGCATAAAATGGTACCAGATGTTTTAGTGTAACGTTAAGCAGTCATTTCATCTTCAGGCCAGATTTTTTTCCTCAACTGGGCAGGAAGTGGGCCCCAGTATGGAAAAGCTGTAAAAAAAAAAGAGTCAAGATGTACAGTTCGGCTGTGGCCAACTGAAAGTGAGTTAGTGTAGAAGTACAAATTTACTGTCTGACCCAGGCTAGAGAAGTAATTTGAAGATAGAGGGTAGATGAAATAGTAAACAGAAAGTTGAACACTGGAAGGCAGAGCTCATTTGGAAACCTTTTTGAGCTTTCCTGTGGCACTTTATTTTCTGGTATTTCACTCGTCAAAAAGGGCAGATAAGTTTCTGTCTGTCTGTCTGTCTGTCTGTCTCTCTCTCTCTCTCTCTCTCCCCCTCTTCCCCTCTCCCTCCCTCTCTCTCCCTCCCTCCCTCCTTCCCTCCCGCTCTCTCTCTCTTTCTCTCCTTCTCTCTCTCCCTCCTTCTCCTGTCTGTTGAATCTGTCAGCAGCTTGCAGGCTGCTCTAGACTTGAACAGTAATTATAGCAACTTCCTGAAAGTGAAGCCCCCATGAAAAGTCTGGAGAAATGTTCTTTGTCATGGCCTCTACATGAGTAATTAGTTCCACATGTGGCCTTCCTAGTTTCCCTCAGCTATTTTGGCTGGGTCTCTGAATGCTGTGCTATAGTTTGACCTAAAGAAACGTTACAGTTTTTGTTTGAAGCATCCACTACGAAACAACGACTCAGGTCTTCTAACAAATCGCCTCTGGTAGATCCATGCTGTTAGGTATAGCATTGTTTTTCACTTGTAATTCCTGATTCTGTTTTGATACTTTTGTTTTGTTTTCATGGTATTCTGTGGCTTAGTTTTATCTCTGGTTAACTAAATCTGTTGAAATTTGCCAAGTACCGCTTGACCAAAGGTTATAAGATATCAGCCCACTGGCATCTACTTTTCTTTCCCTGTTGTGGCTGTTTTCAATTATATATACTCTTGAATATTCTGAATATGTAGTTCTCTCACTTTCCCTCCATAGGATTCTGATCAAAGCTAGAGTCGCCTCAAACAAGAGCTTGATTAATTGCCCTTCTGAAGATCAAAATGTGAGAAAATTTCTAGGTAGCTTCCAAATTTAATTTGACCAACCAGACTAAGAAACTTAGCCTTCTTTAAAGAAAGTACAGCCAAAGCAATTCATTTCCACTGGCCTTCTGAAATACTTTTTAGAAGTAGAAAAATATATCTCTTTTTTATACGCTGCATTGTATATTTCAAAAAGCTTCAAGTGAGTACTGTCCTAAAGCATTTGCTTTTCATAAAATGGCCTCTTTTGAATCATTAAATAGCACACTACTGAAGAGTTCAAAAGTTATGACAAGCCCTTGTTATCTTGTGAGGAAGATTAAATAAGATAAACATGAATTATCTGGCATCTTAGGATGGAACAGAGGTTAGCACTGGGTACACCATTCATAGAAATATTTATATCATCAATAGGAGTCAGAGGAATGACTTTATATCTCTGTACTTTTGCTTCCATATTTGTGTCTTTAGGACCTATTCAATAGTGCTTGCACAAGCCCATAAGACTCACCTCCCTTTTTTCCCTGTCACTGCTTGCATATTACTGGAAATGATCTAAGTGTGACTAAATACAATCTAATACTTGTATTATATGTGGATACCAACTCCATTCTTTTCAAAGTATCTGTGTGTTTACTCACATGAAGTCCTCATAGAGGAGCCATAAACCACTGAACCAGTAGTCAGCCAGTATTCCAGGTGTAGACCTGCTTCTGCCACAGAAAGTGAAAGCCTTTTTTTCTGCCCACTTTCATTTATGTCCATAAGACATGCCTTGGAAATTTTTGTCAAGGCAAACAAAAGGTGGTTTTGATCAGACTGCACCATGATTTCACCTTAGTCTGTACATCTATATGCCCTCAAATGGTTCTACTACCTACACCAAATAGAATCTTACAATATTTCCATCAAGTGACTTAACTTTATACTAATCATTATGACTCGTGAAACATTTTAAGGAATTTTCTCCAGAGACAGCTATAGAAATTGAGTTCCCCTTAGAATATATGTCCATCTCCTTGAGTTTCCAGTTAACTGAAGTGTTTGTGGGTGCTCTTGCCTCCAAATAGTTCAACGAATATTTATTCTTGCCTACTCACCTGCTAGTCACAATACCAGCAACTGGGCATACAAAGATTAAGACCTGACTCCTGCCCTCAAAAAGCTCACACTTACATAAAAAGTTAGGAATACACATCTGTTACCAAGTGCAGTTTAAAAAGTTGGTCATTCTGCTCTGAAAAGTCCTTGGCATTGATTTGGAAATGCCTTAATAACTTTTCTTACGTCTGTAAAGTTATCACTTGAATACCCAAAATGTATTGGGCCCTAGAAAGCAAGGTTGGACATGACAAATCCTTGACTTTGAGGAACTAAAGTTATTTAATTTGCTTATTTCAAAAGTTGTTGACCAAAGTGATTATTGAATCAATAGATGGTTTTGGGTGACTACAAAATTTGCTCTATTATAAAGGGTTATTAAAAGGAAACGCTGTTTCAGTTAGTTATTGTTCCCAATCTTGGCACATTTTTATGACTTTGGAAATTCTCAAATTGAAACCAGGACTGAGGCTTCTTTCTGTGTACCTCTAAAGGGGCAGGGTTACTAGTGTTTACAATTATTTTGTGATATCCAGATATGCGTACTTCAGCTAATATTTTATAGCCTTAAGTTTTTTTTGTTACAAGATTAGTGCACAAGTTCAAACAATAGAGAGGTATGTCAAGAAAAAAATTAATCATCATTATCCATTCCAACTTCTTAATCATCATTATCCCTTCCAACTTCTTAACCCTTTCTGTCTTCCCAAACTAATGGTAACTGTTTGGCATGATTCCTTTGACTACTTTCTCAATGGTCATTTTACAGCTTCTTTACAGATTACAAAATCCATTCATGTACAACGTATTTGTTTCTTATAATAATCCTATAGTGTAGCTATTATTATCATCCCCATTTTATTGATGATAAAATTAAAGCTCAGAGAGCTTAAACATTATTTCATCAGAGTCCACAAATGGAAAAACTCAGTTTTTTTCTGTGCTCAGAAGGATATTGTCAACCTACAGAAACAACTTGTTCCCCTACCGAATTCTTATAGTGCTTATATTTCCTGTTGTTAAAATGCCAATTAATTATCTGCTGCGCTTTCACAGTTTTGTACTAAGACGTTACCTGTACTGTTATTTTATGTATTTAAACTTTTTTTTCCTAGATAAAATATAAGCTAATTGAAGGCAGGAACAATATATTTGTATTTTTTTTTTTTTTGACTGGCTGATGGTAGTCCATTTAGTAAACTGTTAAAAGAATGAGTAAAGAGCTATATGGTATGCATGTGGTTTCTGGTCAAATATTCGTCATGATAATAACTTAAGAATTACAGCTCTCTTAAAAAAATCATAAATAAAAAACATAGTGTGCTTTTAATATTTATATATGTGTCTGCAGCTACGCACCAGATTGAACTATTCTTTTTGAAATAAATGTAAACATTGAACCAACCATATTTCCTTGCTTATTTTTGGCCTTCTAATGTTCTGGAAGCATCCTGTGCAGCTACCAGTGATATAATCTTGTGTGAAAAGCAGGATCTAACCAAGTTGTAGTGTTTCCTTTCTTGTTGTTTTCTCCTTCCCAGTTTGTATCTAAGATAAAAATCTAGCTGACCTTAGTTCATTGCAAATTAGAGAAGATAGCCCCACTTAGTTTGGCTTTATGTTGTGTAGATTAGCACTTTTTTTTTTAATTGGAGGCAATGCAGTCCCCTAATCTCCTGCATTTCCTATTTTGTTAGGGCTCAAAGGAATAGATATGTTGTAGCAGAGCATTCCACTTTTCTTCCCTTTCCTGAATCACAAACAAATGGCTTCCCTCAAATCACTGCAGTGAAGTGCCTTCTTAGGCAGAGATGCAACATCAGCCTGTAAAATAAAGGAGAAATATTTCAGAGGAGTAAGAGATTTTCCTTCAACAACTGAAAAAGAAGTTAAATCAGAAAGCTATAAATCATAAACTTAATGCAACTGATTTTACAGTCTTCAGAAAGTTTGCAAAAGACAAAGATTGTGAGAGAATTGATTTTAAAACGTACATTTACGGACGCATGTTTTGTTTTTGCCCGTCTCTAAAATTTCCATTGCTGAGTCTGTTTATTTAGAAATAAGCTCCTAACCAAAAGCAGTATATATTTTATGAACATTCTTTCCTCAAATCAATTGAGAAAGATAATGTTACGTCTTTGAATTTTACTAACCACTGGCGTGCACAGCAGCCATTTTTATATTTCAGTAGCATAATACATCCAGCAGACAAACCTTAAAAACTCTAGCTCTATTGGATACCAGTCGCAAGAAAGTAAATATATGATTTATGACTCCAATAAAATTGGAAGCACTGTCTTGAAATCTTTAGGGGAAGGCAAGTTAAAGGGATTAGAAAATTGTTGCTGGCCTTTTCAGGCAGATTTTAAGTGAGAGCATACTAGCAGTGTAGTCTGCTGCCTGCTTACACCCTCAAAAGCTGACAAGCATCATCTGAATGCTATGTGCTATGAGCTCCCGTTGAATTCCATGTTACAATCAGACTTTAAAATGAGGGCTGGTTCCCTTGGACAAGAGAATCATGGTGTCCTCAGGTCACTGACAATTTTAGAATATTGACTCCTGATGTCTTTTGGCATCACCAGTATTTTATTTCCTTAGTGTGACTCAAAAATGAATATGCATGATATCCTAAGGAAAAAATACCTGTATGTGCATAATATAAGGACACAGAAACTACTTTTTTTTTTGCAGGGGTGGAGAAAGTACCCTTTCTGTGGATGGGGATACATGTTAAGCATAATGGCTACAAGGAAGCATGTGTGTGAAGGGAAGCTTTCTGCTTTACCCAGAATACCTGCAATTATGCAGTAGGTCATTTTAGAAGCTCTAAGTCTTTAAGTAATGATAGGCATACTTGCGTAATACATAGCACATTGCCTTTATTTTAGGATTTTAATCTTCTAGTATATACAAAAGGGGAAACCCAAATTACATGAATTTCTAAAAGGGTTTGATCCAACATAAGTCTGTTTAGCTGTGTCCATTATAGATACTTTAACTAGCCTTCTCAATTCTGTTCAGTTTCCAGAGAATTTACTCTAGTTTCTAAGGACATATGAGACCATATTAGAATACTTCTATTCATGCCATCATGGAAATTGGCTTTACTTTTACATACCAAAAAAAGTACTTGGCATATAAATTGGTTCATGTTGAAAGGTTATTTACAGGTTGCAAATGAGTATTAATCACATATCTTTATAAACACTTATTTTAGTATTAATCAACTAAAAATGATTTCCATTTGCCACACAGAATCAGATTCAGTGCCATTTCACTGCCACTCAGGAGGAGACTACAAAAGCTATAGAGACAATAACATATACTGTTTTCTGAATTTAGAGGTTTGTTTTGTTTAGTTAGTTAGTATTTTGTTTTGAGCACTGATTTTATGTCAGGGTCCATGCTAGTGTCTTTCACATGTGATATAATTTAATCCAGCAATCCTGAAAGGTAGGATCTCTCCATGGTTACAGATGAGGAAGCAGAAGCTCAAGGAGGTAGTGTCGTGTGGGTATTCTGGAGCCAGCTGGCATGGGTTTGAATCCTGGCTTCACAGCTTGTTATGATGCTTCCTTGGCAAATTATTTAACTTTTCTGACCTCTGGTTTTCTCATCTCTAAAACAGGGTTTTCTGAAAAGAGCTTAGAACAGGGCCTGGCCCAGAGCTAAGCTTTATGCAGGTAGGGCTGCTGCGGGACACACCAGCCACCCAGGATTGTTTTAAAAACACTGTAATGGAAGCTGACTTCTTAAGATAACCATTTGGAGAATCTTTTTGAAAAGCCATCATAACCTTTCTCACCCTTGAGTTTATCTGGTTTTATTACAGATATATGGATAGGTAGACTGATAAATAGATCTAGATATATATGCAATTGTGTGTACAAATGTATGTGAGCATATATATGTGTATATAGTATATGTAAATATGTATATAAGTGTGTATGTATTTGTATATATATTTAAACTAGATCATCTCTATGTGAGAATTATTAACACCAAAATAAATTCTTTTCTCTTTTTAAGGTAATATTATTTTAAGCCTAGCGCATGTGCAGTGTTTTTTTGTAATCTTAAACGTTAGTTTTAGTGTATAGACGTTTCAGTCTTTTTAATTGTTTTAACTTTTGCCTGTCAGAGCTTCATAGCAATAGTTAAAGGTTAACATGGAAATACTGGGTAAGAAATACCTTTGTAATTTTGCAAATGCAACAAGTTATTGGTTTCTATTCGAGTGGAGCTGTCACTGAATGCATTTTAAAACTACACACACATTTTGTGTACTATTGGTTCATTTTTGTTTGGGGAACACTCACTTTACTCCCAATCTTCTGTCTTATAACAAAATGTTTTCCTCTGGTACAATTTACTTTGTTTCCATCTCTCCTCAGGTTCTTCAAGAAAAAACTAGCCTTTGTTTTCATTGGCCAGAATGGATTATGATTGCTTTTGAAATAATGTCTTGTTTTGCTGAAAAGCTAGTAGATTATTAAATAATCATTTTTTCTTTAAAGGATTTGTACTTCATTGAGAATATGTGGGGTGGTCTCAGGTGCTTCCTGGCCAGTGTGTGTGTCAACTACTAGGGCAGGTGCTTGGAGTTCAACTTGCATCCATAGGCATTTTCAGGGTCTCATGAAGTTAGTACTGAGAAGTGCACTAATTGTTGTTTGTTTGTTTTTAAGTTTTCTGAAGAGAGGAAAACAGTGAGGATAAGTGGTATAAAAGGAGTCTTTGTTTGTTTGTTTGTTTGAAACACTCTTCCACTCAGGCTGGAGTGCAGTGGTGCAGTAATGGCGCACTGCAGCCTCGACCTCCTGGGCTCAAGTGATACTCCTACCTCTCAGCCTCCCAAGTAGCTGGGACCACAGGTGTGCACCACCATGCCTGGCTAATCTTAATTTTTTTATTTTTTTGTAGAGAAGAGACTCCCTGTGTTACCCAGGCTGGTCTCAAACTCCTGGACTCATGGGATCTTCCCACCTTGGCCTCCCAATGTGTTGGGATTACAGGCATAAGCCACCGTGCTGGCTAAAAGGATTCTTTTGAATTTGCCAGAAGTAATTGCCTTCTGCTAGTGGTAAAGCCAGTTTGAAGATAATGGACTTCCCTTCCTTTTTTTTTTTTTTTCAGTGATCCCAGACCCAGAAGTTTTTAGTACTACAATTCAATTGGTTAATTTTTGGAAAGTTGAGTCCCTCATTCTTTTTAATCTTTAACAAAGAACAAGAAAGCTAGTGGGAGTTGATTTTCCAGTAAATTTTGCCCTATGTACTTCGTAAATCAACCTTAATTTTAGTTCTATCTTTGTCTTCAGATCATAAAATAATTAGTATTGCTCACCCTGTGATTCTTATACGGGTTAGGTTGGATCTGATTTGAGGTAATGTCAACTGTAACTATTTTATTATTATTTAATTTGATTTTGTTTTAGATTGCATGTTGTAGATTCAGACAAATTTAGATGAATGCCACTTCTGTTGCATTCCCATACTATATCATTTTCAGTGCATTTGTCCTGTGTATGTATATGGGAGGATTTCTGAGTATATCAAATTCCCCACTTAAAGCTACCATTCCCACGGTATGTGTCTCCTTCACATTCATTATAGAGGAATTTTAGTGAGTTTTTTGTGTATGTGCATGCGGACAGAAACTGTTTAGAAGGGCCATGTTAAAAACGGTTTTTAACCATGTAAGATAATTTACATAACTGTGTAAGATAACTTGCTTACCAATGTACAATGTGATTGTGAAATAAAAGCTTTGAATTAACATTCACAGTGAAAACACTAAAGCCAAGTGTTTCGGCGCCCAGAGCAGAAACTGTTTGGTGATTTAGTGTTTGTACAGATTTAATTAGTTATATTTACTTTCAAAATTTCATCTTTCTTTAACAAATTCTACTTCTTTGAAGTTAAATGAAACCTTTGCTTTTTTGGATTCAACTGAGATATCAGAGAAGGAGCATTAGAATTGATTGGTTCAAGTTCAGCTGTGCCATTTCCTCATTTGTCAAATGGTGTAAAGAAAGATACCTACCTCAGAGGTGGTTGGGAGGCCTAATTCGATGATATGGATAAAATAAATTGGGATGCTTTTGAAAACATTCTGCAACAAGTTCATACGGCAACAGTTTGGAGGATTGCCATGGCAATGCCTTAGGGAAAGTGGTTATGGTGTTGTAGCAAATACCATTTCTACCCTTGGTGACTTTTATGTTGTCCCTGAACATTTACAGAGAATAGGAGCAGAGAATATTAAACTAGTTATTTTATCAAAAGGCAGTGATATGTGTTAATTTCCCATACTTCAATATATGCATCAATCACATGATCAGAAAGCATTCAGTAAAACAGGCTTATTAGTTTTTGCCCTTCTTCCTCCTCCTCTTTTCCACTATTTCATCTTTTCTTTCCATCTTTCCTCCATTCAGCACGAAACTTTCTCTGAGTATTCCTCTTCTCTCCAGCCCCTATTCGTCCTGTTTCTTTTTTAGAACATGAAGTTGGAATTGAGGTTATTGGTAAAAAAATGTGTTAGGTTATTTAATAAGATTTTGTTTCTTCTCCTTAAATTTTCAGTCAGATGAATTAAACCCTAGGTGTGCATTCTTAAAAACAAATAGCTCCCAAACTAATTGCTTTGATACTTCCATGTGGCCTTTAAAGTAATTTTTCTATGAGCCAGTAGCTTTTGAATTTTTTAAACATTAAGTGTCTTCAGAAGGGTGGAGAAAGAAGGATGGAGTTACAGATTGATCATATTTTTATTTAAAAGCAGTTTTCTAAGGTTCCAAAGAATATTGCATACCAAATATTTCCAAATAACATATATAGACCTTATCGTCTGTTCCATTCATTCGTTCATTCATTCGTTGCTTGTGACCTGCTGATTCTTCTTAAACTGTCGTTTCACTTATTCTGACATTTATATCTTATCTTTCTAACTTGATTAGAAGCATCTTGAGGTCCAGGGCCATGCCTGTAGTTTCTAGGTATGCTCTACAATGGTTTCCCAAATGGAATCAGGTGAATAAACACATATTAATTAATCTGAGATTTTCTTGAATGGAAGGAGTCAAAGAAAGAGGATTCCTTCTGAGTAAGAATCAAGGCCACTAAAAAATCACCTTCCTAGTTTACATTATATAATCTTTATTTACCTGTATAAAGATTTTAAAACTGAGTTGAAGAATGCCACAATGTGTAGGCCATTTTTGGAGCATTTGAGAGTGTGTTTAGAAGTGCCACAAAATGCTACAGATGCCATCTGACTTAAAATTCACTCACGGAGTAGTTTATTTAGATGTGTGTTTGCTGGGAATCTACTACCAGGAGAAATGTGGAAACCACATGAAATTCACTACATAAAGAAATCTGGTTTCCATTTCTGTACTGCATTTTGTGCTAGCAGGAAGAAGATAAACAAGCTGTTTAAAACTAAAGTGAATGGCAAAGGAATTCCATTTTTAGATCCCACCCCGTAAATGTATTTTGGAATTTGCAAAACCTAATCCTATCACATAGGTCCTTTAAGAAGGGAGAAAATGTGTTGAGTCTTCTAGTATTAGCTATCTCAGTGGAATGGATGAGTAATTTTGTTTCCTGTTGATGTAGTGTAGTAATACAACTATGACATGTGCTTCAGTTAAAATTAAAACGAAAGTCTCATTCTAGTCTTTGGTAGGCAGACATTATTCTGAGAATGAGAAGAGGGAAGGAAGCAAGAAAAGGCTCTTTTCTGTTAGTTTAAGATCACCCCTTTTAAGGAGAGGAGAATTTTATCCTAAGTTTTAATATAGCTATTTAAAACTCTGTATATGAAAAGGTATATGAGTAAGGCAGATGAGAGGAAAAAGATTGAACTGTTTTTATTTTGAGAAAAATATTCTGGAGGTTCCTTTTAAATTTTCTATTTAGTGATCCTTATACAGTTTAAATATGTTATGAGATTGCCATTTAAAGAGGAACACACTCAGTTAAGATAAAATGTATTGTGATTAATAAAAATGTTAATATTTGAAACATAAAGGCCAACCATACAATTGTGATTTTCCTTTAATAAACATGACCAAATCATACATACCTATGTTTAGGAGTAATAAACATGCATTTCTCAACTTGGTAGGCCTTGTGCTTTGCAAAAAAAAAAAAACCTGTAATATTTTTATAAGATCAGGAAGATCATAACATTAAATTGTTCATTTACTTAAGTAAATTAAAACTTTCATTCCATGGCTTAATTTCTCTCCTGCTTTATGGTGGAGAAAAGAAGCTAATTAAGGTTTATTTTATATACTCTTATTTAATATGGTGCTTGTTTGTATTTTTGTTAGTTTTACTATTGTAACTTCTGCTCTGGTGATTTTTTAGCTGGCTACACTTAATAATTAATACATAATTTGTCTAAGCCTACACTCAGAGCCAAGGGGCTTTATATCTATGGAAAGTGCCATTTTTCAGGTGAGATGTAAAAGTAAACATCCAGTTATGTCATTCTTTTATTTTTTCACTCACTCCATGAACATTTATCAGACGCCTGTGATGTTAGACTCTGTCCTGGAGATACTAAGGTAGAAAATACAAACTTTATACCTTCAAGGAGTTTGCTTGGGATGACTAAGGGGCAAAAACAATTGTTAAGAAGAAAGATAGTGATTTTAGTATTTCAGATAAATATAAATCTACACATAAGTTTAGATTTATCTAAAAATATTATATGGTCTGTTTAGCCAATGCTAAACCATTGGTTGTTGTTAGGCAGTAGAGTGCAGTGACTGAGGGAGAGACTAAGGAGCTAGAAGGCCTTGGTGTGCGTCCAGCTTGACTGCTTACTTTGCTGTGTGACTTGGTGAATGTTATTTATCATTTGTGGCTTTTTTCATCCATAGAACGAGGATAATAAGTGTTTCTACTTCATAGGGATGTTGGAGGACTATATGGATTAATCTGTGGAAGCTTTCAGCATAGTGTCCAGTGTATATTAAGCACTTAAAAAAATGTTAGCTTCAGGGATGATTTCCAAAATATTTAGCAACCCAGACAGTAGGGGCATCAACCAGTAAGAACTGCTGTTGGCTGTAAAAATCTAATATGACCACCCCAGTGTTTATGGTATAGATAACAGCTCAGTTAGCCTTCATCAGTTTTATTGTTTCTACTTAAAACTCATGCTCCATCCCCATCCTATCCTATGGACAATGGCTCCTGGACCAGGCTCTGTAGTACTAACAGACTGTGGACTTACTAGGTGCCTGCAATTTATATTTTTGTAATCTTCTTAGTTTTGAGTACCTAGACTTAGTATAGATTTATTTCATGTTCCAGACGATTCAGGATGTTTTTCTTACCTAATAATTCCTAGAAAGACACTAGAGCCAAGCCTTGGGTTCCCTACTTTTTTTCGCCTAATGTTGGCAAGTAATTGTTATAATGTAGGTGTTCATTTTTTTCTCCTCCTTTCCCTCCTCCTCCTCCTGTTTTTTTCTGGAAGAGAAAAATTATATCTAAAGCTAATTGCCTTAAATTCTTTTTTAGAAAGTGATTGTATACTATAAATAAACTAACTCTTTTCAGTAATCGCTCATTTTTTTATTTTTGCAGTAAGGATAGAATGTATGTAAGAGCATTTAGGACATATAAAGCATTAAAGGACATATAAAGTGCAAAAGACATTGTCCTTTTAAGTTAGAAGACTTGATTCCCAACACTGCCACTTGCTAGTTACTTAACTGTAGTTAATTCACTCTGTGTTACATTTTTCCATCTGCAAAATTGGGAGTAATAGAACCTTTCTCATAGAGCAGGAGACCCCCAACCTTTTTGGCACCGGGGACTGGTTTCATGGAAGACAATTTTTCCACAGATCAGGATGAGGTGGATGGTTTTGGGATGATTCAAGTGCATTAAATTTATTGTGCACTTTATTTCTATTATTATTCCATTGTAATATATAATGAAATATGTATACAACTTATCATAACGTAGAATCAGGGGGAACCCTGAGCTTGTTTTCCATCATCTGGGGATGATGGGAGACAGCGACAGATCATCAGGCATTAGATTCTCATAAGGAACACACACCCTAGATCCCTTGCATGTGCAGTTCACAATTGGGTTTGCACTCCTGTGAGAATCTAATACTGCTGCTGATCTGACAGGAGGCAGAGCTCAGGTGGTAATTCAAGTGATAGAGAGCAGCTATAAATATGTATGGCCTGGTTCTTAACAGGCCAAGGACTGGTACTGCGTTCGTGGTTCAGGGGTTGGGAACCTCTGCCATAGAGTATTGTGAGGATTAAACAAGATAATACTTATCAAGCATTTAGGACATACATTTCAGTAAATTCATTTAATTTATTGTATTTATGAAGCACTTAGGATATACAGTTGACCCTCTGAATTCCATGGGTTTCACATCTGTGGATTCAACCAATTGCAGATTGAAAATATTTGAAAAAAATTGGGTCTGTACTGAACATGTACAGGCTTTCTTCTTGTCATTATTCCCTAAACAATATGATATAACAACTATTTACACAGCATTTACACTGCATTAGGTATTATAAGTGATTACTTACAATCTTTAAATAAGATGATTTAAGGTATACAGGAGGATGTACATAGGTTGTATGCAAATATGGTGCCATTTTATATAAGGGACTTGAGTATCTTTGGATTTTGACATCCATGGTAGGTCCTGGAAACAATCCCTCACAGACACCAAGAGACAACTGTAGTTAACATTCAGTAAATTCACTTAATGTATTCAGCAGGTATTTAGAGTACTTACTATGTGCCATACAGTATTCTAGGCACTGGGGATACAGCAGTAAATTTAACAGACAAAAATCCTGCCTGCATGATAATAAAGTGCAAACAATATAGTAAGGAAAGAGAATAGAAAATCTGGGAATGGGGTTGCAATGTTAAGTAGCATGGTTAAGAAAGGTGGTATTTGAGATTATATTGGCAAGCAGTGAGGAAGTAAGCATGCGGATGACTGAGGAAAGAGCCTTTCAAATGGTGGGAACAGTATGTGCAAAGACCCTGAGGCAAGAGTGTGCCTGGAGGCCAGAGGAGCTAGAATAAGGTGAGGGGAAGAATAGGAGTAGATAAGGTTGATAACTGGGACCTGCTTAAGATCTGAGTGGTACAATGATGGGCATGGAGAGGGGATCAGGAATGTACCAGTGAAGGTTTCTTGGAGGAGAAGGTAGATCTGGAAAACAGAGAGACCATGAAGAAGCATATGAAAAAAGGAGAACATTCCTGCTAGTGGGAAGAACATGAGCAAAGGCACAGGCAGTGGAAAAGACAGACCTAGAGAACATCCAGGATCGCCTGTCCAGAACAGACAGTGTGCAGTGAGAAGAGAGGGAAACAAGGTTGAATAAATGAGTGAGATGGATGATGGAGGCCTTGAAACCTAGGCAGAGGACTTTTGGTTTCTACTGATTAGAAAGATGTTTCTAGTCAATAGAAGCAAACCAATGAAAAAATCTAAAGTCCAAATTTAAAATCAATATATAAACTAACTCTCTCTTGCTAAAAGATACTGTTTGGGTTTGTTTTCAGAGACAAGTAAAGAATTTAAAGTTTTATTGATAGGTTTGATGTAAAATAGAGAAAAAGTTTTGATACTTAAAAAAAGTGTTTACTATTAAATAAAAGATTCCCTAATACTCTACTATGTGAGCTACAGTTATAAGCATTATGGCTTAATAAATTAGGTGTTACTTTATTAAAATAATAATCCTTTATGAATAATCTTAGTGTTGATAAAAACATGCTGGGGATCTTGTTCTCTTCTTTCTGCACATGATCAAGCTTTAAACCTAAGCGTTGTTTTGCTTGCTGCTATGTATGTATGATCACATACTCACAAATAAGGGGCAAAATGAGAGAGGCAGTGAGTCAAGTCATCTAAATGGTCACATTCGTCCTTTGGAAAATTATCTTGCAACTTGAGACCCATTGGCATTATTTATTAATTACTGCCTCTTTTTACATTCTACTTAATGCCAAGCTATGCAAAAAAGTTATGGTTGGAGAAAAAAGCCGTCTATGGAAAAGAACAAGCATTACCTGTGTGTGAGTCCTACTAGATTCATCAGACTTTTGTCTTCTTTGCCTCACACTTTTTAAATGTATTATCTTCAGAAAAAGCATTTTTACTTGAAAATAAGTTTGTGTTTCTGCTACAGCAAGTTCATCTCACATTGAGTTATTGTCCAAGACTGCCGTGGTAAATATAGTCTGCTCCACCTAGAACTGAACTTATTTTCATATGGATTGGTCCTCCTCAGAAATTTAGCATGTGTATAAACATGTTTCTTTAGCTTTCAAATGTGAATGAGATCCAGTGCTAAGTTGATTTTCATGAAATCTATCTTAAGAAGTAGATGATGTGACTATCAATTGTGTACAGGATAGAATGTTAGGAAACTTTTGATTCTATTCCTGCCTTTTATTTTGCAGCAGGAATTTGGCAATGTGTGTGCTCCCTCTGTTGTTGAGTTTCTTGAGTGTCTTCATGAAATAGATGCAAAATATCAGCTAATGGCCACAATAGATTTTCACTAAAAGGCTACACGAAATTATTAATTCTGTTTGTGCTGTAAAATGTGAATTACAGTCATGCATCACTTAACAATGGGAATACATTTAGAGAAATGCATCCTTAGGTGATTTCATCCTTGTAGAAATATCAGAGTGTATTTACACAAACCTAGGTGGTAGAGCCTGCTATATACCTAGGCTATATGGTATATAGCCCATTGCCCCTAGGCTATAAACCCATACAGCATGTTACTCTACTGAATACTGTAGGCAGTTGTAACACAATGGTATTTGTGTATCTAAACGTGCCTAACAAAGAAAAACTACAGTAAAAATACAGCATAAAAGATAAAAAAAAAAAAAAAGGTACACCTGTAAAGGGCGTTTACTATCAACCGAGCTTTCAGGACTGGAAGTTACCCTGGGTGAGTTAGCGAGTGAGTGGTGAGTGAATGGGAAGGCCTAGGAAATTACTGTATGCTACTGCAGACTTTAGAAACACTGTACACTTGGGCTACTCTAAATTTATGCAAATATTTTTTTCTTCAACAATAAAGTAACCTTACCTTACTGTAACATTTTTACTTTATAAACTTTCAAATTTTTAAAAACTTCTTGACTATTCGTAATACAGCTTGAAACACAGACATTTAACAACTGTAAAAAAAATTTCTTTTTTAATATCCTTATTCTATATTCTTTTTTGATTTTTAAATGTTTTTATTTTTTACTTTTTAAATTGTTTTGTTAAAACATATAGACACAAACACACACATTAGCCCAGGTCCACACAGGATTGGAATCCTCCATATCATTGTTTTCCACCTTCACATCTTGTCTTACTGGAAGGTCTTCGGTGGCAGTAACATGCATGGAACTGTCATCTCCTTTGCTAACAATACCTTCCTCTGGAATGCCTTTTCCAGGACCTGCCTATGACTGTTTTACAGTTAACTTTAGGACAAAAAACAGGTAGAAGGAGTACATTCTAAAATAATGAGAGATGTATAGTATAGTAAATATACAATTCAATAGCATAGTTGCTTATTATCATTATTAAGTACTATATACTGTATATAATTGTATGTGCTAGACTTTTATAAGACTGGCAGCACAGTAAGTTTGTTTACACCAGCATCAGTATAAACATGTGAGTAATGTGTTGCACTACAATGGCTATGAACCCATAGGAATTTTTCAGCTCCATTATAATTTTATGGTACCACCATTGTATATGCAGTCTGTCATTGACTCAAATGTTATGTGTTGCATGATAGTGACTTAAAATCCTAAGAATTACCTTATTAATAGGCTGAAACACACTGTGTAAATCAATACCAGTTTATTAACTTTGGTCCGATGGCTGGATTATTTACTCTTTTCTTCAGTGATTTTCATGACAGACTTCAGAATAAGTTTGCTAGTCTTTGGATGACCCTGGATTAGGCCGTGGTTTTCACCTCCTATATATTATTATTATATATATGTATATATTTTATAATAATATATATGATCCAGATACAAAGTGGTGCTTGCCATTCAGTGAAACAGTGGATAAAGAACAGAAAGCAGTTCAGGAGGAACAAACGAATGGCACTAGGAAGGAAGACAACAGAGCACTCGAATGTTATCATGGGCCGTTTCTCAGCCTAACTTCAGCATTATGAGACACTTATTAAGAATTTTTTAAAAGTTTATCACAGTATTAGAGTGAAATAATAGGGATATGAGATAAATCAACAGAGTGTTGCTGGAATGGGATAAAGAGAAGATAAAAATCAATCAAGAAAAATGCTTCCCCTTTGCTTGACATTGGTAATGAGACATGACTCCATTTAATACCTACATTTTAAGAGAGATATGAAAAATTTGAGAGGGGTACCACAAATGAGCAACTAAATGATTCAGGACTGCAATCTGGTAATGTAATTGGTGGGGGCCTGAGGAGGACTTTATGGGAAAAGGTGTTGTTTTGACTTGGACAGAAGGTTAATATCGACTTAACTGCCTCAAAATAAATTAGATTTCAGGGTAAGAAGGATGTTCAGCCACAGTTCATCTTCTGAGGTAAAATAAACAAACTAGTATAAACTGCTACCAGAGACATAGATTGAGCAAAAGAATGAACTCCATGAAATTGACTGCTATTGAACAAAGAGAGGTACCATCATGATAAGTTGTGGGTTTTCTTTCAGTGATTGTCTTTTTAAAATGAGATTTATCCGTTGGGGTTGGGTAATTTGGCTGTCTCGTTTTCTAAAAGTGTGATTCTCTAAGGCAATATTTTGGATAAAGTGTATTTGCCAAGGAATTAAAAGAGCTTTGTCTGACATTTGGTTAAATTTGTTATTTGCATACTTTAAAGCATTCATTCAACAAATATATATTAGACATGGACTTATGTTAGTAAATATTTTTATAATAGTAGGAAACATAGGAATATGTGCTATTATTGTCATTGAGAAACAATGTGTAATTTCTTGCCTAACCTCTGCTTTTGATTATTTATACAGTTTTTTCTAATGAGATAATTTAAACTTAGTATAATATATTGACGTATCTGTTGCTTTTGCTTGATTATCAGCTTTGAGATTTTCCTTAGAGAATGCATGATTTATAAGTTCAAAAAAACAACATTTTGGGTCAAATCATACACATAAGGGCTGCTTTCCAAACATTTGGCAGTAAATTCTGACCTCCTGATTAATGTCAAGTAGTTTACTTAATATATGATGTTGTCATGGTGACAATTACTCAAAAACACAAACATGGAAAGCAGAAAAAAAATAGAAAGAAAGAGAGATGGCTGACAGCTTTCTTATGTATTTCTCCTGCTTTAAACGTATTCCACTAAGGGGTAAGAAAGATAATTTTTCCTTGCATGCCTTTTTATACTTTTTGAATTTTGAGCTATATGAATATATTGCTAATTTTAAAGTGTTACATTATAATATTTTAAAATTTTAAAACAAAACTTTGGCTTTGTTTTATAAATAAAATCTCTTAAAAATTTTTCTTTTGAATTAAAAAATATCAGATTTCCCAGAATAATTTACTTCAATCTATTTTAATCTATACTGAGATCATTATGTGAGAGTATTACTCTTTTCTTTGTTTTCAGGGCTTTGCATAAGGTGACTTGAATAATATATGCAAAAGATATTTTGTGAATGAATACTTGTGAAATCTTTTAAATATTCCTTTAATACAGAAGCATATATTCTTTTCAAGACACTTACATAAGCCAGTTTTTGGTAGAATTCTGCCTATTCATGAAAGCAGGCATCCTTGAGACTTATTTTTCTTACAGCTTTACTGAAGTATACTTGACAAATAAAAATTATATCTATTTAAGGTGTACAATGTGATGTTTTGATATATGTTATGAAATGATGACCACAGTCAAGTTAATTAACATGTACATCACCTCACATCATTACTATTTTTGTGTGTGTGTGCAGTGGGAACACTTGAGATTGAGATCTAGTCTCTTAGCAAATTTCAAGTTTACAGTGCAATATTCTTTTTTTGTTTTTTTTTTTTTTTGAGACGGAGTCACTCCGTCACCCAGGCTGGAGTGCAGTGGTGTGATCTTGGCTCACTGCAACCTCCATCTCCTGGGTTCAAGCCATTTTTCTGCCTTAGCCTCCTGAGTAGCTGGGACTACAGGTGCATGCCACCATGCCCAGTTAATTTTTTGTATTTTTGGTAGATACGAGGTTTCGCCATGTTAGCCAGGATGGTCTCAATCTCTTGACCTCGTGATCTGCCCCCCTTGGCCTCCCAAAGTGCTAGGATTACAGGCGTGAGCCACTGTGCCTGGCCAATATTCTTAACTATAGTCACCATGCTGTACAGTAGGTTTCCGGAACTTAGTTTGTTGTATTACTGAAAGTTTGTACCCTTTGAGCAACACTTCCCCATTTCCTCCACCACCCCCAGGCCTCTGGCAACAACATTTTCTACTCTCTTTTTCTATGAGTTCAACTATTTTAGATTCCTTGTAAGTGAGATCATGCACTATTTGTCTTTCTGTGTCTGGTTTATTTCACTTAGCATGATGCCCTCTAGGTTCATCCGCATGGTCACAAATGGCAAGATTTCTTTCATTTTTAAAGCTGAATATTTCATTATTTCATATGTATGTATTTCATATGTGTATATGTATGTGTATATATGTATATATGCACATGTGTATATATGTATATATGCATGTGCATATATACACATGCATACATATATATACACACACACACACACACACACACACACACATCTCACATTTTTTTTTATCCATTCATCTGTTAAGTTGTTTCCACATCTTGGCTATTGTGGATAATGCTGCAATGAATGTGGGGTTGAGACTTTATAATGAACTAACCACTAACTGAGCTTTTTCAAATAAGAAAGTACAGTTGAAAACAACAGTAGCTTCCTACTTAAAGTAATAAAGGAAAAGGGGAGAGAATTCGTGTTTTATTTGTCTTTTTCCTTTTCTCTCTCTATTTTCTTTTCTTTTCTTTTTTTTTTTTTTTGAGGCCTTACTATGAACCAAAATAATATGACACAATCTAAGGTGACAGGCAGTGTTAAGGTCTGTGTTCAGGTTAGGGTGCTATTACTTAGTATTACAGCCAGAGGATCAGAAATACCCAAGTCCTCTGAGACTACAGCAATCACTTCCCCTATGGTTGCTGAGGATGCAATAATGGCAAAGAAAAGCAAAATAACACCTTGTTATTTTCTGGGGATTTGTCCCCAAATCTTAGTGCAAAAAACTCTGGCCAGCCAGGCCAGACCATGTATCTGGAGCAACCACTTCTCCTGAGGTGGTGAGGCATAGGTAGCTTCAAATCAAAGGAGGCCTTTACTATCCCAATGTTCATACCCAAGTTTTTGCGTCTTATCATATTCTAACCACACATAAAAGGACATCAGCCTTGACCCTAAAGATGCCAAGCACATGACGGTGTAAACCAGAGGGACAGCTATGCCTGTGTGTGCTGATCTTTTCCTGTTAATCCCTTTAGCAAGGGTGGCCCAATCTACCAAACCATAGCCACTCCTGCTCCTGGAGGACAGAGGCAGTGTATGAGGAAGGTAGTGGGAGTGGTTTTAAAGGACCCTTTTTCCTAAGGGCATCAGACATGGTAACCCTAGGGTGGTCAAAAGTGGCTGGGCTACACTGCAGTTCTTCTAGTCATTTGTTTCAAAGCCCAAAGCAAGCATGCCTCCTGTTTATACTAATGGCACATGTAACCCTTTTTGTCCTGAGGCTGAGTACTTGGCACAAACACAAGCTGGTCATTTTAACCAAGAGTACAATGTAGTCTGGAGATCCAGTGTTATTAATTGTCCATTTTCAGCCTATCTAAAGGAGCAATCTTAGTAAATCCACTTACATGTATGTGCATGTTAAAGACCTAACTGGTCTTTAACCTGATTCCTTTTTCAAAAATACAGCTTTACTGGGTGAAGTGTAAATGGAAACTCTCTACTATTCTTCCAATGCTTTGGTAAGTCTAAAATTATCTCAAAAAAGTTTTTTTAGAAAGTGGAAAATAAAAGATAGAACAAAATGACAATCTCTTTCAGGGGAAAAAAAGGTGAGAGTAACAGAGTAAAGATATTTTACTTTAAGGAAGTAAAGATATTTCTGCATGTTTAATATTTATACGCATACACAAAATACAGCTTTTATGATACCACACTGCTCAAAAACTCTTAGTGACTTCTTATAATTTATAGGTTGCAGTTCAAATTTGTTAGTCTTGGAATGTAAAGGTCTCTTAAATTGAGCCCCAGCCTACCTTCCCAGCATTATAGGTTACTATTATCCTGCTCCAGATCCCTAGCCAAACTGGGCTCCTCCCTGACCTCCAGCAGGGATTTCCCCTTCTACCTCATGAAATCTACAGCAACCAACGCTGCAAGGAACATTTAAATTCTTACTTCCTTCAAGAAGTCTTCCCGGATCACCTCCAACTCAAGGTAATACTTTATTCCTCTGTGACAAATGTTGCATAGAAATCTTTAATGCTTCTTTAAAATATATTATTTTTAATATTCATGTTATGTGCTTATGTCTCATCTCTCCACTAGAATTTTTAAGCTATTCAAAGTCAGGACCTTATATATTTTTTTGAATTCTTCACATTGCCTAAAACCTTAATTAATTAAGGAATCCCACAAACTTTTATCAATTATCTTTTTTGTGCCAGGCACTGTGCTGGGTGCTTGGAATATAAAGCATAATAAAAAGATTTCTTAAGGAAGCCTTTCTTGTTTCCCCCTGGCCAGCTTAGAGGGTCTCTCTTCCGAGATCCCATTGCATCCTGTCCTAATCACTATCTTATTAATACTCAGGGGTATTGCACCATATGGTTTGTGGAGTATGTGTCTGTTTCCTCCAGGATGCAAGCACCTTAAGAAGAGACACTTGGTCTTTTTTCATTATATCCCCTGAACTCAGAATAAAAATGTAGAAATGCTCAATATATGTGTGCTGAATGAGAAACTGCAGCTGAAAGTTGTGGTTGGTTAGTGGAATAATTATAGCTGATACCCTCAATTAAATAGGTGATTAGCTTTCAAACAAAATACATTCTTGTGATTTCTTTTCTTTCTCCTCTTCCAATTAATGTATATTTTTAATCATCATCACTAAAGTACCTCACGACATAAGTTTTATATATGCTGTAATATGAATACATTTGCCATCATAGTGATCACATCATATATAGGTACTACAGATATATACAAGTTTTTTGAATTCCAGGAACAAATGTGCACTGCCAATTTGATTATCTCTAGCTATAGGTATCAAGTTAGGATTAGACCTGGATCCCCTGAAGACAAGTAATCCAACGTGGGTTTTAATCTGTTTTTGAATTCTAAGTATCTAGCGCAAGCAAGGTGCCTAGAACATAGTATACAATAAAAAGTGTTTGCAGAATTAATTATATGAATAATTACATTTCCCCATCCTACCCAACATATTTTTTTGCTAGTCATTTTAATCTCATTTTTTTATCAAAGCTGCTAAAAAATAGAACTTACTCATTTTAATTTTCTACTACTCTTCCTGCCTTTTTGCTCTAAAATCCTAAAATGCCAAAAGTGGGAGCTTGAGACTAAAAAGGAGCAACAAAGATTTATGTCATCCAGAAGTTCATTCTCAGATCTATATAAATGGCAAAGCATTGCATTCTTTTTTTTTTTTAATACTTTAAGTTCTAGGATACATGTGCACAACATGCAGGTTTGTTACATATGTATACATGTGCCATGTTGGTGTGCTGCACCCATTAACTCGTCATTTACATTAGGTATATCTCCTAATGCTATCCCTCCCCCATCTCCCCACCCCATGTCAGGCCCTGGTGTGTGATGTTCCTCACCCTGTGTCCAAGTGTTCTCATTGTTCAGTTCCCACCTGTGAGTGAGAACATGCAGTGTTTGGTTTTCTGTCCTTGCGATAGTTTGCTGAGAATGATGGTTTCCACCTTCATCCATGTCCCTACAAAGGACATGCACTCATCCTTTTTTATGGCTGCATAGTATTCCATGGTGTATATGTGCCACATTTTCTTAATCCAGTCTATCATTGTTGGACATTTGGGTTGGTTCCAAGTCTTTGCTATTGTGAATAGTGCCACCATAAACATACGTGTGCATGTGTCTTGATAGCAGCATGATTTATAATCCTCTGGGTATATACCCAGGAATGGGATGGCTGGGTCAAATGGTATTTCTAGTTCTAGATCCTTGAGGAGTCACCACACTGTCTTCCACCATGGTTGAACTAGTTTACAGTCCCACCAACAGTGTAAAAGTGTTCCTGTTTCTCCACATGCTCTCCAGCACCTGTTGTTTCCTGACTTTTTAATGATCACCATTCTAACTGGTATGAGATGGTATCTCATTGTGGTTTTGATTAAAGCATTGCATTCTTAACTGAAAATTGCTGATTCTTACTAACAAAGGAAATCTCATTTTTTTTCCATATAATTGATGCCCTCACTTATTTACTTGGGACAAACAGGTACATAATTTGCCTTCATAGAATTATCAAAATCAGTGTACTGAAAATTTAAATGCAGTCACAATTATTTAGTTCATGTTGCTCCAAAATATCACATTAGGAACTTGAAGTAGAGAGACTTCGAGTTGTTAAACTGTGTCTTGATAACTCATATTACCACAGTAAGATTTTTTTTAAGTGCAATTTCCTGCAAAGTGGAGATTAATTCCTGACGCTTTGAGGTTTTGGGTTCTTCAGATAAAAGACTACAAAGGGAAAACATGAACATACCATCTCCGGGAGTAATTATACTCTTTAGCATTCATGGATGTTATGCTATTTTCCTCAACATTAGCACAACTTTGCCCTATTTCAGAATAAAACAAACATTTCCTTATGGCTTTAACTACCTATATCATAATTCACTGTGCAATAGCTTTCAGTGCTAGGATGTTAGGTAAATACTTGATTAATGAGTTACTTTAGATTACTAATCATTAAATATGGTCTCCCTTTTTTTTTTGTCTTTTCTTAAAATATTAACTACACTGGGAAAGCAAGAAAGCACACCTGCCATTTCCTCACTATGGGCTATCATTTCTCCTTGTATGTGTTAACACAGAGAATAAAGGAGAATCCTGTATATTTTAACAAAAGGTTTAGTGGTCATAGCAGGGTGAATGCTTTAAATAGGGCTGAGTATGCAATTGTTCTATTATCGAGACAATTGCCTGATTGAGAACAGCTCTCTGGAAAAGCTCCAAGTATGTGTCCAGATTACCACAGGGTGCTTGGAGTGATTAGAATTGCTCATGAGCAACCAAATGCTCTGGCTTGTCTCCACTAAGCAATTGAAGTATATGGGATCCTGAGAGACATGACTTAGTTGAAAGTATTCTCTTCCTGTTCTAGCTTTCTTTGCCTCACTGGAAATATTAAATGCACAGCAGACCTCTATACAGGAAGCCCAAATGCAGACATTAGGTTTGCAAGGTGTCCCCAGCCAACTCCACATGAGACAGGCCCCTCACACGGTCTTATTGCCTATAGAGTCCTGCTCTGATGAGAACTTTCAGACATTTTAAAATTAGGCATAGATTATCAAGCTGCACCAAATTGCCAAGTTGCAAAACCCGAAGATTATCAAGGGGTTTCTTGGTAAAAGATTATCAAGAAGGGGTTTCTACTATGTTGTAAGAGGTGAAACTTGGCATACATTTTAAGACGAACATGGTCCTTTTGCATTTGAATTTTCAAAGGTGCAAATAATTATAAGTCAGGGATGGTGAAAATAGTAGTAGTCTTTGGATATATACATTAGCTTTTTTCTTTTGAGCGCTCACCATAGTATATCTTGCTCAGTTATCATCACCATGCAATTTTTTTTATAAGACAGAATCCTTCCCTATTTCTGCAATTTGTTTGGAATGAAATTCCATATTGAGGGGATATTCCTCCATTGCAGATACTTTTAAGAAGAAGCCTCTCTACCAATTCTCCATCAACCTGAATGAGCTGAGTTTGGGTACTCTCAGAGCTTGAATGGGTCAAATACTCCTTTATTTGCCACTTGGGCTCCTAATTACCCCAAGTCCTGTCTTTTTAGCTACATCTCTGTGACTGCTGCTTCTCAGAAGAAAATGATTCATTCTGTTATTTTCATGAAATCATGAAGAATCCCATAATCTTTTCATCCTATCATTGGGCATTTAGTCTTAGGGAAAACAACATTTTGCCTAAGGGTGTTTGGTTTTCAAATGGTTGAGCCTGACTTTTTGGCTTCTAAGGCCATGGCCACTAATGCCACTGAGCCTTGATCAAATTGCCCTTAAAAATATTGTAGTTAATATAAGCCTTTGAGTTTGGCTTATATTAACTAGAATATTTAATTCTAGAAATTAATATTACTAGAATTAATAATAACCAGAAAGATCTAGGGTGACTTAAAAGAAAACTTCATGAACAAGATTGACTTACTAGAAAGCATGTTTGTAGGCATGAACATAGGTTAATATTATTCCATTTACTGGCTGAGTGATGTCAGGCTAAGCTGTTATTTGATGTGAACATCAGTTTCTAATAACTAAAAAATGGTTTGTTGTGATATTTAAATGAACTATCCATAATTTTGTTTCTTTTTTCTTCTTTTGAAGAATTTTGATTTTCAGTTTTAACATCAAGGAACCAAGGGCAAAACTTAACAGCATAATGTTGGGTTTTACAGTGTGCAAAGAAATCCCTTGAAGCTCTGTTTATAAACTTAGTTGCATTTTTTTCTAAGTATGTTTAGGAAGCAGATTTGGAAGGAGCTAGAGATCTATGCACTACAAAGCACTAGCTTCTAGATCAATGTTTTCAGCAGGGAAGGATTAGGCAGTAGAAGAATATCACATGAAGATAAGCTAGAGAGTTTTTTGTTTTGTTCTATTTATGTTTTAAATTCATATACATTGAACTTTAATATATGTTAAATACTTATTTTTAAGTCCTCTCAATATCAAGTGGAGGTGCCATTAATATTCCCATTTAGTAGATAAGGAAACAGGCTTGGGATGTCAGATATCTTGCCTCATGTCTCATGGCTAATAAATGGAGAAGCTGCTATGTGAACACAGATGTGCTAGACTTAAGCATTTAACAACAAAGCAGGAGGGTAAAGATGCACGGGGCCCACTCTGGAGTCAGGTCACCACTTACTAGCTGTGAAACTTGGGTTCTTAATCTCTGGGTCTCTTCAGTTTCATATCTATAAAATGTGAATGTGAATGAAAATAGGATTAAATGAGTTAATGTGTGTAAGGCTCCTAGTATGGGGAAATGAAATATAGTAAGAACTTCAGTGTTAATTGCTGTTGTCAGTATTACAATTGTTTGTTAATGACAGTCATTTTAGGGTAATCTGTTTAGAATTTATGAATGGCATATCACAATGCTGTTTTTTTGTTTGCTTTGTTTTTCTGACTGAAGGAGCCAGGGAGCATTTCAGTAGGCATTCTCTACATCTCACCTTCTCTAGTCTGCCCACAAATCCCATCATAAATTCTTGCACAGTCCATGTTTGAAGAAGACTGACTGGTGCATTGCACCTTTTTATAACTAAATCATGGAGAAGAAAAATTGCATTTCTGAGTTTCTAGGGGTCATGCCAACTCTGTCTTCATTTTATACTAAACTAAAAAATAGAGGGGAAAAAAGATCTGGCTGAGGTGATATTTCTATACTGTTAGAAATAGTGACGTTATTTTTCATGAGCCTGGAGTTTTTAACTTCTGCCCATTCTTTAATTCATGATCTCTTCTGTATGCTGGTCTTGTTTGTTTGCTCCTTTTCAACATAACTTCTGAGAAATAGAGATTGATTAGTTTTGTGCCTCAAAGGACATACCTCCAATTGCTCTAATAAGTCCAAAGGAAGATGTGAGGAATAGCACATAATTCCAAACAGAAGAGGGTTTGTAGCTGGTATGAATTAACTACTGATCTTGATTCTTCCTCCCTATACTTACTCTATATTACCTTCTTTATTCAAGTTCAACTATTTTGACTTTTGGGGACATGTAACAATAAAAATGCTTTCTTTCTAGTTATTATGATCATGTTATTGAATAATTCATTATATATATTTTTAAATGGAATTGAATGCTGTATGATAAAAGTATATGAATAGTTTTTGCATTAGAAGGCAGAAGAAAGTATGTGAGTTGAATATAAGAATGAGTTCCTCTGAGTAAAAAGTTACATTTCGGAGAGGTATGACTGCACCTACCTATTTACTACAGAAAATAGGTTAGCTGTGCATTTTATCCAAACTTGTTATTTACTTGTCATTTTCCATTTAAAACAGTTAGGTAGAGTAGCTGTATACTGTCTACAACTGCTGTGCAGAAAGACCTCAGTGCCAGCTTCTCCTTGGTGTAGAGTGAAGAGATACAATCATGCTTTGGAAAATGTGTTGATATCAACCTTAGACAGAAGGGTTAGGCTGAAGACAATCTCTCACAATGATTGTAAAATTGACTTAACCAATACTTACCGTGTGGTTATCTTCAGTAGTGCTAATTTCTGTACTCACAAGATAGATAGAAGTAAATAGGACAGTGTCAAAAAAATTTCTGTAAATAGTAGTTATTGAGTCTTTATTCTCTTCATTGCAGAGGGAAGCTGAGAAAAGGGGATGGGGGATTATATTCCAGACACAAGAAATCTCCAGTATGGAGGTTTGGGAGCATCAAAGAATGGGACTGGAGAACAGCACCTGGTGCCTGTTGAGTAAGAGGTGCTTGCTGCTTATTGAATTGATAAATATTTATTGATGGAGTAA
This sequence comes from Homo sapiens, assembly GCF_000001405.40. Classification (NCBI taxonomy): domain Eukaryota; kingdom Metazoa; phylum Chordata; class Mammalia; order Primates; family Hominidae; genus Homo; species Homo sapiens. Next base: position 172,172,056 of record NC_000001.11, read on the forward strand.
ACAGGGTGCTGTGAGAAGAATGATGGGAAACAACCCTCTGGGATGTAACAGGGAAAGGGTAGAGAGCCCCCTAAAGAACTGAAACTCCATCTTCTCAGTAAGTAGTTAACAACTTGGGTGCTGCTGCCTAGTGAGGAAGCCCAAGTTCTTCATAGGTGTGTCTCCAGGCCTTCACTTATTCATTTTTGTTACATCTGCAAATACAGTAGTCCCCCCTAATTCACAGGGACTACATTCCAAGACTCCGCATAGATGCCTAAAACCACAGATAGTACTGAATCCTATGCATACTATGCTTTTTTTCCATCTGATAACCGAGACAGCTACTAAATAACTAACAGGTGGTTAGCAAAGACAGCATGGATACGTCGGACAGAGGGATGATTCATATCCCAGGTGGGATGATGGGAGATTTCATCATGCTACTCAGATTGGTGCACAGTTTATAACTTATGAATTGTTTATTTTTGAAATTTTTCATTTAATATTTTTGGACCACAGCTGACCACAAAAGAGTAAAACTTGGGGAAAGCAAAACCATGAATAAGGGGACTACTATACTTACTACTGTATTGATATCAGCCTTATGCTGAGTTGGTGGGTCATGTGACCAATAGAGAAGGGTACAGTTCTATGTAAATCAGAGATAAAGATAAGACACAAGATGTGATGTAATGCCAAGCCAACCACCAAAGAAAAACTGCGGAATTTAGTGAGTTATTGAAGCACTTCCCATCCCGAGTAGGCAGGACAGCATGTGTGGTTGGGAAAACATTTCTTCTTAAACAAACGGTGATGCAGTGCTGAAGAGCTACTGAAGGAAGAGTATACACTCATTTCCAGTTTTTCCAAACTTGGCATTTTTAACCATTGTTGGCCTTTTAACCTCTTTTAGTAATTCTATCTATCATTTGTGCTATGCACATAAAAAGATAGTAAGCTACCATTACAGGTGGTGAATAGCTCTGGAAGGGGTTTGAGCAAGGAAACAATTTTATGAGGCTTGTATTTTAGAGAGATTATTCTGGTAGAGGTGTGAAGGATGGATTGGAAGGAGGAAAACTTGGAGAAAGGGAAAACATTTCAGAAGTGACTGCAATGTGTGAAAGATGATGGATGCTAGAACTAAGGCACTGACGGTGAAGATGGAGAGCCAGGGATGGAAGAGGGATGTTAAAGTAATAGAATTGATGAGCAGTTGCTAAGGGAGTTGAGAGAGAGAAGAGTCAGGGATGACGCCAAAGTTTTTGTTAAAGCAAGTGAGCAGAGTGGCAGTGTCAATAACTACATAGGGAATCTAGAAGAAGATGCAGGGGGTGGGGATGTTAAATGTAATAATTATTTCAGTTTTGGATATACTGAGATTTACACACATATAAGTCATTCAGGTGAAGACATCCAATTGAAAATACAAAACTTAGTCTCAAAAGAGAGCTTTTTTTTTTTTTTTAAACAAGGTCTTGCTATGTTGCTGTGTTGCCTAAGCTGGTCTCAAACTCCTGACATCAAGCAATCCTCCCACTATAACCTCCCAAAGCACTGGGATTATAGGCTCAAAAGAGAGCTTGAAGTCCCCAAATGAATCAGGGAGAAGTCTAATTTCAAGGAATGATTTCAGGGTAAATTTAAAAAGGAAAGAAAATTATGGTTAGATTTACTTCTCATTAAAAGTATTGAAGTTTAGGGTTAATAGTTGAGATAATTCTTAGCATTAATGTTTGCCTTTCAAGGATTTAATATTCATTAATTTTGCTTGGCCTATAATTTTATATTTTGCGGTGAACATAAAGCATATTCATCCCTAACTGGAGATCTCTGCAGCTTAAGTCTTCTGGATCATATATGGCCAGGACCAAGCCAGGACAATAGTATTTAAAAGCCAAATACCTAAGAGGAATACCAAACTAGAAATCCATAACTCTGGAATGCCAAACTTGAAATTATGATGAGTTACTGGTGATACCATAGTAGTATGTTAATAAGAAAATAGTATGTTAATAATAGTATGTCATAATAGTATGTTAATAAGAAAAACTAGCTCTGTTGATTTCATTGACTAGAAATATAAATTATGTTATTCTTTATAAAATATACACTCTGCAAAATGAAGACTATGCTTTAGAATATTAGAAAATATTTCTTAAAAGTACAGTAGCCGAACCTGAAACAAATTTGATGGTTGAGTATAGAATGATTTTTTTTTCTCCTTTTTTTCCTGGGCTTGAGTCCATCAGCTTAGGAAGGAAATATAAATTAATGGAACCTAAGTTTAAATTTTAAATCCAAGGTTTTGAGACCTGTCCTGCTGAACTGTGGATCCATCGTGAATATGCTCTGTTTTGAAATAAATTTGTCCATAAATGATGGAGGAAGATTTCAGACCAAAAAACACTTTTTTCCTTGGCTACATCTGAGACTTGGATACCCACTCTTGATTTTTGCTGTTTGGTTTAGAAGGGACTGACAAGTTACACGTTGTTGATTTATCTTCCTTGGCTGACATTTTTTAACAAATGTCTCAGTGTTAGAGTTGGTGTTGTGCTTGATGTTTTCTCTTCTTACTCTTTAATATCACTTGTTAATTTACCTTATATCAGAAAAAGCATGCAACATATGTGTTAGTAATGATGTCTACTGAGGGAAGATTGGCAGACTATCCTATGAATGGTATGTAGACTGCAAGTAGATCATTTTGTGTTTTATATTTTCACAAATGGGTGAAGGATATTGCTGTTTCAGGTTTACTCTCTAACATTGAGGGAAACTACAATAGGAATTCATTATGAATATTAACAAATATTTTCTGAATAAGATATCACAAAATGGTTCAGAAAGTTTCCATAATTTATCTAAGTGGCTTTATATCTTTCAAGAACAGAAAGTCGAATAGTGGGATCAGCATCAAGTTGTGGATATACTGATTTTTAAAAATTATTATCTTATTTCATATGGAGTAAATTTAGTTCATTGAAGCATACAGCATTCTAACAAAACAAGTACCAGGGAATTTTATTTCTAACAACAGTTTACCAATCTAATGGCCATATACCCTCTCCTGACTTTAGCCAGGCACCTTACAAAATACTGCTGTTGTTCACACGGGAGACAAGGAGATGAGTATGACTGGATCAGCAGAAATGTATTCCTACTTTTGGAAAAATAATGAAAAGCACACACACTGGCTCTGAATCAGTAATATCTTTATTTGCAAACAATAATCTTCTTTTACTAATTATGTATAAACCTTTGTTTTCTTCTTTAATTTTTACAAGTGATTACAAGTAAACTGATATAGCAGGGAAATCATATATTTCAGTGCCTCAAAACCTGTTAATATTGATTTATCCATTAGTTATCATTGAATACTTACTATAGTTGTAGATTGTGCCATGGGAAAAATAGAGAAAATGTAAGGTATGATCCTAATTTCTTAAAGACCTGACAGTAAGAAATGGAAGTATCCATTCATATATTTAATTTCAGTGATGTTAGAAATCCCATATTCTTTGAAGCTAAGTAAGTGGTATAGATAATAAGTACAAATAAGAAACTGGAGGAAGGAGATTCCTCCAAGAACTAATAGCAAGAAATAAAATTTTGTGAAGGAGATGGGAGCTAAGGTGCACTTTTGGTAAACATTTTATTATAACAAATTTCACACGATCAAATGTTGAAAGAATTTTACATTGAATATTAGTATGCTCTCTACCACACTGTTGACATTTTACTATACTTGCTTTATCACATATTTGATATATTTTAATGATAGGTAGAAATTGGACAGGTCCAGCTAAAAGGATGAAAGTTTGCTCAAGAGTGGGAAAAGTTAGAAGGTAGATTTTGTGGTAGACATGCTCCAGTGGTCTCTATACACATTCTTTATAATCCCCTCTCATGTTGTTTCAGGATTGGTCTGTGTAACTGTGGTAGGCTAAGTAATCCCTCCAACCCTCCCAAGGGTGTCCATATTTGAATCCGTAGAACCTGTAAATATGTTATCTTATATGGCAGAAGTGACTTTGCACACGTGATTTGTGAATAAGTTAAGGATTTTGAGATGGAGAGATTATTTTGGATTATCTAGGTAAACCCAGTGTAATCATAGGGTCTGTTTAAGGGGGAGGCAGTAGATTCAGAGTTGAAGAGAAGATATAGGGTGGAAGCAGAAGTCAGAGAGGAGAGAAGATACAATTTTTCTGGCTTTGAAAGTAAAGAAGCTATGAACTAAGGAATGTAGGTAGCTTCTAGAAGCCAGAAAAGGAAGGAAACATTTTCCCCTAGAGCTGGTCATAGGAATGCAGCTCTGCTGACCCATTTTAGACTTATGATCTCCAGAACTGTAAGGTGATAAATTTGCATTGCATTAAGCCACCAAGTTTGTGTTAATTTGTTACTGCAGCAATAGGAAACTAGTGCCGTGACCAACAGAATATGGCAGGAATTAGGGCCTGTAAATAGCCAGGTTAGTGAGCTTGGATGTTTCCCTGGTCAGATCTTCAGATGATTACAGTTCCAGTCAGGAGCTTGACTGCAATCTCTGGGAGTCCCTGAGCTAGAATCACCTAGCTAAGCCAGTTACAGATTCCTGACCCACAGAAATGTAAGATAATCAATGTTTACTGTTTTAAACATCTTAGTTTGGGGGCAATTTGTTATGCAGCAAAAGATAACTAATTAGTACAGAGTGAAAAGGTAGGTTGAGAGGGATTGTGTACAGTTTTGAATGCTAGACTCATTGCCTTCTCAGTGGGGAACCCCAGAAAGTTTTTAATCTGTGAAGTGACCAACTCAAAATAATAGCAAGATTGATCTATTTGGATATATTATAGAAAAGAGGTTGGAGGGAGGAAAAATAGATGTAGTAAATTTAGATAATAATATTAGATATTGTAACGAAAGCCTGCTCTAGGGCTATGAATATAGGAAGGGAAAGGAAAGAACATAGATCAAACTACAAAGAAACTCAGTAGGACTTGGTGACTGAAGGTGCTTAACGCAAAGGGAAACTGAGGAATTGGCGATGGTGTGTTTTGAGTTTGAGAGAACAATGATATAATTCTGAAAATGTATTTTTTTCCAGTAAGAGCCAGTTTTTCAAAGTTTCTTTTGCAGTAGTCCTCTCTTATCCATGGTTTTGCTTTTGCAGTTTCAGTTACCTGTGGTCAACTGTGGTCCGAAAATAGGTGAGTGTTGTACAAGAATAGAGAGAGAGAGAGAGAGACACCACATTCACGTAACTTGTATTATAGTATATTGTTATTATTGTTCTATTTTATTATTAATTATTGTTATCAATCTCTTACAGTGCCTAATTTATAAATTCGACTTTATCATAGCTATGTATGTATGGGAAAAAAGACATGGTATATTTAGGGTTTGTTACAATTCAAGGTTTTGGACATCCACTGTGGATCTTGGAATGTATCCCCTACACATAAGGGGAAGTGGGGGCGCTACTGTACTTTCTAAAACCAAGTTGGATAATTGAAAATGTTGAGAAAGAAGTTTAGGATAAAGGACTTCATTACCTGCCTTGTGGGGGCTTAGAAATGTAAGATAACTAAGAGACAAAATTACGGGATGAGAGTAAGAGTTAGGGATGAGACAATAGGAGTAAGGGAAGTAATGTTAAAAGATACCTAACTGTGTGTTATAAAGCACTTTGGCTCTGAGTGGACTTATAGCCAACCCAGGGGAAATGCTAACAGTGATGTGGTTTTGGTATCCATAAGACAAACACAATCTGAGAGAAATGTCTCCATTGGATCTTCCTAAAGGTCATGCACATCCTCAGTATTATCCTGTGGTAAATACTATATTTTATAGGGTTTTTTTCCCTTAATGTGCCCAATGAATATACAGTCATACATTGCTTAACGATATAATTATATTCTAAAAGTTGTGTTATCAGGCGCTTTCTTTGTTGTCCAAACATCATAGAGTGTTCTTACACAAAGCTAGATGGTCTAGCCCACTACATGCCTAGGCTGTTTGTTTTGTTCCTAGATTACAAACCTGTAAAGCCTGTTTCTGTACTGGATACTGTAGGCAATTGTAACACTGTGCTAAGTATTAGTGTATCTAAACATATCTAAACAGAGGAAAAGCTACAGTAATAATACTGTCATATAATCTTATGAGACCACTGTCATTGAAGGTGTGGTCTCTTCTCAACTAAAATGTGGTTATGTGGCATATGGCTGTAATAAGAAGAAGAAAAAAATCCAATTCCAATCCATCCAACACACTGGTGTTAAAAAATAAACTTAAATCTTAAGAAAGTGTCCAGAGATTGATTTTTCCATTGAGAGTAATTTATTCATTTATTTAAAAATATTTATTGAGTATTTATTATGTACTTGAGTCTGTATAATTCTGAGAGTACAGTAGTAAATTTTTTACATATATGAAGTGAAGATGACTGGAGAGGGGAGTAGGAGGTTGATGTGTAAGTCAGAGAATCCACAAGTAAGGAAGGGATAGGAATGAACATAGATGAAGCAGTTAAAAGAAGCAAGGTAGTAAGATAGTGCATGCCGTGATGATGAAGAGAGGGAGAGAGACAGAGAGAAAGGGTGTGCAAGAGATACAGCAAGAGAGCAAAACAGAGAGAGAAAGAGAGACAGAGAATGGACCCTGGTTTACTTCAACTTCAAGCTGATGTTACAGAGATATCAATGAAAGGAAGAAAGAGTAAGTCACTGGGTTTGATTATTAGTTGATCATCAGTGATCTTTAGGATTTCATTGTCAATACAATGGTAAAGACAGAAGCTAGATTGCAGGGGGTTAAGGGGTCACCTTATGGAGATGAAATAGAATAAGTCTTATTCCAGCTCCATGGGCATGTCTCTATCGCTTTATGTCTCAGTCCATAAAATAGAGCAAAAATGGTGATCCTCCTCTAGTCTAAAATATAAGGAATGCTTTGAACTGCTGGGTGAGCTAATACTCTAAAGCCAGGGCGGTGATAGTAGTTATCTGTGTGTACTTTGAATGAAACTGGACTTAGAATGCTGAGCTAGTTGTTTTGTGGAGCCTACTTTCAGAATGTCACCTCTAATTTTGCATTCATGAAAAGCATTCTCCTGCCTGGACTAGAATCCAAAAATTTTTTGTTTATTATTAGTGGTGACTGATTGTCATTTGTGGACTGTGATCTACATGTAATGAAGTGGAATTTGGCCACTGGTTGTGTTGCAAAGCTTTTCTGAGTAGTGTTATTGCATCTTAGTTTTGACAAAGTTTGTTACTCCCACTAGTATTTAACTGGTATTAAATTCAAGATTATATTTTCATAATGTTGTTTGGAAACCAAAAGAAAATAATTGGTATGAACGTGCTTTGAAAAGTTAAAGGATTATATAAGTATTAATTATAATTATCATTAAAGTGATTTAATAGAAGTATTATTCTACTAAAATAAAATAAGAACTGCTAAATTCAAGATGTCATTGAGAAGAGGGGAGAAGTTTTTTTTGCTATGGTTTATTTCAGCTTCTGTATAACTTACATGGACTTTCTAAGAAAAATGTATACAGGCAATATTTATAAATATGTGTGTATATTTTAATGATGCTATGCCGGATCATTTCTGCTTGGATTATTTGTGGCCTTATTTAATTCTGGACTTATTTTCCAGCATAGTTTTGGGAATACAGATTCAATAATTTTTAGATATAACCAATAAGTACTGGGTGACTACTCTGTAAAAGCACTTCTTCATATCTCACATTTTAATCTTCACAATAGCTTCATCAGAGCAGGTGTTATTACTTTTTTATGTATTAAAAAACTAAGGCTCTGAGAGGTTAATTAGATTTTCGCCCATGGCGTACATAGCAGGGATTAGACGACTAGAACCCTACCATTAGTAGATAATAAGCTCAGGTGGTGAAAATCAATTAGCTTCAGTAAAGCCTAATTGTATCTGTAAATATGTTACAAATATCATACCGTGTCTCTGAGTTCTGAGTCAAATTTGCAGTGTTTTTGAAGCAGCATTGCCTTCTGTTACCTGGCTGCTCTTGTATAGTTTAGCATGAATGCATGGCAGTTTGCCCTGTAGGAACAAATCTAGTCTATGTGGATATACTATCATGATTCAGTTAGGTCTCAAGATCAGTAAATTAATTTATGTAAAGAATAAGATACTATGTATTTCGGTTTTTCAATACAGAACCATGAGTAGGAGAGTTTGTATGTTTACTGCATGCTAACCAACACTTGTTTGTTCTTTATGGTTTACCAATTTCACTCGTTAGATCCTGACTTTTACCCTGTATCGTAGATAGGGCTGAGATTATGCACCTCATTTTACTCACAAGGAAACTAAAGCCAAAGAACAGTGTGTGATTTTCTCAGTAGCCTTCAAATATATTGGCCTAGAAAATATTCTGATAGATAAATAGTCTAAGGACAAGTGGATTCATTGTAATATCTGCAATGCATTTTATTTCTTATATAATTAAGAGCTTACTGCTAGAATACAGTGTGATTTAGGTAAAACTTCTCAACATATAGCATACTTGAGGGAAAACAGAAGATCATAAAAAGTTTCCTTCTTTTATTGCAGGAATAGCATATGATTTATTTGAAGCCTAATTATTTTCCAGAGGAATGCTCTACATGTTTCCAATAGCTGTTTTGTGTTTCTGTAGAGGGTTAGAGGAGAAGCTGCCAGTTTCCTCCCAATACTGATGTTGCAAATCTCAGAACTTTAATCTGGAACACTCTCCTCTGTTATGTATATGTATGAAAATTTGCCCTACCTATTACCTTACTTTGGCATGTGGCATTTACTTGTGAAAAATGTCACAATATCTAATAGTTTATTTCCTACTCATGGATATAAGGCAAAATAACATTAAACAAGAATAAATATCTGTTTACCAACATTTAAATGATAGTTCTTTTGTTGTCAACTGGCAAGTACGGAGCACTTACCAAGTGCCGCCACTCCGCTGGGCTCTGGGGAACACAGCTCTTCCTTAGCTGAGCTCATAATCTGGACTGTGAGGCCTACACATCAGGGCAGAAAGCTTCTAGTTTCACTTTTCATATAGTAATTTTGAAAGCATAAGAGGCTTTGCAAAACATCTTTTAAAATAAAGATGCTTCTCCACCATCTCTAAGATAAGTTGGTTCTTTTTGGCAAAGGTGATTTTAATTGTTAGTACATTTCCAAGACAAGAAATGCAATCTGTTGACACGCCCTTCAAAATAATCAGATGAAAACAAGGAACACAAATATGTCCAGCCCTGAACTCTTCATTTTTCCTCTTGATGAATCCTTTCTTATGCTTTAAAACACTTGAGTTTACACACACACACACACACACACACACACACACACACACATATTTCTGGTAGGCGTGGAGATATATATCTATATATATCTTGCTATTAGGGCAATTCCCTGAAAGATTACACTACCTTCTTTATGCATAACGTCAATGCCTGATATTAAACAGAAACGAACTATGTGACTATGCTTTCCTTTTTAAATATGTGAACGTATTTCTCTACAGAGTTGTTTTGTAGCCGTATTGCTACTAAACTGGTGCCCAGCTCCAGGCCTGCAGACTGCTGACACACAATTAATCTCACAAATTTATGAATGCCAAAGCATGGAGCAAAATGAAAACAACTGGGGGAATGTTTAAGGGAAATAATTGGACTGTATCCAGATGTGCATGTGTAAAACATCACCACTTAACTCCTCCCCCATATCCTGTCTGAAGACAGGGTTTTTTTTTTTTTTTTTGAAAATAAACTGGGGTTATTTGAAAGAAGTTGTGGTCTCTGACTAAAACTGAATAAGCAAGGCCAGGCTGGCCATAATTCTGTGTGTTCTTGTATTTTTGTTTCTTAATTAACTCATTAGGTGCTGATGAATCAATCTGCCTCATGTCTGTTTTTGGTGGGTGTTGCCACAACTTTATGAACTCTATTTAAAGATAATATGTAAGGGGTTTCAAGACTGATAGTCGATTTCTTTGAGTTTTTGGTTATAACGAACTGGAACTTTTTACTATTAGAAATAGGCAACATTATTGTAGTGTGAAGGTCATCAAGCTGGGACGTGAAGTCTGGTCAAGAGGAAAAAAATGTGACAACATTTTATAGTTTTTTTTTTTTTAACAGTCTGTCCAAGATCAGTTAGGGGAAACAAACAAACAAAAAAACGATTTCTCTAAGATGCTTAACTCACTAGATAAAGCATAAAAATGGAGATAATAATGTTGAGTTTGTGTGCATGAAATTAATTTAGGATCTGGCATCACTGGGATATGAGAAGCTAGAGGACAGGGTGCTCTGAAGAAATATTTTGCAGGTTGATGTCTAACCATCATTACATACCTTAAATGGTACTAGAGATGAAGTAATAAAACACACTTTTTCCCTCAAATGCAAATATTTCCTCAAAAACAAGATAACCAAGTCCAGCAATAAATCCAACTCATTTCAATAAAATGTTCTCCACAGACTTGCTTTTCTCCTACTCTGTTTAAGGACAAAAATAAAGATGAAATGAATTGCAATGAACCTGCTCAGAGGTACTCACTAAAGTGGAGCATAGAGAGGCCTTCTGCTCTGCATGCCCCTCCCTCTATCTGCATTGTCCTCAGAGACTGCCTGAAAATTCAAATTCTGGGCCTCATTAGGCACAGAGTCCTAAGATTGTGTTTCTGTTTTTATTCAAAGAGAGAAAACAAAAGTAGAAAAAGTTGAATACCCAATCTTTTATACCATTGCAGGAAGGCTTAAGGACCCCAATCGTCAGTTTTCCTGCAATTGGTGACTTCAATATGAGAATAGTATCAGCACTTTATTTTGAGAGTAAGTATTGATAATGTAGTATCATTCCAATTGTGCAGGTAATTATTTAAAGTCCAATTTTAATAATCATGACAACTGAGTATAGTTTCTATCAAAAAAAATTTCTTAGTTCCTTTACCAAGAACTGGTAAAAAGGCAACTTTTTAACTAAAGGGAGCTAGGTACAGAAAGGCACTGTCCTGTCCCAGACGCCAAAAGTTTAGTGGGAAGTGATGGCCATAGAGAGGGAAAGGGGATGAGAAGATCACTGGTTTCAGTATTAATACAGATATGCACATACAGCACCATCTCTAGATCATGCCTGTTATTCTCCATATCGTCTCCACATACTACCCAATAGAGATATATTTTATTTAGCCAGTTTTGGTTTCAAACACAAATAATTTCTGGGAAAGTTCAATATATTGGTTTCACACACTTTATGGATATAATATCATGATGTTGAAAATATTCTATATTATACAAAGTTTTTTTAACACAAATTAAATTTTGATGTCATAAGTGAAGACTTGGCAAATAAATACTAAGAATTATCTGTGTACCAGTATAAGGAAAATACAGTGATTCTGGGTTTCAAAACCCAAATACACTGAAACATTGTGGAGTTTTTAAAGTAAGGAATGTGCTTGGTCTGGCAGATGATAAAACATGTTAGTTGCTTAAAATTATTGCCAATTATTTTGGTAAATACATTCAAACTTTTTTAAATTTTTTTATTTTTTGTGATAGGGTCTCACCCTGTCACCCAGGCTGGAGTGCAGTGATGCAATCATGGCTTACTGCAGCCTCCACCTCCTGGGCCCAAGCAATGCTCCCACCTCAGCCTCCTGAGTAGCTAGGACTACAGGGTTGCACCACCATGCCCAGCTAATTTTTTTTTTTTTTTTTTTTTTTTTTTTTTGTAGAAACAGGGTTTCACCAGGCTGATTTTGAACTCCTGGGCTCAAGTGTTCCTTCTGCCTTAGCCTCCCAAAGTGCTGGGATTACAGGCATGAGCCAATACACCTGGCTTCAAAGTTTTTTTTTTTTTCTAGAGAATCAGCAGTGTAATAGAAATTAATATTCTAGTACTCAAAACAACAGCAATCATAACAATAATAGCAAAATCTATGTTCTTGGCTCAGTTACACTCAAGTAATAGCTTGACCTTGGATTAGTTGCTTTATCTCAATTTTATTTCTGCAAAGTAGCGTGAGGATCCCTATCCTGCTCACCTCACAAGTTGTGAAGTTCATTAGGTTTATTGTTGCAATGTTTTCTAAATCTTCTCATTAAATGATGTTAAAACCTACTAAGAACTCAAACAATCCCAGACACACTGATGGAGAATTTAGATATGTAGTCTGAATATAGCATCAGACAACCTGAACTGTTAAACAAGCAAAGAAAATTATCACAAAATAAACATGGAAAATATCATTACATTGACCACCATTTAAATTGCACAGTTCTTGTAAGACATACCCACTACATAAAATAAAACCCATCTGCAGAGACACAGCAGTTTTTCTGCAGTTGGGAGTTGGTGATTGAAAAGTAGGAATTTGAAATTAATTTTTTTTAGAAATTGAGAAATTTTATCCTCCCTTCTAAACAATGACCCTCAACACAGTAATGAGCAGCACAATCTGGAGGGTATGGTAATATCCCAGAATATGTCCCCAGGCTAGGTGCTCAGGGCCTAACTTGCCTTTTTAAGAAATTCATTGTTTCTGTTGAATGTTGCTCTCTTCATATTGTCTACTTTAAAAGACAAATACTTCTGGGATGTGTAAGCCCAGGAATGGGAAAGGAGGAAAAATCATCTTAGAGTTTATTAAGTACGGAATCTGACCCATGGACTTGATATGTGCATTCTCATTGCAGACTTGGGTTTGGGGTTTTACAAATGTAGAATCCAAATATTAGAGAAGTTCATCGCTTTCCTGTCACCCTCTTAAGGGAATGAACTGTGTAGCTGAGATTTGATCCCCTAGTTGGTCTGCCAGCAAGCCCATGTTCTTTCTTTTGCACACCCTATACCATATAATAAATTAATTCATGAGATGCTGTCTTTGTAACAGCTGAGAATTGGAACACTAAGAGAGCATCGAACATCTGGAATAGAAGTAAAGTGATTTGGAAAAAAAAAGGGAGGCTGGAAACTTAGTCAACACATAGGGGCAGCTCCTCTCACTCAGTGTTCATGCTGGGTCCTGAAGATAAGTAGGTTTTGCTCTTTGCCTCAGTGGTCTTTGACGGACTCTGGGTACTAAAGCTAAGATGGAATTGAGGGAAGCTCCTAATGCCTCCTTTATTTGCATCGGCAGTGAGATTGAAAGAGGCCCCTTCAGTGTGTGAATACCTGAAATTAAAGACTAGAAATATGCATTTAGACTGTTTACTTTAGGTTTCCTGTTTACATTTGTTCCAATTTTATTCTCTCACTGGGGAGTAGAATTGGAATGCAGAGAAAAAGGGGTGAGCACAAGACAAAGGGAAGTGAAACTCAATTTTGAAAGCAGAACCATTTTTACATTTAAGTTGAACTGTGGTTTTAAAACATTTAGCTCTCTATTGGAAACCATTGTGGGTGGGGTGCATTTGTAACAGAGCTTCACCTAATTCATTCTATATGCTTGGCAGAGGAAAGGCTGAAATCAGAGCCAAATTCCAAAGAGCCTCTGAGGGAAGCAAGGTCACACTCTATTCAGAATTATATAGCAACCTGGCCTAAACAGAAGATTTTTAATGTGTTTGTGCACTTAGGAATCATTTTTCTAGACTTTGGTAATTGTTTATCCATTTTGTGAAGTTCTATTGTAAATGTATTGCAAACACTGCTTCATAGCTAGATAAGAACAACTGCTGAATAATCTAAGTCAACTAAGTTTATTTCATAGCTGGTTTTGAAACTGGGAATAAAATAATATAGAAGGGTTTATTGATTAGTTCCACTGTCATAATAAGCCTGGAGAAATGTCTTAGGAGCCACATTTTGACTTTTTTGTCTGACGAATTTGGCCCATCCTCAAATAAAAATTGTTTTTTAATTCCAAGCAGTCATATTATGAACAGTTGTTATATTTTACATTGTTTTATAATTGGTCTCCTGCATGATAAAACTCATTTGCAAGGCAGAAAGGCAAAAATGTGAGAAGCAAGAAACCAATTTATTGTTAATCAATAATTACAATAAAAATGGGAATAAGGAGAAATGTGATTTTAACTCACTTCCTGGGAAGACATTCCAGAGTTTGGGGGATGACAGAACATCTTTTGGGTGCTTAGGGACCAAAAGGGAGTGAGGACTTCAGACTTTGAAGTTATTTTTGCTTACGACCAACCAACTTTACCTCAAAGTGCAGAGTGCTTAAAAGTTAATTTAAACGTCGGTTACAAATTCCAAGAAATGTGGAGATATAACCCAGAAAGGCAACATGACCTAGAGAGCTGAACAAGGGTTTGGGAATGTGGACTTGGTTGTTAACCCTGTGTCAGTTGCTGTTTTTTTTTTTAACTTTGTAATGATGAAATGCAGTTTCCATTCTCCTGACCACCTTAAGGTAGTACCAATCGTGGGTAAAATAATATAGAAGAGATATAATATAAAAGGGGAAATAATTTAGAAGGACAATGCTGTCCCCCCCTTTTGAAGATGACATGGATTTAGAGCAAAGTTTTGGTTATTTTTGAGAGGTCCAGAATCCAGGCATCTGCCTCTTTTGATACAAAGGCTGCTACTTCTTGCTTCTTCAAGGGACTTCTCACCCTCTATTGATGGTCAGCCCCCTCTCACTGAAGGAATCAGAATCAATTGGTGATAGAAAGTTTTGAGAGCATCATTTGCCAGCCTGGAAGTATTTTTCATCTCTACCAGTTGTTCTTTAACTTTTTGAAGTTCTGTAAACATTTAAGAACATCGTAGGAGTTATAGATGTTTTCCTTAGGCTATTGCACACATTCACAGATTGATTTCTGAAGACTCCCCCATCTTGAAGATTGTTCATGGATCATGGGTTGTGAACCCTAGCTATGGAGGGTTTGTGTCTCTAAGCTCTGAAAACCTCACCATCCAGGTTGTCCTCTCTGAGAAGCTACTCTCCATGGCCGAGTCACCTTAATGTTGAAAGGAAATATCTTTGCACATGATTTGTTCTCTTCTTATTCTGCCTGCCTCTTAAGTGTCAGAAGACCTCCCTGGAGGGAACCTCACAACTTTATGTCATTACTTTTTCCAAGGCTCACTTGTAGGTTTGGGAAGGTTTTCTTTTCTCCCTCTTTTCTTTGCATGAGAGTCTGTCCCATCTGCCTTTTCCCACCAGCAGTCCAGAGTGATCACTCTCAGATTTTTCACACCACTTACGCTTTGTATCAGCAATATGATATTCATTTTTCTCTCTTTTGGTTTATTTGTAAATTAATTTTTACTATAAAATATTTTAATACATATATAAATGGAGAATAGAAATAACACCCATTTTAATACAATCTTAGCATTATAATATACTTGCATCAGATTCTTTAGAATGGTAATTACAGTTACACAGTGAAGATCTTCACTGCCTCTGCCCTGAGCCCTTCTTTTCTTCCCTCCCTGGTAGTAAGTGCTGTTCTTTCCAAACGTGGTTCATCCTTTACTTTTAAAAATTATTCTTCTGGGTATAGACCTGATCTATTCAATGAGACTATATTTTCTTGAGAATGGATAGTAGCCTTATTTTTGTTTTTGTTTGTCTTCAGTGCTCAGGGGTCCTTAATATGTGACAGCAGATGCATGGAGGTGGGGTTGCGTGGCACTTGTGCCTCCTCATTTTAAGGTTCTTCTCCATCTTGTCCCTCAAAGATGGTTTGCATTGTTACAAATGTTAAGAAAATCACTTTTTCTCCTTTCCTATTTTTCTTCTTTCTACAGAAGAAAATTCAGATCATATGAGATTTCATGTTTCTCTGAATATCCTGTTGCTCTTCACTTCTCCTGTTTCCTTATATCAGGAATGATTCTTTGTCCTGGTTTCTCAGTTCCTTTATTTGCAGCTTTAGAGAAATAATCTTGCTTTAGGTCACCTTTAACTTTATTCAAATAGTATAAAGTAAGCAATGAAAAGGTAAAGACAATTAATATAAACCCCAAACCCACTATATATGTCTACTAAGAACAAAACTCAATAAAAAATATGCCTTGAATTCCAAAAGTATGTGTGTGTATGTATGTAATATGTGATTAAACTGACAAATTTATTTGCTTTCCAGAAATTTTGTTTCTTTATTTTGTGTATTTATACACTTTGAAAATCCATCAATTTGTCTTGGCAATTCTGATATTACTCCTATTTCACAAGTAATGAAACTGAGGCCAGGATGGCTAAATGACATCTCAGGTAGCAGAACTATTAGGAGTTAGACTAACGTCTCCAGATTTCTTTTCCTTAGGCTCAGGTGGTTTTCCTGCTTCAGCCTCCTGAGTAGCTGGGAATCCAGGTTTGCACCACCTTGCCTGGATTTTCAACAAATGGGACTGGCTCTCTAACCAGGAATTGAACCTGGGCTGTCATGACGAAAGCACCAACTCCTAACCACTAGACCACAGGGTGGAGATTTCTTCTTTTTTAAAAATCTGCCCCTCTTGTCACTGTTTCTTTTTATTGCTAAATAATATTCCATTGTCTGGTTGTACCACAGTTTGTTTACCCATTCACCCATAGAGGGACATCTTGGCTGTTTGCAGTTTTTTGGCAATTATGAAAAAAGCTACTCTAAACATTTATATGCATGTGTTTGTGTGAACATGTTTTAAATTCATTTGGGTGAATACCTAGGATTATATATAATTGCTGCATCATATGGTAAGACTACGTTTAGTTTTGTAAGAAACTACCAAATTATCTTTACAGGTGGCTGCATCATTTTGCATTCCTTCCAGAAACGAATATGAGTTCCTGTTCCTTTGCATGTTTATCTCTATTTGGCATTGTCAAGTTTTTTAATTTAAGGAGGCCCAACTTATTTTTTTCTTCATGGATTGTGATTTTGATGTTATACCTTAAAACTCTTCACCAAACCCAAGTTCCCCTAGATTTTCTCCTATGTTATTTTGTAAGAGTTTCATAATTTTGTGTTTTGTGTCTAAGTCTGTGATGCATTTTGAATTAATTTTTGTAAAAAGTGTGAGGTCACTGTGTACATGCAGTTCTTTTTCGAGTAGACTTATAGTTCTTTCAGCATCTTTTGTTGAAAAGACTATCCTTTCTCTATTGAATTGCCTTTTTCCCTTTGTCCAAGATCAGTTAACTAGATTTGTGTGGTCTGTTTCTGGGCTCTTATGTTGTTCCGTTGATCTGTTTGCCTAGTTTTTCACCAATACCATACTCTCTTTATTACTATAGCTTTATGGTAAATCTTGAATTTGAGTAGTGTCAGTCTCTGATTCTTCTTCTTGAGTATTATGTTGGCTATTCTGAGTCTTTTATTTTTCTATGTAAGTTTTACAAGCAGTTTGTTAATATCTACAAGATAACTTGCTATTATTTTAATTGGGATTGCATTTAATCTATAGATCAAGTTGAGGAAAATAGACATGTTAATGTAATTGAGTCTCCCTATTCATGAACATGGAATTTCCCACCATTTATTGAGGTCTTCTTTGATTTATTTCACTAGAGTTTCATTTTCCTCATATAGATCTTTTTCATATGTTAGTAGAAGCATATCTAAGTATTTATGTATTTATTTTTGGGGTGCTAACGTAGATGACTATATTAGCCCATTTTTGTGTCACTATAAAGAAATACCTGAGGCTGGGTAACTTACTAAGAAAAGAGATTTAATCAATTCACAGTTCTGCAGGCTGTACAAGTGTGGCTCCAGCATCTGCTTCTGGTGAGGGTCTCAGGAAGCTTACCACCATGGCAGAAGGTGAAAGGGGAGCAGGTGCTGTGACATGTTGAGAGAGGGAGCAAGAAAGAGAGAAGGGGGAGGTCCAAGACTCCTTTAAACAACCAGAACTCACATGGACTAACTGAGCAAGAACTTATTTATCACCAAAAGGATAGTGCTAACCCATTCATGAGGGTTCCATCACCATAATCAAATGACCTCCCATTAGGCCCCACCTCCAACATTGGGAATCACATTTCTTTTTTTTTTTTTTTTTCACTTTAAGTTCTAGGGTACATGTGCACAACGTGCAGTTTGTTACATATGTATACATGTCCCATGTTGGTGTGCTGTACCCATTGACTCATCATTTAAATTAGGTATATCTCCTAATGCTATCCCTCCCTTTTCCCTGCACCCCCACCGGCAGGCCCCAGTGTGTGATGTTCCCCACCCTGTGTCCATGTGTTCTCATTGTTCAATTCCCACCTATGATTGAGAACATGCGGTGTTTGGTTTTCTGTCCTTGCGATAGTTTGCTCAGAATGATGGTATCCAGCTCCATCCATGTCCCTATAAAGGACATGAACTCATCCTTTTTTATGGCTGCATAGTATTCCATGGTGTATATGTGACACATTTTCTTAATCCAGTCTATCATTGATGGACATTTGGGTTGGTTCCAAGTCTTTGCTATTGTGAATAGTGCCACAATAAACATACGTCTGCATGTGTCTTTATAGCAGCATGATTTATAATCTTTTGGGTATATGCCCAGTAATAGGATGGCTGGGTCAAATGGTGGTATTTCTAGTTCTAGATCCTTGAGGAATTGCCACACTGCCTTCCACAATGGTTAAACTAGTGTACAGTCCCACCAACAGTATAAAAGTGTTCCTATTTCTCCACATGCTCTCCAGCACCTGTTGTTTCCTGACTTTTTAATGATTGCCATTCTAACTGGTGTGAGATGGTATCTCATTGTGGTTTTGATTTGCATTTCTCTGATGGCCAGTGATGATGAGCATTTTTTCATGTGTCTGTTGGTGGCACAAATGTCTTCTTTTGAGAAGTGTCTGTTCATATCCTTTGCCCACTTTTTGATGGGATTGTTTGATTTTTTCTCGTAAATTTGTTTAAGTTCTTTGTAGATTCTGGATATTAGCCTTTTGTCAGACAGGTAGATTGTAAAAATTTTCTCCCATTCTGTAGGTTGCCTGTTCACTCTGATGGTAGTTTCTTTTGCTGTGCAGAAGCTCTTTAGTTTAATTAGATCCCATTTGTCAATTTTGGCTTTTGTTGCCATTGCTTTTGTTGTTTTAGTCATGAAGTCCTTGCCCATGCCTATGTCCTGAATGGTATTGCCTAGGTTTTTTTCTGGGGTTTTTATGGTTTTAGTTCTAACATTTAAGTCTTTTAACCATCTTGAATTGATTTTTGTATAAGGTGTAAGGAAGTGATCCAGTTTCAGCTTTCTACCTATGGCTAGCCAGTTTTCACAGCACCATTTATTAAATAGGGAATCTTTCCCCATTTCTTGTTTTTGTGAGGTTTGTCAAAGATCAGATGATTGTAGATATGTGGTATTATTTCTGAGGGCTCTATTCTGTTCCATTGGTCTATATCTCTGTTTTGGTACCAGTACCATCCTGTTTTGGTTACTGTAGCCTTGTAGTATAGTTTGAAGTCAGGTAGCATGATGCCTCCAGCTTTGTTCTTTTGGCTTAGGATTGTCTTGGCAATGCGGGCTTTTTTTTGGTTCCATATGAACTTGAAAGTAGTTTTTTCCAATTCTGTGAAGAAAGTCATTGGTAGCTTGATAGGGATGGCATTGAATCTATAAATTACCTTGGGCAGTATGGCCATTTTCACAATATTGGTTCTTGCTATCCATGAGCATGGAGTGTTCTTCCATTTGTTTGTGTCCTCTTTTATTTCGTTGAGCAGTGGTTTGTAGTTCTCCTTGAAGAGGTCCTTCACATCCCTTGTAAGTTGGATTCCTAGGTATTTTATTCTCTTTGAAGCAATTGTGAATGGGAGTTCACTCATGATTTGGCTTTCTGTTTGTCTGTTATTGGTGTATAGGAATGCTTGTGGTTTTTGCACGTTGATTTTGTATCCTGAGACTTTGCTGAAGTTGCTTATCAGCTTAAGGAGATTTGGGGCTGAGATGACGGGTTTTTCTAAATATACCATCATGTCATCTGCACTTTTCCTAAGTGAATACTCCTTATTTCTTTCTCCTGCCTGATTGCTCTGGCCAGAACTTCCAACACTATCTTGAATACGAGTGGTGAGAGAGGGCATCCCTGTCTTGTGCCAGTTTTCAAAAGGAATGCTTCCAGTTTTTGCCCACTCAGTATGATATTGGCTGTGGGTTTGTCATAAATAGCTCTTATTATTTTGAGATACACTCCATCAATACCTAGTTAATTGAGAGTTTTTAGCGTGAAGGGCTGTTGAATTTCGTCAAAGGCCTTTTCTGCATCTCTTGAGATAATCATGTGGTTTTTGTCTTTGGTTCTGTTTATATGATGGATTACATTTATTGATTTGCATATGTTGAACCAGCCTTGCATCCCAGGGATGAAGCCAGCTTGATCATGGTGGATAAGCTTTTTTTTTTTTTCTTTTATTATTATACTTTAAGTTTTAGGGTACATGTGCACATTGTGCAGGTTAGTTACATATGTATACATGTGCCATGCTGGTGCGCTGCACCCACTAACTTGTCATCTAGCATTAGGTATATCTCCCAATGCTATCCCTCCCCCCTCCCCCCACCCCACAACAGTCCCCAGAGTGTGATGTTCCCCTTCCTGTGTCCATGTGTTCTCATTGTTCAATTCCCACCTATGAGTGAGAATGTGCAGTGTTTGGTTTTTTGTTCTCGCGATAGTTTACTGAGAACAATGATTTCCAATTTCATCCATGTTCCTACAAAGGACATGAACTCATCATTTTTTATGGCTGCATAGTATTCCATGGTGTGTATGTGCCACATTTTCTTAATCCAGTCTATCATTGTTGGACATTTGGGTTGGTTCCAAGTCTTTGCTATTGTGAATAATGTCGCAATAAACATATGTGTGCATGTGTCTTTATAGCAGCATGATTTATAGTCCTTTGGGTATATACCCAGTAATGGGATGGCTGGGTCAAATGGTATTTCTAGTTCTAGATCCCTGAGGAATCGCCACACTGACTTCCACAATGGTTGAACTAGTTTACAGTCCCACCAACAGTGTAAAAGTGTTCCAATTTCTCTACATCCTCTCCAGCACCTGTTGTTTCCTGACTTTTTAATGATTGCCATTCTAACTGGTGTGAGATGGTATCTCATTGTGGTTTTGATTTGCATTTCTCTGATGGCCAGTGATGATGAGCATTTTTTCGTGTGTTTTTTGGCTGCATAAATGTCTTCTTTTGAGAACTGTCTGTTCATGTCCTTGGCCCCATCAAAAAGTGGGGGTGGATAAGCTTTTTGATTTGCTGCTGGATTTGGTTTGCCAGTATTTCATTGATGATTTTTGCATCGATGTTCATCAGGGATATTGGTCTAAAATTATCTTATTTTGTTGTGTCCCTGCCAGGCTTTGGTATTAGGATGATGTTGGCCTCATAAAATGCATTAGGGAGGATTCCCTCTTTTTCTATTGATTGGAATAGTTTCAGAAGGAATGGAACCAGCTCCTCTTTCTACCTCTGGTAGAATTTGGCTGTGAATCCATCTGGTCCTGGACTTTTTATGGTTGGTAGGCTATTAATTATTGCCTCAATTTCAGAACTTGTTATTGGTCTATTCAGGGATTCAGCTTCCTCCTGGTTTAGTCTTGGGAGGGTGTATGTGTCGAGGAATTTATCCATTTCCTCTAGATTTTCTAGTTTATTTGCGTAGAGGTGTTTATGGTATTATCTGATGGTAGTTTGTATTTCTATGGGATTGCTGGTGATATCCCCTTTATCATTTTTTGTTGCATCTATTTGATTCTTCTCTCTTTTCTTCTTTATTAGTCTTGCTAGCGGTCTATCAATTTTGTTAATCTTTTCAAAAAACCAGCTCCTGGATTCATTGATTTTTTGAAGAATTTTTTGTGTCTCTGTTTCCTTCAGTTCTGCTCTGATCTTAGTTATTTCTTGCCTTTTGCTAGCTTTTGAATGTGTTTGCTCTTGCTTCTCTAGTTCTTTTAATTGTGATGTTAGGGTGTCAATTTTGGATCTCTCCTGCTTTCTCTTGTGGGCATTTAGTGCTATAAATTTCCCTCTACACACTGCTTTAAATGTGTCCCAGAGATTCTGGTATGTTGTGTCTTTGTTCTCATTGGTTTCAAAGAACATCTTTAATTCTGCCTTCATTTCATTATGTACCTGGTAGTCATTCAGGAGCAGGTTGTTCAGTTTCCATGTAGTTGAGCGGTTTTGAGTGAGTTTCTTAATCCTGAGTTCTAGTTTGACTGCACTGTGGTCTGAGAGACAGTTTGTTATAAAGTCTGTTGTTTTACATTTGCTGAGGAGTGCTTTACTTCCAACTATGTGGTCAATTTTGGAATAAGTGTGATGTGGTGCTGAGAAGAATGTATATTCTGTTGATTTGGGGTGGAGAGTCCTGTAGATGTCTATTAGGTCTGCTTGGTGCAGAGCGGAGTTCAATTCCTGGATGTCTTTGTTAACTTTTTGTCTCATTGATCTGTCTAATGTTGACAGTGGGGTGTTAAAGTCTCCCATTATTATATGTGGGAGTCTAAGTCTCTTTTTAGGTCTCTAAGGACTTGCTTTATGAATCTGGGTGCTCCTGTATTGGGTGCATATATATTTAGGATAGTTAGCTCTTCTTGTTGAATTGATCCCTGTACCATTAGGTAATGACCTTCTTTGTCTCTTTCGATCTTTGTTGGTTTAAAGTCTGCTTTATCAGAGACTAGGATTGCAACCCCTACTTTTTTTTTATTTTCCATTTGCTTGGTAGATCTTCCTCCATCCCTTTATTTTGATCCTACGTGTGTCTCTGCATGTAAGATGAGTCTCCTGAATACAGCACACTGATGGGTCTTGACTCTTTATCCAATTTGCCAGTCTTTGTCTTTTAATTGGAGTCTTTAGCCCATTTACATTTAAGGTTAATATTGATATGTGTGAATTTGATCCTGTCATTATGATGTTATCTGGTTATTTTGCTCATTAGTTGATGCAGTTTCTTCCTAGTATTGATGGTCTCTACCATTTGGCATGTTTTTCTAGTGGCTGGTACCAGTTGTTCCTTTCCATGTTTAGTGCTTCCTTCAGGAGGTCTGGTAAGGCAGGCCTGTTGGTGACAAAATCTCTGAGCATTTGTTTGTCTGTAAAGGATTTTATTTCTCCATCACTTATGAAGCTTAGTTTGGCTGGATAGGGAATCACATTTCAAAATGAGATTTGGAGAGAAGAAACATCCAAACCATATCAATGATGTTGTATTTTTAATTTCAAATCAAATTATTCATTGCTGGTATATAGGAAGGCGATTGACTTTTGTATATTAATCTTGAATCTTATAACCTTGCTTTAATTACTTGTTAGTTCTCAAAGACTTTGGGACAATTGTTCAGAATTTCTACATACACAATTATGGCACCTTCAAACAAAGACAGTTTTATTTTTCCTTTCTGATCTGTATTTCTCTTATTTCCTTTTCTTGACTTATGGCATCAGCTAGAATTTCCAATATGATATTGAATGGGAGTTGTGAGAGGGGACATCCTTGCCCTCTTCCTCATCTCATGGTACAGCATCTAGTGTCTCACCATTAAGTATGATGTTAGCTCTATAGTTTTTTTGTAGATGTTCATTATCAAGTTGAAGAAGTTCCCTTCTATTCTTAGTTTGCTGTGAGTTTTTATCATGATGGTTGTTGTCAAATGCTTTTCTTCTGCATCTATCGATATGATAGTATGTTGTTTTATTCTTTAATATGCTGATGTGAAGGATTCAATTAATTGATTTTCAAATGTTGAACCCTCCTAGCATACCTGGAATAAATCTCACTTGGTTATGATGTGTAATTCTTTTTATGTATTTTTGGGCTTGATTTGGTAATATTTTGTTGAGGATTTCTGCATCTATGTTACTAAGTGGATTTTTTTTTTAGTTTTCCTTTTTTGTAGTAACTATCTGTTTTCATTTAAACTTCTATTTTAGGTTTGGGGGAACATATGAAGGTTTGTTACGTAGGTAAACTCATGTCACAGGGGTTTGTTTACATATTATTTCATCACCCAGCTATTAAGCCCAGTACCCAATAGTTATCTTTTTTGCTCATCTCCCTCTTCCCACCCTCCACCCTCAAGTAGACCCAGTGTCTCTTGTTTCAGTCTTTGTGTTCATAAATTATTATATTTAGCTCCCACCGATAAGTGAGAACATATGGTATTTGGTTTTCTGTTCTTGCATTAGTTTGCTAAGGATGATAGCCTCCAGCTCCATCCATGTTCCCTCAAAAGACAATCTCATTCTTTTTTATGGCTGCATAGTATTCCGTGGTGTATATGTACCATATTTCGTTTAACCAATCATTTGTCATTGACAGGCCTATAGATTTATTCCGTGTCTTTGCTATTGTGTATAGTGCTGCAGTGAACATTTGAGTGCATGTGTCTTTATGGTAGAATGATTTATATTCCTCTGGTTTTATACCCAGTAATGGGATTGCTAGGTCAAATGGTAGTTCTGCTTTTAGCTCTTTGAGGAATCACCATACTGCTTTCCACAATGATTGAACTAATTTACATTCCCACCAACAGTGTATAAGCATTCCCTTTTCTCCACAACCTTGCCAGCATCTATTATTTTTGACTTTTTAATAATAGCCATGCTGACTGGCATGAGATGTTATCTCATTGTGATTTTGATTTGCATTTCTCTAGTCATCAGTGATATTCACCTTTTTTTATATGTTTATTGACCAGATGTATGTCTTCTGTTGAGAAGTCTCTGTTTATGTCCTTTGTCCACTTTTAAATGGGGGTTGTTTGTTTTTCTTTTGTAAATTTGTTTAAATTCCTTATAGATGTTGGATATTAGACCTTTGTCAGATGCATAGTTTGCAAATATTTTCTCCCATTCTGTAGGTTGTCCATTTGTTCTGTTGATATTTTCTTTTGCTATGCAGAAGCTCTTAAGTTTAATTAGATCCCACTTGTCAATTTTTGCTTTTGATGTGATTGCTTTTGGTGTCTTAGTTGTAAAATCTTTGCCTTTTCCTATGTCCAGGATAGCATTGCCTAGGTTGTATTCTAGAGTTTTTATTGTTTTGGGTTTTACATTTAAATCTTTAATCCACCTTGAGTTGATTTTTGTATATGGTGTAAGGAAGGGGTCCAGCTTCAGTCTTCTGCATATGGCTAGCCAGTTATCCCAGCACCATTTATTGAATAGGGAGTCTTTTCCCCATTGCTTCTTTTTTTCAGCTTTGTCGAAGATCAGATTGTTATAGATGTGTAGCCTTATTTCCTGGCTTTCTATTCTGTTCCATTGGTCTATGTGCCTGTTTTTGTATCAGTACCATGCTGTTTTGGTTACTGTAGCCTTGTAATATAGTTTGAAGTTGAGTAACATGATGCCTCCAGCTTTGTTCTTTTTGCTTAGGATTGCCTTGGCTACTCAGGGTCTTTTTTGGTTCCACATGAATTTTAAAATAGTTTTTTCTAGTTCTGTGAAGAATGTCATTGGTAGTTTGATAGGAATAGCATTGAATCTGTAAATTGCTTTGGGCAGTATAACCATTTTAATGATATCAATTCTTCCTATCCATGAGCATGGGATGTTTTTTCCATTTGTTTGTGTCTTCTCTGATTTCTTTGAGCAGTGTTTTGTAAACCTCATTATAGATATCTTTCACCTCCCTGATTATCTGTATTCCTAGGTATTTTATTCTTTTTGTGGCACTTATGAATGGGATTGCCTTTCTGATTTGACTCTTGTTTTGGCTGTTGTTGATGTATAGAAATGCTAGTGATTTTTGTACATTGATTTTGTATCCTGCAAATTTGCTGAAGTTGTTTCTCAGCTGGAAGTGCTTTTGGGCTGAGACTCTGTGGTTTTCTAGATATAGAATAATGTTGTCTGCCAATAGAGACAGTTTGATTTCCCCTCGTTGTATTTGGATGCGCTTTTTTCTTTCTCCTGCCTGATTGCTCTGGCTAGGACTTCCAATACTATGTTGAGTGAAGTGGTAAGAGAGGGCATCCTTGTCCTGTGCCAGTTTTCAAGGGGAATGCTTCCAACTTTTTCCCATTCAGTAAAATGTTAGCTGTGGGTTTGTCACAAATGGCTTTTATTGTTTTGAGGTATGTCCTTCAATGCCTAGTTTATTGAGAGTTTTTAACATGAAGGGGTGTTGAATTTTATGTAAAGCCCTTTCTTCATCTGTTGAGGTAATCATGTGGTTTTTGTCTAGTTTTGTTTATGTGGTGAATCACATTTAGCAAATAAAAACAAGTCTGCTTATATTGAACCTACCTTGCATCCCGAGGATGAAGCCTACTTGATCATGCTAGATTAGCTTTTTGATGTGCTGCTGGATTCTGTTTGCAAGTATTTTGTTTGAATTATTGCACAGATGTTCATCAAGGATATTGACCTGAAGTTTTCTTTTTTTGTTGTGTCTCTGACAGGTTTTGGTATCAAGATGATGCTGGCCTCATAGATTAAGTTGGGGAGGAGCCTCTCTCAATTTTTTGGAATGGTATCTGTAGGAATGGTACCAGTTTTTCTTTGTACATCTCATAGAATTTGACTGTGAATCCATCAGGTCCTGGGCTTTTTTTTTGGTTGGTAGGCTATTTATTACTGATTCAATTTTGGAGCTTGCTGTTGGTCTGTTCGGAGAATCGATTTCTTCCTGACTGAGTATTAGAGGATGTATGTGTCCAGGAATTTATCTATTTCCTCTAGGTTTCCTAGTTTTTGTGCATAGAGGTGTTAGTAGTCGTTTCTGATGGTTGTTTTTATTTCTGTGGGTTAAGTAGTAACATTCCCTTTAGCATTTCTAATTGTGTTTATTTGGATCTTCTCTCTTTTCTTTCTATTAGTCTAGTTAGAGGCCTGTCTTATTAATTTTTTCAAAAAATCAACTCCTGGATTCATTGTTCTTTTGAATGGTCTTTTGTGTCTCAATTTCCTTCAGTTAAGCTTTAATTTTTGATATTTCTCATCTTCTGCTAGCTTTGGGATTGATTTGTTCTTGCTTCTCTAATTATTTCAGTTGTAAATTCAGGTTGTTAATTTGAGATCATTCCAACTTTTTGATGTAGGCATTAAGTGCTATGAATTTCCCTCTTAACGCAGGCTTGGCTGTGTCCCAGAGATTCTGGTGTGTTGTATCTGTGTTCTCATTATTTTCAAAGAACTTCTTGATTTCTGCCTTAGTTTTATTATTTACCCAAAAGTCATTCAGGAGTATGTTGTTTAATTTCCATGTAATTGCATGGTTTTTGAGTGATTTTTCATAGTCAACTTCTATTTTTATTGTAGTGTGGTTCAAGGTTGTGTTTAGTATTATTTCAGTTCTTTTTCATTTGTAGAGGATTATTTTATGTCCAATTATATGGTCTATTTTAGAGTACATGCCCTGTAGCAAGGAGAAGAATGTATATTTTGTTGATTCTGGATGGAGAATTCTGTAAGGGTCTATCAGATCCATTTTGTCCATGTCGAGTTTAGGTTCTGAATATCTTTGTTAATTTTCTACCTTGTTGATCTGTCTAATACTGTCATGGGAGTGTTGAAGTCTCTTCCTATTATCATGTGGGAGTCTATGTCTCTTTGTAAGTCTCTAAGAACTTCCTTTATGAATCTGGGTGCTCCTGTGTTGGGTGCATATATGTTTAGGATAGTCTTCTTGTTGAATTGAATCCTTCACCATTATGTAATGCCCTTCTTGTCTTTTTTGATATTTGTTGGTTTGACATCTGTTTTGTCTGAAATTAGGATTGCTATCCCTGCTTTTGCCTGTTTTCCATTTGTTTGGTAGATTTTCCTCTATCCCTTTATTTTGAGCCTATGATTGTCATTACATGTGAGATAGCATGTAATGACAAGACAGCATACTATTAGTTCTTGCTTTTTTATCCACTTTGCCACTCTGTGCCTTGTTGAGTGGGACATTTGGTCCATTTACATTCCAGGTTAGTATTGATATGTGTGGATTTGATCCTATTATTGTGCTGTTAGCTGGTTATTACATAGGCTTGTTTGTGTGGTTGCTTTACAGTGACACTGGTCCATGTGTTTAAGTGTGTTTTTGTTTTAGCTGGTAGTGGTCTTTCCTTTCTATATTTCATGTTCCTGTCAAGATCTCTTTTAAGGCAGATCTGGTGGTAATGAATTCCCTCAACATTTTCTTATCTGAAAATTATCTTGTTCCTCCTTCACTTACGAAGCTTAGTTTGGCTGTATATGAAATTCTTGGTTGAAGATTTTTTCTTTAAGAATGTTGAGTATAGGCCCCCAATCTCTTCTGGCTTATAGGGTTTCAGCTGGGAGGTTCACTGTTATCCTGATGATGTTTTCTTTGTAGGTGACCTGCCCTGTCTCTCTAGTTGCCTTTGAAGTTCTTTCTTTCATTTTGACCTTGGAAAATCTGACAGTTATGGCCTTAGGATAATCTTCTTGGGTAGAATCTTGCAGGAGTTCTCTGTATTTCCTGAATTTGACTGTTGGCCTCTCTAGCAAGGTTGGTGAAGTTTTTATGGACAATATCCTGAAATATGTTTTCCAAGTTATTTGCTATCTCCTCTTCCCTTTCAGGGATGCCAGTGATTTGTAGATTTGGCATCTTTACATAAACCCATATTTCTTGGAGGTTTTGTTCATCCCTTTTTATTCTTTAATTTATTTTTTTCTGATTGTCTTATTTCAGAGAACCATTCTTCAAGTTCTGAGATACTTTTCTCAGCTTGGTTTATTCTGCAGTTAATACTTGTGACTGCATTCTTGTATTGTGTTACTCATTTCTGTCAGACTCATTAGATTCTTTTTATACTGGCTATTTTGTCCTTCAGCTCCTTTTTGCCTTATTGTGATTCTTATTTTCTTGGATCGGGTTTTGTCATTCTCCAGAATCTTGATGATCTCTGTTCCTGTCCATATTCTGAATTTTATTTCTGTCATTACAGCCCGTTCAGCCTGGCCATTTGGAGGACATATGGCACTCTGGCCATTTTAGTTACCACAAAGTTCTTGTGTTGGTTCTTTCCCATCTCTGTGTGTGGGTGTTCCTTTTAATGGCAGTATAGATTGAGTACAGTCAATAGACTTCTTTTTTGGATGCTTTCACCAGGCTGAGGCTTTGTGCAAGGTCTTTATTTGAAGCTGCCTTTTTGTCTCTGGTTTAAGAGGATGATATGTTAGTGAGGTATTTTTGGTGTTGAAGCTTTAGGGTGTGATCCAGCAGGTGGCACTTAGGCTTATTGGTCAGTTGGTAGACTCTTGCTCAGTCATGTGGCTCCCCTATGTTTCCTCACAGTTACAGCCGTGTTCTCTCTCAATGCTCTGAAAGTGTGGGATCCTCTCCCCCTTGAGTGCTGGCTGTAGATCATGACTTGGTACTCCTTGGCTGCCCACTGCAGCTCTGGGGTGATCTGTGTTTATCTTTCTTCCCCAACTTGGAGACAACAGAGGAAGGGAAGTTAGTAGTGGTCATGGTCTAGGGTTGTTTGCTTGACTCCTGGGGCCTTCACCCCAAAGAGATGCAGGTCAACAATTGCTCAGTGCAATCAGCCCAGAATAGAGGGTCTGTGCTATGGGCCCAAGCCAGGGGTTCCCTGTGTGGTGATGAGCAGTGGGGGATGTGTGGGACCCATGGGAGATGGATTGGCCTCCTCTCCTTGGGTTGACTACAGCTTGTTGTAGTGTGAATAAGGCACTTAGGGTTTTTACTCCTTCATTAGTGCAAGGGTAGCAAGGGCAGTTCCACTGCAAAGGCAATGGCAGAGAGGCTTTCAGTTGCCCCTGGGGGCCTGGTCCAAGGAATTTCCGAATTGCTACTGGCTCGATAGCTCTGGCAGGGGTTGGCTGGAGGCCCAGGCCTGGAGGACCTGTCTAGTGAGGAGATATGGGAACGGACACCCATGTAACAGTCTGTCTACTTTTCTATAGGGCTGCTGTGGCATGCTTTGGTTCCACTCCAATTTCTAGTTGCCTTGGATTTTCCTGTACCTGGGGGTATCACCAGTGAAGGTGCTTCCCTGCAAGAAGGAGGTTCCCCTGGCTCCGTGTTGCTCCCGGGTGGGCCATTGTCCTGTCTTGCTTTTCTTTATTCTCTGTGGATCAAGTTATTTTCTTGATTAGCCCCAATGTGAGTACCTGGATGTTTCAGTTGAAGTTGTTGTATTTACTTGCCCTGTTCATTCCTCTCCATGAGAGGCATGCACACTAGCTACTTCTAGTAAGCCATCTTGCTTTATCTGGTTTTGATTTTAGAGTAATACTAGCCTCATAGGATGAGTTAGGAAGTGTTCCTTCTGTTTTTATTTAAAAGAGTTTGTAAAGAATTGGTATAATTTCTTCTCTAAATGTTTGGTGCAATTCATCTGTGAAACCATCTAGGCCTGGTGCTTTATTTTTTGAAGATTATTAGTTATTGAATCAATTTATGTAATAGATCTAGGCCTATTGAGATTATCTATTTCTCTTTATGTGAGTTTTACTAGATTATGTCTTTCAAGGAATTGGTTAATCACGCTTTCAAATATCCTACTTATTACCCATATATACTTTTGATATGATATATTTCACACTTCATTACTTTATATATGTATTTCTTTTACTAAATTGTGGGGTTCTTGAAGGTACAAACCATGTTTTTAAATTTTGCCTCCTTAAGACTTAGCGCGGTAACTGGACATTTCAACCAATGTTGACTGAAATGAACTGAATTTCTCCAGATTGTCAACTGGGCGTGAGAACTATGTCTGAGAACACCACAGATATAAGAAGAAGAACATAAGACTATTATTTATATTATAGATTTTACATTTGATAAAGGTTTAATCTACCAAGTTCTTTTAACTGGTTTGTTTCTGTGTAGCATTTTAATGTTGGACTGTAGACAATTTACTGCTTGAGAAAAGGTTGACTGAGAGTGAATCAGGGATATCTGAAGTTAAAGAGTTTAATTCAAAGTGATGATGTTTATCATTGAAGGAAGTATTACTAGAATTATAAAAATGTGACTCACCCTTTTCCAAATTTCTAGAAATTATCTGTTGCATAAAACAGAACACACCTGAATAGACACAATAACCATATAACTGGGGCTCTACTGGGGCTAACGGATCATTAAAAATTACAAAACAGGAAGTTAGACTTGTAATTTAAACTTCTGCTTAGTCTTTGGCTGTAATTAAATATTATGTTCAGGACAAAGAATGAGCTGGAGGGTCTCTTCAATCTCTGCTGTGATCTGCTAACTGCTATTGTTTAATTGAGGTACCTCGTGTTCCCCAAAGGCTGAGCCACAAGCTGCTCTTTCCAGACGCTGTGTTTAGATTCCTTGTGAGCCCTCAAGTGCTGCATCCGCTGAGAATTGGTGTTGCATTT
The DNA here is from genome assembly GCF_000001405.40 of Homo sapiens. NCBI lineage: Eukaryota > Metazoa > Chordata > Mammalia > Primates > Hominidae > Homo > Homo sapiens. The sequence goes on from NC_000001.11 coordinate 172,203,327, forward strand.
CATTGATGTGTTCCGCCTCTTTTGGTCAGATAAACCGAAGCATAAACATTGTGCTGACAAACCCGGGTCGCAGAGTGGTTTTTGGTCGCTGAACTGCCCAAGCAGATTATTAAGGGAACAGCATTTTAGCAGCAACAGCAAGTTGTTTATATGATATCTGATCCCAGACATTTTGCATATCTTTAACATGATATGAATCTATTTTTGAGGTTTGTAATGATTATGGTAAACAACCAGATTTCCTTGTGAAGTAGACTCATGTTATTTCTCAGAATTTATCACATTATTTATCTGTATTTCTTCCCTGTAGTCTGTGAAGTTAGCTTTTGTATAATAGGGTGTGTGTATTTATTTACAAGAAAATTACTCTATGTGTTAAAATAATGTTTAGCCTTGTTTTCTTCTTATTATTAAATAGTGTGTTCTATATGGGTTGGTACCAGACTAAAATTTGTATAATCACTCAGCAAAAAGGCTAAATGTTATAATGTATAAATTCTGATGTAAGTTTGATGGTTAAATTGGTTATTTATGTTGTGTATAAGGTTTGCAAGGCTACTTAACCAGCTTGATTCTTCATTTCCATCACTATAAAGTGGATAAAACTGTATGCCACATTTTTAAAGGTGAAAAGATTATTGATATTTTTATGTAAAATGGCTGGTACCAAGGGTGTCATTGCTATTAAACATATACTTCTGCAGGCAGAGGTTTTTACTGTCATGAAAAAGATTTTCTTAGCAGTATGCAACATCTCCCAGTGCTATGGCATATTTTGACAGAGACCAGGTGTGCTACTTTTCTTCTGTATAATTGAGCCATGTCAAGGAAACATCACAATATAATGGCCTTTGTGAATTTATTTTGAAACTTAAAACTGGCATATTTTTGGTATGTTTTATTGTTTTTAGTGATATTGTCTTCTAGAACCTTAACTATTTTGCATAAACTGATACAAGCAGTGCATTATTTGTTTGTTCTCAAAAAATACACCTAATTGTGTTAATATAAGACTAAGAGGACTAGTGCAGTGCTCCTAAAATAGCAGTGTGGAGACCTAACAGCAATTATTTTTGTATTTCCAGACTTGAATTATTTCCACTTCCATAGAATAAAATTTCTGTTCCCCTCTTGAGCATCACTACTTGAACAACTTGCAGGCCTCTGAAACTCAGCCCACTCAAAACTCACCAAAACTAAATTGGTTTATTTTTTGCCTTTGCCTCCATGCCCTGCAAACCTATTGCTCTTCTGCATGTTCTATCTTTGCTAATGGCCTCAGCAGCCACACGTTTCTCCCAAACTACACGTCCTCAGAGTCCCTGTGGGTGTATCTTTCTCCTTCTAAAAAAACAGTATATTAAACTTGCCTTCAAATCCTGATGGTCTTTTCTTTCTCAAATACGGTCCCTCCTCTCAATCTTCTGGCTCAGACCACATGCTTACCATAATGTCTCTGGGCCATTACAGCGGCATCCTGAATGTTCTACCCTCCACACCACATTGTGATTATAAAAACACAGATGTGATCATGTCACTTCCCTGGGCAAAACATCTGCTGCCTCTTGATTGTCCACTACATGGGACAGTGTTTTACAAGTTACAGGTTGCAGGCTTTTAATAAGTAGTGAATTCAAATTAGTGAATTACATTCAGCTATTAAAATATAATGGAAAAGAAAATAGTAGAGTGTATCACATTTAGTAAAGACATTGTTCTGTGAAACTCTGTTCTAGTTGTATTTTTCTGTATAAACGTGCATGTGTTTTGGTACTGTTTCATGATGTAAAATGTACTTCTGATCATGGGTAATAGTCTTGAAAGTTTGAAAACCATCAGAATAGAGGGTAAATTCAAACTTTTTATCAGGGCATAATCTTTTATAATCTTCCCAGGTTACCTTTTGCTATCATCTCTAGCCACCTCCTTGGAGAAGCCTATTCCTATTTCCATTTCAAGAACACACTATATTTCCCTGGCATGAACTTTGCCTTTATTCAAGCTAGCTCGTCTAAATGGACTACCAGTTCTTACACTTTTTAGTCTCAGGATCTGTTTAAACTCTTAAAAATATTGAATACCCCTTAGGAGCTTTGTTTAAGTGGACTATAAACTACATTTATCAACACGAAACATACCATAAATTAAAATGGAGAATTTTAAGAAACATGTATTAATATTAAAAATAATAATGAATCCCTTATATGTTATCCTAAGTGATACATTTTTGTGAAAAAAATCTGTATTTTCCAAAACAAAACAAAATTAGAAGAGTGACATTGCTTTATATTTTTGCACATCTCTTTAATGTCTGAATTAACAGAAGACAGATTCCCATATCTGCTTCTGTGTTCACTCTATTGCTATGTGTTGTTTTGGTTGAATGATATGAAGAAAATTCAGCCTGTAATGAATATATAGTCGGGAAAGGAATGAGTATTTTGATAACCTTTTCAGATTATTTTGTAGATATTCTTCTTTAATACTACACCAAAACTCAACAAGTGATAGTTCCTTAAACATTAGTTGCAATGAGTCTGATACCCTACCAATTAACTTTTCACAGTACATGACATTAAAATCTATTGATAAGTCTCCTTTGCACCTTGAATGGATCTTTTACCCATGCATGAATTTGCAGTATCATGTGTTGGTCATTTGAAGCATATTGGTTCCCTGAATAATATGTAAATCTTCCAAATTTTCACTCATTTCATTATACATCAAAAAATTACATTAGTTTATATCACCACTGATTGCATCAAATAAGTCTTTAAATATTGGGATGCTTTCAAGCTTACTATGACAGATACAAGTTTTGCAAAATTCGAATTTTTACTTACAGGCTGTAATTTTAGGATTGGAATCCAATACTATCAGCTGTTTTCCTTGACATGTTATACAACTGAATTAAGGTTTCATGGGACAGTAACCACAGCTTGTGATACATTTGAATTACTGTAGTTTGTCAGTGATTCTTTCAAGTAAATATAGTGTTTTTTGAAAAAAGCACAACTCAAACAATCACACAAGTGTTTTTCCTTGAAACAAGCATTGAACTGCAGGAAGCAGAAGAAATGTTTTATGTCTACTTCCTCTTTTCTTTGCACAGATATTAAAAAGTCACATATTAAAAGGTCAAGATTGTTAAAAATTAATAATTTTTACTGTTGTATCAAGGATTTGCCTAAATAATACTGCTTTTTTTTTCTTTTACTGCAAGTACCTGGCATTGAAGAACACCACTGCAGGTACAATTTGGTGCCACTGCTGTCTTGTGCTAAGGCACCAGCAGTTTTACCCACCTTTTCTTCTGCACCATCAGTGCAAACGTCAACATAGTGGAAAAGGCAAATAAGAAGTTAATATTATTATGAGATAGTCTTCCTATGGGCCTTTTATCTGGGTACCCTAAAAAGATCTTGCTGACACCCAGGAGCTGTTGTTTATACTTTGAGAACTGCTGACCTGAAGTATCTTCTCTAAACCTATTTCGTACTTGGAAAATTTGTATTCAGACCTAAAGATCAGGCTCAAATGTTATATACTTTGTGAAGCTTACTGAAGCTCCCCAGATTAATTTGTCACTACTCCTCTGAGTTTCTGTATATTGTAGTCCCTATCACATTTCTCTTTGTCCATGAGGTGCTCCTGTTACAGACTGAGCTTTATTTCTCTACCACCCACAAATGCCTGGTAGATGCTCAGGATTTCTTAAGGAGCAGAAGCCTGTACCCACTCATTACACATTCTGGCTTTTGTTATTCTCCCCCAAGTCTAACACAGGTCAGAAGGAGAATAATTACTGCCTGAGGCAAGTAATTTTCTGAGGCAAGCAGGGACATTTCACCAACATGTCCTTAGTGCTACTTCCACAGGTATCAGAAAACACTGACGTGATGCCTAGGGTTCCAGTGTTATATTGACATTGTGACACTAATGCAGATAGCACCAAAAAAGCTACTGTTCAATAAGTGTGTGAATAGTTCCCCTGTATTCTTTAGTCCAAACCTTGATACAGGTCAAAAGGTCATTTTAGGTAACTCCACCCTAACTGAAGATGCCCTTGGATCTCCTAGTTCTCATATAATTTTCATGGGAACTTAATTGAATATTTTTTAAAGTTTTATTTCTTATTTTTGTTCTAGAAACATTTGTTTAGCATTTACCATGTGTCAGGTGCTCAGCATTCAAAGGTAGGCAGGACATGAACTCTGCTTTCAAGGCAGAGTAACAGGGAGAGCAACAGGAGAAAGGCATTGAATTTGGTTCTCAGATTTATACTGCTTTTATTTTCTGTATTTTGAAATTTGGAAGTTAAGTGAGTTTTCTTGTTTCTTTGTTTTTATGTGTATGCTTTATTAATGAATGCTTAGATTATAAAGGTTGTCGTAGATATTTCAGTTGTAAATGTCCTTCTCCTCCTGTGTTTAAAACAGTGTTGAGTTTGTTTTTGGAAATCTGAGTTTCAGAGTAAGGCTTCTAGAATTTAAAAAATCACCTTAATATATTATTTACAAAAATATATCATAGTATCTCAGCATTGATTTTTCAACTTTATATTAGCTTCATGCTTTTTAGAGAATACAAAGAAAGTGTGTACTTCTTTAAGTGTAATATTTCTTTTTTAAAAAACTGCCTTTACTTCCATTTTGAGTTATACAGTAACAATGCTAAGTTTGTATAGCTTTATGTAGAAAGTGAAAAAAAAAATCCTTGCTTGTCCAAAGAGTTTACTATTTTTTGAATGAGACAGAACAAGCACAAAGATGTTTATATAAACCCAAGTGAGAATTTTGACTGATAGTATCTCAACTACAAATTGCAGTTTTTCCGCAAGATTTAGAAGAGAGGAGACCACAAGTAGTAGAAGACAGAAAACAGACACAGCAGAACTTTTGGCTTTGCTCTTTAAATGTAAGGATCTACTTCTAAAATCAGTCCTCATGTATTTTTATCTAGATCATGTTTTGCTGATGTGATGATTAATTTTATGCATCAACTTGGCTAGGCCACTATACCCAGAAATTTGGTCAAACACCAGTCTAAATGTCACTGTAAGGGTATTTTTTAGATTAGATTAGCATTTAAATTAATAGATTTAGAGTAAAGCAGGTTTACCCTCCATAATGTAGGTGGGGTTTATCAATCAGTTGAAGGCTAAGTCTGAGATCTCCGAGGAAAAGTGGATTTGCCTTCAGATTCAAGCTGCAGCATCAACTCTTTTCTGGGTCTCCGGCTTTTCATCCTTTTGTGCAGATTTTGGACTTCCCAGCCTCCATAACCATGAGAGCAAATTCATTAAAATAAGCTATTTCTACATACCCTATTTGCTTTCTAGAAAGCTCCAATAGGGTACAGGAAGCTTGCCCATGTATTTGGTCTTACGTTAGCCCAAGGAACAAGATGCTGCCTTCCTCTCCGCTACTCCTTGACACTGCTAGGCTTAGTCTCTTGGAAGTCATAATAATGTATCATTTTCAGATGACAATGCAGATTTCAAAGCACTTGCACGTTTGTGCATGATCAACTATTTCTGTAGAAGTATTCAGAAAGAGTGAGGACTAGGGACCCATGGGGAAAATAAAATTTGTTGAAATACATGGATCCAGGTAGAAAGGAAGCGACTGGTGGAAGAAGCAACAGAAGAGAGAAGGTTGGGAAAGCTCTGTCATGTGCTGAGTTGTGTGTGTCCCCCACCCCCAAATTCATATGGTGAAGCTCTAACCCTCAGTGCCAGAATGTTACTGTATTTGAAGATAAGGTCTTTAAACAGGTGATTAAGTTAAAATGAGGTAATCACAGGGGACCCTAATCCAGTTTGACTGATATCCTTATAAGAAGAGTAATTTTGACATACAATGAGACACCAAGGTCCCCACACAGAGGAAAAACCCTGTGAGGGCACAGCAAGAAGGTAGTTATCTGCAAGCCAAGGGGAGAGGCCTCAGGAGAAATCAAACCTGCTGACACCTTGATCTTGGACTTCTAGCCTTCAGAATCATGAGAAAATCATTTTACATTGTTTAATCCACCCAGTCTGTGGTGTATTGTTATGGTAGCCCTAGCAAAATAATACAGGCACCAAGGGTGAATATTGATCATTTTTCAACTTTACTTATACTAGATATGATTCTGGTTTATTAAACATTTCTGTTTACCCAGGAGCCAAGTGAGTGGTTCTCAAGAACTACCCTGGATAGACTACACTGACTGGTCTCTGAGGCCAGGGTGATTATTGCTATTTGCATTAAGCAAGGAGAAGACTCTTCCATATCTCCCAAGGGCCCAATAGCAATGCACTTCTGTGTCTGACGGTGCTCCTACCTTGGTCCATGCTGATCCACAACTGCAGCTCCAGAAATGGCTTGTAAGCACATATAACCAGTGAGCCATACATTACAGGGCACTTCAAACAGCCCAGTGATTTTTCAGTCTAATATTTCCCAGGCCATTTTTTTCCTCATCTGGAAAATGCAGTTACTGATGTCTGGGTTTAAATAGCTAAGTAGATTTGTAAAATTTAAAAAATTAAAATAATTTTAAAGATTATTAATTGTAAGATGATATAATACAACCATCAAAATGCACTAGCAAGTGATTCTTTATTGTTTTGATGCTTTTCCATTTTAATAGTAATAATTACATAATAATAATATTGTAGCTAACACTTACTGTTTACTGTGTGCCAAACACCATTCTAACCTCATTACAAGATGTTAAATTTGAAATATGTTGACATAGACTGTCTCATTTAATTCTTGTAACAAAGATGTGAGTTAGGTAAGGAAGGAATTATTCCCATTTTGCAGATGAGAAAGTTGAGACTTAGCAAAGTTCACTTTTTTAAATCAAGGTTACCCTTCTAGTAAATGGCAGAGTTTGAAGCATAATTTAAGTCTTCAGATTCCTAAGTTACTGATTTTTGCAAACAATTCTCTTATAAATGACATCAAATATATAGGTAATTAAGAGTAAGAGAGCGTGCTTTTTTTTTTTTTTTTTTTTTTTTGCCTGTTTGCGTTCTGAACAAAGAAATGTGGGACTCAGTAAGGTGAGAAAAATGACATTTGCCTCCCTAAAGGATCACTAACATTTAGCCCTTGCAGGAAGAACTGAGGTTGAAGAATGGAGTCCAAGAAGCACAATGTTTCTAACACCAGGAGCTGTATGGATTGGGGATCAGAAGGAAGCTGAGCTGGAACTTAAGATGCCTAAAGAGCAAGAAGGGATTATTAAGCCAGTACAAGAATAATAAAGTATAAAGTTACATCTGAACAAATCAAAAAGCCTATACAGGGAACCAAGATATAATGTGAAACAAAACACTAAGAAAACCTTTTCTTTCATTTTTTTATTTGTAAGATGAATTCAATTTATAGAAGGCAAAATATGTTCAAAAAGAAAAGTTGTGCCTTTGAGAGACAGAAGAAAGCAGATAACATATGTCTGTGGAAAATCCGAGGCTTCAACATACATCAGCATGTCCTTTAAGGTATAAATTGTGTTGGTTTCTATACTTAGATTTCATTCCTAGCGATAGCAAAAGCCAAGTGTGAGGGAAGAGTTTAGAGATAAACATGATAGAGAAGGAAATAAAGGGCATTTTTTACATCCAGCGATTTCAGCCATCCTTCCCTCCCTCAAAACAAAAATTCTGACAAATTTAAGAAATTTATGATTGCTATTGCAGCCAAAGGGCAGTTGAGTAAACGGAAATATATCTTACAGTTTGTTTCCAAAAGTTAAAAAATATTATCATAATTCCTTTTGGTGATTTCAGTATCTCAGGTAGGATAGAATCAACCCTATCTATAAAGATATTTAGGAAGCAAAGTAGCATTATTGCTTAACAAATACCTTGACTAACTAATTAAGGCTTCAGAAAAAGAAGACAGAGAGCGAGATTTTTCTGATTATCATCACTCCGTAATTACTAGTATTTTCCATAACCTAGGTAACTCAGCTGTCTAAGAAACAAAATCCAGCTGAAACTGAACCGTCTAAAGTTTTCCTTCTACAATTTTTTAAGGCCCAGCGCAGGATCCCTGTCATGCTAAAGTCTCTCCTGGATGTCTGGAAAAAGTCTTATAGTCTGGGAGACATTCCAAAATATGTGCAGTGACCATTGCCACAGGCGTGAACTTCTTAATGCATTTTGCAGAAATCTCCTCCACAATGAAATTGATTACTGTCTGAAAGGATTTTTTTCCCCTTTTCAAAATAGCAAGCAGCTAGAATATGCTTTTCTTATGTTTTATTACATCCTTAAGTATCTCATGTGGACTGAATGTGACTGGAGAAAGTTACCGGTCTGAATCTGATACATAATGTCTAGTTTAAAACAATTTTTTTACATTGATGGGTTAGATGAACAGCGAAAGGAAAAACTCTGGATGTTTGAAGACTACACATACAAAATTGTACACTGATTACTAAAACTTGAGTTTCTGCACAGTTTTCCTGCTGCAGAAACTGAAATAAGATCAGAGAATAAATGTGAAGAAATGGATTTTCAAGGAACAGGTGGAAATTGAAAAGAAAATGGAACCTGGAGTTTTGTGAGTGTGTCTGTCTGCCTTATGAGAATGACATTTATGAGGATGAAGGAGGGTTGGAGGGTTTGTTGTAATGCTTTTACATAATCAAGATCAAATTGTTCAAGCTCTTTAATGTTATCTATTTGTTGTATTTAGCAAAGGAATGAATTTGTAGCTAATAGGCAGTAATTTGGTTTTTATTCACCTAATAGAAATATTGTAGCAGAGCTGTCACCAGGCTTGTTGTAATGTCAAACAAAAAGTCTGATAAATGAGAAAAAAAGGATATACAGGGAATATATTGCAATTGCAATCATAGCAAAGAAAGAACAGAAAGGATGTCGATTATGAGATTTCTAATTCTTGATTTTGTAGCAGTTTCCATATTCTTGCTAGAAGCTGGAAAGTTGCTCAGTCCCTGGTATCAATCACACCTCAGCTAGACACTGAGGCTAGTCACTGCTGCTGGAAGATTTCTTCCTGACAATGATTCATATGAGCCAATTGTCAGGAGTTTTGAAGTTCTGAAATAGAAGTTGATGTATGTCTTTTACTGTGGTGCAGTCACTGAACATATTTCATATGACGGAAAATAGCTTTGCAGAAAAATTAACCTATTCCTTATCTTTAAACAACGTTGCCTTCAAAAATTACCAACTCATTCACAAGCATTACATTTTCTGAGCTTTTCACATTTCTTAATCTTATGGTGCACAGTCACCACAGGAGAAGGTGTGATATGTCATTTAAAAAGCCCAAACCTTTCGCTTTGTATTGTCACAAGGAACTAAAAACAAGGCAAATAAGTGTTTCAACTTATGCTCTTAGAAATTATTTCTTAAATACCACAAACTGATTTGGGTATATCACAAGGAAAGATCAGATAATTCTAATCCATGCTGAACATGTGATTTTGAAACAGAAACAGTAAAGATGAAAGGTGAAAGCTCCCATAGTAGGACCAGTACTGGAAGAGAGAGAGAGTGCTTTTTGACTGATGTACTCTCGCCTTACCTGAGTCTTTTGGTGTGAAATCATGGTCTTTTAGCACTGGAACAAACCTTAGAGATCGTCGTGTAGTCAAACATCTTTTTTTTGTAGATGAAGGAAACTAAGGACTGGAAAGGTGAACTAAGTTGCCCAGGTCAAAGAGCTACTTGGAGGAAGAAAATCTGAATCTCAAGAAGTTGGTTTGCAAACTTCTAAGTCCAGTGTTCTTTCTTCTCTTTCCACACACTGTTTCTTCCACTGAACTCTTCCTCTGAACAACAGGAGAGCAGCAGCAGTAATAAGTCCAGCACCATCAGGTCCGGGCCACAGCTGATTTTTAGAGGAGGCCCCTTGCACACAAACCAAGTTTGCTTCTGGCCAATAGACCTAGAAATTACAGGCTGATCTTGCTTTACTCCTCTATACGTGCTTCAGAAATGACTTCTTTGCAGAAACTGTGTTGGCATGGTTAATTAAAAAGCATTGTTAGAAGAGGGCACAAGGGGAGTGTCATTCCAGGTGCTGGTAATGTTCTGTTTCTTGATCTGGATGTGGGTTACATGGGAACATTCAGTTTGTGGAAATTATGTGATGTATATTTCTGGATATTTCAACAAAAAGTTAAACAAAGCTTACAGAACAATTAAGAATCCATTGTTACAAAAAAAAAAAAAAAAAAAAAGCCTATTGGTGGCCGGGCATAGTGGCTCACACCTGTAATCCTAGCGCTTCAGGAGGCCAAGGCAGGTAGATCATGAGATCAGGAGTTTGAACCAGACTGGCCAACATAGTGAAACCCCGTCTCTACTGAAAAAGCAAAAAATTAGCGAGGCATGGTGGCAGGTGGCTGTAATCCCAGCTATCGGGAGGCTGAGGCAGGAGCATAGCTTGAACGTGGGAGGTAGAGGTTGTGCTGAACCAAGATCATGTCACTGCACTCCAGCCTGGGCAAGAGAGCAAGACTCTGTCTCAAAAAAAAAAAAAGCATATTGGCATCAGAGAAATTAAATACCTCTAGAAATGATTCTGCAAGCACATTTTAACAATTTTTAAACAAAATTTTAAACAAAAACAGCCATCATTATTTGGCATAGCAAGAGTTTTACTGTAAAGCAAATTTAATCACTCCTTCAGGTAGAAACGTTTTCCTGATACTGTGGCCTTCCTTCATACTGTGTAACTGCCAAAGGAATCACTTAAAAATAAAAGCTATTATATGCTTCTTACATCTTTAGACAATGGGAATTATTCTAAATTACAGCTGACAGAAAGCATTTTTTCTATTCTTCATTTGACTTTGTGTTGTATATCTAAGGACTTGAGAAATTGATTTCAAAATTTCATGGTAACTTGTCATAATCCTTATGGAGGAAAATAAAACATAGAAGTTGGTCTGGCTGGGCAATATATTGTCCTACTTGTTTAACTATTGCTGTTAACAAAGAAAAGTTTAGGAGGGATAGCATTAGGAGATATACCTAATGTAAATGTTACGAGTTAATGGGTGCAGCACACCAACATGGCACATGTATACATATGTAACAAACCTGCACGTTGTGCACATGTACCCTAGAACTTAAAGTATAATAAAAAAAAAGAAAAAAAAGTTTGGATACATATACATACATATGTACATATATACACATACACACACCTCATCCCCCCCACACACAAATAATTGGCATACGGTGAATATATTTTACCACTAAAGCTGTACTAAACATAATTAGATATGTTTGGGATAAGTCAGAAGTATTTTCGAATCTTACAGTAACTTAATTATTATATACTATAGTTAATATCCTGCAGCTATAAAAATGACTGGGAACAAGCTAGGATATAAATTTAAAAGTAAATGCATAGGAGTGTGGGTATAGAAAGATCGCTGAAAAAATTAATACTTATAAATCAGCCATTTTTTTTCAATAGTAACACTGAGAGAATGAGAAAATACCTGCAATTAGTGTATTTTAAATTAGTCCTTCTTTCCTTTTACAGCTGCCAGTGGAGGGCATATTGATCAGAGAAAGGACCAAATAGACAAAAATGCAGAAAACAGATCTATGGTGTAAAGTGCCGAAGTAATTGATCCTTACCTAGTAAATATTCACATATGTTAACGTAAGTTAATACTGTTAGGAAACTGAGACCAATTTCATAAACAATATGCAACTATTTGGAAATTTCAATTATAGATGCTCAACAAATATCAAGTAAGCACATTTAAACCTAAAGACGAGTGTTCGGATATTTCAGTGGAACATTTTAGTATTGGTTCTGACTGTAATAATCCTGGCCAATATGTGTAGACTCTTTTAGTAGTCATTGTTTCCAAGCTGATTGGGCAGAGACCATGTCTATTGCACTTTTGAATAGCAACTTGAATCCTCTTGGCTTCTGGAACATATAAAATAACAATGTTCTCCAGAAATGCTGCCATTTGGTAACTTCTCTTTGGAGTGCAAACTTAAATTCTTGGTTATAAGTAGTATGTGCATATGCCCCGGTGTCCACATGCACAGATCTCTATGGGCATCAAATAAGGTATGCTTGCTGGGAAATAGAATGATTTTTGAATGCATAAGAACCCAAAGAGGATGACATAAACTTAGCGAAGTTTTCAAGCTCCAGTCTTTATTATGTATGTATGTTTTAAATTAAGGAGCAATCCAAAGGTTGAAAATCAGGGAAATCAGAGGCAGTTAATTTTATCAGAGAAAAAAATTGGAAGATAAAAGCTTTGGAAGATATCAGAGCAAAAATTGGAAGATAAAAAAATGAGAGGAATAGCAAAAACAAATTTTTAAGGTAAAACTATAAATTTTCTTTTGAAATTGTACATATTCGTTGGACTCAATAGTCATCTTCTCTTACTGGAACTAACTAAGAGTTAGTCCCTGTGACTGCTTACAAGGCAGAGCCAGGTAATTGATGCGTCAGAAACCTAGCTGTTGAACCACTGTGTGAATCTTTAGGCCATGAGGCTTAATTCTAATTTTAAGCAGATTTGGCTCTTATAAATCCTAAAGAGTTATAAAGCCTTGAGTTATTTTCTTGAAAATATCTGATAATTCAATTTATAATTTATTCTTAACACTCTCTTTAAAAAAAAAAGAAAGAAAACTTAAAGTATAATAATAATAAAATTAAAAAAAAAAAAAAGAAAAGTAAGGGACCAGATCAGGGGTAGAACAAAGCTGCAGACATATATTTTTCAAACCTGCTGTCAAGGAAATCAGAGGCATAAGAAAACTTGAACAGAATCAAGAAATTTACCATTTAGTTATAAAATTAGATGCAGCATTCCATATCTCATCCAAATATAATAATCTATTGGGAAATCATATTCAGGAGTGGCTTCTCCATCGAAGGTATAATTCCCTTGGAAGATTCACATGTATTTTATACAGTTTATCCCTAAAAATGTTTAAAGACAAGTCTGTGTAAAATGTGAAGTACTTGACTTCCTTATTAGTGACTTTATCTGAGGCATGGTCTACCATAGTAGTGATTACACTGCCCATTAACCAGTGAGTATTGATCTATTTATTCCTGAAAATTTTCCCTCCCCATTTAAAAATAAGCAGAAATAAAAACCTGGCTTCGTCATTTGTGATGGATGCTAAAGTCATGACTAGATAAAAGACTTCAATTTATCAGTTTATGTCTGAAGCCGAAAACTACTTGTTGATCTCTTAAATTCAAAAGGTTACTTGGAAACACTCAAGGCCAAATTGGAGAAAAATGATTAATCCATTTTAGTAAGTGCTTCTTTCTTATAAATGGAATTTAACTCCTTGGGCAAATGTAACGTTCTTTTTACTTCTGTGATTGCTAAAGTTTCTTTAGGATAAACATAGAAAAGAAATGGGAGTAGAGGGAATACACACACACACATGCACACACACACACACACACACATGCTGCAACCACACAAAGCACAAAGCAATTGTTGAATATGTCTGTGACCTTTGTTTATGTTCATATTTCAAAGTCAAGATAAGCCAATTTTCCCACCTAGAGATTTTCCCTCTGTAATTGGATATGTATCTAGATATTTACTATCATAATGGATTCTGGAAATGACACTAAAATTTCATTTCACTACCAGCCAACCAAATTTCTGATCTTTCAAAAATTAGGTCATTTAAAAGCTTTGCAAGAATCTCAGTTTATTAATTGGGGTGACACATTTATAGTTATTGGTTACAATATCAATGGAATCTTTCTTAATAAAACAATGTTCTCACTATAATTATAGTCCACAAGCACTATGAGCCACATAGTGGCATTTAAGATGCTCTCACCTTCTTCAGCCTCCTTACACCTCACTCTTAGAGCATCACTACTATCCCTTAAAATATGGAAAGGTGGAGAAATCTTTCTGAGCTTGGGCACTTCCACTAACTCTTATTTTGCTGCTGGTCCCTGTCCCTTTGAGGAGCAACAGCACTAAAAAGCTACTTTCAGAGATCCAAAAACAACATGGTTCGTGGAAAGCCATGTATTGGTATGGCTGGGGCCTGCCAACCAATTGTGTTCAGTCCTTTACTCTCAGAGATATTTAAAATCTCCTACTGGCTCCTTTTGTGTAGCGGTAAGTGAAGATTCAATGGGACAAGGCTCTAAATGGACTGGAGGCCTCTTTTCCATTAGAGATGTGTTTCCTCATAGACTTTTGTCTTCACACTTTATTTTCTTGTGCCCACTGCCTCTTATTCGATCATTTGTTGTTTCTATTCTCAAACTCTCTTTCTTCTTCTCCTAATTTTGTTTCTGAAAATTTAGCCTGTATCTTACAATCTACTATATACCAGGCAGTGCTCCACTCTCTCCTTACTTTTTTAACTACAGCCTATCAACCAAAGTTTATTCTATGGTTGACTTCCTCTCAGGAAAAAGACTGAGAGGAATAGACAAAACTTTGTAAAGAAATGTATGGGATGGTTGTGGGAGGGAAATCACAATGAGTGCATTTGGAAAAATACATAAACTACCTGTCTTCTTATGTTCATGATCATATTTTAAACTAGAATGGTTAACAGCTGTGTCTTTCCTGAATTATTATAAGCTAGTTTTATAGTGAATAACATTCTATATTTGTTCAGCGTATTTTAGATAATGAGGTAGGAAAAATTTCTGTAGTATATTTATTCCTGCTAAAATAGATTATGGTCTATAGAATCTGGTTATCCGCTATTTAAAATGTTTCCTACATGTTTGAGGGTTTCAAAAGTGTCCTTTTCATTTGTGGAATTTAATTCTATTCTCTAGACATAATCTCAGTGTTATATCATTACAGAGAGTACTTTAGTGAACAGTCAAATAGGAAGAGAGTAAAAGAAGAACACTGGCATGTTGAGCCAGACTCTTAAGAAAAGCAATTAATAAGAAAATAGCTCTGTAGCCCAATGAGAATTAAATAGTGAGATTAATAGAAACTAAATAATTGGATGGTTTGGGTTTGGATTATGTACATGAAGATTTTTTTTTTTAAAGTGAAAGAATTTTGTTCTTTGTTACACTGGTAACATTAAAATTAATGAGTAAGGGTAAGGAGGACTGAGGAATTGAGGTAATTTGTGGTTTCACTGTAACAAGGTGAAGAAGACAACTTTTGGCAAGTTTTTTGTTGGCATATCTGATTTGCACTAATATGATGTTATTTACAATATTTATCCCACTTAAGTGAGTATTTGCATATTTTACTATAGAAACGTGGGGGTTTGTGGTATATGATATATACAAAATATTACCTTTATAAATTCTAAAAAAAATCTGAATTCTGAAATATATGTGGCTCCAAGGACTTCAGATAAGGAATTGTGGACTTGCATATCTATTGACTGTTGGGAGGAAAACTTTAAGAGGTATTATGAGTGAGCTATAACCTCCTCTTTAATAAGAAGAGTCAGTAACTGTTGTCTAAAGTGGTTAAGTTGAGAAGTAAAAGTATAAGCATATAATATAGTGTTATGGATCAGAATATCTAAAGAGAAATTAAAAGAAATTTCTCTTTGAAGTAGAGGTAAAGAGGGTTGGAGCGGGAGACTTGCTTCTCATCACACCTTCTTCAAAACTATGAACTGTTATCATGTGCATGCATTATTAATACTTTAGTTTTAAAAATTAAATTAATTATTTCAACAAACTTGCCTTGAGTTTATGTAATGTGTTAGGCATGGTATCTGGAAGCGTGAAAATTGAAACCTTTGTCTGGGCACAATGGCTCATGCCTGTAATCGCAGTGCTTTGGGAGGCTGAGGTAGGAGAATTGCTTGAGCCCAGGAATTCAAGACCAGCCTGGGCAACATAGAAAGATCTCATCTCTACAAAAAATAAAAAATAAAAGAAAACTAGCTGGGCATGGTGGCATGCACCCCTGGTCCCAGCTGTTCAGGAAGCTGATGTGAGAAGATCGCTTGAACCCCGAAGGTCAAGGCTGCAGTGAGCTGAGATTGCATCACTGCACTGCAGTATCACTGCACTCCAGCCTGGGTGACAGAGGAATACCCTGTCTCAAAAAAAAAAAAAAAAAAAAAAAAAGAAGACGCTCTCAAGAGTTCTAATATGTAAAATAGACTTGTAAACAATGAGGCTTGATATGAAACAGTAAAGTGATCATTTTTATAGCATTATATACAGAGAAGACAGTGACTACTATTTTCCAGCTAAGAGAGTGTACATCTAGGTGTGTATGAGGGTAATGGGCCTGGTGAACTGTAGGAGAGGGAAGAGGAAAGTCAGTCAAGGGAGCCTTCACAGAGGTGCTGGACCTTTTTAGAACGCAAAAGACTCAATCTGAGAGGCGTCAGAGGGAGACAGACACAAGGTGAAGATGTAGAAAAGTTCTTGATGGAGAGCACTCTTCCATGCCCTCCTTGTAGCTAGAGAAAACCAGGCTGTAGCTCCTTTAATTTAAATCTGCCTTCCCCAGCAAACAAGAAGCTATTTGGATATTTT
The DNA here is from genome assembly GCF_000001405.40 of Homo sapiens. Taxonomy (NCBI): domain Eukaryota; kingdom Metazoa; phylum Chordata; class Mammalia; order Primates; family Hominidae; genus Homo; species Homo sapiens. The sequence continues at coordinate 172,219,820 of NC_000001.11, forward strand.
GTTTTGTTTTTCCTGAAGGGTGACAGTAGAGGGTGGGAAAGGTACATTTTACATAGGAGATTTATATCTTAATTTTACTCTCAAAATAGAAGACCCTGAGAAAATACACATGAGCAGGGAATTTTTTAAAAGAAATTCAGTTTAAAGTCAGCTTTTTCTAGATTGCAAGTAAGCTGTGTAGAGTAAGGGAAACATGGCTCATCTGGCCAGGGTTCTAAAGTAGGCAAGCTAACTAAATCTCACAGGAGGTCTTCGAGGAGAGCAAACCCAGAATTCATTGCATTAATCCAGCCTAAATATTTTAAGGACATGAACAAATATGATGATGTCATTGAAGAGAAAGGGTTGTTTGCTTCCATACCCATTTTGGCAGCTGTAGCAGCTGTGGTATCTCTTCAAACACTCAGATTGTAGGTTAAACCCTAAAGTTGAGCCTTTGAGTTTCAGGGCTAGATAGGAGTTTCTTGAAATACCAGCCTTCTGATATAACAGAAATTATGACAGAGGAGCTGTATACAAATTGGCTATAATGGGGAGTGATCAGATACATTGTGAATAAATACAATATACAAAGAGTTAATATTAAAAATATGGAGAATGGGGGAAAACTCAAAAAAGAGAGCTCAAGAATCAATGCTTCAAGTGCATGTAGAGTTAAGAGTGCACATGGGGGAGGCAGTGAGGCCTCTGACAGGTGGTAGGGGAAGTAAGTTGACAGATGAGCTTTATATTTCTTGAAAATTTTCTCTTTATCTCAGTTCACAGAGGCGGATGGGAAAGGAACAGATGTCAGAAACAGCAGTGATTCTCAGGGAAGATTAAATGGTAGAGGAAATGGAGATCGCATTACCAAATAAGATGGGAAGGGAAAGCAGTGTGTTTAAGTAGAACTAGACAGAATGACCAGGTGGAATTTGGATTTGAAGTTTTAGGGGATATCATGTTAAAGCAGTAAACACCAAGCTATCACAATCTGACCCGTTGAGATTCCATTAATTGATAACGATGATGAGTACTTCTTTATTTGTTAATAAAAGCGTGCCATAAAGAATAGGCACATTAAAGTTTTCATTTAAAAATACATGTATTGTTCCATTTCAGAATTGTTAAGAAGTTGAAATATTCTTATAACATTAGAAAGAACTAAGGTTTAGGAAGATTTGGGATTACGTGAGAGTTGCTTGTATCACATCATGTTACTTTTCATTCAATTTTCTCCTTCATCAATCCCTCTTCCCTTCTCCCCTTTTCCTTCTTCATTTTTTCTCCTTATAGGGACATATGGAGGTATGGGAACTCAGACGCAGTATTCAAAGAAAAAGAATGTATTATTAAGAAACTTGGTCACATTATTATTATAAAAGTATACATTCACTAAGAAAACATTTACATAAGAAAAGTACTCAATTAGATTTCTGGTCTATATATAAAAGATCTTCTCAACCAAAAACAACTTGAGGCTGGCATTTAGAAAACCTGAGCTCTAGTTCTACCCTATCCCTCATTAGCCCTATGACTTCAGACAAATCATATGCCCTCTTTGGCTCTCAGTTTCTTCAACTGTGAAGAAGAGCTTAGATCATGTCTGTAATATATATGTTTTAATTATTTGAATACCATAGTCTAGGTGGTGATCTTAATGCAAGCAAATGCCGTTCACTTTAACAATCCACAGGGAAGAGATGGGAGAGATGGTTCCAAGAGCAGAAAACTATCTTGGTAAAGGAATTCCTACATTTTTATCCATTCATTCTACTAATACTAAGTAAACATCTGCTGTGATTTCCTATGCCTGGGAATGCATTTCTTCCAGATATCCACATTGCTTATTCCCTTGCCTCCTTTAGGGCTTCACTGTGTGGTCATCTCGTGAGGACTTCCTTCTTTCCTATTTAAAATTATGTGCATGCACACACCACACTGTCTCTCTTGCTATCTCTCTTTCTCTCTCCAATTCTGGGACTCCCCATTCCTCTTTCTGTGATTTATTTTTCCCAATAACACTAAATACTTTCTAATATTCTAAAAAGTTACCTATTTATTTTATTATTTAAATCCCCCGTTTGAAATTAAGATAAAGACAAAGACTTTGTAGGGTTTGTTCAATGCATAGAATAGAGTTTATCACATAGTAAGCCCTCAGTAACAGAGTTCAAGTCTTAATCATCAAGTAGCTGAGGAATTCTAGACTCATTGCGAGTATATTATTTCAATGGGAATAGATAAGGAGACTAGGAAAGTCAGAGATAGTAATGGATTCACAATTCTGATTTTCAAACATCTTGAGCAACAGGATCTTTGTTTCTGACGAAAACTCATGTAGAAGCCACATGTGAAGAGTTAAGTGCAGACTTGGTCTAAGTGAAACAGGTGAAAGAAACATGGCCACTTGCTTTAGCTAGAATCACTACCTAAACTATGGTATTCACATCATAAAGAATGTACACGATGGATATATGATCCAAGCTCTTGCTTTTCTCCTGCCTCCTCAAGGTGGTCCCTGAAGAAATTCTGAACAGATTTTCTCAAAGTTGCCTAATATCAAAAATTACTTGGAACACTGGTTAAAAACACAGATCCCCTGGGGCTTTGCCCCTGGAAAGGAAAGGGAATATACCAAGAAGTTGGTGAAGAGGCCAAGGTTTGCATCAAGGAAGGTGATTATAGAGAACAAGAAACATCTGGATTTTCCGAGGCTGAATAAAGAGAAAGGTTAGCAAGAGGACAGGGGTCTACTTAGTAAAGTCATTTCAATGGTGGTCAGTCACTTACACTTGTCTCCCACATAAGAAGAAAAAATTGGATCCTGGTTTGGGCTGAGAATTGGATATGTTTAAAAAGAGAAAAACAAAGCCATATTTAGGGGTTTGTTTTGTTGAATTTTATTATTGACAATGGCGCCAAAGAACCAACATACAACCACTTGAACTAAATAGAACATTAACAGAGTTCTAAACATTCAAACATATGATGAAGGGAAAATTCCACTAGTCAAAGATCTCAGAAGAGATATAACTTGCTCATTCACCGAAAACTTGTACACAAACAAAATCTAGAAAAAGATGTATGTATGATTCTTGTCCTTCTCTATTATCAGTTTCTTTTTAAATTTTTTAAGTGTTATTTTGTTTTTTACACATAGTAGTTGTATATACTATGGGGTGTAATGTGATGTTTCCATACACGTATACATTGCATAATGTTCAAATCGGGGTAATTAGTATATCCATCACCTCAAACATTTATCATTTCTTTATAGTGGGTACATTCAAAATCCTCTAACTATTTTTAAGTATACAGTACAATATTGTTAACTATAGTCACCATACTGTGCAATAGAGCACCAAAACTTATTCCTCCTGTCTAACTGTAACTTTGTATCTGTTGATCTCTTCCCATCCTGCCCCTAACCCCACCTCTCCAGTCTCTGGTATCAGTTTCTTTTTTCTTTTCTTTTTTTTTTTTTTTTACTATCAACAGAACCTCATCAAATTATCTCATTTAATGGTACCACCTCTCCAGGCATATCGGCAGGCACCAATTGGCAGGCACCATTGTATATCCATTCTGTCATAAAAAAAATCCCATATATCACTATAAATTTTTGACCATTAGTCTTTATAGTTTTTTACATTCGTTGAAATATAACTTTTCTCTGAGAGCATCATATCCTCAAAACTATCTCAAATAGAGGGTACTTTTGTCTCCATTACTCCATCTCCTCTTGGATGTCTCAGATTCCTCAGCATCAAAACATCTAAACTGAATCTCATGGCTCCCACTGAACCCATGACTTGCCTTTATCTATTGTTCCCTATTTCAGTGAATAGCACCTCTATGTCCAATCCATCATTCAATCTCTGTTTTACCTACTAAATAGTTTTTAAATACATATACTCTTCTATTCTCCAACCACCTTAGTCCAAGAAACCACTGTCTTCTTCCTTGATTATTGTAAGAGCTTCGTACTTGTTCTGTCTACTTCTGGCCATTCTGTAAGTCTTCTCTAAGTGTAGCTCTCATCAATCACTTCCTTGATATTCCCACTGCCACGGTCCCATTGTGTCACTTTGTCTGGGCCATTGGAGTAGCCAACACTCCAGTTACCTTAGTCTCTGCCATCTTCTATCTACACTATATTTTTATACCAGCTTAATCTCCATAAAGCGTACATGTCTCCCAACTGCTTTGCTGCTTACTGAATTTAATCCAAACTTCTTAGTTTAGTGTTCTCTTGACCAGTAATACCTTCTCCCTATACCTATGCCTACCCCAATCCTACCCAACATGCAAGACTCCTGTGGCTTTTCCTGACCTCTATTCAGCCTGATAGGCTATTCTGCCATTAGAACTCACAACACAGACTTAACTTTCTTGTGAGCAGTGTCTTATCACATTTATATCAGCAGACACACCTTGCACTGCCCCTTTCATATAGTGAATCCTCAATGCACTTAATGAATTTTAGTACATTTTAATTTTATTTGAATAGGTTTTTAGACTTTGAGTTTCAGGAAAAGGCTAAATTACTGAATTCATTTTAGTATTGTGGAAATCAAATGGAAACCACCCCACATATGAAAACATAGCTGTACTCTATTTGTTTTATTTCAAAGTGATCCAGGTCCTTTTACCACCAGAGAGGAAGAAAGAGGATTAAGCTGAAATTAATGTTTTGATGAAGATGAGGTGGATGGTAAATTGACCCGAGGGAAGCAAAAAAAAATCAACTTGCCACATGTTAGCAACCGAGACCTCATGATTGATGTTCAGTGACTTGGAAATTCTCTCCAGGGCAAACTGCATTTTCACTGCTTACTTACATACATTTTGAGGCATAGATTAATTTCAAAACAAGAATTTAAAGCTAGGAGGAACCTCAGACATCAGCATAGTTTGTGGTTTTCAAACTTTTCTCTCCTTTTCTGTTTTTAAACATTAGAACACTTTATTCAATCAAAATCTTCCATGAAATCCCATTGTATAAAATAAATAAAACCAGAGCTGTCTTGGTTAAAGCAGGGTGCGAGCCCAGGATCCAGCCCTCTTGCCTTGGGGCTCTCTAGCTTCCATGGTGGCCCCTGAAGCATAACAAGAGAATCTCTAGAAGGCTGGTGATCTCAGTTTGAAAACCAAGGATCTGGTCTTCCCTCTCATTTCTTACAAGTGGAAACAGGTTCAGAGAAGCGACATGATGTGCCCAGTGGTAGAGTCAGGACTAGGACTCAGGTTTCCTGCCATGCAATGCAGTATTCTCCTCCAATTCCTCTTTGCTATTTTCTTTGGTGGCATGTCCCTCCTGTTTCTTCTTCCTCTTTTTTTTTTTTTTTTTTTTTTTTTGAGATAGTCTTGCTGTGTCGCCAGGCTGGAGTGCAGTGGCACTATCTTGGCTCACTGCAACTTCTGTCTCCCAGATTCAAGTGATTCTCCCTTCTCAGCCTCCCGAGTAGCTGGGATTACAGGCGCACCACCACGCCCAGCTAATTTTTGTATTTTTAGTAGAGACGGGGTTTAACCATGTTGGCCAGGATGGTCTCGATCTCTTGACCTCATGATCCACCTGCCTCGGCCTCCCAAAGTGCTGGGATTACAGGCATGAGCCACCGTACCCGACCGTCCCTCCTTCTAATGACCTCAATTTAGTCTTTACTTTTTCCCAGTGTCAGCACATATGATCCAAAAGGCCTTCTGAACTTCTATCAATATTTTGATAGCTTCTATTCTCAACTCTTTAGTAACTATTACCAAATGACCATTTTTTTTTTGCCATAACTCTATCTCTTAAGATACTACCATATTTCCCTATAAAAATGCATTAACAAGTTGGTAACATGTTGACCATGGTAACATCTTGAGCCCAGGAGATGGAGTTTACAGTGAGGTGTGATTGTCCACTGCACTTCAGCCTGGTGACAGAGAAAGACCCTGTCCCAAAAAATAAATATAAAAAATTCCAACATCTTATCTCACCATTCAGAGAAAACCTCTTTTAAACATCTGTCTTTCAATGAAAATGCATGAATTATATATATGATATATATATGAATTATATTATATACATAAATAGAATTATGCTATTTGTGCCATTCTACAATTTGATTCTTTCAGTCAAGAAAACTCTTGGTGCTCTTTCCACCAAATATAGATTTATTACTCTCTTTTATAGTTACACAGTGTACTTTTGTATGAATTTATTGTAATTTATTTAACCAGCATCCTATAAGTTTAGTTTCTAGTTTGTAACTATTTTTTAATGCTGTAATAAACATCACTATGCACATATAATTGCATCCAATAATCACCTCAGGATAAATTCATAGAAAAGAAAATGCTGGGTCAACAGATATCTTCATTTTAAATTAAAATATCTCTAATATTTATTGTAAACAAAACCTTTAAACAAAACAAGACAGAACACAGACAAGTATCAAAGTCTCCTCCAACCCCCTAGCTGTTATGCCAGTCTCCAAAAGAAACCTGGTATAGACTTCAGACCTTTAGTTCAATATAAAACTGTAAACATAGATACTTTTAAAAAAGATAGTAGATTACAGAGTACATACTTAACTATAACTTATTTTTAAACCAAATAATGGATTCTGACCAAATTTCCACATCAGGACATATTGTACTAGCTCTTTTCTTTTTTGGACTGCAGAGTATTTCATGCACAGATGAAAGGAAGCAAAATGTGGTGGCTAAGAGCATGGACCCTGGAGCCTGCTCCCTGCCACCAGGCATATGACCTTAAGTGTAAGTCGCTCTGTGCCCTACTCTCTACATTTTTAAACTTCGATGATAAATACCTACTTCATAACATTATTGGAAGAATTAAATGACTAAATATATTGGAAATGCTTAGTACAATAAGCACTCAACCAATGTTAACTATTATTAATATGTGTCATAATTTTTTAGCTAGTCCCCATTTGATGGGCATTTATTTTCAGTTTTTCAGCGATAATGATGCAAGTCATATTTCATATATGTCCATTTGTGAAAGCATTTCTTTAGGGTATATTACTAAAAATTAAAAATGGATTTACTGGGTCAAAATAAAGACACATTTTGTTTCATTTAAATTTTTTAATTTTTTTATTTCAATAGCTCTGGGGGGAGGTACAAGTGTTTTTTGGTCACATGGATTGTATAGTGTGAAGTTGGGGATTTTAATGCACCCATCTCCCATGTAGTATACACTGTACCAGTACGTAGTTTTTCATTCCTCACTCCCCTCCCACTCTCCCCCTCTCTGAGTCTCCAATGTCCATTATACCACTTTGTATGTCCTTGCATACTCATAACTTAGCTCTCACTTACAAGTGAGAATATGCAGCACTTGGTTTTTCATTCCTGAGTTAGTTCACTTAGAATAATCACCCCCCAGTTACATCCAAGTTGCTGCAAATAACATTTCATTCTTTTTTTTTAATGGCTGGATAGTATTTTGTGATATATATATATATATATATATATATATATATATCACATTTTCTTTATCCACTCGTCAGATGATGGCCACTTAGGCTGGTTCTATATCTTTGCGGTTGTGAATTATGCTATGATAAACATACACATGCAAGTGTCTTTTTGATACAGTAACTTCTCCTTTGGGTAGATGTAGACACCCAGTAGTGGAATTGCTGGATTGAATGGTAGATATACTTTTGTTTGAGAGATCTCCATACTGTTTTCCATAGAGGCTGTACTAATTTACATTCCAACCAGCAGTGTATAAGTGTTTCCTTTTTACCACATCCATGCCAACATCAATTGTCTTTTGACTTTTTAATAATGGCCATTCTGGCTGGGGTAAGGTGGTATCTCATTGTGGTTTTAATTTGCACTTCCTTGATGATTAGTGATGTTGAACATTTTTTCATGTTTTTTGGCCATTTGTATATCTTCTTTTGAGAAATGAAGATAGATATATTTTGAATTTTGATGTTTTCACATCCACCCCTCCTCCAAAAGGCTGTGCCAGTTAATATTCCAGCCAATGGTGTATAAAAATATCCATTTCCTCACATCTGGTCATAGTGGATATTATTAGTCTAATATACAAGTTCACACACATGTGTAATTTTAATGTGCATTTCTTTGGTTATTACTGAAGTTTAGTAACATGTTTTATTTAGCATTTGTCTTTCATTATCTGAGAACTACTAATACTCTCCTTGACACTTTTCTATTAGGGTGTTTATTTTTTTAAACAGATTTTTAATGGCTCTCTGAGTATTATGGCTATTAACTTTTATTCATATATATTGCCAATACTTTTCTCAATTTATCATCTGTTTTTCAATTTTGTTCATTATTTTGCCATGAAGAAGTGTGTCATTGCTATGAGTCTTTTATAGTTTCAGGTTTTATGCCAAATGTCTTTTTTTTTTCTTTTAACTTCAATCTTCCCAAATTGTCATCTATTTTGTACTCTGGGGCTTTGAGATTTGACCTATCTAAAATTTCTATTTTGTGGGGAAGGGTAGATGAGAAGCCAGTTGTCCTAAAATTATTTGTTCAGAAGTCTGGTTTGTAATGCCGCCTTTATCATAAACTAACTTCTCAGGTCGGTTTCACTCTTTCTTCGCTCTCTTCTATTCACCTGACCTGCCAGTGGACTTTTACCACAGGCTTCTGTTGTCTAATTTTTATATTAAATTTAAATCTTAATATTTGAAGGGCATTTTCCCTCTGATTACTTTTGTTTTCTTTGGTTATTGTTTAGAATTTTCCTGGCTATTTGCAACTGCCTGTTCTTCAAATGAAATTTACAATCATTTTGTCAAGTTACCTCTCATAAAATTGTTCCAAAGTTTTTTTGCCTAAGATTTTATTATATCACTGTATAATTTAAGGAGAATTTAGAACTTTAAATATTGAGATTTCTATCCAAGATCTGTTTCTCTATTTCAGCTTTGTTATATATCCCTCAGAATAATTTTATAAATGTATTCATATAAGACTGCACATTTTCTGGTAGGTTTATGACCAGATGTTTTTTAGTAGATACCCTACGTTCATTTAATGGTTGATTTGGAGTGCAGTCCCACAAGTTGAGTCTAAAGTGTGAAAATAAATTTTTTAAAATTTTTATCAATCATTGTCACCAAAGACCTCTTCTTTTGCCACTTTCTACTATGAAACACACTTTTTCCAAGTGGCTCAATGCAAGCTGTACCTCAGAATCCTGTCATTTCTAAATAACATCTTATCTATATGCTATTTCCATGAAAAGCTAGTTTGGCCAAGATTTTGCTGTAAAGTATCCAACGAGTTAGGCTTTCATTATTTTTCTGGTCTTACTTAATGAAGAAACACATCTGGGAAATCAATGAGTATTTGAACTCACTGGGCTTCATAAACACTCTAAATTCAGTCAACCAACCATTATGCTTAATTCACATTCAACCAACCAACAATTATTGAGACTTAGTATGTTCAGAATTCTAGAACTAGAAACATTTCTCTACTCTGGAGTGACTTATTGTGTAATAGGAAAAACAGGTATAAAACAAATAATTGAAATATATGTTATAAAACAATCTGAGAAAGTCAGTAAGAACTCACAATCAAATGGCAATTAAATAACTGGTGAATGTATATAAGTGTCTAATTAAGTAGCATTTATTTGTAATGAACAGCACACTCAGACAGACACATGCCCAGCTAAAGCAGTTTCTACAGGATGTGATGTGAACTCTTTTTCCCACTCTACATATGAAAATGTTGTCTTTAATAATCATTAGATCTATCCTATCCATAGGTTTAACTCTAGCAATAACTTTTTGAATTTAAAAACCCAAGTGATTAATATTTTGTGAGAATGATTGAGTCCGTGGCATGGAATAATAACTACATCCTTTTCATTACATAGATATGTATGTATATTATAATAACATAGATTATACTACAAAACATACACGCACGCCACACACACACACACATACATACATGTGTGCTTCTTGGGGTCCTAGAATTTCTAGCTTCTCCTCACTGAGAAACTGGTGAGGAGAATGCTCCTTCTGTCACTGTCCAAATTGTGCTGATTCTTCTTTGTGTATGCCACCCTGTTCTCTTCTTCTGCTGGTCTTTGCTAGGACAGTGTATTGACATAGAAGTTCATTATTTCTCTGCACAGACAACTCTTATCCTTTGCTCTTGCTTTTATTCAAAGCTCCCTCTCTAGTGTTACTGAAGGGTTTTATTTTTTAATTCTTTCACTAGGGGAGTCAAAACTATTACTTCCTGCTTAACCTATAACTCTGATGATGGCTTTGCCATGTTGTCATGGTTTTTTGTTTGTTTGTTTGGCCTATATTCTGAGAATTCTGTGTATCTTGGCTCTGCCCCATGTGAGAATGAGCGAGATTTATTATTTCATGGGGACAAAGCTCTTCATTAGGATACAAACTATAAAACTGGGTTTTTTCAATTGAACAAAATTGTGGATGTGATAACACACCCATGAAATTTCACTAAATCATAACTCTGTCTTCCTCATCTCAGCATTTAATAAATTAAATTATTCAATTGATTTTGAGAATTTGACTAAAGCTATGGACTCTCCCTACCTCCTTACAATATGTATGTTTTGTAAAAGTTTGCATATTTTTGTAGGGGATTGATTGTTTTGCTGAACACTTGGTGCTCTATTGATTTCAGGAAAGAATCCTTTGTTTAACTACTTCATGCCCAATATAGGACACATGCTATTTGAAAATGAGAAAAAATAAATATAGTAACAGTGTTTTAACAAAATTAGAATGTTCCTTCAAATGAATGTTATTTTCTTACTTACCGTTTCTTTTTTTATTACAGCTTGAATGTTAAATGTTTCATGGGTGTATAGTACTTCCTCTGTTTACTCATTCTCTTTGACCCTCTTCAGCCCATTGCGAGCACACTTCTGTTTCCAGCACTCTACCAAAATTGTGGTTCTAGTGGTTACTTTTCTAGCCATATCCTGCTGCATTTCTTAGAAATAAATGTAACTAACTTCTCCCTCCATCTTAGAACACATTCTCCTCTTGGCTTCCATAACATTACATTTTCCTGGTTTTTCCCATTCTACTTACTTAGTCCCCTTTGACTAGTTTGCCCTTCCTCTCTCTTACCTCTAAATGTTGAAATGACATAGATCTTCTCCTCTTTTCTGTCCTCATACATCCTCTCTAGCTGAACTCATCTAGGAGTTCAGCTCCTAGATGAGTTCATCTCATTTAAATACCATCAATATGCCATATTTATGTGACTACCATAGTTATGTCTCCAACTCTGAACTCCAAACTTGGATATCCAACTACCCTACTGGGGGGTGCCTCCCAGTTAGGCTACTTGGCGGTCAGGGACCCACTTGAGGAGGCAATCTGCCTAACTGGGAGGCACCCCCAGTAGGGGCAGACTGACACCTCACACGGCCTGGTACCCCTCTGAGACAAAACTTCCAGAGGAACGATCAGGCAGCAACATTTGCTGTTCTGCAGCCTCTGCTGCTGATACCCAGGCAAACAGGGTCTGGAGTGGACCTCCAGCAAACTCCAACAGACCTTCAGCTGAGGGTCCTGACTCTTAGAAGGAAAACTAACAAACAGAAAGGACATCCACACCAAAAACCCATCTGTACATCACCATCATCAAAGACCAAAGGTAGATAAAACCATAAAGATGGGGAAAAAACAGAGCAGAAAAACTGCAAATTCTAAAAATCAGAGCACCTCTCCTCCTCCAAAGGAACACAGCTCCTCACCAGCAATGGAACAAAGCTGGATGGAGAATGACTTTGACAAGTTGGGAGAAGAAGGCTTCAGATGATCAAACTTCTGCGAGCTAAAGGAGGAAGTTCGAACCCATGGCAAAGAAATTAAAAACCTTAAAAAAGATTAGGCAAATGGATAACTAGAATAACCAATGCAGAGAAGTCCTTAAAAGACTTGATGGAGCTGAAAACCATGGCACGAGAACTATGTGATGAATGCACAAGCTTCAGTAGCCAATTCGATCAAATGGAAGAAAGGGTATCAGTGATGGAAGATCAAATGAATGAAATGAAGCGAGAAGAGAAGTTTAGAGAAAAAGGAATAGAAAGAAACAAACAAAGCCTCCAAGAAATATGGGACTATGTGAAAAGACCAAATCTACATCTGACTGGTGTACCTGAAAGTGACGGGGAGAATGGAACCAAGTTGGAAAACACTCTGCAAGATATTATCCATAACAATATTAACCTTAAATGTAAATGGGCTAAATGCTCCAATTAAAAGACAAAGACTGGCAAATTGGATAAAGAGTCAAGACCCATCAGTGTGCTGTATCAGGAAACCCATCTCACATGCAGAGACACACATAGGCTCAAAATAAAGGGATGGAGGAAGATCTACCAAGCAAATGGAAAACAAAAAAAGGCAGGGGTTTCAATCCTAATCTCTGATAAAACAGACTTTAAACCAACAAAGATCAAAGAGACAAAGAAGGCCATTACATAATGGTAAAGGGATCAATTCAACAAGAAGAGCTAACTATCCTAAATATATGTGCACCCAATACAGGAGCACCCAGATTCATAAAGCAAGTCCTGAGAGACCTACAAAGAGAATTAGACTCCCATACAATAATAATGGGAGACTTTAACACCCCACTGTCAACATAAGACAGATCAACGAGACAGAAAGTTAACAAGGATATCCAGGAACTGAACTCCGCTCTGCACCAAGCAGACCTAATAGACATCTACAGGACTCTCCACCCCAAATCAACAGAATATACATTCTTCTCAGCACCACACCACACTTGTTCCAAAATCGACCACATAGTTGGAAATAAAGCACTTCTCAGCAAATGTAAAAGAACAGAAATTATAACAAACTGTCTCTCAGACCACAGTGCAATCAAGCTAGAACTCAGGATTAAGAAACTCACTCAAAACCGCTCAACTACATGGAAACTGAACAACCTGCTCCTGAATGACTACTGGGTACATAATGAAATGAAGGCAGAAGTAAAGATGTTCTTTGAAACCAACGAGGACAAAGGCACAACATACCAGAATCTCTGGGACACATTTAAAGCAGTGTGTAGAGGGAAATTTATAGCACTAAATGCCCACAAGAGAAAGCAGGAAAGATCTAAAATTGACACCCTAACATCACAATTAAAAGAACTAGAGAAGCAAGAGCAAACACATTCAAAAGCTAGCAGAAGGCAAGAAATAACTAAGATCAGAGCAGAACTGAAGGAGATAGAGACACAAAAACCCTTCAAAAAATCAGTGAATCCAGAACCTAGTTTTTTGAAAAGATCAACAAAATTGATAGACCACTAGCAAGACTAATAAAGAAGAAAACAGAGAAGAATCAAATAGATGCAATAAAAAATGATAAAGGGGATATCATCAGCAATCCCACAGAAATACAAACTACCATCAGAGAGTACTATAAACAACTCTCTACACAAATAAACTAGAAAATCTAGAAGAAATGGATAAATTCCTGGACACATACACCCTCAGAAGACTAAACCAGGAAGAAGTTGAATCTCTGAATAGACCAATAACAGGCTCTGAAATTGAGGCAATAATCAATAGCTTACCAACCAAAAAAAGTCCAGGACCAGACAGATTCACAACCGAATTCTACCAGAGGTACAAGGAGGAACTGATACCATTCCTTCTGAAACTATTCCAATCAATAGAAAAAGAGGGAATCCTCCCTAACTCATTTTATGAGTCCAGCATCATCCTGATACCAAAGCCTGGCAGAGACACAACAAAAAAAGAGAATTTTAGACCAATATCCCTGATGAACATCGATGCAAAAATCCTCAATAAAATACTGGCAAACTGAATCCAGCAACACATCAAAAAGCTTATCCACCATGATCAAGTGGGCTTCATCCCTGGGATGCAAGGCTGGTTCAACATATGCAAATCAATAAATGTAATCCAGCATATAAACAGAACCAACGACAAAAACCACATGATTATCTCAATAGATGCAGAAAAGGCCTTTGACAAAATTCAACAGCCCTTCACGCTAAAAACTCTCAATAAATTAGGTATTGATGGGACGTATCTCAAAATAATAAGAGCTATTTATGATAAACCCACAGTCAATATCATACTGAATGGGCAAAAACTGGAAGCATTCCTTTTGAAAACTGGCACAAGACAGGGATGCCCTCTCTCACCACTCCTATTCAACATAGTGTTGGAAGTTCTGGCCAGGGCAATCAGGCAGGAGAAGGAAATAAAGGGTATTCAATTAGGAAAAGAGGAAGTCAAATTGTCCCTGTTTGCAGATGACATGATTGTATATCTAGAAAACCTCATTGTCTCAGCCCAAAATCTCCTTAAGCTGATAAGCAACTTCAGCAAAGTCTCAGGATATAAAATCAATGTGCAAAAATCACAAGCATTCTTACACACCAATAACAGACAGAGAGCCAAATCACGAGTGAACTCCCATTCACAATTGCTTCAAAGAGAATAAAATACCTAGGAATCCAACTTACAAAAGATGTGAAGGACGTCTTCAAGGAGAACTACAAACCACTGCTCAACGAAATAAAAGAGGATACAAATGGAAGAACATTCCATGCTCATGGATAGGAAGAATCAATATCATGAAAATGGCCATACTGCCCAAGGTAATTTACAGATTCAATGCCATCCCCATCAAGCTACCAATGACTTTCTTCACAGAATTGGAAAAAGCTACTTTAAAGTTCATATGCAACCAAAAAAGAGCCCACATTGCCAAGTCAATCCTAAGCCAAAAGAACAAAGCTGGAGGCATCACGCTACCTGACTTCAAACTATATTACAAGGCTACAGTAACCAAAACAGCATGGTACTGGTACCAAAACAGAGATATAGACCAATGGAACAGAACAGAGCCCTCAGAAATAATGCCACAGATCTACACCGATCTGATCTTCGACACCTATTTAATAAATGGTGCTGGGAAAACTGGCTAGCCATATGTAGAAAGCTGAAACTGGATCCCTTCCTTACACCTTATACAAAAATTAATTCAAGATGGATTAAAGACTTAAATGCTAGACCTAAAACCATAAAAACCCTAGAAGAAAACCTAGGCAGTACCATTCAGGACACAGGCATGGGCAAGGACTTCATGACTAAAACACCAAAAGCAATGGCAACAAAAGCCAAAACTGACAAATGGGATCTAATTAAACTAAAGAGCTTCTGCACAGCAAAAGAAACTACCATCAGAGTGAACAGGCAACCTACAGAATGGGAGAAAATTTTTGCAATCTACTCATCTGACAAAGGGCTAATATCCAGAATCTACAAAGAACTCAAACAAATTTACAAGAAAAAAACAACCCCATCAACAAGTGGGCAAAGGATATGAGCAGACACTTCTCAAAAGAAGACATTTATGCAGCCGAAAGACACGTGAAAAAATGCTTATCATCACTGGTCATCAGAGAAATGCAAATCAAAACCACAATGAGATACCATCTCACACCAGTTAGAATGGCAATCATTAAAAAGTCAGGAAACAACAGGTGCTGGAGAGGATGTGGAGAAACAGGAACACTTTTACACTGTTGGTGGGACTGTACACTAGTTCAACCATTGTGGAAGTCAGTGTGGCGATTCCTCAGGATCTAGAACTAGAAATACCATTTGACCCAGCAATCCCATTACTGGATATATACCCAAAGGATTATAAGTCATGCTGCTGTAAAGACACAGGCAGACGTATGTTTATTGCGGCACTATTCACAATAGCAAAGACTTGGAACAACCAAAATGTCCAACGATGATAGACTGGATTAAGAAAATGTGGCACATATACACCATGGAATACTATGAACCCATAAAAAATGATGAGTTCATGTCCTTTGTAGGGACATGGATGAAGCTGGAAACCATCATTCTCAGCAAACTATCGCAAGGACAAAAAACCAAACACCGCATGTTCTCACTCATAGGTGGGAATTGAACAATGAGAACACTTGGATACAGGAAGGGGAACATAACACACCGGGGCCTGTTTTGGGGTGGGGAGAGTGGGGAGGGATAGCATTAGGAGATATACCTAATGCTACATGACGAGTTAATGGGTGCAGCACACCAACATGACACATGTATACATATGTAACAAACCTGCACGTTGTGCACATGTACCCTAAAACTTAAAGTATAAAAAAAAATAAGTAAAAAACATTGTTAGCTATTGGGGCCATACAGGCGTATGCCAAATCCAAATTTAGCTCTTGGGACTATAGTTTGCCAATCAGTGCTCCACTCCAAAATGTGTTCCCAAACCTAACTGTTGCTGTCCTCAACTACTAAATTACTTAGAAGGATCTCTGTCTCCTTCCTCCTCTACCATGTTAGTCTACTCTTTGGTTTTCCTGCTCTTGCCCCTACCTCCAACCCATAGCTCCACAGAGCAGCTAAGTGTTCTTTTAAATAAGACGTGCCATGTCTCATGTCAAGGAAAACTTCCTAGAAGAACCTATAAAAAATAATGTAGTACGATGTTTTTGTTATACTTCAAGAATTGAGACTTTTTCATGGAGAGAAAAGAGAGAGAAGGGGTGGTATTTCTAGAAAGGCAGGATAGCTCTGACCACTTCTAGTTTTATTTTAATGAATGCTGTTACTTGTTAACATTGGTAGTTAAAAATAAGAAAAGAATCTGCGATTTATCATTGTATATAATCATTAGGGTTTTCATATTGAGATATTATTCTGGATTATAACTCAGTATTTAAGCTTAGAGCAAGTGAGGAAAGGAGGAGAAGGAGGAGGAAAAGGAAAGGAAAAGGAGGGGAAGAAGAAGGGGGTAGAGAAGAGGACAGAGGGAGGAAGAGGAGAATACATACTCTGTTAACTAAAGTGGAATGAAACTCAATATTTACATTTACATTGTTTATCTCTCTTTGTGTTGCTCTGGTTCTTCATTGGTCTTGTCTTGCCTGTGCTAAACTTTTTCTATGACATTAAAGAGGTCTGGTGTGAAAATTGCCACTACCCTACTTCCTTGCTATTCCTTTCTGTCAGCTTCTTGAGGATATCTGGATGTGAAGCAGCTTTTCTTACCCTTGGAACCTTTGTCTACAGTTCTCCCTTCCTCTTCCTCTTCCTCTATCTCACTCATTCTCTCCTGTTTTATTAAGGGCCGAACATTATTGTATCGTTTCGCCAATATTTCTAATTCTTCTACAGCTCTTTAGTTTGCGCCACACAACTCAGCATTTTACCAACCCAGTTTCTTAAAGGAAGCAGATAATTTGCAGCGAAATTAAACATAGGTTCAATTACATATGTCAGTATGAATTAGATGCATGTTGCTGAGATATTTTCAAGAGTTCCTTATTAAAATAGTACTTCTTCCCCCTGAAAAGATGAAAATGCTTTTGTATCTATTGCCTCTTTGTTCTCATAAAGTTAGGTTTATTTTTTTTTCTTTTTTGAACTTAAGGATTGAGGTTAGTATTATTATCCCTGCTTTACATATGGTGAAACTGAAGCAGAGAGCAGGAAAACAATCTCCCCAAGGACACCCAGTGTATGTTCCAGCCGTGCCTGGGCCTCCCAGGTTCTGAGGGCCAGATCTGCACTTTTCTGCTGGTCTTACTGAGGGCAGTTAGAAGCTAAAGCAATTTCTAAGCTCTGATCCAAATTATTTGTAAGTCAAGGCCATTTGTTTGTACCTATTTTGAATACTTCAACCCTTTCGAGAGAATTCCAAATACACTTTTTCTAAATCAATATCTCTAAAACTTGGGTAATGTACAAATATCTTTTAAAGGATGAGTCCTCTTGGATTCTGAATGGACACAAATTGTTTTACTCACAATGTTACTTAAGTATTTACAAACAGAAAATTCTTTTATTTTACATATCCACAAACATATACATACATTATGCTTATTGTTCTACATCAAAAAAGCCAACCAAAATTACAGGTTAAATTTAAGTAGAACCATATTACTGAGAAACTTTAGCTGATCAACAACATTAATGTGAGAGATTATATTCTTTTAGGAAACATAATTAGCTGATCAAAAGCAATGTGTTCAGGCATGGGTTCTTTGGAGACTGGCGTTCTCAGGCTCCCCTGTACTGGGTGACCCCACCAGTCTGCTGCCACTTTCATTCTGTTGGAATGAAACTTCCATCCACTCAAGGCATTGTGATGTCACTGGAGGAAAGTACATAACTGATGTATTGATGTCTGCCTCTGCCCTTTTTTTCATTACCATACTATAAATACATTACTACCACTTGGTGCAAACACAAGCACTAAAATTGAATGGTGGTGTCCAATTATAAAGTCATGCCCCAGACAGTTCAGCAAATCTCTTTTACTAATTTTTATTAGATACCAACACAAGATTTCTTTTTAATTCTCACAAGAACTCACAGACTCTGGGGGTCAGAGGACTACAGTTGGAGAAATACTGCCCTACACTTCCTGGTTTAAGGCTGGGAGAAGCTGTCAAGAGTTTTCATGTCCAACCTTGGATTAAGCAGCTACCCACTGGGATGACTTAAGGGCAACCTAAGCCAAGAACCTCACCCCTACTAATTTGCTAGTGTACATGAATAATTCATTCCTTGTAAATGGAAGGACTGAACGACTCAACTTAAATTCAAATATATTACCCAGGAAGAATAATTAATAAGAGTTTATTCTGTAGCAGGCATTAATTTATTCTAATTATGCATGAAACAAAGCCTAGGGGAATGAGACATGGGATAGGTGAGTTTTGTTATCTTCGTAAGTCAGCATGTATTAAGTACCTGCTAGTATCAGAGATCGGCAGAGGTAAGCATGCAGTCCCATTCATGGTACCTGAAATCCAGTTGGTAATACAGAACAAATGGAACGAGAGGGGAAGCTTTGTTGGGATATAAGAGGGAGAAACCTAGAAACTAGGCAGCAGCAATAGCAGCTGACCCAGGCCATCTCTGTTTGAAGCTAACAGAAAAACAAAGCTGCCTGAATGGAAGACTTCAGGATAAGAAAAAAAAAAAACACCCTTTCCCACTTTACAGTTTTCTAGCCAGTCTTGAGACCCTTGCTCAGTTTTTAATGTGGAAGAACATTCTGCCACAAAAGGCAAATGATTCTCTAATTGCGGAATTTTCAATTTTCAGTTTCTTCCAGAACTTGCCTTTTTCCCCAAGTACTTTCCTTGACCTCTTCTGCACAATCCACTGTGAGTGCAAGGGGAAGAAATAAGTACCCCCTCTCAGCCTGTAGTCACATCTTCCCTCTCTCTATATGGCTATGGACGCAGTCCCAGAATTCTGGATTTCTTGCATGTCTGCCTTTAATAAGAAAGCAGAGTTTAAATAGGCTCTCACTATTGTTTCGCTGCTTCACACCCTCCTGGTTTGCTATTGTTCATGTTCAATGTGTGTTTCTCTACTAGGTACATAATTAACTTTCTATTTTTCCCTCACAGTTCAAAAGCTTACAAGTATAAAAGCTTGCTGTTGTAAATACATTGAAGAGAGAACACCATACTGTGTTTATGGGTGGGAAGATGGCTAGAAAATTTTTTCCAAGGAAAAGGAAATAAACATGTATCCGAAGTCCCTGAATACACGGTCATCTGCATGGTCTCAAATCTCCATACCCTCTCTGAGGCATGAATTATCACCTCCATACAGGGAGAAGAGAAATCGAGGAACTTACAGAAGGTTCACATAGCTAGTGTCAGAGCTCCTATGTGAACCTCTATGTTAACTCCAAACCATTTGTCATTTCCTCTTGCTGCACTACCCCTCATGGGATTCCTCTTCCATGGTCTTTGTCTCCAGAAGCTGAGGATAGATGGGGCCACCTGAGCATGCAGTGAACACAGAGAGCACTTCTGGGTTGGGCAGCTTTAATTTCTCTCTAATGATACCTTCTCAGTTCATTCTCTGGGTTCTTGGTTATCTCTCTCCCCTCCGCTTCTTCTTTTCTCCAGCCCTGTCTTTTTTTTTCTCTTTTTTTTTTTTTTTTTTTTGTAGTGGGCAGGCTAGGAGGCATGATTAGGATTGATGGAGGAGGGGAACTATTCCAGTTCATTTATTTTTTCCCTGTCCAAAGCCCAGTTTCGGCATGGAGATGTGTTGGAGCCAGTAGTGGTGCACAGACCACCAGCTGTGCTTGCAGTGATCCAGCCAAATATCATCTTAAATACAGGGCTGAGTCTCAGAAGGCACATGGAAGGGGCCCCCTTTTCCCTATTCTATCCCAGACTCCTGTACTCCTTGGAACACAGGGAGAAGGGCTCTTAACTAAAGTACAAAGGGCATGGTGCCCAGCTCTGCTTTTCAAAGAAACTATGTTCCTCTCAGAATACACCTCACAGAATCACGTTACTGTCAGTGGAGGAAAAAACCAAAACCTACAACAGTTCAACAGTCAATGCAAAGGGCTTCAGAAACCTTCATTAATTTGGTTATTTGGCTGAATGCTCAGGCCCTTTGCTTTTCTCCTTAGTGCTGCCTCTTTTTGAGTGTTTCTTTGCCTCTTTTTGAGAGAGAGGGGAACATTCAGCTTTGATTTTTGTTTGCAGCTTGGTGACAAATGATGGGGGGAAATTTAAACCATTCATCTACTGAGTTCTGGGAATTGTCAGAGGATTTTATTTGTACAGTGATTTTCTGACCTCCATTTTCTCAGAGAAGTAAAAATCATGCTGCATTTGTAAACAAGGTACTTTTATTAAGTTGAACTTTTACAAACATATGGTATATTTAGCCAAAATAACACTGTTATTTAAGGCAAGTACATCCAAAGGGCTAGCATGTAGAATTATGTTTGATTAATGTGCACTCAAAAGCTGTTACACAGTAAGCATAATTTCAGTTTGTGGAGTGTCTTAAATTTACTTTGTAATTTAATGTGAAGCCACATAAGTCAGAGTTGAAAGACATTTGTCTTTGCATTTTAATAATAGAAATCCATAGCATGTTACATGGACTTTCAAGTAAAGCAATCACTATTCTAAACTTGAAAGTTTCTTTTTTTAAAAAATATAAATTGCAATGCCTTGGAGCACAAAAAGAAATAGGAAAATTCAACCATTAAGCATTTGAAATGGGCTAATTTGAAGTGCTTGAAGCGTGTTTTGCCATGCTGAGTAAATTTTTCCCTTCCTAGTAACTGAAAAAGTATAAAACACTAAGTATCTGTACTTAGCTCACTAGTAAAGAAAATTTAACCCATGAATAGTAGTACTGCTATTATAGAGGTAGTTTGTAAAAGTTTATGAACATGCAAACCACCAGGATTTTTTTTTCTGTTCTACTATTTTCTGTTGCCTTATTTAGTTTCTTGCAAAGTTGCTCAAATGCCATCTCTCTCACTCACACCTTGAATTCTCAATTTAAAATTTTTCATGCATGGTATTTATCATATATATGTATATATACATAGATGTGTGTGTGTGTGTGTGTGTGTGTGCACGTGTGTATTTCTTGGTTAGAAGCTCTTTTTGAGCAAAAAGTCCTGGAATTTCAAAACTGCATAAACGTATGGCATACATACATATTAATAATTGATTTGTGTAAGTTTTGACTCTTATTATGTGGGAAGTATTGCAGGGTAATGCCATTGTTCTGCTTTACTGGCTATTCATTTTTGCTAAGCCATAATAATATATGTTGACTAGATATTATTATACTATTTTCAATGTTCTTAATTGTCAACCACAGAATCAACTCTAGCTAGTTTAAGTAGAAAATAATTTATTAAGAGGGATAAATCACTCTGAGAATCATTGGGAGGGCAAACTTGCAGAACTAGGCTGAGTTTCCAGGAATGGCTCACAAAACAGAATTTCCTGGGACTGCCAAGGAGCTGTTGTCTCCACCAATCTGGAGGCTGCATAATCAGGAAGCCACTGTTCCACTGTAGCCTCTGGATCCAGAGCCCCATCACCTCTGCTGTGATTCAGGCCAACAAAACAGGTGCCACACACTCTGCCGGTCTCTCATTTGACTCATTTTTTGAAACAAAGTCTGGCATGACTACATCTGATTGGCAGAAAGTATATCTCATCTGGAACTCTGGCTGTAAGAGCAAGATTGGGAAGGGTGAGAGGATTTTGAATTGCACTCAAACATTACAGGGCATTGGAAGAAGTGTTGAGATAGCCCATCTTCAGAATCCACTCCAGTTAAGAGCCTTGACTTGTCTAATCTATTAAGATTCTGTGCCATTCAGTTGCTTGAAAATTGTTGGAGGAGTGTGCAGAATACAGAATCTTCCTATAAGGTGATCAGTCAGCAGCCTGGCTTTTTCATTGAACTCATGGTGTACAGGGCATTTCCCCTGAATCTATGAGTCCCCAGAGAAGAAGAGTTCACTATCTTTCCTGGTAGGGACAGGGAAGCCCATCTGGCTGCTGGCGTTCTGGGGCAGGGCAAGAAATGGGCTGAAGGACAACATTTTAGTATGTAGACTTTCACTAAACTCTCTGGTTTTGACCCCACCCCTTGCTGTTCACCCTGCCTGGTATCTCTCAGCCTGAAACTTCTTTGGTATAATTTCTCTAGGAAAAAAGCCTCTTGTCTCCTGCTGAAGGTAAGAATGAGTTGCCGTGAGTAGAAAAGGTAGTCCTGTGCCAACAATTGTCTTGTGTACTTCTGGTTTTTTTGAAACAGGATCTCACTCTGTCATCTAGGCTGGAGTTCAGTGGCATGATCTCAGCTCACTGCAACCTCTGCCTCCTGGGCTCAAGTGATCCTCCCACCTCAGCCTCCTGAGTATCTGGAATCATAGGCGCCACCACATGTGGCTAGTTTTTTAAAAAAAATTTTGGAGAGACATGGTCTCACTATCTTGCCCAGGCTGGTCTGAAACTCTTGGGCTCAAGCGATCCTCCTGCCTTGGCTCCCCAAACAACTGGGATTACAGGCATGAGCTCCTGTACCTGGCCTGTTTTGTATGCTTCTATACATGGACTTCTGTCTGATCCCGCTGCCACAACCTCACTACCATACCCACGCATGTGGGTACCAGGTGTCTCCAAGGACAAGAAGCCAAATGAGGTGGTTTCTCCTCCATTCTTTCCCCCTGTAGGTATTTGGAGAATAACCCTTTTCTTTATGCTAGGTCAACAAATCCTCCTTTGTCTCTTCTCTCTTAGAAAGCTTTTGAAAATATTTTGTTCACTATTTTTCCTCTCCCATTTCTTTGTTATTGTGGATTAATATCTTTTTAAATTATTTTACTATTATAATATCATAGTAGGTTTGGGAGAAGGAGAAGAGATACATATATATGATCGATCTGCCATCTTTAGTCATAAGTCCTTTAAATTTATTCTTTAGTGTGTTTATCATTATTACATTACCAATCTCATATGTACAAATATGTAGGACTATTTCTCTAAATTTAAGAATATAGAGATTAAATATAAATATATGAGAACAAAATCCTTAATGTTCTCACTTTCAAATTATAAAGTACTTTTTTTAGTGGGAGGAAAGGGGAATGTGCATTTCAAGGATATTAGCTGTATCTGAGAATACAGGGCAATATATGCTAAGTGAGGAAAAAAATACATGGCCGAAGAATGTCATGAGAATGGAAAAGGGAGCCCTCCCATGGGCTTGTAAGGCCAGAAAGCCTTCCTGGAGGAGGTGGAAATTGAGCTGGACTCTGAAGAGGAGGTAGGAACCAGGAAGAGAGCAGGATCTCCAGCTGGGGTAATGTCAAGTGTGACTGGTTATCTTTCTCCTGCCAAGTGGAGATATCCTAGTGTGTAGCTCCCTTTCAGGATCTGAGTAGGTACGAGGGTGCAGCCATGAAGCCAGTGGTCTAAAGACCGTGGAGTTTTCTTGAGACTACTAGAACAGTCCATCAAACACAGGGAGTTTATACAGTGCTCAAGAGAAAAAGGTTAAAAAGTGCTGTTGATGAGCAACCTGCTGGTTCACAGATGCTCTTTACTATTCAAAATATAATTCTGATTAAAGCAAGGAATTAAAATCCAAATAAAAAGATGCATAGTTTATACTTTGAGTTTCATACTTGTACATCTCTATAGTTATAACTTCTTTTTTTTTATTATTATACTTTAAGTTTTAGGGTACATGTGCACATTGTGCAGGTTAGTTACATATGTATACATGTGCCATGCTGGTGCGCTGCACCCACTAACTCGTCATCTAGCATTAGGTATATCTCCCAATGCTATCCCTTCCCCCTCCCCTCACCCCACAACAGTCCCCAGAGTGTGATATTCCCCTTCCTGTGTCCGTGTGATCTCATTGTTCAATTCCCACCTATGAGTGAGAATATGCGGTGTTTGGTTTTTTGTTCTTGTGATAGTTTACTGAGAATGATGATTTCCAATTTCATCCATGTCCCTACAAAGGACATGAACTCATCATTTTTTATGGCTGCATAGTATTCCATGGTGTATATGTGCCACATTTTCTTAATCCAGTCTATCGTTGTTGGACATTTGGGTTGGTTCCAAGTCTTTGCTATCGTGAATAATGCCGCAATAAACATACGTGTGCATGTGACAAAATTGACAAATGGGATCTAATTAAACTAAAGAGCTTCTGCACAGCAAAAGAAACTAGCATCAGAGTGAACAGGCAACCTACAAAATGGGAGAAAATTTTCGCAACCTACTCATCTGACAAAGGGCTAATATCCAGAATCTACAATGAACTCAAACAAATTTACAAGAAAAAAACAAACAACCCCATCAAAAAGTGGGCAAAGGACATGAACAGACACTTCTCAAAAGAAGACATTTATGCAGCCAAAAAACACATGAAAAAATGTTCATCATCACTGGCCATCAGAGAAATGCAAATCAAAACCACAACGAGATACCATCTCACACCAGTTAGAATGGCAATCATTAAAAAGTCAGGAAACAACAGGTGCTGGAGAGGATGTGGAGAAATAGGAACACTTTTACACTGTTGGTGGGACTGTAAACTAGTTCAGCCATTGTGGAAGTCAGTGTGGCGATTCCTCAGGGATCTAGAACTGGAAATACCATTTGACCCAACCATCCCATTACTGGGTATATACCCAAAGGACTATAAATCATGCTGCTATAAAGTTATAACTTCTTAAAAGCAATAAACACCAGATTTTAGTTTTCAACAGCATGTGGAAATATTATTCTGGTATTCTCAATATTTGCATAGCCTCTCATTATTCTTTGATACTTTGATTATTGTATGAGTCAGTCATCATCTCTGAGTCCTTGAACTAGGCAAAGCACTATACCAGCCCAGGAGGGGGCTGTTCATATGTTCATTCAGCAAGTGTTTGCTGAATGTCTATGATGCAACCAAAACTAATAAGGAAATAATTTATTTCCTCAAAGAGTTGATGGTTTGGTAGCAAAGTCAGCACACAACTACAGAGTAACAGGGGAGCAAGACACATAGAATGATTAACAACGATAATAAATAAAGGTAATAATAGTAATGGAGTTGCTTGTTTCTTTAGGGGTTTATCTTGTAGTTGGAAAGGCAGAGCATAGACACACTTAGGTGAAACATATAGACTCTTAGAAAGTAAGACAAAAGCACAAAGTGACAGTGTAAACCAAGCACAGGGTATCCGACCAGGGTGCGAGGAACCAAGCACAAGGGATCAGATGGGAATGTGAGGAATCCTGGCAATGGTGGAGGAGGCCCTTGCCATGCTGGCCATGGTGGGAGCTTCTGATGGCTCTAGAGCACCACAGGCTTGACTGAGATTTGGTGGACACATCAAAGTGCCTGGTTGGGTAGACATGGTATCACAGGAGTAGTTTGAATGAAAGGTTCAGTGAACTGCACTCACATTTCTGGGAGACGTGTTTGCTCAGTTAGAAGTCACAGGGAGCTAGATAGAGCTGCTCCATGTAGAGCACCTGAAGACAGAGGGCAGACCATAAGGTTCCAGCCAGACGGAGGTCAGGGCAGAGTCCTGCCACTGTGGGAACACTTGGAGGATAAGGCTGCCAGGTGGACCGGCTAGGGAACAAGGATCTGGAAATTTAGGCCTGTGTTCTAGTCATCCACAGGTGTATTAGTCCATTCTCACACTGCTATAAAGAACTACCTGAGACTGGATAATTTAAGAAGAAAAAAGGTTTAATTGACTCACAGTTCTGCAGGCTGAACAGGAAGCATGACTGGGAGGCCTCAAGATATTTACAGTCACGGCTAAAGGTGAAGAGGGAGCAAGCACCTCTTTCACATGGTGGCAGGAGAGAGAAAGAATTAAGGGGAAAGTGCCACATATACTTTTAAACCATCTGATCTCATGAGAATTCACTCATTACCACAAGAACAGCAAGGGGGAAATCCACCCCCATGATCCGATCACTTCTCACCAGGTCCTTCCTCCAACATTGGGAATTACAACTAGAGATGAGATTTGCATGGGGAGACAGAGCCAAACCCTATCAACGGGCATTCCAGGGGTGTCTTAGAGGCAATACCAGGGTGAGAAGATGAGTTTAATGGACAGGTTTCCTCATAGCCCCACTTGCTGCAATCAGAGGAGCTCCACTTTTTAATCTATTTAATATATAGGACTTGTCAGAATTTTTTTTTAATCAACGGATTCTACTGATTAAAAAAATAAGTCTGCAATTGTGATGGGAAAAGACAAGAAGGCTGGAAAATGAGACCTATAATACTTTTAGAAAAAAATGTAAATTAAGTCTGAGCTAGATAATCTCTTTTGAGGCAAAGAGAAGCAGAGTGGCAAATAGGCAAAGGTATTTCTAGTGGAAGAGATAGTTTAGTCAAAGATGAGAAGATACAATTAGAAACGTTCTGTGTGGAAAATGAAAATGCATGGACTTTCCTGGGAAGCAGGAATCCCATGGCTGGTGCAGTGGGTACAGTGAAGAGTTTGAATTTACTCTGGCGGGCAATCCAGTGTCTCAGAAAATGAGGTGTGGGTGAGGAGCATGATGAATATGTATGGTTACATAACTCTGTGTCAGTTACTCAGAGCATGAAGGGCTTGGATTAATATATGGAGCCATCACATTTTTCTTGGCTTTGGTCCCTACCCATAAACCCAGGATAATGTCTCCAGTTTCCCTGCTTGCAAACATTCTGGCCACAATGCATCAAAGAAAAAAATGAGACTTTGTTAGGAAAAATATTGATCAACATTATTATCTCTTGAGCAACAAGCAAATTATAATAATTGAATACTCCATGGTATCTCATGAGTTTTCAGTATTCTGCAAAAACATTTATCGTCCCTGGGTGAGGAATCTTTTTAACTTGGACATATCTATGCACTACTGTCCTGTCTTTGGACTGAGTTCTTGGTGGCATAGTCATTCTGTTACTCCTCTGTTGGCTGGCACAGTGGTACTTCGCGTGTGGTCTACGCACGTTTTTGGTGCGGATGTGTCAGAGAAATGTTCCATTCATTGCCAGGAGAGTAGTGTAGCACTGAGAGAGGACAAATAAATATCAGTTTCTCAATAGGAGAAAAAGACAACAATTAGGAGTATAAAATATGGCAAATACAATAATAGAGAACACACATGGAATGTTATATGAGTATAAGAAGGGGGTGGTAAAAACTAGGAATCTTTGTTCTAGTGAAGCATAAGTACTCTCTGCAACATAGAATATTCTGTTAGTCTGTCATAGAACCTGTTTGTAATTTGATTATTTGATAGCTTGAGAAAGATTGTCATGTTTCAGAATGTTAGAGCAAGCAAGTGAAGAATTTAACAAATATCACATATTTAAAAAATTAATTTGGTGCCATTAGTGCATATTTAAAAAACATATTTGGTGCCATTAGCGGCTTTTTCGTATGTTAATATTTCTCTTTATTACTCTATTATTATTTCTTATTTATTTATTTATTTATTTATTTATTTATTTATTTGTTTATTTTGAGACAGTTTCGCTCTTGTCACCCAGGCTGGAGTGCAATGGCGTGATCTCGGCTCACTGCAACTTCTGCCTCCTGGGTTCAAGTGATTCTCCTGCCTCAGCCTCCCAAGTAGCTGGGATTACAGGCATCCACCACCACACCCAGCTAATTTTTGTATTTTTAGTAGAAACAGGGTTTCACCATGTTGGCCAGGTGGTCTCAAACTCCTGACCTCAGGTGATCCACCCACCTCAGCCTCCCAAAGTGCTAGGATTACAGGTGTGAGCCACCATACCTGGCCTTTATTCTTATTCTTATTCTAATATAATCTCTTTTAAGTTCTACCATTTTTGAAAACTTTTCATCAGTTCATATCTCCTAGGAGCAGAATCTATGCTTTTTTTTGTATGCTTTTGAAGTATATTGGATTACCACAGTACATTTATGTGTTAAAGGTTTGTATGAATCAAATCAGAGATATTGGTTTAGGTTAGTAAAACTTCATCTAACAAACTGTATGATGCTAAGCAAAATACTGTAAGTTAATTTAAAATCAATCTTTGAAGCATTAAAACTAAGTGTTTTTATTCACCTCTGGTTAATTTTTACACAATGGTCTAGGTAGGCCCAGCATGTTGGGGTTTTATTTATTATGGATCATCAGCAGTCAATGTTTATTAAGCAATGTCTGTATATACACCAATGTAATAACTGTTACATGTAAACACAAAAGAATGATGACATAATCTTTACCCTCAAGGAACTTCCAATCTGTGCTTGAAGAGGCAAGCTAAACATAAATAAAGATTGCCATGCTAGATCGCCTATGACAAAAATTGTGGAAAATTTGAGAGTTATAGAAGAAAAAGGTCTATGATGTGCTATAATCAGGAGGTGGCCTTGAAATAAATTTCAAGGCCACAAGAACCTGCCTTCTTTCAGAGAAGGCGTTCCTGGCAAATAGAAGACAACACAAAGGCAGAGATAGAAATAAACATGGCAATCAGTCTAGACTTTGTAAAGATTTAGTAGTCAAAAGCAGTGTCTGTCAGTTAAGCATTTCATATAGTTTTCTTCATAGAATTTTTACTTGATTATCATATATATGTGACTATCAAACATCTTAATCAACACCTGGCTTTGGTTGTCAGACATTTTCAAATCAATTCAATAATATTTATAATATACACTGTAAGAATTTTTATGCCTAGCATCATGCTAGGCATTATATAGAAACAAGGAAGGACTCATAGTCTTACCTTTGAAGATGTTGTTGCTTTAATAGAAGAAAAGGTATGAACAAATACAATAATTAAAGCTGTCATCAAACCAAGGCTACTCAAATAATTCAAGTTATGAAACTCCCTATGTATAAATTGCCACGTGAATAAAGTCCTCCCAGTCCTTTGCATATGCAGGTCCTTTGCATATGCAGGAGCTATTCCCCCACACACCTGATCCTCTGCTCATACCCATTGTATCTCCTTCTAGTGCCTAAGTTATATTGATGGTGCTCTGCCAGCTAGAGACCATCACTGCGCACTTGCCAAGCCCATACCTATCTCTCATTGACTCTCTGGTTTCCTTTCAAGGTCAGCGAGCACATACTGTAGTCATCCCATAATTCCCACCTTCTACCACCTTGGTTCCTCTGCCTTTTACTACTCATTGTTCAGTTACTTCCACCTCAGACCCCTTTCACACAAAGATGCACCCTTTTTGGACCTGATCTGTTTCTTCCGTTTCTTCTAACTCTTGCCAAGTGAATTCAGGGAAAGAACACTACACTGATGCTCTCATGTTCCCTCTCTCTTTGAACAAAAATATCTCTATCATCCTGGATGCCTCCCATAGAAATATTGCTGGCGACCCTCCTGTATTGAGGAAAGATACTATATTTAAATATGAAGAAAAGAATGGTGTTGAATCAGTGACCTCAGCCTCTGAAGCCTTTGAAAGTATGCAGAAGTTCTTTTATGAATCTCTATTAAAAAAATCTTTCTCTAGAAGTTTACCAGTGCTTCCTTCAAAATGTCTACTCAAGATAAAATGTTTAAAATATCAAATTTCATTTCTTATTTATTACAAAAAAATGCTGTAAATTTTTGTTTTTCTCCATAACATAGAATATTATCTGTTAGTCTGTCATGAAACTTGTTTCTAATCTGATTATTTATTAGCTTGAGAAAGAATGTTATCTTTCAGAATGTTAGAGCAAGCCAGGGAATAATTATAACAAATATCACATATTTTAAAAATAAATTAAAACAACTTAAACAACTATATTGTGTAAGCTTATATAAACTGCTTAAACAATATATAAGCTACTTAAACAAGAGAGTTGACTGAACATTCTAAATTCCAAATGAGCAACGTTCACATAAATTTTCAAATGTAATGCACTTATAAATTGAAGCTGTCTCGTATAGTTTGAAATGAATAGAATAAATAATACCTATTATATTAATATAAGGGAGAGAGATGGGAGGTGACAGAAACAGACAAATGGTTACAAGTTTGAGAAAATCTTTTGCACAGAAAGTAGAACTTGAACTGAACTCTGAATACTAAACATTGCTATGTTAGGGAACTATTGAAGGAATATCTCAAGTTGGGAAAAGATGTATTTGGAAAAGATGTATTTGGTTGAAACAGAAACTTCTTATGGAGGAGAAAAGAAGACATTGGCCAATCAGGATTGAGCCAATTTGTAAGTGTTTTTAAACCTCTTCACATTAAAGAGGTTAGTGGATTTTCTTCCATAAACAATGGAAAGCTATTGAAAGTTCTGAAGGATTGCAATGAATTTGACAAAATCGTTTTCAAAAATCATCTTCTCTGGTGATGTTAGAGAAATTGGAAGGCAAGAGACTAGATAGGAGACCATTTGTGACCACATGCTTGTGAGATGCCAGGGACCTGGAATAATGTTGTGGGAATGTCAAAGGAGGGGAACTAGGACAAACTCTTCAAACACGATGTGACAAAGTCTTGAAGTAATAAAGGAGGCAAGAAAAGACGATGGGTCAGAAATGATAGTGAGGTTTCAGATGGGGTGACAGGGAGAATGAAGGATAAACCTGATAGCAGAAACAGGGAGGTCAGAAGGAAAAACTGTTTGGATGGATGAGAGGAAGGAAAGAGTTAAGTACATGGGGTATTTAGTGCTATCAGTAGAAATTTAATGGAACTACATATGTCATTTAAAATTGTCTGACAGCCAACTTCAAAACAGTAAGAAAAAACAGGTGAAATTATGTTTAATAATGCTTTGTTTACCCCCAATATATTCAAAATGTTATTTCAACATATAATCAATTAAAAAGTATTACCAATATAGTTTACATTCTCGTTTTAAGTTTTTGAGATCTGGGGTCTATCTTGCATTTCTAGCTAATCCCAGTTGAGCTACATTTCAAGTGCTCAGTAACTGCCTGTGGCTAGTGGCTACCATATTGGGCAGCACATTATTAGGCAGTCATAGAACTGACAAAAAAGATTTAGCACACTTCTTGATTAAGATGATGCTAAGACTGTATTTTGGAAATTATAATTCTGTATATTATTTCTCCTTCTCTATTTCTTTTGTTTATTTTAGCTATTTTAGATTCATGATGTTCTTTTAGCAGAACATCATTCTTTCCCCAAAGCACCAAGACTTTTTAGAAATATCCATGATATACTTTTTTATTGCCTAGAGTTGCTGCTGTCTCATTTAATTCTCCATTTGACTTACAACTTTAATAAATACATGTCTGAATACATTTTCTTCTTCCTTTGTCAGTCTTCAAAGTTTTGATTATGAAATAATTTAGCAATGTGTCCTCAAAGCCTGGGATAAATGACATTTAGTACTTTGGATATGAGGACCATTTTTCATGTTCCCCAGGCTGCATATGTGTGTGTATTTCTCTCATGTTTAATATCTGGCATAAACTTGCTGGAGTTTTGGTCTTCACGATATGCTAAAGAATGCAGTATAAAAGAGAGCCTACTTCTATAGAAAACAAGCCAAGGACATTGTGTTCCATCTTTACAATGAAATTCAGATTTCCCATTAAAAGGCAAATCTATCATTTCAAAAGGTTGAATAGGATGGTAGTTTAAAAGAATCCAGCTGCTTAAATTTAGGGCACTGAAAAACATTCAATAAAAAAAATGTTCCCTGGGTCTCAAGCATTTTCATTTGATTATGTATTGGATAGATTTTCATTAGGCCTAGAATTTTGCCTCTTAGAATTCTGTCCTAAAATAGTTTGACAACTGTTTTGAGAAAGCTGGACTCAACTATGGTATCTCATTTACGATTAAATTATGTATTTGCTGTTTAGAATATTCTTGTGTTTGATAATATATTCTTAACTTTTGTTGTAGAAATATTGGACTAATTTTGCAGTGCTTTACTTTTTCATGTTTATTGTTGAGCCTCTCTCACTCCTATTTAGTTTCCTTTATGTTTCTTCTTTTCTTTGGAGACATTGTCAGAACAGCTATTTTGTTCTCTAAGCGACTTCCTTCAATGTTTTCAGTCACCTGTTCACACGTGACTTTATTTTTGTAGCCAAGTAGAATGCTACCTTTTTGCTATTCTAATGTGCTCTGCCCAACTTTTTTCTGATTAATTTAGGAGTAGGAAGTGGAAAGGTGGGTGATACTCCCTACAATACAACATGTTACCCACAAACTGATTAGGGAGCACAGAAGAGCTCTATGCTATGCAGCTGAGCTACAAATTCTTAAGGAAGTAGTCTATATGCTGTAGGAACAAAAGGATTTATGTCAGACATATTTGTATGATGCACGTATTTCCCATGGGCATTAATAGTCGTTTATTAAAAGTTATGACTAAGTCTCCATTCTCTCCAGCTCTGGACTTTAGCCCTGCTCTCTTTCACGGGTAACACCAGAGATGTAACCTGGGACCATACAGAGGACCATGGTTAACAAGGGCAGCGCTTGTTATACCCCTGGTAATAGGTATTTACTAGGTTTCTTAAATTGAGTATTTGGCTCTCTCCTACTGGTTGTTAGGCATTTTTACATGTAAATAATATTGCCCGTGGGCCAGTCCCTAAAAGTAAATGTTTCCAATAATTTTTTGGCATCCAATGTTTTACTAACACTAATTTGGTCGCATTTGCAGACCTTACCTCTTCAATGTTCATATTCTTCCTAAACAATTGTTTATTTTGAAAGAGAGTTTGTTCTAGTCAATATCAGTCCACTTCTAATGAATTTTTCCCCAAAGAGCTCAACAATTTTATGGAATAATTCTTTTTCAGAATTCATATTTTATTCTAGACCCAAATGAGCAAGTACTTTTTATGCTTTATCATAGTTTATGGGGGGTATTTCATACTGGGGTCCTGTGCTTCCACTCCCCTGCCAACACTGGCTATCAAAACTGCTTAGGCTGCAAATAAAACAAGAAATGAAATCCATCTGGCATTTCTCATTGAATTAGGACCAGAACATTTTTGTTAAATATTAACAGATGGCTAAAGTCTTAATATCAAACTAACATTTAAAAACATCTAAAAGGACCCACATGAGGGGGAAAGGACGGAGGACCATGTGTTTTCTTCATCTCAGAGCCCTTCCTGTACACCATTCCCCCCGCCATTTTTCCAACCACATGTTGAGAATCACTGGGGCCTCCTATCTCTAATAACTTTTATTCCTTAATAGCTGGTATCAAAATGGCATGTGATGATATTATCAAGATAGTGTAATCAAGTGTTAGCCAACTCAGGTGATGTGTTGCCATTGGCATGCCTCAAGATCTTTTATTAAAGTCAATTTTCTGTCTCTCCTCTCCTCTCCTCTCCTCTCCTCTCCTCTCCTCTCCTCTCCTCTCCTCTCCCTCTTTTCTTTCTCTCTCTTATAATAGGAAAAAGAAAAGAAGTACATGCTTCCCTTGGACAACCTGAAAGTTCGGGATGTGGAAAAGAGCTTTATGTCTAGCAAGCACATCTTTGCACTCTTTAATACAGAGCAAAGGTAAGAAATTGAAACAGTTCCTGTCTTCAGATTTTTTTCCTTGAAGTTCTACATGATTCAGAGATCATATTTGAAAATAGTTCCTTTGGTCACACCTTGAAATTTGTCTGCTCTTCAGTTTTCCTTTCATTTATTTTGTATTTTTAAATTCCACCATGGGTTATGGCTTCAAAATATAAAAACTCAGACTAAAAAAGATCTTCAAGTGTTAACTAATTATTTCTTGCTTTTCCACCTGGCATGAAAATAATTCTTCATCCATTTTTTTTTTCTTTTTGAGACGGGATCTCACTTTGTCATCCAGACCGGAATACAGTGCTATGATTATGATTCACTGCAGCCTCGAACTCCTGGGCTCAAGCAATACTCCTACCTCAGCCCTCTAGAGTAGCTGGGACTACTGCGTGCATGCCACTGTGTCTGGATAATGTTTTAAAAATTGTTTTGTATGCAGTTGACCTCAAACTACCTGGGTGCAAGAGATTCTCCTGCCTTGGCCTCCCAAAGTGCTGGGATTACAGGCATGAGCCACTGCACCCAGTCTGTCTGTTCTTAAAGCTACATTTTGTTACCTTAAAGTCTTTCTTGTCCCAATATATTGTTTACATACTTACAAACTACTCTATGATAATTTTTAAAGTATCTGTCTAACATGAATGGATATCACTTAAGCTCTTCTTGAAGAGCGGACAAATTTCATATACTATGACTAAATTCAGGGAATAGAATTATTCAGTTATGGCAAATAAAAATGTATAGTATTTTACAGTTTTTCAAAGTGCTCTCTACATTCATTGTCATTGGTTTTTGTAACAATTGCCTTTGAGATCAAAAGGATACAGTTACAAATAAGAAAGCGTAGGCTCAGGGATGCTAACTCACTTTCTTAAGGTCATAAAACTGGTGCATGGGGGAGCTGGAACTTGTATTAGGACTTCCTCTAAGTACACTTTTCCTTCCACTCATTTTCCATTGTGTGCTTATTTTGTTCTGCTGTTCATGTGCAGTATCAAAACTGTATTTTGAGCTGACCATCACAGAGTGCCATGATCTTCACTGAAACTTAGCAGTAAAGTTAAATAAGCAAATGGAGAGGTAAGAGAGGATGGACTAGAGAAGTATAAAAGGGGTACAACTAGGAAAGGATAATAAAGGAGAGTTTTTCCAAATGAAAATGTTATAGGAAAAAGCTAATTAAAATTTGTGTGAGTCAGTTATTAACACAGTAAGTCATTAGGTAACAGAATCTAATTTTAACCCATTTTTTGAGGCTGCCTTTTATCTTTATTTAGCAATGAATGAAGTTACTTGATTAGGTTCAATGACTGGCCCAGGGTCAATCACACAGTAAATTAAAATAGCAAAAGAAGACGTCTTCCTACATTCCCAGTCAGTTGCTCAGAGTGACTCATAATACAAAAATACTTAGTAAAACCACAAAGCAAGCCATTTAAAGAATCGACAGGAAAGAAAATTAAGTACAACTAACTCCCCTACCAAATATTCAAATGGGATTTTTGAAGACAGTATTATTTGAGAGCAGCTTATGAAAACACACTGAAAATAATAAAGAATAAAAAGGTTTTCTAGAGAGAATAGTAGTGAGTCTGCCACACTGCAGCCAAGCTCAGTACTAGTTTACATGCCTTCATCAGAGCAGCAGAGACTCAGGAGATTCTAAAGCAATCATCAGAGGTGTGCTCAGCCTTCTTGCCTAGATGCAGAGTGGAACAGGTGACTGCCAAACAGGAAGTCAAACAAAATTGAATCCATGGTCAACCTGAAAAGTTCAGGTTATAAAAAAGCTGGGTGTAAGGTAAAAACAAGGCTATGGTAGACTATCATTTTTCATAAAATACAACTGTGGATTTTAAAGACAGCAAAAGTCACCGAAATAAGGAAACTGTGGACTTTGAAAAATCTAGATATTTTGGGATCTTGGAGTTCTAAAAAGGTATTGAATTCTGCTGCCACTTCTCAGTGACCTCAGTGAGTATATAGATGTACCCACATTGGCCATTGTCTTCTCCTTTGAAATGCTGATTCCTTTAAATCATTTTTGTGCTGGCAAGGACCTCCAGTGCAATGTTGACCACAAGCTGGAATCCTTGTCTTATTTCTCATTTTAAGGCTAATTTAAGGATGATTTTAAAAATTGTATAGTGAAATACCTTTTGATAGATGTCTGATATCAGGTGAAGATTTCTTGTGTTTCTAGTTACTAAGGTTTCTGTTTTCATTTTTAAATCATGCTTAGGAGTTGAATTTTATCAACCTCTCCACCTGGAAGATTGTATGATTCTTCTTCTTTAATCTGTTCATGTGGTGAAATATACTAATAGACCTTCTGATGTTAAACCATCCTTTGTCTCCTGGGATTAAATTTAGTTAGGTCACAATGTGCTATTCTTTATTATGAGTTCTTGGTTTAAGTTTGCTAGTATTTTAGCAAATGCTAAAATGAGTTAGATTGGCCCATAAATTTCCTTTTTATATTATTTCTGCCTGGTTTTAATATCAAGGTTCTGTTAGCTTCATAAATTGAGGTGAGAATAAGTCCTTATTGTTCTTTGGAACCCTTCATAAAAGGTAGGGATTAACTATTAGCTGACTGTTTGGTGGAAGTAACCTGTAAAATCATCTGGCCCTAGGAAGTATTTTTGGTAAGTAGGCTTTTAACTAGTGATTGAATATATTTAATGATTTCAGATTTATTTAGGTTTTCTGTTTGTTCCATGGATCCATTTGAATAATTGTATTTTTTCTAGAACATTGTCCATTCTGTTTTGCTTTAAATATATTGCACCAACTATTTCTTAATATTTTATTTTTCTAAGTCTCTGTTGTATCTGAAATTTGACTGATTTTTATTTCTAATATTAATCCTTATCTTTTTTTATGATCACTCTTGCTAGAGTTTTGTGTCTTTTCAGAGAACCAGTTTGTGGCACTTTTGAACATCTATTGTGTATATTTTTTCTATTCCAATAATTTCTGTTCTCTTAATTATTTCCTTCCTTGTATTTTCTTGTGTTTACATTTTAGGTCTTTTCAAACTTCTTAATTTAGATGTGTAGCTCATTAATTTTTATCCTTTCCTTTTCTTATATATCTGCATATAAATCTATAGATTTCTCGCCAGGTAGTGTTTAGCTGCTTACTACAATTTTTGAAATTTAACAATTTTATTACCATTCAGTTCTGTTTCCTATTCTTCATCATGTTTTTTTTTTTTTGAGCTATTTAAAAGTGTGTTTTACATTTTAGAATGCAGGGAATCTTATTGTTTTGTATCATTGATTTCTAACTTAATTGTATTGTGACCAAATAATATGGTCTAGTACATGATGTTAATAAATATTTCACATATACGTGAGAAGAATGTACATTTACTAGCTTGGAAGTGTAGGTTCCATGAGAGCTGATTGGATTATGCTTGTTAATTGTATTTTGCAATGTCTATAGTCATTATCTTTTCTTCATCTCAAATAATTCCAACATTCAGCAAGTATATATTAGGCAGCTGTTATGTGCCAGATACTGTTCTATGCTTAAAATACACCTGTGAATCAAATAGACAAAGACAATTAAACATTTTAGATACTATCTAGAAAGGGGAACAGGCGGGGAGACAAATAAAAACTCACAAAGAATCTTATTTTATCACATGAGCATTAAAAAGGTCGCTTTGTGATTGTGAGCTTGAATAAGCCTGCCAATTTTTGCTTGAGGCCAATCTATGTTATTAGATTCATACAAATTTAGTATTGTATTTTCCTGGTGACTTAAAAAATAATTTTGTGACAGCCCTCTTCATTCCTAATAATGCACTTTGCCTTAAAATTTATTTTGTCTTATGTTAGTATAGCTACACTAACTTTTTGGTTAATATTTTTTATTGATACATAATATTTATACGTATTTATGGAGTACATGTGATATTCTATTACACGCATAGCATATGTAATTATCAAATCAGAGTATTTAGGATATTCATCATCACAAGTGTATATCATTTATGTGTTGAGAACATTCCAAGTCCTCACTTCTAGCTATTTTGAAATATACAATATATTGTTGCTAACTATAGTCACCATACTCTAGTATTGAACATTAGAATTTATTCCTTCTATCTAACTGTATGTTTGTACCCATTAGCCAACCTTTCTTCATCCTCTCTCCCCAACCCCCACCAACACACACACACACACACACACACACACAGACAAACAGACACACACACAAACACACACACACAAACATTATTTCCACCGTCTGGTATATATCATTCTACTAACTACCTCCGTGAGATAAACTTTTTAAACTCCTATTTATGAGCAAGTACATGCAATATTTGTCTTCCTGTGTTTGGCTTACTTGACTTAACATAGTGATTTCCAGTTCTATCCATGTTGCTGCAAATGACATGATTTTATTCTTTTTTTATGGCAGATAGTATTCCACTGTGTAAATATACCACCTTTTCTTTATCTATTCATCCATTTAGAACATTTAGGTTGATTCCATATCTTTGCTATTGTAAATAGTACTACAATAAACATGGGAGCGCGTGTGTCTCTTTGATATACTGATTTCCTTTTCTTTGACTGAATACCCAGTAACGAAGTAGTTCTAGTTTTAGTATTTTTAGAAATTGCCATACTGTTTTCCATAATAGCTGTGCTGATTTACATTCCCACCAAGAGTGTATGTTCCCTTTTCTCCACATCCTCACCGCCATCAACAGATTAAATCTCATTACTCATTATTGGTTGGTTCAGGTTTTTTATTTCTTTCTGATTCAATCTTCGTAGGTTGTATTGTCCAGGAATGTATCCATTTCTTCTAGGTTTTCTAGTTTGTTAGTGCATAGTTTTTCATAATAAGCTCTGATGTTTTGTATTTCTGTATTAGTTGTAATATCTTTTTTATTTCTGATTTTGTTTAAGTCTTCTGTCTTCCTGATTAGTCTTACGATTGTCTTATTGATTTTATTTATCTTTTTAAAAATGCAACTTTTCATTTGGTGATCTTTTGTATTGTCTTTTTCATCTCCATTTCATTTAGTTCCACTCTTATCTTTATTATTTATTTCCTTCTATTAATTCTGGGTTTTGTTTGTTCTTACATCTCTAGTTCCTTGAGATCCATCATTGTATTGTTTATTTAAAATCTTTCTATTTCTTTTGATGTAGGCAATTATTGCTATAAACCTTTATCAGCACTGTTTTCACTTTATTTCATAGGTTTTGGTACATTGTGTTTTGATTTCTGTTTTTTTCAAGAAATTTTTAAATTTTCTCCTTAATTTTTCTCTTGACTCAATTGTGATTCAGGAGCATATTTTTCACTTTCCATGTATTTGTACTGTTTCCAAAATATCTCTTGTTATTGATTTCTGTTTTTATTCTATTGTTGTCTGAAAAGATACTTGATATGATTTTGATTTTTAAAAATTTTTTGAGATTTGTTTTGTGTCCTACTATATGGTCTACCCTAGACATGTTCTGTGTGCTGATTAAGAATAATGTTTATTCTTTAGCTGTTGGATGAAATGTTTTGTAAATGTCTGTTAGGTCTATTTGGTCTAATATGCAGTTTAAATCCAATGTTTCTTCGTTAATTTTCAGTCTAGATGATCTGTCTTATGCTTAGAGTGGAGTGTAGAAGTCCCAACTATTCCTGTATTAGAGTCTTTCCCTTCAGGTCTAATAATATTTGCTTTATATATCTGGGTGCTCTGGTGTTGGGAGCACACATGAGGATACAATCATTACAATCATTATATCCTCTTGATGAACTGACACCTCTTTCATTATATAATAATTTTGTCACTTTTTATTACTTAAAGTCTGTTTTATCTGTTGTAAGTATAGCTACTCCTACTCACTTTTGAGCACCATTTACATGGAACATCTTTTTCCATTCCTTTATTTTCAGTTTATATATGTCTTTATAGGTGAGAATTTCTTGTAAGCAGCATATAGTTAGATCATTTTCAAAAATTCATTCAGCCAGTCTATATTTTTTAAGTGCAAAGTTTAATCTGTTTACCTTCAAGGTTATTACTGACATGTGAGGGCTTCTTATCATTTTATTACTTGATTCCTTATTGTTTTTTATATCCTTTTTTCCTTTCTTTTTCTCTCATAATTTATCTTTGTGGTTTGTTGGCATTCTGTAGTGGTTACATTTAAGAATTTTCCCTTCCTTGTTTCTGTGTTTGCTCCACTAGTGGTTTTTATATTTGCATGTGTTTTCATAATGGTAGTTATTATTCTTTTGCTTTTGGGTGTAGGTCTCCCTTAAGTATTTCTTATAGGGGTGGTCTAGTGGTGCTGTATCTCTTAGCTTTTGCTCATCTGTGAAAGACATTATATCTCTTTCATTTAGGAAGGATAATTTTGCTGGGCATAATATTTTTGGCTAGCACATTTTTTCTTTTGGCACTGTGAAGATATCATCCCATTCTCTCCTGTCTTGTTAGGGTTCTGCTGAGAAATCTGCTGTTAGTCTGATGGGGTTCCTTTATATAGGTGGCTAGATACTTTTCTCTTGCTGTTTTTAATTTTTTTTCTCTTTGTCTTTGATTTTTGAGTTTGGCTATAATATGCCATGAAGAAGACCTTTTCAAATTGTATTTATTTGGGGATCTTTGACTATATAGGAATGTCTAAATATTTTGCTAAGTTTTGAAGTTTTTAACCTATTATTTTATTAAATAGGTTTTCTAATTCTTTCATTTTTTTTCGTTGTTTCTTGGGACACCAAAATTTGAATATTTGGATGCTTTATGATGTCCCATATGTCTTGAAGGTTTTAATCTTTTTGTTGTTGTTGTTTTTATTTTTGTGTGACTGGGTTATTTCAAAAGATCTGTATTCAAGTTCTGAGATTCTTTCTCCTGCTTGTTCTGTCTTACTGTTGAAGGTTTTGAATGTATTTTGTATATTATTCAATGAATTCGTCAGTTCCAAAATTTCTGCTTTTTAAAAAATTATATCTCTTTGATAAATTTCTCATTCATATCCTGAATTGTTTTTCTGATTTCTTTGTATTGTTTTTCAGAATCTTCTTTTTTTCACCCATTTTAAATATATACTTTAATGAGTTTTACAGATATGTACAGTTGTTCAGCCATTAACACAAGATATGCAACATTTCCATGATGCCCCTTCTTGTGTCTCTCTGAGCTTCTTTAGTGATAGTATTTTTAATTTTTCCCTAGGATTTAATGAATTTCCCCTCCCTCCCTTTCTTCCTTCCTCTCCTTCCTTCCTTCCTTCTTTTGAGACAGGGCTTCACTCTGTCACCCATGCTGGCGTGCAGTGATTTGATCATAGCAGCCTCTACCACTGGGCTTAAGTGATTCTCCCAACTCAGCCTCCTGTGTAGTTAGGACTATAGGCACATGCCACTATGTCTGACTAGTAAATTTCTTTTTATTGGGATCTGTTGCTGGATAATTATTGTGTTCCTTTCAAGGTGTCAAATATTCTTGCTTTTTCATCTTTCCTGTGTTCTTATGTTGATATCTACACATCTGGTATAACTGTTGCTTCTTCTAATTTGTTTGAAATTGCTTTTGAAAAGGAGAACTCTTTTCTGACATGTATCTATGGTATTGGTTGGGTAGGGTACTTTGCTTTTGAATCTGACTATGCGTAGTGGTGTAGTCTCTGTATGACTTCTTCATTTGTAGACAGCATCAGTGGTGTCTGAGACTACCTTGGTGGCTTAGAATGCAGTTGTTATTAGTAGAGGCTATGAAAAAGTTTTGCTGAGTACTATAACACTAGGTGGGCTAGTCTTTAGGCCCCAGGCCAGTGTGCACTGGTGCTGGTGTTGGTGGGTCCAGGAAGGCCAATTCTTGTGCCTCCAGGTTGCTTTCTCAGATGCTGCTAATGGCATCAGTGGGTCTGGCAAGTGAACAGGTTCTTAAGCCCCTGGGCAGTGGATGTGGCATGGGCAATGGCAGTAGCAATGGTGGAACATCCATCTGGGACCCAAGTGGTCCACCCCTGTGGTAGCAGTGGCTGCAAGAGGTTGGGTGGGCTGGCCCACAGACTTTCAGGTGGTGTGTATGGTTGGGTGCCAGCTGTGGTGGTAGTGCAAGTTGAATATGGCTGGTCTCAGACCCTGGGAGAAGTGCTTAGGTGCCACAGGTGGTCAACTGGCCTGGATGATCTTCAGGCCCCTGGAAAGTACATGCAGGTGATGCTCAGGCCCCTGGAAGGTGTGTATAAGTGATGCCCGTGTCCCTGGATGGTATGCTCAGGTAAAGGGGGAAGGAGTGGAGCTGAGCCAGGTGGACTTGCTCTCAGACCCCTCAGTGGTACTGGCTATGGTAGGCAGAAG
Source organism: Homo sapiens (assembly GCF_000001405.40). NCBI lineage: Eukaryota > Metazoa > Chordata > Mammalia > Primates > Hominidae > Homo > Homo sapiens. Next base: position 172,262,041 of record NC_000001.11, read on the forward strand.
TAGGGTGATCCCCAGACCACTGGAAAAATGCTTAGGTGAGAGCAGAAATGGCTATCTGTAGCCCTTCTACTGGGAAGCCTATGGTTGCTTTCCCTGGGTGGAGCCATAAGCTGGGGGCTGGGAACATGGGCTTCATTTGTGTCTTGGCTCCGCAGCAGCTTAAAGCAGTGGTGGTTGTGGGCAGTGGCATTTGTCCTTGGGGGCATATGAAAAGGTGTAGTTACCCCTCTGCAGAGGGCCACAGGTAGGTATGATGGGCATGGGATCACTGTCTGTGGCTCCTGCCTTAGCCCTGGCAATGGAGTAGAATGCAGCTTGGTGGGGTGGGGGCTGTGCTCTCAAAATGGCGTATGCAGCAGTGCCTTCATGTGGTCTCCAGACAGCTCTCTATGTTAGTCTCAGAACTTGTAAGGATTGAGGTGTTCTCTCATGGCTAGGACTGTAGGAATCTCCAGCAGAAACATGGTCTACTGGGGGTCTCTCATTCACACTTTCCCCACATTAAGGAGCCACTCCAGACCCTCAGCTGATCCAGCTGAACTGTTTCCCTCTCCTTTCTTGCTTTTGGTGCTTCCTGTCACTTCTCTGTTGAATTCCAGTGTTCTCTCTTAGATTATCTACTCAAAGTATGATTATCCACTCATTATTTTGGTTCTTTTCCATGGAAGAGGCAAATACCAGATTGATCTAGGCAGCCATCTTGAAGCCCCCTCTTTGTATTTGAACAGGCCATGATATACTTGCGTGTCATTTTTCTTTGCTAGTGGATAGACTTTTTTTAGTCTGTCTTTTCTCTGAGGATGTGACCTTTGGAGGTTCCTGGATTCACCCAAGATCTTATTATTATTATATTTTGTGGACATTAAAATCAAAACCTTTTGGTTACTGAAACTGATGCCATCCAGTGGCAAAAGTTAGAAAAGATGTATTTCCTCTTTTGCGGGGAGGAGGCAATTGATAATTCTTTTATTTTGGAGCTTTGGCATGTAAAATAATGTTTTTCATATGTCTTATAGGAAATAGTTTTTATTCTCTTCCTGCAGTTTTGGCTGAAATGAAGTGGCCTTTCATTATCAATAGATTGTAGAAACAAAAAACTATGTTCCTGATTTCTTCTAGGGGTGAGGACTGTGATAATAGTGAACTTAGAAGGTCAACCTTTGATTCAGTGTGTATACACACATGAAAGTTTTACAAACTGATTAGAGAGAAATAGCAATAATTTATTCTCTCAACAAGTATTTATTCTGTTATCCATTCCAAAGTATCAAAGTAACAAAGTATCTGTTATCCATTCCAAAGTATCCGTTCCAAAGTATCAATTGGAATGAAATTCCAATTTATTCTGTTATGCATTCCAAAGTATCAATGAAATGTATTATCTATCCTGAATGTCAGTATTGGTACTGTGTATTATTCTGTTCTCATGCTGCTAATAAAGACATATCTGAGACTGGATAATTTATAAAGAAAAAGAGATTTCATGGACTCATAGTTCCACATGGCTGGGGAGGCCTCACAATCATGGCAGAAGGCAAAAGACACATCTTACATGGTGGCAGGCAAGAGAGTATGTGCAGGGGAACTTCCCTTTATAAAATCATCAGATCTTGTGAGACTTATTCACTATCATGAGAACAGCATGGGAAAAATCAGCCTCCATGATTAAATTACCTCCCACTAGGTCCCTCCCATGACATGTGGGATTTATGGGAGCTACAATTCAAGATGAGATTTGGGTGGGGACACAGCCAAACCATATCATACTCCAATTAAAATATAAGATGTTTTCTTGTTTTGAGAACATTTGCAATCACTAGTGTGAGTGTCATACATTTATTTTTCATTGAACTTAAAACAGAAGGACTATGTTAGAAAAGAAGAAAATGAAGTTTAGTTGTGAGATTATTATACATGAAATTAATGAGTTATAGTGTGTAAGGTAACATCTAACTAGATTACAGGATAGGGTATTCCACTGCAGTTCTGAAGTGTCAGAATAGCAGACAGCATAGTATTTAGCCACAGCAAAAGAGTTAGCATCATAGAAGGTGACTTTCATTAGGTCATGGCATGAATTGATGTAGAGGACATAGAAAAGACTACTTCAAATGGGAAATAGTATTAGTCAAAGCCAATAGCAAGAAATGTTATTTAATCTGTTGCTAGTCTCTTCTGATGAGAAGAAGCTAATTTCAAAGGCAAGATGAGCCCTAGTGACAAAAATAAAAACATTCCTTTTTGTTTCCATAGAATTTATTGAACTGGACTTACCCATGTCAGTTTATGTATTTTAATCCTCTGTGTTGTGGTAAAATCATGCATCTTTCAAAAGCCCATATGCTTAGCATGATTCTATCAACTATTCTTAAATTACATTCTTTTCACCACTTATATTGATTCTGAGGTTATGTTCCTAATTTGTTTTCTCTTCTGAGACAAGACCTTATAAGAAAATAAGTGTTCTCATTCCTTGCCTTTAGATGAGGTTACGCTTGATTAATTTAGAATAGATTTTCTAAATGCCTCCATTACTTTGTAATTTTTATCCCTGTCCTCCACATCAGTGTTTTGGATCAATTTGTTTATCCATTCAGCAGACCTATATGAGATGCATTGACTTGGAGCTAAGAGTTTCTGTTTGAACACCAATGCAAGTTTAAAATATCATGGCTTTCCGGGGGTTTCCAGAACCTTATAGATAATCTCGTCGGTCTTTCTTACCTCACAGGTTAAGGAGCTATATCTATAACAGTTAAATGCCTTCCTAATGTCACAAAAACAGTTAATGAGAGAACCAGAACTACAACCCAGGTCTAATATCTCCTAACTCAAGGCTGTTTCTGATACTGTAGTTTAGAGATTAACTATGGAATAGGAATTCTGCCTAAGACTTTAACTGGAATTGCTCCTAAAAGATCAGCAATGAAGAGATTTTTAACTTATTGTGTAGGGATTTCAGTTTACTGTAAGATCATACAAATTTCCATGGAATGCTTTTAGTCTCATTTTTTAAAGCCCTGCATGGAACTGACCATTGCTCCTGCTACAGTTCCTGACAAACTTTTAGTCATGGCTATTTGTATGGCAACATTATTCCTAAGAGCTCATTCAGTTGCTATTTCAGCTTTCCACTATATAAACTTTAAAAGAGTTACTCTGTAGTCCCCCATCATCAGGTGTGTGGGAATTAATACATTTAACATCCTTTAAAAAAAAAAAGGCTTCGGTGTCCTGGTGAATTAATATAATCTTTACAAGCCAGGTGACCAGATTTTTGAGCCATTTTAAACAGTGTTTCAGTGCTAAGATTTATAAATGAAAGGATTTGTTGCTAGTTGCAGTGACTTCAGCACTTGAGGAGAGCGAATTTCACACTCAGACTGGTTTAGCCTACATAAACTCCCGGTAAGAATACCCATTCCTGAGCCTTCCTCTGGCTCTTTTAAAGATGGCATCATAGATATCTGGGGAGACTAACATTGTGATACTCTGTTCTCACATTAATTGCTTCACCTAATTATAAACTGAAAGTTAAATTTTAGTTAACAGACTCCTAAAGTTCACTGTGGCATGGTCTAAACTAAGGATTCAAATGCTCCTCCAGGTTTTTGTTCTATTTGATTTTGTTAGAAATGCCATGTTTTCTCTGATAGAAGTATGTCTAGATAATGGCCTCACTGTGCTTCTCTCGGCTCTCCCCAGGCAGGCGTTCAGTTTTAAGGTCATGCTAAGGCCCATTTGGTTCAAGGTATGTCAGCTTTGGTAGCCAACAGAGAACTGTTTCTGTCCAGGGGGTTGTAGGGCAGCCACATGGTATTTTCTGAGCACTCCTTGGGGTTGTAGAGCCTTGTTTTCTTTTAAAATAAGGCATTCTTTCTACTTTGTAGCTTCAATTCAGGATATGGTTTATCAATATTACCAAGTGTTCCAATTCACCTCCTCCCCCTTTTCCTATAGAAAGTGATTTTAGGATGTTTCACTACTCCACTTAGTTCCCAGCATATTGCTGACACTCAATAAATGTCAAATAATGCCGCAATATAGTTAGTGTGTGCTCTTTAGGCATTCTGAAAGAATGACTCTTTATTTGCATTGTTGAGTAGTGGTATATTTTTCCACTTGTTAGCTGGAAAGAAATTAGAGTCAGGTTGTTCATTTATATACCTCTATGGCTACATTTCTATACTAAGACATGCTCAGAGTTTAAATTTGTTTGAAAAAGTGTTTAAATGAATATTCTGGGTGGTATACAATGCTTTGTCTAAAAGATCATGTCTCAATTGGATATGGTTGAGTGTCGGATCTACATTAAAAAAGGAACAATTACTCTTCCATAAATAGGGATGGCAGAGACTCATATGTATCAGAATTTCAGTAAGGTAAAAAGCATGTAATATTCTGGACTCGGGAATGAAATACTGTGTAAGGAACACAATTCAATTAAGCTTGTTTATGCAACATAAACAAGACACCAGGATAAATTATTTTATTTCATTTTTATCCCACTTTTGTCAAAACAATGTTTAAGACATTACTTCTTGCCTCACAAAATGCTAAGTGAGAATTGCTTGTCTTCTAAATACCCTGATTCAGGAAGGTTTTTATTTGTCAGATGATTCAGTCAGTAATCAGTCCCAACCCAAGTAGAGAAATGAAATGTATGTTATCCTATCCACCCACACCCCCCTTGGAGTGTAGGTGGGTCATCTTTCCAGTAGAGGTGTGTGTAATACCCTCTATGAGTATCTGGTGGAGGGAAAAAATAAATCAGTTTGAGAGTAGAAACACTTTATCATTCTCAATTGACCTAGAGTTCATTGTACTGTTTCTGTAACTTTACGTGTGATATAAAAATTTGGTTTTCCCCATGCTTTATCCTTAGTCAGAAAAAAAATCCCACTAGATATGAGACCAATTGACACCTGATATATTGTTGTCCAGAGGCAAACACAAGTGAACTGGTGGCACTCAGGCATGAGTAGTGTTACTAGGGGGATCACCTGAACAATGAGTTTAAGAAATGGAGTGTGTTAAGTGAACATTTTAATACCTTATTCTTCCTTCTGGTTTTAACACAATGATAAGTTAAATAATTAAAATGTAACAATTCTATAACTTCTCTACTGTGAGACTGCTTTCCATGAGGGAGAGGCTGTTTTTCTTATTCATTGCTGTATCCCCAGGGCCTAACACAGTGCCTGGCATTTTTGTGAGCTCAATAGCATGAGGGAATGAATGCATGGATGCAAAACTTTCCCCCTCTGTTATATGGAGAAGATAGAAATAATGCCAATTGCTAATATAAGGCATTCTTAAAGTAAGTAAGCTCTAGAAGCCTAGAACTTCAAATGCAAGTGGGATGAAAATGGAAATACAGATTCAGACTCTCAGAGGAAATAGTTTGAGGACAAAAGGAAATATTTCATTTAGAAAGTAATAACCTCGGTAATATACAGACTGTATAAATGAGTGCTGTTTGAACTAAATAGAATTCTATGACATTGTCCTTTAAGAAAAAAAAAAGCATAGATGTTTTATTGTAAATTGTCTTAACATCATTCTCATAATCTTAACGTTTATTATTCAAAAATGCTTTGTAGATAGCTACACTAAGCATTCTAAATCTTTATTTCTTGGTTCTAGCAAAGTATTGACAAATTTCAGGTTTTCTTTTTTTTTTATTTTTAGAGATGGAGTCTCACTCTGTCACCCAGGCTGGAGTGCAGTGGCAAGATCTCTGCTCACTGCAAGCTCCGCCTCCCGGGTTCACACCATTCTCCTGCCTCAGCCTCCCAAGTAGCTGGGACTACAGGCACCCGCCACCAAGCCCAGCTAATTTTTTGTATTTTTAGTAGAGACGGGGTTTCACCACGTTAGCCAGGATGGTCTCGATCTCCTGACCTCGTGATTCACCCACCTTGGTCTCCCAAAGTGCTGGGATTACAGGTATGAGCCACGGCACCTGGCCAGGTTTTCTATTAGTTTTAAAAGTTAAGCAGGAGGAGAGCCAGAAGACAATTTCAATTCTCTGTTCATAAGTTTTCACTTCTTTTTTCTGCTAGAACTATTAAGTTCACAGGGCTCAGACAGAGACTTGAGGACTCTTACAGTTATTGATTGTGACTGCACAAGATGAGGGTAATGTTTATTTGTCATTATAAATCTGGAAAGATAAACCCTGTGCTTTCCCTGTTAAGGGGCTGGATAGGAATACGTGTTCAGCAAGTCAGTAAAAAAAAAAAAAAAAAATTGTATATTTTGAAAGTTGATTCCAAGTCCAAATCTTGGAAACAGAGATCTCTGTTTTTGCGTTTGTTCTTTTCCTTTGTTCTAGTCCCTCATTGCAAAGATATTTGTTGTCATATGGTTCTGATCCTGCTTGTTACAAGTTTCCCAATTCTCAATACTGCATCTTTTTCCTTTAAGAGTGTCCCTCTAGTTGTGAAATAGCATCATTAGGAAATCCTAGGTACACCAGAGAGGAGGGGGAAAATATTTTTAAAGGGAGCCTGGAGAGGGATGGATTGGAGAACCAAAATTCTCGGCCCATTTGGTTTATTTGATTCACCAACCACACCCAGACAGAAATCAAATATAATTTGGTAATATTTTTATGAACTAAGTCTGTGACAATTGAATTCACAGCTAAGATATATTCTCATGAAAGACAACATAATTTCTTGAGTATGAAATGCCTGTGACTTAAAGCAAGCAATTTAAATTCTTTATTGTTTTTCAAATGAAACTCTGAAATGAAATAGGAGTATGACGTCCTACTTGGATGATTGTTTCTGCCTTTTTTGAGGGAGAAAAATAGCAAGTTAGTGCTTTTCAACGTTTTTAAATGTCATTAAAAGATTTTGGAGGAATTCTTCATGCTTAAAACACCTGTGTGAAGTCTAGATTCATTTTTCTAGGGGAATCAGGCATCGTACTTTTCAGGAGCCTTTGCGTATTTCAAACAAATAGATTGATAGGATAGAATCAGCAACTTCAGTTGCTTTCTTCCCAAGGATTCAGTTTCTCTCTTCCCAAGGATTTAAACTGGAGTTGTAACCGAAGCCATTAGTAGTGCCAGCAAGGATTTTGGTCAAAGTGTTTGAGGCATTCATGTTCAGGTTTCTGTCCAAAGACTGTGTTGATGAATGAGCCCAACACGGCTATGTAAAGTTCAAGAACAAAAAGAAATTATGTCCTTCACAGCAAGTTTACTTTTCTTCTAGGATTTCAGAGCAAACACATTGCCCTCTCTCCACCTATTTTCCGGAACAAGTATTTGCTTTCCCCACTACCCTCGTCAGACAAACACTGCAGCTTGGGACAGAAGTGTGCCTCCATTTGGAAACCATAGAACAACCCCAGCTGCTATTCATTAATGATAGGGGACCCAATCGCTAGTTGTAAACATGCTACAGAAAAAATATGATCAATTCTAAGAGACATGCTTTAAATGAGACACTGTAGTGGTAAGCTGTAAGAGAACTGATAGATCACTATTCTACCTTAAAAGAGATTGATACAAATGATTGCTAGGCTTTGTTAAAAAAACTAGCTTTTCTTTTTGAAAGCTATTAGTCACTCTGAAGAACTGGATTCAAGATATTATCTGTCTTGTTTCAGGCTTTTATTTCAAAGAATAAGTTTATATTTTGGTTACTTATGTTAAGGATGGAATTAAAGTGAGTTGTGTGCTGCAGCTTCCTTTTAGCCAGTGTGGTGGTGATTTTGTGAATTTGTGATAGCGTGGGGCCCCCAGGCTGAAGCCAGTAGTGAGACAGCAAGTGTTCAGGTATTTCAGTCAGCAACCTAGGGAGCAGAGCTCTTCAGAAATGAATAAGCAGGATTGCGAAAATATCCCTAGCTGGGCCCAGCCTGAAGGAAATGTTTAAATACCAATATCTCTTTGGCCGTCTTAGAGGCCTCCCAAGAACAAAAATAAAGGAAACTAAGGGCATGTTTTATTGACTATTGGAATAATCAGGTTTTTAGCAATAACATGTAGAATATAGTAAGAAAAAAACTTACGTCAAATAGTAGAATAAACATAAAAAGTCCAAAGAGGATTATTCTTCAAGTCTATTGCTGTTTCAATTCAGTTAGAGTTGAATAATGGCATCTCTGGCAGCCATAAGTGTTTTCTATTATTAGCAGTGTTACCATATACTATCCTGACATTACTAAAGTAATAACACCTTGCCTAGGAGTTCTTGAATTTGAAAAAAAAAAAAAAGCCTTTAAGCCAAACAGCACTTGTAACTATAATGCTAAATGAAGATAATTGAGCTACTTCAATCATGCACTCAAGATATTAATAATAAACCTGTCTTTTAAAAATAACAATTTACAAATAAGAATCTTTGTGTGACTTAACATTGCATGTCTAATATATTTTCAGTTTTCTTTAGTTGACTTATGGTGACACCAACTTACCCATAAAGAATGTCTTTAGTACCTATACCTGCTGAAAAAAAATACTGTGAAGGTTTGAATTATATTCCTTACACATAAATTATATTATTCTGCTTCAACTTGCTGCATTCAAAGGGAAACTATTTACTGGCATGTGTAATTAATTTTAATTAACACACAGCCTCAGCAAAGGGAACCGACATGGTACAAGCCTTGGTAGAAAATGTTAGTCACACTCTGCAGCTAACTCTGAGCAGATGCATAGTTTCATGAAGAAAATATTTGCAACGTCTAACTGTAGCGAGTTTTTCTCCTTTCTTTCTTTTTCTAATTTTGAAACTGCCTGTGTTTATTTCTTAGAATCTGAAAAAAAAAAGTACTGTGGGTATAAAGGAACAGTTTCAAAAAATGCAGTTGCAGAGAGTAGTTTTGACTATTCAAACAAGTAACTGCCTTTGCTCTCAGTGTGTGTTAAATCCACACCTCACTGAAATCTTTTATAGGTAAGAGTATGAGTGATATGTGTTATACTACCAGATATTAGCCTAAACTCTTTTTAATATTATAAAATGATTTTGCTTCAGAAAATAAATAAGTTGCTCTATCATCACTGTACTAAGGAGGACTCCTTTTCACTCTTAAAAATTGTTGAAGACCACAAAGAGCTTTTGTTTATGTGGACTGTGTGTGGATTATATCAGGAATATTGTGAGTTGGTTGACTTCACATTGTTGTTTGAAACTGGCCATAGTGAGAGTATTTATACCAGAAAACTAGCAAATGCTAAAATCATAGCTTCTCCTTTTTCTAGAAAGTCTGTTGATAAGCTTTTATCAGCACACCACCAATTATATTTATTGTTAGAAATTAAAAATGAGGTTTTAAAAATATTCATTTATTTAAAACTAACCCTAATAAACCCATTTTATGTTAACATAAATTATATGTTTTACTTTAAAAATTATTGAAAAGAGTGGCTTTTTTTTACAGTTTTGCAAATCTTCTTAATGTGTAGTTTAACAGAAGACAGCTGGATACCCATATCTGCTTCTGCTTTCAATCTGTTACAATATGTTGTTTTGGTTGAAATCAATGATGAAAACCTGGCCTCACACAGATGTGTAGAAAATGGAAGAGTATTTTAATAGCCTTTTAAAATTGTGGATCTTCTTCTTTGATATTCCACCAAAACTCGACAAGTAATTGTTTCTTAAAAGTTAATTGCAATGAGGGATCTGAAATCATATCAATGAGCTTTCTATATTCTGCTACACTGATTCATTGGTCTATCATGCACTTTAAATGGATCTTTTACTTATGAATGATTTTGTAACATCATACATTTGTCATTTGGAAAACATTGGTTCACTGATTTACACAGATCTTCCAAATGTTTATACATTTCATTCTACAATGCTTAAAAATCACATTCATTAATATCCACCAATCTTATCAGAAAAAGGGAAGGTGTCAATGACGCCCATGGTGATAGATATGAGTTTTCCAAAACTCTAACACAAAAATTTATCATTGGCCACAAATAGTGTCAGTTGTTTTCCTTTAAATGACAGGCTTATTTTGTTTATTTTTGAGAAAATATCTGCCAAAAACTGAAGTTTTAGTAACGATAGATTGTTAGCCAGTTTTTCAAGTAAAAACGGAATCCCATGAAAAACAGCATCTGCTTCACCTTACAACTGCTTTGCTTGAGACAAGCACTTCAGGATACAGCAGAAGTGCTTGTGTGTACTTCTTATTTTGTGACATGGAATATTAAAATTTAATCTCTAGAAAATATTCACTTATAATTAATACATAATTATTATCTAGAATATATGAATCTAAATTAAAATTTAATCTTTGGATATAATAGAATTAATATTTTTAACTGCTTCATCAGGATATCCTTAAGTGAAACTTGCTTTTTTTAAAACTGTGATGACATAGCAGTGAAGGCTACAATGACCATCAGTCAGTACCTCATTGTGATGTTGCCTTGGTTTATGCTAGGGCACCCACCCTTGCCTTTGCACCATCAGTGCAATGTTAATATATTTGTTGCTCCATAAACCATGAAATTAAAGTGATTCTACACTTTGGCTATTTCAGTAATACTTGTGTTCATTGATAAGAATTCATTTAAATGAATATCTTTGAGGATTAGTTAGTACTGATACCAGACAAATAGAATCAAAACAAGTGTCATTCTTTAGACTTGTCCATTTTAGGGCAAAAGTATAATTCTGCAGATTAGAGTTCTAAACTCATGTTTCATGGCAGCAACTAAATATTTAATTAGACAAATTAACTCTGTCATTTTAAAATTATAGTCATTTCTTTTTCTTGACTTCTGTTATCCAGTAGACATTCAGCAATGCCAACTGTACAAAAGCTTTTAGACTCTCAGCTAGTGTGCACTTCTCCAGCTAATGCAGCACAATGATTTATCCTATAAAATGCTTCAAGGACTTTTTCACTTCTAGTTTGAAAAGCCCTAACAAACAATATTGGGCTTACAAAGAACATACCTATGTCTAAAATATTTTATTCTTTTTTCTTTAAATGTTCAATGATTCATCTCAAAATGAGGCTGTAACTTAAGTGGCATTAAAATGCTATTCAAGTGTTCAATTGCAAAAGACAATAGGTAAATTATATACATATGTTAAAAAATAAGAGAAAGCTTTATTTGTAGTTTTAATTTTTTGTTATTTATAGTTTTGTCCTGTTTCTTTGCATTAGATGCCTTCCTTCTAGGAGTCAGAGCACTAACTCTGACATGTCAGTCTTATCTTCTTCAATATCTTTAGATGTAGCTGTTGCAGCTAGGGTTGAGAAAGTTTCTCTTCAAATCTCCCTTTTTTAAGCCAATGAGCCATCCTTAAACATAAGGAAAATACATTTTCTTTTATTTTAGAACTACTAAATCCTAAAATAATACATTTTAGATAAAAATTTTAAAACTACAAGTTTTGTAAATTAAAGCATTGCAAAACAAGACAAAAAGATATACTTACTTCTTGTTGTGTCTGTACATAGGCCCAAGGGAAACTTTAGGATTTCAAAATCACAATGTATTGGATGATAATGAGGTTAACAAAGATTATAGCAAGCATAAACAAAAATAATTATTAAGGGTGTGGTAGAAGCACTGAGAACAAATGAGTTAATCTCAGAAAATGCACATACTCTCTTTCAAATTTCTAGTACACAACTTTACTTTCCATTAATTGCCAGGTAATAACATCATCACATCATGTCCCTTTTTGATAAACTTCTCTGTATATTCATAACAGAATGAAAGTGAAAAAAGCAAACTAGTATTATGACAATGGTTTTGATCTGGAGAAACATCTGAAAGGATCTTGGGGACTCCTGAAAGAGTCCTGTGTACCCCAGTAGTCCCCAGATAATACTTTGAGGACTATTGTGAAATGGCAGTTATGCAATACGTGATATAATGATTCAGTGGTGTCACATCAGCTTAAGCTGTATTTTCATGCAATGGGGGGTGTGCTTATTGCATAAGTAAGTCTGTTGGATGTTTCTCTTACTTGTGAAGAATCAATATTACATTGATTGCCAAATTTGATTTTTCAAGTCCCCTACACACTGTCGTAAAGCAGATGGTAAAGACAGAATACCTCTGAAAAGTCAAACTCATGTCAGCTAAATTGATAGATTTATCTTAGCATCGAAAGCCATGTCACTCAGTCCCCTCCTACTCAACCCCAATATAAAAACCGAAACAGTGATGGAATTTCCAGAGCATTTGTTTACTCCCTTTAACTACCATTGCTCTTTGCTGAGTGATGATGCAGGGCAGATGGTGTCAGGGAGAGAAATCATCAACTAGCTCAGGATTGAAAGGGGATGAAGATGCTAGAAATGTGTTGATGTTTGAGAAGGATGTGTGGAAATGAAGAAGTGACTAAAGAGGACAGCCTTATCACCAACAACATAAGCATATCCCTTGCTCTTTAATTCTGCCCCAGAGGGAAAGGAACAGGGCTTCAGTCTCAAATGAGAGAGCCACTTTTCTAGTCTGGGGTAAAGATATCATGCATACCTTTCCTTCCTTCCCCTCCACTGTGATAGATCTGAGAAGTGATGAAAGCCAAGAAATATTGAGCTGTTGGATTTTTTTTACTAAATGCTATGTATGCCAAGGGTTATTTGCTTAATATCCTTCATCTTGGATCAAAATGGTGAGAAATTTAAAACCGAGAATTTCCCTGAAACACTGGTTTTTAAACCTTCTCTAGTGAAGGTTTTTTTTTTTTTTTTAATTTTCAATTACTTGCAGATCAATGCAAGGTCCTATTGCACGCCTGAGCAGTTTGCAACTTGCATGGCATGAGACTCACCTTATGAGTTCAGCAGCACTCAAACTGGTCTAAACACTTGAACAAGACAGACTAGTCCACTGATCAGGGCTTGGATGTCATAGCAGTGTCAAATTGCTACAAGGGCTTCCAACTGCTTACTCTTTGTTTCTGTATTTTTGTCATTATACACTAGTAAACAAGCAGTTCTGGGACCTGAAGCAATGCTCTGTTATTGGCCATCACAAATGTAAGGTTGAATTTGCCACATGCACTGTCTAGTCAAGGTTAATTATTCCTAGACAACTATGACTTGCCATCTGTGTAGCTGTTGCTAGATGCACAAGTAGAATTAGTTATGGTAGTGTGGGCTCATCAGGTAGAACCATTCAAAGTGTATATCACTTATATCTCATAGATTAGAACACATGGTCCAGATACTTATTAAATTATTGGATAGATCAAATTTCCATTAACTATACCTCTAACACAGAGGCTATCATCTGTGTGAATATACAGATGATAGAACATACAGAACAAGAACATGCAGGCTCAATATTTGTCACTAAAGTTATTTTATCATTAATTATTTTCAACATAATCTAATTTTCTTCTACAATCTGGAAAATATTTGGATTTTTTGGCATGCTGCATGTCTGCTTCTTTATAGTGCCTTCTTTCAAATACCTGAATCATAAATGAAGAAAAAAAAACTTGAGAAAGATACAGTTGTTGACATTTCAACCTTCTTGCTCTTTTCAAAACCACCTTACCTGCTAACTTCTGTTGCCTCTCCCCACCAGAGATGATTATTAATTTTTTCTTTCACATGGCTCAACTGGTCTGACACTCTTGGAAAACAAATATTTGTTTCCAGCCCATGGAAACACACATAGTGTACTCAAGCCAGAAGTTCTGAGAAAGCACACTGTCAGGTGCTGCTACTCCTTTGGAGAACCTGGCTCCCATGAAAACATCTGAAATATAGTTCCGTAACATCATCTATTATTAAAAGATAATTTTTATTGCCTTGAAATTTCTCCTTGAAGAGTATTTCCTTACTGAAGTGTTTTATGTTTAACTTGTCAAAAATTAAGGAAGGCATGAAAGTTGCCTTATGGAACTGAAGGACTCGCATTCTGCGTTGTCTTTCCAGAGGACTGAATTAGTAATGTGTAAAAGTGGCTCAGAAAAAGATATCAGCATATCATCAGGAAGAGGTTTTTAATACTCTTAAGATTTTATGTATTACATATATAGTATATATTTTTAGTATAGCTTTTTAAAAATAGAATGGGCAACTTGTGAGTTAGCAAGCCTCCCCCCATTTCCAGAGCACTTTAGCAGAAGCTAGATAACAACTTATTGGTAGGGTGTCCTAATTTATCATCACTCTTGAGAGTAAAAGGGGACAGTATTAATAATTAGTGTGGGACAGCACTTGGCAATAAACTGGGACTGTCTGGGCAAAAAGAAACAAATGGTAAATCCTACCTGTGAATGATGTCATAGAAGAGAGTCCTGCCTGATGGGGGAATTTGGCTTAGGTGACCCCTATAGTATATACTCACTTGACTATTTTCTGCACTACCATTTCCTCATAACTTTTTCCGATAACTTATTTTGCTAATATTCTCTAAACAGGAAGAAGTTTGAAATGCATTATTAAGGATTAGATTTTAAATTATGTTTAGGAAGATTTATGTGTAAATTGTGTTATAATTCTTTTAAATCCTGTAACACAAATTAGCTTGTAATAATCACAGAAAAAAAATCTTAATGTGTGTGTGTGTGTGTGTGTGTGTGTGTATAGGACTATGTTCCAGCTGGCCTTATTGAGTGAGTGTTCTTGTTAATTATAAACCAGTCTTGAGTGTGATACCACTGTTTATTATTGATACCTTCAACCTGCTTCTGAGATTCTTCTTATGAGTTAGAGTATCCCCAGAATCCTAAATGGGGAACCTCACTTCCATATTCGATAAGCTGATGTCAATTACAATAAAGAGTATGAGAATTATAAGTTAGACAAAAGGCAAGATAGTTCCTTTGAGAGGAAAGCATGCCTTACAACTCTATGAGTTGTTTGGAAAGTTAAGTATTTGTGACAATAATGAATGAATAAGTACATATTTAAGCTTTCAAATAGCCATTGACAAAAATCTGAATCATGGTGGAATTCAAAAAAAGTTCATTATGTTTTCTTTAAAAAAATATGTGGCTAGAAAACTGTCTCTGAGAAAGATTAAGGGTAGAAATTATTCAACCTATAAGTGCTTTATTGAGCATCTGTTATGTATTAGGCTCTGAGGTAGGAGCTAATGGGTACAAAAATGGTCCTTGTCCTCTGCATTCATGACTCTAGTAGTGTATTGGAAAGAGATGGATATTTCTGTTAATGATATAGTATAACAAATGAGATTTCTCATGATCCTAATTTTCTAGATTTCTAGGACTCTAACCAGCCTTAACGTTTGTATAAGTAATCAGAAATACTTTGCAAAAACTCATATTTTGCAGATCAGGCTCACTTGGGTAGTGAAAAGACAATCTTTAGAGGATTTCACAGCGTTTTAGTAGTGAGCAGGAAAATGGCAGACTAATTGAAATGTGGAAAAACCTGAGGTGTCATGTAAATTTAGAGGAAAATGGTCCAAACTGTAGTCATAGATTCTTGGAGTCTGATCAAAGGCAGTGAGTGTAGGAGTCTCTGTAGACTAGTTCTGAAAGTATCTATGCAATGTGTTGATGTGGTCAAGTAGACATCATCAAGAATAGAAAACACACTACTGATGTACAAAATTATGGTGTTTTATAACCTAACACATTATATATTAAAAAGTTGCCAGTCAATTGCAAAAAAAGGTGTAATATAACCAGAAAAGATTCTGTAAATAATAATTAAAATAATTGATGAGGTAAGAGAATTATCTTTTATGAAAATAGCGAAAGCATTAGGATTCTTCATTATGAAAAGATGAGATGTGTTTTCAAGTGTTAATGTCATTGAATTATGTGACTGTGATTTTCCCCCAAATTGAAAACTACTAGAATAAGAAGCCTTGAATAAAAAAATATAGGCTGCACTGAAGTTCTGTCAATTATATTCCTAATAGATTACATTAGCCCTGAGAGGTGGTACAGATACTTCCCAAACAATTTATATAAAATTATGACTGCATAAAAAATTAGTCTGTTCCTAAAGGAAAGCATCTCTGAAAGCATCTCTCAGCTCAGAGATTCATTGCAAGGAAAACCTCTCTGCCTTTCCTGATGTTTTCTGTTATATAAATACAGTTGAAGTGAACACTTGGTTTGACCCATAATTCTACTTTTTTTGTATTCTGTTCAAGGTACAAGAGAATCAAAATGACAAAGCACTTATGAAGAATGCGCCAGTCTATTTTCCTTAGGTGTATAAATAGCTATGGTTTTTTTTCTGCCCAAAGTCAATATTTCAAGTATTTTCTTACTTTACTAATGCTGTCACAACTCATCATTTATAGCCCCTTCAAAGGGCCATTAGTGTTTCACAATATGTAATGCAGGGGTGCCCAATCTTTTGGTTTCCCTGGCCACATTGGAAGAAGAATTGTCTTGGGCCACACATAAAATACACTAAAACTAACAATAGCTGATGAGCTAAAAAAAATTGCAAGAAAACCTCACAATGTTTTAAGAAAGTTTACGAATTCATGTTGGACCACATCCAAAGCCATCCTGGGCCTCATGCAGCCGTGGGCCACAGGTTGGACAAGTTTGAATTGTAACAAATGTAGTCACCTTCAGGGAAGCACTCACTATACATTTTTTGCCATGCCACTGGGGAGAAGGCAAGTGTGTGATTCACTAGCCCTTTAGCTCATAAACATCCCTGCTGTGTCCTGCCTTCAGTTAAAAATCAGGAATATCAGCATGTGACTTGTTGCATAAGTATACAAACTCAGCCAGTGTCTCATTGTACCATTTACTTCACTGCCTCTAAAGTTCTGTGGCATTTCCATAACAAACCCCAGCACATGCTGACTAGAGAAGAACCCCAGCAGACCACAGTGATTGACTTAATTTGGAGGTTAAAATGTTCTTTCTCTGGTAGTTTCTATTATCACTGCGACTTTTCCCGGGACACAAGATCAGTCTCCCCATGCTTAACCCAGAGGAGTTAGGCCAGTTTTCTGTTGCTGAAATTCACTTTGCTTATTTTCACTAGCAAACTGGTTTCATAAGCATAATCTTGCCAGACTGTATGTCATTTTTCTCCCTTTATTGTAGGAAATGATTGAGTGTGTGTGTTGAGGAAACGATTGATGCTTTGCCACCTTTGGAGGGAGCAATTATTTTGTGAGAAAGCTTGAGAATAATTAATTTATGTTGGATTGAAAAATAATTGGAAGCATTTTTCAGTTCCTTTTAATACACAGATTCTTATAGTAAAAGCATATTCATTTGAAATACACAAACTTTAGAAAACTATTTAATTGAGTAGATTTGGATAGTGGACTATTGTACCCCAAAAAGGGTCTCTTATGTCTATACATTTGCACAGAATACTAGTGTATGGGTGTTTGCACTTGAATAATTCCCAAATTGGCACAAATTAATTAGCAAATGCATGTGCTTGGTTCTTTTACATTGCTGTTGTCAATATCATCAATCTTGATTTCCAGCAAGATCCTGAACACCTTAGTCACGAATTTTATCGTGAAAATGTTAAGTGCGCTTGTTCCATCTATATGCTGTTGACCCTAAAGGTACACATCCAACTCTGATTACTCTTCTGGGCTTCAAATCTATATCCAGGCTTCTTCCTACCAACCCCAGCTTAAAATTAAACTCTTGGTCTTTCCACCCAGACATGCTCCTCCAATCTCCCAGTTGCTCATGCTGGAAACTTAAACATCACCTTGGATTTTTCTCTTGCCTTCACTTTCCGCACCCAGTTTCTCAGAAACATATGATGGCTCTGCCTTGGATATATATTTAGAATTCAGCCTCTTCTTTCTTACCCCTTGGCCTCATCGGCCTAGTCATCTCTTTGACTTTGGCAGTAGCCTCCTCCTTGCTGTTGTCATCCTGCAGTTAGTGTGTTCTTCATGCAGCAACCAGAGTGGTATTTTTTAAAAAATAGATCAGATCCTATCAGACCCCTCTGCTTAAAGTCCGTGTATTTTTCCATCAAGCTGACAAAAAAATTCAAATTTATCATGGCCTATGAGCCCCTCCATTGTCTGGCTTCTGGCTCCTTCTCTGAACTCATTTCTGAGTCTCCGCATTGTTCACCCTGCTCCAGTGATACTGGCCTCCTTACTGCTTCTTGAATATGTTGAGCTTGTTCCTGTCTGAGGGCCTTTGCATTCACCAGGAATATTCTTTCCCAGAAACTCCCGTGAGTCATGCCCCACCCCCTCAGTTCATGTCTGTTTTCAAATGCCACCACCTCATTTTCTGACCACCCTATCTAAAGAGGCACCTTCATCACTCTGTTCTTTTATCCTGCTCTATTTTGTTCATGACACTTATTACTTTTTGATATTTTTATTCATTGTTGTTTGCTTTGTCTTCTCCATTTTAGTATAAGTTCAGTGAAGGCAAAAATTTAATCTTTTTTAAAAAATTTATTCACTGCTCTATCCTGAGGGCCTAGAACACTGCCTAGCATATGGTAGTTATTCAGGAATGAAGGAATGAATGAGCATGTGAGTGAATACATGTTAGTCTTGATTATGAATATGCTACAGCTTACTTCTTACTGGATTTTTTCTCTCAGTTTTAAGCTTCAACCGATTTATTTAATGATAACTACATGTTTTGTGAGGATATAAAAATGGTACTGAATAATTACATGGCACTTTGTACTTTACATTCTGCTTTTACATACATTGTTTTATTGTGTTAAATGTTTAAGAAATCATCCAAAGAAATTCCAGGCTAGTAATACAAAGACAAAAAGAAAAACATTTATGAAAATCTTATAAGGAGCATCACTGAAACTCAAATTCATGAAAATTAATAGTATCCAGATTTTAGAAATACACACATGCATGCATACATGCACACACAGAGTGAGAGATGAAAGGAATGGTTCAAGCCAAGCATCAATAATTAAGTTATCCTGAAATATTGTAAATGGGTGAAAGGACTAGATAAAAGTGGCATTCCACATCTGGAGATTGGAATATGGGAAGTCATGGTCAGAGACAGACAATTATGTTCAAGGAACAGCAAGTTTTGCTTTGATGGAAAGAGACTCTTTATAACTGGAAGTTATGAAAAACTAAATGTGATAATATTGTGTGTGTGTGTGTGTGTGTGTGTATGTGTGATAATGGAGAGAGTGTGATAGCAGAATTAAATTGTGGGAAGTTTTAAAGCTATAGAACAAGACACTCCTCCAGATTTTCAGAAGAGAACTGACAGAAGTATAGAGAAGGATATACTACTTAATGAAATACAGAGTGGATTGAAAGGAGGTAAGGTAAGACACGGAAAGGAACTGAGGAGATTGCTGAAATGTTTCAAGAGATGGAAAAATGACAGAGTTCCAGATGAACTCTACACTTGAAATCGATTTCTTTCTCCATGGTTCACAAATGAATCATCACAATGGCAATCTCAAGATGAGAGTAACCAGGAAAATCCTACCCCAATGGAGATTAAGTAATCTGTGAGCTGACACCCCCATTTTCCCCAACATAAGCATTCTTGAGCCATATGGAGCTCTAATAGAAGGAAACACATTTCCTGGATCAGCTCTTTGCCTCTACAAAGTAGCTTAGAGCCCAAATTATTGATATATATAATTTAGTACTATAAGTTACTTAATAGCTGTCGTATTTAATATAAGTAATTATTGTTACTTTTTAAAATATACCAATGAACTTGATCTTAGGATTTTTTTTCAGTGACTCGAGCTGGTTTGCAGACCCCACTCCATAATTATAGACTTCTGTTCTTAAATGTTAGCTTCTTTGTTTGGCAGTATTATACTTGTTTCTTTCTCACTGAGATAAATGTTCCTAACAAAAAGAGATAATAAATGTTTTGGGTGATGGATAGTCCGGTTACACTGATTTGATCATTATACATTGAATACTTGTATCAAAATATCACAGTACCCCATAAATATGTATAACTCTTATGTATTTACAAAAATTAAAAAAGAAAAATCTAACATATAATTTTTGGTCCTCCCAATTCTTTGCTCTGAAATTTCTAAATTATATAACATTGGCATTGAAAGAGACCAAGAGATGTCATATCCCACCTGTAGGCAAGACCATATCTAAAATACATTAGCAAGATGAAAAGCTATTGCAGTACTTGCTTCTAAGACTGCTTAGCCCAGTGTTTCCACCAAACTCAGGGCAGAGCTATGGAGGAGCTGAAGTTTGTGTTTTGTCTTGTCCGTTGCTCATCCTCGCCGCTCATTCTGTCTACCTCCTTCTTTGATCTTCCTTTCTCAGTTAATTACATCATCTGGAAATATGGCCTTGTGAACTAATCACTTTCTCCAGGAACATTTCCATTTTAATAATAATCACTACCAGTCACCATGCTAAATGCTTTGCATGCATTATTTCAAATTCTTAAAACAACCCTCTTAGTACTATCCCCATTTAACAACAAAGAAATTGAGTCCCCGAGAACTTAAGTAACTTGGTTCAAAGTCACAGACTAGCACACATAATTAACAAGTATCAGGGTTTGAATTTCTCTATCTGATTGCAATGTCTACATTCCTTCCATCACATCATACTAATTCTTATAGAAACCTAAAGCCCTCAAGACTTAAAAAAATGAAATTTCCAGAAGCTTACTTAACTAGCTGGTGAAAAATTTGATAAGGGGATAAGGATATTCCAGATGGGATATCTCTGTTTATCTACTCCACATATTTAAAAGTCAGTCTGACTTTATCTGTGTCAGGAAGCACCTTTTGTTAAACCACTGTGATGCTGGGCTTAACTCTACTTGGAGAGAGTCTTAGGTTCCTTGTTTGTCAGTATAGTTCATCAGTCTTCTTTGGCAACTATACCCCAGTGGACATCCACATGTGTTCCTCATAAGAGAAGAAAAGTACAGTCCTTCAGTTCAGGCACATGGACAGCTTATGTGACTGTCTTAGGCTTCAGGCTTTACCTTTGGGTGGGACATATTTTTATGCCCACACAGTTCCATCAAGTAGCATCGCATCAACTTGCACCTGTTTTACTCCAGAACTTCTTCCTTTCCAGGTTCCAGCCATCTTAGAGCGTTGCTAGTTACTGACAATCAGGCAGATCTGATTGTCAGAGGCTTCTTTGCATTATCAGAAAATTATCCTTCATATCCTTGTGCCACATTGTCAGTTTCTTCTCATTTTTTTCCTCAATGGCAATGGCTAAAACGCCAGGGGCTCCATATTGCTTCAGACAGTACTTCATCTGCTGCTGTCATCTTGCAGATATCTTCCCTTGGCCTTTTAGCCTCATCTCTCTTCTCTTTAGTCACTTTGGAGGCTTTCTCCAGCTCCTTCCCACTGTGCCCCACCTCTTTATTTAGTTCCTAGAACTGGACACAGTGGTTGGCAGGACTTGACCAACACAGGGCACAAGACAGCAGTTACCTTATATTCTTTCTTGTGGCTAATTTCTCCATTGCCATTTCCTGAAGCCTTTTCAGTCATTCCTCAAGTATATTCATTCCTATAGAAAACCAAGTCAGGCTGGGCATGGTGGCTCACACCTGTAATCCCATCACTTTGGGAGGCCAAGGTGGGCAGATCATGAGGTCAAGAGATCAAGACCATCCTGGCCAAGATGCTGAAACGCCGTCTCTACTAAAAATGCAAAAATTAGGCAGGCGTGGTGGCAGGCACTTGTAGTCCCAGCTACCCGGGAGGCTGAGGCAGGAAAATCGCTTGAAACCAGGAGGCGGAGGTTGCAGTGAGCTGAGATCATGCCACTGCACTCCAGCCTGGGTGATAGAGTGAGACTCCATCTCAAAAAAAAAAAAAAAAAAAAAAAAGAAAGAAAGAAAGAAAACCAAGTCAATGTTGATTTTATTGAGATGTAAGAGGGTTATATTCTAAATTTAGCAGGGAAGAGGCAGATTTCCCTAGGAAAGTGCTATGTTGTCTCCTTCCTCAGCTAAGTTTTTATAAAAGGTTGCCTTTGGGTTTTCGTTGTGGTTAAAAATGTGCAATTGCTTGTTTTGCAATAGGTTTTGTTCTGTGTTGCTACAATTTTCTCTTTTATATATTGTTTTTGCTTACAATTAAATCCAGGAAAATGTGGAAGAAAAAGAAGTGAAATAATCTCACAGCTGCTACGTTTTCCTGGAAGGCAAAGACACCTCCATTTTAAAGTTAGTTTTAAAACATGAAATCATTGTTCTTTGAAACAGCCATCTGGTCAAAGACCCCTTTGTAGAGTACATTTTTAAACAACAATTTTTAAAAACCACTAGGAGCTTTGTAAATATTTTCTTTATCTGGGTTATGAATTATTTTCAGCCTTTTGAGTAATTGTTAAAATGATGAAACTTACTGGAATAAAACAGATGTCTGTTTTTTGTTTTGTTTTTAGGGGAAAGAGGAAAATGTCATTGGGATATTGAGATTTACTTGGTACCTTGACAGTGAAATCTGAATAAATGGTTGTTAGTGTCCTTCTTAGCAATCCATTTACCATCCTTTTTTTTCTCTCTGTAATGCCAGAATATAAGCTTCATGAGAATAGCAACCTTATCTCTGTTCATCGCTATGTACCCCTAAGGGCCTAGCACAATGCCTGGCACATAGCTTCTCAAGACATGTTTATCAAACAAATAAATCAAGAAATGAATACCATAGGAACATTATACAGAATGACTTTTCATGTAATCAGTTACATAATTCATTTGTCCTTCCATTTTCTTCTACAGAGACACTTGGCATGGAAGTCTCCCTTAATAGAAACTTTCAGGTTGAAGATATGCCTAAAAATTGCTACCGTTTTTACTAGTCCATTACGGTTCTCTTATCCATGATTTTTATGTAAATCAACTCTAAATTGTTTATACTTTTACCACCTCTGAGGACAATAAATCCCACAAATAGAAGGGAGTTATGGTTCAACTCAATGGATGTATAAGTAAGGCATTAAGTGAATACAGAGGGAGAATAATTTATGCAATTATTGCTAAGTGGGCTAGACTCAGAGGAAGGAATATTCCAGTTGAGGCTGTAAGGGTGAGTAGAAATTTACCAGGTGGTGAAGCAGTCAGGGGAATAGAGGCAACAATGCATGAAAAGTCTTAAAGGGATGAAGGGCATGCCATACAGTCCCTCACCTCAGGACCATCACCAGCACTGTCATCATCTGTCTGCTGAAATATCACTCATGCAAAACACAGGCTGCCACTGAAGTGCATGATTTTTTAAAATTGAGAATGATATTTTTTCTTTGAAGAGTCGGTTATATCCATTATTTTAAAAACTGTCAGTTCACCTGAAACAGCCTCCCCAAACGAATCACTCTATAGCCAAGCCTCATGGAGACCAGGTTTTTACCAACTTTTTGCAGCAAGACTACTTATGTGGCCCAGACTTTGGGCCATGAATAATTTTGTGCAAAACTCACCCCATCCCAATCTCACTGAATGTTAGCAGTGGGGTGCTGCAGAGTCTGAATGAAGGTGGCGGTGGTGTTGGTGATTTCCCTGGGTGGGGCCAGGGGACACAGCATCTTGGGCCCAAGCACATCTTAGGCAACCCTATCCGCAAAGGCCCAAACTTCCCAGATGCATCCAAGACATCTTTTTGAAGCCTCAGACAGAGCAGTAGTATGAAGACCTATTTTTCCATGTAATAAAGGCTCATATAAAACTTTTCAAAATCAGTTCAAGGAACTCACTTTGATATGACTTGACATGAATTTAAATAACAACAATAATAATACCAAGAGGTAATAATTTAGAAATAATTTGAAAGCCGAGTTTTGTGGGGAACCATTACATAAAACCATTGGCACCATGATCCTACCACTCTCATTCTTCTGAAATTTTCCTCCACCCTTTTCTGTTTCACAGTATCTTAATGTTGATAAACTAACACAGACAGCCCCAACGCAGTCCCAGGCTCTTAGAGCTCGCATCTAACTCCCTCTGGGTGTTTGTGGGATAACATGAATCTGCAACTGTCCATATGATTTCACGATTGTTGTTTTTTGGCTTCTTGACCTACGTTATGCCTTCTGGGATAAGATGCTGCTTGCCTTGCATTGATAGTTCCTCAAAGATCTTATTTTTTAGAACTTTTAAAGTGAGTTATTTATATATATATATATATACTATTATCATTTAGTCATTAACTCAAATGAAAGATCCCACACAGAGTAATTTTTATACATAGTAAATATGGAAGGAAGAGGCCAAGCTAGCACAGACTGGGCAGCAATTTTTCCTGTCATGTGAAAAGTCATGGCATGGGTGGACCAATGGCCTCTCTCTCTATTTATTCCTCTGATTTCAGAAATGCTGAGTTTCAGCAGGCTATTACCATATATTCTGACCTAATAAATGAGACAGACTGAGAATAATTGTGGTTCTCTCTGCTTTCTTCACCAGTTCCTTTTATTCCATTCCACTCCTTTCATTGCTTTGCGCTAAATGAAATTTGGATTGCAACAACAACTTTTTAAAAATGACATTGTAATATTGGCTAATTTGCCTGGTATTGGTTATGCCCAAGTAGACACATGACCTGTGGCTGTTTGGCTTGTCCCCCTATGGGAAAATAGTTTAATGAAGCTAATACGTTGTACTAAAATAAAATAAATTCACATGGCACCCAGCATCACAGCCACAAGCAACATGGTTATTATTTATTACCCTGAGACACCAGCCCCACATCTCCAACTGCCTACTGGGCATTTTCACTGTGAGGGCCTTCTGTCGCTTCCTCTTTAATCCATCTGGAACCAAAACCATCACCCTCCTTTCAAAGCCATGCCTCACTATTGGAGTTTTAGGGGGCCAATTAATCATACCAGTTACTTCCCCTGTCTAGTTAAAATTGTTGCTGTTGCTGTTTTTAGAAGCAGTACACAAAAAGCAAACAGATAAGGCATGAAACAAATAGATCCAGATCTGTGGCCAAATGTCTTGCTCATACTTCAACTCCCAGTAATCACAACCACAGCTGAGCAACCACAGACCTCTACCAGAGGGCAGAGCTCATCAGAACATCTTGGAATAGGAGAGAAATGCCTGTGTCCTGCAGGCACGTCTTGCTCAATTTCTCCTTTATAGCTCACCAGTCAAATCAGCCAGTCCTCCTCTTTTGAGGGGAAGAAAATGAAGGCTAAGGAAAAGGGGCCAAGAGCTGAAGTCCCTTCAAGAGGCCAGGAGATCAAGTTCCCACTAACTCATCACTCCCGCATTTTCTATTTTTGTTTAGATATTTTCTTTGTTTATATGACATCAAATTATTTTAGCATTTGGGGATGAGAAAAAATAGTTAGATATTAAACATCCTATATTGTGAGAGGTTTCTACCATTTAAATTGTAATCTATTTTCTTTATGACCTTTTTCACCATAAATAAGACCCCCACAGTTATAACCAAAATTCACACTTTCAGCTCATTACTTGTTACTGTGATTAATGCTGACAAGGACCTGGCACCATGGCCATTGGCAGCCAGAGAAGGTCAGGACTAGTGGTGACTCAGCTGACTCTGCAGCTGCACTTACAGTAAATGTGTTTTGCAATGCTCTTATATTTAAAAATATTTTCTACAAATTTTTAATTCTTATTTAATTTTCTATTCATGTTTTATTATCATTTGCTCTTTGCTATATCAAGAGAAGGAAATAACAGATCAAATATCAAATCAACTGAGGTCCAAAAAACTCGTCCCTTTGGCAATGAATCATGGTACTTTGAGACAACAGGCAACGGTCAACCTCCAATTTGAATGGTTGTTGCATTGATCTTTGAGGATGCTATAGAAAGATAAGGAAAAAAGTATTTATAATATATATAAAATATATATATATATACACATGCACACACACACACACACACACACACATATATTTTTTGAGACAAGATCTTGCTCTGTTGCCAGGCTGTGGTACAGTGGCACTATCACAGCTTATTTGCAGCCTCTAACTCCTGGGCTCAAGCCATCCTCCTGCCTCAGCCTCCCAAAGTGATAGGATTACATGAGCCACTGTGTCTGACCAAGGAAAAGTATTTTAAATAAATGAGGGATACTAAGCTAATTCAACCATTGGCGAACACTTTATTCTGTCATGCATTCATTGCAAATTATTACCAAACACCAGCGCTGTGCTTAGGTTCTAAGAGGAACATGTCCCCTATTCTCATGGAATTCACAGTATAGTGAGAGAGGCTGATAACAAACAGTAATTACTTAATCACAACTGCTAATTACAACTACTGTGAGAATTTATAATACAGTGACCTGTCCATTTGGGGATTTCAGGGAATGGTCAAAACTAACACTAGAAGAATGCATAGAAATAGATTAGGTGAAGGGAGAAGGGGAGATTGTTCCAGGCAGAGTGAACAGCATATGCCAAGACCCTGAGGTAGGGAGAAGCTTTGTGTGTTCATGGAACTGATAGCTGGAGCCTGATGGGCAAGAATCAGGGGCCAGATCATTTATGATCCTACAGGCCATGTTAGGGTTGCTTTGTTGGTCTTTAATGCAGCAGGGAACCACTGAAGGGGAGTAATGTGGTTCAGTTTGGCTGCAGAATGGAGAGTAGAGAGGAACAAGTGCAGGAGTTGGGTTTTTGTAATACAGATAAGAGGTGATGACATCCTGGACTAGAAAGATGGAATAGAGGAATAAATGGGAGCTATTAACTGGCTACGTTGACAGAACTGACTGATTGGAAATGAGGTAGGGGAGAAAGAGATGTCGTGAATGACACCTAGGCATCTGGCACAAGCATCTCTTTGGAAGAAGCTGCCATTTACTAGTAGGAGGGAACTTTAGGGGAAGAGAAGATTTGGGAGCACATCCAGATTTCAAAATCTGAGATATCAAGAGAGCAACTGTAGCTCAGAGATGTCTGGCATTTATTAGCGGTCAGTTTATATATAGTACTAAATGCAAGTAGTCTCTTAGTATTTCTCATAGAAAGTTATCTTAGGAAAAAATCCTAGCTGGTAGTAATGCCTGGGTCTTTAAATTTTTCATTAAGTTCCGTTTCCTAATATATATTTTTAGGAGTTTCACATTTCTATTCATGAGTGAGATTGGTTTAAAGCGATATATTGAAAAGTTTGTTCCTTTTAATACTAGCCCCAGGAGAAGCTCAAGGGGGAAAAAAAGATTCAAAGGTGAAGTAAGCTTGGGAAGTCCTGTATAGCCTATTCATTTCTTGGAGATTTAAAATATGTATTAGACTATTATAATTTCTGAGAGGTTCTGAATAAAAGAAGCTTACTCTTAAAATCTAGGGAAAAAGGTATATAAAACTCTCTGAAGCCAGAACTATTGTGGAGAAAATTTTTAAATTTTTTTCCAATTTATCCTGTAGATACTGGTCAGATGGGATTTTATTATTTTGGTGTTATATTTCCTATATGTAACATCCATAATTGATACAAATTTACTATCATAAAAGCATACTTAGAATCTCTTAAGATAATTTAATCTTTTGTCTGTTAACTATATGTCGTCTCATTTCTAATTTTGTTTTCTCATCTTTTATATTACAGAATTCTGTTTTATTGTCTGATTCATTAGAGAAGAAACTCCTAAATGTAACAATAACATATTTGGTTCTCCACATTAATTCTTGACTTTATAAAATATTATATTCTTCTTTGCTTCGTTTTATAATTTTCCAACTTGCTCAATTTAATGCTGACAATCTATTTTTTGTTTCTTTTTAATAATAAAGTGTACCTGATTGTGATTTTGTCTCTGAATAGAGTTTTGGTTGCATGTTCTAAGTTTCAATACTGTGTGTAAGGTTGTTTAGTAAACAGTGTGTAATTATACTTTTGAGTTACTATTTGACAAAAATTTGCATGGAGTTTTAATTTATCTGAAGTGGTTTTGTTGTTCTTTCCTATTTAACTTTTATCATAATTTGTAGTTTTATTGTACTGTTGGGTTTTCTTTAACTGTAGATATGTGAAATCAGCAATATTATCTGTAAGGTAAAAGACAATTTATAGTCCTAATTTATTAAATTTATATTATTGACATCATAGGTTTGATGATTAATTTGTGATAATGTAAGATCTTTGTGTCATTAATTTATTGTCAATAATCTTTGAAGAACTTTGAATGCTGAGAAAATACTGGTGAGACTAGTCAGTCAACAAATATTAATGAGCACCTACTATATAACATAAATGCTAGGAATATATTGGTGAACATTTAAAGCTCCATCAATGGACTTGTGCTGTAGTTAGATGAGGCAGCAGATAGTTAACATACCTAATTTTACATACAGATAATTGTTATGATGAAAACGGAATAATGAAAAGAGTAAGAATGGGTGAAGGGTGGCAGGATTTTAGCTAGAGGGGTTAGGGGAGGCTTCTCTAGGGGATATTAGTGGATTATCAATGTGAATGAGATAGAATATCATTTCCAGCAAAAGGATTGGCGCCTGCAAAATCCCAAGGAAGAAACATGCTTGGCATATTTAAGAAACTGCAAATAAAAAGGCCAATGTGGCTGGAGCAGAATGAGGATGGGAAGAATGAAAATGCACATTTGAAACAGAGGAGGAAAATGAGGGGGCAAGAAGTCCAGACCTTTTTCCACTCGCCGTGAGAAGTGACTGGAGGATAGTAAACAGGGTGGTGATAAAATATACAATCTCTGTGGCTTCTTTGTGGCGAGTGGAGCAAGAAAACCATCAAGAAGATGTTATAAGTTGTGATAATCATCCCAATGAGAGAAGATAGTGACTTGGATATGGGAATCTGTAGGTCAGGGGAGAGATCTGAACTAAGCCACCTTTAAATGATATGAAAGGCCACCATACTGGGAAGATTACCACTGGAGAAATTGAGAGTGAAGTAGGCCATGAGAGAACCCTGGGACACCCCCAGAATTTAAAGGCCTTTAAGAGGAAGACGAGACAAAAAGAGATTAAGAAGCTGTAGTCAGTGAGGTAGCAGTGTGGGAGTCAGGCGGGTGTGATATCACAGAAGCCTGGAGGAGAAGGTGTTTGAGGACAGAGGGGGAGTGGTCAACAAATGCTACAGTAAAGCCAAGTAATGTGAAAACAGGGAATTGACAATTTGTTTGGGCAAGATGTAGATCACATGACCGTGAAAAGCGCTGTATCTATAGAGTAGCAGGATTACAGCCCTCACTTGGGTGGACTGAGGAAAGAATAAAGAGGGAGAGAATGGAAAAATAATTCAAGATAACTCAAGGAGTTTTGCTATAAAGGCAAATAGAAATGGGGCAGTTATTGGGAGTGAAGAAAGGTCTAGAGAAAGTGTGTGTGTGTGCACACGCATACATGTGCGTGTGTACACGTGTGCACGCCTGTTTTCAGATGGCTGCTTTTAAGGCATGCTAGTATACAATATGAATGATCCAAGCAGTTGAAAGGAAGAAACTGTATAAAAGGAATGAACACAGGGTGGAAGTTCATGCGGACCTTAGGAGAGACAGGACCCCATGTCTCAGTTGAAGGTTTGGCCTTCCATTATACAAGATAAAGGCAGAATCTGTGGTTGCAAATGTAGGTAGTCTCATGGATTTGTTGGAAAGAAGATGGATTATTCTTATCTGATTATGTATTTTTTCACTGTGAAGTATGAAGCAAGATTCTCCATTAAGTATGAGTGAAGGGTATATTAGAGATTTGAGGGAAGAAAATGTATGTAGTAGTAATCATCTGGTAAAGTGAGAAAGCATATTTACTACAGAATTGTAGTAAGGATGTCTGGAAAGGCTGGGTACCCATTTGATAGTTGTAGTTATAAATCTGAAGTGAGTGCAGTCAGCACAGTTGTATAGTTTTGGTCTTGCATGATTTGGCAATCTGGATACAGGGTCTGAGTAAGAAAGTAATTTGACTGGAGTTTTAATAAAACTGGTAATGACATAGGACTATGATGTTAGTCTGAATATGCAGATAATGTAAAACAGGAAGAAATATGAATATATTTTTTGCCAGAATCAGGATTCAGACATCTGAGCAAACTAGAAGGATGGGCCCAGACTAACACAATGAAATATAATAATGCTAAACAAAATTTACTTTTATATTTTAAAAAGACTATATGCATTCAGTATAGGAGAGGCCTGGTTTTATAGGAGGTCACGTGCACAGGACCTAAAGGCAGTGGAAATAATAAATGATAAAAGTGTTTGAATTTTGTATATTTTTCTTATATATTTACCTTATCTTTGGCATTGTGTTAAGCAAGCTCTTCACATATATAATCCATTTTTCATTATAATAAGCCTCAAGTTGATATTATAATCCCCATTTTATAGGTAGGTTAACAGATTCAGAAAGGTTGCCTCAGGCAGTGTCACATAAGATAATAAATGGCACAAAATGGATTTGAGCAGGTGTTCATGGTCTTTAATATATCCTGAATTTTACTCATCTTACATTAGCAAATATTTATTGTCCAGAAAACAGGCAAAAGTTCCACCAATATCTTTTCTTGCATCTGGAGATTTGTGATCAGCTGCTGGCATCTCAGTTTCTGAAAATCCTTTTAAAATAGAACAAATGCATAGGAGAGCTAAAAGGATGTTGCATTAATTAGAAACCTATTCATATGGGAAACACTTGAAAATATTGGCTGAAGGGTTGGCTTAGAGAATAGAAGACTTCACACACACACACACACACACACGCGCGTGCGTATATTCCTTACACGCAACTATTAAGTTGGTGCAAAAGTATTGCGGTTTTTGCAAAAACTGCCATTACTTTTGCATTAACCTAATATGTGGTTTGTGAAAATGTTTATCAAGTCATGGTTTCATAAATTATACCCATTTTAAATTCACTAGACAAGTTTACTATTTAAAAAAATGTGGAATGCATCTGTTGGAAACATACATTTAAGACCCTCCCAAAAAATGACTAATTAACATATGAAAAAAAGTTTTCATTTCACTGGCAACCAGAAATTGTAAAATAAAACAGCCATCCAGATATCATGATTGGGCTTTCAGAATAGGAGACGTGAGAAAGGTCATGATAGGTGGTAATGAGGAAGCTGTCCTCCTCATGTAATACATGTGGCCGACTGTGCGTGTAGCCTCCCTGGAGGCCAGTTTGGGAATCTGCATTAAATGCCTTAATTAGGTGCAAACCATGTGGCCCAGAAATTCCACTCCTAAAAGTTTATTTTTATCAAATGATTCAATAATTGTGCAAAGGAATTTGTTCAAAGATGATTTTGAAACATTGTTTATAATTGCCAACATTCACTATTTAGGCTCAGATGTTTGAACAGCTGACATAGGTAAGGGAATTAAACTTTGGATTTTTAACACCCAAAGGTATTCTTATGAAATGTTAATGAAAGTTACACATACAGTCAAAACATGGTCTCATCATGAGGTCCTGTTCTCTTTAGTGTAACGCTTAAAAGCCTTTTACCTAAGGCATAAAATTTCTCATACTTCTTTTTTAGCATTGAAGTGACTTATTTCTTTAAACTAAAACACATAGTTCAGCTTGGTTGTAATAGTGGAATTATTCAGAAGCTCATATCTGCATGATTGCAGCTGAAATAGACTAAACAAAAAAATGCAGTCAGTACAAATTGCTGTGGGTTATCTATACAGCTACAGCATGTGGTGAGAACCTGGAAGCTTCATCGACAGAATTTATGAGACTTCCAGTAAATCAGCTCAGTTCAGTGTTTTAGACCTGTATCCAACTCTCCTTGGATGTCTAGACACAGCCTAAGATGAGGCTTCGAAAATGGGTAAAAATGAAGCAGCCAAAGCCACCAGAAGCCTTTGACCCTCTTCTAATGTTTCAACCAGATAATTATTTTCCCTCTCAAGAATTTGGCTATCCTTTAAGAGGAAAAAAAAATTAAGATTTTCCAGTGAAGAGCCCCTGAAAGAAAATACTCTGGAGAAAGGTCAGTGAGAATGGGCCAAAGCTGAATTCTTCAGATCTATTCAGAGAATGTGGAAAGTCTGTGCCCTCTGCTTTCTGTGCCTTCCAGCTGGCCACGCGCTCCCATGACATTTGTCCAGTTCTACCTTCCCCATACCTTTACATAGTAAAGGAATTCATACTGTGCAGTGGGAAGACCTCCAAATGGAAACCTAATTGATAGCTAAAAGCTATGGTAGAAAGGTAATTAGATAATCAAAAACTGATGAATTTTGATTCTGTCAAGATAATCCATCACTCTTTCTGCTCTAAAGCAAAGATACAACTTTTGAAAATTTCCAACAATAAACTTTCATGCTTGGAGAATATATTTCTTTTAAATGTGTCCCTCTTTTAATTGAAATGACTCATTCTGCTTGTTTTGGTTTATCCTTTTAAACTTGAATATCTTAGGTTTTCTATAAAAAGTTTAGCATCTGGTCAAAAATGAAAAAGGTGGTTTAAAAAATAAGCACTGTCCAAGTTTATTCCATTGTGTTTTCATTCATTTATTTGTCCATTTTCTTATTCATTCAACAAGTGTTTGTTTTATGGAGGCTATAAACCAAGGATTGGGGTAGACCCAGATTATGCCACTTATTAGTTATGTGATCTTGGGAACACCCTTTAATATCTCTGAATTTCAGTTTCCTCATCTGTGAAACAGCTTTACTACCAACTTTACAGGATTGCTATAAAGAGTAAATGAGATTATTTATCTTTTAAAATGGTAAAAAGTTAGGCCAGGTGCAGTGGCTCAAACCTGTAATCCCAGCACTTTGGAAGGCCAACACAGGAGGATCGTTTGAGCTCACAAGTTCGAGACCAGCCTAGACAATCTGGCGAAACCCCATTTCTACAAAAAATACCAAAATTAGCCAGGCTGGGACTGCAAGGCTGTAGTCCCGGCTACTTGGGAAGCTGAGGTGGAAGGATGGTTTGAGCCTGAAAGGTGGAGGTGGCAGTGAGCCAAGATCGCGCCACTGCACTACAGCCTGGGCAACAGAGCCAGACTTTGTCTCAAAAAAAAAAAAAAAAAAAGTAAAAAGTTATAAGTTTCACTTTCCCCCTTCTCTATTTATTATTTATTACTATACCCCAAAAGTCATACACAACAAAGATGGAAATCCTCAAAGACACAGAAAAGTAGAGATGTCAGTCAACGTTTGCAAGACTCATAGATTGAACTGGATTGAAAATCTATCAGTGACCAGTGAATGCTTTGCCCTGATTAAGAAAAATGAGGCCAAACAAGAAGACAACCCAAAGAAGCCTCTATGTTTCTTCACTACATCAACTTGAGAAACGTGGGCACTGTGACAACCAGAAATCCAGAGAGGCAACTTTGAACTATAAGGCCAACTCAAAAAACGAATCCAAGTAAGAATTTACAACGGGGAAGTCCAGGTAGAAGATGCCTGATGGTAAATATTTATTCAAGATAAACATGTAGAGTTCCATCTAATAAATGCTTAAATATAACAAAACTGAATACAATTAAAAGAAGGAAAAGATGTGAAAAAATTCAGAAATAATATGTCAGTATTTCTAGATAGATTAGCAAATGTCATGAAGAAAGCAGCAGAAAGTAAAAGCTTCTAAATTCTTCAAGAAGTCAGAGATTATTTTTGTATTCCTGAATTGTATGTGTATATATAAAATATACGTATATATATACAAAAGTGAATTCAAGAATGATTTTAAAAACTGAAAGATAACTGCTGAAAAATATAGAAGCCAAAAAGCCAGCTTATTTGTTAACAAAACAAAAGAAACAGTCAGCATTTAAAAACAGCAAATTGTATCTCAAAATGATAAAACTAAGGCTAAGCACACAGTCATGGCAAGATATAAACATGATTGAAACTTTCCTAATCAAAAATGATGATTTTCTGATTGAGATTAAAACCAAAACCCAATTATACTGTTGACATTTATAATAGGACTTTTAAAAAGTAAAACAAATGGAAAAAAATGTAAAAATAAAAGAAGAAACAAAGATAGGTCAGGCAAATGCAAAGAATAAGTGAAAAGACTTTGAAATACTATACAAAAATATTGTATTATATTTTTGTAATGAAATCAGAACAAAGAACTTCATTTCTATAAACATACTAAAATACTCAAAGTCCTTAGCAAGCAACCATTGATGGAGAATCACTTTTAAGTTATAAAATTAGCAAACATACTTTAAAGATGACAGTCAATATTTATGCGTATGAGATTCATTACTCAATAAATATCTATGGAATACCTACTAGTGCTGGTCACTTTGTGAGACCTTGGGGTACAGTGTAATCAAATCAAGTCATCCAAATATCCCTTTTAATTTATTAGAGGGGTTGGAGCAGAGCCACAGGGCAACATTCAGTTCACTGCCAAGATGATGCCAGCATTCAGACAAGTCTCTCCACCAAAGCACTAGTTGTGTGATTCCTTCTGGACCCCTTGGCAGATGATTTTGATTGCAGGCTCAAAGGCCAAATGGTCTGTAGCCAAGGCCCTTGGGGGACTGGGTCATTTCCAGGTTTGAACCTGGGAGCAAGCTTGGTGGATCAGCCACCTCAGTGTCATTCGATACTCTCAAAACAACCCTCCTATGTCTAGGGCTTCATCAGTGTTTCACAAACTCCTACCTGAATCCTGAGGCTCCCAGAAAGAGACTTCTGACTATACAGGGATGTGGAATTCTTGTTGCTGTAGGGGAATATTAGCAGGTGACCTTCTTTTCCACCATCCTGGTGATGTCACACCTCCCTTTCCAATTATAAGGGTTTGTTTCGTGCTATTCAATAAGATATTATCATTTCCTTAATTTAAAAAAATTCATTTCTATGTATTTTAAAGGCTCTGCTCCTAATGTGAATGGAGTCTTTTCCCATTTCCTAAGTTATTTGTAGTACTGAGAAAAGCAATTGATTTGTATATTTTCATCTTGCAGTTAATGTTAGCCTTTTAAACATAGCATCTTGGCCGGGCACAGTGGCTCACGCCTGTAATCCTAGCACTTTGGGAGGCCAAGGCGGACTGATCACCTGAGGTCAGGAGTTCGAGACTAGCCTGGCCAACAATGTGAAATCCCATCTAGACTAAAGATGCAAAACTCAGCTGGGCCTTGTGGCATGTTCCTGTAATCACAGCTACTTGGGAGGCTGAGGCAGGAGAATCGCTTGAACCTGGGAGGCGGAGGCTCCAGTGAGCCAAGATCATGCCACTGCACTCCAGCCGGGGCAACAGAGCAAAACTCCATCTCAAAAAAAAAAAAAAAAAATAGCATCTTATTAATTTTGGTAGTGTTTTGTTAAATACTAACACTTGGATTTTTCAATTCTTCTTGAGTTAATTTTGGTAATTTGTATTTTTAAAGGTATTGTTAATTTATTCTAGATTCTTAATTTTTTGCCATAGGGTTGCATATAATATTTTAATTTTTTCAACCTCTTCTATATTTGTGGTCATTATCCTATTGTTTCTCATTTGCAATCTTGTATACTTTTGTTTTCTCCCATTTCCCCCCTTAATTAGGATTGTAAGTGTATTATCTACTGGTAAAGGGAAAATACTTGTGGATGTCCTTAACCTCTGTTATTTTTATATTTCCTATTTCCTTAATTTTGGCCTTAATCTGTGTTAATTCTCTTTGTTGGTTTATTTTATTTTTTAAAAATCATTTTATAATTTATCTAGATGAATACCAACCTTCTTTTCTAAATGATGAGCATATTTAAGGTTATACATTTTCCTACAGCCTTTGCTCCTTTGGATATGAAGCGTTTATATCTTTATTGCTTTCTAAATAATTTTTACTTTTGGTTTCTTCTGTCATACAAGGTTTATCTGGGAGTATGTTTCTCACATTTTTCTTTTATACTTTTTTATTAGAACTTCATATGCCTCAGTTGTATCTTTTCTCATTAATTCCACCTGATTGTACTTTTGATGTACATATTTGTGTCTTTCTAAATCTCAGGGAAAGCTTCTTTTTAAAAAAATATGTCTTTTATAATTGTTTTTCTCCTTCTATCTTCCTTTTCTTTTTTTCTGGAACTCCTCTTGTTCACAAGTTAGACATTCTGGGTCTTTCCTCCACACCCTCATCATTTCTGTCCTTTTATATTTTTCCACTTCTATTAGATCTTCAAAGCTGCTAATTCTAGTCTCAACAATGATCAGCCTTTCTTGCTATTTATCTACTTAATTTTTTTAATTTAAAAATCTGACTTTTTAGTTCTAGGAAGTCTTTTTTAATGCTGTTCGTGTGCCTCTTCAAGTCCTTATTTTCTTCTGTCTTCTGCTTTCCCCAAAGGTTCTCCTTCATTGATGGACTGCTGTGATTGCTTTCCTCATTCTTTCCCTCTCTGACTGTTAGCTTCTTTAGGTATCCTTTCATTTTCATTTGTTCTTCATGGCACAAGTCCAACTGCTGGACGCTTTAAGTGGGCTGGTCCCACAAGTGTGGGAAGGCACAGATGTCTCAGTTGTCATGGGCCAGTAATAGGCACTGCTATGGGAGACTCAGGGGAGCCTTCTGCATTAGAGTAGAAAAACTTAGCCCCTCCACACCTTCTTAGGACCAGAGAGTCAGGCCCACTTAAAGGTCCTGCAGTCATCAAAGACAGCTCGACCAAGAATCTGATGTTTGCTGGTTCTTGTCCTAAAGCTAGAAAGTGCCACAACAGATGTCTTGCTCACACCCTGTCTACCTGAGTACCACTCCCAATATCTGCTTGACTTGAGAAAAGAGGACCTGTTTGAACTGAGTAAGAAGTGGAGAGGAAATGGAACACTCCTAAGCCATCATCTTCCCGGAATCCCCAGGGGATATAATGTTGAACATAAAAATGATACATTTCTCTTTCCATTGGAGTTTATGGGCTAGTTGAGAAGGTAGACATTAATGAAAATACATAACTAAATATAAAAGCAAGAGAGAAAGAAAAAAAGGAAGGACAGAAAGAAGAAAGAAAGAAAGAGAGAGAGAGAGAGAAAGACAGAGAAAGAAAGAAAGGAAAAGAAAGAAGGATAAAAAGAAAAACAGATGCATAATTCTGAAATCACAACTGTGATGAGTGCTACAAAGGAAAGGTAAATATAATAGAAAGGGGAAAAATGTATGACAGAGGAGCTGGCCTGGTAGGACTGTCAGGGAAGTGATGCCTGATGAAGTGATGACTGAGTTGAAATCCCAAGATAGAGTAGGAATTAACTGTGCAAAGAGAGATGGAAAGACAGCTGCAGGCAGAGAGCAGCATATTCAAAAGCATTGGAAGTAAGCGTGGCACATCTGACACACGAGGAACTAAAGAAGTCCAAGGTGGCTGGCACAGAAAGAGCAAAGTGTTCAAAGAAACTGGAGAGGAACATAATGACTGCCCAGACCCTGGGGGCTTTGTGGGCCATCATAGGGAGTGTGGCCTTTTTCCTAATAGCACATAACCATCGGAGTGTCTTACTTCAGAAGATCATGAAGATTCAGTGCAGATAACAAATTTACTTATTTATTTAATATCAACTTACTTTATTTTATATGTGCAGGTTTGTTACATGGGTATATCACATGACGCTGAGGTTTGGTGTACAAATGATCCCATTACCCATGTGGTGAGCATAGTACCCAGTAGGTGGTTTTTCAACCCTTCCTCCCTTTTTCCTTCCCCATCTAGTAATCCCCAGTGTCTATTGTTCCCAACTTTGTCTATATGTGCCCAATGTTTAGCTCCCACTTATAAGTGAGAACATGCAGTATTTGGTTTTCTGTTTGTGCATTAATATTATTAGGATAATGGCTTCCAGCTCCATCCATGTTGTTGCAAAGGACATAACTTTGTTCTTTTTATGGGCTGCATAGTATTCCATAGTGTATATGTGCCACATTTTCTTTATCCAGTCCACTATTAACAGACACCTAGGTTGATTCAATGTCTTTGCTATTATGAAGAATGCTGCAATGAACATACAGGCACATGTGTGTTTTTGGCAGAACAATTTATTTTCCTTTGGGTATACATACCCAGTAATGGAATTGCTGGGTCAAATGGTAGTTCTGCTTTTAGTTCTTTGAGAAATCTACAGACTGCTTTCCACAGTGGCTAAACTAATTTACATTCCTACCAACATCACATAAGTGTTCACCTTTCTCCTCAGCCTCACCAACATCTGTTATTTTT
This sequence comes from Homo sapiens, assembly GCF_000001405.40. Classification (NCBI taxonomy): domain Eukaryota; kingdom Metazoa; phylum Chordata; class Mammalia; order Primates; family Hominidae; genus Homo; species Homo sapiens. The sequence goes on from NC_000001.11 coordinate 172,300,057, forward strand.
TGGCTTTTTAGTAGTAGCCATTCTAACTGGTGTGAGATGGTGCCTCATCATGGTTTTGATTTGCATTACTCTGATGATTAGTAATGTTGAGCATTTTTTCATGTTTTTTTTTGTTGCTTGTATGTCTTCTTTTGATAAGTGTCTGTTCATGTCCTTTGCCTACTTTTTAATGGGGTTATTTGTTTTTCACTTACTGAATTATTTAAGTTCCCTATAAATTCTGGATATTAGACCTTTGTTTGATGCATAATTTGTAAATATTTTCTCCCGTTCTGTAGGTTGTCTGTTTACCCTATTGATAGTTTCTTTTTTGCTGTCTAGGAGATCTTTCGTTTAATTAGGTCCCTCTTGTCAATTTTTATTTTTGTTGTAATTGCTTTTGAGTATTTAGTCATAAATTCTTGCCAAGACCAATTCCAGGAAGGTATTTTCTAGATTTTCTTCTGAAGTTCCCCACCTACAACCATCTGATCTTTGACAAAGTTGACAAAAATAAGCAATGGGGAAAGGACTCCCTATTCAATAGATGGTACTGGGATAACTGGCTAGCCATATGCAAAAGAATGAAACTGGACATTTACCTATCACCTTATAAAAAAATTAACTCAAGATGGATTAAAGACTTAAATGTAAGATCTAAAACTATAAAAATCAGACAGCAAGTTAAAAGAGGCCATGGGATTCTGGGAGACCAATGAGGAGGCTATTGTATAATAATAGTCCAAAAGAGAGGTGATTATAATAACAATTTAAAGAGGACACTTTTATGTAGTAAAATGGAAGACAGGTGATAAAGAGTGAAAGGTGTCCAAAATACCCCTAAAGTATCTGAATTACACCACTAAAATGGGAACATTGGAAGAAGACCAAGTTGTAAATCACCTGTTCAGTTTTTCACATCAAGATTCCTTGGCAATACTCAAGAGCAGAAGTCAATAGGCAGTATGACTCTGGGGAAGGTCTAGACAGGAGATATAAACACATGGGCCTTCTGAGTTTAGGTGGAGATGGAGGCTCTTAGGCATAAATAAGCACAACTTGGGAGAGAATAAGGGAGAAGAAAGCTTGTTAATCTTGTATACTGCTAGTGTGTCTAAATTGGACTATCTTTTCTGGAAAGGTAATTAGGAGTTTTTATTGTTTTAAGAATGATCATAACTTTAGGCTGGGAATGGTGGGTCACTCCTGTAATTCCAGCACTTTAGGAGGTCGAGGCAGGAGGATAGCTTGAGCCCAGGAGTTCATGACCAGCTTGGGCAACACAGTGAGACCTTGTCTCTACTAAAAATAGAAAAATTACTTGGGTGTGGTGGCACATGCCTGTAGTCCCAGCAACATGGGAGGCTGAGGTGGAAGGATCACTTGAGCCCAGGAGTTTGAGGCTACAGTGAGCTATGACTGTGCCACTGCACTCCAGCTCAGGCAACAGAGAGACATCCTGTCTCTAACAAAAAACAAAAACAAAAAACCTTTAGATCCTGTAACTCTATTTATAGGAATCCATCTTCAGAAAATAATAGTAGTAAATGTGACAAGTGCTCATGGATGAAAATAATTATTTAAGTATTATTTATGATAGCAAAACAAAAAGGAAAATTATTTAATTATCTAATATTAGGAGAAGGTTAAATCATCATACATTTATATGAATGAATATTATGCTACTATAATCTGACATTTATAAATATTTAATGGTATAAGTAAATGACCATGATATAACAGTAAGTGAAAAAGCATGACACAAGATAATAGAGAACTAGAGAGGAATAGAGGGTGGGAGGGAGAGAAATAGAACCTCAACTATCTGAAAAATAGGTACAATGAAAGGGTATAAGAAAATAAGGTTATGGTCCCGTTCCAAGATGACCGAATAGTAACAGCTCTGGTCTGCAGCTCCCAGCGTGATCTACTCAGAAGATGGGTGATTTCTGCTTTTCCAACTGAGGTACCTGGTTTATCTCACTGCGACCAGTTGGACAGTGAGTGCAGCCCACAGAGGACGAGCCAAAGCAGGGTAGGGCATCACCTCACCTGGGGTTGGGGAATTTCCCTTTCCTAGCCAAGGGAAGCCGTGACAGACTATACCTGGAAAAATGGGACATTCCCGACTAAATACTGTGCTTTTCCAATGGTCTTAGCAAATGGCACACCAGGAGATTATATCCCACGCCTGGCTCAGCAGGTCCCACACCCACGGAGCCTTGCTCACTGCTAGTACAGCAGTCTGAGATTGACTTGCCAGGCAGCAGCCTAGCAGGGGGAGGGGTGTCCCCCATTGCTGAAACTTGAGTAGGTAAACAGAGCAGCTGGGAAGCTTGAAGTGGGCGCAGCCCACTGCAGCTCAGCAAGGCCTGCTACCTCTATGGACTCCACATCTGGGGACAGGGCATAGTTCAACAAAAGGCAGCAGAAACTTCTGCAGACTTAAATGTCCCTGTCTGACAGCTCTGAAGAGAGCAGTGGTTCTCCCAGCATGATGTTTGAGCTCTGAGAACGGACAGACTGCCTCCTCAAGTGGGTCCATGACCCCTGTGTAGCCTAACTGGGAGACACCTCCCAGTAGGGGCTGACTGACACCTCATACAGGCAGGTGCCCCTCTGGGATGAAGATTCCAGAGGACGGGTCAGACAGCAATATTTGCTGTTCTGCAGCCTCCGCCGGGTGATACCAAGGCAAACAGGGTCTGGAGTGGACCTCCAGCAAACTCCAACAGACCTGCACCTGAGGGACCTGACTGTTAGAAAGAAAACTGACAAACAGAAAGGAATAGCATCAACATCAACAAAAAGGACATCCACACCAAAACCCCATCTGTAGGTCACCAACATCAAAGACCACAGGTAGATAAAACCACAAAGCTGGGGAGAAACCAGAGAAGAAAAGCTGAAAATTCTAAAAACCAGAGCACTTTTTCTCCTCCAAAGGATCACAGCTCATCACCAGCAATGGAATAAAGCTGGATGGAGAATGACTTTGATGAGTTGACAGAAGTAGGCCTCAGAAGGTCAGTAATAACAAACTTCTCCAAGCAAAAGGAGCATGTTCTAACCCATTGCAAGGAAGCTAAAAACCTTGAAACAAGGTTAGACAAATGGATAACTAGAATAAAGAGTGTAGAGAAGACCTTAAATGACCTGATGGAGCTGAAAACCATGGCATGAGAACTACATGATGCATGCACAAGCTTCAGTAGCCAATTCAATCAAGTGGAAGAAAGGGTATCAGTGATGGAAGATCAAATTAATGAAATAAAGCGAGAAGAGAACTTTAGAGAAAAAAGAGTAAAAAGAAATGAACAAAGCATCAAAGAAATATAGGACTGTGTGAAAAGACCAAATCTACATTTGATTGGTGTGCCTGAAAGTGATGGGAGAATGGAACCAGGTTGGAAAACACTCTTCAGGCTATCATCCAGGAGAACTTCCAACCTAGCAAGGGAGGCCAACTTTCAAATTCAGGAAATACAGAGAACACCACAAAGATACTCCTTGAGAAGAGCAACCCCAAGACACATAACTGTCAGATTCACCAAAGTTCAAATAAAGGAAAAAATGTTAAGGGCAGCCAGAGAGAAAGGTCGGGTTACCCACAAAGGGAAGCACATCAGACTAACAGCGGATCTCTCAGCAGAAACCCTACAAGCCAGAAGAGAGTGGGAGCCAATATTCAACATTCTTAAAGAAAAGAATTTTCAACCCAGAATTTCATATCCAGCCAAACTAAGCTTCATAAGTGAAGGAGAAATAAAATCCTTTACAGACAAGCAAATGCTGAGAGATTTTGTCACCACCAGACCTGCCTTATAAGAGCTTCTGAAGGAAGCACTAAACTTGGAAAGGAACAACTGGTACCAGACATTGCAAAAACATGCCAAATTGTAAAGACCATTGATGCTAGGAAGAAACTGCATCAACTAACCAGCAAAATAACCAGCTAACATCATAATGTCAGGATCAGAGTCAGACATAACAATATTAACCTTAAATGTAAATGGGCTACATATCCCAATTAAAAGACACAGACTGGCAAATTGGATAAAGAATCAAGACCCATCAGTGTGCTGTATTCAGGAGACCCATCTCACATGCAGAGACACACATAGGCTCAAAATAAAGGGATGGAGGAATATCTACCATGCAAAAGGAAAGCAAAAAAAAAAAAAAAACAGGAGTTGCAATCCTAGTCTCTGATAAAACAGACTTTAAACCAACAAAGATCAAAAGAGACAAAGAAGGCCATTACATAATGGTAAAGGGATCAATTCAACAAGTAGAGCTAACTATCCTAAATATATATGCACCCAATACAGGAGCACCCAGATTCATAAAGCAAGTCCTTAGAGACCTACAAAGAGACTTAGACTCCCATACAATAAGGGGAGATTTTAACACCCACTGTCAATATTAGACAGATCAACGAGACAGAAGGTTAACAAGGATATCAAGGAATTGAACTCAGCTCTGCACCAAGAAGACCTAATAGACATCTACAGAACTCTCTATCCCAAATCAAGAGAATACACATTCTTCTCATCACCACATCCCACTTATTCCAAAGTTGACCACATAGTTGGAAGTAAAGCACTCCTCAGCAAATGTAAAAGAACAGAAATCACAACAAACTGTCTCTCAGACCACAGTGCAATCAAATTAGAACTCAGGATTAAGAAACTCACTCAAAACCGCTCAACTACATGAAACTGAACAACCTGCTCCTGAAGGACTAAGGGTTTAATAATGAAATGAAGGCAGAAATAAAGACGTTCTTTGAAACCAATGAGAACAAAGACACAACATACCAGAATCTCTGGGACGCATTTAAAGCAGTGTGTAGAGGGAAATTTATAGCACTAAATGCCCACAAGAGAAAGCAGGAAAGATCCAAAATTGACACCCTAACATCACAATTAAAAGAACTAGAGACGCAAAAGCAAACAAATTCAAAAGCTAGCAGAAGGCAAGAAATAACTAAGATCAGAGCAGAACTGAAGGCGATAGAGACACAAATACCCTTCAAAAAAATCAGTGAATCGAGGAGCTCATTTTTTGAAAAGATCAACAAAAGTGATAGACCACTAGCAAGACTAATAAAGAAGAAAAGAGAGAAGAATCAAATAGATGCAATAAAAAATGATAAAGGGGATATCATCACCGATCCCACAGAAATACAAACTACCACCAGAGAATACTACAAACACATCTACACAAATAAACTAGAAAATCTAGAAGAAATGGATAAATTCCTGGACACATACACCATCCTAAGACTAAACAAGGAAGAAGTTGAATCTCTGAATAGACCAATAACAGGCTCTGAAATTGAGGCAATAATCAATAGCCTACCAACCAAAAAAGTCCAAAACCAGACGGATTCACAGCCGAATTCTACCAGAGGTACAAGGAGGAACTGGTAGCATTCCTTCTGAAACTATTCCAATCAATAGAAAAAGAGGGAATCCTCCCTAACTCATTTCATGAGTCCAGCATCATCCTGATACCAAAGCCTGGCAGAGACACAACAAAAAAAAGAGAATTTTAGAACAATATCCGTGATGAACATCGATGCAAAAATCCTCAATAAAATACTGGCAAACCGAATCCAGCAGAACATCAAAAAGCTTATTCACCACGATCAAGTTGGCTTCACCATGGGATGCAAGGCTGGTTCAACATACACAAATCAATAAACATAATTCATCACATAAACAGAACCGAAGAGAAAAACCACATGATTATCTCAATAGATGCAGAAAAGGCCTTTGACTAAATTCAACAGCCTTCACACTAAAAACTCTCAATTAACTAGGTACTGATGGAATGTATCTCAAAATAATAAGAGCTATTTATGACAAGCCCACAGCCAGTATCATAGTGAATGGGCAAAAACTGGAAGCGTTCCCTTTGAAAACTGGCACAAGACAGGGATGCCCTCTCTCACCACTCGTATTCAACATAGTGTTGGAAGTTCTGGCCAGGGCAATCAGGCAAGAGAAAGAAATAAAGGGTATTCAGTTAGGAAAAGAGGAAGTCAAGTTGTCCCTGTTTGTAGATGACATGATTGTGTATTTAGAAAACCCCATCATCTCAGCCCAAAATCTCCTTAAGCTGATAAGCAACTTCAGCAAAGTCTCAGGATACAAAATCAATGTGCAAAAATCACAAGCATTCTTATACACCAGTAACAGAGAAACAGCCAAATCATGAGTGATCTCCCATTCAAAATTGCTGCAAAGAGAATAAAATACCTAGGAATCCAGCTTACAAGGCATGTGAAGCACCTCTTCAAGGAGAACTACAAACCACTGCTCAACGAAATAAAAGAGGACACAAACAAATGGAAGAACATTCCATGTTCATGGATAGGAAGAATCAATATTTTGAAAATGGCCATACTGCCCAAGGTAATTTATAGGTTCAATGCCATCCCCATCAAGCTAACAATGACTTTCTTCACAGAATTGGAAAAAAACCACTTTAAAGTTCATATGGAACCAAAAAAGAGCCCGCATTGCCAAGACAATCCTAAGCAAAAAGAACAAAGCTGGAGGCATCACACTACCTGACTTCAAACTATACTACAAGGCTACAGTAAGCAAAACAGCATGGTACTGGTACCAAAACAGAGATATAGACCAATGGGACAGAACAGAGGCCTCAGCAATAACACCACACATCTACAACCATCTCTTTGACAAACCTGACCAAAACAAGCAATGAGGAAAGGATTCCCTATTTAATAAATGGTGCTGGGAAAACTGGGTAGCCATATGTAGAAATCTGAAACTGGATCCCTTCCTTACACCTTATAGAAAAATTAATTCAAAATGGATTAAATACTTAAATGTTAGACCTAAAACCATAAAAACCCTAGAAGAAAACCTAGGCAATACCATTCAGGACATAGGCATGGGCAAGGACTTCATGTCTAAAACACCAAAAGCAACCACAACAAAAGCCAAAATTGACAAATGGGATCTAATTAAACTAAAGAGCTTCTGCACAGCAAAAGAAACTACCATCAGAGTGAACAGGCAACCTACAGAGTGGGAGAAAAATTTTGCATTCTACCCATATGACAAAGGGCTAATATCCAGAATCTACAAAGAACTTAAACAAATTTTACCAGAAAAAATAAACAAACAACCCCATCAAAAAGTGGGCAAAGCATATGAACAGATACTTCTCAAAAGAAAACATTTATGCAGACACATGAAAAAATGCTCATCATCACTGATCATCAGAGAAATGCAAATCAAAAACCACGATGAGATAACATCTTACACCAGTTAGAATGGCGATCAATAAAGTCAGGAAACAACAGATGCTGGAGAGGATGTGGAGAAATAGGAATGCTTTTACACGGTTGGTGGGAGTGTAAACTAGTTCAACCATTGTGGAAGACAGTGTGGTGATTCCTCAAGGATCTAGAACTAGAAATACCATTTGACCCAGTGATCCCATTACTGAGTATATACCCGAAGGATCATAAATCATGCTACTATAAAGACACACGCACACGTATGTTTATTGCAGCACTGTTCACAATAGCAAAGACTTGGAACTGACCCAAATGTCCATCAATGATAGACTGGATTAAGAAAATGTGGCACATGTACACCATGGAATACTATGCAGCCATAAAAAGGATGAGTTCATGTCTTTTGCAGGGACATGCATGAAGCTGGAAACCATCATTCTGAGCAAATTATCACAAGGACAGAAAACCAAACACCACGTGTTCTCACTCATAGGTGGGAACTGAACAATGGAATACTTGGACACAGGGTGGGGAACATTACACACCAGGGCCTGTCATAGGGTGGGGGCTGGGGGAGGGATAGCATGAGGAGAAATACCTAATGTAAATGATGAGTTAATGGGTGCAGCAAACCAACATGGCATGTGTATACCTATGTAACAAACCTGCACGCTGTGCACATGTACCCTAGAACTTAAAGTATAATAATAATAAAAATCTTAAATAAAAAAAAGAAAAGAAGGTTATCTCTAGGCTGTGGAAACTGGATGATTGTTACCACTTTAATTCTTTTCTCTACTTTCCAAATATTTAAAAATGGGCATGTATTGCATTTTATGTAATATCAGGAAAAGAAATATAAAAGGAAAATACTGTCCCCATCATAAATATGCACTTCATTGGCATCTCACCCTATTAAACACTGGTTATCAGTCTTTCCTTTTCACAATTTAATGAGCATTTCTGTTTTGCATCTGGCATTGTCTTTTAGGTTTGTAAGATTATTGCCGTGCATCTTAAAGTTTTATGAGCTATTTAGTCATTTAGACTCATAAAATATCTTCAGAGAATTGATCTAGCGGCTGAGCAATAGCAATTCCTTCCCCACAGCACAAGTTCCAATCAGTTCACACCCAGTGTATAATATTGAATACATTTGTATTTACTTTTTAATTTTGTAGCAGTACAGATAACTCTGAGCTTTGTAATGTGATTTTTTAAAAAATTATATTGTAAATACATGTAGAAATTCACTAATTATTTTAAAGTATGAGTTGTTTTTGTTTTCCTTCAGTGACTGTCAGAAACTGTCCATTTGGATTGTCACTTACATCATCATCGTCTACAGCAACATAAAATGACTTTGAATTTGGTTCAAACTAAAAGCATGATTTTTTTTTTTTTTAACTCCAGGAATGTATACAAAGACTATCGCTTCCTTGAGCTGGCATGTGATTCCCAGGAGGATGTCGACAGCTGGAAGGCATCTCTACTAAGAGCTGGGGTCTATCCTGACAAATCTGTAGTAAGTTGGATATATCTCTTATGTAAAAATTATTATTAGCTATGCTTAAGAAAATATTAATCCTACATACCATAAGCTGGAGAAACTAGTTTTCTTACTGACTTAATTAATTAGTTACACTTTTAGCTGATACTTCGCTTACTCTTTTTATATTTTTTAACAATGCTTTTTCTCTGTTAGATTTCTATTTGAAGAAGTTAAACAATATATTTGTTAAAGAAAATGTCCTACTCAGCCATAAAACACATATGCAATCTCAGCTCAAGACAAAGTTTGTTTTATTTCAAAATTTCATTTTTCTCTATATGCTTTTTCATACTTATCATGGTATTAATACAATCAGTATATCATCAATCATAACACCAGCATTTTGACTTGCTTAAAATATACTCATTTTAATAAAAATCTATCCCCTTTCATTATGTCTATATTCCCTGTATCCATAAGTATATCTGTGTGCAAACTCTGTTTAATATCCTCATGAGTGTGAAAGAACAAAAAGAAATATATTGCTATTTCCACTTGTCTTTATTAATATGCTTCACGTGTCTTTAAGACACTTCTCTCATTCAAGTTAATAAACAGACCTTTTCTTTGTGTTCTTTGGAAAATGTAATATTACACAGACTAGTCTAAATTTAAACAGAAGTCTCACCCAACATATGTGCACCCACCGTTAAACAGACTCTGCCACTGAGTGGACCTCTCCACTTGCTGCTTCCTCCTGTATATCTAGATTATCCAGGTTTCTCCCCAGAACTAAAGTACTGAGACTAAGCCTTGGGGATTTAGTTCAGCTTAACTCCTGAGGTGCCTACTTGGCTCTCGATCAGTTTATAGGAATGATCATGCATGAGTTGGGTCCTTTTTAGGTTCAAAATAGGGAGAGAGTCTTTTCAAGAGAAAGTCTGAGATATGGGTGAAACATAGGACAATTAAAGTATTTCTAGGGGGGTTTCAGGGCTGACCACATCTCTGGGGTTATACTAAAATGTAACAGAGTTTCAGGAATACAGGATTGAGGACTTGCACCAAAATGTCGTCCTCTCTGCTGTTATTTTAACTCACACATAGACCTCTTTATGCCATTGCATGCTATACTTGTCATCCTATACCTGTCTGACACCTAAAACAATGAACCTCCCACAATATGCTTTGTGCCCTCCAAATGGAAGTTAAACTAGATGCTTTCCTGTCAATAGCCAGGAGTACAGAAGCACGCATATATGATTTTCATAATTGTTGTCGAGTTGTTCTCCTGTTATATGCGTAGATATTTGCATAGATATATACCACTCTAAAGACTACATGTGAGAAGTCATTAAACATCAGAGTACCACTTTTACTTTTGTTTTTAACTCTATTACTTATTACTCTTCCCTATCCATTGATGGTAGTGTGTTTAATTTCACAAATGTTCTATATTAAAAATGCACACATACCTAATTTTTTATTAACTCATTCCACACAAACCTTTGGAGCATATGCTTTTTGCCAGCTGCCATTCTAGGCCCTGGTGATACAGAGGTGAACAATAGCAATAAAGTCCTGCCCCCACTGGAGCAGACATTAAACAAGGGAGTGAATAACGATAATTGTGCACCATTATTTAAGATAGTGATAAGTTCTATAAAATGTTAAGTAAGTTAAAGGGACAGACAGTGAGAGTAAGGGGCAGGCAAGCTTTATTTTTGTCAAGGTGATGAGGGAAGGCCTCTTTGAAGAGTTGACATTAGAGCAGGCTCTTCAAAGAAGGGAGGGAGTAAAGGATCTGGAAGTCTGAAGAAGAGTATTCTTGGCAGAAGATAGCAAGTGCAAAACCAAGCTCAGTGTCTTAGAGGAGCAGCAAGGCCAGTGTGTCTGGAACACTGTGAGGGAAGACAAAGGTGGTAGTTGGTTAACAAGGAAAGAGGTCAGGGACCAGGTGATGTAGGCCTTGAAGGATGGGGCGAGCCTTTTGAATTTTATTCTAAGTGAGATGGAAGCCACTACTAGGTTTCAAGTCACTTAGTGACGATTTATATATTTAAAAGCTCATTATGGTTGAGAATGATGAGAGGTAGTAAAGCATGTGAGTTCAAGCAGGGCTGTTGTGTCACACCACTTATATTTACATTCCAGGTGCTTACTTCCAAGCTGTGAGGTCTTGGGCAGGTTACCTAGCCTTTTCACATTTCAAGATTCTTATTTCTGAGATGAAGATAACAGTAGTCTTTTATAGGGCGGTTGATAGGATTGAATGAGATAATGCAGGGAAAGCATTGAACAGGGCAGGTACAAGTAAGCACTATATTTTCACTTATAATTATAATTATTATGATTCTTATTATGAACATTTTCATCAAAACTACTTTCTTTAACAGCTAGGGGAAGGTTGAAATACTGTGAATATTATCATACAGCCCAGTGAGATTATAAATACTTTGTTATTTTCTATCTTCCAAATATGCTTGTATGCTTGGTTATTTATCAATGTGTGTGTGTGTGTGTGTGTGTGTGTGTGTCTGCCTTAACATGCAACTATAATGTTTGTGAAAATGTTTTGTTAAGTCATGATTTTGTAAATTAAACCTATTTCAAATGCACTAGACAAGTTTGCCATTTAAACAAAAATAATGCTTAGCCAGGCACGGTGGCACACACCTGTGATCCCAGCTACAAGGGATGCCAGGAGGATTGCTTGAGCCTGGGAGGCCCAGGCTACAGTGTTCGTCCCACCGCACTCCAGCCTGTGTGAAAGAGTGATACCCTGTCTCAGAAACAAAAACAAAAACTTTCAATGAATCTCTTATGAGGGAAAAACTGTCCTAGAAAATCAAAGTTATCCATCTCCCAGTAAACTGGCTGGATTTTTATGTATCCATAGCTCTACATCAAAAAGACAAAGAAATATTTTCTATTTTTAATTAGAATACTCAATTTTAAGCAAATCTCACAACACAATCTGTTTTGATTCTTTTTATATCATTTTTATTTGTTTATCAATGCATATTTGGTACAATTGCTTAGAAGATCAAGACAAACGAATTTTTAGTACATACCGAAGGCAACACAGGAAATTAAATTTAGCAGTGTGCGATGATATTGCCTTTTTTCAGTTTTCATCATAAACAATATTTGCATTTCTTATGCACCATGTAGTCCTACAGGTCATATTACATAATTGCTTGACTTTCAGATATTTAAATGGCAGCTAACTGATGAAATTAACTAGAATGCTTATCTAAAGTTTCTATTTTGTGAACACTCACTTATATTTGGGGGAAGGAAATTATTTTTAGGTAGTTATTCCTAATTTAGAAAGACTTGATGAAGTCAGAATAACCTAATAACAGATGCCTCCGTCTGTGTAAATTTTTAGAATGTCTAAGTAGTGTGATTTTGCTTTCATGTCAATAAACCATTGAGTCTACAAATCAGTCAATTGCTACCCTAATAATGAAACATTTATGTGTCATGCATGGACATGAGTCTAAACTTACAAAGTTCTGCTTTCTGCACAAGATACCTCTATTTTGACTGGAAAGAAATCTCTATATAGATCATTTTTAAAAATTGTGTAAGTTTGACATCATTAGATAAACAGCCATAGCCCAAATTTGAATGAAATGCTGTGTTAGACAGATTTTATTTTCTAGTAAGGTTACATATGCTCACTTTTTAAAATACATTCTCACTATATATTTTTTTCCATCACGTCCAAGTGATGGAATGGTTTTATGTCACTCATATCAAAATCTTCTGCTCCCCTGTTTCTTTTGTCTCTTAAGTTATTTATCTTGGGGTTTTCTAAAATTTTATTTCTTTCCTTCCCTTCCATCCTCTTTCCTCCCTTCTTTCTTTCCCTTCATCCATCACTATTAAAGTGGACTCTAGAGATTCAAAGATTAAAAAGATGAAATTCCTACTTAATAGGAATGCTAAGCCTAGTGAAAGAGAAAGACACAAATAAATGCTCTACAATATGATAAGATCTACAGTGGATATCTGTATAAAATACAACAGCCCTACTATTTTTCCATATGGATTTTCTAATTACTTTTATTCTCTTTCACCTTTCTGGATCCAAAGCAAAATGTAGAATTTTTGTCTGAGCAGTGGCATCTATGGCTCTAAAATGGAAAGGAGGAGTCCTGGATTCAGGCTACTGACTTACTCTGTGAATTTACACATAACTTCCTTTGAGCCACAGATTTAGCATTCTACCAGTCACCTGATATTTCTGAGCAGCCACAATATTTTAAAACTATATTTAAATCTGAATTTGGATTTAGCAGAATTTTATTTTTTCCATTTCTATTTTCTATGGTCACTAAATTGAAATTACAACCATTGTAAAATTTGATATCATTAAATATGTAGGACTTTATCCAGTTTCAAAGTAAAGATGTCTCTAATGTAATTAATTGTTATTTTCACTGATGAGACTGAAATACAATCAGTCTGTATTGTGTGTGCGTATGTATCAGTGGTAAGAGGCTATGATTAGACAACTTTTAAAAGATTATTTTATTGACACGTACGTAAATTTTTCCTACATATGTGATTATAAATAAATGTGAATTTGATTTAATATCTAAAGAACATGATATAACAAACAACTGACTTTTCTGGCACAGTTTTGTTGGCTTACAATATTTAAATTACATAAAACATGAAAGAATTCTGAATTTAAATTCCTTGAAACATAATGTGTGCCATGGAATGAGGTAGACTTCAAGTCAAATCCACTCACAGTTGGATCCTGAGCCTGCCATTTACTAGCCATGTGGCTCAGGCAACTTACTTAACCTTCCAATTGTTGATTCTTCTCTAAACTCAGAATAATGCCTTCCTCAGAGTGACTTTATAAGATTAAATGAAGGTTCTTCTGCATCACAACTAGTTCAGTACCTTCAACTGGGTGAATGTGTTCAATGTCTCATAGCATTTATTTATTTATTTATTTATTTATTTACTTACTTATTTTTATTATACTTTAAGTTCTAGGATACATGTGCAGAATGTGCAGGTTTGTTACATAGGTATACGTGTGCCATGGTGGTTTGCTGCACCCATCAACCAGTCATCTACATTACATATTTCTCCTAATGCTATCCCTCCCCTAGCCCCCTACCCCCCGACAGGCCCCAGTGTGTGATGTTCCCCTCCCTGTTTACACTGTTGGTGGGAGTGTAAATTAGTTCAACCATTGTGGAATGTAGTGTGGCAACTCCTCAAGGATCTAGAACCAGAAATACTGTTTGACTCAGCAATCCCATTACTGGACATATACCCAAAGGATTATAAATAATTCTACAATAAAGACACATGCACACGTATGTTTATTGCAGCACTGTTCACAATAGCAAAGACTTAGGACCCAAATGCCCATCAACGATAGACTGGATAAAGAAAATGTGGCACAGGGGGAGGAGCCAAGATGGCCGAATAGGAACAGCTCCGGTCTACAGCTCCCAGCGTGAGCAACGCAGAAGACGGGTGATTTCTGCATTTCCATCTGAGGTAGCAGGTTCATCTCACTAGGGAGTGCCAGACAGTGGGTGCAGGTCAGTGGGTGCAGCACGCGGTGCACGAGCCGAAGCAGGGCGAGGCATTGCCTCACTCAGGAAGTGCAAGGGGTCAAGGAGTTCCCTTTCCTGGTCAAGGAAAGGGGTGACAGACGGCACCTGGAAAATCAGGTCACTCCCACCCGCATACTGTGCTTTTCTGACGGGCTTAGGAAACGGTGCACCAGGAGAATTATATCCCGCACCTGGCTCAGAGGGTCCTACGCCCACGGAGTCTCGCTGATTGCTAGCACAGCAGTCTGAGATCAAACTGCAAGGTGGCAGCGAGGCTGAGGGAGGGGCGCCCGCCATTGCCCAGGCTTGCTTAGGTAAACAAAGCAGCCGGGAAGCTCCAACTGGCTGGAGCCCACCACAGCTCAAGGAGGCCTGCCTGCCTCTGTAGGCTCCACCTCTGGGGGCAGGGCACAGACAAACAAAAAGACAGCAGTAACCTCTGCAGACTTAAATGTCCCTGTCTGACAGCTTTGAAGAGAGCAGTGGTTCTCCCAGCACGCAGCTGGAGATCTGAGAACAGGCAGACTGCCTCCTCAAGTGGGTCCCTGACCCCTGACTCCCGAGCAGCCTAACTGGGAGGCACCCCCCAGTAGGGGCAGACTGACACCTCACACGGCCGGGTACTCCTCTGAGACAAAACTTCCAGAGGAACAATCAGACAGCAGCATTCGCGGTTCATGAAAATCCACGGTTCTGCAGACACCGCTGCTGATACCCAGGCAAACAGGGTCTGGAGTGGACCTCTAGCAAAGTCCAACAGACCTGCAGCTGAGGGTCCTGTCTGTTAAAAGGAAAACTAACAAACAGAAAGGACATCCACACCAAAAACCCATCTGTACATCACCATCATCAAAGACCAAAAGTAGATAAAACCACAAAGATGGGGAAAAAACAGAGCAGAAAAACTGGAAACTCTAAAAAGCAGAGTGCCTCTCCTCCAAAGGAACGCAGTTCCTCACCAGCAACGGAACAAAGCTGGACATAGAATTACTTTGACGAGTTGAGAGAAGAAGGCTGCAGACGATCAAACTACTCCGAGCTACAGGAGGAAATTCAAACCAAAGGCAAAGAAGTTGAAAACTTTGAAAAAAATTTAGACAAATGTATAACTAGAATAACCAATACAGAGAAGTGCTTAAAGGAGCTGATGGAGCTGAAAGCCAACGCTCGAGAACTACGTGAAGAATGCAGAAGCCTCAAGAACCAATGCGATCAACTGGAAGAAAGGGTATCACTGATGGAAGATGAAATGAATGAAATGAAGTGAGAAGGGAAGTTTAGAGAAAAAAGAATAAAAAGAAACGAACAAAGCCTCCAAGAAATATGGGACTATGTGAAAAGACCAAATCTGCGTCTGATTGGTGTACCTGACAGTGACGGGGAGAATGGAACCAAGTTAGAAAACATTCTGCAGGATATTATCCAGGAGAACTTCCCCAATCTAGCAAGGCAGGCCAACGTTCAGATTCAGGAAATACAGAGAACGCCACAAAGATACTCCTCGAGAAGAGCAACTCCGAGACACATAATTGTCAGATTCACCAAAGTTGAAATGAAGGAAAAAGTGTTAAGGGCAGCCAGAGAGAAAGGTCGGGTTACCCACAAAGGGAAGCCCATCAGACTAACGGCGGATCTCTCGGCAGAAACTCTACAAGCCAGAAGAGAGTGGGAGCCAATATTCAACATTCTTAAAGAAAAGAATTTTCAACCCAGAATTTCATATCCAGCCAAACTAAGCTTCATAAGTGAAGGAGAAATAAAATACTTCACAGACAAGCAAATGCTGAGAGATTTTGTCACCACCAGGCCTGCCCTGAAAGAGCTCCTGAAGGAAGCACTAAACATGGAAAGGAAAAACCGGTACCAGCCACTGCAAAATCATGCCAAAATGTAAAGACCATCGAGACTAGGAAGGAACTGCATGAACTACTGAGCAAAATAACCAGCTAACATCATATTGACAGGATCAAATTCACACATAACAATATTAACTTTAAATGTAAAAGGACTAAATATCCCAATTAAAAGACACAGACTGGCAAATGGGATAAAGAATCAAGACCCATCAGTGTGCTGTATTCAGGAAACCCATCTCACGTGCAGAGACACACATAGGCTCAAAATAAAAGGATTGAGGAAGATCTACCAAGCAAATGGAAAACAAAAAAAGGCAGGGGTTGCAATCCTAGTCTCTGATAAAACAGACTTTAAACCAACAAAGATCAAAAGAGACAAAGAAGGCTATTACATAATGGTAAATGGATCAATTCAACAAGAAGAGCTAACTATCCTAAATATATATGCACCCAATACAGGAGCACCCAGATTCATAAAGCAAGTCCTGAGTGACCTACAAAGAGACTTAGACTCCCACACAATAATAATGGGAGACTTTAACACCCCACTGTTAACATTAGACAGATCAACGAGACAGAAAATTAACAAGGATACCCAGGAATTGAACTCAGCTCTGCACCAAGCGGACCTAATAGACATCTACAGAACTCTCCACCCCAAATCAATAGAATATACATTTTTTTCAGCACCGCACCACACCTATTCCAAAATTGACCACATACTGGGAAGTAAAGCTCTCCTCAGCAAATTAAAAGAACAGAAGTTATAACAAACTGTCTCTCAGACCACAGTGCAATCAAACTAGAACTCAGGATTAAGAAACTCACTCAAAACCGCTCAACTACATGGAAACTGAACAACCTGCTCCTGAATGACTACTGGGTACATAACGAAATGAAGGCAGAAATAAAGATGTTCTTTGAAACCAACGAGAACAAAGACACAACATACCAGAATCTCTGGGACACATTCAAAGCAGTGTGTAGAGGGAAATTTATAGCACTAAATGCCCATAAGAGAAAGCAGGAAAGATCCAAAATTGACACCCTAACATCACAATTAAAAGAACTAGAAAAGCAAGAGCAAACACATTCAAAAGCTAGCAGAAGGCAAGAAATAACTAAAATCAGAGCAGAACTGAAGGAAATAGAGACAAAAAAAATCCTTCAAAAAATTAATGAATCCAGAACCTGGTTTTTAGAAAGGATCAACAAAATTGATAGACCACTAGCAAGACTAATAAAGAAAAAAAGAGAGAAGAATCAAATAGACGCAATAAAAAATGATAAAGGGGATATCACCACTGATCCCACAGAAATACAAACTACCATCAGAGAATACTACCAACACCTCTATGCAAATAAACTAGAAAATCTAGAAGAAATGGATAAATTTCTCGACACATACACTCTCCCAAGACTAAACCAGGAAGAAGTTGAATCTCTGAATAGACCAGTAACAGGCTCTGAAATTGTGGCAATAATCAATAGCTTACCAACCAAAAAGAGTCCAGGACCAGATGGATTCACAGCCGAATTCTACCAGAGGTACAAGGAGGAACTGGTAGCATTCCTTCTGAAACTATTCCAATCAATAGAAAAAGAGGGAATCCTCCCTAACTCATTTTGAGGCCAGCATCATCCTGATATCAAAGCCTGGCAGAGACACAACCAAAAAAGAGAATTTTAGACCAATATCCTTGATGAACATTGATGCAAAAATCCTCAATAAAATACTGGCAAACTGAATCCAGCAGCACATCAAAAAGCTTATCCACCATGATCAAGTGGTCTTCATCCCTGGGATGCAAGGCTGGTTCAATATATGTAAATCAATAAATGTAATCCAGCATATAAACAGAACCAAAGACAAAAGCACATGATTATTTCAATAGATGCAGAAAAGGCCCTTGAAAAAATTCAACAGCCCTTCAGGCTATAAACTCTCAATAAATTAGGTATTGATGGGACGTATCTCAAAATAATAAGAGCTATCTATGACAAACCCACAGCCAATATCATACTGAATGGGCAAAAACTGGAAGCATTCCCTTTGAAAACTGGCACAAGACAGGGATGCCCTCTCTCACCACTCCTATTCAACATAGTGTTGGAAGTTCTGGCCAGGGCAATCAGGCAGGAGAAGGAAATAAAGGGTATTCAATTAGGAAAAGAGGAAGCCAAATTGTCCCTGTTTGCAGACGACGTGATTGTATATCTAGAAAACCCCATTGTCTCAGCCCAAAATCTCCTTAAGCTGATAAGCAACTTCAGCAAAGTCTCAGGATATACAATCAATGTACAAAAATCACAAGCATTCTTATACACCAATAACAGACAAACAGAGAGCCAAATCATGAGTGAACTACCATTCACAATTGCTTCAAAGAGAATAAAATACCTAGGAATCCAGCTTACAAGGGACGTGAAGGACCTCTTCAAGGAGAACTACAAACCACTGCTCAATGAAATAAAAGAGGACACAAACAAATGGAAGAACATTCCATGCTCATGGGTGGGAAGAATCAATATCATGAAAATGGCCATACTGCCCAAGGTAATTTATAGATTCAGTGCCATCCCCATCAAGCTACCAATGACTTTCTTCACAGACTTGGAAAAAACTACTTTAAAGTTCATGTGGAACCAAAAAAGAGCCTGCATCGCCAAGTCAATCCTAAGCCAAAAGAACAAAGCTGGAGGCATCACGCTACCTGACTTCAAACTATACTACAAGGCTACAGTAACCAAAACAGCATGGTACTGGTACCAAAACAGAGATATAGACCAATGGAACAGAACAGAGCCCTCAGAAATAACGCCGCATATCTACAACTATCTGATCTTTGACAAACCTGAGAAAAACAAGCAATGAGGAAAGGTTTCCCTATTTAATAAATGGTGCTGGGAAAACTGGCTAGCCATATGTAGAAAGCTGAAACTGGATCCCTTCCTTACACCTTATACAAAAATTAATTCAAGATGGATTAAAGACTTAAATGTTAGACCTAAAACCATAAAAACCCTAGAAGAAAACCTAGGCATTACCATTCAGGACATAGGCATGGGCAAGGACTTCATGTCTAAAACACCAAAAGCAATGGCAACAAAAGCCAAAATTGACAAATGAGATCTAATTAAACTAAAGAGTTTCTGCACAGCAAAAGAAACTACCATCAGAGTGAACAGGCAAAATGGGAGAAAATTTTTGCAACCTTCTCATCTGACAAAGGGCTAATATCCAGAATCTACAATGAACTCAAACAAATTTACAAGAAAAAAACAAACAACCTCATCAAAAAGTGGGCAAAGGATATGAACAGACACTTCTGAAAAGAAGACATTTATGCAGCCAAAAGACACATGAAAAAATGCTCATCATCACTGGCCATCAGAGAAATGCAAATCAAAACCACAATGAGATACCATCTCACACCAGTTAGAATGGCAATCATTAAAAAGTCAGGAAACAACAGATGCTGGAGAGCATGTGGAGAAATAGGAACACTTTTACACTGTTGGTGGGACTGTAAACTAGTTCAACCATTGTGGAAGTCAGTGTGGTGATTCCTCAGGGATCTAGAACTAGAAATACCATTTGACCCAGCCATCCCATTACTGGGTATATACCCAAAGGAGTATAAATCATGCTGCTATAAAGACACATGCACACATATGTTTATTGCAGCACTACTCACAATAGCAAAGACTTGGAACCAAGCCAAATGTCCAACAATGATAGACTGGATTAAGAAAATGTGGCACATATACACCATGGAATACTACGCAGCCATAAAAAATGATGAGTTCATGTCCTTTGTAGGGACATGGATGAAATTGGAAATCACCATTCTCAGTAAACTATCGCAAGGACAAAAACCGAAACACCACATGTTCTCACTCATAGATGGGAATTGAACAATGAGAACACATGGACACAGGAAGGGGAACATCACACTCTGGGGACTGTTGTGGGGTGGGGGGATGGGGGAGGGATAGCATTAGGAGATATAGCTAATGCTAAATGACGAGTTAATGGGTGCAGCACACCAGCATGGCACATGTATACATATGTAACTAACCTGAACATTGTGCACAGGTACCCTAAATCTTAAAGTATAATAATAATAAAAAAAAGAAAAAAAAAAAAGAAAATGTGGCACATATACACCATGGAATACTTTGCAGCCATAAAAAAGGATGAGTTCATGTCGTTTGCAGGGACATGGATGAAGCTGGAAACCTTCATTCTCAGCAAACTAACACAACAACAGAAAACCAAACACTGTATGTTCTTACTCATAAGAGGGAGTTGAACAATAATATTTTTATTATTTAAAATCATTGTGTCCATGAAGCTGTAATTCCCAATTAAGTATTACTTCCCTTCTCTTAGGAAACTATCAGTGGGATTTGGGTGTGTGAAGGAGAATTTCCCATCTATTGGCTAAGCAAGCCGAGTTATTTAAAGGGAGATCTGATGCACTCTGGGGGGATAGGCCAGCCTCCATCGGTTAGTCAGGAGTGAGCAGAAAGGCTGTCGGGAGCTGAGAATTCACAAGCCTGCTCTCAGATGCGCGCCTACTGGTAGGAAGTCTGAAACAATGTCCTGGAAAGAAATTTGGTGCAAATCCAGTTTTGCATATTTACTAAGTCTGACACCTCAGAGTTTTTAAAGAGGTTTTATTAGCTGTATATATAAGTGGTCTTCCCCTATCGTGTATTTTTCTTAAGAGATTAAAAATGATGGCAGGAAGTGAATCACCCTGGAACTTCACTATTCCTTCTGAATTCAGGACTGTCCCAGTCATAACTGATGTTTTTAGGTCGGCTTTGCAGATTGAAACCACTTTACAATGAAGTCCTTTTGAAACTTCAGAAATTCCTCTTGGACAAACTCTGAAAGTGAATTTTTCTCTGTGTCAAATAACAGGAGAAAAAGTCTCTGCGTTATTGTAGGAGAAGAAGAGGAATAGCCACAGACCTGCATACATATTTATTAAAGTGCTGATGACCCCTCATATGCATTTTTTCAGCAGTCTAATAATACAAGACTTAAAATGCTTGGTACTTAGCCCCCAACACATAACTTTGTTCTTAGCATTTTCAGCAAAACTTAGAAGAGCTACATGGCCAATTCTGAAGAGTCTTAGTTTTTCTTCAATGAAGTGCTTTCAGGGATCTAAACATAAATTGCTGCCACACAGAGTAGTGAAGGGAATTATAAAGCATTTACATTTCACCATTCATGACTGTTACGCCTCTCTCAGAATAGACAGTTGGGAAATGATTGAATGAAACAAGAAATGGCCAAGCCACACCACGTCCTCCGCTTGTGTGTTTCTTGTATTTAAGGATTAAGGCCTCCTACCCTGTGACATCATTGTTGCCACTACAAACAGAACCATCTGCCATCGAGTGGGGAAGCCAGTCATTCCCTAATGTGCAAAAATACTTGGTTGAACTCCTGAAACTTATTTGGTAGATCAAAAGCTGCACTGCTGTGGAATGCAATAAACTCCATCTGTTTGAAGTATTTTCAGCAATATTGCACTACTTGGGAGAACCAGGGTCCCATTATTCTCTAAAATAAGACTTTTATTCCCGGTAAAATTCCCAGTGGGGATCTTTATTGCCTTATTGAACAGTTGGCATCATTTTTAAAAAGGACTCTTTTTTTCCCTTCATTCGTTCTTATGCCATTATTTATGTCTCAGATAAGCCAGGGTGTTAACGGTTATATCACGGCAACTCACAATGCCAAGAAACTTCTCTTCACTATTTTATCAGTGTCTTTAAATTTATGTTTTCTTTATTAAATATGATGGTCCCTGGATTAGGCATTTCCCTAGAGTCACGAATTGGCATTGTTTTCCAGAAAACACACTCTCCTGGGATCATTACCTTTCCGCTCTCCAGAAAATATCTGTATATATTATTTCCCCCTTCACATCCTCAACTTAAAACTAAATGCCAAATCTACAGCCAGACCTGTGACTCCGCCCTGTTCTAGGTCTCCACAGATGCACACACTTTACTCACAGCTCTCTTCCACCCTGTGTCTCAGCGAGAAATTCCTTCTGGGCCCCTTGTGAGAAGAGTTCAGATCTGTTCCCGGCCCATATCCCATCACGTCTCCCCCACAGGATCTGACCTTGTGAGGACTTGGGCTGCCCCGGGAGTAATGAATCACCGTCTTATTTTTTTAGGCCATATGTGAGTTAAATTGTTTGATATAAATCATACTCTTGCAGCTCAGGGTTGAAACAGGAGAGCCATTTGCCCTGCCGCCTGCTGCTGGCGGTTCTGTGTCTTTACCCAGAGTGTCGCTTTTAGAAATGACTACATTTTTGTGACTAACCTTTCCAGACCCATTTCTTGAGTGTGGACTCATGTTTGTTTTGGCAGCATCCCCACTATACAGTCCTTGCTTCCCATGCCAACCTAAGGCAAAACTCATAATTTACAAAATAAAGGAATGGTCCAGATGGAGGTCGTAACTTGGTCTGCTTACCCTGTCTCCCTAGAACCACCCACTCCTTTCCTCTGCTCTCTTTTCCTTCTTTTTTTTTTTTTCCACCTTCTTTGAAACCAAGGATGCAGTGTTTGTTTAAAAATGCACTGGCTGATGAAATTTTCCACTGCTTGGCATGTTGGAGGAGGAGCTGTCAGGAAAGGGCAAGCCGGCACACAAAATGCTCTGCCTTTCACGCTAACAGTTCACTTATTACTGATTCAAACCAATTCTTTCTGGCCACGTTCCCATACCCCAGGTATTCCAAATAGAAAGAAAGGGGGCAACTGTTCTAAGTTTCTGCTGTTATAAATGTATGATTTCATGTAACCTATGTGGATTCTTTGACTTGTCCATGAGCTCTGGATGCTGTATGTGTATGTATGAGATGTCAGTGAATAGTTAAATCATTTGTTTTGATTTCACTCTAGCAAGAAAAACCTCATTTTATTTTTTTTAATATCCAGAGAAAGTAGAAGAAAAAACCCTCATAATTTTAAAATAAATTTCTGTTTAACATATTTCTCTTTCTTTTCCTTGCGGCTACATGCATAGGGGAACAACAAAGTAAGTTATTTGTCCTCTTGCAGCTCTTCTGTCCCCCCAGCCCCTGCTCCGCTCCTGCATGTCTTGACAAGAGTGTTCCTGTGCATGCTGGAATGACTGTCATCTGTTACAGTGCACGAATTATATGGGGTGTGCAAATTTGGGGGAAAATGTGCATTTGCACTACCATAATGGCTGTTCCGTTTTGACTTTTGGGAAGGGAAACATTCTATCCTTCAGGGTCTAATGGCTAGTTCAGAGAGGTTGACATTATAAGGAAAGAGCTCCCACACTAAAAGAAAAGATTTTGAAGATTTAATAATGAGGACCCTTCTGCAGAAGGGGTACAGCAATAGGATGGAATTCAGTGCAGCTGAAGTTTTTGACTAAAAATCAAACCTCTTATGTTAATGTGCAGTTACAAAAACCCCAAACTGGAGTCTTAAATAGCAGTATGGCTGGCTTTGTTGACGAAACTGAACTAGATCAGTGTTCTGGCTTTGAAGGTGCCTTAAAATGGATGGAGGAGGGTGGGGTCAACATTTCACTTGGCTTCTGTGCCCTTGATGTCTTCCAGCTGGATGGAAGCAGAAGGGTGTGGGGAATGCAGGGGGTGGCCAAAATGTGTATGATAGCTTTGTGAAACCAGGCAACACACAGGAATGGTGGAAATTATTTTAATGTTGTTGTTATAATAGATCAATGAGCAATTTAATAGTTCATGGGGTTGCTAGTTTGTTTAAATTTTAATTCAACTTTTCCAAAAGATTAGAACTATTTCTCACTTATATTAGAAATGTAATAGTAATGTAGTTTGAGAAGATGGTCTTACGTTTAGTTGGGCGATTTGTTTTCTTATTTTTTCTATGGAGATACATTAGTGCTTCACCCTACCAGGTGGCCCACTTAAAACGGGCCTCATTGAATACAATAAGAATTGAAA
This sequence comes from Homo sapiens, assembly GCF_000001405.40. Classification (NCBI taxonomy): domain Eukaryota; kingdom Metazoa; phylum Chordata; class Mammalia; order Primates; family Hominidae; genus Homo; species Homo sapiens. The sequence goes on from NC_000001.11 coordinate 172,324,263, forward strand.
AGAATCTGTTATATAAGAGTTGGCCGGCATATTCAAACCAGCTGGAATTCGTCAAAATTTCTGTTCATAAGCCATACATATAGAATGTAAAACAAATGTGGGAAATCTTTTGCAGTTTAATCTGATGGAATGTGCTATTATGGAATAAGTTGACATACATGGTTGGTATTGAAAATGTGTCACTTTATAAATTTATATCTTGATATAACTGCTTATAACCCAAGTAATAATATATAATAAAGTATTACCAGAAAAGCACAAGACAGGCATTTGTGAAGGAGTAAAGAGGTGAACTCAGTCGACTTATAGTATGATTTTTAAAAACAGCAGGTAACTTTTGAAATTGATTAAAGATTTCTTCCACAAAGTAATGGCTAATATTTATAACTAATTCCACCACTCTTTGAAAAGACATTTGGAAAAAATATAAAAACCAATATTTTTAGTTCTTATACCATAAAATATACTTCAATTATTGAATAGTACGTATGTCGAATCCTGGTCACTTGCATTGCACTGAGTCTCTGTATGAAATTTCTTGTACTGCATTTCTTATTTGCAAGCAAAACAAAACAAAACAAAACTTTAAAAAGTACCCTGGACTAATTGTGAGTGTGCTAACAGGGAGCCTGTGCATGCTGAAGACCAGGGAGCCAGCTGCTGACATTTTGGGGGAGGTGCTAACTCTCAGACCACTCAAGAAGCATTTAGGATTTGTCTCTTTCACTAGTGGATTCACCGATGAGTTAAGAACATTTGTAAAATTCACTCCCCACACACACACCAAGAAGAAACCCACTTCTCCTTACCAGAAGCCATCCATTTGTTGTGTCATATTTGATTAAGTTCTTCTGGATCCAAAAAATATTCAGTTTAATACATTTTACTGATTTTCAAGTCACTAAATACAATGAGAAAATTCAAAAATTTAAAATTACGGCTCATTAAGGGTTTCCCTAGGATGATGCAGAAGGCTCTTCAGGGTCTCCAGCTGCCCTCGGTCACCAACTGTATCTGAACGCTTGCGCATGTGCTATGAGGACAGCTTTGGGTGCTCCTTAGAGGGCGAGTGTTAGTTGAAGAGTATCAAAGATGCAAGTACTTACTGTTTTGATTTCGAATTAAGGAGTGAGCACTTTGGAGGTGCTAGTATTTATTGCCCCATGCCTTATTTTTAATTGTTTGTTATGAATAAGTGATAGTTTGTGGAAAATATAATGCTTATACTTTTTAAATATGATCATTATACTGACCATAGACTCTGGCATAAAAAAAAAGCCTCCTCAAATCACAAACAGCACATCTGCATGTTATTTTCCTGTAGCTTAGAATTTCAGTATAAATGGAAAATACTGGAATACAAGCTGTGCTGTCTCCGGAGTATAGATCTGGATTCTTCAAAAGGAGAATATGAGATTCCTTTTTTCCTCCCATGCTGGAATGCTTGTTCTGAGTTGTCCCCAAGGCAACATACCTGAATTGTTGCCTGCCATATACGTGAGCCAGCTGTAAAGTGTGACTCATTTTAGACTTGCAAAGGCTTATTGTTTATCTAGTGCATGGCATTTTATTATATATGCTATTAACCAGACTCTAGAGCAAATGAAGTCTGCCCAAATTAATGTTTCCTTAGATGAGCAGGACAGATTCATCTTTCCACATACATTAAGAGTAGTGCACACACATGTGCACATATACATATAACCTGGGGTATATGGAACAATCCTGCTATTTGTTTTCTCAAAGACAGCCAAATTGATCTGCTTCATCCATCTTTAGACTATATTTAAAGTTTGGGAGCTAATCCTCTAAACTCCAAGAAAACTAACTTCTACAATAGATGTGCATTTAGATTCACATTATGAATGCATGACGGAACAAAACATCAAGGTTCACATTCTTCCTGCACAATCATATGTATGTTGTTATTTCTCCTTGAAAAGCACATTTTCCTTTTGTGAGGAGATCACAGTTGCTCAGGAAAAATTTTCCTTCCAGGCCTGTTACTTATTTTTCCCTTTGAAAATGTTTTCGTGTTGGCATAGTGATTTCCTAAATTGCTCAGGGTAGAGTCTATCTCCTCCTAAGATGGGTTTCCCTGGACCACAGATTCCAAGTCAATGTCTTCATTAGAAAGACCAGAATCCAGGACACCCTGAGTCAGTTCTGGGAATGTGAACAAATATGTACAGAAACAGGGAGGTTATTTTGTTTTTTAAACTTGTTTCTTGAGTACAAATGTAAATCAGAATGTTATTTTCAGAATGGAGGCCTTAGGTAAAAAATTAACCTCCATGTTGTGTCTTAGACACAAGCCATTTGATTTCCTTTTTGAATGTGATGGCTTCTCTTGGTGGACAATTTTAGAAATTTCATAGACTTTTAATTTAATTTTTTATTAAATACTTGACGTTTCAGTTAAATATTTTTGATATTAAATTAGGCAAGTTAAAGGTAGAGAAAATCTTAACATGTAAGGAATATAAATATATCAAAAGCCCTAAAAGTTTTTAACGATGTTGGTATAGATACACAAATGAAAACTAAAATGAATCCTAGATTCAGAAATCAATGCTTCAAAAAGTTTTAGGTTACAAGGAAAAGCCACATGTAAGCTCGTGCCTTGTGAATCCTTTGTTGCTTTTAAAAAAGAAATTTATAATCACTTAACTTCAGTATTGTTAAACTAAAGGACTCTTATATTTTCCCCCACAGAATTTAAGGCTGACTGTATTGCTTAGAGAGAAGGATCATTTTAAAGGAGAAATAGAACAGAAACATGCTAAAACAGAATTTTAAAATTGCTAATTAAATTCTAGTTAGGTTAAAAGCAAAAATTTTATACATATTGGAGGGCCTTGATATTTAAGAAAAGAAGAATGAAAGGAAAATTAGATGAATAACTGTTTTTACAACATTTAAGAAACACTTTGTCTAGTGATTTCCTAACACGTTCAGCAAGGCCAGTGGACAAGGTCAGCCTTCATTCGTGGGAAAAGTGGTTATCACTGGGAGTGATTATTTTGGTGATCCATTGGATTCTAGCACTCATTTGCAAAGATAAAATTTACCAAGTCAAATGGCACCAAAGTATATATATTGAAGAGCAAAGATATTAAATCCATATTAATTAGTTATGCCTCTTTACACCAAGCCCTCAACTCCTAAATTATTGTCCTTGGTCGTATGTGAGAGAAAGTAGATAGCCACTGAAAACTCATCCTCACAATGTGAAAATGTCTTTCTGATGATGCGTGTTATAATCATGGTGAATGAAAGGAGCAGAGAGTACAGTGTCATAATGTACATTTTCTTTGTATAATATTAAATGCATGACCAAAAGTCAGAACACTCTAAGCAATTTAGGTATGGTCAGCTCAATTATTTTATTTCAATAATGTGTGTGCTTTCCCTGATTTTCTTAGAAAACTTAAGCCAATACATGCCCTGGGGTCTAAGGAACACCGTCCCCCACCACCTGGTTGACTAAATTTATGCATAACCCAATAAGGACATCATTAGAGTTAAAAGAAAGGATGAAAATTCCCTAGCCTCAAAGTGTTATTTTAGTTCCATGTGAATATAAAAAAAAATTGTCTGTCAATCATTGCATCACCAGTAAACCTTTGCTTCTGTTTTTGGCAAATCAGCCTTAAAAGAGCATTGTTAAAGCCTTATTTTTGAATCCCCTCACTTTAATAGTAAACTGTTGGGAGAAGGAACAGTTTAATTGAGGGTAGAAAACTTCTAGAAGCAAATTGGAATCTATATTATGTTCCCAAATTTATTGATCATGCTAAATAGACTCTATAGAGAAGCAAGAATTGATCTGCTGCTGCTTAGAAAGCTTATAGTAGATTATAATACAGGGATTTCTTAAGGGTCATTAGGGCTTGTTTATATATTTTTATTTTCTCTGTTGGGTCGAAAATGAAGTGACCTCTCTAGTTAATAGGAAATAATGTTTAGGACTTCATAGCTGTTTCAACATATTTGCTCTCACATATTGTAATGTACACATCCCAATATTGTAGACATCTCCTTTCTGCATGCTTCATGATATTTTTAATGGAACTGGTTTAACACTGCTCCAAAACAAGAGTCGTTCATGCCTGTTTTGAAAGCATAATATCTGGATAATGAAAATGTGGCACATATACACCATGGAATACTATGCAGCCATAAAAAAGAATGAGATCATGTCCTTCACAGCAACATGGATGGAGCTGGAGGCCGTTATTCTAAGTGAATTAATGCAGTAACAGAAAACCAAATACCAAATACCAAATACCACAGGTTCTCACTTGTAAGTGGGAGCTGAACATTAAGATCACATGGACACAAAGAAGGGAGCAAGAGACACCGGGGCCTACTTGAGAGTGGAGTGTGAGAGGAGGGCGAGGATCAAAAAATTTCCTATCAGGTACTATGGTTATTACCTGGGTGATGAAATAATCTGCACACCAAACCCTGTGTCATGCAATTAACCTATATAACAAACCTGCATATCTACCCCCTGAGCCTAAAATAAAAGTTAAACAAAAAGAAAACATTTTATCATGAAGTATGAGTTTATTCATTTATTTATTTATTTACTTTTAGAGACAGGGTCTCGCTAAGTTTCCCAGGCTGGTCTTGGACTCCTGGGCTCAAGCAATCCTCCTGCCTCAGCCTCCCAAAGTCCTGGGATTACAGGTGTGACCCATCATGCCTGGCTGATTTTAAAAGTTACCTTGTGATAAGCATTGTTTTGAAATTTAAACCCTTACAGAGTATTTCTATTAAAAATTAAGAATTTGTGTTTTTTTTTGTTTTTAATGTTAATGTGGTTATGGTACTGTATGGTAAAATCATTCAGAATCATTGCAGTAGGGAGGGTTTTAAAGCCTTCTGTCTATCTTTGGCAGATCAACTGAGCAAAAACCAAGATAAAAAAGGATGTGAATGGTATAAAAAATAAGTGAGATTCAAAAGATATATATGTGCATATTTAAAGGATATATGAATATTGAATGTCTGGTAAAATACAGAAAACTAGAGCTGTATAGAAAAATTTAAATGTAAAAACCTATCTATTTACAAGTGAAAAAATACATTCCAAAATAGATCCAATGGAAATTAGTATTTAACTTACAGACTATTTGGAATATAATAATAGTGAAAACACTATACAGGCTACAACCAATACTATACAAAGAGAAAAATTAATTTGAAAATGAATTATTTGTTTAATGGAAGTCAATAAAATTAGGAGATTGGAAAGAGAGCAACTGCAACCTGATGAAAGAAAGAAATTCATTAAGTAAAAATTAATGAATTAGAAAATAGCAAAAGAAAAACAAGAAAGCTTAAACTACATACAAATTTAAAGCTTTCGTATGAGACAGTAGAGTTAAAAGGCAAAAGACAAACAAGTAAAATACCTGAAGCATATATGACAAAGGATTAAATATTCTCAAAATAGAATTATCCCTATTCAGTTTATTAAAAAAGCTAAAACAAAAAAAGCAAAACAAAGCAAAGAACACTACCTACTAGGAAAAAAGGAAGGGGGCCAAATCAATAGAGCATTTAGAAGCCCTCCTAGCCCCTGCAAAAGGACTAATTAATATATGACAAAAAGTTTCAATTTCACTAGGAACCAAGAAGTGTAAATTAAAACAGCCAGCCAGACATCATGATTGGGCTTTCAGATTAGGAGATATGAGAAAGAAGGTCGTGTGATAGGTGGTAACGAGGAAGCCGTCCTCCTTGTGTACCACACATGTTGCCGACTCTGCATGTAGCCTCCCTGGAGGCCAGCTTGAGACTCTGCATTAAATGCCTTGGTTAGGCGCAAACCTTATGGCTCAGCAATTCCACTCTTCAAAGTTTATTTTTATCAAATGATTCCATAATTGTGCAAAGAAATTTGTTCAAAGATGATTTTGAAACATTGTTCATAATTACCAATGTTTTAAAACAGCATCAATATCCATCATAGAAAATTGGTTGAATAGAGTATGGTATATTGATTCAACAAAATGCTATGAAGCAAAGCATTTTTATCTTTAAAAATATAAAGATATATATATAGAAATTTTCATGATAAATTAACAAAACATTGTGCATGCCATAGGTAGCATAATTCCATTTTACTTAAAAAATTTTACATAGGATGAGATATATACATATATGTTTGCACATAGAAACTACCTATTGTGTACTATGCTCACTACCAGGGTACAAAATACCCATGTAACAAACCTGCATATGTACCCCATGTATCTAAAATAAAGTTGAAATTTTAAAAATAAAGAAATTCTGGTACAGAATTTACACCAAAATTTTAACAGCATGAGCAATATTAATTTGTGGTCCTGTGTTGTTTTCTCATTTTTATGTGATAACCATCCTTTGTGTAACTTTCAAAAAAAGGTTTTGAAATACACAAAAAAATGAAGAGGAAGATACTTAAATAGAGGATGGTGAGAAAGAAAGAAAAGTATAAAATGGTGAAAACAGAATATCTAGGAGGAGAAATATGTACCATAAAAGAAATAGATTAAACTTTACAAGAAAATAGATTAACTTTTATATGAATGTCAAAGATACATGTGGAAATTAACTTTAAAGTGGAAACTAAGCATCTGAGACCCTACAAGCTTGACATAATTATGTAATCATGTTTATTATGATTATTTTTGTTGTGATTATACAGATTTTGTTACCTCTTTTCCGTTTACTCTGCCTGTGCAAATATGTTATTTTCCTCACTGAATTGCATATTGTTGAAGGACTATATTAGGAGTCTCCAAATGCTCACATTCCCTCATTCATTGCCTATTGCTTTCAATAGTGTCTTTGTTTCAAATGCTCAAATTCCATGAGATGAAGCCTCCCCATCTTCCTGGACCAATCGTTCTTCCTTAAATTCCAGTTTCCTACCTGTCAGCGCTGTTGACTACTATGACTGTGTTGTGTGTAATATACAAATAATGTATACTGTCTAAGGATTATCAGTGAGCCATTTCATGACCTAATTTCTGGCTCTTGATTTTTCTGCTGTTTTAAAAATCTCATTGAGGTTTAAAGATAACATATAATATTAGGCTAGCAGAATAATTATGTAAAATTTAAATGTAAAAGTCAACTCATTTGCCTTGAACCCATTTATTTATATAATTAAATGTATACTCTTAATGTTGAAAAAGCATGATGACAATTGAAATACCAAGATCAGAATTAGAGTCCCACTAAGAAATGCTCCCTTTAGGAAAAACAATTATTTCTTTTGATTTCAGCCATGAGCAGCACTTAATATACGTTTGCTAGGCACCCCACCAGACACCTCCAGTGAAACAAGAGCAGAAAGGCTTAGAGGTATAAAGTGTCTGGTTCCTATGTAGTATATTTAAGCACAAACAGATTAAGGCTGATGGCAGTAAAAGCCAGTGACTTAATCTGACTCTAAAGAATAAACAGAGTTTAGAAAGAAATTAAAATTGAAGAGAACATTTTGAATACATATGACAGAAAAAAGTTACTATTTTACTACTGTCAAAGTTTGATGAGTTCTTACAAATTAATAAGGAAAGAAAAAACAGGGAAGTGGTGTTTAGGTGGAAAGTCAGAAGGCTGCTGTGTCAGTTCAGGGGAGAGATGATGATGGCTTGGGTTAGGGTCACAGCAGTAGAAATAGTGAGAAGCAGTTGGATTCAGGGTATATTTTGTAGAGCCAATCTTTTGAATTACTGATGGATTTGATATGAAAAAATGAGAGAAAGGGCAAAATCAAAAAAAAAGCTTATTGGGTCTTAGACAATGGGTACATGTTAGTGCCATTTAATAATGTAAGGAAAGGAGAAAGTGGAATGGAACATTTAGTTTTAACCATGCTAAAGTTTGAGATGCCTAGTACACATGAGTTTCTAGTCAGGATAGAGTAAGTTACAATGCTGTAACAAACAACTCCTCAAATCTCAGTAGCTTCAAACTACAAGATTTATTTCTTGCTCAAGCTGCATATTCATCTGAACATTCATCATCAAGTTGGCTGGGGCTCCTCTTTTTTTACTTTTTTCTGGAGATGGAGTCTCACTCTGTCACTGAGGCTGGAGTGCAGAAGTGTGATTTCAGCTCACTGCAACCTCTGCCTTCTGAGGTAAAGCAATTCTCCTGCCCCAGCATCCTGAGTAGCTGGGACTACAGGTGCATGCTGCCACATCCGGCTAATGTTTTGTATTTTAGTACAGATGGGGTTTCACTCTGTTCTCCAGGCTGGTCTCGAACTCCTGAGCTCAGGCAATCGCCCACCTTAGCCTCCCAAAGTGCTAGGATTATAGGCATGAGCCACCATGCCCGGCCAGCTGGGGCTTTTCTCTTTGTTATTCTCACTGCAGGACCCAGGCCAGTAGGATTATTGCCTATCACTATGGCAGACAAAATGAATGAGTAGAGAATCACACACTGGCTATTAATGCTTCACACTGAAAGTAACATGTTATTTCCACACTCCTTTCATTGTCTAAGGCAAGCCACATGGTTACACCTAAATTCAAATGGACAGGAAGTACAATCCTGCTAAGTGCCTTGAAGGAGAACCAGATATTTGGATGACTCTCACTATCCAAATGGCGACATCTTCTAGGCAGTTACATATGTAAATCTAGAGTTCAGGGAAGATGTTTGCAGACAGAGATTTAGAAGTTGTTACGTATTTAAAATCTTGGCACCTAGGAAGAAAGTGCAGAAACCAAAAATAGAGAGCTGAGGACAAAATATCTATCCTTTAAAAATATATTAGAAGAGGAGAAACCAGCAAAATAGACTGAAGAAGAACAGGAGAGTGTGTGTATGTGTGGTGTGTACAAGTGCTTCTGTATTTATATGAGCATATAAACAAGCATAAAAATGGGTTTGAAGAATTAGGGATTCTTGTGAATTTTTTAGACATTCATTTGTTAATGCGTTCATGTATTATTAACTTGAAATCTAATAAGTTAAGACAAAACTGTTACACTAAAAGTGTTTGTGGGAAGGTGGTGGCGGGGAGCAGTAACATTTAAGTAGACTGAACAAGTGAGTATAAGGCACTTGTAGGAAGCTAGAAGACCAGGTGAGCATATGCCTAGACCCAGTTAGTAATGAGTATAATTGCATCGAAGCCGTACACCTGCATATTAAAATTAAGCAATCTGAATAGATGGAGCAGGCAGACAAATATCCCAGAACAAAACCCAAAATAAGTCACTTATTTAGGACCCTATTTTTTAAAGAAACTATAAGCAAAGAGAACTAGCACATTTTAACTTAAAACTGTAGTTGTTTCTAAAGCATTTTCATTTTGTTTATCATGCCTCAACTTGATGCATATTATCTTAATCCAGAGGTAAAAAGGAATTTTTTAAATTATTGGAATATGCAGAATCTAGTAAACAAAGTTGTAAAAAGAAAACAATAATATTTAAATAAGGGTTCAGAAAATATATTCAGTTGCATCCCAACTAACTGAGTTATCCCTAAAATAGAAAAGGCTAATATTATTTAGGGATATCTAATTGTGAAACAAAAGGATATTAAAGACCAGCTTTGCATAATGACAACACACATTCTTCAACATAAAATATTATTGACTATGAATTGAAGAAAAGTTCTGATTGAGACATTTTAATTTTCTTCTTTGACGTAATTAGCCATTAGTCTCATAAATTTTCTCATTTTATATCACAAGGGCTTTAAAGAGAGTTGGTGACACTTCTAGGGATTAGGTCAAAAATAAAATCTTAACTAAAGATCAAAGAGCAAAATAGAGCCTTAAGAAAGGATCAGCTTTTCGAAATAGTTCTGTCACCACAATTAATCCCCCAATTAAGAAACCGAAAAAATACACAGATTCACCTTGACTTATAATGCAGTTACTTCCCAACAAACCCATCATAAATAGGAGAGTGTACTGAATGGATACCACTTTTATACTATCTTAAAGTCAAAAAATTTAAGTGGAGCCATCATAAATTGGAGACTGTCTATATATTGTTTCCACATAGACCAGTGATTCTCAACCAGGGGTGATTTTTCTCTCCAGGGAACTTTTGGTAATGTCTGAAGACATTTTTGATTGTCAGAATGGGAAGTTACAACTGGCATTTAGTGGGTTGAAGCCAGAGGTGCCGCTGAACATCCTATGATGCACAGGACATCCTCTACAACAAAGAATTATCCCATCAAATGTGTCAATAGTGTCAAAAATGATAAACCCTGATCTCACTTAAAATAAGTATACAAGATACTCCTATACCCAAACAGCCTATGAAGATTTGGACCTGTGTCCTTCATTAATGGAGCCCAATTCACTTAGGATTGGATGAAGAAGGGGAATCTGTTCAGCCTGCAGACTCTGGCTACATGCAGTCCACACTTTCCACCATGTTTCAGCAGTAACTGCTTCATATGAAAAATATATTCCCTGCCCTTTGATTTGCTGGTTTGCCTTAGGAAGTATGATAATAACCAAACAGATTTTCATACTTGGGCTTGCCTACTTGGTCAAGGACTGTGCATGTTACAAAGAATTGCCTTAACCCACACTTTTTTGTGAACATATGTCTTTCACTAAATAAAAAAAAACTAATTTTTATAAATTTGGGTAACTTTTATGTGCTTCCTCTAAAAGCCTGTTTCAAAATTGGAATTCCACAAAAACAGAAAAAAGTAAAATATTTCTGTATTTGAGCAAGAGAACAAGATACAAAAATAGACTCAGTAAGGAACAGTTAAAATCTGAGTCTTTATCAGGAAAAACTTTTCTAATTTTCCAACCTTAAAATCATAATTCTTTCCTTTCCATGTGGCCCAATAACTTGACTCATGGATTGTCAAGCAGAAACTTTTTTGACCAGGGTATGCAATGAATTGTCTGCCAATCAAGATTTTTTTAAAGTCACTTTTATACAGATAAGACAGTCGAAGCTAAACCCAAAGATTCAGCTATCCACATCAATTTGCTCAGCCCATTTAGAGGTAGAGTTTTTCGGGGATAAAGGCATAAACTTTTACACTTTGATTTTCTTCAAATATGACAAAATTACTGAAATCAATGATAGAAGCCAAGTCTTATGAAAGCTATTAAAAATTTTACATTTCCAATTCATGTGAAGTGCTGAGAGGGTTATAATTATGATGAATTATAGAAGTATAAAAAAGCATAAAATGTATAATATTATTTATAGAATACAAGACACATGCTTTCATATGTTCATTGCAGCATTATTCACAAATAGAAAGAAGATATGGAATCAACCTAGGTGCCTATCAATGGCATACCACATTTTCTTTGTCCATATATGCCATGGAATACCATGTGGCCATAAAAAAGAGTGACATCATGTCCTTTGCAGCAACATGGATGCAGCTGGAGGCTATCATCCTAATCAAATTAACACAGAAACAGAAAACCAAATACCACATGTTCTCACTTATAAGTGGGAGCTAAACACTGAGTACACATGGATATACAGAAGACAACAGTAGACACTGGGGACTACTGGATAGGGGAGGGAAAGAGGGGACGTGGACTGAAAAATTACTTTTTGGGTACTATGCTCAGTACCTGGGTGACAGGATCATTTGGACCCCAAACCTCAGCATCACATAATATACTCATGTAACAAACCTGCACGTTTACCCCCTGAATCCAAAATAAAAGTTGAAGTCAAAAAGTCAAAAAAAGAAGGGAAAGAGAATACAAATATCACATCTGAGAGTGGTAAACATCCACATTTTAGCTTGAATTTAGCAATGTCTAAAGACATATTTGATTGTCACAGCCGGGTTGGGGGTGCTACTATCTAGTGGGTATAGGCCAGAGATGCTGCTAAACACCCTATAAGGCACAGGACAGCCCCCCACACAAAGAATGATCCGTCTAAAATGTCAGTAGTACTGCTGTTGAGAATCTCCATTTTAGAGAGAAAGAGCATGAAGCTTAGCAAAGTTAGCAAACTGGCCAAAGGTCACACATCTAATAAGTGAACGCATCAGGATTTGATTAAACCCAGGGTTAAGTCTAGCGTTAATGCACTTTCTAATGTTTATACTCAATTTCAACCTAATTTATTATTGTATACAAATTTAGAATAAACATCTTTATGCATAATTTCTCATCTACATTTCTGATTATTTCCTTAGGGTAGATTTATAGAAGAGAAAAGTGTCACAGGAAATACACAATTAAAGGTTTTCTATAATTATAATTTATATATATAAATTTTATAATTTATATATTACATTTTTAAAAATTATTACTACAAATTATAAAGTTTTGATTCATGTCATCAGTTTACTTTCCTTAAATCTAGAGCTGGTTCACATTCCTGATATCTTACCTAATCACAGCCTACAATGTTTTCTTTTACCTTCTTATTTAATCCTTGGCAGTTTGATCGTGTCTTTACCTTTAAAAAAAAAAAAAAAAGTCCCTCCTCTCAGATAGTCTTCTTTAACTGCAACTGCACACCTATTGACTCTAATTAGAGGGATAAGGGAATGCAGAGTTTTAAAGTGCCAGTCAGAGCTCAAATCCCAGCTCTGCTGCTAACTAGTTGGGTGACTTTGTGCAAGTGACTCTGATCCTCTCTCCTCATTCATTAAATGGAGCTTGATGACAATCTACCTCACGAGGACTAAATGAGTTAATATTTGTGAAATATGTAGAATAGTGCAAGGAACAAACTTAATTCTCAAAATGTATTGGCTATCTTCCAATGTATCGGCTATCATTATTTTTTGTACTTGCATGATGTTTTCATCTTTGTCAAAGTGCCTTCTGTGATTCTGGAACCAATAGTTTTTCTGACTCCCAATGTTATCCTCATTCTCCAAATATCACCCCTTTTCCAAGCTTACCATTTACCAAGGACTTTACTATTTAATAAGGCCCTGATAGGCATCATTAGGGCTACCTATTGCTGAGTTATTTATGGCCTGGCTTTTACATTCAGAATTTGTTTGTGGCCTGGCATCTTATTCCAGTCTTCCCTAAACACTGTATTTTCATATACCCTACTACTAAACCAGTTCCACAGAGATTACAGATTACACATCTCAGTCGTTCTCTGCTGTTATATTTTCTTAGATGAACATTCTCTATAGCAGTGCTTCCCAAAGTATGCTCAGACTATTTAAAAAGAAGAGAAGAAGATTCCATTATCCAAAACATTTAAGTTACATTGTGTTCTGCATCTCCCTTCTGGTGATACACAAAGTATATTAGCATTTTAAAGTATTTGAGAAAAACAGGGATAAAGAAACATGTAAAAGTTTTTAACACCGTAATTCCTGAATTTATTTGATCAAATAACACACTTTTTAAGAAAATCACACCTGTCACCATCTTGTAGAATAGTATCAATGTTCAGTTGGGAACACTGTTGAAGAATAGGGAAGAGACCATGAGTGTCCACTAGCTCAAGTTTTCTCAAAGTGGGCCATCTGCCTTGCATCAGACATAGCCAAGTTGCTAATTAAAAATGCAAACTCCTGGGCTAATCCCAAGTCTTCTGAATTGGAATATCTGGGAATATGGCTTGGGAGTATTCATTTTATTTTATTTTATTTTATTTTATTTTTATTTTATTTTATTTTATTTTATTTTATTTTATTTTATTTTATTTTATTTTATTTTATTATTTTGAGACAGAGTCTGGCTTTTGTCCCCTAGGCTGGAGTGCAATGGTGCAATCTTGGCTCACTGCAACCTCCACCTCCCAGGTTCAAGCGATTCTCATGCCTCAGCCTCCCAAGTAGCTGGGACCACAGGCGCCCGCCACCAAGCCCGGCTGATTTTTGTATTTTTAGTAGAGACGGGGTTTCATCATGTTGGCCAGGCTGGTCTCGAACTCCTGACCTGGTGATCCACCTGCCTCAGCCTCCCAAAGTGCTGGGATTACAGGCGTGAGCCACTGCACCCCGCCTGGGAGTATTCATTTTAAACAAACTGCCAGAGTAATTTTGATAACCTCTAAAGTTTTGAAATTACTGTGCTAGGTACTAACAGCAGCCAGAGTGTAAATTACAAAAGCTATGACTATTTTCCTTCCGTTACCATTGAGGAGAATTTTTAAACCCATAGCCTTTGATTTTACTGTGAAGCACATTGATGTAATAGTGAGAATCATGCCCTAAGTCTGGGTTTACCAGAAATTCAGCTTTCGAATCACATCCTTCCCAAGTCCCTGTCAGCTGTGAGCAATAGCAAATCATTTTTCCAGTAGCTTAGGAGCCTGTGAATGGATTCTGTTCACAGCTTTAACACTGATGGTGGGGAGTCATTCCATTTCCTCATTGAAAACGACTGTTGGCAATCCCCAGGCTGGAAGGATGATATAGAGAAGCCTAGTGCATTTCTCTGTGGCACAGGATCAGAGCAGCCACAGCCCACCAGGTGCGCCCTGAGAGCTCATATTAACTCACTCTTTTCTGTATATTTGTTTGTTCAAAGAAGTCATTACCATATCTCTTTGTACTTTTCTGCTAAGTAGCTCTGAAAACTTTCAGGGAGTTTTTCAGATGAACCTAAGTGTATAATCAATCCTTCATTATGGTTTTAAATCCAGAATGAAAGTGCATCTGAACTTGACACACGTAAATAGTAGAAAGTTTGTTTGTGCAGGTGTATAGTTTTAGTTTTCTTTCTTTTAACATTCTTGCTTTTTAGAATTATTCTACTAAATAATATTAACTTGTTCAAAGGTGTATTCACAGTTTCTCTTGATCATGATGTTCATTGACATTTGGTTTTCTAAATAAAAAAGAAAGTTTGATTACTATTGAAGAAAAGTTGGGGGGAACATCTCACTGTGAAATATTTGGTCGTATTTTGATATGTTAAGTTGTTGCTTTTCAATGTGTAAAAAGCTTTTCCTCTTGGGATTATTTTACAGTCTACCTCTAACTAAATTTCATTCCTGACTTCTCAGTGTATTGAATGCTTGCATCTGCCACACTTGGGGGAAGGAAGCACCATGAAAATGCTGTTCTTGAAAATTTTTACCCAACTTCAAACTGTGTTACCTTTTTATTTCTGTTTATTTTCTCACCAATATGTTTCTAGAACATTCACATTAGCTCATATCACCTTAGCAACCTCATCTCTGTCAAACACCTTTGCCCTTGCCCTGGCCTCATTATCAGCATTAGCCAGTCAGTCACCTGTTTGGGAACCAAGGGCTCCTCAAAATCGTGCAGTTTGAAATAGATTTTGTCATGCTATGCTTACGGGCCAAAGCACCCAGAGGTGTAACAAACACTTGGTGTTTAGCTATATTTTAGGGCAACAGATTCCGAATCTTCCCCCAGCTTGGGGATTCAGTGTGTCTGCCTAGATCTTCCTGAGTCACCTCCCAGTTGATATGTGAAAGAAGCCTACAAGCCCACCGTCTTTCATATATCCTCCCTGCTTGTCCTGCCTGTTGGAGTTTGATGTCATTTATTGCTTCTCTCACCTCACATCAGTTCTGTTCAACAATTTTTTATTGAGCACCTGCTAGGTGCTAAGAATAAAAGATTACTAAGTCAGTCATGATTTCTGTTCTTAAGGAGCTCACTATAGAACAGAAGTTTACAATAGAGGGTGATAGAAAGGTGTGCTCAGGGTTCACTGGGTCATAATGCATGACACCTGATTTGTGAGGTCAGGTGTGGTGGGACATATGCCTGGACAATAGGCAAGGAGTCCAATCACTAAAGATAGTATACTTCATCCAGTGCCATCAAGAAGCTATGAAAGGTCAGAGTGGTGTTTTAGATTGTGCAATCTAGCAGCTGTATGAAGAATGGATTTAGTGGGAGCCAGAAGTAGTACTAGTTAAGGAGAGCCAAGGAGAGTCATAGTATTTAAGGAGAGAGGTGGCAAGGACCTGAACCAAGGAGAGTTTTAAGGAATAGATGATGATGCAAATGAAAACTGTGCCCCTTCCCAATCTTTTGGGTTAGATTCCTTCTGGGAATTTAGGATGTAATCAGAATCAGATGTAGGTCAACATATTCCCTTGTATTATAAATGTAGGTTGACAGCCTCTACTCCATGGAAGCAGCACCGCTCTGTCCCCATTGCTGGTCTCAGTTTCTGTTTCCATAGGAGAAGCACTACTTGGTCCGCATAGCTGGTCCTAACTTCAGTTTCTGTCTCCCATACTGGTCCCCTGCCTAGCTCCCACTGGTCTGCTTTACAAGATCACCATTGAGGTTTATGCTGACCATTCTTAGGAGCTTTTCCTGATGGGTCACTGACAAACATGGTGCATTCACTATGAACTTTACGATCTTCATGACACAAAGTGAAGAATAAATTAGAATAAATTGTGTTAAGCACATTTCATTGATTCATGGAGTAGAATTTCCCTTCACTAAATCAATGCAATGAGACATTTCAGTTGGGGAAGGGGGAAGCAGAGACTATGGTGTTTTCTAGATAGACTATGGGGTTTTCAGAATTATGTCATCTGCAAACAGGGACAGTATGACTTCCTCTTCCTATTTGGATATCTTTTATTTCTTTCTCTTGCCTGATAGCTCTGGCCAAGACTTCCAATACTGTGTTGAATAGGAGTTGGGAGAGAGGGCATTCTTGTCTTCTGCTGGTTTTCAGGGAAGTGCTTCCAGCTTTTGTCCATTCAGTATGTTGTTGACTGTGGGTTGGTCAGAGATGGCTCTTATTATTGAAATATGTGCCATCAATGCCTAGTAAACCCCATAGTCTCTGCCCAAAAGCTCCTTGAGCTGATAAGCAACTTCAGCAAAGTTTCAGGATACAAAATCAACATACAAAAATCAGTATTCCCACACCAACAACATCCAAGCCAAGAGCCAAATCAGGAAATCAATCCCATTCACAGCTGCCACAAAAAGAATAAAATACCTAGGAATACAACTAACCAGGGAGGTGAAAGATCTCTACAATGAGAATTACAAAACACTGCTAAAAGGAATCAGAGATGACACAAGAAAATGGAAGCAAATTCCATACTTATGGATAGGAATAATCAATATCATTAAAATGGCCATACTGCCTAAAGCAATTTGTAGACTCAATGCTATTCCTATTAAACTACCAGTAGTATTCTTCACAGAATTGGAAAAATCTAGTATAAAATTCAGATAAACCAAAAATGATCCTGAATAGCCAAGGCCATCCTAAGCAAAAAGAATAAAGCTGGATGCATCATGTTACCCAACTTCAAGCTATACTGCAGGGCTACAGTCATCAAAACGGCATTGTACTGGTACAAAAACAGACGTATAGACTAATGGAACAGAATAGAGAGCCCAGAAATAATGCTGCACACCTTCAGCCATCTAATTTTCAACAAAGCTGATAAAAGCATTGGGGAAAGGACTCCCTATTCCCTAACTGGACCTAGGATAACTGGCTAGCTATATGCAGAAGATTGAAATTGGGCCCCTTCTTTCACCATAAACGAAAATTAACTCAAGATGGATTAAAGACCTAAATGTAAAATCTATAAGTATAAAAACCCTGGAAGATAACTTAGGCGATACCATTCTGGACATAGGAATTTGCAAATATTTCCTGACGAAGACGCCAAAAGCAATTGCAATAAAACCAAACCAGTGTCTATAAGGAACTTCTTAAACAAATTTACAAGCAAAAACCAAACAATCCCATTAAAAAGTACACAAAGGACACACACAGACACTTCTCAAAAGAAGATACATCCAGCCAATAAGCATATGAAAAAATGTTCAACATCACTAATCATTAGAGAAGAGAAATTCAAATCAAAACCAAAATGAGATAGCATCTCATACCAGTCAGTATGGCTACTATTAAAAAAATAAAAAAATAGCAGATGGTGGCGAGGTTGCAGAGAAAAGGGAATGTTCATACACTGATGGTGGGAATGTAAATTAGTTCAACCATTGTGGAAAGCAGTGTGGCGTTTCCTCAAAGAATAAAAACAGAATTACAATTTGACCCAGCAATTCCATTATTGGTTACAGGCCCAAAGGAATATAAATTGTTCTACCATAAGGACACATGCATGCATATGTTCCTTGCAGCACTATTCATGATAGCAAAGATATGGAATTAACCTAAATGCTCATCAGTGGTAGACTAGATAAAGAAAATGTAGTATATATACACCATAAAATACTCTGCGGCCATTAAAAAGAACAAGATTATGTCCTTTGCAGCAACATGGATGAAGCTAGAGACCATTATCGTTAGCAAATGAACACAGGAACAGAAAACCAAATATTACATGTTTTCATTTATAAGTGAGAGTCAAATAATGAGAACAAGTGACCCAAGGAGAGAAACAACAGACACTGGGGCCTATTTGAGGGTGGAGAGTGGGAGGAGAGAAAGGATCAGAAAAATACCTATTGTTGGTACACCAAACCCCCATGACATGAGCTTACCTATGTAACAAACTTGCATGTGTACCCCTGAACCTAAAATAAAAGTTAAAGGGAAAAAAAAGTAAACATGTTGTAGAAGTCACAATCTATGACAGTCTTGTTCTTTGCCTTCTCCATTGCTTCTTAGTAATCTGTAAAGCTATTGTTTCTGATATGAGTCAGTTTCTTTGTCCTTCCCTTTTACATTTCCTCTTTTTTTCTTACCTTTTTTGAGGGATCCTAAGAGAGCGTTTTAGAATGGGGAATTCTTAAAGAAACCTGCAAAATATATTTTCTCCATTATGTTAAACTCCATAGCAATAAACTTGGTTTAATGCGGTCAGTTTTATCACAGATCAGGCCTCCCTAAGGCGAAGGAGCTAAGCCAGTAATTTGGGAAGGCTTTGAAGCCACATGTGCATGTATACATTAACCTCTAAGACTAACCATAATTTCAATTAACATAAAATAATCTAAAGACATGCTGATTAGACACCGTGTGGCTTTAACAAAGCATTCTGGGCAGGGGGTTGGGGAATAGAGAAGCTTTAACTATTCCTAGCACCAGCAAGCAGGGCTTTCTTTAATCATTTATAACATATTTTCTCAACCTTTTTTTCTTGCGATGTTCTTAGAGACTAAAAACAACAAAATTCCAAAAGCTTTTACTAATTAAAAAGAGAGGAACTGAAACTGTTATAGATTATGTCAGTGAAATCCACTTTAAAAAAAAAAAGTAAAATTCCAGCTGTCCTTTAAAGTATATGATTTACACCATATTCCAGTAAATTGATGCAGGCCGATAACTTTTCATTCATTTCTCTTGTGTGTCTTGTGGGGCATACTTAGAGCAGTCAGTTCTCCTAGGGACAAAGCAGGAAGACTAACTCGAGCCCATGTTGCTTTTTATGATATGTGGTTTTGAGTTTCAGAGGAGTCGAGTGCAGTGTGAATCATAGAAGCAGCCAGCTGAAAAATCCTCAACCCTATAACAAAAAGCAGATTTTTTCCCATATTTCTTCCAAGTTTTTATTTCACATGCAAGTCTGAGATACAAAATATTCTGTAAAATTTTAAGGAAGCCACAGTAGTTCTTACTGTTTGGGGATTTCCCGGAGAGAATAATCGTGTTCAGAATGGTCCTTTTTTTTGCCAAAAGGTTTATTATGTGAACTGAACGGCTCAACCAAACAGATAACACCATCTCCATTTTATTTTTACATGTTATTTACTGGGGTTTCCCTGAAGAAAGCTTAAGAATTCTTTCCCCATGAGTCACTGACCAAGTAATTGTTTTTTTAAAATATAAACTTTCCTTCAGCTGGTCAATTTGGAACGCAGTCTTCTCATCTTCTGTTCACTTCAGGGCTGCTTTGCCTTCATCTGTAAATGATCACGTCTACAGCCAAATTGAGCAGCTCGAATGTAGCCAATTTCTTTCCATTGAGCACTCAAGTTTGAAAAATCAACAGCCCGGCCAGGCAAGATTCAGAGGACTTCATCCTCTGAAAGTGACTTACATAATTATATTTTCATTGCGTTGGCAAAAAATGCCTCTCATTGGTTTAATTTCTGCTGGAATTAATGGGATGAGGAATTGCAACCATATTTTGCCAAGAATTGTGAGTGGTTGCTCTGCCCAGGTTATGTTACCCTTTTACTGTTGTGAGTGGGTTAGAAGGTATTGTCTTCTATTCTCGTCTTCTTATTGAACTAGAGGCTGTAATTATTTCCCTTGGTAGTGGCTGAACTTTCTCTTTAAATATTGACACCTTCACAAATGTGTTAAAACAAGCGTTAAAGTTGGCTTTTTCCCCACGAAAATGGCCCTATAATTGCAATCTTCTATTCTGAAGGAGAAATGTTGTTTTACAGAATATTTCTGAACCCCTTCCCACCCACTTTCCCAGTGGCTATAAGAAGCCTGCTGTTGCCAACTGAGTGGTCTAGAGTCCCTGCTAATTACCTCCTTCCACAGCTTTTGATTTGGAGCCGAACTGATGGCGCCAGCGGCTGAACCACAGTCAGATCTACAGGCCTCTGATTTGCCAAATGGAATCTATGCAGTTTGTTTCCTTTCTCACAGTGTTTTATGATGAGACTCAGCTCAAACTCGAAATAGACGAGGAATCACTTCAAAATATTAATGGTTGATTTGAATTTTGAAGAAAAATAGCCATCAGAATTCTATATTCCATTACCAACATACATGTATATGTGTACATGTGCTCACAAAAAAAATCACAAAATGTGTTTTTCTAAAGAAGCATTCTATTAATTGTATTCCATTAAGCATACTAGTACCAAAAGCTTTCAGAATACTTCATATTTTATAGCCTTATAAAAGTTTTATTCTATCTGTTGATCATTAATATGTAGGGTCTCATGTCCACATCAGATGTGCCTAGAGTTTTTCTCTAAACTGGCATTCTTTTAAAATATAGCTTGGAAAAGAAAACATAATTATAATCATAGAGGGAATAAGAATTGTCTTTCTCGAAAGTTCAGAGGCATTAGCCTGAAACCCTAACAGTTAGTTGAGAGTTTCTGTTTCTCATTTCATAGAAAGGAATTAAACAAAAAGCTTTAGTTTCATCACAGTTAAAAATATTTAGTTCTCAAAACATATTTTCTCAGCTGTGTCTTGCTTTCTTATTTGAGGTTTCTTCAGAAAGGGAAACTGATTATATTAGAGACAATAATGTTGGAAGACAAAACAGTTCTCAGCCAAGTGAGAATGAAGGGCTTCCTAAGTGAACTACTCCCTTCTCTCCTTATTAATTTGGCTCCAAAGTCAAGCACATCAAAATGGAAAGTAGTTCTCATTCTTTTTATTGATGTGAAGTCAAAAATTCTGCATAATTTTAAAGAGCAGATAATCTAAATCACACATACATATACATACATACACATATGCACACACACTGTTATCCATTAGAACAAGTCTTCTTTATCAAATACCTGACTTTTAAGTGTATTTGTGCCACTTGATTTACTTATTCATTATATAGACATTTAGTTAGCACCTTCCATGTGTCCAGCATCATGCTTGATTCTGGGCATGAAATAGTCCCTGTTCCCAGGGTTCCCAGTTTAGGGGGAGACTGATAAGAAAATAATTTCATATCACCTTGTAACATAACTGCTATCATCGTTATGTTAGGAGGTGGAGATGAGAGGTACCTAAATTACATTTTCCTAACAAGCAAAGATGTAGATTAGCAGCCGGGCGGATCACGAGGTCAGGAAATCGAGACCGTCCTGGCTAACGCAGTGAAACCCAGTCTCTACTAAAAATACAAAAAAATTAGCCGGGCGTGCTTGTGGGCGTGGTTGTAGTCCCAGTTACTCAGGAGGCTGAGGCAGGAGAATGGCGTGAACCTGGGAGGCGGAGCTTGCAGTGAGCCGAGATCGTGCCACTGCATTCCAGCCTGGGCGACAGAGCGAGACTCCGTCTCAAAAAAAAAAAAAAAAAAAAGAAAGAAAGAAAAAGATGTAGATTAGCAAATGCTTTGAAGAGAAAGTGACTTTTGAATGGTCACTTCAAAAGTAAGAATCAGGAAGAAAGCTATGGAAAAGAGAATGCATCCCAGACAGAGTAACAGTATAAGTAAAAATTCAGAGAAATGAGAGTTTATTGGCGTAACTGAAGGTCCATAGCTATGGCTGCATGAAGTGCATGTGAAGGTGTACAGTGAAGACTGAGGGGCCAGGGAGGTAGACAGAGAGCAAATCGTGCTGGGCCTTGTATGCCAAGGGCTGGAAGACTTTATCTGAAGAGCACTGTGGAATCAGTGAAGACATTTAAACATGGGATCATCTTTATATTTTAGTAAGAGTGTTATACTAGGAGTGAGTAAGTATATTAGGATGTAGGACTGACGACTAAGATACTGTTGCAATAGGTAATAAATGTTGAAATTGGGATAGACAGACTTCTGTTTTAAACAGAAGGACAAATCAGACACCCTCATGGACATATACACATATTTATAGTTTAAATGATGAAGAAAATAGATCAAATTTGTATTAAATGCACTACCAAAATGAATTAAAAGGAAAGAATCCATAGAAGCCAGAAAATGACACGAAAGCAGGAAACTAAAGCACTGGTTTCCATCCTGAGGATTTCACCCAAATTTTTGAGATCTTGTGCCTCCATCATGGTGGCCAAATAATGCCTGGCAAACAGGTGTAAAGCTTAGTACATTCCAAGTTCCAAAGACTCCTAACAGGAGCCTGTCACACAGGCTGGGACTGGAAAAAACTGTATCCTGGTCTAAGAATATACTAAAAATAAAACCAATGTCCAGAAGAATGCAGCCAGGAAATTATATTGTATTGACCTTGGCACTAAATAAAAGGGGAGTGATGGGTGGTGATCTGCCTTTAAACTGCATAGCCACAAGTTTGCCCCCATTTGAATGTAAGGTCTGAATTCACACTACATGTGTGTTTGAGCATCTCAAACCTCAAGTACAGAATTTAATTTTCCTGGGTTAGTACCACCCTCAGAGGAACTAGCAGAAGCCCCCCCCGCCAAAAAAAATTATTTCCTCTCTGTAAAAATGCAAATTCGACCCAGGCCTTAACTCCCCAAGATAGAGTTCTAAGGAAAATGAATAGCTTACAAAGAACAAAGGAAGGAAGGACATAGGAAATAAACCACTACTGAGAATAGGAGAAACAACAGGCTGTGAAATCAGACCTTCAGAGATGAGATATTTACAATTTTGGAGTTACTAGGTACAGAAATAAAAAGTTGTTTAATATGTTTAGAAATAAAGAGGCTTTAAGTATGAGAAGAAAAGATCAAGCAGATTGGGGGAATGACTTCTAGAAATAAAATATAATCACTGCAATGAAAAATTCAATTAAAAGTGTCAAGGAATCAGATTAGATATAGCTGAACAGAGAATTAGTAAACTGGAAAATCTGTAGTGATATGAATACACTGACCAGAATAAAGTCCAAGCCAGAATAAAATCCGAAAGAAAAGGATTGAGATCACAGATTGTGTTAGATGAGTTCTAACATGTTCTAATCAAAGTTCTAGAAGGAAATAGTAGAATGGGGAAACACAGTATTCAAAGACGACTAACAGAACGTTCATAACAGCACTGTTTGTAATAGTGAAAAACCTGGAAATAATCTAAATGGCCATTAGTGGAAGGGCAAATTAGTAAATTGTAGTATATTTACACATTGGAGTATTATATAGCATCCCAAACAAGTGAACTCCAGTACATTCAATGGTATGCATGAATTGGCAATATAGGTAAAAGAAAATTATATATAATATATTCTTTTTTATGAAACTAAAAATAACTGATAAAAATAACTCTTTAAGACTAAATATAGATGCAATAAAACCATAATAAAAGGAAAGTAAGGGAATGATAATTATTCTCACTGATAGTTACTTTGAGTGGGAGAGGCAGGGGGCTGAGTTGGCAGATGGTATTACATGATACTGTATGAACAGATGCAGACGAAAGTGTGCCATGAACCAAGGATTATAGTTAATCCAATTCCGTATACTAAAAGTACATTGAGGAGGTAGGAGGAGAGAGAGAGGTTGAGAATTTTCTAAAATTGTTGAAGTCTAACAATTCTTAGAATCAGGAAATAAAACAATTCTCAAATAGGATTTTTAAGAAATGATACATAATAAGTAACAACAAGACACATCATAGTGAAACTACAGAACACCAAAGAAAAAAAGATCCTAAAAGAAGCCAGAAAGCTAGGTCACCTACAAAGGAGTGGAATTAGACGGACTGCTGATTAGTTTAACCTGTACAATATCGTTCAACAGATGAGTGGTAGAGCCAGGATTCAGATCCATATCTTCTGATTCCTATGCCTATGTTCCTTCTAATACTCCACCAAAATTTTTCACACATTTATGTACAGAGTATTTTGTGTACTGAAATAAATGTAAACCAAAAAAGTAATGGAAAGAAGAAACCCAATAAAAAGAAAAGTTAGTGTTACCTAACATATGAAAAATTTGGTAAAATTTACATGTATTTAGGTACAAAAGAGACAAGGGAATTAGCATTTGTTAAATTCCTAAATATGTGCCAGGAATAGTTCTGGTGCTTTAAAAAAAATCTCATTCAGTTATCATAACAAATATTTCTGAGCTAGAGTTCTTATTTCCATTTTGTGGTGGAAAAGACTAAGGCTTGGAGAGATTACATGATTTACCCAATTTCAAAAGTTAGTAAATGGTAAATTCAAATTCTGAAAAGGTGCAGCCAGTCCCACCTGACCCATCGTCTTCCCAGTAGCATTGTCAGTAAACGAATAATGTAATTTATATTACCTAAGGTGTCCTAAACAGAGCACCTTCTCTGGCAACCTTCTGAGACCACCACCCCCAGTGTCAGGGGTTATTGCCCTCAGAGACATGTCCAGGAATATTAGTTTTTCCTTTGCACTTCTCTAGGCTTCTTTCCCACTTGGATGCTCTACAGATTCCTACACCACATTTGCTCATCCATTTAAAGTGCTATATACTGACTATTTTCTAATGGTTTTAGGGTTTTGAATCCTTGCTATTACACTTACTCGAAAAATTACTAAATCCATTTGCACCTCAACTTCCTCATGTGTAAACTGGGATAATAACACACCTTTTGAGGATTCTCGAAATGATTAGCTGAGAAAATGAAATCCATAAAGCTATTAGTTCAGTCGCTGGCACTTGAAAGTTTTCAGTAAGTGACTACTGCTGCCATTATTAGATCCTTTGCAGGTACAGAGACAGCTTTTATAGTCAGAGGGAATTCATTTTGTCTCCTAGTTTGCCTAAGAATAAGTGATCCATCTTTATTTATTCTACTGATTGTGATCTGACATAGTCTTGGACCTAGTTATTATTAATTTTAGCATATGTTAATAAGAAAATAATTATAAAATATCCTGTTCTGAATTTCATTTCAAGATAATGTGAATATAGCAATACATGATCAAATATCTATTTTCTAAATTGAGATTTTAAAAATTCCCAAACTTCATCCCCTGAGTTGAATTCACTAGAATGAAATAAATGAAGACAATGTTCACTAAGCTTCTAAAGAATCCACATGTTAATTGGATCAGTTTGCCCAAAGACTATTTTTGCCTTTAGGATTTATTATTCTGAATTAAGTCATTATATGGTTGAGTGATTATGTAAAAAATCATATTATTTATACAATGATATGTGAAGAGGATTACTATAATGCAAGAGGTTAAAAACATAGAAGCACCAAGCCCTCATGTATATAGAAAACTCATGCTAAGGCCAGAAGAAGCAGAAGGAGAGTCAGAAGAAATATACCAAAGTGGTAAACATGTATGCTGTGCTATGTGTGCCCACATAATACATAGGAAATGCTAAATTGGTATCGATTTCTGAAAATAAAAATGCCTGTTCTTTTTTCAAATTATGCAATCCTGATAAGCCTACTAGGCATATACATATATATCCTTTTAACTAATCACGTTATCATTTTTTTCCAACAAAGAATATAATAAATGAAAGTCACCTTCTGGGTGATTAGTGGCAGTTGACTTGGAGTTTCAGCCCTTCCTCAGGACTTTTTGGCATAGTAATAACATTGCAAAGTTGCTCACATTTTTCATACCCTTCCATTTTATCTTGTGTGTGTGTGTGTGTGTGTGTGTGTGTTTGTGTGTCTTGTATGTGGAATATTCTTACAGCTAGTGACTTAATATGCTGATGAACACAGAGAGCTGGATTTTTTTTGCAAACCAATATTTTTGTGCCATTTGATTATTTAGGTGATATTCAGCCTTTTCAAAGATTACTTAACTGTCGTGGTATCACTACAGAGGAAGAAAGGAAATTCTGTAGTTAGTTTAGGAGAAAACGTAACGTAAAACAATTCTTCAAGGAACCTAGCAATGCAATAAAGTATCTAGATAATCTTTTAGAATATCAGAGCCTGGGGTATGCTAATGAAATCATGGGAGAAGAAAAAAGCTCCAGTTCTCACTCACATTAAAAGTGCTCTCTTTTACACAAGACACAATTCATAAAATCTTTTTATATCAGCAGGGAACTCATCTATCTGTATATACATGGAGGCAGGCAGCTGTTAACAGCATAGCATGACACTGCTGAACAGTTCAGGATGCAGGATAAGGAATATCATTCTATCATTCCCAACTGAAACAACATCAGAAAATGTAGACAGGCTAAATAGAATTATCCAAAATGGAGCCTGTCTGAAATTCCAAGTCTCCCAGAGACAAAAGTACTATTCACCTCTTCTTCCTTTCTATGGCTGAAATTCATTTGCATCCACTGACATCCTTTAAATTATTACCCTCCTGGGAAAGTCTGCAACCCTTGTAGAACACTTATAAACATTCAGTTGTTTCTGATCAGACCTGTGTTGTTTGTAGTTCTCCTGACTCATATTTTAGTATCTTAGGAAGGAAAATTTAGTGCCACAAATGTTTACCATCTATATTCTCTTGGTTTCTGAGACTTCCCATGGCAATTAAAAAAATTTAGATATTACACCTTTTGCTTCAAAGGTCATAATTCCAGAAGTATGACTCTTATCTGACCTTTTAGAATGATAAATCTAAGAAATTTTTGTGTTCCAGAGAATGAATACACAAAATGGGAACTAGTGAGTTCCAAAGCTTCTGCTATAGAATAATTGATGGTTTTCTCCAAATATTTGTTAAAATTTTAATATAATAAATACTAGGATTTTTTAAAGTAAACTTTTTTAGCAATAAGAATTTAGCACTTCCAAAGCAGCCACATGGTCTGTTGCCCAGGACTCCCTTAAAAATTGCTTTGCTGAGGCTGTTCAACATCTGTCAGCATTTTCTGCATAAACCATTGGCTCAAAAAAATTCTTCAGGCTGAAACTTGATATATCAGGTCTCAGCTTAGCAGTTTTTATGTGTTTTCAGGAAAATAAGTTTGGATGTTTTCAAGTTAGTGCTAGAGGAGAAACACATTCTAATACACCATTTCAAGACACCCTTTTATTTTATACATGGGTGAAAGGAAAACAGACTTCTACCCAACTAAAATGGACAGAAAATATCTAAACAATTGTTGTGAAGTTTTCTTCACACTGTATTGCTAAACAGGATGTCTTTATTGGAGCTATGTGACTACATTCTTCATAGAATGGCATATGGAACTCTGCCCAGCTTTAATGCCAGAGGTCAGAATGTGCCCACCTCCTGGCAGCTGAGGATGAATGGCTTAAGTGACAAATTCCGATCCGTCAGCTTCCCAGATCATTGAACAGCCAAAGGAGACTAATACAATAAACAACAGTTTGCCAAAAGGCATCATGATCCACTGGTGGATTGTGGTTTTACACAGCTTCAACATACATTATCCTGACGTCTAAAATTACATCTCAGAGTACAGCTGTGTGTGTAATACTGGACTTCATTCCACTGGATGATCCCATGTTGTCCACTTACAACAGGAATGCACTTTTGAACCTAGAGCTGTCACTACAAATCTCACTGTGAGTGTTAAGAATTCATGAAGAAATTCCAATTTATTGATTTGCAAGGATTTGCCTATGAAGGTAGAGAGATTGTATCTTAAAATTGCCATTCCATTAAAGGCTAAAAAAGTCATTTCAATGACTAAAGTTCTTATATCTTTTAGTTGACTATTTGTAAAGTGAACTTTTTTTTTCTTTTTATATGAGTGTTAACTGGAAATAGGCAAGGAATGAGCAGGACTTTAACATTCTAGTCCTCTGTGTCAGCTGTCTGTGTTACAGAATTTATTTGAACTATAGAGTCCCTAAATCACTACAGCATAAGCCTCAGGGAAAATAAAAACTCAAAAATGTATAAACAAACTATACTAAAATTGAGCTACTGAGCACCTTAGTATACTTGCTTCCCTTTAGTTAACGTATTTTCACCAACAAGGGTGTGTCTTTCAAGGCTATCTGGAGTATACCTGTGGTTTTAGAAATACCAAGTGACTCACCTCCAGTAGTTACAGTGGTAAGGAAAAAGTTGTTACCTCTTTCCTTTGGTGATTCTGGTGCACATTTGGAAGATACAGCTCAAAGCAATCAATACCCTGGGCCTCTGGCTTCTAATATATTAATGTCTGCTCTCTGGAAGACCCATATGCACCACCTGCCCTCTGAATCCTGAGTGATCCAGATCCTTTGGAGGACTTAAGTAAATAAAAATTAAGAGCAAAACAAATGGTCTTGAAAATCCTTTCCAATAGACACAAGCAAACACAATAGGGATCTGATCATTTCACTTTCCTAAATTTTCTGTTTCCCCATTCAGCACAGTGGAGGAGGACCTCTGAGATTACTCTTCTTTTTCAAATCCCCACCTCAAGGTATTCTCCTCACACTTCCGCCACCCACATACACCCCTGATGCTCCATCCACCAAGCAGCCATATCCACAGGCCACAGGTGCACCATCCTCTGCCCTGTTTCTGCACCTTTGCATGTGTAGTTCCTCCTGCCTGCAAGATGCTGTCATTTATTCTATACCGGATGAACATCTTCCTACCCATCAAAACCCAGATCACTCTCTGATACATTCTTTCTGCATTCCATGGAATATATAGATTTGACTGTTACTGGTTTATAATCAAATTTGTCATCTTTCTTCACAATAGTCCTAAGGTTTATGCCAGTCTTGTCCCTGTCTCACTAATAATGAAATTAAGATTTGTAGATATAAAATAATATGACACATATTAAAAGCACTCAGAAAGCTAAGGGTTTTTCTTCAGAGCTTTTATTCATTTTTGTATCTAATGTTGAAAACAAGTAAAAATATATACAGAAGAGCCCCTAGCTGAAATGTATTCATATGGCCCCCTGACCTAATCACAGATTCTTCTATTTCAACAGAACTTTCTTCCTCACAGATATAAGAAAATGTCCCACTTTTCCTGATTGATTTGTGCTTATTGATTACTGAACTTAGAGCTCGGAAACTTGAATTTTCATTTTATGAACGCTCTCAATTTATTGTATGGCCTTGGAAAAATTATGAAACCTTTTTGACTCTTAGCTTTTGAAAAAGCAAATAATAAGTCTACTTATATCATGAAGCTGGTCTAAAGTTCAAAACAAACTATATAAGTGAAACAACTTGAAAACTGTATGCCTCTACATTCATACAAAGTATATATTCATATTTATATGACTAGTGTACAGTATTATTATCAGTATCAAAGAAAACTAAAAGTCTACAGTATATGGAGCCCAAATAAAATTTGGCCAAAAAGAGTGCTTAGGATGTAAACTGCTTTCAGTTTCAACCTTTGATTCCACTTACTCGTGGTTCACGGAGAGCTTTGTAAGGATCAGTAACTTCTCCGAAATAGGTAATAATAGTGCTAACTGGGAGGTATTTAGGACATAAAGGTGTTGGGGTGTGTGTGTGTGTGTGTGTGTGTGAGAGAGAGAGAGAGAGAGAGAGAGAGAGAAATAAGACATTTTTGCTAAAGAATATCTGAAGAAAAAAAAGGCCAAGGACAAAATGTTGTAGAAAAAACCGGGTTCTTGAGTTCTTGTCTCTTGACCAGGAAGAGTTAGTCACGCAGACACTCTGAAGGATGAGAGAGAACAGAATTTATTGGGAGAAAAGGAAAAAATTCTCAGCAAAGTGAGAGGGGTTCCTGTTAACAGGCCCCCATTTCACAGATTGAATCCTGGTTTATCACACAGAAATAGGAGAGGCCAGGCTCCTCCCCACTGCAAATAGCACCAACTTCCCAAGGCTGCACCCTGTCCTCTCAGTGCTCAGGCTGGTGGGAGATTCTCTGGGGACTTTCCCCCTTATCTTCCTCCTGCTTCTATCACAATGAGAAATCTCAAATCTTTATTATTCTAACCTGTAATAAGTCCACAAAGACATGTAGAGTTTGATTTCTAGTGGTTTTTTTTAGACTGGCTATCTTGACTTCAAAATATCTAGGAATATTAAGGACAATGTGACAATTGCTCTTTTAAATTCCTGACTGAGCACACAGGAGGATGAGAAATTCCTGGGTAAGAAAATAAAAAGGGAGCTGGAAAGCAGAGGGCCTATGGTGAAGCCACAGCTGTCCTTGGGGCATTTGCTATCACTGCACACAAGAGCTTTGGATGTACTTAGACATATGGAGATAGGAGAAAATACTTCAGCCCGAAAAAATTGGGGAATTGGAACCAAGACCCCTACAGTAAGCCAGGACACTTAAAAAGCTACACCTTCAGTGAAAATGGTGAATCAAGAAAAATCCGCTTGCCGTTAAAAGGAGAAAATGAGGAAAGTTATTTGTCTCGGCTTGCACTGTGAATGGAAGGAGAGAAAAGTCTTTGAGAATCCATTTGTATAGGTTCCTCATTCTGTAATTTGAGATTCAAATATGTATCACTTACATGCGCAAGCAGAACCAAAGCTGAGAAATTAAAGTGGACCAAAGTTGGAAGCAGTTCTGGGAGCCTGTAGAAACATAAATACTCTCTGGAGCAACACACCCTCAAATCAGATCTAATAGAAGCCCAGCTAAACTTGAATACACAATCCAACATTTAAAAGGACACACACACACACACAAAGCCATCATGAGTAAGTCAAGAGAATAACAAACAGTAGGAAAGATTTTGGACTATATTTAAAAAATTTAAAGAAATAAAAGAGCAAATGACAAATTTGAGAAAGGAACACTTTCTAAAGACAAGTCATATTTTTAAAATAGCCAAATAGAACTTGAAAAATGAAGTGCAGTTATTGAAATTAAAATTTTATGAATAGATTAAACAGCTGGAGAGAGACTACATAAAATAGGTTCTACACAGTGGTGTGCTGATAGATGTTTAATAAGTAGCTGTCCAGGATGGGGGAAAGCCCTGTTCTGTAGCATTTGCTAATTTCCATGGTGTGAATGCTCCCACCATTGGTAGTCAATTTTAAGCTACCAATGTGACGTAGTGAACTGGAAAGAGACGTGTACAGTTGGTTCTCATGAGCTGGTATAAACCAGCTCCTATACACGATTGGATATATAACTGAATAAATTACCTAGAATGTAACACAGAAAGATGGAAAGATAGGAATGTATATAGGACACGAAGGACAGGCTGTGAAGATCTAATATATGTTTAATCATCATTCTAGAGGAGAATAGGAGAATGACTAAAATGTTTCCAGAACTGATGAAAGTCATGAATTCTAAGATCTAGGAAGACCACAGATAACATCCAGACATACATTATAATGAAATTGCAGAGCACCAAAGCCAAAGAGATAACCATAAAAGCATCCAGAGAAAAAATATATCAACTACTAAAGAACAACAGTTCAGACTTCTTAAGAGCAAAAGTGGAAACCAGAAATAATGGAATCATCTTCAAAGTACAGAGGGAAACACTGCCAAGCTACAGCTGAATACCTAGTTAAAGGATTATTTTAAAGTGAGGCCTAATAAAGACACTTTCAGGCAGCAAAAACAGTTTGCCATCAAAGATAAAAGGAACGAAACGAAAAAATGTACTTTAGGAAGAAGGAAAATGATCCAGAAGGAACATGGACAAAGAAGTGGGTAAACATTTAGGTAAATCTAAGCCAATATTAAAACAACAAGAATAATAGTAATGTATGGTGATTAAAAGCCATCTGAACAGTTTTATTTTCTCACAAATACTAAACAGCACTTAATTTAATTACATTGCCATGTAGAAGTTTTAACCATATTTTGTTCATTTTTGACTTATAAAACAATCAGGAAAAAACAGTAAACATTGTTATATAAGATTTACTTATTTTAATCCAAGTTACACTTTGCTAAACATACTGAAAATTTGACGGGGTTTTAAATTTGTAATGAAAGAGCCATAGACTCCTCAGAATTTTTTTTTTAATTGTGTTGATCTTGCACATTCTATTATGATTCCAGGTCATTACCTAAGCAAGGATTTCCAATTTAGGCTGAGCTGGGAAAGACATTATTATATTAAAGTTTATGGTTATGAAAACTGTACCCCCACAACACTGGAAGTACAGGACCTTTGTTTCTCTCCACCCACATGCTGGTGACTTTTTACCACTAGGAGAGTTATGTACTCACTGTGACTCACAGAAAAAGATAAGGTTACTTTATACTATCTCTCAATAAATGGAGCCAAGGATCCTTGGAGAAATTCCAGGACTGGGGCAGAGAAAGTACAAGATGAGCCTGGAATGTCTCATGATGCTAGAAAGTAAGGAAGTGCTCAAAACCTTATGGGGATATATGTGAAAAAGATACAAGAGGCAAATTACAGGAGGCTCCCAATGACTAAATCTGGGACAATTTCAGAAATAAAATAATGACAGTAATGGATTATAATCCATAGAATAAAATAAGAATCCATACTTACATAAATAAACAGTTGAATGAGTAATTATATGAAGGAGAAGGGAAAGCTGTTCCTCATAATTAATTAATTTAGAAGAGAAGATCAAAATTTAAAAATCACCATTTGCAAAACATCACAGTAATAGTTTCTCTTAAGAATCATCAATGGATGTTAAAATGAGTAGGTAAAAGTATGATGAGAAACAGGATATTCACATAGCCTCAAATATCACCCGCAAGATACTTATTAATTTCAAAGGAGAAAAAATAGAAACTTTACAGTGGAGAAACCTGGAAGACACCATCTTAACCAAATGATCAAAGTTAACATCACTAGTAATGAGACAGATCGACATCACATGTCTCCTGATGTAATGCACTGAGAAAGACACACCATTTATGTGGCGTGTTTTTGCTAAAAATGCACAACCTGAAATTAATAACGAGGAAACATCAAATTGAAGGACACTGTACAAAATAACTGGTCAATACTGTACAAAATTATTAGGGTCATAAAAGATGAAAAAAGACTGAGGTATTGCTCCAAATTAAAGGAGACTAAAGAGGCATAACTAAATGTAATACATGATTGAGGATTAGATCCTGGGTCATAGTATTACAATGTCAATTTCCTTATCTTGATCATTGTTGTGTAGTTTTGTAAGATACTAACATTCGAAGAATCTGGGTGAAGGATGTACAGGAATTCTTTGTATTAATTTTCAACCTTTTAATAAGACAAATTATTTCAAGATGAAAATTATTTTACAAATCAAAGATAGTGTTAATGATAGCTTCCTTAGACCTCTCCATCCTCCCATATTCTAAGAAAGGCCATTTATATGTTACCTCCAGTTCTGTCCACAGACATCAATGCATGGCTTCAGGAAAAGTGGGCCAAGTGCAATGCTGAACAGGAAGGAAACAGTTTGAGTCTGAAGCACAAGGTTCCTACTGTGCTGAATCAGTGTGGTAGAGGCTATTAAAATGCCATCTTTTCCTACCTCCCACTCCTCTCCTTCTTCTGCCTTCATACCCTACATCCCAGACCGCTTTTAATCCTATTGGGAGGGTATACAGAGAGAAATAAAGAAAAAATAATAATGAATGGCTGTGTTCTTTGGCACATGAATAGCAGTTTCCCTTTCGGGACTTCAAGAATAAAAAATGAGAGGCTTTAAATCTTGCTAACTTGTGCAAGAATGTGCGCGTGTGTATATGTGTGTGTGCGTAGGTAAAAATGTAAATGACCACTATGGAAAGAACAATGCTAGCTTTTAAAATCTACTAAAGTAAAAGAAATAATTATTCCTGAATAAGGTATGTCAAACACCAGTGGGAAGAAAGAAGAGCGGGTTATTTTGTTTAGAGCTGGATGAATTAGGAAAATCCCTTTTTACAGCTAACTCAGAGATGAGCTGTTGTTGCCAAGATGTGGTTTATCAAACATCTAGGCTATCTCACAGGATGTGAGTTGGTTTAGCTTTGTAAAATAGCTCTATTTTTATTTTAGCCAAATCTCTACAAGACTCTCAGTCAGCTCCCTCCCCCACCAGAATGAAACAGCAACAACAGCAGTGAAACCTGACTGAAACAGCAGAGTAAATGTTGGCCAGAAGCCTGCTGTGATCCAGCCTGGCTTTTAGAAGGAGTCTCTCTCAGTTTGATTCATTGCTTCTCACAAGCCAGCTCCAGACTGCTTTTCTTGAGATAAAATAAGTTGTAGAAGTATAAAGGGAATGTTGCCACTGGTAATTCTTTTTACTTAAGATAATAAAAAGCACATAAAATTTCCATGCTCATATTTGACTCCTTTCCGGGTCTCCCTTCCTGATTCTAACACACTGTGGAAATGGTGCAAGGAAAAAAAAGCCACAGACAGAGTAGTCGGTATGATTTCAGACCACATGACTCATTACTTGTGCTTCTTTCTGGAGCAGTCTGTTTTCTGTGAGCTGGCTTCACTCTGGTTAATCACTTAGCATGGTGAGATTTCACCTGGTTGCCCCTCTGGTGGCTCAGACGGGGCCTGGGGCATCACTGAATTTATACTGAAAATCAGATGGGCATCTGAACAACTCCCACAAAACACACACACACACACACACACACACACACACACACATTTAATCAGCATCAAGTAGTGCAGTTTCCTTTCTAAGTGATGGGAGCTGCTGGCTGTTGTTTTTGGCTTGAGGCCGCATAGACCAGCCAGCCGTTGTGTAAGCATGGTCTGTCTGAATTGCTTTGGGGCTGTCTTCTTAGAAATCTTCTTGCTGTTCATTATTTTGCCAGCAAGCCATAACTATTACTTTTTTTTTAGATTCCTCAATCTATGTTTTCTCTACTGTAAGATAGTAAAATGTAGAGAATCAGGGAGCCCTATAAATCTTGAAGATTTTTTTTGTCTTAATTTCTTTAATTTGAGATTGGCATTTAAAACCATTGTAGAACTTGTGAACTTGCTAAGTTTAAACTACAATTTGGAGTAGGGAGTAATAACCAAACTGTTCTTCTCATGTTGTTTTAAAAGCTTCTGGTGTATATGCCTTTTTATTTTTTACTCATCATACAGTCTATTCAGAAAAATAAAAAAAAAAAAACCTTAAGTAGCTCTTGGCAGAAGGTCAAAACCAGCATTTCAGGGAAGGTATTTAAAAGTCTTTTAAGTGTGGGCTATTTGTATAAGCAATATCTGCACGTTTCTTATGACTGGGAAGGACTATTTTCACAGTCTTTCATGGAAATATTTCTAGACAATTTTCTGCGGCTCTTTTCCCTGAGCTCATTTATTTGCTTTTGCTTCAGAACACAGCATTTTAATGAGCAGTTTTATGAGCCTAACCTGCGTTCTGCAAGCTCCACATGACTGGATTCCTGTTGCACATAACCTTTGCCCTATTTTCCATTAAAACACAAGACTTTCCTATAATCAACTGTATACTATGACCTTGGAGGAAAAAAATGCAACAGATAGTTTAGTCTACTATTTAGTCTACTTTAGCACACTAAAATTGATTTTTTTAAAAAAATTAGTTGTTTCCTTATAATTTTTAAAAGTGTACATATTAGTATTTTCATCACAAATTTATTTTGTAAGATGCCTAATTCAATATTACCATATCCCTCTGGGTAAATAACTCATTTAGCTATCTTTATAATCCACTGAGGGATGTACAAAGGTAAGATGAACCCCAAATCAATTTGGAATTATGAACATTCAAAACAAAATAAAATGCAAAGTTTTCTATCTCCACTTGGTCTTACATATAATAATAGGTGTCAGGAAGTTCCTTCTTATAGCAAAGCTAAATCATCATCTGATGCATTTTGACTCCTCTTTGTGCTTTAATTCAAATGTAAAACAACTATTTTTCACTTTATAGATAGTATCCTACTATTTTTATATAGAATAACTTTCTCTTGTATACCCTGAGACATCCAAATTTGTTTACTTTTACTTCCAGTATTTTAATCCGTTTTCTTAATATCTGCTAAATATTCAAGCTCTCCCTTTCATTTGAGCAGTAGAGCCTCAGGCAAAATGCAGAGCCCCTGCAAGGGTCTAACAAGTGCTAAGAACAATGGAGCTATTGTTGTGTAACACACCCAGCTCCCCTCTGGATCATGCATTCCAGCCATGTTTGCCTTTTAAAACTACACTATGGATTTAAGGTAGTCTGCGGTTGCTTGTAACACCTTTGCTCTTTTTCTGCCCTGCTTACTTTAGCCAATCTGTCCTCATCTTATAATTCTGTTTACATTTTCTTCTTAGGACAAGGAAGGCACTCTTTAAAACAGAGTGCAGTAAGTTTAGGGCAAATGAAAGGAAATCTACTTCACATAGCAGGTTATAAACTTGTGGAACTCATTAGTCCCAAAAGGTGGGACTGGCAGGAAATGTAAATGAATTCAGAAATCTTTTAGCCAGATTTATGAATGAGAGCCACAAATGGCTACTAAGAAAACTGGGGCTATACCTGACTTTTACAACAGAAGTCAGAGAACAGCTTTGAGCTCCCGCACAGGATGACTCTTGAGACTTATTGGGGTGGCTGACCTTGGGTCTGGCCCACTATGGGATTTCCTGAGCATCCTGTGTCCCTTCTGCACTTGTTCTCGTTTCACTGGGTCTCAGAAAGAACCAGTAAGGCTTATGTGGGAGGGGCAACTTTCTTTTTAAAGTAGAGACTAGAAGAAAGCTTCGTAACTTCTCCTTTCCCGTTCAACCATTTGCCTACCTTAGTGCCAATTATGACGGTCAGGGAATGGTGATGTCTGTCTAGTAGAAACTAGCTGAGATCACATTTGAATGTTAAAACATAGATACTTTCTTTTACGCTAAGTCAGACACTTCTTTTTCCTGGGAATTTTCAGGCCTGAGACCATAAATAGCATTTTTATTTCATCCTGTACTCTATCCTCAGTAGAACCTTCAATCACTTAACTCCCCTGCTTTTCCCAGACTTATATCTCTTTACTGCAGGGTTCTCAAACTGGAGTACTTAAAAAATGCAAATGCTCCTGGCTTCACCCCAGACCAATTAAATCATAATATTTGAGGGTGGAGCCCAGGTATCAATAGTCTTTAAAGCCATCCCAGGTAATTCTCCCAGCAGCCAAGTTGAGAGTCTTGACCTGACAAGTAGTGTTAGGTTCTCTCCTTACCCTGAGCTCCCTGTTTGGCATCTCAGTGTTGTCTGTGACATCATTCTGCAATAGCCACCTCTCTATGTTAAATGTTTATTAGTGATTATGGTGAAGCTTTCTACACAAGTCATCAGTGCTAGGTCTTTATGCTTTTTCTGTCCTTCCAACCGTGAACGCTTAGTAAAAGAAAACTTGCTGCAAAATCTGGACCATTGCAAATACCCAACACTTATAAGACCCTGCCCTCCTTTCACTCACCTCTTTGTTGACTAGCCAATCACCTGCTCCAAAAATGATCTTCCATCACATCTGTCCCTCACTTTTCCTGTAGGCAAGAATGTCACCTCTTAAGAGAATACAGAAGCCAACCAGAAGAAGCTGCCCAATACCTTTATCTTTACCTCAGCTGAGCATTCTTCCACCATTCTCTTCTTATTCTTCCTTTAAATTGTTAAAAAGAAAAATTCCACTTTCACTTATTAAATATGATTGAGTACCAACTGTGTGTAATACATTAAAATACAGGGGAGAAGACCTATTAGAAAGCAATTAACAATAATACATGAAAAGAATATAAAGCCTTAACGATAAGAAATGTTTAATAAGCTATGAGTGTCTAGGAAAGAGGGATCATTTGGGCCAGGTCTTGAATAATGAAAAGATTTTAGCAATCAAATATCAGGCAAAAGGGCATTCAGATTCAAAGGGGCAACATGGCTAAAGGCACCAGGTCGTGATGTGCATGGTTTGATTTGGGAATAGCAAAAGGTCTGGTATAACTGGAATATGGCATGAAAGGTGAATTTTTCGAGTATTTCTCCTGTACAGCATACTGAATCTCATTTGTTTGTTGTTATTTCTAGTGTCTTTAGTCTTTTGCCTTCTGGCTTCTTTTTAAACTTCATATATACACATGTCTTCCCTGGCCTAAAAGAAACATCTTTGACCCAACCCTGGTATCTTGATAAACACCGTGCCATTCCCTTCATTTTTCTGCCAAACTTTCACAGTATGACTTATACTTTCTTTCAGCCCCCTTTCCACATTCTGCACCTCACCCTCCTAATCCAGCTTCTGGCCCCCCTTTAATCCTATCCACAAACCCCCATCCCCACAGAAAAGCTCTGTTAAAGATTCTTCCATCATTCAGACAAAGCCATTGCCAGCCCTCATTCTATTTAACCTCTTAGCAATATCTGGCACTGTTAATGACTGCCTTTTTCTTGAAAGCTTTTTTATCTAAAGTAGCCTGGGATGATGCATGATCTTTGAACCCTCCTCACCTTTTTTTTAACTCCTTATGGTCTCCTTTGCTGGCACTTCTTCCACCTCCTTAACTGTGAATATTCATCCCCAAATACTTTCCTCCCTCTCTTTCTTGTTTCATTCCATTATTTATTCTTCCATTCTGAAAGCATTTACTGAGTACTCACACTAGGCCAGGCACTTTGCTAAACACAAAGACAAATTTGTTTTTTTCTGTACACTCATTGCTTTTAAGAATGTTTTCTATTCTTATGGCTCCAGCTTCCAATTTTGTATGAAAGATTTCTAAATCTACATTTTCTGTTGTGGCTTCTGAATGCTCATTCTGTGATTCCAGTTGCCACCAGATATGTCCTTTGCATCTACAAAATTTACTAAAAAATAAACTCATTTTTTCCATAAAAACCGATTTCTCTGCCTCAGTTTATTTGCCCCAATCTATGAAGTCACCATATCAGTCTTCAAGACTGGACATCTGAGCATATTATTTTACTCTTAATAGATTTTGTATCCAATCTGTCACAATTTTCCAATAATTTCTTCTTGAGAATGCCTTTATGATCTACTGGTTACCTCTCCATTTTTATAGAAACCCACTTGATTCAGACTTCACACATAGTTTCTTACTAAAGACAATAATTGATCTCCCTGCTTCCAGTCTCACTCTCCTTAAATAAATTCAGCCTGCAGTTGCCATACTAATCTTCCTAAACCACTGCTTGAGCACATCCTTTCTGGTGACCTTTCAAGCCCACCACATGTCATCTCATCTCCTTAGCCTAACCCAAGTTCTCCACAATCTGACCACTCATTTTGCAATTCAGCCATATACTCTTCTTCTCAATATATTTGTTACCATGTCCTCCCCAGTATTTTCCCTAACACATCAAACTAATTTCCACCTCCATTCCCTTTGTTTCCCTCACCTAGATGCCTTCTAAAGGTCTGCATGCCCCAGTACAACCAGGCCAAGTCTCACTCACTTTCTTTCCATAGCCTTGCCTGGCTCCTGAAACCTCTAGAAAACTCTTCTCTCTTGAAAGGCTAATTACACTTAGAGGCTATACCATACCACTTAGTTCATATTACATGCTATCTTTATGACACATTGTTTTTGGCCTGTTAATGGGCTCCTCCCCAAATACAGGGTAAACTTCTTAGGTGCAGAAACTGTGCTGTGACTTTCCCTTTAATCTCCAAAGAAACCTAGTGCATGTCTCATCATATATTAAATGTTTAATATATAGCCTGGGTTAGTTGTAATAATTATCTGTGCTTCAATAAACTGGTTTAGACCAAGATAGACTCTACAAGTACAACAGAAACTTATGTTTACACTGTGTATAAGGGGGTCATTTTCTGCTGTACAACATTAGTATCTAGTCTGCATGTCAGTTTTGAAGTAGATGCCTTTTTCTAACTCAAAAAGAGGCAGTTAAGGAGTAATTATTGAGCCTCCAGATCTAAATACCAAATTATAGGAAATACAAGGAGTGGAAGAGCACATTAAATGATATGCAGGGGATGCAATCAGCCAAATCCACACTGGGGGATTGGACAGAATCTATAGGACAAAAAAAAATTTTTAATAACAAATTGCAAGAGCAAGAAATAGAGAGATGGAGAAGTCTGAAGATTAAAATAGCCATAACAGAAATATCTACCAATCACAGTGACATGGTTTGGATCTGTATCCCCACCAAATCTCATGTCAATTGTAATCCCCAATGTAGGAGGTGGGGCCTGGTGGGTAGTGACTGGATCATGGGGATGGATTTCTCATGAATGTTTCAGCATCATCTCCCCTTGGTACTGTCCTAGTGACAGTGAGTGAGTTCTTATAAAATCTGGTCATTTAAAAGTATGTGGCACCTCCCTGCTCCCTCTCTTGCTACTGCTCTGGCCATGTGAAGTGCTTGTTCCCCCTTCACCTTCCACCATGATTGTAAGTTTCTTGAAGCCTCCCCAGAAGCCAGGCAGATGCTAGTATCATGCTTTCTGTACAGCCTGCAGAGTCCTGAGCCAATTAAACCTCTTTTCTTTATAAATTACTGAGTCTCAGGTATTTCTTTATAACAACACAAGAATGAACTAATACACACAGTATATGGACTTATTTCGATTCAAACTCAAACACATAACCTTAAAAACATTCTTTAAAGACAACTGGGGAAGTGTAATATGAATACTAAATGTATAATAATGTTAAAAAATTATTAATGTTTTAGATAATAAAAATAGTATTGTGTTTATGTTTTCTAAGGGTTCTTATCTTTTAGGATTATACACTGAAATATTTACAGATAAAATTATGTGATATCTGAGTTTGCCTCAAAATAGTTGAGAAGTATAGACGGAACAAGGTTGGCCATGTGGTGAATTGTTGAAGTTGAGTAACGAGAGATTAATTTGTACTATTCTTTCTATTCTATCTACTTTTACATATATTTAAAATTTCTCAAATAAAAATATTTTTAAAGTAGTCAGTCATTGATGTTAAGAAATTCTTGTTAAATATTTTTGATGTGATAATGGCACTGTGGTTATGAGTTTTGAAAAGGAATTTTTATCTTTTAGAAATACCAACTGAAATATTCATGCATGAAATGAAAATAATGTAGACATTGATGTCGTTGCATTTTTAAAGATTATAATAAAATGAGGCAAAAAATGTTTAAATTGTCATTTAAAAATTTCTTATCCCCAGAAAGACATCCATAAACCTCAAGGTGAGAAAACAATACTTTAGACAGTTATGTAAAGCCTGTTCTGTGTTTTGCCTGTTTATACCTAAAGACTACATAGCAAGCAAATCTGTGAGTTGCACATCCTGTAGATGAGCGCAAAGAGATGAGTAAAAAATAACCAAACACTGTACGTGAGAAGTCATAATCTTTAAAGATACAGGATTTGTCTTAAGAGTAATGGCTTTAAAAACTGGATTATAATCCAGGTAACATCAACCTTCAATAGATATACATTCAGACATGCTAGTGCCAGATAAAGTGGCTAATGCCTGTAATCTCAGCTAGTTCAGAGGCTTAAGCAGGAGGATTGCTTGAGGACAGGAGTTTGAGACCAGCCTGGGCAACATCACAAGACCTTGTCTCTTAAAACATTTTTTTAATTAATTAGCTGGGCATGGTGGCATTCACCTGTAACCCTGCTACTTGGGAAGTTGAGGTAGGAGCATTAGTTGATCCCAGAAGTTCAAGTGAGCTATGATCACACTACATGACTGCAGCCTGGGCAACAGAGCGAGGCCCTTTTTCTAAAAAAAGTAAAAAATGAATAAATAAACATGCTAAAGTATTCCTTGCTTTTGAAAAACAAAACAAAACCAACCAAATACAAAGAAAACTCCAGAGGCTTTCCCCAATATCAATTTAATTCATAAATTTAGTATTAGCCCTCCAAAAAACTTCTTTTCAGTGAAATGTTGATTATTAGCAAATTTATCTGATTTCAGGAAGAAGAGTCTTGTCTCTGTGATTAGAATATTCATGAGCAATCAAATGGCCAGTAAGTTAATATCAGAACCTAGCTGAATGTCTGGAAAACCTACAAGTTAGAAAATCATTCATGGGTGCTCACTTTAGTAGCACATATACTAAAATTGGAAAGATATAGAAAAGATTAACACAGCCCCTGCACAAGAATGACATGCAAATTCAGGAAGCATTTTGTATTTTTCTGAATGAGAAATTTAATAAAGAGATACATATTATAAAAAAGAACTAAACAGAAATCTTGGAGCTGACAAATTCAATGATTGAAATAAAAAATACAATTGAGAGATTCAGCAATAGACCAGATCAACCAAAAGAAAGAATTTTTAAACTTGAAGGTGACTATTTTGAAATAACCCAGTCAGAAAAAAAGAAAAATAAAAAAGAATTAAGAACACCTACAGGACCTATTGGGACACCACTGAGCAAATATTCACAGTATGAGAATTTCAGGAAAGGCATAGAAAACCTATTTAATGAAATAATAGCTGAAACCTTTGCGTGTCTTGATAGAAATATAGATATCTAGATCCAGGAAACTCAAAACCCCAAATATATTAAGTTCAAAAAGGTCCTCTCCAA
Organism: Homo sapiens; assembly: GCF_000001405.40. Taxonomy (NCBI): domain Eukaryota; kingdom Metazoa; phylum Chordata; class Mammalia; order Primates; family Hominidae; genus Homo; species Homo sapiens. The sequence continues at coordinate 172,367,045 of NC_000001.11, forward strand.
ATCACATTATAGTCAAAGTAACAAAAGTCAAAGACAAAGAATTCCAACAATAGCAAGAGAAAAGTGTTAAGTCACAGATAAGGGAATCCCCATTAAGCTAACATTAGATTTCTCAGTAGACACCTTATAGGCTAGGAAAGAATGGGATGATAAATTCAAAGCACTGAAAGAAAAAAAAAAGATGTTAGCCAAGAATACTATACCTACAAAATCTATACTTCAGAAATGAAGGGGAAATAATGTCTTTCCCAGACAAACAAAAACTGAGGAAATTCATCACCACTAGACCAGCATTACAAAAATTATTAAAGAAGTCCTACACATGGAAGCAAAAGGATGATAATTCTACCGTCCTAAAAACATGCAAAAGTGTGAAACTCACTTATAGAGCAGATACACAAATGATTAAGGGAAAGGAATTTAATCTTATCATGTCAGAACACCACCAAACTGCAAAGATAAATAATGAGAGAGGAAAAACAGAAACAAAGGATATACAAAACAATGAGAAGACAAAAAAGATGACAAGATTAAGTCCTCTCCTAACAATAATAACCTTGAATATGAGTAGATTAAATTCCCAAATTAAAAGATATAAACAACTGGCTGAATGGTTAAAAATCAAGACCAAACTATATGCCGCCTACAATAAACTCACTTTACCTATGAAGATACTCATAGACTGAAAGTGAAGGAATGAAAATATATATTCCATACAAACAGAAACCCAAAATGAGCAGGAGTACTGCTATGGTTTCACTGTGTCCCCACCCAAATCTCATCTTGAATTATAGTTCTTATAATTCCCATATGTCTTGGGAGGGACCTGGTAGAATGTAATTGAATCATGGGGGTGGTTTCCCCCATGCTATTCTCATGAGAATGAGTAAATTCTTACAAGATCTGACGGTTTTATAAGGGGCATCCCCCTTTGCTTGGCTCTCATTCTTCTTGCTGCTGCCATGTGAGGAGGGACATATTTGCGTCCTACAATACCCCACTCTCAGCATTGCATAGATCACCTAGGCATAAAATCAACAAAGATACATTGGATTCAAACTGTACTATAAATCAAATGACCCTAACAGACATTTACAGAACATTCTATGCAATAGCTACAGAATATGTGCTCTTCTCATTAGCACATGGAACATGCCCCCGGATAGATCATATGTTAGGCTACAAAACAAGTCTCAACAAATTTTTAAAAATCAAAATCATATGAAATATATTTTCTTATCACAATGGAATAAAACTAGAAATCAAAATCAAGTGGAACTTTGGAAACTGAACAATTACATGTAAATTAAACAACATGCTCCAAAACAACCAAAGGGTAAATTAAGAAATTAAGAAGTACATTAAAAAATTTCTTGAAACAAATGAAAATATAAACATAATATATCAAATCCTACGCAATACAGCAAAAGCAGTAGTAAGAAGAAAGTTTATAGCAATAAACACCAACATCAAAAAAGTAGAAAGATTTCAAATAAACAACTTAATGATGCACTTCAGGGAACTAGAAAAGCAAGAATAAGCCAAACCCAAAATTAGAAGGAAAGAAATAATAAAGATCAGCGCAGAAACAGAGATTAAAACAACAATACAAAAGATCAAGGGAACAAAAAGTTGGTTTTCTGAAAAGATAAACAGAATTGACAAACCATTAGCTAAACTAAGACAAAAAGACCCAAATAAATAAAATCCATAATGAAAAAATGAAACATTACAACTGATACCACAAAAAAGAAATATTACAACTGATACTTCAGAAATACAAAGGATTATTGGAGACTTTTATGAAGAATTATATACCAAAAAATGGAAAACCTAGAAGAAATGGATACATTCCTGGGCACATACAAGCTACCAAGATTGAACCAGGAAGAAATGGAAAACTTGAACAGAACAACAATTCGGTAACGAAACTGAGTCAGTAATTAAAGTCTCCCAACAAAGAAAAGCCCAGGACCAAATGGCTTTGCTGCTGAATTCTACCAAACCTTAAAAGAAGAATTAACACCAATTCTTCTCAAACTATTTCAGAAAATGGAAGGGAATTTTTTCAAACTCATTCCATGAGGCCAGCATTACAAAGCCAAACCAGAGAAGGATGCAAGAAAAAAAAGAAAACTACAGGCCAATATCCCTGATGAACATAGATGCAAAAACTCTTGACAAGATACTAGCAAACTGAATACTACAGCATATCAAAAAGATTATACACCATAATCAAGTGGGATTTATCTCAAGGATGCAAGGATGGTTCAACATATACAAATCAATAAATGTGGTATATCACATCAACAGAATGAAGGACAGAAACAATATAATCATCTCAATAGATACAGATAAAAATTTTTACAAAATTCAACATCACTTCATGATAAAAACTCTCAATAAATTAGAAGGAATTTAACTCAACACAATAAAGGGCTTATATGACAAAACCACAGCTAACATCATACTAAACAAGGAAAATCTGGAAGCTCCTTCTCTAAGAACTAGAACAAGACAATGATGTCCACTTTCTCTACTCTTATTTAACATAGTACTGGAAGTTCTAGCCAGTACTATTTGGCAAGAGAAAGAAATGTGGCTAGTTCCAGTTGTGATGTGCTGTAAGTGTAACATATACATTAGATTTCCAATACTTTCTACAATAAAAGAATGCAAAATATCTTATTAATACATTTTATTTTCATTAATTGATTACATATTGTATTAGTTTGCTAGAGATGCCATAACAAATTATCATAGACTAGGTGGGTTAAGCAAGATAAATGTATTTTTCACAATTCTAGAAGGTAGAAGTCTGAGATCCAGGTGTTGTCAGGTTGGTTTCTTCTGAGGCCTCTCTTCTTGACTCATGTCATCACATGATCTTCCCTCTGTGTGTGCCCATGTCCATATTGCCTCTTGTTATAAGAACATCAGTTATATTGGATTAGGGCCCACCCTAATGAAACCATTTTAACTTAATTACTTCTTTTAAAACCCCATCTCTCAATATAGTCACATTCTGTGGTACTGCTGGTTAGGGCTTCAACATGAATTTTGTGGGGGACACAACTCAACTCATAATGCCTGTCAAAATAATAATATTTTGGACCTATTTGGTTAAAAAAGGCAGTATTAAGGTAAATTTCAACACTTTATTGTTACTTTTTAAAATATGGCTACTAGAAATGTGGCTTGCATTATACTTCAATTGGACAGTGCTGGATTTTATTTCTTTGGGACACCAAAACACTGTATCATCACCTGTTGAAAGAATAAGAAAAAGTTCTCATTTTAAATAATTTGCCATTTTCTACTATATTTCCCTTTTAGTACTAAGTTTTATTTTGGTATTGCTAATAAGCAAAAGCAGTGAGATGCTATATAAAGAAGATGAAATGTGCACAAAGAAAATTAGACCAGAGTTCTATTTTGATCTTACTATCTTTATGATCTCAGGCATAGCCCTTACCTTTTCTTTAATTTCTTCTTTCTACAAAAGAGAGGATAACAGCCTACATTTGTTGAGTGATTATTTTGTGCCAGGTACTCTTCTGAATTTCTACACTACTAATTTATTTAATCCATACAACAACCCTTTGAAGATTTTAGGTAGTAGTATTACTCTATTTGAGAGAAAACTGAAGCACACAGAGATTAATTAACCTGCCCAAGACTCCAGAGTTAGTAAGTGGTAGAAGCAACTGGTCTAACTCCATACCATATCATTTATTTCTCCCTGTACTTCTGTCTCACAAGATATTTGTGAGGATCTACTGAGATGGTATATGTGAAGGCATTTGAAAACTGATGACTGTTAATTATTTTCTTTGTCTGCCTTCCTAGGAACATTTCAGAGAAAGCTATTATTTTTGTCTTTTGACCAGCAAATCTATATATCTTTCTTTACAGCCTGGTAATTTCAGAACGAATAGAAGTGTTTGTATCTGTGGGTTTGACACACTACTGAATCACAAAGTCTTTGGAATAATTCTCAAAAGCCATCACTTTTAGCCCACTTTCTCATTCATTAATGCTCTATTCTTTTTCTAGCATGTCTAGCAGAATTCTCTTGAATTCTTGCAGTGAATTGGTGCTCCTTAAATACCTGCTATTTTGGAATAGTTTTGACTTAAATACATTTTCCTTTTCTCCCAGTTGCAAAATGTCAGGGCTGACAACTGAAAGGGCTTCTGAAGATTGTCAGTGTTCTCATATTCAGATAGGTAGCAAAGAATCTGACACATTTGGTATAATAAACCCACAAATGTTCATTAGTAAGATTGTAGCCTGATTTATTTCTCTGATTTAGAAAACACGCTTAAAGAAGGAGAGTCTGTCTGCAAGGAACCTTCTGAATTCTTTTTTTAATTCAAGCTCGTATATATAAATATTGTAAACTGAGATGTCGCTTATGTCATTTACATCATTTATCTCAAATAATAAAAATGGTTCACTTTTTTTGAGCACTACTATATGTCTGACACTGTGGTAAGTGCCTTTTCTGCATTATTCTCACTTGGTGATATCACACCTGCCCTGTCCTATAAAATGTATAATGTGCATATATTACCTCCACTTATAAGCACAGAAATTAAGGCTTAGAGAGGTTGAGTAACTTCTTAACTAACCTCACTAAAGTCACAAAGCTTATTAGTGACAGAGCCAAGATATAATACAGGTCATCTAATTCCGTAGTTCATACTGTTAATCACTATTCCACATTTCCCTCAAACCAAAGTGGATTGAGCATTCAGGGTATTCTGTCTAAGTCAGGCAGATATTTTTATTTTTATTTTTATTTTTATTTATTTTTATTTTTATTTTTTATTTTTTTTACTTTTTTATTTATTTATTTATTTATTTATTTATTTTTTATTATTATACTTTAAGTTTTAGGGTACATGTGCACATTGTGCAGGTTAGTTACATACGTATACATGTGCCATGCTGGTGTGCTGCACCCACTAACTCGTCATCTAGCATTAGGTATATCTCCCAATGCTATCCCTCCCCCCTCCCCCCACCCCACAACAGTCCCCAGAGTGTGATGTTCCCCTTCCTGTGTCCATGTGATCTCATTGTTCAATTCCCACCTAGGAGTGAGAATATGCGGTGTTTGGTTTTTTGTTCTTGCGATAGTTTACTGAGAATGATGATTTCCAATTTCATCCATGTCCCTACAAACTTATATTTGATGAATTCTGCAAATAGGTGTATGATCCAGTTTTTCTTATAGCTTCTGTGATTTGGTAATCCTCCTACAGATGGTAGAATATGGTATTCACAATAATATGAAAAATATAATTAAATTTGACAAGAATTCTATTAAAACAGCAAGATTTACCATCCAGAATTATTTCATTTATTTTTAATTCATCTTTTATCTTAAACATACCACCTTGATGTTATGTGAAGCTATCTTATATGCTACCTTAAGCCATATGCATTCATTTATGAACCCTCTAAAACTATGTGTCATGCCCTTTCTATTTTATGTTTATTGCCAGGTAGTTTATAAGTGATTAAAGAATATTGCTAGAAATTATATTTAATTAGATAGATAATGTTACCATATCACTTTTGATTCATTTGGCCCCCAATGTAGTATGAAATCTTGTAATTAATTTTTTTTTTTTTTTTTTTTTTTTTTGGAAAGAGAGTCTTGCTTTGTCACCCAGGCTGAAGTGCAGTGGTGTGATCTCGGCTCACTCCCACTTCTGCCTCCCAGGCTCAAGTGATCCTCCTACCTCTGCCTCCTGAGTATCTGGAACTACGGGCATGCACCAGTATGCCTGGCTAATTTTTAAATTTTTTGTAGAGACCAGGTTTCATCATGTTGCCCAGGCTGGTCTCAAATTCATGAGCTCAAGTGATCTACCCACCTTGGCTTCCCAAAGTGTTAGGATTACAGGCACAAGCCACCATGGCCTGTGATGAGAATTTTTAAGAAAAGCCATTTTATCAAATATTTCATTTAACTAAAACACCTTTAATTCAGAAAGCATTATGTCTATTCTAAAAGTGTTTATATGGATTAAATAGACATAAACAATTGGCAGAGGAAAAAACATAGTACTCACTAACAATAGTATTTGTAGAAATTTTGAAGCCATGGTTAAAAAAAGAGAAATTTGAGGGACAATGTAAATACATGCAGTAATAATGCTTTCTTAGCAAAATTCGCATCTTTAGTCTCCTGTCACCTTATTGCTTTGTAAAGAAACATCTTGATCCCAGTCATAAAAGTCATTTAGACTTATAAACTCATTAATGTTTACTAGCAGTTGCAATCTGATTTCTTCTCCTAAACTACTTTAAAAATAGTCTAAGGAAAAAAGCTTTTAAAAACCAACATCAGCTTTATCTCTTACACCTCACGTAATACTTACAAATCTTATTAATAAAGCACTCAGGACAATCTGATACACTACAAAATTTAAAATAATACAGAATTGTTTCAAATAATAATTGCATCCTTCTATAAAATTTGCCTTAGAATAGTTTTAATTTTTATTATAAATGCAGCCATAGTTGTTGATCTTTAAGCAATCTTGACTCTCTTTGTTTTTGCCACTTTATAAAATGTAGACAAATCTGATAGCCAAGGTAAATACCAGAATTAGGGTAAAGCAAAGATAGTTTTGTTTTTTTGTACTTTACATCCTCCAGATTGTCAAACAGGCAACATACACACATTCAATTTCAGAAGAATGAGAGAGAGAAGTAACAAAAGAAAAAAAACTCCAGACCCAATGATTATTACTCCAAGAATATAGATCTTTGTCTAAGCAATCTTCTTCAGAATATTAGTAGTTATAGAACTCTCAGTATATTTTTATCATCTTCACAAAGTTATTTTTCTGTAAACTAAAGGTTTGCCTAAATTGAGATAAGCTCCTTTAAATTTTAATTTATTTTTTAGTTGGGTATGAGCATTTACAGTGACAGAAGAAGTTCTGGTTTTGGCAACTTTGGAAGTAGCTCCCCAACTTTGGGACATGTACGTGTTGTCTGTATGATGACTCAGCTGTGGTCTGGTGCTATTATCACATAATGTTCTATCTTTGAATATTGGAAACAAGAAATTTGCAACAGCTCAACCTAGCAAATTTCTTCTGATTTTGTTTTCATCTTTCCTTTCAACAAAAATTAACTTAAATTTCCTAAAACAGCCTTCAGGTCTTTTTTTAATCTTGATCATCTACTAAGGCTCTTGGGCCCTGGGAATGTCTGAGAAGGTGCACTCAGTAATTCATGTGTAGGAATAGTTGAAAAAGTTATCTTCAGGCCTTTCGGGAGTTCTGTAGTTGGATGTAGGTGACAGCTTTATCAACTACAGTATTCAGTGAACATCAGGGAAGCTTAAAACCCCTGATTATAGCTGCTTTTTTAACGGCTTCGTTTTTCTTCTGTACTCCAGAAAGAAATGATTCTACTCACAGAATTTTACAGTTGTGTGTGGTTTTTTTGGTTGCTTTAATGCTTTGTATTATTTTGTTTTTACTAAGAAGTTTTTACATGTAAAGCAAGTGTAATTGTATTTACATTGAACTTTGAAAGATTTTCTTCCTCATAATGTAAAGAAAAGGTAAATAAGATCAACTGCATACCTATGCTATTATTTTGCTATGTAGTTTATTATGACGGCCCATGCTGCTTTCATATTATTTGAATTTTATTGCCCCTGCTTTCTCTAGGACTTTATTAACTTTGATATAGTGCATCTATACTCATCCATGTAAATGATTTTGAAGAACAAAACAATTGACAGATTTTGCTTTACAATATCTGTGATTTTTGTTTCATACCTTTGTCCATCTTTCAATCTTTGTAAACAGACCTAGTTCTTTATTGCGTAGACCTTATAATCCCTTAATACCCTGATTCTAAACTGAATGAGCTTTAAAAGTGCCTGTTAAACAAATAGTATAAAGGATACAATAATTTAAAATTTCTTTACAGTTACAAGTTTTTAGGTGATGGAAGTAGAATTCCTAAAATATAGATTACTCTTGTGTCATTTTCCCCCTAATCTTTAAGTGTTATCTTCTTATAAATGAAACCACGGGGGTTTTTCTTGTGATTATAGTATTTCATTATTTGAGTATGTAAACATGATGATGATGGTGTTACAGAATTAACAGTAGCAGAGGAATCGCTCTGAGTCAAAAACAGCCTTCATCATGATCAATAGCACAATTGTTTTATGTCTGTAAGGCATTTCTCATAGGACTATATTTGGTCATCCTGGTAGCTTTTGGAAACACATGTTTTGTCTCACAGTATTTGTAGACCACTGTTGGTGGTGGGGTGAGCATCATCAACACTATCTTAACCCATACCCTTCCAGCCTCATCAAATTAGAAGTGAATGATTGGCAGTGGAGAGAGGTTTTCAGTGAAACCATTCTTGATAATGTAGGGCTGGAAAAATTCACAGGTACGTTACCATGGTAACAGTGTTTTCATCGTGATGACCTGATTTACTAAGAAAAAGTCTTCAAATAAGTCTATGACATGATTAAATAAGAGATTTAAGGAAAGGGAAAAGACAAAAACAAAACACCTGAAAGACATTCCAGTCAAGCCCAGTGCTTCTATAATAGACGCCCCAAGGTATGGTGAGAATTATTTCTGATTCAACACTTTCATTCCCTCACCTGTTAAAGTAGTAAACCTTTAAAAGAAAGCTTTTAAATTAAAATTTTCAGCTACTTGGGAGGCTGAGGCGGGACCATCGCTTAAAGCCAGGAATTTGAGATAAGCCTGGGAAACATAACAAAACCCCATCTCTAAAAAAAAAAAAAAGGCAAAATTAGCTGGGCGTGGCATGTAGTTACAGCTATATGGGAGGATCCCTTGAGTTCAGGGGTTCGAGACTGCAGTGAGCTATGATCACGCCACTGCACTTCAGCCTGGATGACAGGGCAAGACTCTGTCTCTAAAAACAAAAATAATAATAGTAGTTATAAAAATATGTTTTAAATAACTTAAAACTTTATATAACAGCCTGTTTCTTAAATACCATGCAAATAATTTCGGAGAAAGTAAGTTATGGTAATTTTTATAAATGACTTCACATTTACAATGCTGGTGTTTTTATTGGTTAAATTAGATTTCTCAATAGCTATTTTTAAAAACTGCAATAGGAAGGACTGTCTATTGTATTTTTTAGAAACAAGCTGGTTTCTACAATATTATTCACGTTTTTTAAACAGCATCATTGAACCTGCACATAAAAGGTTAAATGTTTGCAGACCATTCTTTTTTGCCTCAAAGATCAGAGACAAATTACTATTTTTATTTTACATTTCCTTGATGAGGATAATGATAAACAGCTGTCATTTCAGTGCTTCAACTGCAAAGAACCTTATTGCAATCCTATAATTTAAACAAAGAAAAAATATAGTCATACACAATATACATACAGAAAAGAGCACAATGGAGAATTTGGTTAGAACTGGGGTTAGAGAAAAGGAAGTGTTGCTCTCTGCAATTACTCACGTAAAAGAAAAATTCCATTTATATGCATTTTTCCCGTTCATCTTAGACATTGGTAGAAGGGGCAGTTTACTGCTTCTTTTTTTCTAAAATGAGGAAATAAATCAAATTTGCATACTGAACTCTGTGACTCCCCATCATGTCCACTGTATTATCAGAATAGTTAAGATTTGCATGTCACTACATGTCTGCAAGTATTTCCAAAAGCTAAGAAGAATTTCAAATTGTTTTACTGATTATTTACTAAAGCCTCTCAATTTTTTTTAATGCTAAGAATTAAACCAGAGTTCTCTATTCACTCTGACACTTTGTTTTCTAATTGCATCTGGTTTCAAAAAGTGAAAGTCAGTGTCTTTTGCTTATTTTGATATGCAAAAAAGTGAAGCATGGTTACATGTTAAGAAAGCTGTAAAATGGGGAAATTTAGTGTTTCTATATGAAAATGTGGATGCTAATATAATTTTCCTGGTGTTTCATATTCCTCGAGGTGAATGTAACAAGTTATTTATTCTGCTTTTCTCCTTTAGCTCAATTATTTATTTTTTATAACTATCAGTACTTTAAGGAATTTTTCTAGAAACTCTCTTTATGTTCTGGTTTCTTAATACCTAAGGAAAAAATTGACTTAAAATAATATTTATCTAACATTTATTGAACAAATTTCAGTTCTCAGAGCTTGAATATATTCTTATATGGGTTGACAATTACGATGATACCCCTGTCCTAAGGTTGTGCTACAGATCTATATAAAGTACATAGCACAGTACCTGGAATACAATATTTGCTCAATAAATGTTCCTGGGAAGTGGTAGTAGGTTTATGCTGAAATGCCATTACCTGGTACTGCTAAACACAACGGCAAAATCTAAAATCCAAGAATGTTTTAGATCAGAGAGACAAATGGAATTGTGTTGTATTCCTAATGGAGGCTTATATTTCTTTATATAGAAGATGTTTTCTTCAGAAAGCTGTAGGTCATCATCTGCTCTCATTGATATATATCATATATATATATATATATATATATATATTTCATAATCACTTTATCATCCTCATTATCATCAAGTTGTAGTAGCTCCTAACTCCTCAACTTGGAATTTCTCTGGTCTGTGCTTTCTCTTACAAGTAGGCTTTCCTGGAGGCCCTAAATGCACTGGAGCCTCAGAAATGTCCTCATACTGTAGTCCCAAATCATGAGGTCATGCTCTCAGGACTGGGAAATGAGTTGAGCATGCATTATTTTAATGTGTTTTTTAGAACAATAGACATTTCTGAGTGACAGAAGCCTATATAAATGATTAGAACCAATTCTATCAATATTGTTGATTTTGTGGCCCATCAATATGCTTTTCACACAAGCATATTGATTCAAAGGAAAGGCTTATCATTTAATATCCAGTAAAGCTATTTAGCACAGTGCTATGCCTAGAACTGATTGGATGATTGAAAATCAAAGTATGTACATTTCCAAAGAAAAGCACTTCGTGTCTACATGGAAGCAATAAATTATTTCCCCATTTTACATTCATAATTAAATCTTTCCAAATGCTAGAAAGTAGCCAGACCACTAACAATAATACCTGTGTCATGTTCTGGGGCTTAGATGGTTCAAGCTGACTTGAAATGGAGACCATTTGTTCTAAATTGATTTCAATGCCAAGCCAATAGGTCAGCCCTTAATGATGAAGAAGCCATTCCAGCTCAGCCTCTGGTGGATAAGCCAACATTAATTAACTCAAGTCTCATAGTATAGGAAACAGATGCTTTTCTCATGTTGCACAAATAAATTCTTTGTGTATAGATGTGTTCTGTTTTATTCAAAGAATAACAAGTTGGAAGTAATAATTGTAAGTTTTTCACAATGGAGCCAGTCTTTAGTAGTGATGACAGAAGCATGAATTTACGTAACAAATTCCAGCAAGTGCATGGAAGAATAAATTATCTTCTATATCTCTTATTTTGGCTTCAGGCAGCCCTACAAAATTTAGCTTTGAATGTGGGAGGATCCAAATGCTGATCCATCCCAGAGCAGACCTAGAAGTGCCAGAACAATACCAAGGTTATTTCTAATCTATAGCTTCCCTGGAGACTCCTCTCAGAGGTTTACATTTGCATCATATGTTTGGATTCAATTCTTTGGCCAGCTTGCAAATGGCTTAAGATTAGATTGTTCTCTGGAGGTATGTTGTTAGGTACACTGTTTATTTGGTTATTCATCTCAACCTTCATTCAGAATTAGAATACTTACTTGCTTTCCCTAGAATGTGGCAGGCTAAAAATTGAGTAATAACGGCAGGTTCCCCCATCTCCTTTCAGAACCAGTGGATGCATAAGATAAAAATGTTACCATCTACTGATATAAACTCCAACTATGCTAATCAGAAGTTGATAATCTGATAACGACTGACATTTTATTTTCTTCTGAGTGAATATGAGATAATCCATGGTTTGTTTTCTCTTCTTTTAGGCTGAAAATGATGAGAATGGACAAGCAGAAAACTTTTCCATGGACCCACAATTGGAGAGGCAAGTGGAGACCATTCGCAACCTCGTAGACTCCTACATGTCCATTATCAACAAATGTATCCGAGATCTAATTCCAAAAACAATAATGCACCTTATGATCAATAACGTAAGTGATTATAAACTACCTCCATTTAACTTCTAACCCATCCGAGTGTGGAAGTTGCACATATTATCTTCAGCTTCTTTGTGTATTTTCTGGATAGTTCAAATAATATTACCCAGGTTCATCATTTTCCATTAGACGTGATATGTGACTGACCAGTGAAAGAGAACTTAGGGAAGAAAACTTAAAACTTCTAGCTATAGGACTGAGGTATTCCCCATTGGCTGTCTTCTAGAAGAGTGTGAGTTTGCTCACAATAAAGCAAAACAAAAACACCATAATCCTGGGCATCATGTAAATTAATTGCAAAACCAGCAAAGAAACCAGATGCCCTGGCTCCTAGACTTTGAGACTAAAGGCAAAGGATATATTTGTTCCTATGCCCATGCGTGTGCATGCATGTGCACACACATATATAAAATATGTTAATATGATTATTTTCAGCTTCTAAAATCTATGGAATGCTATTTTAACCTGGGAAAGGGCTTCTTGCTTTATTCCCTCGGATTAAAAACTCAGTGAATTTTATTTTTCTAAGGTAAGGATGCTATAACCTCAAATCTGAAAATCCTGCTTGACTAGCCATCAATGGGTCTAAATAACCTTTTCAAGGTTATTTATAGTAGTCAGAGTATGATACTTAAATTATGTTTGATTTAGTTCTTTTGGTAGTTAACTTTTTACAGTACAAATAATACCACAAGTTATTTGAGAAATAGTCTTTTAGATAAGATAGGTTATAATGAGGTGTTTTATAGGGGGCTTTTCTGAATCTTGACAAGTGAGACACCAATAATTTTATTCCTAGTTATCTTCTAAGGACATCTTTTTATTTAATCCAATGATAAATTATGAGCATTACTTGTAAGAAATTAAAATTAGATGGCAAAGTACTAAAAAGAGCCCCAAAGTAGAATTTAGGAGAAATCTGGGTTCTAAATCTGGTTCTGCTACAGACTCTGTTGACCTAAGGTGAGTCTCTTTCATGTGTCTGTTTCCTCCATATGTAAAATACTAATTGTAGTAAGTGTATCTGACTTAGGGATTTGTTCCAGAAGATGGTACAAATGAAAGTACTGTGAAAAATATAATTGTAAGAAATTAATATGGCTGCCTATTTAAGAACTGTAAATAGCCCTTGTTCATATTTCATGGTTAATTTCAAAATTTTATTTCTAAATACGACAGTCCGTTCATTGTCCATGATCTCTGCATTCCTTGACTGTAAGCAACCCCAAGCACTCATGTGAACAATCTTATTTTTAACTAACACTATTTTCATACACGTATGTATTCAAACAAGGTTAGCTGGATGCTTTGAAGAATCAGCAACAGGTAAGCAATAAATTAGAAATGTGGGAACTATGAATTGTATTCTTTTGACCAATGGCTTTCTGTGTAACCTAAAGCAAATCATTTCGCCCCTTTGAGTTGAAGTCAGTTTCTTCTAAAACTACAGTGAGGTACCTCACAGAGCCATCAGAGATTATAATAAAAGTGGCTATAAGCCATTTAGAAAAATATAAAGTACTAAACAAATAGTCTGTGTATTTTTAAAATTACCTTCTTCATTTACTTAAATGAATTCAGGTTGTTTTGCTGTGGTATATCCAGGCACTTGCTTATTTAAACATTTTCCTGATTAAGGATCATTTATCTTTTCACTGTTTCACCGAGAGTCATTAGTGCTGCCATCAGTTCAAACGCTGCTTTGCTCTGCACTATATTAAATCATCAGCACAGGAAATAGCACTTCCTGCCTATAGCTGTGAGGAGTAGCTTGACACAAATTAGCTAAAAGGAAAAAAAAAAAAAACAAAAAACCCCTATTGCAAATCTATCCTACTTTCACCTTCTCAAGAAAAACATACACACATGCACACACATATGCGCACACACACACACACACACACTGAAAGAAAGAAAGAAAGAAATGCAGGGGTAGTTTCCCTCACTCTTCACTGGTGTGTTTTCTTGTTTTAATGAAATGGCTAAACCTCCACCTACAGGATATTATCCTCGGAGGTAAAGTTCTGATAGTTGTCTTGAGAGAGACCTCACATAAGAGTCGTGAGAAAGGAGACTTCAATTAAGATCTGATCACCAAGGTCAAATCTTGAAGTAAAAACTAATAGGAATGTGGAGAAGGCGAAAGTATCATGTAGTGCTGAATTCTTATGAAATTGTGGCTTTGTTTGAAATTTAACTTTTTGTATCTACCAGAAGTTAGTTTTACATATCTAGAATGACTGCTTTTCTTGGGTATTATTTTATGTGCTTTTTAAACATATATAAAAAGGTATAGTTTTATATATAATACATATATTTTAAAATTATATATGTATAATTCTATATATGAAAAATATATATCTCTTTTATTAATGTAGTCATATTGTCGTGGCATCTTATTGTACAGAATGCCCAAGCCTATTTTGTTCATTCCACACGTGACCTGTTGAGTCCAAGGAAACTGAAACAGTGAACACCCAGCACTGTGCCATCTAGATGTATTGATTTTTTAACTTGATTCAAAGTGAAGAGATCTTCAAATGAAAGAACTAATAATAAAATCACAACGAGAAAACTAGTCTTTTGACTCCTAATTCTAAATTCTATTCACTTAACCCTGCTGCATCTTTAAATGAGTTTGGATCAAAAAGCTAATTGTTCCTCCAGAATCAATAAATGCCTAAAACACGGTCCTCTATTTCTTCCTGGTCTATCAAAAGCGGTGTTCTGGCCTTTCCTCTTTGAAATGGGAATGAAAAAGAATATGTTTCGGCCTTCTGAAAAAGAATATGTTTCAGCCAACATTCATAAAGTTCAGAATTTGGTGGGCAGTTTCCTTTGAAAGTTTACATTAAGTGTTCTGCCACTCAAATCTCCATATGGAATTGTTTAAGAAGTTTAAAGCCTAGCAATAAATGCCTTGCCTCAGACATACTGTAAGCCTTTGTCTATTGAAATGCAGCAGCTGTTTCATTACTTAAACATACCAGGTAACAGCAGCACAAAGAAATAGCAAGTTTATGACAGACGGTCTTTCTGGACAGGCTACAGTCAAAGCAGCAGAGTTTTGCTCAGGACTTTAAAGCTAACACACACATAACACCCCATGGTAAGCCCATTTGGATGGCCTCTTCTCTGTAGCTCACCCCACCAGAAGTTCTCCATCAAAGAATGAAGTGGATCCAGCTTTATTCTAAAAATGTGTTCGGTGTGGCAAAGTGGCACATAATTCTGTTTGAACCTGTCAGCCAACCACATGTTGGATACCCATTATTTTCCACAGCTTATAAATGAAGAAATTGAGGTTCTGAGACATTGACTTGCCCAAGATCACACAGCTGGGGGTGGCAGAGTTAAGACTGAAATCCAAGTCTTCTCACTCATAGTCTGATGTTCTCACCATTTGAACATTGGATAATGCACGTGACAGGGTTAGGAAACTCTAAGTCAGCCCTCTCCAACTAGAGGACTCCTACCCCCACAGGGTATTCATGAGTTATTTTCCCAGACAGTTAATTTTACTTGAAGATTTAATTAGGATTTGTTTGAAGGTGAGAAGCAATGTTTGAAATCTTTCTCATATTTAAGCAAACCCAGATAATACAAAAGAGAATGTAAACGTTCTTAGGAATTTTTAAAAAAACCAAATTTGAAACATAGAGCCATTTCACACTGGAGTGTGTGCTGTAGCCTGCGCCCCTGGACCCCTCTGGAGGTCCACATTTACTCTCCTTGGCCATTGGCATTTTGGTGGAAAATTAGTAACATGTGCCCTAGTTTCAAAACTTACTGTAACTTTAATGCGTATGAAGTAAAGTGTTATTTTAAATGTTCATTATTTTAGGGGAAAGTACATCTTAAATACCAGAGCTTTATCCTGGCATTTAAAGCACTGATTTGTTTCCACCAGCCAGGAATTCAGCACACTGCTCAAGAAAAAGATCACGACTAGGACTCCCTAAGTCCCACTCTCTTCTCCCCTGCCCCCACCTCCCATCATTGCTCCCCGCCAAGGCTAACACTCTTCTGCTTTCTTAAATTGTAGATTAGTTTTGCCTGTTTTTGCACTTGGGAATCATATACTATACGCCTTTTGTGTCTAACTTCTTTTCCTTAACATTACATTTGTGAGTCAAAGGATGTTACTTTTTAAAGCAGGAAAACTTCCTTGGTCTTTAGCAGAATTAAATCCCTGGGAAAAGGAAAGGAGGACTAAGCAGATGTGAGAGAATTGTGAGATCTCAAAGATCACAAAATTCTAACCAAGCCCCCTCCCCAAAACTAAACAAAATTAAACTTCTCAATTGAATTTTAATACATGTATTGTGTGAATGAGAGGCATCACCGTGTTCCGTACTGTGACCCTCCAATTCTAGAAACAAAGAGATTTTAAGGAAATGGTCTCCTTGGTAACTGAACTGTAGGAAACTGTAGGAAAACCCTAGAAATGTCTCTTCTATTTGTGAAGGGTTTAAAATGGTCTCAGTCATAGAAAAGAAGGTTTAAGATCCAAACATATTACGGGTTGCTAGAGAAGGGTTAAAGTAAGAGAGGAAAACATGTGGAACATTTTTAATGACCTCACATTCCTTTACACTGAGCAGAGCGACATGGTGCAGTAATGCCTGTTTATCTAGCCTAGAGAGTTTGAGCTGGAATGAGGTTTCATGTGTGAGAACTTTTACAAACCATACAGAGATGTATAGGTTATAAGGTGTTATAATTAAAAACATAAATATTATTTCAGATCTCAAATTTAAGTATAATCACTTTGTTATGTTAGGTGAAGTATTTTCTAAATGCTATCATCTAAAAGGGATTCACTTGACCCCTGATTGTCATGCAGAATTCTTGATTTAAATATTTGTACCAGATTTAAATGTCTGTATACCACTGGCATACAGACTTCCCAGAAAGTCCCTGAAGTGTCTGGAAACTCCCGGAAGTCCCCCTACCTTCATTCCAAACTCCAATTTTAGTGTCACAAAGCTAGGTTAGCAGAAGGAGAGAAGAGTATCTCTAAAATTTTGCTTAAATGCAAAATAAAAAATGTTAACCTCTATGCCCTATTTAACTATGTCGCTTGATACCTGTACTGTTGCAACAGCTGTCTATTGTTCTCCTGTCTCGATGTACCTAATGCCAATGTAGCCTATAGACAGTAAAAATCACAGCATTTTTTGGAAGGGGCACTAACTGTGTGCTGGGCATCATGCTAGACAACTTGTATTCATTCCTTCCTTTAATCCTCACAATACTTGAGGTAGCTCTACCCTCATTTCACAGATGAGGAACCTGAGACTCAAACAGTTTACATTATTTGCCCAAGAACAGTAAGTGTTAGAACTAGAACTTAAATCCACAGCCTATGCTCTGAATCCACTGTATTGCACAGTAGGCAAGTTCCAGTGTGTCATAATTGCTGTGGAAGATTCAAGGCACATCTTTGGTCAGAATGCTGAAACAGGCCCTTATTTTGCTTCATGGTTTGACAGTTGATTCTTAATTCAGCTCTGCTTTAAATCTATTCTTGGAAGAATCTTCTTTTAAATTGTATTTAATAGATTCTAAGTGATATTCCAGTAATATGTAAAGTTTCTAAAGAGCTTAACCCAACCAATGGTCAATGCCAGGAAAATTGTCTGGTTTTGAGTTTTGAATTGCACCATGCATCCAACTGCATATACATACCCAACAGTGGGAGATTTGTGCAAATATCCATGATTCCCTGCATACCTGCAAGTACATTTAGAAGTGAATGCGTCTGTAAGGAAGGGAATGAAATATTCCTAAAGCCAAATTTGCTGCCTTCCCTCTAAATCTGACTTTCTTTTCTGATGTTTGAGTTTCTATTCTCCTACTCATCCAAATGTCAATGCTTGAGATGTCTTTGGTTGTTCCTTTCTTCCTTGCCCTTCACATCCCAACAGCACCAAGTTCAGTTCATTATTCCCTTATAATGTCATTGTATGTATCCATTTTTTATACTACTGCGTTATTAAATGAAACATTTACCATCTTATGAACGATCTACAATAGCCTTCTAACAGATTTCTTTATTTTCACTACCACCCTTGCAAAGTCTTTTTCAATGTTAGCCAGATTAATTTTCCTAAAACTCTCTTTTATTGTTTCACTTACTTGCTTAAACGCTTTCGCTGGCCCCTCATTGCCAAGCAAATAAAGTTCAAACACTTTTCCTTGGCATTCAAGGCCTTCGCATCTGCCTCAGGATTCCTGGCCAAACTTACCTTCCACAACTATCGTGCATAAACCTCTACTCCACAGAGGGTTTCCTAAATACATCTTGTGTATTAGATTACTTTCACCTTTGAATCACTCTTGGTTTACAAAATATGTACAGAAAACACTTTATTTCACCACAATAAACCTTTGATTTAGCTGAATTTTTTGATTAGTAGAATTATTTACATGTTTTGATGCCTTTAAAACATAATGAAGCTATGTGTTTTAGGTTCTTGTCATCTCTGAATTACAAATTTAACCATATCCTAGAAATTTGGAGCATCTGACAGCTGTTCTGTTATCTGCCTGATTTTTTAACAATTAAATATATACTTGCGTTTGGCCTTTCTTAAAGATATTCATGAGTCTAGATAAGAGTTAGCTTTCTCATGTAACAGAGAAACTGAAAAATTCAAACGGCTTATTTTTACTAGGCTTAAGTTAATTGCTGCACTACTGTAAAATAATGATACTTAAACAAAAATTTACTTTTTTAAGCACTCAATCACAGTGAGATAATGGGGTAAGGGAATGGGCACCGGACTTCAAGTCAGAAGGTTATGGATTCAACTGAATGCTGTGTGACCTAGCACAAGATACTTAAATTCTTGGAACTTGTTTCTGTATCTATAAAACTGGAATACTAATACATGTTTCTTCAGTGTGTGATAAGAATTGTCATATAACTTATGAAGCCACTTGGTATATACCATACTTCATCGATTCTCACATTCACTTCTTTTTATTTAATATTTCTGAAATGAAGATGCATCTTATACTCAATGGCATCTTGACATCCTGTCAAAGTTTGATTGATGGTATTTTTTTTTTGTCTGAATAGTCAGCACATATGATAGTAGTGTTTCTTAAAATCACTGGTGTCTTAGAGTTGATGAGATACAGTAGCTGGCGTTCCCACTCTCAGTGTTGTGCACCATATTCATCCTCTCCATTTTCATCCTGCAACAAAATGCCCCTCCCCCTGAGACTCCCACATAGTGTTCATACTTTAGTTTGTTTTTATATATTAGCTAACTATGCAACCTCATGTCAGTCCCCATCACTGTTAACTAACTTCTATTGTAAACTTCTGGAAAACAGAGTGCATCTCTTTCACTTGTTTATAAATCAACCTGCATAGTTATATAAGATTCTGTATTTAATAAATATTCACTTACTGGTGCTAATTTCACTTTTGAGACGACACTGAAACTTGGCATCTCAATAATTTTCCAGTGATTTTGGTAAAAGCTAGGGAAAGGACTGCGAATGCCAAGGAATGGAAAACGTGTGATTACATAGGTTTCTTCACATCACTGTTTTCTGTTGAAAATACTGCTTCTTACCTCATAGTACCTTCCCTCTTCTATAAGCCAAACAGCTCCAGACAATATTGTGAAATGCTCACAAAGCCAGCAGGCCCTGTTCTGGTGATGGCTGGGTTTGGCCTTCTTCTACTCATCTCTATCATCCTTCAGTGTGGACAGCCAAAAGACAGAGGGAAACTGTTACTGTCACCAGTACTGGGGATAGAGACAAAACAAAAGTAAACAGACGCTTGGTGCTTCACTTTTCCCAGGGTGGACTTTGGTGGACTTTGGTGGACTTTGTCCAGACTCTGACTGCCACAGCCATGTTTCTACCTCCACTCAGTCACTCATTTATTCCCATTTTTATTTCTCTGTGGTGATCTGACAGGTTAAAGATTTCATAAATTCCGAGCTCCTAGCACAGTTGTATTCTTCAGAGGACCAAAATACCCTGATGGAGGAATCTGCTGAGCAGGCTCAGCGCCGGGATGAGATGCTTCGAATGTATCAAGCACTGAAAGAAGCCCTTGGGATAATTGGGGACATCAGCACAGCCACCGTGTCCACTCCGGCACCCCCTCCAGTGGATGACTCCTGGATACAGCACTCTCGCAGGTAAGAAGATGGCCCCGGCCGGGTGCGGTGGCTCGCTCCTGTAATCCCAGCACTTTGAGAGGCCGAGGCGGGCGGATCACGAGGTCAGGAGATCGAGACCATCCTGGCGAACATAGTGAAACCCTGTCTCTACTAAAAACATAAAAAAAATTAGCCGGGCGTGGTGGCGGGTGCCTGTAGTCCCAGCTACTCGGGAGGCTGAGGCAGGAGAATGGTGTGAACCCGGGAGGCAGAGCTTGCAGTGAGCCGAGATCGTGCACTGCACTCCAGCCTGGGTGACAGAGCAAGACTCCGTCTCAAAAAAAAAAAAGAAGATGGACCCACCCACAACCCCTGAGCCCTGCCACGCTTGTCCAATATCATTTTCTGAGAGTGCTTTCCTAAACCAAGATGGACCTACAGAAAAAGGGGAAAAGATATTTACATTCAGGAGTAAGGATCAGATTATACTAACTCCCTTAAAAATGCAGCACAGTGCATCCTCACAATGGAATGTTATATAGTCACTAAAAAGAACAAGACAGTTCTATTAAGTCCTAAAATGAAAAGATAATCCAGTTAACGGGAAGCTTTAAAAAAAAGGGAGGTTGTATGCCAGGCGCGGTGGCTCACGCCTGTATTCCCAGCACTTTGGGAGGCCGAGGCAAGCGGATCACCTAAGGTCAGGAGTTTGAGACCAGGCTGGCCAACATAGTGAAACCCTGTCCCTACTAAAAATACAAAAATTAGCTGGGGGTGGTGGCGCACACCTGTGATCCCAGCTACTCGGGAGGCTGAGGCAGGAGAATCGCTTGAATTCAGGAGTCAGAGGTTGCAGTGAGCCGAGATCACGCCACTGCACTCCAGCCTGGGTGACAGAGCGAGACTCCGCCTCAAAGAAAAAAAAAAGGAGGTTGTAGAAGACTGTGTTCTATGGTATACAGAAAAGCAATTTATATATAGAGAGAGAAAATATATACTTATACAAATGTAGAATACAGTTAAAAAGGATGCACAAGAAACTTCTATAGTTGTTTCAACAGAGTGAAGGGGTAGGGAGAGGAAAACTTACTTTTCTCCATTTACCCTTTTATCCCTTTGACTTTCATGACATGAATTGGACTTATTCAGTCAAAAAATAATTTTTAAAAAGCAGGAAGTTACAAAACATTTTTAGAGATTAATTCAGACAGAAAGGAGGAGTGAGCAAACTATGATTTCTCTTTTTCCTCAGGTCACCTCCTCCAAGCCCCACAACCCAAAGGAGGCCAACACTAAGTGCTCCCCTCGCAAGGCCCACATCCGGCCGAGGACCAGCTCCTGCCATTCCCTCTCCTGGCCCCCACTCTGGGGCTCCTCCAGTCCCATTCCGTCCAGGCCCATTACCTCCTTTCCCCAGCAGCAGTGACTCCTTCGGAGCCCCTCCACAAGTTCCATCTAGGCCTACGAGGGCCCCGCCCAGTGTCCCAAGGTAAGGCATGGAGCAGAAATTGGGGGGGTAG
Organism: Homo sapiens; assembly: GCF_000001405.40. NCBI lineage: Eukaryota > Metazoa > Chordata > Mammalia > Primates > Hominidae > Homo > Homo sapiens. Next base: position 172,388,841 of record NC_000001.11, read on the forward strand.
TGCGCCTTGGTTCTCTTCTCATAGAATGACAGACAAAATTTATTTGAAAGAGAAAATTGCAAAGATCTTATCGTACGTGTTTGCAGTTTTCACAATGAACAGAGACTATAGGAAAATTGCCAACCCTGTTATGCCATTTAAAAATCACTTGTGATCATTGAAATTTCTCATTTATCAATTGGCACAGACTAAATAGGACTAAAGAACACTCCGTCCCAATGAATGACATTTTGGCAGCTATTGGGAGAATTTGAGGGCTTTGAAACAAAAGAGCTATGGAGGATTGTAGCAAGCTGTGTGTTCTATAGGTCATGAGAGTTCCATGGACTAAAGTCTTGCCTTCTCCATTATCAAAAGAATTCTTGAAAACCACTGACTTAGAGAATTTTATCCATCTGCCTTCTGAACTGTGATCCTTATACTCAATTTTACCAATTTTCATATAGGCTGAATAAATCTGGCTGATTGATCTGCAATTGTTTTTTTAAAAACTACACATAGAAATTTTAATATAGGCATGATTGTTGTATACAGTCACTAATCATATATAAGATAGATCATTGTACATCTGAATAATACGTGTTGACAATTATAAGTGGATTTTCAGGCTTAATTGTGAAACAATATAGCTAATAAATAATGGACCTAGAAACACACATAGTTGGAGCTGTAGTCTCACCTTCATATACTTACAGTCAAAATATACACAATGAATAGAATCAGAGATTTTTAAGGTATAAAGTACTAAGGTTTTTTTCCCCCTCAAAATCAGAAATATAAAGAGGAAAGAAAATTAGCCCATATATAAAGTTAATTTTTAAAAAATTCAATTCAGAGAATTAAAATATTTATATACTCCATGAAGGAATATCTGACTGTATATGAACCATAAAAACAGATGTGACTTCTACCCATCCCTGAAGCCTGAGCCACCTTGCCAACTGATTATGGCACTTACGTTTTATTTTAATCTTCAAGTTGTTAAGCGTAATGAAGAGAAGAGAAGAAGGGGGATCTTAAGCTAGTACACAGAGGGTGGTACAGCAAGAATAGGCAGGAGATTTGCAGTCAGAAGACCTGGGTTACTGAAGGTCTTGGGCAACTCATTTAACTCTGAGACGGGAGTTCTTTATCTATGAAACAGGGAGAACTCAATAAGGTTGTTCCCCAGATCATATGACATGAGGTATTTGAAAGAGTTTGATACACTGTAAAGACTACAGTTGTTACCACTGTTATCATTTTGGTCCTAAGCAAAGAGGATATATACACACTCTCAATCCAATTTTTTTTCTCTAAATTCAATAGACTTGGCTTATAAATTATTTGGAATGGTGCTAAATTTCTAGTAATAGCAGTACTAGCAATAGCCAACATTTATTGTGCCCTCAATATTACTAGGCATTGCCCTAAGAACTTTGTATATACATTTTTGTTTAAAGCTCACAACAAATAGGTTGTTATCCACATTTTACAGATGAGGCAGTGAGGTTAAACAGCTTGCCCAAGGCTGCTCAGCCAGTCCCTAGTGGAGCTGGACTTTAATCCCATGCAGTCTGCTTCCAAAGCCATTTCCTGACCATGACCCCAGGGTTTTTCAGCCTCATCAGTACTGACGTTTTTGTTGTGGAGGGCTGTCCTGTGTATTGTAAGATGTTTAGCAGCATCCCTCCCCTCTACCCTCTAGATTTCAGTTGCAGTCCCCAGTTGTGACCACTAAAAATATCTGTAGACACTCCCAATGTCCCTTAGGGGAGTAAAATTCCTCTCCACGTGAGAACCACTGCACTGTAGTATTCAAAAGAATTCCCTTCCATGTAAAACCATGAATTTCCGCATTGAGCCTTGCTACAAGCAAGATCCAATTTATTATTTTAGAAAACCTCAAATTGACTAGGAAAGTGTCTGCCATTGTACCAGGAAGGTATTGAGGCCATTGGAAGAGGAAGAGTTGAGAGTGGGAAGGCTGGAGTGCCATGCAGGAGCTACTTTTGTCTGTCTAGCTGTGAGAAAAAACCAGAGCAAACTGGTGGTGCCTGTCCTGGGGAATGAACATGCATGTTCTGCCTGCTTGCTTGACTGCTTTACCTGTGGGTTTCAGATGAGCTAGCTTGCCAGTACCCTTCAGAAAAATCAACTTTTGAATGCTAAGCTGACTTGTTAAGCAGGGTGGAGTTGCCGTTAGTATTTTCCAGCTCGCACGAACAAGGCAGCCGGATGAGAATGAGTAGCCCGAGCTGGATGGCCGGCACATGGGCAGCAGGGCTTAATGAGACTACATTAGGGAATTTATAGGATGACAGTTGCCTTATTTGAAATTTCTAGAATACTCTCAAGTTAGAACCAGACTTTACTTGATCTGGCCATGCAAAGAGTCCCAAATTTAAAACAGAAATGAAAGTACAGGGTAAAAGAGGAAAGTTTGTTGTTTTGTGCTGAGCCTTCAAGTTTCTGTGCTGGTTCAGCGCTTTGGGAGGGAAATCCCGGGGAAGGGGGCTGGGGGAGGGGTGGTCACCTGAGAGAGGGCAAGAAAGACTCTGTCAGGATCCCCATGCCTGTTAAATCCAGCTTTAGATGGAGAGTTCTGACCACATAAAGTCTGTTTTTAATAAAAGCCAGAGCAGGAATCCTACCAAATACAAGCCAGAAATGGGGTTTAAGATTTCAAAAAAAGAAAGGAAGAGAGAACGAGAGAAAGAAAGAAATTGAGAGAAGCGCTTGTTGAAACTTCACCTTATTCTGTTTGTTTAATATATTCTATTTCCCCTCTGTGCTTTGCCTCCATTTTCTCTATCAAAAACTTAGAAAGTTGAAATGCCATTATCCATCATCTCTGGGAAAACAACCCTTTGTTTTCAGAGAAGGAAGTTTGATTTTTTTTTTCAAGTTTTTTACTTTCTTAAGGGTCCTTTCTCCTCTTGTATCTGAAACCAGAAACCTATAACATGACAAGACAGCACAAAAGGTGTCCCGCCAGCTCCCTGTTGGGCTTTAATATTACAAAGGCAATAACTGAACTTTTAGAGACAAGAGATTCTGCCATTCAGCATGGGCTTGTGCATAGTTTTCTTCTGGATAATTCACGACTTCATTAGCAAGTTATGATCTTGACTTTTAAGAGCATATATACTTTTATGTTAACGCCATTCAAAGGTAATCAAAGCACACTTGCAATTGTACAGAAACCATGAGTGTTCTGCTTTTAAAAAATATATATTATTGTATCTTTCCATTCCAATATAAAAGGAGAGGAAGGAGAGAGGTGGTGGAGTCATTTTTGGCCCAGCTTTTCTCAGCTGCTCAAGCTGTTCTGGTTTATGTGCATGGAGCCTTTCAGTTAGGGAGCTGGAAATATTGCAAACTACATGCCTGTTTTAATTAATTCCACTTGAACTAGAGAAGCATCTCTATCCCAAAGAGATTCACTAGTATGTATGCTTCTGTCATTGGTAACTTGAGTATACACAAATCAGTGATTTGTGGAACATTTTCTATTGCCAGAATATCTGGATTGTCACCTCCCCTCTCACCTCCACTCAACTTCTCTGAAGGGGCTAAATGCTGTTTGAAAATCCAATCCAGTGTGTATTTATTTACTTAACAAGATGATCTTAAACAGACATCACCACCTCTTTAGGGTTCCTATTCTCTTAATTGAAGATCCTGATCTTCATCAGACATTAACTTTAGAGCTGATGTAACTATTTTCAGATATAGCTTCTTAAAATTAGTTAATTGGGAATCACAGTCTTTGACATTAACGGAACAAATTCACTGAATCCGAGTGTGTTTTTCCTGGCAATAATGAACTCTGGCATTATTTCACTCATTTGTCTTCTTCCCTTTCCTTGGACTAAGCTATTTTGCAATAGTCAAAAGGGGATAAGGGTGGGAGGAAGGGTCTCCAACCAAGCAAGAAGAAACTTTTTTTTTTAACCTCATCACTCAATATTCAAGTACTTTTTTTGACCACCCTTGTTCACCAAGTATGATGGTTTCTCTTTAAAAAGACAAAACTGAATCATTCGAAAGGATTTGGGTTTTACTCCAGCTCATCAAAATGACATAAACACAATATGGAAACCAAGAAATGCTCCCTTGAAGGAGTCTCTGGTGAGCCCCTTAGTGAAGCTGATGTCCCACCCTGCAAGGGCAGTCCCAGAGTAGCATCAAGATTATTCCAGAGTGTCTCACTCATGCCCATCCCATGACTTAGGTGGCTTCCTTGACTTATGTGGCACACTTTAAGAGTTTCATTGTAATCCCACATTTTCAGTAATTTATTACAAATCGACCATGCCAAAAGATTTATTAATCCTTCTACATAGGCAATCAATGCATGCATATTCTTTTCTTTACAAAGACAAAAGCCATTTAATCCTCCTTATAATTTAGTTTAATTCTGTTTCAAATGTTTGACCTTGATGGCCTGCAGTGCTCTATCTCTTTTATGTATTTTACATATTGTTATAACTGACAATTAATATAAAGTCCCTTTCACTTAGGGATACGATCTCCTTGTTTCGGTTTTGTAGCCAGTCCCCCAAATTTTGCATGAGGACAAATTCACGATTCTTATGAGTGTGTCTTTGAATCCCTTACGTCAAGGTTTGGTGCCATGAAGGATGAAGCTGCTGAGCCCTGAAGTCGTGGGCTAAGGGTACACGGACAATTAAGCAACTTAAGTGACTAGCCTGTGTCTGATTCCCCTGCAGTCATGTACTGAAAACCTCCTGACTTACTGTCTTTTCAACAGCCCTCTAAAAGTCTGACTTCTTTTAGCAGCTGAATGTCATTTGGACAAATGAGGAACTCATCTTGTGACCTCTGATGTCAGCCAGGAGCTTTCTATTTTTCTCACCATCCTCCCCCTTTAAAAAACAAATACATAAATTTATCATTGGGCATTGTGATTTTTCATGGAACAGTTTTTATTTTTAGCAACTGGCTTTCAAAGCAAGGAAAGATGTTTTTTTAAGCATAATTACTAAGAATAGAAACAACTTTGAGGTGTTCTTTTTGATTCTTAATATTTAAGGTGTCTCATGACATTTGAAGTCTCTAAATGTCATTAATCATTTGTTGCAGGTTTAATATGAGTTGTCATGATGCTTAATATACTTTAATGAAAATAGAATTTTGGCCACATGCTGTTCATTAAAGAAAATATCCAATTTAATATAAGTCCCTCAATTAAAAATCCCATCAAAAGCCTTGTTCCAATTTCACCATGATTCTGGCTATAACACAATTATTTCATTGGAGTGAATCAATGGTTAATGTCAAAGTTTTTAATTCTTCAAGTCTTGGTTTCAATCTGGTTTAAGTGAAAGTAAAATTAGTTTGGTGGTTTCCTTCTTGAGTCTTGCAAACTTGAGTCTACCTTACACAAACATCTCCATCCTGCCACGGTTCGGATGACTGGCAGTCTGTTTAGGCGAGGCCCAGAAACAGAAAGCAAGTCTTGTGAAAGTCAGAATCTGGGAGCTTTGCAGATGCGTCAAGGTAGCCTTCAGATTGCCTCTCTGTTTTCAATGTGTCCCCTATCTCACTCTTCCAAACATCCTATGCTGTAAGAGGGTAAAAGGAAAAGGAAAATAAGAAAGGATCTACATAAGGCAAAGTACAAGTAACATAAATGCAGACAGCAGCAGTAAATATAACAATATGCTGCTGTTAGCCCAGTGGTAACTGGCATTAAGCTAACCAAACACAACTGCTTCCACATCCCATGACAAATAATAGCAAATAGCTCTGTCATTGTTCTCTTTGGGGCTCTAAATTGTTGAAGCTTCAGCCATTGCAGGGAAAGCCTTCCTGAGTTTCAGGGGACCAAGCCCTGCCCTGAGTTTCACCTGACTGATAGAGGAAAACAGCCAAGACAGGAGTCTGGCAGAGAAGCCACTGGCCAGTGAAAAATGCACAGTAGAGGATTATTATTCTTCCTGCAACCAGTCAGTAGCAAATTGTCACCAGTTGGAATCTGCTGAATATTCCTATATACAAGTTAATGTTAGCTCAAAGAAAGGGGGGTTTAAAAAAAAAAGTTTTGCCCAGTGTAAGCAGATACAGATTTGTAGATGACACACAAGCTAGTACTTCTATTTCATCACTGCACTTCGTTGTTTCCCTCACTTGTAAGAAAAGAATGATTTTTACAGGGAAACCTTCACATTCAGACAGTTCTTGTTATTTCTTGTTTTAACGACGTCAACGATTCATGGCATGACATTGCTCATAGCTCTTTCACCTCTAAATTTTATCCAAGCAACAAATTAGAAGAAAGGACTGCTGGGGAACTTCTTCCTTCTTTCTGTGAAAGATCAGAAGCAATTTTTTTTTTTTTTTTTTTGAGGCGGAGTCTCTATCACCCAGGCTGGAGTGCAGTGGCGTGGTCTCGGCTCACTGCAACCCCTGCCTCCTGGCTTCAAGCGATTCTCCTGCCTCAGCCTCCTGAGTAGCTGGGATTACAGGCGTGCACCACCACATCCAGCTAATTTTTGTATTTTGAGTAGAGATAGGGTTTCACCATGTTGCCCAGGTTGGTCTCAAACTCCTGACCTCAGGTGATCCACCCACCACAGCCTCCCAGAGTGCTGGGATTACAGCCATGAGCCACCACACCAGGCCTAGAAGCAAAATTTAAATAACGTTTACTAGAGTTGCTTTAGCCAATAAGAGCCAGGAAATTAAAAATGAAAATGTAAATGCTTCATCTTTCACTCAGAAACATGCCTTAAATGCCTACCTCCAGCAATGTAAGAAAAACATTGAGGATTTAGCTGAGAGTTTGATGGCTTTTGCTTGCCTGTCATAACTTCATTGCTGCTCAAAGGGAGAATTTTAAAACACTCGACATTGAAATCCTTTAGCTTACCATTGCCAATGTATTGTAAGTGTTGTCGGGGGGAACCCCTGAATCTAAACATATATTTACACCCTTAAGTTGCCAAATTAAATCCATCTGGCTTACCAAATGCTGTCGCCAAAAGACTGTTACACTGTTGGTGTGGCCAGTATTTTAAATGTGGGGGATGGGAGGGCAGTGTTGAAAGGCACTAGATTTGATGATAGAATTTACATGTGCATTGATGCCACATTAAGTATTTACATCAAGTTTAGATCCCATGGCAACTCTGACCAAGAAAGAATTCCTACACAAGGCAAGAAGTCTAAAGCCGCTAGGTATTTGCGCCGTCTCCTCATGGCACTTTTTGCCCTGTGACTGCTTTTCAGGCATCACAGCCACGCAATAGGCAAAACCACAAATAGCAAACACTCTAATTTCTTGAATTATTTTTTAACTATTCCCATAAGCACTAGGAAATGCCCACTCCTGTTTTCTGGTCGAAGTTATCAGCTCATGTGAATCATAGAAAGAATAAATTCTACCCAAGGACCTGAAAATATGTTAAGTCAAAATGGCAAGTAGCAAAATTCGCAGTCACTCATAATCCATAGCAAGGTAGGGTCTTCCTAACTTCAGTTGCTTAGAGACATGTAAAATTCCAAATGTTCATAAAATCAACTTTTTCTCCTATTGGGAATTAATTTAAACATTAGAAAACAGGAAAAGGTATAAGCACTCTTCTTAAATGTGCAAGTTGATATGAAATTTAGAAATAAGCCCCATTCCTTCCCTGCTTCTTTGGTAGAAGGGCTAATGGACTAACTAAGAGAGAGAATAAGCTAAAAGTCTGGATAGCCACAACTAAATACACCACCACAGGAGAATCCCTCAGCTTCTATGGTAATTTTGAAACTAAGAGAAAATAAGACAGCATGAGAAGGCATTATGCTGCTTTAAATATGACTTGGGAATGGTCTTATTTTACAATCAAATATACCACTTGCTTCCATCATGTAAATATTACCAGTATTTAGTTTCAGATTTTCATGAGGTAACATTATCTAAATTTACTGTTCGTCTGTATATTTAAATATATAACATTCATTTGCAGTATTTCATTTATCTCAAAAGATTAGTATATATCTCATCTAGAATGAGACCTCTTATGAGAATAGGAGATGAGAAAGACTTTTAAAGGCATTTCGCAGTCCAGAGAGTCTGCAATGAAATTATTCCACTCAGGAATGGGTATTTATGTAAGATACATTCTGTACCATGTGTATTTTTTTAAGTTTATATTAGCATTATTCTCAAAGCCAATTTTAAGAGTGAATGAAATTGTTCCCTTAAGTAAATCTACCCTTAAGTAGTATCATGCTCAAGGGCCTACACCAGAAAGTCTGCCCCACTGCTCTCGCTATAATACCATTCACTGAGGAAAAGCTGTAAGAACTGAGGAAAATGTCTACTTACTTCTTAAAACAACGAGAATTGCTTTTTGCTTCTCAGTAGTGTTGGAAACTATTTTAATAACTAAAATAATAAAACTTCATGTGAGGCAAATTCCACCTTAATTATTGCCCTTTGGGGTGGAAAAATTAAGGAAACATTAGTAAATGTGTTAAACAGAAAAACCACTGCAGTAATTTCCCGCCAAATACCTGGGTCTAAAGTCAAAATAAAATCTGTGCTCTGCGTATGATTTGTATGAAAGCAGACTTATAGTTTTAGCTCTAACAATAGTACCACTTAGGACTAAGATGAATGGACCAGAAAAACCCCTGTGACTCATCAGTAGACTGTGATTAGCTTACTTAAGTGTTCTACAGTTCAGTTCGGGAATCTTTAATGAAGGATATTGATATAATTGCTTGATTCATTTTAATATTTCAAACACTCTAAATTACTCCATCACTATCTTAATAATTAATGCATGAAAACTCATACTTACATTGAAAATTCATTTTAAAGCACAATATCTTTGAATAAACCCATTGAAATAGTGTTTCTGGTGTTTGCTTAAAACTTTGGTGTATAACTGATTACATCTTATAGATTTCATTTTTTTTTTCCTGGTATTTTCCTCTTCTAACTTAGGACCTTTTTGCCATATGTGGCTATTTGATGTATATTGTTCAGTCACGATCTTCTAGGTGACTGAAAAACGCATGGAGTTACTCATGCCAATAATTATTGCTACTGAATTGTTCCAAAGTCTCCCTTCCTGCAGAAAAATAAGTTTCAGTAAAATATTCTAGAGGATTACAAGTTATCTTTGCAGTTCATAAATACTTTCATAGGCTCCATTGATATTCACAGTTTTCAGTTAGAATGTTATTTTTATTGCAAAGTTTGCATTTATATTTCTTTTCTGTGGATTGCTTACCACTTATTAAAATTAAAATGCATTTTAAGGTGAAACATTATGTACCTAGAATACTGAAGGTAGCACTGACCATTGTCTTTAGCTCAGAAAGCAATGTTGAATTGGAAAAGCAAGATTTGAGAATATTCCTCTTTACTGCATTGTCATTGCACTCTAGTCCTTCTGATTTCCCTTGTTTCTCAGATGATCCCTACGCCCAATTATACAGAACAGTCTTCCTCTAGTTACTTATATCAAACACTTGCCTGCTAGCTGTGTTTGGCAGGCCAGCAGGATGAGGTAATAATCAGAAGAAAATGTTCTGGTTTATTGGCCTCATCCACGTACAACATTATTCAAAATAGTTCTCTGTGGGTGAGAACAGAGTTGCTTTGAGATCCCCTGGTCTAATGTTCTGTAGTAGTGAGGAGGAACAAAACTGTAAACTTTTTTGATCTCTTCTAGAATAATGGTAAGGTAAATGATATCTGCTTGGCCCATCCTTTCAGTAATGTTTACAGGCAGTTAGATGTATGTGAAAATGAGAGCCTTTCATTTATAAACATTTTGGCTTTACTCTTTCCAAGTCCAGCCATCTTCTTACGTACAGCCTCCATGGTCAGTACAGCAGTGTTTTCCTAAAAGCATATTTTGTGAACAATTTCTCCAGGATGATGGTAGTTTTTGTAAGACAGATGCCTAAAAGACATATGGTTTTCATAGATTTTCCGTCTAGACTAGCTTTATTTAGTGACTTTTGGTCTGAATTGGTCTAGTTAAAGTTTCTGTAGGAGCTTGTATAAAAATTTAAAATGTGGGTGTACCATTAAGGTGTAAAACAAAAGTTTGACTTCTTGTTGGCAAGAGATTAAAACGGATTGGTTGAAAATTTCCTTCATGTTAAGTAATTCTGATCATCTTATATGCCTACTCATCCATTCCACCCCTACAACACTGTCCAAAATGGAAAGGCTTACCCTAAAAATCCCATAACTGTTAAATTCATATACTCCTCACTGTTCCTGAGTAAATTCTTTGTGTTCCAGTTTATGTGTGTATGTTAGAAAGCCCTAATTCTTTCTGCAGACTCTTTACATGGCCCAGGGGACATATTATTCTTTACCCTTTTAGCACCAATTTTTACAAACACAGCATTTCTCTCATTTAAAAAAAGCGTCTGACAAGCCGCTGAGTAGAAGCGACTGAACCTTTAGGAGTTTCATAGTGCCTTCAACCAACAATGAAAATTCTGTTTTTCAAGGCGTTTCAAATTCTTGAGCCAGTGTCAAAGACTCATTTAGAAACAATATGACATGTTCAGAGGAAAAGAATTACATCTAGTCTTGCCCAGAAATCATCCTTTTGCTCCCTCTTTTGTAAGAGCTAATACTGCAGACCAGTCCCATCTTAACTGCATCAGAAAGAGGAGGCTCGTGGAAGGGAGGAAATGTGGGCCGTTCTGTCTCCACGAGTGTCATTGCTTGGCTTCCTTGGCTTCTCACGAAGCATTTAATTGGACTTAGTCACATATTTGTTCACTGACATGGCAGCCTGCAAAGCACAATGCCTCTCTGTTTTTCTCTGTTTGCTTTAAAAAATTTTGTTTTTAAAATTTGAGCTCTAAAGCATGTTAGAGCTCCTCCTGCTGGATTTAAAAAAAAATAACTGGGACGATTAATAAATGGTAATTCTTTTTCTTCATATTTACCACCTGGGCTAATAGAAGTGACAGAAGCCTATCATGTGGTGCACTTAAAACTGACCTTTTAATTCATCAGGTATGAAGGTCAGGCAGAAAGAAAATGTTGGTGCTACACAACTCATCTCTCAGTCTTCAAATTCCTCATGCTCTTTTTTTTTGCTGTTGTTAAAAAAAAAAAAAGGAAAAGGAAAGGTTATTTTTCTGTGAGTATTTCTAGTTACATAGTTACCCCAAGTCACATCCCCATGCTTGAAAGGTTCTTGCTCCCTCTCAGAAAGGGACAAAAAGTCTTTTCTATCTTCCCAAAGCAGAAATGAATTGTGCAGTCATACAGAGATTCGAAGTGTTGCCTTTTTCCTCCCTATCCTTTCTTCTTTTTCCTTCTTCCTCCTGATTTCCTCCTCCTTCTCAGAAGCGGACACTTGCCTCGCCCAGTAGCTAGTTCTCAGCACCTCCTTTCTGCCTCCTCCTTCCCCTAAATGGTGGCAGTTGGCCTCTCCCTCTCCTGGTGCCTGAAGTGGGAGTGACGAGAAGGGTCAGAAAAAGGTTTACCCCATTCACCATCAGTGGGAGTAGGTTTCTACAGCACATAAGTTTCTGGAGGTCTCTTTAGGAATAAGAGAGAAAGGAGGGGGGATAGAAGGGAGATAGGAAGAAAGGAGGGAAGGAGGGAAGGGGCAGGAAAGGAGGGAAGGAGGGAAGGGGCAGGACAGGAGAAAAGGAGGAAAGGAAGGAGCAAAGGAAAAAAAATCACTTGTAAATCTCTGTAAAACCACTTCCTTTCTCTGCATGCTTTCTCACACTGTATCCCTCTTGCCTTCTGCTTCTCTGCGTTTCTTTTAGCTCTTTCCTCCCCCAAGTTTATAATCTCAATGATATAGTACAAAGGCCAAAATACTTAAAAGTTAATCTCGGAAAGTAATGCTTTTTAGAAATCATATTTTAATACAACTAAAAATCCTTCATGTTACCTGTTTCATGACTTTATTAGGACTTGGGACAAAACAAGTCATTTGGTATTTGTGATAAAGAATAAGACAACCCTTGATTTCTCAAACTTCAGTACTTTCTGGCTTTCTTTCCTTTGCACATACCTTTCCTATTCCTGGAATGCTAGTCCCCTTAACTTTCCGTACTTTCTGGAAGTCCTTCCAACCTCCTAGCCTCCTTCCAACTCTAAGCTAGGACTCCAGATGTTTCTGAAACTCCTGAAGCAAAAATTTTAGCATAATCCTACTGTGGTCATAGTTAACTTGTCTCTCTCCATCTCAACAAGAAACTTCTTCAGGGCAGTGACTCTTTATTTCTGTATCTCTACCTCTTAACACAGTACCTAGTACATAAGTAGGGCTTACTGAGGGGATGAAGGAATATAAAATGAATTGACTTGCAAGCCTCAATCAAAATTTATTTTGAAACTAGCCCGATACTTATTTTAAAAACCAACTTAAACACACTTTCTTGTTCTATTCTATTGAAAAGCTTGCCTGAGTGAATGTTGTAAAATTCTTTTTACAGATCATAAACTGAGGAGAGTTAATGTGGGTAAATCATCCTTTAAGCTGCTTTTTTGCCACAACCACAGAAGTGGGTATATTAGGCACCATGCCTATGGGTGAAATCCAAGTCAGATATGTAGGACAATGTAAAGAAAGTGTGACAAAGCAGATTATATTACCATTTATGTCACAGGCTAATTTATACAGGATATTACCTGTTTGTATCATCAAAAAATTGTGAACTATTTTTCTCCCTATGTTCTGATTTCAAATTCCATGAATTGATTCATATTTTCCCAATGACATACATTATAAAATCATGGGTTCATTTTCACAGGGGAAAGAAATGCTGGCTCTAATACACTGCAAGAATCATATTAGAGAATTCCTTAAATCCTTTAAGTGGGCTCCAAGTTCTGTGTTCTTTCCAGCATCTACTGTAAACTATTCTTGGATAGTATTGGCTCATTCTGTTGCTACAGCCAAAAATTCCAAAAATATGCTGAATAGCACCCTATAGTATTTCTTACAGTAAATTATAAAATATTATCTTCCATGTGGACAAAATCATGACTGTTATAGCATTTTTCTGACTTTAAATAAATGCCCAAAATAAGAAGTAGAGTGCAAATACATCGCTGAAATTTAAAATACAGTGTCCCAAAATTTGTTCTCTTAGAGCAGACATTCACAAGAAGAAGTAGGGGTCCTGCATCACAGCTGCCTTCCATTTTACCTAGAAGTGTGCTCCAACCCGATTTATCTTTGGGCCCATTCACACTCATTGATCTACCGCTTGGGACACTGCCCTCAGCAGGTGCTGTGGAAAGCTGCAAGAGGCGTAGGAGTAATCTTGGTTCATAGAAGGTTTTGAATGTTGTTCAGATGATAAGATATGCATGCACGCCTCAAACTTCAAAAAAAATGATGCAAGCATTAAATGATTCAAGAGGGTCATTGAGAAGTAAAGCATTTCAATTCCTGAAAACATAGAAAATGGTTTTTGTAGATAAAACCCTTCATTTTTTATCATAAATAAGTTTAAAAAGGGTGGGCAAGTTGATATCAGATTCTAGTGGCCCTTGGAAACCTGGGATGTATAACTCTCTCATGATCCTAGATGTATGTAAACTAAATTTTGAGACAGTTATATTTTAAACTTTCAATTATAATTTACAAGTAAATCTTGCAATGTAAAAGAAGCTACTGCATATCCTTTTTATGCAAATAACTACCCTTTTAAGCAGATATCTTCTCTAAAAATGTCAGTCTTTGTATATCTTTTTGAAGGCTTTCTTTTAATTTGGGTCCACCTAACTACTTATGCTGGACTTCAATCCTACCCTCTCCAAAGATTAGAATTTGGAATGCACAGAGATGCTTACCTATTTATTTTCATAAGCAAATACAAGCTTCCCTAAGCAAGTAGTAGTTATTCTTCTGATAATGACTAACAACAACGACAACAAACACTGTAGTCCAGTATCTTGGTCTTTATAACATAAGGCTAAAACTGCTTTCACCCATGCTTAAGTCTAATTCCTAAAGGTATCAAAGTGTTTCTACAAGCATTTCTTCATCCTTCTTAAGATTTCCAGCACTTTCTCTTTTTGTTTTTACTTTATCTGGCAAGTAAATTGAATTGCTAATAAAGCAAAGTAAAAATCTTTTTTTTACTGAACAGTGGTTTCAAAGCATAGTCCCAGGACCAGCAGCATCTGGGAACTTATTAGAAATATCCCACCACATTAGAAATGTTGGGTGGCACCCAGCAACCTGTGTTTTAACAAGGCTTCCAGGGAACTCTGATGCAAGGTCCAATTTGAGAACCATTGCCAAGAGCATATCAATCTAACTGCCCAATAGAAAAAATTCTGCACTGAAAGTCATGAGACCTTAGTGCAAGCACAGGAAAGGAAGAAGACTGAACTACATAGGCCCATTCTGGCTTAAAAATTTACCAGTCAGATAATTCCTACTTCCCATCCTATGGAGAAATAAGGGCAGGGACAGAAAGGCCAATCCATTTCACAAATCAGTATTATGCTAGCTGGAAGCAAGAAGCTAGAGGAAAGGTGGTTTTCACACCCACCCCACAAACTGATACACCAAAGCAGTTTGCCCTTATTGAGGTCTCCCTTAACTCCTGTTAAAATGGGCCTCATATCATGAACACTCAGGACCAGCTAATCCAAAGAAGAGCAGATGAAATTTTAGTTCTTCTGTTCTTAAAAGACAATAAAATAAGGCAAGAAAACAATGATGCATTCTTCTCTCTTATCGGTAAAGCCAGTTTCTCCCCCACAATGCCACCCACCCTGCATGAGCATTTGACTTTCTTACAAAATTTGTCATTGTCCACAATACTGCAAACAGTCCATCCCTGCAGCTACAAATACAACTTCAAGTATTACTTCTTCCCCTTTGATTTGAAAGAAGAAACATGGCTCTTCTATGTAACCATAAACCGCCCACATACAACACAGTGTTTCAATAAACACTAAGTGATACAAGATGCTCCATTTCAATATAATGCCTTACTTAACGAAGCTCATTACTAAACAAAGCAACTGAGGAAAATTTGGTACAAAACAATAACTTTGCTTTCCCCAAAACAAACTGTCTTGTGAGGTGAATGCCTTTGGAAACTCTTTGAATGGTTAGGAACTGGACCAATGAAATGAACTTTAACAGTAAACTTTAAATGTTTTCTGGTGTTGAAGTTAGCAAACATCTTTAGCATTGCATATTAAGAAAATTCACCCTAAATTGCTTTCTAGTACAGTTGTATATACAGATTTTTGTTGTTACTGTTTTAGAAAAAATAAATAAAATGTTTATTTCTTCTGCAAGGTTTAGTGAGGAGCTCTTTAGGATTTTTAATGACTAAGTACATATTTGGGTTCCTTTAACTGCAACTAGGCATATTTCCAAGATATCATAGTTACTTTGAGAGAACATGAACATTTTATCTTTTATTATTTTAATTATTAATTCACCATCTAGCTATGCAGTGCCTATTAAATGCATGTCCCTAGGGACATCCTTAAAGAGCTCATAATGAATAAGTTATCCTGATTGACTGATTTATTTGGAAAAAAATACAATACTATGAACCACAGGCCATGCTAAGTTATGGGATATGGTAGTGAATAAGACTAACAATAGACCTGGCACATAGCAGAACCATATGTTCTCCTCATCTCCTGTCTTGACTTCTTTCTGCAATTGCCTGCTACTATTGTGCTCTTGTCCCAGCCACATGGTCCAAGGATTAAAGCAGATATTAATGAGAATTTACTGTGCCATAAGAGTACTTAAGTCTTTCTATTCTCTATCCACACCATTGAATTTTTCCCTTCAATCGCCATCATTTAAGTTCCAATTTCACTCATTATAGACCTACATTCCTACTTCCAAGTTTTATATGCAGCAGTTACAATCATGTTTGCCATCACTTTGACCACATTATTGTATTTTCAGACTTCCCAGAGTGTATTCTCAGACTCCGAATTACAAAATTTTGCCCCACTTTTCCACTTAAAATGAAGTACTATAATAAAGCTACTTTCATATTTGTTTTATTCCACTCATCTTCCATTCTGAATAGATGCTGAGCTCTTTAAAGTCATGTAGCATGAAGCAGTCCACATATTAGATGCTCAATAAATAATCTATGCAATATATAACTGGAAGTCTTGACATAGATCATCTAGTCTGATTGTACAATTTGGCAACTGGAGCTAGAATCCACATTTTCTAACTTCTGATCCAGGACTCTTTCTATGTAAACATAGTATCTCAAATATAAGCTTCTGATAAATGCCTTAAAAGTGTAGCATCCTTGGCCTCGCTAGACCTACTCACCTTGATCTAGCCTAAACTCTAGCCTGGCTAAATATCTTGTTTAGGCACTTTTCAGTCATTTCTTCATTTGTCCATTATTCAACAAATACTTAACCACTGCTTTCTAATCACATTGTACCAAATGCTGAATACACATAATAAATGCAAAATATGTGGTTTCTTTTCTCAAGGAATTTTGAATCTATTTGGGGGACACTGGTAATAATCTAGTAAATAAATACATAATCACAAGTAGGGTTACGTGCTACGAGAGACACAAACATGAAGTCATAGGGGAAGGCAGAGGAAGTCAGGAAAACTATGGGATGGTCCAGAAGGACTGAGGAATAACAGTTAAGCCAAGAACAAAAGGATCAAGAGAAGTCAGTTTCATTCCTTTCTCTCTTGGCTACAAGCCTTGATCCAAGCTATCACATATTCATGAAACGATTTCCAATCCATCATGCCATGCTGTATCCTACTTCTCACTGAATTTGTAGTCTAAAATCAACTTTTTATTTAATGAAATCACCTAATTAATTCCATTATCAAAACTTCTGGTAGAATTTCCCTCCTTAAAGCTCAAATTCTGGCCAGTTCTCTCCTCCCACCAGCCAACTGGTTAATTGCTAAGAATACATTTCCATAGGTTACATGATTATTTGACAAACTCCCTGAGGGCAGGGGGCTTATTATTTGGTATTTATTCCAAATATCTACTAAAGAACTGAGCAGTTAGATACTTTAGAGTCACCAAGGATCTCAATCCTACATGTCACTTTAGCTACTTTTTTTTTTTTGCCATGGCCATGATTTACTCACAAATATCCTTGTATTTATAAGACCAATGAATATCACAAGCATTCATTAGTTATTTCTTGATTCTAGGAGGAACTTTCATTCATTCAGTTATCAAACATTCAGTGACTGAATGACAAGCAGTGAGCTAGATACCACAGTTACATGAAGATGATTAAGAGACAGCTCATTTCTCATCAGTGAAGATAACATATAAGCCTAATTAGAGTTCAGTGTGATGACTAATAATAGAGATTTGTTGAGATGCTATACAAACAACTGTATCAGGAGAGGGGAAGGCAGGTCAGGGAAGGCTTCACTGAAGTAAGTCTTAAATGATTAGTTAGTAGTCTCAGAAGATGACCAAAATGACATTGAGAATGTAATTGCATGTAACACCATGCTAAACACTGTATGAAACAAGTTAAGTGGGTGTGACCTGCGCCCTTCAGAAACTTCCTATCAAAGAAGAAAATTATGCAGATTCAAGATTCAGGACATAAGTTAAACATATATGGCCATTTTAAATGAAAATAAGGCTGGGTACCATGGCTCACACCTGTAATTCCAGTGCTTTGTACCTCCCCAAAGAAAGATTTCCTTTGAAGCCTCTTACACATTTTTCAAGTGCATGAGGTAAAAGGAATTCTACTAATATCTATGAGTTTGTGCCTAAATAGTTAATATTTTCACCATTAATCAACAATATCTCTCCTGCTTTGATTTTTCCTTGATCGTGTAATTTAATTTTATAGTTCCATGATTTTTCAACAACTATTTTTTTCAAAACTATTTTTCAAAACTATTTTTCATAATAGTTTTCTTAAATTTTTCTAACTTCACTTCTTCATACCTGAGAAAGGACATTCAATTTGATCAATATAGAGTTTCTAATACAGAAGAAAAATTTATGACTATAATTCCAGAAGGAGTCTTTCTGAAAAAATCAGTTGCAGAGTTTTATCAAAAAGAAACATTTCAATTTGTAGACTTTGTCAAATTTGGGGGGGTAAAAAAATGACTACCCAAGATACCATATATGAAGTCAAGTACACAAATACACTAAAAAAACTTATTAATATATTTAGGAAATAAATGTAGAAGCTTGAGGAATAAATAAGTAATAAATAATATTACTTGGTAATGTTGAGACTCTCAAATACAGTAATATTTCATTATCTAAAGTACGTTTGCTTAGTAAACTCAGCTACCAGAAACATCATTACCAACTAGAAAGTGAGTAATACTACTAATACCAATACTAAAGTCTTTAAGACCCAAAATAGGAACTAGAGCTCCTGCAATTTAAACAGGCACTCAACACTGAGCCTATTTACACTTGCTACAGAGAACTCTAAAGACTTGCTTTTCTGATTTTTAGTGCTCTGTAAATTACAAGCATAATATAGAACAAATTGGAGAAAGTCAAAAAGGCAATGAGAAGTGATAATAATATCCTGAAAGAAAAAGGAAAATTATATGTGAGAAATAAAAATTCAAAAGCCATCATTGTCTGAAACAGTATACCTTATTAGTTCCTGAGTTCATTCTATGTAATTATTATATTCTATTGGCTAAGATATGTGCAGTACGTTTCAGATGGCTTTCAAATAGTTTCATATTTCTTATTAGTATTGGAAGGAATGACTTCAGTTTTGAGAAAGATTTGCATATGAAAAAAGACGTAATTTTCATTAAAACTACTAGATAAATGAAAGGTGACAATGTTAAAATCATTACAGATCATAACCACTTCTGCTGGCCTGTATGTGCATGAGCATGTGTGTAATGGCTCTTTCTCAGTGTCCTTGGAACAATGTTCTGCTAGATATTCTACTTGTTTCTTTACCTTTCTCTTTTTCTCTTTCTAGCCGGAGACCACCCCCATCACCAACTCGTCCCACTATAATCCGCCCACTAGAATCCTCCCTGTTAGACTAAACGAAGTGTCTGGCATGGCAATTAATCACTAATGAATTATGCGAAAGCAACATATTTGATAACCGTTGCAGTAAATCATGAGTAGTCGCATGTGTGGACATCAGTAGGCAAGTAACCAGTTTTACTAATGCATTCATCGCTCATCTTCATTGCTCATGGTATGTCAAACCTTTGGGGTTTGACTCAGAAACTGCTAACCTTTTAGAGGCTTTATATGTTGTACTGACCAAGGTAGGTTTGTATAGCAGCCCTATACTTTGGGGATCATTTGCCTACCATGGCATATATTTGAAATTGCTTTGGACAAGTTTTCTAGGCTATCTACCAGGTAGCTCATTAAACGTAATTCTTCAGATATGAGATAGTGGGCTTAGACCTAAGCCATACATATTTCTTTTCCCACATTCTGTTTAGGATGACAGTAATTCTGTTGTCTACCATTAATGCTACTACCTACTCCATAATTGCCTATTTAGCTCCTCTTTTCTTCCTTTTTATTTCATAAGACTGCTAGGAAGTGATTTTTTAAAATTAGGACTCCTTAAGAATAAACTTTTCCAGAAGCACGAGGTAGTTTGCAAAGGAAAAGTCTGCACTGTTTGCTCTAAAGAGCTTCTCCTCATTCCAATGTGTTTTGCTTCATGCTAGAAGCATATGCAACAGTGAATAAAAGCTTCTTTTTTTGTTAATCAGTCAATAAATTTGGCTAATTAGTTTCAGAGTTCAAGGAAGAAGCAAAATATCACATCTCTAGAAGTGTTGGGAAAAATATAATTTCTTTCTTTACTTATATTCACCTCATGGTAGGTTATATTGAAGGCTGACATGGAGAATGTTTACTTTTCTATTTGGCATAGCTAACTACACTTTGATACTAACTCCAGTTTTACTATTATTATTTTGGTTGGAAAAAAAATTCACTCTTTACGTGCTAATTTGTAATCTTGTTTTGTAAGAATTTATCCTACCCTTGAAACAGGCTCAGTGTAACTGTATATCCATTCTAGGCTTTCTTAATAAATCTTGAGGCTATGGGATAATCACATTTAAAGAATGGTTCCTGAAATGAAGTCAGTAGAAATGGCATGGGATAAGAGCAGAGCTCACACTTTTACAGTTGCAGTATTTCAAAGTCCCTATCCAGGTCACTCCAGAAAAGGGTATTGAAACGTTGAAATCTAAAGCAAATTTGCAATTTCTTAAGATTTCTAAAATTTACCAGAACAGTTTAGCCTGGGGGTTAATAGTTAAGTCTTGAGGCTAAGTTTTGGACTACCAAGGACCAGATGATTCACATGTAGGAAACAGCCAGAAGCCAACTGGAATTTTGTGTGCTAACTGTTCCCAGACAGCAGAGCAAGTATTCACTGAGTAGGGGTGTCCCATGACACTATTTCATATTCTACAGAAGTAAATCAGGTTTCACCAACTGAAATGTCTCCCTTTGAAAGTAGCAAACATGATTTGTATGTTAACTTAACTTTAATTTCCTGTGTAGTTTACACCCAGAGCAGATACTCATAAAGTATAAAGTAAAAACTTTTAACCATTATTAAACAGAGAACTTGCCATGTTGAGTGCCATTGTATTGAACTTATTCTAAAGGCTTATGCTAACCCATTTATAATTGGTAAAAATCAGAAAATACAAGATTTACATAAAGGTCATTTCAACTTTTAAGGTTACCAGTGATTGTATAAAAACATCACAATCCTAAATCCTCTCGTATCTCACCCCAAACCCCAAACTGGGGGAAAAAAAGTTAACTCTTTGTGAATGGAACCAATGTGCAAGATACATACTGCATTTTTAAAATAGTGTCTCAGCTAAATGGAAAACTGTTAAGCAAACATCCATAGTAAAACAAATAATCTTCAGTGAGATCTTTTTATAAAACTTCTTGTTTTTAGGATTCCCTTTGCTTCTTCCTTTGAATTCTCTAAAATAGGCAGCTAACGGATTATATACTTCAGGGTTTGGCTTTGTGCTAAATGTGGTTTTGTGTTTTGCTGTATTTCAAAATTTTCCTTCTGTTAAAGGAAAATATTGTGAATAACCACTGGTGTGTTCTTAGATCAGCACAAACCATGTCAAAAAAAATTGGAGATTTTTTTCCAATTTTCCTTCCACTGATCTTAGGCAGTAATAAACAATGGCATTTGTCATCTTTGGCACTTGCTTTTAGATTATAGTCCCACAGTTGCACTGCCCCAATTGTCTACCTTTGTGGGTACATTTTTGTTCTTTACTCCTAAGTTATTTCTCATAGAACCCAGCCTACTCTAGAATTTCAGCAGTGACATTGGAGAATATTTTTAATTTGCTGCAGTACTATGTCATATTATTAGTATGAATCTCATTTCCCAAAGGGTTTGTATTCTGCTAAAAGGAGATGCCAATGTTGAATGAAGTCTGAAACTCTAGTATGTGCATAGTTTGACGTGCAGCATGCACACCAGGCCTTAAGATGGGAATGTAGCTTAATGATTTTCTGTTTCCCATACCATTTCTAATCTTTTGTGTAATTTTCTCTTAACTGATTGCTCTGATATTGTAAACACAATAGATGTAGCTCTATCATGTCTAGCATAATTTAAAAAATCAGTGTTTTTAGGATTTGGGAAAATAAACTGTAAATGTTTATTTGATAGGTAAATATAGTTTTATTGTCACATGCTAAATATTGCATGCATATTGACTAATTGGAATAACCATTTACTCAATTATGGACAGCTTATTGAAATAGTATTGATTTAGAAAAAGTATATTGCATTTCTAAAAAACATCTACCAAGGTTACTCGTCTGAATATTGCTTTTAGCCGTGTTTTATAACATAGACGAGCAGTAGGGTCTGTTTATTAGCAAATTTCCTATTTGTTCCAATACAAACTCACTTTATTCTAAAGTATATTAATGAAACCAGTTCCTGTGATGTAACTGTAAGCCTTCTCGACTTAGACTTAAAAAGTGGTCACATAGATTAATTTTGTGACTTTTTAGTATAGACTGTAGCCATAATTCTCAAATATGAAATGGGACCTAATACCAGTATGTGATAAATGTTGATGTTTTCTGTGTACAAACACATTTTCTATGCATGTGTCTCTGTGTATATGGCATATACCTAGTAAGTATGTTTCTGTAAGTATGTGTATTTTATGTCCATTTGAGTAGGTAGGTAGGTTTTAAAAATACTAGTTAAAATGCCACAAGCATGAGTGTGATTGTATGTGCACTGTGTGTATATATATAAATATATGTATATGTATGGTTGTAAATATCTATGTATACATGTACTTAGTATGTGTGGTATCAGGATATTTTTTAAACTGTGATAATACAACAGATAGCTTTGAATGATCTGCCATAACATGTGGTAACAATAGTTCATTTCTCATAACATATATGAGGTATACAAAATTTTCTAACTCCAGATTGTAGTCATTTTGAGAGGTACAAAGCTCATAATTACCATGACAACATGGTAATGTCCATAGACATTTGTATCTGAATCCACAAGAAGATCTGAATCTAAGAAGGAATTACCTTTGACAATATTTTTCGGTAAGAAGTAAAACCTCTGGAGACCTATCTTTAAGATCTCTAATTGGAATTATAAATTATTTTTGGATTGCTGAGCTGAATCTTAAAAAGCCAAGTTGATATACATAGTCATTTTTCCTCTATGGTAGAAGTAAAAAAAAAAAAAAAGGACATAGCAACATTAAAGTAGTGGATTTTTCTGAGTAAATTTGCTGAAAATATAAGAGAGAAGCTATCTAATACCTTGGAGGTAGGTCATCCACTTTTTCAGGTAAACATTTTTCATTTGGCAAATGGCATAATTATTTGAAAGTGACAGGAATCTCCTCAGAATGAAGAATAAAGCCTACTAGGTCTCTAACTGTTGAACTCATGAAAGAAGATAGTGTATGAGACTTAAGCCATGAGTTTTGTATCATTTCAATTAGAAGACTACTAGCTGTGAGCTCAGAGTTTAATGTAAATGAATCTAGATGATTTTGAAGAAATGATTATTCGTTCACCAGATCACTCATTGTACATTCTAAAAAGCTCAAATGAGTCTTCTAGATACTCTTACTCATCCTGTCTGGTTGCTATGTTTAAAATTATGTGGTGCTGTGTAGGTGAAACTTTAAGAATATTTTTGAAGCATATGTAATATATGCACTGCTATTTGTGTGTGTGTGTGTGTCTTTGTATATATGTAAGAATGTGTGTATGTGTGAGAGCAAGAGAGAGGAAACTCAAAGAGGAGTGTTTGTCTTAAGACCTGTTCATACTGGTATATTGGTGAGACTTCTCACTTCTGGTTGGAGGTTTCACATATGGCTCAACTCAAGTCATTAATCTCTTTTTAATTTTTACTCTTGAATTCCTTAAACTTCGCTCATTATGAAATGTTTTAAAATTATGACAAAAATTACTCTGTCTAACCACTTGCCTTGTCTGCTACCAGTTTGTTAAAAATTATTCCCCCCAACCAGTAATTCCACCAGTACTACTTGATTTGTGTTATATTTCCTATGTACATGTACAGCCTTTGTTTTGCTTGCTTGTCTATTTTTACTTTCCCTTTTTTGGGTCAAATTTTTCTTTTGCTTTGTTTGAAGAAGGAATATACAGAAGTAAAATCTTGTCTTCTCTGCTGATTCTTTAATTAATATGAGCCGGATACTTTCCACTGTCTTCTTGGCACTTTCAGGATTTCTTAATGCTGATATATGGACTCTTAGAATGGAATTTTTGAAGAAAAATCTCAAAGCCTGTATCGTTCTTGAAGGTCACATGTACCTATTGTGAAAATGTGAAGCTGTATTTCTGAAGCTGAAATAAATTATAACATTTGAAGGACCCCTTTTCCTCATTCTTGTATATATTTGAGTCATGTCTATGCCTTTCAGTAATACCTGAGACTTCTAAATATTTATAGCTCTTTTGATTAAATTGTCCCAGAGTTACCAAAGTAAAGAATGATAGCATTTTCCATTTCTGTCATTAATTTGGAGAAAGATGGGATTTTTAAAGGGAACAAATTGGATAAATCAAAGGCAGGAGAGTGGGAGACATTGTGTTTCTGATTTGATGTCATTATTGGAATCGATTGACGAACACAAACCTTAGCAGGAGGGTATGATGTGACAGTTACCAAGAAGCACCATGACAGTTTGCTGTTGAAAATGAAGCATTTATTTTAGAAATTCTGGGAAGTGGAAGGAGGAAAGATGGTGTGCCCAAATGTTAGGTCCACAGAAGGCATTTCTTATAGCAAATATTTTAGCTCCTGACCCAACAATTAGCCTCTGTTATTTGTTCACTGGGCATAGACAGGACAATTTGCCCCTTTCAGTTTCCCCAGTTTTTTGTTTGTTTGTTTGTTTTTGAGACGGAGTTTCGCTCTTGCCCAGGCTGAAGTGCAGTGGCACTATCTCGGCTCACTGCAAGCTCCGCCTCCCGGGTTCACGCCATTCTCCTGCCTCAGCCTCCTGAGGAACTGGGACTACAGGCGCCCGCCACCACGCCCGGCTAATTTTTTTTGTAATTTAGTAGAGACGGGGTTTCACCATGTTAGCCAGGATGGTCTCGATCTCTTGACCTCGTGATCTGCCCGCCTCGGCTTCCCAAAGTGCTGGGATTACAGGTGTGAGCCACCGCACCCGGCCCAGTTTCCCCAGTTTTAAGAGAATGTATTCAGAAAATGAAAGAATGACACAACTTTGTCCTAATTTTGAGTTTCCAGAGAATAGAGGAAGACTCTCTATTACAAGAGTTTTGATGACAAGTCCCTTATCAATTGACATATTCCCAGATTGTGCCATCTAAATGCAGAAGACAAGAAGGTGATAGGAGGAGAGAGATGTTGATTTATTTTCTTTCTGCGATCAGGGCATGCTCATTGTGAAAAGATGAACTGGACAGATTGTTGTGTGAATTTACTCTTTCCTGTGGGATTTCTTTTTCATATCTATACATTTTCCATGAGTGGAACATCTGTACCTTCAAAGGAAGCTTCTTACTGGAAGAAAGATTCTGGATGCGAATCATGCTGTATACCTGTGTTCTGTTTGTTTGTTTTGTTTTAACTGCATGATTTTGAAGTATGTTAATCATATATTCAGAATAGTTTCTAAAGGTAATTTCCAAAAACAAAGAAACTTATTGTAACTATTTGGCAATTTTCCATTGGTGTTTTAAATAGCTCTGGCATTGGTGTAAACATATGCTCAATCTGTTTCCAAGATTTTTGTTTTTCTGATGGGACCTTTAAATTTCATATTGAGAAACGTGTTTAGTATTTGGTTTAGAGTGACCTCAAACTTTGCTTCCAAGCACTTCAACACACACCTGGCATAGCCACTTTTCAGACCTGTTACTAGTATTATTTTATATTATGGCAGCCTAATAATTAGAATACATACAAGAGATATTGGCTAAAACTACAACCTTAATTCAAAATTTCTCAAAGTGCATTCCATGAAATCTTAATAAGTTTTACATACACATACACCAATGGTTTTTTGGCCAAATATGCTTGAGAAATAATGACTAAAAATCAAATGTTTCTTTATTGAAAGACTTCACAGAAACCTTAAAATCAGACTGCATTGTGAATCTCCAAGAGATGAGTAATGTCTACATATTTCTCAGACTTATTTGACCATAGAACATCTCACAGATCTAGTGTCCTGAGGCACATGCCTTAGGAAACTGCTTCAGTGGCTTTAAGCCAAAGGAAAAGACATTGAGTGTGATTTCCTCAGTACAGACTCTCACTAACAAAAAGTTGGATGATAAAATCAAATGTACTACTCAGGAGGCTGAGGCAGGAGGATCAGTTCAGCCCAAGAGTTTGAGACCAGATTGGCAACACAGCAAGACCTCATCTCTAAAAAAAAAAAAAAAAAAAGTTGTTTGTTTTAATTAGCTGGGCATGGTGGCTCATGCCTGTAGTTCCAGCTACCGGAGAGGCTGAGGCAGGAGGATCAGTTCAGCCCAAGAGTTTGAGACCGGATTGGCAACACAGCAAGACCTCATCTCTAAAAAAAAAAAAAAAAAAGTTGTTTGTTTTAATTAGCTGGACATGGTGGCTCATGCCTGTAGTTCCAGCTACCGGAGAGGCTGAGGCAGGAGGATCACTTGAGCCCAGGAGTTTGAGACTGCAGTGAACTGTGATCGTGCCACTGCATTCCAGCCTGAGGAGTGGAATGGGACCCCACCATCTCTTAAAAAAGAAAAAGACCAAATGTAAGAGCAACAAGAGCTCTCAACTAAGGGCAATTCATCTGGAGCTCTGGTACTTTGTCAAAGGAGTATCTGACTCTTAAGGAGGAAAGTCACATTGGAACAGGTAGCACAAAAGCAGTTTAGAGACATACATGCATTGAGTCTTAATGAGACTTATGAAGGATTCAGATAATTTTATACCTTACCTTTTCTCTCTGACTCTCCAAAAAAGGGATTCTTTAAATTACCTCCATGAGATTATTGTGAAGGAAGGCATCCAGGTTGATCTAAGATTAATCATCAGAGAAGAATGTTGAAGACTATTCCTATTGCCTTTCTTTCCTCCCTTTCCCAAGCCTTCAGGCTCACTCACTGCTCTGGGTTATTAACTTACCTAAAGGATGGGCAAAGAAAGCAAACAGAGCATTTTTTGTGAGTTTTTTTTTTTTTTTTTTTTTTTGAGACAGAGTCTCACTCTGTTGCCCAGGCTGCAATGCAGTGGTGTGATCTTGGCTCACTGCAACTTCCACCTCCCAAGTTCAAGTGATTCTTATGCCTCAGCCTCCCCAGTAGCTAGGATTACAGGCGTGTGCCACCATGCCTGGCTAATTTTTGCATTTTTAGTAGAGACGGCATTTCACCACATTGGCCAGGCTGGTCTCGAACTCCTGACCTCAAGTGATCCGCCCACCTCAGCTTCCCAAAGTGCTGGGATTACAGGCATGAGCCACTGCACCTGGCCTTTTTTGTGAGATTTTAACAGAAAAGAAAAAAGCTATAAGGAAGACCTCCTCAGAGATCTGGCCAGAGGAATGTCACCATAAGACCAAATTTCAGCGTTGACATAGAGCCAAAAGAATGAGGGTAATTCATCATTCTTGTTAATAATTGAGTCTTTTATATATAAATTACACCCATGTTCCAGATACAGCTTTCCAATCTCCTTTACCTGATTTGGCCAAAACATGCTGCTTTGAAGTTATTTTTCAGAATGCTTAAGAAAATATAACCTGAAATTATAGTCTTGATTAGGTAAATTTGCTTATATGTTGAATACTAGGATGGTGAGCTTAAGAATTTGTTAGCAACTCAGTATTCCAATTTAGTACTGCAACTTTCATATGGGAGTGGCAATTGTATGAGGTACCTTTGTAGCTCTACATGTAAAAAGCCCAAATATTTGCAGCACTTGCCTTTAAGCATTTCGGCACTGTGTAAGTCATATAAAAATTATGCAAAAGAAAGAGCAAAAACCCCAACTGCCCATATCCTTAAAAGAACTAATTTTGACCCAGTAAATGGTATCATCAACAACAATGCTTTTTCAGCAATGACAGGAAGGGTAGATACAGTAAAGTGAAGATGAAAAGAAAAAGCTGTCTGAGGATATAAATGTCACCCTGATGTTTCAAGCAAACATTCTAGCTGTCAGTGGAATATATTCCAAGACATAAAGTTTCTGATCCTGTTTCTGGATCAGAACACCAAACTAGCTCAAACAGGAAAGTGTTTTGGCATATGCTAACAGAATGTCGCTTCAGCACTGTGGACTTGCTGTTCAGTTTAATGGCCCACCTCCCCACCCTGCTGAGGTCATTAAAGTGTTCTAAAGCCCCTTCAGAACTCGAAAATAGTTTCTGTTTTCTGGGCAGGTGATAAATCTCATTGAGCTCGACAGAAATTTAATTACACTTTCTTCATGAAAACACCAGGGATACCCATTACCTGGATCTCTAAAGCTAAAGCCTTGCAGACCCCCTAGCCCCTGCCCCGGCCCTGAAGTTGAAAGGTTAGGTACCAATAACAAGTTCTCCATCATTTAAATGGATGGGAGGCCTCTTTAGTGTAGTCAGCTTAAACTGGACTGAAGGAAAATTGATTTTGGACTTTGGGGAAGCTAAGATCATTTTTTACCACTGCCCAGAAATACACCAGTCAGTTTGGCTCCACTAACATCTCATAGAAAATGAAAAAGAAGTTTTTCTGTTTTTGTTTTTGTTTTTTTTTTATAGACTTCATTGCTCCACTCACAAGCAAGAATAAGATGTGTAACAAGAATAAGATGGAAGTGAGCGTTGTTGAACACCTGGATAAGAAGTCAAAGAGAGTAGGGTCTTGAGATAATCTCACCATTCTACAGCTTCCTATAATGTTGAGTTCATTAATGGTTTGGTTAGAAAGGGGAAATTAAAGTGTAGACTTCTGCCAAAAACCAGAGGGAAAGCTTTATTTGGCCTGCTGTTTTCCTACTTACAAAGCTGTTCATTGCAATGTAGGGTTTACTGTATTTTCTCTAGCTGCAAATCATCTCCCTGCTGAACACAAGAAAGGCTGATGTCAAATGAAGCACAACTTGGACCCTCATTTCATTATCCATAGGTCTGATGAAATGCAAGCCAGCCTAGGGAAATGGAGAAAGATCCAGCAGACCAGATTTCATTTACCTTGGGCCCACTTCAGAACAAATCAGAAATACAGTTATACCTAGCTCTTAGACAGAGGGAAATCCTAGAAAATCCTGGGGTTGCCATGGACCAGACCTTGCCTCCTAGTTTCCCTAGGCCTGAATCCAGGCTATTACACACCAGGACTACTCACCTGGAGCAAATTCTTATTTACAAATCCTTTTTTTCTGAGATCAACCTCTGGCATTCTCTGCATTGTGATTACATTGCTCATTTGATCTCTTGACACCTTCTAATTTACCTCACTTAAAAAAAATTTAACCTGCCATTGGCTACATCAACTCCCTCTCCCCCTATGGAGATTTCACAACATTCATTGAAATCTTTGGAAATAACTGAGTTTCACAAAATCAGGGTTGAAAATCAAATATACAAGTTATAAAGGTATTTGGCTCGGGGACTAGTCCCAGTTCTCCTGAATAAGAGTGCATGGATTTATCATTCCATGGTGCAAAATAAGAAGCTTTTTGAGTGAGCTCAAATGGCTCATACCTAGAACATTGCTAGTAGCCAGGAAAAGTCCTGGGAACTGCTAACTTAGCTATGTGATGTCCCTTCATTTCCTTTGCATGTCTGCATGTTTTTGTGTGTGATTTGAATTTGACTTTTGTGAGCTATTTTTGCATGCTATTATTTGGGTTTATTTTATAATTTAAACATTGTTTTCTTCCTCTGCATCTGTGTCTTTCTTTTTGTTATTTTGTTTTGTTTTGTTTTGTTTTTACTAGGCGACCCCCTCCTGCAGTTCCAGGACGACCATCCTAACCCCCATCATTCATCTCCTTTTGTTTCCAACAACATGTCTATCCATGGTATTTAAAAGCTTTTCATTTGCACTATATGTCGTATGTACATAAAAACTTTTATTTTTCATCCATGTGTATAATAAAAACAAAGTTTATTCTATATAAAAATGAAGTGTGTTCTGTTTCTTTTTTTAAAGAAGACCTAAATTTAAAAAAGAATTTGTTTCAACTAAAACAAGGTAAGGTGAATATATTATGTGTTCCTCTAAGAAGCTTAATTCAAAAGTTCTTAAAGCATTGTGATTTAAGACGGTCTTTGGTAGAGACTAATAATCTACCTTCAAGTGAAATTTCTGTCCAATAGAAGAATAAAAAGAAAAAGAAAATTTATGGATGTCTAGAAAAAACACAGAAGACTAAATAATTCCAATCCACCTCCAGGAATCCCATTTTTACTTATTATTGCACCAAAATATTTTTTCCTATTATTGTTTTTCTAAACACTCTTAAGGGAGATAAAATGTAAGATCATAGAAGAAACTGTAGAGCAAAAACACATAAACCTCATAAATTCTATATGGCAAATGTAAGGGCGAAAAACCACATCATTCAGAATAAAAGTACAAGGCAAGGAAATGTTGCCACCTTGAGAAGAAAGACTCTTCATGATGTCAGTAAAGCACTAGAAAAATGGAGTCCATATAAGTTTGAAGGAATAGAGAACTTTTTATTCCTCTATCCTCAAATGGTAATTCTAACACTAAAATTTTAATCTATAATTTTTTAACAAGCATCCCAAAGATGTATCCAAATAAAATGTTTATTATTTAGGTAATATAGTACATTCCACCAAATATGTGATCTGAAGCCTTCCCAAAGGTTTAAGATTTAATTCAGAATTTTATTTTTTGAAAATTTATGTGGCCTAAAATAGAACTTGAAAGTAGTCCTTCTCAAATGAGATCACTTCTGAATGTGCTCCCCTTCAGCATATTAAGATGACAGAAAACTACATGACAAGAGAGTCAAAAAAATCATTCATCAGTTCTATTTACTTCACATCTGACCTAGGCAAGCCCTGGCAAAGGAGGTATTTGGAAGATGTGGGCAGGAACCCCCAGTTGTAAAAGGGAGAGTCCTCATTAGTAATGCTGTTTCTTCGGACCACAAATTTTTTTAAGGACTGAGTTCTCCACTCAAAAATGAAAAATCAGTTTCTTGGTTTAAAATGTTCATATGGCATGTTACATTATTTTAATTGTATCCCCGGTCCAGTGACTACCATTTAAAATCAGTGATAACTAAGAAAGTTCAAAGGCTCCAAACCAAGGCATCAACTGAAGCTCATGTATAGCAGGAAGGAGGTGACTTGATGTAAAATAGCACATAGCATGCAGTCTTTTGTCCTTTCCTTCCCCTCCAGTCCAGGCATTTGATTTTTAAATCAATATTCTTAGTGGATAGCATTCTTCATCCCAATAGACAAAAATGTACCTAGATGATTTCATACCACCTCCCCAAATGAAAACCGAAGTTGTCAAAGAGAAGGTTTTCTTCAATTCATTTTTTAAAAGTGTTTGGTACTTTTCCACTTTGTCTTAAACATGGACTTATTTTTATATGCAGTGTTACACAGTTTAGATGTATAAAACTTAAATTGACCTGATGAATGATGAGAAGGAAAAACTCCAGTCATAACAGAATGAAATGACAACCTTACTCAGTTTTCCTTAACAAAGAAGTGTGTTCCCTTCCTTACATTCTATAGGCAAGAAAAAAGAGGGCAGGGGAAAGGGATGGGGGGCAGCCTGGAGTAAAATTAAATTATGCTAAGATTTGTTAATATGTATTTAGTAAATAGTATTTCTATGTTTCATAATATACCTTTCCCCAACTCTTCTTACCTCCACCTCCACCCTGCTATGTTTAATAGACTTGAAAAATTACTCCCTTTTTCAGAGTTGATCATAACTCAGGATAGTCAGGAAGAGCCAAACTATTATGCCTTTAGTAAACATAATATTCCTTATATATTTTCATTCCTTTATTTATGCATCAAACATTTCTTGAATTCATGATAATGTCCTGGACCCTGGGAATACCAGAGAAGTAACAGAATAAAAGTAGCTTACAAAATAGCTAAATAAGCAATTACAATGTAGTGCTACAATAAGAGAAAAGTTTGGTTGTCTTTCCAGGGAGAACTGTTCTGACTTCAGTACTGAAGCAGCTATCTGAGTTTTAGTATACTGTTATCAACTTTACCCAACACATGCTAATGTTCCAGAACATTGTGATTTTGACTTCTAACAAAGAAAGGAATACTAGAACTCATTTCAGCCAATCAGAAACTGAGCTTTTCATTCTGAATGGAATTATATGATTCAAGATGTAAATCACACAGATGTTGGTAGAGAAAAAGGCATACTGGTATTGAAACTGTAAACTGGCCTGTTTACTTCGTCTCCTAACAAAAAACACTTTGGATTCAGGTTCTCCACAGCAGTCTTCCACTGGCCACAGTGAGGGGAGCTAGGTTTCCCCAGTCTCCAGCTAGAAAAACTCAGAACATCTAAAGATCTGAAAGATGGAAAAAAGAGAACTAAAGGTAGGAAAAAAATAAATGAAACTTCCAATTCTTTCCTTATGGGGTTACCCTGGTAAATGTTTGTATGCCTTGGAGGCCACATAAACATTGAGGGGTGTTTCAACAGACATCCTAGAAGTTGAAAGCCAAAAGAAGGTAAGGAAATAACAGCTGATGTTCAGTTACAGGTGAAGATAATTTTAATGGGTTTGGGGCATGATAAATTTCAATGCTCTTTATCGTATAGTTTGGAAAAAATGTTGTACTTGCCAACATCTTTTATAACTCAGCATTTAAGTATGATTTTTTTAAATCCTCAGAAAATTGATACCAGATTCTTTAGTGCAGTTCCCTGAGATTCTGAAGTAAACCTTCTCAACTGTGAATGCACTTTAAAACAATGAATCTCAGTCACAGGAAGTTAAGATTGCTGAGAAAGAAAAAAAAACTTGTATAGACTTTTATAATTACTAGGGTCTAAATCTGAATAAATCACATTGAGCTTATGACACTGTATGTTTCCTATTTAAAGGGATATACTAGCTGTCTCTATTACCATAGTACAGGTGCTCCTTGACTTATGATAGGGTTACATCTCAATAAACCACCACAAGTTGAAAATATTGTAAGTCAAAAATGCATGCAATACCCTGATGAACCCATGATAAAGTAAAAAAATCCTAAGTTGGGGAGGACGCAGAGCAAGATGGCCAAACAGAAGCCTTCACTGATTGTTCTCCATGCACGAACATCAAATTTAACAACTATCTACACAAAAAAGCACCTTCATAAGAACCAAAAATCAGTGATCACAAAGTGATCACAGTACCTGGTTTTAACTTCGTATTGTTGAAAGAAGCACTGAGGAAGATAAGAAAGACAATCTTGAATTGCTGACACCACCCCTCCCCCATCCCCTGGCAGCAGCCACATAGTGTGGAGAGAGAATCTGTGCACTTGGAGGGAGGGCACAGCGATTGTGGGACTCTAGAATTCAGTGCTGCCAATACGGGGCAGAACTTAGCTGTTGCCAATGGAGGGACCATTTAGACCACCCTTAGCCAGAGGAGAATTGCCCATCCCAGGTTTCAGAAACTGAGTTTTGACTACCTCCACCACCATGGGCTAAAGTGCTCTGAGGTCCTAAATAAACTTGAAAGCCTGTCTGGGCCACAACAACTGCAATACCCAGGCAAGTCCTAGTGCTGTGCTGGGCTCTGAGCCAGTGGACTGGGGAGCGCACGATCTAGTAAGACACCAGCCAGGATGGCTAAGTAAGTGCTTACAGCACCCCTCCCCCAACCCCAGGCAACACAGCTTATGGCTCCAAAAGGGACTCCTTCCTTTGCTTGAGGAGAGAAGAGGGAAGAGTGAAAAGGACTTTGTCTTGCAACTTGGATACCAGTTCAGCCAGAGTAGGATAGGGTACTGGGCAAAATCCTGAGGCACTCATTGCAGGCCCTAGCTCTTGGATGACATTTCTAGATATACCCTGGGCCAAAAGGGAACTGCCTTGAAGGGAAGGACCCAGTCTTGGCAGATTTCATCACATGCTGAATAAAGAGCCTTTGGACCCTGAAAAATCAGTAGCAGTAGCCAAGTACTACATACCGTGGGCCTCAGCTGAAACTCCGAAATGCACTGGCTTCAGATGTGACCCAGCACATTCACAGGTCTGGTGGCTACGAGGAGAGACCACTTCTGCTTGAGAAGAACAGAGGGAAGAATAAAGGGGACTCCGTCTTGAGCTTAGGTACCAGCTTAGCCACAGTGGGAAAGAGCACCAAGCCAGCTCTTTGGGTCCCTGATTCCAGTCCTTGGCTCTTGGATGGCATCTCTGGACCTATTCTAGGCCAGAGAGGAGCCCACTGCCCTGAAGGGTAAGTCACTTTCCTGGCAGCATCCAACACATGCTGGCAGAAGAGCCCTTGGGCCTTAAGTGAACATTGGCAGTATCCCAGCAGTACTCCTCATGGGCCTGTGGTGGTGTTGGACATGAGAAGAAACTCCTTTGCCTGGGGAAGAGCAGGAAAGGGTGGGAAGGACTTCAGTGGTTCGGGTGCCAGGTCAGCCACAGTAGAATACAAAACCAGGTAGATTTCTAAAGTTTCCAACTCCAGGCCCTGACTCCCAGACAGCGTCTCTGGACTCACCCAGGGCCCAGGGGAACTTGATTCCCTGAAGGAAAGGACACAGCCTTGCTGGTTTTACCACCTGCTGATTGTAGCGCCCTAGAGCCTTGAGCGAACATAGATGGTAGCCACGTAATAGTTACAGTGGGCCTTGGGCAAGACCCAGTGCTATGCTGGCTTCAGGTCTGACCCAGGGCAGTCCCAGTAGTGGTGGCCACAGGAGTGCTTATATCACCCCTCCCTTAGCTCCAGTCAACTCAGCACAGGAAGAGAGACTCTGTTTCTTTGGGAAAAAGTAAAGGAAGAGAACAAGAGTCTCTGCCTGGTAATCCAGAGAATTATTCTGGATATTATCTAGGACCACCAAGGTGGTACCTCTATGAGTCTGCAAGAGCCACAGCGTTACTGGGCTTGGGGTACCCCTTAATGCTGATATGGCTGCAGTGGCCAAAAACTTAGATCATAACACCCAAGTCCCTTCAAATACCTGGAAAACATTCCGAAGAAGGACAGGTACAAACAAGCCCAGACCAGACACTAACAAGCATCCACAAGCACAGGACCATCCAGGAAAACATGCCCTTACCAAACAAACTAAATAAGACATCAGTGACCAATACTGAAGAGACAGAGATAGTGACCTTTCAGACAAGGAATTCAAAATAGCTGTTTTGAGGAAATTCAAAAAAATTCAAGATAACACAGAGAGGGAGAATTCAGAATTCTATCAAATAAATTTAACAAAGAAATTGAAATAATTAAAAAGAATCAAGCAGAAATTCTGGAGTTGAAAAATGCCATTGACATACTGAAGGATGCATCCATCAGAGGCTGTTAGCAGAATTGATCAAGCAGAAGAAAGAATTAGTGAGCTTGAAGCCAGGCTGTTTGAAAATATATAGAGGGGACAAAAGAATAATTCCAAGTTGAACCATTGTATGTCAGGGACCATCTTTATATATTTTTGTTATTGTTTTTGATGCTACAAGTTACTATTGAATCTAAATACTGTCAACATATTAAGATCAGACTAGGTGGCAGGCTATTGGATGAGTCAACACTATAAACTCCTACTCCCATCCTCGGTTTTTAATCAAATCAAGTTTTATCATACATTATGTCACATCCCAATTTTCAGCCCCAGTTCACATCTTCAATGAACCTCATGAACATGAGCCATGGGTAGATAATAAAGAAAGCCTAAGCAAGCCGCAGAAGACCAAAGAGACTTAAGGATCTGCAAGGCAGTAACCAAGAAGTCACTAATGTGGGTTCTGCCTCTCAAAACAGCTACTAACAAAGTATTTTGATGTTCCACATAACATTATCAAAAAATTAGCCTCTCAGGCTTTTAGGGGTTATATTCCCTTCTCTTTTTTATTTTGTTTTTTGAGATGGAGTCTTGCTCTGTCACCCAGGCTGGAGTGCAGTGGCACGATCCCGGCTCACTGCCACCTCTGCCTCCCGGGTTCGAGAGATTCTCATGCCTCAGCCTCCAGAGTAGCTGGGACTACAGGTGCCTGCCACCACACCCGGCTAATTTTTGTATTTTTAGTAGAGATGGGGTTTCACAATGTTGGCCAGGCTGGTCTTAAACTCCTGACCTCAAGTGATCTGCCCACCTCAGTCTCCCAAAGTGTTGGGTTTACAGGTGTGAGCCACCGTGCCCGGCCTCCTTGTTCTTATCTCTGAGGGTACATTCAGAAGGCAATGGAGAGCAAGTTAGAGTCAAAGAGATGATTCCTTCTGCCTCTTTTTTTTTCTTTTAATGACAAAAATATTCTCAGCTACATCCACAAAATCTGCTCAATGTCTTAAAGATCTATTTATTTTGCAACTTAAAAAGAGTGTGAGGCCCACAGTGTTCTCACTGACCAGAGTTCAAATGTCACTCGGGCCCAGCACAAGGCCACAGGGCCAGCCTGGAGTGGCAAGCAGTGAGCCAACAGAGCTTGTAAAGTAGAAGCAGCTCCTCTTGAGCCAGGTTTCGTGGGAGCCTGAGGGACCTCAGCATTGGTAAAATCAATTTGTTCCATCATCCTAGTAGTATTATGGTCAAAGAATTACAGAGCTAGTCTGTTTAGGACAGAAGACCTTAGGATCATACTGGATGTTACTTGATTCTCAATGCCAGTTGGTTCCATTTGGTGGCAGAAAAGGCCATTTGTCTTTCTAAGCCCTTTCCTTGGGTACTTTTACCCCAGCATTACCTGATGGGCATAAGGAGGCAGCACCAAATAGTGTTGCCAGACTTGTGGTGCTGAGCACATGCCAGCCAATTGGGAAATGGCTGCTTCCTGACTACCCCACCTCTGGGGAATTATCTCATTAATCACAGTAATATACCTGGAGGAAAATGATGTTTTAATTTTTTGATGATGGTTATTGTTCGTCAAGTTACACCAACATTGATGGCATCTGTGAGTTACGAAAGGAAAAAAAAGCAAAAAGTATAGGCGTGGTCTAAGCTAGCAGGCCCAACAAGCCTTCAGCTGTTTCTAATCTGCCTCTCCCCTGCAGCTGAGCCCTCTTGGTGGCCAAAGGAGTATGCCTTATCAGGCCCAACCTTCCACAGAATGTTGGTCAAACCCTGGCTCTCACCTAAGCTCTGATCACTTTGCCCAAAATCAAAATTTTTAGAGCACTACAATGACACTGCTTGCTATTAGAAGTTTGCACTGTTCTGAGGAGGTTTGTGATATTATCCCCAAAAGGTCCTTGTCAAAATGCACATAACCCAGAGAACTAGCACATTAATCCCATTAGTGAGCAATAATATGCTCATGAGGATGTGAAAAGGCCTACATTCTGAGAACACATCTCCTTCAAGGTGAAGAGGAAGCCCCCAAAATTCACCCCTCCCTACCCACCCACTCACACGCTCACTACTACTATCTGCCTTACACTTACTGGAACTTATGTCATTAACCTTTTATCCCAGCCTGTGTCAATCATCCAAGAACCCCTGGATTCTAGGCCACTCTCCACGCTAATTTCCATGCAGTTCTGTATGTTCCTATTCTGTCTTCCCATCTCTCCCAAATTTCTGTAACCCTTCCACTGTCTCCTCTATAATTCACTGCCCATGATCAACAAAATTCCCTGTATCTTCAACCTATTCTCTGGATATGCACTTCACAATCTTACTCTAACAAACCAGAGTTTCTCTGAAAGGACTGCCTCCCCTGCATCCTTTTCCAAAGGTGGCAGCTTGTCTCCCACAGCCCTCACACTGCTGAGCCTGAAGTGGGGTAGTTATCCTCATTTTTTGTTTTGTTTTCAGACCATTCTTCTTTCCTCCTCGCTAAAACCCCCAGCTTTGAACCTCATGGCATCAGATTACAGCACTATCTACATGACCCTATGTGTTGCTTTTAACTACCAATGCCCAATTCATTCTCCCTTATTTCTTGATGATTTTAGCTCCTGTTTCAATGTCACTCCCTCCAGTGATACTCCTGTTTTAATTCTTGGGGATTTTCATACGCTTCTTGGTAATCCACCCTCACCCTGCCTCTCATTTTCTTGACTTCACTCTTTCAATGGTCTTTTTTTTTTTCTTCTACTTGAGTGCTAAGTAGTGAGATCTTGCAATGATCTTGCTCTCCACTCTATCTCAGCTACTCATTTCCAAAATTAAAACCTTGTCTTTCCCCACTCTCTCATCTCTATATCCTATCTTTCTAGCCTACTTCTATTGTTTTAATCTCTTGGATCTCCAATCTATTCACCTTTATGCTGTCCCTCAGCCCTCTGTCCTTCACCCTTCTTGAGGTTCACTCTCCTTACCCAACTTAAATTGAATGGTCAATCATTGTCATCATGCCCATGCATATATACCTGTCTCCCTTGCCCTTCTCTCAATTTGTTAAAACCACCATTCTGGGTAAATCTAACTCTCTACCTACTCTGGTTTGCACCCATGTAACTGTACATGGTCTGGAAAGCACACACACAAGCAAAGAACAAAGCCAGGATAACTGGTTTCACTTTAAATTAATCACCACCATATTCAAGTGAGCCCTTAATACTGCCAAGCAGTTACACTAAGCATCCCTTGTTCATTCACTCTCCCAATGTCCTAAGTTGTTTCACACCTTTTCTCTCACTCCCCTATCCTCAATCTCAGCTGATTCCTTGCCTCCAACTTCCCTGAGAAAATTGAAGCAATCAGAAAAGAACTCCCAAAGACTCTCATCACCTCATCTACCCATTTACTAATATCGGTATTCATCTACTCTGTCTTCTCACTTGTTCCCATAGATCAACCATCCCTGCCCTTGTCGAAAGCCAGGCTTTGCACTTGTGCACTTATGTACTCCAGAATATTTCCCCAGCAATTCTTCCCTCTCTCACACCATCAACTAACAACTCTCTACCATTTCATTTCAATCAGGGTGCAAACATGCTATCATTTTTTTGGTCTTCACTTTCCCTTTCAGTTTCTGTCCTATTTCCTGGCT
Source organism: Homo sapiens (assembly GCF_000001405.40). NCBI lineage: Eukaryota > Metazoa > Chordata > Mammalia > Primates > Hominidae > Homo > Homo sapiens. The sequence goes on from NC_000001.11 coordinate 172,427,481, forward strand.
CCCCTTTGAAGCAAAACTATAAAGCTGTCTATACTTGCTGCTAAATTTCTCTTCTATTTTCTCTTAAACCCACACCAAACAGGTTTTTATTCCAGCACTCCAACAAAAACCTGCTCTTTTAAATGTAAAGGTCAATTTTCAGCTGTCTTACTTGCTTTATCATGTTTTTATCTGATCACATTTGATCACCCACTCTCTCTGGAGACACATTCAGCACTTGGTTTGCAGGACACAGAATTCTCTTGCTTTTCCCTTGCCTCAGTGGTTTTGCTGTCCAAATCTTTTTGCTTCTTCTTCGCCTCAACATTTTACTTTGGAGTTCTTGGTCCTTTTCTGTCTATAACCATTTCCTTGGTGATCTCATTCAGTCTCACAGCATTAAATATCATTTATATTGCCAACAAATCCCGAATTTATATCTGAATTTCATCTCTCTCAAACTCCAAGGTCATATTTCCTATATTCCCTTCAACATTTCAGGCTGAATGTCTTCAAGACATTTCCTATCCCACGTGCACCAAACTAAACTCCTAATCTTCCTCCCCAAAATCTCCAGTTACCATCCCTCTGCCCCCACCTCAGTTAACAACATATCCATATTTCAGTTTGTTCAGGGGAAAAACCTTAATTTATAACTCTTCTCTTTCTTTCACACTCTACATCTAATACATCAGGTAGCCCCACTGTCTTTACTTTCAAATTACATATAGAACGTGACTATTTTCCGCCACTTCCTCTGCCATCCTCTGTTTTGAGCCACCATTATCCCTTGCTTGTATTACTGCAAAAGCCTCCAAATGCTTCTTCCTGTGTCTACTCTTGCCCTACAGCAACCAGAATGAGCCTTTCAAAATATGTATCTTCTTTTTCTCCATGACCCTCCAATGGCTCCTATCTCAGAGTAAAAGCCTAAGCTAGTAGCTTACAATGTCATACATAATCTAGCTTCCCACGTTACCTCTACGACTTCGTCTTCTGTTGCTCACTCCACTTCAGCCACTCCTTGCTATTCCCCACACATGCCAGGTATTCTTCTGCCCAAAGGTTTTGTAGCAGCTCTTTCCTCTGCAGCTCTTCCCTCTGACTGGGATGCTCTTCCCCAGGGAATCTGAATTACTCCCTCACTTCCTTCAAGTCTTTGGTAAAATGTTACCTTTCCCATGAGACCTACTCTGACCTCTTTATTTAATGCTATGCCACTTTTTTCTTTTTTCCATAGCACTTACTACCTTCCATTTATGTTTATTATCTATCTCCTCCTGCTATAATGTCAGCTCTACTAGGTCAAGAACCTTTGTCCTTTTTATTTACAGATATATTCCAAGCACACAGAACAGTATTTGTCATACAGTAAGTACTCAAAAAATATTTATTGACAATAAATTCCTGAAGCCACACACTATAAAAATCTGAATGGTAGAAGGTGAGTAGAGGGAAGCTTATGTAGATACTAAATATTTTGTTGGATTTTGGGGGATACTGTTGGATACTGGGGGAAGAGAATAAGGGATAAGGGAACGATGAGGAATTTGACAAAGCATTAAAAGCAACTGCCTACCATTATCCTTCAGTCCTGGGCTCCATTCAGGCACAAGCACAGGCTTTGTGTAAGAAAAGCAAAGTATTAGCCCAAGTTGGTAACATAGCCTTAGGCAATACTTAACCCACTCTGAGTCTCAGTCTCAACTGTGAAATGGAAATAAAACCTCTTACAGGATTGCTGTGAGAAGTAAATACAAATATACACACACACACACACACACACACACACACACAGACACACACACACATACACACACAACGTGCATAGCACGTTACCTAGCACGCATTGGGTGCTCTAAAATACAGGTGCTATTATTTATCAAACCCCAGTATGCTATTTACCTCCTGAATTTATGGAGACCTCAGACTCATTAATTCAGGTGTAGTTATTTCCCAAACCACAATTCAGCAAGAATTTCAAGACTCTAATTGCATCTCTTATAAAAAGGGAAATCAATCACTTCCACAAGATGGCACTGTGTCCCAGCCCTGTTTCCCTAAATACAACAGGTTTGAAATTTTGTATAACTATGTAACTGATGCCCTCTGCTGACTTGTTTTCTTTTTCTTGTCCTTGAGCCTTTGGCTTGGAGGATGTAAATGATGGCTCAATATGCATCCTCTATATGCTTGGTATGAATTATTAAATCCACAATGTAACCCAGCTGCCCAAAGTATTTCTCAAAAGTTTACTGACACCAATACAATCTCCACACAGAACACCAGGCATGTTGCTACAGCCAGATGCACAAGCCTTCTAGTTACATGCCAATCATAAATCAGCTGCATCACGCCACAAAATAAAGTGCACCTGTCATCCTATTGCTCTACTTCTTCTTAATCCCTCCCATACCAACTTTAATCCTTAATCCTTGGCACCATTTTGGAAGTGTGAGCAAAGCTGCCTCCCCATTCCTCTGTCCTTGATCTCACTTGCCACACCACCCTCCAGCCTTACCTGTAACTTAGAGTGATAAGAAGCAGAGCTGGGAGGAAGGGGTGTAGAGGGAGAAGGGCAGACAGCTTCTTATGCTGGCAAATATTTGGCAGGTTGGGATTTAATTCCAATGCTACTGTAAACTTTTCCTCCTCACCTTTCCCCCTTTCCCACACACACCACAGTATTCTCTAAAACTCTAAATCATTCATATTCTACTTGCACCCTTTCAGTGTGGTTTAAATATAAGAGACTGACTAGATCACTGAATTTAAGTGATGAGTAACTTCCCACCACAACTGTCATACTACTTTATACCAATTGTTTTCTAGGCCTGAATCCTTGTGCCAGCAGCCCACAAAGAGGCATGCCACAGGTGAGCCTCATCATCCTTCTGATGGCAGCAGTTAAGGGCTCTGGATTGCTTGACATTTTCTTAATAGAACGTTTAATGAATTTTTAATTTGCAATTTTTCTTAAACCTTTTTTTATTTATTTTTGAGACAGGGTCTTGCTTTTTGCCCATGCTGGAGTGCAGTGATGTGAACACAACTCACTGCATTCTCGACCTCCTGGGCTCAAGATCTGCCTGCCTTAACTTCTCGTGCAGCTGGGACCACAGGCACGCATCACCACCTCCAGTTAATTTTTTAAATTTTTTGTAGAGACAGAAGTCTCACTTTGTTGCCCAGGCTCGTCTCAAACTCCTGGGTTCAAGCAATTTTCCCACCTCAGCCTCCCAAAGTGCTGAGATTGCAGGTGTGAGCCATTGCGCCCAGCCAGATACAGCATTTTTTACAAATTGAAGATTTGTGGCAACCTTGTGTTAAGCAAGTCTGTCAGTGCCATTGTTCCAATTGCATGTGCTCACTTTGTGTTCCTGTGTCACATTTTGGTAATTATGACAATATTTCAAACTTTATTATCATATCTGTTATGCTGATCTGTGATCAGTGATCTTTGATGTTACCATTGCAATTGTTTTGGGGTACCACAAACTATACCCATATAAGAGGGCAAACTTAGTGGATATGTGTGTGTGTTCTGACTGCTCCACTGACCAGCTCTTCCCTGTCTTTCTTCCTCTTCTTGGGCCTCCCTATTTCCTGAGACACAACAGTATCAAAATTAAGCCAATTAATAACCCTGCAATGGCTTTTAACTGTTCAAATGAAGAGTTGCACATCTCTCATTTTAAATCAAAAGTAGAAATGATTAAGCTTAGTGAAGAAGGCATATCAAAAGCCGAGACAGGCTGAAAGCCAGGCCTCTTGTGACAAACAGCCAAGTTGTGAATGCAAATAAAAAGTTATTGAAGGAAATTAAAAGTGGTACTCCCATGATAAGAAACTAAAAGAGCCTTACTGTTAATACAGATAAAGTTATAGTGGTCTGTATAAAAGGCTAAACCAGTCACAACATTCCCTTTAGGCCAAAGCATAAACCACAACAAGGCGCTAACTCTTCTCAATTTAACAAAGGCTGAGAGAGGAGAGGAAGCTGCAGAAGAAAGGTTTGAAACTAAGAGAGGTTGATTCATGAGGTTTAAGGAAAACAGCCATCTCTGTAACATAAAAGTGCACACTAAAGCAGCAAGTGCTCATATGGAAGCTGCAAGTTATCCAGAAGATCTAGCTAAGAACATTGATGCAGGCTTCCATTCCAAGATGGCCAAATAGGAACAGCTCCAGTCTGCAGCTCCCGGCGTGATCGATGCAGAAGACAGGTGATTTCTGCATTTCCAACTGAGGTATCTGGTTCATCTCACTGGGCCTGGTTGGACAGTGAGTACAGTCGATGGAGGGTGAGCCAAAGCAGGGCGGGGCATCGCCTCACCTGGATTGCTCAAGAGGTTGGGGGATTTCCCTTTCCTAGCCAAGGGAAGCCGTGACAGACTGCACCTGGAAAAACAGGACACTCCTGCCCCAAACACTGTGCTTTTCCCAAGGTCTTAGCAACCGGCAGACAAGGAGATTCTCTCTCGTGCTTGGCTTGGTGGGTCCCATGCCCATGGGGCCTTGCTCACTGTAGCACAGCAGTCTGAAATCAAACTGTGAGGCAGCAGCCTGGCTGGGGGAGGGGCGTCCTCCATCACTGAGGCTTGAGTAGGTAAACAAAGCAGCCGGGAAGCTCAAACTGGGTGGAGGCCACTGCAGCTCAGCAAGGCCTACCGCCTCAATAGACTCCACCTCTGTAGGCAGGACATAGCTGAACAAAAGTGAGCAGACAACTTCTGCAAACTTAAACGTCCCTGTGTGACAGCTCTGAAGAGAGCAGTGGTTCTCCCAGCACAGCATTTGAACTCTGAGAATAGACAGACTGCCTCCTCAATTGGGTTCCTGACCCCCAGGTAGCCTAACTGGGAGACACCTCCCAGTAGGGGCCGACTGACACCTCATACAGGTGGGTGCCTCTCTGGGACGAAGATTCCAGAGGAAGGATCAGGCAGCAATGTTTGCTGTTCTGCAATATTTGCTGTTCTGCAGCCTCCGCTGGTGATAACCAGGCAAACAGGGTCTGGAGTGGACCTCCAGCAAACTCCAACAGACCTGCAGCTGAGGGACCCGACTGTTAGAAGGAAAACTAACAAACAAAAAGGAATAGCATTAACATCAACAAAAAGGACATCTACACCAAAACCCTATCTGTAGGTCACCAACATCAAACACCAAAGGTAAATAAAACCACAAAGATGGGGAGAAACCAGAGAAGAAAAGCTGAAAATTCTAAAAACCAGAGCGCCTCTTCTCCTCCAAAGGATCGCAGCTCCTCGCCAGCAATGGAACAAAGCTGGACAGAGAATGACTTTAATGAGTTGACAGAAGTAGGCTTCAGAAGGTCAGTAATAACAAACTTTTCTGAGCTAAAGAAGCATGTTCTAAGCAATCGCAAGGAAGTTAAAAACCTTGAAAAAAGGACAGATGAATGGCTAACTAGAATAAACACCATAGACAAGACCTCAAATGACCTGATGGAGCTGAAAACCATGGTACGAGAACTATGTGATGCATACACAAGCTTCAATAGCCGATTTGATCAAGTGGAAGAAAAGGTATCAGTGATTGAGATCAAATTAATGAAATAAAGCAAGAAGACAAGTTTAGAGAAAAAAGAGTAAAAAGAAACAAACAAAGCCTCCAAGAAATATGGGACTATGTGAAAAGACCAAATCTACGTTTGATTGGTGTACCTGAAAGTGATGGGGAGAATGGAACCAAGTTGGAAAACACTCTTCAGGATATTATCCAGCCTAGCAAGGCAGGCCAACATTCAAATTCAGGAAATACACAGAACACCACAAAGATACCCCTTGAGAAGAGCAACCCCAAGACACATAACTGTCAGATTCACTAAGGTTGACATGAAGGAAAAAATGTTAAGGGCAGCCAGAAAGAAAGGTCAGGTTACCCACAAAGGGAAGCACATCAGACTAACAGTAGACCTCTCAGCAGAAACCCTACAAGCCAGAAGAGAGTGGGGGCCAATATTCAACATTCTTAAACAAAAGAATTTTCAACCCAGAACTTCATATCCAGCCAAACTAAGCTTCATAAGTGAAGGAGAAATAAAATCCTTTACGGACAAACAAATGCTGAGAGATGTTGTCACCACCAGGCCTGCCTTACAAGAGCTGCTGAAGGAAGCACTAAACATGGGAAGGAACAACTGGTACCAGCCACTGCGAAAATATGCCAAATTGTAAAGACTATCGATGCTAGGAAGAAACTGCATCAATTAACGGGCAAGATATCCAGCTAACATCACAATTGCAGGATCAAATTAACACATAACAATATTAACTTTAAATGTAAATGGTCTAAATGCCCCAATTAAAAGACACAGACTGGCAAATTGGATAAAGAGTCAAGACCCATCAGTGTGCTGTATTCAGGAGACCCATCTCACGTGCAGAGACACACATAGGCTCAAAATAAAAGGATGGAGGAAGACCTACCAAGCAAATGGAAAGCAAAAAAAAGCAGGGGTTACAATCCTAGTCTCTGATAAAACAGACTTTAAACCAACAAAGATCAAAAGAGACAAAGAAAGCCATTACATAATGGTAAGGGGATCAATTCAACAAGAAGAGCTAACTATCCTAAATATATATGCACCCAATAAAGGAGCACCCAGATTCATAAAGCAAGTCCTTAGAGACCTACAAAGAGGCTTAGACTCCAACACAATAATAATGGGAGACTTTAACACCCCACTGTCAATATTAGACAGATTAACGAGACAAAATGTTAACAAGGATAACCAGGATTGAACTCAGCTCTGCACCAAGCAAACCTAATAGACATCTACAAAACTCTCCACCCCACATCAACAAAATATACATTCTTTTCAGCAGCACATCGCACTTATTCTAATATTGACCACATAGTTGGAAGTAAAGCACTCCTCAGCAAATGTAAAAGAACAGAAATCACAACAAACTGTCTCTCAGACCACAGTGCAATCAAATTAGAACTCAGGATTAAGAAACTCACTTAAAGCCACACAACTACATGGAAACTGAACAACCTGCTCCTGAATGACTACTGGGTACATAACAAAATGAAGGCAGAAATAAAGATGTTCTTTGAAACCAATGAGAACAAAGACACAACATACCAGAATCTCTGGGATGCATTTAAAGCAGTGTGTAGAGGGAAATTTATAGCACTAAATGCCCACAAGAAAAGCAGGAAAGATCTAAAATCAACACTCTAACATCACAATTAAAAGAACTAGAGAAGCAAAAGCAAATTCAAAAGCTAGCAGAAGGCAAGAAATAACTAAGATCAGAGCAGAACTGAAGGAGATAGAGACATAAAAAACCCTTCAAAAAATCAATGAATCCAGGAGCTGGTTTTTTGAAAAGATCAACAAAATTGATAGACCGCTAGCAAGACTAATAAAGAAGAAAAGAGAAGAATCAAATAGACACAATAAAAAATGATAAAGGGGATATCACCACCAATCCCACAGAAATACAAACTACCATCAGAGAATACTATAAACACCTCTATGCAAATGAACTAGAAAATCTAGAAGAAATGGATAAATTCCTGGACACATACACCCTCCCACAACTAAACGAGGAAAGAGCTGAATCTCTGACTAGACCAATAACAGGCTCTGAAATTGAAGAAATAATTAATAGCCTACCAACCAAAAAAAGTCCAGGACCAGATGGATTCACAGCCGAATTCTACCAGAGGTAAAAAGAGGAGCTGGTACCATTCCTTCTGAAACTATTCCAATCAATAGAAAAAGAAGGAATCCTCCCTAACTCATTTTATGAGGTCAGCATCATCCTGATACCAAAGCCTGGCAAAGACACACAAAAAAGAGAACTTTAGGCCAATATCCCTGATGAATGTCGATGCAAAAATCCTCAATAAAATACTGGCAAATGGAATCCAGCAGCCCATCAAAAAGCTTATCCACCACGATCAAGTTGGCTTCATCCCTGGGATGCAAGGCTGGTTCAACATACGCAAATCAATAAACGTAATCCATCACATAAACAGAACCAACAAAAAAAACCACAAAATTATCTCAATAAATGCAGAAAAGGTCTTTGACAAAATTCAACAGCCCTTCATGCTAAAAACTCTCAATTAACTAGGTATTGATGGAACGTATCTCAAAATAATAAGAGCTACTCATGACAAACCCATAACCAATATCATACTGAATGGGCAGAAACTGGAAGCATTCCCTTTGAAAACCAGCACAAGACAAGCATGCCCTCTCTCATCACTCCTATTCAACATAGTGTTGGAAGTTCTCGCCAGGGCAATCAGCCAAGAGAAAGAAATAAAGGGTATTCAATTAGGAAAAGAGGAAGTCAAATTGTCCCTGTTTCCAGATGACATGATTGTATATTTAGAAAACCCCATCATCTCAGCCCAAAATCTCCTTAAGCTGATAAGCAACTTCAGCAAAGTCTCAAGATACAAAATCAATGTGCAAAAATCACAAGCATTCCTATACACCAATAACAGACAGAGTCAAATCATGAGTGAACTCCCATTCACAATTGCTACAAAGAGAATAAAACACCTAGGAATCCAACTTACAAAGGATGTGAAGGACCTCTTCAAGAAGAACTACAAATCACTGCTCAACAAAATAAAAGAGGACACAAACAAATGGAAGAACATTCCATGTTCATGGATAGGAAGAATCAGTATCATGAAAATGGCCATACCGCCCAAGGTAATTTATAGATTCAATGCCATCTCCATGAAGCTACCAATGACTTTCTTCACAGAATTGGAAAAAACTACTTTAAAGTTCATATGGAACCAAAAAAAGAGCATGCATTGCCAAGACAATCCTAAGTAAAAAGAACAAAGTTGGAGGCATCACCCTACCTGACTTCAAACTATACTACAAGGCTACAGTAAGCAAAACAGCATGGTACTGATACCAAAACAGAGATATAGACCAATGGAACAGAACAGAGGCCTCAGAAATAACACCACACATCTACAACCATCTGATCTTTGACAAACCTGACCAAAACAAGCAATGGGGAAAGGAATCCTGATTTAATAAATGGTGCTGGGAAAACTGGCTAGCCATAGGTAGAAAGCTGAAACTGGATCCCTTCCTTATACCTTACACAAAAATTAATTCAAGATGGATTAAAGACTCAAATGTTAGATCTAAAACCATAAAAACCCTAGAAGAAAGCTAGGTAATACCATTCAGGATATAGGCATGGGCAAGGACTTCATGACTAAAACACCAAAAGCAATGGCAACAAAAGCCAAAATAGACAAATGGGATCTAATTAAACTAAAGAGCTTCTGCATGGCAAAAGAAACTACCATCAGAGTGAACAGGCAACCTACAGAATGGGAGAAAATTTTTGCAATCTACCCATCTGACAGAGGGCAAATATCCAGAATCTACAAAGAACTTAAACAAATTTACAAGAAAAAAACAACCCCATCAAAAAGTGGGCAAAGGATATGAACAGACACTTCTCAGAAGAAGACATCTGTGCTGCCAACAGACACATGAAAAAATGCTCATCATCACTGGTCATCAGAGAAATGCAAATCAAAATCACAATGAGATACCATCTCACACCAGTTAGAATGGCAATCATTAAAAAGTCAGGAAACAACAGATGCTGGAGAGGATGTGGAGAAATAACACTTTTACACTGCTGGTGGGAGTGTAAATTAGTTCAACCATTGTGGAAGACAGTGTGGCGATTCCTCAAGGATTTAGAGCTAGAAATACCATTTGACCCAGCCATCCCATTACTGGGTATATACCCAAAGGATTATAAATCATGCTACTATAAAGACACATGCACACGTATGTTTATTGCAGCACTATTCAAAATAGCAAAGACTTGGAACCAACCCAAATGTCCATCAATGACAGACTGGATTATGAAAATGTGGTACATATACACCATAGAATACTATGCAGCCATAAAAAAGGATGAGTTCATGTCCTTTGCAGGGACACGGATAAAGCTGGAAACCATCATTCTCAGCAAGCTATCACAAGGACAGAAAACCGAACACCACATGTTCTCACTCATAGGTGGGATTGAACAATGAGAACACTTTGACACAGGGTGGGGAACATCACACACTGGGGCCTGCCGGGGGGTGGGGGGAGGGGGGAGGGATAGCATTAGGATAAATACCTAATGTAAATGACGAGTTGATGGGTACAGCAAACCAACATGGCAAATGTATACCTATGTAACAAACCTGCACATTGTGCACATGTACCCTAGAACTTAAAGTATAATAATAATAATAATAATAATAATAATAAACAAAACGATTTATTTCTACTAGAAAAAAAAATATTGACAAAGGTAGCTACACTCAACAATAGATATTCAATGTAGATAAAAAAGCCTTCTATTGGAAGGTGCCATCTAGGATTTTCATAGCTAAAGAGGAGAAGTCAATGTCTGGCTTCAAAGGACAGGCTGACTCTCTTGTTAGGGGCTAATGTAGTTGGTGACTTGACATCGATGCTCATTTACCATTCTGAAAATCCCAGGGCCCTTGAAAATTACGTGAAATCTACTCTGCTCATGCTCTGTGAGTAAAACAATAAAGCATGGATAGCAGCACATCTGTTTACAGCATGATATACTGAATATTTTAAGCCGAGTGTTGAGCCTACTGCTCAGAAAAAAAAAAGATTCCTTTCAAAATATTACTGTTCATTTAAAATTTGTTTCCATGCCTGCTAACACAGCATCCATTCTGAAGTCCATGGATCAAAGAGTAATTTTAACTTTGAAGTCTAATTAAGAAATACATTTTGTAAGGCTATAGCTGCCATAGATAGTGATTCCTCTGATGGATCTAGGCATTGCCATTAAGAACATTTGTAACTTGTGAGAGGAGGTCAAAATATCGACATTAATAGGAGTTTGGAAGATGTTGACTCCAACCCTCATGAATTACTCTGAGAGGTTCGAGACTTCAGCGGAGCAAATAACTGCAGATGTGGTGGAAATAGCAAGAGAACTAGAAGTGGTGTGTAAAGATGTGACTGAATTGCTACAATCATATGATAGAACTGAAGAGATAAGAAATTGATTACTATGAGTAGCAAGAAAAGTGGTTTCCCAAAATGAAATCTACTTCTGATGAAGATGCCATGAACATTGTTTTTGTTGAAATAACAATTTTTAGAATATTACATGAAATTGTTATAAAGCAGTGGCAGGGTTTGAGAGGGTTGACCCAATTTTGAAAGATGTTCTACTGTGAGTAAAATGCTATCAAACAGCATCATGTGCTACAGAGAAATCTTTCTTGAAAGGAAGAGTTGATAGATGCAGCAAACTTCATTATTGTCTTATTTCATGAAATTGCCACAGCCACCTCAGCCTTCAGCACCTACCACCCTTATGTCAGCAGCCATCAACATCAAGGCAAGACCCTCATCAGCAAAAAGATTCTGATTCACAGAAGGCTCAGATGATTGTTCGCATTTTTAGCAAGAAAGCATTTTTAAATTAGGGTATGCATATTTTTTAGACATGAGAGTGCACACTTTATAGACTTTATTATAATGTAAGCATAAATTTTATACACACTGGAAAACCAAAAAATTCATGTGATTTGTTTTATTGTAATATTAGCTTTATTGTAGTGGTCTGGAACCGAACCTCAGTATCTCCAAAGTATGCCTGTATATAGACAGATATTGGTGCACATATATGTGAATGGTATACACACTTTGTGTGTGTGTACATGTCTATATATACACACTTATATATGATTTATCTATCTAGTTTTATCACATCTCTCTTCAAAAGCCCCTTAACTTGCCACTGACTACAGGATACAATAATGCAAAGTATTCAGCACTCTCAGATTTCAGTCCCTCACTACAGCCCATTTGTCCTGTGCTATTCTCCACTGCCAGGATGCATCAGGTCCTGTGCACTCTGGCACATACTGTTCATTCTAGCTGTAATAACCTTCTCCCCACAGCTACCACTTTTCTGTCCAAATTAAGTCTACTGCCTCACCCTTCATCCTTGCATCTATCCCGCAACTCTCCGTCTCCCACCACCTTCACAATGAATTTCTACAACCACCAAATTGTGTAAGATCAGGGACTGAGTGACTCCAAATACTATACAGTGTGACAGGGAAAAGCTGAAAATGATAGTGCAGCCATATTGTCATCCCACCAAGAAACTATTCTTGAAAGTTTGAGAAACTTTCTGGTCACCAATATGCACGTTTGCTACCTGAGTTCCCTAAAATTAACAATCACAAATGCCTTCAAATAATACAAATGTATTAATACATATAAACAAAAACTACAATTTCATAGAACTCTTTACTATCTTCAACCACCAACACCTAGCCCTGTTCCTGATGTGGACTATAGAATAATTATGAGGCATGCCTCTATTGAGGCACAAGCCCAAACCAGGAGCAGGCAGTGGACAGATGCTTTGGGCTTCAGAGGTTAGTCCCTGAAACCCTTTTCTCCTCATTGGCCAGTGTCCTTGGATATAGAAAGCAGTCCAATTGACCTTACAGAAAACCACCAATTTTTTTTATCACAAAACACAATATTCATCTGTCCAAATAAAACTCTGATAAAGAATGTGACATGACAAGAGCTGAAGACACTAGTTCAAAGTCATGTCCCAGACATTCTTGAGAAATTTATGTTCAAAGAAATAAAAACATTATATTTTGGAATATGACTCCCTTAACAAAATTTCTGATTTGAAATTAATTCCTAGTGATAAAAGGACAGTATAGAAACTTGCCACAAATGAATTACCACAGGAATAACCAGCTATCTTGGGAGGTGCCTGCTGCATTTGGCACCTTGTCTCTGCTCTCTTCAGGTTTTCTTACATGTCAGCTTAAACAACATCTAATACATTAGTACTAGCTATTACATAGTGCTGATGCTAATACATAGTGCTTCGTATCAGGGATTCTTCAAAGCACTTTGCATGTATCCCATTTACCACAATTCTAGAGGTAGATACTTTTATTCCCACTTTACAGATGAAAACTGAGACATAGAACAGTTGTGGCCCAAGATTTGATAATTTATTTCCGCCTTAGACAAACTGGATTGCTCCCCATTACCTACAGTATGGAGCCCAAATTCATAGCCCTCAAATTGCTACTCAACCTCCCATTCTGACTTTTTCCCAATATCCCCTCCCAAAAGTCCCCATAACCCTGAATGGCCATCAAATATTGTCCCATCATTGTGCCCATGCTAAGGACAGATGGGCACAGTAGTAGTCTTATGTTGCCTGCAAATGTGTTTTTAGACGGATTAATTTACAAGTCAGATTTCATATTAAAAATCAGATATACAGTTATTGGGATTTCTTTTAGAATCCTATCTGGAATTCTAAAGGTCTGAAGCTAGGCACAAACTGTGAATAGATGCAGCACAATAGCAGGTGTCTCCATTGGACATCTCCATAGTTGTTCACAGTTGCCATCAGTCACACAAAGTATGCCAGTTTCACTCGCTTCCATTACTGACCTGGCTTCTAAAGGCCTTCACCACAATGCCCTAAAACCATCTCTTGCCTATTTAAGTCTCCCCTGTCCTCCAAGACTAAGCTTAAATGTCACCGCCTCTCTTATTTCCTAATTATTCCAGCTGAAATTTATCTCCAGCTTCTGAATTCCCCCTAGCATTCTGCTTATTGTGACACATCACACTCTGCTTTGCAATTAGTTGTGATATGCTTCCCTAAGAACAAGGTAGAAACTCTGAGTCAAGGTTAAGTAACCAATTCTGTGATCTTGGGCAACAAAACTGAGCATAGCACCCTGTGTTCTAAGATTTGAGCCCTAGATAAATAAAAGAGCATTAGCACATTGAAAAGGGTAGAAAGAAGTGACTTTACACACACACACACACACACACACACACACACACACACACTTACTTCACTCTTCATGCCCCTCTGTCTGCCTCCTGTTTATGGAAAAATCATGAGACAACTTGATGGATGTGTTATTTTTTTAATAGAAACCACATCACTTCATATGTTACAGCATGTAATTCAAGAGGTCCCCAGAAAGTTTTTTCATCTACAAAATAACAGAAAGGATAAGCACCCTCACCACCCAAGCCTTTGGTTCATTTTTTTTGGTTTTGATCTCTATTCTCTTACCACAATGACATGCTGCTTCCAGAATGGAACTCTGTCTTTAAGTTCTATACTAGTTAGGAGGCTAATCTATCAGCTTGCTTTAATAATGTAATGGATGTCCTAATTTAACTGAGGAACCTGGACAAGTCTTCCTTGATTTCAGCTTCATCCCAAGGCCCATGAATGTTTTCTTTAAAAAGCTGCAAGCGAATGAGGTAGAATGGACACAGACATGAGATAGACATCAGCAGAAGGGCAAAGAGTACGGCTCCCACAGCACTAATGGACAGTAGGCCTCCCACGGCTGAAAATGCAAAAAGCAGTGTGACCCCCACATAGCTCCGGGGAGTACATGCCTTTAGTTTCTTCTGCAACATGGGCCACAGGGCAAAAATCTGAATGGCAAATGTCACCATGATGAAGGCATGCAGGGACCGGGGAAGACGTGATGCCAAGCATACAGAAGCAAAGATGGCCATGTTCAAGGATAGTGTGCTGGATACAATGGCAGCATTGGCACCATAGTCAAAAAAGATGAGATGGCCTAACAGCATGAAGACTGACATGGCATAGATGGTGTCAGTGCTGACAGACTCTGTAAGGGTCTTCAGCACTGGTGAAAACCCATAAGTGAAAGTAATGAAGACTAGGGCACTCTTCAGGTCAGCCCACCGGGTCTGCCCACTCTTCTTCCGCCCTTCACCTCCATCAATGAGATCAAACAAAACATACCCAATCAGTGAAGAAGCCAGACCAGTCCCTAAAAGCCAATGGGGGGCCAGAAGACCCTCATCCATATACCACCAGATAACCACAAAAACACAAACACTGCACAGCTGCTGGATCACCACACTGGACTCAAATACCACAGCCCAATATTGGTATTTCCGAGCATGGATGTTTTTCCGGAGCTCTTCCAGGAATCGCCGGTCCACATAGTTATCAGGAAAGGGCTGTCGCTCATACAAGACCTTCTGCCACTTGACCTCCTTGGTGTTAGTCACAGGTTGAGCATACATTATCCTTTCATTCAAACTCAGGCCAGTTTAATCATCGCCCTCACAGAAGTCCAGGTGGTTCTTGTTCTTTATGAAGTTTTGAAATGAGACCTCCCTGGAAATTCCATGCTGTGTTGATGTTCTACCAACCTTTCCTTGTTTTCAAAGGCAGGGGCTAGGCCTACAATAGATGAATTTGTCTCTGAGGCAGGACAACACAGCCAAGTTCCTAGAAAAAGAGAGACTGTGAACCTACGAAAGTTGTGAAAGGTCAAGAGTAGTACTGAGATAAAGTCAAATCAACTCAGTTTACTAAAAGTCTGAGAAAAATGTATGTGGTAGTCACCTTATGGGACATTAAAACTGCATTTCAGATTTGAAAATTATAATTCCTTGAATAATAATAGACATCTGTTAGCTATCGCTTATTGAGTACCTACTATGTGCTAAGTGCCTTATGTATCTTCTTTCACTTAATCCTCACCACCTTGTAAGTTAGTATTAGTCCTGCTTTGGTAAAAAAGCTGAGATTCAAGATGCTTAAGTAACTTTGCCCTAAGGTAACAGAGCAGAGCCAGGATTCAAACCAAAGTCTTATCCCAAAGCCTGTGTCTCACATTGTATCTCCCTCTAAAGCAGTTCTTAACTCAGTGGTTCACATATCCCTTAGGTATATCACATTGCATGCTTATATCTGGATTTGTGTAAATTTATAGGGATAATATCCATAGTTTTTATTGGTTCTCAAAGGCATGTTATTTGTATTTTTTAAGTTACCAATCCAAAGACAATAGTAAGCTGCACCATACAGAAAGGTATGAGCTCTATAGTTTAACCAAAATCAAAGCCTCAAAGAAACTAGACTCTTCTTCCATTAGCTGAGCTTAGCATCCTTTAAAGAGCTATCAATCTACTCAAAACAAGGAAACTCTTGAGAGGATCGAAGAAGATAATCATTCCTTTTTCACAATGAGAAAACTAAGAGTCAGAAACACCACAGCCATCCGGCAAATTTGAGAAAAAAAAAATTCATATTGCCCGACTTTATTTCTTCCATGATAGACCACAACAAATATTGCTTGGCAAGCCAGACACCGTTACCCCCTCTGCAGCAGGGATCCCAGCCCGGGAATCTTAAGGCCGCCGCCGGGGTTGGAGGGTCTGCGACGCCCAAAAGGGCAGCGCCCGCCCGCAGAGTGGGGCTGGGAGGGGACGGGGTAGGGTAGGGTGACCCCAGGGTGCGCCTTCACTCTTCTGGCACCCCATTTGGCTTTTTGGGTGGGCCTCCCACTTCCGCCGCCGCCCCTCACTCAGCCTTGGGTCTGCGGGAGGCAGCAGAGGAAAAGGAGCCCCGGAAACACTGACCGTTACACGGAACCCACCTACCCGAGAGTTCCTAGGGTTGCGCAGCTGGGGGACGGCGGCACCCAGCCTTTTTCCCGCTTCGGGGCGCCGGGGCTGCGACTGTGGCCAAGCACTTCCGGGTCCGCCGCAATCTCCTTAGCGAGGGCACCCTTCCCCGGCTGGAACCATCGCGACGTGACTGCTGCCCCCTCCTGGCTGCTCGAAGGACCTCCGGTCTCCTCTCCTGGAGACTGGCCCAAACCCGAATGCTCTGAGCCTAGGAAGGCAAATCCCCAGCAATCCCCTATTGAAAGATGGGATGTGCCATCTGAAGGACTGGGTAAGGCAAGAGAGGACAAGGAAAGAGGCTGGGCCAGTAGGTGAGAGATAATGGCCGCTTTTGTTGCGCTCCTTTATTAAGTCAGGCCCTCAGCTGGGACTTCCCGTGCATCCATGCGTTCATTCCACAGATACTGATTGAATGCCTGCATGTAACAAGCCATGCTTGGGGTGCTCATGATACAGCCGTGAATGAAACACACAAAAATTGCTGCTCTCATGAAACTCTCTTTTTTGGTGCATTGACCTTTACACTGATTATATCATCTCCCCCCTCAAAGAGGACAAATCTAAGGCTCAGATAAGTTGTATTTGTCCAAAGACAGGCACCTGGGAAGTAGATGAACAGAGATCAATATCCAGTTGTCTATAGCTTCAAAGCTTGGTTTTTTTCCTCTTTACCTCCTAAAAGAAGTGAGGACAAGATTGCTAATTAAACTGAGTTCATGGAAATATTAAAGGATATATAAACAGAAGGAAGTAATAAAGAAACAAAGGGATGTAGTAAAACACAGGATACAGTGGAAATAAAAGTCAGAAAACATGACCCATTTACTAGCTCAGTGACTCAAGGCAAATCACACTACCTGAGCTTTGATTTCTTCATCAGTAAAATGGAGATGACATTATTTGCACTTGGCTACTTTATAGGATGGTTAAAGAGTTAAATATAAAAATGGTTTGTAAAGTGTTCACTATATGGCTGCTATTAGCTGACTTTGGCCATCGTAATGATAGCAATGTTTAAGTGTGATATATTCTGTAAAATGTTCTCTATTTCCCTCTAGGCTTCTGTTCCAAAATTTGACAAGATTCCTTGGCTTAGTGAGGCCAGCCTTGTAAACAAGCCATTAGTGCTCAGCCTTCCCAGAAGGTAACCTCTCAGCCACCGAGGGCAAAAGTTTTACGAAACATCTCACAGAAGATGATTTCTTCTTAAGGGATGGGGACAATTATCAGAGGGCACATTTGATCCATTGAGAAACTCAAGTCAAGTGCTTTAAAAATAGAAATAATCCGGGTTTCTCAGAAAAAAATGATCACTGAGTATAGGCCTGGCTAGAGGAGATGAGATCTCAAAATTTTTCCCTCTCCACCACTACCACTCAACAGTATAAGATAATTTTTCCCCTAGACACTGTCTCTCAAAACACTTCCATCCTCTTTCTCACCCCACATTTTCTCCACTGCTGTAGTCTGAAATTTTCACATTTTTACCATCAAAAGTCTAGAACAGTAAGTTCCCATCTTTATAGAATAGTAACTCTGTATGTAACTTTGAGGCACCCTCCTACATTCCTGTTAGTCCTACTCCTTCCAAACAAACTACTATATGACACATAAATCTATTTTTCAAAATTGCAGGAATTACATATCTAGGGAGCATTTCAACTGTCTCTTGAAATAATTGGGTTACCGTGTCCCTTCTCCATTTTTGATGAAATGGTTCCTAAGTGTAGTGATAAACCCCACTCTGGGAAGGGGACATGGACAGAAGGGTAGGTGTGAGGTAGTGTTGGGGTGAATGAGAGAAACCAGAAAGAGGGCAGAGAGAAAGAGAAAGGGCAGGCATAGAGGCCATTCCAAAGGCACACGACAGACTAAAAAGGAATGACTCCTTGGCATTCGAAACAGCTCGTTAGAAAAGCCAGACTCCCCAAAAAGAGTTTCTCCTCCTGTTGATAACTACCATGTACCCTCCTGCCCATGGATAAGTGACTTCATAAGCAAATTCCCATCACTGTCTCCACATCCCCACTTTAGTAACATGTACCTTTGCTTTGTCTACTGTACATTAAAAAAAAATCTCATTCTCAGTAAATAGGTAGACGGTTTTAGTATTTTCAGAACAAAATTCACAAGTGCTTTCAAGTGCTCGTTATTCAGTTGTGTTATTTTTACATAATTTTGAATATAACGAAAGCAGATTATCAGAGGTTCAATAAACTCAAAGGCCTATTTAAGAAACAAAAGTACTAAGTGATAGAGTGCTTATTAAGAGTTGTTAACACTGCATGGATCAGCACGAGTAAGGACAGTCTAGCATATTTTAATTGAGGGTGGGACACAAACTCACAGGCCCATGACAGTCAGATGAGGGGCATAATGAGTAAAGCTGGCCAAACAGGACTGCAATGAATGGGAAATCACCTCCCCGCTTCAGCCCACCCCCACGCCAGCAGTGTTACCTGCAGGCATGTGAGTCCAGAGGCCAGATCCACTGGGTCTTCTAACAGTACTAGAAATCTGGATGTTTTATGTGAAATTGCTAGTGTTTGATCTAATAGGGTAATATCCCACCATCCCATACTACCCCCATGCCCATTAGACCTGCCCCAGCAGCGAAGAGCAAAGTATCCTTGTGCATGGCTCTCTTGCCCCCAGCTCCCTTGGTCTCTAATTACACAAGCCTTTGGCAGAGGGTGGAGATCAGGGAGAAGGGTAGGCCTAGAATACAACTGGGCATCGGCAGCACCTGTTCACTTTCATAGCCAGGTCCTGGAGGGTCAGAGCAGACAGTCTGTTGACAGCCAACTGGAAAGGGAGTGGGCAGTTTTTCCTCCAGCCAGCCAAACCTAAGCTAGGCACAAGGAGAAATTACCTTAGGCAGGCAGTGAAGCTCTACTCATCGCTATTCTGGGAGGATTGGGGTAGCAATCTTAATTCTTGTTTAGAAAAATGTAATATACCTACCTCACAACAAAGGTGACCGAACAGCACCTTTGAGGTGCCCTGAGCTCTCAGGAGGACAAGACGGGAATGAAAAGTCTTTTGAAAGGATGGTTTAAGTATCAAAAGATCTTAAGGATTAAAAGCTCCTCATGTGGGCCAAAGCTCCGGGTTCCAAGCTGTTTATTTTTGGCAAAGCCCCTTACTGAGACTTTGGGAGAAAGTTCTCAATGTGCCTTAAGCATTACATACCCTTGAGCAAAGAGTTCTAATGCAGAACAGTCTGAAAAAAGATAAAGGAACATTTAGCCAAATATGCTCAGAGTAATTCCAAGTGTGCGCAATGGAAACACACCTACAGGGTTGGAGGAGGTGAGGCTGGGCTGTAATAAGAAGTGCCTGTACTGACCCACTTCCTTCAAGGACTCTCTCAGGTAGGCCTGACAATTTCAAAGCCACACTCATCGTCAGTCTCCAAAGCCCTTCAAGTCACACTAAGGTCATGTTTATATAAGATTATTGTATGCTGAAGGAGTTCTAAACTGGCCTCCTGGTCTCTGCTGGTCAGCATTTGGGTGACAAGTCCAAGAGAGCCTATTCCCATATCAAAGACAAAGACCCCGAGGGCACTCATGTCAGACCCACCATCTCTGGTCTTACAGGGCCCAGGGAAGTGTGAGGAGAAATGAAGCAAGAAATGTCTCATGAGCATCAAACTCCTTTCACATGCCTTTGTTTTAAATAAACAATGGACAATGAAATCTTCCCTCATTAGAGAGGAGGTGTGTTCCCGGCAAAACTGCCAGCATTCTGAGTTTCTATTTCTTGGATGCCAGGGGCATGAATGGTGCAACACACACAGTTTATGATTATCAGGCCCCTGCAGGCCTTGGCCCCTTACACTGTAATGAAATGAACCACAGTGCCAAGTGAGACAGAGCGCAGGCAGGTCACCCTGTAAAAGGAACTGGTGTTCTTGCAACATCACTGCTTCAACTGCTAACTAGAAAGAAAAAATGTTCCAAAGGAAAAGAATGGGTGAAGGGAGAAGACATTCTGTGGGAGGAAACAGGTGGATTGTTTCAGGGTGCAAGGACACAAACTCCAAGAAGTCAGCCCAGGTACGAAAGGGGACAGGTGCAGGTTAAACATCAAAAACTTGAGTGCAGACCCTTTCAAAGAGGAAACCTGGGATTCATTTCGCTCATTACACATCTACTGTTGTGAACAATCTTTATCCTGCCTTGTTTGTACAGTGTCTGACAATCCAAAATTGGTTAGTGCAAAACAAAAGGGACAGAAAAGCCAAAGTGACATAGGAGGGCAAATCCATCTTTTGGGAGCTCCCCAATGGCCTGAGTGCTCCAGAACTGGAGTGGAAGATAGCTCCCTGTGGTGTCCCTTGTATTCTCTCAGAAACAACCAAGGGCCTGGCTCTTCAAACATGGGACTGCGGTTCTAACGTTCTCTTGTTTTAATTACTTAGATATCCTCATACCTCTGCGACTTTTCTGACTTCATCCAAGAAGAATATGAATTTGCCAATTTTGTTTCAAGTTCCAGATGTTTTATCTAAGGTACTAAAAAATTTTTGTTGAAATGAAACCAACAGCAGTTCTAGAATGACATAGAATATGAATACATGTCCCATCTCCTTAGCACAGCCCTGTGCTTGGTACACCATCAATGTTCAATAAATATTTGTTAAATGAAATGAATGGCCCCACCCCCCTCACTATGTCTCAAGTGCCTTAGGGTCCCAGTCCACTAGAACTAAGAATACAGGCATAAGGTTAGAATCAACAAAACAGGAAACTAAAAATTAGTATGGAGGAATCTGCCCCAAGACTTCCAGGGAATGCCTATCAGCCTGTGACTGGAACCAATCTGGAGTCTCTACTGCCTCCCCCAAAGGATTGCTTATGTCTCCCACCTACAACTCCCTACACCTGTGGAATTTTACATTAAAAACTCCTCATTTCCCCTCCACCATGACCGGCTGCCAGGTGACCCTCGGTGTCACTGTGGAGCAAGCACACAGGCTACAGTGCTTGGGTAGTCAGAACCTCCCTGAGGTGGAGAAAGAGAGAAAATATATGGTGAGATAAGCAATTTTTTCACCTGAAAAATTGCACATTCCTCACAGGGCTGTCATAGGCAGTGCCTGAAGCAGCGTCCTAAGGCACTCGACACGGTGCCCCACCCAGAGCAAGAGCTCAGTGAATGTGAGCCACAATTATTAGGAGCCCTGGTGTCAGTCAATATATGTTTACGGAGGCCTTTGTATTTGCTTTAATACATCAGAGATGAGTGAGTCAGCCGCAGCTACACAGATGAGTGAGCAGACAGGACAGGGACACAACTGAGAATGCGTCTCAGAAACAGGGCACAGCACTTGTGAGAGAAGGTGGGAGCAAAGGTTACCCCCAGGTTGGGCAAGCAGAGTGGAAGTGAGGGAATGATTCAAGAGGAAGTGGCATCTGCACTGGACCTAGAAGATACTGTTTTCAAGTGGAGGGAAGAGCCAGGGGTGGAGGAAGAACTGGAAAGAGAAGAGAAGATTATCAGCAAAGAGGTGGAGACTGAGTGTGCAGGAGGAAATGCCTGAAGAATATCAAGGAATTCTGAGCATACATGAAAGGGAAACAAGGACGCGGCTGGGCCCAGCTAATGCACACAGGGCCCAACAGACAAGAGCAGAGAGGACACATTGAAGGTTTTCAACACCGGAGTTTCAGGGTCCAAGCTTTGCTTAAGAGTCATCTCTTAGTCCCCCTAACACCCTGGACAGGCAAGTAGGTAACATGGCCACCATGACGTGCACTGGGTAGAGGTGGGGGATGAGCGGGGAGGCAGGACTGGCTTAGCAATTGCTGCAGAACCAGCAAGAAGCCTTCCAGTCATCAAGTCGCTGTGAACTTCCTATTTAGACAGGTCTCACCTGCCGCTGAATGCCTCCTCATCTCAGGTTTGTTCTGGGTCTCTGTACTGTGGCAACCTGGGCACTAGGACACCAGGCCCCAGCCTGGCTGGAGTGGAGAATGGGGAAGGAAAGCCAATGCTAACGACCAGTAGGAGTGAGAGGCCATTCTCCAGCAGGGTATAGCGGTTTTTGTGGCTGCAATATTCATAGTTAGCCACTAGATGACAGTTAAGAGCAACAGCTTCCAGCTGCGCAGCCCAAAGGGCTCCTGGGAGGCCAGTTTCCCGGCTGACCCGTGAGAAGTCCCAAATAGGTTGCTCTTATTGGGAGAGAACACAGGCCCCTCAGCCTCACCCTCACTCTCATCCTGTTAGGGGCTGACCCTCCACTGATTTGCACATGAGAAAGAGTCACCCCTGCAGATTGAAACACAAGTAGGGAACCCGGGATCCTTGCTCTGTTGGGGCACCAGGCCAGTACCTCCAGTCATATTCTTTCCCGTCACACAGACGTCCTCAAATTTGAATCTGGCTCCCAGAGTCTACTGCGTGTATGAAGGCCTGCACGTATGTGCCATGAGGTAAACGTGGATTCAGCTGGCAGCTGCTCCCTTCTGGAAAGAAACTGTTGTGTTTCAAGGGAGTAGAATGTACTGTGGACAGGATCTCTTCCTTCATTCTCTAAATCAGGGACCTGACAAGAAGCTGCTGGCAATCCGGAGGCCAACTGGAGACCCCGGACCCTGTGCAGAGGTGCAAAGCTCCTGCCACCTGGCTGCGTTCCTCTTCACCGTCACAGGTCAAAGGGCAGAACTTTAAACACCCACTTACTCCTCCCCTGCCCCGGAGCAGCCCCGTGCCTGAGGCAGGTGCACGTGTGCCTGGAGCAGTATTTCCTAGTGACTAGACAAAGGGGAGACAGGCTCAGAGACACAATAACAGGAAGAGGGAGACAGAAAGCAAGATAGAAACACACACACAGAGATGAGGGACAAAAAACACAAGACAAAAGGAGAGGCAGGTCTGTCAAAGAAGAAAGATTTTTAGTGAAGACAAATGAAGCCTAAACATTTCCTCGTTTAAACATCTACTGTGGAGAAGCTTCTTCATTTTCTCCTGCCATTTGCAGGCATCCACTCACGACTCCTCAAGATGCTGAGAAACAGAAAGGTGCATCATGATAGTTGGCTAACTGGGCCAAAAGGTGACTGACTCAGTGATCCAAGGCAAAGGAACAGCAGGTGTGTGGGGGTGACCCGGAAAACTGCAGCTGGAGACTCTGAAATCTCTTTGCCCACTTGCTGGTACTGGGTGTAAATTAACTAGAGCTCCTCAGTTACTAATAGATTATAAAATGCCACTCCACCCTCTCAATTCCTGCCCCCACTCTCTCTCTACTCACTTTGATCTGGGTTTGTTCTTCCAGTCTAATGAGTCAGAGTGAAGATAAGAACACTATTTATTTTGCTTTTAGCAGACCTGTGGCAAAAAGCCCTGGCTAAAAAGACTGTGCAGTAGCAGAGGCATAGCTGGGGAAGATGTATAGGATGTTTACTTTCTATTTTCTCACCACTAAGAACTCTCTTTTTATTATTTCTCTCACATTGACTAAATTTTCAAAGCTCATAACTACCAAGGAAACTACCTCATATACTCCTAAGTCATTTTCATATTTATATTGCTTATGTTGATCTAGTGCATATAATTACAAATACAATTTTTAAAGAGAATATTAAATGCTATTGACCTAAAATAGTGATGGTAATAAAAATCAAATTTAATAAGTCTGAATGTAGGGATATGGATATTATTTTTTATACATTTTGGGTTTTTTTAAGTATATTCAGCTTTATTTTTTTAAATGGCTGATATTTTCAGATAGAAGGAACATGTGTAATATCATAAGGTTTTTTTTGAATATTGAAATTGTTCTTTGAGCACTACTTTTGGGATTCTATGTGGTAGAAATAATTCTGCCTTTATATGGATTCTTTTTTTTTTTTTTTTTTTTTTGAGACGGAATCTCACTCTGTTGCCCCAGGCTGGAGTGCAATGGCACGATCTTGGCTCACTGCAACCTCCGCCTCCCAGGTTCAAGTGATTCTCCTGCCTCAGCCTCCTGAGTAGCTGGGATTACAGGCGCATGCCACCACGCCTGGCTAATTTTTGTATTTTTAGTAGAGAGGGGGTTTCACCATGTTGGTCAGGCTGGTCTCGAACTCCTGACCTCATGATCCGCCTGCCTTGGCCTCCTAAAGTGCTGGGATTACAAGTATGAGCCACCATGCCTGGCCTTTATATGGATTCTAAGAGTTTACTCTTCCCCTGAGGAAACATAATCCTTTTTATCCAAAAACTTTCTAGCCGACTGAAGTTCAATAGATGTGGTATTGGACAAATCTCTTAACCTTTCTGGGTCACAGCTTTCTCCTGGGTAAATTGAAAGATTTGAACCAAGTGTCCTATCAGGTCTCTCTCAGTTAAGTTACAAGTGGGAAGGAGAAAAGAAACAGAGGTGTTGAAGGAAAGGACAGAGGCAAATGTGTCAGTACTCCTCACAGGGTGCTTGTGAAGCCTGTTTTAATCACAAGCTGGTGCTTACATTTTTGTTTTTTATGTGAACAGGTGTGTAAGAGAGAGAAAGAAAGGGAGCGAAAGAGAGAAAGAAAGGAGAGTAGAGGGAGAGGGAGATGGAGAGAAATATATTTCTCTGTTTCTTTACCAAGGGTTCAAGAAGGCCATGGCCTTGGGCCATGAGTCAGCCCTTAGACACCGCAGCAGATATTGTCCTAGGGTATGAGGATGTTTCCAATTGTCAAATGTGTTTTTGGCTTCTGGGGACTGGCTGAAATCTGCATCATACCTTGGCCAGGCTACACATAGGTTGCTGTCACTCTCCTGTCACAACTGCCATCTGCTATCCAGAGGACAGCTGCTTGGGAAATGAGGGCCCCATTAACATTCCAGTGCCTCTGGCTCTAGACCTGATAAAACCAGAGCATTGTACTGTGAATGTGGACAATTCCCTCTCCATTCCTGTTATTGCTGCTGAGCTGGTCGTAAGGAAACCGAGTGAGAAGGGAATGCAACAGAAGAAAAAGACCAAAGACCTGGGTTTCAGGGCTGGGAAAGAAAGCAAGACAGAATGGAGGAAATGAGGCCTGCAGGACATGGCGTCTCAAATGTTTGCGTCGCCTTTAAAGTAGCCTGTCACAGCTGCCTTCCACGACTCTTCAATGCCCTCATCCCTTCTCCAGATAGAAATGGAGCAGCTCTTCTTGGAGGCCAGGCTTCAGCTGATAGCAAGTCTGAGGTAGAGTACAGCACAGATCAAAGATTGCTTTTTACCTTTAAATGTAAAGTGTAAAGGGACAGGATTAGAGCATCCGCCTCTGTCTTTTTGAACACAAAGACCATTATCGGTAGGGGAAGGGAGACTTGGAGAGTTTATATGATTGACAAAAGTCACCCAAGTTGTTTGTGAGCCAGGACTGGAACAGAGCTTTTTGGGCGTCTAGCCAGTGTTCTTCCCCAGTGCATTACATAGAATGAATTTGTTGTACTACAACACTAATGTTCTGTAACGTTTCCCTGAAGACCGTGTTACAATAGTGATCTTCATTTATATATGTATTTTTCGTTTTATATATTTAGGTTGATTGTGTCTATATTTAGACCTCATAATTTAAATTGCTTACAATGACTCATTCATTTGCCCAATGTTTGTTGAATACTTGCTGTGTGCCAGGTTCTATCATAGGTTCTAGGAATACAAAGATGTGTAAAACATGATTCTTGCTCTTAAATATAATAACTCTCAGCCCGGTGGAGGAAATAAACACATTTAAAATCAAGAATAGTGCAAATACAAAGAAAGCTAGACCAAGTTTATGATGCAATCAAAGAGGCAGGCACCCAACTGAGGTTAGGAGGGTGAGAAATGGTAGCAGCCCAGGAGAAAGGTTTTCTGAGGATGTAACACCTACACTATGTCTTAAATGAGTAGCTATCAAGGCCAGGTGGGACAATATATAAGCATTTCATCCCTCAGATTCTAAGAGATGACAGTCATTATGTTATGGGACTCTGTACTCACATTTACAGTTGTCATTAACCTAGCAAGATCTTGCAATGCACTTTGGGGATCTTGCAAATAATATCTGTTGCTTGATTTGCAATGAGCTCTGAGATTCCACTTCCTATAGGGTCTAATAGTAGTCTTAGCAGAAACCAGAAGTCTGGAAAAAGGTGAAGGAAATAATTTCAGTGAAGAACTTATATCTCTACTAAAAACAAACCTGCCCAAGAATTCTTCCATATCTGCCTCCCCTTGTCCAGGTCTTCCTCATCCCTTCAGACTGAGTACAAATTCCACTTCTAGGAAGCCTTTCCTGATTTCTCCAATCAGAAGTGGTCTCTCTGTTTTCTGAAGGCACAGAGGTATTAGTGCCTCTTGTATGATATCTAGTGTGTCCTACCTTAATTGCAGTTTCAGAAATGTACCTCACTCTCATACCTCAAAGATGTGAGGGATGGAGGGAGGAGCTGGAGCTTCAGGGGATATCACCCCCAGGGGTATCAGGAAGACATGGTAGAAAGTTGAATCAGCCCAAAGCAGAGGAGTCAATATCCACAGACATTTCCTCTCTAGTCTCTCTTCTCACTCCATTCAACCTCCCACCAGACAACCTGTCCATCCCAACCTACATTCACTTACCCGAAGCTGATTTGCTAGATTATTCTTCCAGGTTGTTGTATAGTGTTTCCTGGGCTTGCAACACCCTCACCATCCTTGTTCACTCCACAAACACCTACCCAAGCATTGCCTGTTTTTTTTTACCCTTCTCAGACCCTTCCCTCTCTGCCCCACCCCCAGTTAAGCTCAATGACCCCTTTCAGCTTCACTGGAGCCTCGATATATTTCTGTTGTAGCACCTTCAACACCATCATACTTCTTGATGTATAGGCTACTGGATGGTGAGCAGCTTGAGGTCACAAACTATGTCTTATTTATTTAAATGTCTCCAGTACCTAATGAATGGGTAAATGAATGAATTTGTATTCTTCTTTTGTCTTCCTTAGAAACTTCCTTCCAGAAACTTTGCTTTATTCGTCGGTATGACCCCCGTCACAGCACCCTTTACTTGGTAGCCTCACAATAGATGTTTACTGTTGAATGAATGAATCTAGTTATTCACACACATACTTTGACATACCAACCCACAACATTGTAATACTGAGTTGATTCTTTTTAGAATGCCCTATAAAAATGAAGTGTATTTTAAATGTTTCTCAAAAGAATCCAACTTTGTTAACAGTTTTTAGCCCTCAAACCCCCCATGATGCATCACCTAAGTGCCATATGTCTCTCACAGGATGAAGCTACTTGCAGAACAATCTGGCAAAGGTCATCCTAGGAGCACACCTCAGGAACTCCTCACTTTCTGTTCCTCCTCTTTCTGTTCCCCACACTTCCCAGGGCAACAGGAATGGGTCAAGGCACACCATGTAGTGATGGGCCAGCAAGCGGATCAAAGGAAAGAGAAGACTTCAGTCAATAGTCTTCTCACTGTGGCTTTCCTCTTCCCCATATTCTGCACTTTCTGTGACCATATCTCATGACTGATGTCAATGTGAATGAGGAAGGTTAAGAGAGAATCCCAAACATAAGTTTAGCCTCAAGTTCCTATATGCTTCCTAAGCAAACTTTTATCAGAGATGCAAATGAGAACCTCCTGAACCCAGGTGTAAATGCTCCAAAGTCCTCTCTTTAATGCTTTTGCAGAAATGAAGTCAGAATAAAAACCAGTGGTTACAGTGAGCAGACACGGTGCCCCTCCCCTTCCTCCACTGATTGCTTCTTCACCTACTGAGACAGCCTCTCTTTCCCAGAGGATTGAGGGGACTCAGGACTCACACACAAGCTTGAGTTCTGCTTGTGGCTTCAATCATTCTGCTTAGGAGGTACAGAAGGGCCAAATGGTGCTGGACCATGGATGCATGAGAGCTGTTTCTGGCCCAGAGTTAAGGCATGAGAAAGGAAGGCGATGCTTAGGAAAGGCCCGTGAAAAAAAGATTTGCAGAAGAGAAGTCTTCTCTTCATTCTTTCTTAGGCCATCAGAGATCCTCAGTCTATATGGTGGAGCCTTTTTATGAAATGGAAAAAATGGCCCACCTATAGGAGAATGCAACCCCTCAGACACAGGTGCTCAGGCTGGAAAGTAGAGACCCCACTGAATTTCAGGCCCCAGCCATCTCTGCCAGCTGTCTTTACATGTATACCACTGCATGCAGCAGCCTCAAGACCACCACCTAGCCTATGTCTCACTCCCTCCTGCCTAAACTCTCGGTACCTACCAGCTGCAGCACACTCCAGATTCAACACCCACCCTGGATGGGGCTGAGACCAGAGTGCCCATCTCTGTTTTACGGAAGGAAAAACTGTTACCTCTCTCACCCCTCCACTGCTTTCCTACATCTTTGCTGCCCTACATGCCCCACCATTTCCTCACCTCTCTCTGTCTCTCTTTCCCCTCAGGCCAGGAGGAACCAGTGTGACTCCATGCTGCTCAGAAACCAACAGCTGTGCTCCACATGTCAAGAAATGAAAATGGTAGGCAAGGGGGAAGACAGAAATGGGCACAGGCATCTCAGGGTGCAGCACTGCCCTTCCCAGCCAAGCCCTGTGGGGAGAGATAGTGACGGGGCCCGTTGCAAGGAGGGCCTAGATAAAGGCTGCCAAGGAGGAACTGTTGGTCCTGGGAGCAGCATCGACTGACAGAACATGATAAACCTTCTCCGTTTCAACAAGCTAAAGGGTAACCAGGATAGATGGGCCAGAGTAGAGATGCAATGAGACACTTCGCCTTGGGCTCCTAAGTAACTACAGCCTCTCAGAGGCTTAGGGGATTATGGAGCTCCTTCTCCCTCCTTAATGTAGCCCCCACACAACACATAGGCTCACACTCATTTCTCCACCGTTACAATCAGGAGACAAACAGCTTCATCTTTGGGTTTACTGTTAATTTAGGTAGCACCTCAAGAGAAAGACTGGGGAGAGAGTCTACAGTACTTTCTAGGTAGTCAGGGGCGGTGTCACCTGCTTTGGGTATTTGTAACATATAGTGGAGAATGGTGGTAGGGGAGGAATATTAGGAAAAGAAAGAAGGAAAGCAAGGGAGATGTGGAGGGAACAAAGACAAACTTCTGCCATGCCATCTATCACAGTTGCTGAATCAGAGGCCTGATTCAGGAAGGATGCTAGACTAGGCTGGAGTTAGGCCTTCGGTAATTTAAGAATTAGAGTTAGCGCTGGGATGGTTGTTAGCGTCAGGGTAAGGAAGAGGCTTTGGTTAAGGGTTAATTTAGCAACATGGTTAGGTTTGAGGTACGAGCTGGAGAAGGGTTTCTTCAACTCTGATATCCTATAATTCTCCTTTGACTTGGGGAGGAAGGTGGGGCTAAATGTGTAGGCTAAACGTGCTTTAAAAGAATGGAAGAAAAATAGAAGATATAAGAAAAGCTCCTTCACTGAGTTCATGGCAAGTCTTAGGTCCAGTCGGATGTGAAAGAGAGTGGCACTTTTGTGAAATTTTTATGTGGGATTTACAAATTTAACTGAAGCTACCGGCAAAGCTGCACCTTGATGTTGCCATCTATGTTCATTTTCTACATAATTAGGGTCACTGTGTTAAATATTAGCATTGGCTGGAGTCTGGGAAACTAGGATTGGGATTTCTCCTGGTCTTATTCCTGGAATCCCTTGTGTCCACATTTAGAATGCACCAACCCCAGGCCTAAGCTGGCCTTGGCCAGCTGGCACACTTGGGACATCAGCAGCCATCCTCTTTCTCAAGACCTCTTCTCTGACCTTTGCCCTTGTCCAGGAATGATAGAAGTGGAGCCACATGCTGCAATTTTACCATTTATTGAAGCTTCTAAAAGGAAGGGCTTCAAACACAAAAGTGCCCAGGGACCCTTCTGTACTGCTGTCAGAACCTGGTGATAAACTACAGAAAGTTAGAAAATAAACATGAAATATCCTTGCCTCACTCTATGCAGTAATACCTCAAAGTCCTCCCAAGGGGAGGGACTGCAGGTCTGCTGTAGTCACTGTGATACCCCTTCTTTCTCAGCAGTGAGTTGAATAGAAATACTGGGGAATATATAAAAAGACTCCTAGGAATAGAAGGGAACTTCCTCAACCTAATAAAGAGCAGCTTGAAAAACTAACAGCTAACACCCTACTTAATGGTAAAAGACTGGATACTTTCCCCTAAGATTAGAAACAGGGCAACAATGTCTGCTCCTGACACTTCTACTCAACATTTTACTATACATTCTAGCCAGAAAGATAAGAAAAAGAAATAAAATCCATCCACATTAGAAAGAAAGAAGTACAACTAGTCTATTTGCAGATGATATGCTCTTATATAGCGAAAGTCCTAAGGAATGCACAGAAAACTATTAGAGCTAATAAATGAGTACAGCAGTGTTGAGGATACAAGATCAGTATATAAACCTTAATTTCTATTAATAGCAGTGAACAACCCAAAAATGAAGAAAACAATGCCATTTGTAATAGCATCAAAAATTATTTAGGAATAAATTTAACACGAGAAGCACAAGAGCTATACAATGAAAAGTATAAAACATTGTGGAAAGAAAATTTAAAAGGCCTAAATAAATGGAAAGAACCCCATGTTTATAGATTGGAACACTTAATATTGTAAAGATGAATATACTCCGCCAAACTGATCTACATATTTAATGTAATCCTCAAAATCCCAGATGCCATTTTTATAGAAATTTGCAATCATATCTTAAAATTTATATTAAAATGCAAGAGATCCAGGATAGCCAAACAATCTTTAAAAAGAAGAACGAAGTTGGAGGTCTCATACTTCTTGATTTTAAAACTAACTACAAAGCTATGGTCAGGACTGTGTGGTACTGCCATAAAGATAGACAAATAGATAAATGGAATAAAATTGAAAGTTCAGAAGTAAATTCTTATGTTTATAAACAATTGATTTTTGACAAAGGCACCAAGACAGTTCAATGAGGAAAGAATAGTATTTTCAATAAGTGGTACGGGGGCAGCTGCATAGATACATGCAAAAGAATGAATTTGTACCTCTTCCTCACACCATGTACAAAAATAACTCAAAATAGGTCAAAGAGCTAAATGTAAGACCTAAAACCATAAAACTCTTAGAAGAAAACATAGGTATAAAGCTTCATGACCTTGGATAAGGCAATGGTTTCTAAGATAGGACACCCAAAGCACAAACAACAAAAGGATATAGATAAATCAGTCTTCATAAAAATTTTAAACTTTTGTTCCACAAAGAACACCATCAAGAACACGAAAAGACAACCCAAATATTTGCAAATCAACAGATGAAGGATTATGTCAGATAAGGGACTAGTATCTGGAATATATAAGGAACACTTAAAACTCAACAATAAAAAGGCAAACACTCTAGTTGAAAAGTGAGCAAAAAGTTTCAATAGACATTCTCTAAAGAAGATCTACAAATGACCAATAAACACATGAAAAGATACTCAACATTATTTGTTGTAAAGCAAATGCAAATCAAAACCACAATGAGACACACTTTCCATCCACTAGGATGGTTGTAATAATAATAATAATAAAACGGTGGATAATAACAAGTGTTGGCCAGGATGTGGAGAAATTAGAAGCCTCAAAAATTGCTGATGGGAATGTAAAACAGTACAGTTGCTTTGGAAAACAGTTTGGGAATTCCTCAAAACCTTAGACACAGAGTTACCATATGACCCAGCAATTCCATTCCTAGATATGTACCCAAGAGAACTAAAAACATATTCACACACAAAATTCTACAAGAATGCACATAGCAGCCATATCTTAATAGCTGAAAAGTGGAAATAACCCAAATGCCTAGGGCTTGATTAATGGATAAACAAAACGTTGTCTATCTATATAATAGAATATTAATCATAAAAAAGAATGAAATACTAAAACATGCTATAACATGGATGAACCTTGAAAACATTTTGCTAAGTAAAAGAAACCAGATGCAAAAGATCACATATTATACTGGTTCCATTTATATGAAATGTCCAAAATAGGAAAATTCAGAGACAGAAAATAGACAGTGGTTGTCAAAGATTGGGGAGAGGAGTGAGTGAGAAGCAATTGCTAATAGGTATGTGGTTTCTTTTTGGGGTCATGAACTGTTCTAGGAATAAACAATGGTGGTTGTTTTACAACTTTCTGAATATACTAAAAACTACTAAATTGCACATTAAGATGGTGACTTATGATACATGATATCATAAACACCGATAAAAAGAAATTAGCACTAAATAAAAGCACAAAATAGATGAATCTCAAAAAAATGTAAATAGGACCTGGTTATGTAACTACTCATATTCCTATGTAACCTTGGGCTAGAAGCTCAATCATTCAGTGCAGAAGAAATACCTGCTGACAGTTATGGTTGTGAATCACCAGTGATATTTGCCTTGGTTTTATCTAGGCTGTGTTTCATCATGTCTCTGCTCCAAACAGCTCATCTTCCCCTTAATGCACCTATTCTGTAGTCCTTCTGTTATCTGCATTACTCTCTAATTAACACCTTCAAGCCCCTTAAAAGTAGGACCATCAAGCTAGACAACTGTAAACAGATATTCTCTAACATATATTAAAAAATAGTTTCAAAATAAATTAAGTTTATTTCAACAAATATTGATTGATTGTCTGCCATGGGCCAGGTACTTAGGTAAACTACAAAGAAAAAAAAAGAAATACATAAGACCTGTCTTTAAGGAGTCAACAAATAAATAAATAATGACAACAGAATGTAATCAATATAAACAGAAATAGATCTGATGGGGAGTGAAGGGGCAGTGAAAGTAAATATCAAGGAAGTCTTCCTTGAAGAAAAAGACTATTCAGGGTTTTCAAGAATGAATAGGAGTCTCCCACAGTACACTTTTTCTCAAAAACAAAAATCCTGTCTTTGGCAGGCAGCTTTGTTCTGATGCAGCCCCTGTAGCACAGTTCATTCATACAATAGCGCTAGCTGGATTTAGGGGATTTAGAACAGCAATCATGCTATTCAGGAGGAGTTACAGTTTCCTGCATCTTCCCTTGGAGCAGAGTCAACTTTAGATAAATTTTTGAATAAAGCAGTCTGTCTCTGGCACATTCTCAGCCACTTTTATGTTTAGAAATCTCTCCTCAGGTTCTTACTAAAGCCTTGGCTGCCCCCACTATGCCCAGAGGCTCTTTGTTACCAGATCAGCTCCTTCCTCTCCCTCTCCCATCCTTTCTTCAGCTAATGAGTTAGGAGAACAAGCTGAGTAAACATAGTACATTCTTGGCATTTGTATAGCCTTTGCATTCAGTTTTTTTGCTATTTTCAAGCACCTCTAAAGGTCCTTAATACATTGTAATTTGTAACTTTGTTATGTCATAAACTTAAATCATGAGTCACTTGGTACAAGTCACTTAGTGAGTAGAGTAGTTGAACACCTGCACCCACATCTTTGTAATTGTCATTTTATTATTATAGCTACAATAATTTTCGAGAAATAACGGAAAAATGCTTCCTAGTGAAAACATTCTTAAAAGAAAACCAACATCTAGTGCTAGGAACAAATTTGGAAAAGTTCAAGAAAGTGATGTTTCTTAACCGAAAATACTGTAACTGTACATTGATTTTAGGCCTATATGAAAGACACCTTTAAAATTTCCAGTGTGCTTCAAGGTGGGTTCATTCATTCACTAATTTGATCAAAAATATTTCTTAAACAGACATCGTGTTAGCAGCTGGAAATACAAAAATAGAGACAAGGTCTATGCCCTCATGAAGCTGAAAGTCTATTAGGGAACCCAGACATTACACAAGTAAATACAATATAAAGGTTATGAGTATTTTGATCCAGGAGGCCCTAAGAACATAGAGCGGAGGACTACCGAACAGTAGTCCCGGAGTCAGCAGTCTCTGTGATAAAATGACAGTTAACCTGAGACTTGAAGAACATGTGTGTATTGGGGGTGGGGGCATCTAAACCAACCAATTTTAAAGATTTACTAAATCTGTGTATCTAATTTCAACTGATATCCAGGGAAAAACAATGACTCTGACTTGAGGGAAGGGTGAAACCCTCTGGTCATTCACATCACAAAAGGATGTATGAAGGACTTTGACATCAAATACAACACAAATTCACTAAAGTGGTACATTATTTATTTAAATCAAAATGCAGTTACAGGCAACGTTCTAAATGAGACTTTCTTCTTGAGGTACAACCAAGAACAATGAAAATCCCAGATGATCCAAAAGCATCCTTTGAGAATTGTATGAGTTATAGGTAAGTCAACAATTTAAATCAGGACATGACTTAATTCTTGTTATGTCTGAGGACACAGGAGAGTGGATTGAGAAGCCTAGTAAGAGGAATGTTTAAGGAATGCTTAGGGAACAGGCTTCTTGACTGGTTTTATTTTTAGGTTAAACCAAATTATTAGATCAAAAAAGAAAGTTCACCTTTTTGCTTGAACAACTACTGAAACTATTGTAGAAAGTATAATCTTCCTTTCCACCTTCACAAGAACAATATAAGAAACAGAATAGGAAATTTCTTTGATAATTCAGATGGAACTAAATACAAATTCTCCATGTAGATGACATATCTAATCTGCAAGATATGGGGGATTACACATAATCTTTCCTTAGTCCAAGATGTTCTCTGCTACGTTTTAGTAACTAAAATTCCTCTTTATCAGTTTGTTTGGTTGTTATTTAAAGCTTTTTTTAAATCAAGATCGAGTATAACAGATATAAAATCCAATTGGAATTATGATTAGTTTTTTTGTGTGTTTTGTTTTGTTTGGTTTGGTTTGGTTTTTTCTTTTTGAGATGGAGTCTCTCTCTGTTGCCCAGGCTGCAGTGCAGTGGCGCAATCTTGGCTCACTGCAACCTCCACCTCCCAGGTTCAAGCAATTCTCTTGCCTCAACTTCCCAAATAGCTGCGATTACAGATGTCCACCACCATGCCTGGCTAATTTTTTTTTTTCTTCTTAGTGGAAATGTGATTTCACCATGTTGGCCAGGCTGGTCTCAAACTCCCCACCTCTGGTGATCTGCCCGCCTCGGCCTCCCAAATTGCTGTGATTACAGGTGTGAGCCACCATGCCCCACCTAGTTTTTCAAAGAGTTTTTTTCTTCTATATTTAACTACTAGGCAGGGAAGAAGGACTCTGTTTTTACTTTATTACAACATGCAAAACATGGACTCATTCTAAACAGGACATCAACACAGGTCAACTTGCATTGCAATAGATGGTTGGAAAGTAGACATACACTCACCTTTACATATGACTAACCAAAAAAGCTATATGTAATCTAATGCCCATTTTAATTTTTTCCTCATACAGTCAGCAATAATGTGGAAAAATAAATAGGTTTTTCTGTAACCTTATGTTGCACAATGGTACATGTCCTGATTCCTTTTATGACCTTAGGGCCATTTGTTCCAGACTCAAATATAGACCCAGATACACTGAAAACATGCACCCAGTTCCTGGCCAAGGTAGACAAAGTTATGGAGGAAGTGGCTATTTGAGCAGTACAAGCTCCATCACTAATAACATTTACCTGTACTGACTCTACATTTTTAAAGAGCTCTTATATGATAAAAGTAATTCTAGTAAATATTCATTATGAACTTTAAATGGAAAACTGAAGCATCTAAAATCAGAGATTTCTGAGCAAAATTTCACCCTTCTGTGAAATAACCTTTCGAAATTTGTTGCCCCATTTTACTTATCTTGCAAGTTTTGTACTTTATTTAAATACAAAATTCCAGAACATTAATTAGTTGTATTTTAAACAAATAGCTCTTATCCCTTTAAAAGTAAGACCAAGGATTAAACCAGTTCTAAAATCATGTCAACATCAACCAGACGTATCATGAGATTGATTGTTGTATTCTGTTTTTCAGTGTTATGGAGGAAAACATACCACTTCTGTGTGAGACTTAGCTAGAGTGACTATAAAGCAAGGGCCTGGTTCTACCTCTAACTTTTCCAAATTTGTTTCTAGCACTAGATATTGGTTTCTGTTTTCATACTTTTTAAGTATCACTGCATATATAGGCAAATGGAATTATCTTCACTGAAATTGTGGTTTTTTAAAAAGTGACTTTAATTATAGCCATTGCAGGAATTAAAATATAATACTTATTGAATGAAAAGAATGAAGGAAAAAAGGAAGAGAGGGAGAAAAGATGCAGGATAGATACATATTTGTTGAATTGTAGAATAGACAGAGCTTAAACTATTCAGTCCTGAACATACCATCTGCCTGTTTGCACAAAATGGATAATAGAAGGGGTTTTGCTTTCTCTTTTTCTCAATCTCAGTGACAATTGATTAAAGCAAACTGGCTTAACTCACTATATTTTTGGTAGCAAAGCAAAAATAATCTCGGAAGATCTTTGTGGAAGCAGAAACCATGAAATGAATGTAGAGCCTTAGATGGCCCATCAAAGTTTACAAATATGTCAGTCTTTAGAAATTAAGCAATTTAAACTAATGTAGAAGAGGTTTTGGCTTATATGCATTTTCCTCAAGGGTCACCTCCACAGCCTTGGCCACCAGGAGAAATAGGATGTGGTCAGGGCATTTTCTGTGAAATGGGAAGGTTCTAACCAAAATGTTTTCTCAGCTTTACTCTTTAAAGGTAGATTATTGATCTGGAAGAGTTCTGTTTTTTTTTTTTTTCTGGAAATTGAAGAACTCTTTCCTTTATTCCTCCTATTTTCAGACCACATATGTTCTGACAGTGGAATAAAACATTCAAAATGAAGGTTTTATCAAAAATCCATGAAAACAACACTAATCAAAAAGAGATTGAGAATTAGTAGTCCTTGGATCAATCATCTTACATTGCTAGAAAGTGGCCTTATCATCAGGTTAACCGGTAGTAGATTCAAGAGATTACGTGTGTTTAAAAATGTATAAAGAGGCCAGTGCGGTGGCTCACACTTGTAATCCCAGCACTTTGGGAGGCTGAGGCGGGCAGATCACCTGCAGTCAGGAGTTTTAGACCAGCCTGGCCAACATGGTGAAACCCCATCTCTACTGAAAATACTAAAATTAGCCAGGTGTGGTGGTGTGTGCCTGTAATCCCAACTACTCAGGAGGCTGAGGCAGGAGAACCACTTGAACCCGGGAGGCAGAGGTTGCACTGAGCCGAGATCGCACCACTGCACTCCAGCCTGGGCAACAAGCGCAAAAACTCCATCTCAATAATAATAATAAATAATAATAAATAAATAAAAATAAAAATGTATAAAGGCACATTTCTTTCTACCAAGCCCTAGCCAATTGACTAATGTGTTTTCTTGTTTCTTCCAATCAGAATGAGTCTTCATCAACCCAAATTCCAGACTACACCTGAGCCTTTCCATGATGACATCCCAACAGGTTTGCTTTCTTTTAGAGTACTTATAGTGTGAAACACACTAGAAAAAAATGCCATAGAATGACAGTCTAATCCCTAAAATAATTTCTAAATTTCCTGAGCAAATCCTCACTTTCTATCCCTTTCTCTTTCACGTATTGTCTTTTGACCTGCTGGAATTGGTTCACAGCCCTTCTTTCACTCCAGCACCACCTGTGCCCTCCTCAGGCCTCACTTGCCCTTATACATGTCATGTTCCTTCCCAGGATCTGTCCACAACATATGGCTGAAGACTTTCCATGGAGATGGGGTACAAACAAAATAAAAGTTCCCCTATTGGCAGTCCTGATGGTATCAATCAAAATGGGAAGGGAACTGCATCTCTATACCCTCAGAGCGGCCTCACCAAGGCCCTGAACCTTTCACTCCACCAGCTCCCTAAAATACCTGCCTTCTCCCAGCAGCTGCCTGTGCTATTCTTATCTTCACTTGCTGTTGATAGAAACAAGGAAAGCAGCTCTATTTCAGGCTTCAGCATTGACCTAAGTCTCAGCTTTAGTTAAGGCAACACTGGGCTGGTGAAGATGGAGTGAGCCATTATTTGGGGTAATATAATTCAAGGGCTTACTGCAGCACAGGCTGTCACTTTAGTGACTTTGTCCATTTTCTCATTTGCTCCCATATTGACTGAAGCCACTTGAATTTTTCTCTCATTTGATACATACAGTAAAGAAAATCAGGATAACTTTCCTCACTCTATACATATGGAAAAATCTTTTATCTTAAGAGGTTGCAGGGGAACTAGAGCCAGAACTGAAAAGATTTCTAGAAAGGAAATTTGAGGATTGAAGGGATGTCTTGAGGGGATGCCAAAAGGGAGGACCAGAACTCAGGTTACAGCTGAGGTTTGGGGATATCCACTCGAGTGGAGTGAAAGTCTTCCAGTCCTAATGAATCGCTTCTTATGTATACCAAAATATTGGCCTAGTTCATGGCTCTCATTTAGCCAAAGTGGAACCAAGAGCCTGGAGCTAAGAGTACCTACCCAACGAAAGCTACCCAATCTGCTGTTCCCTGGTCTATGATCACCTCATTCTTTTGAAGCCAAGAGAACATGGGTGATAGGCATGTGCAGTTGATTTCATAGTTATCTGTGCCAGCCACACACTCATTCTGCGTTTCCTTTGGACCTGGACTTTTTTCAGACCTGCATTGCAAAGGAATGAATCACATACACACACACACACACACACACACACACACACACACACACACAATCACACACAATCATTGTGTGCCTTTCCCTCAGCAAGAATATATTTTTTGGTCCTAGAGAACAATGTAACAAGATGCCTTTCATCAATGTATTATCTCTGGGAGTATACTTCAATTAGCAATTTAAGAGCTAGATTTTGTGTGCACAGGAACAGCATGTTATGTTCTTGGATGGCCCTGATTCTTGTCCATAGAGTTCATCCTAGAACAGTAATCTTAGAGGTGGGACTACAGGGGGAATAGTTGTAAAACTGGCTAGGAGCTGAAGCTTGGTAGATCTACTGTTTATTATAGCCATGGCCCTTCTGAGCTGACTCTGCTCTTGTATGTGCTCTTAGAGGTCATGAAAACGGCACTAGGCTAGAAGCGATGAGACCTCGGTAGGAATCCTAGTCTTGCTATATAGGCTTGGCCTCTGTGTTCCCACCTGTAAAACCAGAGTAGCATGTTGTCCCACTGAAAGCTAGACCTTCAGCACAAGTGGTCTTCACCTTTGACTGACCCAGGAAAACTGCTGACACTGCCCCATCCCCACTGGATTATAGAGCTTAGACATGTCCATACTGTGGTACTTGCTGCTTATTGCTGAAGCCACCTTCCACCTGTGCTGTGTTCCCTGTGGATTGCTACAAATGCCAAGTGACTGACTCATCCCAGTGAACAACATTACTGCCAATGACTGTCTAACTCAACTGTTGGTCACAATGATTGCTAGCATTTTTTTCTGGATTCTGCTTATCCTTACATATTATCAATAATTCTTAATGACAACTAAGGAAATAGAAAGAACTTATCTTTACAAGTGATGCAGATTCCTTCATGAATCTTTGACTTGATCCCAGAATCCCATGACACCCACGGACTCTTAATCTCAATAAACATTAGTACAGATGCTAACCACCTCATAGGGGCCTACCACCTGGCATGGTGGTATGATATGGCACAAAGAGCACTGGGTTAGGATTAAGAATGTCTGGGTTCTGGTTCTTAGTCCATTAGTGTCTGTGACCTTGGACTGCTGTTCCCTCTTAATTACAGTGATGAGACTGAACTGGATCCAAGGTTTGTGATCCTGTAACGTCTCTAGCTCTCATTCAGTTGGACTTTGTTCTCTGGAGCTTGTTCCAGAGAATTCAGAGTTCCAATTCTCTTAGTCACTCAGCGATTCCCAATGGGAAGATGTTATTTCATGCACTGGTTTACCCCCATTCAAGTTATATGTCTTCTGGAAAAATTGAATATTAACCAACTTTTAATAAATCATTTTGAAGAAGAGATAGGGTAAGGATTTTAAATAACCCTAAAATAAATTATTTCACAAAATACAGATTTCTTTTGAAACAAAAGTACTTTCTGTCCCTACTGTAGCCTTTTTATAAGATCATGTTTATTCCTTATTTTTATTTTTTTAAAGAACAGAACTATATATGTGTCCCTGAAAAGTCTCCTGAGAATTGAATCCTCTTTTCTCTTTCACTCATATTACAACACCAGACATGTTTTATCTTCATTTTTAATTTAATTGGTAATGACGTCTAATACTTGAGTTTTGTTTCTGGGTACTCCTTTTGGCCTCATTGACAAGATTTGTAAAAGTTTAAATGTTGTGAGGGGAAAAGGCAATTTCATTAAAAGAAATTCTTAGGTGAGTTTTTTGTTCCATTTTCTTAAGAAAAAATAAAAGGTGGATTTGAAAATCAAATTATTAGGTGAATTTTAAATCTGTTTTATAAGGTTGAAGAAGTCTTTGTTGGCCTGTGGTTATTTTGAGCTTCTTTAAGAATAGAATCTAAGTAGTCCTTATCCTTCTTTCCTTCTTGTACTGTCATCCAGAAAGCATTCACTACAGACTGCCCATTCTGGGCCCCAGGACAGCTGTCTTCCACGGATTACTGACAGAGGCCTACAAAACTCTAAAAGAGAGACAACGTTCTTCCTTGCCCAGAAAGGAACCAATAGGCAAGACAACGAGGCAGTGAGCGGTAGGAGCTCATCACCTCCCAGACTCCCAGAGAGAAAATAACCTCGCCAAGCCAATCTTTGACACTGGCACCTTCTCCTCACAATTTTCTCTCTTCTCCCAAAAGATGATTTAATTTTGCCTTCCTAAGATTGCTGGTATTCTAGCTCTTACCTCTATGTTCTTTCTCACGTCTCCTAAAGACAAAATTGTTTAATTTACATGATTATAAAGATCTGTTTATGAAAATGGAACATGGTAACTGTCTCTCATTTTATTTTCTTAAAGGTTCTTCTCTACGTTAAGGTGGAAAATGTCCTTCTGTTTCTAAGTCACAAGTTTTCTGTGAAAGTTATTTCAGCTCTTTCTTCAGGACAGGGGCCAGAGATGGCTCCATGAAATCCCTCATGAATTCAGCTTATTAAGAATAAAGGAATAGGCTAGATGTGGTAGCTTACACCTGTAATCCCAGCACTTTGGGAGGCCAAGGTGGGTGGACAAAGTGGTTTAATTTACATGATTATAAAGATCTGTTGATGAAAATGGAATATGGTAACTGTCTCTCATTTTATTTTGTTAAAGATTCCTCTCTATGTTAAAGTGGAAAACATCCTTCTGTTTTTAAGTCACAAGTTTTCTATGAAAGTTATTTCAGCTCTTTCTTCAGGACAGGGGCCAGAGATGGCCCCATGAAATCCCTCATGAATTCAGCTTATTAAGAATAAAAGAATAGGCTAGGTGCGGTAGCTCATACCTGTAATCCCAGCACTTTGGGAGGCCAAGGCGGGTGGATCACCTGAAGTCAAGTGTTCAAGACCAGCCTGGTCAACATGGCGAAAACCTGTCTCTACTAAAAATACAAAAAGTAGCCGGCCGTGGCTGGTAGCAGGTGCCTGTAATCCCAGCTACTCAGGAGGCTGAGTCAGGAGAATCACTTGAACCCAGAAGACAGGGGTTGCAGTGAGCCAAGATCACACCACTGCACTCCAGCCTGGGCAACAGAGTGAGACTCTATCTCAAATAAAATAAAATAAAATAAAATAAAAATATAAAAAAGAACAAAGATGTGGGGCTGGGCACAGTGGCTCAAGCCTGTAGTCCCAGTGCTTTGGGAGGCTGAGG
This sequence comes from Homo sapiens, assembly GCF_000001405.40. Classification (NCBI taxonomy): domain Eukaryota; kingdom Metazoa; phylum Chordata; class Mammalia; order Primates; family Hominidae; genus Homo; species Homo sapiens. The sequence continues at coordinate 172,469,698 of NC_000001.11, forward strand.
CAGGAGGATCACTTGAGGTCAAGAGTTCAAGACCAGCCTGGGCAATAAAGGGAGACCCCTATGTCTACAAAAGTAAATAATAATAAAAAAAAGAATAAAGGAGAAAAAGAGAAGTTGCCATCTAGCCTTATCTGTGTTTGTTAACTCTGGTAGATGGCAGAGGATACTGTGATGCAATGACTGGAAAATGGCAAGGCATTCGTCGTTGCAACCCTGAAGCACAGGAACTGTGCCTTGCCTTGCCCTTCTCACGTCACTTCCTTTAGTGCCTCTCATATGTGAGAAGTTCAGCTAATCCTGGCTTAATAAAAACCATACCTAGTGCATGTATTATGTAGTTTGATTACTTTGGTTGGAAGATGTATGCATCCAGATTTGTCCCAATCTGTGTGTCCATCTGCAGTGTGAGGGAGACAAAAGAAAACTCTAGGCTGGCAAATATGATATTTATAGGCACATATGTTTCATGTCCAGCTTATTGGGGGGGTATATATATAAAAAGAACACCTCTGTTATTTAAGAAGCAATGGTCTTGTCTTATCGCAAGATCCTGACTAACTGGAAACTGGATCAACATGTGAGAACCAACCTCTGCCTGACTGTATCTGAAGAATGCTAAAAGTATCATCAGACTTTGAACACCTACTGTTGACTTTTCTCTAATACCTCTGTCGAGTGACTAGATTAACCAGATAAGTGAGTAAAAACATCCTGACATCCCTTTCCCTAGAGGGCTGGAGACACAAGGGTACATCATGGAGACTGGGAATTCACATAGTCTGGGGACCCCTGGGAGTCTCTGAAGCCCTTGCAGAGTGTCTGTGACTTTACTTGAAGAATGGACTTCAAAAATCTCAAACAAATGGCCTTGTCCTTAAATTGGCCTCACTTCCTGCACAAGAAAAAAAAAAAAAGACAAACAAAAACAGAAAAACTTGCTTGATTGTCCTGAATTCCTGGTAGGCTATGATTCTTGGTTTCAGTTCAGTTGGAGTTTAAGAACTCCAAAAACAGTGCCCTTGAATTCTGATCCCATTTCAGATAGTTGTCAAAGGAGAGACACATCACAGGTAACAATGTTTCCTTCTTTTGTTGTTGTTGCAGATTAATACATCCAGTGAAAAGATTGGGTGTAACTGTACCCATGCATTATAGAGGATACATGCCCCATTTGCAATTATCTGGAGCTTTTGAGGTAATCAGAATATTATGTGACTAGTGAGATAGAATGCTTCCTAAATATAGTCAAGATGGCTTCATCCATAGTACTGGGACATTTCCAAAATCTTGTAAAATAAAAAATAATAATATCATGTTGTTCAGTAGTATGATGACAGAAAAGGTTGATCTATATCAATGGTTCTTAAACTTTTGGTCTTAGGAAATTTTACACTCTGAAACATTGAAAACACTAAAGAACTATTTATTATATTAGAAATTAAAATGGAGAAACCTTTTAAACACTTCCAATCAGCTGTCAGAGTGATGACATTATCACACGTCATGTAGCCTCTGGAAAACTCCACTACACTTAGGAAGTTTTCCAGAGGCTACTTGAGGCTTCTTGAGAAGAAGGATAAGAAAGGAAAATAACATCTTAGTATTATTATGCGAACAATTGTAACTCACAGACACTCTGGAAGGGCTTCAGAGACTCCCAGGAGTCCCCAGATTATGTGAATTTCCAGTCTACATGATGTATCCTTGTGTCTCTAGCCTTCTAGGGAAAGGGATGTCAGGACGTTTTTACTCACTAATCTGGTTAATCTAGTCACTCGACAGAGATATCAGAGAAAAGTCAACAGCAGGTTTTCAAAGTCTGATGATACTTTTTAGCATCATTTACCTCCCTTTGCTCAGATTGTCTACTTAAAAACTTTATAAACTTCATTTGGTTTCTCAAATATAGTGGGTTGACCAGTTAGCACAAGAAGTCTAGTTCCCTTTGAAATCTCATTTCTCTATATGAATGATTGTTAATTTGCTTGGGCTAGTGTGAACTCATTTTCCAGAATCTGAGGTCTAAACCTGGACCCAGTGTGGCCTCAGCACACTAGAAATACTCCATCTGCAGCTTCATTGAATAGTTAGCCAGCTGGTGAACTTCCTTTTCAGTTTACTCCTACAACAAAATCCTGAGAGTAATGGGACTGAGGGAAGAATTTCCTAAATTGGGAAGTCCAACTCTGACATACCCCTCCACAGGACTAACCCAATGCTATCATTTCAATTTAAACTTGCAAAGAGATTTGCATATATGCTGCGTGATTTTTCTCTGCAAGTAGTATTATTTAAAATAAATCTTCTTACTCACACCAACTTTGCTTCTATTTTTCCTGTGGTAGTCAAAGTTTTGACTCTGCCATCCCTCTTAGCCCAACCTTTCCTGCACTGAGTTGGATCGTTAGAGGTTATAACTTGAGCTTGTCAGTTATTTTACCTGCTGCATGTTTTTAAGCGTCATCCAAAAGATCTCTCATAAATGGGCCATGGTAATTTCTTCACTATGAAAATCTACTGGTAATGTTATTCCTAGTTCAAAGTAATATACATTTCAGATTAATTTTGCAAAATGGATAATCTTGGGTAGATTTTTGTCGTTGTTTTAAGGTAAAGCCTGCTTTTGCTGTTTTTTTTTTAAACAATGACTCTTATTATAATAAAAGTCCACTGACATGAGTCAGATATACTCTTTCATCTTTCCTCACCCTAACAGGGAATTTTAAAAAACCAATCAATCTACAAAATTCTTTTATTGCCAGGAATGGAGAGAAATGCTGTATTTAGGAAAAGCCGTGCTGTAGCTTTTAAAAACAAATATTTAACTCGTTGTCACATCTAGTTCCCAGTTTAACCTTGGGAAATCCTACAGGCCTCTACTGCCATGTGCTGTGTTCAGGATCACTTGTATTTTCCCTTCCCCAAACTGTCAAAGCTCAGGGGAGACCTGTCAGGAGCCATCACCTCCCAGGCCTTGTGGTAGAACACATTGGAGCTGCCCATTGTTCTGAACATGTCTAAGAATACATAACTTCAAGTAGCCTAAGTGTAACAAGTTTAATAACTGCCTTGTGTCCTCCTAAGGAAAGCCCTATTTAGAATGTCCCATTTGGGTGTAGTTACTCAGGCTGAGGGAGGTCTTAGGGATGAGAAAGGCATTACTGAACAGAGTATGAAAGAGTTTCAAGAAGAAGAGGAAGCGTGGGTCTTGTTTCTATAAATAAACCTATAAATTCTGAAGAGTCAAGGTGAAATTAGAAAATTTAGAAATGGATAAAATTTAACTAACCCTTAGAGAAAACAGGGATGATCAATTCTGTTTCAACCATCTCCCTCTCAAAAACATCTTAATTTAGCACTTTATTAAATATTATACCTGTTTAATACATGTAATTCTTGTCTCTCTAGAAAAATGTATAACTTAATGAGGACAAGAACAATATCTCATGCTGACACCATATCCCTGCAGGAGCTACCCAGAACACACTTGAGAGATATTTCAAATGAAAAAAAAAATATCTATTCCTAAGCTTACCAAGCAATATGGAAAAAAAAATGAAGTAAAATCCCTGAATTTGGGACAGCAAGGCTATAAAGTATTTAGGTATTAGGATCCTGCCTTTGAGGAGCTAATAGTTTCAATTGTAGAATAAGATATACACACAAACATGCACACAAATGAACACATGTGCAGGTCAGTATGAAATTAGGCATGAGTTATAAACAGAAACACTCAGTGATTGCAGCAAAAAGTTCTCCATATCACCAACCGTCCAGCTCTCTAGACAGGAACAAAGAGGCAGTTGTGTCAACATCTCAAGAAAGTGGTCAGAAGGGGGAAATAGCCATATTCACCCACATGGGAAGTTATCGCTTGTTCTTTGCAAAGTCTTTGGCAAGACATTTAACTGTCTGGCCAGTGAAATGCAGAATAGTGGAATCAGGTACCGGCAGATGTCTGCTGTTTCAAGGAAAACTTGTTCTTAAACCTCTTGGGATTGTCCTCCACTCAGTCTGTGTAGTGGGGATCATCCTGTAGGGATGTCACATAGCCAGAGTCAGGAAGCCCTTTCTTCCTGGATTCTCACATTGAGAAAGATGCATGAAGAGTAAGATATGCATAAAAACAACAAGAAAGACATTTGGTAACATTAATTGGCTCCAAGGCATGGAACTGTGTGGCTGGAGGACAAAAATTGGCCAAGAAAGAGGATTTTTCAGAGTACACCCATATTTGCTCTTTTAATTTTGAACCATGTGAATGTTTCACTGACTCAAAAATAGAACAAGCTGAAACAAACAAAAAAATCTTTTTAAAATTGCCAGAGGGATAATCTAGGTGATAAGCTATTAACATAACTGTTTGTCTTCCTGATACTCAAACAACATAGTCCTTGAATACTTACAAGGTTTGGACAAGTTTCCAGTTTAAAGAATAAACTTTGTCTCTGGCCCTTGGAAGTTTTGCCACTGAGAGGCTTCTACTGGCAAATAGTAACATTTATGTAGCATTTTAAACTTTTCAAAGCACTTTCACTTGTTTTTCCTTTCTGTTTGCATTAAATTTACCATTGTTCTCCCCGTTTAAAAAAAGCAACAATGTTTCATACAGTTCTATCTATTTAGCAAATGCAATTCTTTCCTGGGGCACTTTTACCAAAAAACAAAAACAAACAAACAAAAAAAAAACAAAAAAAATCTTTTTTTTTTCTTCTTAAGATCCCAGGTTATTTGGGCAGTATGACATGGACCCAGTCATTCTCTCTGGATCCACCCCAGTGCCACTCAAATTACAGCACCTAGAGAGTAGAATCTAAAATTCTACTAATGCCCTGGCCAAATGTGGCTATGAGAATCTTAACCTCTCTTGTTCTGGATTTCCTACTGCCTGAAAAACAGACTATTATGGCTTTAGTCTTCCTAGCAGCTAAGTCACATTCATTCTTTCACATTGACTTGCTACCAACTAAAGACTTTTTGTCCTTCTAGTGAGAATTACTGTTCTGACAGCTTTCTTCAGGCTGCTAAATTTTTTTACACCTATATGCATGCCCCTATATTATTTCTTATTAGGGTTTATTCCTGCTAGCTTCCAGCCAGTTACCATCTTTCTGAATCTAGATTCCATCATTGACTAGTCCTCCCAGATTTGACAATCTCGTCTTCTTCTTCTAGGTATTTGACACAAGTGTTGAAAGGAACAGAGCCAGGAACCAGACCCCATAGAATAAATTTAGAACTGTCTCTTTAGATCAAGGATTCCCAGGGGGCTCTTCTTTATATTTTATCGTAAAAACATTCAAATATACACAGAAGTAGAAATAACAGCACAAAAACACCTATATCTCCTCCCTCTGGAGTCCACAATTGTCAATATTTTTGCCACATTTCCTTCACCTATATATTGTTTTGCCAAACCATTTTAAAATAGATATCATGACATTATACCACTATATAGTTCAACTTGCAGTCCTTCAACGCATAACATCATTATCTCACCTAACAAAATATGAATAATTCCTCATTGTTATATTCACTTAGTCTATATTCAAATTCCCCATTTGTCCTCAACATGACAATTACGGCAGGTTTGTTCAAAGCCAAGTTACATCAAGGGTGACATATTGCATTTTTCCTCCTTTCATCTAGAACTCCACCTCAACTTCCTTTTTCATTACATTGATCTGTTGATCTATTGAAGAGACAAAGATAATTGTTTTGTAGAAGCCAAAGACCTCTTTAAATAATATGGCTCTTCATGTTGTTCATTACAAATGCTGCTATCAAATAAAGGTCATTTATTAAATAATGTTAATTTTCCTTTTTAATAACAAATTTGTATGTAACTACCAATTAGAGATCCTAGTAAACATGAAATAGCACTCTTATCACTTTGGGTTGACATGATCACAAGGATAAACTCAGAATTATGATCCTTTATAATGGTATAACATTGATCAAGTTACTTAACATCTATGGGTCTTTCCTGTGTTCTGTAATGAATCTATCTCAGTAATACAGTTCTTATAAGGACTGATACAATAAGCATGCAAAGTTTCTATTTAGAATCTCTGATCATAGAAGCAAACACATGTTTTCATTTAATATTTGGAAAGCTGACTTTAAACTAATATTTGTCCAATCCATGTTGTGTGCTGGTAAAGAGGGTGGTTAGTTGAGTACAATTGATTCCCCACTACCTATTCAACACTGTTAGAGAGATCACATTTCATCCTCACAATAACCCTACAAGATAGGTATCACTATCCCTATAATATGGATGAGGAAACTGGATCTCACAAAGTTTAAATGACACACTCAGGTTCACACTAAGTTGTTAATTGAACTTAGGTGTTTTTGAATACATACCTGGAGCACCTATAACTTCCCTACTCTGCTCCTCTGATTGTGAATAATACCCACTCCTTGGTCAATATAATATCTAAGATATTATATCTACCAATCACTACAACCTTGTTAGAGTTAAATTAGAAGTAGCAATTCCCTCATTGAAATCTTCTATCTTCTGAGGGATAAATCTCGCTACAAACCAAACAAAACCAAGCCTTATCTTCTGGGGTTTCCCCAGAGTGGGAAATGCCACACACTTGCTGCAGGCAGAGGCCTCTCTCCTCTCAACCTGTTAGACATTCAGGTTTACTGGAAATGTGTCATGTCTTTGGAATGGGAGGGTAGGGAGGAGCCAGAGAGAGACACGTCCTGGCATGAAACTTGCCCACCAGGATAGACAAGGCTTGGGAGGTGGGAGGTGGTGGGTAGGAAGGCAGACTAGGCCCAAGAGCATGTGAAAGTCTGAACATGTGAACATATGTAGCACCAGTCAGTCCTGGGGTTTTTGTCAGCCATTAGAGACCAAATATAGGTGTGTGTGTGTGTGTGTGTCAGAGGGTACTTGGAAGTGTCAAAGGCACTTCTTACCTGTGGTAAAGCTCAGTCACTTGACACAAAGTTCAAGGGGCTAGATTCTGTCTGGCGAAGGGAGTCTGGCCAGAGCAAAATTAGGAAGCCCAGGGATTCTCAGTGGGGCCGTATCATGATTTATGGGGGAGACAGATGCAGTTAGAGACTGCATTCAATATTGAAATATTTTACATACATGTATTTTAAAACAAAATATATTTGTGTTTATAATACAAAATGATGAAAGCAAATTGGAAAAAAAATCTTAGCCAGGAGGATGTGCAGATGAACTCTAGCTAAAAACTGTTACCTTTTGGGTAGTGATTTTTCAAGGGAGTTGTGAAATTTCTATGTTAAACAAAAGAGGATATTGGTTTCAATACTGAGAAATCCTTGGAGAACAGAGGGGAAAACAGAAGTTTTGGGAGCAGATGTTGGTGCTAGAAGAGCAATAAGTTAGCCTGGGGCTTATCTCTATTTCATTTATTTTATTCGATAAACATTCACTGAAAAACCTAAGCAAGACGCTTTGTGAAAAACCTACTAAGCAACAGGCATTGCTGTGGGTACAACAGTGCTGTGGGTACAACAGTGAATGTAACCATTTTCTGCCCTTGAGAAGTTTGTGATCTAATTAAGCAGTAGAGGTAGGTTAACAGAGAACAACAACAAAATCTTAGAAGTGCTACGATAGAAGTATACACAAGGCACTAAGAGGAGTCTCTGGCCCAAGTTCAAGGTGGGGAGGAGCAGAAAGAATTTCTTAGACCACAAATGAATTTTAAAGAGCACTTGGCACTGGATCTAGTGCAAAGGGACAGTCTCTCTAGCAGAGTGATGAACCATAGTGACTACAAGTTTGGGCTCTGTACTCATGTTGGCTGAGTTCCATTACAGATGGCACAATCTTGGGCAAGTAACTTGCCTCTCTAGACCTTGGTTTCTTCCTCTATAACATCAAGATGGTACGATGGTACTGCAGGGGCCAACCTCTTGGCCCTATGAAGGTTCACTGACAAATAAGCTCATAAAAGGCAGATTAATTGGAGAAAAGACATACTCATTTATTTTAAATGTATACACAAAAGAGCCATTGGAATGAAGACCTAAATATATGGGAGAAATTACCCATTTTGATGCTTAGATTCAAAAAAGTATGGAGAGTTGTGTAGAAATATGATTGGACAAAAAGGTTGTGATCAAATGCTAGTAGACTGAGTGGGGAAACCCAGCAAGACCTGCCTGTCTGAATTCTTCTTGGCGTCTCTGAGCATGCACTCCTTCCTTCTGGGTGTGGGGCAGAGTGTCTTTGGGGAAGGGGGGCTCTGGTTTTTATGGCTCACCACAGAGAAGAGGAATTCTAGTTTCTATGACTAGCCTCAGGGGAGAAAGGTGCTGCAAGACAGGAGGGCAGCAGAAGGTCAGAGAAAAACATTTACTTCTAATGCTGCTTCTGAGGCCTTCATTTCAGGATATTGTGTTCTCAGCCCCAGTAGTACCTACCTCACAGGGTTGCTGTGAGAAGTAAATGTAGTAATTATGTAAAGCACTTTAGCACATAGCTCTCAATAAATATAAATTATTAATTAATATAAAATGCAACATGTCCTGATGGATCTGAAATTGTATTCGGGGGACTTTTAATTAGGGTATTCTCTGTGTTTAGACATTCTCTTCCAATGCTGGTCTAAGGTTTTTGACTCTTCATTTGTAGAGCATTACACAAGAGTCAATGAGGGCGATCTATCAAGGATTGACATATAAATTAGAAATGTGGCAGTGCTGGTTTTCAAAGGGAGTTCATGGTTAACGAAAACCTACCTCAGCCAAACCCAACATTTGCTCTCATTCATTTATGTATTTATTTTTTCAATATTTTAGTTCCTAATATATGCCAGGTACTATGATTTATGGTAACTTTACAGAGATGATTTATACATAATACTTTTCCATAGAAACTCACAGTCTTAAGAGAGAGAGAGAGAGAGAATCACAATACCATATGATAGTGTGATAACAGAGGTATGTGCAAAATGCTTTGGGGAACCCTCCCAAGTGCTGTAATGACTAACACTGACTGCACATCTGGGAAGGTTTCCTGAAGGAGGTAACCTTCTAGTTAGGTCTTTAATAAGAGTTTCCCAAGCAGATACCTGTGGGATGGGAGAATTCCAAGAAGAGGAGATTGTTTATGTAGAGAAACAAAGCATTGATCAAAAATGATGTATTCATGGCAAAAAGCATAGAAGCATTGTGTAAGATTAACAGGGGATTAGGTTAAAAAGGTAGATTATACCAGTATGATATTAGGTGGCTGTGTAATACTTACTTATAGGCTGGAGAGAACTAGAGGCATGATCACAACAGATCTGAGAAAGAACAAACAATGGAAACCGAGTGACAGGAGAGGACAGATGAGATAAAAAGAAATCAGGCCTTTGCAGTAATCCAGGCAAGGTTGGTAATCTTGAAAGTTTCTGGCTGTATATACTGTCTGGCCATACAGAAAGAGATCAGGACTGCAGATGCATTTCTAGGAGTCATCAGGTTAAAGGTGATATTTAAAGCTATGCATATCAATGAGCTACCCCAAGGACATGATGTAGTGTGGGAGGAGAGGGGTCCAAGTGGGCAGGCCTGGAGAATACCAGCAAAGGACAAGGTAAGAAAGAAAAGGCAGCAAATTAAACGGAGAAGAAATCAAAAATTGTTGTCCTAGGGAGGAAGAAGTTTACAAAGTAAGAAGTTATCAATGGTGCCAAATACTATAGGGAATTTAAATACGAAACGAGTAAAAAGAAGTCACCAGATTCCACAATTAAAAAGTTAGGGTAGTCATAGTTAAAGTATTAGGGACCAAAGCTGGATTGCAATGAGTTGAAGAAAAAAGGCAGTTTGGTGATAAGAAAGAGAGACAAGGTTGAAGAAAAGGTATGCTTAATAAGGGAGAGACAGGAACATATTTGAAGCCAAGCCTGTGGACACCTAAGCATTCTACTGCTTTGTTTCTGTCTATGAGTTGTTTTTTAGATTAAAAAAAAATTGTAAAATATTTTTTATGGTGTAAGGATCTCATTTGCAGGCTTTTTTAAAAACTGCACCCACGACCGGGCGCGGTGGCTCACGCCTGTAATCCCAGCACTTTGGGAGGCCGAGGCGGGCGGATCACGAGGTCAGGAGATCCAGACCACGGTGAAACCCCGTCTCTACTAAAAATACACAAAATTAGCCGGGCCTGGTGGCGGGCGCCTGTAGTCCCAGCTACTCCGGAGGCTGAGGCAGGAGAATGGCGAGAACCCGGGAGGCGGAGCTTGCATTGAGCCGAGATTGCGCCACTGCACTCCAGCCTGGGCGACAGAGGGAGACTTCGTCTCAAAAAAAACAAAAAAACAAAACAAAAAAAACTGCACCCATGAGTGTTACCTGAAACCCCTCTGCTCACTCTACACTGGCTTTTCTCCCCGCCCTCAGCATATCCACACCAGAGGCTGCAGGGACTACAGGAGGAATGAAAGGAAGCCTGCTCTCCAGCTCAGGCACTCCTCCAGGATCCTACCTTCTGCCTGCTCCAGTCTTCCTCACACATCGGCTCCCCTCCTTCCTGACCCACTTGGCTTCATGACTTGGCTCCCACTTCTACTATCTCTGGAGCTTCAAACTGTTTATTGGAGCCAGGGAACAGAACCTTCTCAGCACTGCAAACTGAGGCCTGTGGTGTCATGGCCATGGCTCTGGCCCCAGGACCTGCCACACATTCATTTATTGCACATATATTTGTTAAACCCCTATTGTGAGCCAGGTACTATTATAGGCACTTGAAGACATTGGTGAAGAAGGAAATCAAAGTCCCTGTTCTTAATGGAATTTACATTTAGTAGAGGAGAAAAACAATAAACAAATGGTGGGCAAGGCCCCCAGGTGCCCTATCTTCCAGGAAAAGAACAGGAACGCACTCACACTGAATGATAGTTACACTTCATAAACTCTCAGAGCCACTCCCTTTGATGTGGTTCCCTAAGACATAAAGTCTACTACTGTCACCTCTCTCCCCCAGGCATTCAGACTCCAAATGGGCATGCCATCAATCAAGTAACATTCTTATTCTTTTCTGGCATTCTACATCCCCCACATGCTACGCTTTCCACTAATTAGCATATATTGTCCAATCTAGGAAGCCGTCAGGTAAAAGATGAACCACTGTTGTAGGTACTTTAAATAAATGTATGATAAGAGAAACTTAATAGGGGACCCCTACATAAAGCTGAGACACCAAAGAGCTATACCCTTAATATAAAGGTAAATAAGAAATGAACTCACCTCACAGAGTGAGACAGGAAAAAAAATCTTACATGTCTCAGTCTTGGCTTTAGTGGAGAGAGTGGGAAGAACATCTCATCTGGGAATTTAAACTACAAGCTGGTACTCTTACTGGTGGTCTAACTTCACACTGCTAGTGTGGCCCAAATATCCCCAATCTCAGAATTTAATATGAAGTGGTCTCAAAGTGACTGGCAGAAGCAAAAGTAAACCCTCAGAACCAAGGTTCACAATGCCCAAAAGATGGCTCACTTACTCTGGCAATAAGCAAAATTAGTCATTTCTAATACAACCAAAAGATAATAGCCACCTGAACAACTTCATTGTGTAGGGATTTAAACTATAGTCTCTATTCTGTTAGTTTATTTATTTATTTATATGTTTATTTTTGAGACAGGGTCTCACTCTGTCACCAGGCTGGAGGGAAGTGGCACAGTCATGGCTCACTGCAGACTTGAACTCTTCAGCACAAGTGGTCCTCCTGCCTCAGCCTCCTGAGCAGTTAGGACTACAGGTGTACACCACCATGTCCAGCTAATTCTTTTATTTTTACTTTTTGTAGAGATGTGATCTCACTGTGTTGCCCTCCCTGGTATTCTCTGGGTTTAAATTTTAAGTGCAATACTTTGTCTATAGTGACCACTTCAAAGTTACAGATGGAGAAATTAAGGCTTATATAGCAAACTAACCATGGCACCGAGATGCTCATTTAGACAATCCTTTTTCCTCAAAGAACAGAGCTTCTCTGTGTCTGGCATCTTAGGCTCATCCTTCTTGGATGGTAGCTTCTATTAAGTAGCATGCTGTCATCTATGGAAATGGGTATCAGCGCCTGGAGACATCAGTCTTAATTATTGGCAAAACCTCCCTAGAGCTCCTAAGCTAATTCTGGGCTCCGTAACTGGAAATGCAGATGCTGGTAAAGGTATTGAAGGGAAATATGAAACCTATTGTAAAACAAGAACTAGGTGGGAAAGGTAAAATTCTAAGTTTTTCTTTTTCTATCTAGAAGGAACACCAGAGATCATCTAGTCCAATTCCTCAGGCTATATGGCAGGACTATCCTATCAGATCTTTGCATGGCTCATCTTTTTGCATAACTCAGGTTTCTGTTTAAATGCCACTCCTCAGGAAAGACCCCATTGATTATCTCATTTATAATAGCCCACCCACATCCCAAGATGCTTAATCCCTTCTTTTGCTTCTTTTAGTCAGAACAATTATCACTTTCTGAAATGGCCTGAAACTATTAGTTAATTATCAACTTGCTTTTTCTGTCTTCCCCCACTAGAAGACAGAAACGTTGCTCAGCTCTATAAACCCAGAGGTTGAGCAGCATCTGGCCCCAAATGGAAACTAAAAAAAAATGTTGATTGAGTGAATAGTGAATGAATCAGTGAAGAAAATAAGGATGACAGCCTTAATTATTTCAATTTCAAACAAATGAAATTTAATGATGTTAGGTTTAGATTAGGTTTTTGTTTTGTTTTTTTTTTTTTGTTTTTTTTTCTGAGATGGAGTCTTGCTCTGTCATCCAGGTGCATCCAGCGCAATCTCAGCTCACTGCAACCTCCGCCTCCCAGATTCAAGCAATTCTCCTGCCTCAGCCTCCTGAGTAGCTGGGACTACAGGCACACGCCGCCACGCCCGGCTGATTTTGTTTGTTTTGTTTTGTTTTGTTTGTTTTGTTTTGTATTTTAGTAGAGATGGGGTTTCACTGTGTTGCTCAGGTTGGTCTCGAACTCCTGAGCTGAGGCAATCCGCCCGCCTCAGCCTCCCCAAGTGCTAAGATTACAGGCAAGAGCCACTGCGCCTGGCCTAGATTAGGTTTTAAGTGATTCATTTTCTCTGAGGAGCTACCTGTAATGTTTCAGTATTACAGCCCTTACCATTGTGTCTGCTATATACAAAGTTCTCAGTAAATGTTTGCTGGATGGAAGAATCCACATGATATATCCCTTTATAATAAGCTTCTTCAACTCTCTGGAAATTGATGAGGCTTACCATTAGAAGACAATGATATATGTGATGATATTAACCAAAAAGAGGTAGAAAAATAGAAATAGATTTTAGATCATATGAAACGTTGAAAGAGATGAAAGAGTTAAAAGATTTAAAATAACATTTTAAAAATGAGAAGTGGGGCCAGGTGTTGTGGCTCATGCCCATAATCCCAGCACTTAAGGGGGCACTGAAGTGGGAAGATCACTTGAGCCCAGGAGGTCAAGACCAGCCTGGACAACATAGGGAGACCCCCATCTCTAAAAAAAAATTAAAAATTAGCTGGGCATGGAGGTACCTGCCTGTGGCACCAGCTACTCAGGAGGCTGAGGTGGGAGGATTGCACCACTGAACTCCAGCCTGGATGACAGAGTGAGACCCTGTCTCAGAGAGAGAGAGAGAGAGAGAGAAAGGAAAATCATCAATACTGGGAAAGGAAGACAGGAGAGTTTTAAAGGAAGAAGAAGGAAAGATTCAAGAAGTCATGATTGTCTATGTTCCTCTCATTTCCTATGTTAAGTAATCAAAGGAGGTTATAAAATCTTCCTCCAGGAAGGTTTTAAAGATAAGAACACTTTTTTGTTGGCTGGTGTGCCTGTGGATCCATCCTGGAAGTGAGGAATAAACCAAATGGTTTTTCCAACATCTTCTAGACTTATGATACTCTGCATTTGGACACTGAAAAACCACTCATTCATCATTCAGCAAACATTTACAAAGTTCCTGCTATGTACCAGGAAATAGTTAGAATCCTTTTGGTTCCAAGTGACAGAAATTCAATTCATACCTTAATACTTCAAGAAAAAATGGAAGTGAACTTGAAGGATCCTGCTTCTCTCCCAGAGCAACCAACCCACAAGAAGGGCAGGAATGCAGCAGACCCCAGGAACCATTGCAGCCAGGGACCTAATATGCTGAGGATTCTATCTCCATCTTTTTTCTTTGTTGTCTTTAGATGTTGTCTTTTTCTTTCTCCTATTGCAGACTATTTCCTCATAGAAAAATGAGACTATGGACATCTTCTAAGATTTATGCCTTACAGTTTTTGGCTGCTTGTGATCTCAAGCCCAAAGATCTAGAAGGCACCAGACCCAACTTGAAAGTGTGCCCTACCATCAAGTAATCGATTATAATCATTCAGATGGGACTAAATAGGAACTCCATAAGGACGAAATACTGTGGAAGGAGAGACATAGTTTTCAAAGTAAGTGGGTAGGGCTGAGCAAGTAATACCATATACATTCATTATGGCCTGATACTGTGTTGTACCAATACAGGTGAAACAAATATGATTAAACTTTATATCTGTAAAATCAAGGTGTCATCAACTGGTGCACTACACAAAAATGCTGTCAATGATGTCCTTAGGAAGTTTGAATGCAATGGTATATTTAGGAACAGCTGAGATTGGCATCTCTCTTTGAGAAGACTGCCCTAATTTTCTTTGTAAAAGGCACATCCTGTCTCTCCAGTTCAGAGGGTTGACCTGTCACTTGGGGTTAGTGATGACTACAGAAGTGAGGATGATAGTTGAGTAACTGGTTTGTCAACTCTTGGGAGTATGGAAAAGAGGCATGATATTATTGGAGATGGGCAGTATGAAGTAGGAAACAAGAGGAGTAGGTAGAGAGAAAGAGAGAAGAAAAAAAACAGGAGAAAGTGGTTAATGGAGTTTATGTAAAATTCACTCCAAACCTCACTTCCTCATAGTTCTCCATTTCCTCTGTCATTCAAGAATGAGAAAGATAGGCTCTCCTGAAAAATACTGAGAGGGCAAAGCTCTTTGATCTGGGACTGTCTGATCACAGATTGTTCCTTTAGCTCCTTGGCAGTCTGCTCAGCTCTTTCCCTAGATCAATGTCTGGTTAGAAAGGGGTTATGAGACTGAATGAACTACTCACACCCTAGCTTCATTTCCATGATAACTGATCTTCACCCATTGCATTTGGGGTCTCATAACTTACACCTTCCTAAGGAGGAATTGGTATGTTTGGAGAAGGAATGGGGTTGGCTTGTGGTCAAAGAGCTGGGCTTTTCAGAATTCTCTAAAGGATTGATGTTTCTTTTCTTTCTTTCTTTCTTTCTTTCTTTCTTTCTTTCTTTCTTTCTCTCTCTCTCTCTCTTTCTTTCTTTCTTCTTTCTGTCTTCTTTCTCTTTCTCTTTCTTTCTTTCTCTCCCTCCTCCTCCCTCCCTCCCTCCCTTCTTTCCTTCCTTCCTTCCTTCCTTCCTTCCTTCCTTCCTTCCTTCCTTCTTTCCTTCCCTCACTTTGTTGCCCAAGCTGGAGTTTGGAGTGCAGTGGTGCAATCATAGCTCCCCACAGCCTCCATTTTCCAGACTCAAGCAATCCTCCTACCTCAGCCTCCCTAGCACCTGGGACTACAGGTGCACACCACCACACCCGGCTAATTTGATTTTTTTTTTTTTTGAGAGATAAGGTCTCACTATGTTGCCCAGGCTGGTCTCAAATTCCTGGGCTCATGCAAGCCTCCTGCCTCAGACTCCCGAAGTGCTGGGATTACAGATGTGGGCAATTGTGCCTGGCCTTGAATGATATTTCTTTTAGAGATATTTCTGTTTTCAATGCTTAAAGTAATAGTAATTCTTTCCAGATGGCTTGAAATCAAAACATTCCCATTTCCCTTTAGAAAATGGCCACAGTACAATATCTCCCAAATAGTCCTACAACAACAACACAGGCTGAAGTATGCCTAGTCATTTGTTAGTCAAATGGGAAAGTAGGAAGAAGTGACGGATTGGTGACAAACTGGCTCAGCCAGCTGGTCCAAGTTAGGAGCCATCTTTCCTCTCCCTGGATGAGAATGGCTGTCCAAAATTGCAGGATTTCAGGGGTAGGAATGTTTTAGGATTGCTTGCAAGTCAAAGGATTCATGTGGCGAGAGTCACGGGGGAGATGGAGGTATACAGAGAAATGAAGATGACAAATACCTGCATTGAAATATTAGCGATTCTGAGATCCTCCATTAGGCCTGAGGGGAGAAACCATGACTTAATCATTTCTTTATCTCTAGTTAGCATGTTTGCTATCTCTACGTCTCTATCTCATAGCTGGCACATAACAGCTGTTTCATAATATTTAGTTGATTGACTGAATAAAAGTAAGATTTGATGTTTGTGAACATATCTCAGGAGTGCTGCACAATCTGGGACTTCCTAAAGGCATAAGATTTGTCCTCTATAAATGAAAGATATATTTCTTTTTATTTTTTTAACTATCCCTCATTTAACTCTGATTTGATTTTTCTCAGCTGGGCTCCTTGTTAACTGGGAATTTGAATCCAAAAAACTGGCTCCAAATGAGATACAGAAGATAAATTTTCTTTCTCCTAGGCTCCTAAAAGAGGAACAATTCATTCTGGGATCCAGAAACGGAACCCAGAATAGGGATTCTTATAAATTCTAAGCGAAGCTCAGAATTAAACAAAGAGAAGTGCCTTTCAGAGTTATCTTCATTGAGCGACCACACAACTGCCTCAGAAAGGCAAAAACAAATGTCCAGTAAGTATGGAA
This sequence comes from Homo sapiens, assembly GCF_000001405.40. NCBI lineage: Eukaryota > Metazoa > Chordata > Mammalia > Primates > Hominidae > Homo > Homo sapiens. Next base: position 172,486,465 of record NC_000001.11, read on the forward strand.
TTTTCTGCTCATTCTTTCCAATTAATAAGCCCCCTAGGCTTTACAATAAAATCTGGGGGTTTTTACAAAGTCGGATCTCTTTTTTGTACATGAGAATTGTTAGAGTATACTGGCTTAAAATTCAAAAACAATAAGGAAAAGATAAGCAATGAGAATTAGTATTTGTCACTGAGAAACAACAAGGTAAGATACATTTACAGCTTAGTGGCTAAAAGCAGGGTCGCTGGTTGTAGCCTGACTGGGTTTGTATCCTGGCCCAAACCTTACTGCTTCCTTATGGCTTTGAGCAAGGCTGTTGTGAGACTGAAATGCATTTTATCAAGAAAAGTGCTTAAAATATACCTAGAATATAAGCACTCAATAAATATTAACTAATCATACTATTATTTTTCAAAAATGTTTTCTAAATCACAATTCTAATAAGTCCTGCTCAAAATACTTGAATAGCTGTTCATTTTCCCCCTGGATAAACTGTCCTTTAGTATGGCCTACAGGTACATTCCAGGGCTAGCCTCTGCTTACTCTTCCCCTGCAACTCCTCCCAGATCAAACCCTAAGCTCCAGCTTTACTTGGAGCTCTCTGAATTGCCTTCCTCTTTTATATCTCTGTACATATTCTTCCTTCTACTTGAACTATTCTTTCCCACTCATTCACCTGGCTGATATCAATTTGTCCCTAAAATAGACCAGATATCAGCTCTTCCAGGAAGCTCCCCCTAATATAATCAGCTTGGCTTAGGGACTCTTCCCATAAGCTCTTACTTTCCCGTGATCTGCTGCATCATGTTCCTTATCATGCTCTGCTGACATACTTTCCTTCTCTTCCTCCCCCGTGGACTATGTGCTCCTTTGGGAGAAGATGTGGCATCTTTTTCTCCAGTGTATCCCCAGCCTGTATCACAGAGCGGGTATTCTAAAAAGTGCTTGGAATTTTAAAAATGGCTAACTATTTAAAAGAAGGAGGCTTAAAAATGAGCAGACTTAAAAATGAGGTTTTAAAATGAATTATCCTATAAGGATCAGCAAAGGAAGAATTAAAACCCAAAAGAAAATAAATAAATACAGAAAAATCTGCAATTCCCCCACCTCTCAACTCACTCCTGAATCCTTACATTTGAAGCCTGGGATTCACTCCACTTTTTTTCAGTTTCAAGTTCTGCTTAAAGACATGTCAGGAGTCACAGTCTCCAGTGACCCAGGTCTTTGATGCCGCTACCTAATCCTGCTTTATTTCCTGCAAGCAACCGCAGCACCAACTCTGATCCTCAACAGGAAATTCTGAGCATTCACTGATTCAGGTCCTTTTAAGCTGATTATGGTTCTTAGCGGTAAGAGATCCAAGGCTTTCCATAATCTACACAATGTGAAGCCTGTCTATTGAACTAGCTCAGCACCTGATTCGTAATACCCAATTGCCTTTACTTTTTCTAAGTATGATAGAGGGCTCCAGTTAATTCTTTAAATACCCTTCTTAGTGGAAATACCATCCCATCACACATTGATTCTGAAAGTGATAGCTAAGGTCATTCAGCAGATCAGTGGCAGAACAAGGAGGTCAGATTCCAGTTCCAGCCAACAGGGTAGTTCTAGGGTCATATAACCCAAGTCAGTCTCTTTTTCCCTTTGGCATTTTTCATTCTGGACACAGAACTATGGAATCAAAAATGGGAGAGGGGGCAAGCTTAAGAGAAAGTCATATATTGAACAATGGTAAGTGGCATGAACATATAATAAATAACATTTACAAATTCCCTGTGTACTGATTCCCAGGAATCTGAAAGGCAGCAGCAAAAGAAAATGCCCTAAATTAGCCAAGGGTATTACCCGATGTTCATTTCTTTGGCATGAAAAAACCCCCAAAAAACTAGAATAAGAATTAGGAGGGAAATAAGATGTCTGAAGAGTTAGGGACTTTTCCATCATTTTCTTCTGCCATTTCTAAAGATTTTGCTTTGAGACTAATTGGATTTAAACTTCTGAAATGCCTTTCTTGGGATATTTGATCATGGCAAGTGGGAGAGACTTCAGAATATTTCAGTCTCAAGTGGGAATAACTTCAAAGCTATTCACCTTTCCCAGCAGTAGGCAAAAGAATGGTCAGGGAACATTTCAAAGTTAATGAAATCTCTTCTAGTCCAAAGTCCAAAGATCATATATCTACCTCTATAGCTCTTATACCTACTATATGGTCTGTCGCTTAGTAGATTCTCAACAAGTTTTTTTTTTGTTTTTTGAGACAGTTTCACTCTTGTCGCCCAGGCTGGAGTGCAATGGCGTGATCTTGGCTCACTACAACATCCACCTCCTGGATTCAAGCAATTCTTCTTCCTCAGCCTCCCAAGTAGCTGGGATTACAGGCACCCACAACCACACCTGGCTAATTTTTGTATTTTTAGTACAGACAGGGTTTCACAATGTTGGCCCGGCTGGTCTCAAACTCCTGACCTCAGGTGATCTGCCCATCTCAGCCTCCCGAAGTGTTGGGATTACAGGTGTGAGCCATTGCGCATAGCTAAATCATGGCCTCTTACCTTTTTTTTTTTAAGTGCCTTCAATTGTACCATTCACCAATTTCTGTGGTATAAATCTTCCAGCATGACCAATTTCAAGCTACCAACAGCTTAACAACCAACTCACAAAATTTTGGAAAAGTTAACAATCACTTTCATCACTTTCATAACCAGTAGGAATCAACTCCAGCACACCAGAGCTTGGCTCTCTGTATTCAAAAGCAAGTCAGTACTGAGTGGTTTCAATGCATTTAGCCCTCAAAGGGAAGTAGGGATACTCAGAGTTGGCTTGGGAACAGAAATTTGACAGTGTAATAAAGCTTCATGCTTAGAAAAGCATATAGGTGATGTCCTGTGGGAACTACCAAGGGCTGAAATAATTTTCTGCCTCTAACCTAGTATGAAAAATTGAAGAAGTACATGTAGACCCTTCCTCTGCATGCTGCACCTCTTCCTCTAAGCAAAGGAGAAAGAAACCTTAGCATGCATAAACCCTCTCCAACAGGGCTGAGGTTCTCCTGAACAAGGGAAAAACTCAAATCCAGGTTTGAATGTGCTCAAGTCACAGTTACCAATTTAAGATCTTTGTAATAGTGGAGATTAGATCAAAGAAGGTTATTTCTAATCATTGTACTGAAATGCTTATTTGTGATACACCAGGAATACTTTTTGTGTGTGTTAATAGAAAAACTAAAGTCTGTAAAATATTTTTAAAATATTAATTCTGAGCCAGTATGAGTGACCACAGCCCAAGGAAAAACACAAACCCAACAAGTTTGGTCCTGAGGTGGTTAAATTACAGATTGGTTTTATACATTTCAAGGAGGTAGTAGGAGTTACAGGCAAAAGCATAAATCGATACCTGGAAAGTATATATTGGTTCAGCCCGAAAAGGTGGGATATCTTGAAGCAAGGGCTTACAAGTCATAGGTGGATTCAGATATTCTATAATCTGCAATTAAAGGAACAAAAATTTGTCTAAAAGCTTGGAGTTAGCAGAAAGGAATTAAGTTATGAATGCTACGTCAGAGTTAGCCACAATATGATATGTTTGGCAACATTTATTGTTTGTAAGCATGACTTAGCCCTTGCCTTCTATGGCCTTAGTCTTGTTTGTAATTTGGTATCTTATTACCAGTTTGTTTTGTCAGTCTGATGATATTTATTTTAACATTAATGCTGGTCAGTTGTTGTACCTAAACTCCAAAAGGGAGAGAGTAGAACCAGGCACGTTGGATTCTCCCTTATACTCTCTCCCTTTTGGAATCTAGGCACAACAGTTTGGAGTTTAGGCACTCCCAGTTTTTAAGGTTTCTCTGGGGTCCCTTTGACCAAGAGGGGAGCTGCTCAGTTGGTGGGGAAGGGGGGTGGTTTAGGATTTTATTTTTAGTTTACATAAGTTTGGCAATAAGCATTGTTCACCAAGACAAGTAGACAGTTATTTCCATTCTCCCACAACTTACATCATTCACATAGTTTTTGATAAAAGTTTCTCCACTTCTCATGCTGCTAAGTTAATAGGGTTTCCTATACATGAATGCTTGAGATGAGTATGCTGTGATACGTTCCTTAGAGATACACATTTTCAGCCCAGTGTGACTCCTTTAAGCCGATACATCCTCTTCACAATACACTCTGGACAGATTCAGAGCCAGACACACGGGGTTCTGGTTATAGGTTGCAGGATTGAACCTGGGGCCCAGGTTACCCGTGAAGCACATATACTTCCTTCTCCAGGTCTGCCCTGTCCTGGAGTGGGGAGCCTTGCTGGGGGTACGAGATGATAGCCATGCCAGCAGGGTTCCTCTAAGGCTCATACTGACTCTACCACACAAACATCAAATAAAAGGCAGGTCTCAGCCTATTTGTCCATTTACACATTTAGTTCCACATCACTCACCACAGTCTACTTTTTGCATGTCACTTGGTCCCACTCTTGTTTTTCCTACTATTCACTTTTCTAATTGTCCCCTTTCTTCTTACCTAAGCTCATTCTGTGAAATCATTCTATTGTGTTTTCTTCTTTTCTCCTAGGTTGGCTCCTCATAGTTTACCATAGGAGTTAGCAGCATCTGAGAAGTCAAGAAGTCTGCATTTGTACCTTGGCTCCTTCACTTGCTGGCTATGTGACCTTGGGAAAGTAGCTTGACCTCTCTGAGCCTCAGTTTCTTAATCTGCAAAACAAGGTTGCAATGATTCCTTATCTTATGAGTGTTGAGGCAAAACTAAGAACATACCATATGTGCTGAGTACCCAGCAAATGTTTCTGTGGTAGGTACTTAAATATGTTAGCTCTTCATAGCATTACTTTTATCCTTGATACCACCATTGTCTTCAGTAGACGTGGTGTTTCTATGGCACAATGTTGTCTCAAGTGACATGGATAATGCTCACAACTCCAGCCCCAGCCCAGCTCTACTTCCAGAAATCTCCTTGGCCAAGGTTCTTGAACAGAGTGTTCATAAGTGCTTTACAGGTGAGGAGATGCTTATAAAACTCACGCCAAACCCACTTCCAAGCATAGAACTCTATAACACTCTGTTCCTTGAGATATCTTGCAAAACTGTCTTGAATAAGAAAATCCTTCATGACTTTTTGATTCTGCTTGTCATGTACTTTGTTATTGCTGACACAAAAATATGTCTAGACATTTTTTTCTTCAATTTACATTTTATAAATACTGACTTCTTGGCCTTTAAAATGAATAATGGCCATTGAAACAATCATGGTAATAAAATGATTTTATTATTTGTTTTCCCTCTAAAAAGCTGAACCAGAGCTATGCAAGATGGCCTCTTGTACCTTCTATTGAAGGTCAGTCTTGAGTCCTACTTGAAAGCCCTTCTCCTTTTCACTTTCCTCCATTTGTGCTGTGGAAGTAGCCAAGCTCCTGAAATAGGACAGATGCCACCTGGATTTGTGAGATCTGAATACCCTTGAAGGCTGCAACCAAACTCATCTGTCAGAAACAGAGGCTTGAGATTACCTCCAGGGTAAAAAATGCCTTTGAATTTTCCAAGATACATAAAAAAGAGACTCCATTTATGAAGTTACATGTGGTTCTGTGTGTCAGGGGAATAAATCATGCTTTATAGGTAATATGACAGAGGGCTTTAGAGGCATTTGAGAAATCTGGAGAAGGCAGGAGATAGCCAGGAATAAGGAACAAGAAGAGCACGTGGGGTTTTCCAAAGGGCAATCTGAAAGGCCATTGTCCAGTCACCGCTGTTAGAACCTTCAGCAGTCTCTGGCAGCACCATCACTGTTCCATTCCACTCCATCCCCATCCTGTCTTCTCCCTTCCTTCCTAAACTCCTTCTCCAACTCTTGTTCCTGCTTCCCAATCACCCTGCAGTTCTATTCCTGTCTTTGACTTCAAATGGGTGGGTGGGAGGACTACATTTGGCAAAAGGATTCCTAAAAGCTTTGCCCAGAGGTCTAAATTCATTTTCTCTCAGATATTTGTCTTGTGTCATGTTGCAAGCTGCCTGTTGCCATAAGGGCTGCCTAGAACTAGCCCAACATTACCACTGTCAAGTTATAAGTCCTCAGCCCAACCCTTGCACAGTGAATTTGTATTTTGTTCTAGAACCTTAAGGATGATAGCCTGCAAATTTAAAGAAGGAGATTCAAGAGTTGGAAGGTTGCCAGAAGTAATTTTGTCCAATGCCAGAAGCCGAGGACCACTTATAATATTCTTCACAGAGAGTTGTCTGGCCTTTGACCAAATGCCAGGTAATAAAGATTGTCTCTTCAGAAGAAAAAGAAATGTTTAGGAAAAAGAGGTGGGAAGGAGGTGAAATTTTCATAATATAACTTTTTGTTCCTTTTGAATATCATTGTGTTGTATATATCACTTATTTAAGAAAGTAAATTAAATATTTTGAAAATGCCTTCAGTGTCAGGAAGCTCATTACCCCCAAAAGCAGACTGTTGCATTTCAGATAGCTGGAATTGACAGAAAGTTGTTTCTTGGCTGGGTGGGGTACAGCTCACGTCTGTAATCCCAGCACTTTGGGAGGTCAAGGTGGGTGAATCACCTGAGGTCAGGAGTTTGAGACCAGCCTGGCCAACATGGCAAAACCCCATCTCTACTAAAAATATAAAAATTAGCCAGGCGTGGTTGTGGGCACCTGTAATCCCACCTACTTGGGAGGCTGAGGCAGGAGAATTGCTTGAACCTGGGAGGTGGAGGTTGCAATGAGCTGAGATTGCACCATTGCACTCTAGCCTGGGTGACAAGAACAAAACTCCATCTCAAATAAATAAATAAATAAATAAAATAAAGAAAGTTGTTTCTCATGCCTAGGTGAAATCAACCTCTTTATGCTTCCACTCTTCTACTTCTCCCCTGTAGTAATAATACAGAGCCAGCCACTCCCCTCCAGTAACAACAAATTTTCAAATATTTGAAGACAACCAATCTATCTTCCTTTAGTTATTTCTTCTTGAATGCTAGAAAGATCACCCACTTTGCTATGCCAGATCTCTCAGCTAGTTTTAATGTTTGTGGGAAAAAAAAGAACTTGTCCCAGGGATGAGATTTCCTTGTACTGTCTTGCTGAATCTGGCCTCCATTGCTCACTGAAGGGTGATGCTTGGGTAGAGCCAAATTTTATTCCAAAATAAGGGTGTAGCTCTGGTCTGGCTTAACTTTGTAGGCTTAGAGTGTTTGGGACATGGGGGTAAGAGGGGATTCTCCCTGATGGTGGACACTTGAGCTTCCTAGCATCCTCAGGAAAAATGTATGAGCTTTCATAATAGATTACAACTCATGTTTTTGTTGTAGCCTGTTTCTGTACCATACAGGTTTTGCACAAACGTTCATTTAGAAGTTTATAAAGTCAGTAAAATCAGAACACTAAATTTAGTCTTAGATTGGAAAGGCAATAGACGGGACTGAAGCTCTGTCCCCAATGCCTTTCTTGATTTTTATATAATTTCAATAAGCATTGTCTCTCCTCCTCCTTTCACCCCAAGTTCCTATAACTGTGCTAAAATACAAAGGAAGCACCAAAAGCCTATATTCATGTTAAGAAGACTACGTGCACACAAAAGCAACAAAGGCAGAATCTGAAACATGTTGAACTATGGACAGACAGCAATCAGTCACCAAGGACAGCACTAAAATCATGGGGTCCTCTGCACCAGGTGTACGCATAGGTACTGTAGGGGCCAGAGATTCACTAAAAAAATCAACTCACAAAAGGCAGATTAATTGGAGAAAAGGCAGGTAAACTTATTTAACATGTATACTCAGGAGCCTTCAGACTGAAGACTGAAAGATAAAGGGGAAATGGTTCATTTTTATGCTTAGTTCAACAAAGTATGGAGAGCTGTGTAGAAATATGATTGGACAAAATAGGTATGATCTAATGCTAGCAGACTGAGTGGGGAAAACCAGCAAGGCCTCTCTGCCTGATTCTTCTTAGCCTCTGAGCATGCACTCCTTCCTTCTGAGTTTGGGGCAGAGCCCTCTCTGCAATCGGGGGTCTTATGACCTACAGTCAAACAAGGTAAGTCAGACAATTTCTTTATGGACAGTTTTTACGCAGAAAGAGGAAAAGTTAGAGTAATATTTTTAGTTTTTATGGCTAGCTTTAGGGAAAAAGCCCTCTGGTGTCCCTGACCCACCTTGGTGAAGAGGGATTCTGGTTTCTATGATTAGTCTCAGGGGAGAAAGCAGGCTGGGAGACAAGAGGGCAGCAGCAGGTCAAAGAAAACCTTTGGCTCCTGAGGCTGTTTCTGAGGCCTTCATTCTGGGGTATTGTTTTCTGAGCCCCAACTGTATCCTACCCAGGGCAAACTAATAGGCCTTCCAGACCCTGAACATTATCTTCATTGCCTGTCTCCTACCAAAAAGGGATCCTACTGATCTATAAATAGATGCCTTTTGAGGTATCCGTCCAGTTTGTAAACTTAAAATCCTAAGTTCTCCACCAACTGAACCCTCTCTTGGCCATGGGGACCCCAGAGAAATCTTAAAAACTTAGTTCCTGTCCATGACAGCAAGAAAGGTTGGACCTACCTTGTTATGCTCCCTCCCTTTTGGAGTTTAGGCACAACTGACCAGCATTACTGTTAAAACAGAGATCATAAGGCTAACAAAACAAGCTGGCAATAAGATACCAAAGTATACACAAGACTAAGGTCATAGAAGACAAGGGTTAAGTCATGCCTACAGACTATCAATCTGGCTACAGAGCTTCCTAATCTTAACTTAACACATTCCTTTTTATTGACTTCAAGTTGTAGATGGAACCTTACTCCTTTGACCAATTATAAATTAAAGCATCTCTAAATTCACCTGTAACCTATAAGCACCCCCCTTCCCACTTCAAGATATCTTGCCTTTTCAGATGGAACTAATGTATCTCTTCCACGTATTGATGTATGTCTTTCCTTTAACTCCTGCCTCCCTGAAATATATAAAACCAAAATGTAATCTGACTGCCTTGGGACCACTTACTCAAGGCTTCTTGGCTTTGTGTTTCTCCCTGGGCAGTCATCACTCATTTTGACTCAGAATAAACCCCTTTAAAATATTTTACATAATTTGGTTCTTCATTAACAAGTTGCACCCATATACTTTTTCCTCCTGGTTCCCTTATGACCAAGGATATAATTTGGGACTAACTGATGAGAGAAGAAAAGTCTGCAATGATGAGGACTGAGCAGTGGGTACAGAGAAGTATGTCTGCCAGCAGAATCCAAGCCACATCTTTAAGGCTCAGATTTAGGCCAGAATATAACTCACCCCTTGGAGGTGGCGAGTCCTATAACACCAGGCTTAGCCAGTCTATGGCATTGCTAATGCCCTCATCAGTATGGTAAAGGCTTGCTGGAAAGCTGGTCTTCCAGAGCATCTGCTCTGTCATCAGAATTGTTACCATGGGAGGAACTAGGTATCTAGAAAGGGATCAAGTGGATTATTGAGGCCTTCTGTGTAAGCCTGTGCTCTTCTGTCTCTGCTTAGACGCACCTCTCATCTATCCATCACTCTGGACCAATTCACACTGGGCAGTCACCTCCCATTTGTTCACTCAATCCATTTACCCCTAGTTTAAGCTGGAACATGTCAAACATTTGTCACCCCAGGTTTTACCACTAACTAAGCAGAATGCCTCACAGTTTCTGCTTTTACTGTTCTCTGTGAGTGTGGGAATCAGGTCTTTGAGGAATGGAGGGTCCACAGAACTTAGCAGGATAGCAAAGGCTGGGTGGGAGTAAGGGAGGAGACCACCCCTCATATTGTCTTATGCCCAATTTCTGCCTCCAGAGAAAGAAAAAGTAAAAACTAAAAGACACAAATGAAATCCACAAGCAGACAGCCCGGCGCCACACCCTGGGCCTGGTAGTTAAAGATTGACCCCTGACCTAATCGGTTATGTTATCTATAGATTACAGACATTGTACAGAAAAGCACTGTGAAAATCCCTATCCTGTTTTGTTCTGATCTAATTACTGGTGCATGCAGCCCCCAGTCACATACCCCCTCCTTGCTCAATCGATCACCACCCTCTCACACGCACCCCCTTAGAGTTGTGAGCCCTTAAAAGGGACAGGAATTGCTCACTCAGGGAGCTCAGCTCTTGAGACAGGAGTCTTGTCGATGCCCCCAGCCAAATAAACCCCTTCCTTCTTCAACTTGGTGTCTGAGGAGTTTTGTCTGTGGCTTGTCCTGCTACAGAACAGTATGCACAAAATAGTTATCAGTGGAGATTTAGTGGTTGCCTATTATCTGCCTGGCACTGTGCTTGGCATTGGGAAATCAAATGAATAAGAAGCTTACAACTTCTTGTTGAATAGAAGAAGCAGACAACTAAACAAGCCATCATGAAATAATATGGTAAGAACAGGGGCTATTAGAGCATCTGGGATCAGCACCTAATCCAGCCCCGGTGAGAGATAAGGTTGGGAAAGGGAATCAAAGAACCATCTGGGGGAGGTGACATCCCAAGGGCATGGAAGATATTAGTTAATCCCAGGACATGGCAGGGTGTAGGAACAGACAGGAGGTTCAGCAGCCAGCATAACTGGTTAGAATTGAATGATGACTCTCTGCATATCAGAATGTTTTACTTATAGCTAGAAAGTTCTAAAGATTTAAACAGCAGTTTTTCACTCCTCTGATGGTATTTAATGATGGTGATTAAATACCAGTTAGTATTCACATTCAACCTAGGTTTACTTTAGAAAGCCTTCTGTCCTGATCTGGAAAAGAAAGCTTAAAATGTGTCAAGGTCAGAAAAAGCAATGCCCGGGTATCTATCCCCTACTCGCTAGCTCTGCTAGAAAAACAAAGGCCATCAGCAAGTGTCAACCATGCTGGAATGTGCTGGCGCAGCTCTGGGGCTCCGGGCATTTTCTCTCCTCTCCTTCTTTCCTCTTTTGGTCTAGTGAGCTTGCAAGCTGCCTGCATTCTTGTGAGCTGCCCCTGTCAGGTCTCATACAGGACTCCCTGCTTAACCAGGCAAACACACACGATTGCTTTCAAGCAGACTTCCTCCTGGATGCCTCCCCAATTCCCACTGCTCCACCCACACATGCCCTGGGGCCCTTAGAACTGTGGCAGCTCTCTGGAGACAGAAAGTCTGCAAGGGAGAAACCCTTCTCTTGTGGGAGAACTTAAATGGGGGAGAGGATATGAGATGTGATTGCTAGATCCTGTCCATAGGACTCAGATGGAAGTACAATGGTTCATCCTCTTAGAAAAATCCTTAAAGTTTTCAAAAGAAAGGAGAGGACCTTCCAATCTTTGCTTCCGTAGTAAGTGTAAATAACATTCTTACAAGCTCAAATTAAAATTTAGCATGGATTATATCATTTAATCTACACAATAATAAAGTGTTTACTATTATTATCCCTCGATGTGCCTCAATTCGTTCATCTGTAAATTGGGGATAATAGCACCTACCTCTTAGTCTTATAGGAATCAAAAAATTAATAGTAAATACATTGGAACTATGCCTAGTGCATAGTAAGCAGTCAAAAAATATCAATATGTGTTTTTGTGAGGAATCTGGAGCACAGAGAGGTTAAATAATTTGGCCAGGATCACACAGCTTGTAAAATAAGGCCAAGATTCAAACCCCGGTAGTTTGGCCCCAGAGCCTGCTCTCCTAATGGCAGCGTTATTTGCTGTGCTGCTCTGCTGCACAAAACAATTAAAGAGTAACAAGAAACCAGTGACTTTGGGTGGCTAGAGAGAAGCTGGGGAACCCCTTGAGTTTGTGTAAATGAGTGGTTCTCAAAATGTGCCCCCCTGGCAGCATCCTCCCCATTTCCTTAGGAACTTGTTATAAATGCAACTTCTCAGGCTACATCCCAGATCTACTGAATCTCCAACTCTGGGGTGAGACCCAGGATACTATGTTTTAAAGCGTTCTCCAGGGGATTTAGAGGCACACTGATATCCCAGAAGCACTGGAGTCGACTTTTAACTGTTATATCTACTACGCACCCAGCCTCCATAGCAGAACATGGCTCTCAAGTTGCTTCCACTGCTTTATGATATTCTTCAACCCATCCCTCACCCAAGCTGGTGATAGAGGTTTTGAAAGGGCTTGGTACAGGGCAATCTTGCAGCAGAGGGCTGCAAATGTGAATTATTAGAAATGTGGGCAGTCTGGAAATGTGAATTAACTTTTGGCCTCATGGCCACATCATATGGAGGCCTCCGTTTTCTGAGATGCTAAGTCACAGATGGAGAAAACAGATTTGGTACCTGGGTTTTTGGGGTGGTTATTGATTTTTTTCACCAAATTCCCTGGAAATATAATTTAAGGGCCAGAGAAGCTAAAAGGAAAGCGACCAAATGAATCCTGCCTCCTGGGGAGTGTTGTCTGTGTGTTGTGGGGGTGGGCAGCAGTATGGCCAAGGCAACTGTAGCTTTATAAACTGGGTGAGGTGAGGTGAGATAGCTACAATGTCAGAGAACAATTCTGAGTTTTATAAAGACACAAAAGTACTAAAATTTTCTCAAGATCAAGGAAGGGGAAGGGTTGGCCCATGAAAGTTGCTAAACAACTTTCTTTAGCAACTTGATATTCCACGCTGCTTCCGCCAGGCTCAGCCTGCAGCTGCAACCTTCAGAGAGCTGCAAGGAGTATCATTGTTATTACCTAATACTGCCATTTATTGAGTACAGCCCCTGTGCCAGGCACTATTCATTGTGCATGTGCTCATTGTTTTAATTCTCTTAGAACTTGGAGTAGGTATCATTATTTTCATCCTTCTATTACAGATGGATTTAAGGAAATTAAAGCACATAAAACTTAAGTAGGCCAGGCACGGTGGCTCATGCCTGTAATCCCAGCACATTGGGAGGCCGAGGCGGGCAGATCACCTGAGGTCAGGAGTTCGAGACCAGCCTAGCCAACATGGTGAAACCCCATCTCTACTAAAAATAAAAAAATTAGCCGGGCTTGGTGGCAGGTGCCTGTAATCCCAGCTACTCCGGAGGCTGAGACAGGAGAATCACTTGAACCCAGGAGGCAGATGTTACAGTGAGCCGAGATCGCGCCATTGCACTCCAGCCTGGGTGACAGAGTGAGACTCTGTCTCAAAAAAAAAAAAAAAGTTAAGTAATTTGCCAAAAAACAAACAGCTACCAAGTGGTGGAGCTGGTTGGAACCCAGGTATTGTTTGTATAGATCAGTCCTCACCATGTAATTCTGCCTCTTCAGCAGAGTTTGTGTCTACTGCAGGAGGTGAGGAAGTGAGGGAGAGTGGGAGGAGAATGGGGTGAGAAACCTAAGTCCCTCTGTTGATCCTGGGGCTAGACTGACTCTCCAGCGCTGCCTCAGCCAAACACTGCCACATCAGTCTTCTGGACTGGAGTTTGACACTTTCGCCTTACTCATCAGTCAGGTGACAATGACACATGCAAGCCTTTGCCAGGGAGCATCCTGAGACAGGTATCAAAGTCTAGCCCTCCAGCACTGTGTTATATCAACCCTGACTGAGACTAGAGCTCAAGCAGGCACCCAGTTCTTGCAGAGCTGCCCTGGCTTCAGGGAGTTTGGCTGAAGCCCCAGCTGCCTCTCTTCTCAATGGGAAATTGCCACCAAGCGTATTCTGGCTGGAGGGAGGGGCATTTCTCTTCATGACTGCCACTTCAGCTGAGGAGGCTGGGTTGACAGGTATAACCAGGTTTTCCCCATCTGCCTACCCTTTTCCTAGCAGGCAGTCAGAGGCTTCTTACTGAGTCTTTCCTTCTGGGTATTTTACAAAGTTGGGGGGTGGGGACCTTTCTGGTTTTCTCTGGGGGAAGAAAATTAAAAGCCAACAGGCCTCTCCCTAGGAAATTGCAGGCATATGCCAAGGTTCTCAGAAAATTGCCACCTCACCTCTCCTGACAAATGACCTCTCCTGACAAGTAGCCAATAGGCTTTCAAAACAGCAGTACCACTGACTAACAGCAAATGTTCTCTTTTTATGGAACACAAGGTGTTCACAGGTGAGAGCAGATCTCCTTCCTTCTGCAGACGTGGGGCTATGGAGAGGAAGTGAGGACTCTCATACTCATTTTACCAAACAGGAAAATGGAATTACCCCTTCACAGAGGGGCTGATTCATTTATATGACTCTGCTAATGCCTGAAGGAACTGGCAGCTCGAGATGGGCACAGGACCCAGACCCATGATCACTGTGAATGCTTTCTGAACAATGGCAATACCAACCATGGATCAACTCCATCACTGGGCACTGCTCAGACGTGTAACTCTTGGCCTCTGAGCAATATGTGCTTTGTTTCCTACTTTGAGGCCAATTTTAAACTTGAATGTGTGAAGCAAAAATTATTTTTTCCCTATTGGACAGTCTTTAAGAACTGGTAAAAATACAAGGGGCCCTTGTTACCTGAACCAAGATCTGAGGAAATGCTCCTTCCCCGAGAGGACTCTGGAACGAACTGTCCCTTTTAGCGGGGCTGATGCAGCCCCTGTAAAGCCCTTAGTAAGGACTTAAATCATTCTGATCAATTAGCTTAAAATCTACCAGTTCTTAAACACTTTCTCCCCCACTTCCTCAGGGAAGCCTTCCTCAGTCCCCAGTTCTAGGGGAATCCTTGCTTGCCTTTAATTTTTGAGAGCTTTATTGTCACCTGGGTATTAAAGAGCTTCTGTTTGAGAAGCAGGCTGTCACTTCTGTCTAGGTCAGGCTTTTCTTCACAGCACGTTGTGAGCCAAAAATCCCTGAGCCTATGCTGGAGGGACCCCAGGTAACCCCTGACACTGCTGCTGTATTTGTTCAAGCAAATCTTTACTGAGAGCCTTTTATAAGTCAAACTTGATGTAGAGCTAGGAGATACACTAGTGATTCAAACAATTATTCCTGCCCTCACAGTGCCTACATTCTAGGAAATATAAATAACATAATTTTAATATGGTGTATTAGGAAGTGATTATTGCTATGGAGAAAAGCAAGGCAGGGATGAAGTAGCTAAGAAGACTGATGGTGGGGTCTGAGGGGATCCAAATCAGGTGTGGGTCACGGGGTAGGATTATCTTTTGGCCTGAATTATTACTGCTCTCCTGGCCCCTAGTCCCTGTGCTTTTACCAAGAGTGCCTCCTTTTGTTTATTAAATAAGAGATGGGGGTCTCACTATGTTGCCCAGGCTGGTCTCAAACTCCTGGCCTCCAGCCATGCTCCTGCCTTGGCCTCCCAAAATGCTGCCTCACAGCCTGGGCCACTGTGCCTGGCCCCAATAGTACCTCTTAATGCCTGCCTCTCTTCCTTCGATTCTTCTATTCCTCTCACTTTCTCCACCACCAAAAATTGTGCCTTCAATGCCATCCCCCAAATTCTCCTGATCTTTAAGGACCAGCTCAAGCTACAGCCTTTCCCCAACTCCTCTGACCGCTCCCTTCTCTGAGCTCCATGAAAAGCATTAAGCCACACAAGTGATATTTGATCTTGTCTTCCATTGTTTCTTCTATATGCTTCTTCTATATCTTTCTCAACTGATTAAAAGCTGTGACAAATGGAGGCTAAGATCCCAGCATATTGCTTTGAATACAGGAGGTGTTTAGTAATCATACCAGGTGGCCTCAGTCAGCTCTCAGTGCAATTTGGTAAAAGCTGACTCCTCATTCCATTTTAGTAAGCTACAGCTTTTTCTACTCAAGCCCTGAACCACTCCTCCAATATCTCTCAGCAGAAACTTTACTAGCATCCATCTTGGATGAATTTGCTCAACTTTCCTTCTCAAAACCTCAGAATTAAATCTCTATTTTCACCATCTTTCTCCTGTTTAAGAGAGAATTATTACTAATTCTTGCCCAAGACTAACTGCTTTATTTACACTTTCCCACCATAGCCACTCATATGCTCTGGGATCTTATTGTCTTTATTACCCAGAAATTCTTATTCATCTCTTAGGGTGCTGGCTTCTTCTTAGTATCCAAGTGAGTTGAAATCTTTCTCATTAAAAATAAGAAAAAGTCTTGATACGTCTTCCTCAATGGTTTGGCTACTACAAAATTATTATAAAAGGAAAGGTAAATGAATTAAAACCTGGACTCTTGAACTAGATTGCCTGTAGTTTAATTACCAGTTCTGTTGTTGCTATGTGGCTTTGGGAAATTTACTTAACCACTCTATGCCTCAGTTTCCTCATCTGTAAAATGGCGATAATAATAATAACTGTTTCATAGGGTAGTGATGAGGATGGAATTAATTTTCATAAACTACTTAGAACAGTGCCTGGCATACTATAAGTGATATGTGTTTGATATTTGACATAAATAATTATTAAGCCTTATATATTATTCTTTCTTTCATTTCCTTGGTCCTATTTCTTTCTTCCCAAAGCTACTATCCAATCTTCTGTTTCCTTTCGTCACCAATTTTTTCAAAAGGACAGCCTGCAGTGCAAACTTTCCACTAACTGTTTCCATTTTCTCATGTCCCTTTCACTCCTCAACCCACTAGAATATTGAAAGTTCCCAATGGCCTCTTAAGCTTCTAATCCAAAATTTCATTTCCTTTCATTTGACATCTAGTATCCAACTTGGAATTTCTTCCTTTGCTTTTCTTGCCATTTCAGCTTCTCCTCAGCCAGCTCCTTTCCTTTCCCAAGAGACTCCATCCCAAGGGGTCTCTTGGGCTTCTTCTCATACTGCATTCTCTTCCATTGGTGTTATTCACACTCCTGCCTTCACTTACTGCCTACCTTCCATTGACTTTCACACCTACTAGGACTGACATTTTTCCCTGAGCACCAGCCCCTAAGCTTGACCAGTTATACAGATAAATGCCATATCGATACTCTTCTGATAGATTAGGGTTCAGCTATCTTCTAGATTCTAAATCTAGAAGATTTCGAACAGGTAAATCTTCTCCCTGTCATGTATTGCTTCAAATCTCTGTTTTGGCACCCAGTCGCAAACACCAGAAACCTTAGGGCCTTTGTGGTTCTGCATCTGGATGTGCCTTTGCATTTCACAAATCAGTTTTCACATCCCTTAGCTCATTTACTCCTCACAATGACCCTAAGAGCACTATTTGATTACGTGATTTTGCAAGGCTTAATTTGAATAAGTATTTTTTTTCCCAGAATGACAAAATAAACACATTTTCTAATTCTTTTAAGAAAGAGTGAAATAACTCCTTTCTACAGAGGAAGAAAATAAGTTTTAGAGGTAACAAATTTTTCTAAGAAGTTGTAAGGGTCAAATGAAATAGTACGTGTTGTGAAACTTCATCTACCTTAAAACATCAGGTAAATGCAAAGTTTTCTTGATTATTAACATAATGCTAAATTATTGGTGACACAGCTAATTTGGTAAATGTCACAAGAAGAGTATTAAGTGTACAGAAATACAGAGGTGAGGGAAATCGGTTTAGTTAGGGATGATAAGGATCTTGGGAGAAGAGTAGGATTTTAACAGATGGACAGCATGATAGAGGACCAGCTTCTCCATGTCTCATTCTGGTCTACCACTTTTATATCTGTCCTTAATACAAAGCTGACTTGAGTGATCCTTTCTCAGCACTTCTAGGTAATGGCTGGAGGTTTCCTCTAAATGCAATAGACAAATTTAAGGCACCTTTTATAAGAACATTAGGACACTAACTCAAAGGTCACTTCTTCTGAGGGAATAAAAAAACCATCCAACCTGCCTGCAGCAGCTCATACTATTCCACCCTCCATGTGGACAAGGAACACATGGGAACAAGGAACATAGGGAGCAAGAGTGTGTGCAGGACAATGAACTGCAGAAGCGTCATTGACACATGGACATAGCCAGAGTACGTGTTTCCAAATCATGAAACCAGAACAAAAACAAATCCTATAAAGGATAGTGTGATGACAGTTAGCTCAGGCTCAGGACCCTGAAGTGTGCTGTTTGGGAATCACTTTGCATACTGAAGCCTGTGTAATGTAGAAGGGGTCAAATAGAAATCTGGAGGATATTTTGGGGTAAGTCCATCGATAGTAACTGAAAAGCTAGCTTTGAGGAGATAACTTTTATTCTATTAATGTGATTACTTTATTGCTCATAAATTCAAGTTGAGATTTAGTTACATTGGAATAAAATGGGCTCTTGCAAACTTATTGAGTTACTGTAAACCAAGGTATTATCTAACATCAGGAAGAAGAAGGTAGTTCAGACAACCTCTCCACTTTGCAGCAGCTATTGCCCACATCCAAAAGATCATCCATTCTTCTAAAGTTTGGTCACTGCAAAGCCACTCCATTACTGTCGCAATAATGTACATGTTATATACAGTTTCAATTCTGACTGTTGCACAGAGAAGCAAGACAGAGGAAATAATTCTCTATCAAAATCAAGTTGAAGAGTGTACAAGTTATATTTCAGTTTGATGACCTTTAAAATGACCTGATGCAAAGTCTAGCAGTTGCCAACCTGACTGGGCCTGAATGGGATGCACTCGGAGACTCGGTCCTTGCCTTCCCAGCTTCCCCAAGTGCTTGAGAAAAGGGCTGGATTTAGAAATATGAAGAGGAAGAGCATGCAGGGGACAAGATGTGAGCAGAGAATCGAAGGTCAGGATGTGCATGATACACTAGAGAGATTAAGTGGATGGTTAAATTGGCTTAATGTCCATCAGCATGGAAAGAAATTAGGGAAGAAGAAGTTGGCCAGAAATTGATATCAAAATGACCAGCAAGCTTTTCCAAGCATCATTTTCTGCAAAGATAAAGTGATAAGGTAATAATGATAATGGTAATATCATACCCAGCACTTACAAAAGCCATGTCTCAAGGGTCTCAAAGCATGTTAAAATGCTGCATTATTCATCTTCTCAACAATTCTGTGAGACAGGTAAAGGGAAGTATCATTATCCCCATTACATAGGTAGTAAAACAAAGACAGAGGCAGTGAGAATCTTATTTCCACATCCCTGTAGTAAGCCAGCTGGTGTTCTTGGTCTGAAGTGCAGTCATTCCATTTAGGCTACCTTTTCTAAGGCCAATTTCCCTTGTTAATGTGTAGAGAGGGTCCCAGTTTCCATTCTATGTAACTCTATACATGTTTATCTCTTCCAGCCATTAAAAGTGACTGAATTTAAAGCCATATCTCTACTTCGTCCCTTGGTAAAGCAAATGGGTTGTAGATTCTCTTTTGATGTTACGGGTATCACTCACTGATGCCTAAAATGTAATCTTTGTATCTAAAGGTACAATGTCCTTTAGAAGACTTTGACATTTCTAGACTAATATAGGTTGATTCCATTAATCCATCAAAGTTTTTTGCCTGTGAATTTCACTAATCTCTCTCTTAGTGCTGTTTCTGCCTCATCCTCCAACCCCAACACCAATAAGGCACGATACATAATCGCAGATACCAATGACCAAATCTAGTGAAGGCAACAGAATGGCCCACAAACCTTCTCAACTAAAGCTACTTCTTGCCTTTGGTTCTCCACAGCCCACTGTAACAGACTGGACTTCCTGCCCAAGTGCTTCTTGGAGACCATTTTACTTACTCTGAGGGCAAATGTGAGGGTTAACTAAGGTTTCTCCTATGTCCAGAGCTGGGTTGAATGACAGCCCAAACTTTGACCCCTTCAGGGTCAGCTGAGCTTGCCAAGAGATTCTTGGTCATATTGTACCTCTTCATGCTTTGCAAGGCCAATCAATATTCCTTTCATTGATTGAATGAAGATTTCTACTGTGCCAGGCTCATTCATGTTAAATGAACAAGACATACAGTGTTGTGATTGGCCATGGCTTGTACTTTACTTCCTAGCTGTCCCTGAACCAAATTATCTGTGCCTAATACCAAAAGGTCATCATAACATAGCAGAAAGCGTATGAACTCGAGTCCTGCAGACCTCACTTTCCAGTTCTGCTGGGCCTACTGGCTATGTAACCATGAATTCAGAACTCAATAGGTAAACTCTTTGAGACTCACTCCACTGCTTTAGTCTTTCTCTGCAGTGCCTGGCAGAGTCCTAGACACAAGATACATGCTCAATTAGTGCCAGTCAACTTGATTTGACTGAACCTACCTATCGGACACAGCAGCAAGTTTAAAGCTTCTCCTTCCAAGCTGTATCTAGGTCAAAGCCATCACTGAGGAAAACAGACTCTGCAGTAGTTGAACACCAGTTGTTACTTATTTTTCTCTTCACGTTCTTACTAGACATAAAGCCCTCTCCTACCTGACAGAGCACTTTATGAAGCTGAATAAACTTACAGCCTGCTCTGACGTTGGAGTACAGGTCACACTTCTCGGCAGAAACTCCTGAAGAATACATAAGAGCCCTGCTCCTCCCTTATGACACCTATGGTGGCTGGCATGGGAAGAAACATACAATGGAAATAAACAGCCCATATCTGTAAAGCCTAAGGTGGAGAGAGATGGTCTCTATGAGACATGGAACAATCTGGTTATTTAGGTCAGAAGGGTAGTAGAGAAAGAGCAGCAGTGCAGGGCCCTGTGGCCATTGCCAAGATGACAGCATGGTCCCTCCCTTCCTTGGTAGTCCTCCCAACACTTCCCTACATATATCCCAGGATCCAGAGACAATGAACTACTTGAAATTTCCTGAAAGTGCCTGTTTCTCCCTCCCCACCCCAGGCTTTTGTATGTGCTATTGTTCTGCCTTCTTAGAATGCCCTTCTCAGGCCTGACTTTCTGCTACTCATCCTTCTGGGCTCAAGTTGGTATCAATTCCCTTCCTCTTGTAAGTCTTCTTCCTCATCACCATGGCAGACTATGTTCTTATAGTACCCTCTCCCATCCTCATATGTCACATGCAATATTGTAATTGTTAATTCATGTGGCTGTCCCCAGGATGATGATGACAACAACAGCATAGATGTCATCTGCTGAGTGCTTACTATGTTCCAGGTACTATATGTCTTTAATTCTCACATCAAGCTTGTGAAGTAGGACTATTATTTCCATCATATAGATGTGGAAGATAAACTTTAGAGAGGTTTTGCATACATTTACATAGTTAATAAGAGGCAGGATCAAGATTAGAACACACATCTGTCTGACTTTAAGTCTGTGATTTTCCCCACTACATCATGAAGCCTCCTATTTGGCTGTGCACAGCTTGAGGGCAGGGACTGCATCTTTCATCTCTGTAGCTCTAGCATCCAGCACCTAGTGCCTAGAATGCAGTAGCTTTTAGTAGGTGCTCAACAATGTGTTTGATGAATCAATGGATGAATGGCAATAAATGGCCATCTCAGCCAGATTTGTCTTGGTCCTGATAATCTCAATATTGTATTTCTTGGCTCTGGATATCCATTTGGGAGGATCAGTTAAGCCTGAAGTAAAAAGACAATTCAAGGGCAGCTGCAAGAGAACATTCTGTAACTTGTTTATAAATATATGAGATAAAATTTGACTGGGCTGAGTTATTGGGAGAGAGAGCTCTGTAAAGCAAGACAAGCATCCAATGAAGCAATGGACATAGATAAATTGTATTTACTCCCCAGAACTCCCTCAAAGGGATTTGCCTTAGACAAATAGCTTGGCCTTGTTTTCACAATAAACAAGTGGTCTCCAGTATGAGCTAAGCCTCCCAGCTAGGCAGTTACTGGTTAGAAAACAGGTCTGGACCCAGAACTAGTTGGAAGCAGTTTCTCTGTTGGAGTGGGAGGAAAGAACAGGCTACTTTTGATGGAAAGGATATACCTGAGAAGAGGCTGTCAACCCACCCCTGGCCACAGGCTGATTAGAGGCAGTATCTGAACTAGAGTCTGGCAACTCCTCAGAATTCTCCTTGCCTCCCAGGCAGTGGTTCTCATCTGTAGAGGACAGGCTCCAAGGAACTAGTATCTTTTTAAAGCCTCCTTTCTGAGCAGTTAAATAAGAGACTGTTTCTTCCTATTCCTTTGGGAAAATTCTCCCTAAAAAAACAAATGCATTTGTTGATTTTCATAGAATTTGGATTTCACATCTTAGCTGAAGCCCGGGCCTCCTTTTCAGTATTGACTTCCATTGAGATTAAGCACAAATGGGTCCTAACACAACTCATGAAAGTGCCAGTTTCCCCCTTGCAAAATAAAAGGTGATCTGTCACCTAAAACTACCCAATTTTTCTCAGGCAGAAAATACATAATGTCAGAGCATGCCAATTACCATAGTGCTTGTCTTCTATCTCTAGCTTTCTCTATTGGTAGGCTACTTCCCTTGAATATCTGTGGATTTAGATGTTACATGTTTTCTAGTCAGAATTGGGCCTAAGTGTATTTGTGGCCATGGTCTTGTTGAAGATTACATTTTTCTTAGTGTACTAATCTAATGCCCCCTGAGTTTGCCATTGTATCTCTGTCGGCTTTTCTGTAATAAATTTGTGCCCTAGGACTACAGGCAATGGCAAAACCCCAAGCTTGGAAGCTGCTTGGTAGTTGACTGGTGGATCTGTAGAGTAGGTATTTCTAGAAGATGAGTAAAATCAGGCAGATGTGGTGGCACATGCCTGTAATCCCAGCATTTTGGGAGGCCAAGGCATGCGGATCACCTGAGGTCAGGAGTTCAAGACCAGCCTGACCAACATGGTGAAGCCCTGTCTCTACTAAAAAATAATAATAATAGTACAAAAATTAGCTGGGCATGGTGGTGGGTGCCTGTAGTCCCACCTACTTGGGAGGCTGAGGCAGGAGAATCACTTGAACCCGGGAGGTGGAGGTGGCAGTGAGTTGAGATCACACCACTATAGTCCAGCCTGGGTGACACAGTGAGACTCCATCTCAAAAAAAAAAAAAAAAGAAGAAGAAGAAGAAGATGACTAAAGCCATTCATTTATTTACTCAATATTTATTGAATATGTAGTATGTACCAGGCAGAGTGCTATGGAGCTAAGAATATAGATACATAAGACATTTATTTACCCTCAAGGGGAGTTATCGTCTACTGGAGAACTTTATGGTTTTAACATGGGGATTTTCACTTTAAAAGTCATTTGATTCATTTTGAATCAGAATACATCCAACCACTAAGGTTGCCTACTTAGAGGATCAAATTGCTGCTGTAAATCTTGGATACAAATATATTCCTCATAATAAAAGAAGCTCACCTAAAATTTTAGGAAAATGACAAGGCAATTTCTGAGGTGCAGAATGAATACATCAGGTAAGCAGGTCTACTTACTAGAAAGATTGCCTCCTGACTAATAGAGTGGGGGGCTTAGAGTCTTAGTGATTTATTCCTGAATTAAAACTAGATAATATATATATATAAGTACTTTACATTTGTAAAAGGAAAACATTACTGTTACACACTGACACCACATAGAATAATATTGTTACATAATACTCATTATAATAGGGTATTGTTACTATTACACTATGTAGAGTAATACCCTAAAAAATCCATGAGCATGGGAATTGCAAGTGATTGGATATAAGTCTGAAGACCTAATTGCCACTGTCAGAAAAATTTTTTAGCCACTATCAGAATAATCTTATAGAACCCTCTTGACCTTTTTAAACTCTAGATTTCTTTGTTTATGAAATGTGGTTATATCTAATCTACCTGCCTCATTTGATAGTATAAAGGATCAAATGAAACAATGAGAACTGAAAATGTAGATACTGCATTTTCTCCGTACCCAGTAATCAATCTTGCAGGTCCACTTCCAAAATCCCAGTTCACAGAGACCATGTTCAGAGAGAGGGAAGTGATGGGAAGGAGGCTGCACTGCTCTGGCCAATCGCCGTGAGGAAAGAGGAAGAAGAGGTAAATTATGTGCTTTCATTGGCTAACCATCCCCGGGAGTCTGAGTCTCAGTGGATCGTTAGCCTTTATTACAACAGAAGCAGGTTTTATCAGAATCTTTGCAGCGTATTTCCCTGTTTCTGCCTAGGTGTCTAACTCATGAAAGATATTGGACTTCACAGATGAAAAAAACAGGGGCCGGGCGCAGTGGCTTATGCCTGTAATCTCAGCACTTTGGGAGGCCAAGGCGGGTGGATCACCTGCAGTCAGGAGTTCAAGAACAGCCTGGTCAACATGGTGAAACCCCGTCTCTACTAAAAATACAAAAAAAAAAAAAAAAAAAAAAAAAAAAAAAACCTGGGTGTGGTGGTGTGTGCCTGTAGTCGCAGGTACTTGGGAGGCTGAGACAGGAAAATTGCTTGAACCCAGGAGGCAAAGGTTGCAGTGAGCCAAGGTCATGCCACTGCACTCCAGCATGGGCGATAGAGTGAGACTCCACCTCAAAAAAAAAAAAAGAAAAAAGGCAAACCTGTTTTCAAGGAATATTGCACAAGGGAGATGACCTCTTAGTAGAGGTCAGGGAGGAATAGTTCACAAGACAGACAATGGAAAAATATAGCTTTTTTTTTTTTTTTTCTGAGACAAGGTCTCACTCTATTGCCCAGGCTGGAAGTATAGTGGCACAATCACAGCTTACCACAGCCTCGGCCTCCCAAGCTCAGGTGATCTTCTCACCTCAGCCCACCCTTCCCTCCCCTCACCCAACTGGGTACCGGGGACTTCAGGTGCATGCCACCGTGCCTGGCTAGCTTTTTTATTTTTTGTAGAGATAGGATTTCCCATGTTACCCAAGCTGATCTTGAACTGCTGGACTCAAGTGATCCTCCTGTCCCAGCCTTCCAAAGTGCTGGGATTACAGGCTTGAGCCACCATGCCCAACCTATAGATCTTTATTAGTTAATTATATCAGAATCAAGATTAATTCAAATCAAGATTAATCAAGATTAATTCAAAACATTAGAAGATATATTTGAACAAATACTGAAAAATTACTCTAATCACCTGATGAGATACATCAGGCCCCATTTCCTACAGAGCTAAACAACAGATCTTCCAGAAAAATGGAGTTCCTTGCCTGCTTTGGGGATGGCTTGGATCTCATTCTCACACTTCCTCAGATGTGAAGTTTCTCGTGTTCGGATTTTAAGAATCCTTAAGGAGACAATAATCAAAGTTGCAATGAGACATGAAGAAGAAATAAAATTATAGAGAAATACTGGAAAATAAGAGAAACAGCTGGACAACTTCAGGGGAATTTGTAACGAAAGAAGGATGGCAGATCATGATGTGGACTCAAGAAATTAGCTATGTACAGTGTTCACTTTGCAGCAATTATGTTACTAATTACTATACTATAAAAGTAGTCTAATGATTATAAAAAGCTAACATTTAGATGCATGTTGAATTTCTGATAAATGTTTTATCAAATTTAAATCTTCCTTTATATACTGTCTAATTATAATCTGGCCCAAAACTAAGTGTGATAATATTGAATACTGAATGGATGAAGACTTGTCCTTGACCTTCTTCTAGCGCCCCTTATAGTCCTTTACTCCACTGCATCTTTGGGCACCACACAAGACCTGGCTTTCTTGGTGAGAACCCTGTGGTCCAAACCTTTCCCTGCACAATACACTTCATTAGCACTTGGGTTCTGGATCCAACGACTCAATGGCCCTGCTCTCCACAGAAGAAAAGAACCAATAAATCAGCTGCATAAAGCTCCCATTAAAGAAGAAAATAGAACTAGTCAAGAAACAGAGAAGAATTTAAAGGGCTAGGAAGAGAACGAGAAAAGTCAAAGAAGGGATGAGATTCAAAAAAGGAGATGGTGATTTACTAGGCCAAATGCTGAAGAGTAATGTTGAACAATTGAGGTGTTAGGTTTATTAATTAGAAATGTTGAGCTAAGAAGAATGACAGGAGAAAAGATGGAGTGCAATACATAGAGAAAAATGGCAGCTAATAAAGAAATGGAGATGGGGTTATAATAATAATGGTGATAATGACAGCTAGTGTTTATTGGAGAGGTTTAGTTGTGTGTCTAGTATTCCACTGAACACTTGGCATGCAGGTATAATATTATCCCCGTCTTAAAGATGAGCAAATCGCAACACAGACTGAATAGTAACTTACAGAAGTTGATTTACAGCATTACATTACTGATCATCTGGAACTGATGAAGCTCAAATTCAAATTCAGGTTTGTGCAACATTTTTGACTACTAGGTTATTGTGCCTCTTCTTCTCTTTAGAGGTTTATTTGAGTCAGAGGAAAAAATAGTTTTATCTTTATCTTACAAGGAAAATGAAGTTAGGGTGACTTTTTTTTTTTTGAGACAGAGTCTCGCTCGTAGGGTGACATTTTTAAATTAAGACAGGAAAGATAAAATAATACATGTGACCAGATGGGAAGAGAGCAGTAGAGATGGAGGCTGAAGATACAAAAAAACAAGTTCTAATTGATGGGAATTTGGAACTGATGGGATAAAATTTCCCAAGGAACCAAAAAGGGCTCTGATTACAAACACAGTTGGGTAAGTTAACTTGAGACATAAGAAAAGGAAGAAAATAATCACTGGGTTTGATGATTAGGAAATAATGTTGTTTGAAATAGTTTTATAACTTAGATTTCACAGAGGAAGTCAGTTGTTAACAAATATTTGGTTATTCCTTTTATGAGTTATGCATTCTGTCAAGTAAAGTCAACAAAAGCATTGCTTGTCATTTCTAATTATTTTCTAGAAACTGATTAAATAATAAAAAACAATTTATCTGTCACTACTCTATTATGTAAAATATTATATTGCTCCTTTCATCTGAAAAATTATATTCTTCTGTCATCTCTGAATAGTTAGGGCATGTCAATTGGAACTCATTTGATTCCAAAGGTCAGAAACTCAACTTGAACTAGCTTAGGCAAAAAAGGATTCCCTTGTCTCACAAAGCCAAACCCCAAAGCACAGGGAATGTCCAGTCTCAAGAAAACTGGTGATGGTCAGAAACAAATAATAAAAATCTACTACCTAAGTGTAGTCGCTTCTTTCACAGATGCAAAAAGTGAAACACAAAGGCATTAGAAAATTGATTCATATCTTTGTGAGTCAGAAGTGATAGTAGATATAGATCCTTTTACCAATCTCCATGCTAAGTTATTCTAACTATCATGTTAAAAATTGGAGTTGGTTTTGGTTGTAATTAGTTCTCCAATTTTATATTTCATAAACAAATAGCAGTATGTGATTAAGTTTTCACATTTCTGGGTACATTCTTAAGAGTATGTCTGGGTATTTCTGGGTACATTCTCAGGAGTACCTCTGGTTATTTCTGGATATATCCTCAAGAGTCAGCTTCCCTCTACTTTACATAAGGTACTAGGAAAATACTCATAATAAATTTATTTGGCCAGCATGACTCTGCTTGCTACAGGCCTGTCTTTATCTGGATTATTCATGGTGATCTCAGTGAGAACCCTGCCTACAGAGTCACAATGAGTGAGCTGAGGAATAGGAAACTTCAGCTCCACCTGGTCTGCTGACACAAGCTTTTGTGCTATCATTTCATCTTTCATGGCTGATTTAAGGGAGGACTTGCTTCCTGTCCAGCCCTGAGGAAGAATATAGACATTTAGACATTCTAAAACACAGACATCATATGTTTAATTTGTCTCTCTCAGCTTTAAATATTCTAAAGGTATTGTCATAGTTTACACAGCTTAAGGATATTTTTCTCCTTGTTAATGAAAGGAGTTTGCAAAAGTAATTAGTGAATACTTAGAAGTACAGTGGAATGTAAGGACACTATCATTATAAGTAGAATTTTGGAAATATGTGTACAAGGAAGGAAGGAAATATAGGCTTTAAAGAATCATATTTATGTCAAATTTATTATGTGCAGATCTTAGCCAGGGATACTGAAAAGATTAGATTCATTACTGAGAAAACGTCATACAAGGGAACTTTACTATTGATCTCCAGATTAATAGAACACAACACCAAACATATTCTTCAATCACCTGAACTGCTTACAGGACTAAAAATAGTCCTAATGGATGTTTTTCAAGCATTTCATGTTCTCTTCTACTCCATTGATTCAGATTCACATTCAACTGATTCTGAACATTTAGTGAACATCCAGATTCAATATTTACTAAATGACGACTTGGTGCTGGGCACTTTGCTGGATACTACTATTACCTTATTCGATTCTCACTTCAACTCCAGAGGAGTCTCATTATTCTCAGTTTGAAACTGCCATTGCAAAATTATAACTGAGACAGTGAAAGAGATCTGACCTTATCAATTTCATCTTGCTTCTAACCTCCAAGCTGTCCTTGTTCATTCCTGGGTGTACACTGAACTAATTTGGGGAGGAACTTATTTTATAGTTTGAGACAAAGATGGTAACAGCCCTTTCTCAAAACAAACCCCCTTCTTGCCTGGGGACCAGAGTGCCTTTGCAGGACTAACAAGTTAGTCAAAAGATTAGAAATTATGGTTTAGGGGTCATGCAGCTGGAGGCTACAAGATTCTGACCCTTCCCAAATTTCCCCTGGGGATAAAAATCACTATTGTAAAACCTGAGACCAATGCTTGAGATATTTTGCCGACCCTGCACTTAATGGATAAACTGGCTCCATCAAGTGCACCACCCAGATGGATAAACTGTCTCATCTGATTTGGGGGCCACTGGCTTCCCCCCACCCACCAAGCTGTCCTTAACAACTTAGATCCCTGAATGCTCAGGGAGACTGATTTGAGTAATAGTAAAACTCTAGTCTCCTACGCATTCAGCTCTGCGTGAATTACTCTTCTCTATTGCAATTCCCCTGTCATGATAAATTGGCTCTGTCTAGGCAGCAGGCAAGGTGAACCTATAGGGTGATTACAATTTTACAGAGTCTTAGAGAAATTAAGAACCTTACCTAAGGTCACATAAGTGGTGAATGAGATTCTGGAGTTCTAGCATTCTAGTTCAGGTCTTTTCTGATACCATACTTTGTGTCTCTTCCACTGACTGCACTGTCTTCATTTTATCAGAGTCAATGAGCAGCATTGACATTCAGATACTAAAGAGCAGTGGGAGAAAAATACTCTTTCTTTGTTAATTTTAGTTTTATGAACAAAAATTATGTAGTCTGCATAGAAACAATAGATAATAAAGCCACCCATAATTTCAGTAGTCATGAGGCATGACACAAAACCACCTGTTCTTTCCCATGTCAATGTATGTGTGTGCATGTGATTTTTGTAATGTAAGCAAGTTTTCTGTGTTGCAGAAAGGTGTGAAAGCTGAAACACAGCAGGTTTGAATTACAGGGTGTATAGGTGTGGGCTATTTCCCTGCCCCCAGAATTTTATTTACTCATCAAAAGCCCTAGGTAGCATGTGTTTGAAGACAGCTGTATCTTGGAAGAAGCTCCAAGACACACTGACAATATCAGAGGATCATGTAGCCATATGGGGCCTAAAGATAAGTCTTCTTTCTACACAGCCTGTCCTAATCAATATGCTGTTTGCCAGCTTCACATGAAATGTCCTTTGGCAAATAAAAATTATTTTAGGGAAACATTGGATGGACACATGTTGGTATTTTTAACTTTAAAATAGAAGTATCAAGTGAATTATTAAACAGGAAAAATCAAATCCTTAAACACATCTCCCTAATAATAAAGTTAATTCCATTTTTTGTGTATTCTCTTCCTGGGGACATCACTGTTGTTAGAGTGCATCACTTTGACTCCCATGGTCTCCTCTCATAAATGACAGTTTGTAAGAGTTGCAGTGGCTGATCTTATAGTTTATGTTGTGAGACTGTGGCCCTTGGCAGTACAGTTGCACAGTGTTTGTCCTTCTATGCACTTCCTGATAGTGCTTGGATGTTCAAACAAATATACTAATAATAATGCAAATATGCTAAAGAGGAACTGTTTCTCTCTATCCCCGGCTCTCACCAGTCATTTCTGGTCCAAAAGGAAGAACCCAGGGACTGCTTCCTGATTATGTATTTTCAGTGTCTCAAGCAACTGCAACAGGAAGGCATGAGACTAGGCCCTATTTCCTATAATATGTTATTTTTATCACTCCATTGCTCCTATCATAATCCAGCTTTTAGCTTTTTACATTTATAAACAAATCCCTCTTTTTTAAGAAAAAAAAAAAAAAAAAAAGGCCGGGTGTGGTGGCTGAGGCCTGTAATCCCAGCACTTTGGGAGGCTGAGGCAGGTGGATCACGAGGTCAGGAGTTGGAGACCAGCCTGACCAACATGGTGAAATCCCATCTCTACTAAAAATACAAAAATTAGCCTGGCGTGGTGGCGCACACCTGTAATCCCAGCTACTCAGGAGGCTGAGGCAGGATAATAGCTTGAACCTGGAAGGCAGAGTTTGCAGTGAGCCGAGATCATGCTACTGCACTCCAGCCTGGGTGACAGAGCGAGACTCCGTCTAAATAAAATAATAAAATAAAATAAAATGTCACATACAAAACTATGTATCTACTGCTGCCTGCAAAAGCAACGAAAAACAAAAAAGACATAGCGGTATCTCTTCCACTGTTCATTAGGCTTCCTTCTACTATAGACCAATCCTTCGAAGATTGTTTTTCTCAGAATATGCAGGGAGACAGAGAAATGGCTTCATGAGGGTCTCCATGATAAATACAAAGCTAGAGGGCTTGCCATGTTCTTTATTCACTCCCTCTTCTCCTTGCCCCAGCTCCCTCCATTACTCCTCTTTTTGTCTCTCCCTATTCCTTGGTCATATTCTTCCTCCTTCCCTGTCTATATCAATTTATCTGGACAGGTTTTTAATGTTGTGAGAATATTAAAGAAATAATACCTATATGTTCTGATGACCTCAGAAGGTTCTTTTGGGTTTCCTGGTTCTCTGGTGACCAATTTCTTCTCCAAGATAAACTGTTCATTCAGTAGGCAAATTAGTTCTCCAGCACAGTAATCATCTGTTAGGCTTCAGGAAGTGAGAGATTCATTTGGTGATTTTTTTTTTCAAGATTAAGGCTGAGAATCTGTATTGGTTTCTTGCTGGAAGGAAATAGAAACAACTTGGACAAGTTCCATCCTTGGACAAGTGAAAGAGCAGCACACATGCATGTGTGTGTGTGTGTGTGTGTGTGCGTGTCAGAAGGGGTGGTGGTGGTGGGTGATCTTAACAGGGCATTTAAGGTCTTCTGTAATCTTTCCAAAACTACCTTTTCACTTTTTTTTCACTTTTGCCTCCTACAACCCCCTGATATGTGTATATATATATATAATATATATATATGTATACATATATATACACACACACACATACACACATAGCCTTGTCTCAAGGTAAATTGAACATCCATCTTTTCCTTTAGTAAATGGGACATTGTCTACATGTCTTGGTTTGTATTCCCTTCCCACTGCCTGGAAAGTGCCACCCCATCCCTTAAACTTAATAGGCACATACACATGCCCCCTCTGCCAGTGAAAATGCATCTATATTTTGGGGCCCAGTCCTAGGTGCATCTCCCCCTTTACCTTCCTTGAGCAGCTCAGCTTACTCCATCCCTCTTTCTCCTCTGAACACCTGTTGCGCTTATCCTGTGTCAGGTGAGAGTTAATCTCCATAATGAAAACATATTGGCTCTGAAACCAAATGTGATGCTCTCGATAAAACTTATCAGACTTTGAAAAAGTGTGTGTGTGTTTGTGCACGTACGCATGTGTGTGTTTTGGTGAAGAAGCTGAAGGCAAGCAGGCACATGGCTGAGAGAGTCTGGAGAAGAGGTGATGAACACAGAGAGAATAGATAGAGAAAAGTGATGAAAATAAAATGTCACCTTCCAGTATTGATCATGTGTCTTACAGAAACCCATTTTCACTCGTCTGCTCACATGCTAGATATCCCTCACTCCACTTTGGCTTTCATCCTACAGTTGTTAGTCTTATAGATGCTAGAAATGCACCAAGACCTCTCCAACTCTAATCTGGTATTTTTAAACCATCTTTTTAATTTGGAGAGACCACTGACTACATGCAGAAACAGGCACATACAGATTCTACACCCAAAATACCAACATGTTCAGGAAATTGCATTTAACTTAATAAGTGCTGCTATTTTGGGCTCCAGCTGTATCCTCTTGACCAAAACAAAAAAAACTGAATAGCTTATACTGTTCTCCCTTCAACTCTCCAGCCTTTTCCTGAAAGTTCTAGCTTCTTCATATTAGAACAGTTTCAGACAGTCACTGTGTCATCCTGCAGTCTGCACATACACCGAAGACTTCAACACAACAAACCCCAAGTTCCTTTATTTCTTTTTTACCTTTGTTTTCTAATACTTTACATATATATCCCTAGACTGTAGTAATTACATACTCTGTAGACAACAGGAATGTGAAAAAGCCATTTGAGGACCCAATTTTGCTTCTATAACAAAGACATGTTTGTGATTAGATAATGGAAAAATTGTAGACCTTACAATACTTTTTCCAGATGAAATCCTAAAGATATTCATGTTATATATTCATATTTATATATATTCATAGCCACACATGTCAAACTTATGATTATTGATAACTTGTGGTTTTCAGATGAAAGAACTTTGAAATAAACATTGAAAGTATAATATTACATTAAAAATTACAGATAATACTTTTAATAAAATGATAAAATCTTCCTTCCTTTTTTTCCTTCCTTTCCAATTTTCCTTTTCTTCATCAAATATTTAGTATCTGCTATACAGGTGTTTGATGCTGTAGGACCTGATGAATCACAGCGTTTTAGGCCCAGAGCTATTTTAGATGGCAGAGAAAGACCCCTTGCTTCAGGATAGCATGTATTTGCTTCAAGTTACTTTCCCACTAGAGAAAGAAAGGTTCCACCTTCATTATTGAAATGGCTTAGCTTATAGCCTGGGGCTGGCTTATTTATTTTATTAATGTTCTGACCAAGACCAGAAAGCTCTGCTGAGAGAATCTCTGCCTCACTGAGGTTTTCACTCTAGGTTATATATTGTGAATACAGATATAAAGCCATTACTTGGGTGTGGATGGATAAAAAAGAGTCAATAGAGTGAGCTTGGAAAAAGAGCAGAGAAAGAAGAAATGTGAGTTCATTAAGGGAGGCAGGATTAGTGGAAAGAGCTTCTGTATTCTCTTCCTTTGCCATGTGGAATCTTGAGTGATAGCAGTTGGATCTTGATAGATGGAAGATAGAATGATCTCTAAGCAATAACATAATGAAAAAGTTGTGCCAATATAATTATCATTTGCTTTCTGCCTTATCAATACTTCACAATTTAATTTGTTTCAACTCAATAAACATGTATTTTAAATCTATTATATACCTCTTTTGGGCCTGTGAGAAACAGGTAAAAAAAAAAATGAGAAACTGGCTTCAGAGAGTTTACTTGATAGGGCGAGGGAGTCACAGCAGAATAATTATATAGATATTATTATTGTTTGAAATATCAGATGTTATCATTCCCAGAATAATTATAGAATATATCTTACTTTTTCACCCTAAAATGGAAATGTGAGCTGTCAATTAATGAGTGGTGATACAACTTGAACAGTGAATGAAATTAGAAGAGAAATAATGTTTACCTACTTTTTCTGCAACCACATTTTGAGTACAGTACAATGGAAATGTTTTATTTCCTTTTGTAAAAATAATGGCTCTAGGAGCCTGGGAAAGAATGTTTTAGAGCAGTTTCCAAACTTATCTGACAGTAAAAGCTACCTACTAAGTACAGATTTCAGGGTCCTTCTGGAGATGCTAGTTCTGAGGTTCTAGGGTAAGCTGAAGAAACTATACTTTTAAGGGAGATTCTATCTTAAGGAAAATTGGGGAAATTGCTATTTAGGAGAAATTACAATTGACCAAAGAAGAATGAAAACACAAAGAAATACTTGCATGAGTTAAAAAAAAAAAAAAAAAGAAAGAAAAAAACACCTCACAGATGCCTTACGTACCTTTTACAAATTATCTGTACCTACATTGGCAACATTGCAGATAAATACAATATAAAATTAATTCAAAATATTCTGCCCATTTATCAAGATATTTCCAGCAAATGTAAGTCTCTGACTGAAAAGCAGATAGAGTTCATTGCAATTATGCAAATATATGCATCATATTAAAATTTTAAGCTGATAAGTAAGCTCTGGGAAAAATAAAAGTAAAAACATTCGGCCAGGCAGGTGGCTTATGCCTGTAATCCCATAACTTTGGGGAGTGGAGGTGAGCAGATCACTTGAGCCCAGGAGTTCGAGATGAGCCTAGGCAACACAGTGAGAGCCTCATCTCTACAAAAAAAATTTTAAAAATTACCTGGGCATGGTGGTTTGCACCTGCAGTCCCAGCTATTTGGGAGGCCAAGGTGGGAGGATCAACTGAGCCAAGGAGATGGAGGCTGCAGTGAGCCATGATCATGCCACTGAACTCCAACCTGTACAACAGAGTGAGACCCTGTCTCTAAAAAACAAAAAACATACAATGCTTAAAATTAACCAAAATTATTTTAAACTTAATCCAGGATTCTAAATTCTACTTAGAGTTATCAAAAGTCTTTTTTTAAACCTCATTCCTATTCTTTAATAATATGCATTTTATTTTTCTTTTAAACATCTTGGAGTATACAATTTCTTTTCAGTTTTATCTTGGAGGATGGGACTAGAACTACTGAGAGTCCTCAAAAAGGCCAAATGTTTCTGAAAAGTCAGATTTTAATGTTCTAGTTCATACGTAATATAATGAGGATTGTATTTTTTACTTGTAGGGCTTTTTTTCTAGTTTTGGTTTTAAATTAAATAATACACATAAAGGCTCTAATTCTGTGTTTAGAAGGTGCTCCAGAAATTTAAATTTCCCACTTCTTGAATCATTGTCATCATCATCACTATCATTCTCATAGTCAGGCTTCGTTAATTGCCTCCTTTGTGCCAGGGATAATGCAAAGTCTGTGGGTGATGTGGAGATGTTTCCAGTCTCCCAGGGAAGGACATACTAACTACAGTGTAGGTTACAATGTGATAATCCATACTATGGAGGTTCACAGAGTGGAGGAATTGCAATGGAGGGCTCTGCAAGAGGGAAAGACCCTTTGGAGAAAGTGGCTTTTGAGGTGGCCTTCAAAAACTTTAAATAAAAATGTTTTATACTCAACAGTTACTAACCTTCCCTAGAAGCATCACTGTTACTCTTCATTAATTATTTGGTGATGTGAAATGATTAATGTTTAATGCTCTCTTATGGAACAGATTTTCCCAAGGTTCAATTAAATTGTTTGACTCATTTAAGTGTAACTAAATGAAAGATGTGTAACCAAAAGAAACTGCAAAGACTCCTCAATATCTGTTTACCTTGAATATCATTTCATGCAGGTCCAATTACAGACTGACACACTCTAATATCACATCACCTCCCTGTGCAAAATGAAGAGAAGAAATTATTTGATCCATATAATGATCTTTACAATTCAGGCCTCAAACCAGGATAATATCTGAATAACTGTGGTAAAGTAAGTTTTCCTTAATTATCCAGGTAAATGCTTAACTTTATAGAATCAATAGATAGTTCTAAAATATACATATAAATAACAGAGAAAAGAAGAAAATGTAAGGCAAGGAAAAGAATTTATTTTGTACATTAAATAGTTCTGAAAGCAGGTACTACAGGGAGCGTTCTAGTATACTTTTATATTCTAAAATAGAAAAATAATCCATAGGAAAATATTCATCCTTTGCTTCACATCTCTATTTCTTTTTCAAAAAGCCAAATATTATTTTCTTGCATTCTCTTTAGATTTTGAAGTCTAGCGACTGAATGGAAGAATTGCAAAATCTATACATTATAATAAATAATTTTCTTTGCTCCATATATTCAGTAATAGAGGCATAGATGAATGCAATAGAAAAAAGTATAAAAAATACAGACTTATTTGGCCGCAATTCACAAACATCATGATAACCATAACATCTTAAATTAAAAAAAATTCAGTTATATGAATACACAAGAACCATATAATTCTAAAAAGATTTGTTATGAAAAATAGCAGTTCCCTATCACCTCCTTCTATTTATCCCTGTTTAAAAAGCAACTGCTTTCACCTCTTACTAGCCAACTATTTTGATATTTACCTCCATGTCCTAAATAACGTGTTGTTATTCTGTTTTTGCATTTTTTAATTTTAGGCATTAGTGACATTCTGCTATGGAAGTTGAGATTTTGCTTTTTCTCCTTTTCTCTGACCAATAACCCCAACCAGAGACTTATAATCTTTCCTATCCCCTCATCTTCCTGATTATGATTTTACATAATGATTTTGATTAATTTTCAGTGTATATATTATGAAGATTATGTAAATACCATTCACAGATGAGCTTTTCTTGCATAGCTCTGTTTTCTAAATTATTTTTGTTTTTTCTTAGTTTTCTAAGTGCTTGCTGCTAAGGTCTGAATGTTTGTGTTCCCCCAAATTTATATGTCAAAATCTTACCCTTCAAAGTGGTAGTATTTGGGGATGGGGTCTTTGGGATGTGATTACATCATGAGCTCAAAGCCCTCATAAGTAAGGTTAGTATCCTTATAAAAGAGGCCCAAGCCCAAGAGAGACTTTTCACCCCTTCCACCCTATAACGACACAGCAAGAAAGTGCTGTCTATGCATGAGAAAGTGGGCTCTCATCACAGTGGTGAGATATTAGACTGATGCCTTGATCTTAGACCTCCCAGCCTCCAGAACTGTCAGAAATAAATATCTGTTGTTTATAATCTACCCAGTTTATGGTATTTTATTATAGCAGCCCAAACAGACTAAGACAGTATTTCTCACGAATTCTAGTAACTTTTCACAATTCTGTACATTAGCCCTCGATATACTCAGATGCAGTAGGTATTCTATTGATGTGATTTTCCTGAAGAGGTCTCTCCCAGTGTCTTCCACTGCTGCAATCAGGCTGCCTCCTATGCCTGATATTCAGTTATTATGCTGGGTTCTTCGTTCACTATCACCCCAGGGATTCTCATCACCTCTTTTCTCTGTATTGGATTGCCTGTTTCCTGTATCACATGACTTTCTCTTTTTTGGATTCTTCCCTTGTTTTCGTAGAGCAAGATCTCCTTTCATGAGAAATGGCCCACAGCAGGTAAATTTCTTGAGGTCTTGCTTGTCTCACAATGTTTTTATTGTCCCTGACGATTGATAGTTTAGTTGAGCATAAAATTCTTGGTTGGAAATAATCTTCCTACAGTGTTTGAAAGACATTATTACTCCACTATCTTTCGACTTCCTGTGTAAATGAGAGGTCTGAAATGGTTCTGATTCCTGGTTCTTTGTGTGTGTGATCTATCTTTTTCTGCTAATTCTAAAACTTCTGTGATCTCTTTCTCTAGTGTTTCCAAAATATCACAGTGATGTGCCTTAATGTCGACTGAGGCACAGTCCCACTGTGCTAGGCATTTAGACTAGGATGTATAAGTTTCAGTTTGGAAACTTAGATTTTTCAAATCTAAGAAAATATCTGGAAAAATATTTATTTTCTCACCTCTGTTTTCTCTCTTTTCTTTCTAGTGTATGTATACTAGACCTCCTGGATTAGTCTCCTGTCTTTTTGGCCACTTTCTGATGATTTCTTTGACTTTATTTTCTAATTCTTCTATTGAATTTTTTCTTTCTTCTTTCATAGCTTTGCTTTACAAGAACTTTTTTGATGATTGTTGCTGTTCTCGACAGGTCCCTTTCTTATAGTATCCTGCTCCTATTACAGGGTGGCAGTATCTGGCAATGTTAGAATTTTTTGTTTCTCTCTCAATGTATAGTTTTTATTATTCTCCAAATTGTTTTTTGTTTTGTTTTCCTATTTATGAATATTCATCTCCATCTGTCATGTAAGAGCATTTTCTCATGCCTGGTAATCATTAGTTACCTGTTCCTTTTTAAGAGTGGAGCACTAAAATGCTGACTGGATACTCTGAGTACATGGTAAGGGCTTGACTATGATCTTCCCTGTAGGGTGAACTAGCTGGGAAAAGTCAGATATCAGTCATCTTTTATTTATTTCCTCTGGAATGATCAGATTTCTCAGAGAAGATTCTTCCAATCCTCTCCCTAGAGAGAGAGACTGGCTGCTGATGCAGAAAGACGCCTGAGGTCTCAGCTTCAAATGTGTCCTCATTCATTTCTTCCCGCAAAATTGCCATTATAAAAACTTCAAACATACAGAAGAGTTGAAAGAACAGCACAACAACTACCCCTGTATCCTCCATCTATATTCAACAATTGTTAACAGTTTGCCATATCTGTTTTCTTCCTCTCTAAACTTTTGAAGCTAGGGTGTCATCGTGGACTTCACTCTTAAATATTTCGGCATATATCTCCTCAAAAATAAGAACATTTCCTACATAACCACATGTAGTATTGTCATATCTAAGAAAAAAATAACAATAATTTTTATCACTTAATGCCCAGTTCTTATTCAAATCTCCAGTTGTCACAAAAACGCACTTACTTTTTTGCATGGTACCCATGCCGTAAACTATGCTTGGCATTCCCAAGTCCAGACTTTATCTTTTTCTCCCCTGATAATAAATCTATAGTCTTTTGCTGGGGATGGGGTAGGGACAGTCATCTAGCCATGTAGAGTTGGGGAGGGTATCTGATAGTTCTTAACTTGCAATCACTTCCTACCACCACAAGCACCAAACACACATACCTTTATTTATTATTATATTATTATTATTATTATTATTATTATTATTATTATTGAGACAGGGTCTTGCTCTGTTGCCCAGGCTGGAGTGCAGTGGTGTGATCTCAGCTCATTGCAACCTCCACCTCCTGGGCTCCAGCGATTGTCGTGCCTCAGCCCCTGGAGTAGCTGGGTCTACAGGTGTGTGCCACTACGCCTGGCTAATTTTTATATTGTTAGTAGAGACGGGGTTTTGCCATGTTGGCCAGGCTGGTCTCGAACTCTTGAACTCAAGTGATCCACCCAGCTTGGCCTCCCAAAGTGCTAGGATTACAGGTGTCAGCCACTGTGCTGGGCCCCAAACACATATACCTTTAATCTCACTGCCAGCTGGACTTGGTGCTGCTATTTCCTGAATGAGCTTTTTGGGGATTCTGCATGTCATATTGAATCAATTTTGCCATTTCTCATTGCTAAATTAAGGTTCAGTTTTCTCATGTCTGTCTGTGTTGAGGTTAACCATGTTATTTATTGTTCAAACTAAAACACATTTGAAGGTACTGGGGCTCAGGAAATGATACCCTAAAGTATGAAGCCTTGGCATGCTGAGTATTTTGAACTAAAGGAGATTGGAAGGACTCAGAAGCAAAGTCTCTCTGTGCCCTCCTGTCTCTTGCCTCTCCTTCCCTGAGGCAGGTCATGAAAACTAGAGCTCCTCTTCCCCAAAGCTAGTCATAAAACCCAGAAATATTACTCTAATCTTCTCCTGCTTTTTTGTGTAGCAGCTGG
Organism: Homo sapiens; assembly: GCF_000001405.40. Classification (NCBI taxonomy): domain Eukaryota; kingdom Metazoa; phylum Chordata; class Mammalia; order Primates; family Hominidae; genus Homo; species Homo sapiens. The sequence goes on from NC_000001.11 coordinate 172,525,654, forward strand.
CCATAAAGAAGTTATCTGACCTACCATGTCTGATAGTAGATTATAGGCCTACCGTGTCTGATTGTAGATTATAAGACTATCATTCCAAAAGAGGTCATGCCCTATACCCAGAAGGAAGAAATGCTACACAGAGAGGCCAAGAAGAATCTGAACAGACAGTCTTTGTTGGGTTTTCCCCTCTCATTTTATTACCATTAGACATGATCATACCATTAGACAATATCTACTATCATTATCATACCCTTTTTGTCCAGTTACATTTCTACATGGCTGTCCATTCTTCATTGAATTTAAGCATAAAAATGGACAGTTTTACCTAGGTCTTTGTGTGTTCATTTCTGAAGTTTCCTGTGTCAAGTAAAACTTTTTGATTAAGTAAATTTGTTATGCTTCTCCTTTGTTAACCAGTCTTTTGCTATAGGAGTGTCAGCCGTGACTCTTTTTTTTTTTTTTTTGAGACAGAGTCTCGCTCTGTCGCCCAGGCTGGAGTGCAGTGGCGCGATCTCGGCTCACTGCAAGCTCCGCCTCCCGGGTTCACGCCATTCTCCTGCCTCAGCCTCCCGAGTAGCTGGGACTACAGGCGCCCGCCACCATGCCCGGCTAATTTTTTGTATTTTTAGTAGAGGCGGGGTTTCACCGTGTTAGCCAGGATGGTCTCGATCTCCTGACCTCATGATCCGCCCGCCTCTGCCTCCCAAAGTGCTGGGATTACAGGCGTGAGCCACCGCGCCCAGCCCCGTGACTCTTATGATGGGTAAAAATATCACATCTTTTCCACTTCTACAAAAGTAAAAGTTGGTACTATTATTAATTATGCCAGGATTATTAAAGGTGGTAAACTAGGCTTGTCAGATCAGCAAATCATCATGTTAGGAAGAATTTCTTACTTATCTGCTTTCCAGCTTCAAGTTTTTTTTCTTATGGCCCTCTCACCTGATCTCCCATCCTTGCAGCCTGGGTATTAACAAACAAACAGACTCTTTTCTGTTGTTTTATGGGGTTTTGTGAGTAAAAGTAATTGCATGTGTGCAATGAATATATTATCTTTACCCCAACTTAATTATCTTGAACTTTGATCACTTTGTATTTGTACCACATTTTGTTATTTTAATGTTCTTGAATACTTTGTTTCATAGAAAATAATATCTCTAATGCTTTTTAAAAAAATCCCCACAGTACCTATAGTGAAGTATTTTATGTGTTTAAAAAATACCTGTTTATTTTATTTGATTAGAGCTCACCTTCACTATTTCAAACACAGAATACCAAATAAGTGTCAAGTTATTGACACTTTTAGACAAAATTAGAAGGCACATAAGGGTTGTAAAATAGTTTTGAATTCGATTCTAGTGCTTACTGTTCCCTATAGCTGAAATACCTTCTCTTCATATCTCTATGAAAATCATACTCATTTTTAAAGAACCACATTATATCTGCCTCTTTTAAGTCTTTGATAATTTCCTCACAAAAAGGTAATTTCCTTTTCCTCTAAAATCTTGTGATACTCACAATTCATATTATTTGAGGCATTTATTCCATATATCTTATGTATTTCATTTCCCCTAGAGCAGTGGCTTTCACATTATTTTGACTGTAACTCACTTTAAGACATATATTTGGCAGGGAGTGGTGGCTCACTCCTGTAATCCCAGCACTTTGGGAGGTAGAGGCAGGCAGATCACTTGAGGTCAGGAGTTCAAGACCAGCCTGGCCAACATGGCAAAACCCTGTCTGTACTAAAAATACAAAAATTTGCCAGGCGTGGTGATGTGTACCTGTAAGCTACTCCTGCCAGCTACTCCGGAGGCTGAGGCAGGAGAATTGCTTGAACCTGGGAGGCAGAGGTTGCAGTGAGCCAAGATCGTGCCACTGCACTGCAGCCTGGGTGACAGAGCAAGAATCTGTCTCAAAACAAACAAACAAACAAACAAACAAAAAACAAACAAAACAAAAAAATCCCAGACATATATTTTACATTGCAACCTAGTATGCATATATGTATATAACAGTACACACACACGTATACACACATCACATATATTACTGAAATAAGATTGCCCCACAAAAATACTTCCTCTTGCTGAGACACACTCTGATATTTTCTAAATTATTGTCTTTTAGTTTTTAAAAAGTGCTGCTGGATTCCCTCAAGATTCATTTCTTGACTCTCTAATGAATTGTGACCCCACAGTTTAAAAAACATTGCTCTTTTGCAGGACTTCTTAGTTGGGATCCATGTATATAATTCACAGGTCCATGGAGGGAATAATAATTATATCTCCATTCTCCTAACCTCTACTGAAATTTAGAATTTGATTTTATTGTGAATGTAGGTAACAAACTGTGGTAGTACTGGCTGTATCTACAACTTTGTCACCAATATTAATCACAGATGTTTTCATATCACATTATGCATATTGTAGGTATCTTGGAATGTCTCTTATACTCATCACCATTTTGGAATTATTGACATTAGGAGACCTGCTGTTAGACCTTGTTATTTATGCATTAATGAAAAAGCACACCTTATTAGATCACAAATTTGCTTTGTAATATTTTAATAACTGTATTTCCCTACAATTAGTTTCCTTGGTAATCTATGTGTTTTATTTTATACCTTTATAAACATTCTGAAAAGGGTTTTACCAGACTACCAAAAGGGTTCAGTTCAGAAGATTAAGACTCCCTGCTAGAACGCTAAACTTTTCCTGGAGCAAATTTCTGTCTCAGCATCTTTAATACAAAAAAGGCTCAATAAATATTTACTGAACACTTTATTTCTCCAGGTTACTTAGGGTAACTAGAACCTAGGAAAATCTATTCAGACATAAGTCAAATAATGTTATGCTAAAAAGCTAATTTGGTAATTTATAGAGAAAGAAATAGTTGGCTAGGTGCTCTAGACTAGTCAACTGCATAAAACGTTCTCATCCTAAGGGCTTGCTACTTCTAGGAATTTAAATTATAAGGCAAATTGTAATTTAAGGTGATTAGACAAAGAAATAAGTAAAAAGTAAAAAATTATTTCTTGGGCCTCTGTAATAAAAAAAGTCACTGTGTGATATATATCAATAAAACACATGACCTCTCTGCAATAAGGAATTTATTCACTGCTTGGGGAGACAAATGACTATTAAATAAAAACAGTGTCATGAGGGCAGGCACAGGTGTTTCAGGTCATAATAAACAGTGTGGTCTGGTGAGAAGGTTGAGTTATGAAAGAAAACAGTGGGAAATAAAGCTTGAACTACATCAACTGGGTTTGATTATGGAAAGCTTTGAATGCCAGGCCAAGGAGGCAGGACTTTATTTCACAAATACGTCAGACCTGTAGGAGATTTTTGCATCAAAGAAAGGACATGATGAAGATAATGTTTTAGGAAGCTTCATCTGAGAGCGTTATACAGGAGGTACTAAAGGACGCATCAGTTACAATCCCCAACATGCTGCTTCAGTTGCTACTTTCTCTCCCTATTTTGAATCTTGTACTTGTAAATTCTTGCTAGATACTTCCACCAGAACCTCAATACTGTGCTTCCAAAACCATACTAGTCTCTTAAATTGTAAATCTGCAACTCCTGACTTTCCTACTCATATAATGGCACATACGTTCTTAGAAATTGGACCATCTTTGATGTCTCCTTCTCTGTCACCCACATGTAATCATTCCCTTCCTCTAGTTGATTCCATTATGAGCCTATTCAATTCATGTATCTTCAAAATAAACATATGTTAACGCAGTGATAGAAGACTGAATTTGGGATCACAAAGTAGAATTTTTAAAAAGGGAAATCTTACCTTTTGTTATTTGCAGTAAAAACAGAACCGTGCATGCCAACATTGCACTCTGTGATCTTCCCGCCCTCAGATCTTCCCGCCCTCAAGAGACTGAGTTCTCAGACTGTACTAATAAAGCAATCTATGTCTTCTTCTGATTTCTACCTTTACCTCCTGAAGTGGCCAAATTACCAGTGCTCTGTTAAGGTAGATTAGGCTAAGTAGTTAAGGCTCTTTTCAGGTAGGTAGTAACTAAATAAAGAAGGTATATGCTATTCTACACACATATTTATATATATAAAGAAGATGATCGGGGGGACAGTTTTAAAAGTTCTGTTTATACTTTTTATGCGGTTAAAATGTTAAGTGCTGATTGCCACATTCACCATTTTTCCATCTTATTTAGTCTCTTTTATTGTCCATTTGTCTGTTTTCCATTCCCCAACCTTTCTTTGACTGATTTCCAGGAAACTTCTGTTTTAACTGACTTTTACTCTGGAAGCATCTAAATGTCATTGGTCTCTAAGATCCTTTGGAGACATATAGGATCTCAGCATTTTGTAATATTGAAAGGAGCAGGTAATTTTTCAACTAAATCAAAATACATAAAAGCTTGCTCATGAAATACCACCATCTTAGACAACACAGTTCTCTTGGGTGTCTTAAATATGATTTGTATATGAGATAAAGAACAAACGAGATAGCCAGAAGGGGTTGGTTCCTTTTCTAAGGTCTGCTTGTTCTCTTTTACCATAAGCAAACAGAGTATCTGATCTTTATCAAGGCAGGGACTTGAGCTGCCCAGAGTTTCTGGTTTAGTCACCCTTTTAGGAATGGGAGAACTCATGTTCATTGTGCAGTTTAGGCCCTAGTGACTTGCTGAATAATCCAAGGATCTGCAGGGCAAACGAGTTATCCTGTGTGTGGTCAGTGCTTTATAGATTTTATTGAATTGGGAGATTCTGTTACAGCAGGGTTTCTCAACCTTGGCACTTTTGACTTTTTGGCCAAATAATTTTTGTTGTGGAGGGCTTTCTTGTGCACCGTAGGATGTGAAACAGCATCCCTGGCCTCTACTCACTAGATGCCAGTAGTACTTCTCCAATGTGACAAGCAAAAAATGTGTTCACACAATGCCAATCTCACCCTGGGGGGAAGTCTGCCCCAGGTTGAGAATTACTGTATTATAGTTAAGGGGTGGTTGATAGTGGTTACTTAGCCTAAGCCTTAAAAGATTATATATATAATTAAATATTATATATGAAAGATTATACATTATACATGCTCTTTTTCTATATTCTTTCTTGCCATTTTTGGCATATGTTATACTTTTAAGTATGGTGACATTCATCTATACTAGTTTTATTTTATATAACTATTACTCACTTTCTTATACTTGTCTATTGAGTTGTAAGAAAATTTTCTCTGTTCTTTTTCTCATTATATTTAACAGATATGTGGAAAAATGTCTACCAGTTCTTTAAAGGTCAGCTCTATGGAACTTCTATTTATTTCATCTGAAGTCTTAGAATAGGAAAGAATCAACACAAATATAGAAAGTCACGTGAAGAAGCTAATTTATGGGGAAAATGAGTTCAATTTTGTGCAGGTAAAATTGGAAGTGATAGAATAATATGTCCAGCAACTACTTGAAAAGAGGATGGGATATAGGTTTAGGAGTCAACAGTATAGTTGAAAATTAAAATTGCTCAAGAGAAAAATGGAAAAAGCTCGGAGTAGTGAAGGATTAAACCTTAACATGAAACCATGGAAATGAAGCTGCAAAAAGAGAAAAGAACATTTATAGATTGAAATAGTAAAAGCTAATAATTGGATGATAATTAGGTGAATGGAAAGCCTACCACGGGGGTATTAATAAAGCTCCAACTGCAGGAGAAGGAAGGAAGGAAGGGAGGAAGGCAGGCAGGCAGTCAAGGAAGGAATGAAAGAGAAAGAAAAAAGTAAAATTATTTGTACTTGCATGTTTCAAAAAATCATTGCAGGGACTTGGTGGAAAATAAGTGGATGGGTTTGTGAGTTTGGGATGAGAGGGTTAGGAGATGTAACTTGATAACTTCCTAGATTTGAGATAAGCACGTATTCTAATATAACTTCTTTGGCTGTGATGCACTGAGGATCAGCTGAGGGATACCTCAGCTGTTTCCTATCCTGAATAAAAGTTCCTGGAGTAAGAGGAAAAGAGTGTCCAACATGGTAAAGAATGTCAATTTATCCCTACCCTTTCATTGCCCCTACTTTCTTTTAAACTTGCATATTAATCATTTGATACTGTTTTTGGGTGAGATAAATACTTGCTTCCCGCAATAGGTGACAGATGAAAGGATTTTATTGTCATATACTAAGAGTGGCATCAGCAGATAAGTGGAACTGTACCTAATTACTGCCAGAAAAGGCAGTTCAGGGTGAACTCCTTTAAAACAAAAATTATCACCCTTTGTATAATTTCTCTAACATCAAATTGACTTATATCCAAGAATCACAGAGCGGATCAAATCATTCAGTTCTTTGGGACTATAATTAACATCCAATTCAACTTAGAAGGTTCATAAGGAAATTCCGCGGCTCAAAATTAGGCGTTAGGTGGGCATTTTACTGAGGGTTTTTTCCCTACGGCCACATGAACAATAAGTAACCCGTCCTTTAAACATTTTTCACACTAAACATTATGCCATGTTCCAAGGCACAGACCATTGCAGCCTCCGTCCCCTCAGCGGCGTAAACACTTGGAATGGGCATGCTGCCCCGTTACTTAGTATTGAGAAGTGGTCACTTTTTGCTCTTCTTAGGTGAGTGTAAGCGACTGCCTTCCCCACTTTAGGTGAACCCCAGGACTTGGAGCGTCTGTGGGTGCTCCTCTAATGGGGACAACTCCTCCCTTCCGACTCCATCGCAGAGAACCCAAAGTTCGAAACCAACAGAACGAAAAGCAACGAAGCACACTTAAAGTGAGGAACCCGGCAAGCGGCGAAATTCTTGCTGAAGAGAAGAAAAAGCGAAAGGTTTTCCGCTGCAACCAATCAGATGAGAGGATTCTTGGCACGCCCCTTTCTATCTACCAATCAACATCTAGCTCAATGGGGCAGTCCATTGCCACAGGGAAAGGGCTTGGTGCAGCTTCCCTCACAACACACACGTCATTCTAGGCCATTCCACGAACTGTGCTCAAAAGAGGAAAACAGTGCAACAGTTCCAAAGCTGATCAGTCTCGTGGTGAGCAGCGAAACTATAGACTTCTCTAACAAAACCATGGATTCTAGGAGGGACTGGGAAAGAGAAAAACGAATTCTGGAAGGCAAACTACAACTCCCAAAGGCCCTTGCGCGGACTCAGCGCGCGAGGGACGAAGGGCGGTCCACTGTAAGGGGAAATGCTGAGGATCACTGGGCTCCTCCCGGCTTTCTGAACGCAAGCCAGCAAGTGGGCGGGACCTGGGGCGGGCGGAGCGGCGAGAGCATCTGCTCCTGCGCTTTGTGGTCTCCTGCCTCCGGCTTCTCCGCCTGCGACGTCGAAGGGGGCGTGGCCTGCGCAGAGGCTGGTGGGGGTGCGGGCGCCGCGGGACTTGGGTGACGCGTCCCTTTCCAGCTCAGCGGTGTGTGAGGTGTCGCGGCCCCGCCGGCGATTGGCTGTTGAGAGGCGAGTACGCGGCGGCCGTTGGTCGCTGGCCTCACGGAGCAAGGCCCCCGGCGGGCGGGGAGGATATGGGGCGGCAGTGGCGGCTGCAGGAGGCGGGCGTGGACGAGCCGGTGGCTGCAGCGGCGGCGGTCCCCGGAGTCCTGTGAAGCGCCCCTGTCCGCGCCTCTGTGGGGCCCTCAGAGAGGGCTGCCAGGACGCGAGCCACTGAGGAGCCGCTCAGCCAGCGCCATAGCCCTTAGGACTATCGGTCACATTCTCGCGCTCCTGCTCCGGCTCCTCCATCTTGGCCTCGGCAGTGGCGGCTGCCGGGAGGATGTGCCGCCTTCTGGCAGGGGGAAGAAGGAGGAGAAGATGAAGAAGCACCGGCGGGCCTTGGCCCTGGTCTCCTGCCTCTTTCTGTGCTCTCTGGTCTGGTGAGTAGCCGCGACGACAAGGGAGTTCCCGTGAGGGGAGTAAATGGGAGGGAGCAGCCCAGGTCACACCCCCTGGTCATTTTGGCTTTTAGGGTCCGGGTTTCCAAGGCCCCCGTGGAAGGGACAAACCGATTACTTCTCGACTCTCCATCTGACTGGTCTGGTAGTGCTCTGTGCGGAGATTTTCATGGTGTATTTTGGAATTTACAGAGACTCAGTGGGAGAGAGAGAGGTGCCAAGGTAGAGGGAACCACCAAGTGCCTTTGTACTCAGTTCCTCTACCCCTTGGAGACGGTGCAGGGTTTGGGGTGGGTGTTCAGATTGATGGTAAGTAAGTTGCTCCGATTTGCCGCCAGTCTTTGCGTTCTTAGTGTGGTAAGGGGATAAAGCACGTCGGATGTGATGCGTTCCGGACGTGCGATTTTAAAACGTGAGTGGTCATGAAGGTAAGAGTAATGTATAAGCAGTAGTTCTCCTGGACATTTCTCGCACAGCGTTTGATCCCAAGTACACTCGGGCCGCTGTTTTTGGAAACTTGGGGGGCGTGTGTGTATGTGTGTTATGAAGCACTTTTTCAATTGGTTTGGTGGAGAGGGTGTCTTAGATGTAGTGTGTGTAGTAGTTTTTGGTAATGCCCCTTAGTGACGGGAAGGTAAATGCTGTATTTTCAAGGCGGGAAGAGTGCTTTGTCCCTAAAGCACTCCTTAAGTTTTACGGAGTTTCTGTTAATCCCAGGCACTTCTGGAGTTTTTTGAGGAGCAGAGAAAGCTTGTAAGTCGAGGGACTGCTGTCACCGTACTTGGAAAAGCCATTCTTTCCTCCCAGGGAATTTCTTCAAAGATGTGTGACAATTGATGACTGAAAAGATGCTTCTTCAGTCTAGGCGATTTGCTGTTTGTTATATTAAAATAGAAATTAAGTTTCCTGTTTTGCTTATTTCTGCAAAGCACCAACACTATTTTCATTTTTATGGATGCCTTATGGATTCCAGAAGCACTGAAATTGTAGAGTTGTTGCTCACATAAAATAATACATAAACAAGGGGAAGAGAAAACACTCGCCTGGCTGAGGGATTTTTATTGGAAGAATGATAGAAGTTTTTGAGAACAAAAACAATTGACTTATTACCTTTCATTCTGAATCCTTTTAATACCCGTCTCCTGTTTTTAATAAAATCCTCCCCTTTCTACTTACTGTGTTGGGTACGGAGAAGTGCCTGTAAGAGATAAATCCACTCACCTCATTTTAAATTTAAATTTGTAGATACTGAAGCTTGTATTCATTTCCATCTCTTTCTGGGGCTGCCTAGTTATATTTGTAGACTGTGTATTTTCTTTCCTCTTTCTTCTTGGTCTTGCCCATCTTTAAACCATGTTATTCATCATCAAAAGTTTCTGAAATGGCTAATAAGGAAAAGGTGAACACTTTCATTCAAGTTTAAAAACACACCAGTATCTCTGGCTTTTTTTAATTTTTTAATTGGATGGTGTAAACGAAATCAAGCAATAGAATGTGATTCTTACAATCATTTGTAAATTTAAGTTAACTCTGCTTCTATTTCTTTTGGGAATTTCTGGCTATCTTTTGATTAAGCTAACCCTCAGTATGTTTTCTCACCTTCAATCATTAGCTCTAGTGAAGAGCTAATGAATTTCCCTGTTAGGGAACAAATCGGTTGGCCTGGTATTGAAAGTAGTAGTAATAAACTTCTGTCAAGTTTTTTAACTCCTAGTGAGGAAAATGGATGTGGAGAGTTTAAGAGTGTGAACATTTTAAGAAACTTTAGCTTAAGAAACTATTGGGTTAGTATATTTTGAGATTTGTTTAGACTGCCAAATTTAGAGACATTTTAATTATTCTTTAGCAAAACGATTAAAAGGCATTAAAATAGGACATTAAGGCTTAAAGGGTTTTTTAAAGGGTGATGATGATGAATGAGATTGGGGAAGAGGAGTGGTACCTGGTGCTGATTGGCAAAGGGTATGTTTTTTCTTTGAAGCCTCTGCTTTTGTGCCAAGTTGGAATTAATGGCACTTAATGGATTTCTAACTTTTGCTGCAATCTGGTGTGGTATTTCTTTTCCCAACAACCTCATTCCCTTTAACAGAAATGGCTACCAACAAGTCCTAGGGTTAGATAAAACGTTTGCAAGAGTTGATGAGTGCCTTTTAGTAGCCACTTTTGTCTCTTTTGTTATTCACAAATTGTCTCAAAATTTTGTGATCCGTTTCTGTTTTGTACATTGAGTGCTGTATGTCTGTTCTACAGTATTCTAGTTTCTGAGGTTTCCCCTCTCATGCTACCAATATTACTGTGTTATGTTTACTATCATAATTTTGTAGATCTTGATTATGTCTCCCCTCTGCTTTTGTCTTGTAGCCTTGAGTACTAACCTTAGATTATGTTTACAGAAAAACCATTTCATCTATGTCATTATTAATTTTTGTTGCTGTTTTTTCCTTTTGCATAGTTTATAATTTTTGATCAAGTAGTATAGAGTATTCTAGGCATAAATGCACTATAGCTGCAGCACAGAGCAATGATAGCTAATATTTGCTGACAGCTGTGTGTCAGACACATGATGTTTACTTGACAATAACACCTTTAATCTTTATAAGAACCCTATAAGATAGGTATTATTATTAACTTCCTTTTGCATTTTACATGTGAGGAAGTAGAGAGGTTAACTTGGCTAAGTTTAAGCAGCTGTTAAGCTTCGGAGCTTAAATTTGAACCTAGGCAGCACAGGCTCCTGAGTACTTTATAGGTCAGAGGCCTGTATTTTATATATGTGGCTCCATCATTTACTAGATATGTGTTCTTTGACTTGTTATGTAACTTCTTTGAACCTTAGTTGTTATATCCTCAGAATGGGGAAATTGATCCATTCATACTTCACAGGGTTGTTAGGAGGATGAAATAATACAAATGACAGATCTTTGTAACACAGTAACAGCGTATTATGTAAATATTTCATCATAACATTATTCAACCACATTTTGTTCTCATACCTACTGTGCCAGATGTTTTTATGAGCACCGAAAATCCAAGATAGAGGGTCACCAGCTTGTCTTGGTTTTAACACTGGAAGTCGCATAACCTAGGAATTCCCTGCATTAGTTTCTTATGCCTGCTGTAGCAAATTGACACAAATTTAGTGGCTTGAACAACACACATTTATTACCTTACAATTCTGTGGATGAGAAGTCCAAGATATGTCTCACAGGGCTAAATAAAGTTAAGATGTCAACTGGGCTCGTTCTTTTTGGAGGCTCTGAGGGGAGAATCTTTTTCTAGAGGCCACCTGTATTCTGTGGCCCCTTCCTCACATCAGCACTCCAACCCTTTTTTCAGTCCTTATGTCTACTAATGACTGGTCCTCCTGCCTCTTCCTCTTATAAGGACTATTGTGATTACATTGGGTCCAGCCAGACATTCCAGGATAATCTCCCTATCTCATAATCCTTAATTTAATCACATCTGCAAAATCTCTTTTACTATGTAAGGTAACATATTTAGGGATTAGGATGCAGACATCTTTGAGGGGGGCGCATTATTCAGCCTATACCCTATACCATACTCCCTCAGTCCTGGGCAAACTGGGAAAGCTGCATCACCCTAAAGAGGAAAAAAACATAATTAGTGGATATTCTGAGTGTGTCCCTTAATTAGTAAAACCTTGTGCATCCACCTTAATTGTCTATAAGTTATGTACATGTGCCAATATAGTAATAGTATATTAGTGTATGTAATTAATGCAAGTTAGATATTTAAGAAAAATGAGAAAAAAATAATAATTTCTGTTAACGGTACCTTTTGTTCTCATTAAAATAATAATTTTTAGTGAGAGCTATGTGATTGACCTACTAGATTATTTTATGTCATAGTATAGAAGAGGAATAGCTTCAACTACTTAGGAGTCAGCCCTGTCATTTTCTTGTTGGCTGTGCTTGCATTATTAAATTCTTTGCAGTAATTTTTTTAAAAGCTGCTTCCCGATGTTGTGAGGGTCAATTCAGTTAAAACTGAATAATTCCTAAGTCTACCTAACTGGGGAAACATAAACCACAGTGAATCATGGTGTGCTGTAAGTAAAACCCATTGTTTGTGGGACTTCCACTCTTTCCCTGGGTTTCTGTATGAATCCTTACATTAATCTTAGTAAAACTTATTTTTTAAAACTAAACAAATCTATTCTTCCTTCACCCCAAAGGATCATCTTGGAGAAGCTTATATTTAGACTTTCGGGAAGAGCTTGACATTTAAACAAGTCTCATACATTTGGCAAATATAACAGGTACTTACAAAGGTTTTTAGGAACAGCAAAGGAAGAATTCATATCCTACTTGTGGTTCTGTCACTAACTGTATGTCTTTGGACAAGTTACTTCTGTGAACCTCAGCTCTCATCCATAAAATGGTCTGCAGGATGGATAGTTCACAATGAGCGAATTTTGTTGTAGGCAGAGAGAACACTTACCCAGTTATCTAGAGCGTGAGTGTATGTGAGGAGAGATGGGAAGGGAGGCTAGAGCTAGGTTTTGAAAGGATTTGATTATCATGCAGATGAATTCTAATTCTAACCACCTGACAGAGGATGAGTAAGTGAAGTGGTTTAAACTGGAGAACAGGAGCATGAGGTCACATGGATCTTTTAATTAGATTGCTGTGGAGGGTAAAGTGGAATGTAGGGGACGTACTTTGGAGGCACGAGGTCCTAAGTCGTGGTCCCACTAGAAGAGAGTTGATATCTAAATCAAGATGTTGGCCTTTTTGTCCTTAGTAGTAATTTTTCTGAGTATGTCAGACCAGTTTTTATCAGTTTAAGAGGTTTATTTCCTGGTTTGTGATTACATTTCTGTACCCTTTTGCTTTTTCTCTCATGATTGCTGGTCTATTAATATACATAAGTGAGCAGAAAAAAATTTAAAAACTAGAACAATATATAAGCTGTTTTTTCTTTTTTGAGGTGATGAATAGAGCATATTGGAAACATATCGATAAAACATTTTGAAAATTCCCCAGGAAATCTGGAGGAATTTTTTTGCTTGTTTCTGCTTCTGTCTCTAAACTTTCAAGGTACGGAATCTATTTCTTTTCTGAATAATATTTGAAATAAATAAAATAATAAAACAATCCCACTTCTCCAAATCATTTGATGCCTTTTTTTTCTTTCCTTGAATAAACCAATGAAAGATGACCTTTACAAAAATGATTTTTTTAGTGGAACTTAATGTGAAAGACTGAGGAAAAAAAGTTTATCTTTGCTCTAGGATATATATTCTGAAGAAAGCACCTGGTATTTTTATTTATAAGAGGTGTCGGGTCATACAGTGTCAGATCCCTTCAGACAAGTTAGATGAAGCCACTTAATAGGAAAAGGTCTGTGAAAGAAGGTGTGTGACATCTTTGCATAACACTTGAACACTGTGTCCAATAAAAGACGGCAAATGACGTGTTTCATGTTGGTCCTTTATGTTATTAAACATTTGAGGATATACTGGAATGGAAGCAGGCAGTAGGGTTGACAGGCAATGGAAAAAATAAAAGGTATCAGCTCTTTTGAGTATTGGTTATTTCATTTTTCGTTTGTTCATGAACTTGTACATCACTCTTTCACTTTTCTCAACAGTCTGAATGGAGAAAAGAATCAATATGTATAATTAATATTCTTATGCTTATAATGAAAGGGAAACTTATAAAAATTTAAGTGCTTTATTATTCTCAAGTCATCTTCAAATAGAAACACCTGTATGTACGTGATGCTTTTGTTTAGTAGTTTATACATAACTGGAAAGAGATGAAATCTCTTGAAACTTATCTACATGTTTTAGATTATACTTTAGTGCCAGTTGTATGTTATGTTTTTCAAGGCCATATTTTAGACTAATTTAAAAGTCAAATTGTACATGTCACAAGGGAATAGGAAATTGCTTTTGAATATTTGCAGTATAAGAGTGTTAATCCTTTGGGATGAATTTGTTTAATAAATGCAAGTTTTTTTGAAAGAAGATTTGGTTTTAGGACTTTATAATTAATTGCTAGTTAAAATTATTTTATATTTTACATGAAAGTGACACCTGGCTGTATCAGAAAGTATTCTGTAACATTAATACGGTTCATAGGTACTAAGCTAATTTTGTATTATTATGTAGCGTTTGTAATCTACTGGAGAAAAAACATGTAAAGGCTAAGAACAGTGCCTCACTCGTAGTAAGCACTACTGTATGAGTTATTCATTGACTCTAGCTACTTTGGTAATTTGTTGAGTAGAAATAAGATGGCCTAGGTTTCAGAGTTAAAAATGGGAATTTATAAATCCACTTAAATATTATTTGATTATTCACAATGTATTTGGTGTGATGAAGGATACAGAAGAATTGTGAGACTTGAGCTCTGTATATAAGCTGCTTGTTACAATACAGATAGTGGTGTAGTGTGAAAGGCATAAAACTATGTCAGAGCTTGGTTGTAGTTCTTTCTTTTCATTGTTAATATGAACATTTATTGAGTGATTATTTCTCTTCTAAGTACTAAATACTATTCAGTGTAATATGCATTAAATTATTTTATTCTCTGTATAGATGTTTTAAGGCAGACACTCCATTTTAAAGATGAAGAAAGGTGGGCACAAAGAAGTTAAGTTCTTAACAGCTTGCCCAAGTTCTTACAGCCAGGAAGCAACAGAGCCAGAACTAAGAAGGCCAGGTTCTAAGCCTGTGTTCTCTTAACCGGTATGCTGTGCTGCCAGTTGGCTGGTAGATGGTCTTGGGCAAGTTTCTTCACTTTTTCTAGTTAATAATTTTATCTGGCAAAGTGTCAGTTTTTTTCATCTGAAAATGTGGGTGCCTGTATTAGCCTAGGAAGGAATGGACATTGGAATTGTTCATGAAACTTTTAAAAGAAATACGCATACCTAGGATTCTTACCTTGTAGATTTTGTCAGTAAGTTTGTGATACTCTTTTATGCATTCAAGTCTGTATTACTGTATTAGGTGAACTCAGTTTATTTTTTATATGTCTAACATTCTAAGATACTTGATTTGAATGTTAATAAACAACACATAAAACTGAACTGCATAGTAAGTGCTTAAGAGGAGAAAATGAGGGCTAGAGTTCTCAAGGAAGGCTTGACTTGGGTTTAAGGGAAATGTGTGGTTTATAAACTCTGCTTCTGTGCAAACAGGAGCTTCATGAGCTGAAATAAGATGTACTGGTGTTGATAACATGAATAATGGCTATTTCTTTGTGTGTGCATGTGTATGTCTGTCTGCCTGCTTGCAGTGGGTAGATGGCACTTAATTGTCAAGGAGAAAGAGAGTTATGAATGGAAGAGATAATCTAGTTGATATGGGTAAGAGTGGTAGTAAACAGAAAAGCCTGAGGAGAAAGAGAGAGATTTCAGAGATTGTGGTAGATTTTGCAAACCAGTCCAAAGAATTAGATAATAAAGATTCAGCAAGAAAAGTGGTGTTGTGAGAACATTATTTTGACATAATTGTGCTAGATTTGTTTTTAGAGGAAGGAGACTTAGAGGGGTGAATACAATTGGCTTTCCACATCCACAGATTCAACCAACCTCAGGTTGAAAATATATTTTAAAAACAATAAAAATAACAATACAACAATAAAAATACAAATAAAAACAATGTTGTATAACAGCTATTTACATAGCATTTACATAGTGTTAGGTTTTAAATCACCTCTAGATATTATATGGGAGGATATGCATAGATGTTTTAAATCACCTCTAGATATTTTAAATCACCTCTAGATACTTATATGGAAGGATATGCATAGATGTTTTAAATCATCTCTAGATATTTTAAATCACCTCTAGATATTTATATGGGAGGATATGCATAGGTGATATGCAAATGCCATTTTATGTAAGAGACTGGAGCATTCTCAGATTTTGGTATCTTCGGATCCTGGATCCAACCCCTTCTGGATCCCAAGGGATGACCGGGCTAAAAAGCCCTTGGAGTAATTGAGGCTTGTCATAAGAAGGACTTCATCTTGGCAGTAGAAATAAAGAACAGGGTACAATAAATAGAGATTTTTGAGGAGGTAAATGATTTAATTTTGTGAAAGGTTGGCAAGCTGGCAGTAGTGCAGTGCAGTGCAGCAGATAACAGCATTAGGCTAGGATTCTAAATAACTGGATTTTAGTTTGCCTCTAACCAAACTCTGTTCAACATCCCCTTTCTGTTGTCCATCTCAATGCAAAGAGATATTTACTTAGGCTTCAGTGTGCTGTATCCTATACAGGATTCTGGTGGACAAAACAAAGTAACTGCTTTCTTGGAGCACACTGTCACTGAGAGTACATTCTAGGGCCTAAAATTATGAATCTGTGAAATAAAGTTCAATGAGAAAAGAAATGTTAAGCATTTTTTGTTTGTTTTCTGTTTGTTTGCTTGTTTGTTTTAACTTGGGCAACTAGAAGAATTGGTGGTGGTCAAAAAGAAGTGGAAGAGTTGGCAAAGGGCTTGGAAGGGGAAGGAGCTGTTAGTTGGAGGTGAATGGAATATCCAAGTGGAGACATTTTATGGGCACTTAAAAATGCAGACTTGAATGCAGATAAAATTTGGCCTGGAGTGCCAGGCACGGTGGCTTATGCCTGTAATCCCAGCACTTTGGGAGGTCGAGGCAGGCGGATCACCTGAGGTCAGGAGTTCGAGACCAGCCTGACCAACATGGAGAAACCCCGTCTCTACTAAAAAAAATAGAAAATTAGCCGGGCATGGTAGCGCATGCCTGTAATCCCACCTACTTGGGAGGCTGAGGCAGGAGAATCACTTGAACCTAGGAGACGGAGGTTGCGGTGAACCAAGATCGTGCCATTGCACTCCAGCCTGGTCAACAAGAGCGAAACTCCGTCTCAAAAAAAAAGAAAAAAAGTTGGCTGGAGTTATCCTCGTAAAGCAGAGGTCCCCAGCCCCTGGGCTGCGGACCAGTACTGCTCCGTGGTCTGTTAGGACCCTGACCTCACAACAGGAGGTGAACAGCAGGTGAGTGAGCATTACTGCCTGAGCTCCACCTCCTGTCAGATTAGCAGCAGAATTAGATTCTCATAGGAGCATGAACCCTACTATGAACCACACACGCGAGGGATCTAGGTTGTGTACTCCTTATGAGAATCTAATGGCCCCCCACCCCATCCATGGCAAAGTAGTCTTCCATGAAACTGGTCTCTGGTGCCAAAAGGTTGGGGACCGCTGTCATAGAGGGAATCATTTTTGAAAGAGAACATTGGACTTTTGAAACAGAATAAAGAAAGGTGCCAAGCATAGTAAAGCTCTGAAAGAAAGGAGGAAACTGGAAAGGATGGATGGAAAGAGATTTAAGGAAGTCATTTAAGTGGTCAACAATATAAAATGTCTTAGATAAGTTTGGAGAGCTTGAAAACTGAGAAACTTTTCAAAAGAGGGAAGTGATTGATAGCTTTTGGGAGTGGAGAATAATAGAAGATATTTGGAGAGCTGGTAGGCATGAATTCCACACATTTGTTTGGTAGCCAGGAGATGTAGAAGAGTACATAAAAAAAAAAAAGTTAACATGTAGAGTAGCTTCATACTTGTATGCTGCAACCCATTTTACACAGTGCCACTGGATTTGTCTTACATGCAGCTTTGATTATGTCAGTCCCCTGATGAAATATCTTTCAAAGGCTCCTTGAAGGATAAAACTTTAAACCTTGATAATTTTTAAATGCCTGCAGTCTGACCCACACTTACTGTTGTAGCTTTATTTTCTGCTTTTCCTAATAGAGACTTTGTTTGAGCATGACTGATCTGTTGGCCTGGTAGTAATTTATTTGAGGACTATTTTTGTAGTCTCTAATTGAAAATTAAGGTAACAAAACTACTGTCACTTGTGTTTTAGAGGCTAAATACACTGTACCCAATTTCTGAAAATATATTATTATCAAGTATAGGGCATGATTATTTCCAGCATCTTAGAGGACAAATTGTATTGGCTGAATTTCTAATGGTAGGTTATAATGGTAGGATATAAAAACAGAACATATCACATTTGTTTACTAAGTGCTTCTCTATGTTGGATCAATGAAATTATGGGCCAGTTTAGTGAAACAATTTTCTAATAGAATTTGATATGTGGAATATTAAGCTAAGAAAATTTAAGACCCAATCCTACATCAGAGTGAAGTTAAAAGTCAGAACTACTGAAATGCAAAGGTTTAATTAGAAACAGGCACTAGAACATAGAACTTTCTCAGCTAAGCTGTACAATTGCACGTGATTTGACTATGGACTGTTGATGCAGCCAAATAGAATAAAAACTGCAAGGAGAAAGAGGCCCAGTATGCTCTTACCTATTAGCAGATAGACCAAGCAGAAGAGAAGCAACCTTAAAAGAGCTCCAGACTGATACGTGGTTTAGAAGAATATCTGTCTTTTAATAAAACATTGTGATGGAGAGAAACTAGGTTGCTTAAGCAAAGGCACTAGAGGCCTGGTGATCTTTTGGTCTTGTTTTATTACCAGTGTTTGACCAAAATGGCTTCCACATTATTCACCCATTTCCCACAAGTTTCTCAATACTTACAGGATTTCAGTAAATTTTTTCAGATATCCAGGAAGTAATATTCAAAAACTACAATTTTCACTGATAACTTTAACCATACTGCGCTAATTGAGTGGCTGGCACTATATTTCTGTACAAGGGATTAACTTTGAATTTATGTTTAAGAAGCAATTCTTTGTTGCCTAGTTTAGTTATTTCTTTTACCACAAAGTGTTTTCTCATTCTTCTTTTTAAAGCTCTGAAAAAGCTTTTCTAATTCATAGTTCAAAGTAGGAGCTCAATAGATCATCATGCTGGCAACAGGGCAGTGTATTCTCTGCCTTGGAGTTGCTTAGTCTTATGTGAGAAACAAAAATAAACAGTTAATTTCATTTCAGTGTGTATGTGCTCAGGTAGAGATAGCCAAAGGGCTGTGGGAATTTAGAGCGGGCCACCCACCAACCCCAGATTGTGGAAATCAGGAAAATGTTTTAGACCCTTATTAGTTTCTTGCCCCAAGAGAGAAGAATTATAGGTATTGAGTTATGTTTTAGATAGTGGGAGTGGGAGCAGGTACAGAACATTCTTGAAAGAGGGAACAGCATGAGCCAGAGACATGAGACAGCACAGTCTGTGTTCAAGGAACTATTACAGGTAGCTCTGTATCGCTGAAGCATAAAGTGAAAGGCAGGGAGAGTGACAGGAAATATGAAGCTGAAGACTTAGTAGAATTTTAGAGATTTTTAAATAGCATGTGGAGAGAAGCTTGAGTTTTGTCATGTAGTTAATGGAGTCTGTAAAAGGTCTTAAGCAGGGGAATGGTAGTGTGATAATTTACTGTTAGATTTTTGGCAGAGGTGTGAATGGTTGATTTGCAGACGTAGCAAGTTAGGAATTAGGGAGATCTGTTAGGAGGTTGCTCTAGGTAAGAGATAAGGGCTTGAGTTAAGGCAGTCAGAATGGGGATTGAGAAATGATTTGAAGAAATTTAGAGTAGAATAAACAAGATGGTCAAGGGAGGGTGAAGGCAAAGGAGTAGTCACAGGTGTTTTTCAGGTTTCTAGTTTGAGGACTGGGTAGATAGCAGTACCAGATGGTGGGATCAAGGATATAGGAGGAAGAGATTTGGAAAAGGAAGCTAATGTATTCAATTTTGGATTTAGATGTTTTTGAGATACCTTGGAATATGAAGGAAGAGAGATGCAACTTTTAAATGAGCTTTGTTTATCCTCAACATTAAGGTAGGGTATCACAGAAGGGTTTTAAGGAATGGACCAGTTAGGAAAAGATAAGGGCTGAAGATAAAGTTTCAGTAGCTGTCAACTAAAAACCATGAGAGTACGTAAGTCTCCTATGTAGAATATAAAGGGAAGATTTCAGAACCAAACCCTTGGAGCATCAGAATTTAAATAGTGAACAGAAGCAGCATATCAAAGGAGACTCAGAAACAAGAGTCAGTGTGAGATGAAAAGCAGAAGTGTGTAATTTGACAAGTCAAAGAGGAGATGGTTTAAGTTAAAACAGCAGTCAGAGGTACCACATGCAGCAGGGAAATCAAAAAAAGCTAACTTCTGCCACACCATACTAGTCTCAGTGGTACAATGAGGACAGAAACTAGATTTCAGCAGGCTGAGGACTAAATAGAAGGTGAAAACATTGAGATTACAAGTATAAACTACTGTGAAATTTGATAAGTGAAAGTAGACAGAAAAGGTAGTGGCTGATAATAACTGACATTTCAGCACATATTCTGTGCCAGGCTAAGCATAGCATATACATTTATTTCAGTTCCTCCTAATAAGTCAATTTTACAATGTTGATACTGAGTTGAGGCATATAGGCTGGCCTGCCTGCCTTCCGTCCTTCTGTCCGTCCGTCCGTCCTTCCTTCCTTCCTTTCCTTTCCTTTCCTTTCCTTTCTTTCCTGGCAGGGTCTTGCTCTGTCCCCCAGTCTGGAGTACAGCAGCATGATCACCACTCACCGCAGCCTTGACCTCCCTGGGAACTGGTGATTTTCCTTCCACCTCAGCCTCCTGAGTAGCTGGGACCAGAGGTGTGCGCCACCATGCCTGGCTAATTTTTGTATGTTTTGTAGAGACGGAGTTTTGCCTTGTTGCCCAGGCTGGTCTCTGACTCCTGATCTCCTCTTAAATTTGTCCATACTCTTGGATTAAAGTATTAATCTAATTTTTACAAATAAGGAAACTGAAGCTCATAAGTTGCCCATCACTCACCTTGCAAACTTAGATCTCTCTCCAAATTGTTGGATTTTTCCATATTGCTACGTTTCATGTTTAATATTTTCTAGCCAACAGATAAATGAAAAGAAAGGTAAGAAGATAACACTGTTACATTCACTCAAGAATTGGTGATACTGGTCAAAGCTAGATACAGCATAATACAAAAATAAAACAACTATCACAAAGGAGAAGTTCTGATTAACTACTTCATGATTTTCGTAGTGGCAACAAGTGATAAATATGAAGGCCGTGTAGTAGTGGCTAAGAGGCGCAGGCTTCAGAGTCAAAAAAATCCAAGTTTTAACCCCCGGTCCCTCACTTATTAATTACAGGATCTTGAACAAGTAATAAAACCTGTATAGGCCAGGCACAGTGGCTCACACCTGTAATCCCAGCACTTTGGGAGGCCAAGGCGGGTGGATCACTTGACCCCAGGAGTTCGAGACTAGCCTGGGCAACATGGCAAAACCCCATCTCTTCCAAAAATACAAAAATTAGCCAGACATTTTGGTGCTTGCATGTAGTCCCAGCTATTCTGGAGGCTGAGGTGGAAGGATCACTTGAGCCCGGGAAGGGGGAGGCCGCAGTGAGCTGAGATTGCACCACTGCACCCCAGCCTGGGTGATAGAGTGGGACCCTGTCTCAAAATAAATTATGTACAGCGAAATGCACAGATCTTAACTGTATAGTTGGATCAGTTTTGACACATGCATACACCTGTGTAACTCACACCCCCTCAAGATATAGAATATTCTCATCACCCTAGAAAGTTCTCTCATGTCCCTTTCTGGTGAATCCCCCAGAGGCAAGTAGTGATCTGATTTCTGTCACCATGGATTAGTTTTGCCAATTCTGGAACATCATCTAAATGGAGTTATACAGTATTAGCTCATGTGTTTGACTTCTTTTACTCAATGTAATGTCTGAGATTTACCCATTTTGTTTCCTTTGTCATTAATTAGTTCCTTTTTATTGCTGAGTAGTAGTACACTGTATGAATGTACTACAGTTTATTTATTCTTCTGTTAGTGGTTATCTGGACTGCTTCCAGGTTTTCGCTATTAGGAGTAAAAACTACTATGGACATTCTTGTACAAGGCTTTTTGTAGACATAGTTTTCATTGCTGTTGAGAAGTACCTAAAAGTAGAATTGCAACTGCTGAAACGGATATTATATGCTTTTCGATACAATATCCTGAGAAAGTCACAACATCATTATAATATCCTGAGAAAGACACAATGAAGGATTCTGACTGAGAATACCTAATCTGAATCTGGTCATCATGATACATCAGACAAATCTCACATAAGAACCATATTATTTAAAAAGAAAGGGGACTGTAGCCTTCAAAAATGTTAGTGCCACATAAAATAAAGCTCCAGAACTGTTCCAAGTTAAATGATACTGAATAGACATGACAAATGCAGGACATGATCATAGATTTAATTCTGTACTGGAGAAAGGAATTCTAAAAAAGACATTGGATTAATTGACAAAATTGCAATGTGGACAGTAAATTTTTGTGTCAATGTAACATTTACTGAAGTTGATACCTGTATTGTAGTTATGCAAGAGAATATCCCTATTCTGTGGAAATAGATATCACAGTATTTTAGAGGTAAGTTACTGGGAGAGAGGGAACAGAGGGAGAGAGGAAGGATGAGTGAGCATGGGCAAATGACAAATAATGGAACAAATTAAGTAAAATATTAACAATGGATTGATACAGCTAAAGCATTTGTAGATTTTTTTTTGTACTATGCTGCCTACTCTTCTGAAATTTGAAATTATTTCCAAATAAAAAATTTAAAAACGGTTTGAATTTTCTCCTGTGTGTGAGAAGTTGATAGATCCATTCAAGTTTATCAGTCTATTATCAGTTTTTTCCATTCCTTATGCCAGTTTTGCAATGTTTCTAGAAATTTATCCATTTCTCCTGTTTTCAAATATATTGTTATATATAGTTTATAATATTTTATAATTTTAAAAATGTTTCCTCTGTGGTTGTTTTTTCTTTTTATTCCATATTGTGTTAATTCCCATTACTATCTTCCCTTTATTGGTTTTGCCAGAAGTTTGTCTAATACTTTCTTCAAAGAACCAACTTTTGATTTTCTTAATTTTCTTTGCTGTTTTTTGTTCTCTATTTTAGCAATGCCTATCCATATATCCTTCCTTGTTTCTTTGCATTTGTACTCTCTTTTATCTTTTTGAGTTGATTAGCTCTTTTGTTTTCAGCATTTGTCTCAATGTATTCAGAAGCATAGTTTTCCTGCTATTGTCTTATCTACATCCCACCAATTGTGATTGGTAGTCTTCTGCTGATTATTTCATAATATTGTTTCCTCTTTAACCTAAGGATTATTTTGCTACATATTTCTTGCTTCCAGGCTTGGGATATTGTTAGCTGTCTTTCTGTTATTTCAAATTTTGTTGCAGCATGGTTGGAGAATATAATCTTTTAGAGCTTGAGTTTTTGGAATTTGAGGCTTCTTTTGAGGCTTTAGTTTACTATCGGTATTTGGGAAATGTTCCACGTGTCCTTGAGAAGAATGTTTTAATTTATATGTGGTATAAAATTCTGTATCTTTGAGCTTCTTACATGGAATATAAATATCATTTTGTCCACTTAATCTGTTATTTTGTGAGGTAATTTAAAATAGACCACCATACTTTTTGTTTATTCTCTTTCCACCTGTAGCTTTGCCAGTGGTTGTAGTATATTTTCTACATTGTTAGGTGCATATATATTTGTAATTCTTTCTTCTTTTTACTCATAGATAATAAATCGCTGTCTTAATAACATAATGTTTTCCATCTTGTTTGGTTTCTATGTTAATTAAAATGGCTACTTTGTTGTTTTCATATTTTCTTAAAACTGTATATACTTACTCAAATTTTTAAATGAGTTGAAAATTACCCCTAATGTTTCCTAACATAATAATTGGTACTTACTGGGTAATCTTACATGCTTGTAAAGTTTCTTCATTAAAACTCAGAGGAAAACAATTCATTTGAAAGTGACAGACTCCAGTTTAGTTTTATTAGCCAAGCCTAATAATTGCAGACTCCTTCTTTGCAATTATTAGGCTTGGCTCATTTGCATATTAGTATATTCTTTATTGCACATTAATGTGTCTTTCTGGAATTCATTATTGCATTATTTTGCTAGATTTGATAGTATGATAAAAAACAATGGTTAAAGATAGCTGGTTCAGTAATTCTGCATTAGGCAGATATAAAAAGCTGTCATTGCAAGCCATTGGATATCATTTTTAAAAGGTATTTTTTTCTCAATCACTTTCACATTAAAGAATGCTTTCTTCTGTAATGAAATTTCCCTTGGCACAATAAAGAATGTTTTCTGCTTTCTTAATGAAATCTTCCTTGGCTCTTCAGTTGCTATATTGTTTGGAAAATTTTTCCTGAGTCCCTCTGCTGTTCTTTTTAGTAAGAATGAATTGATTTCTCTTTTACCCTAATACTTAACGATTATTTTTTTAGACACATAGTTGTAACATACACCCTTAAAATGGCAGGATGCCTAGAAGTATTAAAGATCGTAGGTTGCCACAACAAGAAAAACTTGTCACCATACATTCAAGTTGAAAACCTTCCTTCAGGGAAAAAAAAAAAAAATAGAAATACAGTTTCTAAAATGAAAGCAGTAGGTTTAAGAAAAGATTAAATCCCCAAAGTCTGTCTTTTAAACCTAGGCATTCCATTTCTTCTGGTGTTATTTGGGTGCTTCTGATAAACTAACCTAGGCTGATTGCCCTCTATTCCTTGTTTACAGCTATCTTCCTGGGATTTGTCTTTCTAGTCACCCTGGGGGTTTCCTTTGCCTCTGTTATCTCAGTATCATATTGCTGTAATTACTGTAGTTTCATATAGATCTAGCCCCTCATATAAGAATATTCTTGACTATTTCTGGCTTGTTATATAAAAAGTCTCCCTTTTTACCACCTCAGTATGTAGTTCAAACTACCCCTATATATTATTTTGAATTGTGAAATTGACACTTTTTCCAAGTAAAAGGATTGTCAAATATTGGCAATTTCAAACAGTTCTACTTACTAGAAGATTTCTTGCCAAGTTTCTATCTGGACACGTTATTGTTTCTATCATAAATGAGTCCTTGTTATGGTTTGAGAGAGTGTTGATTTGCTTCTTAATTTTATACTTGGGAATATAATTTTTATATCTGGGACTTCTTTTAATAGGTGATTCTTTTGAATTTTCCAATTATATAAACTCATCTGCAGTTAATGCAGATACACTCATTGTTTGGAACTACAGATAATTTTACTGTCTTTTCCATTTTTATGCCTCTTTTATCTTCATGTTTTGTAATGCTAATGAAAATGGACATTCTTGTCTTATTTCAGATCTATATAGGTGTCTTTTTAGGTTTCCTCACTAAATATAATACTGACTTTTAGTTTTATGTATTACATATGTATTTTCCATGTTAAATATATAATTATTCCTGTTTCATTATTGATTCTTAAAACATTGATGGATGTATAAGTTTATCAGATGTTTTTCAGTGGCTATGGATATAATCGTAACATATTTTTCCTTGATATTTTTGCATAGCAAATCAAGTTGATTTTATTATGTTGGACTAGTTTTGAATGTCAGAGCTTAACTCTACTTGATAATAATTGTGGTATATTTCTCCTTTGGTATGTTCCTAGAGACTTTCTTTTTTATTGTTTTCTTGATAAGTTTTGCATGTTATTTCATAAGTACTATTAACCTCTAGTATTCATTTATGTATGTGCTATTTCTGTTAGTTTTTGATATCACTGTTAGGTTCTCTATGCAAAAATAATTTGGAAGCTTCTATGCTTTTAAACAGTTGAGGTAACTTTAGGATTATCTGTTCTTAAATATTTGTTAGAATTTATAAGAACTGGTACTTTCCGAGGAGGTTAGCTATTTGACAGCTTTCTGTGTACCTTGTGTGATAATTATCAGATACTGCTTCTGGTGAAGACTTTCCTGTTGTACCTTCATGGAATTCATAATGTCTTACTTGGAATGCTGATAATAATGTTTATGTTTTTCTTATACGTATTGATTTTCGTCATTAAATTGTTAAAAGGTATTAGGATAGGAACCATCTGTCTGTTTATCGCCTCAAATTCTAGCCCATATAGAAATATGTTGACTTAACAACTTTTCTTCTTTCTTTCTCTTTCTCTTTTTCTGTTTGTTGGTGGTGGTGGGTGTTTTACAGGCTTCCCAGCTGGCGTGTATGTTGTAAAGAGAGTTCTTCAGCTTCAGCGTCATCATATTACTCTCAAGATGACAACTGCGCACTAGAAAATGAAGATGTACAATTCCAGAAAAAGGTGCCTTAAATAAAGTTAACATTATAATTTGTGTGTCAGCTTTCTGAGAGTGTCTGAAAACATTCAGAATAAAAGTAATTTCAAAAATGCCATGCCATAATTTTTGGTGGAGATTCGTATTTTTCTTTGCTATTACTCAGGTAATTCTTAAATTATGACGGCTCAGAGATATTTATATGTTTATTCTTGTTGCTTGTATTTGGAATTTTGTAACATCCTTAGTCCTGTAGTATAGGGTAGTGCATGTTCAGAGAGCTGAAAATGAGTGATTTGTTTTTAATGATCTATAATAGAGTTTTTAAAGAAACCCCAATTTTGCAAATGAGAACTATTAGAAGTGAGTATTCCAGGGAGAATCTACAGTCAGTGGCTTTGTAGTTTGTTTTATGTAATTAGGTGCAGTAAATATAAAGACTCCAAAAAACCTCATGGTCTTAAAACATGTATTATTTTACCATTCTAAATGATAAATGGAGAGTATTGACTTGATTTGGCTTTTGCCTTTAACTTCAGTGTATTTATTTAAAATTACTGAAGTAATTTATATTGGTATAAAATATTTATTATTTATGTCTCATTCCTTTCCCCAAAGGAACAACAGTCTACTATTTCTTGTGAAAACGTTTGGACCTTGTTCTGTGGGTATAGATAACACCTTTATATTTGCCCACAAATTAATATTTTTATTTCCATGAAAATATCATATAAATATATTACAAATTGCCATCCCCCTTCCCCTCCAGTGATAGCTCATATATCATCTTTTCATGTTGATATATTCTGAATGGCTGCATTTTAATCTTGTTATATAGACATTATTTATCAGTTGTTCTTTATTGACAAACTTTTGCATTTTGTTCCCTGCCATGTGTGCACACATGTGGGTGTGTGTATCAACACATACTTACAATTACATACTTGAGGGTTTTTTGGGCATATTTAGAGTGGATTATTTAAATTTAAGTTATGTTGGATATATTTCTGGGATGGAGCATTTAAAATTTTGAAGACTTGCCGCATATCTCAAAAAAAACTATAATTTTATATTTTCACCCACACAGTATATAAGATTTTGATTTAATCCCCCTTTTGATGAAGCATTTTGCAAACAAATGTCATAAAAGTGAATTTAAGCAAAGCATTAAGGGGGAAAGCATGTTCTTTCAGTAAACATTTAGATACCTAGTATGAGCTAGATAGGCTCAGGTAAACAAAGATTGAATATGAACTTTTATGAAAATTACACTCTAGAAGGCATAAAGGTATTAGAAATTCTAACTTGAATGTATGTCAAAAAAGAGATGAAAGAAAGAGCTTTATGTATCTTCATTTGTCAGGTATTCATTGGAGTTTTACTAGGTGCTTACAACGGTGCTGGATGGTAAGACTAAAATGCTTATTAAGAAATCAAATGAAGTTCTTGAACTGGTGTATTGCACATTTTAAATGTTGTAGCAATGAGGGGATTCAAGGAAATAGACAATAATCTTGTATACAAATGAAATTAATTAGAGTCAAATAAACAAGGCAGTTTTTTGGTTTTAAAGTATGGAAAAAAACCATCTTCGTATTGCTTTATAACTGTTTTGTAAAACAGTTTTATCAGGTGATTTTTGTTGTTGTTGTTATATAGGATGAAAGAGAGGGACCTATCAATGCCGAATCATTGGGAAAATCAGGTTCAAATTTACCTATTTCTCCAAAAGAACATAAATTAAAAGATGATTCTATTGTGGATGTACAAGTAAGCTATGTCGCTTTGATTTTCAATAATATGTCATTTCAAACTACTTTACAAGATTGAAAACCTTTGGTCACCATATTGTGTGTGTATTGTTAGTTTTTTCACTTTGAGGTACTCTGTAACTGGACTTAAGATTACTTACCTGCTAATAGTACTACTTTTGAGAACATGTAAAATTACAGATAATAATAAATGTGACTAGTCTCTTGGTAGTAAAAGTTTGAGTATAAATCCTCATTTCTTCCTCGGTTCTATTTTGGTTCATTATGATGTATCTTGTCTCTTCAGATTTTCAGTTGTTAAGAAATTTTTTTCTAACCTGAATCACTTGGAACAAAAGGGAGTATTTTTATGTAGAACACAGAGTATTTTGATAACCAAGATTTCCACTTATTGTGGGTATGAATAGATAATAGATCAAAATATGTTTTTTCCCTTTTTCTCTCATATTACATTCTGAATATTGTTTATTTTGTGCACCAGACTTTATGAAAAATACTAAAAACTAGAATATATACACCATAAACTGATCAGAATGCTGAGGTATCTGGAAACCATGTAATATCAGTAATGGCTGAAGGTACTGGGGATATTTTATCTGTAGGCAGAAGGACTAAGGAAAAACTAAAATCTCGAATATTAAAAAAAGAACACACATTTCAACTCAGAATGAGGGAGAATTCTTTCTTTTTAAAAAAATACAGCCTTGGCTAATTTTTTTTTCATTTTTTATTTTTTAACCTTGTACTTTTTGCAAGAGCCAGGGCTATTTTATAACTTACTGAGTTATCTAAAGCAATAGAATTAGTTTCATTTTATTGGATTCTGGAAGACATTTGTCAAGGGTTTATGCATAGGAGTAAGAGAAAAATGATACTTGTAGCCCTTACAATTGTATGACTATCCTGAACACTCCTACCGTTATTCATAAAACTTTTATTATGATGTAGTTGTGCTCAAATACTTCCGAGTGCTTACCATGTCTTGTATACCTATGTTGTTCATTACAGTAGCCACTAGCCACATGTGGCCATTAAGCACTTGAAATGCGGCTAGTCCAAATTGAAATTTACTGTAAGTGTAAAATACACATTGGATTTTGAAGACTTAATTAAAAAATAGCATGTAGGCCGGGCACAGTGGATCACCTGAGGTCAGGAGTTCGAGACCAGCCTGGCCAACATGGTGAAACCCTGTCTCTACCAAAAATACAAAAATTAGCCAGGTGTGGTGGTGCACGCCTATAGTCTCAGCTACTCAGGAGGCTGAGGCAGGAGAATTGCTTGAACCCAGGAGGCGGAGGTTGCAGTGAGCCGAGATCATGCCACTGCACTCCAGCCTGGGGCAACAGAGTGAGACTCTGTCTCAAAAAAAAAAAAAAAAGCATGTAAAGTATCTCATTAATTTTTAAATTTTGAATACATGTTCATATGGTAATATAGTATTTGATAATAAGGCAGTAGTCATTTTCTCAAGGCCTCCATCATAAAAATGCAGATGACTATTTATATTTTTTTGTGAATTTCTCGGTGTAAATAATTCCCCAAATGATCATACTTTATATTCTCCGGACTGCGTGCCTCGATGTTTGTTTGTGCTCTTGTACTGGCCCTCCTTTTCTTTAATGCCTAGCTCTTCTAATTCATCATAGTCCTTAGTTTCTTTTTCCTTGAGCTGAACATGAGTACCTCTCACTTGATATTCATTTATTGAGCATTTAAACACCTACTGTGCGCTAGATACTGTGCTAGACACTGGGAATATGAGGATCAAGAGAACATAGTTCTTACTGAGGACATTTATGGTATAGTTGAAGAAGAGAGGGAGACATGAATAATGGCAATTGAGTTGTTATAGATGCAGTGATAAAAGTGTACAGAGAACACTGGAGGCATAGGGGAAAGGGAGTAGTTAATTCTGTTTAGGGTTGATCTTGGAGGAGGAGGTGCTGATAGAGGTTTTCAAATATGAACAGGTGTTAGGTAGATTTCACATTGTGTTTTGGAGGACTGAAAGGCCCAGGTCATTCAAGACTGAAGGAGCAGTAAGAATCATTTATTGCTTCATGGTGTTACTTGAACATATCTTATATCGTTGCTTATTGATACACATTATTTCCTAAACTGCTCAGGGTCAAGAACTATGTATTGTACTGTTTTGTACATGTCCATAGGGTTTCTTTGTTGCTACTATCATTCATCAATTAGAGAAGAGGGAAATCTCTGTAGGTCCTGATGCAAAGTAGGAAATAGGTAGGGAGAAAGTGCTTTCCTAGTTTATGAAATGCCATGAAAAATGCTTAGGGCCTGTATTTTCATATGAAATGCATTCCTTAGGGCGGTAATATTGGAAGAAAGGATTTTTATAAAAGTACTTTTTTTAGTGAACATTGTTTATATTGTCATTTTTCAGAAATGCTTTCCATAAATGCCCGTTCTGCTAAAGAGATGTTATATTAATCTCAACATTTAATTTAGCTGACTTGTTTTTTTAAACAGAATACAGAGTCAAAAAAGTTAAGTCCACCGGTGGTGGAGACACTCCCTACAGTTGATTTGCATGAAGAGTCTTCCAATGCAGTTGTGGACAGTGAAACTGTTGAAAATATTTCCAGCTCATCTACCTCAGAAATCACTCCAATCTCAAAGCTTGAGTAAGTTGTTACAAAAAACAAACACAAAAAAGAATCTCCTTAGTTAGTGATAGAAAAATTTCCTTAAAAGATAAAGCAGCTTGATACTCAAGTTTGAAGTTTAGGCTATATAGCAGACCTAAATTACAGTGCTTGTGTTTTGTGTGCGTATGTGTGCATGCGTTTGTGTGTTTTGAATGTAATGATTTTATAACAAGTTTATTTAGCTAACTAACTCAATGAAGCTGATAGATCCCAGATATGAAATCTCTATATAGTCTGAGCAAAGTAAGGTTCTACTTAGGAAACAGTGCTTATTTGAATTGAATTCCCTATAATTATCAACTCAAATGTCAGGTTATTCATTTCCATTAAGTATCACTGTCATTTCATTCATTTTTATGTCTTCGTGTGAATCGCTAACTTTTTCAAACTCGATAATAAATATTCAGAGTGTTTAGGTTTAAGTGATCCTTAATTTAGAAAATTTGTTATGTACTTCTCCTAGCTTCTTCCTGCAGCAGTCCAAAGAACAAAACAAAATGTCCTTCTCTTAATACTACATTAAGCATTTCCTTTATCAAATGAGTTGACATAAATAAAGTGCAAGAAGAATAACTGGTACATAACTCAAGAATGTAAGGGCCTGGGTTGAAGGAGTTGCACAAGATATTATGGTTACCATTTAGAAGCTTGTCTCAGTATGGGCCAGGGAACAGAAGACATGTTGAGAAATAATGATAGTATTTAAACTTTTAAATTTAAATGATTCAGAAGGAATTTAAGGCTAGATACTATATATCTGAAGAGTGAATGCTATACTCCCATTATATTAAAAATGACTGGTTAATGAAATGGAGGTGAGGCAGGGAAAAATAGGAAGGTTTATATTTTAAAAACGAAATTCTAAGAACACCTTAAAATTTTAGTGAAATGTCTTGAGATAATGACTTTTGAAGGATGCCATAAGTAACAACTTTAATGCTGGTAGAATTAGTATAGTAATGATGGAAATTAAACTTTAGAGAAGATACATTGAGAATAAGTAATTTTTAAAAATCTTATTTTTGAAAGACCAAATATTAACCTCATATTTGGTAAGTAGTTATTTAGAAGCTGAGGACAATAACAGATCAAGTCAGCAATTGACTTTACATGATTTAAAATTTTCTTTCTTTGGTTTACATTATGTTTTGGAAATCACTAATAGTGTTTTTAATGTATATTACCTCAAGTTTATTTAATTACCAGATTATGTTTCTTGTTTCTTTTTTTAGTGAAATAGAAAAATCTGGTACTATTCCGATAGCCAAACCAAGTGAAACTGAGCAGTCTGAAACTGATTGTGATGTTGGTGAGGCCCTTGATGCTAGTGCTCCAATTGAACAACCTTCCTTTGTCAGTCCACCTGACAGGTGGGTAGGAGCAGTTGTTTGTCCTTCTTATGATTCTGTAATAACAGCAGTGTCCTGTTTGAATGGACTTTGGTGTATGTTAAATTCCACTTTGATTGAGAGAAAGCTGATCTCTTTGTGTTTCTTCCTTGGTTTACTTTGTGCATGAGTTCAAAGAATTTAGATTGTATAGAATTTGTTATCCAGTAAAATCTGTTTATTTAATATATCTTTTGGTTTTAAACAGCCTTGTTGGCCAGCATATAGAAAATGTATCATCTTCACATGGTAAAGGAAAGATAACAAAATCAGAATTTGAATCAAAAGTTTCAGCAAGTGAACAGGGCGGTGGTGATCCAAAATCTGCATTGAATGCTTCAGATAATTTAAAAAATGAGGTAGGTATATAACTTGCACTATCTCTTACTTCTTTATGTAATGCATTTTTGTTATTAGCTAAGCTTATAATAATTTGCTAACTATATTTGTCATAAAATCAGGGAGATTAAGTAGACAATAACATGTGGAACTAACACGAACTGTGCTCCCTGAGAGCAAGTGATTCTGTTTCCATTATAGTGTTTATCACATAAAGTTGTTTCAAGTGTGAACTCTCTCTGGTTATATATTATTAAATGATTTTGTGCCACCCACAGCTGTTTGATAGCAGATACATAAAGTCCTTATTTAATCATCTTCTTAGAAAGCTATCTAGAAGAAGGTATGACTAATTACATTTAATTATCTTCAGAATACAAGTTAATAATACAAGATTAAATTTAGGCTCTTCAGTCAGAACTATTTTAATGGAACATTTTACCTTTCATTATTTGTGTGCAAAATACAACCAGACCACCTTATATTTTAGAGTGTGATTCTTATAATTAAGGCAGGGCTTATCACAGTGGAACAGTTTTACTTTCTTTTCTCCTTCTGAGTTCTACCTTGACTTCATGCACTGTAGAATTTCTTGAAATAGTATCAACACAGCAATTTAAACTTCCCTCAGGTAAGCAATAACTAAGTTACAGAGATGAAGTATATTCCATAAACTTAACAAAAACAAAAATAAATAGGGTCCATGAGTAGTTCAGTGTGCTGACTACCACATCCATATTTATTCCTCTTTAATTTGGGGATCTTTTGTTCTCTGCTTTCTTTTTCACGTATTTTCAGTGAATCTTCACTTACGACTAACTAAACTTCATTCTGGAGACTTTCACTATCACGGGACCAACTGTTTTGACGATGTTTCTTACAAATATAGGAGCTCAGGATTTCATAGTCTAACATCTTGAAGGAACTACTTTTCTCAGTGATACCAAATCACGCATATGTTAAAGTTTAGTTGTCAGATATCACATCCATGAATAAAATTAGACAAACGTTAAAACACATCTTTGAAGGTATTTATAATAATGTCAAATGTAAAATTCAAGCATGGCAGCTAACTTTGTCCTAGATTTGCTTGTTCTCCTTAGCAGACTGAAATTTCTTTATTACCTTAGAGACTTAAACTGTTTGTGAGTCTATGCTAATCGGCAAAAGAGTAGAATTTTAATTAACTGTATTAATTACTTTCTAAATGAATTAGTATCCCAGAAAAATCATGACAGATAATGAGCACATTATGAGTAATAGCCAATAGTTTTATGTAGTATCTACTTCAGAATAACTCTGTCCCGTTAAGTTTGTGTGAGTGGGAGAGAATTTGCTTTCTGATGCCTTGTGCTAGCCTCTTATTTCAAGGATCTGTGAGACACTGATTGCCGTACTTATACAGAGAATGCTTTCCAAACTGATTTTGTTGTATTGTTTATAGACAGTGCATTACAAAGTGATTTTTATTGTATTTGTTCTCTTATTTGTTGCTAGGAGGATATAGTGATTTCTTTGGCTGGGCTTCAAAGGGTAAATGTATGTTCTTTTTGTTGCAGTTTTTGTATTTGAGCTTTACTTTGTTAGTATCTCAGCTAGGTAAATTTTTATAAGTGTATGTTTCTTGTTTATTTTCTCAATGTATCTGATGCAGGACAGGCAAGCCCCAAAATTAGTGCTTAGCCCGGGAGGGTTCTTGGCTTAGCCCAGGAAAGAATTCAAGGGCAAGCCAGTGGTATTAAACAGCGACTTTAATTGAAGCGGCAGTGTACAGCAGCAGCAGCAGAGGTAATGCTCTTTGTGGAGTAGGGCTACCCCATAAGCATTGTGCCCAGAATAGCAGCTCAGAAGCAGTTCTGCAGTCATGCTTATATACAATTTTAATTATATGCAAATTAAAGGGTAGTTTATGCAGAAATTTCTAGGGAAAAGGTGGTAACTTCTGGGTTGTCAGGCAGTTGTTATGGGAAGGGGTAGTAACTTTTGGGTGTTGCCATGGAAAGAGGTGGTAACTTCCAGGTGTTGCTGTGGCAGTGGTAAACAGACATAGCACATTGGTGGGCTTGGCTTACAGAAATTTGCTTCCGTCTGGGACCTGTTTTAGCTGGTACTCAATTTGATCTGATGTCCAAGACCCGCCTCCAGAATTGAATCCCACCTTCCCACCTCATTCCTCCCTCAGAGATTAGATACTCCTCCTTAATCTTAAGAAGGCTGCACAAGGACAGAGATCCATCTTCTGTAACTGCTTCCTGCTGAGTTTACAGTGTAGGCCCTGTCTAGCACCAGATGAGTGAAAATCTTTGGATAACTGATAGGGGCCCAGAGACAGGATGAGTTGGAAGCCTTGTGCTAACGTTATCTTTACCTGGAACTGTTGTAATCTAAGACAAAACTTTGCTAAGAGGTTAAACGAGCAAGGACCAAAAATTAGTAACAAGACAGCCTTCAAAGGTCCCAGAAGAGGTAGGTAAAAGCCAGTTGAGACTTGCGAAGGCAGTTTTGATAGTTGACCAGCTGTAGTTGCAATGAGTGCCCTGGTTATATCTGTAACCAGGTAGTTTACTCATAGATCTTTTGAATGTTAATCTCAACCTGTCTGGAGTTGTTCATATAGGTGCAGCAGGTTTTATTAATAACTGCACATACTCTACCTTGTTCAGCTAGTAAATAGTCCAGTGCTAGTCTGTTATTGAGAAATACATTTGCCAAAGAGTCTAGGGACTCTTGAATTCTCTTTAGTGCATGACCTGTGTTGGTGGCTAAGGATTCTAGGGTTTGAGTCAAGTTGTTTAGGGTTCACTTTAAGCAAAGCCACCCAAGGGTACTGCTGCCCTGATTCCTGCCAGAATTAATCCTATTGCTCATTTACTTCTGGTGTTACTATGACTGTGATCCCTGAAGGGGCAAGAGTGGCTAACATGTATTCACCTCAGTTCCAAGTTTTGATACATAAGGGAAAGCTACTCCTAAAAGAGAAGATGTTGACTTTTAACTATCCAGAATTAAAAAACAAAAAACAGATGACTACCTCGGGAGTCAGGAGTGGTTATGGGGTGTAACTTCTTCCCATTCATGGCCACAAAGAAAAATGAGCTGAATTGGGGCACAAATGGAGACCCTATGGGGTGTGATCTTTATTCTTTGTTGCCAACTTGAGTCTATAGAGATACTTTCCCCCTATTCTAATGGGGGTAGTTGAACAATCTTTGTTTTCTGAAAGAGGGTGGCACCGCCACCTTCCCAGACTAGATAGTTGTTTTTCCCCTGTATATTCTAATCCAGGAGAAGCCACCATGTATGGTCTCCTTGCTTTCAAGTGGAATCCCATTTACCTCACTGCAGCATTGGTATCTTGGCAGCTAGAGTTGTATTCAGAGCATTGCAGGGAAACTTCTGCTTTAGTGTCATTAGCACAAAAGATGCAGAAGGTAGGATCATGAGTGCACTGGAGGTATACATACCCAACTTCCCAGGTCCAGGTAATGGTGGGGAGGTTCAGGTGGATTTCATTCAGTGGGGGGAGTTCATTCCACTTATCAAGTAAGGGTTTGGGTATTTCAGGATTGCTGTGGTTAGTTAGGAGGTCTGTGGGGGATGTTTGTGAGATTTTTTGGATAAGTCAGAAGATTGAAATCTTTATCCTGGGGATGTTGATGACGAATCTAGCAACCATGAAGGTGGTGCCCTGATGCTATAATTTTTGAAATATTTACTGTAGAATTATGTTTCTACCCACACCAGCTCAGGGTAATTGGGAGAGCAAACAAGATTAATAGTGACAACATGATATCTGCGGTTGGGCCTTAGCATGGCCTCTACACCCAATAAGGACAAGAGAGGTGTTTCCTAGGAGGTTGGCTAAAGTGATCGAAAAGAAGTATTACACTATTTTGCTCCCCCAGTGCTCAAAAGGGTTCAAGGACCAATGAGTACCCACTCACCTCTACTCTTGTCTGGCCCAGAACATCCCCTGGCTACAAGTCCCCTGACTCCAAGTCCCCTGGCCACAGGGTTCCCACCAAGGGACACAATGGACCTGGGGCAGGCAGCATACTACCTCAGCATTGGCACAGGAGAAAATAAAATCTTTGCCATTAACATTGCATCCAGCACCTTCTGACAACAAGGAGGAATACAAAACAAAAATCAAAATCTGTAGCCCCCCAACAGACTGAACAGATGCTCCCTTCCTGGCCAAAGGGAATGGATTTGGGCAGGCACCTACCAGCCCCCCAAACACTTCTAAGCAATATCAGAGTCAAAACCAAAAGCCAAAATAAGTTACACATCAATAAAAAAACAACAGCATAGAATTAAGCTATACTGGAGGAAAACACTGCTCCCACAGACCTCTCTCTAAGACTAAACATTTTAGCCTCAGGTCACAACAGCAGTTGTAGCTGGAGGAGAAAAACTCACAGGAGCTCACAAAAAAAGCTAAAAGAGTTAAATGAATCTGAGAAGCTTTCAAAAGAATAGATTACAAGATTGAAAAGCAAAATTTCTGGTAATTTAGCAAATTAACATTTTAAGAAAATTGGGTTTTAACATTTTTTTTTTTTTTTTTTTTATTTTGAGATGGAGTCTTGCTCTGTTGCCAATCTGGAGT
This sequence comes from Homo sapiens, assembly GCF_000001405.40. Taxonomy (NCBI): domain Eukaryota; kingdom Metazoa; phylum Chordata; class Mammalia; order Primates; family Hominidae; genus Homo; species Homo sapiens. Next base: position 172,562,387 of record NC_000001.11, read on the forward strand.
GCAGTGGTGCGATCTCTGCTCACTGCAACCTCCGCCTCCCGGGTTCAAGTGATTCTCTTGCCTCAGCCTCCCATAGCTGGGACTACAGGCGTGCACCACCATGCCCATCTAATTTTTGTATTTTTAGTAGAGATGGGGTTTCACCATGTTGGCCATGGCCAGGATGGTCTTGATCTCTTGACCTCGTGATCACCCGCCTTGGCCTTCCAAAGTGCTGGGATTAACAGGTGTGAGCCAGTGCACCCAGTTAGACCATTCTTTAGAAAGTGTATTGTAAACAATTTCCTTTTAATTATACCAAGTTTAATCATACACAAAATTTCTTTTTATAAAAGTCTCCTTTATGAACCTTGTCACGACATAACACAGACCCTCCACAACATGCTTGAATTTTCTTACTTGTCTGATATGGTTTAGCTCTGTGTCGCCACCCAAACCTCATGTTGAGTTGTAATCCCCACGTTAGAGGAGCGGCCAGATGGGAGGTGATTGAATTGTGGGGGTGGAATTTCCCCTTGCTGTTCTTGTGATAGTGACTTCTCACAAGATCTAGTTTAAAAGTGTGTAGTGCTTACCCCTTCACTCTCTTCCTCCTGCACTGCCATGTAAAGAAGGTACTTGCTTCCCCTTTGCCCTTCTGCTGTGATTGTAAGTTTCCTGAGGCCTCCCTAACCATGCTTCCTGTACAACCTAAGAAACTGTGAGTCAATTAAAAATTAAACCTCTTTTCTTCGTAAAACACCTAGTCTCAAATAGTTCTTTATAGCAGTGTAAGAACAGACTAATATAGAAAATTGGTACCAGAGAAGTGGGGCATTGTTAAAAAGGTACTTGAAAATATGGAAGTGACTTTGGAACTGGGAAATGGGCAGAGGTTGGACAGTTTGGAGGGCTCAGAAGACAGGAAGGTAACAGAAAGTTTGGAACTTCCTAGAGACTTGTTGAATGGTTTTGACCAGAATACTGATAGTAATATGGACAGTGAAATTCAGGCTGAGGTGGTTTCAGATGGAGATGAGGAACTCATTGGGAATTTGAGCAGAGGTGACTCTTGCTGTGATTTAGCAAAGAGCCTGGTGGCATTGTGCCTCTGCTTTAAGGATCTGTGGGACTTTGAACTTGAGAGAGATGATTTAGGGTATCTGGCAGAAGAAATTTCTAGGCAGTAAAGTATTCAAGATGTGGCCTGGCTACTTCTAAAAGCCTGTGCTCATTTGCATAAACAAAGAAATGGCCTAAAACTGGAACTTATATTTAAAACGGAAGCAGAGTATAAAAGTTTGGAAAATTTGCAGCCTGACTTGTGGTAGAAAAGAAAAACCCATTCACTGGGGAGGGATTCAAGCCTGCAGAAATTTGCATAAGTAGAGAGGAGCCAAATGTTAATAGCCAAGAAAGTGGGGGAAATGCTTTTAGGGCATTTCAGGCACCTTCATGGCAGCCCCTCCCATCGCAGGCCAGGAGACCTAAGAGGGAAAAATGGTTGCGTGGGCCAGTCCCCGGGTCCTGCTGCTCTGTGCAGCCTCCGGACATGGCACCCTGCATCCCAGCTGCTCCAACTTCAGCTGTGGTTGAAAGGGGCAAAGGTACAGATCAGGCCATTGCTTCAAAGGGTGCAAGCCCCGAGCCTTTGCAGCTTCCGTGTGATATTGGGCCTATGAGTGCAAAAAGGGCAGGAGTTGAGGTTTGGGAACTTCTGCCTAGATTTCAGAGGATGTATGCAAATGTCTGGATGTCCAGGCAGAAGTCTGCTGCAGGGACAGAGCCGTCATGGAGAACCTCTACAAGAGCAGTGCAGAGGGGAAATATGGGGTGGGAACCCCCAATCCCCAGCATCCCCACTGGAGCACTGCCTAATGGAGCTGTGAGAAGAGGGCCACCATCCTCCAGACCCCAGAATGTTAGATCCACCAACAGCTTGCACCGTGCACCTGGAAAAGTAGCAGGCACTCAACACCAGCTCCTGAAAGCAGTTATGGGGGCTCTACCCTGCAGAACCACAGGGGTGGAGCTGCCCAGGGCCTTGGTGATGAATGAGTTCTTGCGTGATCTGGTTGTTTAAAAGTGTGTTGCACTTCCCCCTTCACTCTCTTTCTCCTGCGCCACCATGTGTAAAAGGTGCTTGCTTCCCCTTCAGTCTTCCACCATGATTGTAAGTTTCCTGAGGCCTTCTCAACTGTGTTTCCTGTACAGCCTGCAGAACTGTGATTCAGTTAAACTTTTTTTTTTTTTTCATAAATTACCCAATCTCAGGTTGTTCTTTACAGCAATGTGAGAATGGACTAATACGTTGTCCTATACTACCTCTTTCTTGAATAACTGGACATTTTACTTTAGGACAAGGATTTACTATGCAAGATTTCTCCCTCATATAAAATTACTCTTTTTTTATATCCTTTGCAAAACAAAGAGAAAACATTTTCTATCCATAACATTCTTTATGTCTCTCTTTTCTACCTAATGGTTTCCTTATATTTTGAACTTCCCTTTTAGTAACTTCCAAATTAAACAAAACATTTTTTCCCAATAAAAAATACATTTCTTTAGCACATTTTATGTAAACCTAGCAAGAAATCCTGAACTGCCTACCAGACATTAGAATTTTATAGATGAGAATCATTTTACCATTTTTAGATTTTATACCATACAATAAGCTCAGTCTATTCTATTCTGTTCTGATCTGTTCTGTTCTGTTCTGTTCTGTTCTATTCTATTCTCATGCCATTTTAATCATTTTAAAGCCTATGCACATAAGTAATTTACCTAGGAAAGGGTTGCCAAAGTGGAGACTTCAGAGGCCCTGACTTGCTGGAGAACCTACCTGGTAGTGGAGACACTGAGAAAATAGGTAGCCACTTGTTGACTGCTGTAGGTGGCTGTCCATTTGAGGTCAGGAGCCTGTGAACTCCCAATTCCTTTGACCAAGAGGGGCAGTTACAAGCAAAGCAGTTATAAGACAGCTCCCAAGAAGGAGTTGCAACTCGCTGTTAGGAAAATAATACTTCTAACTTTAGGACAGAAAAGGGCAAGACTAATACTTCCCTAGGGAGAGGGGCTATAACCCACAGTCCTAAAGGAATGTCAATGCCAAAAACCCCAGCGCATCTTGGGTGCAGTCTATAATACCAATGCTGTAAACCCAGAGTGCCTGCATTTCAGCCAACGAGGGTCCCTTCACCAATGCCAAAAACCCTAGTGCACCCCGGGTGCAGCCAACAGTGTCCCATGACTGAGTTGAGGTCACAGAATGTGACTGTGGTGTCCCAGAGTCAACACACTGGGGGGACCTCTCACAACTAAGTGTCCCACCTTAAATAATTGCCACACACAGTTGACAGAAAGTTAAAAGCAAACAATAAGACTGCACACATTTTAGGATTGAAAATGAAATGACTGGTGGAATAATGAACTAGAAGGGCAAGGACCAGTGGAAGAGGTGCTCAGGATGTGTTTCAGGGCACACTAACGATGGGGGCTTTTAACTGACCACTTAGCCAAAGGCTTTTGTTCCCTAGCTTACCTGATAATTATGGGGGGTGGTAGAGGGGACACACCCATCCACAGAAGCCAAAATGTGACTGGTCTTCCACATGGGATTTGGGTCTTCATCCAGGTTCCCTCATCTAGAGTGGGCTCAGCTGCTGCAGTGGGAGGGGCTTGCACAGGGGCTGGTAACCTACTGGTCTGCCTGTCAGAGCAGTGGGTCCCATATGAGGCAGTGGCATTATGGCCACTTGCTCGTCTGCTCAGCTGTGCTGTCTGCCAGGGAAAATGATGACTCTCAAAAGAGCTTTTGATTAGTGTTAGAGCTCAGGTTTTACAGCTCTGCTTAGTTACCTCTCTGGTCATCTCACCTGCTGCCATGTCTTGCTGTCTTGTTTTGTTAACTGCTGTCTCTCATTGTCCCTTGCTGTTTTCTTGCTGTTTCTCTGACTGCCATCTCTCATTGGCTCTTGCCAATCACCTTCTCTCCATCTCTGCTGTTGCATCATCTTGCCTCTCCTCCAGTCACTGCCATCTCTGCTTTCTTCATCCCTTCGTGGTCACCAGATGATTCAGGACAGGGAAGCCCCCAAATTGGGGATTAGCCCAGGAAGGTTCTTGGCTTCACCTAGGAAAGAATTCAAGGGCAAGCTGGTGGTGTTAAACAGCAACTTTTATTGAATTGACTGTATACAGCAGCAGCAGAAGTACTGCTCTTTGAGGAACAGGGCTACCCCACAGGCAGGGTGCCTAGAGCAGCAGCTCAGAGGCAGTTCTGCAGTCATACCCACTTTTAATTATATGCAAATTAAGGGGTGGTTTACGCAGAAATTTCTAGGAAAATGGTGGTAACTTCCAGGTTGCTGGATCCTTGTCATGGAAAGGGGTGGTAACTTCCAGGTGTTGCCATGGCAGTGCTAAACTGACAAGGCACGCTGGTGGGCATGTCTTACAGAAACTGCTCCTGACCTGTTTTATGTGGGCATGCATATGGTTCGGTGTCAGAGCCCTGCCTCCGGAATCAATTGAGTCCTGTCTCCTTCCTTATATTCAAACTAGATTTTTATTATCTAATTGAAAAAATTAAATTAGTGGTAATACTAGCTCTTTTGTCTTTTTCTGCCATGTATTGTTTTAAGTAGCCATACACTTCATTTAGTAAATCAACTTGTTCTGTAAAGCACTCTAAGGTGGAAGTTGGATGGGGACCAAATTGCTGTCTTCCTAAAGGGAGGTTTGGAAATGGCTCTACTTCCTTTGAAGAAAAGAAGAAATAGTCCCAGAAGTTATGGATATTTCATGTTAGTGCTCAAAAGCATGCTCTTATGTAGCAAATATAAACTAAATGAGACTTATATTGTTTACCAGAGTTTCCTATCTAATAGATTTTGTACACTTCTCAATATAGTGTTAGTGAACACATCAAAACTTTGTTTTAGGAATACAGAAATGATTCAATAATGGAATAAATGTCTGTATTCATTATTCAGTTTAAGAGGAAAAAAAGTCACAAGATTGGATGCCCTTCCTCAGTATTCCTTCTCTTGTCTTCAGATATAACCACTGTCTTGAATTTAGTATTTTTTTTGTTTAGTTTTAGAGCTTTTCAAATAAGTATAAATAATATATATTATATGGCATAGTTTAATATAAATGACATTCTTAAGTAACATTTTATTCAACATTGTTTTGAGATTTGTTCATTGTTTCCACTGCTCTGTTTATAGTGACTACTGCAGTTCATCCATTCCTCATTTAATGGATATTTAGGTTATTATTTTTGGTATTAAAAGCAATGCTCTAATGAACATTCTTATGCATATCTTTTGGACACACATGAGTGTTTTCACTTAGATTTATACATGGGGTGTATTTAGGGATTATGCACATCTTAATATTGTTAAATTTTAAACTCCTTTTAGCATAGATTTCTCTTGGCTCAACAGATATTTCACACTTGGCCACAGACTATCACACTTTAAACTCCATTAGATTTGTATAATTTATGTCAGCATGCCCCAACCCCCAGGCCACAGACCAGCACCAGTCCATGGCCTGTTAGGAACCAGGCGCACGACAGGTGGTGAGCAGCAGGTAAGCAAGCATTATCGCCTGAATTCTGCCTCCTGTCATATCAGTGGTGGCATTAGAATCTTATATGAGTGTGAACCCTATTGTGAACTGCACATGTGAGGGATCTAGGTTGTGCACTCCTTATGAGAATCTAATGCCTTATGATCTAAGGTGGAACAGTTCATCCCAAAACCATCTCCCTGCCCCATCCATGGGAAAACTGTTTTCCATGAAACTGGTCCCTGGTTTCAGAAAAGTTGTGGACCACTGATTTATATGATATCTCAGGCTTTCATTTGGATTCCATGATTATTACTGAAATTGTATTTCTTTTTACAAATTTATTGATTTTATTCTTTGCTTCCCACCCACCCCATCCCCTTATTTGATTTGCTGATACTCTTTATACTTAATAATAATTCTTTGTTGACTGAATGTATTGCAGATACTTCTCTCAGTGTGTGACTTATTCGTCCATGTCATTTATGGTTAACCTAACCAAATGTATCAGCTTTTAAAAATGATTTATGCATTCTGCATCTTATTAACATGATTTATAAAGATTTTTAAATTTTCTTCTAAAATGTAAAGTTTTGTTTTTTCACATTTAGAATTTTTAATTTGCCTTAAAATTTTTGTGTACACAGTGTTTCTTTTTAAGGATATTGTGGAAATAATATTAAAACATCTAAAATTATCTAGCTTCCTTTAATGGATGTATTAACTTATATTTTAAGGTGGATGCATGGCAAGTATACAATTTATTCATTTGTACAGGCTATATATGAGTAATTGTTTGCTTTAGAGTTTTATAAATTATTTTTTTCAACGACCTATGCTTATATCACTTAACAAGTGAAGGAACACATCCTAAAAAGAATGTTTAAATTATCTCAAGAGAAATTCAACTTTTAAGTAAACCAAAACCTTTCTTTTTACGTTTTTTATTTTTTCAAAATATAATCATTCATTATAAATTGGAACTTTAATTTGACAGAAACATTTGTATTTATTTCTAAAATTTATTTGTATTATTTGAAAGTTGAAGTCTTCTTACTTTTTGGTGTTTCTTTCAGAGCTCTGATTATACAAAACCAGGAGACATTGACCCTACATCAGTAGCAAGTCCCAAAGATCCAGAAGATATACCAACATTTGATGAATGGAAGAAGAAAGTTATGGAAGTAGAAAAAGAAAAAAGTAAGGAAGTATTTGAGTTCTTTAAATTTTTTTTTTAAGTATATGGTGTAGTTTAATATGCTTTCTTTTTTTGATTGGTAAAACAAAATAAAATTTACTTTTGAAAACTTTTTAAAGGTGAAACTTAACCAAGTTGCTGTTGATCCATCCATCCATCATGTACCTGTATATAATTACATACAGTTTTAGTTTTAATTAAAATCCATTCTTGTAAATTATTAAGTGAGCATAAAATAAGGCATAGCAGTGATTTTCATCACAATACGAGGAAAATTGAGGCATGGAAACTATTTTAAAATTCATATGGAACTCAAAAAGAACTTGCATAAAATCCTTGGGTTTAAAATATTCTTTAACTTACCAAAAGGTGTTTTACATATGATGTTTCAAGAACATACCTAAAGAAAAGCTTGCTTATGTTATGAGGCAGAGGAGGGTGACTAAAATTATAATTTATTCCCTGTGTGATGGGTTATTAGGTGCAGCACACCACCATGGCACATGTTTACCTATGTAACAAACCTGCACATCTTGCGTGTGTACCCCAGAGCTTAAAAAAAAAACAATAAAATAATGTAAGAAATACATCCTTAATAGATGTTTATAATAGATATAAATACAGAAAGCTTTGATTCTCATGGACAAGCTTCATTTTGTGAGTTATGTTACTTAGACATAAGTAATGTAGAATTTTGTAGTTAATTTGTTTTGGGGGGATATTTTAAGCTATTGAGGTGGAGCACTTTGATTTTTTTATGAATTTTTAAAATATTCTCTCAAGTGTTAAAACCTATTCTTTTCTAGAAGACAGCTTATTGCTTTGGAGATCAGTGTTGCTAGAGGTATTTTCAGTCATAATCATCAAATATATATATAAATATTTATAATAACGGTTTGTCTGCAGGTCAGTCGATGCATGCATCTTCTAATGGAGGTTCACATGCCACCAAAAAGGTCCAGAAAAATCGAAATAATTATGCCTCAGTAGAATGTGGTGCCAAAATTCTAGCAGCTAATCCAGAAGCCAAGGTAGGTGTTTAAATATAAAATTTTGTATATATAGGAAATTAACGACTTTTTAAAATACAGGTTATTTGTTTACTGGGAACTATATTTTAATGTGAGATATTTTCCTTATTCACTAATAAAAGCAGAATATACTTTTCAAAACATTATCTTGTATGAATTCTTACTTATATTGGCTGATGTATTTTGCCCTGCATTTTTTAACTTTTAAAACCCGTATGAAATTTTAAAAAGGAAATAACTAAAATATTATTTTTTTCTTTAAAGTAACAGGCATTGAATTTTAAATGTATCATTGTAACACTAATTTAATGCTGTTGCCGTGAATGGTGAATCTTAGCCACTTTTATGCTTTTTTCCCAAGTGAGTGTTTTAAAGTCTTAGGTGTACTTAAGATCTAAAAATACAGAAGTCCCAGAAAACTTTAAAGTTAAAATAAATACTTTCTTCATTATTCCTTAAGTAATTTGTTTCCTTTCCTCTTTTTAAAATAGAGCACATCTGCTATTCTTATAGAAAATATGGATCTTTACATGTTGAATCCTTGCAGCACTAAAATTTGGTGAGTTATACACAATTTTAAAAAGTACATTCTACATATATATGCATATTATGTTAAGCTTTTACATTAGGGTTACATTGACATATAATAATTTAATAAGCTTTTATGATTGATTAGTGCTGATACTATGCAAAACTGAGGACAAAATGCCTTCCTTTCCTTTTGAGGAGGTCACAAAAAGCAAAAAATGGCAGATCTGGTTAAACAATTATGAAATGGTATAAAAAGTACTGTTGAAAGGGTGTTATTGAAAGAGTGATGATGCGTAACTGCAAGAGGAGATGAGAGAAGGCTTCCTGGAAGAGGTAATTCCTGAGCTGAATCTTGAAGGATTAATAGGAAGTGGCAGATGAATGAGGCAGAGGTATTCAGGAACTGTAAGAATAAGGGGGGTACTGCTGCCATCTCGGCACACTGCAGCCTCCCTGCCTGATTCTCCTGCCTCAGCCTGCGGAGTGCCTGCGATTGCAGGCGCGCGCCACCACGCCTGACTGGTTTTCGTATTTTTTTGGTGGAGACGGGGTTTCGCTGTGTTGGCCGGGCTGGTCTCCAGCTCCTAACTGCGAGTGATCCGCCAGCCTCGGCCTCCCGAGGTGCCGGGATTGCAGACGGAGTCTGGTTCACTCAGTGCTCAATGGTGCCCAGGCTGGAGTGCAGTGGCCTGATCTCGGCTCGCTACAACCTCCACCTCCCAGCCGCCTGCCTTGGCCTCCCAAAGTGCCAAGATTGCAGCCTGTGCCCGGCCGCCACCCCGTCTGGGAAGTGAGGAGAGTCTCTGCCTGGCCGCCCATCGTCTGGGACGTGAGGAGCCCCTCTGCCTGGCTGCCCAGTCTGGAAAGTGAGGAGCGTCTCTGCCCGGCCGCCATCCCATCTAGGAAGTGAGGAGCGCCTCTTCCCTGCCGCCATCCCATCTATGAAGTGAGGAGCTTCTCTGCCCGGCCGCCCATCGTCTGAGATGTGGGGAGCGCCTCTGCCCCGCCGCCCCGTCTGGGATGTGAGGAGCGCCTCTACCCGGGCGCGACCCCGTCTGGGAGTTGAGGAACGTCTCTGCCCAGCCGCCCTGTTCGAGAAGTGAGGAGAACCCCCGCCCGGGCACCGCCCCGGCCGAAAAATTAGGAGCCCGTCCGGCCCGCAGCCCCCCCGTTTGGGGAAGTTAGGAGCGTCTCTGCCCGGGAGCCACCCCAATCCTGGAAGGAAGGTGGGGGGGTGAGCCCCATGCCCGGCCAGCCGCCCGTAATGGGAGGGAGGTGGGGGGGTCAGCCCCCCGCCCGGCCAGCCGCCCCGTCCGGGAGGGAGGTGGGGGGGTCAGCCCCCCGCCCGGCCAGCCGCCCCGTCCGGGAGGGAGGTGGGGGGTCAGCCCCCGCCTGGCAAGCCACCCGGTCCGGGAGGTGAGGGGCGCCTCTGCCCGGCCGCCCCTACTGGGAAGTGAGGAGCCCCTCTACCCAGCCACCACCCCGTTTGGGAGGTGTACCCAACAGCTCATTGAGAACGGACCATGATGACAATGGTGGTTTTGTGGAATAGAAAGGGGGGAAGGGCGGGGAAAGGATTGAGAAATCGGATGGTTGCCATGTCTGTGTGGAAAGAGGTAGACACGGGAGACTTTTCATTTTGTTCTGTACTAAGAAAAATTCTTCTGCCTTGTGATCCTGTTGATCGGTGACCCTACCCCCAACCCTGTGCTCCCTGAAACATGTGCTGTGTCCACTCAGGGTTAAATGGATTAAGGGTGGTGCAAGATGTGCTTTGTTAAACAGATGCTTGAAGGCAGCATGCTCATTAAGAGTCATCACCACTCCCTAATCTCAAGTACCCAGGGACACAAACACTGCGGAAGGCCGCAGGGTCCTCTGCATAGGAAAACCAGAGACCTTTGTTCATTTGTTTATCTGCTGACCCTCCCTCCACTATTGTCCTATGACCCTGCCAAATCCCCCTCTGTGAGAAACACCCAAGAATGATCAATAAAAAAAAAAAAAAAAAAAAAAAAAAAAAAGAATAAGGGGGCAGTGCTAAAAAGGAGTATGTTTCTTCTGGGTGACTGTTAGATATTACAAGAAGAAAGATACAATGAGAGTAGGGGTGGAACATAAGCCTGGAGCATTCGTTTATCTATAAGTAGGCCATCCAGTGCTGTGTATACCCAGAGTGTTACATGTCATGGGTATTTATTTTCCGCCAATGCCATGCTATATGCAGTTTTATATTATGCACATGGAACCATGCTTTTAATTTTTTCCTAAGCAGCAATATTTTTGGCATCTTTCCATGTTAATAAATGTAAATCTTAGCATCATTTTAAAAAAAAACAGCTTTATTGGGGTATAGTTGACATACAATAAATTGCATGTATAATAAACTACATGTCAAAGTGTATAATTTGGTAAGTTTTGACATTTATGTATCTGAAGCCATCACCACAATAAAGATAACAAACATATCCATCATTCCCAAAAGTTTCATCATACCTCTTTGTAATTTCTCTCAAACTCTCTTCCCCCACAGCAATTACAGATCTGCTTTCTGTTACTATAAATTAGTTTACAGTCTCTAGATTTTTTATGTAAATGAAATGATAGTTTCTGGTACCAGTTTTAATGGCTGCTTAGTATTTCATTGTCTGGATGAACCATAATTTGTTAATTCTCTTTGCTAAATATTTAACTTGATTTCCCCCCCTGCCCTTATAGACTGTGTGTACTTCGATATAGCAAAATATATATACAAAGGTGGACATCTGAAGCCTTGAATCCTTAAGATAAATTTCTAAGAACTAAATCGAAGACTATGATAACTTTTTAAGACAATGTATATGCCAAACTATCCTCTAGACTAGTCATTTTACACTATCACTGTCTGTTCTTAAGAAAGTCATCCCTTCTCCAAGAATGAGTGTTATCTAAAAAAGGAATTTTTAAAAAAAAATGATGGAGCAAAATCAATATTGTTTTATTTACAGGTCTTTTCCCCCCACTAATGGTATCCTTTGGGAAGTATTTAAAGATGCTTCTTATAGACAACTAAGGCTACATACCCTCCTCTTAACATTTTAATGAGTAACTCTTAATGGTAGTCTAATTTATGGAAACTGTTAATGTCATATTTAATATGAACTGTTATTTTGATTGGTTTAAGTAATTGTCTTTTGTTCTTTTTGAAGGTTTGTTATTGAACTTTGTGAACCAATTCAAGTAAAACAGCTTGATATTGCAAATTATGAATTATTTTCTTCTACTCCTAAAGATTTTCTGGTTTCTATCAGTGACAGGTAAATTCTAAAGCTGTTTCTATAGGGTCTATGTTGGATCTCTGAAAAAAAGAAAAACAAAAAAACAAAAAAGTGGGTCACATTTTGACTTCAGTCCATTTATTTTTTAAAGGTCAGTTTGTAATAACAACGATAATACGACTGTATTGTAGGCTCTTGTTAATCACTTACCTTTTACCTTCATTAGCTCATATGCTTTAAACATAACCATATGATATTATTCTCTTATAATGTGGGGAAACAGAAAAGGGGAGATTAAGTGCCTTGCCCAGGTCACATGACTTGTGAGTTTTAGAACCAAGATTCAGAACTACAACTCTGACTTCAAAGTCCTCACTTGCAGTCATTATGCTGTCTTGTTTCTAAACATTTCTTTTAAAAGTTGTTAAAAACATACATGTGTAGGTGCTTTATGAGGTATATTTTTATTAAAATATATTCTAAAACTTTTTTTGTACATGTGTGATTATAAAAGAAATAAATATATGTTGTGAGGAATTTGGAATAGAACTGCATTTTGTCAACCAGAGATAGCCCTTATTAGCATTTTAATATATTTCTTCCAGTCTTTACTATGCACTTATTTATTAATTCTATAAAAATATGTACTTTTACATCCTGGAAATACTCTTTAGTCTTTTACACGTATCATTTTTAATGTGTACACATTATTTTTTGTTCAACAGAGATGTGAAATCATTTCATAAATACTTTTTGAGTGTCCACGATATGCCATGTAGGATGCTGTTTCTTTATGGAACTGTTATTTTGTCATTTAATCATTAAGGGTTTTCCTTGGTGTTTCTTCCTCCACCTCACACTCAGCACTGCATATATACAGTTTTTGAAATCGGTTCTCAAGACCTCTTGAGAATTCTGTTATTCTGCCGCTACCCTTGCTCAGTTCACTTCTTTTTCTCTCAGCTGCAATTTTCTTATATGTCAAATGAACATACACAGCTCTGATAAGTAAAGTGTATTTTTTTAACGTGGTGAGAGGGCTCATTATTTTGAGGAGTTCTTATAATGTTTCAGTAAACAGATATAATAGTTTTAGACTTTTATATTAAATACCAAAGTCTCCTTTAAAGGGGAATAGATATGTCAAACTCAGATGTGGTTTTAAAAGTTTTTTCTTCCCATTCTCTTTCCACCAGTACTTGTATTTATACTTTACATTATTACACACATGTCAGTATGTGAAGAGCTGTGCCACCTTCTTCCAAGACAGTCTCTTGGTGACTTTCTGTTATAAAACCTCCTCCCAAACCCCAAGAAGTGGTACTGGTCCTACTTTTTGTTAATGGTGTGATTTTTCAAGGCATTCTTTCCTGGTAAAGAGAAACCCGTCAGTTCAGTTGGAAAAGAAAATGTATTAAATGTATGTATTTATGTATTAAACTGTTAAGTCAGCGTGTTCACCTGGAAAGGAAAAAAATTATATTTTGAAAATATGATAGAACCTTTCAATATGTGGTTTATAATTTTTAAAAAAGAACATATTGCTTATATTTTTTAGATATCCAACAAATAAGTGGATTAAGCTGGGTACTTTTCATGGTAGAGATGAGCGGAATGTACAGAGTTTCCCTTTAGATGAACAGATGTATGCAAAATATGTCAAGGTAATGTTTACACATACAGGACTATGTTCTATAATGAAAATATACGTGTTATTCACACTTTATACACCTCATCTTTTTAGAAATCAGAAAAGTTAAGAAATAGACTACACTATACCACTTAATAGATAATTCTTACTTGGGTATATTATTTCATGAATCAAATATTGCTACATTCCCTTTTGCATTGCTGGAAGCCTAGGCCAGTTTTTTTGTTATTTATGGCCCTGATAAAATTCCAAATTATAACTATTTAAGTTTTTTGAGTCTTTATGCAAAATGTCATCTTCATAGTATATTTCTTTCTATTTTGAAACTGAAATCATTGCTGGTCACTGAAGTCTTTAAAGCAGATGTAATTTCTTGTTAGACTCTGATTCTTAGACCATTTCATCTTTAACGTCCACTTATTTGGCATTGTTACAGCTTTTGTCTTTTTCTTTGTATAGCCAAATGAAATATTCTGTGTCCAAGTACCAATTGCAAATAAAATAGAGTTTTAAACACTGGTGTTTTATATTTCCACTGCTGCTTCTACCAACTAATTAAGTAAAATTATCACTTTTGAATTGGGTTAGACAAAATAGGGAAAATTCTTACTCCTTCCTTTCCTCTTTTTTTTCTTTAAAATTATAGCCATACCTTAAAGTACTATTGAATTAATATTATGACATTTTTGGAATGGCAGCAGTTCTAATTTCTATCCTTTCTTCTTTAAATGTGAGAACTTATAGCTACCTAATTTTGTCTTCTGTGATTTTACCATCTCTTTTTAAAGCATGTTTTAAATTGACTTCTATAAATAGGTAAACTTGTAGTATTCTTAATCTCAGTATAAAAATGCTAAATTCTATTTTTAAAATAAAGTTGATATTCTCAGTTAATTCAAAATTATTAGTTCAAAAAAATTAAGGAATGTTTTCAATTCCTTCTAAAATGAGTACTGAAACAATTACTTAATTTTTTATACAGTACACTTTCTTCACTCTGAAGAGGCAAAAACGTTAAAAATCATTTGCTAGGTGATAAAATCGTATTTAATTTTGGAAGGATATTTTATTGGAAACATAAAGAATGCCTTATAAAACTTTCCACCTTGTTCCTTTTATGGTGGGAGATTATACAGCATTTTAAATATTAGTTTTATAAAAAACCTTCTTTGGTAGAATTGAGTCTAAAGGCAAGAAACATTTACTTACAGCTCATGAAAAGCAGAGAAAAATTACTTTCTGATTTTCATTTTATGGTAATAATGTTATGTAAGTTTTTTACCTGGATGTTCCTTATCTTAAAATAACTACACCCAAATCTACTACTTTTTAATAGCATACATTCGAAAGGCCAATTGGTATATATCTTCCACTTCTGTAAGTTGTACTTGAAATAACATAGCATACCAAAAATTCATACTTTCCCCGAAATAAGTTGTATATAATATACAAGTATAAATATCATTCCATAATGGACTGTTACCAATATGTATATGTGTAGAATATATATGTATATGTGCATATATATCAATATATAAATTCATATATGGATATATACTTGATACATGTCTGTAATACTTAAAGTAAAAGATTGTTTCTAGATACTGTTTATTAATTGCTTTTAGAATGCTTTCTATCTAACAGCTATATAAAATAACAGCAATGGCTTGTAGATTAGTTAACTTATAACCTTAAAGTTAATTTATTTCATTGCAATCATTTAGATTATACTCTCAGGTAGTGATGGCAAAAATTTAAATCATTGCTTTTATTTCTGCAAGGAATTAAGAATACTACAGTGTTATCCATCACATGACATTACTCTCTATACTTTATACAACATAATTTACAAATATTTAAAGATGCTTATTGCATGATGTCTAGACTTTGGAACTGATTTCTTTTTCTTTTCCTTTCTCTTGCTTCAGATGTTCATCAAGTACATAAAGGTTAGCAACCTTCTCTTTTGCACTATTAAATAACAGGGCATGGCGTATTAATGCATTACAAAAACTTTACAAGTATTGATTTTGGGGAAAATAAGGACTTTATAGAAATGTTTAGAAATGTTATAATGAAAAAACTGAGTATATTGTTAGATAATCTTACATGCTCTCTGCTGGCTTCCCATTTTATGTGCTTTTATTCTTTAGGTTGAGTTGCTATCACATTTTGGATCAGAGCACTTTTGTCCATTAAGCCTTATAAGGTAATGCAGAACAAAATACATTTATTGAGTTTTTAAAAAAATTGATATACAAAATTTTCGATATATTTAAAGTGAAGAAATAATTTTCTCTTACGTGAGTTAATACCATAGAAATAAAAACTGTGAAACCTTTCTTTTGAATGCATTTTGGAAAAATGTCAAAATATCCTCTTTTAAAAAAAAAACCTCATTTTGTATATTTGTTTTAACTTGCTTGCTATTTTGCTATGATGATAATACACAGAAACGTTTTAGACTGATATGAAAACTCATCCATTTAAATGCCTTAAATAGATTAGTTTTACATTTTAATTGAAACAGTAGATGACTTAAATGTAAGGAGCAGCCATTATTTTTGAGTCCAAAAGCCAGTGGCCCTCAAAATATGACCAAAGTTGATGTTTGTCATTTATTGTGAAGAGATTAGTCTTAACGAGTGTTTTGTTTTGGAAGTCTTTAATGAAATTGTTGTTGATAGGGTATTTGGCACTAGCATGGTGGAAGAATATGAAGAAATTGCTGATTCCCAGTATCACTCAGAACGCCAGGAACTATTTGATGAGGACTATGGTAAGTGACATCAAACAGATGACTGTTAGGTATATTTTTTTTACTTTTTAAAAATCGAATAGTAATGGGGGAGTATAGCTTACTTAAATCAATATGACTGTTGTCTTCAGGCTTTTGTTTTGTTGTTTTTAACTCTAATCAACTTTTACTTAAATCTGTTTTCTAATATGATTGCTTTGTATTCGTATTGCTTTCCAAGCTTATCTATCACTTATTTGTAACTGAAACTCCCTTCTATAACATTAATGGTATAAATTATGATTATATCCCTATGCCAGGGCCAAAAATCTGTTAAACTCACAAGATACTGAAATAGTAGAAATGAGCTTTAATGCCTGTGATTTCCCATGAGCCTAAGAGCAAGCACATTTTGGCTTCCTGTGAGCCATTGAGAAATCCTGTGACTCTAAAGAGTTAGAGGAAAGTTTTATGACACTCTCCATTTCCTCTTTAAGTCCTTATTTTAAGATGTGTTAAACTATTGTTTGAACAATCTAAATTTTCTCAAGAGTGAAATGAAGACATTGACTAAGAGTTGGTAAAGTATATTGAAAGCTTGAATAAAAACGTCTTATAAATGTGGTTAAAATTTTGGTAAGCATTACAGTTATTTTCCTTGGTTTATATTTGTTTGTTAAATGGTTTCTTAATCTTACATGCTTTTTGTGAACATGTTTTAGATATATGATTCATATTTATCATAAAATGTTTTAAATGTCAGCTGACTTTGACAGGACATAATTTGAGCTTTTAAATATGTTACCATTGGAGCTAGATCTCAGCATAATTACTTTTATTTTCGTTTTTAACAGATTATCCACTGGATTATAATACTGGAGAGGATAAATCCTCAAAAAATCTTCTTGGTTCTGCTACAAGTGAGTATTTTGAGGATTTTCTATTCATTCTACTACTTTTTCATTCTGACACACACAGACATTTTGTCATGGTATGGTTGAGGAGAATTCTCCCAGTGTTGAACTTTGAGTTGAAATAAAAGATACTGTCTTTTGAAAAGTATTTTTATAGAAATGCGATAAGAATATATGAAAAGAAAGAGGAGAGAGACAAATGCAATCGTAATAAAGGTGTTTCTTCTACTCTAATTAGGCGCTGACATTTTGGGACAGATTCCTTATAGTGAAGAAAGGGCTATGGATTTTCTTGGGGAAAGAATTATTAAAACAGTCATACCACAGTTAATCTATGGGTATGGTTAGTTTGCCATTTAGTTACAAAATATAAAGGGTGCTCCTACCATCATGATAATGAATACCAATAAGAATACTAGTAATAATATACTCCTTGTAAACTAAGAAACAATGAATAAGATATACTGGTGCTTTAGTTTGTTGTTATTCCAAAGTCGAATCCCAACCTAGTGGTAGGCTCACTAAGGAGACTACTAGAAAGACCATTACCTGACTGACACTTTATTTTTCATGGTTAGATTCTGTGTAGGTATATTTCAATGATGTTTTTGATTATTTCTGAAAAATGTAAAATTAACTACAAGTAGTTTTCTTTTTATTTGAAAATTATTAATCAAATTTAATAAAAACAAATCTTAGTAAAATCGAAGACTAGTTGCGTGTGCTTGTCACTTTTTGCTCTTAGTGAATTGAATTGTTGAATACCGATGTCTGTGAACATTGACTTTGTAAGTTTTTTAGCTATTCAACCAGTAGTCTAAATACTTAGGTTGATATTTTGTGTAGCCACAGTATATAGAGTTAAAATTACCTCTTTCATCTCTCCTTCTAGCCTTTTCTTTCTTTCTTTCCTTTCTTTTCTTTCTCTTCCTGCCTTCCTTGCCTTCCTTGCCTTCTTCCCCCTCCATAGAAGAGTATAGACCTCAGTGGACTTTTTAGGGGATGGGAAAAAGAGTGTTAAAAATACCTGTAGAAGGAAAATCTTTTGTGATTACAAAGTAATATTCAACTTTATTACATATCAGTTCAGTATATTTTGTTTTACTTTATTGCTAGGCTTCTGACTTTCTAGATATTAGTGATTACTTTTAAATAGGATTCCTAGCTATCTAGTTATTGATATAAAAATAAGTCTTATTCACTGCTATGTGATGTATTTTTTAGGAGTGAAAGAAATGTCTTATCTGTCTGGATATTAATGTTTTTGTTTCCCTTAATTTGCATTTTATATGTTACATAGTAGTCATTATTCTGCCATTTATGTAGCTCAGTAATGTTGAATTAGCTCTGAGGAAGCATTATTATTTTATGGGGTCAGAAAATAGCCCCAGACTAAAAGATCTCTAGCTTCTGGTAGGTACTGGAAAAAAGAGGACACCTTAAGGAAATAATGTCTTATTGTAGTTTCAGATAAAGGAAAAGTGTGTTGATATTCTGGATTTTCTTGCTATATCTTCCTATGTGGTTAACTTCTAGATGCCATTAAAACCTAACCATAGGCCAGGCACAGCGGCTCATGCTTGTAATCCCAGTACTTTGGGAGGCCTAGATAGGCGGATGACCTGAGGTCAGGAGTTTGAGACCAGCCTGGCCAACATGGTGAAACCCCATCTCTACTAAAAATACAAAAATTAGCCAAGCATGGTGCGTGCGCCTATAATCCCAGCTACTCCAGAGCTGACGCAGGAGAATCGCTTGAACCCAGGAGGCGGAGGTTGCTGTGAGTTGAGATCGCACCACTGCACTCCAGCCTGGGGGACAGAGTGAGACTCTGTCTCAAAAACAAAACAAAACAAAACAAAACAAAAACCTAATCATATATCAGGGGAAGACATTTCCCTGTTTGTATTCATGTCTCTGATCAGTATATCAATTAATTAGACATAGAATCTTGTTTAGATACTTCTGTTTGGATCTTTCTCCTTGAAGGTATATCACTTAATTTTCCTTTTACAGATCTCTGGGAGGGCAAGGTTATCTTCCAGTGTTCTAGGTATTGAAAGAATTTATACAGTGAGATAAGATGGGTGGGAGGATGTCAGCTGAGTCTCTAAAATGAGATTTAAAATGATCTCCACCTCCTGAAGTTTTAGAACAAGAGAGGCAGTAAGAGCTGAGTGATAAGACTTTATTGTCATAAAACTTTATAGACTTGGCCTAACACTGCTGCCTTCTGTATCTGTGTCCTTCTACTCTTCTCTGAAGTTTGGGACTGAATTAGCTATAGCCTCCAAGGTGGTATAACTTGAAGAAGTAAATAATAAAGTGGAATCAGAACTTCAGTAGTTCTGATTCAAAGAACTGGTCTTTGGCACAAGAATGTCTTGAGTTTGACTATAATCATCACTGCTTTCTAAATTAGCTTGAAATTGGCCCATTTTGAAACTAGTTTTTTTTCTTGTTTTTAATGTGTACATAGTATCCACAAGCTAGAATTGTCTTTAATCTTAATAGAAACTCCTTTTCTTTTTGCTCTCAAGTAGTTACTAGTTATAGGAAATATGTCACCAGAATACTTTGCCTGTGCTGAGAGTTGGATGTCAAAGAGCATCCACACTGCATAAACATTCTTGATATTATATAATTTACTTAACTACTAAAAAGGGAGAAGCTGTTATCTTAGAGCAGCATTCTTGGCTTTGTGTGTATGGCTTCCTGATTCTTTTGTTTACATTCTTGAACTAAAACATTTAAATCTTTTACATCAGCAAGATTTCTCCATATCACTCTGATTTTCTTGTTCTTTGTCATGTGAATTTGCCAGACCTCTGCCTACTTTGATATTGGCGCAGGTCTGCCTTTGCTCTTAAATATGTGGTTTTGGTTTTTGTTAAAATCACCCTATCTGCTAAAGGGAGATAGGTGCATGTGCATGTTGAAGAGAAAATGTAGTTTTTACTTCTCAAGTATTTTTTGTGGAAAAAAAGTAGATCCTAGAAGGACCATTTTCCTAGAAAATGTGGGCATGCTTCAGAGATAGTACACATAGGAGGAAGTCTTTTTTTGTTGGTTTATCTTCTGTTGTATTATATAAACTCTTCAACTTCAGCAGCCTGGAAAAATGTTTGTTTTCTTTATCAAAAAGAGACATTGGAGCACTGAAGACTGAGTAAATAATATGGAGATATTTGGTCTTTAGGACCAAATATTAGGAGCATTTTATTCCTAAAGGAATGAGGCGGGATGAATAAGTTGCCCAATTCAAAAATTTAAAAGTTGACTAATCCAGGAGAAATTAGGGATATTTATCTCTAGTTTGGCAATTATATTCAAAGATGTCATTTTAGTCTATTCTGAAAGTTTTTTAATGGCCAGATAATCATGGTGTATACAAACTATCATGTGTTTAGATACAAATTGAAAATAGAATAGAATATTCACAATTCTGCTTTCTCTCAAAAGACAAAAAAGATACATTAGGCAGTGTTCTGTAAACATGGGAAAATTATTTTAGGTTAAATGGGCTGAGAAGAAATTTGCTAAATTTTGCTTTTGTTACCACGTTTCCTGAAATGATGATAATAAATAATATTTTAAAAGGGTGAATAGAAGGATCTTTATTGTAGGTACTGGTGTTAAAATTTAGGTTCAGAAATAATACTGTAAAGCTACTTTCTTTACACAGATTAACACATTTATCTTCTTGAATTATTTAATAATGAATGTCAAAAAATTCGAAATCTCATATAAGATCTCACTTTGAAACAAAGTATATAAACTGTTGATTGCACAATTTGGGTTTTGTGAAGCAGTCAGTTTTGACTATAGGTGGCAGTGTAGGTGGGGCATCATAAATAATATTGCAGTATTGGTTGGCATTATAAAGGGTGTATGAGGAAATAACAGTTTCCATTCCAGACTTCATCTTGGTTTATGAGGGAATACGGAGTTTCCATTTTTGTTATCTCATACCGCAGCATCTCTTTAGCTTAAGTAAGAATTAAGGCCACTTCTGTTTATCAGTTTGCCAGGTCAAAGGGCAATATTAAAAATGTTATTTAAACATTTTAAAATGGCAAATATTGAGCCTTTGTGTGTTACAGTAATGATTAGAAACAAAGTACCACTGCTTTGTTGACTTTCAGCGTATACACTCATAATTTCGTGAAGATCAACATTATGGCTGATTCCTAGCTATCACTTTAAAGCAGTTTGAAATCTGCTACTATTTCTCCCATCCTGAAGCATATATTTACAGGATGAGCTCCAGGCAGCACTCTTTGGTTTACTTGCAACCTTCCTGATGTAGTAGATTTTTCTCTCTTAGATCCTTTTCTACTTTTCACATCTCTGGTTTTCATTGAAAATATGATGAATACTCTGTGGATCGCTTTAGGAAGGGAGATTAAGACAGAAATAATGTATGATGATTAATATGTAGCCCCTGCCAGATCTTAGTATTTTAATAGTAGGAGTATCTGATACCAAAGAATTAACTTCTAGTGGAATTTCAAAGGTTAGACTGGGAATGAAAGTTAATTTCACTTGAAATTACATCACATTACTGGAAGGAAGGTCTTCTATTCCCAGTACCATTTTTTATGGAGTTCTGATATTTTGTTATGCTCATGTATAAATATATCTATGTAGATATTGAGGTTTGTACCACTTTTTTCATGTAAATATCCTCCTTCAAAAGAGAAGTAGGGTTAGCAGGTATGCAAATTGCTTTTTACAACACTTTGTTTTATGACCTTGACTTTTCATTAATCTGCCCCATACCTGTCCCCAGCCAATTAACTAAAGAATTTGTATGCTTTATGATTTAAAAAGATTGCTGTTTTGGTCAATGAGTTTTTTAAAAGTCATCAAAGAGATTTGATTCTATGCAATATCAATTTAGAATTTAACCATATTACCATAGATATGATAGGCTAATCATTGAAAATGTTTTCTGCTTTTTTTTGGATAATCTCTGTTTTGTTTTTACCTGTGATAATCACATAATGTAGGAAAAGCATTTGCTTTTTTACACTTTTTTAAAATTTTAAACTGTAGAGAATTTTTAAAGAAAAATAGGTTTTTCTGTAAAATAAGAATTTTGGTCATCACATTTTTTTCCCTGTCCCAGTACAGACTGTATGTTGAGTTATACTTGAGTTTATAGTATGCTGAAGACAGTGTTTTGGTAAAGTGTCTAGGGAAGTTTTACAAGAAAAGTATATTTAAGGCCAGGCGCGGTGGCTAACAGCTGTAATCCTAGCACTTTGAGAGGCTGAGGTGGGCAGATTTCCTCAGCTCAGGAGTTTGAGAGCAGCCTGGGCAACACAGTGAAACCCTGTCTCTACTAAAATACAAAAAATTAGCTGGACGTGGTGGCATGTGCCTGTAGTCCCAGCTACTCGGGAGGCTGAGGCAGGGGAATTGCTTGAACCTGGGAGGCAGAGGTTGTTGCAGTGAGCCGAGATTGCACCACTGCACTCCAGCCTGGGCAACAGAGCAAGACTCCGTCTCCAAAACGAAAAGTATATTTAAATATAAAATTCCTTTTGAACATAAAAATTTAGATACACACTTTACACTTTTGGCTAAAATTTATTTGTGTCCTATATTGGACTTTAGTTGTGAGGTGAATACAAAAGTAACCAGTCAAAAAATGCAAAAGATCATTCTAAATGATTTTTTGACTATCTGATATTAATTTATATTAGAATATTTAGGTATTTGGTACTTTTTCTGATTGAATTTTGTTTTAGATGCCATTCTAAATATGGTGAATATTGCTGCTAATATTCTGGGAGCAAAAACTGAAGACCTGACAGAAGGTACCTAATCATTTTATGGGTCTTTTAAATAGCTGGTACTCCAGGGATCCTTATATTTAGGAAAATCAAGTAATGAGTTAAGAAAATTTGATTGTTTACATTTAGAAATATAGAAATAATTCAGAGGAACTTACCAATCTTTATTATTCATTGTTTATTTGAATTTCACAAGTTCTGTTTTATAAAAGAATACTGTCTATATAAAACTTATGAATTTGCCTTTTGACTTCTCCTAGCTCTAATATTAATAGCAATGATTTTATTCCTTATCTCTTTACCGAGATTTTGATGTCCTAATGGTACTTCAAGTATGTTATTCTTTTATGTGTTAAATAGCTACTTGATTTAGAAAGCCATCTTTTCCTTAGAGAATGACAGATGATAATATTTTTGGCAAGAAGAAACAGTCTTGCCTTTTTGTTTTTTTAAAAAATGCTTAGATCCAAGTGAACACTTAAAATGACTCATTTATTTCCTCTCATTTAACAACTCTTTCAGTATCTAGAAGGCATATTAATCACGTAAGGTTACACAACATTCATAGTCACCTGACTTGATTTAATTATCTGAGAAATTGAGAAACGATATATATTACTTGTGATCTTATATGATCATTTCTTCCTAAAAGAACTTTGATTTTTTAAGAAAAAGTCTGCAGTAGCAAACCTATTTGGCTTTTTTCTTCTCTTCCAAGAAATTTGTTTTAGTAAAATATTTTCATGGTACAGCTTTTAAAATTGAACTCAACATTGGGCATCTTTCTTAAAATAGGAAATAAAAGTATATCTGAGAATGCCACTGCCACAGCTGCACCTAAAATGCCTGAATCAACTCCTGTTTCAACTCCTGTTCCATCTCCTGAGTAAGTTATAATGTGATATTAAATAGAATTTTGTTACAATGGAGAGATAAGTATATTAGTATAAAAAAAGGAATTTGTGATTTGTGTGTGAAATGATTACCTGTAGAGAGCTCTGAATCATAGGATAGACATTCTGTGGCCACTTAGAAAATCTGAGTTGCTTCTTCCCATTAGTGTATATGCATACTGGGAATATAATTCAGATCAAACTTTTTTTGGGGGGGGTATTATATATTACTTTCATTATTCACAACAGTGACTCTTTTCCATACTGGAAATAATTGACCTTACTCTGCAGGTATAGGCTTGAGGACAAATTTTAAAGGCCCCCCCTTTTTTTTATTAAGTTCAAGTTTAAAAGCATTGATCTGTGGTATCCCTAGAAAGCTACCAAAATACCTAGAGCAGTGGTTCTTGAATAATGTATTTGCCACACAGCAAGCTCTTAACTGTTCCATTTCTCTGAATCATGTAGGCCTTTCCCCAGGTTGCAGTGGGGACACTTTGGGCAGGGATGTATCTAAATAGGTAATAGATATATCTTTTACCTTTTTTGTCTTTTCTGCCAGAGGTGGTTACTTTAGTTGGTACCTCTACTTCTTACCTATAATAAATAATAAGCTTATAATGATTTGGATAATCAGGTAGTTATTGTAGACTTAATTTATGTATATTTCATTAGATACACTCCCTACAAAACTTTGCAAGTCCTTTATCTTAGAACAACTCTACTTAAAGAGTATAAGATATTTGAAATGAACCACTTAGTTCAAGATAGTATGTAATGAGACCTGCAGTGGGTATGCTTTGAACTGCAATTCCTGAGAACTATACTATTTCAAAAATGATATTTTGATGCTTTGAAAGGCATAGTGAGAAAATTATATTATCCTGTGTTAATCCTGAAAGTTACTGGAGATATTTATTGGGTAATTAGAAAATATAGCGTATGTGTTATTGATTCTGAAAAGGACCTAAGAAATCTATTGGGGATAGAGACATTCTTGGTGTTTCTAATTATGTGGAGCTGTGATTGCTGTTCCTGATTTTGTAACTAGGTTTCTTCAGTTAACAACACGCTATGTCGTATTTTTCAAAACTAAATAAAACTGATTTGGTTTTTTATATATATATGTACACACTTTCATACACATATGTGCACAAGTAGGAATATTTGTTGAAAGCTGTAGTCACAGGCTAACGTAGCAGTTTTTATTTTTCCATATTAGTTTTTTAATAGATATTTTTGCATAATTTCTTATTCAGTATTTCTTCATGTTTGTCTTAAATTCTTTTTAATGCTTTTGAAGTAATCTTTTGAAGCAAATATGTGAAAATGAAGGAATCCATGATAGGATGTCACTGTTAAAGTTACGGAAAGCCAACTTATTTTCTTTTCCTAGGTTTTAGTAGGTTTTGCCATGTGAATTTGAGAAAAAACTTTTAAAGTATATTTCTGATTACAGTGTGTATGATGGGATATAACATCTGTATTCAGTATTTTTTACCAAATTCAATATAATTTTTCTCTCTCCCCTTCTTCAGACATTACTTGTTTTTACTGTCATAAATTATTTGGTAGAAAAGCAATATATTACCTGAATATGTAAGAAATATTATTAGAGACTAAATATATATGGCTATAAATATCTTTTTATTTACCGAAGTGTAGTCTAATTATGTTTTAATTTGGTCCATTTACTGTTTTACTACCAAAATGAAAGTCTACATCATAGATACTATTTTATTACTTTCTTCTGTCTTTGCTATTGTGACATTAGTCTTTATTTGAAGACATTTCCTGGCATGCTTAGTAATTTTTCAGAATGGGAAAATGTGTGTTTGAGCATAATTATTTTTGGTATTGAAATTACCATATTTTTTCATATTGGACTTTTTATGTATAAGGCTACACCCAGTAATTAACTATCTTTATCTTGGAAGGAATCACAAGCATTATAATTTATAACACTGTCCCCATAAGCTTCATCCCCCCACTCTCCTGTATGCCACATACATACTCCACAGCCTCAAAATGGGATAGAATATTAATAGTGGCACTAGTAGTTTAATAGCAGCACTGTTAGCATATCATAAGCCAGAATTGTTATTAAAGTGGTTAGGTATTTGGCTTAGAAGATTAGCCTAGATGATAGCAAAATTATTTTAGGAAGGGAGATATGTTTCTTGTCCTTAAAGTAGATAATCCTATGTGTGTAGGTGTGTGTGTGCGTTGTGTGTTTAATGCTGTATTGGAGTTCCTCAAATCATTCTTAGAAAAATTATGTTTGAGACCAACCTAGCTGCCTTTTGAAAATAGGGTATTCAAGTACAAAGTGCACTCATAAATATTAAGAATCCTAGATTCTAGTTTTAGCTCTGGACCTTATTTAAGCTAGTTTATTAAGCTAGCTCTTAGTTGGCTTAATTTCTGATGTGTAAGGGATAGTGAAGCTTGTAAAGATTCAGTGAATATTTATGAGAGGAAAGGAACACTACATTCAGTGAATGGAAGTATTCACTTAGAAACAATTCTTAAACAGATTAAAAGAAAGCAAGTTTGATATGGTAAATATGGTGGTTTGAGTCATCTGGCTAGTCACTTGATAAATAGTATTTCTCTTATCATTTCTGAGCAGTATTTGTTTTTATAATAAAAGTGTTTTGTAGGTGAAACATTTATCCAAAAACAAATTTCTTCTATATTTCCAACCTTTTATCTTCTGTATGGATACATTTATTTTTCTTTAACATATTTCAACTTTAGACTTCTAAGTAAGTGATTTATAATTATGATATATGTATTTCTAGGTATGTAACCACTGAAGTACACACACATGACATGGAGCCGTCAACACCAGATACTCCAAAAGAGAGTCCCATTGTACAGTTAGTTCAAGAGGAGGAAGAGGAGGCAAGTCCATCTACAGTGACCCTTCTGGGCAGCGGTGAACAGGAAGATGAATCATCACCCTGGTTTGAGTCAGAGACACAAATATTTTGCAGTGAACTGACCACAATTTGTTGTATTTCTAGTTTTTCAGAATACATATATAAATGGTGTTCAGTTAGAGTTGCTCTTTATCGGCAGCGCAGCCGAACTGCTTTGAGTAAAGGAAAAGATTATCTTGTGTTAGCTCAACCACCCTTACTACTTCCTGCGGAATCAGTAGATGTTTCAGTATTGCAACCTCTGAGTGGAGAATTGGAAAATACGAATATAGAAAGGGAAGCTGAAACTGTTGTTCTGGGTGATTTAAGTAGTAGTATGCACCAGGATGACTTGGTGAATCACACTGTAGATGCAGTTGAACTTGAACCAAGCCATTCTCAAACTCTTTCTCAGTCTCTTCTTTTAGATATTACCCCAGAAATCAATCCCTTGCCTAAAATAGAAGTATCTGAGTCTGTTGAATATGAGGCAGGACATATACCATCACCAGTGATTCCCCAAGAGAGTTCTGTTGAGATCGATAATGAAACAGAACAAAAGTCTGAGAGCTTTAGTTCTATAGAGAAACCATCTATTACCTATGAAACAAATAAAGTTAATGAGTTAATGGATAATATTATAAAAGAAGATGTGAACTCCATGCAAATTTTCACAAAGCTGTCTGAAACAATAGTGCCACCAATAAATACAGCCACTGTACCCGACAATGAAGATGGGGAAGCCAAAATGAATATAGCTGACACAGCAAAGCAAACTTTGATTTCTGTTGTGGATTCTTCTTCATTACCTGAAGTAAAAGAAGAAGAACAGTCTCCAGAAGATGCCCTTTTGAGAGGGTTACAGAGGACAGCTACAGATTTTTATGCTGAATTGCAAAATTCTACAGATCTAGGATATGCTAATGGAAATCTTGTACATGGATCAAACCAAAAGGAGTCAGTATTTATGAGACTTAATAATCGTATTAAAGCCTTAGAAGTTAACATGTCTCTCAGTGGTCGCTATCTGGAGGAGCTTAGCCAAAGGTAAGCTTTATTATGAATTAGCACAGTCAGCTTCACACAGTGAGTTAAGCAGCATAGAGTATGACCTGTGATTACAGGAGAGGATTTAATTATCTCATGATATAATAGAGGTAAGCGCAATTTTAGCAAGAGAGAGAAAGAAAGCTACTTGAATGCTGATCAGTGCCTTAATGAATTGATTTTTTGTTTTTAATTTTAAAAGTACTTTCCAGTGACAAAACACTTTTATTAGGCTGGCAACAAGTTTGAATTATCTATACTCACTTTCACCTTTTTTCGGTTGCTTAACTTTAGCCACTTTTTCTGCTTGATTCCCAGAGGGCTCATGGAAAAAAATGATAGTATATAGACCTTAAAGCTTTTAGTGGAATTTGACCAGATATCACTTAAGAGTTTAGATAAGTGAAGACAGAGATGGACTGAACTGGATGATTGGGCACATTTGCAGTTTGCTCTCTTTTAAACAGGTCTCGGCATCCTAGTTCTAGTTGTAATAATTTCTGCTTTTAAGTGCCAGAGACAGTGCCAATTCATTAAGACACCAGGCCTGGCTTTTTAAACCTATTTACTCTTTTTTTTATCCTCTGTGTGTCCATTGTCTGTCCTTAGGGCTTCTCTACCAACGTTTTGCAAACATCTAGGCACAAGTGTCCAGAGTTCCTGAAACACCACCTTTTCTTACATCTCTTAAATTGAAATGCCACTAATAAGGTGTCACCAAGGCAGTCTTATATCTGAAGTAGGAAATTTTTCTAATCCATACATAGAATTAATTGGCTAATCATGTGTGTGTGTGTGTTCATGTGTAACATGCCCACTTAGCTACCCCATACCTGCTCTTACTTTTCCCTACCTCCATCTGCATCCCAAGGGAACCACAGAAATTACTAAATTTTACATAGCAGAAGATAAATAGAATTGTATTGCATAGGCCTGAATAAGAGTCACTTTCAGAAAAATAGATTTGTCTCATATATCAAAATCAGAAGTATGTTTCCATTACTAAGTGGAATAAGTAAGAAATTAAAGCTGATTTAGACCAATTCTTACTTCATAGGTACCGAAAACAAATGGAAGAAATGCAAAAGGCTTTCAATAAAACAATCGTGAAACTTCAGAATACTTCAAGAATAGCAGAGGAGCAGGTTGGTTTCTACATCCCTTATTTACTTTTTATATAAATTTCCACTGAATTCTGTAGGGTCTCACTGGTAAACAGTAAGTATTGTAGTTTCACTTTTTCCCCCTGCTAGCTGGTGTTTAAGCCTGTTATATTAATGTGATGTCATGTTTGGAAAGTTACATAGCTATTAGCATCATTATCTTCTGTAGAGAAAGATTTGTTTAATTTTTTTTTTAATTATACTTTTAAGTTCTAGGGTACATGTGTACAACGTGCAAGTTTGTTACATATGTATACAAGTGCCATGTTGGTGTGCTGCTGCTGTACCCATTAACTCGTCATTTATATTAGGTATATCTCCTAATGCTATCCCTCCCCCCTCCCCCCACCCCACAACAGGCCCTGGTGTGTGATGTTCCCCACCCTGTGTCCAAGTATTCTCATTGTTCAATTCCCACCTATGAGTGAGAATGTGCAGTGTTTGGTTTTCTGTCCTTGTGATAGTTTGCTCAGAATGATGGTTTCCAGCTTCATCCATGTCCCTGCAAAGGACATGAACTCATCCTTTTTTATGGCTGCATAGTATTCCATGGTGTATATGTGCCACATTTTCTTAATCCAGTCTATCATTGTTGGACATTTGGGTTGGTTCCAAGTCTTTGCTATTGTGAATAGTGCCACAGTAAACATACGTGTGCATGTGTCTTTATAGCAGCATGATTTATAATCCTTTGGGTATATACCCAGTAATGGGATTGCTGGGTCAAATGGTATTTCTAGTTCTAGATCTCTGAGGAATCGCCACACTGTCTTCCACCATGGTTGAACTAGTTTACAGTCCAACCAGCAATGTAACAGTGTTCCTATTTCTCCACATCCTCTCCAGCACCTGTTGTTTCCTGACTTTTTAATGATTGCCATTTTAACTGGTGTGAGATGGTATCTCATTGTGGTTTTGAATTGCATTTCTCTGATGACCAGTGATGATGAGCATTTTCTCATGTGTCTGTTGGCTGCATAAATGTCTTCTTTTGAGAAGTGTCTGTTCATATCCTTTCCCTACTTTTTGATGGGGTTGTTTGATTTTTTCTTGTAAATTTCAGTTCTTCGTAGATTCTGGATATTAGCCCTTTGTCAGATGGGTAGATTGCAAAAATTTTCTCCCATTCTGTAGGTTGCCTGTTCACTCTGATGGTAGTTTCTTTTGCTGTGCAGAAGCTCTTTAGTTTAATTAGATCTCATTTGTCAATTTCAGCTTTTGTTGCCATTGCTTTTGGTGTTTTAGTCATGATGTCCTTGCCTATGCCTATGTGCTGAATGGTATTGCCTAGGTTTTCTTCTAGGGTTTTTATGGTTTTAGGTCTAACATTTAAGTCTTTAATCCATCTTGAATTAATTTTTGTATAAGGTGTAAGGAAGGGATCCAGTTTCAGCTTTCTACATATGGCTAGCCAGTTTTCCTAGCACCATTTATTAAATAGGGAATCCTTTCCCCATTTCTTGTTTTGGTCAGGTTTGTCAAAGATCAGATGGTTGTAGATGTGTGGTATTATTTCTGAGGGTTCTGTTCTGTTCCATTGGTCTATATCTCTGTTTTGGTACCATTACCATGCTGTTTTTGTTACTGTAGCCTTGTAGTATAGTTTGAAGTCAGGTAGCATGATGCCTCCAGCTTTGTTCTTTTTGCTTAGGATTGTCTTGGCAATGTGGGCTCTTTTTTGGTTCCTTATGAACTTTAAAGTAGTTTTTTCCAATTCTGTAAAGAAAGTCATTGGTGGCTTGATGGGGATAGCATTGAATCTATAAATTATCTTGGGCAGTATGGCCATTTTCACGATATTGGTTCTTCCTACCCATGAACATGGGATGTTCTTCCATTTGTTTGTGTCTTCCTTTATTTCCTTCAGCAGTGGTTTGTAGTTCTTGAAGAGTTCCTTCACATCCCTTTTAAGTTGGATTCCTAGGTATTTTATTCTCTTTGAAGCAATTGTGAATGAGAGTTCACTCATGATTTGGCTCTCTGTTTGTCTGTTATTGGTGTATAGGAATGCTTGTGATTTTTGCACATTGATTTTATATCCTGAGACTTTGCTGAAGTTGCTTATCAGCTTAGGGAGATTTTGGGCTGAGATGATGGGGTTTTCTAAATATACAGTCATGTTATCTGCAAACAGGGACAATTTGACTTCCTCTTTTCCTAATTGAATACCCTTTATTTCTTTCTCCTGCCTGATTGCCCTGGGCAGAACTTCCAGCACTATGTTGAATAGGAGTGGTGAGAGAGGGCATCCTTGTCTTGTGCCAGTTTTCAAAGGGAATGCTTCCAGTTTTTGTCCATTCAGTATGATATTGGCTGTGGGTTTGTCATAAATAGCTCTTATTATTTTGAGCTACATCCCATCAATACCTAGTTAATTGAGAGTTTTTAGCATGAAGGGTTGTTGAATTTTGTCAAAGGCCTTTTCTGCATCTGTTGAGTTAATCATGTGATTTTTGTCTTTGGTTCTGTTTATATGATGGATTACATTTATTGATTTCCATGTGTTGAACCAGCCGTGCATCCCAGGGATGAAGCCAACTTGATCGTGGTGGGTAAGCTTTTTGATGTGCTGCTGGATTCGGTTTGCCAGTATTTTATTGAGGATTTTTGCATCAATGTTCATCAGGGATATTGGTCTAAAATTCTCTTGTTTTGTTGTGTCTCTGCCAGGCTTTGGTATCAGAATGATGCTGGCCTCATAAAATGAGTTAGGGAGGATTCCCTCTTTTTCTGTTGATTGGGACAGTTTCAGAAGGAATGGTACCAGCTCCTCTTTGTACCTCTGGTAAAATTCATCTGTGAATCTGTCTGGTCCTGGACTTTTTTTGGTTGGTAGGCTATTAATTATTGCCTCAATTTCAGAGCCTGTTATTGGTCTATTCAGAGATTCAACTTCTTCCTGGTTTAGTCTTGGGAGGGTGTATGTGTCCAGGAATTTATCCATTTCTTCTGGATTTTCTAGTTTATTTGCGTAGAGGTGTTTATAGTATTCTCTGATGGTAGTTTGTATTTCTGTGGGATTGGTGGTGATATCCCCTTTATCAATTTTTTTGCATCTATTTTTTTCTTCTCTCTTTTCTTCTTTATTAGTCTTGCTAGTGGTCTATCAATTTTGTTGATCTTTTCAAAAAACCAGCTCCTGAATTTATTGATTTTTTTTTTTTGAAGGGTTTTTTGTGTCTCTGTCTCCTTCAGTTCTGCTCTGATTTTAGTTATTTCTTGCCTTCTGCTAGCTTTTGAATGGTTTGCTCTTGCTTCTCTAGTTCTTTTAATTGTGATGTTAGGGTATCAATTTTAGATCTTTCTTACTTTTTCTTGTGGGCATTTAGTGCTATAAATTTCCCTGTACACACTGCTTTAAATGTGTCCCAGAGATTCTGGTATGTTGTGTCTTTGTTCTCATTGGTTTCAAAGAACATCTTTATTTCTGCCTTCATTTCGTTATGTACCCAGTAGTCATTCAGGAGCAGATTGTTCAGTTTCCATGTAGTTGAGCAGTTTTGAGTGAGTTTCTTAATCCTGAGTTCTAATTCGATTGCACTGTGGTCTGAGAGCCAGTTTGTTATAATTTCTGTTCTTTTACATTTGCTGAGGAGTGCTTTACCTCCAGCTATGTGGTCAATTTTGGAATAATTTTGTGGTGCCGAAAAGAATGTATATTTTGTTGATTTAGGGTGGAGAGTTCAGTAGATGTCTATTAAGTTGGCTCAGTGCAGAGCTGAGTTCAAGTCCTGGATATCTTTGTTAACTTTCTGTCTTATTGATCTGTCGAATGTTGACAGTGGGGTGTTAAAGTCTCCCATTATTGTGTGGGAGTCTGAGTCTCATTGTACATTGTAGGTCTCTAAGGACTTGCTTCATGAATCTGGGTGCTCCTGTATTGGGTGCATATATGTATTTAGGATGGTTAGCTCTTCTTGTTGAATTGATCCCTTTACCATTATGTAATGGCCTTCTTTGTCTCTTTTGATCTTTGTTGGTTTAAAGTCTGTTTTATCAGAGACTACGATTGTAACCCCTGCTTTTTTTTGTTTTCCATTTGTTTGGTAGATCTTCCTCCATCCCTTTATTTTGAGCCTGTGTGTGTCTCTGCACATGAGATGGGTCTCCTAAATACAGCACACTGATGGGTCTTGACTATCCAATTTGCCAGTCTGTGTCTTTTAATTGGAGCTTTTAGCCCATTTACATTTAAGGTTAATATTGTTATATGTGAATGTGATCCTGTCATTATGATGTTAGCTGGTTATTTTGCTCGTTAGTTCATGCAGTTTCTTCCTAGCCTTGATGGTCTTTACAATTTGGCATGTTTTTGCAGTGGCTGGTACCAATCGTTCCTTTCCACTTTTCGTGCTTCCTTCAGGAGCTCTTGTAAGGCAGGCCTGGTGGTGACAAAATCTCACGTTTGCTTGTCTGTAAAGCAGTTTGTTTCTCCTTCACTTATGAAGCTTAGTTTGGCTGGATATGAAGTTCTGGGTTGAAAATTCCTTTCTTTAAGAATGTTGAATATTGGCCCCCACTCTCTTCTGACTTGTAGAGTTTCTGCCAAGAGATCCACTGTTAGTCTGATGGGCTTCCCTTTGTGGGTAACCCGACCTTTCTCTCTGGCTGCCCTTAATATTTTTTCCTTCATTTCAACTTTGGTGAATCTGACAATTATGTGTCTTGGAGTTGCTCTTCTCGAGGAGTATCTTTGTGGCGTTCTGTGTATTTCCTGAATTTGAATGTTGGCCTGCCTTGCTAGGTTGGGGAAGTTCTCGTGGATAATACCCTGCAGCATGTTTTCCAACTTGGTTCCATTTTCCCCGTCACTTTCAGGTACACCATTCAAATGTAGATTTGGTCTTTTCACATAGTCCCATATTTCTTGGAGTCCTTGTTCATTTGTTTTTACTCTTTTTTTCTCTAAACTTCTCTTCTCGCTTCATTTCGTTCATTTGATCTTCAATCACTGATACCCTTTCCTCCACTTGATCGAATTGTCTACTGAAGCTTGTGCATGAGTCACGTAGTTCTCGTGCCATGGTTTTCAGCTCCATCAGATCAATTAAGGTATTCTCTATGCTGTTTATTCTAGTTAGCCATTCGTCTAATCTTTTTTCAAGATTTTTAGCTTCTTTGTGATGGGTTTGAACATCTTCCTTTAGCTCAGAGAAGTTTGTTATTACCAGTTGTCTGAAGCCTACTTCTGTGTACTTGTCAAAGTCATTCTCCATCCAGCTTTGTTCTGTTGCTGGCGAGGAGCTGCATTCCTTTGGAGGAGAAGAGGCGCTCTCATTTTTAGAATTTTCAGCTTTTCTGCTCTGGTTTCTCCCCATCTTTGTGGTTTTATCTTCCTTTGGTCTTTGATGATGGTAACGTACAGATGGGGTTTTGGTGGAATGTCCTTCCTGTTTGGTAGTTTTCCTTCTCACAGTCAGGACCCTCAGCTGCAGGTCTGCTGGAGTTTGCTGGAGGTCCACTCCAAACCCTGTTTGCCTGGGTATCACCAGTGGAGGCTGCAGAACAGCCAATATTGCAGAATGGCAAATGTTGCTGCCTGATCCTTCCTCTGAAAGCTTTGTCTCAGAGGGGCACCCGGCCCCATATGAGGTGTCAGTTGGCCCCTACTGCGAGGTGCCTCCCAGTTAGGCTACACGGGGGTCAGGGACCCACTTGAGGAGGCAGTCTGTTCATTCTCAGATCTCAAACTCCATGCTTGGAGAACCACTACTCTCTTCAAAGCTGTCAGACGGGGACGTTTAAGTCTGCAGAAATTTCTGCTGCCTTTTGTTCAGCTATGCCCTGCCCCCAGAGACGGAGTCTACAGAGGCAGGCAGGCCTCCTTGAGCTGCGCTGGGCTCCACCCAGTTCGAGCTTCCTGGCTGCTTTGTTTACCTACTCAAGCCTCAGCAATGGCAGATGCCCCTCCCCTAGCCTCACTGCTGCCTTGCAGTTCAATCTCAGACTGCTGTGATAGCAGTGAGCGAGGCTCCGTGGGCATGGGACCCTCCGAGCCATGCACGGGATATAATCTCCTGGTGTGCCATTTGCTAAGACCATTGGAAAAGCACAGTGTTAGGGTGGGAGCGTCTCAATTTTCCAGGTACCATCTGTCACAGCTTCCCTTGGCTAGGAAAGGGAATTCCCTCACCCTTGCACTTCCCGGGTGTGGCGGTGCCCCGCCCTGCTTTGGCTCACACTCCATGGGCTGCACCCACTGTCCAACAAGCCCCACTGAGATGAACCCAGTACCTCAGTTGGTAATGCAGAAATCACCCGTCTTCTGCGTCGCTGATGCTGGGGGCTGTAGACTGGAGCTGTTCCTATTCGGCCATCTTGGAACCTTCCAAGAAAGTTTTCTTTAGCATTATTCATAGTACATTGTGTGTGTGTGTTAAATAGAAACATAGAGGACTTTCCTGCAACTTTGTTAAACTCTAAAATATTTTTGTTTGTATTTTTTTTAATGTAGATAATCTTATTGACTGCAAGTAAGAACGGCTTTGTTTCTTCTTTTTGATCGTCATACCTTTTTTTTCCCCCTATCTCTTGGCTAGAGCCATATAGTGATACAATAGGACTGGTAATTATGACCGTTCCCCTATCTTGCTGATTTTAAGGGAACTATTCTAGTATTGCACCTCTAGTGTGATATGTGTGTTGTCACATAATAAAGAAATTTTACACTTTTCTAAAAGGTTATTTGGGTCTCGGGGATGGTGAAGTGAGGAGGCCTTATACTGCGGAGTTTTGTTAGGTGCATCTTACTTTCCTATTCATGGCACGTTATAAATTGGAGATACACTTTGCAAATATTTTCTCCCAATCCATTACTTGTTTTCTTATTCTCTTTACAGTGTGGTTTGAAGAGCAGAAGTTTTTGATTTGTTGAAGCCCAATATATCAGTTTTCTCTTTGCTCTATGAAATATTTGCCTAACGCAAAATCACAAAGATTTTTTCCTTTGTTTTTTCTAGAAGCTTAATAGTTTAGTTTTATATTAGGCCCATGATTCATTTTGAGTTAACTTTGATGTGTTACAGGGTATGGATCAAAGTTCTTTTTGGAAAGTCAGGGTTAGAAGAGCAAAGCATATAGACATCCATTTGTTCTAGAATCATTCGTTGGAATGAGCGTCCTTTCTCCACAGAATTTCCTTTGTATATTTGATAAAAATCAGTTAACCATATATATGTGGGTCTGTTTCTGGGCTTTTGTTCTATTGATCTGCTTGTCTATCTTTAAGGTAATAACACAATGTTATGTTTGTTGTAGCTTTATATTAACATTTTTAGTCAGCTAATGTTAAGTCCTCCAATTTTATTCTTTTACAAGATTGTTTTGGCTGTAGTAGTTTTTTGCGTTTCTGTGTGGATTTTAGGCTCAGCTTGTTAATCTCTACCAAAATTGAATCTTGATTGAGATTGTGTTGATGAATTTATAGATTAATTTGCATAATGTCATCTTAATATTAAGGCTTCTGACTCATGAACGCAGTGTGTTATTTAGCTTTCATTAGTTTGAATACGAAAGCCCCTTCCTCTGTATTTTCTCTTTGCTGATATGTAGCATCTATGTCTTGTGTCTCAAAGACTTATGTGAGTACTTTTCAACAATGTTGTATATTAATAGTATTGGAAGTTAATCCTGATTAGAAGTGTTAATCAACTTACTAACTTTAATAGCTTGTCCTTTAAATGTTTATAACTGTCTTGAATTCATCAGAGTCAAATGTAAGTCAGGATTCAAAAGAAACAATTTAAAAAGTCACATTTAGCATTTTGGAAAGATGAAGTAGGATAGAAAGTACCATAGTGGATCACAGTAAGGGAAGTAAGTGAAATATTTTGTTACAGTTTTATACACCCCCCCTCTCCACACACAGGTACACAGCTTTTTAAAAAAGTTTTTGAATCAAAATATGAAAAACTTAGGTCTAGAATAATAAATAGCTATGTAGATATTTCATATAAGGTCCTAAAAGAGTTTTAGATTTCCTTGACTTCTTCCTGCCCTCGTTTCCTCCTCCCTAACTTTATTAAAAGTTCAAATTTTCGACCATCCTGGCTAACACGGTGAAACCCCGTCTCTACTAAAAATACAAATAATTAGCCGGGCATAGTGGCGGGCACCTGTAGTCCCAGCTACTCGGGAGGCTGAGGCAGGAGAATGGCATGAACCCGGGAGGCGGAGCTTGCAGTGAGCTGAGATTGCGCCACTGCACTCCAGCCTGGGCGACAGAGCGAGACTCCGTCTCAAAAAAAAATAAAAGTTGAAATTTTCAGTTAAAGTCTCCCTAATACAGGGTCATAACTATGATTGTGATGTAGAATTCCCTAAAGTATGCATACAAACTATATTATAAATAAGACATCTTTGTTGATTATAAAAGTTTCTAAAATTCAGTGCTGCCTAAAACAGATGGAAAGATAGGCATTTTTGATGCATTTCTTTCATTGGTGATATTTTAGCATTGGTTGGATGAACAATTATGGATATTTCACTATGTACCATCCTAAGTTCCAATATAATATGCTATGAAGGAAATTTTTAAAACTTGGTTTTGGGCCTACTTTATAACCAAAAAAATTCTTCAGAAAATTTTCAATTTGTCTTTGCGCCAACTGCTTTGCTTTAAAAACACTGACTTCTTAAATATTTCTGGTTATATGCTAGTTTATATATATGGAACACATGTTAATTTGAAAAGTAATTTACCAAATTCTGTTATACAGTATTTCACATTGTAGCAGTGGGTGACAAAAATAAATAAATAATAATTCTTGTTGGGGAGGGTTAGACACGGTCCCAGATACTTCGTGTTTTGTTTATTTCTAAAATTTCTGTTCAAAGTTTACTTACTCATTGAGATTCCTATTAATACATTTGTTTTGGAATAACTTAATGGTTTTTTTTAGATTATTTGACTTCAATTTATAATGTTAATAGTTTGTAGTTAATATTCAAAAAAAAATAAATTCCTTTATCATAGGATCAGCGGCAAACTGAAGCCATCCAGTTGCTACAGGCACAGCTGACCAACATGACACAGCTTGTTTCAAATTTATCAGCAACAGTAGCAGAATTGAAACGGGAGGTAATTGTTATTGCTGGTATTGCGAGACCCAATGCATGTATAGAGGTTGTCATAAAGCCAGGCTTGTTAACATGAACATGGTACCTAAAACTTTGACCAAACAAAATTGTCATTTGTAGTGAACTTTTTCAAAAACCAGAATATGGCATTTTTAAGTTTTGAAAATATATTATCATAGTCTTTTGTAAAATATGGCTTTCATAATTTAGGCCATACCTATAATATAGGTATAAAACTTCTAGCAGGCCTTTTGTAAGCATTGATAGTAGCAACACGTACTTCATTTTCAATTCAAAAAGGCCTATAAAGTTGCTTAACAAAGCAAACATTTCATTGATTTAAAAACTTTTTATTGAGCATCTAGTGTATGTGAAGTGCGAGCTGTACACTCCTAGGTTGTGGTATACGGTAGTTAATAGTCCCTGGCCTCACAGGGTTTACGTCCTGGGGGAGGGATAGAATACATTTAGTAAATAAATAAATAGATGATAATTTCTCCTAGTGATACGTACTATGAAGAAAATTAAATGTGTGTGTGTGTGTGTGTGTGTGTGTGTGTGTGTAGGGTGGTAGCAGTAAGGGATGCTGCTTTAGTTAGAGTGATCTTGGAAGGCTTATCTGAGGAGGTGGTATTACAACTAAGTACTCAAGAGGAGTTAGCAGCCACACATTGCCTGGAATGATAACAAACCTGTTTCTAGCAGAACTAGGGCAAAGGACTGGAGAGTAGAAACAGTGTAATGTGTTTGACAGCAGAAAGAAAGCTGGTATGGCTGGAGCAGAGTGAGTGAGAAAAGTGAAGCTGAGAAATGGGTTCAAGATATTGGCAGAGGCCTGGTCATGTAGGACTTCGTAGACAATTTAGAGTTTGAATTTTATTTGAATCTTTGTATCATTAGAAGTATTAAGAAGTGATATGGGTCATGTCATTAATGCTTAGCACTTTGAGAAGCTCTCCATTTGTTGCTTTGTGGAGAACTGCCTGTTGGGGAACAGCAGGAGCAGAAGCAGACAGGAAACCAATTAAGAGGTAATTGCAGGCCAGGCATGATGGCTTTTGCCTGTAATCCCAGCGCTTTGGGTGGCCCAGGTGGTCAGATCACTCGAGGTCAGGAGGTGGAGACCAGCCTCGCCAACATGATGAAACGCCGTCTCTTCTAAGAATACAAGAAAATTAGCCGGTGTGGTGGCATGTGCCTGTAATCCCAGCAACTTGGGAGCTTGGGAGGCCAAGGCAGGAGAATTAGTTGAACCCAGGAGGTGGAGGTTGCAATAAGCCAAGGTCACACCACTGCATTCCAGCCTGGGCAACAGAGCAAGGCTCTGTCTCAAAAAAAAAAAAAAAAGTAATTGCAGTAGCCTGAATGAGGTGGTATTGACTTAGAGTAGGATTCTAAAAGTGGAGAACAGTGTAAACTTGTTGAATTCAGAATATTTGTAAGTTGTAGAAAGATAAGCCTTAAGGAACTAAGGTTGATCTCTAAGTTTTGGGCTTACGTAACTGGGTGGTTGATAGTTCATTTTATAAGATGGGAAAGACTGGGTAAAAGCACAATTATTTTTTCTCCTTGAGGAGGAGATAGTGTAAATGGAAAGACAAACAAAATGTGACAAAATGTTAACAATTGGTGAGATAGATAAAGGTGTAAATATATTTCTTGTTTTATTTCTAAAACTTCCATAGGTTTCACTCCTATAGAAAGAATTGGAATGCTGCAAAGAATTTTTTTTCTTTAATGTCATAGTTTATTTTCAAAGAGCATGCCCTGCATTTCTGGTCTTTGAAGCACATTAAAAAAATACTTAAAATGATTTGTCCTTTGAATTTTAGATACCCTTATATTTTTCCTAATATGATTTCCTATGATTATTATTTAACCCTCTTCTCATCTCAGGTTTCAGATCGACAAAGCTATCTTGTCATATCTTTGGTTCTTTGTGTTGTCTTGGGACTGATGCTTTGTATGCAGCGTTGTCGAAATACTTCTCAATTTGATGGAGATTATATTTCAAAACTTCCTAAAAGTAATCAGTATCCAAGCCCTAAAAGGTAATATCAGCATTATATTTCACAATTTTATTTTTTTTACTATGCTTTGTATATTTTTGAGAAATTTTAAGCAAATAAAGGGAGACTGAGGTAATTTCTTTCCCTATATGATTATCTTGAAACCAAAACATTAAAAACATCATTCGATAGTAAGATGGTCCTATGCCTAACCTGGCTCTGTAGACTATAATAGAGAAAACACTAATAGTAAGTGCATGAAACCCCTGAAATATTTGGTTGAGAAAGATGCTTAAATGTGGAATTCAAAGGAAGAAGAGAATACTATTTTAATACAGTACCTTTTAGACAAAGATCTCTAAATTTTTTTTTCCACCTGTATTAGCAATAACTGGAGTGTTAGAGTTAGTCCCGTGTGGTATGTACAGTTCTCAATAACCTCTGTGTAGCCTCAACAAAAGAGTAAATTATATGTGCTTTACTCGTTGTAACCAATATGTATTTTTCCTAATGTGTTAGGTGTTTCTCTTCCTATGATGATATGAATTTGAAAAGAAGAACTTCATTCCCACTCATGAGATCCAAGTCTCTACAGTTAACTGGCAAAGAAGGTAGATTTCTGTGGATATATAATATGTATATATAAACATGAAACTAGCTTCTGGCATAAATATAATGTCAGTGTTGTGTTCATGACCATCTGCAACAAAAAATGGATACAAGTAGCCTTTGTCTTTGTGCTGTGTCAAGCCACTTTATCATTTTCACATTTTATATCTGTCTTTGTTCCTAAAAGCCCAGAGGGTAGGGAGGGGGGCTTAGTTTAATTAGCAGTTGGTAGCTTTGTTTGCACATGCTCCTGTTTAGAAGTATTTCTTTTTAGAAAGGGATGTTTGAGAAAGTTCAACAGATATGGAAAACCTGAATGTGCTCCCATAGCATCCTGTGCTTTTCTGCCTCCTCTTCTTATACAGGTAGGACCCCTTTTGTCTCTAGTTTAGGACTATGAGGCACTTTCTGAACAAAAATCTGGTCTCTTTTTTTTAGCTCCAGAACCTATAATTAGGTTCCATTGTCTAACACTAAATAAATACTTACATTTAAATGAATGGATGTGTACTGAGTGGATATTTTCCTATTTCAGTATCTTGTAATTAATGCATATTAATAGAATTAGAAATTTGTTTTCATACTAATATTAAAATAACTAAATTAATTACATATTTTATTTAGGAGTGCTTTCTTAATAATCGATGGTTGTAGGATTTAGTAACTGAGTAGCATGTTTCAATTGATTAAATTATTCAAGTAATCATTCCTGGGCTTCACTGTTTTATTATTATCACAAAGCTTTACAGACTTAACCCATTACATGTGTTTACTTAAAGCTAGTAAATCTCTTCTTCCTCCTTGCTTTTTTCTTTTTCTTTTGGTTGATATGTCTTTTTATAAGTGAAATTTTTAATTTAAGTATAATTATGTGTAAAACGTAATGAATTTTCACAAACAATACAGCTGTGCAAATAACACCTAAATTAAGAAGTAGAACATGAGCACCTCAAAAACTTCCTTGTGCTCTTTTAGTCACTGCCCATCCTTTCCCAGAGTAGCCAGTATTTTGATGTGTAACCATTGTGAGATTCACCATGCCATTGACTATAGGCATTTGTTTATTTTCGTTCCTTATAGTATTCCATTATATAGGTATACTGTACATTATTCATTTACATTTAGATTATTTTCATTTTGAGGTTGTTACATACTTTTGGTAAACACCTGTGCATTTCTGTTGGGTATACACTGGAAATGGGATTGGTGAATCATAGGGTATGTGTGTGTTCAGCTTTAGTAAATACTGTCATACAATTTTCCACACTGTTTTATGAATTTGCCCTTCTATCAGCTGCGTATGAGAGTTACAGTTACTTCATATTCTAAACATTCCTTATTTGAGGTATACCCATGCAATTAGGAAATACGTTAGATTTTTGCTTCTCAGCATTTCTAGTCTTAAGTGAAATCGTGACTATCTTACTATTTCTCTTCTCTTTATCCAATTTTTTAGGGCCAAACAGAGTAGCTTTTTGCACCTGATAATAGAATTACTTCTATTTTAAACAACAGTGTCATCTTGGTGTATCTTTACCAGTAAAGAAAGTTGAGTAGAGTAGGTAGGAGACTGACTTTAGTCCTGATTCTACCAATAGTTAATTCATTTATTTCTTCTGTTGTTTGATAAGTTCTTGTTGTTATGGCATTTATCATAGTATGCTTTGATTTTACCTATTTTTACTTGCCTTATTTTCACTTCTAAG
The DNA here is from genome assembly GCF_000001405.40 of Homo sapiens. NCBI lineage: Eukaryota > Metazoa > Chordata > Mammalia > Primates > Hominidae > Homo > Homo sapiens. The sequence goes on from NC_000001.11 coordinate 172,604,492, forward strand.
CTCTGTGGGAGAGACCATGTCTTTTTCTTATTGTGATAAAAAGCACATAAAATTTATCATTTTAACAGTTTTTAAGTGCACAGTTCATTAGTAGTAAGTATAGTTACATTGTTGTGAAACAGATCTTCCGAATGTTTTCGTCTTGCAAACCTGAACTCTGTGTCCATTAACCAATTCCCCTTTTCTCCCTCTCTCAGTCCCTGGCAACCACTATTCTATTTTCTGTTTCTATGAATTCAACTACTTCAGATACCCCATATAAGTGGATTCATACAGTATTTGTCTTTCTGTGATTGGCTTATTTCACTCAACATAATGTCCTCAAGGTTCATCTACATTATAGCATGTGACAGAATTTTTTCCTATTAAAGGGTGAAATAATATTCCATCCATTTTATTTATGTACCTCATTTCCTTTATCCATTCATCTGTAAGTGGACATTTGGATTGCTTCCCCTCTTGGCTGTTGTTTGAGTAGTGCTGTTCAGGGGTATACAGATATCTCTTTGCTCATTTTTTAGTTGGATTGTTTGAGTTTTTTGTTTTTAAGTTCAGGGAATTCTTTATAACCTCCGTTATGGATTATAACCCCCATTAGATAATATGATTTGCAAATATTTTCTTTCATCCTTTAGGTTGCTTTTTCACTGTTTTGATTGTGTCCTTGGATGTACAGTTTTTAAGTTCAACGAAGTCCCATTTGTCTATTGTGTTTTTGTTGCCTGTACTTTTGGGTCATATCCAAGAAATCATTATCAAGTTCAAGGTCATGAAGCTTTTCCCCTGTTTTCTTCCAAGACTTTTATAGATTTATGTCTTTAATCTATTTTGTGTTGATTTTTGTATATAGTATAAGATAAGGGTCCAGTTTCATTCTTTGGAATGTGAATATTCAGTTTTTCCAGCACCATTTGTTGAAGAGACTGTCCTTTTCCCATTGAGTGGTCTTTGCACCCTTCTTAAAAATGAGTTGACCACGTACATGAGGGCTTATCTCTGTGTTCTTTATTTTGTGCCATTGGTGTATTTGTCTGTGTTTATGCCAGTACTCTACCACTTTGATTACTATACCTTTGTAATGTGTTTTGAAATCTGGAAGTGTGAGTTATCTAACTTCATTCTTTTTAAAATTATTTTCCTTATTTGAGGTCACTTGAGATTTTATGTGAATTTTAGGGTGAACTTTCTATATAAGCAGTGTCGTTTTACTAGTTCACTTGCAGATTATTTTGGATTTTCAGTGAATACAGGTACGTATACTGAGAACAAAGACAGTTTTGTTTTTTCCTTTGCAGTCCTTATAGCTTTTATTTCCTTTGCTTTCTTAACTGTGTTAGCTTGCATTTTCAGCAATGTTAAATAAAAGTGATTGACAGGCATCTTTGTCTTGTTCCAAAGGGAAAGCTTACAGTGTTTTATTGCTAAGATTGTATTTGTCATAGATGTTTTGTGGATTTTTTATTCTGTATTTTGTCATTATGTGTTACCTATTGTCATAGGTATTCTATAAATTTTTTTATATTATATTTTATTTCCATTTTTAATGTTACAAACATGAATTATATTAGATTTTCTAATGTTAAACTTATATTGCATTTTTAATACCAGTTGCTCATGATATACGTGTGTGAATTTTGTATTGTATATATTATTTCTACATAATTTTGTTAGATAATTATTTAGAAATTTTGCATCTATATGAATAAGATTGGCATGTAATATTTTCTCATGTTGGATTTTGGTATGTAAGGTTTATAAAAATTAGATGGGCAGGGGTATCCCTTTTAATTTTTTTTTTTTTTCCCCTTCCATGCTTTCATTAAGATTTTTTATTGGGGAGGAAGTAAATATTCCCTTTTACTGCCATTATGTTGGAAGTTGTGTACTGGTTCTGTTCTTTTACTAGTTACCCTAGAAGTCAGAAGTATTAATGTTTGCCAAAGTCTCAAGTTCATCAATACTTGTATCTTCTCCTTAACAATACATAGATCTTAAAACTCTTATTTGTCCCAAGCCTTATTTATGTTACTGTTCTTGTATATTTTAATTCTATTCTTTCTGCTTAATTTTAACTCAACAAGGTATTTCTTTTTACACTTAATGTTCATTTAAATTTACCCCACGTTTACTAATGTTTTTATTCTTCAGAGCTTTCATTTGTCATTAGTTAAAACTGAAATATTCTCCTCTTCTTTTTCTTTATCATTTTGAGATTCGTGAGGCTCTTTGGAGCTCTGGATTTGTAGGTTTCTTTTACTTGTTATTGAGAAATTCTCAACCATTATTTTTTCCTCCCAGATATTCCCTGTGCCCCAGTCTCTTTTAGATTCTCATATTTAATTAAACATATTACTTCTCCGTATATCTTCCCTGTCTTGTAAACATTCCACCTTTTTGACTTTTTATGCTGTATTTTGGATGATATCTTCTGATGTGTTTCCAGGCCAGCAGTCTTACTGTTGCAAATTTATTCATTGGGTTTTCAATTTCAGTTATTTTTTCCATTTCCAGGAGTTCTTTTTGTATTTTTTAAAAATCCAGGTCTGTATTTTCCTTGTTATATGTTTCCTGCAGATATTTTCAAGCTTATTTTCTAGACATATTAAGCATAATTATCTTTATAGTTTGTGTTTGATAAATCTAATATCTTAAATTTTTGTGAGTCTGTTCATTGTCTTTGTAAGCTCTTACTCAGGGTATGTTGTGTCTTTGTGTGCTACTTTTTCTCTTTGAAAAGTTATTTGTAGGGATAATTTGAGGCCTAGAATATAGGTTCTTATTTGAGAGGGAATTTGTGTGTGTGTTACATTCATGTAATACCTTACATTCATGACTTGTGGTTTGTTGGGCCACCAGGTGATGATAATTTGGACTGCAAGTTCATGCATGGCTTCATTCTTTACCTGAGAATATAGTCCTTTGGAGTCTCAGTTTACTGTACACAGGGAGATGGTATCTTATTACACTAAACTTTGGGTGGGCCCTAGGACCTGATTTCTGATCCATTCCCTTATGATACCATCAGAACCAAAGTTCATATATTCTTGTGTTGGCAAATGTTTTCAGGGCAAAAATGACTTTTGTCTTCTACTTGACTGTCCGGGTTCCCACTTTTCTTTCAGTTTTAGCCTAGGGATTACTTTCTTGGCAGCTTTTCAATGCTTTTAGTGATTTTTTTTAAAAAAAACAAACTATCATTACTTAGTTGCTTTCATTGTAGAGGTTGATCTGAATAACATAACTGTTTCTAGAAATAGACATCATTATTAAAGAAAGTAAATTAAGATTAGTAATCTGGTAGAAATGACTGTTTAGAGGGATGTTTTGATATTTTCATATATTTGATGACTTTCTCAATAAATCTCTGAAATATAATGTAAAAAATTATAATTGGTTGAATTGTATTAATAAATTTCCCAAATGTGTAGAGCTTCTGTAGTGAATTTACTATGTGTAAGCTTTTGTCTCTGTCAGACCTTAAATTGTTTATTTTTAGTGGATTGAATAGGACTAAAGTCTCATAGCCTTTTAAAAATGTGTGTCTATTTTGTCAGTGTGGGGGTGGGGTTGGGATATATCTTGAAGCTGCTTAGAGTAATGAAACCTTAGAAACTTTGGGCTAAAACTAATAAATCTAATTTACTCACTATGCCAGAAGTGTTCATTCATTATTGCTTAGTGATATATATTGCATGTTCAAGCTGTTTTTAGATTGGGATTTCATAGTTTTGATCATAGTAATAAACAGAGAAAAATATCTTGGATCTCTTTTTGTGTTTATTTCTCTAACTGGCTTCCAAACACGGTCACGACTACTTGTTGCACATTGTTAATCTACCTTTGTGACACAGTTTAGAGGCTAGTCTTTTAGGGAAGTATTCAAATGATCTGTAGGTTTGGTGTGAGCTTACCCAGGAATGTTTCTTTTCTTATCAGGTAAAAGAGTGAGGCTGGGCCCAAAGAAAGATCGTTATTGTATTGGTTGATAACCAGCTACTAGTTAACAACTTAAGGAAGTATAGTTATTTGAAGACGACCAGTCAAGCATAGGAATCATATCATCTTCCACCTTGCCTCTTTTTGCTTACTAATTTAAAATGCATAAATATATAGTTAACCTGATACAAATTCATTGGTTCTATTACTAGAGGATAATAAGGAATGAATGATTTGTCTTATTTTAGTGTTTAATTATAGCAAATCCACCAAATCCACTTTACATTTTACATCTGCTTTTTTTTTTTTTTACTTACAGTAGACCCAAATGATTTGTACATTGTAGAACCCCTCAAGTTTTCTCCAGAAAAGAAGGTAATTGTTTATTTCTTTTTAAGTTTATTGCTATGTTTTGTGATAATAAATGAAGAAAAGAGGTTGAAAGGTTTAAGGTAATTACCTTTAAGTAGTCCTTAACTGAATGTTTATTTTCTATCATGATAATGTTGTAAATAAATATTAACAGGGGTCAGCAAGCTGTGACCCACAGGCCATATGGGCCATGAGCCAGATAGGTTTTCTCATTTTTAAAGAGTGATAAAACAGAACAGCATGCAAGAGAGAAAATGTGTGACCTGCAAAGCCTAAAATATTTACTGTCTGACCCTTCACAAAAAAAATTTGTTGATCCTTGGATGATTGTCATTATTTATTACCGAATGCATGCCAAGCACAGAGCATGCACCGTTCCTCTAATCCTCACCACAACCTGAAGATGATGTTATCCTCATTTTTTTTTTTAATAAAAAAACAGCAACTCAGAATGTACTTAGGATTTTTTGGCTTCAAAGTCTTTGCTTTTTCATTTTGCCTTTCAAATTAAGTTATACTAATTTTAGTTGTAATTTCATCTAGGTGAAAGAACTTGGGCTTTGTAGGCAAATAGCCTAAGATTCATTCTCAACCCGGCTGCTTACTACATTGTAACTTGGGCAAAGAACCAAACATCTGAACCTTGCTTTTCTCATTTAAGAATCAAGGATAAAATACCGACCTTTCAGGGTTAATAGCTGCCATAATACATGAAAGCAACCTGTATGCTCTCTGGCAGTTAGTAGGTATTCAGATATTAGTATCACTCCCTAAACCTATATTCATAGGTAGCAGGTAAGCAATTTAAAGAGTTTTGATTCAGTAGTATTTACAAAATGGGAAGATGATGCTAGTATCTATATAGAACATAACAATGTATGTGTTCTGTGCTGTTTATAATACTGTTTTACTTTTCACCAGGAGGTGGCACTTCTCTATTAGCTCAGCTCTCTAGGTGTTTGATAAGGTTACTATGGGAAGTATCATTACTAACTTTTCTTTTACTTGTGTTGTAGAAGAAGCGCTGCAAGTACAAAATTGAAAAAATTGAGACCATAAAGCCTGAAGAACCATTGCACCCCATAGCCAATGGCGACATAAAAGGAAGAAAGCCCTTTACGAACCAGAGAGATTTTTCTAATATGGGAGAAGTTTATCACTCTTCTTATAAAGGTCCTCCATCTGAAGGAAGCTCAGAAACTTCATCACAGTCAGAAGAGTCCTATTTTTGTGGCATTTCAGCTTGCACAAGTCTGTGCAATGGACAGTCTCAAAAGACAAAAACTGAGAAGAGGGCTTTAAAACGAAGACGATCTAAAGTCCAAGACCAAGGAAAATTGATAAAAACTCTAATACAGACTAAGTCGGGATCATTGCCGAGCCTGCATGACATAATCAAAGGAAACAAAGAGATCACCGTGGGAACATTTGGTGTTACAGCAGTCTCGGGACATATCTAAAATTAATTGAACTTTTCATACAGAAGACTTTTTTGTTGTTGTTCTTTGAAGAACAGTCTGTAGTATTTGAAGGGTTTGGGGGAGGGAGAAAATATTAATGGGAAAGGCATTCAGAAATTATGGTTTCTACCTTTTTAAAAAGTAGATGGGATTGTGTCAATCTTGGTTAATGAGCTACAGTTTTACAAAGCTGATCACTTCCTATAAGGACAATGGTAGACATTTTATAAAGATGTTTTTTCACAAGATTAATTACTGGGACAAAAGTAATTTGGAAGCCCAGTTCCTTAGGTGGGATAGGAATGAAAGCCTAAACCTCTTCCTTTAGCTTTGTTCCTATTTCTTGCACCTTCCCATATTTATGTGCCTTTTGTCTATTTATAATGCCACTGGAAGAGGAGGGATAACTTTTTCTGTTATTTGATTTCTTTTATAACTTTGTTAGGTTTTTGAAGCTGCAAACACTACAATGCTTTGAGGGGGTCTGTGCCTGAAGCTCAGGAGTGTGGATCAGACAGTCTAAAGATCCTAAAAACTTGCCAACTGGATCTTTGTTTAGCAAACTCACTGGAAATGAACACTTAATGGAATTTTTAAGTCTGTTCTGTTAGGTAGATGGTGATGCTCTTGTTATTTTCACTTATTCAGACTGGATTACTTCTTACTTAGTTACTAACTCAATGAGGAAAAATCCCTACAGGATCTTTTTTTGCAAACAACTGATATATGCAGACAAATTTTTGACAAATTCACCTTTTAAACACACTTAACCATTTGTGAAGGTTTTCTTTAGCTTACATTTTAAACATACACAATAAACACTAATCCTCCAAACTTTCACTGTTTTTATTAGTATGAATATAAAATTTGAAGGTTTGGCCAATTAGTACAAGTCTCATGATATAATCACTGCCTGCATACATATGCACAGATCCAGTTAGTGAGTTTGTCAAGCTTAATCTAATTGGTTAAGTCTAAAGAGATTATTATTCCTTGATGTTTGCTTTGTATTGGCTACAAATGTGCAGAGGTAATACATATGTGATGTCGATGTCTCTGTCTTTTTTTTTGTCTTTAAAAAATAATTGGCAGCAACTGTATTTGAATAAAATGATTTCTTAGTATGATTGTACAGTAATGAATGAAAGTGGAACATGTTTCTTTTTGAAAGGGAGAGAATTGACCATTTATTGTTGTGATGTTTAAGTTATAACTTATTGAGCACTTTTAGTAGTGATAACTGTTTTTAAACTTGCCTAATACCTTTCTTGGGTATTGTTTGTAATGTGACTTATTTAACGCCTTTTTTGTTTGTTTAAGTTGCTGCTTTAGGTTAACAGCGTGTTTTAGAAGATTTAAATTTCTTTCCTGTCTGCACAATTAGCTATTCAGAGCAAGAGGGCCTGATTTTATAGAAGCCCCTTGAAAAGAGGTCCAGATGAGAGCAGAGATACAGTGAGAAATTATGTGATCTGTGTGTTGTGGGAAGAGAATTTTCAATATGTAACTACGGAGCTGTAGTGCCATTAGAAACTGTGAATTTCCAAATAAATCTGAACACTTGTCTTTATTAATTACTGGCTCTTCTGTCTTTTAAAAGAGAACTCAGAAATTATTAATCTTTGAACAGAGATTTAAGTTTTTGCCACTTTTAAAGTTAAATATAGCAGCATTCCATTCAATATTGATCACATTTCAGCCAACTACAAAATGATGGTACTTTTACATAAACATTTTGCTCCCTATGCTATCAGAATTTCAGTTTTTCATATCTAAATACAGCATAACATTTTGTAACATGAGGTTTATTTTTTCCTCTCTCACATAACTACATGAGAAAAAAAACTTAAGTGAAAATAATAGATTTATGCCTATTAAGAAGCAAAAACTATATAGATATTTATCCAATGGGATTTTTAGTGTTCCCTGATGATCAACCTCATTTTATTTCTTCTAATGTTAAGTAAAGCATTAAAACAGTATGAAATAAAAGGAAACTAGGGAATTGGTAAGAACAAGGATGCAAAGTAAAACAATTCTTTTAATTGAATTTTTAAAAACATTAAAGTTGTGGCTCACGCCTATAATCCTAACACTTTGGGAGGCCGAGGCAGGGGATCATTTGAGGAGTTCGAGACCAGCCTGACCAACATGGTGAAAACCCGTCTCTAATAAAAATTAAAAAAAAGTAGCCGGGCATGGTAGCACATGCCTGTAGTCCCAGCTACTCAGGAGGCTGAGGCAGGAGAATTGCTTGAACCTGGGAGGCAGACAGGTTGCAGTGAGCTGAGATTGCACCACTGCACTCCAGCCTGGGTGGCAGAGTGAGACTGTCTCAAAAAAAAAAAGTTATGCATACATATAATTTGATAAATTAGTTTTATAAGGCTTATAAAGTAAGAACAGAAAACAGTTCTCTATTCTGTACCATTTCACTCACACACAACGCACACACACACACACACACACACTACCAGTACCACCCATCTTTCTCTACCAAAGATTTCTTGCTTCCCAGTGGCAAACATTTTTTATTCCGTCTGCAGTTATTGTGCTTCCCTTACCTTGCTGCTTATTTTTCCATTTTTAGATGTGTCCTCAGTTTGAATATACAAACTTGTACGCATGAACATGAGATAGATATAAACTTATATTGGTTAATGTAATTGGATAAGTCTATTCAAAATCACACAACAGGACAACTTAGAAGTACTGCTTTTCTTCAACTGATTGATTTAAAAAATTTCAAATCTGTAGATAAGTTGAACACCATGTGCCTTTGCCCAGATTCACCAGTTGCTAATCTTTTTAGTTTTCTTCATGTGTATGTGTTTTATATGTATATGTGTATTATATGTATATATGTATGTATAAAGATATGTATGTGTGTTATGTGTATATATATAAAGAAACATCTTTTGGTGAGCCATTTGTAAGCAAGTTGGGACATTATGACCCTTTCCCCCTAAATACTGTAGCATATTTTTTCCTAAAGTAAGGACATTCACTTATGTGACCATAATACCCGTATAATATGTAAGAAAATTAATAACTCCATAATATCTAATACACAGTATATAGTCAAATTTCTTCAGTTACCCTCATTTGTTTATTTTGGTCCAGGGTCCATTCAAGGTTCATTTGGTTGTATTGTCTATTTAGTGTCTAAAAAAAATAGACTACTTCCTGACTTTGAATATTGTCCTTGTGCAAGGTCCATACTTACTTTCTCTGAATCATCCCAGTTTTAGTGGATGAGCTGCCCAAGTGAGCAGGAAGAGCTTTTTTGAGTAATGTGTTGATGTTGTCACTGAAATTTTATCCCAACCCACGAGTATTTATAGTTAACACATTCTTTAAAATATCCTGTTGGAGCAATAACCTCCGCATTACACTCCACTTAATCTATTACTTTAAAAATTAATATTTCAGGCTGGGTATGGTGGCTCACGCCTATAATCCCAGCATTTTGGGAGGCCGAGGCAGGTGGATCATTTGAGGTCAGGAGTTCGAGACCAGCCTTGCAAACATGGTGAAACCCCGTCTGTACTAAAAATAGAAAAATTAGCCAAGTGTGGTGGTGCACACCTGTAATTCCAGCTACTGGGGAGGCTGAGGTGGGAGAATCCCTTGAACCCAGGAGGCAGAGGTTGCAGTGAGCTGAGATCGCACCACTGCACTCCAGCCTGGGCGACAAGAACAAAACTCCATCTCAAAAAAAAAGGATCTTTCAAATACTTGCTTACAACAGAGTTTATTACTGCTATTTTGAAGTCATATAGCCTGGGCTACCAAATCTGCTTCATATTTTTTGACAGATCACCAAATACTAAAACCCAAACAAATGCCTTATAACACTTGTAAGGACTTTTGAGCAAACATAAGTATTGATGATTTTTTAAAAAGTGAATAAAGAGCAAGTTTTAATTCCAGGATAGTTTAAAATAGCCAGCTCCCCAGGGAAATGGTATATTACACAGTTTAAGAGCAGGTGCTGACTGGGCACAGTGGCTCATACTTGTAATCCCAGCACGTTGGGAGGCCAAGATGGGAGGATCACTTGAGGCCGGGAGTTCAAGACTAGCCTAGACAACATATCAAGACCCCATCTCCACAAAAAGTTTTTTTAAAATAAGCTGGGCATGGCCAGGCGTGGTGGCTCATGCCTGTAATGCCAGCATTTGGGAGGCTGAGGTGGGTGGATCACAAGGTCAGGAGGAGTTCAAGACCAGCCTGGCCAACATGGTGAAACTCCATCTCTACTAAAAAAATACAAAAATTAGCCAGGTATGGTGGCATGCACCTGTAATCCCAGCTACTCGGGAGGCTGAGGCAGGAGAATTGCTTGAACCCAGGAGGTGGAGGTTGCAGTGAGCCGAGATCGTGCCACTGCACTCCAGCCTGGACAACAGAGTGAGACTCTGTCTCTAAATAAATAAATAAAAGCTGGGCATGGTGGACGACAGAGCGAGACTCTGTAAATAGATAAATAAATAAATAAAAATAAGCTGAGCATGGTGGTCCATGCCTGTAGTCCTAGCTACTCAGGAGGCTGAAGCAGGAGGACCACTTGAGCCCAGGAGTTTCAGGTTGCAGTGAGCTATGATTGTACCACTGCACTCCAGCCTAGGCAACAGAGTGAGACCCTGTCTCAAAAGCAAGTGCTTTAAAGTCAGACTGCCTGTTTTCATATTTGCTATCCACCTCTTACTGGGTACGGCATTGGACAAATCACAGTCTCATTAAACATGAGATTTCTCACCTGTAAATGAAGATAAGAGCACCTATTTCAAAGGGTTGCTTTGAGGATCAAGAGTGCTAATAACTGTCATATACATGGCATAGTACACACTAAACATAAGCCATCAGTTTTCAGATGCTCAGGGTTCTGATCCTTGGTTTCTGTACATCTATCAGCAGGGGTCAAGAAAGGAGCTCATTATGCTTGGTGTAAGACTTCCATCATCTCCAGCCTCTCTCCATCATCACCACCATTTGAAAGGTCAGTAGGGAGTTTTGAGTCCAGTATACTCTGAGAAAGACCACCCCTCAGTTTTGTCATCATGAGGGTCAGTAGGGCAAACCAAAGCTCTGCAGAGCTCCTGCAAAGATGTTGCCACCCCTTTCTACTGCCCAGTATGAAGTCTTGCCAACTTTGTGCCTCAAAACCATTAAGGTGAATTTCATGTCTTAGATTCTTGTTAATTTTATAACCACAAGAAGCCTCATATGACTTGTAACATTCTTTTTTCTGGATCCATATTCCATCCCCAACTCCTAAAACACTTCTGTGCCCTCTGGAACTCTAATCCAGTCATTAGTAAAATTCCCTGGAATCTTTCATTTCTTTCAGCCTTCGCTTTGCCTCTGTTCTATTTGAAACTACTTCCCTGAATCCTTCTCAGGAGGTCACTTTTTTTTCCTATACCCCTCACACCAATGGGCCTGAAGATAGGCTAGTTGTTGTCCTTAATCTTCAATGCCACTATAAGACTACTCTCCACTTTTGCTTAAATTTCTCTTTGAATCTTGTATCAACAAACTATACCACCTGCTGTCTCTCCTTATTGCAAATGATCCCCTGTTTTCTCTCACCCTTATTCTTGGGGTCACTTATTCCATTGCTGCTTCTGTTATAATTCTTGATGATTTCAATATCTATCTTACATTAGTTTTTCTAGTTTCTCAGTTCCTTGCTTTCTCTAATGATCTTGTTCTCCAGACTGTATTGGCCACTTACTCCCGTGATGAAATCCTAGTTTTTATCATTACCAAAATCCATAATTCTTTCTTAATACGAATTTTAAGCATCTGGTTCTGACTACCACCTCCTGTTTTACTAGCTCATACCCCCTTCCCACCCTAACTCTTAACAATTCTTTCATCCCACCATATCCTACAATCCATTAGTCATACCACTGGGACAGCCAAGTATAAAGGGGTCCCTAGAGAAACTATGACCAGCCTGTGCACTGAGAGAACAGGTTGGAGCTACAAAAGTTTGTGCCCTTTGCAGTGGAGAGGAGCTTGGCCTCTCCTGTTCTGGAGTGGAACCTGCCATTGAATCTGTGAGGCAGGAAACTGGCTAGCAGGACTCTTGCTTTGCTGAGAGTTCCTCTTTCCCTTTATTTCCTCTTCACCCAATAAATTCCATTTTTCTCAACCTTCAAAGTGTCTGTGAGCCTAATCTCTCATGGTCGTGTGACAAGGACCTTGTTTTTAGCTGAACTAAGGAGAAAGTCCTACAACAGCATTGACACCCAACATGGGGCTTAAGAAAGGGTGACTGAGATGCAAACCAAGAAATCTCTCCCTTTCACTTCTAAGTGTTTTCATCTCTGGACTTCTGAGGGTAGGGGAAACCAGGCCCTCACCCCCATTACTCCCAGGGTCAGGGGTCTTTCCATGGCCTTTTCCTTCCTTTTTCTGGATGGACAGGTGAACAGTGGCTCCTCACTCCCCCTCCCTTCCCAGTTGGGGCTGGGGAATGCCACACATTAACAGTGTCTTCATCTTCCCCTGCGAAGGAGTTCAACTCTCATCTGACAGCAATTAAGTTTCTCCCTCCGGAAGAGGAACCCAGTTGCATAAGAATAAGAGGTTCTCCCCTAGGCATTTTTAAAGTGTTTTTTTTTTTCCTTCCTTTTCTCCACCAGGTCAAGAGCTGACTTTTAAGAAAGGTTTTTTTCCTCTTAGAAGACGTTTTTCTAAGCTAAGAATGATAAGGATCACTCTTTATATTCTCTGTAAAGTTTTAATTGTGAAAAAGGATTTGTGAGGCTGGTCTTAAGCTGTAGCCAACTGGTGTGCTTTGAGTGTCTGTATGGTTCGTAGAAAACTTTGCTTCAGGCCTCCATCTTGTTTTACAACTTGGGGGCATGGCCTGTAACCCAGCAGCAAGGCTTTGTTTAGCAATCCTGCCTTGGGGAATTAGTCCTTTCTGGTTTGATATCTGCATGTTTTTCTAGCCATGTCTCTTAAAGGACTCCACCTGGTGACTGTGTTTTCTTCTGCCTGTGTAGCTATATATGTGTTGTGTGTGATGTCTAGAAAAGGAGCTCTAATTAATTGGCCTAAAGGAAGACAAGCACTTGAATCAAATATTTTTTAAAGGGAAGGTAAAAGCTGTGATACCTTTCAGTTCACATGACTTTAATATTTGAGAAATAAAAACAACCTTAAAGATTACTGGTAAAAAGCAGATGTCATCAAAATATAAATAGGTGGACTAAATTACGCAGGTCAGATGCAAGCTTTGCTAAGTGTTTTGAGGTTATAAACTGCTTTTTGGTGGTAAGGCCTGGGGACATATGGAACTAACCATGCTCTTAATTATGCTGGAAGGAGTCAAACCTTGGCTGCACCTGGCACAAAATTAAAACAACTTGCCAGGTTTTACATTAAAGTTAAAATTGCTAGAGGTTACCATTATAACATGTAATTGAAACTACTGAAAATAGATTCACATGCAAGGTATTTAAGAACAGTAAAATGTGTTTTTAATAAAAGATTACAAAAAGGCATGAAAATGTAAATTCTTGCCTAGGGTTAAAGAATTATTCTAAATTAGGATAAAGCTGCGGGTTCAAAAAAGTGGTGGAAGGATTGTGGGAATTAATCTTGTGAAAGAGATTCTCTGTGTGAACATATTGACTAGGTTCAGGGGGGTATATTGTGTAGTTTTTGAATGAAAGCACAACAGAGTATTCTTGGGGCACTGATTTGCCCTTTGGCAAAATTTGTAAAGGGTTATAAAAGGCTTTTGCTTCTTTAAAATTTCTGAGTCATCATTTTGGCAAAATAAACAATTATGGTCATCTAGAATTCTATTTTATAACATCAGGTGTTTTAAACTGCTAACATATTTAACAGGCTTCTTAAAATCAAACTTTAGTTTCAAAATTTTCTTTCCTGACACCTGGCTTTTTGGATATATCAGAGGGCCTCTGGAGTGTTCAGAAAAGAGAGGTAAACAGGATTATTTTACATGTTTAGGTACATGGGATCGACAAAATGATGTTCAATCTTCTTTAGGTATATTTTGGTGAATAATACTAATATATGTTCCAAAACCATATGGGATTCCTAAAATTCTAATGTCTAAGTATATGCTATCAATCATAATTAAGGTTATGTTAAGTTATTGTAAACCGTGGAGATAACCAAACTTCTTTGTCAATCATGTTTCTAACTGTAACTACCCTGGACATTTTGTTATTCGTAGACAATTGTTGTCTTGTTCTAATCTTTTTCAAAAGACAGTTTATAAAAAGCTATAGAACTATAGGTAGGTGACCTCAAACACAGGTTTTTGATAACTTTGGAGACTGTGACATTGGAATAAATGAAAAATGTACAGGACTCATGAAGAGCTAAAATGTTCATGAATATCAAACAAATCAATAACTAAATGGACTGAACTCAGGAAACTGAAGCAAATCTTTTTTACTTTGGCTTGAAATGTTGCTGAACTTTGTTTTGTTTTTCAGAGTTGAGGAAACTTACTTTGAACTATTTATGGCCATTAATAATTGAGTAAGGTATACTCCTGTGAACAAAATTTGGAGCATGTTTGTTTCTCTCTTCCTGGTTCTTCTAGAATTTGGAAACCATCTGTGAGTATTCTTAATTCATAGCAATATAGTTGTTTGGATCAGTGCAATAAGAATCCATTTTTCTTTTGCAACGGGATGCAATTGGAGAAACTGGTTGTTTTACCAAGGCTTTGACTGGAAGTGTATGCTTCACTTTAAGGAATCAAGCCTGACTTGCAGAGCTGATAACAGCCCCTTGGGGAAAAAACTGGCCTCATACCATCATCTACATAGTCTCTCTACAGGGCTCCTGACCTGTGGTCAATAAAGAATGTCACTTTCTAACAGGCCTAGGAGCTCCAAGTTAATCTTGGGACCTTAAGAGGAGAGGATCACCCAACTAACAGGTGTTTGAGGATACAAACCCCTGGCTGGGCTTGAATTTAAAAGGTCTTATCTGAGATTCCTTACAGAATAGAGTTCCATCAAAGCCAATCCAAAAGGCCTGTGTAGAAATAATTATTCTTGTTGCACTTTATGCAAGTAATCAGGCCAAGTATAAGATTAAAATCTATTGCAAACAACTCAGTCCTATCATGATTTTTTTTAACAAAAATGAGGACCGGAGAGAAATTATGTTTCAAAACTCATACATTTGTCATTAAATTATAAGCTCATTAGTTGTTTTTAGGTTTTTGCCTACATTTTAGACACCCTGCTTGTTGCTGTGAACCAACCAGCAATCTCCTGCTGCAGCTCAGAAAGAACAAAAGGGATGGGTAATGTAGAAGTCTGGATCAATATTCTAGTTCTGAGCAATTATCCTGCAAATCCTGCCAGGTGTTGGGAATAAATAGGACATCCATCACTCAGAGGATTCCTTTTGGGAAAGTAAGACTAAGGGAGCTAACCAAAGCCAAGCACCATGCACCCAAATCTTAGCAAGCATAACTAGCTACCAGTCATCTGAATGTATCACAAGACATCCTTTTCTCTCCCTTGTTGGAGGAGGGCTCAGTTCCACAGTTTCACCTTAGCATTCGGCTTATTGATAAGGAGTCCATGCACCATCCCACAACCCCACCAAGACACAGTTTTGTCCCAAAGAATTTTGTCAATTCTAAGCTTTGGATCCCTAGGAAAGAAAACTGGATCTAAGGGATCCAGAGGCAGATGATAATGGAAGTTAAAAGGCAGAGCACAAGTGAGCATGGTTGATTCCTGCTGATTAAGACAAGCCTCCTGTTTCATGGATAAAGGTCATGCTAGTATCACTGGCAAAAATGAGGTCTAGGGAATGCCAAGGCTACTGACAGCAGGGGGAAAGAGACATAGGTGAGAGCAGATAATTTCTATTCTCTAGGCCCTCCCTGCTTCATGGGTACAAGCCGTTTGGCACTCATCATGGCACCTGCCAAGGTCGCTGGGACTTGGGGCTGCAAGGACAGAGAAAGAAAGAGGATGTTCTTCCTACTGTCCCTCACGTACCTTGGGTATCTGCTTGGAAGAGAAAGGAACCAGGGATTATCGGGGGAACAAGCCCCCAGTATTTCAACATAGGTTATTTTCTATTTTCCCTAAGAGTCGGCTGGTCTGAGAAATAAAGAGAAAGAGAGAAATTTTACAGCTGGGCCTCCGGGGGTGCCACCACATATTGGTAGGACTGTGGTGGCAACCTCAAGCCACAAAACCAGCAAGTTTTTATTAGGGATTTCAAAAGGGGAGGGGTGTACGAATAGGGAGTGGGTCACAGAGATCACATGCTTCAAAGGGCAATAAAAGATCACAAGGCAAAAGAGCAGAGCAAGATCACAAAGCAAGGGCGAAATTAGAATTACTGATGAGGGTCCATGTCCCGCTGGGCACGTATTGTCTTGATAAACATCTTAACAGGAAACAGGGTTTGAGAGCAGACAACCTGTCTGACTAGAATTCACCAGGCTGAAATTTCCCAATCCTAGTAAGCCTGAGGGCACTGCAGGAGACCAGGGCATATTTCATCCCTTATCTCAACCACATAAGACAGACATTCCCAGAGCGGTCGTTTATAGACCTACCCCTGGGAATGCATTCCTTCCCCCAGGGTTATCAATTATTAATATTCCTTGCTGGGAAAAGAATTTAGCGATATTTCTCCTACTCACACGTCCGTCTATAGGCTCTGTGTGAGAAGAAAAATATGGCTCTATTCTGCCCGACCCTGCAGGCAGTCAGATCTTATGGTTATTTTTCCTTGTTCCCTGAAAAATCGCTGTTATTCTGTTCTTTTTCAGGGTGCACTGATTTCATATTGCTCAAACACACATGTTTTACAAACAATTTGTACAGTTAACTCAATCGTCACAGGGTCCTGAGGTGACATACATCCTCAGTTTACGAAGATGATGGGATTAAGAGATTAAAGTAAAGACGGCATAAAAAATTATAAGAGTATTGTTTGGGGAAGTGATAAATGTCCATGAAATCTTCACAATTTATGTTCAGAGACTGCAGTAAACACAGGCATAAGAAATTATAAAAGTATTAATTTTGGGAACTGATAAATGTCCATGAAATCTTCACAATTTATGTTCTTCTGCCACAGCTTCAACCGGTCCCTCTGTTCGGGGTCCCTGACTTCCCGCAACAAGGGATGCCTGCTCCTCTCTTTCTAGATGGGTAGCCGTTCATCTTCACTCTGTACCCCTTTCAAATGCATCCTGAATCTCCTTTGAAAAAAAACACCTTCTTCTTCTTTTTTCCTCCTCTGTCCTCTCTTCACTGATAGGTAATTGTGTCTCCATACTATGGGACACTCCCCTTGGATGCATCCTCTGAACTGGGAAAAGTTAATTTCCCAAACCTTAAACTGGTTGGCTTAGGATTGGACTCAGGGGAAGGGAACCCAGGAGCCCAACATGTTGGCAAAATGGTAAAAGGCCTCGGGATTTTTGAGCTGTCCTTACCCCCTGCTTTTCTCATTTTAATACATGTTTTCTAATGACCTGGTTTGTCTCTTCTTGCCTTCAGGTCATCAAACTCCAAACAGTCATGCAACTGGAGTCTTGGATGATGGCCCCTTCTGCTGAGAACCCTTAGGTCTCTGAGGGAGCGCTGACTGTCATTTTCCTCAAAACAGTGCCCCCTGTCAGCAGGAAGCAGTTAGGATTGGTCTTTGTCCTTATCCTTATTCTAAAGACACTTGGATATACTTCTTTAGAGGGAGGAATGAAACAGCCGAGTATAAAGGGGTCCCCAGAGAAACTCCAACCAGCCTGTGCACTGGGAGAATGAGGTGGAGCCACAGAAGTTCACACCCTTTGCAGTAGGGAGGAGCCTGGCTTCTCCTGTTCTGAGGTGGAACATGGGGATGAATCTGTGAGGTGGGAAACTGGGTAGCAGGACTCTTGCTTTGCTGAGAGTCCCTGTTTCCCTTTTTTTTCCTTTTCACCCAATAAATTCCATTTTTCTCACCCTTCAATGTGTCTGCGAGCCTAATCTCTCATGGTCATGTGACAAGGACCCCATTTTTAGCTGAACTAAGGGAACTCCTACAACACCACTTTTGCACCCTCCCTCATTCCCTTGAAGTCCTTACTCTTCTTACCCAGCTTGAATTCCATGGTCAGTCCTTAAAACTGCTCTTTTTCATATATTTTCAACTACCTTGCCATCTCTTGTCTTGATATATTGCTGAGAAAAGCAAAACCTTGGTTAAATCCCGCTTTCTGCTACTGCACCCTCTGTTCACAAAGCTAAAGTTGACCAGGGAGAATCGCCATGACTCTTCTCACATCAATTCATGACGATTATCTCAAGTAGGCCCTTACTGCAGCTGGCAATTTTACTACATTTTTCTAGTGCATTTATTGATTCTCCTGAACTATTTCAAACTTTCTCCTCAAAACACACACATTTCCCTGTTCCTACTGTCAGCTGATGACCTTCCTATTTCACTGAGAAAATGCAGAAGTAATTAAAGATCTTCTCACAAGCTCCCACCTACCAACTTCTGTTCATATTATCTGTCTTTGCTCATGTAGCTGTCTCCTGGACGCCAATGCTCTACTGGTGAACTAGATTGTGTCAACAAAAAAGAGTCCAACTATGTAAAATATTTGAAGAGATTTATTCTGAGCCAAATATGACTTACCTTGGCTGGTGACACAGCCCTCAGGAGGTCCTGAGAACATGTGCCCAAGGTGATTAGGGCACAGTCCGATTTTATATAATTTGGGGAGACATCAATCAAATACATCCAAGATGTACATTAGTTTGGTTCAGAAAGGAGGGACTACTCAAAGCAGGAGCTTCCAGGCCACAGGTAAATTTTAAAATTTTCTGGTTGACAATTGGTTGAGTTTGTCTAAGGACCTGAGATCAATAGAAAGGAAATGTTTGGGCTAAGATAAAGAATTGTGGAGACCAAAGTTTTATTGTGCAGAGGAAGATTTTAGTTAGCGGGCTTCAGAGAGAATAGGTTGTAAAATGTTTTCTTATTGAACCTAAAAGGTGCCTGACTTTTAGTTAATTATCTCCTGGATATGGAAAAAAAGACTTTTTTAAAAAAAAAAAGCAAAAAGAGATTTTCTACAGAATGTAGATTTTTCCCACAAGAGACAACTTTGCAGGGCAATTTCAAGACATGACAAGAAAATATAATTGGGGTTAAAACATTTTGATTTCTTTCCTTATTTGTTATGTGATGTAATGCCAGAGCCAGGTTGGAAAGCAGGCCACCTAATACTGGGTTAAATAAAACCCCTCTGATGAGACTTTATGGCTTGCAGGGTGTGACTCCCCAGGTCCCTTAGGTAGGAATTTGGCAAGATACGAAAAACATGTCAGAGTTTAGTCCTCAATTTCATTCTTCATTTAACCTGTCTGAGGACATTGCCTCATTTTGTTCTCTCCTGCACCATCTTTTTTCCCTTCAAATAGGTCTCTCCAATCAGCCTACTAATATGCTGTTACTTCCGCCCATTATGAACCCTTTGATCCCACTTTTTCCGCCAGCTACTGCCTATTTCTCTGCTCCATTTTATAGCAAAACTCCTCAAAAGAGATGGCTGCCCTCACCATTGATTTCTTAACATTTTTTCTTGAACTCACCCCAGTCAGGCCATCAATCTCACCACTACTGAAACTGCCCTTGTCAAGAGCATCAATGACCTCGTTACTAAAACCAGTGAAGAGTTCTCAGTTCTCATCTTACTTGACCCATCAGCAGCATTTAACTTAGCTGATCATTCCCTTGCTGCAACACTTTCTTTACCTGGCTTCCAGGGCACTGCAGTTTCCCTTATACAACAATGGTGACTCCTTTTTGGTCCCTTGTTCTCATCTCTTGTCATATTGGACTGCCTCAAGGTTCAATTCCAGAACCTCTACTCTCTATTCACCCACTTCCTATGCTCATCATTCCTATTTTTATGTCTCAGGTTTCAGGATTTCCTTTTCTGTTCCATTGATCTTTCTATCTTTTTCTTAACCAATGCTGTTTTAATTATTGCATTTAATTACCTGTTTATATGAATATACATATGTATACACCTATAGTTATTACATATATTAAATACATAGTAATACATATATATCTGCCATTCTTAGTTATATATAACTATACATATATTTAATGATATACAATTCTATAATATATAATTATTATTATTCTATAATATATTATTATTTTATAATATATAATTATAATTTTAATATCAATGTAAACTATATTAATATAATATACTTAATTATACATTTAATTTAATTATATACTGCTATATATAATTAAATCTATATATCTATATAACTTATAATTTATTTTAATTTAATTATATATACTATATAGTTATATATACATATATGTAATTATATATAGTATAATTATAGTATATATGTATATATAATGTAAGTAAATATATAGTATATATTTATATATACTATATATTTATACATATGTCTTTATATATACTAATATATATACACATATGTAATATGTACATATGGCATATATTTTATAGTGTATATATACATATATGTAATATATATAGTAATATGTAAATATATAGTACATATTTAATTATATGGTAATATATACACATATATGTAATATGTGTATTATAGTACATATTTTATAGTATATATACATATATGTAATATGCATATGTAGTATACATTGTAATATGTAAATATACATAGTATATAATTACCATATATTAGGTTGGGGCAAACTTAATTGTGGTTTTTGCAATTAAAAGTAATACTCTATAAAATTAATTACTATATATTTAATAATATATAATAATCTATATATAATATACATATATGTATACATTGAAAGTAATGGCAAAAACTGCAGCTACTTTTAATAATTCTGCCCTTGCTTCTAGAGAAAAAATTAGGTGGACCTCATTATTGCTCTGGCCACTCACTGTAAATTATGAAGCAGTCTCAAATTACCTTTTAGAATATGCAGTCTCAGGCAAGGCATGGTGGCTCATGCCTGTAACCCTAGCACTTTGAGAGGCCGAGGTGGGTGGATCACCTGAGGTCAGGAGTTTGAGACCAGCCTGGCCAATATGGTGAAACCCCTACTAAAAATATGAAAAAATTAGCCGGGCACCTATAATCCCAGCTACTCAGGAGGCTGAGGCAAGAGAATTGCTTGAACCCAGGGGGCAGAAGTTGTGGTGAGCCGAGATTGCACCACTTCACTCCAGCCTGGGTGACAGAGTGAAAATCTGTCTCAAGGAAAAAAAAAAAAAAAAGAATATGCAGTCCGAGATAAAACCTAAACTTTCCATTTCATGATTTAGGGATACTCTGCTGTTCCCAGGTTAAGACCTGAGGCAGATTCGACACCTGGGTGAGTATGGCTGACATCTTCTTGCTTCTTTATCCACTCTTTCTCCTCTCACTTGCTAACTGAAGTTTCAGATACCTCCAGGACTGGAGTAGAAGAAAAGAGAAGTAAAGAGAGCAAGAGAATTCCAATTTGACTTGTGCTGTCATAAGATGGCTTCAGGCTCTCTGGAGGCTCATGTCTTTCTGTCTAGCAGACATTTAAAAATGAATTTTTCCTTCATGGATACTCTTGAGGGTTTCCTCATGAAATCTCTTACTCAGGTTTTCTCACCTATGTTCCCTTGATATGGATGAAATACTAGTCTCTGGCTTATCAGATATTCTTACCCAGCTCCAAGGATCCAGCAATACCTCTAGTTTCTTTCTGCTGAGTCCTTATTGCTCTTTCATGCACCCAATCCAATCTCTGCCAAATGGCTCTCATGTGCCATTTATATTTTGTCTCCATAAAACATGCATTCTTGGCCCACTAACTCTAGGAATGCTGTCCAATTCCAGCATGATAGCAAACTCTTTGTCTACACCATCAGAGTAATAAGCAAGCCTCTCTCTCAACTTTTACATTTTCTAGGTGGGATTCAGATACCAGTGCCCTGTGTTGCTTTTTCTCCCAACGTCAGGGGGCACATATTCCTGGGGGAAGTGATCTTATTCCTACATCGGGGTAAATCTTGGTCGATTTATGTCAATCACTGTAAATCTATTCTCCTTACAAGTGATTGTCTTAGGCATGGATATGTGGTACAATTCTAGCCAATGATAAGTAGAGAATTCTGCGGAGAAGCATGTTTTTGAGAAAGGTTTCTTCACTCTTATAAAGCAAGCTGTAGTAAAAGATGGACTTTTTCCCCCTTCTGGACAATTTCTTGTCTGGATGATATGTGTAAATCTCTCACATATGACAGAAGCCTGTCTGAGGAAAGTTGACATGGTGAAGACTGCAGAGTGGGAAAAGAAGTGCCTTATGACATTACTGAGTCACTGAATCAAGCCATCCTGAAGCCACTCCACCTTAAGACTCCTTGTTAAATGGAAGAATAGATCTTTATTATGTTTAAGCCATCCTCAGTTGGGTTTTGTGTTTCTTGCAGCCAAAACCTCCCATCTGACAGAAGTAGTACTGTGTGCTGAGACAATGCTAAAGCACTGTATGTGTGTTCTCCTATTTAACAACACACACACACACACACACACACACACACGTATATATACACATATATATGCTGTTATTGTCTCAGTTTAAAGATAGGTAAACTGAAACATAATGAGGTTACAAAGTTAAGAAGTGAAAGAGGTGGGATTCAAACCCCATTTGTCTGACTTCAATGCCCAAGCCCTGAACCACCGTGCTGTAATACCTCCTGGTGGAGACATGACGGGACACTACCTGAGAATATCTGGGACAGCCCTCTGAGGAATTTCCTCTTTGAAAGAACTTTTATATTCCTATCTGATAACTGAGGAATTCAGAAGGTGGGACGCTTTGCAGAAGCACCAATTTCTGGCATTAAGCCAGTGGAACTTGTCCCTTAAAGTCCTTATTTTGTAGTTACAGCCTGGTGAGACCTAGAAGTCAGAAATGCATTAACTTTGTACTTTTGATACCTATTTGGGACAGAATGCTGCACTTAGTATCTGTCCTCTGAGTTTACTTTTAAAAAAAATTAGCCAAAAACCTCCCAAAGCATACTTTTTAATGGAACTTTGGAAAAAAGTCATAATGCTCTTTGAACAGATTATGGGTACCAAATTTCTTAATGGAAAAAATTTTTTTAAAAAAAGATTTAGTCCAGGAAATTGGGAGTCTAAAGAGTGTTCTTTAAGATAAACAGGAAGTTTTAAGAGAAAATGTCCAATTTAGGGGCAAGGTGCTGAGAATACATATAGCATGTAGTCATCAGATAGGAATATAAAAGTTCTTTCAAAGAGGTGTTTTGTTCCATGAGGCAAAATAAATACTTTATGAACACTATTGATTAGGCAGGGTCTGCCACAGCTCTCAGCCATAAGGGGTCAGGAAGTCTCTATACTGTCAAGTCCTAAAGTCCAGGCATCAATCAGGAGAAATGAACAGGATTTATATTCACAGTAAAGAAAAGTCTTCCCACCCCAGGAGTAGGCAATCAGAATTCTTATTTATTGGGGTTTATGGAACTTTAAAACAGAAAGTATAAAAATGACTCAAAATCCCCACATGAAACAGAATATTGATTTGAGGGAGCATGAAATGCTAATATACATCAGATCAAAGAGGCTTGATTTAAAAATAACAACTATGAACACAGCAGAGAACGGAAGCTGTGGCTCTCTTTACCCTTAGAGTCTCTGGTCTCCCCCTAAAACCCCAGAACACCACTCACAGGTGCTTTGTTAGCTCGGGTCCGCATGTCTTTGTGTCCCAGAGCAACTGAGCTTATCAAGTTGCTCAGCAATAACTAAAATATTTGCCACAGGGCCATATTGCCTATCCGAGGCTAGCTGAAGCACATTGTTGTCTGCCTAGTTACAATTGTGTCAAATAAATAGAACTGGGCATTTTAGAGTGCTAATTTTCTTTTCTGTGGTCTAGATCAATTTAGAGCCATCTCTGTTGGCTATTTGTGAACATTTAGTAAACCTCTTTGAGTTTGGTGCTAATTAGATTTAGTCAGTCTTATGGTGACTCTGCAAACTGATCCATGGACTGTCATTTCTGACAGAGATTATCAGTGAAGTCATTTTTGAAAAGTGGTCACGAATTTGTATGGAAGTGGTTATGAATTCCATTCTGTAATTTTTAATGAAGAGTAGTAACGTAAGTAAAAGATAATTCTTTAAATAAAATGTGAGGAAATGATTTATTGTCCCCAGAAATTCCACTGAAGAACATGAATTGTTTATACATTTCATGCCTCATGTAGTAGGAGTTACAGATGTACAAACTTCCACTGGTATTTAGGTGAGCTAATTTCTCCCCGTGTTTGTAATCATGTGGCTTTCACTGTATGTTTTATAGGTCCTGGGAATCTCTGCGGGGCCTAGTGACTGCCAAATCATTTGCAACTGATTTAGCGCCCTGAGTTCAAAAAAGGGCCTGAGAAAATCTTTTATTGCTTGACCCATTTCAAAACTTTTCCTCAGCAGCTCAACTCAGTCCTTTAAAATCCTCATGGTCCAATAATACATTCTCCCAATAATACATTCACCCCCACTGAGTTGGGGGTTGGGGAGCAGGAGGCCCAGTTCAGGTCATGCTGGGCTGTTTCAAACCTTCTCCATTTTCCTTCACGGTGGCCTGAGAAGGGAGAAGGTCAGGCTTACCTGCCCTCCTGCTTTACCTGGGCCTGCTTCCGTCTCCTGTGAGTGCTGTGTGGACAAATCCACATGGACACACACACGTTTGTGCACACACACACATGCCTTTCAGGAAAAAAATCTCATAACTTTCAGACAAAGACTGTCTAAATACACATTTAGAAAAAAATGTTCTAGCCATCTTCATCACCCCCAAAATGCGTCTATTCTGACATTTAATCATACTATCATTATGATGACAATTTGCTTATCTGTCTCTCCTCCTGATTAGAACTGAGAGGTTCCTGAAAAATTGAAGCCCTCTAATGCCAAAAGATATGCATAATTCAGCTAAAAGTCATAATCAATGAATTATTGGAGATCTCTGTCTGAAATATTAATTTTATGTTGGTGCAAAAGTAATTGCAGTTTTTGCCATTACTTTCAATGGAAAAACCGCAATTACTTTTGCACCAACCTAATAGCTGCATTTGCAGTTTTGAAGCTTCACCATGACCAAATGCTGGCGCTTCAGGCAGAGCTGTTTTAGGTGTTATGTGACATGCATAAAACACAGTCCCTAGTCTCAGGAACTTATAATCTAGTGAGGAGAGTGGACCAAGAAATGCAAACAAATACCCACTACTATAATATCATGTTTAAATGCTCTAGCAGTGACATGATTAAAACTGTAGGAACAAGGAGGGTATAATTCCACCAGGGGAGGGCAGATTTCACAGAGGAACTGCCTCTTGAGGTATGTCTTGAAAAACAAGCAGGAGTTTACCAGGTGACAGAAACAGTGGTGAGGAGCATTGTCAGGGATGGGTAGGAGTTAGGAGTAGGCAACAGGAGGACATTTTGTCCAGAAAGAGTCTGTAGAAGCTCAGAGGCATAAAGTGCAGTGAGCTTCATAGCGACAATTGGTCACTGACCAAATGGGTTTCAGTTTCTTTCCTAAGGTGAAAGTCATCAGATTTTTATATCTCCTCTTGGCTTTCTCTCAGCATACGAAGATGTAATTTCTGAGCCACCATCTTGAGTTTTTCTGCTCATGGGGTTTGGTATGTATGAGGCTTCCAATTACTCTCTAGCCTTCCCTGTGTCCATGTTTGAGATGATGGCTTATGATTGAGATGATGGCTAGCTGGGGCGAGGGGAGCAGTCTTTGGCTGTGGTCGTGGATCCTTATGGGATCCTTATTGGTTGTATTCTGGGCTAATCGACTGAATTAACTTCTGTTCCTAAAATCTATGGGTACCCTAGGAATTTTAAATTTCTTTTGGGTAAGGAGTGGAGAGAAGTGAGTCACTTCCTCTCTTGCTTCATTGCTTTTCTCCATAGAGCACATAGAAAAAATCCAAAGTAAATATGAGAAGATCTTAGTTTTAAATCGTATTTAATAATTGACAGAGAGGAAACTAAAGATACAAGTGACCAGGGAGCTTAAGTTCAAAAGTCTGAATCAAGGACAAGATTAATCCTGATAGGTATTTATCTCAGGACAATTTCCTTCTTCCATGGTAACTGTCTCTTACAGAAAAAAGATTTCAGACGAAAGGCATAGCCCACCCAGGGGAATTATTTCCCTTGAGTAACATGAGACTGAGGACACATGTTGAATCCATTTCTCATTATTGAAAAGGTTTCCCAGATGATGGTGCCAGGTCTGTGTCTCAGCGTGGGAGGGGAGTATAGTATAGAATTTGAACCTAACTGCCCAGGGATCTGAGGAACCTCTCAGGGCGTAGTCGCATCCAAAGCTGGTATTGCTCACCGCGCAACAGCCAGTTAGTCAAGAGACAAGGTGTTGGGGCAAGGAAAGAGAGTTTATTTTTTTAGGAGACTCTATTTACTTATTATTTTGGAAAGCCAGCAAGCCGAGAAGATGGACTAATGTCCTAAAGAACCATCTTAAAAGGCATACATCTCAAGCTTCTTTTTATGTTGGGGAAGGGGGAACAAGGGGACGTTAAAGTCAGGAGGTGACTCGTGACCACAGACACACGAGCATCAGCTGGAGTCCAAGGAGGTTGCAAAAGTTATTTGTCTTTGGTCAGGTCACAGTGCTCCTGTAAATCTTGGCATAACATTGTTGCTTGTGCATACACCCTCCTTATCTCCTTTAAGCTTAGTTTTCAAAAGGGACTATTTTCATCCTTGCTTTGAACTATAAACTAAATTCCTGCCATAGTTAGCTTGGCCTACATGCAGGGATGAGCAAAGGCAGTCAGCTTGTGAGGTTAGAAACAAGATGGAGTCAGTTATGTTAGATTTCTCTTACTGTTACAAGGGCCTCTTTGAGAATCAGCAGTCTAGAATGGAAGTTCTTAATCTGGGCTTAGCAGAGAGTATCTGAGAAACATGAAATTCTTTGCAAACATTTCCATTTGTTCTTATTTTTGTAGAAGTTTTTTCCAGAAGTCTTATCTTTCTTGGAATCTTTCATCAATTTAATGAAAGGCTCTGTCACTCCCAAACAGGCTTAAAACCCCTAGTTTAATACAATGTGTTTCAAGATCTTGCTTCCTTTTTTGGTAAGGGAATGGAGGGTGAGAGAAAAAAATTGATTAAGCCTCCCTTTGGTGTTGCATCACATATCCCTAAAGAGAGACCTGCAGGACACAGCAAAAATCACACCAGACTTTTTTTTTTTTTTTTCAATCTGGCTGTTTTCAAAATTCTGGCAATAAGTCACAAAGTATTCAATGAGGAAGAAATGGGAAGCCAACATCCTCAGAGGCCCACATTTCTATACTAGCTCAGATACAAACAGAACTTGTCCAGGAGCGGGAAGTTTTATGCAGGAACACAGAAGAGTGGCACTGATACAGACAGGAGGCAATACTAGGGAAATACTAGGCAGAAAAGGGTGGGGTCCCTGGCAAAGCCCCACCCTCAAGCCTGGACCTGCTGCCCAAAGTGAGAACATCTATTCCTCGTTTCCCCCCTGAATGCTGCCTTTTCTAAAACCAACCTGGCCCACCTTGACCCCCATCCTGTACTCATAAAAAACCCAGGCTCCACCGGCAGAATGGCAGAGTGGCAGAGTGGCAGAGAAGGAGAGAAGAGAAGCAGCCAAACGTCGGAGAGAAGCAGCTTGACTTCAGAGGAACGGCTTGACAGTGGGACCTTGGAGAAAAGTTTGGCTGGGGACGGCCGAACTCCAGGAGAAGACTACCTTCCCACTCCATCCCCTTTCCAGTTCCCCATCCCACTGAGAGGCACTTTTATTGGCAATAAATTCCTCCACATTTACGATCTTCGATTCATTCATGTGACCTGATTCCTCCTGGATTCCGGACAAAGATCTGGGTGCAGATGCAAGAGTCGTCACACTGACCCTCCACTGAGCTATCTAACATTTAAGCCGTCCACAGACAGTAAAACTAAAAGAGTACGGTGTTTTAATGGAGGAAGATAAATAAGAGAGAAGGACACAGGAAAAGTGACATAATTCACTGATAACAGACAACAGGAAGAATAATCATGTCCCATATCAGCCTGGGAAGGTAAGAAAGGCATCATTACAAGGAGTAGAATAACAGCTCTCAAGCTGGTTCAGTGGGCAAAATATCTGGAAAATTTCATCAATGGAAAGGATGATAATAATCTAGGTCACTATTTCTGATTCAAGCCTGTGGGAACAAATGTGTTTCAGAATTTTAAAATGTTTTCATTTTGGAAAGGTAATGTCTAGCTCAGGCTACTATAACAAGGTACCATAAACTGGGTGGCTTAAACAACAAACATTTACTTCTCACAATCCTGGAGGTTGGAAGTCTGAGATCAGGGTGTCAGCAGGGTTGAGTTCTGGTCTATAGATGGCTGGCTTCTTGCTGTGACCGCATATGACAGAAATAGAGCTAGCTAGCTGGCTTCTTCTTACAAGGGTACTAATCCCATTGTTTGTGATTAGCCTTTTTTTTTTTTTTTTTTTTTTTTTGAGATGGAGTCTTGCTCCGTCACCAGGCTGGAGTGTAGTGGCGTGATATTGGCTCACTACAATCTCCACTCCCAGGTCCAAGCAATTCTCTTGCCTCAGTCTCCTGAGTACCTGGGATTACAGGCATGCACCACCACACCCAGCTACTTTTTATATTTTTAATAGAGACAGGGTTTCACCATATTGGCCAGGATAGTCTCGATCTCCTGACCTTGTGATCCACCTACCTCAGCCTCCCAAAGTGCTGGGATTACAGGTGTGATTAGTCAGCTCTCAGAACAATTGTTCATTGTTCTTCCCCACTTGGGGCCTTCCCCCACCTGGGGCCCCTTCTTCCTTGTTGCTTACTTATCAGGACTCCACATTGAAGATGTGAACACACTATCTATTAAAACTCATTCAAATATTGATGCTAAGTTTCAGTCATTTCCAGAATCTATTCAGTTGAACAACTTCTAAAATACTGAGGATGCTGGGTGCGGTGGCTCACATCTGTAATCCCAGGACTTTGGGAGGCAGAGATGGGTGGATCACCTGAGGTCAGGAGTTTGAGACCAGGCTGGCCAACATGGTGCAATCCCATCTCTACTAAAAATACAAAAAACAAAAAAAAAAATAGCTGGGTGTGGTGGTAGGCGCCTGTAGTCCCAGCTACTTGGGAGACTGAGGCAGGAGAATTGCTTGAACCCAGGAGGTGGAGGTTGCAGTGAGCAGAGATCACGCCACTGCACTCCAGCCTGGGTGACAGAGCAAGACTGTGTTGCAAACAAATAATAATAAATAAAATAAAATAAAATGCTGAGGATGATTGTTTCTTTCCGATGTCCCACACTCCTTCTATTATCTGTTTCTTGAAAGCCGCTTACTGTCTCTCCATTCAGAGCTATAAGTTCTAAATATTCTGCAATAAAATTAGAATGAGCATGGTGAATGTGATACAATTTTAAAAACTTTTTTGGTCTTTTCCTAGTTCCTGCCTGGCACCAGCTCCTATAACCCTTGGAATATCCAGAGTGATAAGAATGTCTTTTGTATGCTAATGATGACTGGTGGCTCCGGGACACTAAGGTAGCTTCAGGATGGAGGCTGGTCACAGGAAAGACAAATGCAGAGAGGGTTTGAAATTCTAGCCCCACCCCCAGACCTCTGGCGTGGGGAAAGGGACTAGAGACTGAGCTAAACACCAGTGGCCTATGATTTAATCAATTATGCCTAAATACTGGAAAACCACTAAATGACAGAGTTTGTAGAGCTTCTGGGCTGGTAAAACCATCCACATGCCAGGATGGTGGTACACTCCAACTCTGTGGAGACAGAAGCTCCTGCCCTGGGGGCCCTTCTGAACCTCACTCTATGAACCTCGTTATCTGGCTGTTCGTTAGTGTCCCTTGTAAAATGATAATAAACGGGTAAACCTAAGAAAAGTGTTTCCCTGAGTTTTGTAAGCCGTTTGAGCAAATTATTGAACCTGAAGAGGGGATCATAGGAGCCCCCAGTTGACAACCAGTTGGCCAGAAGTACAAGAGGTCTAGGGCTTGTGACTGGCATCTGAAGTAGGGATAGTCTTGTGGCACTGGGCCCTTAAGCCGTGGAGTCTGCACTAACTCTGGGCAGTTAGTGTTAAAATTGAATAGAATTGTTGGACACCCAGTTGGTGTTTGGAGAATCCAGCTGTTGGTGTTGGAAAATGCTTCAGAGTGAGGCTTTAATTATGGCAATTCTCAAACTGTGTTCTCGTGGAACATTCAGTCTCAGCTGAGTGAGGTACTCTCTAGAGTAGTTGAATAATGATAGGGTTTTAATGAAAAAAAAGTGCGAGAGTTCTTCAAACCGTGCTTCATGAAAACAAAATTCAAAGATAAACTTAACACAGTCAGAAAGGCACATTTATTTTCTAAAATCTAACCTGGTATCAAGGAACTCTGTTCAGCATTATGGAGTCCACGAACTCTGTCACTAAGACCAGTTTGAAATCCAAACAGATCTGTGTTCTGATCTTGACTCAGCTACTTACAAACTGTATGATTGTGGACAAATTATCTACCATTTCTAAGACTCAGTTTCCCTTTCTTTTATCTATCCAATCATATATCTATCAATTATCTATCATTTATTATTATCTATCACCTCTGTTTATTCACTTATCCACCTAGGATAAACTAGGCCGGGCGTGGTGGCTCACACCTGTAATCCCAGTACTTTGGGATGCGAGGCGGGTGGATCACCTGAGGTCAGGAATTCTAGACTACCCTGACCAACATGGTGAAACTCCATCTCTACTAAAAATACAAAAATTAGCTGGGCGTGGTGGCGGGTGCTGGTAATCCCAGCTACTTGGGAGGCTGAGGCAGGAGAATTGCTTTAACCCAGGAGGCGGAAGTTGCAGTGAGCCGAGATCATGCCATTGCACTCCAGCCTTGGCAACAGAGCGAGACTCCATCTCAAAAATAAATAAATAAAATTAAATTAAAAAGATAGACATTAAGCTATTCATCAATATCTATTTTTTTTTTCCATTTAGGCATTGAGGATGATCACACCTATGTCCTGCTCTAGCCAATAAAATGTGAGCAGAGGTGAAGACTTTTGTCCCTTCCAAGAGAAGCATTTAAGAGCTGATGCCAATTTTCCAGCTTTCCTTCTCTCTGCTGCAGTGATTGGCAGTGTAGACAGTGGAGCTTCAGCTGGTCAGGGTCCCTAAATGAAGGCACTGTTGATCCCACCCAGTATGGACTTGGCGTGAACAAAAAATACACTATTGTTAATGTTTGTGATAGACAGATCAACCTCAAGGAGGGTTTCCAGGAGAAGACAGTTCTCACTGTGGTGGGTATGACTTGATATACCAAACTCCAGGAAGGCAGAGAACTAGCTATTTACTTCATTTTGGTGTTCTATACTAAAGATTCTGAAAGCTCCTATCAAATCACAATTTATTAATTTATAACATTAAAAAATATTCATATAGCACAGATTATATATGTCAGGCATATGTTATTGTTATGTTAAACTGATGAGATTATGGAATTGTTTATTACTTAATCCAATTTCACTTGATTAATACATTGTCTTGCCTCTTCCAGAAAGAATTTAAAATTGCTTAAAGAGAAATACAGCGCAATAGGATAAAAAAGTGACTGAGTAAATTAAGAATAATATATAACATTTGCCTTATAGAATCATTGGGAGAAAACATATATATCCATTAGTGTCACTGATAATCACTAGATATAACGGTATGAGCTCCTTTATATGTTTGGATCCTTCTGTATGCCTAAGCGATGGTCCCTCCACACCCAGATACCGCTTTCATTTTCCACCATGAGCAGGGAAGACTTCCTTGACTTACAATTACAATCCAGTTTCCTTCACCCCACACTCATTATCGCCCTTATTTATTTATTTATTTATTTTTTAATTGTACTTATTTGCAGAACTTTGCTCCTTCATTCTGCTAAAACCGGATTCTTGTCACACAAGCAGGAAAAGTTAGGCATGCAGACACGTTGGGTGAGGGGAACAGAATTTATTGGGCGAGAAGGAAAAAAGAAAAAAAAAAAACTCTCAGCAAAGCAAGCAGGGTTCTTGCTAACAGGCCTCCATCTCACAGACTGATTCTAGGCCACGCACAGGAGCTGAAGAGGCCAGGCTCCTCCCCACTGCAAATGGCACGAACTTCCCCTGGGGCCCCACCGTGTTCTCCCAGTGCATAGGCCAGTTAGAGATTCTTCAGGGACCCTCCCTCTTATCTTCCTCCTGCATCTATCACTTATCACCATCTGCCATACTTTCTATTTTACTTCTTTATTTGTTTGATAAACATTAGAGTGGAAGCTGTATGAAGGCAGGGATCTTTGTTCACTGCTATCCCCAGCACCTAGTACAATGCCTGACATATATAATCTGTGCTGTGTAATATTTTTAATAAGTTACAAATTAATGAATTGTGACTTTATAGGAGCTTGCAGAATGCTTACAACAGAACACCAAAATGGGTGAAATAGTCAATTGCCGGGCTCCCTGGAGTCTGGGATATCAAGTCATACCCATCACACTGAGAACTGTCTTCTCCTGGAAACCCTCCTTGAAATTGATCTGTCCATCACCACCTTCCTAGCCTCTTCTCCCCTCTTCTTCCTTTTCTGCATGCTGGTTTTGAGACGTGCTACTCACTAGACAAACTTCAATAACCATAATAATGAGACGCAAAGTAAAATAATGATTAACCATTATTGAGCACTTATAATTCATCGATCATATTTGTTCTAGCTTCACAGCTAAGTACATTCCATTCATGATCTCATTCATTAATTTCAAAAAACTCTGCGGGCAGTGATATTATGATCCTTACTTGAAAGATGAGGAAATGTAAGCTTAAAATGCTGAATAATTTGCAGAAGACCATACAGTTCATAAATGGTAATGGAGGTGTTTTGGTAATCTATTGCTATGTAATGATCCACCAAAAAGGAAGTGGTTTAAATCAATTTACTATTATTTATCATGGTTCTGTGGATTGAATGGGCTCAGCTGAGTAATTCTCTCTTGGGGTCTCCCATATGATTGTGAATGGTTGCAGGTAGATGGCTTCTGGCCTGAGTGTCCAAGATGGGTTTCCTGTATCTAGCATCTCAGATGGGATGGCTTGAACCCTTGGGGACTGGCAGGGCATCTCACTCTCTTTCTCTGTGTGGTGTCTCCAGATTGTTAGCTTGGACTTCCTCACAGCATGGAGGCCTCAGGATAGTCAGACTTCTTGTGCGATGTCTGCCTTCTCATGAGCTATCCTTGGAAGCCCCACAGCGTCACTTCCCTTGCATTCTATTAGTTACACAGAAGCAGCTCACATTCACTGTGGGAGGGCATAAATACACTGGAAGGCATGACTCATTGTAGGGGGGTGTTTTGGAGACTCATTATCTTGGTGGAATTTTTAAACTAGACATTCTGAACCTAGGCTAGAGGTTGCAAACTCATTTATCTACATGGAACTGGCAGATGATTATGAGCAAGGAAGGCCTGAAGCAAGACAATTGGGACTGGGGCAGACTGTGCTGGACTGAAGAACACAGGTGTTATTAAAGGGGCACTTACTGCTCAGCACCAGCCGACTTTGCCTTACGAGACTACAGGCCCCTTGTTACTGCATCCTCTGAATTTTTAAAGGAAATTCGGCAACCTGGGTTTTTATACAAAATATCTTAATATGAAAAACCTGTTATTGGTCAAGCAAAACACTTCTGTGTTTAGCTTGTGGGCTGCTAGCTTGTGAACACTATTCTAGATCTCCAAGGTAACATCCACACGCATTAGCACAGCACACAAGGCCCTCATGACCTGCGGGGGCTACCTTGCCTGGCAGTCCAGCCTCATTTCTCACTCCTCTCTAACATTTGTGCATTCAGCAAGTATTTATTAATGCCTCCTTGTACCAAGTCTATTCTACGTTCTGGGGATGTAGCAGAGAGTAAAACAAAGTCCCTGCCCTCAGGGGGCTTACATTGTAGTTGGAGACAGACAATAAACAAAGAATTGTGTAAAATATCAGATGGCACTAAGTACCATAGAGAAAAATAAAGCCAGGTGAACCCTAGCTGGCAGGTTGCACAACATATCTTGCTCTCTTTTCATGCTCTCTTGTCTGCCTTGAATGACTCTTTTTCCTTTCAGCTTAACTGCCTTCTACCTATTGTATCACTTGGGGGCCTAGCTTGAGGGTTACAACCTCTGACACCTGTGATCCTGCAAGTGTGAAATTGATGACCGCCCTCCTTGCTTGTAAGGTACTTGTGTCTACTCTTACCATACGGTTATAACTGTTTTTTAAAGTTTATAGTTACTTTTCCATATCCCCCACTAGATAGTGAGTAAATTGAGGGTTTCTGCATATTCTTAAATTTTCCACGGATCTTTGTTGACTAAATGAACAGTCTCTTTGGAAAGATCTTCAAGGAAGGAGCTGCTTGGTGGGAGAAGAATTCTCCTGTCCTCTGTTTTTCTTTTCCTTTTCCAATAAGAAAGTTTCTTTCCTCTGCTCTCAAAGCACAAAACTATGCATGAGGTTATTTGAAAACCAAGTAAAAGGACATGGTTTGTGTCCTGTGGTTTGGGGGCTGGTTATTCATGAGTGTGAAATGTCTTACATTTTCAGTGAGTCACAGGAATGCAACTTTACCTGGTTGTGAGACATCAATACACTCATTCTGTTTGCATATTCATACACACACTCATGCATGAAAAAAGATGAAACACGTCCTTTATATCTACAGGCTGGGACTTATCTCTATGCATTTCACTAGGCAGATAAACAGGATGCACACTTATAATCGACAAAAATCAAACACTAAAATCTACTCCTGGCACTGCTCTATATCTACCCAGTATCTTTGACTTTCTGTGTGCTGTGGTTGTGTCTGGCTTCTGCTGCCTGGGCTTCCGGTGTGTGAAGCCTCCTTTGTCTAACATTCTGAGATCCCCTGTGAGTGTGACTGAGGCTGGCTTGGTTTTCTAGAAGACCCAGGAGTGGTTCTCCCTCTGCCCTGCATGTTGCTGCCCTATGGAACAAGATGACGGCTGAATTTCTGTTGCTTGGTGGAGTACACACATGTTCCACTGCATTCTGGAACGCTTGAGCTCTCGAGCCCAGACCGCAGAGTGCTGTGGGCAGATCAGTCTCTGATCTGTCTCATCTCTGGAAACCCTGATTCTCGTTATGTCAGAGCCTCTCCAAAGGAAAGTAACCAGGGTAGAATCCTGCATGAGGAGAGGAGCAGCCTTGGGCGGCAGGTGACTGCCTGTGAAGCTTGTGCCCTGGAAGGTTGGCTGTGGATAAATATCCACCCAAGGGCATAGCATGTGTGTGCCTTGCCTTTTAAGGGAGGGCTGGTTGAGGAACAGGATGGTCTGTTGTGGTTGCAGCTCCATGAGCAGACTAAGCCAGGCTGGCAGGAATGCCCAGAGGGTTCTGAGCAAACTTAGCAACGAGGATTCAGGTCACTTACCAGATTGACCATTTCTCTTTAATTGGTAATTTTCTTCATATGATGCTTCCAATAAAATGTGCCCAAAGGTTTTGTTGTTGTTATTTGTTTAAAAATAAAGCTAAAATAAATGGAGATAATAATTCTTTAAGCCCCATGTCAAATTCAGCCTTCCCCATGAAATATTTCTTCAGTTCCCAACTCTGTTCTTTCCTCCTTCTCCAGTCTAAATATGCCATCTCTCTTCTTTAACACAGTACTAATTTGGAGTCTTCTTAAAGTGTTTCTCGCACTTTCTCTTTTTAATGTAGTTACTGTTACATAAGAACTTCTCAGCTTCAGTGCTGTTTTTCTGACCGTGGACAATCAGGGTTCCTAGACTGACTTGTTCCTCTTTGCCTCCCTGAAGCAGTTAGTGTAGAGCTTTATGCCACAGGAACTCAATAAGCCACGGTAGAACCAAAGAGCTCTTAGCCTTGCACCATTCCCTTGCCCGCTCCTGGTGACTTGATGACCTGCACTGGCCACATGCTAGCAGGATTTCCAGGCAGACTGCCTAAACATTTCAAACAGATTGGGTCATGGCGGTAGAGCACATGGCGTGGCATGAGCTTCAGAAACGTGTTATGCTTAGACTTCCCATGAACTTTATAGCTACTTTACCGTCTGAGAGCTACAGACAATCTTTCCACCCCTGGTAGCTGTGTAACATCCTTGAGGACATGGAATATTTTCCATTTCATTATATCCCCACAATGGTACCTGGTGCCAGGTGCTCAGGAAGTATTGGTGGAGTGGTTGATTAGGTTGCCTGGCTTTGCAGGGGCTTATCAGTCTATAATTTACACCACTGACCTTCCCCCAAACTCCAGGGAGGGAAGAGGGACTGAAGATTAGCAGAAAATCACCCAGGAAAGACAATAAGAAATGAAGGCTTCTACTCAAAAAGTAGGATTTCTAGTAAGTCATGAAGGCTTAATGCTGTGTCTTTGTGAAAGGACTGAAGTCTGCCCTGTTTGTGCTGGATGAAGGCAGGGAAAGAAGGACTTTGAGATCGGGATGTCCATCATACATGATGGAAACTTGGGTTTTAGCAAGAGAGAATATGTAGTGGTGATGAACTCTAATTTCAGGCATTTAGGGGTACCTCTAATTGAAAAATTATATTCTGGGGACCTGGAAAGAATTGTGGGAGTCGGAGGAGGTGAAACCTCAACAAAAGCAGTTTCATATTCTCACACTGAAACTCAGTGGAATGTTAGGTGGGTGGGGAACTAGAGGTCAGCCCGGGATGAGCTCTTGTCTCCTGGTAAGCTCTGCTCTCCCACTAAAGCACCCTACTTAGGGCCAGGGCCCCCATTTGGGTGAAGTTAACCTTTCCTCTTCTCAGGAGCTGGCAGGACTCAGGCAGTTTTCATTGCCCTTTAACTTAAACTCTTATTCTCTTTAAGCATCTACTCAGTGTCCTTGTTGAGGGTATATTAGGTCTCTTTTGGTTGCAAATGACAGAAACCCAACTCAAATAGGCTTACACTGGAAAAAAAAAAAAAGAAAATTCTGACTTCTACAACTTAAAAAATTTAGTGATGGATTTCCCAGATTAAGGTCCAGTTGGAATCTGTCTTTGTCCATCTCTCAGCTCTGCCATCTGTAGACACTCCCATGTGGATGACCAGCCAAGCCCAGCAGAGCAAAAGCACTTCTTTCCCAGTAGCTTCAGCAAAGGTCCCAGAGCTACTCAGAAACAGTCAGATGGGGCATTGGACCATCCATAATCTAGTCACTGGGGCTGACGAGACTCATGGCTTTAATGAAGCAAGCTGGATTCTGTCCTTATGCCTGGAGCAGTGGGACCAGCTGCAACTGAACCATAAACGGGGGGAAGCACAGGTGGTTGCTCAAAGAAAATTGGACAGTTGTTAGCAAAAATGGGGTGATGGTTGCAGGGCAAATTTACACTACAATGGCCAAGTGCTGTCACTCCACAAGAACTCTGCTATGTGAGTTTAAGAGTGTTCAGCCAGGCGCGGTGGCTCACGACTGTGATCCCAGCATTTTGGGAGGCCAAGGCGGGTGGATCATTTGAGGTCAGGAGTTCGAGACCAACCTGACCAGTATGGTGAAACCTCTGTCTGTACTAAAAATACAAAAAAATTAGCCAGGTGTGGTGGCACATACCTGTAGTCCCAACTACTCAGGAGACTGAAGCAGGAGAATTGCTTGAACCCAGGAGGTAGAGGTTGCAGTGAGCTGAGATCATGCCACTGCACTCCAGCCTGGGCAACAGAGCGAGACTCCATCTCAAAAAAAGAAAAAAAAAATTTAAGAGTGTTCATATAGAAACACTCATTTCTCTCCATGTATGTTTTAAGGGCTGGGCTCCTGAAATTGGTTCTCCCCCTCCCCAGACCCCTCCTCATACCTTAAGAAGCAGGTTTTAAAATGTTGGATATTTTCTTGAGGAGGGCAAATATCAATTTTTTTCCCTCAGTTCAGAGAATCAAGAAGCATAGTCTCTGCTATGCTATGTCCAGCTGAGGACAAATGTATAGTTTCTAAGATCAATTATCTAAGGGCAAAATGACATCATAGATTTATCTGGATAGAAGTACATTTTCATATGGTTTGATTCCTATCTCCAGGGCAGCTAGGGTTTGTGCTTCTGTGGTGAGTGCCTGGCCTTGACTGATGCTGGGGGAATGGAGGTTTTGACTCTGGCCCTGCCACTCACAACTGAATGAGCCTGGGTAATTCACTGTTTTCCTGGGCCTCAGTTTTCTCATCTTTTATATTATAGTTTGGACTGGATACTCTCTAGTGTAGTCTGTCTTTTTTCTAAAGAGTTTGATTTTTAGCTGATAGTCAAATCCATAATAATCTGAGTTATAGCCTATATTTCTAGGTGAGGAAGCTTAAATGCTGTACAGGTTAAAAAAAAAAAAAAACCTAAAACTTTCTGCTTGATTCAGGAAGGGGAGTTTGAGAGACAATAATGTTCAACCCTTCCTTCAGGACAAGAGATGTCATTAGGATGTGGATATCTTCAGACCCAGCAGGGACCACACTTATGTCTGGAACACTGTCAACCAACTATAAGTATCTCTGACCTTGTGGCATGAAGCTGCCCACCAACCATGATCCGATCATCCCCTGAATGCATGAAGCACAGAGAACATGAGGCAGGGAATGAGCGACATCTGTGCACAGGAAATCTCTAAACCAAACATATTTAATATTTAATCTTTTCCTGTTTGCTCTGAGGCATTTCATTATTGGAAATGGCAGGCTGCCAACCACGATGCCCAGTACAGTTTGGGAAGGTCATTCCATCTCAGATTTCCAACTGAACGTTGAGGAAGTGATGGTGGATGATCACATTGTTGAGACCTGGGGGCAGGGTCCATGCCTAGCAGAGGGACACGTGGTAGATACACAGAATGAATGAATGAATGAATGAATGAGTGCATGGATGGCTGAGTGCTAAAATTACTTCTAGTTCTGACTCTCATGTCTGAACACACGGATTTCCTTCCAAGAAATAAAACAGTATGTAGATGTAGGAAATTGAGAAAAAATGGAGAACACAGAAAAGATGTGTCTGTGAACCAGAGAAAGGGGCTGTTGGGCAGGAGATACTTGGGGGGAGAGGTCATTGTGCCTAGCTTGTGCCCCCAGGCCTTCTGCAAAAGGAAGCATCTCCTGATGCTCCTCTGGCCACTTCCTCCATGTCCCACCCACCTCGCTGCCCCCCTTCCTGTGTGTGGAGCAGGAGCTGAAACAGAATCTACTGAAGGAGTGTTGGGGAAATGAAACCACTTTAGCGACCACAGTTACTAGGTCCTTATCTGTGTCTTTATTCTCTGTCACGTGATTCTCTCCAGCCTCCTCCTTTGCCCTGAGTCTGGTGCTGGGTAACCTGAGCACAGGGAGAAGGAGCAGGAATCTGCGGGGGGTCACACATGCATGCGCACACACACACACACACACACACACACACACACACTTGACACAGGAGCCAGAGAAGTGCTTGCTATGCAGAAATAAGGGAGGTACAGAGCTGTAAGGGAAGGTTAATCCAGAGGTAAAGGAAACCCTGGCACCTTTGCTCCCTTGCTGAAATTCCCACCCTTACAGTATGGGCATCAAAGAGAGCCCAGGGCTGAGCCAGGGCTCTCTTTCTTTGTGGTTAAGTCACTTTGATGTGTGAGAGCCTGGATGGGGCAAGGTAAAGTGCATTGTAGGATTGAGGGTGTTTATTGGTTAGAAGTCTAGGAAGAGGCAGCTGAACCAGTGAGT
Organism: Homo sapiens; assembly: GCF_000001405.40. Classification (NCBI taxonomy): domain Eukaryota; kingdom Metazoa; phylum Chordata; class Mammalia; order Primates; family Hominidae; genus Homo; species Homo sapiens. Next base: position 172,644,132 of record NC_000001.11, read on the forward strand.
CATATATGGACAGCTGTCCTGGGGATGGACAGAGGTGTCTCAGGCCTGTATGTGAAAACCAGGCCCTGTTAGGGGAAGGGCAGATCAGAGGTGGATGGCAAGATGCAAAGGTTAACCTCCGCAGTGCTGATGGGGGCGAGTTTCTAAAGCCGGCAAAGAAAGAGCAGGTAGGCTGGCCTTCACAGTGACGAGGCAGGGGAATGGGAGACAGCCAGAGGATGCCTGGGTAGGCAGACAGGGACTCTGTCAGAGGGCAGCATCAGGGGGCTCTGGACCTGGCACAGGAAGGATAGCCTGGGGCAGAAGAACAGGCCTCTTTGGATTTTGGCTTCTGTTTGGGTGGGATGGGTAATAGGTCTATTTCTGACTGACTTCTAATATCAGCAGCTTATGACATTTCAGCTTTTCTTCTCTATGACTGTATCTATGGGCTAGGAGGGGTCTCCTACCTGAGGTTCAGGAGGCCCCATTCTCTTACTTGGTTCTTCCTGCCAATCCCTCCAATCCCCCCCTTTTCTCCAGTTTTCAACCTCCCTTTCCTCACTGACCTTTTTTTCTTCTTCTTCTTTGCTTCTTTCACCTCCACCTTCCTCTGTCCTCCTCTTTTCTCACCTGTCTTTCGTTCCTTTAATCAACCTCTCCCTCACCATAGCACTATGGACTTTGGAGTACGGTAAGGCCTTCTGGACATGTAGTGCAGCCCTCCACCCCAAACCCCTGCCATCATTTGTCTGGTGCTCAGACATCTCTCGGAACTGGGAAACAACCATTGCTCAGGACAACTCATTCTGCTTGCAGCACTTTGATGGTTAACTCAGTAGGGATCCAGAGATGAAAGATGTTCCTCCTGTCCTTGAGAAACTCAGTGTCTAGTGGAGCTGAACCTTCCGCTGTTGGTTCTAGTTCTACCCCATAGGGTCTATATAGGCTAGCAATACTCAGTAAATATTTACTGAGCATTTTCAGTGTACCAGTCTCTGAACTAGGAATTATAGACTCCAAAATTAACAAGAAATTGTCCCAGTAGTTATAATGCTTGAGTTTAGGAAATAGGAGAGATTCCCAATGACTTGGTGTGTTAAGTGTTATAATAAGCAGGCTACAGGAACTGAGAGCAAAGGATTCACTGTGCCTGGAAAGGCTTCACACAGGTGGTAATGTTTGAGCCGATTTTGAAAGGAAGAGTTCCCCAGGAAGAAGAAAGAACTTTTTGAGCAGAGGACATTCCCAGGCACAACCTGGAGAACTATGTCAAACCAGGAAGCTAGAATAACATAAAATAGGATTAGTTATGAATGAAGGGAACAAACCAAGGAAGGGGCTTCAATGATAGAGATTTCCCAGGAAATGGAAAAAAAACACACAAACATGACATGGAAACCCAACACTCAGTGTGGTTCAGTGAAGTCCAGGAGTAGGGACCCCTGAAGACTTGAGTTGTGCTTCATCTTGGGATTCCTGCTGCAGAGGGACACAGCCTTGTTGGCGTCCAAGTTCCTCTTCTGTAAATAGAAGAGGTGACAGCACCTGACCTTCCTGTCTTGTCGTTGGTGAGGGGAAGGATGCAGAGTCTGAGAAGGCTCGGAGCCTGGAGCACAGACAATTTAGTGAGATGATTATAGCTAGTGATTGAGAGTGTGGCTTTCAAATTTTTTTCTTTATCTTTTAAAAAAATAAAAATAGGAGGCATGGAGAAGTGGTGGGAGTGGGAGTGTGGGGGTGTTTGAAAGTGAGAATGAGAAACTCCAACTTGGAATTCCTAGGACAACAAGTAGGGATTTTACTGTACTATTTGTTGGGGGGAATCTTATTTGTCAAAGGCATTCTAAGGGCATGCGAGAGTCCGCAAAGAGGAGGGGACAGTGTGGTCTGGTGGAAAGGCCTGAATTCAAATCCAAGCTTAACCACTCCATGGATTCTTCAACGTCCCTGGATCATTGGCAAAAGGGGGATAATAATACTTATCTTAGAAGACGACTTGAGAGCCAAATAAGACAATATCTATAATGTTCCTGGCACAGTGCTTGGCATATAGTAGGTGCTAAATAAATGCTTCTTTCCTTTCCTTTTTCTTCCTCACCTATCCCAAAAGAATATTGAGTTAGTATTTTAACTATGAAGGACGGAAACAACTGGTGAAGTTGAGGGAATGTAAAGACAACACTAGGAACATGGCCCCCAGACTGTGAACGCCCTAAGGAATTGTGCCTTGACCATTATGTGTTCGCACCCTCCGTGGGTGCCATGTACGTATTAGGTGCTCAAGATAGATATGGGTGGAATTGAACAGAAACAAATGCTTGCCATTTTTCTATTTCCAGACATCTAAGATGTGGTGGGGAAGCACTAAGAGACAGGGCAGATTTTCTTTCTAACTCTTCCACATGCTGGCTGTGTGGTCTTGGGAAAACCCTCTCCCCTCTCAATGTCCACATGTTTGAAATAAGAGACAGGGCAGGATGATCTCCATGTTAGTGTAGAGTTGCCTAAGGATTTAGGTGGGTAAGACAGTTGTTACGAACTGAATTTTGTACTCTCCCAAATTAATGCATTGAAACTCTAACCCCTAATGTGACTATATTTGAAGAGAGGACTTACATGAGGTACTTAAGGTTAAATGAGGCCAAAAGGATGGAGTCTGAATGTGCTAGGATTAGTGGCCTTATCAGAAGAGCAAGAATGAGTTCACTTTCTGCCATGTGAACTCACAGGGAGGAGGATATCTGCAAGCCAGGAAAAGAGCCCACGCCAGAACCTGACCATGCTGGCACCCTGATCTTGGAATTCCAGTTTACAGAACTGTGAGAAAATAACTTTCTGTTGTTTAGGCAACCCAGTCTATAATATTTTATTATAGCAGTGTGAGCAGACTAAGATAACAGTACTGCAGCTGGCTTGCAAATAAGGCTCAGGAGAGAGACCTCATTTGTAAAAACTGGTACAAGAGCTAGGGACCTTTTCACTACTGGCTGGGGCCATACTTTTCCTATCGTCCCCAGGTCTGTGACAGACAGGAAGCCACACCTCAGACACAGAGCCCATATGCTTAAAACTTGCTTCTCATGAGCCCCCCGGGGTGGAAGGCTCTCGAGGCATCCAGCTGCACACCCTTGACCAACATCTGCTAGGTGCTCAAAGGAAACAGTGGGTGACAAAAGCAACGTCTTTGACATTTAAGTCAGCCTTTGGTGCATCTACTTTCCCACAAACCCACCATGACACATGTTTTTGTAATGAAGCATTACAAAGGCCAAAAAAGGCCGCATAAAAGAGCCCACAAGACCCAGGCGTTTCCATTCTTAATACATGTTGTTTGAGGTGCGCCTCCCACCTTATCCCACCTCCTCACTGTCCTGCAGGTGATGGTCCCTTTAGCCTTAGGCACTTGGGGGCGCTACTCACAGGATCACCTGGAGCACTGCATTTTTTGTTTTTGTTTGAGACAGAGTCTTGCTCTGTTGTCCAGCCTGGAGTGCAGTGGCACGATCTCAGCTTACTGCAACCTCCGCCTCCTGGATTTAAGTGATTCTCCTGCATCAGCCTCCTGAATAGCTGGGATTACAGGCGCCCACCACCATGCCTGGCTAATTTTTTGTGTTTTGGGTAGAGACTGGTTTCACCATGTTGGCCAGGCTGGTCTCCTGACCTCAAGTGATCCACCCACCTCGGCCTCCCAAACTGCTGGGATTACAGGTATGAACCACTGCGCCCAACATGGATCACTGTTTTTTTATAAGTACTCTCACAATGGGCCCTCTGAGTTAGAATTTTGCCTCAAACACCCACAGAATGCATAATCTCAGGCAAGTCATTTAACTTATTTGAGTGTCAGTTTATTCATCTGTATTCATCTGATCAACAAATATTTGTTTTTTTGAGTTCCTCTAATACCAGGCATTAATCTAAGTTTGGAATTCATGCTTCGCCATTTCTTTTTGAGAAATTCGGACTGTTAGTCATGATACGATTTAGTAACCCATGTGTGACCTCCACACTGTTCTCAGTCATGCACAATGTATCACACTTGAATATGAGGACTGAGAATAAAAGATGATCAATCTGCAGAGTCACTGCCTGAACTTTACCATATCAGGGTTCGTCACAAGGGTTCTAACTGCAAGAGAGCCTGATGAGCCTCCTGAAAGAAATAGTGAATGCACTGAATGGTATTTAAACCTTTGCACCAGGAGGGAGGACAGTGATGCTCCCTGGCTTTTTGAGTGGGAAGAAGGTTATCTGGAGGCAACAAAGAAGAAAAGTTGCCATGGGATCCAGTTGGATTATTAATGGGAATGAATGCTGTTGGGAGTAAGCCTGTGTAATTTCTCTTAAATATCTTCTAATTTTTTTTGCAGCATTTAAGGGTCAAAAATTGATAAGTTGAAAAAGTGAATGAATTGCAACTTGAGGGTGCTGTAAAACTATTACTTGGGGAATCTGTTAGAGTTGTTTCAACAATTATTTATTGAGTGCATATTAGTTGTCAGGCACTCTGCTAGGCTGGGTCTACATACCTCCTGTATTTGTGGAGTTGGAGTACAGTGAGGAAGAAAGACATTATAAAAATATGTGTAAATATGTGTGTGTATATATGTGTGTGTGTGTCTAATGAGAAACTGCGATAAGTACTAAAAAAGAAAAAAAAACTCAGAATATTATGAAAGAGAATCCTAACAGGGATTATCTCACCTAGATGGAGTGACCAGCAAAGGCCTCTTTGAGGAAGTGATGTTTAGGATGGAAGGATTCTAGGAGCTGGTCATACAAGAATGGGGCAGAAGTGGGGCAAAGAGGATTCCAGGCAATGGGAGCATCTCAAGCCAAGGCCCTTATGTGGAAAAAACTTGCCACGTTTGATGAACTGAAAGGTTGTGCAGACAATGTGATGAGAGAGGAATAGAGTAAAGTGAGATAAGTTGGAGAGTTAGAAAGAGTCCAGAAAATGCAAGTTCATGGAAGTCATGGTAAAAAGTTCAGATTTTATTCTAAAGTCAATAGAAAGTGACCGAAGTGTTATTTGAAACAGCAGACTGACATGATTAGGTTTACATTTGCATCAGCGGCATCTGAAGCAGTGACACGACCCACCTCAGTGAAAGGTGGGGAACACACAGTGTTGTCATGCTTCTTCTACAGTAAAGTCAGCAACAGGCCAATAAGGGCTTCACAGTGCCATCAGGGCCTGGAGCACATGGCATCACTGAATGAGGGTGCAGAATTCCCAGCAAGAAATCCTGTTCCAGAACTGGGACCCTTCTGCATTCATTAATTCAATCAACATATATTTCTGAGTTTTTACCAGTGATGATGAACAAATAGACACAGTGCACCACGTATAATTTGTTAGTACTCAGTACCATCTCTGTTATTCTATACTTTTCCCTGTCCCCAGGAGCATAGTCTAGAAATTACAATTACAATTTCTATCCTCCATTGCAAATGGGATCCCAACTGGATTCCACCAATAAGAGGAAGTTGCATGAGATTTAGAGGGTAGAAGAGAAGGGGAAGCCATTGTTCTTCATAGCAGCTACTGAGAGAGTAGAGGCAGTGTGGAATTTTCTCACTGCTTTTGGGTATCCTCCTAAGAATCATCAGGTCAGTGCTCCCGGCAACTGAAATGATTGGTTGTAGCACAAGCACACACTTTAAAGTTTCTTAAAAGTGGCCTTCCTGATCTTTACTTGCCTAGCTTTTAATTCCTATATTAAACCATTTCTTACTCTATATACTTAGAGTGGCTTCTGTTTTTCTGACCAGACCCCGACTGATATAAATGGGACAGGGAAAGAAAGGGCATAGTCCTGAGATCACAGTATTACAGTTTTGTGGGGTGTCAGAGTTGAATGATAATTTTGACTCCATTGCTACTGTCATGCACAGCCTCTGGATTCTCCCCTTCAACCTCCTGTAACTTGGCGAAAAAAGAGTTATGTGTGATAGCTTATCGCTCAACTCATCCTTTCACAGTAGAAAAGGACAATAAAGTTCTTTTTCTCTTAGAGACTAATCTTATCAAATTGAAGCATACAGCAAGTTTTGGCCATCGACTTACTAAAGTACAATAAGCAATCTTTAATATCTTGCAGAATTTCCTGAGCCTATCAGATCTTGTGAGGTGGGAGTAGAAAAGGCCATATACATAAAGGATAATACAGGTTGAGCAGTCCTAATCCCAAAATCTCAAATCCAAAATGCTCCCAAATCCAAAACTTTCTGAGAGCCAATCTGATACAACAGGTGGAAAATTCCACATGTGATCTCACGTGGATCACAGTAAGAACAAAATCAAAATTTTGTTTCATGCGCAGAATTATTGAAAATATCCTATAATATTATCTTCAGCTATGTGTACAAGGTGCGTGCAAAATATAGATGAATTTTGTGTTAAGAATTGGGTCCCACCTCCAAGATATCTCATTATGTATGTGGAAATATTCTAAAATCTTAAAATTAAGTTCAAAATCCAAAACACTTCTGGTCCCAAGCATTTGAGATAAGGGATACTTAACTGCAGAAAGAGCAGACACCTTTTGGAGATGACAGGTGGAGGTGTGAGTGAATCCTGGTTACACTCGTCACCAGGGTTACTTTTCTTCTCTGAGTCCAATTACTCATCTATGAAAATAATATACATACTAATTTTTATGGGACCATAGTGCATATTATTAATGATGATTGTGATAAATAATAATTACAGCTAACAGTTGTAGAGCATTTACTATATGCTGGACACTCTTCTAAGTGCCTCACATGAATTAGTCATTTCATTAATCCCCACAATAATGTTAGAAGTAACAGAGATAAGGATTGTAGCAGGGCTGAGAAGATGACATACTAACATGGGTTTCTGACTCCATCCTCTGACAGACTCAATCCCCAGAAACAAGAATTGTCTTGATGGGCCTGAGAAACTGACATAGACCTGAGAAACTCTTGAGGGGAGAAGGGTGGTGCTTGGGTCTGGGTGTGCATGTGGGTAGATGCATACAACAGCTCAGAGTGGAAGAGTGTCAGATACCCTTGGTGCCAGAGCTATGGTTCTGCACATTTCTGTTTCCCACATTGCCATAATTAGTTACATAATCATAATTGCATAATCATTCTCATAACAAATTACACCAATAATTACATTATTACACTAATAATTTCATTAGTGTAATTAATTATAGAAAGAGAACATTCTGAAAGCTTCTGGAGAAAAATGGCAAATCACCTGAAAAGGAATGAGAGTTAGATTGACCACCAACTTCTCAATAACAGCCCTGGATACAAGAAGACAAAAAGTTATGTTTGCCATTTTTTGGGAAAAAAGTATGTCATATTTGGAAATGTATATTCAAGTAAACCATCATTTAAGTATGAAGACAAAGGAAACATAAAAATACAACACAATCCAGAATTTAAATTTTAGGTGCTATCGACATGGCACTCCACCAACATGATGGAGGTAGTGGCTGGGAATGGAGTGGTTATACTAAAGTGCTAATGCTGTTCAGAGAACTATATAGATATTTATAAATTTAAGAGATTGGTGGAAAAATAGACAAGAGCCCATTTTTTTGATAAATTAAAAGTAACCACCAGAAGAATAAAAATAAGAATATTCAAATTTTCTACCAGCAGAAAAACAATTTGGTCTAGCTAGTAAAAGGAAGGAAGAGGGCAGGAGGAACCTGATAAATAACCATGAAATAAGATGGTATTAATATATAAGCCCTAGTATAACCACAGTAGCAATTTTAGTATCAGGCAGAACAGAATCCAAGGTAAGGAAATATTCTAAGGCTAAAAATTGGGCAAAATACACTCATAGGAGTGAAAGTAAAATAATTAGGAACATATATGTATCTAACAAGATAGCTCAAAACAAGGGATCAAATGACAAATATATAAAGAAATAAATATATTATTAATTGCACTTGGAAATTTTAATATATTCATTTTAGAGACTGAAATGTCAAGCAAAGATACAGCACACTTGAATGATATAATTAAAAAGCCTCAACTGATATATATATGTAAATTATACCAAATACATGGATTTATAGCAAATTGAAAATAGATTTTTTTTCAAATAAGAGACACTCTCACAAAAATAGAGTATTAGCTGCAAGAAAAGTCTCAATAAGTTTCAAATGGTCAACATTATACAGACTACATTTTGCTCTCTCTCCTGAGAACTTAACCTGTATGGACCATGTCAGTGGGTTTCCTTGCTGTCTGGACTTCAGTAGAGTTTGCCCAATGTGGAGTACCAGCAGAAGAGAAGGAGGTGGTGGAACAGGGTACTGATTGTGGCTCCTCCTTGTGTGGTCACCTTAGACAGGCTGGCAATTCTTAACTGGAAGTCAACAACCCTGGTCCTACAAGCTCTAGAGCATCATAGGATCCCTTTTGGTTTCCCACCTTTGTGTTTGTAAACAATCCCTTTTATTAAGTCCTTCTTAAGTTATTCTAATTTGAGTGTTTCAGCTGTTTGCAGATGAGATCCTATTGATACAATAGGGAAATTCTCTTAGTGACAGAGGCAACAGACAAAAATCCAAATACCTTTGGAAAATATACTCACACTTATTATGAGAAACTTTAGATGCAGACTCTTCAAGAGTAGGATGAAGACAAACAGGTCCAAAATCACGGGTACTGTTCTAAAGAGTTCTTGAGGTCTGGGACAATATGAAAAGAAAAAGAATGAGGTATAAGGATTGAAAAAAAGATAAAAAATGGTCACCTTTTCCACTGATAATATAGATCTCTATTAAAAAACAGAATCAACAGACACACTATCAAAAGTAAAAAGAGAGATCCACAAGTTTGCAAGAATCAATATTATTTATTACAAAATAAAGAGTATTTATCTAAACCAACAATAACCGTCTGTTATTAGGTGTCTATTGCTGCATAAAAATTTACCCCAAAGCATAATGATTTGAAATAAAAAATATTTATTATCTCACAATTTCTGTGGGTCAGGAATCCAAGCTTGGTTTTGCTGGGTGACTTGGGCTAACCTATGAGAGAGGTTGGGCTGCAATCATCTCCAGGCTCAACTGGAGCAGAATCCACTCATGTGACTCACTCACGTTGCTGTTGGAGGCTTCAGGTCCTTGCTGGATGTTCGCCAGAAAAATTACTTCTTTGCGACATGGGCCTCTCTATTGGTCTACGCACAATCTGGAAGTTTGCTTCCCCTAGAATAGGGGAGGGGAGGAAGAGATGAAAACTGTAGTTCTTTTTGCAGTTTAATCTTAGAGGAGAAATCCCATCATTTCTGCTGTATTCTATTAGCTAGAATTGAGTCAGTTAAGTCTAGGCCACTCTCAAGGAGAGGGTATAATAGAAGTGCATAAATACCAGGAAGTGGGCAATTATTGGCATCATCTTAGAGACTACCTACCACAGCATCTGAAAATACCACAGAAAATAAGACCCCATTTGTAACCACAACAAAATTACAAAGCATCAAGCAATTCATCTAAGAAAGGGTGTATGAGACTACTCTGGAGAAAAATTTTAAAGGTCATAAAAATATGAAAAACTGTTACGGATAGGGTAAAAATAACAGTTCCTCCAAATTATTGCAATTACATTTAATGGTTCAGTAGGATGTTTTAGGAACATGATAGTTTTTTCATATACATATACATATATACACATATATATTTTTCCATATATATTTCATATATATACATATACATATGAAAAAATGAAATTAAATATGCCCAAAGTTGAGTCGATTTTAAAAAGAGAAAAACAAAAAGGAGGGGATTTTGCCATACCATCTCTCAAGACATTCCACAAAGCTGCAATTACAGAAACAATGTGACCCTGGTATCAGAATAGATAAACAGATCAATGAAATAGAAATAAGAGTTCAGAAAAAGACTCGACTATATGTGGAAACTTGATATGTGATAAATATGCCAATTCAGTGGAAGAAAAGATGGGATGTGTGGAAAAATTAGATCATACATGGAGAAAAATAGACTCCTGTCTCATCTCACAAAGGTGGACTCCAGATGGATTAAAGTCTAAATACAAAACCTGTGCAACTATGGATTATATCTATAATATTAAGTACAAGGAGATCCTGCAAATCAGCACAAAAAAAGGTAAGAAACCCAGTTTAAAAATGGGCATGGCATGTGAACAGGAAATATATACAAAAAGGAAAACTTGAATGCCAACAAGCATATGATCAGATGTTTAACCTCACAAGAGATCAGAAAAAGGAAGATCAATAGACAATGATATATAACTTTATAGTCATAATGCTTGGCAAAAATTAAAAGATGGATAATACCAAGTAGAGCTGAGGACATGGGATAAAATAGTTCTTCATAATTGGTGGTGGTGTCAAGGCATTCAGCCACTCAGATGAGCATCCAGAAATCACTTAGTGAAATTAAATATATAGGTGCATGTCTGTGAATAAACAAGTTTCAGCCAGGAGTGTACTGGGGTCTTTGCTCACCTCTGGGGAAAATCAGATTTGGTTTTCTTACTAACTTGGCAGATGCCCTTGGAAGTCTCCTCTAGGTTTGTGAAGGTTCATAGCAGCTACTTTCCTTATGCATCACTCTCTGCGACTGCTGAGTCACCTCTGGAGCTCTGAGTTACAATCCACTGAGTCCACTTCCCTGGTAGAACACTGGATGGAAGAAAGAAATAGGAACTTTGTTCTCTTTATGCCCCTGTCCTTTTAACCTCCATGTGACTAACATCCTAGGTGTAGCAGCATACTTAAATCCTTTTTCTAGATGGTTAAGACAATTTCTGAAGGAAATTACAATGCCGGAGGGACCACAATTGAAGATAACTTGAATTTTCATCTAATGAGAAGATACTTTAAAAAATCATAACAACTAGTATAAGGTGGTTTCTCCTATTTTGTCCTCCATATAAATTTGCTCCCAAGTGTCACCCAGGTCCCTTTGAATCTCTATGGCTCGTAAGCCCCCCCCTCCTCCTCAAAGAGATTGTCAGCTCTGAATATTTCTCCTTTGTCTATCCTCAAGGAACCTCTGGTTCCAGAATCAGAGATTCTGCAGGTGTAATTGGGGAGGGTAGAGCAAGACTTAGCAAAGCTCTTCCATTTAAATTCCCAGCCTGTGGGAGCCACCAGCCTTTGATTTATTTATTAAGTTCATCTCTCAAAGGCAAATATTATTTTCTTTAGCATTCACAGAACTAAGATCTACTTGTAACAATTATTTCTCCTTATTAATAAGGTTTGGAAATACCCCAAAACATAATGGGTCCCTGTTATTGTACATAGGGTTGTTTTATTTTTCCATGACTTTGCCAACCTGTGATGTTTGGTGGCATTACTGAAGATCAATATGAGTGTTTAAAGATGCTCTCTTTGACTCTATTTCAGTTCAGATTCTCTCTATGCCTGGAGGATAGCAGGAGAGTTGGGGGCAGGTATGGTCTTCTAATTTCTTCTGTTGCAGAATGAATCAACAGAAGCAGCAGGGAAGAAGGAGATGTAAAAATACAGCATAATTCTTATTGGACAGTGCTGGAAGTTCCTGTGGGAGTTTGAGATAGAAAAATCGAGAGGTACTAGTCTGAAATGGAGAGGCTCATCAGTTCAGGGTAGGATCTCAGAGAGATACTGGATGTCAAACGTGGACTTTGCACTTTCCCCTGCAACCTCTCTCCCTCTCTCCACTTTGTTTGTCCTTAATGGAAGAAGGTCGATTATATTAAGTCTACAGATGAATTATTTGGGGAAAGATTCACTAAATTTACAACATCTTTTGAGTGCCTACCTTGGTGCTAGGGACTATTCTAAGTGTATCAAATGCTTTGACTCATTTAATCCTCCCAACCCCCGTAAAGCAAGTACTATTATGATCATGCTTATTTTTATAAATGAGAAAACTGTGGCACCGAGGAGGGAAGGTGACCTGTCCAGTTCACACAGTTAATGAGCAGAAGAGCTGGGATTGGAAGTCACATAGTTTAACTCCAGAACCACCCACTCCCAACCATCATGCAACACCACCTCCCCATCCAGGATATGGTGTATTTTTCCCACTTATTTGAATCTTTGACATTTTCAGTAGAATTTTTATAATTTAAAAGATATGGGCCATGCACGGTGGCTCACGCCTGTAATCCCAGCACTTTGGGAGGCTGAGGCGGGCAGATCACGAGGTCAAGAGATCGAGACCATCCTGGCCAACATGGTGAAACCCCATCTCTACTAAAAATACAAAAATTAGCTGTGTGTGGTGGCATGTGCCTGTAGTCCCAGCTACTCGGGAGGCTAAGGCAGGAGAATCACTTGAACCCAGGAGGCAGATGTTGCAGTGAGCTGAGATCACGCCATTGCGTGCCAGCCTGGCGACAGAGTAAGACTCAATCTCAAAAAAATAAAAAATACATATATATGGTTCTGGACAATTTTTCTTACAGTTATTTTGGGATTTTCAAATAGTTTTTTTGTTGTCTATATGGTAGAATTCTTAAAATTACAATTTCTGATTATGAAATTTAAAGTTAGTTGAATTCATAACGATGAATAAAGTCACATGTGAGTTCAAAAGCTCGTTAACTCGTGCACTGTCTTGCTAGTCTCATCCCTTGCACTGTTTAAGAGTGGAGAGTGGGATGTGAGCAGGAGTGCCTGGTAAGGAGGCAGTAGGAGCTGACGCTAAAGAGCCTTGGGTAACGGTAAGAAGCTTGCCTTGCTCCTGAATCAAACCTTCCAACAGAAGGCAGGGAAGTGAGATCATTAGGTTTGTTTTTTAAAAAGCATTTTTCTTATAGCATTTTACTGGGTGATTTGGGCTTGGGAAAGGTCGGTGGCAGGGCACCTGTTAGGGCATTATTGCAGTATTTCAAGTGAGAGATAAAGTCTGACCCCAGGCAACAGCAGTAAGAAAAATGGGAGTAGCGAGGATGGGGCAGGGGGGCAGTACACTGAGGGGAGGGTAAGGAACAGGTCTCAGGTAAAAGCGACAGTCCTGGGTGACCAGTTAAACGTTGGGGGAGAGGAAAAGAAAGGAGATGAAGTTGCCACCAGAAAGAGTGGCCTCAGGAGAAAGGGGTTGTACAGGGTTGGGGATGGGGTGGGATGGGCAGAATGTATCAGAGAAATAGTACCCTTGGGGTTGGTGTGGTACAGGTGAGTGGGCCTGAATGATAGTAATGGAAATCCCAAAGCATGATATAAAAACTAACGAAATTTGAAAAGTAATAAACATGAAAAAAATGAAAAATTTTGATTTATGGGGGATTTATTTGGCTTCTATTGGAGAATGATTAGGACTGAAGCTAACTACTTGGAAGTTATTGGCATATAAATGGTATGTGAGGCCAGAGGAAATGGTGAGATGAGCCCAAGTAGAGAGGCCAGCTTTAAACAACAACAACAACTACCAAAAAAAAAAAAAAAAAAAAAAAAGCAAAACAAAGAAATAGGACACAGAGTTAGATTTGAATGTCAGATATATGATGAATAATTGTTTAGTATATTCCATGTTTGGACATGTTTAAGACCTACTTGTCCTAAAAATAATGTATTATTTATCTGAAATTCAAATTTAACTGGGCACCATGTATTTCATCTGGCAACCATAACAGGGGCAGCACACAGAAATGTTGGCAGGGACCAGGCAGGCCTTTCAGATAGTGAGGTGGTGTGTGAGACACAGGCCAGTGGTGGAGGCTGGGTGACCCAGAACTCCTGTCTCTCATTCTCAGGGGCAGCTGCTACATACTTCCCACTGATTGGGTTTGCAGAGATGGCCTCGAGGGTGTCTGATATTCTGATATTTCAAAACAGAATAGAAATATGTATTTTAATGTGTATTTAATATATATATTTTAAAATATTTTTAATGTTGATATTAAAAGTGGTCAGTTGGGCTCAGTGCAGTGGCTCATGCCTGTAATTCCAGCACTTTGGGAAACTGAGGCAGGAGGATGTCTTGAAGCTAGGAGTTTGAGACAAGCCTGGGCAACATAGCAAGTCCCCATCTGTACAAAAAAAAAAAAGAATAAATTAGTCAGGTGTAGTGACTTATGCCTATAATCCCAGCTACTCAGGAGGCCAAGGCAAGAGGATTGCTTGAGCCCAGGAGTTTGAGGCTGCAGTTAACTACGATAGCACCACTGCACTCCAGCCTGGGTGACAGAGTGAGACTCTGTCTCTATTTAAATAAATAAGTAAATAAATAAACTGGGCAAACAATGAAAATGAAAACATTGCGAAATACAAAGCAGCTCTGTGGGTTCCACTGGTTTGCAGCCTCTGATCTAATTTCTAAAGTGGGTGTAGCAGGTTTTTAACCTGTAAATTATGGTGATCGGCAGGTCAGGGTAAATGGTAGTTGTGTGTGGGGAAGAGATGATGGCAACAGATGTTTTCCTCCTGCAAAAACTAAAATGTGGGAGTGACTTCTCTGGCCATGACTCCATGGTCTCTCCCCTCAGAGCCATTTTCAGTAAAATTTTTATAGTTTAAAAAATACGGTTCTGAACAATTTTTGTTAGAGTTATTTTGGGATTTTTAAATAGTTTTTTGGTTGTGTATATGGTAGAATTCTTAAAATTATACAATTATAATGTATAAAAAAGCATGCAATTATAATTCATAAAATTATAGCCCCACTGACCATTCTCCTGTAGCTGGGAGCAGTTCACACTAACAGGGCTATACCCCCATGCTGACCTGCTCTGCAGGATCCCAGGAAGGTGAGCATAGCCTACTAACCTGTTTGGGTAGCACAGCGACAGCAACTGAGGCCTTGAAGGCTGTTATCAGAAAATTGTGGGCGGAAACTTCCAGGGGTTTGCTCTGAGCTTCTTGAGGCTTCTCAGCTTCAGCTGCAAAGTGAGTGGGTGTTTCTTTGAGAAGCAGAATCAGAGAGAGAGAGATAGAGAAAGAGAAAGACAGAGGTGTTTCCCTTAGCTATGGAAACTCTATAAGAGAGATCCAGCTTGCCTCCTCTTGAGCAGTCAGCAACAGGGTCCCGTCCTTGACACCTCAGCCTCTACAGGACTGAGAAGAAGTAAAACCGTTTGCTGGGGCTGGCCTGACTCACCAGCTGCCATGCAGCAGCCCTTCAATTACCCATATCCCCAGATCTACTGGGTGGACAGCAGTGCCAGCTCTCCCTGGGCCCCTCCAGGCACAGTTCTTCCCTGTCCAACCTCTGTGCCCAGAAGGCCTGGTCAAAGGAGGCCACCACCACCACCGCCACCGCCACCACTACCACCTCCGCCGCCGCCGCCACCACTGCCTCCACTACCGCTGCCACCCCTGAAGAAGAGAGGGAACCACAGCACAGGCCTGTGTCTCCTTGTGATGTTTTTCATGGTTCTGGTTGCCTTGGTAGGATTGGGCCTGGGGATGTTTCAGCTCTTCCACCTACAGAAGGAGCTGGCAGAACTCCGAGAGGTAAGCCTGCCGGCAGACTGCTGTGCCCTGGAGGCACCAGGCATAAGGGGATGGAGGGCCCACTGCCTGGCTTGCAAAGTGCTTTTCAATCCTTTTTTTTTTTTTCTTAGAAATGGGTTGTTCTAGTTATTCTATTCTATAGACAGAGAAATGGAGGCTCATAGGGGTGAAGGGAATATTTTTTACTTTGTAAAGAATCAGAGCCCAACAGTTTGTCTTTCCTCAGTTGTCAACTCAGTCTGTTGAACCACTTACTGCCTCATACCTATTGATTTAAGGAGTAAAAAACAAACAAACAAAACTTTTAAGTTTTGCTTGGAAGTAAATTTGTTCAGATGACCAAACTAAATCTTGAAAATTGGTACGATTCCAAATCACAAAACTGAGGGACAGTGAGGCAAAATTGCTTGGCCAAAGCCCAAGTTAGCAGAACTTCTGAGGTATTTGGATTCTCTTTCCAGGGCTTGGTTTATTTGACGATTCTGCCTCTTTTGCTTAAAGAATTTTATTTTTATTATACATCTTTTCTCTTTCTGTTTTACTAGTCTACCAGCCAGATGCACACAGCATCATCTTTGGAGAAGCAAATAGGTGAGTCTTTTTTCGCATGTACATTGAGTTCCCAAAGATGATCCTCAGCACAGAACTATGTTAATGGAATGCCTTAAATTCTGTCCCACACTTTGGTTTCTGTACACTATAAGAGGAATTCTGGCTAATTCAGAATCTCTGGTCTATGATTCCTTGAGCTGCTTTAAAAATGTGAAGTGAATTGAATTGCTCACAATCAATATAGCTGAGCACTGCACACAATTCAAAATCACTTCCACTTGACTTTGGAAAGAGACACACATATACAACCCTGGACCTTTGCCCCCTGAGAAGTGGCTCCAGGCCTGTCCCCTTCCACAGACATCCTGGTCCTGGCACACACGCCAGTGGCTGTAACTCCTGGGAAGAGAAGGCGAAATGAAGGCAGAGACAGATGTTTCTGAGAAACGTCCTTTCCTCTTTTAAATGCCCTAAAGAGATTACATTGAAGCTTTATTTACAATATGTTTTATAGGATGTAAGCTTTTAAAACATGGATAATCAATTCCCCACATTAGAATGGTTTTTCTTGAAGTCACTGAGAAGCTTAAGGGAAGACTTCAGCCATCATTCAAAGGATGTTCAGCTTCACCCACAGAGGCAGTCATGAGGTACCCTTGATCACAAAGGAAAATCCTTTGTATGGGAGCTAGGGCAAGAAGATGATAGGTTGAACACTGATCTCATGAAATTTCAGGGCATAGTTGTGCAAGCTCTGTACAGATAGATTTTACAGTGTGCTTCACTAGTCTAAGATTCATTGAAATTTTAGATTTAGATTTACAATGAGATTCATTGAATTTTTAGAGGTGGAAGGAAGCTTAGAATATATCTAGTCCAGCCATTTCATTTTTTGGAAGAGAAACAAAATACCAGATGGATTAGGTGAATATGCCCAAGACCACTGGTATGCCATTGGGGCTAGAAGGAACACAGGCTCTTGATGCCTTGTCACCTACAGGGCTTTCCAGTACTGGACTGGTGCCTCATGAAGGAGGGAAACTCCTGTCTCTCTGTAGTGAGCATGGAATAAGAAATAGATGAAAAGCAGGATACCTCTGCAAAGACTATAGGTAGATCTCATCCTTAGAAACTCAGAATAAAGAAGAAGGCAGCACTGGCCATCTATTAAGTGAAGCAAGTTCCAGTTTCTCCGGATGTGGCTACTGCACATGACCCAGTCGCCTGTCTACTATCCTAGACTGTTAAGTTCTTATATGAGCCACTGTTGGGATGCTCTGGCCCCTGCTTCTGTGTCCTAATCCTTAAATGTTAGAAAGTCCATATGTACACAAGCAGAGTGGAAATATTTGATAGAAAAGTAAAGCCTCTGGAGGACGTCTGAAATAAGATCATTTTGAAAATCTGTGGAATGTGCCTGGTCTGATAGGTATCTAATTATTCATCTTTCACCCACTCTCTGGAGTCAATTTAGTGATTAAAAGTCAAATGATCAGGTGAGTCAGATCCATCTACCCCAGTAAGCAATTATGTTCTCTAGATCAACCCAAATAAACCAGAAATTGGTAAATCATCACATGGAAATCAAATCAGTAACTTTACTAATAAGAAAAGAGATGCAAATTAAAAATAGGGAATACCAATTTTCATCAAATTAATAAAGATTAAAAAAAAACCCAGACTGACAAAGATTTGAGAGAAAAGTGCCTGTGCAAACATTAGTTTCAGCCAGTATACATGTAAATTGCTATAACTTTTTTTGAAGAGCGCTTTAGAAATACATAGCAAAAGCTTGTAACTAGTAGTTTACGTTGTAATCCTATCGCTAAGAATTTATCTTAAGAAAATAATCAGAGATGTGCCCGAAGATTTATATATAAGGATGTTCATTACTTCCTTATGAGCCTATTTATAATAAATAATTCAGAAGAAACTTGAATGCCTCATACGAGATTAGTTATATACATTATGGTGTATTCAGACAAGCACATAATAAGCAGCAACTAAAAGTGATGTATCAGAAGGACATTTAATGCTTTGGGGATTGTGCACTCTGTATTGTTAGATAAAAAGACAAGTTACAAAAGGGTATGTTTAGTTTCATACTGACTATGTAACCATGTATGCACATTTTTATATTCTTAGGAACTGGAAAGTTTTACACACTGACATACTAACAGTGATTTTCTCTGGGAGATACTATTATAGATTATTTATACTTTCTAATTTGCTCCTTTTTACATTTTCCATTTTTTTCCGGTTAACTAATTAAATCTTTTATTCATTCACATGTGTGAGGCTAGATGTTGGGTGTTGGATGCTGATTGAGGATGAGCCAGCCCAGGGGGCCTGTCCTTATGGAGCTTTTAGCAGGGGGAAGAAGCTAAACAAAAGCAAGCAAACAGACCATGCAATTCCAAAGTTGTACTAAGTACAACCTGAGAATCTTCTTTAAGGAGGTGTTGTTTACGCTAACACCTTGGGGGTCAGAAGCCCGATGAGTGAACGGCTGTGTGCATGTGCTGTGGAGTGGGGTGGGGCTGGGGGCGGGCATTTCAGCGCTGGGAACGGCACATGCAAAAACCCTGGGGCAGGAAGCACTCATAACCAGTGTCTAGGATATCCTTGCAATTTATTTATTCCAGTATAGGTACAGCAGATATTCTTAGTGAGCATGTTCTGTAAGAATAACGTTGTACTAGGCTCTGTGAGGGATATAAAGACATGCAACATGTGGTTCTCTGTTCCGTTTCCTGCCGGTGCGTGGCTGAGTGCCAGATTAGTTGCTCGGGTGGTTTGCGGTGTAGGAATGCAGAGGAGACTCAGTTTTGCCTTTCCTGTTCGCTAACACCTCCTACATGGTGGGTTGTCTTGGATGACTAGAGAGGTCATGATTGCTCAGCTAATGTTCTCTGTGGATTGGGCCATTCTCATACCATATGTGAGTTTTACAGGCTAATCACGAACCTGACATAGACAAGCATCTCCTGTGAATATTTATTGAAGTCTCAGTTAGCTGAATTCATTAGCTAAGTGGCAGCTGTCTATCTTGTCTGAAACAGTTGAAGTCAGAGAAATAGTGTCTGTTTTGAGAACTATTGTCTATCCTTCCATTTAATTTGTCCAACATTTGCTAGTAACATGCCCTGTGTTAGAAACTGGGCTTCTCTGGTGAACTCAACGTATCGTAAGGAACTTGTCGTTATTTGAGGGGAATAAGATAATTTATGTAGTTACCCCAGAGACAAGAGGAGTCAGAAATGACAAGAGAGGGGAAGACAGAGGGATCCTAGATTTCAAAAGAGGGGCAGATCATATTTGATCAAAAAAGGCTTGAGAGGGTTTCCCAAAGAAAGCGGTAATAGGTAGTCCTTATGGGATGTTTAGGAATTTGACACAGAAATCTGCTTGAAAGAACATTACGGGCAGAAGACATGGCATGAACAAAGGCACAGAGGAAGGAAAGTGGGGGTATGTGTAGGCCACAGAACTCCCGTTGTGTGGCAATGCTCAGTGGGAGTAAGGAGATAAGGCTGGACAGATGGGCTGGGATTGTGTGATGGGGATACTTGTATACGACGGCATCTTCGGGGAGGAGCAATTAAAGGTGTTTGAGGACTCAGTGATATGAGGTGATTGTCAGAGGTCTTAAGATAATTAATTTGGGGCAGATTGTAAAATGTCACTGGGGGAAGATCTGGTGACACGCAGACAGATCAGTAGTCTTCTTCAGCCTCTGTCCTGTAAGTCTTTGGAACAAGAGAATCAGAGTGGACAGAGCCCTGGAATTGGCGTCAGGAGAGCAGGGTGTGGTCCCATCTGTGATGCTGACTAGCTGGGTCTTCTTGGATTAGTCACCCAACTTCTAAGCTCATTTTGCAATCGATAAGGTGGGACAATAATACCTACCTCAAAGGGTTGTGGTGAGTTCTAAATGCAATAACTGACATGACAGCTCTTTATGAATAAATGTTTATATTAATTATGTTTTATTGTAACATTATAATTTATACATATGTCAATCTTAATTTGGTTTATTTTTTTACCTCTTTGTTTCTGAAATATAGACTACTATGAATCCTGCAGTTCAGACCTACATGATTAGTATATGTTAGACTGTTGCCATTTACGGTTTTAAAATCTTTTTTTTAAAATGATTGGATTTAAATTCCCACCAAAATAATAGTTGCTATTTCATTTTAACATATATTTTTCCTCTCTCTATGATACAGGCCACCCCAGTCCACCCCCTGAAAAAAAGGAGCTGAGGAAAGTGGCCCATTTAACAGGTCTGTATCTGGAAGGTACAGGTGAGATTTGGGAAAGCTTTTGGCAAAAGGCAAAATGGCTGCCTGGTTTCCATTACCAGGCTCTAGAGAGTTGTTACTTCCTGGAGACAGTATTTGAACCCAATAATACTAACACTTTTCTTGTCGAGTCAGTCTTATGAACACACTTTGATCCCCTATTCTCTGGGCAAGGCCCTCTTCTAAATTGGAGACCTGGAGCTGATTATGACATGACCCCTGCCCATAAGAAGCTCATTCTTTTCAGTCATTCCAAAGTCCCTTGGGGGATTGGGGGCACAGATCCAAGAGGTGAGAGATGAGAAGGTGAGGAATGAGGACTTATTTTAGTCAGTGCTTTCTTGGTTTTCTGGAAGAGCTTCACTCTGCTTTGTCCAAGAGTATAAATAGGAGTGAGAAGGGAGACTCAATCCTGGCACTTGTAGAGTTTCAATATGTGCCTGTAAAGTGGAGTGAAATGATATGGTATGGGCACTCCCATTATAAACTACATAAATAATGGAATAAATATCACAGAAAGTGGTAGGCTATTGTCCCTGGAATTATTTAGGCAGAAATTATAGAATGATCCGGTCACATCAGCAGACACTTACTGAATACCTGCTGTGTGCCAATTTGGGGATGTGAAGATGAGTAGCACATGGCTCTTGCCCCCAGGGAGCTTGACATCTAATAGGGAAAGACAGGCACTTATGATAATTTCAGTACTTCAGAGATTTAGGTTATGTTCATGATGTTGTGGGGATACAAAGAAAAGGGAACTGTACCCCAAATTGAGGGGCTGAATAATTCTTACTGCAGGTGAGAAGATGGACCAGATGGTCCCTAAGATCCTTCCCAACTTTAGAACTTTAGAGTTCCTTGGATTTGGCTTTTTCCTTCAGGAAAGGACTTCAAAGCCTAGCAGATTTGGTGCTAGTTCTGAAGATAGTAAAATCTTTGTTCCAGAGAGCAAATATTTTCTCAATAATTTCTTACTGCAATGGATTACGGGTATATACTATTGTTCCAATTGTGTGGATGACAAAATAGGACAACGTTGTTGAGGAAATTCTGTGATGGATCAAGTTCTGACCCCTCAGCCAGTTCTATACCAGCTGTCATTCTGGGTGAAACATTTGTTGAAGGAAGGGCCCACAGTTTTGCCTTAGAAACTTAGTTTGTTGGATGCATGACTATTCCTTGTTGAAAGCTCCTTTTGGATTTATTTCAGGCAAGTCCAACTCAAGGTCCATGCCTCTGGAATGGGAAGACACCTATGGAATTGTCCTGCTTTCTGGAGTGAAGTATAAGAAGGGTGGCCTTGTGATCAATGAAACTGGGCTGTACTTTGTATATTCCAAAGTATACTTCCGGGGTCAATCTTGCAACAACCTGCCCCTGAGCCACAAGGTCTACATGAGGAACTCTAAGTATCCCCAGGATCTGGTGATGATGGAGGGGAAGATGATGAGCTACTGCACTACTGGGCAGATGTGGGCCCGCAGCAGCTACCTGGGGGCAGTGTTCAATCTTACCAGTGCTGATCATTTATATGTCAACGTATCTGAGCTCTCTCTGGTCAATTTTGAGGAATCTCAGACGTTTTTCGGCTTATATAAGCTCTAAGAGAAGCACTTTGGGATTCTTTCCATTATGATTCTTTGTTACAGGCACCGAGAATGTTGTATTCAGTGAGGGTCTTCTTACATGCATTTGAGGTCAAGTAAGAAGACATGAACCAAGTGGACCTTGAGACCACAGGGTTCAAAATGTCTGTAGCTCCTCAACTCACCTAATGTTTATGAGCCAGACAAATGGAGGAATATGACGGAAGAACATAGAACTCTGGGCTGCCATGTGAAGAGGGAGAAGCATGAAAAAGCAGCTACCAGGTGTTCTACACTCATCTTAGTGCCTGAGAGTATTTAGGCAGATTGAAAAGGACACCTTTTAACTCACCTCTCAAGGTGGGCCTTGCTACCTCAAGGGGGACTGTCTTTCAGATACATGGTTGTGACCTGAGGATTTAAGGGATGGAAAAGGAAGACTAGAGGCTTGCATAATAAGCTAAAGAGGCTGAAAGAGGCCAATGCCCCACTGGCAGCATCTTCACTTCTAAATGCATATCCTGAGCCATCGGTGAAACTAACAGATAAGCAAGAGAGATGTTTTGGGGACTCATTTCATTCCTAACACAGCATGTGTATTTCCAGTGCAATTGTAGGGGTGTGTGTGTGTGTGTGTGTGTGTGTGTGTGTATGACTAAAGAGAGAATGTAGATATTGTGAAGTACATATTAGGAAAATATGGGTTGCATTTGGTCAAGATTTTGAATGCTTCCTGACAATCAACTCTAATAGTGCTTAAAAATCATTGATTGTCAGCTACTAATGATGTTTTCCTATAATATAATAAATATTTATGTAGATGTGCATTTTTGTGAAATGAAAACATGTAATAAAAAGTATATGTTAGGATACAAATAATTTTTAGAATTTACTAATATTTGAATTTTTTGCTTATTATTTCTTTCCTCCTTGATTTCTTCATTCATTATGATATCAGACCACTTTTAAGAATAATTTACTGGAGTGAGAAGAACTATGAATCAAATCTTTCTGCCTTTGCTAGGCCTTCCTTCTCTCTATATATTCTCTTTCCTCTTCACCTCCCAGAGTTTCCATTACCAATATTATGACCAATGTTAAGCTTAGCCAACTTTCCATAGATTTGATGAGAAATTATATTTTCCTGAAGGCAGAACCATGGCACAGTGGAAAGGGCACATATTTTGGACTAAAAAACTTAGATTTGAATCTTTGTTCTTCCACGTACTGCCTATGTAAGCACTGGTTAGGTCACTTGACCTTCCTTGAACAAAAAAAGAGCTGAAAGTATCAGACACATAGAACATCAAAAAATAGTGTCTGCCACTACTAAGCCACTCTATTAGAGCCACTTCATTCTCCAGAGGCCACTGATCTGTGGGATCCATCTAAGCACCTGGTTTCTTGTATTCTCATGCTTGTCATTCACAACGGCCTTTTCCTATTTTCTTCAACCACTCACTATCATGGGCTCTCCCTAGACTTTGTTATCATTAAAAATTATAGTAACTCCTTTGGAATTTGATTTTAGGTGTCTTATTTTCACAACATCATCTTCTATTATTCCAGCGGAATTGGTCCAACATTTTCTTTTCTAAAATATTTTTGAAAATATTGAGACTTCTAATTAATAAACTTTATTATTTTCTTATATACACATCAGCTCCTTCCACGTCTTCACTTCTCTCTATGTCCAGCATAAATGTCATCATCTGTCATGACAACCAGCACCTTGGAAAGACTCTCAACTCCAAAATACTCTCTTCCTCCAATGTATTCCCCTTGCAAAAATCCTATTTTCTTTAAGCTGTCATCCCAGAAGCTGGATGTTGCTGGACAAAAATTACACAAACAGGCTGCCTAGTTTTAGTTTATTTTTATCTAACATGAATTTAAATCAATCAATGATTGATCTGTCACTGACTTAGTTTTATTTTTTGATTGATTTGAATAGGTAGTACATGTACATGGTACAAATTTTAAAAGATACATAAGGATATATGACAAAAATAAGTCCTCGTTCCACCCTGTCTAGTGGCTCAATTTTTGCCCGCAGAGAGGATCACTGTTTCCTAACATTGTCTTGCAGAGATGATATATATATAAATATGAAATCACTTTACTTTGGAGTTTCTCAACCATGGATCTGTGACATTCTGAGCTGAAAAATTGCTTGCTATAAGGTCGTCCTGTACACTGTAGGATGTTTAGCAGCACCCTTTCTCTCTACCAACTAGATGCCAGGAGCATCCCCCCCCCCGCAAAACATGTGACAACCAAAAAATATCTCCAGACATTGCGAAATGTCCCCATGGTGTGGAGGGGGCCAAAGTTGCCTCTGGTTGAGAACCTCTACCTTACACTGATGAACTCAGTGGTCATTCAACATTGTCTAGCACTTTTCTTCAGTTCAATCTTAAGCATTTTTCTTTACTTATAGAGTCAATAACATTATATTTTTTCCTCTTGCAAACCAACCACATGCCTTCCTCCCACTATGCAACTCTCTTCTACACAAAAACACAATTCCACCTGCATCTGCATGATCTCTTCCTTCCACCTGGTCTCAGTGGAGAAATAGGACAATTTTCACTTGTCTGCTAGACTCACCTTTCCTCTTCCCTTCCTTGTCCCTTTTTAACATTTTCTTCTCTCCTCTAAATCCTCAAATTATCCCTGTATATGAAATCATTTCCAACAGTATGTACCTTTGTTCAAGTATGTATATATCTTTTCCAACACTATGTACATTTGTTCAAGTATGTACATATCTTTATATGTATATATGCACATATCTTTAAGAATAATTTATTGCTGGGCACAGTGGCTCATGCCTGTAATCCCAGCACTTTGGGAGGCCAAGGCCGGTGGATCACGAGGTCGGGAGATTGAGACCATCCTGGCTAACATGGTGAGACCCCGTCTCTACTAAAAAAAAATACAAAAAATTAGCTAGGCGTGGTGGTGGGCGCCTGTAGTCCCAGCTACTTGGGAGGCTGAGGCAGGAGAATGGCGTGAACCCAGGAGGCGGAGCTTGTGGTGATCTGAGATCAGGGGCCACTGCACTCCAGCCTGTGGCAACAGAGTGAGACTCTGTCTAAAAAAAAAGAATAATTTATTGGGGTGGGAAGAACTATGAAGCAAATCTTTCCAGGCCTTCCTTCTCTCTATACATTGTCTTTGCTCTCCACCTCCCAGAGTTTCCATTACCAATATTATGACCAGTGTTACACTCATCCAAATTTCTATAGATGTCATGGTTACTTGTTTTTGCCTGGGGGCAGAGAAGTGGCATAGTGGAAAGGACATAGACTTTGGACTAAAAACTTAGATTAAAACCTTCATTCTTCCACTTACGAACTATGCAATCTCTGGGCAGATCCCCTTTCATTAATGGACAACCCAGACCAAACCACCTGCATCTTCCAGACCAAACAAGGTGAAAACTTTTTGTTTTACCCCTCACTATCCCCAGCTCTGACTGCGTTTCTCGTTTCCCAGGAGAGACAAACATCTGGACAGACTGTCTCCATGCACATGGGCTCCATTTCCATCACCAGAATTTCTCTGGTTCAGGTTTCTCATGTGACATTCAAGTGTCATCTCCTCAGGTATCCTAAATAGAGTCCCCTCCTTTTGTCATTATTTTATGGTTATTTTTTTCTTTCTTAGTACTTACCAAAACTTGTGATTATATATATTTTGACCACTTTAAAAATATTTGTTTTTTTCCACTGGAATAAAATTTCCAAAAGCAAGGTTTTTTGGGTTTTTTTCAACCTTGTTTACCACTCCATCCACACAAACTCACCTAGTGCTTGACACACATTAGAAACTCAATATATATTTGTTGACCTTAGTTATAAGGCAGGTGTCTCTTGGCTTATATATGTGCATATGTTTTTAGGAGTACTCTGAATCTATATTAGTGACACATCTTGAATGTGTGTGAGTGGTTATCCAGCATTGAGTAAATTATCCAGTGGTATTTTGAGGTTACAGATTGAAAAAAACTAATGCATTCTAATTCATGGCATTGGAAAACAACAAGGATATATTTGGTCCTTGGCATTACCAGGAGTTAGGGCAGAGACAAGGAAAACTGCTGGGTCACCAGAGGTAAAACTGTCATTTAGAGTATATTCAAATACTTGTCTAATAAATTAATGAACAAAACCAAAGTTTCACTTTGGAATGTGTCATCTGCTCTCCCTAAAACTTTTGTATTTATTCATCTGCTCTGGAGGGTCAGGTTCCTGAGCTGGTGCTTCCTGGAGAAAGTCTGATAGGTACATTTACCTTTCCTTTGGCTGGATGCTGGTCTGTATTCTAGCCCTCAGGGTGAAATCCTCCTCATCCTGTCTTTCCTCTTTTGGCTTCAACCATCAAGTATGCCAGTTCCAAAGGGTCATAGGAAGTTTGCTAGACCATGATTCTTTTGCTAATGGACCCTTCTAGATAATGGTACCACAGCACAGAGGAAGTGGGAAAGGGGCTGGGCATTCTGAGCTGACATGATGCCATCGGCTGGTAGTGATACTACTGGCACTTTCATCTTCCTAAGTCTGAGCTGTACTAGGACGCCTCTGGGACTTTCTGAAGGTAGGATTGTAGCTCGCTATGCTTCACTGATTCCAGAGAAGAGATATTGACTGTCCGTTTGGAACTTTGATTTTTTTTTAACCTCAGTTGGAACATAAGAAATGTAAAAAATTAAAAACTTTTAAATATGTTTATTGAAAATTGGATTGGCATTGTTCCTCTATGAAATGCTAAATCCAAAGTAGAACACTCCAGACAAACACATACGTAAAGGGTGCTTCTAGTTCAGTAGTTTGAGGTTTTCTTTTTTTTTTTTCTTTTCAAGCAACCAAAAACACATGAAACTCACCTCTTTTCTCAGTCCCCCAAAGTGGTGACTTTGTCGTCTCTGAAGTAGGTTTTGACTTACCACAGCTTAACAGGAAAAGAGCTCTATTGTGGGGGCATCATTGTGAGTGTGACTTACGTGAAACAGTTGCTCATAGAAAGAGAAGAATTGGTGAGAGAAGCTGCCTGCCTCTCCCAAAGCCATGGTATAAATTTCCTCAGCGGGTTAAGCCCTAGACTTTCCCTGGTCCTTATCTAAGGAAGTGTGAAGGCCACATGTTGAATGAGTTACATTTTTCTAAGGGGTCTGGGTAAGTTCTTGTGTTTGTAGAGATAAATTTTTGCATTCTGATTTTTTTTTCTTTCCCAAGGTTTTGGATTATCCAAAGACAGAATGAGGTGATTCTTAAAAAAGGAGATTAGAACCCCATTCTTTGTGGAGGAGGGTTCAGAAATAAATCCTATTTAGAAATAATATAGTCATTGACAGTACCAGGGACCTTTGGGATTCACTGGGAAGCCAACCTGCCTTGGCAATGTAGATAGCTAAGTGGGTATTCTGTCCTTACAGGTTCACCCAGAAGATAGGAAAGATTCACCCCAGTGATGACTTTTCACTTTTACCAAAGCTTCCCCTTTACTGGGAAACATTTTTCCAGAGTTCTGACTGGTACATCTTCAGAAAAAGGGCAATGCAGATATTCCTCCTCCCCTACTTGGAGGTTCCTTCAGCCCTAAGGGATCACTCTTTTCTTCTAATTCTCCATAGAATGACATAAGCCTCATTTCACATTCTGGGGAAAGTTTAGTCTTCAGGTTTTTTGAGGATGTCAGGGTAGACCCTTATTCCCTTGGGCAATCCACATTATTGCAGGTTTCCTGGCTTTCACTGGTTTCTGCAGTGGATATGCTGTCTGCATTCCTGACACTCCCACTGTGGAATGCCTTTATTGCCTTCCAGGCATTACTACCACAAGTTGCTGTGCATAAAGTTAACTGAAGGTTTGAGGCAATGGAGACACATTACCTTATGACACACACAGAATAAACTACACCTAAAAATGAGTGTTAGACATCATCACCATTCCCCAAATTTGCTACAAATATCTCCTTAAGCATACCATTAAAAATTCTAGTATTTGAAATAGCATAATTCATTCATTCATTTACTCATAGTATAATTCATTCATTCATTTACTCATTCAACAAGTGTTTATTGAATGTCTACCAGAAACTTCCTTAGGTACTGTGGATACAATCATATGAATGAAATCCCTTATAGCATTGTATTTTAATGGAGAGACGGTAGACAATAAAAAAGCAAATAAATATTTAATAAGTCATGTGGTAGGAAGTGCTAAAAAGAAAAACAAGGTAAGGCAGTAGGGAGTGATGGAAGAAGGATGTTTGTATGACAAGTCGTGAAAGAACAAGCCACATGGACATCTAGGAAAGAGCACACCAAGCAGAGAAACTGCAAGTGCAAAATCTTAAGACCAAAAGGCTTTGTACATTGGAGTGAGCTGGCAGGAAACAAAATTGAAGAGGTATTCAGGGACCAAATGGTGTAGGGCCCTGGAAGCTTTGAAAAGCAGTGTGGATTTTATTCTAAGTGTGATGGAAAGTCATTAGAGGACCGAGAGCAGAGAGTGAAATGACCAAATTTACAGTGTAAAAGGACTATTCTAGTTGCTTATGGAGAACAGACTGTGGTGGGTCAAGACTGAGTTGGGAGACTAGTAAAAAGGCTACTTCAGCAACCTAGATGAGAGATCATGGTGGCTTGAACCAGGGTGTTGAATGTAATAAAGTGGTTAAGAAGTACTTTTGATACCAGAGTTAACTAGATTTGCTAATGGACTGGATGTGGGAGTGGGTGAAATGATAATTCTCTGATTTTTGGCCCAATTAACATGTGTGTGTAAACGTATGTGTGTGCATAAACATGTATTCTGGGTGGATATTGGTGCCACTCTATTGTGTTGGGGTTTTGCTGCTGTCATGTTGGAGGCACAGTCTGTGATAGAGGCAGAGAACTCTGTTTCCTGCTACACATTACTGAGTTTGTACCAAACCTGAAACTGCCACCCCAGTTGCCAAATATCACTCATCGCAGATCTTGGATTCAGAAGTAATCATTAGAAATAATATTAGGTGCCCTCCCTTCTAAGATGGAAGTCCTCTTTGCCACATTTCCAACAGATGGCCACACAACCTCTGCTTGAAAACTTCCTGGAGAAGGGGCTCAGTGAAACATGAGGGAGCCCATTCTGCACTGGACTATATTATTACACTATAGGATATTCTTTCTTAGATTTAATTGAAATCCTCCATATGGTAAGTTGCAAACACTGGCCATAGTTTTTTGCTGCCTCATACAGCATTTAATAGCTTACAAATCTCTCTCCTCTACCTTATCTTGTTCAAATTTCACTACAATCCCGTAAGGTAAATTGTTATCCTCATTTTATACATGAAAACAACTGAAAGGTGACATAGCGAATAAATGGTGCTGCAACTTCATCCTAGTCATCTAGACCTAAAATTTATCTTTAGAGTTTCCATATGCAAAGAGACTTCTTAGAATTATGCCTTATAATACGGCACTCACCATAAGCCTCATTCCATTAATTTTCAGTGACACCTCTTATTTTACGTTCATCTCTTTGCTTTTCAATTTCAGTCTCACTTTGCCTAATATCTATAACTCTGCACTATATAACATAAATATGATAATATATTAATAAATATATATTTGATATCAGGACCTAATAGATAGTGGTCTTCTTTAGTCTCTTCTTTAGTTACTTCCTGACAGTTACTAGTTTCTCCCTCTCTCTCTCTCTCTCTCCTGTGATCTAACTGAATTGCCCCTATTGCCTCCATGCCACCAATAGCATCCTAGTTTTAATAAGAGAAGAAGGAAAGAAATTGAGCTTGCGATCAGAGGGCCTGTGTTTGAGTCCAGCCCCTGCTACTCAACTAGCTATGTGTGTGACCTTAAGTAAGTCACATGAACATCTTGAGACTCACTTATCCCCTCTGTAAAATGAGGAAGCTGATTTCTATTCTTACGACTTTATAGGAATGTTGTTAATGCCAAATGGAATGAAGCCAGTTTGTGACTGGGAAATGCATTCCTGAAGGTAGGTCAGTGGAATTGCTATATTCCTCAGCAACTTTCCTGATAGAGTCATTGTTAAAAAAATTCTGACTGTTCAATATTCCCACAAAATTGACCATCCAAAATTGACCTACCACACATAAAATCTCATCAACCATAAAAAAGCCAGTTAGGAACAATGGGTAGGTAAATCTCACTCTCTGGGTATAAAAGAATACTATCTCACATTGGCATAACCATTAAAAATATCTTCTCATACCTCTAGTCTTTATTGTTTTTTTAATGTGAAATAATACACAGAAAAGCAGCTGTGGGTATGTGTCATATGCTCTATAAATGTTACTTGAATACATTAATATATTTTGTGCTAATTGTATGCACAGATTAATATGATTAGCCGTTGTTTTTTTGAGACAGAGTCTTGCTTTGTTGCCCAGGCTCAAGTGCAGTGGCATGATCTCAGCTCACTGCAATCTCCACCTCCCGGGTTCAAGTGATTCTCTTGCCTCAGCCTCCCGAGTAGCTGGGATTATAGGTGCCTGCCATCATGCCCAGCTAATTTTTGTATTTTTAGTGGAGACGGTGTTTCACCATGTTGGCCATGCAGGTCTTGAACTCCTGAACTCAAGTGATCCTCCTGCCTCGGCCTCCCAAAGTGCTGGGATTACAGGCATGAGCCACTGTGCATGGCTTGATTAGCCTTTTTGATGCCTATATTTTAATCCTGAAACAAAATTAAATAGGGTGATATTTAAATGTTTGACTGGGGTAACATAATGCTTAAACTCATTGTTATCCTTATACGTAGTTAAAGCTTTCACTCCACCCAGGACATCCCAGGGGATGTGAACTGCTGAGGAAATCCCCCTCCTCCAGTGCTGCTTGCCACAGAGGGAATAAAACTTCTTGGTTCTTGTGTTGCAGCCCTGGCTTTTGGTGGGTGAACCACTTCAAAGACAATGTGAGTTGAAGTAAGAGACATTCTGGATATTTTCAAGCTTTTAGTGTCCACACATGTAAAACACTGAACGCAAGACAAGAATTTTTGCCAAGGAGAGTAGAGAATCAGATAAGCATCTACTGACATTGCAAACGTTTCTCTGGGCCAGGATGTTTTAGTTTTATTTTGTCTAGGGTCCAATTCTCTCACACACTCCACCCAAACACCACTCCTGCACCACTTCTAGTCTGTGGGAGGGAACTTCATACACATTTTTCGAAAGGAAAAGTTTTAGAAGTTGGTCCAGATTGGAAGAAAAGGTTGCTGCAAGATTCAGGAAGCTTTTCCCTGGCCCTAAACCTACAAACTAAGATTCTAGACTTTTCCAACAGAGATTAAAGACTGTAGACACTGGGGATTCTGGTAACAGGAAATGTATTTATTCTCCTCACCGCAACTTCATTGAGAAGAGATGACAGTTTTGACTAGATGGTGAGAAAGAGACACAAGGTGTTAAACAGAACTCTGAAGTGTGAGCTACAAGGGAAGACTTAATCTCAAACTTCAGCATCCTCTTTCCATCATTTGGGTGGGCTGTGTTCTGGCTTCTAATAAAGTCTGTCTTAGGAGGGGTGTGGGAGGGGTGGGGACCAGAAGAAAGCCAGGCAGGGGACTGGGATGGTTCATACTTCCTTTAGTGCTCTGTTCTTGGGTTCCCTGAGGTTGTTGACTAGGCTGGCCAATTAGCTCTTCCTAACTTTCTAAAAGTACAGGAAAAGACTGCTTTTGGAGGGAGTTCTGGAAGGCAGTGTAGTCAGTGGGAGGAGATGGCCAGATAGCTGGATTCACTTTTGAAAGAAAGATGAGTGTGGGCATGATTTTTTCTGCCCTACTACCAAGTTCACATTTATGACTCACTATATGAATATCAACTTTTTATCTAAAAATAATTGGACACAAGACTTGTTCTTTCCCTGAGTCAAATTATGAAGTATACATAGAGCAATAATAGTTTTCATTTATTGACTCCCTTTTTATAAGGATTATGCAAATCACCCTACATTTATGTCTACTAATCCTCATCAACCACAAGTCAAGCATTGCTAGCTCAATTTTGTAAATTAAAAACTCATTGAGGCCGGGCGTGGTGGCTCACGCCTGTAATCCCATCACTTTGGGAGGCTGAGGTGGGCGGATCACCTGAGATTGGGAGTTCGAGACCAGCCTGACCAACATGGAGAATCCCCATCTCTACTAAAAATACAAAATTAGCCAGGCACGGTGGCGCACACCCGTAATCCCAGCTACTCGGGAGGCTGAGGCAGGAGAATCGTTTGAACCTGGGAGGCGGAGGTTGCGGTGAGCGGAGATCGCGCCATTGCGCTCCAGCCTGGGCAACAGAGTGAAACTCCACCTCAAAAGAGAAAAAAAAAAGCCAAAAAAACTCATTGAGTTTCAGAGAGGGTAAATAATTTTCCCAAGGTCACAGCAGAACTAGGATTCAAGAGCAGGCTGGTTTGATCTAAGCACTCTTAGCCCAAATAGGCTCATACTGTCAGAGGCACGTGAACCAGAGCAACTCCATCTTAAATAGGAGCTGGGTGAAATGAGGGTGAGACCTACTGGGCTGCATTCCCAGATGGTTAAGGCATTCTAAGTCACAGGAGTCATTCTAAGTCATAGGAGGTCGACACAAGATACAGGTCATAAAGACCTTGCTGATAAAACAGGTTGCAGTAAAGAAGCTGGCTAAATCCTAGCAAAACCAAGATGGCCATGAAAGTGATCTCTGGTTGTCCCCACTACTACATTCCCAGTTTACGAATGCCATGGCAATGTGAGGAAGTTACACTATATGGTCTAAACAGGGGGAGCATGAATAATCCACCCTTTGTTTAGCATATCATCAAGAAATAACCATAAAAATGGGCAACCAGCAGCCCTCAGGACTGCTCTGTCTATGGAGTAGCCATTCTTTTATTTCTTTACTTTCTTAATAAACTTGCTTTCACTTTGCACTGCAGACTCACCCTGAATTCTTTCTTGCGCGAGATCAGAGAACCCTCTCCTGGGGTCTGGATCATGACCCCTTTCCTGTAACTTATTTCTGGTGACCACAGGAAGGACCGTAGTGCAAACACCCTGACCCAACAGCTACCTTTGGGTAAGTGTTGGCGTCCTGTAATAATGCTGCCCCATTATAATGCCAATATTCTTTATTTATTCAACAAACATTTGTTAAGCACTTACTAGGTCCCAAGCATTGTTTAGGGAATAGAATGGTGAACAAGACAGATATATCTTCCTTTCCCCCTTTAAATTTACAGCCCAGTTTGGAGGAGTGGGGAAGGTGAATGGAAAAAGTAAACAAGCAAATAGATAAATTAGGAAATTTTCAAATGCTGATAAATGCTATGGAGAGAATTAAAATAGAATGAAACTTTAATGGAAAGAGAGACAAGGTAACTACATTAGAAGGAAATCTCTCTGAGGAAGTATCATTTAAAATGCCAGTGCAATTATTAGATGAAAGAACATTTTAGATAGATAAAACAGCTTTTCACAGGCCCGCTTTTGGTATTTTGGATAAAACAATGCATTATTATGTGGGACTGTAATGCACATAGCAATACACTTAGCATTCTTAAGTGCCTAAATGACAGTAGGTCTCCTAGTCAGTGACAACCAAATATGACCCCTATTCATTTCCAAACTGCCCTCTGGGGGTGCCTTCCTTCTCCCTGGTTGTTCAAAACCACCAGGCAACATCAGTGATCCAAAAACAAGAAAAAGCTTGGCATGTAGCAGGAATAAAATAAAGAACCATGTGGCTAGGATCGAGGGATGCCAAGAGATTATGCTGGAGAGGTAGACCGGGACACCGATTCAGTAGGGCTTTGTAAACTGGGGTGAGGAATTTAGATTATATTGTTAGTACTAAGGGAAGCCACTGAAAAGCATAGTTTGTTTTTCAGGGGAATTGGAGATAAGTGGAAAATTTTGACATATGTTTTGATAGAGTTTTCAGGCCCTCTGATTTGGTGTTGGGTGCATGGGAAAGAGATGAATCAAGGATTACACCTACTATTTTTCACTCTGTTTCCTTCACAGCACCTATGGTAATTATTTCCTAGACTTTTTTTTTTTTTTTCCTATTTGTCTATTTCTCCAATTAGGTCCATGTCTACTTCTATTCTGGTGCTCAATGTAAATGTGCTGAATGAATAGTTGAACAAACAATATGGGCATCTCCTCTTACTCCTTAAATACAGATATGCTTGTTCTTTTTAATGGCTTTCTGCATACACCATCACATTTTCAGTTAGTTTTCTGCTAAGGATCATTTAGGTTATTCCCAAATTTTGCTCTTTGAAAAAAAAAAGTGCTGCAGCATTCACACACACATCTTTGTGCATTTCCCTAAGATAAAAAGGTAGAATTGGAAGGGCAAGGCATAAACTATACACTATACCTTTTTTTTTGAAATGGAGTCTCACTCTGTTGCCCAGGCTGGAGTGCAGTGATGCCATCTCAGCTCACCACAACCTCCACCTCCTAGGTTCAAGCAATTCTCCTGCCTCAGCTTCCCAAGTATCTGGGATTACAGGCATGTGCCACCATGCCTGACAAATTTTGTATTTTTAGTAGAGTAGGGGTGTCGCCATGTTGGCCAGCTGGTCTCGAACTCCTCACCTCATGTGATCCTCCTGCCTCGGCCTCCCAAAGTTCTGGGATTACAGGCATGAGCCACCATGCCCGGGCCGTTATAACTTTGGATGATTATTGTCAAATTGCTCTCTGTAATTGTACCAATTCACATTCCCACCCATGTCATGTAGGAGTATCTTTTCTCTATACTATATGCACTATTCTATATAATCATTTGTAGAAATTTTTATAAGACTGACAGGCAAAAATGATATCTTATTAAAAATTTGCATTTAAAAAATATTCGAGAAGCTGAAACTTTCATTTTTAGCTTTATTTATTGCCATTTATAATTCCCCTCTAGTGAATTGCCTAATGTAATTTACTCACTTAAAATTTAAGCTGTTGTCTTTTTGTTACTGGTTTTGTTACCAGTGGTGAAGCTGTATGAGTCTGCAGCAAACTTGATCCTTGCCTCCTGGGAAGAAAAAATTCAGCTGAGGGACAGAAGTAGATTTAAGGCAGAGGGAGAGACTGAAGCAAGCTTTAGAGCAGGAGTGAGACTTTATTAAAAAGTTTTAGAGAAGGAGCAAAAGGAAGCAAAATACACTTGGAAGAGGGCCAAGGGAGTGACTTGAGAGATCCAAGTGCCCCGTTGAGCCCTTGGCTTGGGATTTTTATACATTGGCTTGGTTTTGGGGTTTGCATTTCTCCTCCCCTGATTCTTCCTTTAGGGTGGTCTCTCCACATGTGCAGTGGCCTGCCAGTACCTGGGAGGGGCCACATGCATAGTACGTTTACTGAGGTTGTGTGCATGCTCTCTAGGGGTGATTTTCCTTTACTGGTGAAATATCCCCAGAGGAAGGTCATACATCTGCCGTTTTGCCTCTTAGAGCACGTGCTTGAGCCTGCTCACTCAACTCTTGAGATCTTATCAGGAAGCTGCTGATCACTAGCTACAGGTGTTTTCTATCTATTGGGAGATTATCTTCCCCTGGCAGCGGCTGTAAGCAATTCTCATTTCAGAGTCACCTGACATTCCCGGGGGGGCCCTCCCTTTCCTGTTCAAGTATGCCTAACTAGCCAGTCTAGGAGTTTATGGCCTCTCTTTATATGGCATGAAGGTAACTCTTTATCTGTTGCATGTATTACAAATGTTTCCTCCCATTGTGTATTCTGTTAACTTTTTCCATGCAGAAAGTTTAATTTTTTTAAATAAATCTATTTCCCTTATAGCTTCTTGTCACTCTTAGACTTACCTCACTTTATAACTATTAAATCTACTTTTCTCTGTTTCTAATATAAAGTTTTTTTGGTGTTTTAGCTCCAGGATGTATTTAAAAATTTATTTTTATTTACTGTGGGGTGGGTAGTAAATTTAATTTTTTCAAAATAGAGAACTGATAACAATGCCATTTTAAAAATACTGATTCATTTGAAATGACAGTACTATTTTAGGCTAAGCTTCCCTTTGTGCTTGGGTTTGGTTCTGAACTCTCTTCTGTTCTTTTGATCCCATTGTTTATTACTGGACTAATAACTTTATTTTAATAAATATATTATTATTAAATATACTTTAATATACATGTCTACTGTTAAGCATATATGTTAAATATATTTTAATATATTTAAATATGTACCTTTATAACATTTTCCTTCAAAGTCTTTTTGGCAAATTTTGTATATTTATTCTTTATACAGATTTTATAATCAATTTGTCAAATGCTCCTCCCTTCCTCCCACTTCTCTGCCATAGTGTATTCTATTTGATTAGAATTACATGGAATTTATTATAATATAACTTGGGGGGGAATTTGAGTGCCTTACACTATAAAGTTTACCTTTCTATGAAAATCTGGTGTGACTCAGCATTTATTTAGGTGTCTTATATTCCTTCAGAAAAGTCATAGTTTTCTTTACATAGATTTTGTGCATTTCTTAATCTTTTTCCTATATATCTTATAGTTTTATAACTTCTTATCATGAATGTGCTGGATTTTTTTTTCTTATTCTTTGATGCTTTCCATCTTCTTGAACTCAAACTGTCAAATCCTGCTTTCCCAAAGGGTCTTGCTCTCAGGTTATTACCCACAGGTGCATAATAAAATGTTAGCTGTTAACGAAGGTGTTGGCTGACAATTGGGAAGTGTGTTAGGGACAGTTCATTTCCTAGTCTCTTTGCTCCCTGACAGAGTCTCTTTTGCTTCCCCTGCTCTGCCTTGGCCCCTGCCCTCTGTGCTTCCCAGACTTCTGGAGGCACTGGTGGGAAATGCAGGGGCAGAGGAGAGGAGGAATCTGGGACTTCTCTCCCTTCCTTCCTGATTCACACAGCAGCTCCACCAACAGCTGCGTCCTCCCCATGTCTGCACTACTGCCTGGGAGTCTGGCTTTGACTCCAGCCTCTGCAAGTGGCCACCAGGTTTTAGTAATCACTTCTCCTTCCTTTGTCTGCCTGGCTAATGGGGCTAGTGCCCCACCATCCCCCATTGCCTTCTCTGCTCTCTGTTTACTTGTGCAAACATTTGCTATTTTAAACACTTGCAGTGGCGTTCTTTTTCCTGGTTGGACCCTCACTGATACACATTTTTTCAAGGGTTTTTTGAATTCAGAAAGAAATAAGATGAATTTTCATAACAAGTCTATGGAATATATGGTGTGATTAGGTCTACTGGGAGAATTTCAGGCAGGACAGCTGTTGCGGGACTGAGATTCTGCAGTTGGTGGCAAGGAGAAGGAGAAGAAGGAGGTTGGTGAGGAAGGTAGAGAGGAGAAACTCAGTGGCCATTCTAGGCACTTTCTAACAACAATCTTGCATGGTAGATATTTCCATTTCTACAGATGAGAAAACACAGATGTGTGCACATACGCTAATGTCATACTGTAAGTAGCCAAGCCATGGTCTACCTACACAATTTTGCTTCTGAAAACCAAAAGAAACAAACAAATATTTTATAGTATAATTGCAGCGGTGAAATTCATATTAGATAGACAACTTTTTCCTAGTACTCTTGCTGTCTTGCCCACACTGACCCCTTGGGAAGTCCAGAAATGGCTCTTTATGCTACCTGGGCCTCTGTCTATCTGTTGTCTGCAAAGCCTTGGCCACGCCTGTAGAGTCTTGTTTAATATAGCATCTGATTTTGATTATCAGTAGTTTGGTGTCTTTAAAGAACATTAATCACTAATGTTTCTTTCAACTCTTTTTAAAATCTAATTTTGCTCTTTCTCAACTCAAACTGAAAGTGGGTCAAAGTAGGCCCTAGATGTTTAGACTTGCTCAAGATAATTAAATAGGCAACATTTATATCTGGTGATCTCTTTTCACTTTAGGAATTTTTCCCTTTGTTTTTGAGTTTCCTTACCTAAGGTGTTATACCACTCCAGGCCAGGAGGCTCCATTTCTTTCTGTCTTTATCTTTTGCCTTTTATCAAAATTCAGCCTTCTTGAGTTTCATTCTCTCACTTGATAATGGTAGGCGATTGAATGAGTTCAAAATTCACCCTGGAGAAAGTATTAGGCTAATTTGTAATTCTTCTCAGGTAACTCAGTGCCTTTACACACTTAAAATGTGTTTTTTTCCTTATAAGGCCCATCAGGACCATTGCAGTGGTGGGGATTATAGTAATTTCATGGGTTAGGTGGGAGATCCTTTTGGAGAAAGGGGTTTTTTACTTCAGCCAGGTATGGCATTTGGTTCCATCTGCTCCACTCATGGGTTGTATCTGGATCTTAGCTTTTATATAAAATACGGTTTTTAAGCCACACTTGAATGTAGCCTTCAGTTCCATGAGAGTTTTCAATGGGGGGGTTGATGGAAGAGGACAGAAATACAAGTGTGACTTATGAAATTTTGTCATACATTGGATTTGTACCAATGATTTTATCAAGTGTCAGGGACCTCTTAAGCTTGATGTGTCTTCTAGCAGTCTAGCATCTGGGTGCTCATACCTCCTTGTGTCTGAGTTTGAGATTAGCCATACTGCACACTAGCACATTGCTTAGCAGGACAGAATTCTCAGCTGGCATTCCCATGGATTAGCCGTGGTGGTTTTGGCTTAAGACAGCCCTTCTGATGGAGAGGCATTAAGATGGGCCGAGGAGTCAGAAGCCTAGTTCCAATTCTCCTACCATAGCAGCCAGGTCATTTTGCTTGAGTAGTCTTCAATTTTTCTTCTCAGTAGATGAAACACATAGACTCGAAACATTTAGAAGTTCCTTCCACGGTTTGCGGGACTCTGGGGATTGAGATTATTTATTTCCCTTTATGCACCTGCAATTCCTCAGCAGTAAAGGGATCTGAAGAGAGCACAAACAAAAGATAGCTTCTCTTTTGTGGTGCAGCCAGGCATCTGTAGCATTCCAGCAAGCTCCCAGCACTCTTCTTCCGCCTGCCAGAGAGTAGGGCAGGCATAATAAGGTCAAGATACAGAAAATGCAGGGGGTTGAGGAAGGGAGGGGCAGATATTGTGAAGTGATATGCTCACAGCTCAGTGAGGGATCCGGTCTGTCTTGCTCACCATGGCATTCTTGGTCCCTGCATTGAGATGAGCATAGAGTGAGTGCTCAGTAAGTACTTGTTGAATGAATGACACTTTAACTGTGACAGGGAGTCGCAGATGTAAGTGCAAACTCAAGGTTACTTTTATCTCTAGTAGGTTGTGATACAGGTTAAATTTCTCTGGGTATGTGAACTAGTGTTATTTCTATTTTCAAACAGAATACACTGAGTTCCCAAATCCTCTGGGGTTTACAATCTAGAAGCTTCACTGACAGCTCTAGAGCAAGAATATCTAACCTTTGGTGCAATGATTATTGACTATTCAAATAACAACTTCAGTAACATCACTGAATGAAAACTCTTCTCATCACTTTTGAGATACTCAATGATAAAGCCTTATAAAAGACCTGAATTGACTTAAACCTTCCCCTTTCATTTGGAATTGGAATCTCACATTAAAAAAAGTCTTCTGACCTTGAAATTTCTTGCATCTTGACATTTCATTTATTTATAAATCAATTTATCCAATCATTTATTAAATATATATATAAATTTTTTTTCTTCTAACTTTTTTTTTAGGTTCAGGGGGTACATGTGCTGGTTCGTCACATGGGTAAATTGTATGTTGCTGGGATTTGGTGTACAAATGTTTTTGTCACCCAGGTAGTGAGCAGAGTATCTAATAAGTAGTTTTCCGATCCTCACCCTTCTCCTACTTTCTACCCTCAAGTAGGCCTTGGTGTCTATTGTTCACCTATTTGTGTACATGTGTACTCTGTTCAGCTCCCACTTATAAGTGAGAACGTGCAGTATTTGGTTTTCTGTTTCTGCACTAATTTGCTTAGGATAATGGCCTCCAACTCTATCCATGTTCCTGCAAAGGACATAATTTTATTTTATTTATGGCTGCATAGTATTCTATGGTATATATATATATACCACATTTTCTTTATCCAGTCCATCGTTGATGGACATCTAGGTTAATTACATGTCTGTTATTGTGAAAAGTGCTGTGATGAATGTACACGTGCATGTGTCTTTTTGGTAGAATGATTTGCTTTCTTTAGGATGCATACCCGGTAATGGGATTGCTAGGTTGAATGGTAGTTCTACTTTAAGTTCTTTGAGAAATCTCTGAGCAGCTTTCCACAGTGGCTGAACTAATTTACATTCCCACCAGCAGTGTATAAATGTCTCCTTTTCTCTGCAACCTCACCGGCATCTATTATTTTTTGTCTTTTTAATAATAGCCATCCTGACAGGTGTGAGATGATATCTCACTGTGGTTTTGAATTGCATTTCTCTAATAATTAGTAATGATGAGCATGTTTTTATATGCCTGTTGGCTGGATTCATGTCTTCTTTTGAAAAGTGTCTGTTCATGACCTTTGCTCATTTTTTAATTGGGTTTTGCTTTTTGCTTGTTGATTTGTTTAAGTTCCTTATAGATTCTGGATATTAGATCTTTGTCAGATGCATAGTTTGCAAATATTTTCTCCCATTCTGTAGGCTCTCTGTTTACTCTGTTGATAGTTTCTTTTGCTCTGCACAAGCTCCAGCTTAATTAGGCCCCACTTGTCAATTTTTGTTTCTGTTGCAATTTCTGTTGGAGTTTCTGTCATGAAATCTTTTCCAAGGCCTATGTCCAGAATGATATTTGCTAGGTTTTCTTCTAGGGTTTTTATAGTTTTAGGTTTTATGTTTGAGTCTTTAGTCCATCTTGAGTTGATTTTTGTATATGGTAAAAAGAAGGAGTCCAGTTTCAATCTTTCGTATATGGCTAGCCAGTTATCTCAGCACCATTTATTGACTAGGGAATCTTTCTGCATTTCTTGTTATTGTTGACTTTGTTGAAGATCAGATGGTTGTAGGTGTACAGCTACATAGACTGTACACAAGATGCAATAGTATTAGCGATGGGGGTTGGCATTTTTCCCATGAAGAATCCAGGCAACATTTCACAACACTAGATAATGGGGAGTTTGAAGATGCTAGATTGTGGAAAGGTCAGAGATTGGAATGCTAGATTCCTTAGCATGCTAAATTTTAGCTTTTCTGTAAAAATTTTAGAGATTTTCATTTCTATTTAAGTCACTCTGTCTCACGAATAGTCTTTTTATTCATTAATTTATTTTATTCTCATGCATTCACAATTGTGAGAGTGGAGCACAGTGATCATGCTACCAAGAAGTCTTATTACCTATCAGTTAAATTTTGATACATTTTTTATGCACATATGCACATCTCTGGTGTTTCAAATCTAAAAGAAATTATTCAGAATTAGTACCTTTGCTATATGTTAAATGCACAGTCCAAAAGCTGGTCATTATTATAAAAACAAACTTACTTAATTCCAAGGATATTGTGATCCAACATTCAGAAAAATTGAGAGATTTATCTTTGGATATTGTGATTCAACATTCAGAATAATTGAGAGATTTATCTTTAAAAAAGGAAATGCCCCTTTTCAAAAAATTAAATATAAGATAATTGTTTACTTAGCAAATAATTACCACAGGTTCAACTCAAGGCACTAACAGATAATATGACCTAGGAATATATTATGAGTCTATAGGTTGTTCCTAAGGCCTAGGAATAAAGGAATCTATCTCTAATTTTCTCAGAGTTTTCCTTTCATTAATAGATACCTTCTCTTTTTTTTTTTTTTTTCTGAGATAGAATCTTGCTCTGTTGCCCAGGCTGGAGTGCAGTGGCGCGATCTCAGCTTGCTGCAAACTCCACCTTCTGGGTTCAAGTGATTCTCGTGCCTCAACCTCCCGAGTAGCAGGGATTACAGACAAGTGCCACCATGCCCAACTAATTTTTGTATTTTTAGTAGAGACAGGGTTTCACCATGTTGGCCAGGCTGGTCTTGAACTCCTGGCCTCAAATGATCCTCCTGCCTCAGCCTCCCAAAGTGCTGGGATTACAGGCATGAGCCACCATGCCCAGCCTCATTAATAGACACCTTCTGTTCTCTACCTCTATTTGATTTTTTTTCTAAAATCATCCCAATATTTTATTTTCTAATTTCAACCTATGCTAAATAATTTTTAATCTGGGAAATATATACATTTCAAAAGGTATGTATCATTTAACAAATATTCTTTGAATATCTATCTGATATGTTAGGCTCTGGGCTAGGTATGGCTATATAGAGATAAAGGAAAACCAATCCTTGTTTTCAAGGAGGTTAATGGTGAGGTGGTAATATCAGATGCATAGCAAATTCTGTGAGATGAATACTATGGAAAGAATGAACACAAAATGCTATGACAGCACAGCACAAACAAAAGACCTCTAACTCAGTCTTAGTGGGCAGGGAAGGCTTCATGAGGGTAGGTCCAATTGAAGCAGCTTAAAAAGTTTCTCGGAGAAGAAAGGATCAATGAATGAAGGGGTAGGAGAGCACAGCCCACTGTTGTCTTTGTCAGCAGTGTGTGTGACTGGAGCATAGGCCATTTGTAGGGGAGTATCAGGAGGTAGTTTAGGAGTGGGGCATCTCATGGAAGGTTTTGCATGACATAGCGACTGAACTTTTAGTAATAAATTAACTGATACACGCTTCTCTCTTTCTGCCTTTTTTTTTTCTTTCTTTTTTTTTTTTCGAGACAGGGTTTTGCTCTGTCAATCAGGCTGAAGTGCAGTGGCATGATAATGATTCACTGCAGCCTCACGCTTTTGAGCTCAAGTGAGCCTCCTGCCTCAGTCTCCTGAGTAACTGGAACTACAGGTGCACGCTGCCATGCCCAACTAATTTCTTTTATTTTTAGTAGAGATGAGGTCTCACCCTGTCGCCCAGGATGGTCTTGAACTCCTGAGCTCAAGTGATCCTCCTACCTCAGCCTCCCAAAATGTTGGGATTGCAGGAGTAAGCCACGATGCCCAGCCCCTCTCTCCCTTTTGATTAGCCTAAGAACTGTCCTGCCATGGCACAATTAGCTAGGATTGTGTATGTGTACTGCTTTAAAGAAGGGCTATTATAGAAACACTCAGGAAAATATGATCCCATCAGGATGTAAGCTCTCTAAGGAGACAACTTATTGCCAGGTGTCCCGTGAATCTACAACAGTCTATAGTGGTATTCAATGAATATGTGTTAAATTAATGAAGAATCAGATTCTTGGCTGTTCAGTCTCAAGAGCTTATTTTAAGTTATAAGAACTCATGTTCTGGAGTCTCAGTAGTCCCAAAGTCTCAGATAATCAAGTTAAAGACTAATATAATAGATTTGGAAGGGTGGGGATCAGTCAGAGCTAGCTTTTACTATTATAGATTAGAAAACTCTTCTACCTCTGTGGGAAAGATGTGCTCTGGATGGGAAGCAGTAATGTGTATTGCAGCAGTAAATGCTCATGTGCGTTCCTGAGAAAGGACCTTCTCCATGCCCTCCTTCAGGCTCAGTCTGGAAATGAAAGGAGCATATGATACAAATCCAATGTGTATTTGTGGGGTCAGAGAGCAGAAAGTGACTATGATTTATAATCTCAGTGAAGCCAGGCGTGATGACAGTTTTGTCGACGTTTCCCTGTACTCTGAATAAGGTGGGAGTAGTGGAGTAGAGGGGACCACGTGTGATATTTAAGTCAAAAGACCCCAATAGGGCATGCAGAACAACTAAATATATTCTGGATGCCCACTAAGAACAGTATGGAAGTCTCTGAGAGAGAGCCCAACCTAAGCAGATCTCTGAGTGGGGCAAGAAGAATGTAGCTGTGTCTTGTACAGCACAGAAACCATAAACCAGATGGGTGAGACAGTGTCTCTGTTGATGCCAAAGGGGACAGGTGAAGACTGAAGGTCAGGTGATTGTCCTCCTCCTTCCCTGTGCCTTGATGCACATGGGATGGGATCTGGGATACTGCTT
Organism: Homo sapiens; assembly: GCF_000001405.40. Classification (NCBI taxonomy): domain Eukaryota; kingdom Metazoa; phylum Chordata; class Mammalia; order Primates; family Hominidae; genus Homo; species Homo sapiens. Next base: position 172,687,945 of record NC_000001.11, read on the forward strand.
AGACACAACCAGGGGGAACAGTGGAGAAATAAATTCAAATAATTGAGAAAATGGAATTAAATTAAGATGTAATTTCCTCCAGCAATGGAATGGGTGCAGAAAATAAAAATTAAGATGAGTGGTGATTAGTCAGTGTTCTCTTAGAAGGACAGAACTAACAGGATTATATATATATGTGTGTGTGTGTGTGTGTTTGTGTGTGTGTAAGTTTATATATATATAAAGCGGAGTTTATTAAATATTAACTTACACAATCACAAGGTCCCACAATAGGCTGTCTGCAAGCTGAGGAGCAAGGAGAGCCAGTCTGAGTCCCAAAAATGAAGAACTTGGAGTCTGATGTTCTGGGGCAGGAAACATCCAGCACGGGAGAAAAATGTAGGCTGGGAAGCTAGGCCTGTCTCTCATTTTCATGTTTTTCTTCCTGCTTTATATTCGCTGGAAGCTGATTAGATTGTGCCCACCAGATTCAGGGTGGATGTGCCTTCCTCAGCCCACTGACTCAAATGTTAATCTCTTTTGGCAACACCCACACAGACAGATTGAGGATTAATACTTGTATCCTTTAGTCCAATCAAGGTGACACTCAGTATTAATCATCACAAGTCCACCCCTTGTCAACTTGAACCCATACACAGCTCCTGAGATCATACATAATCTTCAAATAAAGGTAATAATGAGGTCATAATTACACCTAACATAATACAACTATCCTTTGTACAAGTGGAAATGCACCAAGCTCCAATCCAAATACTACATAAAGTTAACAATGCTTAAATGTTGATAAGAAGTCAATAAATCTTACATCACATGATAAAGGAAAAATGAAATAAAATGAAGATATTTTCTTAGTACAAGTGTATACATGTGCAAACATGTTTTTAAGAAAAGAAGGAGGAAATACTCATGACTGTTACAGTCCTCGTGTCTGCAGCTGGTCACGTGGTCATAGCTGGTATTGATGACTACCTTCTTCTACTACCCATTTGTATTCCCTTTGCCTTCAGCAAGCACTTCAGCAGGTCATGGTTTTTCCTGGTGGAGTGACCCAAACCTTCATTTTTGAAGGGTCTGGATCCTTCATAGTCCTGCCTGGATTGGGATGTTGTAGTTTCCCATTGACCTTAATCACAGGGCATGGTAATACTAAGAGATGCCCTAATGAATCTCCTGTATTCCATGCTACTCTTCCTCCGTTGTGCAGTAGTAGACTGATTTCATCTTGATAGTCTGGGGGTTAAATCACCCCAGCCAATGCTGTTACTATCTTCTTAGCCTATTGACTTGAAGGTAGGAGGAGCCTAAAGTGTCCAGGTGGCAATCTTAACTTCCAGTTTAATGGAATCGTATTTGTGTCTCCTGGTGGCAGCATACCTCCCTCTGGAACTAAGACCTCTAGGCCAGCAGAATGTAATGTCACGGTAACAGGACGCAAAAATTTTGCTAGTGGATCACTAGGGGTGATGGTGAGTGGTGCCACTTCCATTTCTACCCGTTGATTCCTGGACCCAGGAATCCTGGCTATGGGAGAAACAATACCATATATTGGATGCTGATTCAGAGCATACATGGCCTTCTGGAGAACTTTGCCTGAGCCCTGCAAAGTATCGTCACCCAGTTGGCATTGTAATTGTGATTTCAAAAGGCCAGTCCACTGTTTTATCAATCCAGCTGCTTCAGGATGATGGGGAACATGGTAAGACCAATCAATTCCATGAGCATGACCCACTGCCACACTTCTTTAGCTGTAAAGTTACTGCCTTGGTCAGATGCAATGCTGTGTGAAATACCATGATGGTGGATAAGGCATTCCGTGAGTTCATGGATGGTAGTCTTGGAAGAAACATTACGTGCAGGATAGGCAAACCCATATCTGGATTAAGTGTCTATTCCAGTAAGGACAAACCTCTGCCCTTTCCATGATGGAAGATGTCCAATATAATCAACCTGCCACCAGGTAGCTTGCTGATCACCCTGAGGAATAGTGCCATATTGAGGGCTCAGTGTTGGTCTCTGTTGCTTGCAAACTGGGCAGTCAGTAGTGGCCATAGCCAGGTCAGCCTTGGTAAGTGGAAGTCCATGTTGCTGAGCCCATGCGTAACTTCCATCCCTGCCACCATGGCCACTTTGTACATGGGCCCATTTGGCGATGACCGGGGTGGCTAGGGAAAGAGGCTAAGTGGTGTCCACAGAATGGGATGTCCTATCCACTTGATTATTAAACTCCTCCTCTGCTAAGGTCACCTCTGCTAAGGTGAGCACTCACATGGGATACAAATATCTTTACGGTTTTTGACCACTCAGAGAGGTCCATCCACATACCTCTTCCCCAAATTTCTTTGTCACCAATTTTCCAATCATGCTTCTTCCAAGTCCCTGAATATCCAGCTAAACTATTGGCTACAGTCCATGAATCAGTATATAATCACACATCTGGCTATTTCTCCTTCCATGCAAAGTGCACAACCAGGTGCACTGCTCGAAGTTCTGTCCACTGGGAAGATTTTCCTTTACCGCTGTCCTTCAGGAATGTCCTGGAAAGGGGTTGTAGTGCTGCAGCTGTCCACTTTCAGGTGGTGCCTGCGTATCGTGCAGAACCATATGTGAAACAGGCCGTAGTCTTCTCTTCCTCTGTCAATTGATCATAGGGAACTCCCCATGAGGCCATTGGCACAGGCTGGGGGAGAGAAGGCAGGTGGCAGGAGTGGAGAACATGGGCATTTGAACCACTTCCTCATGTAACTTACTTGCGCCTTCAGGATCTGCTCAAACACGATCATGTATATAGCACTTCCATCTGATGATGGAATGCTGCTGTGCATGACCCACTTTATGGCTAGATGGGTCAGAAAGTCTCCAGTTCATGATAGGCAGTTCAGGTCACCATGATGACTTGATGACCCATAGCTAAACGTTCAGTATCCACCAAAGCCCAGTAACAGACCAAGAGCTGCCTCTCAAAAGGAGAGTAGTTATCTGCAGAAGATGGCAGGGACTTGCTCCAAAATCCTAGAGGCCTCCACTGTGATTCACCTATGGAAGCCTGCCAGAGGTTCCAAACAGCATCCCTATCTGCCACTGAAACCTCAAGCACCATTGGATCTGCTGGGTCATATGGCCTAAGTGGCAGAGCAGCTTGCACAGCAGCCTGTACCTATTGCAGAGCTTTCTCCTGTTCTGGACCCCACTCAAAACTGAGAGACTTTTGAGTCACTCGATAAATAGGCTGGAGTAACACACCCAAATGAGGAATGTGTTGCCTCCAAAATCCCAATAGGCCCACTAGGCATTGTGCCTGTTTCTTGGTTGTAGGAGGGGCCAAATTCAGCAATTTATCTTTTACCTTAGAAAGAATATCTCAACAGGCCCCACACCACTGGACCCCTAGAAATTTTACTGAGGTAGAAGTTCCCTGGATTTTAGTCAGATTTATTTCCCATCCTCTGGCATGCAAATGTCTCACTAATAAGTCCAGTGTGTTTGCTACTTCTTGCTTACTGGATCCAATCAGCATAATGTCATCAATGTAATGGACCAGTGTGATATCTTGTGGAAGCAAAAAGTGATCAAGGTCTCTTGGATTATAACCCAAAGCCAGAGAGTTGATACACCCTGAGGTAGGACAGCAAAGGCATATTGCTGGCCTTGCCAGCTGAAGGCAAATTGCTTCTGGTGGGCCTTATGGACAGGAATGGAGAAAAAGACATTTACCAAGTCAATGATGGTGTACCAGGTACCAGGAGATGTGTTAGTTTGCTCAAGCAATGAAACCACCTCTGGTACAGCAGCTGCAATTGGAGTCACCACTTGGTTAAGCTTATGATAATCCACTGTCATTCCGCAAGATCCATCTGTCTTCTGCACAGCTCAAATGGGAGAGTTGAATGAGAATGTGGTGGGAATCACAACCCCTGCATCTTTCAAGTCCTTGATGGTGGCACTAATCTCCACAGTCCCTCCAGGGATGCGACACTGTTTTTGATTTACTGTTTTTCTAGGTAGAGGCAGCTCTAATGGCTTCCATTTGGCCTTTTCCACCATGGTAGCCCTCGCCCTACCAGTCAGGGAGCCAATGTGGGGGTTCTACCAGCTGCTAAGTATGTCTATGCCAACTATGCATTCTGGCACTTGGGAAATGACCACAGGATGTGTCTGGGGACCCATTGAAATCACTGTAAGTTGGACCTGAGCTAAAACTCCATTAATTACCTGACCTCCATAAGCCCCTACCCTTAACTGGAGGACCACAATGACGTTTTGGGTCCCCTGGAACCAATGTCAGCTCAAAGACAGTGTCTAGTAGTCCCTGAAATGTCTGACCATTTCCCTTTCCCCAATGCACAGTTACCCTGGTAAAAGGCTGGAGGTCTCTTTGGGGACGGATGGGAGAAAAATTCACTGCATAAATTTCTGGTAATGTAGTGGGGTCCTTTCTCAAGGGGACCTGGGCTCCCATTCATTCAAGGGGTTCTGGGTCTGTAAACTGACTCAAGTCTGGAAATTGATTGAGGGGCTGTGATTCTCTGTTTTTATAATTCAAATTAGTCTTTTGTCTTTTTGACCTAGAAGTTTTCTGTTTGTATAATTTAAGTAGGAATGCAGTAGGCTTCCTATCAATTTCACTTCTAGGAACAGTGTGATTAATTAGCCAATGCCAGAGCTCCACACAAATCAGACTATTCTGATTAGTGCTTTGCTTCTGCTGTCCATCACAGTAGCTACGCCCACCTTGCCTTTGACAGTTGAGTGCTGCCGCTTGGCCCCTGTCAGGATCCAATTATTCCCATTGTATTTAAATTTTGTAGTTGAGTGACTAAATTCCCATGGTTAGATCTGACATACAGAGAAGAGCAATTACAGGGCTCTTCAAAGATGCAGGTGCTGCCTTCACAAATCTATTTTGCAAGGCATTGGTCAAAAGTATACCTTCTGGACCCTCCTAGCTGGGATGAGTAGGTCTAAAGTGACTAATCCATTCCACTATCCCAATATCCCTAAACCTTTGGAACCCTTCCTCTGCATTAAACCAAGGAGATCAGGCATTTCCAGCTCACTCACAGTGGGACATCTTTTAATCCATATTTCAGTTAACCAAGCTAATAAATGATCAGAACCTTTTTTAACTCCCCAAGCTGCAACATTAAATGCAGAGCCCCTACTTAGTGGCCCCAATTCAATAAATTCAGCCTGATCCAACTCTATGTTCCTTCCACCATTATCCCATACCCTTAATATCCATTCCCACGTCTGTTCTCCAGGTTGCTGTTTATATAAATTAGAGAACTCAAATAGTTCTTTTATAGTGTAGTGCACCTCCTCATGGTAATCACACTCTTAACCTTACCTCTGGGGCTCACTGGGACTTTAGTTATAGGTTTAGAAGCAAACAGGGGATTTGGGGGTGACTCCTGAGGAGAATCAACATTATTTTGCCTGGCAACTGCTTCAGGGGAGGTCATCACTGTTTCCTCAGGCAGCACAGGGTTTATCTCCTCAGAGAAAGGTGGAAAGGCTGATGACAGCTTGGGTCAGGGAGGGGATGTTGCCACTACTAGGGATGGGGAAGCTGTTCCTTCTGGCAAAAAAATTTCATCAGAGTTTACAAACTCAGTGTCCCCAACTTCATCAGGGTCCTCCCATACATCCCCATTCCAAGTTGCTGGGTCCCATTCTTTTCCAATCAATGCCCTCACTTTAAGAGTAGACACCTGGTGGGGCTGTGCATGCACCTTTCATTGCAGGTCAGCCACTCACAAGATAAGAGCTTGTGTCTCTTTTTCCACAATTTCAGCTCTTTCTCTACAGAAGATAAGACTCTCACTCAGGGCAATCTTAGCAGATTTGAGGCTCAATACCTGCTTCTGAAGCCAGGAGACAGAAGGCCTAAGTTCATCATTTTCTTTCATCACTTTGTCCACTGAACTTAGGAGCAATCAACCAGCTTCATTATGTTCCTTGGTTCTACACATATAGTCAAAGTTATTATGTATAGAGTCACTAAACTCCTTGCCTCTCATGAGTGGTGAACTAGGAGTGCCAAATGCATTTATTTGGCATAACTCTCTAAACAGTTCATGCCAAGGACTATCAATGTTCTCCATACTATTAGAATATATATAATATATATAAGAATATATATATACTATAAGTATATACACTTATAATATATATAAGTATATATACTTATATATATACTATAAGTATATATACTATAAGTATATATACCTAGGTATATATACTTATATATATACTTGCATATAGATACTTGCATATATACTTATATATACACTTGCATATAGATATACTTCCATATATATATTTCCATATATATATATTTCCATATATATTTCCATATATATATTTCCATATATATATATTTCCATATATATATATTTCCATATATATATTTCCATATATATATATTTCCATATATATATTTCCATATATATATATTTCCATATATATATTTCCATATATATATTTCCATATATATATTTCCATATATATATTTCCATATATATATATTTCCATATATATATATTTCCATATATATATTTCCATATATATTTCCATATATATATATTTCCATATATATTTCCATATATATATATTTCCATATATATTTCCATATATATATATTTCCATATATATATATTTCCATATATATTTCCATATATATTTCCATATATATATTTCCATATATATTTCCATATATATATATTTCCATAGATATATATATTTCCATATATATATTTCCATATATATATATTTCCATATATATATATATATATATATATATATATATATATATATATATACTTGCAAGGAAAGCAAGTCCAAGTCCCAAAACTGAAGAACTTGGAGTCCGATGTTCTAGGGCAGGAAGCATCCAGCATGGGAGAAAGATGTAGGCTAGGAGCCTAGGCCCATCTCTCTTTTTCATGTTTTTCTGCCTGCTTTATATTTGCTGGAAGGAGAATAGATTGTGCCCACCAGATTAAGGGTGAATGTGCGTTCTCCAGCCCACTGATGCAAATGTTAATCTCTTTTGGCAACACCCTCACAGGCACACCCAGGATTGATACTTTGTATCCTTCAATCCAATCAAGTTGACACTCAGTAGTAACCATCACAAGTGGTAACAAAATAAAGTTTCATTTTGTTCATGCTTGAACTTGTGGGTTGAGATTTGTCTCATTAACATGTTATTAAATATGGATTTAATTCTGCATGAGATGGTGGCCATCATTTCTTCATTGTTTCCTTCAGCTTTTAGTATGTACTAGGTATAGGGTTGGGCAGGGGGCAAATATGAACATGACGGACTCCCTGACCTCAAGGATGATGCAGTAAAGTCAGGGAGAATGGTATGAATAGAGTCAGAATATAATGGCATCTTGCTAGAGCAGAGGAGTGTATAGAGTTCATGGGGGCTTTAGATAAAATTCAGTGAAGGCTTCTCAGAGGAAAGAGCTTTTAGTTAAGACATAAGAGACGAGGAAGAGATGGCAGATGTATTTTTATATAAAGGACTAGCATATGCAGACATTGAGGCATGACAGAGCATTAGTTGTTCAGACGAGCACAAATAAGTTTTTATTGTCTAAATGAAAAATGTAATGGTGATGGTACAGGGTGCAGAGAGTGTAGGGAAAAGATGGGAAAGGCCACAAAGAACCTTGTTAATCATGCAAAGGGGTTTTATATTATCAGCTAGTCCATAGGAATCAATGCAAGGGAGCAACACGGCAACATAATCAGATCTACATGTTGAAATAATCATTTAGGCAATATAAATCAGAGGCTTGTCATTAAAGACAGTGAGATCAGTAAGGAAGGCTCTTGTACTATGACTACTACCAATTCTGCCCATTGCTGTCACTTATAAACTCGTTCCTCTGCCAGGCACTTTACACATTTGTTTCATTTTGTCTTCATGCCAACCTTATTTTACAAATGAAGAAACTGAGGCTTAAAGAGGTTAATTCACTTGTCCAAATTAACATAGTGGAGAATAGCCAAATGAAAGTTAAACTCAAGTCAACAGACCAACAGGTTTCCAAAAGTTGGTATTCTTCTCAAATAATATTTGTTTCTAGTGTCAGTCCAGGAAAGGGATGCTTATGGCTAGAATTGGGGTAAGTGCAGCAGAGAAGATGAGAAACCAGACATGAGAAATGTTTAGGACTCAGTGACTAACTGAACATAGGGGCAAAGGGAGAGATAAAGCCTGAGTGAATGCCCAGATTCCAGGCAGGGCAGTTGGGCGGGTGATGAAGACATTCATCAAGAGATGTAAAATAGAAGAGGAGGAGGGTTTCTGGGGAAGATAATGAGTTCTGTTTTGGATCTCTAGTTTATGGTGCCACTCATAAGCTAAAGAATAGGGTGGTTGGAGGTCTGCATGAATTGTGGTGGAAGGATAAAAGGGCAAGGGGAGAGGAAGATTCTGGTAAAGGAGTTGTGTAATTTGTTCCCCAGACAACCGGACCCCTACAATCTTGACTGATGTGACAGGCCCCTGAATCTTCCCAGCATATTTTCCTACCCTCTGGAGTACACACATCCTACAAAGGTCTCCAAAATATTTGCCACATCTTGCTCATTGGCTGATTAACATGGTGTTATCTATAGAAGATACTAATATTATGTTCTTTGGAATGTTCAGACAGTCCAAGCCCCTTCAGACTATATTATGCCAGAGGAAGAGGATAATACAACCCTAGGGGAAGACCAAAAATGTAGACTATTGTCCCTTCCATATGAATGTGGGCTGCTTTTGATCTATTGTCTTGAAAGGATGTAAAGGAACTCATTGGCTAGGTCAATGGCACATGTAGCTGAGGCTGTGCTAATCTATTCTAACAAAGACATCACATCTGTCACAGCAAGTGCACTTAGAGCCAGTACAGATGGAGTTTGCAGCAGTCCATGGGCATCCTCCAGGATCCATAGAGTTTCTTTATGGGTTAGACTGGTAAATTAAATGGAAATATGATAAGGACTACCACCCCTGCCATTTCCCCTAGGATGCAAAATTGGTTTGGATTTATTGTGTTCACTGAGGGATGGTTGTGGTGGTGGTGGTGGAGTTTGCTTTTCCCCACTGTGACATACTATGTTGTGAATGAGCCTAGTTATTGGCCAGGTGGCCAGAAAGGGAGGTGGGAGTAAATTCTGACCTTTGAAAATATTGTTTTTCAAGACAGTGGCTGCTGTGTCATCTTCATGTAAAGGAGAAGTGTTAGCCTTTAATAGGGAAGAGTAGGATAGTTCTGCTCATCCAGAAAGGTCAAATGAATTTGGTGTTTCAAGGTTTTTGAGTATATTGACCCAAATGTCCTATTTCCAAGTCTCAAGGTACCATTGTTTTTCAACTAGGGTCCTTCTTCTGACAAAGCAGACTTGCCAAAGTTGAGGATTTAAATTTCCCTGGAGTCTACTAACCTGTCATTAAGACCTAGAACTGATCCTCAGAGTTTTTTTTTGCCTTCCAGCTTTAGGAAGTAAGAGTCTCTAGGATGCTGCCAAGGAGGCCTTCTGACTTTGCAATCATCATCTCTATTGACTGAATATTAGGCTGAGTTAAGTCTTGTGGTGGGCTGTCTTGGAGACAAACAGAGAATTAAATTTAAACCAGACCTTACCTAGTGGGTTGCCGACGCTCTTCCTCTCAGGCAGCCCTTCAGAGCAACTTCCTGTTCTCATGAGGAAGAAACCCGAGTGAATTTCTTTAGGCAGAAAAGACAAAAGAAAGACAGTGTCATTTCCTATGCTGAGATTATGACTGAGTATCATCCACTTAGGTCAAACCTTTAACAGAAAGGAGGAGTTTCTGATAAGCAGCTAATTAGGGGGAAGAATGAAGTGTTTAACGTTAGAAACAGTGAGTTTCAGTATGTAGTGAGGGCCATATCCAGTTTAGGAGTGAGTGCAGTTGGTTTGGTTCTGAGCACACTGAGTTTGAGGTCCAGGGGTACTTTAACAGGGAGGTGTTCTGTGAAATTGGTAGGACTGACACACAGGAGAGATGTCAGGGCCAGAGAGGCAATTGGGGAATTACCTGTATGTTTGAAGATTTGAGAGGTGATGGAGAAACATGTGGAGTGACAAGAGCAAAAAAGGTTGAGGATAGAGCCTTGGATTATACCTGATTGGTGAATGGAAAGAGGATGTAAAACCAATGAAAAAGAAAGATTAACACATGCCATAGAAAAATTGTGACAATATAGGCTCTTGCATGCCAAGGCAGATTAAATTTTGGAAGGAAAACATGGTGATGAGTGCCTACGGCTAATGAGAGATAGGAGCATGAGGGCTCTGATTTGGGGACCAGGAACCACTGGGAACATTGGAGACAATTGTTTCATTGAGGTGATGTGGACTGGAACTAAGTGCCTACATACAGGGAGTGATTCAGTGGTGACAAAACAGGGGAGATGAGGACAGATAACCTTTCAAAAAATATAGGCAGGAAATGAAAGAGAAAAAGAACTCCAGAGTTGATGTCAGAGTTTCATATGCCAGTGAAACAAACTTCAGAGCTCCTCACTACTCTGGGCCTGGAAGGCCGTGAATTTTGTGATGATACCATAAATGGTATTCATCAGCTTTTTAAAAATGTGCAATTTGTTATGATTTCTCTTCTTATTCTAAATAAATGCTCACATTGGTACCTAATTTTGTATTTGTAATTTGTAATATTCTTTTTTCTAAAAGATGCCACCAAAATTGTTTAAGTTTTAGGTTGCCTAAACCTGAATACTCTCTGGCAAGGATGTATGTTACAGATTCATCAGTAAGGGAATTTCTTCTCTCCTGTCCTCTCAGGCCCAAGAAAAGTTTTGGTAGAGATGAATTCCAACTCTACCAGTGAACATGCTAGCATGCTGGTCTTGACTAAGCAGATACAGCAGTTATATCACTCTGAAAGTTGAAAGGGTACTTTATTTTGGCTCCTTCCAGTTTAGGCCTTTCCTCCTTTCCTTTAACCTCCCATTAGCACAAATTGGTTGATCCAGAAGGTACTCTGGAAAATACCTTTGGAGTGGTATTTGGTGATCCTTCGGGTTCTTTGTCAACTTGAGGTTCTTTATTTGTTTCAAAGAGCAGGCCTTCAAGGTATCTGTGCCCAGATGGGGGAAGGTGGCAGGAAGGCAATGGTGACAAGGAAGAGTGACTAGTTCTGAGGGAGGATAAGGACAGGGGACAGCATAGGAGGTTTGGTCCAGATGAGGGGTCAGAGGTGAGGTAACTGGGTTTTCTGGGGTGGCCAAGAACACAGGCCAGGACTGATAGGATGAGGGAAGAGTTAAAGCTGTACCTGGGAGGATACATAAGAGAGAGAGAGCATGGAAGGTGAGGTAGTGTCAGGGGTGAGTGTGTCTGCCTCAGAGATGCCTCCGGAGAAATTCTCTCACAGGAAGCCTTGTCTGATCACTGACTCATTGTGTGGCCGGCTTTTCCTGTGCTTCAGTTTCCCCTCTGTAGATGAGAAGCACCGCAGAGGGCTACAGAAAGGAAAGTCTAAGAAAAACAGAACACAGCACTGGTAGTATAGAAATTCTTCTATGGTTCCTATGGTAATAATCCTTAGCTGAAGATAAAAAAAAAAAGTGAGCAAAATACATGTCCACTTTGTTAGATATATTGCAAATTGAGATCTTTATCTTCCAGGGGATTGTCACTAAAAGAGATAATTTTCTCAAGAAAACTCCAAGTTTCAGGGTCCTCAGTTTGCCATTGACATGCAGAAGTTGAATTAGGCACAATTTTTGTAGTAAGGAAAGAAATGGTAAACAAATATTAGGTCATTTATTCAAAATAACATGTACTGAGTGCTCACTATGTGCCAGTGTCCCCACTTTATAATAGTTGCTAAGACTTCAAAGCTGGAAAGGGTATATTTAGCCTTATACGAGTATGGCAGAGAGAAAGGAATTGCAGCTATTTACAGTTGCATGAGCTACAGGCTCTACTCCAGAGGCATGTGCCAGGTGCTCTGAGTGATCCCAAAAAAGAGCCCTGAACAGAGCGGACATAAGCCAGAGTTTCACAAAGACAAGTTTCACAAAGAAACTGACGTGTGGGCTGGGCTCTGGAAGTGTTAAATGAGAAGGGGCCGAGTAGCAAAATGAAGGGTGGGAGGACATGGGAGGAGGATTTTCCACTTTGGCAGGAAACCTCAAGTCAGACTATTTGAGTAACAATTCCTTAGAAACTGACAATATGTTGATACATCTTCATATGTCTTGGGAACATTTTCTAGACCCTTGTCCCCACTGGAGCCCCAACACACATTTCTATTTAACTCACTCCTTTGTCCAAAAGCATTCAGTAGCTTCACAATGATTATGAAAATGATCCAAACCCCTCTTCTGGAATATGATGCCCTGCCTGATTTTGACCCGTCTTGAGCAGCTCTTCTCTTCACCCACTTGATTTTTATCGCTCATTATGTGACTGGCTACTTCTCATTCTCCAGGTTTCCATGTAAATTTCCTCTCCCCGAAGAGGACTTGACTGACCTGCTTATCTAAGTAGGCTCCTCATACTCCATCCTGATTTTTCTATATTATTGTATACTATAAGTAAAATATTTGTTGGATAAATTGAATGTTGATTGAAATAATAGTAATACAGCATTTACTGAATTCTTACTATATGCAATTCAGTATACTATAAGACAACCATATTGTACCAACACTATGCTTACTTCTTTATAAACATTGCCTCATTTTGTTCTTACAATAAACTTGTGAAATAAGTACTAGTATTATTATTCCTATTGTACAGAAGAAGAAACTGAAACTTAAGAGAGGCCAAGCAAATTAGCCCAGGAAACACAGCTGGCGATAGAGTAACAGGCTTAGAAATCAGAAAATCTAACCTCAGAGTCTACCCTTTTAAACATATCTACTTAAATCATTTTAAATATTGCCTTTTGAATGTGTATGACAGCGCAAAATCTCAGCAAATGATTATCACGTTTATTTCAGATCAGCCTGTGTTCTATAAATTTGTAAGTGATCAGACTCATTAATCTAGATTTTTTTTACTACAGTTCATGTTATCATTCATGTAATCAATTGATATTTTGTCCTTTAGCAAAAGGAAAACATGAAGTTAGTTCACTCCTTTCTACTCTTCAAATTTTTCTTATCACATAATTGATGTAATACCTATGCGAGTGCATTCAGTAGAGAATTCCAAGGCAGTGCACCTCAACATGTATGAACATTTTGGTTTATAAGAATCATCTCTGGGTCTTATTAAAATGCAGTTTCTGGTTCAGTTGGCCTAGGATGGGACCTGAGATACTGCACTTCTAGTAAGTTCCAGTTGAGGCTAATACTGCTAGTTGGGGACCACACTTTGAGTAGCAAGGTTTTAAAGGATAAGAGTAATGTAGAGCCTGGGTTTTTCCTTCTTTCCCCACCAGGGGAAATAACATTCTACCAGCTGGCCATCTGAAGACAGACCTTGGTGGAGACTGAGGATGAGGATATGCAATTATACTAGAATTAAATCCCCAGGAGATTAGGGTCCTTTTCTGCATGTTCCCCATTCCTGGCACAGAGTCAGAGCTTAATAATTATTGAAGGAAGAGAATCTGTTCTTTCTTAGAAAAGTAAATAATAGTTCATAACAACATTCTGTCATGTATTCCCAGTCCTGTGGCTACAGTGGAATCCACATATCAAGGTAAATTCCTTTTTTGCACAGTAACTTGTATGAAGGGGATGGCAGGCAATGCTTACGTGGGAACACAGAGGGAAAATGGGGTCCTAAGCCTTATACTTTGATGAATAGTCAAGTCCCTTTTGGATTTGTCTTTTCTGAGTTAGGGGCATATGCAACAGGCTGCTCTCTATTGCTGTGGGATTGAGTGGGTTTCTGAACACACTGACTCATTCCTCCATACATGTGAAAGCACCATTCGAAGGACTTGAGACATATTGGTGAGCAAACATAGACCCCTATCCTCATGAAGCTTTTATTGCTGCTGGTGGAGACAGAAATAATAAATGAAACAAATAAGTATGTTACATGTTATACGGTGATAGGATTAAGAAAAAAAGAGAAGTAGAGCAAGATAGGGAAAGTATAAGAGTATGAGATAGAATGCGGTTGTAGTATTACATAGGAAGGCCAGAGTAGGTCTCGCTGAAAACGACATTTGAGTGAAGGCTTAAGAGGGGATGAGGGAATGATTCAGGTAGATTTCAGGGGCATGCGTGTTTCCAGGCAGAGGCAACAGCTGGTATAAAGAACCTAAGGAAGGAGAGTTGCTGGCATGTTCCAGGCAGCACAAGGAGGTCAGTTTGTCTGGAGTGGAGTGGGGGATGAGGAGAGTCATATGAAGTGAGGTCAGAGAATTAAGGAGGTAGGTGAAGGGTTATTCAGGCACGTCCTTACTGGGCACTGTAAGGGCTTTGGGTTTTACTCTGAGTGAGGTAGGGATCCTCTTTAGGGGAGTGATATGATCTGACTTATGCTTTAAGAGGGTCTGACTTCTGCGTTGTGAAGAGACTATGGATGGGCAACGGTAAAGGCAAGGAGACCAGGAAAGAGCTGTGGCAACAATCCAAGAGATAGGTGAGGGTGAAAAGGGCCAGGGTGGGAGCAGCAGAGGTAGTGAGAAGTGGTCAGATCCTGGAAATATTTTCAAGGCAAGAGGTGACAGGATTTACTGACTGATAGGATGTGGGTTGTGAGAGAGAAAGAGGTCAGGCATGCTGGGTGGGTTTGATGATACCCAGCTCAGACACACACAGGTTATTTTTGACCTGAGTGACTGGAGGGATGAAGTAACAATTAACCAAGATGAAGACAGGGAAGATCAGGAGTTCACGTGTGAGAGAGAAGAGGAAAAGTTCTGTTTTGGATAAGTTGAACCTAAAGGGACTTGTGTTTCCAACACTTTATATTTCAACACTTTATATTCAAAAATATAAAGTAGGCAGTTCTGGATATGATTCTAAAGTTCAAGAGAGAGGTTTGGGCTGGATGTAGAAATTTGAGAGTCATGGAATATAACACTATTGAAAGTCATGAGACTGGATAAGTGAATGTTGACAGAGAAAAACAGAGGAACAAGGACTGAGTCTTGGCATACACCAGGATAAAGAGATTAGAAAGAAGAGGAGAAACCAGTAAAGGAGAGGGAAAAGAAGTGACCCACAGGGTAGGAGGAAAACCAGAGTGTGGGCTCCTAGAAATCAGGTGGAGAAAGTGTATGAAGGAGTAGGGAATGGTCTACTATGTCAAATGATTTTTACAGATCAAGTATGACGAGTGCTCAGAAATGCTGAGAATTGAGCCAACAAAGTAGGGGTCATTGGTGACTTTGATAAGAGCAGGTTTGGTGTGACTTTGAGGACAAACATCTTATTTGAAGGAGTGTAAGAAAGAATAAGAGAAGAAAAACTGGAGAGAGCAGATACAGACTCACTTGAGGACTTTTATAGTAAAATATAGCATATTATTAAGGGGAAAAGAGCCAAACACATAAAGAAATTTGAAAGAGAAGTGGAAAAGAAATCAATTCAATTAGGCAAGATGAAGAATAAAGTGGAGGATGGAAATTAGAAATTTATTTATTAGCAGAAAACTAATACTTCTAAATATTTTTGAAGGTCCTTATTAGGAATGCTCAGCCCTGGGCTGGGTGTTGCACCCTTCAGTCTTTAAAGAGATTACAGTCAAGTTGGTAGGACAGGCCTTCTATGTAAATGTTTAGATGATCACAAAAAGATTAGAACCATGGCAGTTCTGGGCATGACAAATGTCAAGTAAACGTTCCAGATCAGCTCTGGTCTGAATTATAGGAGTCGGGGGATTCATTGTGGAACAAGATGGTAAAACCATTTCTAGAAAGGATGTGGGTCAAGAGCTGGACCTATATCCCTTGAGAGATAGGTGGGAATGACCCAGCAGACAGATGTGAACAAAAGCAATAAACAGTAATGCTCTTGGTGTGGGCAAGGCCCAGTAAATCACTCCTTCTGCCACTGTGCTGAGCAGATGTTTCATGAATAGGGGAAGAGTGGGAAAAACAACATATGAGGGCAATAAATCCTTTTAAGGTCTCCTTCTAGTCAATAGTTGTGACTTCCCAACTCAATGAACCTTTAGTTTTAAGTCACTAAGAAGAAACAAAACTAAGAAATTGTCCATTCTTTAAAGGCAGACACCCTCACCTCTTCCCCACTGTGGGTGGTACTTATAGAGATGGCACACCCAGAGATGGGCAGAGAGAGGAAGAGGATGTGGCACACCACTCGGATAGAGAGGTCAGAGGGATCAACAGCCTGCTGTCTGCCAGGACTTTTAAGAAAATGCTCCTTGGTCTTTGGCTGTGTCTTATTGACTTAACCTGTATATAGAAGAAAGGAATTTTTGTAGGTCAGTCAAATGTATAAATGCCCTTATAAATTAATATATCAATGACATATTCAATACATACACCACTTTTCAACTTCTGTAGCTTTTATACCTTGTATGAAGAGAAGGAACATTGAAGGAGCTTGCTAGATTATCCAGCTCAGACCCACCCAGGCAATTCATAGGCAAAATACTTGTTTCCTCAGAGGGTTTGCAGGAATAAGCTGGTGTTGGGGGAAGGGGGAGGGAAGGAAAGGAAAATGAAAACAATGTGTAAAATAAAAATCACAAAGAGAAGGCCCTGGCTTTGTCTCCTTCCATTGTCACTTCCCCATCTCAATAGCACTCTCTTAGTGATTCCTTCCTGTCCCTGACTCTGGCTTCTTCCAAGTGCACTCCTAGTTCCCTTCCAGGCCTTCATGTCAGGAAACCAGCCTCTGCTTATCTGTGGTTAGGATGAGCCAGTTGTCAAAAAAAATTCTCTAGTTCCAGAGCTTTCATTCTCCTCATAAGTTACCTTTCTGAGCCCTCCTTCTACATAGCCAAATGTCTCTTTCCTCCTAGAACAAAAGAAGAGAAAACTGCTTTCCTATGAGCCCCCTCTTCTGAAGAGACATTTCCTGGCAGCGTGCTGTGGTCTTGTCTGGAGGTAGGCTTTAGTTGCTTGAGGTTTCAATAATTTTCATAACGAACAAGGGCTACAAGTAGGTAAGCCTTATTTACTTTTGGTAAGTAGACATTTGGGGGGATAGATGATTCATTTTGACATGTTCTGCTACAATTTTACCATAATTGCAAGAGATTATACAGGAAAATGAAAGCAGGGAGGAGCACTGGAGAAATCACCAAATAGACAAGCCCACTCCATCTTATAACATTATAGTTATAGCCATTGGACAGAGACAGAGGTTTTCTTTTAGCCATGCCACAATGTATACATATTTCAAATTATCATGTTGTACATGATAAACCCATTAGATTCCCAATTAAAAACCCAGTTAGAGTCCAAACAATATGTGCCATAGATAAAAGACACTCCCAGGAAGCTTGTAGTACTTTAATATGGTTGACGGTTGTTTAAACATTATTCCTTTTCAAGAAAAATACAATTCAAGTCATTTGCTTGTTTGTATATAGTGGTCAATAGTTATTACATTTGCTTGCTTGTATATAGCAACACATTTACTTGCTTGTATATAGTGGTAAATAGTTATTAAATATAGATAATAGTGAATATAAATGAAATAGGGTTTCCCTAGCTGAGCATATAGACATCTTATTTAATCACGCCATTGAATACTCATTGATCCAAATGTGAAGCATCTGTGTTATTCTCTGAGGCTGTTTTGTTCTCCTCTGTGTGGATCCAAATACTAGGGCCAATAAAAGGTCATTGCTGACATGGCCTGTGATGTCCCTTTGGAATAGAACAATGATGGTCCAGGTGGTGTACCTTTCATGAAGACAGATAGCCTGTATTGAGCATGGAAGAGCTTAGACAGTGGGATAGAACCCTTTTTAAGAACCCTTTTTTTTTAAGGTTTTATTTTTTTGATCTCATCGAAGATCAGCTCTGGTCATCTCAGAAGTACAGAGTGCTGTATTATGGTTCTTTTACTGATCTTCTGGAAGGAGAAGCAAAGTGCAACATACTGTGGGCCCCTACCTTAAATGGGAATGTTGGGTAGTTACTCCAGCTAGAAAACCACAAGGGCCAGGTGTATGTATTGGTCATGGAGACTTTGTTGTTTGTGTAACTAAGTACCCAAATTCAGTGTTGAAAATAAGGTCCCCAGATTTCTGAGCCTGCTTTTAAATATTTGATCAACATATTTCTCGAGAGAGACAGAGAGCAAACTTAGCTGTCTCATATGTACCTGAAAATGAACATTCCTTGAACTAAATTATGGCCCTCCTCCTCCTCCCTACCACCTGCCCCACCAACTTCCCTGCTCTGAATCTCAGTAAATGGCACTGTTCTCCACACATGAGGCCAGGGATCAGGGATCACTTCTGATTACGCTCTCTCCTTTACTCCTCTGTCCAACCCATTATCAAGTCTACCACCTCCATGCTTTCCATCCTGTAAGATTCTTTCCCATCCTTGTCCTTTCACTTGGTTTCCTGCTCTTCTGGCCCTACTCTTGACCTCCAGGAATCCATTCTTCACCTTGCTATTGGAGTATTCTTTTAAGATCACATATCACACATCTGGTTCTGCTGTTCACTTCTTTGCTTAAAACTCTTCCAGGGCTTCTCATTGAGGTGAGCCCCAATTTCTTAACTTGGCTCACCTACTGATGTGGCCCTCTGGCTACTTGTGCCACTACACTGACTCTTACCCCTCCAGCCTCAGTGGAAGCCTCCCAATTTCTGTTCCTGCCATCTTCTGTGTGGACCTGAATACTAGGGCCAATTAAAGTTCATGCGCTGAAATGTCCCTTCATGTGCTGTCCCTTTACCTGACCCTCCTTCCCCCAAGTCACACACTCTTTGTTTAAATAACTCCCACTTATTGTTCCAGGCTCAAATTAAATGCGACTTTCTTCAAGAAGGCCTTCTCTGGCTCCACCAGACCCTAAAAGTTCCCCTAGCTGTACATGTCCAGAGGCCCCTGTATTCTTCTTTGTAGTACTTTTGCACATTAGAAATTTCTTCATTATGTATATTTATGTATTTAATGTGTGTCTTCTCCACTTGACCATAAGGGCGAATTCCCTTCTATTCACTGCTGTGTACCTAGTGTCCAGTGTTGTGCCTGGCACATAAGGCACCCAAAAAACATTCTCTGACTAATGCTGACTCCCTGGATCAGGGTAATTTTGCCAGCAAGTAGCAGAATTCTCAGACTCAAATGTGCCTTTAATATAAGGTTTGCAATTCTTTCATGTGTCAGAAAGTTCAGAGATAGGGCAGGTTTCAAAGTGTTGATTTAGCAGCCCAAAGGGTTACAGCATTCTGCTTTCTACCATGCTGGCTTCTTCTTGGGTCAATTTCGGTGTGTGGTAATCAGAATACTTGCATAGAGTCTGCCTTGCTTCTCACCAAGGGTGAGTGGGAAGTGACTGTGGCCACGGATACATCAGAGGGAGCCAGGCTTAGGGTCTTCAGAAGTGACAAGACCCCATGGGTTGGCCACGGCACATCCTGCCTGCTGTTGCTGCTAATTCAGCAGTGGTTTCCAAGACCCCAAAGATTCCATGAAAACTAGCACTTAGGTAGTATGCTTTATTGAAGATCTCTTAAATAAAGTATTGACCATCACATTCACAGTTCAGTGCGGGCTTCTCTGGCAAAAGAACAAAAGACAGTGAAAGAAAATGAGGGTGAGAGCAAAACTGACCCTCAGATTGTCTTCATTTTCCAAGGATTCAAATTGAAACACTTGCAAGCAAAACCCTCTTTTCTAGGAGAGCCAGAAGTGGACTTATTTTGCCTTTTCTGAAAAGAAATGAAGGCTTCCTGAATGTTTGGCTTTCTTAGTGACTTCAAAAATGCCACCAAATTTTCATTTTGGAATCTTATGGAGATGTTTAGATTCTGAATATAAACAAGCAGTACTTAACATTTATTTTCTCTTTTAGATAATGGGCCTGAATTTATGTATACTGAGTTAAAACCTCATGCTCTAATTAAGAAGAGCCAGGATTCTCTTTTTCTATTTTCTAAATTCTGTGGGAACCCATAGTTAACCTTCAGACTCTTTGCTTTGACAAAACACTTAAATTTTTAAAAATTACACATGAGGAGCAGAGAGAGAGCGAACAGATCTCAACGATAAATAAAGCATGAATTGACTTTAGTGGCAAAAGCATGGCAAGTACTGTGGCTAGGGCTTAATTCCCGGTGAACGAAGAATACTCGGACATTGACAGATTCAAGTAAATGAAGACGCTCGGTTGGTGGCTTCTGAGAAAAATGTTTTCCTGGCCGGGGGTGTGGAAATCAGGTTCCAATGTGTCTGTAGGTACAGCTTATTCTCTCTGATGGTCTTTCTTTTTCTTTGTTTATAACTTGATAAGACTGCATTGTTGTTCTTTCTAACCTTTTATTTTATTGCTCTTAAAACAACTTAGTGATCTAAAGATACTGGGGAAATCTGTTCTCAAGTAAAACTTTTGTTTCCAAGTGGGATGTGGGAGGTGGAGGTCACCTTGGGTACTCCCTGCTCTGCGGATTTCTGAGTGAGAAGACACCTGCTTCAGTTGACACGCTGAAAACAAGCTAAACAGCTAGAGCTTTTTCTTTTGATCTCTCCCATGGTGTGGGATTTCCTCACCTCACATTTGCTGAGCATTGATTTCCACTGCAGATATAAGGTGTCTGAGTTTGTCACTGTTTCCCCACACTGTTTGTCAACTTTTACTTTTTGTTTAATCAGGCAGCCCCATGGGGGTGGAATATTATTCATTGTTCCAAGTAGTGCATAATCAGACAACCTGAGGATGTTTGCAGCCTTTGATGTATGAAATTGTGTCTCTCTCTGGGGACTCCTCAGCTGTAGATTTGATGGGTGTTTTCCATGTTCGCTTTGCAGGCTGAGCTGTCTACTCTTTATGAGGCTGGGAGATGAGGTGTTGGGGAGAAGAGATGAGAAAATTGCTTTTCTCTTTTTTGCTAACCTATGCATTTGTTTTTAAGATACTTGCAGAATACTGAAGAAGACAATCTAGCTTTGAAGTCTGTACTTATCCTTCTCCCCATACTTACACCAATTGATTCTGAAATGACCCAGTGGCTGGGACTGGCTGGTTGGGGGCAACTTCTTCTTTATCCTTTCTCTATGTCCCTCCAGAAGCTTCAGTCTCAACAGTAGGGACTGCATTTTATTAACAAACAAGTTCCATTCTGCTGTCAAGAGTATGTGAGTAATTTTCTCTTCAGGTTGAAGAACAAAATAAAATGATCAGAAAAAAGCTAACCAATTTCAATTAGTAGAGGACTATCCTTCTTTTACACATCCCACTCAAAACTTTAAGATCAAAATGAT
The DNA here is from genome assembly GCF_000001405.40 of Homo sapiens. Classification (NCBI taxonomy): domain Eukaryota; kingdom Metazoa; phylum Chordata; class Mammalia; order Primates; family Hominidae; genus Homo; species Homo sapiens. The sequence continues at coordinate 172,709,321 of NC_000001.11, forward strand.
AGAGTAAAATTGCTTTATACAACCGAAAAACTAAATCCCGTCTCAAAGAGGTTAATAACTTTCATGACAGAACCTGATTTACAAAGCACATGGGCTCCTCTTGTTCATTTTCATGCCAGCAGCCACAGTAATGATTTAGAAAACATAAACTAGATTGTACAGCTCCCCAGCATTAACCCCTTCATAATTTTCTGTTACTCTAAGGATAACATCTAAACTCTTGACCATGGCCTGTCTGGCCTGTGTGGTCTGGCCCCTTTCTACCTCCCCATCCTCATCTCCACTATGCTCCAACTGCACTGGCCCCTTTGACTCCGGGAACCATCACACTCTAACCCCAGAGTCTTTGCACATGCTATTTCTTCTTCTTGAAATGCTTCTCTTTACTCATAAACTCCATATGTGGCTTGTTTGCTCTCGGGTGATCTCAGAAAGGCCTTCCGCAGTCATGCTAACAAGAGCCCTCCCCACTATTCTGTATTACTACACTCTGTTCAATTACCTCATGCATTTATCAATAACTTTTGATTATCAGTGTGCTTATTTCCTTGTGAATTGTCTGTCTCTCCTTATTGGACTACAAAGACTATGCCTGTCTTTTATTCTTCTCTTTTTTTCTCTGTTTTCATTTCTTTTTTTTTTTAAGGTGAGCAGGAGAACTAGAAGAAACAATTATATATAGGTTTATTTTAAAAGTTATGGTATAATTTACATAAAACAAAGAAGGAATATTTTAAATTTTCAGTAACCACCATTCGTAATAAGATACAGACTTTTCCCAACATCCTTGAAAGTTCCCTCATGCCCTTCTCCAGTTAATCCCTCACCAAAGGTAACCATTTTTGGACTTATGTCACTATACCTCAGTTTTTCCTATTCTTGGCTTCTTACTTTCATTATGTTGTAATGTCTTTAAGATTCACTCATGTTGTTGCATGTATCAGAAGTTCATATATTTTTATTGCTGAATAGTTTTCCATTGTAAGAATACACTAAAAATTGTTTCTCCATTCTCTGTTGATAACGTCTGGGTCATTTCCAGATTTTGTCTTTTATGGATAAATTTGTTATGACTATTCTTGTACAACAAGTATTTTATGGGCATATTATTCATTTTGGGGGGGCATTCACCTAGAAGTGGAATTGCTGACTCATGGGGTAGATGCATATTTAACCTTATGAAAAATGACCAAAAACATTTCCATGAGCGAGGGCTTAGCTTAATTAAAGTGATTGATTTGCAGTCAATTGATGTAGGATAGAGTCTTGCATGCAGTCCTTAAAGTTTATTACAGAAAATTTATTACAGAAATTAATACTTACCTTAGTAAGTAGAATATACTTTTATTCATTGAAATACAACTGATTTTTAATTTTAGGGCTTGTTTTATTCACTAAAATATTCCTTATTCTTTATTCTAGGGCTTCACACATGGTGGTTATTTATGATCTCTCTGTTGAATGATTTAATGCTCTTTTTAGCCTTCTGACTTCCTGAGAGGCATTGATCAATTATTCAAGGGTGGAATTTGTATTGAGAAATTATGACTCTAAGGTAAAACTTAAATCATCATTATGATAAACAGACAAATACAAGAAAAATACACAAGGTAAATTGTGAAATTAGGCCTCAGCCTCAGGATTGTTTTGTCCTTCCTTTCTTCCCTCCTTCCTTCCTCCTTTCCTTCCTTCCCTCCTTCCTTCCCTCCTTCCTTCCATCCGTCTTTCCTTCTATCCTTCTTTCCTTCCATCCTTCCTTCCTGTTTTCCTTTCTGTCTTTCTTATTTTTCTTCTTTCTTTATCTTTTTCTTTTTCCATGACCACTACTTCCTAAGCAGAAAATATTTTCTACCCTTTGGTACCATAAGTTGAGCCTTGTGTGGGTTTTGGTTATAATTTTTCTTCCCGAGAGAACAGAATAATTTGTAAGGAGGGCTAGTCATTGAGCACCCATTGAAAAACTGATGGGTAAAATATGCCTTGGATCTTCCAACAGATCAAGGGTAGAACAAAGTTACATCACTCAGCTCTCCTTATTCCTGATCACGAATTCACTATGAAAACTCATTGCTTCCTCTCAATACCAGTGAGTCAGGCCAAAATCGACACTTGGTGGGTGGGCACATTGGGTGCTTCTCTCAGGGTGAAGTCTCAAGGCATCTCATTCTTGATTTGAAATGATTCAAATGGGTTGCCACTTCTCTTTTGGAACCTTTATTCCTTTGTTTTTCCTGGGAAATCTTCAGGAAGCCTCTGGAAGTTCCCTTGGATGAGTGAATCTGGGTTGTGGGGGAATGAGAGTGAGGATGGGAAAGGAAGGAAGAGAGTAGGAAGTGGGTAGCAATTACATTGATTTAAAAAATCAGATGCTGGTTTTGTGAGTAACTCCTTAAAAGCCCAAGTCCTTCCGCTGTTCATGAATATTTGCATAACTGCTAATTAATGCTTGGGAGAACTGAATCACTGGAATGTCATGGGGGCAGATTATTTCTACTAGGCCTGGTGGAATCTTCTTGTGGTGGGCATGGCCTGCCTGGGCTTCTACAACTAACATCCAGGAGCAGAAGCCCTTCCATTTCTAGCAGTTGATGAGGGTTGTAGTGCTGATGAACACTGATGACTTGGAAAGCTTTTAGAACTTAGATAGGGGTCGGGGGGAAGTGCAGACCCTTTGATTTTCCTTTCCCAGGATGGGAAAGAGCTCATACGATATGTCAATAGAAGGACTTTATAATATGTTCTGCAAAGCCATTAAGAATAATTTGTTCGTATTTCTCACCCTTCCTACTTCAAAAAACATCTTGTGTCAAGCTATAATTTTTTTTAAAGTATAATACAGGACAGGTAAAACAGTATAACAGAAACTATTTTAATGGAAAGGAGGCAACTTTACAGCAAAACTGAGATGATGTTTTCATTATCATCAGGTACTACATTTGGCCCTGACTTTCTGGGCAGTCTTAGCAAAACAATGACAACAACTAAAAGGCAAACGAAAAAGAGACAGTTCTTGTGGTTTAGTTAAACAGAACTATAAAAATTCATTTCTAACAGAAATTAACTTAGTGTATTTCCTTATAATGGATAATAACTACAGAATTTGGCAATGCCTGTGCAGATGTTCTATTGGTAGATGCCTCTTACAATCACCCAAAATTCAAGGGCATAATATTAAGTTATGCTCATTGAAGGAATTCATACGGGGAGCTAAGCTAATATTATTTTGTTTAAAGATTATCTAATTTGACATGGTATTAGAATTTTGTTGGAATTAAGAATTTATTACTAGAGTTAACTTTCTTATGCTATGGACCTCTTTTAAAATAGTATTTTACATGCATACAACAAAGTATATAAGATTACAAGGAAATTAATGATATTGAAATACAGTTATTGAACTATTTGAAAAATTGTGACATATTAATATATATTAACACATTAAATAACAAGATCTATCAGCTTCTGCATAAACTACCATAGTTTAAAATAGTGATAAATGTAAGTGCTATCTCAACAAATTTGTATAACTTTAATGTGATAAGAAAAATATCTGTGGTTTCCATTATCAGTCATATATACTGCTAATATTACTTTGGTTTATTTCGTACATTCATGTAAGAAGAGAATGTAAAATATTAGTTAGAAGTAAGCAAAAATAAAGGTGTTTTTTTTTCCATCTGAGTTCATGAACCCCTTGTATTTTATCCATGGGATCCTTGGGATATATGGACATCAGTTGATAAGTAATAACTCTGAGAAATGAAAGTGGGTAAGATAACCCATCTTCACTTAATTTTGTCAGGAGCTTGATAAGAGTCAACCCAATATTGATTGAGTGACTTAAGTAAAGATATAATTGTGAATTATGACAGAGATCCTTCAGTTTTAGATAACAAGAACAAAAGTTAACATTATATTGTAAAAACACTTTCAGTCTTCCATTTGCTTTTCTTTGTTATCTTGATTTTTAATTATTTATCGAATAACTTTTTAACAACAATGAAAAATACATCTTATTTCACTTTTCTCTCATGCCTTGGCAAAGAAGATAGAAATATAATTCTTTATGTTTGAATACATGAAAGAATGAGTGAATGAATTTGTTATTGGTATTCTTATTCTCTAGCTTCAGTCTTTCAATAAGTCTTTCTCTGAGATGCTAACAAGTAATATATAAAATTGATTACATAGAATTTCCTTGTCTTTTATCTCTCCAATCTTTTGCTTTGTGGAGATTTCAACACTTTTAGCAATAAAAAAATCATGTATTTGTATATTAAGGTCATTATATCATCAGCACCTGATTCACTGAAATTTCTTAAATTTAAGGACATCAGTGAATGACTGTCTGGTACTCAGAAAGTCCAGACAAGTGAGGCCTTTTCTTCTGCTTCCATTTTCCTTTTTTATGATTCATAGCTGACAGTGCAAAGACAGAGGTGAAAGAAACAGTGTAAAAGCAGGAAGACAGAAAGGGTGGTGAGAAGACAGAAAAGTAATAGTGAGACAAGGGGATGGAGGAGAAGAAAAATAAAAGAAATCTTTATTTGTGCCAAAAATGTACTATCATTTCATCATTCACATGGATCATTTGTAGCTGCTTTGTGTATACCTATGGGGTGATAAAGTTTCTATAAAAGGGTATCTCAAAGTGTGGACTGAAGAACGCCTGTGGTGTTTGTTTCTAATGTAGTTTCCTAGACCTGCCTCCCAATACACTGAATCAAAATCCCTGTGGGACCCAGTATTGTGCATTTTCACAAGCTTTCCAAGTGGTTCCAGTGCTCATAGAGAACCACTGATCTTGCTAAGAGGTAAAAACTTGGCTGACTCTTGCTAAGGTAAAGTGTATCTAATTTCCACCTTCTGAATTAGGCAGGAAAGAAAATCTGCTTTTTCACCCACTGATATCAACACTGCACTATAATTCAGGGATTTTGAAATTTGGCCAAATAATAGGTTAAGTGTTTTATTCATTTTAGCCAGTGATTAACAAGAAAAAATGGTAGCTTGCACACTGACTTAATTTGCATGGGCCTCTTGTTTTCCTCCTCAGCTTGTAAGAAAAGAAGGGACAGAATCAAGCTCTCCTGCTGATCCTGAGTATGTGAATTTGTTTAGGGGAGATTTTTACCCATGGGAATCTGCCAGTCATTCTTGGATGATAGCTAGCACAGGCAGAAATCTATATATTGAAGTACCTTTATATTATTCTCTAGAGAGAAAGAGCTATAAAACCAACCCCCAAATAATTTACCTCAGCTTTTGAAAGCATAGTCTTAATTATATTGCCTTTTCTTTTAGCATTGGGATTTGTCTTCCTAAGCCTCCTTTAAAATTCATTTTTTTCCTTTTTATGAAGGTACTTCATGAAGCTTAAGTATCCAAAATAGCCGTACTCACTGTAGAAGTCATCTAGAGCACTTTTCTAAGCTCTCTTTAGTCCACAATATTTCTATTAATTCCCCAGAGATACCAAACAACATTAAGAGGATCTCTGACAATCTGGCCATCTCTCTAGCCTCATTCCACATCTCAAGATCAGAAACAAAGATTCCTTAAATGTAAATGTAAAAGTAAAAAAAAATTAGATGAGAATGACACTATTTGAAGGTGCAAAATTCTGAGAGCGAAGTAAACTATCAACCTCCCTCTGATAATAAATAGAATACAATTTAAAAAGACAATACTAGTGATTTTGAAGTCTGTGATTTCTTTTTGAAGACAATTCTTCACATATGCATTTTTACTGATATTTAAGTAATTTCAAAACTGGCTATACAGCATTTAACTGAGGCACTAACCACTTTCTTGGTTTTCTTGGGATCACTGTCATTTAAAGGAAAGAGGCCTAAATCCTGGAAAAATAATCTATTTGAGAATTATGACAATTCCTTTCTACCAATCACCTGAATGACACACTATTATGCTTTTCAGGACAGACTCTTTACCTTAAGAATTAGTCAATCTACGTTACTCTGTTAACATTTTGTTATTTTATAGGTTAGATAATATAGTATCACTTCAAAGTTTAGAGTATTTTGAAGCATGAATTACAGAATTAACAGTTGTAAACAGGTTGCAAGAGATGGAGAAGTCAACCAACATCATCTTTCATCCTTCTGTGTACACAGCCTAGTGGTACTGTGGGTATCTGTTCATATTTAATAACTTCTGAGAAGTTGCTAAGTGGACTCCTAGTTGCTTCTTTTTTCATAATGTCCAAGGTTTCTTTGAGAAATTACTTTATTTATCAACTATGTAATAGGAACAAGTTTTAACCATGCAGGACTGATGAGAGTCTGTCTTAATTCATATGGACTGGCTTCTGTGTCTTTCTTATGACCTCCATACACTCTTGACTGCCAGTTCTGCTTTGCTTATCTGGATTGGGTTGGTCTGGAGTTGAAATATAACCAAGGACAACTGGATTTTTGTCCAGTGGATTATAATGTTTAAGTATTTTTACCGACTTTTGGAGAGAAGGCTGTTGAGGAAAGGTAGAAAGAACAGTTGTATATTTCTGACTCAAATGTGGTCCAAGGGGATGCCCTATGGACTGGAACATGGAAAGTGATCTTCCATTCTCTGTACTGGTTAGACTATACTTGGAATTCTGTGCCTAGTTCAGTGAGCCTCATGTAGGAATGTCCTGGACAAGCTGTGGCATGTCGAGTAGAGAATGATCAGGACACTTGAGGGGATTTTGATCCTTTAGGTAGGTAGAGAGCTCAAAAGAATGAGGGTGTGTAGTCTGGAGAAAATTAAGAGTAACAGGAAAAGAAAACAGGTTTTTGAACTAAATGACTTCCAAGGCCACACACAGGGTTAACACTGTGAGCCTAGGAAAAATCTACCCCAGTCTTGCTCTTTCTACTTGAAGTTCGTCTCCACAGTACCACCTCTTTAGTGCTCATCTAGGGGCCTAGAGGCTCTGCAGCAGTGACCTCTCCTGATGGACTCCTTTGTGTGCCTCTAGGGAGATGCCTGAGCAGCATGTCTAAAACAAACCAGTTTCTACTTCATCAGAGTGAGCCCCTGGAGGGGGGTCAAGACAGTCTGGAAGGTCATCCAGCAGACACAGTCTATTCCAGTGTTTGTCACAAAAGCTATTGTTCAGGTCAACTGACTTGCCCATAATTCCAGAGCTGAGCTTCTTAACATACTTTAATAATCATTGTTCAGAGTATCACCCGGTGTAGGTGAAGATAAAGTTACTGATTTGCAGACTTTTGGACTGACTCCCCAGAACCATATGTAATCACTGCCGCCCACTCAAAGCATTATTTCTCTCCCTCTTGGCATAGGCTGGGGTGGTATCATTTAGAGTCCTGTCTTTCATCTTCCTCCACTTGTGCATAGGCAGGGTTTCCTATCCTCACCTCCTCCTCTCCCTCCCTGTGACTCTCTGTCATGTGATGGAAACATGCAGAGGAGATTCATCTTGTTGTGCTGCTCTCTGGGGAGGCCTATTCTAAAGTACAAACAGAAGACCAAATAGAATGATTGAAAAAAATAGTTGAGATTATTTTGAATAGTCAATAAGAAAACCATGTTGCAAAACCCACATCAAAAGCCCAGCTGTTGGGGTATACCTTTCAAATTCCACTAACTACAGAGGCCACATACAGGGAGGGGGCCATGGAGGAGGAGGTGTGCTTGCAAAAAGACAGAAAAGGTCAGGGTGATAATGAAAAATAATTGCTAGAAAAACAAGCTGGAGGCCGGGCGCGGTGGCTCACGCCTGTAATCCCAGCACTTTGGGAGGCCGAGGCGGGCGGATCACGAGGTCAGGAGATCGAGACCATCCTGGCTAACACGGTGAAACCCCGTCTCTACTAAAAATACAAAAAATTAGCCGGGCGTGGTAGCGGGCGCCTGTAGTCCCAGCTACTCGGGGAGGCTGAGGCAGGAGAATGGCGTGAACCCGGGAGGCGGAGCTTGCAGTGAGCCGAGATCGCGCCACTGCACTCCAGCCTGGGCGACAGAGCGAGACTCCGTCTCAAAAAAAAAAAAAAAAGAAAAACAAGCTGGAAGCAGTGAGGCAAAATATTTCTATCACAAAGACTGAAGAGTTTAGCTGCCAAGAGACATAGGTGACCTCTTATTGTCATCTTACTTTGTGAGCAATTATTTTCAGAAAGTCTTTCTGGTGGATATCACTGGAAAATATTTTGATGAGCTTTCCCCCATCTGAGCTTTTTTTTTTTTTTTTTTTAAATCATGAAATAAACCCTACAGATCCACCTTAGAAAAGGGTGATTTTGTAGCTTGGCTAAGTGAAAGTGGGCAATGGGCAGTTTGAGCATGGTGGGGGCTGGGGGACATTTGAGAGCCTTTTCCCAGACTCAATCTGAGAGTGGAGACTGAGCAGTTCAAAATGATATCCTGGAGGTGCTTTGGATGATGCAGTGGGTTTGTTTTTGATCTGGCTCTCATCTTCTTGGCAAGTGTGCTACCAGCAATGTGTTTATGAAGCCACATTGTCACAATGTTTGCTTTGACTCTGTTTTGCCCGGCAATGTCAGTGACTAGACACATTTTTCTGTGATGTCACCAAGCTCCAGGAATGATTGCTTCTGAGCACAGAGAGATCACGTGGAGACACGTGATCAATTCCTGACCTGGGAATCACATGGAACAATTCTATTTGTACCCATGAGCCTCAATCATTAATCTAGCAGCATTTTAGTCCTGTGGATGTGTGTGATTAGTTGAAGTTATTTAAAAGAGGTTCCATAGAAAGCCTGAGGGTTAAGGGAAAGGACTAAGCAGCAGCTCCCTTGCTAATGCCAGCAGGAAAGACACAGTTTCCTCTTTTAGGGATATTGATATATGAAGGCAGTAATTTGTGGTTAATGGTTAAGGTTTTGGGGCCAGACCATTCTGGGTCAAATCTTACTCTTACAAATGCTATGACCTTGGGCAATTTTCTTATCCACAAAACAGTGATAATGCTAGCAATTACATGTGGCAGTTAAGATGCCTTTGGTTGTGAGCAACAGAAAGTTTAACCCAAACCAGCTTAAAGGAACTATGTTTGTGAAGTCCTGAAGTGGGCCTGACTTCAGGTGTGGTTTGATTCAGATGCTCACAATGCCCTAAGGTCTCTTGTGTCATTACTCTGCAATTCTCTTCACTATACTTTCCTTCTGCTATTAGCTATGTGCTCAGGCAGCCTTGCCGCAAGGCAGCATCAATGATTCTGGACCTTATGTCCTCACATTGCACCATATAAAAGAGGGGAATTTCTCTTCTGGTAGTTCCCATGGAAGAAGGAAAAGTCATTTCTGAGAAGTCTTCAGCAAAAGTCTCCTTATGTCTCAAGTCCTGCATTAGTTCACAAACACAACTCTGAACAACCATTGGGCCAAAGAGTTCAAATATTAGACTTAAGGCTAACTCCTAGTTGGGAGAGTGGAATCAAATTCATATCAACCACCTTGCAAAGGATATAAGAGAGGCAATTCCCCAAAGGAAAATATGCATATTGTTCTAGGAAAAAGAGAAAAATGATGCTATCAGGCATCCAACAATAGTAGGGTGGTTGTGAAGCGCTTAGCAAAGTGCCTGACCCTTGGAAGAACTAGAAAAAGATAACCAGTGATTATTATGCTGGTGTGAATGTGGAACCACTGTTTCAGCCTAGAAGTGCCACCTCACCTTTTCTTCTTTCATCTGTAATTCCTGCCTCTCCTCTTTACCACATCTGGAGAACTGGATTCTAGCCTTGGTGCTGTGTCTGAATTGCTGTGTGGCCTTGGCCAAGTCGCTCAATTCCTGTCTGTCAAAAGAGAAGTTTGAATGAAATATGAGCTGAGGCACGTCTCCAGAAATAAAGTGGCTTTTTTTTTTCTTGGCTCCCTGGAAAGCCTTACATAAAGTCGGTCATTTGGGGAGATGTTTGCGGTTTAACTTGAAGAAAAGACTTTGAAGTCAGGCATATCTGGACTTGCTTGGCATCTGCTAGTGCTATGATAGTAGGGAACTTAATCACTCTGAGCTTCAGCCTCCTTTATGGTACAAAGAAAGGAGTGATAAATAATACCTTTCAAGCCTGACTTAAATGAATATGATAGAGTTCAAATGAGGCACAAAAATTTATACACTGGCAGAACGAATAGAACAGTGACTTGCATTTAAAAAATGTATGTTGATTATTTCATCTGCTTTCGTTTTCAACATCCTATCATTTGTCTGATGATTTCATATTTTTCCCCTTCAGGGATATTGAGATGTTGGAAAGCTAAATTGGGAGGATACCTTTGGATGTATCATGATGTGAAATCAGAGGGCACATGTCTCCCTCCCCTACCAGGCTGATGATCATCACATATAGGGCTAAATGAAAAATAAGTAAATATTCAACCAATATTAGTAAATATTCAATCGATATCCCTCCTTTTCTTCTCTCTTTCTTTTCTGGATTTTTGTTTTGTTTTTGTTTGTTTTTTTTTTTTAAATCCCTGCACATACCTTTGGCTCACTGGTTCTACCTAGTGGCAATTGTAGGTATTACTTAAGCTTGATGGTGGCATCAGTCTTTAAAGAAGTGTATGATCCTTAAAGCCGAACAGAGTCCTGAAGTTGAGATCCTGCCCTATCCCAACTGTGGAGCATCAGCAGTGAGGCTCAATGCTGGGGGAGCTTGGAAGAAACGTGTCCTGATAATGAGTGCTTGAATTCTTCTGCCAGTTGGCAGCTTAGTCAGCAAAACCAGGTTTTGGGGACTGGAATTTTGTAATACAACAGTGCTTTTTACCTTAACAAGCTGAGATGAACTGATTAAGATGAGTGTGAAAATCTGAGGGGAACATAAATTGGAGAGCAGGGGTTATTGAGCTGGTAGATGAGATTGACAAGACAGCTCCCTAGCTCCTATAGAATAGCGGCTGTTATTGGCAGGATCCTCAGGTGCAACCATGTGTCCAAACACCTGAGTGCTCTGTATTAATGTAAAAATGTTGATGATGTACTAAACCTCCAAAGACTTTGAAATAATACTTTCTATGGCATTCCTATCACTGTAGGAACAGGATAGATTATTTTACAAGTACAAACACTTCAATAATGGAAAGGATAGAATGCAGAATTGTTTTAGTTTCAAAAGACTGCAGGACTTCTTTGCTCTCTAGGTGGTAAATACAATGGAGGAAGATGTGTCCTCAGGGTTAATTCCAGCAGGCCTGGAATTAGCCTGAGGCATTTTGCTAAAGTTCCCGCATGGCACTACCCTGGTTACTGAATACTAGTGTTGCTCTGAGGAGTGTGAGGCAGTTTGTACTGGCTTGTGAGAGTAAGATTGTTGATTTGCACTTGATGTTAGTGAGCTTTCTGGAGGGCTCTGCTATTGGGTTGGTTGCATAGCAGGAATATGTGGGGTTTTTTGTTTGTTTGTTTGTTTTGTTTTGAGATGGAGTCTCATTCTGTCACCCAGGCTGGAGTGCAGTGGCACTATCTCAGCTCACTGCAGCCTCTGCCTCCTGGGATGCAACGATTCTCCTGATTTAGCCTCCTGAGTAGCTGGAATTACAGGTACATGCCACTAGAACCGAGTAATTTTTGTATTTTTGGTAGAGACAGGGTTTCACCACGTTTTCCAGGCTGGTCTCCAACCCCTGACCTCAGGTGATCCACCTGCCTTGGCCTCCCAAAGTGCTAGGATTACAGGTGTGAGCCACTGTGCCCAGCCAGGAATATGCGTTTTTGATCAGCAAAATATGTGTATAAAAGAACAACCCTCAGTTGAGATTCCATTTTGGGCTTTCTGGTTCCAAGTTGTTCCATGCATTTGTAATTGGAGAAAGTGTGTTCAGTCACAGCCTTCACAGAGCGGGTATAGTAGGAGCCTGTACCTGGTCTCCCCAGAGCCGTTCCTGTAAGTCAGGCTTTAGCCATGATGTATATCCTTATATTAATGCTGTTACAATAGTGTATCCTTTGTGTGAACCATCATCATTTTGGGTCCTGTGACTCTTCTTTGGCAGTCCAGCCCTGTTTAACTGCCACTGTTTGTTAGTGATGGAGTAACATATTTTTCTGTTCTTGCACAAAAACCCTGGATTTTGACCAAGGAGCCAATAGTAATTAGCTTTGCAACCTTGGGTAAGTGATCTAATTTCTCTAGCTTAGGGTTTTTAGGCCATGCAATCAAGAAAGCAATATTATCTACTTTATCTATTTAACTTCGGTGTGAAAGAGATTAACTTTGAAGCACCATGTAATAATTTATTATCTTTATTATTATAAAAATTAATACTAGTAATAGTTTTAGTAATAGTAGTAATACTTTTAGGTGATTGTAGAATAATTAGGCAGTATAGAGAAACCCCTGGAATTGGAATGTGGGGTCACGAAAAGTTGCCTTTTAAAAAACAAAATAATGAAAATCAATCAATTATTAGTACATTTTGTTTGCCAAGCTATTCCCGGAACCAAGCCAGGTCCGACTGCGTTTTCTCCAGTCCCAATAATGAGAAGCAGACAAACTAGGAAAGAAGGGAATTTATCACTGTAACCAGATACACAGAGAAGGCCGGAGGTAATTCCACCAACTCAAAGTGTTACAATTTTCTTAGCGCTTATATAGGTTGGGGCTATGTGCCTATGTGCAGTATAGCATTCGCCTAAGTCTATTGGTAACTGATTCTGTTTCAACTAGAAGGTCAGAGGCAAAAATTGCTTGCTAAGTCCAATTAAAAGGGCCCCAGTACCTTCAAGGCCTGTCTACTGCGGTACCAGAGTGATTATTTCTATCTCATCTCCTTTACAGCTTGGTCCGGAGAGCTGCCTTAGACTCTCCGATGAATCTATTCAAACAGCTGCCTCTGTTACCTTGACTTGTCTCAGATTTTGTCAATGCAAGATGGGTCCTGGCAGTAGGAATGTAAGACTGTCTCTATTATTTTGGTTTGCTCCAGGTTAGGGAGAAGCCCATGCAAGGTTCCTACTGACCATATGTTTCATTTCTAGTTTTGATGTCTGGGCATTGATTTCCCTAGGTTTGACTATTTGCTCAATGGTAAGACAGTGCTATGGAAATTTGTCTGTGTAACTGGAGTGCTATGTAGGCCTGTCTGTGTGACTGTCATGCAGGCCTGTCTGTGTGATTGTCAGGGAGAATTGGCCTGCCACAAAGCCATCTGTAAAATATCCTACTCTAAGGAATAATTTCTAACTATGTTGCTGATGGGAATTTAAGAGTTATTCACATACAAATAAGAATAGTTACATGTAACTAACTTTTACTGACTAAAATGTGTATTTTACAGGCAGGGCACAGTGGCACACACCTGTAATCCTAGCACTTTGGAAGGCCAAGGCAGGCAGATTGCTTGAGCCCAGGAGTTTGAGATCAGTCTAGGCAATATGGCAAAGCACTGTCTCTATAAAAAATACAAAAATTATCCAGGCATGGTGGTGCATTCCTGTAGTCCCAGCTCTTCAGGAGGCTGAGGCAGGAGGATCACTTGAGCCTGGAAGGTTGAGGCTGCAGCGAGCAGAGATCGTGCCACTGCACTCTAGCCTGGGCAACACAGCAAGACCCTGTCTCATACACAAAATATGTATTTTAGTGTCAGACAACAATAATATTTTGATAGTAAGCATTTTTCTCTTTAGCTATTACTATTCCATGTTGCAGACATCAGTTTTGTGTTTCGCATGTTAAAGTTTGAAGTGGCCTTAAAGGACATCTAGTTTATCCCAGTCCTTGAATGTAAACAGATTTTAAAAACGAAGAAGCGACAATCCAGGTGGGCTGGAACTTCTCCACATGAGGTGCAAATTATTAGCAGGGTAGAGCGTAAATCTCAGATCTGACTTCCCATCGCATGTTCTTTCAGATATTGTGGCTTGATTGGCCTTATTCCAGACCCTTGGAAGTCCAGGTGTCAAGAGTAGGGAAGGCCTTTTTCAGTAAGAACTTTGCAGTCTAGTGGAAAAAAACAGGTAAGGACTGAACTCTGACATTTTTACTTTCTCAGATTTCTTTTTAAGGGCCCACAGGGAGTCAAATCTACAAGACATAAAATTATGTTAAACAAGTTTTTTTGACCCAGTATATTGTGGCTTACTTTTGCAACCAGACTCTGGTATGGCATCATGTAACAGAAAACAGACCCCCTTGTCTTAACTGAAGCATTCCTTTCTACTGACTCCAAGTTTTTAGACAAAGCTCAACTCTTTCAACCAATTGCCAACTAAATAATCCCTAAACTCACCTGTGTCTTGTAAGCTCTCACTGCCAGATGTCCTGCCTTTTTGAATAGACTCAATGTACAACTCCCATGTATTCGTTTATGTTTTGACATGCAATTTCTGTCTCCCTCCCAAACGTTAACCCAACTGCCTTGGGCACACTTTCTCGGGACCTCTTGAGACAGTTTCCCCAGGCCATAGTCACTCATATTGGCTCAGAATAAACCTCTTTAAATATTCTGGCAGAGGTTGATTTTTTTGTTGTTACCAGTAACTGGCACCTATACTAAAAGAATGTAATTAGGGATACAGTGAATATATAAGCAACACACATGTTTTAGGAAAACAGTTGAAGAGATACTTTACTCTTCCTGAAAAGGATTAAGGAAGTCTTATAGAAAGTGTTTTTTTATATATAGCAGTATTCATTTTCAGGACTCTGAAATAACAGGGAAATCTCCCAGGAGCTTTGGTATGGTGACCCATAAATAGTGACCTGAAAGCATGAGTATGAGATGCTTTTAGCAATTTCAGTCCAATATGCATAGCACAGTCTCATTTAAGAACAATATATGTGTATGTCATGGACATAGAGAATGGAAAAATAGACATTGGAGATAACAAAATGGGAGAGTGGGAGGGACATGGTAAGAGTTGAAAAATTACCCATTGGGTACAATGTTCACTATTCAGGTCATGGGTACACTAAAAGAACAGACATCACCACTAAGCAATATATACATGTAAGAAATCTGTGCTTGTACCCCCTAAATGTCTAAAAATTTTAAAAATTAAAAAATAAAAAGAATATTTGTGTATTTGTGTGTGTATAATCACAGAAAGAAGTCTCTAAAGTTATATAACAAAATGACTGTAGTTTTCTGGGAGTGGGAGGGGTGGGGTTAAGATGAATAGGGGTGGGGTAGGCTCAAAGCATTCTGGGAATGAAAGTGAAACTTCTTTTAGTATTTATGTCCTTTTTATGTGATGAAATTATGTGAGGTTTTTACTTTACTGTGCATATTTCAATTAAGAAAAAGATGTGCAAGTCTCTTTCATCCTTGTTTTCTTCCATGGGTTTCAAATCAGAATCCTTTGTACTCTTGATGTAATGGCAAATATTTTGGGGAAACAATTTATTTTTTAATTCTCTCTTTATTAGAGCTCCTCCTCTCAAAGATTCTGGCATAACATGTGGAGCCCTGTCACCGGATAAGAAGGCGCACTATTCTATCTCTCCAATTCTACCCTTGGACCAAAATCAGGCACATGGACTCTTTCTGCCTTTGAATGACTTCCTTCCCTTGTATTTGAATAACTTTCTGCCTTTGAATAATTTCTTTCCCTTGTATTTGAGGCTACTTGATAGATTCTCTAGATGAATTCAGATAGGACTTACTTTCAGAATGAATACAACTCAGGCTATTAATCTGTGACCTCAGAATACAGAAATTATTATCCCCATCATGTGGATGAGGCAGCTCAGAGAAATTGAAAAGCTCACCGCAGTCACCTGCCAAATAAATGGCAAAGCAAAGCTATCTGAAGCGAGATCTACCTGACCCCCTAAGCCCATGCTCTCCCCTAGCACCATCTGTGTCATGTCTAATGTACAGTTGTCTCATGCTCTAAGATTGTAGGGGTGCTGTGGTCACCTAGCAGCAAACCTTGCTGGCAAACAAGCACAGCTTATAAGCAGAGAACTTCCTCTTTTTGAAGCCACCTCAAACTGCCTCTGGGAAGGAATTCCCATAGCTACTTGGAGGAGCCTAGGTCCTCAGGGCCTGCATGAAAACTGGAGTGGACATAGGACACAAGTTGTAAGCAGAGAAGACCTCACTTCAGATAGCTTTACTTTGCCATTTATTTGGTAGGTGACTGGGGCAAGCTCTTCAATTTCTATGACCTGCCTCATCCTCATGATGGGGATGATAATTCCTGTACACTGAGGTCACAGATTAATAGCCTTAGTTGTATTCATTCTGAAAGTCAGTCTTGTCTGAATTCATCTAGAGAATCTACAAGCACAGGTGGTAAGCAGAGAAGACTTGCTTCCTCTTGAAGCCACCTCAAACTGCCTCTGGGAAGGAATTAGCATGGCTACTAGTAGAAGCCTAGGTTCTCAGGACCTGTATGAAAACTAGAGTGGACCTAAGGAGAAGAGGGCTAGAGACCTGACACTCAAGCTGTTTGCATTTACAACCAGTGGTCTCTATATTACTGATTTTCAACTATATCCCAAAGAAGAGTTCAGTGAAAATATTTCCTGGATTCCATAAAAATGTGACTCATATATTTTTAAAATATATTTTAACTATTTAGAAAAACTTTTTAAAAACCTTTTAAAAATAGTCTGCAGAACAAAACTTCTTTTGCCGTCACTGTACACATATATGAATACCTTATGACAATTAAGGAAAGATAGCTGTACACCAGCCTTGCTTTGAATTTAGAGCTGAACATGTCTGCTGGTATAAAATTGTATCAGTAGATATGTGTGTATATTCCCCAGTTGTGTCAAGCACAGATCAGACACCTCTCCTCCCCATGCTGTAATATGTATTACAAATGCAATAACAAGTTAAAGTGGAAGAAGATGGGTAACACAAAACCTTACTTTTGATCATTTTAGTGTTTAAGTTCTGGGTGATTTTGTCTGATTTATATTTATGATAATGAATAGAGTCAGTTATTAAATATTGTTGGTGACTTGACTTTAGAACCAAAAATTAAGACTCATGATTTTTTAAGTGCCTCGATCAATTTAATTGAAGCTATCCTGAGATTTCAATATGAGCTGTTAACAGTTACAATTGCTTCTCTGTTTGACTTGATTTCTAAAGGTCTGGTTCCCTCAATGTGTAAGTCTCATGTAAGCTTAGCAAACCAGTAATTTTCCTTCTCAGCCTTCAGTTTTCTGTCTGTACATTGAAGCATTTGAAACAGATGATCATCATGATGTGCTTCAGCTCTGTAACTCTCTGAGGGTTCTCTTTAGTTCACAGCTTATTTACACAGTTAATAAAATTCATTTCTGGGAGCTCCTCTGCATGTCATCTGACAACTAATGTCAAAACGGCAGAAGTATACTAAATAGTAAAGTGGCTTATAACTACAAGTAGATTAAATGCTTACTTGTAGTTTATATTAGGTTCTCACTGACATTGCAATTTGTTGAGAATTATGTAAAAACTGGAAGAATTAAACATAGCTGAGTAAATGTGGCTGGGATGCACCTCTTCCATGGAGAAAAACCAAAATATTGAGTAAACCTTCACACTTCGAACAGAACTTTTGAGAGAAAACACTGAAATTTAATAGAGAAGCAACAGAAGACCTCGTGGTTGAAGAAAGAGGAAACAGGGCTGCCTGCTTGGCATCAGGACTGACCCCTAGACCCAGGTCACACCCAAGGAAGCAGTGAGTAAAGGAACCCTGGGACACCTCATTCCTGCTGTGGACCTCTGAGCTCCTAGCTACAAGAGTTCCTATGACCTCTACAGACTGGCAGGGGGAGCTGCCTAGAGAACACACCAAGGGACTGCTTGAAACTGCATGCTAAAGATCTTTTTTTCACAGCTGCAGCAAAATGCAACTCTGGGTGCCCACCTTCCAAGGCTTTGCATCCTGTCCTAAGAAGTTGCAGCTCCTGTTGTCTGCCAGGCCAGGAGAGAGTGGAGGTCAGGCACTCATGCACCCAAGACAAGCCCCAATGCCATTGCCACAGGACTAAGATGCATCCGAACCACATGCCTCCATCCCTGCTGGTCCCTCCTAAGACTGCCTGGCCATTCCCAGGAGGAGCTGGGAGGAGACCCACAGTATAGCCTTTACTGCTCCGCCTGAGTGGTTTGTTGGTGGCAGCCTGGGAGCACTTTACTCCCCCATCATAGTTGGTGCTAGACCCCAAGGAGACAGAGGGTAATTAAGTTGGCCTGGTTCCAATTTTCTAGGCCTCAAGCACACCACCCAGAAGTATGGAGATAAGATCTACGGCCTGATCTCCAGTGGAGGATCTCCTCTGTTAAAACACAGAGAAGAGTGTGTCAGGTTCATGTGGTGGTGCAGGAGCTGGGCACCCCTCTCTTCACAACGCTGGTGGGAAGGGTGTGGCCTGATAGCGATTTCTGCTGCAGGGTGTCTCGTGGTCTAGAATACATGGAATAGCTTGGTGATCTTGGCATGGATGGGTTGAAACTAACCTAATGGGTTAGGCCTGTTGCTCTTGGGGTTGTGGGAGGTGAGTGGGCCTGACAGCTGCCTGCTGCTCTGAAGACCCTGGGCGCCTCTCTTCCCTTGAGAGTGCCCTGTGTTGCAGGCGAAGGACCTCTGCCCCTCCCTGGAGGGTTGTCCCAGAGGCCTGAGAGCTACCCATAGAACCTCACCAAGCTTGGTGCTTGCATCCAGCCAGGGGAGCTTGACTGTGGGCTCACCTAACACCGCCTTGCTCAACTTTCCCCTCTTCAGCCACCTTGGCAGCAGAGCATGGGAGAGAACCCCTGAGAGCTCCACACTCTGCCCCTCACCAGGAACACCCTGGTACATTCCCCCATCAATAAAGTCCAAGTAAAAATTCCACTGCCATCACTGCAACTGCCTTTTGCCTGCAAGCACCACCTACTGGCCAGGAGGTCAAATTGCATGGTCCATCACAACTTCTGCTGACATCAGTGTATAGCACTCAATTGGCTCTTACCAGCAAGTGTCACCTGCTGGTCTGTAGGGTGAACTGCACAACCCCAATATGATTCCTGCTGACACAAGGGCACAGTGCTGGGAAACAAGCCTCTCAAAACTTCTACATCCCCATTTCTATAGGAGGTAGTGAGCTTGACCACATGCACAGCACACAAATACTACAATCTACAAGCAACTAGCATTTGTGAAAACCACTACACTAAGACTATCTATGACCAAAGAATTCATATAGAGCCTTGGCTCCCTAAAAACACATAGAAACAAAACCAAAGGACTCTACCCCATATATGCAACAGTCACACCCTCAAGGGGGGAAGAAAAAAAATCTCATCCAAATGAAAGTAAATTCAAAATAAGAAGTGACAGCTTCTACAAATGAGAAGGAACCAGCACAAGAACTTCAGCACCATGAAGAAACAGAATGTTGTGACACTCCCCCAAAAACACACTAGCACTCTAGGAACGGATCCTAACCAAAATGAAAACTTTAAAATGACAAACAATTCAAGATATGGATTTTTATTAGTCCATTTTGATATTGCTATGAGGAAATACCCAAGACTGGGTAATTTATAAAGAAAAAGAGGTTTAAAGAACTCACAGTTCCACATGGCTGGGGAGGCCTCACAATCATGGTGGAAGGTGAAGGAGGAGCAAAGGCACATCTTACATGGCGGCAGGCAAAAGAGAACATGCAGGGGAACTGCCCTTTATAAAACCATCAGATCTCATGAGACTTATTCACTATCATGAGAACAGCACAGGAAACACCACTGCCATGATTCAATTACCTTCCACCAGGTCCCTCCCATGACACATGGGGATTATGGGAGCTACAATTCAAGATGAGATTTGGGTAGGGACACAGTCAAACTATATCAGAATTGTAGGAAAGCTCAATGATATCCAAGAGAAAGTTGAAAACCAACACAAAGAAACCAGAAAAACAATTCAGGAGATGAAAGATAAGATAGACATCTTCTGAAAAACCAAAAAGAATATCTGAAAATGAAAAATTTACTGAAGGAATTTCAAAACACTGTTGAAATCTTTAACAATAGACTAGACCAAGCAGAAGAAAGAATTTCAGAGCTTGAAGACTGGTATTTGGAATTAACCCAGTCAGACAAAATCAAAGAAAAATGAATGCTAAAAAATGAACAAAGTCTTTAAGAAATATGGAATTATGTAAAGTGAGCAAACCCACAAATTACAGACATTCCTGAGGAAAAAGAAGAAAAAGTAAGTAGTTTGGAAAACATATTTAAGGAATAATTCAGGAAGATTTCTCTGATCTTATTAGAGATGTAAACATTTAGGTAGAAGAAATTCAGATAACAGCTGGAAGATACTATACAAGACAAACATCACCAAGGCATATAATCATCAGACTATCCAAGGTCAATGTGACAGAATAAATATTAAAGGGAGCTAGAGAGAAATGTCAAATCACTGATAAAATAAATTCCATCAGACTAACAGCAGACTTCTCAGCAGATGCCTTACAAGCTAGAAGAGAAAAGTGGGCCTATTTTTCACTTCTTTAAAGAAAAGAAAATGCTAGCCAAGAATTTTATATCCTGCCAAACTAAGCTTCATAAATGAAGGAGAAATAGACTTTTCCAGACAAGCAAATGATAAGGGAATTAATCACCACTAGACTGACCCTACAAGAAATGATCAAATTAGTCATAAATATGAAAACAAAAGGACAATACTTGCCATCATAAAAGCACATGTAAAAGAAAGCCCACAGACCCTATAAAGCAATTGTACAATTGAGACCCAAGGCAACTAGCTAACAATGCTATGACAGAAACAAAACTACACATTGAATATTAACTTTAAAAGTAAATGGCCAAAATGCTCCACATAAAATATATATACTATAGATCTAGGAAAACTGGATTAAAAGAACCAAGACCCAATCATCTTTTGCCTACAAGAGAACGACTTAATGGTTAAAGCACCTACGGACTCAAAGTAAAGGGATGGAAAACATGTACCATGAAAATGTAAAACAAAAGCAAATAGGAGTAGCCATCCTTATTGTATCAGATAAAACAAACTTTAAACCAACACAATTTTTTAAAAAGACTAAAAAGGGTATTATGTAATTATAAAGGGTTCAATACAACAAGCAGATTTAACCATCCTAAATATATGTGTACCCAACACCAGGGCATGCAGATTCATAAAACAAATACTGCCAGACCTAAGAGAAGAAATGGACAGCAATACAGTAGTAGTCAGGGACTTCAGCACTCCCCTGACATAACTAGAGAAGTCATGGAGGTAGAAAGTCAACAAACTCTGGACTTAAACTGAACTCTAGACCAAATGGACCTAATAGACATTTACAGAACATCCTACCCAACAACCACAGAATATACAGTTTTCTCACCTGCACATGAAACATTCTCCAAAACTGACCATATGCTTGGCCACAAAACAAGTCTCTACAACTTCGAAAAAATTTAAATCATATCAAATGTCTTCTTGGACCACAAGGAAATAAAATTAGAAATCAATGCCAACAGGAACCCTGAAACTTACACAAGTACATAGGAACTAAACAACTTGCTCCTGAATGACTTTTGGGTAAACAAAATTAAGGCCAAAATCAAATTTTCTTTGAAACAAATAATATAGAGGCACAAGATACCAAAACCTCTGGGAAACAGCAAAAGTAGTACTAAAGGGAAAATGTATAGCATTATATACCTACATAAAAAAGATAGAAAAATCTAAAATTAGCAGCCTAACTTTGCACTTCAAGGGACTAGAAAAGCAAGAGCAATCCAAACCCAAAGCTAGCAGAAGAAAAGAAATAACAAAGATCAAATCAGAACTAAATGAGATTCAGACAAAAAAAAATTACAAAGAATCAACAAAATGAAAAATTGATTCTTTGAAAGGATAAATAAAACAGGTAGATCACTAGCTAGTTTAAGCAAGAAAAAAGAATCATGTAAGCACAATCACAAATGGTAAAGGTGACAACATTACAACTGATACCACAGAAATACAAAAGATCTCCAGAACTGGCCCGGTGCAGTGGCTCATGCCTGTAATCCCAACACTTTGGGAGGGGGAGGCGGGCGGAACACCTGAGGTCAGGAGTTCAAGATCAGCCTGGCCAACATGTTGAAACCCCGTCTTTACTAAAAATAATAATAATTTAAAAATTGGCTGGGCATGGTGACGGGTGCCTGTAGTCCCAGCTACTTTGGAGGCTGAGGCAGGAGAATCGCTTGAACCCAGGAGAGGGAGGTCATAGTGAGCCAAGACTGTGCCATTGCACTCTAGCCTGGGCATTGAGAGTGAAACTTTGTCAGAAAACAAAACAAAACAACTCCAGAATTATCAACATCCCTATGTGTACACCCTAGAAAACCTGGAAGAAATGGATAAATTCCTGGAAACATGCAACCTTCCACGTTTGAACCAGGAAGAAATAGAAATCCTAAACAGACCAATAACAAGTAATGAAATTGAATCAGTAATAAAGAAAAATCTTTCTCCCAGCTAACACGGTGAAACTCAGTCTCTACTAAAAATACAAAAAAAAAAAAAAAAAAAAAAAAAAAAAAATTAGCCAGGCATGGTGGCGGGCGCCTGTAGTCCCAGCTACTCGGGAGGCTGAGGCAGGAGAATGGCGTGGACTCGGGAGGCGGAACTTGCAGTGAGCCGAGATCGCACCGCTGCACTCCAGCCTGGGCAACAGAGTGAGACGCCGTCTCAAAAAAAAAAAAAAAAAAAAAAAATCTTTCAACAAACAACAAAAGCCCAGGACCAGACAGATTTAAAAACAAATTTTACCAGATGTGCGAAGAAGAGCTGATACCAATCTTACCGTAGTTTTTTCACACCATTAAGGGGGAGCTATTCCTCCCAAGCTTGTTCTATGAAACCAGTATCACCCTGATACCAAAATCAGGCAATGACATTGAAAAAAAAAAAAAAAACTATGAGCCAATATTTCTGATGAACATATTCACAACAGCAAAGTCATGGAATTAACCTAAGTGTTGGTGAACATTTGACTGTATAAAGAAAATGGGTTATATATAGTATGCCACGTTTGCCTAACCCAGATTCACAAAGATTTTCCCCTGTGTTTTTTTTTTTCTAGAAGTTTTACAGTTAAGCCTATGATCCATTGTAAGGTAACTTAAAAAAAAATATATGATATGAGACAAGAATCATTTTTCTGCACATAAATGCTCAATTTCCCTAGAACCATTTGATGAAAAGACTATCGTTTCTCCAATAAATTGACTTTCCATCTTTGTC
This sequence comes from Homo sapiens, assembly GCF_000001405.40. Taxonomy (NCBI): domain Eukaryota; kingdom Metazoa; phylum Chordata; class Mammalia; order Primates; family Hominidae; genus Homo; species Homo sapiens. The sequence goes on from NC_000001.11 coordinate 172,732,514, forward strand.
AAAGTCAATTTGTGTTGGTCTACAACTGGACACTTTATTTTCTTTCTTTCTTTCTCTCTTTCTTTCTTTCTTTCTTTTTCTTTCCTTCTAGACACTTTATTTTCTTTCTTTCTTTCCTTCCTTCCTTCCTTCTTTGTTTCTTTCTTTCTTTTTCTTTTTCTTCTTCAGTTTTTTATCTTTTTGTCAATACCACACTGTCTTTATTACTGTAGCCTTATTGCAGAATTTCTCACCCTTAGCCCTATTGATATTTTGGGCCAGATAATTCTTTGCCGTGGAAGGCATCATGCGAATTTTAGCAGCATGCCTGGCTTCTACTTACTAGATGCTAGTAGCATTCCCTGAGTCATGACATTCAAAAATGTCTTCAGATGAGCTTGGAGGGCATTATGTTAATTAAAATAACCCTGGTACAGAAAGACAAATATTGCATGTTTTTACTTATATGTGGGAGTTAGAAAAGTTGATCTCATGGATGTAGAGAATGGTTACCAGGGGCTGAGAAGGGTAGCGGGTAGGGGGTATGAAGAGAGTTTGGTTAATGGGTACAAAATATCTAGTTAGAAAGAGTAATTTTTGGTGTTCGATGATAGCACAGTAATGTGACTATAGTTATCAATTATTTATTGTGTATTCAATGCTAAAAGACAAGATGTGGAATGTTCTTGACACAAAGAAATGATAAATGTCCAAGTTGATGGATATCCCAACTACCCTTATCATTACACATTGTATGCATGGTATCACATGTACCCCATAAATATGTAAAATTATTGTATATTAATAAAAACATGTCCTCAGACATTACTAAATATCCTCTGGCAGTGGTGGTGGGGGAGGGGGATTGTCTCCAATTGAGGACCACTTTTTTATAGTAAGTCTTGAAAATCAGACTTAATTTTTTATCCCAATGGTTTTGACTGTTCTCGTATCTTTGCTTCCTCATATGCATTTTAGAATCAGCTTGTTGATATCTACATAAAATCCTGCGGGGTTTCTGATCGATATTGCATTGAATCTATATATCAGTTTGAGAAGAACTGACATCTTAACAATATTGAGGCTTTCAATCCATGAACACAGTATATCACTACATTTATTTAGGTCTATTTTGATTTTTTTCCATTAATTTTGTGTTATTTTAAGCATACAGATCCTATGTATGTATGTGTGTGGTATCAAATATGCTATATTAAGAAATATATACAATGCATAAATATTTTATTGTCTGTGGTATTGTAAACAGCACCTAAGATTTTTAAAAAATTAAAAGATTAGAAAATTGACCATTGCTGTTACTGAGAAATAGAATTGATTTTGTATATTGGTCTTGTATCCTGCAACCTTGCTAAACTCACTTATTAATTCCTGGGGTCTTTTTGTAGATTCCTTAAGATTTTCCACATAGACAAATGTATCTGAATAAAAAGTTTTATTTCCTCCTTTCCAATCTGTATGTTTTTTACTTCCTTTTTTTGTGTTACTGAACTAGCTAAACAGAAAGTACAATGTCAAATAAGAGTAGTGAGAGCAGCTAGCCTTGTCTTGGTCCTAAGTATTCACTATTTCTCCATAAAAAATTAACTGTACATTTTTCATAGCTGCCTTCAATCAGTTTAAGAAGACAACCTTATATTTATAGTTTGCTGTAAGTTTTTTAAAAAAATTATGACTGGACATTGAGTTTTGTCAAATGTTTTTTTCTGCATCTATGAAGATAATCAAGATAATCACATAGTTTTTTTTTTTTTAGTTTGCTGATATGATTAATTATACTGATTGATTTTCAAATGAAGAAACATTCTTTCATTTCGTAGATAAACTTATCTTGCTCATGGTGTATATTCCTTCTTATATGTTCCTGGATATTACTTGTTAATAATTCATTGGGAATTTTTCGTGATCATGCTCATGAAGGATATTGGTTTGTAATTTTATTCTCTTGCATACATTTTGTCTGGTTTTGTTGTCAGGGTAATGATGACCTCACAAAAAAATTTAGAAAATATTTCTCCTAGTCTATTTTCTGGAAAAAATTATGTTGATTTAATGTTATTACTTTCTCAAATGTTTGGTTGATATTATCAGTGAAGTCTTGTGGTACTTTTCTTTGTTGGAAGGTTTTAAACTATAAATTCAGCTTTTAATAGATGGCTCAGTTTACTTATTTCTTCTCAAGTGAATTTTGGCAGTGTATCTTTAAAGATTTATTCCATTTTATTTAAGTCATTGAATGTATGGGCATAAAGTTATTTGTAGTATTCTCTTGTACCCTTTTAATGTCTGTAGTATCTGTAGTAATATCCCTTCTTTCATTCCTGATATTGATAATTTGTGTTATCTTTTTTCTGTCTTAGTCTGGCTAGGGGTTTATTAATAATTTTGATGTTTTAATACAATTGATTTTATAAATGTTCTCTATTTTGTGTTTTTAATTTTATTGATTTGTGCTCTTTCTTATTTTCTTCCTTCCATTTGCTTTGTGTTTAATTTGCTCTTATTTTTCTAGTTTCTTAAGGTATAAAGTTGGAATATAAATTTAAAAGCTTTATTCTTTTCTTTTTTTCCTCATGTTTCTTGGCTGGAAGTCAATGGATATTGTCCAGAGTTGAAACATTATTTATTTATGTAGTTATTTTTTGAGACAAGAGTCTTACTCTGTTACCCAGGCTGGAGTGCAGTGGCACAATCTCGGGTCACTGCAAACTCCACCTCCCGGGTTCAAGTGATTCTCATGTCTCGTGTCTCAGTAGCTGGGACTACAGGTGTGTGCCACCACTCCCAGCTATTTTTTTTGTATCTTTAGTAGAGATGGGGTTTCATCATGTTTGCCAGGCTGGTCTTGAACTCCTGGCCTCAAGTGAAGCACCTGCCTTGGCCTCCCAAAGTGCTGGGATTACAGGTGGGAGCCACTGTGTCTGGCCCTGTATTTTAATATTTAGGTAATTTAGAATATTTTCTGAATTCTCTTGAGACTTCCTTTTTGATCAATGGGTTACTTAGAAAGGTTTTACTTAATTTCCAAAATTTTTGGAATTTTCCAGATACCCTCGTTATTAATTTCTAATTTAATTCTCTTACGGTCAAAGAAAACAATGCTTTCTATTGTTTTCAATTGGCTATAGTTTGCTTATGGTGCAGAAGATTGGTAGGTAACCTTTTCTGTAAAGGGTCAGATAGTAAATACTTTTGGTGTTAGGGCCATATGGTCTCTCCTGCACTATTCATCTCTGCCTTTGTGACACAAAAATAGCCACAGACAACACACAAACAAATTGGCATGGTTATGTCTCAATAAGACTAATTTACAAAAATAGATGGTGGGTGAAATTTTGTCCACAGGTTATAGTTTGCTAATCTCTGATCTACCTTGGTGAATGTTCCACATACACTTGAAAAGAATGTATATTCTCTTGTTCTAGGGCAGAATACTTTATAAATATTAATTAGGTCAAGTTGACGGAGAATGTTCAGATCTTCTTTTTTTTGTTTTTGTTCAGAGTCACTTTATTTGAAAGGCTCTGCACATATCTTTGCATACCACAAACTAGAAAAACAAGTTATCATAAATTAGAGAATTAAAAATAAAACACATTGATACAATATTTGAAATATGAAAGACCCTGAGAAGTCATATTTGGTAGTACATTTCAGTCACAACAGGCAAAAGTTTGCTATTTTGAAAAAGAATCAGAAAAAAGGGTGAAAGAGATTTTATGTATTTCTTTCTTCTTCTGTCCAAAATCTAGTTCTTGTGTTTGCTATTTTCACTGCTATAATTTAATTAAAAAGTATATAATCTTCTAAAAATTTCTGGTATAATGCTATTAAAAATACATAGCGATAATGCTTTCACATATATGAGGTTTTCACATATTATATAATATGAAAGCTTATAGTTTTCAAAATTAGGCTTCCCTTTCATAGACTGATGCCTGCCACAAACTATTTACTTTTAAAAGATATTTCCTTTAAATACGCTAGTAAACTATCAGATCACTATATTTCATAGTCTATTATACACAACTGAACATCAGAACCTAGAAACTGAATTGGCAGAAGCAATGATTAAATCTAGACATAACTAAGAAAAAACAAAATTAAGTCCCCAGGAAAAGGCTAAGAGAAGGTACTCTGGGCATTTCTGACACAATTTGTCATAATGTCAAAATAACATGACTTTGTAAATAATATTAACTATATGTAATATTTCTGCCATACAAATGACCTAGAGATTGAATTATAACTTCTGTTAATTTTTATAAAAGATAAGTCTGTTCCAACCAGTATTTAGTTGATGAAGAATAGTGTTCATGGAACTTAGGTCAAATAGGGTTGTTCATAAAATAAATTCATTTTTATCTTTTCTAGAATGTTTTTTTTCTCTCAAAAGACAAGGGACTGAGCAGCTATAAAATGTTCACTTTTCTGGTTGTTCAGGTCTTCTTAATTCTTGCCTATTTTCTACTTCTGTTAATTATCAGGAGGTGCTTTGATGTCTCCAAGTATAATTGTAGATTTGTCCATTTTTCCTTTTAGTTGTATCAGTTTTCGATTCATGTATTTTGAAGCTCTGTGGTTTTGCACATACATACCTGGATTGTTATGTGTTCTTGGTATGTTTGCCTCTCTTCCTCCCTGACAATGTTCCTTGTTCTGAAGTTTGCTTTGATAACAATATAGCCATTCTTGCATTCTTTTTGTTAGTGTATGTTGATGGTTTGTCATTTTCTATTCTTTTATTTTTAATTGATCTATATAATAATATTTATAGTAAGCTGCTTATAGACTTTAATTGTATCCCCCAATTTTTGATATGTTCTTTTCATATTTAAGTAGGTCAAAATATTTTCTGAATTCTCTTGAGACTTTTTGATCAATGGGTTATTTAGAAGGGTGTTGTTTAATTTTTTCTTTCTTTCTTTTTTTTTTTTTTTTGACGGAGGCTCACCCTGTCTCCCAGGCTGGAGTGCAGTGGTGTGATCTTGGCTCACTGCAGCCTCCACCTCCCAGGTCCAAGGTATTCTCCTGTCTTAGTTTCTCAAGTAACTGGGATTACAGGTACGTGTCACCAAGCCCAGCTAATATTTGTATTTGTAGTAGAGACTGGGTTTTGACATGTTGGCCAGGCTGGTCTTGAACTCCTGACTTCAGTTGATCTGCCCACCTCGGTTTCCCAAAGTGCTGGGAGTACAGGCATGAGCCACCGCGCCTGGCCTTAATTTTCAATTCTACAGAGCTTTTAGGTGATCTTCTTTGTTTCCCCACTCTGACAATTTCTATCTTTTAATTGGCATGTTGAGACCATTTATATTCAATGAAATTATCGATATGGCTACATTTAGGTTTACTTTTTTATTATTTTATAATTTCTTCCCTCTGGTTTTTATTTCTCTATTTACTATTCTTTGCCATGCTTTATATTATAGGCATACCATGCCTTCAGCAAGTCATAATCTTTTTGCTGGTGGAATATTACATTGAATCTGTAGATCACTTTGGGTAGTATGAACATTTTGATATTGATTCTATAATACATAAACACAAGATATCTTTCCATTTATTTGTGGTTTCTTTTTCTTCCACTCCTTTCATTAATGTTTTAAAGTTTTCAGTATACAGATCTTTCATCTCCCTGGTTAAATTTATTCCTAAGTATTTTCTTCTTTTTGATGCTATAGTAAATTGAATTGTTTTCTTAATTTCTTTTTTGAATAGTTAATTGTTAATGTATAAAAATGCAACTTATTTTTGTATGTCGATTTTCTGTTTTGTAACTTTAGTGAATTCACTTGTTAGTTCTAACAGTTTTTTTGTGTTTGGAGTCTTTAAAGTTTTCTATATATGGCCACGTCATCTGCAAAGAGAGACAATTTTACTTCTTCTTTTCTGATTTAGATGGCTTTTATTTCTTTTTCTTTCATAATTTCTCTGCCTAGGACTTCCAGTACAATGTTGAATATAAGTGGTGGGAGTTGGTATCCTTATCTTGTTCCTGATCCTAGAGGAAAGGCTTCCAACTTTTCACTATTGAATAGAATGTTAGCTGTAGGCTTGTGATATATGACCTTATCGTGTGGAAGTACATTATTGCTAAACGCAATTTGTTGGGAGTTTTTGTCATAGAAGCATACTGATTTTTTTTTCAAATGCTTTTTCTGCATCTATTGAGATGATCATACAATTGTAATCCTTCATTCTGTTAATGTGGTGCATCACATTTAGTGATTTACATTTGTTGAACCATCCTTGCATCATAGGGATAAATCTCATTTGATTATAGTGTAGGATTCTTTTAATGTGCTGTTTAATTCAATTTGTAGCTGTTTTGTCAGAGGATTTTTGCATTTACGTTCATCAGGAATATTGACCTGTAATCTTTTCTTGTAGTGTCTTTGTCTGACTTTAGCATCAGGATAGTACTAGCCTCATAAAAATCCCTTTGTAAGTTTTCCCTCCTCTTCGATTTTTTTGGGAGAGTGAGAATGATTGGTATTCATTCCTCTTTCAATGCTTAATAGAATTCACCAGTGAGGCCATCTATTATTGGGCTTTAATTTGATGGGAGATTTTTGATTCCTGATTTAATCTTATTACTCATTATTGGTATGTTCAGATTTTCTATTTCTTTTTGTTTCAGACTTGATAAGTTTTATGTATATATATATATATATATATATATATATATATATATATATATATATACACATACATATTTAGGATTTATCCATTTCTTATAGACTGTTCAGTTTTTTGGTGTATAATTGTTTCTTGTAGTCTCTTACAATCCTTTGTATTTCTGTGGTATTTGTCATAACGTCTCTTCTTTCATTACTGATTTTATTTGAGTTTTCTTTCTTTTTTTCTTAGTGTAGCTGAATTTTAAAAATCTTCTCAAAAAAACCTTTTGGTTTCATTGATCTTTTATATTGCTTTCTAGTCTCTGTTTCACTTATTTCTGCTTGGATCTTTCTTCTATCAACTTTGGGCTTAGTTTGTTCTTCTCTTTCTAGTTCCTTGAAGTGTAACATTAAGTTGTTTACTTGAGTTCTTTCTTTTTAATGTAGGCATTAACTACCGTGAACTTCCCTCTTATAACTGCTTTTGCTACATCCCTTAAGTTTTAGTATGTTTGTTTCCATTTTTGTTTGTCTCAAGATATTTTAAAATTTCCCCTTTGATTTCTTTTCTTTACCCATTAACTGTTCAGGAACACATTATTTAACTTCCACATATTTTTGAATTTTCCTGTTATTAATTTCTATTTTCATACCATTGTGATCAGAGAAGATACTTGGTATGATTACAATTTTCTAACATATTTAAATACTTCTTTTGTGGCCTAACATATGATCTATCCCAGAGAATGTTTCATGTGCACTCAAGACAAATGTGTACATGCTTCTGTTGGAGAGAGTGTTTTGTATACATCTGTTAGGTCCATTTGGTCTAAAGTGTAGTTTAAGTCCAATATTTCCTCATTGATTGTATGAATGATCTATTAATTGTTGAAAGTGAGGTATTGAAGTCCTCCACTATTATTGTTTTACTGTCTATTCCTCCCTTCAGATCTATTAGTATGTGTTTTATGTATTTAGGCACTCTGATGTCGCCTGCATATATATTTATAATTGTTATATCTTCTTAATATATTGATTCCTTTGTCATTAAAAATTGCCTTCTTTGTTTCTTTTTACAGTTTTGACTTAAAGTCTATTTTGACGTAAGTATAGCTACATTTGCTATCTTTTCCTTTCCATTTTCATGGAATGTCTTTTTCTATCCCTTCACTTTCAGTCTATACATGTCCTAGAAGCTGAAGTAAGTATCTTATAAAGAGCATATAGTTAGGGTTTAAAAAAATCCATTCAGGGCTAGGTGTGGTGGCTCATCCCTGTAATCTCAGCACTTTGAGAAGCTGAGACAGGCAGATCACTTGAGGTCAGGAGTTTGAGACCAGCCTGGCCAACATGGGGAAATGTGTCTCTACTAAAAATACAAAATATTAGCCAGGTGTGGTAGTGTGCACCTGTAGTCCCAGCTACTTGGGAGGCTGAGGCAGGAGAATCACTTGAACCTGGGAGGGAGAGGTTGCAGTGAGCTGAGACTGTGCCACTGCCCTCCTGCCTGGGTGACAGAGCGAGACTCCATTTCAAAAACAAACAAACAGACAAACAAAACCACCCCATTCAACCACTCTATTTATTTTGCTTAGAGAATTTAATCTATTTACTTTCAAGGTAATTATCAGTAGGTAAGAACTTCCTATTGCCATTTTGTTAGATTTCTCTTTCTTTCTTTCTTTCTTTTTTTTTTTGCTTATTTTGAGTCTTCTTTTGTGATTTGATGATTTGTTGTAGTGGTATGCTTTGATTTTTTTCTTTGTCTGTTATATATCTACTATAGGTTTTTGTTTTGTGGTCACCAAGATGTGTATATATAACGTCTTATAGGTATAACAGTACGTTTTAAGCTGATAACCCCTTAAATTCCATTACATAGAAAAACTACATATTTCCTGCTCCCTACACATTATGTTTTTCATTTCATAATTTACATATTTTAAGCCATTATTTCTTCAAATTTTTTTTCTGTGCCAATCTCTCTCTCATCTTTTTCTGGGATTTCAATGATATGAATATTAGACTTTTGAATATTTTCCTCTAGGTCTCTGGAGCTCTGTTTTTTAAAATAATTTCCCTCTGAATTCTTCAGATTGAATAATTTTTATTGATCTATACTTGCTTGCTGACTCCTCTATTATCTCCCTTGAGTCCATCCAGTAAATTTTATATTTCAGATATTATATTTTTTAGTTCTAAAATCACCATTTGATTCTGTATTTGTAGCTCCTGCTTCTCTGCTGAGCACTTCTATTTTTTTATCCATTTCAAAAGTGGTTCCTTCTAGAAGCACAATTATAGTAACTGCTCTAAATTCTGTCTGATTCCCATATCTGGGTCATCGCAGGATTGACATCTGTTGATTTTGTTTTCCCTTACGAGTGGTTAGATGTTTTTGGTGCTATATGTCAAGTTATTTTGGATTTTATTGACAATTTGAGTACTATATGGGGAGACTCTATGTCCTAATAAAGTCCTTTGGGGAAGGTTATTTTTTGGTTGTTGTTATTTTGCTTTTGTAGATACTCAATTTTGTTAGGTTCAGACTGCAAGTTTTAGCTCACCTTTCTGGATGGTGATTCCAATGTTAGTTACATTTTCAAGGCCTTTGCTGTGCTGCTCTGGGTCTGTCTGTGCATGTGCTACTCAGAGATAACTCCAGTGTGTCTTTAGCTACAGAATTAGAAGATTTCCTTCTCTAGCTCTTTCCCCTCAAGTATTTCTTTCCCCCAAATTCTCTGACTTCCAAGGGCTTGTTTTCCTAGTTATGTGGTCACTAGAAAGATAAGATTTAACTTGAAGCTATAGTGACCATAATACCCATAATTCTCCATGATCGGGGCTGCCTTTAGAGCAAAATGGCAGAGAAAAGAGAGAGGAAGATAAAACATAAAAGTGATTCATCTACCCTTTTTGTACTACAGGATTTCCTTTTGGTTCCTTTCTAGTTCCTCTGGCCCAAAATTTGGGTTTTCCCTCAAGGTGTTAGGTACTGGAGACATTGTTGCCACCACATTGTAGGTTCATGGGTGGGCTGCCCTTGGTGTAGAACTGGGAAAAAATAGAAAAACTGATGGGAATTTTCTACTCTTCCCATTTTTCCCAGTCCTCTTTTTATGGGGACCTATTTTCTGGGCCCTCTGATCAGAAATACTCTTAGAGCTTTTGCTGCTCGCTTCCATGATGGAACCACTCTTGAGTCAAAGTGGGAAAACAAAAGAACAAAAATACCAAGGAAATTCACCTGTGAATGGATTTTTCTTCAAGCTTAGCTTCTCCTTCCTAATTTGCTTGCATTCTTAATTTTTTTAGAGCTCTCAAGTAGTTGCAGTTTATGTTTTGTCCACTATTTTCAGTTGTAATCCATGAGAGACAGTGGCTGTAGTGGACTTGTTCCCTCTTGGCTAGCAATAGGAGTTCTCTGTATCTATGCACGTTTGTATTGATTCTTCATAGCTCACAGTGTCTGTCACCTAGGTGATGAGCAAAACGTATGTATTGAGTGAAAGGATGAATGAATAGACAAAGGAATGAAAAAATAAGAATATGAAAAAAATAAAGGAAGGAAGAAAGAAGATGAATAGATGGATGGGCAAGGAACATGTGATTCCTACAGGTGTGTCAGTGTTTAGGCATGATTCTATTTTATGGTCGCTAGATGGCAGTAGAAGACAACGCCCACTCAGCGATTTTTTTAAAAAAATGTATTCAACATTTATTGACAGTCTACTATAGGCAAGGCACTTTATTAGGAACTGAGAGGGGTGAAAGTGGGGAGGAGGATAGGGTCCAAAGAAAAATAAGAGTCAGCTTCTGGCCTTTAACAATTCACAAGTTGACAAGTACAGAAAGATTAACCAAATTATGGACATCCTTAAATGGGGTGAGGGGCCATAGCCTCTACATTCATGTGGTCATGGCCCTGTCTGAAGGCTGAGAATTAGGTGGGTGGGCAGATTTTAGGGGCAGTACACTGTTCTTTGCTGGTGGGGTGGCCAGCCACCGCTGGATCAAAAGCCAAAGACTCAATTGCTTCTAGGTTCCCAGACGGAAGCTGAGTGACTACTGCAGCCTGCCTGCAGTAGTCACTTGATCCTCTGAAGGGCCTGGATGGACTCAGCTTGTTCTCACGTGGGGATGTGGGCCTGGCATTACCAGATCTTCCATTTCTCATGACAAGTCAAAAATACAAACTGATATGAAATTTCCTGATTTGTAAATGCTGGCACTAATTCACAGTTTACAAAGCACTGAGTGAGTCAATCAAAACACATCTATGGGAATGGAGTTGGCTCTTGAACCATCATCACTTCGTGATCTCTATTCCAGAGAGTCATCTGTGAGTTCCTTTCATGGTCTCTGCCATGGATGCCACTCAGACCAAAGTGTCCTTTGAAGGAGTTCCTCCTTTTTTCCCCCTCTCCTTGTTCCCCATTCCTTATGTTCAGAGATTCCCTAAGAGAGCAACACTTACCAGCTTTTCTCCATGCCAGTGAGCCCTACCTGATCTCTCCTCTAGGAAGGAGCCACCAGGCTGGCCAGTCAGGGCAGGTGGCTGGGTTGCAAGCACTCCATTTCTGGTGTCCTTCTTACATCTCAAATACATCAGTTTGAGCTTTTTCATGACCCTAAAGGTTCATTCGTGTGCAGAAAAGATTCAGAAATTATTTTGATTTTAAAAATTAATTTTCTTTTTAAATCTATTTAAAAGTTCCTTCAAACATTTAGGTTACATTTAAAATATTATTATTCTATTTACATGTCTACATACATACTTTATTAATTGCTTCATATTTTTTAATAGTTAGATCTGAAGGAGAATTTAGATTTTCAGTTTCTCTTGCTGATTCCTTATTACAACTATCCAGGACAAAGGAAAAGGATGATTAGTATTCCATGTTCCCTGAGGCCATGGAAGCTGGGAATCTGGTCCAAGGGCACTAGGGTGCCTGAGAAATGCAGTACCAAGAGGTACAGAATGTCGACTCAGGAAGGAGGTAGGGAGTTTCTTTCCCTCTTTCTCTCCTCCAGTGATCAGTACTCCAGGTGGCATAGCAAGAGTCAGAAAAGTACAGCAGTTGCAAGGGCGTTTCTCTCTGAGGTTCAGCCTCAACTCTTCCTCTAACCAGGGACGTCACTTTGGACACATTGCTTAGCCTCTCCATGCCTTCATTTTCTTTCTGTGAAGTGGGAGTGTTAACATATTCTGGAAGGTGTTGGGAAAGGGAAGATGTTGATCAAAGGGTATAAAGTTTAAGTTAGATTAGAGAAATATATTTTAGTGTTCTATTACACTGCATGGTGACCGTGGCTAATAATATGTTATTATATATTTCAAAATTACTAAAAGAATAGATTTTTAATGTTCTCATTACAAAAAATGATAAGTTGGTGAAGCGATCGATATTTTAATTAGCTTGACTGAGTCTTTCTACAATGTATACATAGATGAAAACATCATATTGTACCCCATAGATTTATACAATTATATATATTATCTCACAGAGCTATTCTGAAGATTAAGTAAAATGTCTGGCCTAATATAAACAGGAGGTAAACAGATAGGTATTTATTTCTTGTTTCTTTGATATAAATGTTGACATCGGATTTATTTGTTAGGACGAACTATAGACAAGATGGTGAGAACCAGCAAGATGTCCTCAGGAATTCCTGCTTCACTTATCCCACAGAGCTGACTGTGGCCCCTTCAGAAGTCCAGATACTTTTTATTCTCATTTCCTTTCCAGTCTCAATGTGAACTCTTAGCAAAAAACTGGATCCTTCTCAATCAGCTATTTCCTTCAGAGAGGCGGAAGAAGGAGAGATGGGTGAGGGGTCATCCCAGAAATCCTAGTGGACAGGCCTCTTCTGGGAGCATCAGATGCCTACAAGGTGTTTATGGACTGACATCTGTGAGTGTGTCTGTTTTCTTAGTGTTGGTGTCAGGGTGTGTAGAAGTTGAAAGTGAATGGCAACTCTAGTGTCTTGTTGTGTTACGAACTTTCACCAGGTGGCAGAAGAGTACTGTGAAGAGAAGTCACAAGGATTCACAATCACTCTCCAAAGTAGTGGGAAGTCAAGCAAGAAAGGGTGGCTTGTTCAGAACAGTTGCGATCATTCTGAAAGCAACTCATAAGGGTTGGCAAGTTAAGCTCCAATATGAATTCATTTAGAAACCAGAAAAACAAGAAGAGACTAGCTTGCCAGATGAGAGGAGATTCTGTATGAAAGGAGAGACTTCTAGAAGTGTGGTTGGCAAACCATCCCAAAAGCCTGCACAGTAGGGTAACATGAATGGACCTCATTTAGTTGATTACCTGGAAGTTCAACTGTGGGTATGAAATGTAGGATCAGCTAATATGGTGGCAGAGGAGCTGGTTGCCTATATGGTTTAATTGGAGAATTCCTGAATCTATTTTCTTCCACCCAGTTTCTCTATTATGGTTTATCTGGGGTCAGCCTTTTCTCTAAAAGGTCACTATTATAATGCAAGTACGGAACACCCCCCCTCCCCAGCCCCTTAACTCTTGTTAACTGATATTAATTCTTCTGATTAGTTTATGTCACTTGGAAGAGTGGATTGTCCCAAGGAAAGAATGGAGAACAGGCTAGACCTTGGTGTTGCTAAAGCTAGTGCTGCACTCATGGCTAGGCCAGTGTTCTCCTGTTGAGTAGAAACAATTTCATAGAATGCCAACATCAGAAAAGGCACTCTGTGATCACAATAGAGAAAGAAATAAAATCCACTCTATAATCCTGTCTGAGCACAGATGAAACCAAGAGCGTTGTCTAAAAGTGACCACAAAAATGACCAGTGTGCCCCTATCCTTATTGATATAAGAGATTGCTGCTGCTTTACCAAGGAATGCTTTAGTCAGTCTCGTTTTATTCTTCACACCTTCTAGGTAAGAATTATTAAGATACCCAGTCATGGGATCCTAACAATATCTAACTCAGAGAAAAGATCCACTTCTTTAAACCCTGTCCAAAATCACTTAACACGAGGTTTGGCAAGAGAGCACCTGACGTTCAGAGAGAGATGAAAACTAGGGAAAGAATGTACCAAAGGAAAGGAAAGAGATGATGAAGCCAAAACCTCAGGGCTTTACAGTGGGGCCTTGAGTGGGCTCTTGTTTCAATGTATTCAGTAACCAGAAGCCAGGGACCCTGCTTGCACTGCCTGCCACTGACATTTCTCCTCTGATCTAAGTCTCTGCTTAACAAAGAAGCCTGTGGCTACTCTTAAAGTCTCCCCATCTGGAATGGGGGTGAGTTTGTTCAGCTCACTCCTTCTTCTCCTTCCTGAGCAGCTGACTTATTCTGATGTGGTTTTGCGGTTATACAGTAAGCAGCACTGCTTATGTGGACATGGTGTACTTTCAGTTTCTGAAAGTGAGTCATGTTGACTTTCCTCTGAGGAGTAAGAGTGACCCTTGCTTAAAAGGACAACATGACTAGAAGGAAGAAACACCAGAGGCCACCAGGACCAGAATGTTTACCAATGTAGGCAGTCACTAGTTTTTAGGAGTAGTTTGTGTCATCTTTTTAAACAAGGTAAACTAGGAAGAAACATTTGGTTTTGAATCTTTGAGTGTTTGCCAATGTTTGAAGTACTTATCTATTTTTACTCATCATTTAAAGTGATGTTTGTGGCTAAGAGCTCAAGATCTACAAACATACTTAAATAAGTTTACATTTGGTCAGCTGGAACCTGATGGGGACATTTCCAAGAGGATCACTTGCTAGTATTACATCTTTAATTTTCATGTATGTTAATGGCTTGTGATATTGGACTATTCATCCAGGCCCTAAGAAATCTCAGCAGGTCTATTGAGAATCAAAATTAAGGCTGTACATAGCCACTATACAGAATAAGGAGTTTCTTGTAATCTAACTCTCCTTCGTGGTCTTATTTGGTTAATTTTTTCATGATAACATGTAGAGCCAATATGGGCTCTTGTCACCACTTCTGCATCCTTGCAAGCATTGTTAATTGTCTTATGTTTTTCTTGCTTAGCCAGGATGTAGCCTCAAGATACTTCCCGTCACCATGCTCCTGACAGCCACTGCTGTCAGATCACAGTAGATAAGTGAGATCAAGCCCACTTGCATGTCTGCCCTAGAATCTCCATTTAACTTTGCTCTTGGGTATCCAAATCATAGGAGTGCCGCTGTCCTCCAATCAAGGAGACTGTCTTTCTTTCCTCAATAATTAAATCCCTCTGGGTCCAAGAAAGCGCGAATAGAATTATTGTCAAATTCTATATCACTGAGCCATCATCACTACCTATTGCCTTGGTAAGTCATTTGGGCAATTGGAGAGAATAAGAAAAGCCCAGTAGTGAAGCAGCATGTATTAAATAATTAGTGAGATATTCAAGACAGTTTATATTTCACAAGTATATAAAAATTGCTATTACTTCACGGGACTGAATTTCCTTTTCTATTTTCTCTTTCTTTCTTTCTTTCTTTCTTTCTTTCTTTCTTTCTTTCTTTCTTTCTTTCTTTCCTTCCTTCCTTCCTTCCTTCCTTCCTTCTTTTTTTTGAGATGGCGTCTTGCTCTGTTGCCCAGGCTAGAGTGATCACAGCTCACTGCAACCTCTGCCTCCCAGGCTCAAGCGATCTTCACACCTCAGCCTCCTGAGTAGTTGGAACTACAAGTATGCACCACCAAGCCCGGCTAATTTTTGTATTTTTTGTAGAGACGGAGTTTCATCATGTTGCCCAGGCTGGTCTGTGAACTCCTGGACTCAAGCCATCTGCCTGCCTTGGCCTCCCAAAGGGCTGGGATTACAGGGGGCTGAATTTTCAAGGCAAGGCAAGTCCCCCTTTTAACTTTTGTTAGGTACTAGGCCTGTCATTTGGTAGTTGCTATAAAGTAGGTGGCAGCATCTATTAGGATGGAATAGATTCAGTAGGGAGACTTACTAAACTGCTAATATTTATGAAATTTAGTATGTGATAGCTATTTGTACTTCTTAATAAAATATATTTATTAAAATCATAACATACAAGTACTGATTAAATATTGTTCTAGCTGAGAGTCTTGGTTGCAATTAATAGGTATAAGCTCTAGATTATATAAGCAGGAAAAGGACTTATTGAAAGGTTCTAGACACAGAACCTCATCTCCTCCGGTGCTGAAGCCCGCGGCGGGGCAGGATGGGCAGGAGAGCAGAGCCGCGGAGTCTGCCGCGCGGGTGAAGAGCGGCGCGTAATTCCTGTGGCGGAATTGTTCTGCGCCTGCAGCCCCTGTGTTAGCAGGATCTGAACCCGGGCGGCTGCATGCTTACAGGCGCAGAGGTCAGAGAGCCCTTGGCTTAAAGTAAGCCATCCCCTCACCTTCTTCGAGGCCTCCAGGGCTGGGCCCAAGCACCCGTCGACGGCACCCTGGGCCCAGAGCACTCGCGGGCCTCATCTCCAATGATTCAGAACTCACATTCGTCACTGCTGCAACCCCAAGATGTCAGAGACACAGTGGAAACGCTTATGGTATGAAGAAAACATGAGGCACCACCAGTTACATCTGGTGATCAAGGCTTTCCTGTGTGGCTCCATCAGTGGAACCTGCTCTACCCTCCTTTTCCAACCTCTGGATCTCCTTAAAACACGCCTGCAAACCCTCCAGCCCTCAGATCATGGGTCTAGACGTGTTGGGATGTTGGCTGTACTCTTGAAGGTGGTTCACACGGAGAGTCTTTTAGGCCTTTGGAAAGGGATGTCCCCTTCCGTTGTGAGATGTGTCCCTGGCGTTGGAATCTACTTTGGCACTCTCTAGTCTTTGAAGCGGTATTTCTTGCGAGGCCATCCCCCAACCGCCCTGGAGTCAATCATGCTGGGGGTGGGCTCTCTCTCTGTTGCAGGGGTCTGTATGTTACCCATCACTGTAATCAAGATGTGCTATGAGAGTGGGAAATATGGCTATGAGAGTATCTACGCTGCCGTGAGGAGCATCTATCGCAGTGAGGGGCACCGGGGCCTCTTCAGTGGCCTGACAGCAACTCTCCTTCGAGATATGCCCTTTTCAGGAAACTACCTGATGTTTTACAACCAGACCAAAAACATAGTGCCCCATGACCAGGTGGATGCAACCTTTATTCCTATTACAAATTTCAGCTGTGGGATATTTGCTGGTATTCTCGCCTCACTGGTAACTCAACCTGCGGATGTTATCAAAACTCATATGCAGCTTTACCCACTGAAGTTTCAATGGATTGGCCAAGCAGTGACACTTACTTTCAAAGACTATGGACTACGTGGCTTCTTCCAAGGTGGCATCCCCCGAGCCCTCTGCAGAACTCTAATGGCAGCAATGGCGTAGATGGTGTATGAAGAGATGATGGCCAAGATGGGCCTGAAGTCCTGACCAAGAGAGGACTGGGAAAGGGTGAAATCTATTGCCCTGCTTGGTTTCTGCCAAGGGCTGCTGCTGCTTACTATTCTGCAGTAAGATGAAGTCCTACCTGGAAAACCAGGCAGAAATTGTGTTGCCTTTGCCTTCGGTAATCCCTTTAAGGAGAAAAATATATGGACCTGATTTGAGCCTTCACAATCTCCAAAAGAGGAGTCACCAATACATAGAACACACTGGGGTGTTAGGAGAGAGTTTTGCATACCCTGAGAGGCTACTTGGAAAGGCATTTTCCCAGGAGAGCTCTGTCAGGTGGCTGCGCTTCTGGCCCACACCTACACCACAGGGTCTCCTTGGGTACGTTCTTGGGCAAGGAATCACAAAGCCAGAGAAGCTGTAAGCTGCCTGCCGGGCCTGAGGAGCTCCAGCCAGGGAGGACTGGATGTGAGGAGAGGAGTCACTGTTACCAGGTCACAGACTGACTGAGGTGATGGTAGGATGAGGAGGAATAGATGCCATTCTTTAATTGGTTCTCAGTCAACTTCTCAGAGGCTCTGGGGAACGGGACAGTGGCTTTCTAGCCTCTGAATGTCCAAATAAAATTTTTTGGTCTTGGCCCCTGTATTGTTTCACCTCTAAATTCTGGCATTTTTTTTTTCCCTGCAATTAAAGTGCTTTACTTTAAAAAAAAAAAGTTTCTAGAGTAGCTCAGAGAAGCAACTAGAAATCTAGAAGACAAGACTTCAATCAAAAGACAGTCACCACACTTCCGTCAGGCTGGTGCAAGAGCTGTGTACTTGTCTGATTCTCAGAGAAGAGAATGAAGGTTCTTTAAAAAAATATTTTAAGGACATGTCTATGCATATATACAATATATTTTTTAAACTTTTAAGTTCAGGGGTACATGTGAAGGTTCATTATATAGGTAAACTTGTGTCATGGGAGTTTGTTGTATAGATTATTTCATCACCCAAGTATTAAGCCTAGTACCCTTTAGTTATTTTTCCTGATCCTCTCCCTTGTCCAAACCTCTACTCTCCGATAGGCCCCAGTGTGTGTTGTTCCACTCGATGTGTCTGTGTGTTCTCATCATTTAGCTCCTATTTATAAGTGAGATTATGCAGCATTTAGTTTTCTGGAGAATGGGGTTTCTTAATCTTCTGTTATGTAAATCCCCTTGGCCATAGGGTGAAGCCTATGAACCTTTTCTCAGAATAATATTTTAAAATGTATAAAGCAAAGTGCATGGGATTACCAAGGAAACCAATTCTACTGAAATATGGTTATCAAAATAGTAAAAAATCCCAAATATATGCTATTGCAATATATGTGCTTCCTTATTAAAGCATTAAATAACATTAACTGGTGGGTCTAATTATTAACGTAACTTCAGTAGTGATGAGCATAAATACATCTTGGTTATCCACAAGCTCTGTAGCTTACAATATCTGCAATGAGTGTTAGAAATATTACGATATCTGTAATTTCAACCAGTGACAAGGTCACAATTACTGCTTATACAGCTGTGGTTAGTTTAATGCCTACATTCATAATTAAAGAATATTCCAAGTTTCAGTTTGCAGTTAGTGAAAATAAAGTCATATATTTTTTTCTACTCATTTTAATGGATTTCTTTGAATTTTATTTATAGGCTACAGGTTAAGAGCCCCAATTTTAGACTGTGAACTTCTTGAAGGGGAAATTTTTGCTTTATTCACTTTTGCACTCATGTTATCTCTATTTATATAAGTGCTGTGTGTCCTTTTACTATTAGTAAGTGACATATTTCTTCTTCCGAGCACTTATGCAAATATCTGAAAATTGGGGCAAGAGATCCCAAACACGGTGCAGATTACCAATCACAAAGATGATTCTTGGGTTATCTTTGTGCAGAAAAACCCACTCACCTCATTCTACAGCCATACACTTTATTCCTCTTCCCAACCACACTAGCGAAATTCTGTGGAGCAATCACCCATAGGGTTCTACCACAGGACCTGGCTGCTCTTCTGGACTACATGGACAGCCATTTCTTTAATATTGTCTTCTGCAAGAACTTGGATTTTACGATAGCAATTGTCTACCTAACCTTCCCGGAGGAAAGAAAATTCACGCCTTTCCAGAAAGTCACAATTATTTTCTCATCTCTCTGTCATTTTAATTGCTTTATTGGAGAGTTTCTTTCTGTCATCCATTGGTTCATGTTCAGCTAGTCAGCCTTCCAGCTGACTATAATTTCTTGTTTTACAATCAGGTTAAATTTGAATTGAGCAATTTGTACTTGGTAAATATTCAAGAAAAGTTATTATGCTAACATTATTGAAGAACTTCTTGTTGAATTAAAGTGTTGTTTGTCCCTTTGATATCCCACATGTCTGGTACTTGGATTCTTAGATCTGCAGCTGTGATGCTTTAACTCTCATGCCCTGTTTCACAATTTATTGACTTCATTTAATAGTTGAGAGAAAATGAGGACTGAAAGTGATTTATCAGATGGGATATTTCTTCTATTTACCTCATTCCTGCCATCTATATCTCATTACGAAATATGGAAAGTAAAGAAATACAATGTGAAATATCAAAATGTATTATAAGGAAAATCTCTTTAAACTATATGGTCAATAAAATCAGTAACAACAACAAAAAGATCTCACAATGACATGAGCTTTGAAAAGCTATTGGATGTTACTGAATACTTTTCATCTTATTGATCAAAACATCCTCCTGAAAGAATAAGTTTCTTTGAAATCAGAAAATTAAGCCAGAAAATTCATTCTTCCTGTTCCATTCCACTTATTTCACAAACATTTCTTTTCTCATTGTCTAGACACAAAGAGCCGCTGTTAGAGGATTCTGAGGAGTTTAAACTGCTGAGAATTTGATCACATAACTGTTTGGAATTACCACAACTCCGAGGTGTATCAGGGATTGTTATACGTCTTGAAGAGACAAGGAAACTGAGGCACAGAAAATGAAAAATGACTTGTTAAAGTCATCTATCTATTAATTGTCAACAGCAGAATTAGAATTCTACGTTTCCGAACTTCTATCCAATTGTCTTTTAAAAGGGCAGGCACGGCCAGGTGCGGTGGCTCATGCCTGTAATCCCAGCACTTCGGGAGGCTGAGGTGGGTGGATCATGAGGTCAGGAGATCGAGACCATCCTGGCTAACATGGTGAAACTCTGTCTCTACTAAAAATACAAAAAAAAAAATTAGCCAGGTGTGGTGGCCGGCGCCTGTAGTCCCAGCTACTCGGAAGGCTGAGACAGGAGAATGGCGTGAACCGGGAAGGCAGAGCTTGCAGTGAGCTGAGATCATGCCACTGCACTCCAGCCTGGGGGACAGAGCGAGACTCCGTCAAAAAAAAAAAAGGGCAGGCGCAAATCCATATTTATAGTAAAGTAACTTTCGCAGATTGTGCCTCTATAGTCTCCTTTTCAAAATTTTTTTTTCAGTTTTTCTAAAACCAGCTATTTATTCACTATGAATTCATTTCCCCCCGCCCCAGGAAGAGCACTAGCCATCAGTTCTAACTTGGAAAGCTGAGCCTAAGCTTGCTCTCTTTGGTCATTCTGGAGCAGTTGGTGCAGACTTTAGTTTTCCTCCAGTGAAAATAGAATTCATTTCAGATGAATTGTCTATTTCTTCAAGAAATTCCTGTGTAACTTTGCTAAGTATTTATTGAGCAGGTGCTATATGTAGAACCTTGCACTTCCACTCATTTGGAGGACTGGGATGTATAACTTAAGCTATTCTTAAGGGCTTTTAAGCCAAACAGACATCCTGGTCTTTTTCCTGGGAAAGGAACTACAGAGTTTCCAGACACAGTGATCTGAAACACTTCCGAGACATAAGCTGCTTTTGAGAGATGGCCTCGTAGAAAGAAAAGTTGACCTACTCTTTCAACACATTGTCTGCAAGTCTGTTTTTGTTCATTCCAATCACTTCATGTGAGCAAAGGATGAACTGAATTCTTGTCCTCTAGGAATAATTGTTTAAATAAAGAAGGTTTTATTGTTTTTTCTTTTCCTCTTCCTTTCTTCCTTCTTTTCTCTCATTATTTTATTTTTCCCAAGAATGTTAATTGAGGTTAGAACCAAAGAACAGAGATAGGATATGAATAAAACATGGTTTTTGCCCGAAGGAGATAGACATGTCATAAGTTACAATGTAATATTTTTTTCTGTAATAAGGATATCTGTAAAATTTAATGGCAGCACAAAGCATGAGTGCTTAACTACCAAGGGTAATTAGGTGAGTCTTTATACTGTAGGTGAAATCTAAACAGGGTCTTGGAGAATGAATAAAAGTTTGACAGGTGAGTTATTTATATTGGTAAATTAAAAATTTAATGTACCCCAAGAACTAAGTGACAGAAGCCACATAAACAAAACCATTTTTCTTATTACCTTAATTAAACTTGGGGGAAAAGAAAACTAAGGTTGAGAACTAGAAAATGATAGAGAAGCCCAACTCCAACTCTAAAATGTGGCCTTTAAGAAATTGGCCAGAGATCCT
Source organism: Homo sapiens (assembly GCF_000001405.40). Lineage (NCBI taxonomy): Eukaryota > Metazoa > Chordata > Mammalia > Primates > Hominidae > Homo > Homo sapiens. The sequence goes on from NC_000001.11 coordinate 172,754,008, forward strand.
GAGCTGCCAACGGTTCTACCAAGCATTTCCTGCTTCTAGGTGATCTGAAGTTTCTGGTGGGAGGTCTTTAGAGCTAGTGTCTGGCTCTCTATCAAATATCGCTTTCCTAGCCATCAGAGGGGCCCCAACTACTCAAAACTGAAATTGTTACTTAAACCACAGCTTTGACTACTCAGCCCCCCAAGTCTCCAGTCATACTTTACTTGTTAATTATCTCTACTCCCACACAGAACCTGCCTTTTTCTGCTGGGTGATGCCAGTAAACTCACCTCTGACTAGGATTAGGTTATATGGGAGGTCAAAGCCCTATGGGATTTTTAGAATGTTTAGTAGAGTATTAAAGCATCCTTGGGGGCTGCCCCTCATAGATGTGCCAATGTGACCTATCCCCATCCTAACTCCTCACATAAACATGGTGGCTTTCTTCTAAAGTTCACTTGCGGTAAATGGTTGTGAATAAGTACACAACTAAAATGAACTATTTACTAGCTAATTTTTGGAGACATTTTACTTTTAGGACAAAAAGCCAAATGACAAAATAAAACTTCTAGGGGATCAATCCAGTTTTAGTTCAATCTCCCCAATCTTCTATTCTACATCTATTTTCCATATATGTAATTATAAATAATTAGGCTGACAACCTAAAAAAAAGATTGTTGATTGTTTTGTACTTGTGAATGCCAAAAACATTAGAGCAATAAAAATTAAAACAGTGTATACCTGTGTAACAAATCTGCATGTTCTGCACATGTATCCTGGAACTTAAAGTAAAATTAAAAAAAAAAAAAAAAAAGGAAGTGACTGCAGATTAACCACAGAATTAACTTGAAAATTCTCTTCTCTATGTGTTCGGGTTCATTGATTTCTTTCTGTGAAACTTCATGTATTCTGTTTTCTTAAACTAAAAAGGAGTTTTAAAAGAATTGTTTTACATGTCCAAGAAGAAAATGTAGTCAATGAAAAATAGGAATCACATTCTAATTTTAATTTAACTCATTGCTTAATATTCATTGGATAATTTTTGTTTCCTTATACCTGATCACTGCACACTTTTTATTTCAAAATGAACAGAAGGAAAATAGCCACGAAAATAAATGCTCAGGCTCAGTTACAAATTCTATCTGCATTCAGCTGGTGACTTTAGATAGGGTTGAGAATCGAAATCACTTACGGAGCTTTGTAAAAATCGTACTCTTTTTTCCACTCCCTGACATTTTTATTCACTGGATCTGGGTGCCGTCTGGACGTATTTATTTTGGAGATGCATTCTGTATGATTTTGATGCTTTCCCATTTTGAGAACTACCAGTTTAAATTATTTTCGTTTTAGTCTTTGTGTCCTCTATTGTACCTTCTCTAATTTGCCGCTTACTGTTTATTGAGCAATTTGTATTTCCTTATATGTATTACTTCACACCTCCTTATTCCAAAATGAACATGGAAAATTCAGAAGAGATGACTAGCAATATCTAGATAGCAATATCTAGATATCCAGTAGTTCCCAGTCAGTTAGTTAGAGCTCAGCATAGGGTTCCCTGGAGAAGGCAGAGACCCAAGAAAAATGGGAAAGTCTTGTATATTCAGAGACCTGGGTAGGAGTGTATAGACCGGGTAGCTCATGGGGATGCAGGAGCTGTGTCAAGGGTGTTTCTGGAAGGTTGGAAAGGGCCAGCTGTTTTCTAGCTACCCCTTTTCTCAGGAACAAAGCAGGGGATCATGATTCTTAGGGTAGGGGAATCGATATTTTGCCTAGTTAGTTTCTTGGTTCCATAAAGGAATTGATGTTCTCACCGGGGCCTGCTGAATGGACTGGAACTATAGAAGAAGGGCTCGACAGTCTCAGTTCAAAAGGTCTCACAAAGCTTAAACTCTCACTGGAATGCCGAATCGTAATCCCCCGATCCTGGCACACTACTGAGAGCACCACCATGAATCAGGAAGTAAACACCTATCATTAGTGAAAAACTGTCCAAAGAAGTGAATCTGCCAAAAAGAGGGCACTTGAACTCAAATATTCACTCCTGTACCTGTATTCTTTTCTACTTTTAATTTAAACTTCTAATTTGAATGTACTCTAAACTTGAAATCCAGTGTCTCAGTTTTTTGCTTTCCAGACTTGGAGGAATTTCCCCAACGTCCCAATACCCCACTGGGTTTCACTCTGCACTGGGTCTGTAGCTTTCCAGGAGTTCTATTGCTTCCTCTTCTTTCTTTCCCATTTTTGCAAACACGGTGACATAATGACTGTCCCTCTCCTTTTATGAAACCACATAAAGTCATAACAAGCAAATGATCATACTCCAGCGTGGACTTTACAGTTATTTTTTTTTCTATGTGTCTTGTGGGAGGGTGGAGTGGAATTCGTCTCAAATTGACTGCATTTCTAGTTGAAGGTATGTAATCTCTAGCCACTTTCTCATTTTTCTTTAGGTCTTGGTACAGCAAAGATAATCCTGAACCTGAATAAAAGATTTGATGGATAAGGATGAAAGGAGATGAAGATTTTCAAAAGAGAGATTTCTCTTTCTCTTTTAACCTCTTTAGAGAGAAACATCCCTTTATTCTCACAATTATGAAACAAAATGTCATTTTGTTCTTTGAAAACCTGAAATTAAATTTTAGACAAAAGTTGTTATTAGTAGAGTCACTACACATGAGAAAGAAGATATATTCATTGTAAGCAACATTTCCTAGTGACAAATAGCTTTAAGATTTGTTTCAGACGTAAAACACAGCTACCAAGGAGTGCAATTGCTGGATTGCAGTTGTATGGTAAGACCATGCTTCGCTTTGTAAGAAATTTTCAAACTGTCTTCCAAAGCAGCTGTACAATTTTTCATTCCCACAGGCCATAAATTAGAGTTCCTGTTGCTCCACACCCTTACCAGCATTTAATGTCTGTATTTTGGTTTTGGATTTTTGCCATTCCAATTGGTGTATGGTGGTATCTTGTTTTAATTTGCAATTCCCTAATGACATATGATGTTGAAGATCTTTCCGTGTATTTATCTGCCATCTATATACCATCTTTACTATATGTTTACATCTTTTCCCCATTTTTAAATTGGGTTGTTTGCTTTTTAACTTGATATTTCAAGAGTTTTTGGTATATTTTGGATACAATTCCTTTACCAGATATTTGTTTTGCAAATACTTTCTTCCTATCTGTGGCTCGTCTTTTCATTCTCTGAAGGGACCATAGTTTAAAAATGAGATATGTTATGTCATGCCAATAAACAGTATTCTTGGTTTCCTGGGAGTGCTCAATTACAATGTTAGGAAAGGGGAAAACAGGGAAACTTAAAAGTTAAATTCTCTTAACTATGGGAACTTAAAGAGAATGATCACAGGAGCCAGAAGGGAGATTATGTGAATTATCAAATTTTGTGGAATAAAGTGGACTGCCCGCGAGTGTTTGGTGCCATTTAAGAGATAGCCCCATCCTGGTGGGGCATGTATGCCCTTGTTTAGGTCTGGTGCTTGCCATCTTTCCTTTGGAAACCTCTACCTTGCACTTCATTTCATTCTTCTAAGATCATTCTCTCTTGATGTATCTCCTACCATTTACATCACTGAAACCCCAGGTTTGACACCCAGTGTGCGGTACTGAATCATGAGCTTGGGTTTTAATGCCAGAGAGATTGGGCCTCAGCACTCAGCGTTGTGACTTAAGAGCTTTGTGACTTTAAGGAAATTGTTAGCATCCAGCAGCCTGTTTCTTTGTGTACCTAGCTCACAGTTTTACTGAGAAGATTAAGTCATATTAAGCATTCAGCACATTGGATGGCACTGGTGCTCAGCAAATGCCAGTTCTCTTTTTATCCTCCTTTCTTTTCCTCTAGGTTCTCTCTACCTTTATAGCCTACACTCTTTTGCTTGTTAGACTAACTCTTTTCCATGAGTCTGAATATTCCTCCAAAGAACACTGTGAGCATTCCTTCCTCCCTCCTATTGACTTTCTCTCTTTTAAATGTCCTGTGGTCAGTCCCCATGTGGTCTTTCCTGGTCTCAAGAAGCTCCCACACAGGTACAACTGAGAGTATTTCTTGAATCTGCACCTTCCTTTTAGCTTTTGCTATTTTTATTTCTAACTTTTCTACTCTTTTTAGAGGCTCTGAATTAAGGAATTCAGTGATATAAGTATTTAATGATGAACCACTATGTTCCTAGCATTGTGACACACCTGTGGGTTTTCAGAGAATCAAAAGATATGAATTTTCCCTTCAAATTGATGATCTACTCAGGAAGACAAGATATATGCACACAAAATAGACTTCAACATTAGACAGCATGTGTCCAAAGGTAAGGTGCGGTCAGAATGTGAGCCGATGGCTTCATGGTTTTCACTGGAATATCACATGGGTAACACCTCTTAGCTAAAGGAGTTCAGGGAGATGAGGATGGGGTTGATAATGAGGAACAACAAAGAGAGAGGATGATTCAGTGTGTGAGTAGAGTTGGGAGGAGGCTGGAACAGGAGAACTTCTCCTTTCCTCCCCTCCCACTTTCTTTCTGTAATTTACTTTCCTTTTTTTTTTTTTTTTTTTGGTCATGAGCATGTATCTAGTGGGAACTGTGATATGCAGGACTTTAACCATGTAATTATTAAGTCAATACTTTAAAAAATTCTACCTTGTTACAAAGAGGATTTATGAAGGCTCACAAAGCTAAAAAGAAAGTAAATGAATAGGAAAAATAAGGCATTGGGAAAATAAATGTGGGGGACATTAGATGGGTTCGGGGTGAAACTAGAGCAGAAAATCTATCTTAGAATTTACTACACTTATTGGAGATGGGCCTGTTTAGGAACTGATGTAATTGTTCACAAAGTGAATATAATTGTTCACAAAATTTTTAGGATTCATCAGGTAACAACTTGTGGTAGAGGAGAAAAGTATTCATTCCTGACACTAAAGCCATGAAAAACTTTTTCCCCACAGTCTTTATAGATTAAAGATTCAGAATACAAAAACCTGACTTTGACTTTTATAAGAATTTCATGGTATTATAGGAAGGAGGAAAGAGAATATACACTAACCAGAAACCATCATACTCATTTTTTTTACATTAAAATTACAAGGTTTATTTTCTAATTGAATACATCAAAGACCCCTCCAGCATTTCTTTATGACTCACAGAGCTAAAGAGGGGATCTCATGATACTCAGGAAGGGAAGATGGGAGATCTTGACATTCAACTTCAAAAATCATCCCCTCTCCTCTCTCACCTTCTGCCAGGGGCCGAATTTCTTCCTCTCAAAATTCATATGTTGAAGCCCTAAGCCTCAGTACCTCAGAATAAGATTGCATTTAGGGATAGGGCAGTCAAGTTAAATGAGGCCATTAAGGTGAGCCCTAATCCACTGTGACTGGTGTTCTAATAAGAGTAGGAGATGAGGACACAGAGTGAGATACCAGACCCAGGTATGCACAGAGAAGACCATGTGAGCACATAGCAGGAAAGCTAGCATCTGCAAGCCAAGGAAAAAGCCCTCAGAAGAAACCAAACCTACTGACATCTTGGTCTTGGACTTTCAGCCTCAAGACTAGGAGAAAATTAATTCCTACCATTTAAGTTACCCAGTCTGTGGTATTTTATTAGGGCAGCCCTAGCAAACTAAAACACCTTCCAGTTGCTCTTATAGGCCACAACAAAATTCCCCTTGCTTAAATTTACTGTGATCATGTTAATATTCTCTTTAAAAACCAAATGTTTCATCTTCTTATTCTGATTTTCACAGTCTTTGAAAATTTGGTCCCAACTTGTCTTTCCCTACTTAAGTCAGACTATACAGAACTCGTCTAGGAAAATTGCTTAATCCACCACCCTCCTTCACCCCCAGCTGTGTTTTGTACTTTATATGTTCATGTCTTTGCTAATTCTACCTGGACTATTGCAATTTTGATCCTTAATCCATCAGCGTGCATCTCAAATACACACTCATCTGCAAAGCTCTTGGTTACCTTAACTAGCATATCTTCCTCTCCTGAATTTTTGTAACATATTGTCATCATTTATTCATGTCTTATTCCTCTTTTGAAGGTAAGATCCTAGAAGACACAAGCCAGGTTTTTACACCTATATATAAATTTCCCAGCACAACACTTTCCAAAAAGAAGGTGCTCCATTTCTTCATTTATTCATGCCTACATTCTATTAGTCACATATCGTATTAATTTTTAGAGGATGCAAGAGAGGACAAACAAATGTGGTCTCTGTCCTGTGGAACTCACACTCCATTTGAAGCACAGATAAATGAGTAATCAAGCAGTTGTATTGTTGCCAGCATCTCCACTGGAGAATGATGCTGTGATCTATGTCAGGTAGTATGCTCGGAGAAAGCCTTCTGTGGTTGTGTCATTGACATGTAAAATATGAAGAAACCAGCCCCATGGCAAGAGATAAACAGGGGCTGAACTCTTGGGGCAGGGGTGAATTTGGTGTGCTCCAGACTGGCGTACTGAGAGTGCTGTGAACAAGAAGGAGGATGGAGAGAAAGGCCAGGGTCAAGTCCTGCAGGGCTTAAGTCCTTCTGAAGCTTTCAAAGAATATTAATCAGGGAAGTGTTCATAACACAATTCTAGCATTGCTGTATAAAGGATGAATTGTCAAAATGAAAGCATGGAGGCATGTTAGGAGGCTATTGTGGTACTCAAGTTAAAAGTAGTGGCTCATGAATGGGGTCAGTGATAGTAAAGAAAGAGAGAAGTGGGTAGGCATATGACATCCTGAAGGTAGAACTTGCAAATGGAGAGGATGTGAGGAAGGAGAGCCATCAAGGATTATCCCCAAATTTCTGTCTCCACTAACAATGTTTTTACTTTTTAATTTTTTATTGAAAAGTAGGACTTGGGAACTAAAAAGTGTCTTATAACACACACACATACACACACACAGGCAAATCTCCCAACTTTGCTAAATTACAGCCATCAGGGATAATCTCTTTAATAATTGAGTACATATTCTTCCAGAATATTTTAGTGCTTGTGTGTGTGTGTGTGTGTGTGTGTGTGTGTGTGTTCGTAGTGAAAAGAAAAAGAATGTTATTTAAAACAAAAACCAACTACCTCCATTTCTACCTTCCACAGGCATAGTATAAATCTGTCTTAAGTAAAGAGTGTTTTGCTGAGAAAAATCACCTTAATTGGTGTTTTTGATGAGTAACCTGGTGAGAGAGGGGAAAACAAAGGGAGAAGTTAATTACCCTGTGTAGTAAAGTATGGAGACTAATATACATGGGCAGCCTCTCTCACAGGTTCAGAAAAAACAAAAGGGAGGACATACATGGAAGGGACATCCAACATGAGGCCTGAGGAAATTGTTGGCATGTAAGGCCTTGTCTGTGGTGGAGGTGGTCAAGGATCTTTAGGATAGCAGTAACTAACATCTCTATAAATATCTCAGCTCCACTATACTTCTTCCTAAAATTTCATTAAAATTTAATTATATACACAACAAAGTGCTTTAGGGCATAAAAAGAAGGTTGGCATTCAGGGTGGGAAAGGCAGTGTTGGAAGGGGAGAACAGTCCCAAGAGTGAGAGCCAGGTAGTCATGGAGAGTCAGGCTGCAGAATGAACTGATGGAGGGAGAGTAGACATCACTCCATTTTTCTGTCTTATGACCAAGGAATTCCCTCAGTTTGGAACTTGGTGGTTTGAGAACTGGACTTGGGCCATTTTATTTGGGTAGTTAAAAAACATATTTCAGAAGGCTGGAGAGTTTAGGGATCTAGGCAGTGAAATCTGATTGTGTGTGTTTTTATAATTTGAGAAATTTCTCATGCATCTCCAACATATTTCAGTTATAGATAACTCTATCTATAGCTGAACATATTTCCTGAACATCCCTTACTAGGTTTCTAGACATAAAACAAAATTCTCATGATACATTTCTGAGCTGTGAGTCATAGTTCTTTCATCACTTAAAAAACATCGGCATCCCTGGAAAGGTATGGCAATGCTGGTAAGAGGCAGGGAATCTCTGAAATTTTAGAGTCTCAGTTGCCCCATAAATAAGAGATGGCAGAATTGTTGTATCACTTTTAAATTTAGATTTTTCAATTATGGCAGCTTCTGCATTTAATTATTCGGTATCTGAAAGGTCACTAGAAACCAAGAGAAAAAAAGTAGTGTGGAAACTGAAAAAAAAAGTTTAACCAATTTCCATTCAAACAAAGATCCCTTCTTGCATTTTTTTTTCCCTTTGGGGAGGTGATGAGGCAGAGAGAGGTTGTGGGGAACAAGGTGGTTATTGTTTTTGTGAAACTCTTTGGTTTTGACTCTGACCTTTATCTTATAGTGGAAGGTAGGGCGTTCTGTATTAAATGGAAGAAACTTGTGGTTAAGGAGTAGAGAAGCAATAATTGGAGAGGCTGAGATATTGTCTACCAGAGACCCCATATTGGCTAGGGAGAATCACTTAGCAGCAGTGTATATGCTCTAATTAGGACAATAGGGTGACTTGTGGCTGAATTCCAAGGATCATTATTGCTGAGACATTTTATAAGCTTGAGAAATCTGATTTATTGCCAGCCTCTATCAATACTACTCTTTCTCCTCCTAGCTACATTCATAATTCCTCTTGTTTCTCATTCTCCCAGCTCAGGAAAATGCTGGTGTCTTCAGATGCCTTTAGAAAAGACAGGCGGGTTCCTCAAGTCCATACATAGCCACGTCCTCCTAAACACGCCTATTGCCATAACTTCTCCTATGTCCTCAGAAAGTGGGAGGAAGAAAGGAAGAGACATAAACGGTTTTGAGATCAAGTTCACCCTTTAGTATTCCCTAGGTTTATTATATGTGTTAATAAAAATGGGGTTCTGTTCTTGTTTCTGTAGTTGACTTTGGGAAACTTTTGAAGAACCTAGGTGTTTTTTTGTAATAAAGTACCTGTTGGCATTGTGGGGACTAAACTACTTTGACTGTGTTTCCGTAATATGAACATAATATATAATCGTTGCTTTCAATCATTATAAGTTTATTGTTCTAGGTTCTGTATTTGCATGCTGACATGATGTAATTGGTTCAGCTCATTTTTTTTTGTTTGTTTTCATGAAGATTCTTCCTTGGAAGTTAGATTTGTCATTCTCTAGTGAGCTATTCAGAAAGCACAGTTGTATTAGGACAGCAAATTATTCATGAAAGTAATGATTCTGGCAACCTGACAGAAGGGAAAACCAAATACCCAAATGAATAAATCTGTTTTCCCCTTTCCCACAAGTTCAATTCGTCTCTATCCCACAGAATCCACTGTAAGGCTACAGAAGGTGCTGTCCCTGATCCCAGCTGGGGAATTCCTTGGTTCTTTCCAACAATTATGGTTTACCAAAATTGTCCTTACTCTGTGCTATGATCTATGTCATCGGTAACATTGTGCTTTCTCAAGGAATTGTCTGCTTATGGACTTGTCTGCTTACTAGACTTAGAGCTCCTTGAAGACTTGGGTAGCATTTTCTTCATCTCTTCATTCTCAGGGCTGGTACATTGTAAAGGAAGGCTTTACCTAGGGGTGCCCAGGAGCTTAATTTGCATGCCCACCTCAGGAAACTTGCTATATGAGGACAGACCACAGGTACTGTTTGCATTAGGGTCTCCTGGGCTAACTAGAGAGAGACATTCTGGAACTGATGATACCGAATAAAGAGTTATTTAGATAGAGAACAATGACTTGCAGGATAGGAAGAGAGATGTCTTGGGAGATGGGCAGTGAGTGCCACTAATATAAAATGTCGTGGTGGCTGGGATGCTGGCTTATAATTAGGGGGATCAGTTTTGAGTTGATCCTAGTATGGTGTTACTTTAATGCATTCTGGCCTAATCTTTGGGACTATGTCCCGGATTCTTTGATAAAGAACGCTGTGAGATAAAGCATTAAACCTCCTTTGGGTATTGACTCAGAGCTAGGGCAGGGGATGTAGGCATCATATTGGTGAGGCTTGCAACTACTGTGGGCTAGTCTCTCACTTCTGGTGGGAGTTGGGGTCCACAGCCAAGTGGTCACCATTTTATTGAGAAGAACACCAGCTGTAGGGATAGAACCCACAGTGACAGACATCAGCATCCATTCAACAGAGCAGTAGACACTGGGTTACTAGAGAAAGGATGAGACTTGGGAGCCTTGGAGCCATGTCAACACAGTTCAGAGGCTGAAGAGATCAAAGATACTTTAGTTGCTACCCAGCATAGGCCAGGGGGCTTGGGTTACAGCTACCTAATTGTATAATCATAGACACCTTAAGTCAGGCAGTTGGCTTGATAAACAGATGGAAAAGCAGTCAGCTTTCTTAACAATCCTATCATTCCACCCTTTTAGTGAGAACAAATAATTTGGTAGTTCCCCAGGGAAAATCATGCTCTTGGGCAGAGATGCCATTTTCCCATGAGGGAGGTGTGTTTGACCAAGTCTATTCTCTGTATAAAAGGTCTCTTCAGATTAGATCAGATGCACAGTTGGGGTTTGCGTAGGGGCAACCCACAGGTGAGAAGCACCTCACTTGGGTTTGTATTTGAGTGGGCTGAGCCAATGCAGAACATTGTGAGGAGCCTAATGGGCTTCAGAACGTCAGTTTCAGTCCCATGTGACTGGTTGGCTGGCTGCCCACCTGCTGCTCTGTCTCTAGCAAAGCTCAACATTCAACCTTTGAAAGTGTTCTCACATGTAGATCCTGTTTATGTAGGAAGTTTGATCTAACGCCCACAGTCACACAAGTGCTTTAATTACATACTGGAAGGGTATCCTCTTGCTCCTACCCATGTCTCAATACTGCACAGAGCAGATATGCTGCTGTGTTCTCTACACCTTGAATTTCTAAAGTGGAATCACCTCCCACAAAACTGTCCATCTCTCAGTGGGTACTGTTCTGACCAGCTGGCCTATGTGGTTTGCATTGCTGCCATGTTGGGGGTTATTGATTAAAAATAAAATAAAATTAATCAAGATGAATTGCTTACTTCTCTCCCTTAGATTTCTTTTATTTTGATGCTCTTATTCCACTCCTCTATTATCTTTATACTATATCTCTCTTTAGTAAACCAGAATGAATTGCTCAAAAAATTTGTTATTCAAATATGAGACATCTTTTAGTTTACAAATTATTTTCTTGAATTGCAACACATTTTCTTTTGAAAATGCTGTGGTAACTAATGACCCCCAAATCCAAGTGGGATATACAGGTTTGTTTCTTGCTCAAGTTACATGTCCATCATTGACCAGTTGAGGCTCTGGTCAATGTCATCTTCATTGTGGGACCCAGGATGCTGGTGTGGCCTCTAACCGGGATGCTGCTGGGCTCATGGGAGAAGGAAGTAGGGCCTAGTGATCACATGCTGTCTCTTAAAGTTTCTTCTTGTAAGTGAAAAGAAGCTTTTGAAGCTCCCCCTCTTAAATTCCCCTAAGAATTCCTTCCAGGGTTTATTTGACCCAAAGAGAGATCAGTCCTTTTCTAATGCTAGGTATAGGGAGAACTGGGCTTTGAACAGTATGTTGCCCATCACCACTTGGGGTTGCTGCTGAAGACAAGTCAGGTATGTCCCTCCAGTGCTGCTTGTCCACTGAAGCAGCATGGCCCTGGGTTGTCCAGACACCTCCATTTCTGAAGTGGCTACACTCAGTCCGTATGGATATGGCTTTAGCAGAAAGCACTTTTGGTTAACATACACAGACACATCCAGAGGCACAAGCTCACCAATACTGAGGTCTGGTTGGATTCCAATAACTATTACTCAAAGAGCCAATATTCAATGTTCTTCCCTGTTAACCATTATCATCCAAGTGGCAACACAGCCTTTTTAAAGCTTCTCAAAATTCAACATGTTTTATATCTTTTTTCCTGTAAAAATACTACCTTACTATAGCAGATAAAATGTAACTGTTCATGGAACCATTTTATTTTCTTCCTGGTCACATAGGAAGATTTCATTTTCCAGTCCTCCTTTCAACTAGGTGGAATCTGTGATGAAATCTGCCTAGAGAATATGGGCCTTACCTTTCCTGGGCCTTGCTATAAAAACTTTTCTGTGAGATCTTCCATGAGCTCTTTAACTATGTGTTTGGAAATAAGGATTCCAAAATGGTTGCATTGCAAGTTGGGAACAGCATGAGCCTTAAATCACTACTTAGAGGGGAGCCATCAGAAGAGTGATTAACCTGCATTGGAGCTCGTCTACATGAGAAATTTTAATTTTGTGAGTTTCTGAGATTTGGGAATCTACCCGTTGTTGTGACAGAGCCTATGCTTCTTTAACCAATATAGGTATTACTCAAGGCATTTTGCCCTCCCTCGATAATGTCACTCAACTTATCTGCATAACCAAGAAGAGCCTTTTACATATATCCACTTGAACTGAAACAGTTTGCTTTAGGGGGCCTTGTTTAATGACTCCCAGTCATTAAAGAGGTTGGCAAGTTATAGGACTTATATCAGTCAGCTTGGCTAAGTTATGCTGTGGTAACTAATGACCCCCAAATCCAAGTGGGATATACAGGTTTATTTCCTGCTCAAGTTACATGTCCATCACTGACCGACTGAGGCTCTGGTCCATGCCTTGTTCACTGTGGGACCCAGGATGACGGCGTGGCCTCTAACTGTGGTGTTGCTGGGCTCATGGGAGAGGGAAATAGAGCCTAGTGATCACATGCTGTGTTTTAAAGCTTCTGCTCGTAAGTGAAAAAACATCACTTCTGCTTGCATGTAATGAACCAAAGCAAATCACATGGCTAAAGCTGATGTCATGGAGGATAATACATAATCCTCCTACAGGGAAGGACATCACAGAAAGGGGAACTGGAATATTTGGAAGAATAGTAATGCCATCTATCACAACCCTCAAAGGACACTCTTCTTACTTTATGTCTTGAAAGTCACCAATTATTTTTATTTGATTATTTATTTATTTATTTGTTTTTTGAGACAGGCTTGCTGTGTCACCCAGGTTGGAGAGGAGTAGCACAATCATGGCTCACTGTACCCCTAATCTCCTGGGCTCAAGTAATGCTCCTGCCTCAGACTCCCTAGTAACTAGGACATAAGTGTGTGCCACCACACCTAGCTAATTTTTAAAATTTCTACTAGAGAGGAGGTCTTACTATGTTGCTCAGGTTGGCGCTGAATTCCTGAGCTTAAGTGATCCTCCTGCTTCAGCCCCCTAAAGTTCTGGGATTACAGGCATGAGCCACTGCACCCAGCTTATCCTATTATTTTTAAAAGGTACAGATTAGGTTGCTGGTGAGACCTTGCTTAATTTAAATTCTTTGGAAATATATCCTTCCCTAGCACGGAGTCTGGAGATAGGCAAATATATTAATGGAAAGACAAGAGTGTTAAATAACCCCAAACTTAGTGCTCCTCAAATAACCTTGTGAAAAAGGGATACTCAGCCACTCTCTGCTCCTTTCTTAGTCAGATGCTCCTTACGTTAGCCTCATGATATAACTTTCTTGGGCTGTATTAGTTTTCTATTGATGCTGTACCAATTACCTCAAATTTAGCAGCAGAAAACAGCATCCATTTATTATCTCACAGTTCTGTAGCTCAGAGGTTCAGGCACAGCACCTGAAACTGCTTTGAATCTCACAAGGTTGAAATAAAGATGCCAGCATCTGGGGATGAGCTGACTTCCAGGCTCACTCAAGATTTTGGCCAGATTCAGTTCCATGCCATTGTAGGACTGAATGATTTATTTCCTTGTTAGCTGTTGGTCCAGAGTTGTTCTAGTTTCTGGAGAGCACTTGCGTTCTCTGATGCACACCCCTAGCAACAGAAGTTGGAGTTCTTTTCATCCTTTATCTCTCCATGACCTTCCTTTCTTCCTCAACGCTCCTCTGCCTACGTCTTCTGTCACATCTCTCTGACTGAGTCTTCTGTCTCAGTTTCTGCTTTTAAGGATTTATGTGATTGCATTGGAGTTACGCAGATAATCCAAGATAGCCTCTCTATTTTAAGGACAGCTGATTAGTAACCCTAATACCATCTCTTCACAGTGGTACCTATACTAATGTTTGATTGAATAGCCAGAGTGTGGAACTCTCGGGGAGATATCTTTAGAAGTCTGCCTACCTTATGGTTTTTAGGCATATCTGGGTACCAAATAATTACTCAGAAAACTTCCTTAAACCTTTTCATATGGTAGTAAAGTCTGGTAGGTTCTCTGGTATAAAAAATCTACTCCCTAGAAAAGAAAATTCTATCAGCAAGGGTAGTTCTCCTGACCAGATGTTGAAGATAAGGATAGAACTTTATACCTTTCTTCCTTCAGGACCTCACACAGTGCCCCATGTCCAGTAGACAGTCCATGGATGTTTATTGCTGCTGCTGCTATTCTGGCTGCTGATGAACAAAATAGGCCCAGGTCGCTTATGCTTCAAGCAGATTATGAGGCCCTGTGCCACGTGTAGCAGAGTCTTTATAAATAGACTGTTTCACTTAGTTCAGAGAAATGACCACCACAAAATGGTCCAAAACCTTCCCCCATTCTGTCATTCAGCATCAGCTTTGCTGAGGAATGGGGTGAAGATATTTGCATGTTGTTTATTAGCAGAAAACCTGAAAGTGTAATGTTTTCTGAAATTAATAACAAAAAATTTAGGTGCATTCTAGTGGGAAGACTCTTTTCTTCCCCACCCATATTTCTCTGAGCCCATATGAAAAGGAAGTCCCATTTATCCTTCCATCCTTTCTAGGGAGTTCCTGAGAGGGGGTTTCTGTGTTTCTTTTGATCACTTGCATGGTATTCTCTAAGGGAGGAGGAGTAGTTAACCTGATGGGTAACACTCTGTTATCCCCTAGGTTGAGTCCAGTGTCCTAGAAGGTATGGTTTGCTTTAAAAGCAGGAACAGACTTCACACTCTCTTTCCTGCACTGACCATAGCATGGAGAGGTAAGGACAGTGTACTCTCAGCTCTTCTTCCTTTTGTAGAAGAGTTGCAGCTGGCTCAGGTTGGAGCGGGCCTGGAGGTGCCTTACTCTGCTGGGCTTTCTTGGCCTTTCTGTCCAACTGTTGATAAGCCTGTGGGGCAGCTAGTTGGGTAAAAACTCATGTCATCTTCTTGGTAGGCCATATACTCCCCAACTCTGGATTTAGGAAAGCTCTATTTTGGCTTCAGCTATAAGCTGAGTGTTTTAGCAGGGAGCTCTGTACTACAGGAATTATTGAGTTTTTATTAATATATATTTACTCTCCTTTTAGCTCACTGTGGATTTACTCAATAGTTAGTTACAACCCAGAGAAGAGTTGGGGAAAGTGATTAGGCCCATCTTAGTTCCAGCATTATGAATATTCCTATAATCTTAGGGTAACAAGTAGGACATTTCTGGAGCATGGCAGTAAATTCAGAATCCATAGAGGAAAGGATGACTAGATTTGATTACCATATTAGCTAGACAGTTAATATTCTTAATATTAAAATCATCCTCAAAATGATACAAAATTATGAAATCCTCAAATAAAAAATGGTCACAGGATATATATTGGTAATTCATTAAAGAAGAAATAGGTAAAGAAAAATAGCCTCTTCTTTTCACTGTCATTATGGTATCCCTAGATGATCTCATCTAGTCTTTTTTTAATTTTAATTTTTGTGAGTACATAGTAAGTATATATATTTATGGAGTACACAAAATGTTTCTCAATTAGGCTTGTGGCTTAATACTATCTACAGGCTGATTCCCAAATTTTTATCTCCAGTTCTGATCTCTCCTTAGAGTTTCAAATTAATGTATCCATCTTCTCATTGACACCTCTTCTGCAATGGCAAGCAGTCATTTTAAACTTACCATGTCTAAAACAAAGCTGTTGATTTCTCAACCTCTCTGCCCTCCCCTCAAACCTTCCTTCCTTTTCATTGCCCCCACATAGAATCTATCAGCAAGCCCTACCTTCCATATTTCTTCATTCTGTTTTATTTATTCTTTCTTTTCTGGAACTAAACTAGTCCCTAGTTCAAACTACCAACTCTCTCTACTTCTACCCTCATTTCTTCCAACCCATTCTTATCATAGTAGCATTCAGAAAACATAAGTCCAATATTTTTATCCCCTGTTTAAAACCTTTCAGTGACTTTCCGCTTCTTACAGAGCAGTGATTGCAAAACAAAGGCAGTTTTACCTCCAGGTAACATTTAGCAATGTCTAGAAACATTTTTGTTTGTCACAATGGAGTTAGGGGAAGGAGCAAGGTCTCCTACAGGCGTCCAGTGGGTAAAGGCCAAGGATGCCACCAAACATCCTACAATGCATAGTACAACCTCCAACACCAAAGCATTTTGCAATCTAAAATGTCAATAGTGCTGAGGTTGAGGAAGTCTGATATAAAATCCAAGTTCCTTATTTTGGGCTATAAAGCCATTTAGAATCTGTCCTGCCAACTTCTCAACCTCAACTTCTGTCACCTTTCTTTTCTTTTTCTCTTCCTTCTTTGCAAAGGCCTTTCTTCCTTAGAGCATGCCAGGCTGGTCTCTGTCTCTGGGCATTTGACTTTGCTATCACATCTCTCTAATGTTTTTCAATAGTACTTTTCACCATCAATAAGTTTCTTTTTGCTTTGTTTATATGTTGTATTAGTTTGCTGAGGTTGCCATAAAATACAACAAAAAGAGTGGCTTAAACAACAGGAATTTATTTTCTAACTCTTCTGGATTCCAGAAGTCTGAGATCAAGGTGTTGGCAGGGTTGGGTTTTTTTAAGGCCTCTCTCCTTGACTTGTAGGTGGTTGTCTTCTCCCTGTGTCTTCACACTATCTTCCTTCTGTACCTGAGTCCAAATTTTCTCTTCTTATAGGGACATCAGAGATACTGGATAAGAGACCCCCTAGTGGCTTCATTTTAACTTAGTTACTTCTTTAAAACCTGTCTCCAAATATACTCACCTTTTGAGACACTGGGAGTTAGGACCTACACATATGAATTTCGTAGTGGGGGTCACAATTCAGCTCATGACTCGTGTATATCGTTTATGTTTTCCCTGCTAAAATATAAGTGCCATGGTGGAGGAGACCTTATGTCTCTTGTCTGATACTATATCCAAAGCACTTAAGTTGATAGCTGATATAGAGTTAGTACTCAATAAGCTTTTGCTCAATAAATGAATAGACTTGGTTAGTGATGGTAATTATAGGATTTGTTACTGATCACATGTGAAAGCAAGGCAGAGAAAAAGTCTTCGATGATTCCCAGGTTTGTAGTTTAGAAGATTGAATGGCCGGTGTTACCCTTAAACATGATAGGAAACACAAGAAAAAATCAGAATTTGGGGGAAAAGTTTTAGATATGCTGGGTGAGAAATACTGGGAATATATTCAGGTGGAAAAATTAAAAAAACCTGTAGATATATGGCCTGGAATGGAATGAAGAGATCTTGGTCAAACACATAGATCTGGGGATCATCAATTTATAGCAAGTAGTAAAATCTGGATAGCAGATGAGATTATTCAAAAAGAACATGCATAGGAAGAGGCCTAGTATAGAAGCAAGGAAAACACTAATGTTTAAAGATTGAGTGGGGAAAGCAAAGTTTGGTTGAGAAGTGTTAGGAGGCAGGAGCAAAGCAAGAGTTAAGGAATCATAGTATCAAAGGGGAAAAGATATTGAATGGAATGATCACCTATATCAAGGGATAAAGTATTTCTCAAAGACTGTTCCAAGGAATAACTCTTCCATGATTTACTGTTTTGGAAAACTGGTCAACTTAGTGAGATAAATGCTGAAGTCTACATACTTCTCTTGCAGAATCCCCCAAAACATTAGCATAATAATGTCTCTGAGAAGTCTTGCTATACAGACAACATAGATTTTAATTTCCAAATTAAAGTTTCCAAAGCTCATGGTCTGGGCACATATCTCTTCCTTTTCCCCCTACATAACAACTGTTAATAATAGTACAGGGAACTGGATCCCAAGGAACACTGTGAAACAATGCTATTGCATAAACGATTAGGTAACCATTAAGAGGATTCCTTTGGATTTGACAATTACGGGCCTTGTCTGAGTGGTTTCCATAGAGTTGTGGGGTCTTAAGGGTGAATAGGGAGGGGCAGAATTAAAGCAGTAGGCATAATCTGCTCCTTCTATAAGGTTGATCTCAAAGAGAAGGAAAAGATAGGGCAGTGTCTAGGGTGGATGGTTGTGTAAGGTTATATAATGTTTTAATGGAAAGGATATGACGACTAGGTTTATAGATAGTAGAGAGATTGAGGAATAGTAGCAAGAAGAGTTCAAAAATCAATAATCAATAGTAGAACAAGGTATACAAGGAGAAGGGAGAAACTAAGATCAATAAAAGGTTCTTTCCTTTTCTGGAGGAGACTAGAGAAAAGGAAAGGAGAGGCTGCAGTGGTAGACATAGGGTAAGAGGTGGAAGCCCATGATAGGCTTCAATTTCTCAGACAAGAACATGTGCTCAGAGTTTGTCTTTGGTGCTGAAACAAAAGGTGCCCTCCCCTTCTTTCCCCTCCACCCAAAAAAGGTCATGTATGATCTCGCTCACGTAAAAATCCTTTCCAAATGTTATGATTATTACTGCTGTGGTCAGGGCATCACCTCTTTTTTGTACTCCTATATAGGCATCATTGTTCTGACCTTCAATTATCTAGTTTCCTTCAGGTCTCTGCTTCTGGAGCAGAGATTTATTTTATGCATTTCTGTTTCCTACTACCTTTTACAGAGTGGAGTGTTGTAAACATTGTGGAATGATTAGTGAGTCACAGGCAGCATCCCAATCTGTCCTCAATTGAGAATTCAATGAATTTGCCTTATTTTAAATTGAAGAATCCTAGTACCAGGGTGTAGCTACACAATTCAGTTCTGTACACTTTCAGTTCTGTACACTTTCTATGTAAATCTTACATAGAAATTTGTCCTGACCTTACTTCTCTACACTCAGTTTTCATGATCCATGCCCAACTCAGTTGATTTTTATCCCAGATTGCTCTACCTGGTTGTCCCAAAGTGTGTTATCTTTGTATGTAAAGGATTTATCAGAGTGCAAGACACAATGCAAACTTAACAAATGGTAGTTGTTATTATTACCATTATAATAGATTCAACTAAACCAAGGAAAGCTACATTACCAAAGTTGCAGTTTTATATTTCTCAATTATCTACATAGTCTTCTATGTCCTGCCCTTTCTGTCCACATTTTCTTTAATATTTTTCCCTTATGAACTATTTAGTCATTTTTATGCCACTGTCTTGTTAACACCAAATCTCTTATTTGTATTTATTTACTTACCTAATATACATATTTATATTTTGATGGTTTCCCTACCCAGTATTTATCTTATCTTTCATTTTTCTTTATTTCAGGCAATCCAAAATATCATTCTTTTATTCATTTCTCCCCCAATCATCAGTTACCAATAAGCCTGAAAGCCATCACTGTAAAATTTCCATGTATACAACAATGCTTATTTGTTGGGCACTTACTGTGTACTACTTACTCCTCCTGGTATTGAAGACAAAAGCACAGTAAATTTTTAAAAAGCCACCATCTATATGGAGCTCATAGTCTAATGAAATACATAGACAATGTACAATTAACAATTAGATAACTAATGAACTTGTAAACATTAGGTTCTTAGGTGGGTCACCAGACAGTAGAAAACTAACTTATAAGGAATGTGTGGCTTGGGCAGAAAATATTCCTGGAATAAAGAAAGTATAGGCAAGCTGTATTTGAAATTCCAGACTAGCGAAGTAAAGGAAGGTTATTAGGTAATGTAGTACACTAAATCTATCAGGATCCACAATGGAAAGATCAAAATGTGATTAACTAGGCAACGTGTGGATGATGGTGGGTGGTTGTTAGAGTTATGACCATTTTGGTTAATTCCATCACTATTGCTTGAAAGTAGCCTTACTTAAGAGTTGTTGCGGATAACTCACTAGGGATCAGAGCTTGTTTTGTTGGGGTGTCAGGAGCAGTGTAAGGCATTCATAAAACATACTTTATGATTTGGATCTTCTGTTTACATTTGTAAAGAGATGGGCATTTGCCATTGTGCAGATGAAGGCAGCTCACTCCCTAATGGATTCCAGAACCTCACCCTATTTCAGTAGATAAAGTCTATTGGTAAAATTATTAGTTCAATTATGGAGATGCCGAACTTTTGGTGTTTATGGAATCTTCAGTAAGAAATAGCTACTTAGCACTTTGATATGTAGAACTAGAGTTTCAGGGGGGATTGAGAGTTTCAAGGGGGGAATCTCGGCTGGAGAAAGAATATTTGGTATTGTCTTACCCAATGGAAATGAATGAGATTGCTCAAAAAGGTGTACTGCATTTTACAATGTTTAGAGTAGATTCCAGGTAGGGAAAGAAGTGACAGTAGAAAGGCGCTAACTGAGAGAAAGTTGAGAGGGTCATTGGATGACAGATCTGGTTAAGACAAAGAGTTGGCATAAGGAGAGTAACTGAGTGAGGGAAATTTAAGAGTGAAAAGTAAAAGTTTGTATTCAGAGAGTGGGGTGACTGAATTTAATCTTTTAAATCTGGAACTATTCTAGGTAAAACAGTTTTGGGCATGTCTGGGGGTGACTGAAAGTGAGGAAAGTCCTCTGGAAAGGATTGTTAGGGAGGGCACAAGAGTGGAATTACAGAGCAGTGATCGTGATGAAGGTACAAAAGAGATTAAACCAGGGAGGGGCTTAGGTGTCAGAAGACAAGTGAAGATACCAGAAGTGTGAGGCATGGTGAGCTATGGAATTGAGAAGACAACTGGCCCCAGCTTTCCCCTGGAGAGATGACTATGGCGAAAGGCACTTAGGTTCATCTAGAGCCAGTCATAGCCTGGACGGAATATTGGTTGTTGAGGATGTGGCAATGCAGATCTCTGTGGGTCTTCATTGCATTGGTTCTGGGGTCAAAGTTGTTGGTGTTAGACTTTGTACTAGGACTGCTGCATGGACTCCAGGAGTTGTACACAGTGCAATTTAATTGAATCCATATTAGCTGTTACCATTGAGGCCCTTCAAGTATGTCATCCCATGGGGCTTTTTACAAGCTCAGACTGGGGTTGGGGAGCAGGGCTATATCAGTTTCTGGATGCCCTATGGAGTGGATGGAGATAAGGAGTTGAAAATGGAGAATGATAACTATTTGGTCCATCATGCGTTGAGTTGGAGGATTGAGCAGAGAGTGAATCCGTACCAGGGATGAAGTCAGAGCCAGGTGAGGGACCAGAAGTCACTTCCAAAATTACTAAAACAAGGAGGTAAAATTAGAGGATTAGAAATCACATGTTTCTCAGATATAAGATAGAATGGCTAGATATGGAGTGGGTAAAAACAAGGTATAGTTATTAGGGTGAAAGTAAAGAGGGGTCTGGTTATATGTTATATAGTATATGGTTGGTTTGGTATTAACAGTATGCCTTCTGTTTTGCAGAAGGCATACAATTAAAAAACAAGGCATGGCTACATTGGACAATTAACTCTTGGCAGCTTGTAACAAGTAAGATGGTCTTGAACAGTCTCTTTTATCTATCGCAGTCTGTCTTCTCATCTGTAAAAATTAAGCTATTGGCTTGGGTCATCTCTGAAGTTTCCAATAGCTCTGTGATTCTGTATCATTTATTTTGTCTTATTCAGGTCCCAACTATCCTCCAACAACCCCTAGGATTCCCTCTAGGGCCCCAAATTACACTGAAGAGGTCCACTGCCTTCAGGCAAGGCCAGCTCTATTTTCTTCCTAACATTTTGGGTTCAAGTAACTGCAGAGATTTGGGGAGAAATAATACATGTCCTTCTGGAAAGTGAATGACCTAATCTCTCTGGAACAGAACGTGACTTTGTTGTTTACGTTTTGTTTCATTTTTGTTACCAGGCAATCAATATGGGGCCTGTTGGAATGATATGTGCCAGCTGGGATTTCTGCCTCATCACACTGCCAGAGAGAAGAGTGTGAAGCCCGCTTGGAGAAGAGGAGGAGGCTGAAAAGAAGGCAAAGAGTGAAGATAGAGAAACAAGATGGAAGTGGGGGAGAAAAACAGGGATGAGAGAATGCCATGGTGGTGCTGAGAAGGAAAGGAGAGACTTTTCTGCTTGTAAAGGGCAGAAGATGGCAGAATCCAGTGACGCAGGGGCATCTGGCTCCAGAAATAATAGGTCACTTGGCACCCACTTCTTCAAAACAGTGAGCTTCATGAACATTCTTATTTATTTGACGTGGATATTGCATGCCTGGTAGATGTGTTCCACAAGAAATTCTTGGTGGGAGTCAACCTAATCACAGTGAAGGAATAGTCTTTGAGAGAAGGGCTTTACTTACTTGACAGCTATCTGCTTTTATTTGAGAAGCTAAGATGGGAGGATTCGGATTACGTATTGCCAGTTGCATTCTTTGTTTCTCTTTTGAAATATGAGAATTGACTCGGACTGTGCAAACTATTTTCTTCTCATTTCTTTATTACCACATATTTAACGTGTGTCAACAAGCTGACTCTTAATTGGCTGGCTCAAGTACAGCGACAGGATTCTATAGGAAGGGGGAGCAAAGCCATAAGCAAACTTAAACATTTCTTGATGCCATTATAGCTCTCAATGGCCATCTTATACTAATGCCTATTTCTCTACATCACACACACACACACCCGCCCCCACATTCAGCACTTTATATTATAAAGTGGCAAAAACCACAATTACTTTTGCACCAACCTAATAGTAACTCACTACATGTAAGGAGATTGTGGAGATGCAAACTTCTCTTCCCTTTACCTTACTGGCTTCTTTCTAATAAGCTGAACTTGGGTGTGAGGGTAGTCAGAGAGAGGCAAGGTTACTCTAATTTTCCATTTGCAGGATATCTATGTTTGAAAGAAGACAATTCAAATGCTGGCTTTACCCATGCAGCGACAAACAATTTTTACTCTTACTTTTATGGGCTTCAGAGAGGCTACACAATCTCTCAGAAGTCCCTGCTGACTGTGATTTTTAAAGGAATGTTATTTTGGAAGTGAAGTGACTGAGAAGTAACTATAATCTTCAGGGGTAGAGAAACAGAAAAGATATGAGGTTGGCATAATAGTCTTGGGAAGATAGAATAAGACAAAGAAGAGCTTATAGTTTTAGAGCTGAACTCAGGTTGGATCTTTTATCTGATAACATTTTAAATATTCAGTGTTATTCTCTATCATTACAAATAGCCAGAAAATAATTTTGTTTTCATAAGGAAGTGATTTAAAAAGGAAGAATTTAGGGAAAAAATTACAAGAAATGATTCTCAGTGAGGGTTGGCTACTTGAAAGTTATCAAAGTAGGCTTCAGAAAGCTTAACTGTCATGTATCCATCAAAGAGTGAGAGGAATTAATGAATTCTACATGAATTCAGTATGTTCTACAAACATAGGAAGATCTAAATTTAGTGTTGTATGAATATTTTTTCATTTAAGAATTGTTACCAGTTACCTCATGATTGGTACACTGGGTTAAGCATTAAAAGATCTGAAATTGGGAGGAAGAAAGAAAGAGAGTAATGTATCTGGAGCCATGACAAAGAAAGTTTTTAAAACAATTGCTTATTTATCCTTAATTCATCGTAATAACCATTACTGTTCTCAAACCTAAAAAAAAATCACTTCTGCCATTTTGCTTCCTCTTCGACCTTTTATCTTCCTTTTCTTGTACTCATATGTAAAATATTTCTGTGACAACTTGAGTAGTAGTTAATCTGCTTATGCCATTCTGGACAGACACAAAGAGATGGTGTCCCCATGTGTGGGAATTACTCCCAGTGCAGCGGGAATGAAATTAAACTACAATCTCAAGTCCTCTGAAGAAGTCCCTGAAGAGTACAGCCCCTGGTTAAAATCCATGTGTGAATTTTCAGGCCTGACCATAGGCAATTACAATGGCTTTACCTGGCAGGCCTCGTGGGGAAATCTGCCTTTCCCTCACCAGACTTTATAGCCAATGCACTGCAGCCTCAGGAGAGAGTGGCAGTCAAGGACTCAGGTCCCCCAGCCAATCATGCTCTTTCACATATTTACCTTCGTAACCCAGGAACCTTCATTCCAAGGTCTCTGACACCTCCGACAGAGACCTTCTTCAGGTTCCTCTGCTGAAACCTTCTTATGCAGGAGGAGGGAAAAACCTTGAAGACATGTTTCCACATTCTGACCCAATACTCAGGAATTTTCCCCACCCCTAGCCCTTCTCCTCTTCTCTCCCCAGCACTCCTCTTCTCATATCTATGATGATCCATCTGACTCTTAATTGGTGTGCCTTTCTTTTGGGAAAAATGGAACAGGGGGAGTCAGTGCCTCCGCCAGTTTTAGCCTCTTGCTTATGCCATTGCAGCATGTGATTAAAAGCTGAATCCTGTCATTTTTACTGGTTGTTTTAATAGGCTGCGCTGATACCTGGCCACTCAGCTCTCTCTCTCTCTCTCTCTCTCTCTCTCTCTCTCTCTCTCTCAGCTGAGTTCCTGACAGTCCCAGCTTTGCCTCTTACTGGTTGTGTGACCTTAGGCAAATCATTTAATGTTTCTCAGCTTCATTTTATCATATGTAAATTTAGGACAATAATACTCGATGAAGTTCTTATGTGGATTATATGAGGTGCTTGTGAAAAATACCTTACCTGGTAAATTGCGACTCAATTCTTAATCAGAAACAGAAACAGAAACAGTGGGTCACTAACCTAGGGTCCTCTAGGGAGAACTTGCACTTACATATTTTCCTGCAATGCCTTGGATTACATCATATGGCAAAGTCCTTTTATGTGTAAATGCCAGCTGTGAGGGTAATCACTTGTTAGTGTCTGTTTGCTTTCTTTGTTACCATTTTCTGGTTAATTCTGGAAGGAAAAATTTTTTGTCTTCTTGTCAGTATTTTTCTTTTATTTTGATGCTTTTTGTCAGATATGTTTCCCCCTAAGAGCTGACATTGATGTTGTATGGTGCATATGTTAATGTGGCAATGAGATATTGCAGTGAGATTACAGCTCCACAAGGGGGTACATAAATGACAGTCTCCAAACAGAAACCAGCATAGCTGCCAAAAAGGAAAGCTTCAAGATTCTCGGCTTCATTTTTCAGTTATGTTATTAGAATAAACACGTTCTCTAATGGCAGAAGGTACCTCAGATAAGGATCTATAGGTGATGTAGGATATCACTCAGCTACTCACAGACCTAAACAAGGCAACATTTCCCAAGATTATAATTTATCTGTGAAAGGTACTAGAAATGACTATATTTATCGCCCCATATCATCCCTTACAATCTCAGATGTCAGGGAAAAGCCCAAGGTCAGAAACCCAGATTGTGCTCATGTCTGTCAGGCAGAAGCTCTAGCATGAGCTCATAGGTATCTAGAAAACTTTGCGCAAACTGGGACAGAGCAGGCTACTTTCCTTTAAGCCAAACATCGTAAGGAGGCTTTTTGCTAAGTTTATTGTTAGATTTATTCCATTTTGAGTTTATTTTTAAGTGGTATTGCATTTGAGGTTGGTGCTAAGTAGCTCTCAATAATTCTCTGATCTTGATGTTGGCTTGCCTCACCATATGAAGACTGAGTCTGAGAAGAGGGAGATCTCAGTTCATGGGTCAGAAAATTGACTATTTCCATCACATGTGAGACATTTAGGTTCTGAGGGAAGAGGTGAACTTTTTCCAGTTCTGGCAAAGTTTTATTTAGACCAATGAGCTCATGCTAGAGAGTCTTTCGTGACAAATATGAGTACCATCTGGATTCCTGACATTAGCCTTGTTCCTCATCTCTGAGATAACCATCAAAACAAGCAAGTGCTACCCAGAAGTGTTTGTGTGTGCGTATGTGTGCGTTGGGGAAGGGGGAGTAGGATTCCTGACACATGTTCCATATGATTTCTCATAAGGTCCTCAAGAGAGCTCAGTCCCAGTTGCCCACACTGATAACCCACTTGTTAATATATCCCTTATCGGCTTTTTGCTTTTCCTTGTTTCATTTTTCCCACTTTCTCACCTGTGTTTCTTAGATCACCTCTCAAAATAAACTGCTTGTACCCAACTGCTTGTTTCAGTGTCTGCTTTTGGGTAACTCTAAGACAGAACCATTTAAAAAAATCCTTGAAGGATGAAAATCTAACACAAAAATGTGTTGATACTATATGTACAATCCAGATTTTGGTAAGATAAAAAATAATAAATAAGCCAAAAACCAAATAAATTCTACATGGTTGTCAAAAACATACATACATACACACACACACACACACACACACACACACACACACACTTCCCCCACTCAGATTGGTCTAAACAAGTGGAAGATAACTTGAGTAAAAGCAAACAACTTGATGAGACACAAAGTCAGAAAATAGAAAATTTTCTTCATATCATAAACAAAATGAAGGTGA
Source organism: Homo sapiens (assembly GCF_000001405.40). NCBI lineage: Eukaryota > Metazoa > Chordata > Mammalia > Primates > Hominidae > Homo > Homo sapiens. The sequence goes on from NC_000001.11 coordinate 172,780,329, forward strand.
CAAATTAGAAGTTGTGGACCACAGTCAAGAATGACTGAGAAAAAAAATAAAATGCACTGGAGTCTGGGGAGATTTACTACAACCAGTATTTAATGTGACCAGAATGAGCTAACTCAACTAGAGTTGTATAGTGACATACCATGTATAATGGTATGTATAATGACATAATGTATGTGCTTTGTAAACTGTAAGCTGAAATTCATACTCAAGGTATTATTTTCAATAGATTGCCTAAAGGAATGTCTGCAAATGAAGTGGATGGATGTGAAGGAAAAATACTGCATTAAGATTTTTATCTTAGTTTTTCTGAACTTTTTGACATTTGAGAAATCAATTAATTTCTCTCTGTATGTTTTTCCCTGCCCTAACCCATAAAATCAATATGAACTCACATTTGAAAATGGATATGAAAAGCCGGAAAAATATAAAATTATGTGCAAATGTTAGAGTTTTTTATTTAAAAAGATGTGGGATATGATAGTTAATGTTTACTACTCTCAACTTCTTTTGGGCCTTAAGGATGTGGTGTATACCCCAAGTATTACCAAACCTAGAATTCTCTGAGTGACATTTGTCTTTCAAAAGGTACACACACCTTAGTTTATTCATTCACTTATAATTCTTGTACAATTAAATGTCTTTTTTGAAGATGCTGATGTCAGATTCCCTCTTCTTACAGTAAGCCCCAAACACAAGCATTTTTCCATCTCAAGATAGCTTAACAAACCAAGAGCTTGTACTCCTGAAAATCTGACAAAGTTCTGAGTTAGCCCAAGTGCTCTGAGGAAGGTGTACTCTTGATGGCATCTATTTCTCCTAGATTTTTCTAGGGGATCTTTGATTGTCGATTCCTATAATATGCCCAGAATTGTGAAATGTATAATGGACTATGCAACAGAATTATGAAGGAGTTTCTTCCTTCAAGGAGCTTATAGTCTAGCCGGGAAAGTAGGGAGCAGAAGTACATCTATGCAATTCATAGAAAAAAACACAAGTCGGTAGTAATTTATGCACCTATTGAGACTCTTTTATAGGCATACTATAGGTGTTTTGGAGGAAAAATAATCCAACATGACTTTGAATACTACATAATAGTAATTCTGTCAATTCTGGGGGCCAGAACTGTTCGTACTATACAGTGGTATCCTTTCAAATTATTTTACCAATCATTTGGTAGAGTGAGAGGTGAATGTCACAAATAATTCCCCTTCTTCATTCTTCTTTTTCCTCCACACCCCAGTGAAGAAAAACCCCTTCTATCTCTAAAACTCTCATGAAAAACCAGCAAAACAGTCCAGTGATACTGCTAAGATTAGTAACCCAACCCCTGCTTGACTGGTACACTTCTAAACCACATATGTCAAGGTCAATTTTGCATATAGGTCAGTGTGTGGTTTCCTGCACTGTGTCCATTCCGGGAAGAGAAAGCAGGACTGTTTTCTCATGAAGAAACGTGCTCACTGAAGAAAACACTAGGTAGAGATGATGGGATGAGAAAACACAGGAAAACCTGAAGGTCATCTTATTCATACAAAAATCCTCCCATTTGGTCACTGTCCCTTCCAGGCCATGGCTCTTGTTCTGAGTGAGCTCTTCCTTTTATAGATGAACAGGCTCCAGGCCAGAGTAAGGATGGTGTGACAAAGTGAGGTAAGTGAGGAGACAGCGGTCATCCTGTGTGGGTTGAATGCCCATTTCTTAGTGGTTCTTTATTTTCCCAGCCTCTGGTAACCATCCTTCTACTCTCTATCTCCATAAGTTCACTTGTTTCGATTTTTAGCTCCCACCAGTAAGTGAGAACATGTGATGTTTTTCTTTCTATGCCTGGCTTATTTCACTTAGTATAATGAGCTGCAGTTCCATCCACATTGCTGCAAATGAGAGGATGTCATCCTTTTTTTATGGCTAAATAGTACTACATTGTGTATAAGTACCACATTTTAATCCATTCATCTGTTGATGGACATTTAAGTTGCTTCCAAAATTTTGCCTATTGTGAACAGTGCTGCAACAAACATGGGAATGCAGATATCTTTTCAGTATACTGACTTCCTTTCTTTTGGGTATATACCCAGCAGTGGGATTGTTGGATAATATGGTAGTTCTAGTTTTAGTTTTTGAGGAACTTCTAAACTGTTCTCCATAGTGGTTGTACTAATTTACATTCCCACCAACAGTGTAGGAAGGTTCCCTTTCTCCACATCTTCATCAGCATTTGTTATTGCCTGTCTTTGGATATAAGGCATTTTAACTGGGGTGAAATGATATCTCATTGTAGTTTTGATTTGCATTTCTCTGATGATCAATGATGTTGGGTACCTTTCCATACACCTCTTTGACATTTGCAAGTTTTCTTTTAGAAATGTCCATTCAAATCTTTTGCCCATTTTTAAATCAGATTATTAGATTTTTTTTCTTATGGAGTTGTTTCAGCTCCTTATATATTTTGGTTGTTAATCAAATGGGTAGTTTGCAAGTATCTTCTCCTATTCTGTGGGTTGTCTCTTCACTTTGTTTATTGTTTTCTTTGCTGTACAGAAGCTTTTTAACTTGATGGGATCCCGTTTGTCCATGTTTGCTTTGGTTGCCTGTGTGTGGGATATTACCCAAGAAATTTCCACCCAGACCGATGTCCGGGAGAGTTTCTCCAATGTTTTTTTGTAGTAGTTTCATAGTTTGAGGTCTTTGATTAAAGTCTTTAATCCATTTTGATCTGATTTTTTACATGGCAAGAGATATGGGTCAAGTTTCATTATTTTGCATATGAGTATTTAGTTTTTCCAGTCCCTATTGAAGAGACTGTCTTTCCCTCAGTGTATATTCTTGGCATATTTGTCAAAAATGAGTTCATTGTAGGTGTGTGGATTAGTTTTTGAGTTCTCTATTCTGTTCATTGTCTATGTGTCTGTTTTCATGCCATTACCATGCTGTTTTGGTTACTATAGCTCTGTAATATAATTTGAAGTCAGATAATGTGATTCGTCCAGTTTTGTTCCTTTTGCTTAGGATGGTTTCGACTATTCTGGGTCTTTTGTGGTTCCATATAAATTTGAGGATTTTTTTCTATTTCTGTGAAGAATGTCATTGATATTTTGATAGAGGTTGAATTGAAACTTTAGATTACTTTGGATAGTATGGACATTTTAACAATATTGATTCTTCCAGTCCACGAAAATGGAATATCTTTCCATAGTCCTCTTCAATTTCTTTCATCTGTATTTTATAGTTTTTATTATAGCAATCTTTCACTTCTTTGGTTAATTCCTAGGTATTTAATCTTATGTGTGGCTGTTGTAAATGGGATTACTTTTTAAATTTCTTTTTTAGATTGTTCACTGTCAGCATATGGAAATGCTACGGATTTTTGTATACTGATTTTGTATCCTGCAACTTTACTGAATTCCTTTATTAGCACTAATAGTTTTTTGATGGAGTATTTAGGTTTTTCCAAATATAAGATTATATCCTCTGCAATCAAGGATAATTTGACTTCTTCCTTTCCAATTTTCCTTTATTTCTTTCACTTGTCTGGTTGCTCTTGCTAGGATTTCCAGTACTATGTTGAATAACAGAGGTGAAAGTGGAAATCCTTCTCATGTTCCAGGTATTAGAGGAAAGACTTGCAGTTTTTCCCCATTCAGTATGATACTACCTGTGTGGTTTTCACATATGGCTTTTATTATGTTAAGGTACATTTCTTCTATATTCAGTTTTTTAAGAGTTTTACTGTGAAGGAATTTTTAATTTTATCAAAATGTTTTCAGCATCAATTGAAAAAATAATGTGCTGTTTGTCTTTCATTTTGTTGATATGATGTATCATATTGATTGATTTGTTTATGTTGAGCAATTTTTTTCATTCCAGGAATAAATCCCACTTGGTCATGATAAATAATCTCTTTAATGTGTTATTGAATTGAGTTTACTAATATTTTGTTTAGGATTTTTGCATCAGTATTTATTGGAGTTATTGGCCTGTAGTTTTTTTTTTTTGATGTGTCTTTGTCTGGTTTTGGTATTAGGGTAATACTGGCTTCATGGAATTGGTTTGGAAGTATTCCCTCCTCTTCTGTTTTTTTGGAATAGTTGGTGTAAGATTGGTATTCTTTTAATGTTCCATGGAAACAGCAGTGAAGCCATTGAGTCCCAGCCTTTTCTTTACTGAGAGACTTTTGATTACAGCTTTGATTTCATTACTCGTTATTGGTGTGTTCAGATTTTGAATTTCTTCCTGGTTCAATCATGGTAGGTTGTATGTGTCTAGAAATTTCTCCATTTCTTCTAGGTTTTCCAATTTTTAGTATATAGTTGCTCAGCCACTAATGATCCTTTGAATTTCTGTGGTATCAGTTGTAATGTTTCCTTTTTCATCTCTGATTTTATTTATTTTGATCTTCTCTCTTTTTTTTTAGTCTGGCTAAAGATTTGTCAATTTTGTTTAACTTTTCAAAAAACGAACTTTTGTTTTATCTTACGATCTTTGTATTGTTTTCATCATTTTAATTTTATTTATTTCTCTTCTGATCTTTATTATTTCTTCTACTAATTTTGGATTTGGTTTGCTCTTGCTTTTCTAGTTATTTGAGATGTATCATTTGGTTATTTGAAGTTTTTTTTTTCTTTTTTTGATGCAGGCACTTATAACTATAAATTTCCCTTTTAGTGCTGCTTTTGCTGTATCCCATAGATTTTGATACGTTGTGTTTCCATTATCATTTGTTTCAAGAAATTTTTCAATTTCCTTCTGAATTTCTTCATTGATCCACTGGTCATTCAGGAGCGTATTGTTAATTTCCTCATGTTCGTACAGTTTCCAAAATTCCTCTTGTTATTGACTTCTAGTTTCATTCCCTTGTGGTCAGAAAAGATGTTTGATATTATTTTAATTTTTAAAAATGTTTTAAGACATTTTATAACCTAACATATGGTCTATCCTTGAGAGTGATCCATGTGCTGAGGTAAGTAATGTGTATTCTTTAGCCATTGGATAAAATGTTCCATACATATCTGTTAGATCCATTTGATCTATAGTGTAGATTAAGTTCAAATGTTTCTTTGTTGATTTTCTGTCTGGAAGACCTGTCCAATGCTGAAAGTGGATTGCTGAAGTCTCCAGTTATTATAGTATTGGAGTCTGTCTCTCTCTTTAGCTCTAATATTTGCTTTGTATATATGGGTTCTCCAGTGTTGGGTGCATATATATTTTAAACTGTCATTTCCTGTTGCTTAACTGACCCTGTTGTCATTATATAGTGACCTTCTTTGTCCCTTCTGACAGTTTTTCTCTTGAAATCTATTTTGTCTAAGTATAGCTACTCCTGTTCTTTTTTGGTTTCCATTGCTGTGGGATATTTTTTTCCATCCTTTTATTTTTAGTCTATGTGTGTCTTCAAAGGTGAAGTGTGTTTCTTGTAGGCCACAGATCATTGGATCTTGTTTTTTCCTTCATTCAGCCACTTTGTGTCTTTTGATTGGAGAGTTTAATTTATTTATATTCAGTGTTATTATTGATAAATAAGGACTCACTCCTGTCATTTTGTTATTTGTTTTCTGGTTGTTTTGTGGTCTTCCCTTTCTTTATTCTTTCTTTCCTGTCTTCCTTTTAATGAAGGTAATTTTCTCTGGTGATATAATTTAGTTTCTTGTTTTTTATTTTCTTGTTTATCCATTGTGTATATTTGGTTTGAGGTTACCACGAGGCTTGCAGATACTATCTTATAACCCATTATTTTAAGCTGATAACAAGTTAACACTGTTTGCATAAACAAATAAGCAAAAAGAAAACTAATAAGAAATCTACACCTTAACTTCATGACCATGTTTTTTAAGTTTTTGTTCTTTCTATTTATATTTTATTGTACTATCTTTAAAAAGTTGTTGTACATGGTGAAACCCCGTCTCTACTAAAAATACAAAAAATTAGCCGGCATGGTGGTGGGCGCACCTGTAGTCCCAGCTACCTGGGAGGCTGAGGCAGGAGAATCGCTTGAACCTGGGAGGCGGAGCTTGCAGTGAGCCAAGATCACGCCACTGCACTCCAGCCTGGGCGATAGAGTGAGACTTTGTCTCAAAAAAAAAAGTTGTTGTAGTTATCATTTTTGATTCGTTCATCATTTAGTCTTTCTGCTTAAGAGTAGTTTACACACCACTGTTACAATGTAATAATAGTCTGTGTTTTTCTGTGTACTTACTCTTACCAGTGAATTTTGTGGCTTCAGATGATTTCTTATTGCTCATTAACATGCTTTTCTTTCTGATCGAAGTACTCTCTTTAGCATTTTTTGTAGGATAATTCTGGTGTTCATGAAATCCCTCAGCTTTTGCTTGTCTGGGAAAGTCTTTATTTCTTCTTCATGTTTGAAGAATATTTTCACTGGATATATTATTCTAGGGTAAAATATTTTTCCTTCAGCACTTTGAATATGTCATGCCATTCTTTCCTGGCCTGTAAGGTTTCCACTGAAAAGTTTGCTGTCAGACATACTGGAGCTCCATTTTATGTTATTTGTTTTTTCCCTCTGGCTGCTTTTAGGATCCTTTCTTTATCCTTGACCTTTGGGAATTTGATTATTAAATACCTTGAGGTAGTCTTCTTTGGGTTAAATCTGCTTGGTGTTCTATAAGCTTCTTGTACTTGGCTATTGATGTCTTTCTTTAGGTTTGGGAAGTTCTTTGTTATTTTCTCTTTGAAAAAACTTCCTACCCCTATTGCTTTCTCTAGCTCATCTTTAAGGCCAATAACTCTTAGATTTGCCCTTTGGGGGCCATTTTATAGATCCTGTTGATGCGTTTCATTTTCTGTTGTTATTTCTTTTGTCTTCTCTGACCGTGCATTTTCAAATAGCTTGTCTTCAAGCTCACTAATTCTTTCTTCTGCTTTATCAATTCTGCTATTAAAAAGCTCTGATGCCTTCTTTAGTATTCCAGTTGCATTTTTTAGCTCCAGAATTTGTGCTTGATTCTTTCAAATTATTTCAATTTCTTTGTTCAATTTATCTGATATAATTCTGAATTCCTTCTCTGTATTATCTTGAATTTCTTTTGAGTTTCTTCAACACAGCTATTTGGAATTCTCCGTCTGAAAGGTTACATATTTCTGGTTTTTTTTTTTTCCAGAATTGGTTCCTGGTGCCTTAATTAGTTCATTTGGTTAGGTCATGTCTTCCTGGATTGTGTTGATGCTTATAGATGTTCTTCGGTGTCTGAGCATTGAAGAGTTATGTATTCATTGTAGTCTTCTCAGTCTGGGCTTGTTTCTACCTGGGCTTCATGAGAAGGCTTTCCATATATTCAAAGAAACTTGGTGTTGTGATCTAAGCTGTATCTGCTTTAGAGGGCATGCCAAGCCCAGTAATGCTGTGGTTCTTGCAGACTCATAGAGGTAACACCTTGATGGTCTTTCTTTCTGGAAGATGGCTCTTCCAGACAAGATCTGGAAGAATTTTCTGGATTACTAGGCATAGATTCTTGTTCTCTTGTTTTTTTACTTTCTCTCAAATGTAAGAAGTCTTTCTCTCTGTTCTGAGCCACCTGGAGCTGGAGTGGACTGACACAGGCACCTCTGTGGCCACCACCACCAGGACTGCACTGGGTCAGGCTTGAAACCAAACAGCACTGGGTCTCACCCAAGACCTGCTATAACCACTCCATGGCTATGTCTTATGTTCACTCAAGGCCCTGGGGCTCTACAATCAGTAGGTGGCAAAGCTAGCTAGACCTGTGTCCTTCTCTTCAGAGTGGCAAGTTTCCCCAGGCCCCAGGTAGGTCCAGAGGTGCCATCTGAGAGTCAGGGACTAGAGTTAAAAACCTTAGAAGTCTACTTGGTGTTCTATTTTACTGTCACTGAGCTGTCACTCAAACCACAAGATGCAGTCCTTTCTACTCTTACCTCACCTTTCCAAAGGCAGAGGAGCCTCACCCCATGGCCACTGCCACCAGAAACCCATGAGGAGTACTGCCGGAGTATAGCTGATGTTCTTTTATGGCCTGAGGGCTCTTCATTCAGCTTGCAGTGAATGCTGCCTAATCTGAGACTCACCCTTCAGAGCAGTGGGCTCCCCTCTGGCTCAGGGAATGTCCAGAAATGCTATCAAAAAGCCAAGTACCAGAATTGGGGTCTCCATAAGCCTGCTTGGTGCTCTAAACCCCTGTGACTGAGCTGGTACATAAGGTGCAAGAGAAAGTCCTCTTTATTTTTCCCTCTGCCTTTCTCGAGTGGAAGGAATCTTGCCCCATAGCTACCACAGCTGGGAATGTGCTGAGTCTCACCCAACACCAGTAAGTCTCCAAGTCTCATCCAAGGCCCTCAGTGTAGTACCTGGGTATCACTGCTGGTTATTCAGGGCCCAAGGACTCTTCAGTTAGCAAGTGATGAATACTGACAGGACTGAGTTCTTTCCTTCAAGGCAGTCAGTTCCCTTCTGGCCCTGGGTGTATCTAGAAATGTTGTCTGGAAAGAGGGCCTCATGACTCTGACCAGTGCCCTATCCTGCTGTGGTTGAGCTGGTATCCAAGATGTAGGACAAAGTCCTCTCTATTCTTCCCTTTCCTCTCCTCAACTGGAGGGAAGGGGTCTTTTTTTGGAGCCAAGAGCTATGCAGCCTGTGGTAAGGGAAGGAGAGATGCCTGCACTCCCTTAGCTGCCCCAGTTGGTTTCTCAGTAGGTCCTGTGGTCCCCCAGTCCATTGTTTCTGGGACCAGTTCAGCACTAGGACTTGCCAAAGAATTGCAGTCCTTGTGGCCTAGACTGCCTTTCAAGAGCTCCAGGGCTGGTTTAAATGCTCCCCCCATGGGCAGGCATCAGCTGAGTTTGGTCTGGTTTTGTTTTCTGTTATAATAGGGCAGCACTGAGTTCAATGCCTCACAATTGCTGTGATCTCCCTCTCCCCAGAGCACAGAAATGTTGTCTGCACTTTGCCATTGCTGCTGGGGAATGGGGAAGGGGTAGTGTCCGCAATTCAAGACTGTTTTTCCTACGTCTTCAGCAATGTGAAGTTAAAACCAAGTACTGTGAATGCTCGCCTGATTTCTAGTTCTTATGAAGATGCTTTTTTTAATGTGTAGACAGTTGTTAAATTGGTGTTGTGCCATCTTGCTCTGCCACCTTGCCTATTTAATTTTTCCAAGAATCATTTTCTCCATGTGTAAGTTGGAATAATAGTAATATTTACCTCATAGTTGATCTTGAGGAATAAATTAGATTATATACACAAAATTCTTGATGCAGTGTCTGGCACATAGAAAATGAAACTTCTTTAATATATGCACACATACATACACATACCACACTTCATTGTCTCATCTTACATGGTTGACTCTTTCCTCCTTAATTAAAAAGAAAAGCTGAAAAAACCCTCATCTTTCCTAGGGAACAGAATGGTGACCCTCAACTGATTATTTATGCACTTGGGAAAATATTTTCTTCTCAACTCTCCCTTACCTTTTACCTTTCTATCCCCCACATCAGGAGCAGGAGAAGATCAGAGAAATCTGCTACAAAACCAAGGAGGTGAGGGAGAAGAGGACCAAATACTGACCTAGCACATGCTCACTCTTCTCACAGGTGACTGTGGTTATGACTGGCTAAATAATTTGTGAGATTCAATGAAAAATGAAAGTGCAGGGCACCCACTTAAAAAGTAATTGAGAATTTCAAGACAGAGATGGCAGAGCATTAAACCAAGCATGGTTTCGTTCTAAGCACGTGGACCTCTGTGACTGCACAGGCTATATGTTCATAACACTGGCCCTCCTGTCAGCCCTGGGGCAATGGAAGAAGGTGACAAGCTAAAGCTTCTGTTGTTAGTATGAAGCCAACTTGTCTGTTTTTTCCACCTCAGAGCCTAGTTAAGGCATGTGGGTTTATTACTTGGCTATTAGCAGCTCTCTGCCCCTGGAGCCTAGAACCTGGAAATATGAGGGGTCAGAGAGAGCCCCACTCTCACTTCTGAGAGGAATTAAAGAGAAATTGGGTTAAAACTATTCTAACCCAATCAATTTAATCAGTTTTTAGGAAACTCTCTTAGCTGTAGCAGGCAAGATCACTCACAGAGACAAAAATTACAGTAATGCTAGGCATTCGAGTCTCTCTTGCTCTCTCTGTGAGTGTATGAGTGTGTTTGTGTGTGTGTATGTGTGGTATAATGATGTAAATTTTTCACTTTCGTGGTCTATGTGTCAGTTACTTTCTTATGCTTAACTAAGTTTGTTAGATGCTATTCATGATACTCATGGGTGTTTGGAGGAAGATAAAATATGTACAAGGAATAAGGAAGCTTCAGAAGCTAACAATGCATATTAAAGACTTACTTGCTACTTTTATCCATTATATATGCTGCAAGGAAATTTGGCAATTAACTATAATTCTAACACATGGCCCAAACTGCCTATATATTCTTGTTTTACTGTCAGATTTGGGAGAGTGAGCCTGGGGACGCATCAGCAGAGATTTCTGGAGGAAATGTGGGGATAAATGGAGGAGGGAAGGAGGTTCAGAGGAAAGCTGCTAGATTCAAAGGTGGGTAGGGTGAGATGTAGAAGAGAGGTTTGGGGAGAAGATGAAAATGTAATGGGAGGCAGAGGACAGAGGAAAGAGGAAGAGAGAGCCCAGGAAGAAGAAAGTCTAGGCTGGAAGGCCCAGAAGTTAACCCATAGTAAGTTAACTTCTCAGGGAAGGAGGGCCATCCAGGTGCTTCTTAGATCTTTAGCAAGCCATTTTTCTGCATAGGTAGATAGGAAGCACTGAGGGGCCAGAGAGAGAACACTTCTCATTGCAGATCCCCTGGCTTGATCACTTCTTAACTCCAAAGCCTTGGGTGGGTCACCTCTCCTCTCTGTGATTCAGAGTACTCATATGCAAAGCAAGGAAGGCAAAGCAGAGGGCCTTCAAAATCCCAGGGTGAACCAGGCTGATATTTCTAGGAGAATCTGAATAAGTGAGATGGAGGAGAAAAGAGAGAGAGTGGAAGGAAGGCTCAGCCTGAATGTGGAAGGATGGAAAGGAGGAAGGTCATAGAATACAGAAGGACTGGTAGGGGGGCAGTTAAGTGTGGTCATTTTTGCCTATTATACTTCTCCTAATTTGTTTTTCAATAATAGATTTAGTAAGATATTAATATACCATAAAAATCTATCTTTTAAAGGTGTACAATTTGGTGGTTTTTAGTATTTTCACAGAGTTGCAGAGTTGTACAACCATCACAACTCTCTAATTCCAGAACACTTTCATCACCCAGAAAGGAAACCTTGTATCCATTAGGAATCACTCCCCATTCTCCCTGACCCTAGTCCCTGGAAATAACACATCTGTTCTCTGTCCCTATGGATTTGCCTATTCTGGACATTTCCTATAAATGGAATTATACACTATGTGTGTGTTTTTGTGAAAGGACTCTTAGCATTATGTTTTCAAGGTTCATCCATGTTGTAGCATGTCTTAGTACTTCATTCCTTTTTAGTTGTTGAATAATATTCATATATATATATAAAACATTTTTTGCATTCATCAGGTAATGGACATTTGGTTGTTTCTACTTTGGGGCTGTAATAAATAATGAGGCCATAAATATTCATTTTTATACAAAGGTTTGTGTAACATATGTTTATATTTCTCATGGCAATACACCTAGGAGTGGAGTTGCTGGGTCATATGATAACTCTATGTTTAATATTTTGAGGAAATGCTAAACAATTTTCCAAAATGGATGAACCATTTTATAATCCCACCAGCAATGTATAAGAGTTCCAATTTCTCTAATCTTTACCAACACTTGCTGGCTTTTGTCTTTTTGGCTTTAGTTATCCTAGTGGGAATAAAATGGCATTCATTGTGGTTTTGATTTGCAATTTCTTATTGACTAATGTTGAGCATTCCTTCATGTGCTTATTGGCCATTTTTATATGTTTCTTGGAGAAATATGTATTTATATAACTTTGATTGGGTTACTTGTCTTTTTATTATTGAGTTGTAAAAGTTCTTTATATATTCAAGGTACAAGTTCCTTATGAGATAACAACTTGCAAATATTTTATCTTACTTTTTGTTGTCTTTTCATGTCTTGATTGTTTTCCTGAAGCACATATGCTTTAAATTTCAATAAAGCCCAATTTATCTGTTTTTGTCTTTTTTGCTCATGCTTTTGGAGTCACATCTAGAAATCTATTGCCTAGATTTAAGGCCATGAGGGTTCAATCCTTTGTTTTCTCCTAATAATGTTAGGGTATTAACCATTATATTTAGGTCTATTATACTTTTTGAATTAACTTTGTGAGGGAAGCGTCCAATGTAATTCTGTTACATGTGGTTAGCTAGTTGTCCGGGCACCATTTGTTGAAACAAACTATTCTGTCCTCATTTAGTTTGCTTTGAATTGTCGTGATACACTTGTCAAAAATCAGTTAACTGTAAATGTAAAGGTTTATTTCTAGACTCTCATTTCTATTCCATTGATCTATATGCTTATCCTGATGCCTGTATCACACTGTCTTAATTACTGTAGCTTTGCAGTAAGATTTTGAAATAGTAAAGTAAGTCCCCCAATTTTGTTCTTTTTGATGATTGTTTTAGCTATTCTACTACTTTTTCATTTCCATGAGTTTTTTTTTTTTAAGTCAGTTTGTCAATTTCTGGGAAAAAAGCTGTTTTTATTAGGCGTTATATTGAATCCATAAATTAATTTGAGGAGTATCCCCATTTTAACAATATCAAGTTTTCTGATCCATGAATGTGGGATATCTTTCCATTAATTTATATATTTTAATATGTCCTTTGGGCTGGGCATGGTGGCTCATGCTTGTAATCCCAGCACTTTGGGAGGCTGAGGTGGGCAGATCACTTGAGGTCAGGAGTTCAACATCTGCCTGGCTAACATGGCAAAACCCCAAGTCTACTAAAAATACAAAAATTAGCTGGGCATGGTGGCATGCACCTGTAATACCAGCTACTCAGGTGGCTGAGTCAGGAGAATTGCTTGAACCCGGGAGGCGGAGGTTGCAGTGAGCCGAGATCGCGCCATTGCACTCCAGCCTGGGTGTTGAGTGACAGAGCGAGACTCTATCTCAAAAAATAAATAAATGAGTAAATAAATAAAATAAAATGTCTTTCAACAGTGTTTTGTCATTTCAATGTATGTCTTGTACTCCTTTTGCTAATATTTTATGGTTTTTGATGCTATTTAAGTAAAATTTGTTTTCTTAATTTTTTAGGTTGTTTATTGCTAGTGTATAAAATGCAATTAATTTTTGTATATTTGCATTGTATCCTGAAAATTTGATGAACTCCTTTTTAAATTCTAATAGTCATTTCGGAATTTCTCAGAATTTTCTATATTTAAGATTGTTTGCAAATAGAGATAGCTTTATTTCTTCCTTTCCAACTTGAGTTCCTGTCTTTGATTTTTCTTTCCTAATTTCCTTGACAGAATTTCTAGTGCACTGTAGGATAGAAGTGGTGAAAACAGATATCTTTGTTTTATTCCTGATCTTAAGGGTAAAGCATTCAGCTTCACCATTAATTATGATCTTATCTGTGGGTTTTTCATAGACGTCTTTATTAGGTCAATAAAGTTCCCTTCCATTCATAGTTTCTTGAATGTTTCAAATGCTTTTTACTGTATCAGTTGAAATAATCATCTGGTTTCTGTCTTTCATTCTACTAATATGATGTATTACATTGAATGATTATTGTGTGTTAAGCCGACCTTGCATTTCTGGGCTAAATCCCACTTTGTCATGGTGTGTAATCCTTTATATATGTTTCTAGAAATAGGTTACTAGTATTATGTTAAATATTATTGATTCTTTATTACTAAGAGTTATTGGTCTGTAGTTTTCCTTTGTCGTGATGTCTTATTTCTGGCTTTGATCTTAGGGTAACACTGGCCTCATAAAATAAATTGAAGTGTTCCCTTCTTTTCTATGTTTTGGAAGAGTTTGCAAACAGCTGGTATTAATTCTTCCTTAAACATTTATAGATTTCACCAGTGAGGCCATTGAGCTTTTTTTTTTTTTTTTTTTAGGAGGGAGACTAATTTAATCCCTTTATTTGTTGTAATCCATTCAGATATTCCAATCCTTCTTGAGTCAGCTTCCGTAGCTTGTATCTTTCCAATAATTTTTCCATTTCATTTATCTAATTTGTAGGCATATGATTGCTCCCAATATTTCCTTATTATCTTTTTTTCAATAAAATTGGTAATGGTGTCCTCTTTCATTCATGATTTTAGTAACTGAGCCTTGTCTGGTTTCCCCTGGTCAGCCCAACTGAATATTATCAATTTGTTAATCCTTTTATAGAATCTAATTTTGTTTTTGTGGAGCTTTTCTATTGTTTTGCTATTTTATTTCCACTCTAATCTTTAGTATTCTTTTCCTTCTGTGTTTTTGCATTTAGTTTGCTATTCTTTTTCTAGTTTCTTAAGGTGGAACACTAGATTTATTAATGTTATCCTACTTCTTTTTTTAGAGAGACAGGGTCTCACTTATTGCACAGACTGGAGTGAAGTGGCACAATCAGAGCAGCCTCAAACTCCTGGGTATAAGTAATATTCCTGCCTCAGCCTCCCAAAGTGCTGGGATTACAGGTGCATGCCACCAAATCTGACCTTCTTCTATTTTAATACTGGGATTTACAGCTATAGTTTTCCTTTTGAGCACTGCTTCAGCTTCACCCCATAAATTTTTGTATGTTGTCTTTCATCTTTATTCCACCTTAATATAGCCTCTAATTATTTTTAACTATTTATTATTTAGAAAAACATTGTTTAATTTCCACATATTTTCATATTATCAGATTTCCTTCTGTCATTGATTTCTAATTTCATTCTATGTGGTCAGTGTGATATGGTCATATCATAAGGAATATATATTTGATCATTGTCCCTGGTTTCTGGCACATAACTCTTAAAATTCTTGGAATTTTTAGGATTGAGAGGAGTGTCTTTTGTTATTCAAAATAACCACCTTTCAACCATATCTAAATTTATGCTAATTAGGTGACTTTTGAAATATGGGAGCTGGTTTTCTGGGGAACCAGTCATGCAGTTAGAGGGTTGGAACTCTCAGCTTCATCCTCAAACCTCTGAGGAAAGGGAGAAGGGGTGGAGATTGACTTAATGAGAAATGGCCCATGATTTAATTAATCATGTGTACATAATAAAGCCTCCATGAAAAAACAAGAGAACATAGTTTAGCCAGCTTCTGAGTTGGTGGTGGGAGAGTGTCATGCCTGGAGAGGGCATGTGCCTATTCCCAAATACCTTGTTATATATATCTCTTCCACCTTGGTGTTCCTAAACTATATTCTTTTATAATATAGTGGTAACTTAGTAAGTAAATCATTTTCCTAGCTCTGTGAGCCATTCTGGCTGCCAACCTAGATAACTAAGAGAGGCTCTTTAAAACAAAAAGATATTTGGGAATAGGGCATTACAGTGAGATTTTGCATGTCATAGTAAACTATGTGTGTATTCAGGAAGGTAAAAGAAGACAAAAGTTTTCGAAGGAAAAATGAGGAGGGTTATGTAACTGTTTTCAAATGATTATCCTTAGCTACAAGGATCAATATTACAGAAAAAATACTTCTGCAAGGACATCTGCCTAGCAACTGCGTGTCCAACCTTGAATCGGCATTACCATGATTGGACAGGCAGTTGCTGGGCAAGTGTCTTTGCTAAAGTATTTTTTGCACAAGGTTGTAATGGCCTTTGTGCAAAGTTGTGTTTTTTTTTTCATAGTTGTTCGTGATAGTTTTGTTATCAGGCATACAAGTGTGGGAATCTTCTCTTCATGGCCTCCCAGCTTTATTTGTCAGGCCCTTTTTTTTAAAATGCAAGTGACTCAATTTTGATTCTGATAACTTTCACATTTCCTCCATTTTTAAAATATCTTTTTTCAAAAGTATCCCTGATTAATTATCCTGTAGTTAGGTTTTGCTGTCCCTTGGTGTTGGGATGGATCTGACCCAGGTTGCTGGTCTCATCCCACATTGGGGAAGTGATTGATGACTAGGAGTCAGTGTTAAAACCCTTTAGCCACATTTGAGCCACAAGAGGGGTTTTAAGGGTGTGGCTCTCAGGCAAAGTATACCTGGAGTTCATTATTAAGTTCAATTTTGTCTGTGTCATAGTCTTTTGCTATCACCTCAAAGTGCTGGACCAGCATTATGCTGTAAGGTGTTGTATCCCTGCAAAAAATTTCAATAACTAAGATATACAAGGTTTTAAAAGGGAAAATACAAAGTGAAATTAATAGTAATGTGACGATCCCAGTTTGCATAATGATTTTGGGACATTAACCTAGGCCTAAAGGCAACCAGTTGAATAAATCAAATGACCATAGGGAATTAGGTGAGACCTGTTGTTACCATGTGGTTGATTTTCTTATTTTATGAATATGGGTCTTAACTTTCCCAGAGGAATTTATCCAGGTACAGTATATAGTATTAGTAATAGCACAGACATTTCCTTAGTTAACCAATAGATACTAAAAGATCTCTTAAGTCAGATTCTATCAAGTTACTAGTAGAAACTACTGATTGTAAAATTTTAATTACACCATTATCCTGCCAAGTGAAAAAGGGTAGACATTAAGAGGTGTAAGAGAGCTTCATTAGGATATGGAGTCTTGTTCTGACATTTTGGGAAAAGCCAGTACAGTGTGTTGTTGTCAACTTCTAATTCTGATTTGTAGTTTGAATGTTCCTTGTTATGGATTGGGTGGTTTGGTGAACTTTTTGTGTGGTCCATACATTGGGAACAAGGCTTGTTCCTTAAAATTCATCTAGTTTTAGCTACAGGGCTTTAGGAACAAAGTAGTTTTCATTTTTAATAATCCCATGGAAGAAAGCTGAATAAATCCAAATTGGAGAAATCTAGAAAAATTTAGGATCTAGTCTACTCTATAGGTAGATAAGAAAAACTTGAAAGCAATGCACACGACTACAATCTAATAACAGGTGCATTATTGTCTTTTTTGACAAATGTAACTTTTTCTCTCTATATTGATCACACAGGAATCTTATTTAAAAACCTCTGGAGGCCAGGAAGCCAAACCAAGGCAGACTTTAGATTTTACTTACAGTCTTAAGGGTCATGAACATGCCAAAAATGGACAATACTTACTCACTCACCATAAATATTGGCCTGAAAACTCTTGAAATTAGGCATTCTATCCACATTTTTAAATATGATGTTTCAGTCAAAGCCTTGGTAATATAACCAATGTTTCCAGTTGTATCCTGCTATAAAGAGAGAAAAAAATTTTGCTGAACTTATTCAAATAACCATATTGTCATAAAAATAAGAATACTCACAAACAGTTTCTGAATTTTGGAAAAATCAAGTAGAAAGAAAAAGCAAATGCTTCCACCTTTGTTTTTAAAAGTATACTTTACTAAATTATTGTAAACTATATATAGCCTGAGAAAATTTTCTTAAATCTGGAAAACAAAACATTTAAGTAAAGAATCAATAATATTTTAAATAAAAGTCATAAAAACATTGTTTTCATCAGTTACTTAATCTCATATAATTTTTGTTCTGCTTATTCTTGAACATCAGTTTCATGAAACCATTAGTTTCTTCATTAGAGTTCTAAATTTTTTAATTTAGTCAATTGAATTTAAAGTTATTAGAAATCTCTGTTCAAGAGTACTCATTAGAGTCTTTTCCATGAATTTGATTACAAATGATTTTAGAAAAGAATTCATTGTGGATGACAAAATCTTACAATAGTTATTGTTAAAAATCTGATGAAAGTTCACAATTGATAAGGGAATTTATTTATATTATATACAACATTTTAAGATAACAACCAGACGCATGACTGACAGCATTATATCAGGACCACCAGACTGCCATCAATCTTGTATAATTCTTAGAATACTCATATTAATAACACACACACATATATACATATATACACACACGAATATAATTTAAAGATTTAACATAACACCAAAATTATGACTAAGAACATATTAGATTTCAATGAATTTATATAACTTTTAAAACACTCATATTAATAACATACACATAAACGTAACTGAAAGACGATCTAGCATCACTTCTCATTTGAAAACATTTCTTATACAATTTACTAAATAAGCCTAATCATTTAATATCTCTACAAGATAAGATATATATATATATTTAGGCTTTCTGGGGCCTAACTGGAAAATCAAAAGGTGATTCTAGATTAAAAAAATTAATTTAGAATTTTGATCCTGGGGAAGCACATTAAAGATATCAAGAAGTTTGAAATGCCTGATCAAAATAGGTTCACAGGCCACTGTAAAATAATAGTCAAAAATTTAACCAGAGTGCTAGAAGATTTTGAAAATAATACCAAAAGTTACATGGGTGAAAAAACTCTAATTCTTTCAAAGCTCAGTTTTCCCAAGTAATCAAAAACTTAATAACGACAACACAATAAATTATCTTGATGAAACATGAATTCTTTTTTTTAGGCCAATTACTAAAAAGGTCAAGAAAAGCTTCTGGTAGTATGATTGCTTATCTTTACAGGAAGCCCATTTACATAACCTGGAAGTTGAACCTGATGAAAAGTGTACTTAAATTTAATCAGACACAAGAAGAGTGTATTCAGTATCAATGCACATCATATTATAGAGTAACAAACAAAACCCAGCATGTTGAGTAGGCGATACATGGCTCTTAATAATAGCATGAGAAGTTTTCTGATTATGAGAGGTGAAGCTGGCTGGGCTTCTGGGTCGGGTGGGAGCCGAGGGTCGACAGAGAGGAAAGCCATTCAGCTCCGGGATTCCAACAACAAGTTGGTTGACTCTGCAGCCATGAGCAGAACCCTCAAAGTCATGTTGCCCAAGTAAGACTCGCCCATCTATCTTATCTATCCTGACCCTTGCCTCCTGGGTCCTAATGCCTGTCAGACAAACTTACTCTCACCTCTCTTCTCGGAGGCTAGTCCCACTTCTGAAAACCACTCCCTGTCTCTGGTGCTTTTCTAGTTTCTCCTATAAGAATGATTTCTAGTATAAACTCCAGGACTCTATTCCCTTCTTTAGGCACCCGGGCTCACCAATCAGAAAGACATAATTTTTGCCCAAAGCCTCATGGTGGGGGGTACTATCTTATGTAGAATTTTAGGATCCCTCCTCAGACTAGCAGGCATAACAAAAGCTATTCCTGAAGCTAGAATATGAGGATCCTCAGAAATTATATCCTTCCTATTCGTATAAGTGAAGACAAAAGGCATCACTCTTCCAACCCTGGAAATCCCTTCCCTCCCTCAGGGTATGGCCCTCCACTTCATTTTTGGGGCATAACATCTTTATAGCACAAGGGTAAAGTCCCAATACTAACAGGAGAATGCTTAGGACTTTAACAGGTTTTCCAGAATGCATCAATAAGGGCCACTAAATCCGATTTTTCTTGGTCCTCTTTGTGGTCTAGGAGGACAGGCAAGGGTGCAGGTTTTTGAGAATGCATTGGTAAGGGCGACTAAATCTGACATTCCTTGGTCCTCCCTGTGGTCTAGGAGGAAAACTAGTGTTTCTGCTGCTGCATCAGTGAGCGCAACTCTTCTGATCAGCAGGGTCTAGGGACTGTTGTGGGTTCTTGGGCAAGAGGTGTTTCTGCTGCTGTGTCGGTGAGCTCAACTATTCCAATCAGCAGAGTCCAGGGACCATTGTGGGTTCTTGGGCAAGAGGTGTTTCTGTTGCTGCGTCGGTTAGCGCAACTATTCTGATCAGCAGGGTCCAGGGACCGTTGTGGGTTCTGGGGCACCGGGAGAAACAAACAAACCCAAACCGCAGGCGGTTTTTTTCTTTCAGGTGGGAAACACTCAGGCATCAACAGGCTCAGCCTTGAAATGCATCCTAAGCCATTGGGATCAATTTGACCTGCAAACCCTGAAAAAGAGGTGGCTCATTTTTTTCTGGACTATGGTTTGGCCCCAATATTCTCTCTGATGGGGAAAAATGGTCACCTGAGGGAAGTAAAAATTACAATACTATCCTGTAGCTTGAACTTTTCTGTAAGAGGGAAGGGAAATGGAGTGAAATACCATATGTCCAGGCTTTCTTTTCATTGAAGGAGAATCCACAACTATGTAAAGCTTGCAATTTACATCCCACAGGAGGACCTGTCAGCCTACCTCCATATCCCAGCCTCCCTATAGCTCCCCTTCCTATTAATGATAAGCCTCCTCTAATCTCCCCTGCCCAGAAAGAAACAAGCAAAGAAATATCCAAAGGACCACAAAAACCCCCAGGCTATCAGTCATGTCCCCTTGAAGCTGTAGAGGGAGGGGAATTCGGCCCAACCTGGGTACATGTCCCCTTCTCCCTCTCTGATTTAAAGCAGATCAAGGCAGACCTGGGGAAGCTTTCAGATGATCCTGATAGGTATATAGATGTCCTACAGGGTCTAGGGCAAACCTTCGACCTCACTTGGAGAGATGTCATGTTATTAGATCAAACCCTGGCCTTTAATGAAAAGAATGCGGCTTTAGCTGCAGCCTGAGAGTTTGGAGATACCTGGTATCTTAGTCAAGTAAATGATAGAATGACAGCTGAAGAAAGGGATAAATTCCCTACTGGTCAGCAAGCCGTCCACAGTATGGATCCCCACTGGGACCTCAACTCAGATCATGGGGACTGGAGTCACAAACATCTGTTGACCTGTGTTCTAGAAGGACTAAGGAGAATTAGGGAAAAGTGCATGAATTATTCAATAATGTCTACCATAACTCAGGGAAAGGAAGAAAATCCTTCTGCCTTCCTCAAGTGGCTATGGGAGGCCTTAAGAAAATATACTCCTCTGTCACCTGACTCACTAGAGGGTCAATTGATCCTAAAAGATAAGTTTATTACCCAATCAGCTGCAGATATCAGGAGAAAGCTCCAAATGTGAGCCCTAGGCCCTGAACAAACTCTGGAGGCATTATTAAACCTGGCAATCTCGGTGTTCTATAATAGGGGCCAAGAGGAACAGGCCAAAAAGGAAAAGCAAGATCAGAGAAAGGCCGCAGCCTTAGGCATGGTCCTCAGACAAACAAACCTTGGTGGTTCAGACAGGACAGAAAATGGAGCAGGCCAGTCACTGGGTAGGGCTTGTTATCAGTGTGGTTTACAAGGACACTTTAAAAAAGATTGTCCAACAAGAAACAAGCCATCCCCTCATCAATGTCTGCTATGCTGAGGCAGTCACTGGAAGGCGCACTGCCCCAGAGTGCAATGGTTCTCTGACCCAGAAGCCCCCAACCAGATGATCCAACAACAGGACTGAGGGTGCCTGGGGCAAGCGCCAGCTCATGTCGTCACCCTCACTGAGCCCCGGGTACATTTAACCATTGAGGCCAGGAAATTGAGACTTCCTCCTGGACACTGGCACGGCCTTCTCAGTGTTAATCTCCTGTCCCAGACGACTGTCCTCAAGGTCCGTTACCATCCGAGGAATCCTGGGATGGCCTGTAACCAGGTATTTCTCCCACCTCCTCAGTTGTAATTGGGAGACTTTGCTACAGATAGTAAGTATGTTTATCTAATCCTACATACCCATGCTGCAATATGGAAAGAAAGGGAGTTCCTAACCTCTAGGGGAACCCCCATTAAATATTACAAGGAAACCATGGAGTTATTGCACACAGTACAAAAACCAAAGGAGGTGGCAGTCTTACACAGATGAAGCCATCAAAAAGGGAAGGAGAGGGGAGAACGGCAGCATAAGCAGCTGGCAGAAGCAGCAGAAAGGAAATAGAGAAAGAGACAGAAAGAGAGAGAGGAAGAAACAGAGAGACAAAGAGAAGGAGACAGAGAGAGGAAAAGACACAGACAAAGGAGTCAGAGAGAGAGAGGAAGAGACAGACAAAGTCAAAGAAGAAAAGAGAGGAAGAGACAAAGAGGGAGTCAGAGAGAGACAGACAGACAAAGAAGAAGTCAAAGAGAAAGAAGGAGAGTTGGAAGTAGTAAAGAAAAAACAGTGTATTGTATTCCTTTAAAAACCAGGGTAAATTTAAAACCTATAATTGATAATTTAAGGTCTTCTCCATATCCCTATAGCACTCCAATACCACCTTGTTGTCAGTGTAAACAAGGGCATAGCCTGAAAGCACTGAGGCCACTGACAACCCATAGCCTTCCTATCAAAAATCCTTAACCCAGCAGGTTTCCTAACAGGGGATCTAAATCTTAATTAATTACCATACAAAGGTCCAACCAGATCTAGGAGGAACTCCCTTCAGGACAGGATGATAGATGGCTCCTCCCAGGCAATTAAGGAAAAAAGACACAATGGGTATTCAGTAAGTGATAAGGAAACTCTTGTAGAATCAGAGTTAGGAAAATTGCCTAATAATTGGTCTGCTCAAACCTGCAAGCTGTTTGCACTCAGCCAAACTTTAAAGTACTTACAGAATCAGGAAGGAGCCATCTATATCAATTCTAAGTTAATATGGACTGAATGAGGTCTTATTAATAGCAAAAAATAATTGAAATCCCAAACTTACAAGGTTTTCAACAAAAGTAAAGTTTGCTAAAAGAGTTAACAGTGTAACATGTATTATCCTAACTTCTAATCTTATGGAAATCAGACCTTATCAGTGCCCCTGAAAGCTCAAGTCCATCAGCACAGAGCCATACAACTAATACCCCCACTTACATGGTTTTAGGAATGGCCACTGCTACAGGAACTGGAATAGCTTGTTTATCTACTTCATTATCTTACTACCACACACTCTCAGAGGATTTCTCAGACAGTTTGCAAGAAACAATGGAATCTATCCTTACTCTATGATCCCAAATAGACTCTTTGGCAGCAGTGACTCTCCAAAACCACCAAGGCTTAGACCGCCTCACTGCTGAGAAAGGAGGACTCTGTGCCTTCTTAGGGGAAGAGAGTGTTGTTTTTACACTAACCAGTCATGGATAGTAAGAGATGCCACCCGGTGTTTACAGGAAAAGACTTCTGAAATCAGACAACGCCTTTCAAACTCTTATACCAACCTCTGGAGTTGGGCAACATGGCTTCTTCCCTTCCTAGGTCCCGTGACAGCCATCTTACTATTACTCACCTTCAGGACCTGTATTTTTAACTTCCTTGTCAAATTTGTTTCCTCTAGGATCAAGGCCATCAAGCTACAGATGGTCTTACAAATGGAACCCCAAATGAGCTCAACTAACAACTTCTACCAAGGACCCCTGGACTGACCTGCTGGCCCTTTCACTGGCCTAAAGAGTTCCCCTCTGGAGGACACTACAATTGTAGGGCCCCTTCTTCGCCCCTATCCAGCAGGAAGTAGCTACAGTAGTCATCGCCCAATTCCCAACAGCAGTTGGGGTGTCCTGTTTAGAGGGGGGATTGAGAGGTGAAGCCAGCTGGGCTTCTGGGTCGGGTGGGGACTTGGAAAACTTTTCTGTCTAGCTAAAGGATTGTAAATGCACCCATCAGCACTCTGTAAAAAATGCACCAATCAGCACTCTGTGTCTATCTAAAGGTTTGTAAACGCACCAATTAGCACTCTGTAAAAATGCACCAATCAGTGCTCTGTGTCTAGCTAAAGGTTTGTAAATGCACCAATCAGCACTCTGTAAAAATGGGCCAATCAGCACTCTGTAAAATGGACCAATCAGCAGGATGTGGGCAGGGCCAAATAAGGGAGTAAAAGCTGGCCTCTCAAGCCAGCAGCAGCAACCTGCTCAGGTCCCCTTCCACACTGTGGAAGCATTGTTCTTTCACTCTTCACAATAAATCTTGCTGCTGCTCACTCTTTGGGTCTGCACTACCTTTATGAGCTGTAACACTCACTGTGAAGGTCTGCAGCTTCACTCCTAAAGTCAGCAAGACCACAAACCCACCGGGAGGAACAAACAACTCTGGACCACCACCTTTAAGAGCTATAACACTCACTGTGAAGGTCTGCAGCTTCACTCCTGAAGTCAAGTGAGACCACGAACCCACTGAAAGGAGGAAACTCCAGACACATCTGAACATCTGAAGGAACAAACTCCAGACACACCATCTTTAAGAACTGTAACACTCACTGCGAGGGTCCACAGCTTCACTCTTGAAGTTAGCGAGACCAAGAACCCACTGGAAGGGACCAATTCTGTACACAATTACGTTGGACAATTCCAACATAGCAAGAAAAGTCAAGAGTACAGAATCAAGTTATACTGGAGGAAAGCATTGCTTTTCTAGGACTTCAAGATAAACATTTCAGCATCAGGTTAGAATAGCAGAGTTAGAAGAGGAGAAAAAAGTCACAGGAACTGGCATAAAGGTTGAAGGAGAGTTATTATCCAAGCCAAACAAAAATATACACCTTTTTTTTCTTTTTGAGATGGAGTCTGGCTCTGTCACTTAGGCTGGAGTGCAGTGGCCTGATCTTAGCTCACTGCAACCTCTGCCTCCCCGGTTCATGGAATTCTCCTGCCTCCACCTCCCGAGTAGCTGGGATTACAGGCATGCACCACCATGCCCGGCTAATTGTTTGTATTTAGTAGATACGGAATTTCACCATGTTGGCCAGGCTGTTCTTGAACTCCTGACCTCAGGTGATCCACCCGCCTTGGCCTCCCAAAGTGCTGGGATTACAGGTGTGAGCCACCATGCCTGGCCAAAATATACGACTTTTTAAGGGGAGGAAGGAGAGCTGAAGGCAATTATGCATAACTGCAAAATACATGCAGCAAGATACAGCAAGAGGTGAGCCTCTGAAATATGAATTTGAGAAATTTCAAGGGGAAAACTACCTTGAGAAATGAAATTACCATTCCATGAAACTATCATTTCTTAGTTAAACCTGAACTGGAAAAATTAAATAGATTTCAGAAAAAAATGTGTCAAAAATAGAAACTGTCTGCAGTTTAGAGGGTAGCTGTTAAAGAAACAGATTTTATAATTTATAATCAAGACCAGCTGGGCACGGTGGCTCACATCTGTAATCCCAGCACTTTGGGAGGTTGAAGCAGGCAGATTAGCTGAGGTCAGGAGTTTGAGACCAGCTTGGTCAATGTGGTGAAGCCTTATATCTACTAAAAATACAAAATTAGCTGTGCATGTTGGCATGCACCTGTAGTCCCAGCTACTCGGGAGGCTCAGGCAGGAGAATTGCTTGAACCTAGGAGGCAGACGTTGCAGCGAGCCAAGATCACACTATTGCACTCCAGCCTGGTGACAGTGTGAGACTCTGTCTCAAAAAAAAAAAAAGTTATTTTTAAAATGAAAAACACATCTTACTTTTTGGTACAATTTGTGTATAGAATTACATACATTAATTAGAATTTCAACTCTTAGTATCTTTAACTTTAGTAGAAATCAAGGAAGCAAGAAATGTTTAAATGTCTCTCACATGTCATTATTTAATAGATAAGAATCATTTTATAGTTTTTAAGCACATGGTTTTCCATAACATAATTTTTATGTATATTAATAAATCCTAATATATTTAGTCTTCCCATAAAATTTAAGAAGCCAAGAATAAACTTATATTTATGTCCAGTAATGTGTTTCTGGTTTTAAAAATCCTATGTGACAATGACCCAGACAATTAATCAGCATCTATTATTTAATTTAACATAACTTTGAGATTTCATATTATGTAAAAAGTTTATTTATAAATGTTTATCCCATTTACATTTACCTAATTTATTTATTTTAGGCAATTCATCAATTGAGTATACAAACTGAAATATTAGACAAAGCTAGAATCTTTTCAAATTATTTCTGTGTCAACAATTTTTATAGCTTATGAGTATCAGGTGTTCACCTAAGTAAGAGCCTCAAATTTAACTCAGAAGATAGAGGTATTTTTATTAAACCAATAATATTAACTTAGTCTTACTTATTAAAGAGTTGCACAAATAGAGTCATTCTATTTTAGGTTGGTTTTATAGTTTTATAAACTTTGTGACAAACATTGATATCTTAAGACATCTAGGAGAGACATATATAAGAATGTTTGATCAGTAAACCCAGGCAAAAATATATGCTGACAATTTAAAGATATCTCTATTTTTATTTTACTAATAATTTTTAAACCAGCTTATTTATTAAGAATTTACTAAAGTTGTGTGAAATTGAAGGCATTTGGTTGAATTAGTGTACATTTTATATGAGTGTTCATTTATGTAAACCAATCCTTTTTTACTTTTTTTTTTTTGAACTGTTAGACTTTTTTTTTTTAATTAAACTTTAAGTTTTAGGGTACATGTACACATTCTGCAGGTTACTTACATATGTATACATGTGCCATGCTGGTGCACTGCACCCACTAACTCGTCATCTAGCATTAAGTATATCTCCCAATGTTATCCCTCCCCTCTCCCCCCACCCCACAACAGTTCCCAGAGTGTGATGTTCCTCTTCCTGTGTCCATGTGATCTCACTGTTCCATTCCCACCTATGAGTGAGAATATGCGGTGTTTGGTTTTTTGTTCTTGTGATAGTTTACTGACAATGATGATTTCCAATTTCATCCATGTCCCTACAAAGGACATGAAATCATCATTTTTTATGGCTGCATAGTATTCCATGGTGTATATGTGCCACATTTTCTTAATCCAGTCTATAGTGGTTGGACATTTGGGTTGGTTCCAAGTCTTTGCTATTGTGAATAATGCCTCAATAAACATACGTGTCCAGGTGTCTTTATAGCAGCATGATTTATAGTCCTTTGGGTATATACCCAGTAATGGGATGGCTGGGTCAAATGGTATTTCTAGTTCTAGATCCCTGAGGAATCGCCACACTGACTTCCACAATGGTTGAACTAGTTTACAGTCCCACCAACAGTGTAAAAGTGTTCCTATTTCTCCACATCCTCTCCAGCACCTGTTGTTTCCTGACTTTTTAATGATTGCCATTCTAACTGGTGTGAGATGGTATCTCATTGTGGTTTTGATTTGCATTTCTCTGATGGCCAGTGATGATGAGCATTTTTTCATGTGTTTTTTGGCTGCATAAATGTCTTCTTTTGAGAAGTGTCTGTTCATGTCCTTTGCCCACTTTATGATGGGGTTGTTTGTTTTTTTCTTGTAAATTTATTTGAGTTCATTGTAGAGTCTGGATATTAGCCCTTTGTCAGATGAGTAGGTTGCGAAAATTTTCTCCCATTCTGTAGGTTGCCTGTTCACTCTGATGGTAGTTTCTTTTGCTGTGCAGGAGCTCTTTAGTTTAATTAGATCCCATTTGTCAATTTTGGCTTTTGTTGCCATTGCTTTTGATGTTTTAGACATGAAGTCCTTGCCCAGGCCTATGTCCTGAATGGTAATGCCTAGGTTTTCTTCTAGGGTTTTTATGGTTTTAGGTCTAACATGTAAGTCTTTAATCCATCTTGAATTGATTTTTGTATAAGGTGTAAGGAAGGGATCCAGTTTCAGCTTTCTACGTATGGCTAGCCAGTTTTCCCAGAACCATTTATTAAATAGGGAATCCTTTCCCCATTGCTTGCTTTTCTCAGGTTTGTCAAAGATCAGATAGTTGTAGATATGCGGCATTATTTCTGAGGGCTCTGTTCTGTTCCATTGATCTATATCTCTGTTTTGGTACCAGCACCATGCTGTTTTGGTTACTGTAGCCTTGTAGTATAGTTTGAAGTCAGGTAGTGTGATGCCTCCAGCTTTGTTCTTTTGGCTTAGGATTGACTTGGCAATGCGGGCTCTTTTTTGGTTCCATATGAACTTTAAAGTAGTTTTTTCTTCCGTTGTCTTTTTTTTAACTTTTTTTTTAGGTTCAAGGGTACATATGCAGGTTTGTTATATAGGTAAACTTCTGTCATGGGAGCATGTTGTGCAGATTATTTCCTCACTGAGATACTAAGCATAGCACCTGATAGTTACATTTTTTGATTCTCTCCCTCCTTCTAACCTCCTTCCTCAAGTAGGCCCCAGTGGCTGTTCTTCTCTTTGTGCTTTTTGATTCTCATTATTTAGCTCCACTTATAAGTGAGAACATGGGGTATTTGCTTTTCTGTTCCTGTGTTAGTTTGCTAAGGATAATGGCCTCCAGCTTCATCCGTGTTTCTGCAAAGGATATGATCTCATTCTTTTTAATGGCTGCACAGTATTCCATGGTGTATATGTACCATATTTTCTTTATCCAGCCTGATGTTGATGGGCATTTAAGTTGATTCCATGTCTGCTATTGTTCATAGCGCTGCAGTGAACATACGCACACATGTGTTTTTATCGTAGAACAGTTTATATTCCTTTTTGTATATACCCAGTAATGGGATTGCTGGGTCAAATTGTATTTCTGTTTGGTATTTCCTCTTTGAGGAATCACCACACCACTTTTCACAATGATTGAACTAATTTACACACCCACCAGTAGTGTATGAGCATTCCCATTTTGCTGCAACCTCACCAACATCTGCTATTCTTTGACTTTTTAATAGTAGCCATTTTGACTGGTATGAGATGATATCCCACTGTGGTTTTGATTTGCATTTCTCTAACGATATTGAACATTTTTTTCATATGCTTGTTGGTTGCATTGCATGTGTCTTCTTTAGAAAATGTCTGTTCATGTCCTTTGCCAACTTTTTAATAAGATTTTTTGTTTTTTTTTTTGCTTGTAAGTTTAAGTTCCTTATAGATGCTGTATATCAGACCTTTGTCAGATGCATAGTTTCCAAATATTTTCTTCCATTCTGGAGGTGTCCATTTACTCTGTTGATAGTTCCTTTTGCTGTGCAGAAGCTCTTTGGTTTAATTAGGTCCTGTTTGTCAATTTTTGCTTTTGTTACAATCACTTTTGGCATCTTTGTCATGAAATCTTTGCCCATTCTTATGTCCAGAATGGTATTTCCAAGGTTATCTTCCAGAGTTTTTATAGTTTTGAGTTTGCCATTTAAGTCTTTAATCCATCTTGAGTTGATTTATGTATATGGTGTAAAGAAGTGGTCCAGTTTCAATTTTTTGCATATGGCTAGCAAGTTAATCCCAGCACCATTTATTGAAAAGGAAGTCCTTTCCTCATTGTTTGTTTTTGTCAGTTTTGTCAAAGATCAGATGGTTATAAGTTTGTAGCCTTATTTCTTGGTTCTCTATTCTAGTCCATTTTTCTATGTGTCTGTTTTTGTACCTAAATTATGTTGTTTTGGTTACTGTGTGTAGTATAGTTTGAAGTTGGGTAACATGATGTCTCTAGCTTTGTTCTTTTTGTTTAGGATTGATTTGGCTATTCAAGGTCTTTTTTTGTTCCATTCAAATTTTACAATAATTTTTCTAGTTCTATGAAGAATGTCATTGGTAGTTTGACGGGAATAGCACTGAATCTGTAAATTGCTTTGGGCAGTATGGACATTTAACAATATTAATTCTTCCTATCCATGAGCATGGGATGTTTTTCCATTTGTTTGTGTCATCTCTGATTTCTTTGAAGTGTTTGTAATTTTCGCTGTAGAGATCTTTCACCTCCCTGGCTAGCTGTTTTCTTAAGTATTTTATTCTCTTTGTGACAATTGTGAATGGGATCATATTTCTGATTTGGCTCTCAGCTTGGATGTTGTTGATATACAGAAATGCTACTGATTTGCTATTGATTTTGTATCCTGTAACCTTGCTGACATTGTTTATCAGCTCAAGTGGCTTTTGGGCAGAGACTCTGAGGTTTTCTAGATATAGCAATATGTCATCTGAAAACAGGGATAGTCTGACTTCCCCTTTTCTTATTTGAATAGCCTTTATTTCTTTCTCTTGTCTGATTGTTCTGGCAAGGACTTCCAATACTATGTTGAATAAGAGCGGTGATAGAGGGCACCCTTGTTTGTGCTGGTTTTCAGGGGGAATGCTTCCAGCTTTTGCAGATTCTGTATAATGTTGGCTATGGGTTTGTCATATATGTCTCTTATTATTTTGAGGTATATTCCTTCACTATCTAGTTTATTCATGGTTTTTAATCTGCAAGTATACTGTATTTTATTGAAAGCCTTTTCTGCATCCATTGAGATAATTATGTGATTAGTGTGTTTAGTTTTGTTTATGTGATGAATTATATTTATTAATTTGTGTATGCTGAATCAACCTTGTATCCCAGGGATAAAGCCTACTTGATCATGATGGATTACCTGTTTTATGTGCTGTTGAATTCAGTTTGCTAGTGTTTGGTTGAAGATTTTTGCATCAATGTTCATCAAGGATATTGGCCTGAAGTTTTCTTTTTTTGTTATGTCTCTGCTAGGTTTTGATATCAGAATGATACTGGCCTCAGAGAATGAGTTAGAGAGGAGTCCCTCCTATCAATATTTTGAAATAGTTTCAGTAGGAATGGTACCAGCTTTTTAGTATATCTGGTAGAATTTGGCTGTGAATCAATCTGATCCTGGTTTGTAAGCCAATCTTAATAGAATTCTTTAAGGGATTTCTGGCTGACTGCCAGATTTTATCATGTAGCCACAACATACAACACAATATATGTACATATGCATTAAACACATCAAATCACATATATACACACACACACAAAGATCTTATAGATTTCATCTCAGAATGTTAGTCATGAGATAGTAATACAAATTTCCTTGTCTACTAAAAAAAACTATTGGGATCAAATTGTATTTCTGACAAAATTGGAACCTGTTCACATGGCTAGACTTTATTTGCCCCAATAGTTAATCTGGTGAAGGCTGTGGACAAAAATTTTGGGTAAAGCAATTCTGAAGCAGTTTGATTTTTACAAAACCTCTTTTACCACATGTTCCTCTTTTTACATTTTCAAATGAGTTTAGAGTTAAATTTTCAATGTCTACATTTTAGCTAGGACTGGCTGAATTGTATAAGAAAAAAAATCTCCAAGTGGCCTTGGATCTGTTTTGTTTCCTGGACTGGTTTGTTTGACTAGTCAGTCAATTGTGGGTAGGGGAGCATTTTAGCAGTTTTTAAATTTTCTTTTTGGCCCCTGTATGGCAGACACAATAAACATTTTGTGCGGGACAAAGATGCCTTATATTATTGCTCTGAGTTCAGGATTGTGACCTGTTTGATCTGAAAGCCTCACCTTTATAAACATATTTATCTAGTTCTTTCCTTTTAGATGAATTAGCTATTTCATCCCCTAAGTGATTGTCGATCAAGAAAACCTAAATTTACCTTTCCAAATGGCACCTAGGTTGTTGGTTACCATGAAGCTGTTGCAATTTGTGAAGTCATTAATTTGAAAGCCCTTTAAGGACCCTAAAAAAAAATCTTGACTAGAATGCAATAGACGGTAAGTTTTATCTCAACACCAGTAGAAAAGTCAGCAGATTCAAAGTTGGCAGAAAAAAAGGGAGATAGAGAACTCAGTAGGCTCTGCATGTTAACTCTACAGTTACAGATATTTTTAAAGAGATTTTGAATAATGACCACCTGCATTCTACACTTTCCTTGACATAATTTGCCCATCAGTTTAAAAATATTCATGGGAAGAGACTATAATATGTAGCTAGCTGCATTCCCAGAAAACCTGGCATGCCTCAATGTTTGAGAAACCCATTCTATGTCTTATTAATTTCTTAAGAGCAAAGAAAATCCTATAAATTCTGTCAGGGAATGTCAGGAGTTTAGATGATAATGACTGCCATAGTTGCTTTTAATTAGCCATCTTGCATGCATCACTTAGAATGCTTATTTTGCTCTTGGGAGATTTTTGCAAATAAGCAAGGGAAAAGAGCCAAATCATTTACAGACCAAATTAAATCAAACCAAGATAAAGGTGTTCACAAAAATTTTAACTCAGGCATGCAGATAAAACAAAATATTGAATTAGGCATACAGGCCAAAAGTGAATTCACCAGAAAAGATATGCCTCACAGATAAAAAGCAGAAACCAGAGTACTCTGTCTTTATACCAGGAAGGATTTACTAGAGAAGGCAAAAAGTTTTTTTTTTTAATCATTGCAGAAGGCATGTAAGGTTCTTTATTAAGAGGTCCTTACAATCAAACTACATTTCAAATAATATCCAAAGCCTCTACCAAAAATAGGAAGGCTTGGCCTAAGAGAAGACTCACCAGGGCAGAAAAGGCAAGATATGGAAGTGGTGAGCTCAAAGAGCTCTTTTGAGTACTGCATATTGGTTCCAAGAATCAACCATTTCTTGTGATAGTGATCTTTCTTCAGGTCCCATTTCTGACATCACTTAAGTCAACCTAAATAATATACAGAGCCTCTCTAAAAGAAAAAGATATTTATTCAGGAATAGGGCATTGCAATGGGAATATGTGTGCCATAGTAAACTGTGCATACTCAGGGAGGCAAAGGAAGACAAACGTTTTAACAAGAAGACTGAAGAGGATTATATAATTTTTTTTGAAATGATTATCCTTGGCTACAAGGATCAATAAAAAGGGTGATGCCAAGTGGTTTCTGGGCAGATATCCTCGTATAAGTATTTTTGTGTAAGGCTGCAATGGCCTCTGTGTAAGGTTGTGGTTTTTGCTCTCTTTTGTGATAGTTTTGTTATCAGGCATACAAGTATGAGAACTCCCTCTTCATGCCCTTTCCCAGCTCTATTTTTCAGTTTTTTTTTTAAACACAAGTGATTCCATTTTGATTCTGATAACTTTCACAAAGCAAATGATCAACCCTGAGGAGGGGGTTGTGGGAAACTGATTTATAGCTGGTAAGCCAGAGGTACAGGAGGCCTGGACATGTAATTGTTGACTGAAGTATGTGTGTGGTTGAGCCCCTTAACTTGTGAGATCTGGTGCTAACTCCAAGTAGACAGAGTCAGAATTGAATTGAATTATATGATACCCAGTTGGTACCCACTGAGCATTGGATAATTATTTGCTGTGGAAAATCCACACATTTGTTGTCAAAAGTTCTGTGAGTACAGAAAAACAGCTTTTTTTCTGTAGTCACAAAATGTATTTCATATAATTTCAACCTTTTAATCGTATTGATTTGTTTTATAGCCTATCTTATGGTCAATACTGGAGAATGCTGCATGTGCTCTTGAGAAAAACATGTATTCTGCTCTTGATATGGTGGAGAAGTGGAAGGCAGCAGTGTTCTAAAGATGTCTGTATTAGTTAAATCTAATGCTGCTGATAAAGACATACCTGAGACTAGATAATTTATAAAGGAAAGAAGGAAAGAGGTTTAAATGACTCACAGTTCAGCATGTCTGGGGAGGCCTCAGGAAACTTACAATTATGGCAGAAGGGAAAGTAAACATGTCCTTCTTCACCTGGCAGCAGCAAAGGGAAGTATGAGAACCGAGTGAAGGGGGAGCCCCTTATAAAGCCATCAGATCTCATGAGAACTTACTCACTATCACGAGAATAGTATGGGGGAAATTGACCCCATGATTTGATTACCTCCCACTGGGGCCCTCCCATGACATACAGAGATTATGGGAACTATAATTCAAGATGAGATTTGGGTGAGTACACATCCAAACCATATTATTCCATTCCTGGTCCCTCCCAGATCTCATGTCCTCACATTTCAAAACACCGTCATATCTTTCCAACAGTCCCTCAAAGCCTTAACTCATTCCAGCATTAACTCAAAAGGTCAAGTCCAAAGTCTCATCTGAGACAAGGCAAATCCCTTCCATCTAGGAGCCTGTAAAATCAAATGCAAGTTAGTTACTTGGTTTTGGTACAGGCATTGGGTAAATACACACATTGGGGTACAGGGCATTGCATAAATACACACATTCAAAAAAATTGGCCAAAACAAAGGGGCTACAGCCCCTGTGCAAATCCAAAATCCAAAAGGGCAGTCATTAAACCTTAAAGTTCCAAAATGATCTCCTTTGACTCTATGTCTCACATCCAGGGGACACTTATGCAAGGTGGGCTCCCACAGCCTTGGGCAGCTTTGCCCCTGTGGCTTTTCAGGGTACAGCCCATTTCCAGGCTGCTTTCCTGGGCTGGCATTGAGTTTCTGTGGCTTTTCCAGGTGCATGGTGTGAGCTGTTAGTGGATCTACCATTCTGTGGTCTGGAGGATGGTGGCCTTCTTCTCACAGCTCCATCAGGCAGTGTCACCGTGGGGTCTCTGTGGGGGCTCTAACCCTACATTTCCCTTCTGCATTACCCTAGCAAAAGTTCTCCATGAGGGCTCTGCTTCTGCAGCAAACTTCTGCCTAAACATTCAAGTATTTCCATACATCCTCTGAAATCTAGGCAGAGGTTCCCAAACCTCAATTCTTGACTTCTATGCACCCACAGGCCCAACACTATGTATAAGGTGCCAAGGCTTGGGGCTTGAGCCCTCTGAAACAATGGCCTGAGCTGTACATTGTCCCCTTTTAGCCACAGCTAGAGCTGAAGCAGCTGGGGTGCAGGGCACCATGTCCTGAGGCTGCATTGAGCAAGGGGGCCCGGGGCCCAGCCCATGAAACCATTTTTCCCTCCTAGGCCTCCGGGCCTGTGATGGGAGGGGCTGCTGTGTCTCTTATATGCTCTGGAGACATTTTCCCCATTGTCTTGGTGATTATGCAAATTTCCACTACTGGCTTGAATTTCTCCCCAGAAAATGAGGTTTTCTTTTCTATCACATCATCAGGCTGCAAATTTTCCAAATTTTTATGCTCTGCATCCTCTTAAATGCTTTGCCACTTAGGAATTTCTTTCACCAGATACTCTAAGTCATCTCTCTCAAGTTCAACGTTTCACAGATCTCTAGGGCAGAACCAAAAGATGCTGCCGGTCTCTTTGCCTAGCAAGAGTGACCTTTATTCCCATTCCTAAAAAGTTCCTCATCTCCATCTGAGAGCACTTCAGCCTGCATTTTATTGTCCATATCACTATCAGTATTTTGGTCAAAGCCATTCAACAAGTCTAGGGAGCTCCAAACATTTTCACATTTTTCTTTCTGCTTCTGAGCCTCCAAACTGTTTCAACCTCTGCCCAGATCCAAAGTCACTTCCACATTTTTGGGTTTCTTTACAGCAGCACCCCACTCTCTGTGGTACCAATTTACTGTATTAGTCTGTTCTAACACTGCTAGTTAAGACATACCTGAGACTGGGAAATTTGTAAAGGAAAGAGGTTTAATTGACTCACAGTTCAACATGGCTGGGGAGGCCTCAGGGAACTTACAATCATGGTGGAAGGGAAAGCAAACACATCCTTCTTCACATGGCGGCAGCATGGAGAAGTATGAAAGCTGAGTGAAGGGAGAAGCCCTTATAAAACCATCAGATCTCATGAGAACTTAATCACTGTCATGACAATAGCATGGAAGAAC
Source organism: Homo sapiens (assembly GCF_000001405.40). Classification (NCBI taxonomy): domain Eukaryota; kingdom Metazoa; phylum Chordata; class Mammalia; order Primates; family Hominidae; genus Homo; species Homo sapiens. The sequence continues at coordinate 172,815,490 of NC_000001.11, forward strand.
TACCCCATGATTCAATTACCTCTCACCAGATCCCTAGGACTCTTAAACTGTTTATTTTTCTTCACGCTTTTTTTTCTTTTTGTTCCTCAGACTGGACAATATCAAACTCAATTTCACCATGTACTTAACTTTACTTATGCTCTTTATTTCTTTGTGTGGATTCAAGTTACTCTCTAGTGTTGTTTAATTTTGCCTGAAGAATTCCCTATACTATTTCTTGTGAGGGAGATCTGCTAGCAGTAAATTTTCTCAGTTTTTGTTTATCTGAGAATGTCTTAAACTCCCCTTCACTTCTGAAAGAAAATTTTGCTCAATATAGAATTTTTGTGTGAGATTCTTTTTCTTTTAGCACTTTAAATATGTCATCCAACTTTTTTGGCCTTCTTAGTTTCAGATCATATGTCAGCTGTTCATTTCATTGCAGATCCCTTGTATGTGATGAATCATTTTTGCTGGCTGCTTTTGGGATTCATTTTTATCTTTGACAGTTTGACTAATACATGTGTAGGTGTGTACCTCTTTCAGCTTATTCTACTTGGAGTTGTTGAGCTTTTTTGATGTGTAGATTAAGATTTTCATCAGTTTGGGACATTTTCTGCCATTATTTTTTCACATACCAATATATGTACCATGGGAGTCCTAGAAGGAGAGGAGAGAGAAACAAAAGGACATAAAGAATATATATGTCCTAAGAATTTTCAATACCATTTACTAACTATTAGATAGAAGTAATAGTTTTTTCTCCCCCTTATTAATCTCTTTTTTCTTCTACTTAATCATTAAGAAATATCGCCTTTTATAATAGTCACTAATATGTGACTATTTATAATCAAAAATAATATGAGAATCAATCATATGCAAGTTGATATAATACGACACAATTTGCCAGAGAGAAGTTATACAGAAGGAGGAAATAAGAAGAAGAAGAGCAAGTTGAGTGTTCTATGGTTTTGTCAGCTTTGTCCCTTCCAATTTGCTAAAGCTTATGTGGTTTCCTTTACTATAGTGAATATGTGAGGGGAAGAAGCTTGAAACAAGGAGGTCCTGTTATATGCCAATATTGATCTATAAAAACTCTAGATGAAGCTGAAAAAGTTCTGGGGTAAAATCCAAGGACACAAGTAATAGACATTTAAGAATCATTACATTTTCTTTCTAAGTAAGAATGTAGAAGTCAAGCTTTATATAATTCAAGAGGAGCAGAAAGGTAAGAATAACCTAGAGAGAAGAGCAAGGAAGTGGGATTCTAGGAGAAAAGGTTTTTTGTTTGTTTGTTTGTTTGTTTGTTTGTTTTTTGGCAGGAGGTGTGACAAAAATGGAAAAGAGAAAGTAAAAAATATGGGTAACCCCACAAGAAAAGCAAATACAAAGGTCAAATCGGGTGAGTAAGAATAAGTGCATGAAATAAAGAGGGATGAACAAACGGGGTGGGGAATTTTCAGGGTAGGAGAAAAAGATGGGAACTTTGAAAAAAGTGGGAATAAGGGAGAAAAGGGTATTAGTACTGAGCTTTGAAGGAATGGTTGAGGGAATTATAGAAGGTCAAATGATGGAAATGGGTGCAGCTTGAGAGAAAAAAAGAGTTACTGGGTTAGGATGACAAGAAAGGCAAAGTGATGAGGCTTTGCCTTTGACTCTTGGACTGTGTTTAATGAAGCTAAAAGCACACACTTGTTAGGTTATAAAGTGAGGTAAAGAACTATCGAGGGAGAGAGACTGAGTACCTGATGTCAATTCTTATTACAGTTCTTTAAGATTTCTGTTTTATCAAAGGATCTCACTTTCTTCCCACCTCATTCTACAATGTAGTAGTATTCTAACACTCATGCACATCAAGGTACTTGTGGGAGAGAATATCCTGTAAGAAAAACATATACAACCTATAGATTTCTGATTCATAGCACATGAGGAGTTCATTAAAAACACACAGAAAATAACAAGACAAAAAACTTTGGACACCCCCCTCCCGAAGCTCATTCATGGGTCCCATCCTTTAATCTCACCAATTTACATAAATATGAAACACCTGACCAAGTTTTCAAGTAATTTGTCACTCATCTTACCTCCTAAGGAAGACTATGTTTTCATTTAACAACAAATAGGCCAGGTGCAGTAGCTTATACCAGTAATCCCTTTAGAACGCCAAGGTAGGAGGATCGCTTGAGGCCAGGAGTTTGAGACCAGCCTAACATACAAGGACCTTTGATTCTGCAAAAGATAAAAAGCATTAGCTGGGCATGGTGGTGCTCACCTATAGTCCTAGCTATCCAGGATGCTGAGGCAAAAGGATCATTTGAGCAAAGGAGTTCAAGGTTACAATGAGCTGTGATCGCATCACTGCATTCCAGTATGGGTGACAGTTCTTGCTCACAAGAACCTGTCTTTATAAAACAAATGAACAACTTAACAACAAATACTTGTTAACAGATATTTAATTTACTATGTGCCAGATATGTACTCCAGGCACCTGAACAACATGAAAATAGAATGTTTTGTTTTCCTCTAGCCATGTCTATTTGCTGGTGTAGTCAGACAGTTTGGGGACAAGCAGAGGATTGTGGTGTTTTTGATGGTGGTGAAAGTGGAAGGATTATCCCAGGGATAGCATTATTAATCCCATATCATAATAAGGCCTGAGTGAAAAGACCCCTGACCTGGCAAATATCAGATTCTGCTAGATATGAAATGAAAATGAAAATTACCTTATTTTGGATACTTTGGAAGCCTGCTTTGTATTTTCCCTCCAGAGTCAGTATTGTATCAATGTGCTATGAATTTTCAATACCATTTACTGAGTAACTATTAGATAGAAGTAATAGTCTTTTTCTCCCCCTTATTAATCTCTTTTATTCTTCTACTTAATCATTAAGAAATATAGCCTTTTATAATAGTCAGTAGCTACAACTTTGCTGTCCCTAGGGCCCAATGTTTGGCTGAGGTGTCCTCACTTAGTGTGCACGTGACCAGAGCTCTGCAGTGACTCGGAGCAGCAGCAGAAGGGGAAATAAGGAAGTGGCACCATCTCGGGACCTGAAAATCAAGCTAGAAGAGCCCTAATCATTCATCTGTCATCAGCACATAAACATCCCTTTTCTACTGGTACTCAGACAAGGCAGGCTTGCTTGAATGCACTACTTGCTCTGAAGTTCTTCATTTATAAAATAATAGACCAGGAATGGCGGAAGGGGTGTGTGTGTGTGTGTGTGTGTGTGTGTGTGTGTGTGTGTGTGTTCATATGTGTGTATAATGTACATCTCTTCTTTGACCCCCTTTGGTTTCCAGTGTTTGCATCATTAACTAAGCTGATTGTGACTGCCCTCTACATTTATTTAAATAAGATAGAGTATTTTAAAAAGAAACTTAACGTAGGCCTTGGCACTTAGGGATGCTCAGTTATAGCGCCTGTGTATAAAAGCACCCAAGGGGTTTACATGGCCAGACTTTTCACCACTTCTGTATTCTTGGCTGGCCTCCCTCCTCTGAAACCTCAGCTGGGGAGGGACCCAACTGTAAGAGATTTGTTTTCTGTGACATTTGCTATTTGTTGCTGGCTCACTGTTTCGGTGGGGGAGGTGTCATGCTAAAGTCTGTAGGGGTAGTAGACCATGCACTTTTTGAGACTATTACTCATCTCTCTCATGGAGAATGTCACCCAGTGTCACTTCCCCCATTTTTTGGTGTTTTAGAGCCGACCGAGTCCTTGTCACTCATGCAGCAAGGAGCAGACTTCAGAGCCTCAGTCAGAGAAAGTGGAGGAGGAGGCATCTTGCTTTCCCTCCCCCTTTCTTTTCAGCATTTCTGCATTTAGGTGAGCCCTTCTAGCTGTGTGTCCCTTGAGGAGTGTGACAGATTTGCTTTGCCCTTTAGCTTTGTGGTGAGGAGTCTCTTGCTTATTTTAAATAATATGACAATCTTCCTGGGCTGTAGGGCTTGAGAAGATGAACTTGTCAACAGAAATGTCTGTTGGTTTCAGTTTCTGCCTATTACCCTGTGAAACCAAGGCACAGGGTAAAATTTCTCAGTTTTGTTTTCTCGTATTTCAAGGCCTTCACATTTTACCCCCAACATTTTAATGCATAAGAGAGCTTTCTATCTGAACTTTGATTTGCGCTTAAGTTTAAACTAAACGTTTTCTCTAGATTGAGGTGGATCTTGGATGAACTATCCCTTTCCTCCCCATGTGCAGTGGCATGCCTCAGTACCACAGAGCCACTTTCCCTATGGTAGGCTAGGTCAGGGGACAGAAGGCTTTTGCATTGAGCTGTGTATGCGGGACACTGGGTTAGACAAAGTTGCACAGTTTTCCTTGGGAGTCAGTCAACACATATGCATTATTCAGTCCTCTTATATGCCAGGCACTGCGTGGGTGCTGCAGACGTAAGGCCTCTCACGCCTCTAGGATCACCGACTTTTATTTTATTGTGTAGCATCTCTTGAGTCTGGGGTGCTAAGGAACATGCTTTGGGAAAGCCTGTCTAGCTTGAAGAAGATCTAATCTATTATTTGTAGAAACCCTAGGAGGTGATTGTATAATGGCTTTTTATCTTCTATTCATGGAGGCTTACTGTCTAGAAGACCTTCTGTCTAATTCGTATAATATTTAGGTTAGGCTAGCTTAGCAAGGCAACATGATTGAATACAGACAAAGGAACTATATAGTCCTGGCCCTGTTACTCCATTCCTCTGTCCCCTCCATGTGACCCACACTTCCACTAGTCTCATTGGGTCTGAGAACAAATCTGAGAGGCAGAGCAACATTAGTGGCTAAGAGCTTCAGCCTCAGACACATGTGTTCAAAATTCTTGCTGTCTTTAATTTACTGGCAGGTGCGTGTCCCTTGAGCAAATTACTTATCTCTCTCTGCCTCAGTTTGACCTCACAGGGTTATTTGCAAGAATTAGATGTGACAGAATATTTTAGAAATTATCAGTATGCTTAGCATATAGGAAATGCTTAATAAATGATAGTTACTATTATGAGAAAGTATCATGCTCCTCAGATGAGCCGAAATTTTATAGCCCATTACCCCACTCATCTGCTATTTTGGGACTTTGAACACTCGCAAATTCTCTTCATTCTCCTCTTCCTCCCCCTCATCAATACTTTGTAATTGAGCACCTACTTTGTCATGAGTCATGTGTAGTAAAAGCATTTATTTGCATTATGGCTTGTAATCCCTCATCCTTTAAGCCTCTGCTGAATTGTTTTCTTCTCAACAAAGTCTATTTTAATCAAGTTATTTAAAATTGCAAACTGCACCTCCCTGAAACTCCTCATCTCTCTCGCCATGCTCTCCTCCACTCCATAGGGCTTACTTTCTAACATATTGCATATTTACTTACTCTGTTTATTTTTTTTATTTTTTATTTATAACCCCTTTAGAATACGAGGTCCATAAAGACAGAAATATACATTTTTTTAAACTGATGCATTCTAAATTCCAATTCAGTGCCTAACACATAATGCATGCTCAGTAAGTATTTGTTCAGCAAACTGGTGAATGTCATTTATTGAGCAATAACAAAAAAATTGTGACCATAAAAACACTTATTTTACATATAAAGAAAACAATTTCTCTTAAGTTATGAAAATTGTCTAAGGTGATAGTAGGTTTTAGAGTCTGGGTTTGACTTAATCTGATTTGAGAGCCCAATCCTTGATAATTTTTCTCCACTATCCTTGCCACTTAACTACACTTGGGAGTTTTCAAGAAATGATTCCTACTTGCTCACAAAAATCTAATTCCTGTCACAACTAGATGGCAGAGCTGTGTGGTCCGTGCAATAAGGGGGAGAAGGCCTCTGACTTCTTCATGTTACTCACTTTTAGAAGGGCCCCAGAGAGGTGGTGTTTGTGCTATTACGTTTTCCAGAGTGTTACCTGAGTCTTTAGTGTTACTTTGAGCCATGAGCACATAGGCTAGACCAGGTGTGATCTGAACGCCTTTACTTTTAAAAAAAATCTTTACTTTCCTGTAACAACTAAGGTTTATAGATCACCACTCTTGTATGAATCTCTAAACAGTGTATTGTTTAGCTTTTGGGAATTTGAGTGCTAAGCATAGATCTTGCTGTGTATAGAAAGTGTAACATTGTCCCTATCGAATGACAGCTCCTGGGAGATGATAATCTAACCAGTCTCTGGGCCATGGACTGGCTTTAGTTTTCCTGAGAGTTTATAAGAGCCTCTTGGGGAAGTCAGTGGGCATGATTACAAGCAAAAAACATGAGTCAGCACACTTGGGACATCTGGTGAGGCTGATGGATGGACCAGGCTCTGGGCATGTGATAGAAATGTGGCCAAATGGAGTGGCTGCTTTTTATTTACTGCTTCTTATCTCACCACCACCTCTCTGCAGGCTTCAGGGGCAGGGCAAAGCAGAATGATTCTTTGATATGAAAGAAATGTCTTCAGCTGACCTAAGCTGAAGGGCAGGAACTTCAATCAGCAAATGGTCAAGAAAAGCCAAGGACAGGTAAGAATCTGTACCTGGACCCCTGGCATATTCTGTACTCAAGTTAAAAAGATGGCTCAGTTGACACAAGGGTCTTAGTGAAGGTGGCCCTCACCATAGTTATTTCTTGCATCACATTATGTCAATTTAGACTGGTTGGCTAGATTCCAACTTCCTGCCTGGAAGGCAAGGGTCTTTCTACCAGTGTTCTGAAAGCAGAGTTGGGGAAGACAGCAAGAGTGTGATGCATTTCCCATTCACAATGCATGGTCTCTCCCTCTTTGTGTTGGGTCAGTTACCTACGCCCACAACTGTACATGCTGTCCCCTAGATCCAGGGACCCTGTTTAGAAAACAAATCTTCAGGCCGAGCGCGGTGGCTCACGCCTGTAATCCCAGCACTTTGAGAGGCCGAGGCGGGCAGATCACGAGGTCAGGAGATCGAGATCATCCTGACTAACACGGTGAAACCCCATCTCTACTAGAAATACAAAAAATTAGCTGGGCGTGGTGGCGGGCGCCTGTAGTCCCAGCTGCTGGGGGTGCTGAGGCAGGAGAATGGCGTGAACCTGGGAAATGGAGCTTGCAGTGAGCTGAGAGCACACCACTGCACTCCAGCCTGGGTGACAGAGCAAGACTCTGTCTCAAAAAAGAAAGAAAGAAAGAAAACAAATCTTCAAATTCTACCAATGTGTGAAAGGGAAAATATGGAGAAGATAAGGGAATCTAGGCATTCTAACTGCTACTGAAAAAAGTCCTCGCTTGCTCCTCCTTATTCTAGACAGCCCTTTCACCGCAATTCCAGAGACCTAAGCCCTCAGTTCCTAAGCCTCGATTTTCTGGTGTTAATTGGGTTGGTTCTTCTCAGTTTTGTCCGCTGTCAGGATGAGATTCAGCTTTCTCAGACCTGCTAAGTTAGTTTTCACTTGCCCATCTGCTTCTAGCTCAGAGACCAAGTTGTGTTGCTTTGGCCTTTTCTCCTATTCCAACCGTTCCTGTGGATTTATGTCTTTTGAAAGATTCCTTTATTGTAGTTTATAAGGAGAAGTAAAATTAGATGCATATATTAAATTTGCCACCTTAACTAGGAACCTCTGAAAAAAATAATGTCTTTCTTTTCTTCAGAGCTCACTTCATCCTCTTCAGGAGGAGCCATCTGTTGGCTACTGGAGGAAAATATTCACAGTGTTCATTTGGATTTAAATTAGTTAAATCAGATAATTTAATCCATTCCTTTAAGTAATGCTCAGACTCCAGGAAGCAACAACAATGACAACAACAACTGTGTTCTCTATGACTGCTCCACTATTCTTTTTTTTTTTTTTTTTTTGACTGCTCACTATTCTACGTTTCTCTCAAAGATGGTATCCAGACATCTGGATAAGGAGGTCTGAGCGGAGGATTTTGGCCCTTTGGGGCCCATGTTCTCTGGACTCTGGGTGATGTTTGTGTTCACCTATTTGCTGTTTGCCTTCCTGGTATTTTGTTGTGAAGTCAGTGGCTGGTCTCTTGTTGCCCCATTTCCCTCCTGGCTTCCTCAGAACCTAGTAGTGCCCTTTTGCTGGCCTAGCTTAGCCCTGTCTCCCATTGGCTTCAGGCCCTGGGGGCTCCACTGTGTCCTCCTGCTAATTCACTGGCTCCAAGATCCACCTCAGCCCCTTCAATAAGGCCACTGCCACTGTGGATTCAGCAGCTGGTGGCTGGATCTTGACTCATCCCTGATACCCCATGGGAATCAAAGGTTACTTTGGAAAGCTGAACTTAAGAGACTCCCTCCACACTGAGCTTCCTAACTGATGTAGTCATATATCAGGTTGGTGTAATTATTCCCCAGATGCCTCAACAGGGAGCAGGGAATAAGCAGCCCTCTTGCCCTCAGTTTTACTCTAATGCATTCCCTCATCCATGGGCCAAGGCCTGGAATGGGGGCAATTGGAATACACATGGTTAAGAGTCTTGCTCTCCTGCCTTCTAATTTTCTGTGTTTTATTAAAAATTCATGGGGGAGTGGCCTTTCCTTTTATTTCCAGAGTCATGTCTTTGAGCAGCAAGACTCTCAGGGGGTTTGCCATCAGAGACCCAGGGATCTATCATCTCCACACGATGAGCCATGTCTGTGAGTTGGGTTCTTGATGTGGGGTAATAAAAGAGTTTGGAAAAACCCTCTGTCAGAATATTGGCTTCTGAATAATTCTGTTTTGTATATCAGAAACTGAATATTAGCACATTTTTTTCTCTTTGCATTTCTTTTGTAAAATATCCTGGTATTTCCCCAGAAATGAACTCCTTAGGCTGACTTAATAAAAAAAAAAAAAAGCAAAAAAGTGGGGCAGGTATAATTTTACAAGATCTTACCCACTGCAGGTGTGATGTAATCACATTGATGTAGTTTGAAAAGAATCAGAAACCCTGGGGCTGGCTAAGCATTCAGTATTTAGAAACTGTTTTGGACTATGGGACTGTGGTTACTGAAGCTGACACACTTCCAGGTTTTAGGGCAGAGAGGAACTATCTGAATATTAGCTGTGTGAAGTAGGGCCATTACTTAACAATCCTTCGTTTGTAAAGTTGGGTTGTTAAGATGACTAAATGAGAGGTTCATAAAACATTTATGCTTTAAAAGGTTTAGAAGGTGTTATCGTCATCGTTATTGACATCATTACAGTTGAGCCCTGAACAACACACAAGGGTTAGAGGTGCCAACTCCCCTGACCCTGTGCAGTTGCAAATCTGCATTTAACTTTTGACTCCCCAAAAACTTAACTATTAATAGCCTACTGTTGACTGGAAGCCTTAACTATAACATAAACAGCCATTTTGTACTGTTTTGAATTTTATATGTTATTAATATATGTATTACGTGCTATATTCTTACAATAAAGCTAGGGAACAGAAAATGTTATTAAGAAAATCATAAGGAAGACAGAATATATTTACTGTTTATTAAGTGGAACTAGATCATCATAAAGATCTTCATCTTCATTGTCTTCATGTTAAGTAGGCTGAGACCGAGGAGTTGATCTTGCTCAGGGGTGGCAGAGGTGGAAGAATATCTCTCTGTAAGTGGACCCACACAGTTCAAACCTGTATGGTTCAAGGATCAACTGTACTATTCAGAAGAAGTCCATTGCCTTGATTTGAAACATTTCAAAGCTTAGGTTATTCTAGTTTTGCTAATTTAGAGCACTTCCATTCACCAGAAGCATCTTTGGACCAGCAGATTAAAGATGCAGGGAGCAGCCAATGCCTTAAAGATTTTTAGAAATAATTAAAGACAGCATTAATGAACATATGGACAGTCTGGCTGAAGATGCCACCTTGCATAAAGGTGGCCCAAACCTTGTCAACTTTGCTCTGTTTTAACAGTTTTACATTTATTTAAAGTCTTAAGAGTTTGTGACACTTTTTGATTAAGTGTGATTAATATGAAGAGTGAAATAACTTCTGTAAATATAAGAAATCATTTTTTAACTCTTAGCTAATTCAATGGGATAAATAAAATAGTGAGCTTGATTTCTTTAACTTAAAGCAGTTATAAGGGATTAAAAGTGCCAAAAAATTTTTTAAAATACTATTGGGTTATGAACTCTTTTAGTGACTTTTATGTCTTTTTCCCTTGAAACCTTCACATTTTCTTTAATGACATCTGTTATTTTTATTATCACAAAAAAAGATAGAGAAAAGCAAAATGACAAAAGATATTATACAACTGGGTTTTATATCTTAAGATAATAAACACATTCTAATTATCACCTAAGGACTGATCCTCTGTAGGTATGCTTTCTATTTTACCAATCTGAACTTGCGGAAATTAAAACTTTTTTTGGAAATGGCTTAAATTTAAACAAAACATCATGTTAGCCTCAAGGCAGGATGTTGTTGTTAAAGATTAGTTTAGAAACACTGATCTCTGTGTATTGCTGCATTTCATCAATATTTTTTACTTAAGACAGTCTGACAGGGATGTTGTCCTTGGGTTTGAATGAACATGGAAAGATTTTGTATGTGTTTTTTGTTGTCTGCTTTATATATATATAATCACTCATAATGTATAAAATATTCATAACCAGTTAAAATATACGGAAATTTTGAAAAATTAGGCAAGTTATCTTTGCTCTCCTTATCTGCAAAATAAAGAGAGGGTTTCTAAAGTTCTTTGAGCTGTGGAATTCTCCTTCTCTGGGAACTCAACCCAGTAGCTAGCTCTAGGAGGAAGTTGAGAAAAATGCTATTCTCAAGAGTAGCCACATGGTGGTGGAATGATTCCTCACAAAAATGGTATTCAGCTTCCCTGAAAGCAAAATGATTACATCCCAAAATTGAGTTATTCAAGGATCTCAGGAGACATGTGACGAAAGAGAGGAGGCAGCTCTGCGTGCTTCTGGGTCCCAGTGAAAATAGAAACATAATGTTCCTGTACACAAAGTAGTTAGAACTCTACCAAAGGCAATTCATGCAACTTTATTTCCCTTCTGACCTCGTGTTTGAAAGATATTTTTGAGTATTAAACTGTATATTTGTAATGAAATAAAGACCCTCATTTACTGTGTGCCTCTGCAATCTGTATTCCTTTAGCCTCAGTCAGCTATTTCTTGGCCTTGCATCGCCTCTAGCTGTGCCCTAATTCTTCTCCTTTCGTTTTCAGCTAAGTAAACTGTATTCATGACTGTAATTCATTTACACTTCAACACATCACGGTTCGGAGCCTAGACTCACTTCTAAAGGTCACCAATGAACTTTGTATTGCGAAACCCAAGGATGCTTTCTCAGTCCGTATCTTACGCCCTATCTTAAAACCCTCTGGTTTAGTTTCTTGACTCCAATCTGTCCTGGCATTCCTCTTGCTTCTTTGAGTGATTTCTTTCTTGTCTTTTGGGGCTCTTCCTCTTCTGTGTGTCCAGTAACTACAATAACCCAGGTTTCTAACATTACCCCAAAGTCTCCATTTCTTTACATACTTTGCTTGAGGAATTTCATCCTTGTCATTGTTTCATTTATAACTGGAATGACAACTAATGTCAAACTTAATCTTTACCCTAGAACTCATATGTAATCTTTAGCTTGATATGTCCCAGAAGAATCTCAAACTCAACATACCTGGAACTGTCTTCATTGTTGTTCTCTGTTCACCAATGGTTCCTTTATTTCTAGCTTAATTACTGGCATAACCATCTTGTTGCCCAAACCAGAGATTAAATAATTATGTAAGACTTCTCATTGTCCTGGGCCTTCTACATCTAGGCAATCAGCAAGGTCTAATGGTTTTAGCTCATAACTATTTTTTAAATCTGTTTTCAGGCTCATCCCCAATAACGATTTCCTTACTTAGGTCCTTGTCCTCTCCTTGGAACATCGCAATCTGTAGTTTCCTTTCTCCTGACTTGCTTCCCTTAAATCTGGTCTCTACAACGTAAGGAGCATACTTTTTCTAAAAGCAAAACCCAATCATTTAACCTCCTTGTGTAAACATTTTTAATGGTTCTTCATCATTTACAGATTAGAGTACAAAGTTCTTAATATAGTTTACAAAACCCCAAATGCCTGGCTTAGTCTCTCCAGTCACTTCCCATCTCATCTCTCACCAGTTCTTGTTTCACAACATTATAGTCTAGTGCTACCAGGCTTCTAGTTCCTCACCTCCTTCCCACTGTTTATGTCTCTGCATTCATTTATTTTGTTCCCTTTGTCTCAAATTTCTTTCCCACTTTTGTCTTGGTAGCTCTTGCTCATCTTTAACATTCTTATCACAAGATGTCTCAACTAGGACTCTTTCCTTGAATCCTCAGCTAGACTAAATGCCCATCCTTCTCATTCTCACAGCATGTGTTTATCTCCATCTTAGAACTTGACAGCTTTTAATGCAATTGTATGTTTATATATTTTGTACCCTCCAATAAGCAAGAGTCCCTTAAAAAGAGAGATCACATCTATTTGTTTTTCTTGTTCCCAGTTCCTAGTCTGGGGCTTAGTGCATAATGAATATTCAATAAATTTTTGTTGAATAGAATTTAATATTTTTGCGGCTTAGAGTCCCTGAGGGTGCTCTATGAAGTCTACTCCAGTTCTAAGAAAACTAAACTGTGGTTTTAGCTGGGGCCAGCTTCCTGGAAAAGACTTGAGCTGTGCCCTGAAGAGTTAGTTTAACAGAGTTTGGACTAATAGAGAGAAGTGAGGGGTATAATCAAAGTTGGATGAGCAAAGGCACGGAGGCTTGTACAGAGGATAGTGCAGAAACAATGTTAAATGTGTTTCTGAAGTGGAATAGTGAAATATGAGTTGGGATAGGGAGAATCCAGCTCATGAGAAATCTCTACTGAGGGACTGGCAAATTGGGGGCTTATTTCCATAAGCAGAAGGAAGCACTCAAAATTCTTGAACAGAGGAATGACATTTTCAGAGCCATGCTGCAGGAAGAGTAATTCAGCACAGGGTACAAAATGAATTGAAGTGAGAAACAGATGGGAATCAGTGAGGCCAATAAAAGTTGATGGCGGTTAATTAAACAGGTGCCACTTGATGAGGCCTTAGACCAGCATGGCAGCTGCGTGAAAAAAAGGAGTTGATTTTTGAGCCACTGGAGGAAGAATTAACAGAGACTGATTGCACGTGATAATAATAGAGAGAGAAGAGTCATGACATTTTAGATAAAGCAGCAGAAAGTTGGGGATACAATTAGTAGAGAGAGAAATTATAAAGGGCAGGATGGAATGTGGGACAGCAGCTGAATTTGGTTGGAAATCTTTGTATTTGAGATGATAAAACTTCACAATATTTAATATTTAGTAGGTATGCATAAGGGGTGCTATACACATTGGAGTGGTAGATGAATGAATGAAATCTTAGAAGTATCTGTCAGTAAAATGAAACCATAGTACCAGCTTATAGAGTGGTCTGAGTTAAGGATAGTGATATCGATTTAGGAAGTATCAGCTCAGAGTTCTGAAAACTGCCGAAGTGCATTCACCTCTGAAGGGAGAGATAGAAGTGAGGTAAAACACAGAGGTGCTTCTATCTTTCAGGCAAACAGAAGAGGCACAGAAAGCCAATGAGGGCATAAGGTCAGCTAGGTACAGATTTGTTGCTATAAACCTAAATAAACTATAACTCAGTTGCTTGCTGTCTTAGCCCATTTTGTGTTGCTATTACAGACTATCACAGACTGGGTAACTTGAAAATAAATTTCTTTTTTTTCATATCATTTATTGTTATTTTTATTGTTAAAATGCCTATTGCAAAAAATTCAGAAAATATGGCAAAATAGATTCTTTTTTGTTATTATACTTTAAGTTCTGGGATACATGTGCAGAACGTGCAGATTTGTTATATAGGTATACACACACCTTGGTAGTTTGCTGCACCCATCAACCCGTCATCTACATTAGGTATTTCTCCTAATGCTCTCCCTCCCCTAGCCCCCAACCCCCCAACAGGCCCCAGTGTGTGATGTTCCCCTCCCTGTGTCCATGTGTTCTCATTAACTCCCACTTATGACTGAGAACATGCGGTGTTTAGTTTCCTGTTCCTGTGTTAGTTTGCTGAGAATGATGGCTTCCAGCTTCATCCATGTCCCTGTGAAGGACATGAACTCACCGTTTTTTATGGCTGCATAGTATTACATGGTGTATATGTGCCACATTTTCTTTATCCAGCCTATAATTGATGGGCATTTGGGTTGGTTCCAAGTCTTTGCTATTGTGAATAGTGCTGCAATAAACATATGTGTACATGTGTCTTTATAGTAGAATGATTTATAATCTTTTGAGTATGTACCCAGTAATGGGATTGCTGGGTCAAATGGTATTTCTGGTTCTAGATCCTTGAGGAATTTCCACACTGTCTTCCACAGTGGTTGAACTAATTTACACTCCCACCAACAGAGTAAAAGCATTCCTACTTCTCCACATCCTCTCCAGCATCTGTTGTTTCCTGACTTTTTAATGATTACCATTCTAACTGGCGTGATATGGTATCTCATTGTGGTTTTGATTTTCATTTCTCTAATGACTAGTAATAATGAGCTTTTTTTCATATCTTTGTTGGCTGCATAAATGTCTTCTTTTGAGAAGTGTTTGTTCATATCCTTCTCCCACTTTTTGATGGGGTTCTTTGTTTTTTTCTTGTAAATTTGTTTAAGTTCCTTGTAGATTCTGGATATTAGCCCTTTGTCAGATGGGTAGATTACAAAAATGTTCTCCCATTCTGTAGGATGCCTGTTGGAAAAGAAATGTTTTTGCCATATGGTTCTGGAGGCTGGGAAGTAGAAAAACATGGTACCTGCATCTTCCAAGGGCCTTCATGTCATGTCATTTAATGGTGGAAGGCAGAAGGACAAGTGAGGGTAAAGCAAGAAAGAGCAAGAGGGGGCCAAATTTGCTTTTATAATAACCTATTCTCATTCACTCATGAGATAATGACATTAATCCATTCATGAAGGTGGAATCCTTATGGCCTAATCACCTTTTAAGGGTCCCACCTTTTAATATCATCACAAGAGCAACTGAATTTCAACATGCATTTTGGAGGAGACATTCAAAGGACAGTGCTTGGAATAGAGCTATTTAAAACAATTAAAAAGCAAATTTCTAATCATGAAAAATATTTTAACATAGATGGTGTATAAATAGCCAGAATATATGAATGTTTCTTTAGGCCAATAAGATAAAAATGATTATTCCAATAGAAAAATGGGTGGGGGCACAGGCAGGAAATTTCTAAAACGAATATTAAAGTCTGAGAAATATGCAGAAAGGTATTCAATTTCACTGGAAAAAAGAGAATTTAAAATAATATAGTTCTGTTGCTTAGCAAATTGGAAAATTTTTAATAAAAAAATACTCATCATTAACATATGGGAAACAGGTACTTGGTGGAAAAGTAAACTCATGCAACAATTTGTTAAATTCTGGATAACAATTTGGTGATTCAGTGATTTGGTTCAGCAAGTTCTTGAAAATTATCTGAAAGCAATAATTGCTTGGCACCAACATTTAGATATAAAGATTCCTATTTCTGCTTTACATTTTAGTTATATGTCATAACATAAACTCTCTCTAGCTGATATTAGTAGTTATTAATAAAATTACTATATTCATTGAATTGTGTTTAACTTTTATCCTAAATATCATGCATTACAGTTGTCATAACTGTAACATATTTCTTATATTATGCTGCTATACATTGATTCTTTTCATTAATCAATACTTTTATTGATTAATCTATGCCATTTAGCTCTCCTGTTTTACAATTGTGCTTGCCTTCCTTCAAATTTCCTGGCCAGCGTCACTGTTGTTGAATTTCATTTTGATGTGGTAGACTGTCTGGTCTCCCCTCAGTGTTTCATGAATATCTTTTACAGTTCCTTATAGTGTCTTGCACCTTAATTGATTGTGCATGAATAGATCATTTTTATGCTTCTTTAAACTCTTAAACCCTTGAAAAAAGTAAACACAGTTCAAAAAAATTAATAAAATAAGTAAATAAACTGTCAGAAGTGCACTTAAGTTTTGTAAACTTTTAGTACTCCAAATTAAGTTAAAAATAGGTGACTTGTTTAATTTTACATGTTTTGGAAATTCTAAATCTACTTTTAAAAAATATTAAGTTAATAGAGGCTTATATGATTTCTATAAACAGTAAATAAACTCATCAACTGCCATGGTCAACATTTATAAATAAATTAGTTAACACCAGATGCTAGCATTTTCATTTGTTGGGTGATCATATGCAAATAACTTCCTTCTGACCCTTGGAAAGTAGTCCTAAGAGTTTTCTAGATAATGACAGCTAGCTAGTTAGCTAGCTAGAAACTATTTGAAAATAATGGGGGAATTGATTAAATATATTTTAAATGCATAATAAAATAAATCATGTTAGTTTTCTAACAAACATAGAATGAAGTAGGTCACTGCATTTATTAGTTTTTGCCTTTTTGATAACACTTTTGTTTCTTTGATATTGACAAGGACCAGAAGGGACATAGGAGAAGCATACCAAGTGTTCAGGTTCAGTTTAAGTTGATATGCTTCTCGTTTTTACGGAAATTGATTTTTCTCCCTAGGGCAATGGCATGTATTAATATTTAGCATAAAAAGCACTGAAAAACACAGCTTTATTATTTTGTACTGGAAAGGAGTGGAAACATATAGTCTTTCATAAATCTTATTTGAAGTGAGCCACTGTAACTTATGGAAACATGTTGTATTTCACAGATGTGCTGGGGCAGAGAAAGGATTGCAAAGCACTGATCCAGGGTTGAAAATCCTTGAGTTCTGTGCAGCTGCTGCCACTTCCTGTGATGATTCCAAGAGAAATATACTTATAGAGATCCAAGTAATGCAAAGCATGTTGTATATTTCTACAAAGCTTTTGGTATAAACACCAATAGAGTTATTTGTTGAGTTAATTAGACTCCTCTTTACCTAAGCCTCAAGCAAAGTGAACTTTGTCCCCTGTCTTTTTTCTAGCCCCCTTTGACATTGGCATCTGAATAATTTCATTCTCAAGACCAGAGGAAGCAAGTCTGAGGAGGTGCCAGTTAGAGAATGACTTCTTAGGATCCAGCACATCTGCGGTTTAACCTGTAAACCCCAGGGGAGCATCCTCAGCCACATAGAAAATGTCACCTACTTAGGCTTGAGGCTTTAATGTCTTGGTCATATCAAAAGTTCTAGTTCCTGGCACCTTAGATTTGCTTGTGTTTTTGAACTTAATCTAAAAATGATGGGTGGGGGAAATAGGAAGAGGCCAATGTGTAACAATTGTTGAGGGACAAGATGAAGGCCACATAACATGGTGATCAAGATAGCAGGCTCTGGTGTGGTACTGAACTGCCTGGGCTAAAATCCTGTTTCTGTCAATTCATAACTTAGTCAAGTTACTTAATGACTTTATGCCTCTGTTTCCTCATCTGTGAAATGGGAATTATAATATATGACTTATGAGAATTAAATTATGTAA
The DNA here is from genome assembly GCF_000001405.40 of Homo sapiens. Taxonomy (NCBI): domain Eukaryota; kingdom Metazoa; phylum Chordata; class Mammalia; order Primates; family Hominidae; genus Homo; species Homo sapiens. Next base: position 172,832,899 of record NC_000001.11, read on the forward strand.
TACAGGCAAAGTACTTTTGGAATATATGAAGTACTAAATAAATGTTTGTTGTTATTATCCAGAGATACCATGTGACCATTCCATCAGAACCTCAGGTAGTAGTGTTTCTAGGAAGTGGCTACATATGTCAAAAAATTGTATGAGTATATACACAGTTTATTCAAGTAGACTTGTTTGTCCTAACCACACTCAATCAGATTTTGAGCGTGGACAGCCATTCGAGAATGTTTTGGTCTGATTGGTCAGTCTCTCCATTTAGAAAAACTACATGATATGGGCAGTTAAATTATAATCAGAAAGTTACATGGAACACATAAAATTTGATTATAAGTAGATTACCTGGGACACTCAGCTTTGGTGGTCAAATGCACTCATCATCTCTTAAAATAAATACACAGATTGGTAGATCAGGGGGTCATCTTTACTAAATAGTGAAGAAGACTTAAGGAAAATGTTGCTTTTTGGGTTTTGCTTTTCTAGATTCTAAGCAGCTTGTTTCCCTTCCATTAACAGCTTCTACTTTCAGATAGAATCAACTTTACGTTTATTCAGGCTTATTAGTTGCAACTGTACTCTACTCTTCCCTGAGTCTACATGCTATTTTCCTGATTCAATTTCGAGGTCCCCAAATCTCAGTCACACAATTACAGATACTCTTCTAGAGCAATGCTTCTCAAATTTTAATGTGTACAGAAAGTACCTGGATATCTTGTTCAAATTCAGAATCTGACTTAGTAGGTCTGGGGCGGGGCCTGAGATTCCGTATTTCTAAGCTCCAAGTGATGTCGATGCTGCTGGCCCATGGATTCACTGTGAGCAGCAAGTTTGTAAATTATCTGTGTGGATCCTAATGCCATCCATTGCCTATAAACTTTTCCTGATTTTACATTTGGGGAAAAATATAATCTCTAAGTTCTGGGAGTGCATATAGAAAGTGCAATTGGAAAGGGAAGTGGAAAGGGTGGGGGGCGTAATTTGCCATTCCACACAGGGAACTCACTTCTCTGTGTACTAATAGCAAATGGCTTACCTGATCACCTCATATGGCTATTAGGATGTTTGCCGGTGCTTTATAAACTGTGAAGAGATGCACAAAGTGACTGGCTATGCACCTCTTAATAAATCTTGCTGATTCCTGGCTACATAGATTGTCCATGTGAGAAGAAACTGGAAGCAAAACGATGACTATAATTTAGAGCATCTGTGCTTGTCTCTTAATATGGGTTTCCTTTGAAGTCACTACAGTTTTCTGTCTGTAATGTCTAAGACAGAGTGCCACTCCCAGTGAGTAAGTTTTTGTCCTTGTTTTTAGCTTCTCTGAAGGGTGACTCCCTGTCTCTGAAAAAACTGCCAAAGTGTATTTTTTTAACACCAAAATTTCTGTTTTAAGTCAGAATGTCTCAAACATATCTTCCATATTTGGTGAAAAATTGTTTTTCTTTTTCTACCTGATGGGGTAATAGAGAGACAGGTTTGCTTTATTTGCATATAGTATTTTTAGGGATTGTTGTTGAATAATAATCATAATAATGATTACCATTTTTTGAGTTCCTACATTGTACTATGAACTGCTTTGTACTTTACATACATTTGGGTTTTTTTCCTAATCATTAAAATAACCTTGAAAACTTAGGATTTTGTGTTGGTCAGGACATGTTCAACTAAGTTGCAGAAACAAAGAACTGCCAAAATTTCAGTGTTTTAGCAAAACAAATGTTGATCACCCTGTCATACAAGTCCAATGCTGGTCAGCAAAGATTCTTCATCTTACAAAACCATTATCTTAATTTGGGTCTGGGTCTTAATTTATAAAGGCGACTGAGTGATAACATGGAATGGTCAATGCCATTGGAAGAAAAGCTTATAGTTCCCCAGGTCCTCGAAGTACAGGGCACCACATAGGACCACGTGGGGAAGCACAGTCAGTCAGGAGGCAGAAGCAGGCACGAGGGGAAGGCCTGGCCCAGAGGCTTCCTCATGTTTTCTCATGGAAAGGCAAAGCAGGGCAGGCGAAGCAGCTTAGGATTGGATGATTGGAATAATGTTGGGGTGCTCTGGGCTACTAGAGGTGGGTTCTGGGCCCTAGTTTTCTGGCACCCAGCCCTGGGTGATTTAGGGCAGGGGAAATAGTGGCTCGGTATGTGAGAGTTAGATAAAGAGAGCAGTAGGAGGTATGGACTCAGAATTGTTTTGTTTGTGATTTGATTTTTATGCGGTGGTAAAAGCTGGATTGCAGGGGAGATGTAAACAGCTTTGGCCATGAGTTGGCCTGTGATTGATGGATGTCACACAGAAAAATACAGAATCTAAGAAAATACAGAAAACATCTAAACACATGGCCTCTGAGCTTACCATAGCAGAAGGAGAGAGAGTTGGAGCTCCCAATGGGATGTTTTTAGGAATTAAATCTCCCTCTTCATAGCCCAGTTCTCCTGGCTCCAAGCTCACTGCAAGGAAGGCTGAGAAATGTAGTGTTTTTCTTGTCCAGGAAAAGGAAAATGAGATGAGATTTGGTGAACACATGCTATGTTGTCTCTGCCACACTATAATTACCTCCAACTTATAAAAGAGTAAATTGTGGTTCTGATTGATTGTGACTTATCCAAAGTACTCATTTTTCAAATGGCAGAGCCAGGGCTTGAATCCAGGCATTCCAAAGTGTTCTTCTTTCCCTGTGTCACAGGACCTTTGAATTGAATACAATAATCCTGACCATATAGATAAAATAGGCTGACATCATATTTTATGGGTTCATAATTGAGAAGGAACTCCGGATTATTATTAATGTGAAGGCCATTAGACAGTTGAGCTAAGACCTTAGGATCCAGTGTGTTCAGATTAAGGTCTGACATTCAGAGCACTGAATACAAAGTAAAGTGTCTGACTTTTCAGTTACATTATCAAAAGTTGAAGATCAATAGCCAGGGGGTTTAAAACAGCTGGGTAAATAACAGTTAACAAAATTTTTAAATTTTTCTCTGAAGAGAGGTATAAAGAGCACAGTCTTATCCCTAGCGGGTACTTTTTGGTGGTGAGAGTCTGAACCACCATCCTCAGGGTCACCACCTCACATTCTTGCCAGTACTACCTTGATAACACAATGGGGAGTCACCTTCAGCTGAGCTGATGGTAAGATCAGGGAAGGTACAGTCCAACACAAGCGGTGCAGAAAGTCCCCAGTTTTTACCACAGTGAGTTCCTGGAAGCTATGTCACAAAGCAGACCATTATGAAGTGGATCATATTTTGCCAAACAAATAATGCCATACATTGGGTGAGGGATGTGCTACTGATCAAGAACTAATTCTCAATTAAGTCAAACATATAAGCAGATGATTTTTGAAAACAAGAGTATATAAACTATACAATTCTATTATAACTTTAAAACAGTAATGCCAGCCTCTAGATTTTATTAAATGGACACAAACATAGAGTTCACATTGAATCTGAATAGAATTTCAATAGAATATGTCTATAGTGCATACATCTCTACTGTTCTTTAAACATGACTGCTATTAATAATTTTATTTGCAACTTTAGAATGTAAAGTTTTGTTGATATTATCCAGATGGATCATGTCTCTTTAAGAAAATAAGAAATATAGTCTTTCTCTTGTCTTCTTCTGCCTGAGGAGGTCTGAGGTGAAATATATATATATTCATAGCTCTGTGAAGTTCCTAATATTAAGTATGCATTTTCAGAATCATTCTATGGATTTATTGAGTAGAGAGAGAGGTATACTTGGAAAATGTGCACCTGTCCACAATAGGGTCATCTGTCTACAACAAGGATTTTCTACAATAGGGAAATGGCAAGGATTGACTCTGGACTTAAAGCCAGCTCAAAAAAGATGAATAAATTCCTCCCTTAGCCTTTGCATCAATATATATGAGATGGATCTTGTTTCAATTATTGGGTCTAATTTCCTTCATAAGTCATAAAAAATGTTTCACTAACTCAAATATTTCTACAGTAAAACCATCTGCTAATAATTCAGCAATTCCACCCCTAGATATACACATAAGAGAAATGAAAGTTGTGTTCTTCAAAAAATCTGTTAGCATTACTCATAACAGCCAAACAGTGTAAGCAACCCAAATGTCCATCAATGATAAATGAATAAATAAAATGTACTATATCCATATAATGGATTATTATTTGGCCATAGAAGAAATGAAGTACTGATGCATGTTCAACACAAATGGGCCTTAGAAACATCATGCCAGCTGAAGGAAACCAGTCACAAAGGACTAAATATTGTGTGGTTCTATTTATATGAAAAGTCCAGAACAGGCAAATCTATAGAGACAGAAAGTAGGTGAGTGGTTGTCAGGGACTGGGAGATAGGGTGGGTGGAGGTTGAAATTAAGGCTATGAGATACGGGATTTCTTTCTGAGGTGACGAAAATGCTCTAAAATTTATTGGAATGACGGTTGCACAAGTTGGTGAGCCACTGAATTGTACACTTTGAATAACTAAATGTATGGTATGTGAATTATATGTCAATAAAGCTGTTAAAACAACAACAGTTCCATCTGCTAGACAGCTAGCTCACCACCTCAAGAAGCAGTGAAAAACTTCTTTTCACATTATATGTCCTGATTTGGGGACCAAAAATGTGGGATTTTCAATAGCATTCCTGATATTCTGGTGTGAAGGAAGGAAAATATATAAATTACATAGCTTCAGCTCATACAGAGTTTAAAATATTGTTGAAGAGGTGAGAATTACATCAAGGAACACTTAGAGAACACACTCCCACTTGCAATCATCCTTATGACTTTTTTTGGCTGTGGTTTTTAGGTCAGATTATTATTATTTTTGTCCAAAATGATGCATTTTTGATATATTCATTCCATAGATATCTATAAGCACCTGCTGCACTTCAGATACCATGCTTATAAAGGAGGACTGCTGTTTCATCTTCTGTCTCTCCTCAAAATGTCATAGTCCAGCGGAATAATGGAATAAATGCCGAGGCTATCTCTTCTAGAAGCATCACGGATGCTGGAAAGAGCTCTGTGATGAGGCTCAGGAGGCCTGACTAGTCTGGGCCTGACTACCCATTGCCTCTGTTTTCTTGGACAAGTCATTTATTTCTGAATCATAGTTTGCTTTCTTTGTAAAATGAGGGGGCTGGTTTCTCTCATGTTCTTTTCAACTCTGTATACTACTTAGGTTGCATAAGAGGTTGATATTGGTCATTTGAGAAAGCGTTTTCCCTTTTCTGTTGCTTTTAAGGAAAGAAAATGAATGCATTTAAAAAGAGAAACTCTTTCTATAATTTGTTACACAAATAATGTGCATTTGCCATGATGATCTGAAACCCCAAGGTTTTATGGTAAGCAGTTATTACCTTACCTCTTACTTGAATATGTGTGAGTAAATTGCATGTAGAGTTGAATAGTGCTGCTGGGAAGGCAACTTCTTTCTACTCCCAGAAGGTATTAGGATAGTGTCCTTTGCCTATTGTGCTACATTTATTTATAATTTTAGGAAGAAGAAAATTAATAATGAAACTTGAATAATCACCCATAATGTTACCGGTTTCCACATACGCCATTATTGAAGACTCATTTATTTATCTCTTGCCATCTGTTGGCATTTGATCAAAAACCAAAAGATGTAAAAATGAGTCATGGCTTACTCTCTCTCAGTACCCTTTACCTTTATGGCTGTGAGTGAGAGAGAAGGTGTGTCATACCCAAACCCACTGATAGCCAGTAACAGAGGAAATGAAGGGAACTCTTCAAAGCCCAAAGCAAGAATGTGCATTTGTTGTGGTAACTACCTTGGAAAATGAAAGTTTGATGTTGTTTTCTTGTGATAACTATTTTGATTCTCCAGCTATACTCTTAAAAGAGGAGGAAAAGCAGGGAGCAGGGGCATTTTTATAGGACATATTCCCAGAGATAATAAAAAGTCTACATATTCCGCATGCTCTTGGGAACATGGACTTCCGATGCCACTGGACAAAGTTACCTTTGTGTGTCTTTGAATGTACCTGCTGCAAAGGGGAAATCAGGCAGCCTTTCCTACTATAAGGGTGGCTGCTTTCCAACCAAGAACAGACAAGCCTTCTCTGCTGGAACTAGGATGAGGTAGCTATTTTAGGTGGGGGAACCCGTCCCACAGCAAATGTGAGTAGTAACACAAAAGCATTTTTAAAACTTTGAATCATAGATACCCAAATTTGGGAGGAAGCCTAGAACTCATCTAGTACAATCCTTAGTTTTACAGGCAAAGAGACACAGGAAGGTGACGTGACTTCTTCAGGGTCCCACAGCCATTCATAGAGAACAGCACCTTGATCTCTTGAAGCTAAATTTCATGTTTCTTACAGGGGGTTATTTAGAATAGATCAGATAATAGTTCCATATATATATATATATATATATATATATATGGTGGATGTTTTTAATTTTCAAATAATTTTCACATGTAGAGTAAGAAACTGGGTTGTTATTCTTAATTTTTCCTTCTACAATGGTGAGCACTATTGTACATAAGCATATTGTACATGATTGTTACTCAATATTTATCTCCTGGTTTACTCTGTAAAACAGTTAGGAAAAGAATTAACTACCCCCACTTGACCAATGTAGAAATTAAGGCAGAGGCTTGTCTGGGCCTACCAATTCTCTGTGCTTCAGTAGTTTCTCTGAAGACTAGAAATAATAGGATTATTATGGCTGCTCAGGTGCAGCAAAGAAAAATGACAACAAATCTCAGATTATTATGACAGATTAAAGGTGGCCACAAATTCTTCCCCTCTTTTCTCATCAACGGGGGTGTTTAGGTCAGGCCCAATGTCTCACGCCTGTAATCCCAACACTTTGGGAGGCCGAGGAAGGCAGATCACTTGAGACCAGGAGTTCAAGACCAGCCTGGCCAACATGGTGAAACCCCATCTCTACTAATAAATAAATAAATAAATAAATAAATAAATAAATAAATAAATAATTAGTTGGATGTGGTGGCACACCCCTGTAGTCCCAGCTATTCACGAGGCAGAGGTAGGAGGATTGCTTGGACCTGGGAGGCGGAGGTTGCAGTGAGCCAAGATTGCACCATGTGCACGTCCACGCCACAAAGCAAGACGCTGTCTCAAAAAAATAACCAAAAAAGAGCTGGTGTTTATTTGGTGTTTATTTCTCCTCTCTCCAAATCTGGGCTGGGCTGTGACTGCTTTTACAGATGAAGTAATATGGAAGGGATGGTGTGTTCGCTGTGGACCTAGCCTTTATGACGACTGGCAGCTTTTCCTTGGTCTCTTAGAGCCCTGAGCTTCCATGTAAGAAGACCAGCTACTCTGGAGACACCACATGGAGAGGGAGAGGAGGAAAGACTCAGTAGAGCCTAGCCTTCAGCCGTCACCACCAAGGTGCCTGACATGGGAATGAGGGCATCTTAGACCTGCCTATCAGTCTGGCTGAAGATCACCAAGTAAATGCTGTGCAAAACAGACAAATGGTCCATCCCAGCTCTGCTCAGACTCCTACATGACATAACTGTGAGCTATAATGAAAATGCCTTTTGTTTCAGCCACTAATATTAGGGATAGTTAATTATGCTGGGACAGATAACCCTAGCAGTTGTTATAAGAAGTAAATGCGTTTATACATAAAAGCATTTAGAACAGGACCTAATGAATAAATATTAGCATTTCCTCCCCTTCTCTCTATCCCCCTTCTCCTCCTCTCCCTCCTCTTCCCCTCCTCCTCCGTCTTATATATATATAGTCTCCTCCTCCTCCTCTTCATATATATATATATATTTTGTTGTTGTTGTTGTTGTTTGTTTTGTTTTTTTTTGTTTTTGTTTTTGTTTTTTGATGGAGTCTCACTCTGTCGCCCAGGCTGGAGTGCAGTGGCATGATCTCGGCTCACTGCAAGCTCCGCCTCCCGGGTTCACACCATTCTCCTGCCTCAGCCTCTTTAGCAGCTGGGACTACAGGCCCCTGCCACCACGCCCAGCTAATTTTTTTTTTTGTATTTTTAGTAGAGACAGGGTTTCACCGTGTTAGCCAGGATGGTCTCGATCTCCTGACCTCGTGATCCACCCGCCTCGGCCTCCCAAAGTGCTGGGATTACAGGCGTGAGCCACCGCGCCCAGCCTATATATTCTTTTTTAATAGCTTGTAAAATAAGTCAAGAAAATTCTGAAGCTCTAGGTCTCCAACATTCATTTTACGTTTTTGTTCCATGACACTGTGCTGCACAGTCTAGAAAGCATAAGTGAGACTGCTGTGTTTCCTGGCTTTCTACTTTCTTTTAAGGCATGTTCAACCTGAGGCAGCCATGAGCCACTTTGGCACATGAGAATTCAATTTGGCATTTTATTTATACATTTCTACTCTTAATTCATTCATTATTCAAGAAATATTTATTGAGCACCAACTATATGCTAGGAACTGTGCTAGCTGCTGAGAAAACAGGAGTGAATAAGGCAGACCTTGTCTTCATGGAGTTTATAGTTTAGTGGGGACAATTTATTAATAAGTGAACAATTAACAATACTTCTGAGAAAAGTGCTACAGAAGAAATGAGTATGATGTGAGAGTGAACAACAGAGGGATGCGTTTCAGATAGGGAGGTCTGTGAAGCTGAGGAGCCTGCCATGGGAGGAGTCTGGGGAATGTTATGCCAGGCAGAGGGGAGCAAGTGAGAAGTCCCAGAGGAGGGAAAGATCTGGAAGAAAAAAAGAAGCCAAAGTGTGTGGAGCCTAGTGTGAGGTGAGGTGGTAGAGCTGGGTAGAAGTCAGGTGATGCAGGGTTTTTTGTTCACTGGATCTTCGTAGGAAACTTGGGTTTTACTGTAGGTGAGATAGGAGATACTGAAGGGGTTTAAACAACAAGTGGCATATATTTTAGAAAGATCACCCAGGATGACACAGGGAGACTGGATTAACAAAGGGGGAAGGTGGGGAAGCAAGGAGGGCATTTAGGAAGCCATTGCACAAATCCAAGCAGAAGATGATGCTGGCTTCATCAGAGTGGAGGGAGTGGGTTTGAAGAGAAGTATGTGGGATGTGACTGATGGAATGTGACTGATGGGAACCAATGGCATAGGGATGGACATGCAGGTTCTGGACTTAGACTCCCTGGGCTCACCAAGCTCTAACGCTAGTTGTGGGATCTTTAGCAACTTACTGAACTTCATTATCCTCAATATGTCTGTCTGTAAGATCAGATAGAGGATATCTACTTATAGGGATATGATGAATACTAAAGTTAATACTTATAAAGCACTTTTAAAAGTCCATGGCAGAGTAAGCACTCAGTAAGCATTCTCTATTGTTAGATTTCGAAGGACTTGCTGATGAACTGAATTTGTGGGATGAGGGAAAAAATGGAGGAAAAGATTATGTCTTCCTTAAAATTCATTCCAAAAGTTCCCAGTAGAAGTCATTTGTCTTCTCTGTGGAGCATCTTAGAACTTTTATTTATTTATTTATTTATGTATTTTAATATGACCTCACCTTACCTCACACCCAGCCTTACGTTATAGCATTGTGTTTGCACCTGCATATGTGTGTCTATGTATCTACATCTGACTTTTTGTGAACTTCTTAAGAATTGGGACTGTGTCTCATTCATAGTGTCTAAGACAGAGATTCTCAACTAAGACAGTAGTGGAGAGGGGCAATGAAAATCATGTGTGGTTATCAGTTCCTTAGCAATTACAACCCCCACCCCAGCCCTCCTCTAACCCAGAAGATTCTGAAACAATTGCCAGAGTGAGCCAATATTGGTTACGAGAATGCATTTTACCCCTGAGATGTTTTGGGGCAGGAAAGGTGTTGAGAACCTCAGATTCTAGACAGTTAATAATACATGTCTGTTGAAATGAATTGAGAATAGTTGTGTACTCTATGCTGTTTCAAAATTGTAGATATATAGTATTTTAAATGATAGCAATGTTAACTGTGTCAACACTTGGAAATAATAAAGAATAATGGAATACTGTGTCAAGTAAAAAATTAAGTATGAAATAATATGTATACAATGACTACAATTATGTAAAATATTAAAGATCAGAGGACAAAACATAATAAATGTAGTTAGCTTTTTTTTTTTTTTTTTAAGACTGAGCCTTGCTCTGTCACTCAGGCTGGAGGGCAGTGGTGCATTTTCGGCTCACTGGAACCTCTGCCTCTTGGGTTCAAGCAATTCTTGTGCCTCAGCCTCCCAAGGAGCTGGGACTACAGGCGCTGGCCACCTTGCCCAGATAATTTCTTTTTTTTTGTACTTTAGTAGAGACGGGGTTTTACCTTGTTGGCCAGGCTGGTCTAGAACTCCTGAGCTCAGGCGATCTGCCTGCCTTGGCTTCCCAAAGTGCTAGGATTACAAGTGTAATTAGCGTTTGTTTCAAGTTTTACAGAATGTTTTTCTTACAAAGTTAATTAAATACAAATCCCAGTGTTCCCTTAAGTGGCTTCTTCCTGACATCAACTCTCCAGATGCTTCTGCCAAACAGGATTCCTTTAACAAATGTGGGAACTGCTTCAGTGCAGATTCCCCTCTTGGAAATACACAGAACCCCAAATCCTGTGAGAAGCCAACTTTTTTGCTTTGTTTTTCCAAGTTGTTCTCAGATTAGTTTGGCCCCCCCAAACCCTTTGGGAAACAAAGGACACTGCTACCATTTCCAGAAGTATTGTCTGCAGAACGACCTCAGGAAAATGTGGGCACAGGGCATTCCTCACATCCTCCTGTGCCTACCCCTTGGTGACTCTCACAGGCTATTCATGTTATCATGGATTGAGGAATCCCTGTGTTGCATGTGATACTAAAATTCGACTTCCTCTTTATCTTTTTAATCATTTAAGTGGAGTTTGGTTTTGATATCTGATGACATTTTATCAGGTAGTTCTGTAGACCTTTTTCTGTTCCCAGCCTCTCTGTCAAATATTTACTCTAAAAATCACACTGGTAAATGCTAGAGGAGATTTGTCATTTAAATGAGCCAACCTGTAATGAATTCACTTATAAAGAGAGAACAGTTTTGACATGTAGATAGCCACTTTCTATTTTTATTGACTTTTAAAATAATAATATAAGGAGTATATTGAGTTTTATTGGATATTTTCATGAGAAAATGTGTCCTCTGGAAGATGGACTAGGGAGGATGACAGTGAAGACTGGATATTGGACAGAAGCTCTAGGGAATACCAGGGAAGCCATGGAAATTGCTAGTTCTCTGGAGCTTGTTCAAGTTTTGAAACTATCACAAGCAGTATTATTTCTGATGTTTCACCTTTTATTTTTTTTTTCTTAAAATATATGGTCAAAATGAGAGGACTAAATAATAGGTATAATGAATCCTATAGCTCTTATACTGCCAGATAGCTCTCCAGAGTGGTTGAACTAATTCATTATTTTATATATAATTATGTTAAGTAAATTTGTTTAACTAATTCAATCAATATGCAATACTTGTTTTAAACTGTTTTTCTCGTAATTATTACAGAGGCTGAACCTTTCCCACATGTTTTGTCACTACGTTTACTAATCTACAAACTGCTTGCATCATTTTAATTCTTGTTAAGCTTAGCTATTTTTATGGAAAGTTATTTAATAAACTCAGGAAATAGAAATGAAAGCTGAGTACAAACTACTGAGCTTCTTCTTACTTGGACGAAAAAGAGCCAAATCAAGCTTATTGAATTGGACAGAGGCAGCCTTGCACCAACCCCAAGCCCCACAACTCCCACCCTCTCACCTCTTACTGGAGAAGCTGCATTTAGCCAATGATCATGTCAGTCACGTTCCCTTATTATGTGCCTGGCATACAGTTGGTATTTAGTACATAGTAATGGAGGAAAGAAAGAAGGAAGGAAAGAAGGATGAGAGAGAAGAGGGAGGGAGGAAGGAAGGAAGGGTAAGAGAGAAGAGAGGAAGGAAGAGAAGAAGAAAGGAAGGGAAGGAAGGAAGGGGGGGGAGAGAGAGGGAGGGAGGGAGGCCTTGTATTTCCCAGAAATGCCCTAATAGTGCATATTATTCTTTAACTCATTTAGCATTTAACAACAGAAAATGTATTGTTCTTATTTTCAAACTTTCTTATCCAGCCACATAAACTGACTGGTCCCATTTTATGAGGGGTTTATGCGGGAGGTTCTCTAAAATTACATCTAGTTTTAAACTAATGCTGTGATCTGAAAGATATACTCCATGTAACACTTCAGTCCAAATTAGGCTAGAGATTTTTTTAAAGTATATATTTAGTCCTGTTTCCTTTCATTTCCCAAAACAAATGTATTATAGGTGTCCCTGTCAATTTTCCTCACCCCTTGCACAGATGCGTGCATGCTCACACACCCTAAGCAATAATTCCCACTCTAGAGCCTTTGCTCCTGGTGTTTTTCCACCTAAAAGACCCTCTTCTCCCTCTGCACTCATCTACATCCTTCCCGCCCTTCAAATCTTAAGTCGTATTTGAAGCCCTAGAATCATAAAGCTGTTGCCTGTACTATTATCTTTGCTTTATATTTTTCCTCATTCCAGGGAACTCCTCCAGTCCCCTGAAATGAAGACAGTGTGCTCCAGCTGACTGTGCCCTGGGGACTGTGTCCCTGCTAGCTTCTGATCAAATACTCACACCCTGCATAGGTCCCTGGCTGTCCTCACCCAGGGCAATCCCCCTGGCCTGGAGCTGACGTGGCTTTGAACTCCCACGCAGAGCTGCTCTTCTGCCCTACTTCTGGATTTTACTGTAACTTGCTTAGCAGTCAGAGGTGCTGAAGTTGCAGAAAGGCCCTGTGGGTTTGCTTTTGATAGTGTTCAAATTGTTTCCAAAACTGTTTAGCATTTCCTGCTCTTAACAGGCTCCTTGAGCTCAGCTTTTGCCATTGTCTGTCCTCCCTGGGCTCCTTTTCCTTATTTTTTATTCCCCATTTTGACTTTCCCCATTCCATTTCTTTGTTTCTCTTAGGTCATTGATTCATTGCAATCACCCAAATCTCCCCTGCCTTTCTTCCCTTTTTTTTTTTTTTTTTTTTTGGTCACTATCACGTTTTTCTCTCTGGCATCGTGACTGGCATTGTCCCTTATTTCTACTATTGAAGTAATAAGTTTTTAGGGAAAACAGTTTCAAGCAATTTAGCAGAATTTTTGATTTCAGACTGACCCTGACTTCAAATCTGACCTCTGACCCTAGTTTAACCTTTGGTGAATTACTTCCACTGTTTTGAGTCTCAGCTTTATCCTCTCTTACAGAGGCACCATAAATTCTGACTTGCACAAATTGGGAGGATACATGAGATCATTTATAGGCAGTGTTTGATGTCACAGTAAATAATATTCCTCATCCAATCTATTTCCTGCCTTCTCATGAAGAAGTGACTCCATTTTGGTGCTGATTGTTAGATTTCCACTCATTCATTTATTCAATCAATATCTGCCCATTTATTGTGTGACAGGCACTGAGGTAGCATTGGAAACACAGTGATAAAATGTGCTAGACCAGGGATCCCCAAGGCCCGGCCATGGCCGGGGCACCAGTCTGTAGCCTGTTAGGAACTGGGCCACTCAATAGGAGGTGAGCAGTGGTGAGTATTCCCGCATTAGATTCTCATAGGAGCATGAACCCTACCATGAACTGTATGCGAGAGATCTGGGTTGCGCTTTCCTTATGAGAATCTAACAAAAAGGTTGGGGATCACTGTGTGAGACAGTGTTGCCACTCTTACAAAGCTTATAGTCTAGTGGAAGATTCAGATAAGTCCACTAGCATTTCGCTCCCCATTTTTCTCACCCCTTCTTCTGTGAGGAAAAGCTCAGTGAGGGCATGCTTCTGTGTGTCAGCTACTGCGCTTCCTGTCAAAGGCCCAAGAAAATGCCTCTCACCCTCAAGGAGCTTCAGCCTCATAACTGATTTATGTGTCAGATAGGGTGATAATCCAGTGGAAGAACTGATCATTTCTGCAGAAGACGGAGAAGAGAAGAGAGGGTGTTGCGGGAGCCTCACTGAAGAGGCGGGATCTGAAGGGACGGCTGGTGTTGTTCTGGGTGATAGAGGAATGAGCCACAGACCTGGAAAGTGACAATTTGAAATGATGTGACTCCCCTGGGAAGTTAGCTCCAAGGCATTTAGTCCTGCTGGTGTGAAAGCAGCAAGTGGAGAAATGAATGGTAAGGAAGGTGCTGGATAGTCCTGAGAGGCCTTGGATGCCATCGCTGGGAGTTTGATTGCTTTCTGAAAGTGCAGGAGAACCATTGAAGTACATACAGAAATGTGAGGAATCTAACTCCTCTAACTCTGTGAAGAAGGAAAGGAGAGGGAAGACACAGCAGGCAGGGGGCCTAGCAACTAGGATGCCATCTCCCTTTAACAAATGAGGAAACTGCAGTGTAAAGAGGCCGAGTAACATGTACAAGGTCATAAAGCATCTTTAAGGGGCAGAGCTGGGATTCAGATCTCTGTCATCTGACTCTAGAGTCTGTATTCTAGCAATACTTGATTAAGTGAAAATACAATAGTAAAGATCATGTAAACCAGACATCTTAAACATTAGCATCATCGGTACCCCCCTGGGCTTGTTAAAGCACAGATTTCTGATTCCCATCCACAGATTCTGATTCAGCAGGTCTGAGTGCTGCCTGAGAATCTGCATCTCTAATGAGTTCCCAGGTGATGCAGATGCTGAAATCATAGGAAAAACATCACACAAGACTAGAATTTAGCAACAGGTGTACTGTAGTTTTTGAAAAATAATTTTTCTTTCTCCAGTTTCCCATTTTTATTAAAAGACAAATCATGGTAGGACTGGTTTGCGTTATTACACTTGGCCTAATTATTTGTATACAGTGCTGCAAGAATAATTATTTTTCACATAGGCCTTTTATATTGTCTTTGATAGAACTTTGTTCTATAGAAGGAATCCAAGATAAGATCTTTTTAAAGATGAACCCAGCCATGGATTTCTACCATCAAATACCTATGAGTTGGGTGAATTCCTCTCCTCTTGAGGTTCCAAGATAACTTGGGGTTCCTGGCCTGTCAGAAAGTGACATTCTATATTTACCACAGATCAGAAACCCTATACAGGGACTGTGTACACAAAATATGAGGCCAGGTTTCCAAGGGCTTTATTGGCTCCATAAGTTGTTTGATTCCTTAAACAAGAGCATACCATTCCAGTGAAAGCCTTGTTAAAATAACCAGGTGTTCCAATTGTGACATGTTACAAAAGAAAACAGATTTTTATTGCACTTATGCAAATAACTATATTGCCATAAATTAAGAATACTCACAGATAGTTTCCAAATTCTAGAGGGACAAGGCAGAGAGAAACAAATATGCTCCAAATTTTGTTCATAGGAGTATACTTTACTTAATTGTTAAAATCTGTTAATAGCACAAAAGAAAAGCTTCCTTGACTCTGAAAAGAAAAACAAAGGATCAGGAACATTTTAAGCAAAAAGTCAAAAAGATCACTTCAATCTCCTATCAGTTCAGTTCATGCAGTTAATTCCCATCCTGCTTGATATTAATGAATATTTTAGTTCTTCAAGAGTACTGAATGTTTTTCCTCTATTCTGATGTCACAATCTCCAAAGCTATTAGAAACCTGCATTCAAGAGCACCTTCTAAAGAGGACCAAAACAAGACAACAATTGACAGGGAAATCTGTTACCTCTGTAGCACACAATAATTTAACATAACAATTATAGTTATTACTGATAACATACACTAAGACATATCAGAATGATAGGAGTTTCACATGATTTTGGGACACATACCAATAACATATTTATACAAATATAGCCTAAAGAAAACCAAACACCATCTCATATTTGACAATGCTTTCTGTACGATTTTTATACCAAATAAGCCAAATTTCACCTTTACATTAGTATGCTATTAATGTTAAACCCAATTCTTAATAAATCCTTATAGATATATTTACTCAATTTTAATGTTTGACCATAAAGTAAGGTTTTTGTAGATCTTTTATAATCCTTTACAATTTTTGTTAAAGAGCAGGTTAGTGCTCTGAGAGAACTCCATTGTGCTTTTATTTTAATGCTCAATTTACAGAAAAACTGGATGATACTGCTTTAACTCTAACCAATATGTTTACACACAGAATTTCCTTTACAATCTACCTTCCACAACTTGCTTAAATCTTCATCTGTATTTTATCCACTTAAAACAATCCTTTAACCTTTAAAAGGCAAAAATCCACATTCTCATGCCTCCTTATAATCTTTTAACCAAAAGAGTGTTTTACTTTCCTTACACACCTTGCATGTAAACTGTTTCTTCAATAGTCTTAAATACATGTTACACTGTTAACTCTTAGCAACCTTTACTTATGGTGAAAACCTTGGTAAGTCTGTGATTTAATTATGTGCTAGGTGTGGAGCCTAGGACCCAGACGAAAGTAGATAAGGTCTTACTTATTCCAGTGTCTAACTCCATGTGTCCCAGGCCTTATCTAGAATTTAATACTCCAAAATAAATTCACAATTTTTAAGTCAAAGAAGCAGTTTATGACCTAAAGCATTTAGCAAACCTAATATTTTACCTGCATAATTTAGACCAAATGTTTATACTTTTGAAGATATTTTAATTTTACCAATAGTTTTTAAAACTCTTTATTTTTATCACTTTCTTTATATCTCTCTTATATATTTTCTGATTTCTTTTACCTTGTTTTATATATAACCTTTAAATAAGCTTTGAATTAGACAAAAATTACTTGCCCTTTAAAAAGGGCACAATTTTTAGAAAGAATATTTTCCTACAATATATTTTTATTGGGAAACACCCAAATAGTGACAAGTTTGTTTATGAGTATTTATCCCATTACATTTATCTAATTATTTGTTTTAATTGTTTACCTAGATTATTTATGAAAATTGCAAAAGTCATCATGTAAAGTTATAAAACCACCATTGCAAAATTATAACTCAGACAGCGAAAATGATCTGACCTAACTGACTCCATCTTGCTTCTAACCTCCAAGCTATTCTTGTTCATTAACTTAGTTTATACTTTAGCACCGAAACAAAGATGATAACAGTCATCTTTTTTGTTCCCCAGAACAAACTTCCTTCATGTTTGTGGACTAGGCTGCCTAAGGCCACAAGATTAGAAGTTAGGGTATTTTACTAAATAGTTCAAAATGTAGCTATCTTCATTAAACCAATATTACTGTTTCATTTATTAAAAAATTACACAAGCAAAGATCATTCTGTTTTGGGCTGAGTTACAGTTTTGTAGCCCCTATATCAAATACCTTATAGTATTTGGCAGAGATAAGTATGAAATTCCTTGATTGATAACTGCAAACAAAAATGTATGCTAGCAACTCTTAAGATATTTTTAATATTACTTTACCAATAATTTTTAAAGCTAGCTTATTTATTAAAGATTTTACTTAAGTCACGTAAACTTGAAAAAGCATTTGACTAGTCTTTCCTTTTTTCTGTTAAAGTATTTAAGTGCTTTTATTTTTCTTTGAGCCAATTAATTAGAACTCTTTTATATATTTTCAGTAGTGAAACATGGTGTGCACAAGACATATACATAGACATATTAGGCATGCCAATAGAAATACATTTTATTGATTCATAAGACCTCCTTTTTCCTAACTGGATCTTTGAGATCTGGGCAGGTCCCACACTGAATCCTGGGTTTTCAAAAAGGGAGAATTATTACGAGGCTAGACCATGTGATGCTTTTACAGTGCGCTCAAATTTTTTTCATAAACAAAGACATTTCTAAGTGTCTAAATTACACTTAATTTTCTTAAAAACCCTAGAGTAGCTTTTGTTGTAATAGCTATTAATGAAGAAAACAGAATTCAGTCAACTGAGAAGAAAAAAAAAAAGTTTGCTCAAAAAGACAAGGTCCTAGGAAAGAAATAAAAACAAAAACATGAAGGCCTTTTAAATACAAACATGCACGCATGTACACGTACATACACATATCTTGGATGTTAGCTTTAATTAAGCTGACTTTTAACCAATGAACTCCTAAAAAAATAAAATTCCTTCCTAGAGGCCTCTCAGCAGGAATGTACCCTATAACTCCCATTTTCAAGTTTACATGGTATCAAAAGATTATTCCTTTTGATATTGGTCTAAATTATTCCTTACACAAACAAGTGGAGACAAATTTTGAACAACACAAGGGGGAGTGCACTCAGGCAAAACAGACTCAGAACCAACTCAAAACCTGATCTCAATCAAAATGCAAAGCAGATATATGAGAGAGCCTTATTGCTTCCCTTGGCGGTATCAGACAAATGGCTTACCAAGCCCAGATAGGAAACAGTAGGCTCCTAGCATAGAATCTGGTTAACTCACCCTTTGAGCGCATCTGCTCCTGATCTCTGTTTCTCCTCAGTAGTGAAAAGGACATGCAGATTTGCGCACAACAGCCCTCTGGAGGGTCCCGGGGGAAACCTCACCCAGCAGCTTCTGGGATCCTCCTGAAGACTGTCTCATAGCAAGTTGCCAGCCGCTGAATGCAGCACTGTCCTTAATTCCTGGCTTGTGTGCCAAATTTTTATCCCGGATCAAACTGAGGGTCAGGCTGCTATTTCTCGCGGCACAATAACAAGATGCAGATGAACTGGGGAGGAAGAGAGTTTTTATTTCTGTAACCGGTTATAGGGAGAAGACCTGGAAATTATCACCAGACCAACTCAAAATTACAGTTTTCCAAAGCTTATATACCTTCTAAGCTATTCATCTACATGTAAGTATGCATTCATCTAAAGACATAAGTGATTAGCTTCTTTTAATCTATAACTAAGGTCTGAGTCCTGAAGACCTTCCTCTGGAGCCTCAGTACATTTACTTAATCTAAATGGGTCCAGGTGCTGGGGTGATTGCCCTTATTTTGTCTCCTGCTAAATCATGTAGGTTTGAGGAGTTCCTTCAGACCCCCAGTAAACTTGTTTGTGGAGGTCTGGGGAGTTTCTTCAGACCCACAATAAAACTTGTTTAATCCTAAATGGGTCCTGTTAAGAATTCCTTCGTTATTTTGTCATGCTTTAAGGCCCAGGAAAGGCCTAAGCCAAAATCTTGGTGGGGTTTTTTTTACATCCCAGCCTTTGTATAAGGGCACTGGCTTTTAATATTTAACTTAACCCACTCAGTCAGTACTGAAATAGTTGTTAGTAGACCTGGCCTGCCACTGCATGAATTACGAATTGGAGGAAAGAGATAAATCAGAGATAACCCAATTCCCTGCCCTCAGGGCAGAATACAGACCAAAGGATTTTCCTTGGTCCTCCCTCCTGACAGTTTCATCCTTCATGCATATTTCTTATTTTCAAATTTTGTGCTCTTTTTCCCCTCATTTTTTCTTCTATGTTTTTCTTATATAATTCCTTTTTTAATCTTTAACTTGGGTTAATTTATATACCCACATTTTTCACCTTTTGAACCTTTTACCTCATTGATAGAATTTTTTAAAATCTTAACCTTTTATATCCGATACATTAATTTTTTTATTTTTTATTTTACTTTAAGTTCTGGGATACATGTTCAGAATGTGCAGGTTTGTTACATAGGTATACATGTGTCATGGTGGTTTGCTGCACTTATTAGCCTGTCATCTGGGTTTTAAGCCCCACATGCATTAGGTATTTGTCCTAATGCTCTCCCTCCCCTTGCCCCCCAACCTCCCACCCCACCGACAGGCCCCAGTGTGTGATGTTCTTCTCTCTGTGTCCATGTGTTCTCATTGTTCAACTCCCACTTATGAGTGAGAACATGTGGTGTTTAGTTTTTTGTTCCTGTGTTAGTTTGCTGAGAATGATGGCTTCCAGCTTCATCCATGTCCCTGCGAAGGACATGAACTCATTCTTTTTTATGGCTGCATGGTATTCCACGGTGTATATATGCTACATTTTCTTTATCCAGTCTATCATTGATAAGCATTTGGGTTGGTTCCAAGTCTTTACTATTGTAAATAGTGCTGCAATAAACATACATGTGCATGTGTCTTTAAAGTAGAATGATTTATAATCCTTTGGGCATGTACCCAGTAATGGGATTGCTGGGTCAAGTGGTATTTCTGGTTCTAGATCCTTGAGGAATAACCACACTGTCTTCCACAATGATTGAACTAATTTGCACTCCCACCAACAGTGTAAAAGCGTTCCTATTTCTCCATAGCCTCACCAGCATCTGTTGTTTCAAGACTTTTTAATGATCACCATTCTAACTGGCGTGAGATGGTATCTAATTGTGGGTTTGATTTGCATTTCTCTAATGACGAGTGATGATGAGGTTTTTTTCATACGTCTGTTGGCCACATAAATGTCTTCTTTTGATAAGTGTCTGTTCGTATCCTTTGCCCACTTTTTGATGGGGTTGTTTCTTTCTTGTATTGTTTAAGTTCTTTGTAGATTCTGGATAGTAGACCTTTATCAGATGGGTAGATTACAAAAATTTTCTCCCATTCTGTAGGTTGTCTGTTCACTCTGATGATAGTTTATTTTGCTGTGCAGAAGCTCTTTAGTTTGATTAGATCCCATTTGTCAATTTTGGCTTTTGTTGCCATTGCTTTTGGTGTTTTAGTCATGAAGTCTTTGCCCATGCCTATGTCCTGAATGGTATTGCCTAGGTTTTCTTCTAGGGTTTTTATGGTTTGGGGTTTTATATTTAAGTCTTTAATCTGTCTTGAGTTAATTTTTGTATAAGATGTAAGGAAGGGGTCCAGTTTCTGTTTTCTGCCTATGGCTAGCCAGTTTTCCCAGTACCATTTATTAAATAAGGAATCCTTTTCCCATTGCTTGTTTTTGTCAGGTTTGTTGAAAATCAGATGGTTGTAGATGTGTGGTGTTATTTCTGAGGCCTCTGTTCTGTTCCATTGGTCTATATATCTGTTTTGGTACCAGTACCCTGCTGTTTTGGTTACTGTAGGCTTGTAGTATAATTTGAAGTCAGGTAGCATGATGCCTCCAGCTTTGCTCTTTTTGCTTAGGATTGTCTTGGCTATATAGGCTCTTTTTTGGTTCCATATGAAATTTAAAGTAGTTTTTTCTAATTCTGTGAAGAAAGTCAATGGTAGATTAGTGGGAATAGCATTGAATCTATAAATTACTTTGGGCAGTATGGCCATTTTCACGATATTGATTTTTCCTATCCATGAGCATGACATTTTTTTTTTTCCATTTGTTTGTGTTCTCTCTTATTTCCTTAATCAGTGGTTTGTAGTTCTCCTTGAAGAGGTCCTTCATGTCCCTTGTAAGTTGTATTCCTAGGTATTTTACTCTCTTTGTAGCAATTGTGAATGGGAGTTCACTCATGATTTGGCTCTCTGTTTCTCTATTGTTGGTGTATAGGAATGCTTGTGATTTTTGCACACTGATTGTGTATCCTGAGACTTCACTGAAGTTGCTTATTAGCTTAAAGAGTTTTTGGGCTGAAACGATGCGGTTTTCTAAATCTACAATCATGGTCATCTGCAAACAGAGAAAATTTGACTTTGTTGTTTGGTCTTTATATTTTGGTGTGTTTTTGCAGTGGCCATTACAAGTTTCTCCTTTCCATATTCAGTGCTTCTTTCAGGAGCTCTTGTAAGGCAGGCCTGGTGGTGACAAAATCCCTCAGCATTTGCTTGTCAGGAAAGGATTTATTTCTCCTTCACTTATGAAGCTTAGTTTGGCTGGATATGAAATTCTGGGTTGAAAATTCTTTTCTTTTAAGAATGTTGAATATTGTTCCCCACTCTCTTCTGGCTTGTAGGGTTTCTGCAGACAGACCTACTGTTAATCTGATGGGCTTCCCTTTGTAGGTAACCTGACCTTTCTCTCTGGCTGCCCTTAACATTTTTTCCTTTGTTTCAACCTTGGAGAATCTGACGATTATGTGTCTTGGGGTTGCTCTTCTCGAGGAGTATCTTTGTGGTTTTCTCTGTATTTCCTGAATTTGAATATTGGCTTGTCTTGTTAGGTTGGGGAAGTTCTCCTGGATAATATCCTGAAGAATGTTTTCCAGCTTGGTTCCATTCTCCCCATCACTTTCAGGTATGCCAATCAAACATCGGTTTGGTCTTTTCACATAGTCCCATATTTCTTGGAGGCTTTGTTTGTTCCTCTTCATTCTTTTTTCTCTAATCTTGTCTTCACGCCTTATTTCAGTAAGTTGATCTTCAATCTCTGATATCCTTTCTTCTGCTTGATCAAATCAGCTATTGATACTTGTGTATGTTTTACAAAGTTCTTGTACTGTGTTTTCCAGCTCCATTGGGTCATTTATGTTCTTCTTTAAACTGGTTATTCTAGTTAGCCATTCCTGTAACGTTTTATTAAAGTTCTTATCTTCCTTGCGTTGTGCTGGAACATACTCCTTTAGCTCAGAGGGGTTTGTTATTACCCACTTTCTGAAGCCTACTTCTGTCAATTTGTCAATCTCATTCTCCATCCAATTTTGTGCCCTTACTGGAGAGGAGTTATGATCACTTGGAGGAGAAGAGGCATTCTGGTTTTTGGAATGTTCAGCCTTTTTGCAGTGGTTTTTCCTCATCTTTGTGGATTTGTCTACCTTTGATCTTTGTGGCTGATGACCTTTGGATGGGGTTTTTGCGTGGGGGTCCTTTATGTTGATGTTGATGTTGTTGCTTTCTATTTGTTAGTTTTTATTCTAACAGTCAGGCCCATCTTCTGCAGGTCTGATGCAGTTTGCTGGAGGTCCGCTTCAGACCCTGGGTATCACCAGTGGAGGCTGCAGAACAGCAAATATTGCTGCTTGCTCCTTTCTCTGGAAGCTTCATCCCAGAGGGCACCAGCCTGAGGCCAGCCGGAGCTCCCCTCTATAAGGTGTCTGTCGACCCCTGTTGAGAGGTCTCTCCCAGTCAGGAGGCTCCAGGGTCAGGGACCCACTTGAGGCAGTCTGTCCTTTAGCAGAGCTGGTGTACTGTGCTAGGAGAATCCCTTTTGTCAGGATCAGCTGTTCTCTTCAGAGCCAGCAGGCAGGAACGATTAAATGCGCTGAAGCTGCTCCCACAGCTGCCCCATCCTCCAGGTGCTCTGTCCCAGGGAGATGGGAGTTTATCTGTAAGCATCTGACTGGGGCTATTCCCTTTCCTTCAGAGATGCCCCTTCCCAGTGAGGAGGAAACTAGAGAAGCAGTCTGGTCACAGTTGCTTTACCGCACTGTGGTAAATTTGCCCAGTCCACACCTCCCAGCCTCCTTAGCACTGTCAGGGGAAAACCACCTACTCGAGCCTCAGTAATGGCAGACGCCCCTCCCCCCACCATGCTAGATAGTCCCAGGTCAACTTCAGTACGCTGTGCTGGCGGTGAGAATTTCAAGCCAGTGGTTCTTAGCTTGCTGGGCTCCGTGGGAGTGGGACCTGCTGAGCGAGACCACTTGGCTCCCTGGCTTCAGCCCCATTTCCAGGGGAGGGAACGGGCCTGTCTCACTGGGGTTCCAGGTACCACGGGGGTGTGAAAAAAACTTTGGCATTTTATTTCTCTCAATTTTATCCTCATCTATGTATTCATTTTTCTCTTCTTTAATAATTTCTATATGTGTACAGCATCTTTGATTCCCTGGAAATTGTTCTTTACTGACATTTCATATTGTTCACTCTTTTTATGATTAATTACAGGTCTTAAAAAATCTAAGCCTTCTTATATGCATAGCTATATGTGCTATAGAGAAAACTAAAGTCGGAAAACGGATAATAAGTAGAGAGAGGGCCTCTGTATAAAGTGACATTTAAGTAAAGGCCTGATGCAATGATGGAATCACCATGTATTTGGTGTAAGAATTTTCAGGAATATTGAATAGTATATGTCAAGGCTCTGAGGTAGACACATGACTGGTAAGTTCAAAGAACTGCAAGGAGGCAAATGCTGGAAAAAAAAAAGTTATGAGGAGAGTGGTAGAGGATGAGGTCAGAGAGGAGCCGTGTGGTAATAAAGTTCATGTAGGGCCTTGAAGCCATTGTAAGGACTTTGGATTTTACTTGCATGAGTTTGAGAAGCTATTAAGAGGTTCTAAGTTAGAGAAGAGATATGCTCTGATTTATATTTGTACAGGATGATTTTGGCTGTTATATTGAAAATAGGCTGAAGATAGGCAAGTGAAGAAGAAGGAAGCTATTAGAATAATACGAGCGCAACTAAACTAGAGTGGTGACTGTGGAGGTAACGACAAATGGTAAATGTTACAAATGGTAACACATGCAACAGTTTGAGCTTACAGAATATGATGGAGCACTGAATGTAGGCTATGAGAAAGAGGGGGAGAGAGAGAGAGAGAGAAGGAGAGAAGGTGATAGGGAGAAGGAGGGAGAGGGAGGGAGGGAGGGAGACAGGGAGAGAGAGAGAGAAAGAGAGAAAGTTAAAGATGACTGCAAAGTTTTTGGCCTGAGGAACCAGAAAGGTAAAGTTCCCATATTCTGAGATGAGAAAGACTGCAGGAAGAGCAGGTAGGGCATGCATGTGGGGACCCAGGTATTCAGATTTGGTCATGCTGGTTTGAAATACCTGATGGACATCCAAATTGCAGTATCAACTAAATAGCTGGGTAGGTGAGTTGAATTTAGCAATTAAGTTCCACTGAAGATGTAGATTTGTATTTACGAATCATGGCATAGAGGTGGTATGTAAAACCATCACACTGGATGAGATCACCTAATGCTGTGCTTTTTTAAACTTTATGGACCACAAGCCACAGAATAAATTTACGCATGTCACATTACAACATGGTAAACACATTCTTCCATCCTGCCACCCCCAACACACAGATACACATACACTCTGATTCAAAAGTTTCATGAGAAAAGCCAACCTTTACCACATATATTATACTCTGACATTTTCAGTTATATTTAATTTATTTCATCAAAAATACAGGTCACATTCTTCTAAATTGACTTTACAATGCACTAATGGGTTGCAAGGCCACATTTTGAAAAGTTCTGGCCTTGGAGATGAATATAACCAGGTCTGAAGAAAAGAGGTTTAGAGTTCATGTTTATAGTTTAGGAAATGAGGAGGAGCCAGCACAGGTGAGATTGAGAAAGAAAGGTCAGGGAAGTAGGAGGGGAACCAGTCCCACCTGGATGCCACAAGGTCTGTATTCCTGCTCCCAGTCCCTGGCTCTGGTCCTCTCTCACCTTACCTTTCCTGGCTGCTCCTCTCTCCCTTCACCCCTTCATCCCATAGATAGGCATGAACATATCCCCCTCACTGCCAAAAGGCTATTGTGTTTAATTGACCTATGCTGTATGTTTGGGAATATCATGGTGGGATTACAACACAATGCAGAGACAACAGACAAATGCAATATTAGACATATTATTTTCTTAACATTCCTTCGCAATCCACAACATAGCAAATTTGTCACTGGTTGCTTTTCTTGTTTAGGCCTTAGGTGGCTCCAAACCACTGTTTCTCTCAGGACTGCCCACCACACGCTCTTTGCTCGGGCCTCATTTTAGTCTCCTTTCCCCCAGTGTCTAGCCAGGAGAGAATGCCAAAATTCTGTTTATTAAACAAAGAAATATAGCTCTGCCTTTGAGCTATCTTTCTCTTTCAGACTAAACACCAGGTCTAATTTTACATTAAGTAAAGGCTTATTAAAGTATTTCTAAAGACAAAATAAGTTCTCTCCCCCTAAATAATTCTGAATTCCTCTTTGGGAAATCAGCCTAAATATTTACAGCTTTCAAAAACACAAGTTTCCCCACTCCTGGCTTTATATGTCTATTTCTATGTACCATGTCATGCTTTTTCAAGCATTGTACCCCAAGAATAATTTTTTTTAAAAAAGAGTTCTATCAGTTGCAACAATTTGATAGAGTACAACAATTGGTGATGACAATACGATTTCTATGATATTTGGTCATTTTAATTTTGAAATTACTAATTATACAATTTAATATCAAAATGAGTATATATAAAAAAGTATAATTTTAACCAAATATTGAAAAATGTATTTTTAAAAATGCCAGCCCACTTAAAACTTAAAAAATCTAACATAATAGTTAATAAGTATATTTAAGGCAGGAAATCTCATATCATGACAAGATTAAATTAAGAAAACACAAGTTTGGGCCAGGCGTGGTGGCTCACACCTGTAATCCCAGCACTTTGGGAGGCCGAGGTGGGCGGATCATAAGGTCAGAAGATCGAGACCATCCTGGCTAACACAGTGAAACCCCGTCTCTACTAAAAAATACAAAAAAATTAGCCGGGTGTGGTGGCGGGTGCCTGTAGTCCCAGCTACTTGGGAGGCTGAGGCAGGAGAATGGCGTGAACCTGGGAGGCAGAGCTTGCAGTGAGCTGAGATCGCGCCACTGCATTCCAGCATGGGTGACAGAGCAAGACTCTGTCTCAAAAAATAAAAAAAGAAAACACAAGTTTGCTGTCAGAGATAAGGCTCCCAGTACTACAACAAAGAAACTGCTTATAAAAGATGATTATGTGGTTATAGAACTCATGCCAAAGGAATCAGTAATTGCACATTACATTAGGAAATACAGTCATAGATTAGGTTTCCAGTTTGTATGTTTAAGCTAAATTCCACATTGTTTGAATCTAAGGTTGCATCAGCATTTAAAAAAAAAGGTGAAGTGATTATGGAAAATGCTCTTGTTTAGACAGGGGTCAGTCTGGTCTGCTGCCTGTTTTGTAAATTTTTATTGGAACACAGCAAAACCTATTTGTTTAATATTGCTTCAGGCTGTTTTCACACTACAACTGTTGGATTGAGTAGTTACAAAAGATACTCACCCACAGCCCACTGAGACTAAAATGTTTATTACCTGCCCCTTTATAGACAAAGAAACAGTACAAGAAGGAATCTCAGAACATCAAGAAGGAAGAAAGAACACAGTAAACAAAAATATGGGTAAATATATTAGGTTTTAATTCTCCTAGAGTTTTTTCTATTATGTTTGATAGTTGAAGGAAAAATTATATTTTATAACTGGCTTCATATGTAGAAGAAATATTTAAGGAAATTACATTATTAACAGGGGAGGATAAAGGGGCACTTTATTTCAACTGGTAAAATGACTATGACAGTGGACTGTGATAAGTTATGTATGTAAACATAATACCTAAAGAAACCACTAAAAAAAACTATATAAAAGATATAATTAAAAACTCTAAAGCTAATCAAAGAGGAAATGTAAAAACTTCTCTAGCATACCAGACGAAGACAAGAGAAAGAAAACAAAGAAATAACAGAAATGCAAAGCAGAAAACAAAAATTAAGTGGTAGATTTAAGTCTTAATATATCAATAATTACCTTAAATGTAGTCTAACTATACCAATTGCAAGTCAGAGATTGCACAGTACACTAAAAATTATGAAAACTATATGTTGTCTACAAGAAACTCACTTAAAATATAATGATATAGGCAGGTTGAAAATTAAAATGGTAGAAAAGGTATCTTACAAACATTAATCAAAAGAAACAAGTGGCTATATTACTATCAAATAATTTAGATTCAAGAGCAAAGAAAATTGCAAAACAGAGAGATTATATAATTAGGGGATGACTCCATGAAGAAGACAGAGCAATATTAAATGTAAATGCACCAAGCAACAGAGAAGTAAAATATTTGAAGCAAAAACTGAAAATAACTAGACAAATCCACAATTATAGTTGTAAACTTCAACACAAGTCTGTCAAAACTGAAAACTAGACAAAAAAAGCAAGACTATAGAATTAAACAACAGCATCTAACAAAATATAATTGACATTTATAGAACAATTCATCCAACAGCAGCAGAACTCTTTGCAAATTCCAAAGAAACACACACCAAGATCGACTATATCTTGATCCTAAAATTAAAAAACAGAAAAACTCAACAAATTTAAAAGAATTGAAATTATACAGTGTGTCCTCTGATCACAATGAAATCAAATTAGAAATAAAAAAAGACAAGGCCGGGTGTGGTGGCTCACGCCTGTAATCCCAGCACTTTGGGAAGCCAAGGCGGTGGATCACGAGGTCAGGAAATCGAGACCATCCTGGTTAACACAGTGAAACCCCGTCTCTACTAAAAATACAAAAAATTAGCCGAGTGTGGTGGCGGGCACCTGTAGTAACAAATTACTCAGCTACTCGGAGGCTGAGGCAGGAGAGTGGCGTGAACTCGGGAGGCGGAGCTTGCAGTGAGCAGAGATCACGCCACTGCACTCCAGCCTGGGCGACAGAGCGAGACTCCATCCCAAAAAATAAATAAATAAAAGTTTAAAAAGATAATAAAAAGTCTTCAAACACTTGAAAAGTAAATAGCATATTTATAAATAATCCATGGGTCAAAGAGGAAGTTTCAAGAGGAAAAAACATTGGACTTAATGAAAATTAAAATACAACTGATCAAAATTTGTGGGGCACAACTAAAGCAGTGCTGAGGAAACTTTAGAGCACCAAGTGAATATATTATAAAAGAGAAAAGATCTCAAATCAATAATCTAAGTGCTCACCTTGTGGTAGAAAGAATAATGACCTCCCAAACCTGTGAATATGTTTCCCTATGTGGCAAAAGGGAATTTGCAAGTGTGATTAAGTTAAGGAACTTGAGATGGGGGGATTATCATGGATTATCTGAGATGCAATATAATCACAAGAATCCTTATAAGAAGGCATCAAGAATGCCTGAGAGGAAATTTGAATATACTCTGCCCTGGCTTTGAAGAGGGAGGAAAGAGTCATGAGCCAAGGAATGCAAGCAGCCTCTAGAAGCTGGAAAAAGCAAGGAAACAGATTCTTCCCTGGTGCCTCCAGAAAGAAGGCAGCCCTATTGACACCTTGATTACAGACAAGTGCAATTCTGACACAGAATAGTAAGGAATAAATTTGTGTTAAGCACTAAGTTTGTGGTAATTTGTTACAGCAGCAATAGAAAACTAACACAGATTTTGGTTAGGAAGCAGTGTGTAACAAATGCCTAAAAATATGTAAGTGGCTTATGTATTGGGCAATGATAGAGACTGGAATAATTTCATGGAACACGACAGAAAAACCCTAGATTGCCTTGAGCCGATTGCTAGTAAAAATATGCATGCTAGTGACACTGCTAATTAGGACTCAGAAAGAAGTGAAGACCATGGTAGAAAAAATATATTGTCTTGGAGAATATAAAAATAATCATAAATAGACTTTTTATAGAATTATAGATGTTATAGGTATTGACAGTGAGGGCTCAGATAGGAACATGTTATTGAGAGCTGGAGAAAAGAGGATCTTTGTTATATAATGACAGGAAGCTTAGTTTAAAAGCTTCTTGCAGTTATGTGGAAAGCAGGATTTGTATGTAATGAATTTGGAAATTTGTTTGGAAATTTGATTTCCAAGCAAAGCGTTGAAGGTGTGGCCCAATTTCTTCTTGCTTCTTATATTAAAATGTGAGAAGGCAGAGATAAATTAAGGGAAGAACTGTTACATGAAAAGGAAACAGGACAAGATGATTTGGCAAATTCTTAGTCTATCCGTGATAATTAATTTTATGTCTCAACTTGACTGGATTAAGGAATATCTAGAGAACTTTTAAATAATTATTCCTGGGTGTGTCTGTGAGGGTGTTTTAAGAGGAGATTGACATGTAAATCAGTAGACTGAGTGGGGAAGAACTACCCTAAACACAGGTACATAGGTATCTTCCCTCCCTCTCTCTCCCAACTTCCCTGGAGCTGAGACACTCTTATTTTCCTGCCCTTGGAAAGTCCCTGTTTTGGGACTTCTCAGTTTCTGTAACCACATGAGCAAATTCCCCTAATAAATCTGTCTGTCTATCTGTCTGTCTGTCTATCTATCATCTATCTATCAATCTAATATATCTATCATCCATCCATCCATCTGTCTACCCATCTATTTATCCATCCATCCTATTGGTTCTGTCTTTCTGGAGAACTCTGACTAATACACTATCCAAATTGCAAAAAAAAAAAAAAAAATTCTAAAATAGAATTCACTGTCAAGAAAGCATGCTCTGGTGAGAAAGCTAAGGATTGTGGCTAAACAATCTTTTGCTACTACCTTGAAAGGAACAAAATGTCAGAAGTTATATAGGGGACTCTTTGAAGAGATTAGATATGTAACTGCTAGATTCCCCTCAGCCATCTTAGCAGATGCCAAAAATAGAACTGAGATTACCTAAAGATGCCCAGTGGAGTGGGAGTATATGTGTCTCTTTTCTAATGGAGTAAATACACAGGAGACCCACAAGTTTCCCAAGAGTTGTATACCTGCAGAAACACTGCCGGCTTTGACTTAAATGAACAGATAGAGGACTATGGGACTGTTGGAAAAGACTGTTGGGCTCCCAAAATTCTACAAGCAGGAAACAGGCTAAGGAAAATGACTCAGCTGAAAGCATATGCTATTTGATGAAAAATGAAGGATGACTCCAACAGCAGTACCTCAAGGCCAGAGACTTAAACACAGAGATTGAAACCATGAACCACAGAGGTTTATTCCAAGGCCTGGAAAACTAATGTTGTTTTATTATCTGGATAAACAAAACCCAGCTCCACCACAAATAGTAATGGGAAAAATAGAAAAATTATGATACTTTTCAAATGAAATGACGGCACTAAAAGGAAACTATAAAGCTACCTGAAAAATACATAGAAAAAATATTTTCTTTTTTCATATTATAGAACGTTTATCTATAAAGAGATACAACAAAATAGAAGAACAGAGAGAGCAGAGAAAAATCTCTATTAAGTCAGCTGTCAATACAATTTTCTCCAGTTCTAATATCAACTACTAAATATCCAAGCCAGGTAACCTCACTACTACAACATAAATTCATGTAGATTTATGAGAAAAATAATCTTTTATTCAAAAATAACTTTCAAGCAGTCTGAAGAAAAATAACCCAGTGTAAAAGATATTTTAAATATGTCAGCCTCTGTAGAGCTCACTAAAATTTGAAGTGGCTATTAAAAAGAATTTTTATAATTAAAATATAATTTTAATGTTGTAAGTGGCAAAGTTTGAAATTTTCTGTTAATGTAATTCACATATATCACTGAAAAGTGGTTAGCATTTAACAATTCGGCACATTTTAAAAGGATTTACATTTTTGCATAGGTTAGTTAATATCTAAATTCTGGGTACTCTCCAAACAAGCTGGTCATCTCTAGACATCAATCCAAATCTTGATATTACACATAGGACTATGTCCCCAAAGGCCACACCTTGGAACATTGTTGAATCAAGAGAAAATACCCCAGGAGTTCCCATCTTTCACTTTCCTGTTGTTCACATAAAGGAATTGTGAGCTGACCAGCTGAATAGGCAGAGAACTTAGGTACACTCCCCATATCTTAGAGCACCCTTGGTTTCACTATGGGATAAAGACTTAAGTCCTATTTGCTGTTTCAAGAGCAGCAATGTCTACTGGTGGCTGAGCCAGCTCTAGGTTCACCTGGCAACCTTGGCATCTTAGCCTTTGTTAACACAGGACTTTATAACCTAGTCTTCCTCAGCTGCTCCCTTAAATTGGAGCCCTGTGGGTTCTTCTTTATTCTCCACAGTCTGTGCTTCCTCCCTAGAGCATCATATACCCAACCATTGCTGACCTTTCTCTAACCTATTTTACGACATCCTTAGGAACCTCCAGACCATGTGAATAGAGTTCTTCCATCCTTATTCACATTGATGAATGATTTCTCCACTTGTTTCTTTAATAGGAACTAGAATTGCAACTCTCCTCTGAAACATTTGCTCTCTGACCTGGGCCCTATCTTATGGAGGCTGTTTATTCTTTCATATCTGGCAAGGTCATCTCTGCTAAATTCTCATTGTAGTTGCTTCCAGAATAGTGGTTCTGAAAGTGTGGTCTCCAAACCTGGAAACTTGTTAGAAATGCAAATTTCTTGGCCCAACACCAGACCTATTGAATCAAAAACTCTGGGGATAGGGCCCAGCAATATGTGTTTTTAACAAGCCTTTTAGGTGATTCTTACACATACCAAAGTTTGAGAGTTATTGGAGAGCTTTACTCTTCTACCCCTGCTTACTTTCCTCATTCTAAATTCATACCATTTTGCTACACCATCCTTTACCTCTCCTGGGCTGCGTCATCTAATATTTTTGCCATCATTTACCCACATTCAAAAGTTTTATCTCAACTTCCAAGTCATAATTATCTTGGGTGACTTCAACGTTTAGGGGATGGTGCGCTCAATGCCCTATCCTCAGAGTTCCTGGACATTATCTACTCATCAATCTTAATCCACAATAGGCTTTAGCAAATGACACCCAAGGTCACACACTAAACTTTATCATCATTTGAAGTTATTAAACCTATGAAATCTTAAAATCTGTAACCCCAGCCCTGATTAACACCCTGACTATCTCAATTAACACCCAGACTATCCTCCCAATTCTTTACCTCAATGTTATTTATTCTTTCATCCAAAAAGACATCAGATATTTCAGCTCTTCCTTTTTTGACTACTGCATTATCCTCTCCTAGCCTCACTCCCTTTGCTTTCTGGA
This sequence comes from Homo sapiens, assembly GCF_000001405.40. Classification (NCBI taxonomy): domain Eukaryota; kingdom Metazoa; phylum Chordata; class Mammalia; order Primates; family Hominidae; genus Homo; species Homo sapiens. The sequence continues at coordinate 172,865,344 of NC_000001.11, forward strand.
CTAGATCTTATGGTACATTACTTCAATTTTTTACTTTCAAACCACTTAATTCCCATTCTTTCCCTATGCCTTCTTTATTAAATTTCAACTTGGGTGAGTCCTACATGATAAAATCTTAATTTCTTTTCATGGCATCCACTTTTTCTACTCTTACATTTCATCTTCTTGGAGAAAACAACAGGAGTGATAGGTTGACACAGCTAATAGTCTCCATCCTCACCTGGGCTCTGCCTGCAATTTCCTCAGTGGCTATGCCAATCCTTCACCACATTTAAAACTTTTACTCTCACTCTTCACAGCTGATCATGTCTACTACCTCAAAGGTAACAATGACTCTAAGGTCACCAAAATTCTTCAAAATGCTAAACCTAATTGACAAGAGGAGAGCTGTGGGACTCTCTCTGGATCTTGCTGCTATCTCTCTGGCCACTCTGACTTGATCTCTTTCACTGGGTTTCATACTTTTTTACTTATTTGTTTTTTATTGTTGCTCCATAAGACTTCATTTTTCAGCACCCCCTCACTCTGCATACTCTCTCTAGGTGATATCATTCCTTCCCATCTCTTTCGCTCCTTCCAAATTAATATCTCCAGTGCAGATTCTCCTGAATTCCAGACCTAGATGTCTTGGTGCCAGTAGATATCCTCATCAAAATGTCTGACAGGCATTGCAGACTCCACAGATCCACACCTGGTCTCAGTGTCTTCTCCCCCTAAATCTGCTTGCTCTGTTTCCTCTATCTCAGTGAATGGGACAACTTAAATAATGCCAAAAAGGAACACAGATGTCATTCCTTTTCTCCTAAGCCCCTCAAAATCCTGCTTATTCTACTCTCTTTACTCACTTTCATATATTCCTTATTTTCATTTATCTCTCACATAGTAGTTGCAACAGTACCATAACTGCCCTCCTTGTCTTCTTCCTAAATTGCTTTCAATCTTAACCTTCCTAGTACTAACATTCAGCTTCTATTCCAGTTAGGCAAATCTTAGTGAGGATTTACATTCACGAAGCCCAGATGGAGCTGGGTGGGGTGATGTAAGTAAGAGCATCTTATCCAAAGTTACAATACATCATTCTAACTGGTAGATTTTGATATTGTGTCTAAAAGGATAAAAGGTCTAAAATAACATCAGCAATGTAAGAGCAGAGATGAGTGGTGAGTCTCAGAACATGGAGGAGAATTCAAATGAGGCAAAGAACCCCGTAGATCTCAGGGGATTTTAGAGTGTGAGGTAGGTGTGGATGGCTGAGTTGCAATGTGTGTAGTACATGTGCCCTGTTTATATGGTTTCTATGATAAGTAATATGGGCCAACTAAAAGTCTTTAAAAGGCCAAATAGGACCAAGAGTTTCTCCCATACAATATTAAATACCACATATGAATGATATAAAGATTGAATTGAGTTGTAATTTACTTTGAAAAATGTGACATTTTGTTGATGTGAACATGAAATGTTAAATTACATTTTTCATATTTTTTCTGAGCAAAATAAAATGAGAAATAGGCATAGGCCAAAATCATCATGGCAAAAAAAAAGGAAAAAGAGAAGTCTTATAGTGAAATATTATTTTTCTACTGCTAGGGAGTAGAATACTGGTTAAAAAAAATCAGTGTCTTCCGGGATTCCAGAGAATGTTTTATAATAATAATAATGGAAGATGTATGAAAACTAAATGGTAGTTTATATCCTCCATAGGCATAACTTTTATTTTGTTCCTTCCTCCCACATTTAACCTTCTCAGTGATAATAGTATATACCAACACAGCCTTCCAGAACAGAATTAAATAATTTTTATAATAATATAAATGTTTAATCAGAAAATAGTTTTCACTGTTTCTTACCATATAATCTACTAAGGCTGAGTCTATAGCACATAATATGAATGAACTTTTGAGGCCCTTTATAATTGGTTCAGCCTTGACTGAGTAGAATAGCTCACATGTATAACTAGACTCTAATATTCTAACTTTGGGGCATTTCGTGTAGAATCATAGAAAAGTGTGATGCATAAAACGATTGCCCAAAATGACCAAACTTCCTTTACTGTTCTATTGTCTATGTTGATTCAGTCTCCAAGTACCAAAGCTTCAAAGTCAAAGGAGATTTACCTAGTGTTATGAGGAAAAGAAAAATAAAGCTGACAACTTTCATCTCTTCTCTGTGAAACCAAAGTACATCTACAAGAAAACCAGGGTTTCCCTTTTTTTTTTTTTTTTTTTTTTCAGTGAGAGAAAACAGGTTGCATTTCTTGTGGGGAGTTCTTAGAGGCCCTGACACATTGTGAGCCACTTTCTGAAATCACAAACAAGATCAAAAAACATCTTGAGTATAATGAAAGAAAAACTCCTACTATCTGTCTCAGGGAGTTCCCCAGGCAGAATGAGAAATCTGGCATGCTTATTTTACTTTTAAAACTAAAAAGAATGTCTTCTGTAGAGGTACTTCAATCTTTCATCATCATTGGAAATAAACTATTTCTTTTAGTGAATTTTCCGTTTAACTGAAGATTTCTCTTTTAAGCTCCATAGTATGTTTCTTTTATTTTTCTAAATATTAATGAAAAGATTTCTTTAAAAGTATATATTGTTTTGCCTCATTAAACAATATACTGGATTCCACAATGTATATATATTTTAAAACATCATGTTGTACACAATAAGTATATACATTTTTTGTCAATTAAATACATTTAAAAATGTGGTATAGCCAGGGGTATAATAATAAAGATACGGTAGTTATTTTTGATGGTGATATTTGAAATTTGGACAGAATATAGAAACTGTGTAGCCCTGGATACAGGCTTTACAAGCTGCTGGGTGATGAGCAGGAGGAGGTGAGGCTGCTCCATGCACTGTCCTACTCATGGCTGGAGTGATATGGGGGCAAATATAGAGGTCCTGATGGGGAGAGGGGAGAGTCATTTGAACATGTTGGCTTTGAGGCACCATTTGCTAGTGGGCCAATGAAGACTAAATGAACAACTCAAAATGCCCTAGTCTTCAGTTTATCATGTGTTAAATGGAGATAGTAACCATTTTTATCTCATAGGAATGTTTTGTGGAATTCAGAAATTTATAAATAAAGTATATGGCACAGTACACTGTGCTCAAAAGTTACATTAAAAAAACAAAAACAATACAGTGGATAGCATTTAATACTCTCTTAATAACTTTGAGTCATCATGATATTAATTACTAAATTGCACTTACCTGAGTGGATTTTTAAGTTTATAAAGGTATTTGTCATCACACTACACTGCTTTAGATCGCTCTAAATACCGTGCCTTTCTGTGTGGACCTTAATTGTCAGATAGTACTATTGCATCTTCAACAAACACCTTATTCTCAGAGAAATTAAAGAGACCTAAATAAGCAGATATACTATGTTTATGGATCAGAAGATTCAATATTTAAAAGATATCAATTATACAAAAATTGATATATTGATTCTGTGTTATCTCAATCAAAATCTTAGTGAAATTTTTCGTAGAAACTGACAAGCTGATTCTAAAATTTACATATAAATGCAAAAGATTGAGAATAGCCAACAATTTTTAAAAAGAAGAACAAAGTTGGAAGACTCATATTACCTGATTTTAAAAATGATATAGCTATAAAGCTATGATCATAAAGCTACAGTAATAAAGACAATAGAGTATTGATCTAAGGAGAGACCTATAGATAATGGAATAAACAAGATAATTCAGAAATACACCTGCTTTTATATATAATCAATTGATTTTCAGCAAAAGATGCCAAGGCAACTTAATAAGAAAATAATACACTTTTTAAACAAGTAGTCCCAGAACCATTGGTTATCCTTATGTAATAAGTGAACTTTGACTTTTACCTTACACCATACACAGTAATTAACTCTAAATGGATCACAGATCTAAAGGGAGAAGTTAAAACTATAAAATTCTCAAAGAAAATATATAAGAGAAAATCTACATGAATTTTTATTTGGCAGTAACTTTTATATACAAAACCAAAAGCATAATCAATAAAAGAAAAAGTAAATCAAACTTTATTTAAATTAAAAGTTTTGCTTTGTGAAAAATACTGGTAAGCAAATGAAAAGAAAACTCACAGACTGGGAGAAAATATTTTCCAATTAAATATCTGATAATTTATTTCTAGAATATACGAAACAACTTTTAAAATTCAACAAAAGGGAACAAATATCCTAATTTTTAAAATGGTCAAAAGATCTTAACATATACTTCACCAAAGAAAATATGTGGATGGCAAATAAACATAAAAATGCATGATATCACTAGTTAGTAGAGAATTGTGAATTAAAACCATAATGATATACTACCAAATAACTATTAAAATGTCTTGGAAAAAAACAGACAACACCAAAGGCTGACAAAGATGTAGAGTAACAGGAACTCTCATTCACTGACTGGTGGGAATGCAAAATGGTATAGTCCTTTGGTAGAATTGGACAGTTTCTTTTAAAGTTAAACACACACTTGCCATTTGATCTAGGAATCTCAATCTTAGTTATTTGCTTAAGAGAATTGAAAAAATATATTCACAAAATCCCATATATAAAATGTTTATATTTTGTGCTTTATTCATAATCACCCAAAATTGGAAATAACCAAGATGCTCTTCATCAAGTGAATGGATAAACTGGTATATCCATGGAATGGACAGTTATTCAGTAATAAAAATAAACTATAGATTCATGAAATAGCACAAACAAATCTTAAATGTATTTTTCTGAGTGAAAGAAGCCAGATCCCAAAGGTTATATGTATGATTCTATGTGTGACATTCTTGAAAAGACAAAATTATAGACACACAAAAATCCAGATCATTTGATACCAGGGATTTGAGGAAGTAGGAAGAGTTGACTGCAAATGGGCTGCACAAGGGAATTTTTGGAGTGACAAAACTAATCTGTATGGTACCATGGTGGTGAATACATCACTATGCTTTTGCTAAAACCTGTAGATGTATACATTACAGAGAATAAACTTCATTGTATGCAAATATAAAAATCACCCAAGATATTGATGGGATCCCAGGATGGAATGCAGACTGTATCAAATGAATCTGATTGTACTATGAATGAGATGTCTTTCCTCAAGGCGATAAAGGAAAAACATGCTATCTCAGACCAGAGGAGACTGAGGAAGTATAAAAACAAAATACAGTAGGGTGTGTTGGGTTGGCTCCTGGAACAGCAAAATACATGGATAGAGAAACTGAGGGAATCCACATAGAATCTGGAGTTTAGTGAATAGTGATGTACCAATGTCAGTTTCTTAGTTTTGGCAAATGCACTATTGTAATGTAAGATGATGGCGTGGAGGAAACTGAAACTAGATGAGAGATATATGAGAGCTCTGCAACTTTCCTGTAAATCTAAAATTATTCTTAGATGAAAAGTTCAAATTAATAAATACATACGAATCAATAATATATACTATATGTACACTGATTTTATATATTCTGAATTTTTAGATCCTGATATATATGACTGAATAAATAAATGAGGGAAAATGAACAAATCTTCCTTACAAATTATTTTCAAATAATAAATGTAGAAGCAATGAGGGGAATACAAAGTTACCATCAGAACACCAAAGTAATAGTTGCTACAGTGGTGAAAAGGACAACAGAGAAAGAAAACTGAGAACAACTTCACCTATGACTTAATTTTGCCTCCTGTGAGCCCTGATGATGGGAAGTAGCCATTATTATACTAGCATTTACATAACATACATCAAAGAGTTTTCACACATATCTCAACTGATGTTCATGGCAACCAGAGAGGTAAGGCTTCTCAAAGAGACCAAGGTCAAACTAGGTCTTAACTTTCCAAACCCAGGGTTATTCCCCAATTCCTGCTCCCATCTTACAACTAGAGAGTAACCTGCATGGGAATGGGTTTGAGAAGGAAGGGCTTTAAAAAAATCATTTATATTGAAAAGATCAGAGGAAGCTCACTTTACATGATGACTCAGAACTAGAAAGTGCTGTCCTGCACACACACCAGGACATCTCTGCTATGAAATCACATAGACACATCATTCTCTCAGCCTCTGGGTGTTGTAGAGTATGCTGGGAGAATAAAGAGTGAGGACAAAGGTCCACACCTATTCTGCACAAAAGCCCTATGTCCTTCCCTACTGAGTCACCCAGGAGTGACTTAAGACCTTTGTCAACTTAAGACCTTTGTCACTTAAGACCTTTGTCAACTCCACTTAAGACCTTTGTCAAACTACCTCAAACTTACAGGAAAGTTGTTGACAGGATGCCCTGTTACATCTGAAAACTTTAGTATGTATTCATAACAAATAAGGAAATTCTCCTATATAGCCACAAAACGACCATCAAAATCAAGAAATTAACACTGGGATTTTTTTTTTTTTTTTTTTTTGAGACAGGGTTTCACTCTGTTGCCCAGGCTAGAGTGAAGTGGCATGATCTTGGCTCACTGCAACCTCTGCCCCCCAGGTTCAAGTGATTCTCCTGCCTCACCTCCTGAGTAGCTGTGATTATAGGCACCTGCCACCACACCTGGCTAATTTTTGTATTTTTAGTAGAGACAGAGTTTCACCATATTGGCCAGGCTGGTCTCGAACTCCTGACTTCAGGTGATCCACCCTCCTTGGCCTCCCAAAGTGCTAGCATTACAGGTGTGAGCCACTGCGCCTGGCCCAACACTGAGATATTTCTGTCATTCTATTCTAACCCTCACTGAAGTTTCAGCAATTGTCCCACTGATGTCTTTTAGAGGAGAAGGATCCAGTTCAGGATTACATGTTGCATTTAGTTGTGTCTCTTTAGATTGCCTTCATCTTAGTCTTCTCTTCTTAACTTTCATGACCTTGACACTTCTGATGATTGCGGGTTTGTTATTTTGTAGAGTGTCTTTCAATTTGATTTTGTATGATGTTTGATTAGATTAGATTCATGAATCTGATTGTTGAAACATGGTGAAATTCAGGGTATTCTTTGGCAAATATAGCACTGAAGTGATGCTGTGTTCTTATTTCTTCCTATAAGATGACATACAATTTTGATTTGTCATATTACTGATTATGTTAATTTGGTCCTTTGATTAAGGTGATATTATCCAGGCTTGCCAGGATAAAGTCACTCTTTTTTCCTTTGTAATTCATACGTATGTTGTGGGACAATGCTTTCAGGCCATGTAAATATTCTATTCTTCATAAAACTTTATTTCTTCATCTTAACATAAGCTCATAGATTTCTATTTTATTCCATAGATTAAATGCATTTACTACCAATGTTTATTTTAGATGTTCAAATTGTCTACAGTTTGGCCAGTGAGAGCCCTTTAATCTGGCTTCTGTGTCCTTTTGATGCAATTCTATTATTCTTTGAGCACTTTCTTTCTGGCATAGCAAGATATTTGTAGCTTCTTTTGTACATTTTCTACTCCAGCTGTGGAATCAGCCATTGCTCCAAGAATCCTGGTCCATTTTAGTAGATAATGATCTTTCTTCCTCTTTCTTTCTTTTCCTCCCTCCCTTCTTCCCTCCTTCCCTCCCCCACTCCCCTCCCCTTCCCTCCCCTCACCTCCCTTCCTTTTGAGACAGGTCTCACTCTGTTGCCCAGGCTGCAGAGTAGTAATGAAATCTTGGCTCACTGCAACCTCTGCCTCCTGGGCTCAAGCGATCCTCCCACCTCAGCTTCCTAAGTAGCTGGGACTACAAATGTGCATCACCATGCCTGGCTAATTTTTATTTTTATCTTTTGGTAGAGACAGGGTTTTGCCACGTTGCCCAGGCTGGTCTCAAACTCATGGGATCAAGCAATCCACCTGCCTCAGACTCCCAAAGTGCTGGGATTATAGGGGTGAGCCACCAAGCCTGGCCTGAGAATGATATTTAGAAATCACATTCTGGAAGAAGCTAGATGTGCTCATTGTTCTTGAGGTGTCCCTGCTCCCAGACCCTCTCAGTGGACAGAACTAATGAGAAATGTAGATATAGACACAGATAAATCTATGTATGTATCTATCTACATATTTGTGTCTGTACACATACACACTTTCATCATATTTATTTCTTTATCTACATATATATATATATATATATATATATATATATATATATATATATAAATCTATATTTTCATGCCAATACCTCCAGTTGCAGTTCAACATCATATGGTTCAGGCTTCTATTATCCTGAATGTTTTTCTTATTTTATCAACTTCTCTGTTTATAACCAATCTCCTGTTTCCACCACCTCAATCCCTAAACAGATTCCTGACTACCACCACCTGAGCTCAAATATTCTGTGCTTGATTGCATCCTCAAGCTGGAACCCTCTGTGGCCTCATAGACTCCAATACTTCCTTGTTCAGGTTACAACATTCAATACTTGGGTTCCCTCCTTCATTCCACTTGGGAGCAGACACCCCGTGCACCTATGTGGATGCCCTCATCAACCTATTTAGACTCTGACACCCACACCCACACCAGGCTGCCCTCCCATGCGGACCCCTTCTTCGTCTATCACCTGGGCTCCCACATCCCATAGTACACTACCCTCAGTGTTGTGCTCTGCATCTTTTTTGGGCTCTCACACATCATGACCTTCCTTCCAGCTCTCTCTAAGGATGTCCAGTTCACACACTCTTGATGGGACCCTTCTCTGCTGGGCCACTTTGGGCCACCATTGTTGTAAAGGCCTTACTAACTAACACTATTCATGCCCAAGTGCCCACACCAGGCTGGCCTTCTTCATGGACACCCTCCTCACCTTTCTTTGGCTATGGCTCCTGTGTGGATGCCTGACTCACCAATCATTAACTCCAACTTCTTGCATCAAGATATTCTCCTTTCACCACGACATTTAGGTGCCTATCTTATTCAGCCTACTCATTGGCTACACATTTCTTAGGAAGGGAAGGAAAAGGGGAAGAGGATAATTTTATTTTTGAGATTTTATTTTTACTCTTTCTTATTTCAAGATTCCATTGCAAGAGAAGTAACCTGGACTCCACATAGAGAGACAACTGAGCGTAAAGTCAAAGTAAATTTACCCTTAAGGTTTTTTTAATTATACTTTAAGTTCTAGGGTATATGTGCACAACATGCAGGTTTGTTACATATGTATACATGTGCCATGTTGGTGTGCTGCACTCATTAACTCGTCATTTATGTTAGGTAATTAAGGTTTTTAAATAACTGGGAAGGAAAGTAGAATTGAGTAAGCCTAAAATAAAATGACCATTGAAAAGGACCTTTGAAAATGACCTTCTTAAGAGACTTTAAGTTTCCTTTTGTAAAAAGGAAAAGTTCAGATTTATTTCTCCAAACTCCTTCTAATATGTTGATGCCTGTACTCTATCTGTCATAATTGTTTCCTTTCCAAAGTAAGTTTAAACTCCAGGATCTTCAGAAAAACCATCATTATAAATTCTGGCCTCTGTATCTCTTCACCATGACTCTCCAAAGCAAGAATTCTGAATCATTTGATTATAAATGACCTTTGGTAATGAAATGCCCTATATTATTTTCTAATTGTTTTCCATGTATAATAATAGATTGCTCCACAAATTTGTAAAATTTTCTCTGTAACCCCCTACAGGGTCTACAGAAGGTTAAGTTCACAAACAGTGCTCACTAAGCCAGGCTTGATGGAAACTGATACTTCAGAGAGAAAAAAAAAAGTGCTGAGCCCGGAGGCAGGAAGGGGATTTCCCTTCATATCACCCTTTCTCTCTACCTCCTTTACCACTCTGACTTCATCCCTATCCCCAGCCTCTGTGTTCATCCACACTCATTTGCATTGTTATTGTCTGAGATATAAATGAGGCAAAAACCCATGTATTAATATTACATGCTGAGCAATATTTGGAGAGACACATGAGTTACTGACACATTCACTAGGGGACCAGCAAATTCTACCACAGTTGATGTACTCTTCTTTGGTCAATGACAGGAGAGCACTGGAATTTCCCTGGGCATCTGAGAGGAATGGTAGAAGTTGCAGACAGGATGAGAGGAGAGAAATGAATTTTTAGGGGTGCAAACTTAAGGCTGTTTTAAGAGGGCCAGTGATGTCAGTTGCATTTTTCCTTTTAAACACTATATTATTTCTTTGGCTATGAATGCATTGAAAGGAGATTTGGCTTTTCCTATATCACTATTTACCTTGGCATCATTGACAATGTCTTGAAGCTTCGATAGACATATCTTAAAATAGTCCTTGTGGTATGACTTATATCTCATATCATCTAAAATCAATAAAGGAAATGCCCATTTATTCTGCTGAAACAGATGCTGCCTTCAAAGAAATCATGGCTTTCTTAATAGAATAATAATAGTAATAATATTATTATTCTCATATATTAAATTGTACTTGGTTTTTGGTTGGCAACAATGTTATTAAGATATTTAAAGAATTTTGTGATTAAGTAATGACATTTGCATTTTCTATGATTTTTTTTTAAAAAACCCTTTATTGAGGTATGATCGATATACAAAAAGTTGTACATATTTGTTGTATAGAATTTGGTGAGTTTAGAGATACATATACATGATTAAACCATCACCTCAATTCATGCTATAAACATATCCATCATCTCCAAAAGTTTCCTTCTGCCCTGCTTATTTATTATATTGTGATAAAAACACTTAACAAAAGATCTACCCTCTTAGCAAATTTTTAAATATGTCATACAGCATTGTTAACTATAGGCAAGTCAGTAGATTTCTATGACTTACTCATCTTGCAAACTGAAACTCTGTACCCTTTGACAGACATCTCCTTGTGTCTCCCTCCTCCCAGCTCCTGGCAACTACACTTCTACTCTCTGCTTCTATGAGTTTGACTATTTTTGATTTCTCATATAAATAGGATTGTATAGTATTTTTCCTTCTGTATCTTGCTTATTTCACTTAGTACAATGTCCTCCAGGTTCATCCATGTAGTTACAGATAAAATGATTTCCTTTTATTTAAAGCTAAGTAATATTTCATTGTATGCATACATCATATTTTCTTAACCCATTCACTCCCCAATGAACATTTAGGTTTCTCCCATATTTTGGATATTGTGAATAAAGCTGCAATCAATGTGGGAGTGCAACTACCTCTTCAAGGTCCTGATTTTAATTCTTTTGAACATATACGCAGAAGTGGGATTGCTGGGTAATATGATAGTTCTACTTTTAATTTTTGGAGGCACCTTCATACTGTCTTCCATAGTGGCTACACCCATTTATATTTCCATGAGCAATGTATAATGTATTCTTTTTTAAAAATCCATTCTAACAGTTGTGAAGTGATACCTCATTGTGGTTTTGATTTGCATTTTCTTGATAATTTGTTTTATTGAACACCTTCTCATATATCTTTTGGCTGTTAGTTTTCTTTGGGAACAAATTCTATTCTGTTCCTTTTTCCCACTTTTTTTTTTAAAATCAACTTTTATTTTACATACACAGAGTACCTGTGCAGGTTTGTTACATAGGTATATTGTGTGATGCGGAGGTTTGGGGTTTTGATTCCACCACCCAGGGAATGAGCATAGTACCCAATAGATAGTCTTTCAACCCCTACCCACCTCCCTTCTTCCTCCCTCTAGTAGTCCACAGTGCCTATTCTTCCCATGTTTATGTCTATGTATGCTCAATTTTATCTGTCAGTTATAAGTGAAGACATGGCAGTATTTGATTTTCTGTTCCTGCATTAATTTGTTTAGGATTATGGTCTCCAGTTGCATCCATGTTGCTACAAAGGACATTATTTCATTCTTTTATGGCTGCATAATATTCTATAGTATATATGTACCACATTTTCTTTCTTTAATCTACCATTGATGGGCACCTAGGTTGCTTCTATGTCTTCAGTATTGTGAATAGCATGGCAATGAACATGCAAATGCATGGATCTTTTTGTTAGAATGATTTATTTTCTTTTGGTTATACACCCAGTAATGGGATTGCTGGCTTTAATGGTAGTTTCCTGTTAAGTTATTTGAGAAATCGTCGAACTGCTTCCCATAGTGGCTGAACTAATTTATATTTCCACCAACAGTGCATAAATGTTCCTTTTTCTCTGCAGCCTTGCCAGCACCTGTTATTTTTTTTTGACTTTTTAATAATAGCCATTCTGATTGGTGTGAAATGGCAGCTAACTGTGGTTTTGATTTGCATTTCTCTGATGATTAGTGATGATGAACATTTTGTCATATGTCCTTTTGGCTGCTTGCATTTTTTTTTTTTTTGAGAAGTATCTGTTCATGTCCTTTGCCCATTTTTATTTATTTACTTATTTATTTATTTATTTATTATTATTATTATACTTTAAGTTTTAGGGTACATGTGCACAATGTGCAGGTTTGTTACACATGTATACATGTGCCATGTTGGTGTGCTGCACCCATTAACTCGTCATTTAACATTAGGTATATCTCCTAATGCTATCCCTCCACCCTCCCCCCATCCCTCAACAGTCCCGGGAGTGTGATGTTCCCCTTCCTGTGTCCATGTGTTCCCATTGTTCAATTCCCACCTATGAGTGAGAACGTGCAGTGTTTGGTTTTTTATTGTTGCGATAGTTTGCTGAGAATGATGGTTTCCAGTTTCATCCATGTCCCTACAAAGGACATGAACTCTTCATTTTTTATGGCTGCATAGTATTCCATGGTGTATATATGCCACATTTTCTTAATCCAGTCTATAGTGGTTGGACATTTGGGTTGGTTCCAAGTCTTTGCTATTGTGAATAGTGCCGCAATAAAGATGCATGTGCATGTGTCTTTATAGCAGCATGATTTATAATCCTTTGGGTATATACCTAGTAATGGGATGGCTGGGTCAAATGGTATTTCTAGTTCTAGATCCCTGAGGAATCGCCACACTGACTTCCACAATGGTTGAACTAGTTTACAGTCCCACCAACAGTGTAAAAGTGTTCCTATTTCTCCACATCCTCTCCAGCACCTGTTGTTTCCTGACTTTTTAATGATCGCCATTCTAACTGGTGTGAGATGGTATCTCATTGTGGTTTTGATTTGCATTTCTCTGATGGCCAGTGATGATGAGCATTTTTTCATGTGTTTTTTGGCTGCATAAATGTCTTCTTTTGAGAAGTGTCTGTTCATATCCTTTGTCCACTTTTTGATGGGGTTGTTCGTTTTTTTTCTTGTAAATTTGTTTGAGTTCATTGTAGATTCTGGATATTAGCCCTTTGTCAGATGAGTAGGTTGCGAAAATTTTCTCCCATTCTGTAGGTTGCCTGTTCACTCTGATGGTAGTTTGTTTTGCTGTGCAGAAGCTCTTTAGTTTAATTAGATCCCATTTGTCAATTTTGGCTTTTGTTGCCATTGCTTTTGGTGTTTTAGACATGAAGTCCTTGCCCATGCCTATGTCCTGAATGGTATTGCCTAGGTTTTCTTCTAGGGTTTTTATGGTTTTAGGTCTAACATGTAAGTCTTTAATCCATCTTGAATTAATTTTTGTATATGGTGTAAGGAAGGGATCCAGTTTCAGCTTTCTACATATGGCTAGCCAGTTTTCCCAGCACCATTTATTAAATAGGGAATCCTTTCCCCATTTCTTGTTTTTGTCAGGTTTGTCAAAGATCAGATGGTTGTAGATATGTGGCATTATTTCTGAGGGCTCTGTTCTGTTCCATTGATCTATATCTCTGTTTTGGTACCAGTACCATGCTGTTTTTGTTACTGTAGCCTTGTAGTATAGTTTGAAGTCAGGTAGCATGATGCCTCCAGCTTTGTTCTTTTGGCTTAGGATTGACTTGGTGATGCAGGCTCTTTTTTGGTTCCATATGAACTTTAAAGTAGTTTTTTCCAGTTCTGTGAAGAAAGTCATTGGTAGCTTGATGGGGATGGCATTGAATTTATAAATTACCTTGGGCAGTATGGCCATTTTCACGATATTGATTCTTCCTACCCATGAGCATGGAATGTTCTCCCATTTGTTTGTATCCTCTTTTATTTCATTGAGCGGTGGTTTGTAGTTCTCCTTGAAGAGGTCTTTCACATCCCTTGTAAGTTGGATTCCTAGGTATTTTATTCTCTTTGAAGCAATTGTGAATGGGAGTTCACTCATGATTTGGCTCTCTGTTTGTCTGTTATTGGTGTATAAGAATGCTTGTGGTTTGTTTTTCAGTTGTTGATTTAAGTTCCTTGTAGATTCTAAATATTAGAAATTTGTTGAATGCATAGTTTGAAAATATTTTCTCCCATTCTGTAGGTTGTCTGTTTACTCTGTTGATAGTTTATTTTGCTATGCACAAGCTCTTTCATTTGTTCTCACTTGTCAACTTTTGTTTTTATTGCAGTTGCTTTTGGGAACTTGGCCAAAAATTCTTTGCCAAGGCTGATGTTGAGATGGGGTATTTCCTAGGTTTTCTTCTAGGATTTTTATAGTTTGATGTCTTACATTTAAATCTTTATTCCATCGTGAGTTAATTTTTGCATATGGTGAAAGGTGTGGGTCCAGTTTTATTTTTCTGCATATGGGTAGCCAGTTATTGTAGTACCACTTATTGAATAAGGCATCTTTCCCTATTGCATGTTTTTGTTAGCCTTGTCAAAGATCAGATGGTTATAGGTGTGCAGCTTTATTTATGAGTTTTCTTTTCTGTTCCATGGTTTATGTGTCTGTTTTTGTACCAGCACCATGCTGTTTTGGTTACTGTAGCCTTATAGTATAATTTAAAGTCGGGTAGTGTGATGCCTCTGGCTTTGTTCTTTTGTGTAGTATTGTTTTAACTATTTGTTTTATTTTTTGGTTCCATATGAATTTTAGGAGAGTTTTTTTCTATTTCTGTGCAAAATGATACTGGTTGTTTTATAGGAATAGCACTGAATTTGTACATTTCTTTGGGTAGTATGACCATTTTAACTATATTGATTCTTCTAATCTATAAGCATGAAGTGTTTTTTCCATTTATTTGTGTCATTTCTGATTCTTTCCTCAAACTTTTGTAGTTCTCCTTGTAGAGATCTTTCACCTCCTTGGTGAACTGTAATCCTAGGTGTTTCATATTCTTTGTGGCTATTGTAAGTAAGATTGTGTTCTTGATTTGACATTCAGCCCAGACATTATTGGTGTGTAGAAATGCTACTAATTTTTGTATATTGAATTTGTATCCTGGAACTTTAATAAAGTCACTTATCAGTTCTAGGGCTTTTTTGGCAGAGTTATTAAGGGTTTTCTAGGAATAATAGCATATTGTCAGTGAAGAGAGATAGTTTGGCATCTTCTTTTCCTGTTTGGATGGCTTTTCTTTCTTTTTCTTTTCTGATTACTCTGGCTAAGACTTCAGTACTGTGTTGAATAAGAGTGGTGAGAGTGGTCATCCTTGGCTTGTTCCAGTTCTCAAAGATAATGGTTCCAGCTTTTGCCCATTTAATATGATGTTGGCTGTGGGTTTGTCATAGATGGCTCTTATTATTTTGAGGTATGTTCCTTCTATATGTAGTCTGTTGAGGGTTTTTATCATGAATGGATGTTGAATTTTTACTAAAAGTTTTTCCTGTATCATTGAGATGATCATATAGTTTTTGTTTCTAATTTTGTTTATGTCGTGAATCACATTTATTGATTTGCATATGTTGAAACAACCCTGCTTCCCAGGAATAAAGCCTACTTGATTGTCATGAATTAACTTTTTGATGTGCTGCTGGATAGAATTTGCTAGTATTTTGTTGAAGATTTTTGCATCTATGTTTATCAGGGATATTGGCTTGAACTTTTCTTTTCTCATTGTGTTTCTGCAAGATTTTGGTATTAAACTGATGCCAGTTTCATAGAATGAGTTGGGGAAGAGCCTCTCCTTTTTAACTTTCTGGACTAGTTTCAGTAAGATTGGTACTAGTTCTTTGTACATATGGTAGAATCTGGCTGCAAATCCATCTGATGCAGGGCTTTTTGTGGGGGCTGCTATGTATTTTATTACTGATTCAATTTCAGAACTAAATATTAGTCTATTCAGGATTTCAGTCTCTTTCTGATTCAATTCTGGGAGATTATATGTTTCCAGGAATTTATTCATTTCCTCTAGATTTTCTAATTTGTGTGCATACAGCTGTTCATAGCAGTCTCTGAGGATCTTTTGTATTATGTGGGATTAATTTTAATGTCATCTTTGTCATTTCTGATTGTATTTATTTGGATCTTCTCTTGTTTTTCTTTTTTAAACCAGCCAGCATCTATCTATCTTGTTTATTCTTGTAAAAAACAAAATCGTGGTTCCATTGTATTTTTTGTATCCTTTCCTGCTTTTTAAGTGGAAGTGTGTTTTTGTTTGTTTATTGCTGCTGAGTGGTAGCAGTACTTTAAATATTTTGTCTCTTAACCCTTTATCAGGCATATAGTTTTAAAATGTTTTCCTTTTTTTTCTATTTTTTGAAATTGCAGTGCTTAGAATAAATCTTGAGTAGAATCTAACGTGTTATTTGGGCACATTTTTGCTTTAGGAGCTTCAGATTTTAAACTTATATACAAAATAAGGTAAAAATTATCAGTTGAGTATATTTAATTAAAAAATAATTATTGATTATCTACTGTATAAAGTCACTACCTTGCGATTGGGAATAGAAAACAGTGAGCAGAGAGTAATGAGACAAACTGTCTGTCCTTAAGGACCTTACAATTCAATGGAGGAGGGAGAAATTAAATAAGAAACCAGAAAAATATAATTAACATAAAACAGAGGCATGTTGAATTGGGAATAAATCAGAACGAGAAATTAATTCCTCCAGAGAGAACGAAGTTTCCCAAATAAGACTGATTCATGAGTTCTCCTTCAATATCCCAAGATCTAAAACTATCGAAGTGTAAGAATTCAGAGAAGGGTGGGCTGAGAGCGCAAGATCCATGGGGTATATGGTAAGAAATAACTCTGGAAAGGCAGTTTGGGATTAGATCATGAAGTCTTGGGCTCTTGAATAAGGAGTTTATACTTTATTCTAATCACAGCACAGAGACTTGTGAGGAAGTGAGTGACATGAGCTGATTACCAGTTTGGGGACTGAGTGATAGAATGGATGGGAGTTTGTGTCATAAAGTAAATTTAATTAGGGCTTATCCATTTATTTATTCCACAGACATTTATTGAGCACCCACTAGTTGCTGGTGATACTCAATTTAATAAGACATAGCTTCTGCCATTGAGAAGCTTCTGACCTAGTTAAGGAGATAGTATCATGTAGTCACTGCCATGATAGTGGTAGCACAGGGTAGATTTAAACTGACTCACAGAAAGGCTAATTTGCCCAAGGTCACACCACTAAGCCAGTTGCATAGGTAAGCCATGAACTCAGCAGTGCACTTCAGGGTCTATGAGCTTACCTACTCAGGTAAGCTAGATTCAGAGACATATATTTGGATGTGAGATATGGTGAAATCAATGACTTTATCTGGTCACTCTGACCTTATACCCTGATCTGAGAAGTATGATTTTATACATGTGCCTTCACCTACTCTGTTTATGCAAACTTGGGGTAGCAGGATACATAAAAGAGCTAACCAAGAGATCAGAATCCCTGGTTCTGAGTCTAGTTTGCATCTTTCTACCTACAACTACTGCTACTCATTACTTCATTCATTCCACAAATATCTTAAGCCCCTAGTGTTCCAGGCACTTTCCCAGGTACGCAGAATGTAGCAATGAATCAGAAAGATGCAGCTCCTGCCTTTTCTGGACCTTACACTTTGCTGAGAAAAGTGAGACGTGACACGTACCCACAGAAACAAAGAAGCAAGGTCATTTCATAGCGAGATGAGTGCTATGAAGATGATGAAGCAGGGAAACAGGGGAGAGAGTGAAAACTGCAGGGGCGGGAGATGCAACTTCAGTGGGCAGTTGAGGAAAGCTCTTCTGCAGTGTGTCATTGGTGCTGAGGCCACAGGGACCTGGAGGAGCCAAGCTAGGCTAAGCTTTACGGGACAGTGAGCACACCATGGCCAAGTGTCTGGATGTGTGATTAAATTGCTGAGGCAGGATAGGGTCATGAGAGAAAATGAATGGGTGGCAAGAATGGGCCAACTTCTGGGGAAGATGTCTTCATTGTCCTACTAGCCAAAAAATGTGCTTTGACCTTCCTTCCTCACATTCCCAGCAGCAATTTCTCACCACCAGAGCCAGTGCCTATGAATTGCTGTGCCTTAGTAAGCGTCAAGTCATCTCTGATTATCAGCTCTCTGCTTTAGTCACTTGACCCTTTTTCACCAGAATGTCTATGGCAGTACATTTTCAAATTGCCCTTTTCTCCCCCCAGGGATGGAGGCACAAAATACCAGGAAGGAAACAGATTCTGCCAGTTACAGAGTATTGACAACACTCTGTCACTCCGAAAAGGCAGACTCAACTCCAGAAAAGTGAGTCTGTCCACAGTTTCAAGTTTCAGTTCTGTTATGTCGTCTCACCACTGGCCAATTTTATGCCAATAAAAAGTGGATTGGCTTTACTGAGTACTTCTACCGTAAATCTAAGCAAATCAGAATTTAAAATATAGAAAAAGGAGACTTACAGCATAGGGGAGATAAATAAATCCAGGGTGGCAGGAGTGTGGGCTTGAACACACCAAACCATTATCTTACTTTCAATTTTGCAGAAAGTTGGCAGGTGCTGAGGGAAGAGGTGCTGAGCAGCTTCTCAGGGGAACACATCTTCCTGAAAGGCCTCCTGCCATTCCTGGGTATGCCCTGAATGAGCTGGCTGTGGAGACACAGACTGTCTGTGGTTCTTAAAAACCTCAACGCAGTTTTCAAAAGGGAAGGGAGTCCCTCCCAGGTCTTAAACAAATTTTGACTGACATTCAAATGTTTTATGCCTTTCTAACACACAGAGGGTCAAATTACCTCCTTTTCCCACAGGCTTTCAAATGGTCATCTTTAGTGTCTTAACAAAACAGTTGTGCATAGCCCAAGCCAATTTTATAAGTAGCAGTGTGGCTCTGTTAGAGTATAACATCCCTGACCATCCAGCTGCAGAATTACACACAGGACACTAAAAGTGTGGAAAATACTGGACTGTAACCCTCCCTTCCCTGTCTCTTTATTCCAGCCAACTCAGATCACCTCTTGGTTGCAGCTTGGAATTTTTGGGAGGTGAGGGGTGGGGTGAAAGAGAGAAACTTTTATTTATAATGAGACTTAAGGTTTAATGTGGAGTAGGAACACTAACTTCAAACATATCAGTTAACTATGTAATGTTTTTGATGAGGAAGAGGCTTTGAGAGAGGAGGAGGAAGAGAGGACAGAAGGACCCAAGTGGTGAAATAGGCCCTAATAAGCAGGAGGTGACGAGAAGCTGAAGATCCAGAATATACAGTCTTTCCACTTCAGAATTCTACCTGTTTGTAAACAGAAGAATTCTACCTGTTTGTAAACAGAACAGAATTCTGTTCTACCCCTTCTTGCTAGGCAGAAAGATCCTACTTAGTTTCCCTCCCTTATGTTTTTGTGTGGTCAAACCTCTGCCTCGAGAATGAAAACCAGTATTTCATTCTAAACTCCTTAGAAACAGTTTTATCTATATAACTCAGCCCAAGATCGTTGGGTCAGTGATACTGAGCTTCCTGCTCACACTTCAAGATACCTAATAAATGCTTGTTTGCTAATGAATACAAGGAAAAGGTCTGAGTATAGGTGTTGAGACTATCAAAAACTGATTCAGAGTTTTGAGCTAAGTACTTGTTAGGAGCAATACTATGCCTGTCTTACTTGTAGTATCTTGCCTTTCCAGAGTGATATTTTGATTGTTTTCATTTTGTACCACATTAATTTGTTTGGGTAATATTTATACATATCATGTTATTGGTGAAAAGAATAAGAGATACTCAACCTTTCTGAATTATAAAATCAATTAATGAGAATATGGCTAAGTAAAGTTGAGATGTTAAAACTTCTTTAGACAATACGTCAGGTTCATTTCTTTCAGAATATCTGCTGTTAGCATGGTGCCTTGATTTAGTGGCCTGATTAGATTCCCCCAGTATCTTACCTTCTCCCTAGCTGGCTGTCCTAGCCTGACCTTTTAAGTCCTGTATTCTCAGTCCTCTTAAGTTAACAGGGGGGTCCCTCAGTCTTCTTTGTCTTATGTTTCTATTGACAAAAAGTATTCCCCATGCTGAAGTCTTTCACATTTTTTTTACTGTAGTTCAGGAAATAGAAATGTAACATGGTCAGTGGCATTGGCTATCTTCCTACTGACCTAGAGAATAACTACTTTCCCAAGGGTGTCATCAGATATGAATGTGCCAGGCTAAGCTAAGATCCTGTGCCTACCAAAACTGTTATGTGGCATTAATCATTTCTGAAAGTGTAAGTAGATCTTTCAGCCAGGACAAGTGCCAACTGACCCAAGTGCCAATACCTTTTGAAGGAGTCTATGAAAAGTATTAAAATTCAAGTGGTCACTGATGAAACTCCAAATAAAGCCAGCATGAAAAGTCTTTAAAATTTACCAGTACTTCCTACAGGCAGGAAAAAGAATGTTCAAACCTGCAAGAAAATGCTTTTCTATTTTGTTTTTATTTTTTAAGGTACAAGTGACAAACGTATTCCTTCGTGATTATTAAAGTTTTCTCTAATGTATTTCAGTAATGGAAGGCTGTTATTTGACTTGATTCCACTGTTGGTTTTGGTTTGAGCCCTGCACACTCCTTTCCCTTTCACCTCAAAGGGAGCTCCTTGGTATGGAGCCACACACTCATTAATAGTGTTAAGATCAGGTTGGATCTGCTCCCAAATCCTCTCCTTATGATTCAGCTCCTTGTTGGGCTCTCCAGGGAAAGCATCAAAAGTAATTCTGTCTCCAGGAATGGGCCCATTAGGAGGAGCCAAGTTTTCAACTTTCTATGGTGAACAAGCACATATCACTATTGCTTGAGATAATACTCACCTTGTGTTTGCAGGTTTCAGGTTTCAAAGTAACCTCTCTAGATTGGGAGCTGTGGGAAGAAGGAGCTTATGCTTTCTTGTTTGCACATCGCCCAGGATAATAGAGATTCTGTAACACAGAGCTGGGGTGAGGATAGGAGTCAGTAATAGAGTGGAGATTGGCTCAAATGCTTCAGACTCTCACAGTTCTTATCAATAATTTTTTTTCTTAAATGAATGTTTTTCAATTTGCTGGATAGCCTTAGGACAATTTCCAGAGATTTTAAGTGACTGTGGGTTTTTAAAAATGCTTCTTCACTAGATAGATGCCTTCCTGTTGGGAACAGATTTCCCTATCATTCTATACTTGGTCCTTGTCATATTTTTAAATTAAATAAATGTGTTATTAATTCTCTGTTATTAATAATAATATTCATGAGTAAGTAACTTCTCTGTGCCTCTTTGGAGTGGCAATTTTGTTTGCCTTGTAAAGCTGTCTGTCTAACCTAGGAAAAACTGATCAAATGTGTACTGATTTAATAGTGAGGGAGTAGCAACAAAGAAATGCTAAATTTTTTAGAACTATGAATTTTGTCAAATAGCCCAGCCTCTTGGACTGTACTGTACTTCATTTTTTGAAATGAACATGATAATCTTGAGCTTATCAAAATGTTAGTGAGAAAAACTAATTGTGAAGTCAATTAAAATAGGGTCATTGAAAGATGATAGAGTCCATTCAGAGTGACTTAGGTTCAAAACCTGGGATTTGTCACCGACTGTGAGCATTTTGTCAAGTTACTTTACCTTTTCAGGCCTCAGTTTCCCTATATATAAGAAGAGAATAATGGCATCTATCTCAATCAAATATTGCTATTAAATGAAATAATTTATACAAATGCTTAGTATGTTGCTTTCCAGGGTAGGGTAAATGTTGTAAAGTATTACTATGTGTATTATTATAATATGTTATTAAGACTAATATTAAGAATAATAAATCATTTAGGCAGAAAATCATACAAGTACCCCAGCTCTATCAATTAAGATGCTTTGGCTGCAAGTAGCAGAAAATCAACTCAAAGTTTCTTTCTTATAAGAAGTCCAAAGGTGAAGGAGTTTCAGGGTTGGTTACACTAATGACTCAGAATTGTTATCAAGCACCCATGTTTACTCAGTCTTTCAGTTATGTTATCCTCAGAGTTTTCCTTGTTGTATAGGATAAATTCTTTTCAAGCCCAAGATGGCAGCTACAGTTCCAGGTATCACAATAGGTTGCAATGTCCATGGGCTGAGAAGGAAATGTCTTCGTCTTTGGTTCTTCCTTAAGAACAAAGATAACTCTTCCAAAAAGTCCCTAGGAGCCTTTTTGTCCATTTTCATAAGGCAAAATTGTGTCATATGCCCCTTCTTAATCCATAATTGACAAGGGAATTTGGATGAACCATGTTGGCTTAATGAAATTAATAAAGATTCACCTTTCTCCTTCAGGGATAGATAGATGCTCAGCCTCCATAAAGCAGCTAGTGTTCTAATATCTGAACACAATTGGGTTTCTAAGAGCACAAAAGGGAAGAAGAGATTTGGGTAGACAAGGTACAGAATTTACTACATCTGGGCTAGAGATTAGAGGACTCAGAGATGAGTAAAATGCCTTATCTTCAAGGAAATTCTAGTTTATTAATAATATTATTACTACAATTATCCATTCCATTAGTCCATTTGTGTTGCTATGAAGGAATACCTGAGGCTGAGTAATTTATAAAGAAAAGAGGTTTATATGGCTCACAGTTCTGCAGGCTGTACAACAGCATGGCATCAGCATCTGCTTCTGGTGAGGCCTCAGGAAAGTTATAATCATGGCAGAAGATGAAGCGGGGAGCTGGAGTATCACATGGCAATAGTGAGCGAGAGAGAGAGAGGTGCCAAAGTCTTCCCTTCCCAAAAGTTCCCCCAAAGTCTTAACTCATCCCATCATTAACTCAGTAGTCCAAAGTCTCATTTGAGACTCAAAGTAAGTTCCTCCAGCTATGAGCCTCTAAAATTAAAAAAAAACAAGTTATATATTTCCAAGACAAAACAATTGTATGTGCATTGGTAAAATAATCCCATTTCAAAAGGGAGAAATTGGACAAAAGAGAAGGACAACAGGCCCCACACAAGTCCAAAACCCAGCAGGGCAGACATTAAATCTTAAAGCTCTAATATCATCTTTGCCTCCATGTCCCACATCCTGGGCACACTGGTGCAGGGAGTAGGACATGGCCTTGGGCAGCTCTGCTCTTTGAGTTTGCCAGGTGCAGCCTCTATGGCTGCTTTCATGGGTTGGAGTCCAATGCCTGTGGCTTTTCCATACTCAGGATGCAAGCTACAGGTGGATCTACCATTCTGGGGTCTGGAAGGCAGTGGCCCCCTTCCCACAGCTCCACTAGGCAGTGCCTCAATTGGCACTCTGTGTGGGGCTGCAACCCCACATTTCCCCTAAGTACTGCCCTAATAGAGGCACTCTGGGGGCACCCTGCCCCTGAGGTAGGCTTCTGCTTGGACACAAAGCTTTCCAATATATCCTCTGAAATCTAGGTGGAAACTGGCAACCTTTCTTCACTCTTGTATTCTGGCACTTGCAGGCTTAACATTTCCTGGAAACCACCAAGGCTTATGGCTGAGCCTTCCATAGGGTTAGCCCGAGCTCTACCTGGGGCCGTTTGAGCCTTGGCTGTAGCATAAGCAGCCAGGAGGTGGGGAATGGCCTTCCAAGGTGGCACAGGGCAGCAGTGCCCTGAATCTGGCCACTGAAACCATTCTGTCTTCTGGGCTTGCAATGAGAGGGGCTACATTGAAGATCTTTTTCCCATTGTCTTGGCTATTAGCACTTGACTCCCTTTTAATCATGCAAATCTCTCTAACAAGTGGTTGCTTTGCAGGCCTCTTGAATTATTTCCTTGAAAACACTATTTCCTTCTTTACTACATGGTCAGACCACACATTTTCCAATTTTTTATGCTCTGCTTCCCTTTGAAATATAAGTTCCAACTTTAAGTCTTTCTTTTGCTCTTGTATCTGACTGTAGGCTGTTAGAAGTAACCACACCACTTCTAGAATGCTTTGCTGCTTAGAAATTTATTCCGCAAAATATCCTAGGTCATCACTCTTAAGTTCAGCCATCCCCCAAAACTGAAGGGCATGGACAAAATGCAGTCAAGTTCTTTGCTGGGGTGTAACATGGGTGACCTTTGCTCCATGGCTGATAACCTCCTTATTTCTATCTGAGATCTCATCAGTCTGGCCTTCATTGTCCATATTTGTATCAGCATTTTCTTACAACCACCTAACAATTCTCTAGGAAGTTTCAAACTTTCCCTCATCTTCCTTTCTTCTTCTGAGTTCTTCAAATTCTTCCAATCTCTGCCTGTTACCCAGTTCTAAAGCTGCTTCTACATTTTCAAGTCTCTTCATAGCAATGCCCCACTCATAAGTACCAATTTTTTGTGTTAGCCCATTTGCATTTCTATAAAGGAATACCTGAGACTGGGTAATTTATAAATAATGTAGGTTGATTTTGGCTGATGGTTCTGCAGGCTGTACAGGAAGCATGGCACCAGTGTCTGCTCCTAGTGATGGCCTCAGAAAGCTTACAATCATGGCAGAAGGCACAAGGGGAGCCAGTATGTCACATGGCAAGAGAGGGAGAAAGAGAGAGAGAGAGAGATAGGTGCCAGGCTCTTTCAAACAACCAGCTCCCACATGAACTCATTACTGCAGGAAGGTCATCAAGCCATTCATGAAGCCCCCCATGATCCAAACACCTCCCACCAGGCTGTATCTCCAAGATTAGGAATTACATTTAAACATGCGATTTGGAGATAACAAACATCCAAACTATATCATCCATGATAGCTAGTGCATTGCCCTATCAATGTCTTAAAAGCCATGGGTTTAAAAGAAAATGAGACATTAGCCAAGCTTGTTGACTTTCATAAAAACTCATCTCATTTCCCTAATTTGACCAAGACATTCTGTTTAGCCAGAACTTCTGATCTAACCAACCAAACTAGCTAAAAACAACAAAGAGAAATTTGTAAACTGTCCCCTAATGCTGGGAAGTTGTTACCAATACCTAGAAAAGTTATGTTTATCTTATCTGTAAAAAATAAAATTCATGTTGATTTGAAGCATCATTTATTGATATTCTTAACTGTTTTGAAGATGCACTCAAGTTCTATCTAGTGACTCAGACCTTCCAAGTTTCTGTCCACTCTGTGACACACTCTATCGGGGGGCATCTGAAAGTTTTGCAGAAAATAATAACGTAGATTTGGTTTTGTTTTGAAGAAACACCTCAGAAAATCTATTCTTGACTAGAGTTGAGGGTAAAACATACAATTTAAAGTGGTTTTAATCTTAGGATTTCATACTTGGTAGTAGGGTAGAGGGAGAAGTACCAAAGTCTGTATTTATTAAGTATATATTATTTGTTCATATGTCCTATGCTTATTCATTTAACAAATACACATCTAATAATCTAACATGCTGTATGTTTTAGTAGACAATTATAAACCCCACAAAGGAAAAGCTCTTCAAGGACCTTAATACAAACATATCATTATAATACAAAAAAACAAAATGATAAAACAATTCCTACTCTAGGACTTCTGCAGAAGGAAAACAAAAAGACAAAAAAATCAAGGTACACAACAAAAGAAGATAATGACAGGTACACACATAACATTACATTAGCACACACACATAGACACATATTCATCAAATATATATTGGGTCCTTGCTACACATAAGAAATTATGCTGAAAAGATACAAAAGTAGGCCGGGCGCGGTGGCTCACGCCTGTAATCCCAGCACTTTCAGAGGCCGAGGTGGGCGGATCATGAGGTCAGGAGATCGAGACCATCCTGGCTAACATGGAGAAGCCCCATCTCTACTAAAAAAATACAAAAACGTTAGCCGGGCGTGGTGGCAGGCACCTGTAGTCCCAGCTACTCAGAAGGCTGAGGCAGGAGAATGGCGTGAACCTGGGAAGTGGAGCTTGCAGTGAGCCAAGATCACGCCACTGCACTCCAGCCTGGGCGACAGAGCCAGATGCCATCTCAAAAAAAAAAAAAAAAAAAGAAAAGAAAAAAGATATAAAAGTAAAGAGACACATTCCTATGCTCAGAAAATTTATAAGATGCTAAGAGAGATAATAGGCACTCTCAAAGTATTACAAACTAAAAAGAAAGAGAACTAACAATTTCTAATAATGATAACAAACACATACATAGTGGTTATTGTCTCAGAAACTGCTCTAAGCACTTTACAAATATTAATTCATGTAAACTTTCCAAGCTTCCACTAAAGTAAGTAATATTATTATACCATGTTACAGAGGAGGAAACTGAGACACAGAAAACTTTGCCCAAGGTTGTGTAGCTAGAAAGTGGTAGAGCTGGGATTCTAACCCAGGAAATGTGACTCCAGAGTCTATGCTATACATGGTGATGCATGGTTATGTGTAAGGTAACTTCACAGGTTTTATATAGGAGAGAATAAAACATAGAATTTGGCATTATAAAAAAATAAAAAATATTATGAGACTTCAGATAAATGAGATATTATTTCTTGCTTGAGTGGTAAAATAATGCCTTTCTGGACAAGATAGTATTTGGAAATTATGGAGGATTTAGGCATGAAGTAATCAGGCAGGGACAGCCTTTGGGAGAGAGTAGGAGAGTTGGAAAAGCATTGAGTATATTAAGGAAATGAAGATTTTTTCCAGTTTAGTTGGAATATAGTTGTGTGTAGGAGATTAACTCAAGATAAGGCTGGAAAGTAGAATCCTAAACTGTTAGAACTGGCAGATGCCCTAAACATCATGTAGTGTTGCTCCTTGTTTTACTGACAAAGAAAATGAGGCCCAGAGATGGAATGACTGGGCATGATTCCAGTGGGGCTTTGGGTGGCATCTTCAGGACTGAAACTCTGCTCTTCCAACTCCCAGGCTAAGGGTTTTCATATTACACTGGATCAGATCATGGAGAGCCATATATATCTAAACAATGATAAAGTACTAAAGGATTTTGAGATAGGAAGGAGAAACTGGATTTGAATTCTAACTTCTTAACCTGCTAGTTGTTTAATTTGGGGTGGCGGGGGGGATGGGGATTTTACCTAACTTCTTTAAACTCAGTATCTTCATCTGTAAAATAGGTATGATAAAATGCCTAACTTGTAAGATTGCCACGACAAGTCAGTAAGATGCTTTGCACATAGTAGATGCTAAATAAATAGTAAAATCAATTTTTTTTCTTCTCCTTCTCTTTTCCTGTCTTTATTTTTTTTGGGGGGCGGGGTAAGCTTTCCATTCTTTCCATTCCTCCTCTTTCTCTTTTTCTTCCTCTATCAAATGGAAAGGTGAGGAAAGGCAGACATTGGCCCATTCCACCCCCACCTGCAGTGTGCTCCTCCTGTCCAGGATCTGCATTTCTTGGCCTGAAGGTTTCTAAGCCTTTGGGAGGATGCTTTACCTAGGTTTGTGTCAGGACAGAAGTCCCAGAATGTCTATTCACCCCCTAGAAGAGCCCTCAAACAATGACGGAAGAAATTTGGTGTATACATTCCTCCCTGGACACACAGTAAGATTCCTCTGTGGCAGCTCCCAGGCTGGTTCCTGGGGCTTTCCACAGGATTACTCTTTGGTCTGCTCCATTGTAGTAACCCTTGGTTGCTCCCCTTTCCTGTCTCACTTCTCCACTCCCCTGATGACTTTCCAAATAAACTATCAGTATGTGAATCTTTGTCTCAGTGTCTTCTTTTAGGGGATCCCATGCTAAGAAGGAATGGGTTCATAAATGATGGAACCAGGCTCTAGAAAATCAGGGAGGAATGAAAATAGAAGCATATATTGAGGGACTACTCCAGGGGAAGAGGAAGGATGTTTCACAGAGTTGGAAAGAGCAGTCTATTGATGGCCAAGCTAGCTGCCTTGCCTATGTCATCCTGCCCTCTCTGAGTTTTTCTTTTTTCATTCCAGGCCTAACCAACATAATCTCAGAATTCTCATTATCAGGTCTACTGGAAAATCCTGTATGGCAAGGCTGTTGGGCTGTCCTTTCCTTTCCAAGGCTGATGATATCTCTGGCTTTCTTGATAGCTGACTGAGGAGGAGGAAGCCACCAGTGCTAACATGCACTGTGATTCTGGGAAGAAGGGTATTCCCAAAGCACAGAGACACCAATAACTGTCATTTTCAGAATTACTGTGATGGTGCTGGTGGTGAAGGTAACCCAGAATAGTTGCCTGCATATTTAAAGGACAATGAGGTTTCTGGAACCATGGAGATGGGCCTGGGCAGGAATAGTCTTTTTCCTGAAACGACATGAGCTTTGCCAACAAAAACACAGAACTCTGGTAGCTTAGCCTTATTCTTGCACCAAGGAGAGTAAGGCTGGTCTTTGGCTCTTTGCCTGCTGGTGTTTGGCTCCTTGCCTGTTGATGTATCCTTATCCTAATTAGACCTTCTTTATGCTACAAGGCAGAATCCCAGAGAGGAGGCTGTGCATGAGGTGGGGTTGGGGCTGAGTGGGGGGAAGGTGTCTTTAGTAGACTCCTGTGAAAATATCTTTAAAAGTCTAGAGAACAAGGAGAGTAAAGCTGACTAACATTCAAAAGGACCTCCTAGCATTCCAAGTAAACAGAAACATCCAGATTTCAGTAAAGATTAAGACGAGACTTTCTGATAAGATTTGATACGTCGAGATCACCTTTGTGGCCAGATAACAATAAAACTCTTTTCCTGCAGTAAACTAACTACCTAGGCTACACAAATAATGTGAGAAATAGTTTCCAAAAATAAATAAAAATACTAAAATATAAATTAACATTTACAAAGAACTGCAACCAAATGACCATTAAACAAATACTTTCTGAAGAAAAGATGTAAAATGAATCAAAACATAAAAATTATAAAACAGTCTTATGATCTTATGATATACATAAATTACCTTTATGTTTAAAAAATCAGTAACTGGAAAGTTGTTATTTTCTGCCAATTTGTGATTTTAACCAATTTGTTTTGGTTTGTAAAGAAAGGGGTGGAAGAATACATAGCAAACGGATAATACTGTCCACTTCAGGGAAAGGATCAGCAAGGGACACAATGTTTTATTCGCTTGTATTGGTTTTCAGCCAATTTATGATTTTAACCAATTTGAGCAATTCAGTTGGATGGAGAAATTTTAGCTGTAAAATCAATACGAGAAAGTTGTTCATTTTCCCCAATGCTGATACAAGATCAAAAGACTTTCACATGCATGATTTCCAAAATGACTCAGTGAAATATAGAAATAAGACCTTAGAGCTGATGATTGACTGGTAGAAGGGGGTTTTCATTCTCTTATCTGGTGTAGCATGCCTTTGGATGTCCCTGTGTTTTAGGGCAGTATAAACAGTATTAATACATGATGACTTGGCTGTTGAACAAAAAGGGCCTGAGATATGGGCAATTGTGTGGTGAGAGGTATTCTTCAAAGACAAGCTCTTCAAGATGATTTCCTGCAGAGAATCCTATCAAGCCTGAATGAACAATGCAAGGGGTGACTGTCTTACAAGCTTCAGCGCAAAACATTTTGGTACCACAGTCTGTGGGTTGTTCACCTGCAGGACAGTAGCAAGGTAAGTCATAATAAAGCACTCTAGTGAAAAAAGAAGTGTCCACACAAGCTGAAGAGCAGATATGGGGTGTGTCAACAACACTGTCATATGATATGTGTTCCAAATTTCTTTGGTGGAAACACAGATGCAAAGATATTAACCGAAAGAGAGAGAAAAAGAGAGAGAGCGCGAGAGAGCGCGAAAGCCAGCTGAAACATTTTTATAGATCATTATGATATTAATTCCCCAGACTCAATACCACCAAAACTAGAAAAGGAAACCTGATCAAATTCTTTGCAAATTCTGAGTCATGAAAAACTTGTGAATAGTACTGTACATTTCAGATTACTAAATTAGAGCTCATCGGAGGATTTATATGACTGGTTACTGGTGAAAAGATCAGAGAATGTCCTTTCATCCATCAGTACTAACTGAAAAGGGAGTCGATTTTTTATAAGCAAAGGCAACAGGCTGAGCCATGTGTATTTCCTGAGGTGTTGCTTTGACATTTGAAAGTGAAACTCGACACTAGAAGCTTAGATGCGTCCGGTGAAAAACAATCTGTGAGCTGTGAAACTGCAAAACAATTCTGTGGATCATTCAGTAAAGTCATTTCTTCCTTTGGTTTCCTTTAACAATAGTACTATGATATTGACAAACTTGCTCTATTTGGGTGTTTTCTTTCTATTTTCTATTCTTTTGAGTGTTAATGAATTAAGGTGTCCATGAAATTAAACTTTTGGTGATAGAAATATAATTATTATAACTTTTATATTTACTAAAACTCTCTGCTTAATAAAATTTATGAAGGTAATGTATGTTTGGTGTAAGTCAAACAAATACAAGTGAATAAAATATTGTCTCCCTTGCTGATCCTTTCCCTGAAGTGGACAATATTATCAGTTTGCTATGTATCCTTCCACACTTATATTTATGTCTATAAAATGTATGTGGATTAATTTGCAAAAATGGCGAAGCATTCTTCTCATCCCTGTAGCATCTCCTTTTTGTAGTGCAGCTTTACTGCTCCTCCCACCAAGGAGTGGAGTCTATTTCTTCACCTTTTGAACTTGGGCTTGGCAGGGATGAATTCCTTTATATCACTGGGACATGACAAACAAAAATGATGACAAATGTGACATTGGGACAACAAATATGATGAAAACCACTTGCCTTGGGGCTTGTCATAATCACCATGGGAATTCTATTGTATCCATAGTTATGCATACAGCCCTCTAAATCATGAAACACAGTAATGTGTTTAAAAAGATTTCTGAAGTCATTGGTTTGAAGGAATAGATCTTGTAACAAGTGTTGTGGGATCTTGGGATATATATGCAATAAAATCTCTGAAATCTTTAGCTATTCACCTGTAAATATATGCTTTATTTTTAAGAGGACAAGAATTGTTATATGAGTCATGTAAGAATATATGATCCCTTTCCTTTAAAGGCTTTTGAATATAGCTGAAAAGATGAAGGTATTACAACACTCGCTTTTCATGTTTTTATACTCTATTCTCCATTTCAGCCAGTGCTCCATTCCCACAAATTTCCAAGTTTCCCATGCTTGCTTCGTCTTCTCATCTTGTAGGGACCATATAGGAGAGTGATGTGATAAATTAATTTACACTAACATGACAGGATTTTATTGGTTATTCTTTTGATGTGTATAATTGCCTTTTAAAAGAAACCTGGAGAGAGACTAACTAGAGCTTAATTGAAAGGCATGAAGTGATAATGATGGAATTTTAGGCCATAAATATCTGAATGTTGAAAGTTTACACCCAATTTCTTCCACCTGTCAGCCTGCCCTTAATACCTTCTTAGATAAAACAGTATTATTCCTTACTCCAGGATTAAATTATATGTAATTTGAGATACAATTTTTTTTATTTTATTAACAGAGGTGATACAAGAGTAGAAGAAATTGTAGTAACATATTTATAATCAGAACTAGGAATATTGACCACTAATGTAGTCAAAATAATTTTTTCATAACTGTCAGGAGAGGGAAAAACCAACATGTGCCTCAACACAAATACTATATACAAATAGTTTAGTATATTGAAGCACTAGAACCAATCAGATCATTTTTCAAGATGTATGCAAAAATTACAATAGCATCAGCTTATTAGTAACAACATTCACAAGACGGTTACTTCACTGCAACTCACCTTAAGCATGGTCAGCTATTATACATGTATAGATGCTTAGGGACCAGTAGTGTTATAGCTAGATAAGATGATTGATTAATTGATTGACCGATACATAGAGAGATAAATAGGACAGAGACTACAGTGAGCTTTATGTATATTCCACTTAAGCCATATAGTCCAATGACCATACATTGGACCTTGATATCACCCACCTGAAATCTCTCCTGAAATCTTTATTTTTCTTTTTTTAATTTTTGTGGGTATATAGTAGGTGTATATATTTATGCAGTATATGAGATATTTTGATATAGGTGTAGAATGCATATTAATCACATTAGGGTAAATGGGGTATCCATCAGCTGAAGCATTTCTCCTTTCTTTGTGTTACAAACAATCGAATTATACTCTTAGTTTTTTAAAAATGTACAATGAATTATTGTTGAATGTAGTCATCCTGCTTTCCTATTAAATACTAGATCTTGCTTATTCTATCTAATTATCTTTTTGTACCCATTAACCATCCCTACTTCCCCCACCCATGAAATCTTAAATTCAAGCATTCTGCTCTCTGATCATAGACTGTAGTCCTTCAATCCTGTCACTCTGTTACTTCTGCTATTCTCATATCTTATCAAAACTGCTAGTCTTTTTTTTTTTTTTTTTTTTAGTAGAAACAGGGTTTCACCATGTTGGCCAGGATGGTCTCGATCTCCTGACCTCATGATCTGCCCACCTTGGCCTCCCAAAGTGCTGGGATTACAGGTGTCAGCCACCATGCCTGCCCAAGACTGCTAGTCTTTTGATCCCTCCTGGTCACCAAGTATTTAGCCTCTTCCTGTCCTTCCTGTCTTTCTCTATTCAGCCTAAACTACATGATTCATTACTTGCCTATTGACCTTCCACCACGCCAGCCTGAAAAGATTCAAACTATTTAAAATATGTATTGTTTCGGTCCAACTCTTTTCTCTCTATACTTTGGGGCCATTATAGGGTCTTCAACCTTAACTTGGCCCTCATTGCTGCTCAACAGTCAAATATTTCATCAGTTCTAGCTCCCATTTCCAATAGCAGCTATTTCAGAGCTCATGCACTCTCCATAAGCCTCTTATCTGAAAGAATTCTCCCACAATCTCAACAAAGAACCTCTCTCACCTTTTACTTTACCAAAAAAGTAGTCTTCAGGTAGGAACTTCTTATCTTCATGAAACCCCACCTGCAATCTTACTGTATATATTTTTGCCTTCGTCCTTTGGAATCCAGTGAAAGACATATTCCTCTTTGTGTTTTCACCTGTGTTCTCCATTCTGTTCTATTCCTGCCTCTTCAGGAAACTTGTATCATCAAAAATTACACTTCCTTAGCCTTATCTTGGTTCCTATCATGGTTCTTGAAGTACCTCCAAGGAGCTCAGGTCTTCTAAAACATCTTTTAAAAATTATGGAATTTTGTAAATGAATGTTTGAATCTATTCTTGTAAAGCTAGGTTGGGTCCAAAAGAGGCCTAAGCCATGCATACAAACCCCTTATATCTCATTAGCTTTATTTATTTTATAGTCATAGGCTACATCATTAAACCCAGGTTTTTATGAATAAAATTGGAACCAAAGTAATAGAACTACAGGAGGCAGCCAGCTCAACATAAACCAATAGTAATCCAATTATGAAAAACCTCATGTTCTTTGTAGGTGGACAGAATATTTCAACTATTTATAAAATACTTTTGGAGTGCCTAAAATGATTTACGCTTTAAAGATATCATGATAAAGAGGGAAGATAATGTGTTTTATCTTCTATTCCTCTGGTGTAAGAAGTCTGTTTTTGTAATATGTTTTAATATTATGTCCAAGCACCAAAGTTTCAGTAAGTCTATATTTTTATCTCTTTGGTAACACCTACACTTAAATGTCTACATTTTCCACATTTTCTGTGGATTCTTTATTCACCTCTTTTATCAGTGACACCACTTCCTTTGAAACCCCCTCAAGTAGAAGCACTCATTCCATCACAGCTCCTTCTTTTGAGTCTGGGAGGTTGGGCCTGCACTCTTTGCCCACCCACACATTCTTTCTGACTACGCTCTTAGCTTGACAGCCTTTATCTTACTGACAGTCATGCCTTCTAACCTACCAGCCTTTTCTCATCAGCTTCACATAGCAGCGGTTTCGTACCCTATGAGATGTAATATATGATTATTAGCAATAGAATGTTCTCCATTTCCTCACCCTCTTTTTTGTCATTTTCCCAATCAAAATTTACTCCCCAGAACAGATGTAGAATCTAATTACTGGTCCACACTGGGTCCTCAACATTCTATCTTATTCTTTATCCTGATGGTTTATCTAGTGCCATCACAGTTACTTCATCTTTCTTCTACAATTATCCCTTCCTGTCCATTTCAGCAACACCCTTATTTTTATACCTGTCCTGGACTTGGTCAGTACCTGGAAAAGTGTGCCCTTTGGAGTCTTTAACTCTGAAATGTTCCTTTTGGCCACAACTTTTTATTCTTCTATATTTCTCTCTCCCTGGCACCCACTAAACCCTGTGCCTGAAATCATTTTGAATTCTAGCTTCTTTGATCTAGTTTATTAGGTTTATTTTCCCAGGTCCCTCACTGACTCCCCTTGCCTTAACTTTCAAATACACTATCTCCATATCCTGCAATTTTTCTCATCTCCTTATTACTCTGCCAAATGAAAGCATCCAGATTATAACTTAATATTCTGATTATTCTATTTTTGATTTGGGTTTCCTATAACCTTCTGTAAAAAAGTTCATGATGCTGATGATAAATTTAATTACAAATGTATTATCTCTAATTTCAGTCAACCTTTCTCAACCATTCCTTTATTCTTTCCATCAGTGTCTGTTTTTATTCCCCACCAAACTTTTCTGATTTTTTGTTTGTTTGTTTGTTTTTTGTTTTGTTTTGTTTTTGAGACGGAGTTTTGCTCTTGTTGCCCAGGCTGGAGTGCAATGAATGGTGCAATCTCAGCTCACCACAACCTCCACCTCCTAGGTTCAAGCGATTCTCCTGCCTCAGCCTCTCAAGTAACTGGGATTACAGGTATGTGCCACCACATGGCTAATTTTGTACATATATATATATATATATATATATATATATATATTTTTTTTTTTTTTTTTTTTTTTTTTTTTTTAAGTAGAGATGGCATTTCTCCATGTTGGTCAGGCTGGTCTCAAACTCCCAACCTCAGGTGATCCACCCACCTCGGCCTTCAGCAGATGACCCAGTTCTTATTTTATAGAGAAAGGAAATACTATCAAGTAAAACTGCTCTCATATCATACATATACTGTATCTTCACCCATTTTTTTTCTCCTCCCAAAGTGGAAAAAATATTTTTTTCTGAATTGCTAGGTTAATGCTTCTGCTTATGTTTTTGGACACATCTCCTCTTGAATCCTCAGGGATTTTGCCTTATTAATCAGTTTCATTCTTTGTTTCTCCATTTTTTTTTTTTTTGTCTTTTTCTGCCTGGGTTTCAAACACTTAGCCACAGGCATGTTTATGATTTCCCCTTTCTGAAAAACTCTGCACTGCCCAACTTCCTTCTCTTTACCACCCCGTTTAATAAAATAATGTCTTACCACCTCCACTCCTCTACCTTTTACGCATTATTGTCCACTAAATTTGACTTCTGCCCTTTATGTTCTGGCCTCCACAAAGGTCACCAGTGAAAAAAATCCTGTCTCCCAAATCTAATGACTTCTTTGCTGTTCTTATTTTTCTTACCATTTCTTTGAAACTTGCATGGTATTTAACAATATTGACCACTTCTTCTTTCTTGAAACTTGCTCCCCCTTCTACTTCAAGACAGAATCTATTCTCTTCTTATTCTCCTCCTATATCCTTTACCCATTCTTTCAATTGCTTCTACTTTTCTCTTAATTGTTGTTTATCAGCACTCCAACTTCTGTTGTCTTCTTGCTCTTCACTCTTTTTCTGAGTGTTTGTGCTAATTATCTCTTCATTTCTCATCTCTATGCCCTAAAAATCTGCCTTTTACCTTTATCCTGGAGTTCTTTTGAGCTATGCATCCATATTTCTAACCACTCCTAGACCTCTCTCCCTGTTGTCCTGCTCCTGCAGATAGACATACCCCAGTTCTAATGCAGAACTTATCTATTCTTCTCTGCTTCTCCCTACAACTCAACTCCCCAGTGAAACCAGAAAAGTCCTGGTTCTCTTATTGCATTCTCTTTCTCTATTACTATTCCCCCATTTCCTCCATCATCCAAGTTGGAAATCTTGGAATTACCTTGATGACTTCTCCTCCTTCAGTTGGGCAGGTCTGCTCAATTCTACCGCCAAAACATTTTTTCATTTGACATGGCTCTCTACTTCCCCTCTGATCCTCCTCATCAAGTCATCCCCCAGCTCTCTCACAGGCTTGTAGGTGGCATCTGTGAGTCCTGGCTGTCTTCACTCTAGAGCTCCCTCACTCCTACCCTCAAGTTATACTTCTCCACAGCACGACCCAAACAATGCTCAGTTACTGTGTGCTGGAGGAAAATTTTAACTGAATAGGAAGACTTACTTTCTTCCATTAATAAATAAGTTACTGATGTGCAGGTGGCACATGGTTTTATTGAAATTATAACTTTTCAAATATTTTTAGACTTCTAGAATTAATGGAGCATTCATTACTTTAATGTCCACAAGTGTAAAATAAAGGTACTTTAATATGAGTAAATTAAATTCTAAATTAAATTCTAAAATCATCTTCAATTCTGATTGATCATGATCATTTATCAGTCCTTTCTTCCATCAGAATTTTCCCAGTCACTTTTAAGAAAGGAAGGAAAAGCAAGAGAAACGTACCAACCGCAAACTAGATCAAGGATGAAGAGCTAACTCTTCTGAATTATCTGTCTTGAAAAGCTTGAAGATATCGCAACATTCTTACTTGTTCTTCCCTTCTTATTGTAGAGACTTGGAATTGTGTCCTTGGTTATAAAAACCTTGGAGAGTAAAGTGTAAATTAATTTAAAAATGAATTCTAGTCAATTTTGCTACTGATTAAATTCTAATTGAGACAAAGTGTTGAGCAAGTGGCTAAATAAGTAAGTCAAAGGACTTGGTGGTTTAAGTAGATGCTAATTATATAAGAATCATTCACTATTAGTGTCAATGATTAAGAGTTAACAGTGGTGCTTCTAAGTTTTGACTTTGATAGGTAGTCTGAATAATAAATCAAAGCACTAGAGTTATTGTAGTGGCGGCAAATTTTTCTAAAAGTATATTTTAGATGTCAAAAAACCCTGAATGTTTAACAACAAATTAATTAATTATGGAATCAATAAAATTCAATGTTTTTGACTTTGAATTTTCTATGGAATCAGGTTAACAGTCAGCACTCTATACTATTGCATCATCTTAGATCACAATAAAATTGAGGCAAAGAACATAGTGAAAGGTGAGTTTTATTTTGAATGAGGATATTTAACATCTAGACTTGGAACTGACTATATCAACTTGGTTATGTTCATTAATGCATGTATGTTGATGTATGGATCACTAATTTGAGATAAGTATATCTCAAATTAGTGAATGCGAAAGTGATATAAAATGATTTTTAAAATACAAATCAGTGTTTCCGTAATGCTCTGAGTTTTTGAACTGGTCCTGTAGAATGTTAACGTAGATAGTTAGCATCTTTTCTATATTTTATGTTCACTATTCTTCAACTTAGAAGGAAAATAATTGTGGACAGTTTATAAATTACTAGCAGTATGCTGAGCTCAAAAATTACGTTATTCAGTTTCTCTTCTATTAAAAGTAAATGTCATGATGCAGTACTGACCTTATAGAAGACTTGAAAATACTGTCCCTGTGGTAAACTTAAACAAACCTCTGTTGTTTCAGATAAGTTTCAGAATGTATCTTAGCTAGTTTTAAGATCCCATGACTAACACTGTTATGAATATATGTCTACCAGTGACATTGTTAGTCACTGAGTCTTTGGATGTGTAATGAAGAAATACATACAGCAGCTGAAGAATTTTTATGAAGCCAATTGTGGTAATACAAAGCTTTTTCATGGTTTAACATTTTGTATGTGCTTCTCCTAATTATTCAGCAGACTCGGCTACTGCAAATGCCAGGTCATTTTCTGACTGTGTAGCTTGGTTTTTATTAGATAATGGAGCAGAATAACATAGATTATATTTCATTACAAGCAAGATGGCAGCCAGCCACTCTAGAAAATGACTATATTATACAAGAAATTTTTATGTGATTCATTCTAGACAAAACTATCTAAAGATCCTTCCCACTTAAGTCTTCCAAGGTCATGTAGCAATGTCTGAGCTTTGGAAGTTAACACAAGTTCACTGGCTCAGAACCTAAATAAATCCAACCCAGACTCAAAAATGTTGGTTGGTGGAGTAATATTTGAAATGGAATTGAAACTTGATTTGCAGTTTTGTAATATGTAATATGTTGTACAAATATATGTAATACATATGTTTATAATATATCCTTCCTTAAGGGCCACTACCTTCTCGTCCAACTGTGACATTCAGCTGACACTAGCAAGTAGTTTCAGCAAGAGAATATACTATAAGTAATGTATGAAGAGAATGTATAAAAGTCTTAAAGACTAACTAGAATAATTATATCAGCCCATGAAAGCATTAGTGTTTCTAATTAAACTTCTGAAGATCTCATCATACATTCCTAGGAAGTGAGTGTTAAGGGCAGGTCAAAGTATACATACCCCTTATTAGAGAGGAATGCTTCTTCCATGGCCATTGATAAATAAACATTGTTTCCCTACATGGAGTTCTTCAATTTCACTGTTGTGGTTTTCATAAAAACCCTGGAGGATTATTATCTTCCTTTCCCAATCCTTTAAGTTTGAATACCTTCATCTCCAATCAGGGAAAATTTATTTATTAAAACTGAAATAGGGAGCAAGAAATCTAGTCACAACAAGTCTGTCTGTAGTAGAGAAAAATCTGCAGGGAAATTCACCATTAATTTTTAGGCTAGTCAAGTCATAACTCTAGTAACCCATGGGAATTCCATTACTGCTCTTTAGAAGTTTTTACCCAGCCTAAGCACATGTCTGCATTCAGAGTTGGTAGTCTTGGTTTTCTTCTTCTTAAATGTCACTCCAATTTTTTTTTCCTAAATGAGCCGGGGGTCATATCCTTTGTGTTACCTTAAAGCATATTTATTCCTTTTCTTTCTGAAATGTTGGCCAGATGACAAGTGAGACAATGAAGTGTCATTCAAACTTCCTGACCTGGAGTAGGTTTCTCCTTTTTCAGATCCTCAATGTGACCCACATTAAAAGTGAAGTTTATCCTATCCTTAGAGTTTCAGAGCTTAAAGGCTAGCCTATGAATTCAGGACAGTCCTGAGCCATTTTCTTCAGGAAAGCAAGTGCAGGTGGGGTGAATTTCTGTTCCCTCAAATGGAATCATTAATGGCAGTGTTTCTAGATAATGCCAAAATAGTTCAAGTTGAAATTAAATGATATGTGTACATAGTTATTTATCTGAATGGCCAATCTGCATATGCCTAATACCTGAATTACCCAAGATGTAAAACGAATTATTTACTGTGTGTTTCAGTGAAGTTTTGAACCAAATAATTTGAAATTCTTAAGGAGCCCCAAAATATATTCCTTTGGAGAGATTTTCCTGATAGTTGGAAAAAATTAGTTATCTGTCTTAGAAAATGTTTTCTTCCTGCCTTGAGGGCCTTGTTTATGCTGTTCCCTTGTAAAATGCTATCTTTCACCTCCATTGCCCAGTTAATCCTTCTGACACTTTAGGTTCAGTTTATACCTTCCTTCCTCAGGGATATCAGCCGATGATCCCTCAACCTGTGTCTGGCTTCTTGTTATATGCTGTCTTACATCCTTGCAAACATTAATCAAGGCACTTACCACAAGCACTACTTGCCTATTTTTTTTACATGCAATTCATTTTTAATGTGTTTTCTCCAATAAACTGTGAGCTCTAATTTGTTAACTGCAAACAGTTCCAAGTGCCAAGCAGAGTGCTTTGTGTATATAGCAGATATTCAATGCATATTTGTGATTAAAATAAATGAGCAAGTATAGGGATAGGATACATTCTCCCAGAAAATAATCTACACTTAGTTGTAACTATGACTTTCTAATAGCTACTTTTCTCCAGATCTCTCTGTATTCCAGTAAAGATTTGTTTTAATCCATGAAAACCACAGTCCAAATGTTTCTGGTGACCTA
Source organism: Homo sapiens (assembly GCF_000001405.40). Classification (NCBI taxonomy): domain Eukaryota; kingdom Metazoa; phylum Chordata; class Mammalia; order Primates; family Hominidae; genus Homo; species Homo sapiens. The sequence continues at coordinate 172,905,246 of NC_000001.11, forward strand.
TTCACTGCCAGGTTCAGGCTAGTTTGTACACCATTTTATCCTTTTTAACTCCAGTATAGCTTTGCATCAGTGAACTACCATCATCCTTTGTAACACTGACCTCTGTTGCTTGACTGTCTGCACTTGACTCTCCATTGATGGTGACCCCTACATTTACACATGCAAGAAGTTATCTTAGGTTATATTTTTCAGATCTCAGTAAGGGATTAGGAAAAGTAGGATAGAGAAGGGGAGAGGGTCAAGCAAGGATATAATTTCAGACAAAGCCCTCTAGAGAAGAGCTCCAATCTGATCCCAAAGAAAACTGGGCCGTTTGTTATGTAAGGCAGCTGGATTTTCATACTTCTTCACTGGTTAGTCATTGACTAATGGTGGGTGGATGTGGTAGGGTAATTTTTCCAGTACTTTTCTGGCTTTCTACTCTGGTAGGAAAAACAGCCCTACTAGTCAGAGGAGTATCTGAGGGGAGTGTCAGATGTTGGCATTAGAAGCAAAAGTACAAAGAAGCTGAGGAGGATGAATTGAAACATGAGGAAAGACTGGAGATCTGGGGAGAGAAAGCCAACGGTGTCTGCTAGAGGCTCAACATGAAACATTTCTATCAACGTTCAAGATAATTGTTGTGCTTAACATGTATTCTTCTACTTTCTGGATCCAATTACCATCTCTTCAGAAAAGAATACAAATCTACATGTCCAGCCCTAAATATTACTGATTCCAAAACAGCTCTTCAAATATAAGCTGGAGATGTCTAGCAGGTAATTACCCATAAAGATCCAGCATCAAAAACAATGGACTAAATTAAATGGCTCAACTGTGTCAATGGACTTCTTGCCTCACCTAGTCTAACTCTTAAGACATCTGTAGAGCTGTCAGTGATTTTCTGGCCTCTGAGGAAAGGCTGATTTTGAGTGTGTTTGACTGCATCTCAAAGGAAAGAGAGAGAGGCTGAGAAATTCAAGAGTAAATAATGGGCATATGCCTGATTAAATGGATAAGCCCATTTGAATTTTATATTTGGCAGGGAGAAAAGCACTGGACACAATTATAGAATTTAACCAGCAATGCAAAACAACCCCAAAGTCCAGGAAATAGAGAACTTAGGAGAATCTTGCAAGAAAACATCAAATGTTAGGGTGCAGGTTGGCTGAAGCTTTCTGGAAAGGTAGCTAACTAGAAAAAGTGTTGAGAATGGATGAGGCAGATGCGAAAAGAAGAATCTAAAATCTTGGTAATATTTATCTTGGCTCAGATATCTTAATTACTATTGAATAAAATTGCATTATATAAATCTACATCAATTATGACACATTAATTAGAAGCAAAGGAAATTTTAAAACCATGTAGAGAATTCTATTTTCATGAAATTTTTACAAGAGATTTTTTTTTTATAAATGTCAAAACAGGTAGGGAACTATAGATAGGCAGATAATGATGGAGGGTGCAAATTTAGTAGTGACTAAACCATCAGGACATTCTATGGGGATGGCATCTCCATTTACAGGAACTAGATACCATGGCAGTAGAAAATCATTTACACATTCACTCTTGGAGCCTCAATGCTCTGATGAACAGGCTGGCTTCTCTCCAGTAGCTATGAGACTCAAATGAGATATTTGAACACTGCTCTTTAAATGTGCTAAATTCCTTCTGCCTTAGATCTTAAGCCACTGCTGATCTTCTTAGAACCACACACCGCAGGTGCTTCCCTGTGGAAACTGCAAATGTTTACTCTGTCTTCCACCTTTGAATGACTTAGAACATGTTGTGGCTAAGGTTCATTCGTTATCAACATTCAGAAACTGCCATTTCCTTTTCTACCTGCAAAGCCTAATAATAACTTTTTAAACTATTGCTTCCTTTGCATATTCACCATACATCCTGCTTTCAGATGTGGAATCTAAAACCTTGCTGAGAAACTGCCTCCAATGTTGCTCCCTTAACTTTCACTGTGGAAAACTCTGAAGGAAGTTGGCCGCACCATTTAATGGAAGCATGAGGAACTAGGTAAATTGCTTGCCCTTAATAAGCCTTCAGATTTTGAACTCTTCTTTCATCCTTGAGAGACAAAAATGCTATCATTAATTTAACAAAGCTCCTTGCCATCACTAAAGTTTTTTTATATTTCCTGTAGTCTCTTTCCTTTAGATATGTATGAAAATGGCTCCACTGTGACTCAGCAGATGGCTCCACTGTGACTCAGCAGATCTCCAGGATTTTCCTGTGTAGTTTCTGTTTTGGCTTTCATCTGGTGGGAACTGACTGCTACAGGACCGAGGCTTTTAAATCAAACCCAAATAACAAAATGTATTTAGAGCTGAAAAAGGTGGTGCCATCAGGCTGGGGTGGGGATGAGGAAGTGATTCATTACCCCAGTTGGAATGTAAATTCAATGAGTTTAATTACTAGTGGTGTCAAAAAAGGATTTTCACTGATAGCAATATTCTGTGTTTTTTTCTTAACTTTTATTTTAAGTTCAGGGGTGCATGTGCAGGTTTGTTGTATAGGTAAACTCGTGTGATAGGGGGTTTGTTGTACAGATTATTTCATCACCCAGGTACTCAGCCTAGTAGCTATTAATTATTTTTCCTGATCCTATCCCTCCTCCCACCTTCCATCATCTGTTAGGCCCCAGTGTCTGGTGTTGCCCCCAGTGTGTTCTCCTCATTTAGCCTCCACTTATAAGTGAGAACGTGTGGTATTTGGTTTTCTGTTCCTGCATGAGTTTGCTGAGGATAATCGCTTCCAGTTCCACCCATGTTCCTGCAAAGAACATGATATCATTATTTTTTGTGGCTGTATAGTATTCCATGGTGTATATGTACCACATTTTCTTTATCCAATCTACCTTTGATGGGCATTTAGGTTGATCCCATGTCTTTGCTATTGTGAACAGTGCTGCAATGGACATATTCATATGTGCATATGTTTTTATAATAGAATGATTTATATTTCTTTGGGTATATGCCCTAGCCAAGGCAATCCTAAGCAAAAACAACAAAGCAGGGGGCATCATGCTACCTAACTTCAAACTATACTACAGGGCTACAGTAAACAAAACAACATGGTACTAGTACAAAAACAGACACATAGAAAAATGGAACAGAATAGAGGGCCCACAAATAAGCCTACATAGTTGCAACCATCTGATCTTCAACAAAGTGACAAAAACAAGCAATGGAGAAAAGACTCCCTATTCAATAAATAGTGCTGGGATAACTGACTAGCCATATGCGGAAGATTGAAACTGAACCCCTTCCTTATACCATATACAAAAATCAACTCAAGATGAATTAAATACTTAAATAGAAAACCCAGAACTATAAAAACCCTGAACAATACCATTCTGAACATAGGAATGGGCAAAGATTTCATGACGAAGATGCCAAAAGCAATTGTAACAAAAGCAAAAATTGACAAATGGGATCTAATTAAACTAAAGAGCTTCTGCACAGCAAAAGAAACTGCTGAGCGAACAGACAACCTACAGAATGGGAGAAAATTTTAGGAAACTATGCATTGGACAAAGGCCTAATAACCAACATCTACAAGGAACTTAAACTTACAGGAAGAAAACAAACAACCCCATAAAAAGTGGGCAAAGAACATGAACAGACACATTTCAAAAGAAGACATACATGCAGCTAGAAAGCCTACGAAAAAAGCTCAATATCACCGATCATTAGATAAATGCAAATCAAAACCACAATGAGATACCATCTTACATCAGTCAAAATGGCTATTATTAAAAAGTCAAAAAATTACAGGTGCTGGTGAGGTTGTGGGAAAAAGGAACATGTATACACTGTTGGTGATGGTGGGAATGTAAATTAGTTCAACCATCGTGGAAAGCAGTGTGGCAATTCCTCAAAGAGCTAAAAACAGAACTACTATTTGACCCAGCAATCCCATTACTGGGTATATACCCAAAGGAATATAAATCGTTCTGTCATAAAGATAGCAATATTGTTAAAGCTACTCACTGAAGATTAGCAAAACTGTTAATTCAAGCCAAGAGTCGTTACTCATAAAAATTTAAGTAGCTTTTACTTGCTGCATGTTGGAAAGGCCAAGACTCAAGAATCCAGACTTTTTGGGCAGAATAGGTCCAAACCCCACATACTAAAAAAAAGGTTGGTGGGGAGGGGACAAGTGTGAGGTAAAAGAGCATGTGGCACTCTGGACCTTTAGGATTAAAGAAAATAACCAACCCAGGGGTCTAGTGAGGAGTGCATTTGCCAGAGCTGCAAGCAGGATTACTATGGTTTATACCAAAACCTCAAATACAGTACCTCCCTTCCTGGACTTTCATGGAAACTCCCTCTTATCATTCTTGGTCCTTGTTTTACTTATATACTTACATTCAAAAAGATTTTAAGAAGCAGAGGTAATCATTTCCTCCCTCTTTTCGCATTTTTTCCTTGGATGACTAAGCTCTCATTCCACACCAAAGAGGATGTTTATTCCAAAGCTGCTTGTGGTATAGGATAGGCTCCGAGACTATCCCACGTACACAGGATAGGCTCCAAGACTATCCCACATACATCTGTGCAAAGGGTAGCTCAGCTGACCAGTTGGCCAGGACAGGGCTACAGCTATCATTGGAAAACACTGAGAGGCATACCTATTCCATACAGTACTGAGAGGGGCCGTGGACAGCTGGGGACTGAGTCTTTCTGCTTCTCAGCCCAGATTATCATCAGCCTGGACTCTGAGCAATGCTGTGAGAGTGAGAATGCTAAAAACACCCAACACCTCTGCTGCTTTTATTCCTTTAGTATAAAGTCTAATCATCAACCGAGCGGAGGCTACATGTTGTGAATTCGTATCTAGGCACATATCTCTTCTGTTGCATCATAGTTAACTGCATCCAAAGAAGGGACTGTTACCTGTTACGCTCTGGAGGAGCAGATGTGGTTCCGGCCTCTCAGCTGAAACAAAAGTAAACCAGCTAATGACTAATACTGTCCACTTGCTTCCTTTGTTTCTCCCCATTCGGACCCTCATATCGGATACTCACTCATTTTATTCATCTTCTTAGCACTGTTTATGCTGGTTTTGCTTACTTCCCAGACTGCCAACTTCCCTCAGTTTCTGTTACAAATTAATCTAAATCCCATTTATCTTCCAAACTTATATGACTCCTAGTTTATGATGGGGTTTTGTTTATTTGTTTGCCTGTTTCTGCTGAATTTTTAAACATGTATTAATTTTTAAGGTAGTCAAACATTTTAATCTTTGTCTTTAGGTTTCTGGACTTTTAATTTTGTTTAGAAAGGTCATCTGTAAAATAAAATTAACCTTTATTTCCTTCTGCACCAGGAATTTATTTTGATATAAGGGGTGAGGTAGCCATCTAGCTTTTTTGTTTTTGATTTCTACAAATGGCTACCTAATTATACCAACATCATTTACTGATTCTAATACCACTTTTTATTTTATGCTAATTTCCCATGTATATTTGGATATGTCTCCAAATTCTCAAGGCTATTCGGTAGATCTGTCTGCCTCTACCAGCACCAAATAGTTTTCATTATTCTGGCTAAATTCATTCTTTTATGTCTTTGTTCAGTGTATTTATTGAGTGCCTACTGTATAACTGGCGTTCCTCTGTGTGCTGGTAATACGAGAGAGACATGATATATTGTAGTAGCTAGGAGTACCACTCATCCATCCCTCATTGTGTGGATTCTTCCTGTTGATCACTTTTTTTGTGTATTTTTATATAATTATTATTATTATCAGTTTGTCATATCATAGAAAATCTTCCTGGTATGTTTATCAGGATTGCTTTAACATTCTGCCTTAATATAGAGAGAATTGATATCATTTAAATATTGCATATTCCTATCCAAAAAGAAAACGGTTATTTTCCATTGTTTCCAGATTCCTTGTATCTTCCTGGGTAGAATTTAAAGCTTTCTTTAGATAGGTCCTGCATATTTTTTTGCTAAGCCTGTTTCTTTTTTTTTTAAATTTTATTATTATTATACTTTAAGTTTTAGGGTACGTGTGCACAACATGCAGGTTTGTTACATATGTATACATGTGCCATGTTGGTGTGCTGCACCCATTAACTTACCTGTTTTATTTTTTCATAAATGGTATCTTTTCCCCATTATAATTGTCATTTATTTTTGTATTGAAAACTACCAAACTGTATTAATCAGTTATTTAATCAGTAACTATGCTATTTTTTCTTGTCATTGGTAGTAATTTTAAATCAATTGCAAGTTTTATCAGATATATATATATATATCTACCTATTATCTGCAGATAATTATAATTTTACTTTCTCATTTATGATTTTTATATCTTTTATTCCTTTAAATGTAAAGGAATTTAAGCATTATCTTCTGTGGGGTAATGAGACAGAAACATAGACAAGTCTTATATTCTTATATCAACTACCCTGTTCTGCGACTTCGGCAAGTCACTCAAACTCTCTGGGCCTCCATATCTTTATAGGCAGCACAAATATTAGATGATCTCTATGTTCTTACACAACTGCAATGTAAGTCTAATTTAAAAATCCTATTTGCCACCTTTCAATCACAATGATTTTTAGGTTAAATCATTGTGGGTGAATTAGATAAGTAGTTGCTACTAATATTATTTCTAGTTTTTCAAAAAACTCAGTCTGGGGCCAGGCATGGTGGCCCATGCCTAGTAATCTCAACACTTTGGGAGTCTGAGGAAGGAGGATTGCTTGAGCCCAGGAGTTTGAGACCAGCCTGGGCAACATGACAAAACACTGTCTCTACCAAAAATACAAAAATTAGCCAGGCATGACAGTGTGCATTTGTTGTCTCAGCTACTCAGGAGGCTCAGGTGGGAGGATTGCTTGAGCCCATGAGGTCAAGGCTGTAGTGAGCCAAGATCATGCCACTGCATTCCAGCCTGAGTGACAGAGTGATACTCTATCTCAAAAACTTATTAATAAAAAAAATAAGTCTAGGATGTTGGCCGGAGAGTGTAATATATTGTCACGTCCTTCAGCTTTCTCAATGCCCAGGCTTGAGGAAAGAGAAGGATGGCAGAACAATAAGAGAACAGGTTTAAAAGAGGGAAAAGACTATATCTATCTATCTATCTAAGTTGTAATAAAATAAAATTAAAAATCAAAGTAAAAGATGTGCCATTTTGTGAGCTGGCCAGTTTAAATATCCCATTAGAGAGAATTCTACAGGCTGTCTGACTCAGATTTTGCTCCCCAACAACTGAGAGTCAAGAGTTAAACACAGGTGTTCCAAATGTGCTTACTGTCCTTGAACTTTATTGAAAATAAACTTGGTTTGAATAATTATTTAATGAATATAAAGACAGACCATCTGATTCTGTCCTTGAACCAAGTCACCACATTATGCTTAGAAAGAACCATTATCCAATTATTGAAACCTTGATAATCTCATAAAACCTTACTGATGTGTAGAAGGCAGCAGCAGAGAGCATCTATTCAGGACATCGTACAACTGATGCAGGATTTTTCTTGGTCATTTTGTGCCAGCTGGGGACCTCCACTGCTGGCAACGTCCTCACCCGGGCCTCACTCAGCCCTGGGCCTCCCACATGCCACCTGAGCCATGCCTGGCTTGTGTGCCAGGCAGGACCCCATGCTATGGGATCCATGCTCAGCCTGCAGCTGGGCCAGGTGTGCCCCAGCCTACCTGTGTTACAGCTAGTACTCCTGTTTGGTGGTTCCCGAGTTTTTGTCCCATGTCCAAGAAGAATGAGGGTACACTGATAATTGAAGGGTGAGGAGGATGGAGAATAATTTTATTGAACAATGGAATAGCTCTCGGTGGAGAGGGGATGCAAGGATGGTCCCCTACCTGAAGTCAGGTGGTCTCTCCACCAGTGTGGCTGGGTCTGGGGATTTTGTGGGCTCAGAATCGGGGAGTGCATGCTGACTGGTTTGTGAGTATTCCAAAAAGGCTAAAACAAAGGCACCACTCAAAAGTGAGCATGACAGTGTAAAAAACCAATTAGGGAAGGGTAGATTTACATAAAGTAGGTGAAGGTTGAGGATCAATCAGAGGAAAGTGTGCCAAACAGGAAGAGAGATTTTTAATTCAGTCCTTGATTTATGCAGGACTTACAGCTTGGCTTTCAGGCTCTAAACTGTCTTTGATTTGAAGGTCATGTTTCACTGGGGACCCACCCCTATCTACCTAGGCATTTGACTGGCTCATTTGACTGCCTTCTGCAGCTATCACAATAAACTCTCTAAAAATCTTTGGTCATCTCTGTCTATCCCCCAAATTTCACTCACAATAGTTACTAAAAATCAGCCATTCTTTCCAACCTTCTCTCCAGTGTCTTCAGAACCATGCTGTTCTCTGCTTGGCTCCTCCTTGCCAGCCTGACCCATCAGCCCCTTCATTGCCCTTTTCTAACAGCCTGTCCCAGAAGATGTGAAACTTCCCACCACTCTTGGAAAAAATGGAATTTCTCAAGAAGAGCAGCTCCCACCAAAATTGTAGCAAATAAATCCTTTCATCACTTCAAATTATTCTGCTTCTATTGCAGCCACACTTCTCAGGGCTTAATGATGAAACAAATGAATTTCTACCTCATAGGAAGGAGTTATCAGAGACAGAAATGCTGTCAGCTATCAGAGGAAGGAGGAATTTCATTCAAATACCTACTCATGCTCCTTCCTTCCTGGTAGCACCAGAAAGTTTTTCAAAGTGGTATTATCATGGGTTATTTGTATAGAAATTACCCTGATCACATAAAAGCACTGCTTCTAAAGCTTCTCATTGAGGCAAAGATACAGCTTTAGAACATAGCATTCTACTTATTGTTTTTTTTTTTTAACACATTGGTGAATCTCTTGGAAATCAATGCTACTTTTATGCAAATGAATATATGTTTGTCTTAACAAACATATGCAAAGCCTATTTTGAAATTCCTAGTAGAGGTCTCTGAATTCTGAATGAAAAATGTAGTTTATAAAACTATTTGAACTTTTGGGCACTTAATTAACTGATTTATTCTCCTATCAGGAATTCATAACTAAAGATAAAATATTACAGAAGGGAGCCAATTTTGAATATTTGGATTATGTTATATGCCACTAGGAACAAGAAAAAAAAAGAATATTTTCTCCCAAAACTTCTTCAGATGAGGGTTTTCATCTGCAGAGCAGAAAGGATAACTAAGCTGGAAAAAAAATAAGAATTAGTGAAGATTTGGGCTGGAGGAGATGAATTTGTTTGGATATTGAGCTCAACACTTACCTGCCCATCTTAGAGAAGCTGTTCCCTTTTTCTCTGAAGTTTGGTTTCTAAGGAACAAAGCTTCCTAAACAAGTAGCTCACCCCGCACTTCCCCAGTGAGAATGATTTTATTACAGGAAAGGATTTCAATTTTGTCATGCAGAGTTACCAGTCAAAGCAATGACCAATAAATAGTTTATTACTGCAAAACTAAAATGGAGGTGTTCAGAGGTGGAGCGGGGGATTACTGAGGACAAACTTGGCTATTCTCCCAGACACTTTGTTTATTCCCCAGATGAGGAGGATTGATTGAGCAAGTAAGAATCTGGTTTTACTCTAAATACTGCTGTTCTTATATTAGCCAGTTTTAAAAATAGAATCACAGGAATTGAAAGGACTTTTAGAGTTTTTTTTTTTTCAGACATTCCCCTACTTCACAGGTGGCCTTTCCTAAACTCTTCCTTACGTGTATCCTGTTTGCCAAGATTCTGACAATCTATTTTAGAATCCAACACTGTCCAAGTGATGCAAAAAACTGCATCAATGCCAACTCAAGTGCATTCAGTCCAATTCTGTGGTTTTTCTACCTCAGTGGCACAATGTGAGAGTTGTTAAATTAATATTTAGTCATAAATTATGAGTGTAAATCATGCCTTCAAATATCATCTAAGCCAGTTATTCCAACCAGAATTATATTCCAGACTGGTAAGATAATGGATTTCTAACATTGAGCCTGAGCATATAGGGGAAGAAGAAAGGTTTTGCGAGAGAGAGTCGATATAACAACAGAAATTACCCAGAGGTCAGAAAATAGATCTTTAGACCACTGGTTTACATGTGCTGGATGGAGTCCTGGTGCCTGGAAAGCTGCACACTACATTGATTATCTGAGCAACTTGTTAAAAGTTCAGATTGCCAGGCTTCCCCTTTTCTTCCTTTGATACTGATTCAGTAGGTCTGTGTGGCTAAAGTGCTGCCCTGATTACAAAATCTGTGCCAAACCAACATCCCCACCCCAGCCAATGTATAAAGACTTCTTGCATATCTGTCCAGCCTGTTCTGATGGTGACAACAGGGGTGGGGGAATTTTCATTACTTAAGGAAGAACTCACTCTTTTTCAAGCAATTATCACCAAATTCTTCCATGCAATAAGTTGAAATCTACCTCTCCTTTAACTTAGTCATTGGTTCAGTTCTATGTTGTACAACAACAGACAACACAGGTGTTACATCTCTAACAGGTTAACTCTTCAAATATGTCACCATTAGATGTGTCCCTCTCTAAAAAACCAAACCAAACCAAAACATGGTCGCTGAAATTTAGGTAAAGGGCCTGAAAGCACTAAACCCAGACTTTTAAGCCCCACACATTGATCCCTGCCCCAATTAAATAGCAACTCATAGTTTATTTTGAATTAACACTTCCTTGCTCACAATGACCTTGAAAATGTGTTCCCCATCCCACCCTTACTATGAGATAAAGATTTGCTGGGAAGTCTCAGATGGTGCGTCCCACCCTCTTCTATGTTATAGTTTGAGACTTGTCAAAGCTCTTGTGTATAATCAAGAGGAAACTTCCCCTGAGAGGTTTTGCATCTGTTAATGATACAAAATCAACATTATCCATATTCAGCCAGTGAAAGAAACCCAGGAGGAAATCTAAGAAAGGATAAAGACACTGCTTAGGGTGAGAGTTGGAGAAGGTGAGGCGCCTATTACATCCCTTTCAAAGAGAATTATTCCATAGCTCCAAAATCTGGAGTGTGCTTTTCAATGCAATTTATATCTTCACAAATATTTAATCTACTCTCAGGGGATATTCTCAAGAGATTAGACATCACTGAGTCAGAACTTAAAAATATCTTGTCTAAATTTACAAGCATCTAACCGAGTGCTGTCACTTTAAGGAAGTCACCTTTGGAGGCCATCCACTTAATTTAAGAAACTATTTTTTCTGAGAGCATATTATAGCCCTGTTCTTTGCTTTGTCTTTCTTTTTTGGGTTACTTCAGAGCCAGTTTATAAGAAAATGTTTATGTTGTTATTTCATAACTTAAATCTTGTTTTGGGCTAAAAGACACTCTTTCAGATTATTTTTCATATGGTTCATCAGTTTGGGCTCCATGACATTCAGCTACTTTCAATAATCACCTTTATAAAACAAAGATTTGCCATCTTTGGGGATATTCAAAATAACATTTCACAAATTTGTAGGCACTGCCTAGGTTCACTTTGTCTTCTCCACCCAACTCCTTGCCTGTCTTTCTGAGGTCTTCCCTGTACTCTGGCCATAGCACTCTCTTGGCCATGGCAGGTGGCATTTGCTAGGCTTAGGATACTTGTTTCCATTCTCTTACTCACCTGAATTTACTCACTTTTAGATTCTGGCCTAAAATATTACTTTCCAGAAGGGTTTTACCTTCTGGCTCCATCTTCCATCTTCCATCACCCATCACTGAATATTTACCTCATGTAAATATTTACTGAAAACATTTATATCACCACACATTTTATTAGCCCTCTAGCCTCACTGCTTTGGGTCTGAGTGGATGTTAGAGCCTCAGGAGACCCTTCATTCCTACAGAGCCTACTGGGGCCCAAGCTGAGTTACAAGCCTGGCCACTGTAGATTCTACCCAGGAATGAGCAGCACACACTTGTTTTTTATCCATACTTTTCCTTCTCCTCTCTCCTTTGCCTGACTCCTACCCCTTTCACATCTTGGCATGGATATGACTTCCTTAAAGACATTGACCTGCTCCCCCTCTACCCTGCCCTTTACTGAATGAAGTTCCCCACCCTATTATGTGTCCCCAAAGCACCTGTGCTAACTCTATCATGACAGTTCTTAGATAGTATGGAAATTGTCTGTGTGGTTACCTGGTGGCTTGTTGCAACATTACAAATTAGCTCCTCAAAGACTGGAACTGTGTCTTGTCGATATGTGAACCTCAGCTAGACACTTAGTAGCTGCTTGGTCAACGACAGCCGAACAAAAATCAAATAGAAAGTTGGATGGAAAGATGGATGGATGGATGGATGGGTGGGTGAGTGGATGAGTCTAAAGAGAAGCTTGAAGGATTCTGGATGAACTGGATGCCTTGTTCCTTCATCTTTTGGATTTTTTCTTAGCTTTTTCTCAAAATGTTTACCTTGTGGATCTCTAGTCTAGTTCTGAAGTGGTGTTAATTGCTTTTATTTTTTTTTTTTATTTCCTTCAGGCTGGGAGACTCCCAAGGAAAACTGACTTAAAGTCCCTAATTTGAACTGGAAAAAGGACCCCATTGATGCAGTTAGTTTCTTCCCATTGATGCATTTAGTTTCTTACTCTTGAGACTGAAAGTTGACCTATTTTTCAGTTGGTAGGTAAGTTGGGAAATTTTTAAAGCTTATGCAAACTTCACTCTTGGCATTATTGGCCTTGAAGAAATGTTACGAAGACTTCTCTTTGGAAAGTGAGTTTGCTGGAAGTAGCAACACACTCCTGTGATAGAGACAAGTATAGAATATTCCTTCCACACCTGTATTGCCTTCTCCAGAACTGCATTTTAACAATTCAATATTTTCTCATTGGCAAGCACTCTCTTGTTGGTTGTATTCATCTCAGGGAGTTACATTTTTCTCTTATGAGTTCGACATTCTTTCAACCGTGTTCTGCCAGTGAGTCATAGGGACCCAGTGCATTTCAGGAGCTATAGACCAGAAGTTGAGCATATTGTTCCAAATACTTGGATCTGCATTTTAATATTGTGACTAAGTGGGCTCAGGGCACATTTCAGCAGAAGGCACTTTTGCATTTTATTGTGGGCAACTTCCTACCACCTCCACCCAGAACAATGAATGGAGTTGAGGTTTTCCCATTTATTCATATCTGGTATCTCTGTGCCAAAGTGACATCCACACAATGTTTTCTCATATTTAAACAACACTGGTCACTTAATTACAGTTTAAAGTTAATTCAAGAGAAGGGCTATATACTAGTAGAAAAATAAGTTTTATCTGGATATTATAATTATGAGGCAATTAGTAATTTCTTGGTGGCTTTTTGGGATCAGTCTCACTACTTCTTAGTCTCACCTTAATCAGTCTCATTAGTTAATTCAGAAAATAATCAAACCTTAACATATGTTTTCACTTTTACTTCTTAGCTGTGTTTTTGGAGCTAGGCAACATGGTACACTCAAAGAATGTAGAAGAATTAAATACCATAAGGTACCCGGTTGCATGATCTCATTACACCCTGTTCTTTGTCTTTATAGCAATGGCACAGTTGGATATTGTGTTTCTTGGTTTATTTACTTTAAATATCTCTCTCCCACTAAACCGTAAAGTCCAGGAGACCCAAAGGTGTGTTTGTTTATCCAAAGTCTAAAACAGTGCCCTCCACATTGTGGGCTCCCCATAAATAATTGATAAACGAATAAAACAAATGATCAGTTAGCATCTACTTAACAGAAAGCAAGCCCATAGAGCGTCTTTTGAATATCTGCAATTGTTCCATTCCAGGATTGAAAGGAGGCCCACAGAGCTCTACATGCCTCTAGTGAGACCCTTCCCAGGCTCCCAAACTCATGTTTAATACTCCTCCAAAACTTACCACCACAAACTGCCTAAGGACTAAATGCAAGAAGGCGCTGTAGTCAGAATCGATCATCTGCCTTCACCTTGGAGTCTTTAGGGCATGCCCTCAGGTTATCCTGCCTCTCTTCTCCTCACACTGCTCGTTATATTTCCTACTTTGACTCCATCTCCCATCTCTTCCCAGGCAGGTCCCCCAAACCCTTTCTCTGGTTTCTCTTCTTATGGTCAAGCCTCAACAATATCTCCAGTATACACAGCCTCTTCTCTCGCAACTCTCTTCATTAGCTTGTCCTAAGTGAAATCCGGGTCTCCTTTAAACATACTGCTTCTCCCACATCCCTTTCAAGTGAAGATGTTTTTTTTCCTCTCATAAACCTTGTACTATATACTAGAGATGAGATATGTGTCTTTGATTCTCAGTGCTTCTCCCAAATATTGTTAATCCTTTAAAAACATTATCTGAAAATGCCTGCCAGTAGATTCCATACTCATCACCTACCTACCTCCTAAGCCCTAAGTCTCACCTCTCTTTTCAATAAAAAATTTTAGCCTCCAGTTCACCATGTTTTTCCTCACCCACTACTCTTATCAGAATTTTTGATTACTTCAATATCCACAGGGACAATCCATTCTATACTTGTTCTCTCAGTCCCTTGATCTCTTTCCCAATGCTCTTAAATGCTACCCCAGCTCACCTCAGTCATCTACTCCCAGAGTTATACCCTAGACCATATACTTTGCAAGAACCAAATCTCCCTCAAAACTCTCTGATCCCTACTTGCATGTTTCCAATTCAGTTCTTCTTGTAACCCTCCTCCACTGCCCATGGAATCTTTTCCATTCACTGTTTCCTCTTTTCATTGCTCATTATCCCTTCCACAGCTGCTCTTCTCACCTTTCTCAGTTTAATCGATTGGTTCATTATCCTCATCATTGCTCTGTCACATACACCTTCAACTGCCTCATCCCTTTAGATCTTCATTACATTCACGTGGTTAAATCCAATACTTCACCTATTTTTGTTTGCACTGAGTAGCTGAATAGAGCTGCAGCACTAACCTCAAATGACATTAATCACACTGGACTTACTAGCACATCCCTTCCCTACATAATGATAGCTTTGGTTCACACTGTTTCCTCTCTCTTCAATCCTCCAATAAACCTACTGTTCCTTCCTTTCAGCTGATTACTTTGCTTGGTTCTTCACTGAGGAGATAAGAACAATCAGAAAATAACCTCCTCATTCTTCTTCTTCAAACCTTCAACTTACCTGCCCCTGTGCCCACAGGTTCTCCCTCCCTTCCTATGAAAATTGATGAATTTTCTGTGCCCCTATGTGAGGTCAGCCCCTTTACTTTGCCGTGGATCTGTTTCTTTCATTTATACTGCATCAGAGAGATTGATATTTTGTTATCTTTAGAGAAAACACCCTTCACTATGAAACCAAAACACCAAATCTTACAGATTTTAGCAGAGAAGAATTCCAGGAGGAAAACCTCCATAGAGTTTGGGGGAACCAGTTAGGCAAAGCTGACTCTACAGTTCAAGTTTCCTCTTCCCTTTGAGATTTTGTTATGTTGATTCTTACATCTACTGCCTTATCCTGTACTGAAAGGTACACTTCTCTCATAAGATTGTGATCCGAGTGCTGTCACAACCAAAATCAATTTTGGCCTTTTCCATGGCACAACTGAATCATACTGGGATTTCCCAAAGGAATTTTATTAGAAACTAAGGAAAAACACTTTCATATGTTGGGGTCCAACATGTGTATAGAAAAGATGCATTTGTTTATTCATTACATCTTCAGCTATCTGTTGAGTGTCTTCTGTGTATATTATGTTCAACACTGGGGGTAAAGTCAGAGATTATATAACATAGTCTATGTTCTCCGCACAGAATCTAAGTGAGCAGACAATAAAAAAGAAACCAATAACTGCATGTAATGTAACAGTATACGAACTAGGTGCAATGATGAGACAGACATGGGAGTGGCTTTCTCTACTTGGGGAGGTTGGGAAGGGCTGTAGAAGAGAGCATATTTGAGTCTGGGGAAAATGTAAGCAGTTCAATCTGGCTAGAGTATACACATGAAAGAGGAGACAGACAAGGAAGAGAAAAGGAAGACAGACAAGGGCCCAATCTTGGAAGACGTTATATGTCATGCTAAAGAACTTAGACTTTATCTTGCATGCAGTAAGGAGATTTTTGAAGAGTAAATTTGCATTTTAGATGGTTTTCTCTGGCAGGAAAGTCCAAAAAAGAGAAAGTGAGGTCCTAAATTTAAGCAGTGCAATTGGGAGAGGAAATGGGGGTCTCTTTAAGTAGGTACTTTAAGTAGATACTTTAAGGAGGATGAATTAGTAAGTCTTAATGACCAGTTGGATGGAGCTAAGCATGGCTTATATGTTTCCAGTTGGACCGACTAGCTGAATGGGGGAAGAATAATAAATGTGTAATTTCCAGTGAGAAGTGATTTGACTATATCCTTTTTGAGATTAACATTAGAGATTAATTTTTGCCTGCAAGATATTCCTTTCGACCTTTTCTCTAAACTGGATTGATGATTGGTATGACCTAGGATTCACTGTTAATATGAGTTATATTATGGTTTCTAAAAACCAAACAAAACCATTTTCAGGATAATAAATCTATTCCTACCACACCCCAGTGCTTAGTGAAGATTTCCCTAAGAGTATCTCCAGAGCTTACACCCACACAAATATGCTCTGAAAAATTATATTCAAATTCTTTCCTACCAATGTTAGCCTAATAATATCAACTGTTTAACACACTACTTCAGCAAAGACACCATAGCCAGGTTTATGCAAGTATGGTTAAATAAGACACACCATAAAGAGCCAGTCTTTCTGAATTATCAATTAGACACTTCTATGTTCTCAGGATATTTCTTTTTTTTATTATTATTATACTTTAAGTTTTAGGATACGTGTACACAATGTGCAGGTTTGTTACATATGTATACACGTAGAAAGCTGAAACTGGATCCCTTCCTTACACCTATACAAACATTAATTCAAGATGGATTAAAGACTTACATGTTAGACCTAAAACCATAAAAACCCTAGAAGAAACCCTAGGCAATACCATTCAGGACATAGGCATGGGCAAGGACTTCATGTCTAAAACACCAAAAACAATGGCAACAAAAGCCAAAATTAACAAATGGAATCTAATTAAACTAAAGAGCTTCTGCACAGCAAAAGAAACCACCATCAGAGTGAACAGGCAACCTACAGAATGGGAGAAAATTTTTCCAACCTACTCATCTGACAAAGGGCTAATATCCAGAATCTACAATGAACTCAAACAAATTTACAAGAAAAAAACAAACAACCCCATCAAAAAGTAGGCGAAGGATATGAACAGACACTTCTCAAAAGAAGACTTTTATGCAGCCAAAAGACACATGAAAAAATGCTCATCATCACTGGCCATCAGAGAAATACAAATCAAAACCACAATGAGATACCATCTCACACCAGTTAGAATGGCGATCATTAAAAAGTTAGGAAACAACAGGTGCTGGAGAGGATGTGGAGAAATAGGAACACTTTTACACTGTTGGTGGGACTGTAAACTAGTTCAACCATTGTGGAAGTCGTTGTGGTGATTCCTCAGGGATCTAGAACTAGAAATACCATTTGACCCAGCCATCCCATTACTGGGTATATATCCAAAGGATTATAAATCATGCTGCTATAAAGACACATGCACACCTATGCTTATTGCAGCACTATTCACAATAGCAAAGACTTGGAACCAACCCAAATGTCCAACCACTATAGACTGGATTAAGAAAATGTGGCACATATACACCATGGAATACTATGCAGCCATAAAAAATGATGAGTTCATGTCCTTTGTAGGGACATGGATGAAGCTGGAAACCATCATTCTGAGCAAACTATCACAAGGACAAAAAACCAAACACTGCATGTTCTCACTCATAGGTGGGAATTGAACAATGAGAACACATGGACACAGGAAGGGGAACATCACACACCGGGGACTGTTGTGGGGTGGGGGGATGGGGGAGGGATAGCATTAGGAGATATAGCTAATGCTAAATGACAAGTTAATGGGTGCAGCACACCATCAGGATGATTATTTCTAATGGGGAAAATCAAACCATCCAAAAAATTTTAGTTGTCTTTACCATGAGTGTATAGATTCAGCCCATACAATGAGTCCTATGACTTCTGGTCTTGAATCAAATAACTCGAATCTGATAAACAAGTATATGTATGTTTTCATTCTATCCATCCATGCCATTTCTCTTCATTAGGAAGGTAGAAGGTAGCATGTAAATAATAAACTCCCTATTAATTAATTAGAGCCATGAATAAAAATGAGAAAATGAAGCAGTTATGAAATTCTTTGGGATTTAGAAATGGTAAAATTAGGACACAAATGTTAAGAATAATGTTTATTATATTCCATGCAGTGTTAAACACAATGAATATATTATTTCATTTGATACTCAAAATGATCCTATGAGCTAAGCATTATAACATCATCTTTACCCATGAAACTGCTAGGTTTAGAGAAGTTAAGTAATCCATCTAAGGACATAGAGCCAGTGAATGGCAGAACTGAGATTTGACTGAAGAGTCGTGGAAAACCCAAGGGTTTAAGAGATGGAGACTTGACCCTAGGTCTTTGAAAAACTAGGTCTTTCTTCTAGTTTTCCAGTGGTGAATTATACCTGAAGCTAATATTAAGGAAATGAAGTCAGCCCTAGAAAGCACAGCAGAGACAAAAGATATAGAGAAGAGGTTTGCCACTTAGCATGCTTTGAGGAGTACGCACACATAACAATAATATTATGGAGTTTCTTCTAGGAAGTTTGGCAACCAGAAATCCTGCCCATTTTTTGTACCTCTGCATAGCATACGCTAGTCCTACATTGGGTACTAATATACAAAAAGACAGTATACTTAAATATAGCGATTTCCAGACATTTTGCTCACATCATCCCCAAAACTTTTGTAAAATGATCTAAAACTATATCATGCCTGTCACATTATTAAGTTCCCTTAGTGTAATCTATTTTAGCCCTGAAATTTTTTCATTGATTACCTTATAATTTTTCTTTGTAGCAAACATATGTACTAGATAAATTGAAATTTCATTAGTTAAAAATTTTCCCAGGTTGCACTACTGTCCAAGTTATTAGTACAAAATGGATCAAACACGAATATATAATATGTGGGAGGTAATATACAGGAATACCTTGGAGATGTTGTGCATTTGGTTCCAGAAAACAATAAAACAAATATTGCAGTAAAGATAGTCACACAAATTTTTCAGCTTCCCAGTGTATATAAAAGTTATGTTTAGAGCTGGGCGTGGTGGTGCATGCTTGTAGTCCCAGCTTAGGAGTTTGAGACCAGCTTGAGCAAAATAGCAAGACCCCATCTTAAAAACAAAGTTATATTTAAACCATACTGTAGTCCATTAAGTATGCAATAGCATTCTATCTAAAAAACAATGTACATACCTTAATTTACAAATATTTTATTACTTACAAATGCTACTGATCATCTGAGCCTCAGTGAGTCTTAATCTAATATCTTTGCTGGTGGATAGTGTGGCCTCAGTGCTAAAGGCTGCTGATTGATCAGGGTGGTGGTCGCTGGAGGTCAGAGCAGCTGTGGCAATTTCTGAAAATAAGGTAACATGAAGTTTGCCAAATCAATTGAGTCTTCATTTCATGAAATATTTCTCTGTAGCATGTTATGCTGTCTGATAGCATTTTACTGACAGTATAACTTCTTTCAGAATTGGAGTCAATCCTCTCAAATTGTTCTAATGCTTTATCAACTAAGTTTATAAAATATTCTAAACACTTTGTTGTCATTTCAACAACATTCATAGCATCTTCACCAGGAGTAGATTCCATCTCAAGAAATCACGTTTTTTGCTCATCTATAAGAAGCAACTCTTAATCTGCTCTAGTTTTATCATGAGATGGCAGCAATTCAGTCACATCTTCACAAACTACTTCTAATTATCTTCTCTTGTTATTTCTACCACATCTTCAGTTAGGTCCTCCAGTGAATTCTTGAAACCCTCAAAGTCATCTGTGAATGTTGAAATCAACTTCTTCCAAATTCCTGTTGATGTTGATATTTTGAACTCCACCCGTAAATTATGAATGTTCTCAATGACAGCTAAAATGGTGAATCTTTTTGGATAGTTTTCAATTTACTTTGCCCAAATCCATCAGATGAATGTATTTATGGCAGCCATAGCCTTACAAAATGAATTTCTTGAATAATAACATTTGAAAGTTGAAATACTTGATCTATGGGCTGAAGAATGGGTTTGTGTTAGCAGTCATGAAAACAACATTAATCTCCTTGTACATGTCCATTAGAGCTCTTGAGTGGTCAGGTGCTTTGTTAATGAGCAGTAATATTTTGAAATAATTTTTATTTCTGAGCAGTACACCTCAAGAGTGGGCTTAAAATATTTGTTAAACCATGTTATAAACAAATGTGCTATCATTGAGGCTTTGTTTTATTTCTAGAGCATAGGCAGAGTGAATTTCACAGAATTCTTAAGGGCCTTAGAATATTCAGAATGGAAAATGAACACTGGCTTCAACTTAAAGTCATCAGCTGCATTAGCCCCTAACAAGAGAATCAGCATGTCCTTTGAAGCTTTGAAGCCAGGCATTGACTACTTTCTAGCTATGAAAGTACTAGATGGCACCATTTTGCAATAGAAGGCTGTTCCATCTCCAGTGAAAATCTATTTGTTGATGAAGCCACCTTTATCAATGATCTTAGCTAGATCTTTGATATAACTTGCTGCAGCTTCTACATCAGTGTTTACTGCTTTACTTTGCATTTTATGTGACAGTGACGGCTTGTTTCCTTAAACCTCATGAACCAACCTCTGCTAGCTTCAGAGTTTTCTTCTGCTGCTTCCTCACCTCTCTCAGACTTCACAGAATTGAAGACACTTAGGACCTTGCTCTGGATTAGGCTTTGGCTTAAGGGAATGTTGTGGCTGGTTTGATCTATCCAGACCACTAAAACTTTATCCATATCTGCAATAAGGCTCTTTCGCTTTCTTATCAATCATGTGTTCACTGAAGTAGCACTCTAATTTCCTTTAAGAACTATTTCTTTGCATTTGCAACTTGGCTGTTTGGCCTAGCCTTCAGCTTATCTTGGCTGTCAACATGCCTTTCTCACTAAGCTTAATCATAACTAGCTTTTGAGTTAATGTGAGACACATGAGACTTCCTTTCACTTGAACATGTAAAGGCCATTGTAGGGTTATTAATTGGCCTAATTTCAATATTTTGTGTTTCAGGGAATAGGGAGGCCCAAGAAGAACGAAAGACAGGGGAATAACAGGTCAGTGGAGCAGTCAGAACACACACAACGTTTGTGGTGCCCCCAAACAATTACAATAGTAATATTAAAGATCACTGATGACAGATCACCATAACAGATATAATAATAATGAGAAACCTTGATATTATGAGAATTACCAAAATGTGACACAGACACATACAGTGAGTACACGCTGTTGGGAAAATGGTGCTGACGGACATGTTTGACACAGAGTTGCCACAAACCTTCAATTGGTAAAAAAAGCACATTACCTGGGAAGGGCAGCAGAGTGAAGTGCAATAAAATGAGGTATGCCTGTAATTGGATAAAATTTCAAACTTAAAAAAATTAATAGGACTGTTTTTCTTCAAATTATTTCAGGTATCTATCAATGAATATCTCATTACTAGAATGAAGCAAGTTTCAGCATCAATATTATTCTTACTTTTTATTTTCATACATATAAAGCACTGAGAATTTTATTCACATGACTAAGTAGATTGGAGTGGAAATGGAATATTATAAAAATGTCACTTAATCTCCCCGCTTCTTTGTTAAATGTCAGCAAGCACACTGGGAATTGAGTAATGGAAATCTTATTGAATGATCTGTCAACTGAAAAATTGATTAGATCCTCCTTGAATTTTTTCTTAATCAAAGAGCTGGAAACCACCTGATTTGCAACAAATATCCACTTATTAGCATTATTTACTTTCTCAACATTAACATCAATATTTTAAAATGTCCCTTTGTTTGTCACCCATTGGGTTTTTACACTCTGGAGCAATGATCCAAAGTAACTTTAGGATAGGTGAGGAAGGCTACTTTCTTTTGTAAAGTGGAAGAAAAGTTATTGTGTAGGAGTGGGGAGAAAAACCTATGCTTTTCTATGGAAGAAAAGTTATTGTGTACGAGTGGGGGAGAAAAACCTATGCTTCATCTCACACATCTCAGACACTTTGTGGAAGCTGAATATCTGAAAATTCAGTCCCTTACAGACATCTATGTGTGTATATCCCTCAGAAAGTCTTCTCACACCATCAGGATATGTACAGCACTTTCAACACCACTGCTTCAGTGTCCTTGCTTCTATGCATGGAAATTATGGTATTTTTGGCTTTCTTAGTTGCCTTTATTCCTAAGTGATAGCTAAATACCTAAGTAATGTGGCTTGAAAAAGCATCAGAATATTTTTTCTGGATTCTAAATTACTTCCAAAGCAGCGATTC
Organism: Homo sapiens; assembly: GCF_000001405.40. Classification (NCBI taxonomy): domain Eukaryota; kingdom Metazoa; phylum Chordata; class Mammalia; order Primates; family Hominidae; genus Homo; species Homo sapiens. The sequence goes on from NC_000001.11 coordinate 172,927,649, forward strand.
CTGAAGTCCTTACCATTACTCATCTAAATGAAGCCTTTAAAATGTTTAATTGGTAGTACTGACTGGAGGAAATAATACCTAGTGCTTACTGAGTAGGTATTATATGCCGCATACTTTTTAAGGAATTTTACATAAATTTAATACTAATAATAACACTATAAAGTAGATATTATTAGCTTTATTTTACAGATGAGAAAACTGAAGCACAGAAAAGTTAAATAGCTTGCCTGTGGATTAGCTAGTAGGTGGTAGAGCTGGGCTTCAAACCTAGGCAGCTTGGCTCTAAAACCTGGCACTTTCAACCTCTATGTTAACAAACTACCACATTATTCCTATCTGAACATAATTATATTTCTTACCTTAGTTTTCTACACATATTTTGAAGTTCTGAGAGTAAGGAGCATAACATAGATGGGGATGTTTTGGAGGGACTGGTAGATAATGCTATAGAACATAAGTTTGAGTGGGATCCTGCAGCAATGTCTATAGACAATGGAAAGCGCAATGACCAAAGGGATTATAATGCCAAGAAGGGGCAATTGAGGCTCAGAGGCAGGGATGGCCAACTTCCGAGAGAACAGGGGATCTGACCTTATCTTGATGACTCTATGCCAGGCCCCTTCAGGAATTTGGTGGGAAAAGTAGAGAACTGGTCCATGTAGTCAGTGATAGATGTTGGGCATCCTATGCATCTAGGCATGTATGGAAGGTCAAGGGGGAGGCCTGTAATACAAGTCACTTCATTCACTAGACACATGTATTGATTGCTGTCTCTGTAGATGAACAGTACCTTGCTAAAGACATGCAGAAGCGATCAGGGCTATAAATGCCTTAGATCATACAGTGTGATATTCACAGCACATACCTAAGTCAGGAATGTTTCAGCTTTAGTTTCACATTATTTCCAACTCTTCTTGCCAATGGCAAATTCAAAGTAAGGCAGGAAGGACCTAGATTGATTAGATCATCTAATGCTTTTTGGATGAATATTAATAAACATAAACCTTAGTTGATGCCTCAGAGGTCAGAAAGTCAGTGCTTGTCGCAACAAGAGAAGGAGGGAATTCCCAAGGTCTTGGCAGAAAAAACATTTAGCCATCTGGAACTACAGTTCTGAGGTTTGTAGTGTGATGTTTTATTGTGCTTTAAAACATGGATGTTGTTAGAAGGAAATTTAAAAAAAAAAGAAAAGCCAAATAATTAGCATCCAAACCATGGAGACTCATTAGTTAGCATCTGAGACTGTATCTGAAAAGAAATAAGAAGCTTGAGAAGCTGCTCTCCGTTTGGGGCCATTTGTTTCTGGACACCTCTCTCTGAGAGCTAGAACCTTTGTAAAAGAGTTGTTGATAAAGAACTATCGAAGAAAGTCAGAGACTTAGAATAAGGCTTACAAATGAAAGTAAATCCTTTAATTCACCTGGAAAGTCCACCTAGACAGAATGAATTCTTGCCTTTATTGCTAACTATACTGAAAACCTTAAAAACCTGGGAAATCCTAAACTGAACAGTACTAAGTGTCCCTCTGTCATCATATAACTTCAGATAATATCTGGCAGAGGATTTGAGACATTCCTAAAGTGAGAGATGTTCTTAGTACATACGTTCCAAATGTGAATCAGCTGTGATAAAGCTTGTCAAAACACTAACTTAGTCTTAGACTGGGAACAGTACTAAAATAAAGGGAATGTTAGATGTTGCATACCATGAACAGCTGAGCTACCTGTTTACTGTTGTGTTTACCTCTGGGGTTTAGGGTTTTTGTTTTTGAAATGGAGTCTCGCTCTCTTGCCCAGGCTGGAGTGCAGTGGCACAATCTCGGCTCACTGCAACCTCCGTCTCCTGGGTTCAAGCAATTCCCCTGTCTCAGCCTCCCGAGTAGGTGGGACTACAGGCACATGCCACCATGCCCGGCTAATTTTTGTATGTTTAGTAGAGACAGGGTTTCACCCTATTGGTCAGGCTTGTCTCAAACTCCTGACCTCAGGTGATCCACCTGCCTCGGCCTCCCAAAGTGCTGGGATTACAGGCGTGAGCCACCGTACCCAGCCTGGAGTTCAGGTTTTAAGAGAAATACTGGTAAGTTGAAGCATGTACAGAGAAAAGGAATCAGAATGATTACAAGCTTGGAAACAAATCAAAGAAGAAACAAATAAAGGCATTGAGAAAGCTTGGTCTCAAAAGAGAAAAAGGAAGAAATGATGTGATTCCATGTTTGAAGGAATGTTGTGTGGGAAAGGGAGCAAACTCATTTTGGGTTGCTCTAACAGGGCAGAGGTAAAGGGGAAGCTTTAAAGAGGCCAATTTAAACCCACTATAGGAAAGAGTGACCTAGTAATTCAAAATTTTCAAATGTGGAATGGGCTGTCTTATGAGGTAATAGATTGGAAATGATCAAGAAAAAGCTGTTATAGAAGCTACAGAGGGTGGGGTTTTCACAGGGGGCAGAAGTTTGGGCTAGGTGATTTACACAATTCTTCTACCTCTCTAATTATTTTCTTTTCTTTTGAACCACTTAACTCTGGCACAGATTTTTCAAACGAAAATTGCAGTTGGAAATTCCCTTTGTTTTCCTCCTTTCCTTTAAAGATATATCCACCTTATGAGGCAGACAAATCCACCTGCTTGTCGAGTTGCACTTACTCATTAGAAAATATGACTGTGGTTTGCAAGATAGCTTTCTGTGATGACATTTTTGGAGACAGTGGTCTGAATGCAAATTGTCATGCTATATTCCAGGCCCCAAAGACTTCCCTGTGGGCAAAAGGAAAAGGCTGATAATTTTATTAAAATAAAAGACATTAATCTGTTTCATGGTTAGAGAGCATTCTTGCCCTGAGGAAAGGATATGATCACATAAGTGAAAAGGGAATAATTTTACACTGTTGGTGGGTCTATAAACTAGTACAACCACTATGGAAACAGTGGAGATTCCTTAAGGAACCAAAAGTAGATCTACCACTTGATCCAGAAGTCCCACTCCTGGGTATCTACCCAGAGGAAAAGAAATCATTATACAAAAAAGGTACTTGCACACACATGTTTATATCAGCACAATTCGCAATTGCAAAAATACAGAACTAGCCCAAATGTCCATCAATCAACAATAGATAAAGAAAATGTGGTACACACACACACACACACACACACACACACACACACACACTGAAGGATACTAATCAGCTATAAAAAGGAATGAAATAATTGCGATCACGGCAACGTGGATGGAACTGGAGACCATTATTCTAAGTGAAGTAACTCAGGAATGAAAAACCAAACATTGTATGTTCTCACTCATAAGTGGGAGCTAAGCTATTAGGATGCAAAGGCATAGGAATAATACAGTGAACTTTGGGGACTCAGAGGAAAGGGTGGGAAGGGGTGAGGAATAAAAGACTACACATGGGTACAGTGTACAATGCTTGGATGATGGGTGCACCAAAATCTTAGAAATCGCCACTAAAGAACTTATTCATGTACAAAAATAAATAAGTAAATAAATACTTTTTGAATACTCCACTGAGCTCCAATATTCCATATTGAAAATATTTCTAGACTTTATGCTTACTTTCCCCTAAGTAATTCAGATTTTACAACATGATACTGTATAATAATTCACGTTTATCTTCCTAGAGTCTTATAAATAATTGATTTATTTTAAAAAATAACTTTATATAAGACTATTCTTCAAACTATTCTGTAACACATGTGCATTTGTTCACATATTTATTCAGAAAATATTTATTATCCTATTATACCTGGGAGTACAGGTGTGAGAAAGACAGAAAAGGTCTCTGCTTTCATGGAGCTTAGATTCCAAGTGAGGGGAGACAGACAAAAAAAGTACTAAACAAACAACAGACCGAAAGGTGAATTATTAGATAGATAGATAGATAGATAGATAGATAGATAGATAATTTTATTTAGCTGGTTATAACTGTAAAAAGGAGCTTTATTTAACTATAAAAGGGAGCATGATAGCAATCATACAGGGATTGGCTAATAAAGAGTAGGTGCTCATGTTTCCTAGAGAAGAGAATATTTGACTTGAGACATGAATGACCAAAGTGGGGCCAGGCATGTGAAAATAGTGGAAGGATCCCTCCAGGCAAAGAGAACAGCAAATGCAAAAGCCCTACGGTAAGAAGACTGAGTTGTTGAGGAGCATCAAGGCCATGGTGACCAAAGCCTAGTGAATATGAAAGGGGAACGTGGTAGCTGAGGAAGTAGGAACCCGCATAAGGACCAGATTATGAAGACTCTTGTAAGTTTTAGAAATTCATTTAACTTTTATCTCAAGTGCAATTTGAAGTCATTGGATATTTCTAAGGAAGGAAGTGGTGGGAAGGAATTTTCTTTAAAAAAAAAAAAAACCTTTTGGCTTCTGTATAGCAAGTGGATTGGAAGGAAGGAGGAAAGTGAAACCTAGGAGATGTGATAGTAGACTATTGCTGAACACCAACACATGAAAATAAAATAAACCAAAATACCCTCATGAACACGTTAGCCAATTGTTAACAAGGTCTACCATCATACTGAACTCATAGAATAAATAAATATATTTTGATCATTTAAAAGTGTCTAGGACTCAAGCTAAACTCTTTGTTCTTTCCGTGAACTGTGCTCTGTTTATTTGGCTCCCATGTAATAAAATTACGAACTCTGTGTACACGTTCATATTTTGGAAGATGAGAAAGAGAGCCACTCACTGTCTGTGGAAGGAGTAATGTTCAAATAGGAATGTGTATACTCCCAAGTGCTGATCAACTGAAAGAAAATCCAGGGACACAGAGGAGACAAAAGAGGTTAGTGGGAAACCCAGCAAAAGGAGACTCAATGGTCATAGCCCCTTCTGCCCTCTGCTGCTTATGCTGCCAATATTGCTACAGTTGTTTAGCCTAAAGGTGGCTTCTGTGTTTTGCCCCAACATCAGCTTCAGATCCTCTGCCTTTCTCCTAGAGGTTCTGTACTATCTGGTTGGCTTTGAGCTTCACAATAGAAGGCATAAACTGCTATCTCATGGATACCAGAGCAGGGGCTCTCAAGCTTTAGCATGTATTAGAATGACCTGAAAAACTTATTAAAACACAGATTGCTAGACTCCATCCCAGAGTTTTGTGAGGTGGGGCCTAAGAATCTGCATTTCTACATATTCCAAGGTGCTGATGTTGTCACAGGTCTGAGAACTATGCTTTGAAAATCACTGATCTACAGAAATGGAGTGACAGTGAGAAATGGGCAGTCATGATCAAAGTACACTCCTGCTTGCTATACTTGTACAATGCTTACTAAATATAAAACCAAGTTAACTTGAACATCAAAGGCATCTTAAATGGGGCACATGCCAAAAGGAGGAATTACAGCTGAAAAGTTGGAATATAGGGAAAGTCAATTCCACCTTCTGCTTGAAGATGGTATCAGGTCTAGGAACGTGGGGTTCTGGGATAATCCCATGGAATCAAATCTTATGTGATGTTCTGCTTCATTTTGATTGCAATCACTAGCTTTCTTTACCCTGAGGCTAGTTCTTCAGTTCCCAGTATGGCACACAGTGGGCTGAGTGGAAGGGACAAAGGTGAACTTCTCAGGGTTACTGTTGGTATTCATCACCAGCCTAAGAACAGAAAAACACAGCCAGGAAGAGAAACTCAGGTGAAACTGGACAGCCAGAGCAGAAGTGGCTCCTAGATAGTGGCTCTAGAAAGTAAGGTATTTTTAAATGTTTGGGGGGATTTATATATTAAAAAAATAGAATTTAAGAAGTCATTAATTAGGTTTTGGTCTTGATGTAGGTTGCTTAAGAAGAAAAAATCAGTTTCATTTAGAGGCCTGTTTTGGAGATTGGTTCTTACCTTGTTGGAATAGAGATAGCAGACTTGGGCCGGGCGTGGTGGCTCACCCCTGTAATCCCAGCACTTTGGGAGGCTGAGGCAGGCAGGTAGCTAGGTCAGGAGCTCGAGACCATCCAGGCCAACACGGTGAAACCCCGTCTCTACTAAAAAAAATACAAAAAAATTAGCTGGGTGTGGTGGCGGTCGCCTGTAGTCCCAGCTACTCTACTCAGGAGAATGGCGTGAACCCGGGAGGCGGAGCTTGCAGTCAGCCAATATCGCGCCACTGCATTCCAGCCTGGGCAACAGAGCGAGACTCTATCTCAAAAAAAAAAAAAAAAAAGAGAGAGAGATAGCAGTCTTGGCCTATGGACTGGATTCTTGTTTCGCTTGTGATATCACTTTTTCCAGTCACTGATTTGGAATATTTGCGTTTTTTAACTTCTCTTTGTCAGATCTCAGGCTGCCTGGGAGGTTGAGGGTAGGGGTAGAAGAGGGATTACAAAAACCTGGCAGCCTCCATGGACTCACACTATGGGTACACATTAGAAATACACCAGGGAATGGAAGATGAGTCACAGCCATGCTGAGTCATGCTGGCCAGATAACTATCAGAAGGATTTCCTGTTTGCCTGCGAGGGACACAGATGATAAATTATTTTTCCTCTTATTTAACCCATTTGTGTTAATAATAACGTCATAGATGGTGTATCCCTTGGTCCATTATCAGAACTCTCTTAGTTTAGTCTTCCAAATATAGAAGGAACAATGGGACACAGGGTCCTGAAGTGAGTCTGTGCCTTATTCGGTAAATTTGATGCAAGCATCTTTGCCTTTAAGTGCAGAGAATGTCAGTCTTCTCACACGGAATGGGGAAGGCTGCTTTGTGTACTTCCCCTGACACTACAGCATCCAGATGGCCAGTCATCTGGGAAGAGGAGAGCAGAGTTACAAAGGAGACAGAGTCAATGATAAGTTCAGAGGCCTAGGAAAGTTTATTTAACCATAATTGTCATCACTGAGTGAACAGGCAAAGAACCCGCATTAAGTCTTGCTCAATTTCTAGAAGCAGATTCCCAAACGTGGATGTGCCTATGCATCCATCTCCTGCGATGCTCGTGATCAAGGTAAATTCCTTGCTTCTATGCATAGTCCTGGAAGCTGATTTTTTAAAAGACTCCCTTCCTCAGTAATTTTGATCCACTTTGGAAAACATTGCCTTGGATGACATCCTCTTCTGGGCCTAGTCATTGAACATGTTGAAAATTGTAATGTCTGCAACATGGAAATGTACAGCTAAAATTTACACTAGAAATGACTTGTATGTATGGTAGAGGATAAAAGTGGGGATGAGAAGAAAAGAGAAGAGGAGCACATTAGGATCAACAATTTTAAGGTACTGAAGAATGTGAGCATTCTGTAAGCCACAAATTACCATGCTATGAAGCTTCAAATTGCACTTATGCCACTGGCCAACATATACATTCATCATTTGTCCTGCTCTATCATGGAAAGAATGGATAATTTACACTGCTCTTGATTTTTTAAATGAGATTCACATACCATAAAAATCACTATTTTAAAATGTACAGTTCAACAGTTTTCAGTATATTCACATAACTGCAGATATCACTATCTAATTCCAGAATATTTTCATCACTCTCAAAAGAAATCTATGCTTGAATAATCCATTTCCTATTCTCCCCTCCAACCTCTAGCAACCACTAATTTACTTCCTGTCTCCATGATTTGCCTATTACGAAAATGCTGTATAAATAGTATCATGGAAATGCTGTATAAATATGTGTGCTTTTGTGACTGGTTGCTTTCACTTAGCATAATGTTCTCAAGGATCATTCATGTTGCAACCTGTGTTAGTACTTCATTCCTTTTCTGAGAGTAAGTTATATTCCATTGTATAGATATACCACATTTTTATTTATCCATTAACCAGCTGATGGACACTTGAGTTGTTTCTACTTTTTGGCTATTCTGGGTAATGCTGCTATGAGTGTGTGCACATTTTTAGTGAATATATGATTTCATTTCTCTTGAGTATATACTAAGAGTAGAATTGCTTGACAATATGGCAATTCTATTGTTTTCTTCATATAACCAAAGGAATTCTTCATAAAGTTGCTGCCCCTATACTGCCAGAGTCTATTTCTCTTGGATGGCATTCAACAGGAATCACATTTTCATACTTCTTCCAGCTAGGATCTTGAAAAATTAAAGCAGCATCTGAATAATATGTGAAATATCATAAAATACCATAAAATAACTTACAGATCTGCTGTTGATACTCCTCATTATTATCTTTCTTTATTCCTTAGAAACCAAATCCTTCACACACACACGCGCGCATGTGCATACACACACATCACAGACTGGCAAGAAGGTATTTCCTCCTTGTATGCTTTATTCTCTTTTAAAAAAACAATGCTAGTTCTTAAGAATGGAGATTTTATTTCTCAGATATTCTTACTAAAAATGAACAGATTTAAAAACAGGTTAAGTTCTGAGAGAGTATGTTAAAGTTCTCCAGAGAAACAGAACAATGTGTGTGTATGCATGCACATGCATGCGTGTGTGTGTGCATGCATGTGCACACATGTGCACATGTACATGTGTAGAGAGAGAGAGGTCGTAAGAGAGATGAGGAATATGCAATTATGAAGGATGTGAAGTCTCAAGATCTTCAGGTGGCAATCTGGAGACCCAAGAGAGATAATGTTTCAGTCCGGGTTTCCAGCCCAAAGGCCGGAAAAGACCAAGTTCATAGTAGTTCATAGCAGTCAAGGAAGTGGAATTCCCCTCTACTCACAGGAAGGTCAGCCTTCTTATTCTAGTAGGCCTTCAGCTGAGTGGCTGAGGCCCACCCACTTCAGGGAAGGCAATCCTCTTTACTCAGTCTATCAATTCAAAGATTAATCTCATCAAAAAAACACCCTCACACACACACCCAAAATAATGTTTGACCAAATATCTGGACATCCCATGACCTCATCAAGTTGACACATAAAGTTTACCATTGCAGAGAATTCACTTCCTTAAGAATTTTACTGTGCTGTATCTGGGGCTGTATGTGCAGGAAGAATAAGAGGAGAAAATGATCTTTCTCAAGCAAAAGGAAGCCCTACTATTTGAGTTCTATCATCCAGACCCTTTCCCTGTTCCTGCCATCATCAGGCCTCCGAGGGGCAACAGTAGCCATTGTCCTTTCAATTTAGTGAGTTGTGCCCAGTGAGAGACTATCACCCCAGGCAGAATTGTTGAGTGACCAGATGTCTCAGGTCCAGGTAAACTTGGCGTACCTAACCCTACGAAATAGAAAGTCCCAAATATATGTTTTTAGAGGTGGTTGTTGTGGAGGCAAACTGTAAAAGAGGTCTCTACTGTTTGTGATATCTGTTTTGACTTGAGGAACATCTGGCTACCCTCTATCTGATACTTGGTAACAATAAATAAAACAAATTTAAGAATGAGAAACTATTACTTTACTAGAAAATAGGAATCTAAGTAGAATAGTGGTTACCAGAGTGGACAGGGAAGGGCTGAAGAGATATTGGTCAAAAAATACAAAATTTCAATTAGACTGGAGAAGTAAGTTCAAGAGATCTATTGTACAACATGGTGGCTATAGTTAATAACAATATATTGCACATTTGAAAACTGTTAAAAGAGTATATTTTAAGTGTTCTCACCACAAGTGCCTTATAAGTATGTTAGGCAGTACATATGCTAGTTATCTTGATTTAGCAATTCCACAATGTATACACATTTCAAAACATGTTGTACACCATAAATATATACAATTTTATTTATCGATAAAATGAATAAATAATAAAATAAGTGGAGACAGACAAAGAGATTATATTAGTGATAAACCAACATTACACAAGAGACCTGAAGGAAGGAAAATGCCAGATAGGTCATATTAACAGTTTTCCCTACCATCAATGAATGTTTACTATTTTCTATACACTGCTCTAGATTTATTTATTTATTTAATTAATTTGTTTTTTGAGACAGAGTCTTACTCTGTCACCCAGGCTGGAGTACAGTGGTGCAATCTTGACTCAGTGCAACTTCTACCTCCCTGATTCCAGTGATTCTTCTGCCTCAGCCCCCAAGTATCTGGGACTACAGGCCCACGCCACCACACCTGGCTAATCTTGGTATTTTTAGTAGAGATGGGGTTTTGCCATGTTGGCCAAGCTGCTCTTGAACTCCTGACCTCAGATGATCCACCTACCTTGGCCTCCCAAAGTGCTGGGATTATAGGCATAGGATATAGGCTACCACGCCTGGCCTAGATTTATATGCATTATCTTAATCCCAACAATCATCCTATGAAGTAGGTACTACTGTTATCACTTAAGGACTGAGGCTCAGATATATTAAGGCACCTCTGGTAATGCTCCACAGCTAAATCTTTGGAGACCTGAAATCTTAAATCAATTTACCTGACCCCCATAGCTATGTTCTTATTGCTATAGTACATTGCCTCCTATTTCTAAAGAAAGTTTCTCGACCTAAATTAAAAGTATCTCTGGTTTTTCTACTGACATGCTTCCAAATGAATCCCTTTGGATAGGCATTCTCTTTACTCCAATGGGTAGAGGTAGAGAATACGGTCAGGCTAAGGTTCCACTGTTAGTCTACCCTACCACTTTGTTGTCAAGACTTTGCCCATGAAATGATGGAAGCAATAAGTTACTTAACCTCTCAACTTCAGTTTTTGAATCCATAGATTAGTCTTAATGGCCACCACTAATTAGATCTCTGTTAGGTGCAAATGAGAGAATTTATGTAAAATCTACTACAGTTTCTTTCCCTACTGTCCTATATGTCCCCCAATCTACACTCCCTCAGCCAAGTGACAGTAGACACCCTCCAAGGAGGTTGTATAGAATTCCCATGGTGCCTGATCAAAACTCATATTTCTGAGAGTACACTAAAGTTCCAAGGACTCTTAATTTAGGAGAGGACCCATTCAGTAAATAGCATGCTCTAGGAAATGACAAACTATGTGCTCTTAAAACATTGTTGCATTCTTCCCTGCTTAACTTACCTATTGTTGATTGTTGTCTTACAACTATAAAACCTTTTATTTTACTTTTTGGTGGTGATCTTTTAACGATCTAGTTCTCAAGATGGAAATTCCCAACTTGGAAGGTGTCATTACTTCTTATTATTGTTATTTTATTTTGCAGTGCTCTGAATTTTTACATGGGTTATTTTTAAAAATTTAGGTTTTCAAATGAAAGCAACTAAAATGAATATTGTCTAAACATGGAATCTTTGAAAACTTATGGCAACCTGCCCCCATTTCTGATAACTGAAAACATTCTAGTATATTGCAACACCATTGCAAGCCACTGCTTAAGAGTCCCAACCAAAGAAAGTTTCTCACCACTCAGTATGACTTTTAGTCATCAGGAGAAATACATGTCAACAAAAAATTTTTAACTAGACTCTTAATCATAGGCTATGCATGGGATTGCTGATGTTCTGGATGAAGTGGAAATTTATTTAATTAATGATCACAAAAGCTTCTGATTACTTTGGCCTATTTTCATGAGAATCCTTCCCTCTTTGTCTTATTCTGTCTGTTTTCCTTATTTGATTCAAAAGTGAGAATCAAACTTTTTAGATTATTTCTTCTAGAAACCTATGGGAAAATGTATATTTGGTGGGAGTACAGTAGCAATATGTATTTTCTTGATCTGAATAGGGCAGTTCTATCTTGATCTGAGGGGTGTATCTGGTAAGTCTACAGCAGAATAAATTTCTGATGGCAGGGGCACAAGCCAGGAGGTGTCCTTGAACAGGGCCCAGGCACAGAGGTGTTAAATTTTCCTGCTTCCCTCAACTTGGCAGCGAAGTATTTAAACTTACGGAGTCCTTAGAGTGGGAGCCAGGTGGATCTACTCAGGTGATAGATGTCTTAGGTCAGCTTCCCTCGAGGCAGAGCCTGAGACAGGGATTTTTGTGAAGGCAATTTGTTGAGGAAGTGCTCTCAGGAAAAAGAAACGGAGGGAAGTGGGGTAGGGTAGGGGTGGAAAATAAGGAAGGTAGCTGGGGCTACCTTCAGCCTGTGACCTGCGAGGAATTCTGGAGCATGAATTATACCACAAGGTTAGTCTTACTTGGAGACGAGGGGACCGGTATTACATAAGCCCTGTCAATAAGTCATGGGTGGTTGGCTGCCTTCAGGGAAGTGGCTTCTCTGGGAGAGCAGCTCTCTGAAGAAGGGGAAGCTGTGGACCCTTAGCAGTGACACTCAAGGCTGTTGGGGGATGGTTGGGCCCACTCAGTGAAGGGAACCTGAGCAGGGTACCAACAGCATCTACTACAATAAGAAATTTCTTTCTCTTTTCATCTCAAGAATTAAAAAAAAGAAGCAAGGAAGGAAGGAAGGAAGAAAGGAAAAAGAAAAGTAGGTTAATTTCCTTGCTTTTATTTAAAGATTTTTAATAAGACACTTTGAATAAATGTTTTTCTAAGATTTCAGCCAGAGAGAGACTTAGACTATAATTGTAATTGAAGTCTTTTTGGTTTGCTAGTAATTTGTGGTGACATCTTGTAAGAATTCCTGAAGCTTAAATTTAAGCTGCTTTCCATGAAACCACAGCAAAAATTAGTTACATGCAAAAAATTATTTCCTTAATTACTCTTTACCCTTGCCAAGACAAGTTTCACTGTATAATATGTAACTTTAAGCCTTTAAATCAGAACCTTTCACTTATGATTATTTATTTCTCACTCTTATGACCAGCATATATTTTCATAAAGGCTTGGTTTGGAAGGGCCAGCAAGATAGCCAAGGGGTAAAATGGCTGGAGTAAGACGCTGACTAGTAATGAGTGCTCAGAGTACTATCAGCTGTCTGTCCAACTGCCCCATATAAGGGGAGGCTACTTCTCAGCTTTAGCCCAGGATTGCCATGTGACAATGCAAAGCAGTGATGCCAAATTTCTTTACTTTTTCAAGAGAAGATGAAAACTCGGCTTTTCTATACAAATAACCCTATTTTTGCAACAAACTTAAATTTGTACTACTATGTAGGTCAACTGTGCAGAGTCCAGACAGCCCCCACGTCACTGGTTTTCGTTTGGAGGTCTGCGTGCTTGCATGTTGCTACTAGACTTGAAGTTCCTGGAATGTAAACTATGCATCTCATTTATCTTTGTGTCATGCACAAAAGAGAGCTTTGCATTTAATAAACACTCACTAAATCTTTATTAAAAGACTGGTTGAAAACTTTTGGAAGCTATTAGCATTTGTCATTTGCCTATATTTAAGATGTCCAATTTATCTGGGATTGCTGTGCTAGTGATGCAAGGACAAAAACTAGCAATCTCAGCCTCCAGGAGTTCACAGCGTATGACAGAACAATGAAAAACCAAGCCCTGAGGTGGTGGCTCACACCTGTAATCCCAGCTCTTTGGGAGGCCAAGGTGGGTGGATTGCTTGAGCTCAGGAGCTCTAGACCAGACTGGGCAACATGGTGAAACCCTGTTTCTACAAAAAAATTAGCTGGGTGTGGTGGTGCATGCCTGTGGCCCCAGCTACTCAGGAGGATGAGGTGGGAGGATTCTTTGAGTCCAGGAATTCAAGGCTGCAGTCTGCAGTGAGGCACTGCACTCCAGCCTAGGTGACAGAGCGAGACCCTGTCTCAAAAAAAAAAAGAAAGAAAAAATAAAAGTCAGGGAAGGGTACACTCAACTGGCTCCCAGGGTGACAAATGAGAAGAGAAGAGACATTAGAGGAGAATCAACAGCCAGGCTGGTTGAGGAGTGGGGCTCACATGCCCTGCTAGAAGCTTGGCTTGTAGCGTAAGAGTGATGGGAAGACACGAAAAAATCAAACAAGGAACAGGGTGAGCACATTTTGAGGAAGGAGCATGAGCAGTGGCAATGTGGCCTCAGCCTCATGCTCAGGTAGGGCCTGATAAGCTGCAATGCCCTCTTACCTCCTGTGTGACTGAGGCCATGAAGATGGCACATCCATCTTTGCACCACCAAGCACTTCGGTGGGCCAGGGCCCATCATGTGGCCCCTGAATGTAACCAGGGTGTCATCAGTGAAGTGTGAGTATTCCTCACATCCTGAGTCCCTGGAGCTTGGCACAGCATCTCACTCAGTGAGCTGAGCTTGTGCTTATTGCATGCAGGGAGGAAAAAAGGACTGCTGTGAAGTTTGCCAGAAGCAACATTTCTGGCAGCCCAATATGGCTGGGAATGGCTAGAAGAGTATGGTAGTGAATTAAATAGCTGGAAAATAAAGCTACAAGAAAAGTGCTCCTCTCATAAAGCAAAGATCTCTAGTCACTTGCAAGCTGCAAGCTGGTGGCACAGATTTAGTTGCCCACAATGTGTGAAAAGCAATTTGTTTGAATTAGTTGCTATTAAAAGACTGGCAAGTTAATATTAGCACCTTCACATCTGGTTTATCTTAAAACCCCAAACTAGCTGACAATACTTGGCCTGTTTTGGTGTTTTAATTCATTAACTGACATGCTTCAAACATCACTTCCGGTATAAAGCTTAGTGTTCTGTTAGTAGCAAGAGAGCATCTTTGGAGAAAAAGATACAGCAGCATCAATAGCATGATTCATTTGTTGTATGCACACCCTGAAATAAATAGAAGTAGACAGTAAACCGTAAGAAGACTGAAGTCTTAACCTTCTTGCAGAGTTGCTCACTAGCCTAAAATGCCATTGAGATGAGATGAGGTGAGATGAGAGGAGATGAGATGAGAATATTGGCCCCTCCCAAATTCAACTTCCCTATAAATCCTTGTATTAATTGTTTTTTGGTAATATAAGCCTTGTTTAGGTTAAAGACCAAACAAAAGAAAACTTCACACTATTTTTAAAAAGTAAAAAATGTTTATATAATTAATGTGCAAAAAATGTGTGCTTGAGACAACAGAATGCAACCTAAAGACAGCAATATGAATATGGGGATTATGTAGGATAAAAACTTGGTCAACTACAAAAGGCATAATGTGTAAACAAGGCTAATTTACGACTAAATGACAGGCTATTGTAAAATGCTTGCATATATTAAGAAAAATTTTCCTAGAATCAAAAGTGTTTACAGATGACAATGTTGTAAAAGTGTTTGTATTATTCAGTTCAGGCTGCTATATATAACAAAATACCGATGGACCAGGTGGCTTAAAAAACCAGAAATTTATTTCTTACAATTCTGGAGGCTAGAAGTCTGAGATGAGAGTGGAGTGCCAGCATGGTCAGGTTCTGGGGAGGGGCCTCTTCCAGGTTACAGACTGCCATCTTCTCAAGGTGCCCTCAAGAGAGAGCAGAGAGAGGTCTTGTGTCTCCTTCTCTTTATAAGGTCATTAGTTTTATCATGAAGGCCCCACATTCATGACCTCATCTAACCCTTATTACCTCCCAAAGATTTCACCTCCTAAAAGCATCATATTGAGGGCTAGAATGTCAGCATAAGAATTCAGGGGGATACAAACTTTCAGACCATAACAGTGTGTCAGTGTTGCAGCAGAGATGATGGGTACTAATCAGGAATGGCCATTTATGAATGGAAGTCTAATCAGGTATAATGTTGCTCATTATTTTGAAGACATAGGTGAAAGCCTATAGAATGAATTTTGTAAAAAAGTGAAATCATTTGTGGTGTCTTATATTGCAGTGGGTGGGAGCAGATTTAAATAATGCCATCCTATTTTTATGGTCTTTGATATGGTCTGGCTCTGTGTCCCCACCCAAATCTCATCTTGAATTGTAATCCAAATTGTAATCCCCACGTGTTTGAGGAGGAACCTTGTGGGAGGTGATTACATCATGGGGGCAGTTCCCCCATGCTGTTCTCATGACAGTAAGTTCTTATGAGATATGATTTCGTAAGTGGCTTTTCCCCACTTCACTAGGCACTCACTCTCTCTCCTGCTGCCCTGTGAAGAGGTGCTGTCTACCATGATTGTAAGTTTCCTGAGGCTTCCTCAGCCATGCAGAAGTGTGAGTCAATTAAACCTCTTTTCTTTATAAATTACCCAGTCTTGGGCATTTCTTCATAGCAGCATGAGAATGGACTAATACAGTGTTAATGAATATTTTACCATTACTAAATAACATTTGGAAGAGACATAAGAGGCCTAGGAGAGACACAACTTCAGGAAATTATGTATTGAGAATAGTCTTGAAAAATTTAATTTAGACTAATCAAAAGTACTAAGTATGACTTCAAATGGTACTCTTGTGAATACTGTTGGAACTTGATGTTAACATGTCTTCATAGTGAAACTTAAATCCAGTGTGGCATTGTTTTAAAAGGACTTGGAACTTAAATCTGCTCGCTACATCTTTTGTAGAAACCACTTTTTGCTAGAAAGTTAGATTTTTCCCTCATCATGAATATTGTAATTAACTCCATGCTTCTGTGTCTGAACCACAGATAGTGCAATACTTTCTTAATGAACGATATGGTTGATACCTAATCTGCTATAGAACATATGTTCATATGTTCATTATTATATGGTGCCAAAAGCTTTTTGATTTGTTGGGAAAAAAAGCTGATATGTTCATGTTATTCAAAGGGAAATTATAGAAATAACTTATGGGAGAAGTTGGATCAAACTAAATATTTTAATTTTTTTTTCTACAGAGGCATTCATTAATAGGTAAAAAGGTACACAAATATATTATTTAATTTGCTTCCTCCTGACAAAATTATGATTTTGGGAAGCTCATTTGTCAAGAAAGAATATGAGCCACTTTCATATACTAAAATTGACTCTCCCCACCATGAAAGTGGTGGCCTAAACTAACATCCCCAATTTAGGGATTGGAAGACTACATTTCAGAAATGGTTTTCTGATTTCAGACTTTTTGAAAATGACCAAAAATTGTCTAAGTTGTTATTTACAATTACTATTATTGGTATTAGTCCAGAGCAGACGAACAGTTCCTTCAATATAAAAAAATTGTGAAAAGTCTGTTTGGAAAAACCTATATTTGTGACTGGCTGTTACTATAATGAATAAAACAAAACATCCTTCCTGGTTTAAAAATATAAGGCTGAATTCTATATATGGCATGCCACAAAGTGCAATACAAGATCTAACATTGCCAGGATTCTTGTTCCTAATCTAAGAACTCAATTACAAAAATAAAAATGCAATAATTTAACATTTCACACACACACACACATGCACAAATTTTAAATAGGATGTTTAATACCATAGAACACACACTATAGTCAGTAAAAATAGATACAGTTTAAACAAAGGATCGCGCTTTCTTGGACAGGCTTCATTTATTTATGTTGGCTGTCTGGTCCCTCTTGGCACCTGAACTGCAATGCCTTGTCCAATTTATGTGTCTATTATAGTAGCACCAAGGTTCTTTGATTGATCATATATACTCATAAGCGGGCTTAGGTTCTTCCTAAAAAATGGTGAAGGATGGATAGATGAATAGGTGGAAGACAGATATCAATAAATAACAAGAATGTATCTCAATCTACACTTAGATGTGCAGCATATACAAATTGTTTACAATTTTTATATCTCTACTTAATTAGTATTTTGAGTCTATGATTCTATCCTAGAAAGGGAAACTAAGCTCAATTTAAGATTTCTTCCTCTTTTCTGCAGGGCTGTGGATCAGTTCTGAAGAGCTTATAGGGAACCAGGCATTGTGTTGCAGGAACACTTCTGGTTCTCACATCATTTGTTCCCACAGGATTTTACTGAGACTCCCTGGTTCAGCCTGGTCCTCAGTCATTAGCCTATTCATGTCATTCCTGAACTGCCTGTGGAAAAGGGTGGTGGATCTCTTCACAGATTCTGGGCCTCATATGTGTAATGGGGACCATTTTTCTGCTGCCAGATCATCCTGGGATATGGTAATCTTTTAGCTGATCCACAGCCTTCTCCTGTCTTGGACCACAGTTCTTGTCTCTGGTTCTGCTGCTCCTTCTGCAGGGTGCAGCTTTCTACTATGTTAAATCTCTCAGAGGTCTTGCCACCTCTCTAGGACTCTTGAGGCAGCAGGATATCAGGCCTTTGTCTCTGGAGTCCACCCACCTGTCTGCTTTCATCATATCTGTTCTTTCTCTACATCTTCCCCATCCTGGAGAAGCTTTTTCTAGCATCGAGGGAATGTTATCCTTCAAGTTTGTTCTTCATATATTTTGGATGAACACAGAACTGCCTCTTTTCCCCCACAGAACTGAGGATTTTAGAACTAAAGCAAAGAAATAGCTCTCAGGGTATTCCAACTTTTTACCATTTCACATTCCTCCCCCAAGGCAATAAACACAGACAGAATAATTGCTTAAAGGGAGTGCAGATGTGAGGAGACAGGAAAGCGGTGTGAGGTGGCAAGGAGGAGAAGGAAAAACAGAGGGAGAGGAGTAGAGAGACAGAGATGTGTGTAACGTAAGAAAAAGAAAGTTAAAAACCCCTGTTCTAGAAGACAGTATTTAAAAATCACTCCCAAGGATTGGAATAATTGACTTGTCAAAGGGAAGACTTGCAAAATATCAGGATGTTAATCCTCATTGGCCTTTTCTGGAACGTCATTCTATTGTATTGCTATAATTAAAAGAGAAAGGGTGCAAATATCTTCACTTGTGACTTGCCTTTCTTGAAAATAAATTTCTCTGAAAACTGGTGAGTGCTTTTTCAGTAGATTGCTCATTTAATTACCAACATACATTCCTTAGTTTACCTGAAATGCCTCATGGAAATTAACAGTTTTAAATTAATGTGTTAATTTCCATGAGGCAGTGTTAATTTCCTTCCATTTCCAGGCTTGAGTTGATTAACCATAGTGAGTGTGATGATTTCTCTCCATCTATCTACCTACCTACCCACCCACCTACTCAACATCTTATAGGCATCTGCTTTGAAGAAAGTAAGAATACAAATAAAAATAAAAGGCTGTTATTGCTTCCGAGATTTAGGAGAGTAGAAAGCTGCACCCTGCAGAATTGATAGTGGAAGCTTTGTATGTAGACATCTGCAATACAATGTGGTAAGGGATCTAATAGAAACTGGGAGAGTTTTAGGGGTCTTGTAGAAATTATGCCAAACTTTGACTTCCCTGCCTTAAAGATATCAGAAAGGCCAAATCACCAGTTATTCCATCTCTAGCCCCACTAGGTCCCTACATTCTATTCCCCAGGAAATCACAGCTATTCTAAAGGGATTTTATTCTTGTAACTATCTAATATCTTTTCTATTTTAAAAAATGTATTTATGAACTTCAGATATCAAGAACTGAGTTTATCATGTCCCTTAATTCATGGCTCATTAAGCAGTTCTTGCAATCAACTCTCTGGCCACTTGTGAGGCTAAGACCGATAAGCTAACAGGAGCAGGAGTATGCATTGAAAAAGTAGCTCTAAATGAGAGGATTAATCCCTTCTATTGCACATTGATTGCTTACTTGTTTGATTCATTGGCTTAACACTTTATTCTGCAAAGGACAGGAAGCAGGTGAGAGTAAGTTAGACACTGCAGTCACCGAGGTCAACAGTAATCCTTCCTGGGTTGCCTATTTGCCTTGATTTGAAAAACTGAAAAGACCACATACTTCACAAAGACCAAGGATGTTAAACACCTTTTGATGGAAACTTACATTTCTGAGAATCTGGAGTGTTTCTATGAACAAGAAAATTATCAGATTAATTCAGAACATTGTGGGGCTAAGCAGTTCTGCCTTGCCTTTTCTTTCTGGGCTCTCTCTCTCTCTCTCTCTCTCTAGGCTCTCTCTCTCTCTCTAGGCTGTCTGTCATCTCTTCACTCTCAAGAAATTGCCTGCTCATGCTTTGGACCACATTATGTCACCATTAGTCCTCCTTTTGGAGGAAAAGCCCTCCCATATGACTTCATTTGGTGACATCAGTTCAGGAAATAAATATTTCTCTAGAAAGCAATGTTGCTTCCTTTTTTGACATGTCTCATAAAGCATAACTAAATGAAATGAAAAGTAATGGAACAGTTTCAAGTCATCATAGCTTTTTACATTATGGTCTTTTCCATTAACAACTGAGATCAATATTTTTATTGCTGTTAAATGACAAAAACTTAGACAAATTTTCTCACCAGCAGTTTGGGGCCATTTGGCTAACACAAGGCCCAAGTTAAAACCTAAGTCTTTTCATTCCTGCTCACCTCTAGCAATAACTTTCTCCAAATCACCCTTAACACTGCAGCTAATGCAGTTTTCTTAATCCCAGAACTTTGACAAAGTCCTGGAGTGATTTAAAGTGGTCATCCAAAAACTCAACTTCATTTCAAAGCCCTTTACCAGACCACAAACAACTTATTCACTCTGACTTTCCATCTGGTCCTACTCCACTTCTGTCCCGTACTATGTTGCAGCATTAGCAAGGAATTCTGGATGTTCTTTTTGAACCAGCATCCCACAGGGTGCCTAGCCCTAACCTTACTTATAGACAATGCTCAACAATGTTTTCTGGGTTGCATTGAAAAGGATACCGTCATTCCATTATCTCCAAATGCATAGCTATCTTTCATTCTGCTTATCATCAATGAGTGCATCATTTATTTCATTTTTATTCTTGACCATCATAGGATGTCTCTAGGTCATTTATATGCTTTCATGAGGTCTCCAAAGCCTGAGTCTAATGTTTTTCCCCAGGATCCTATTAAAAACATAGCATTCTGCTATGTGTATTTACCAATTGCTACAAATGCTGTCTCTCTCAGGACAGTCTTTGATTCTAATATTCTGTCCAAGCTTTCTATGCATATTCTTATTTATAAGTCCCACTTTGAGGTTTGAAAAATATGGTTCTCAGAAACTAATCCCAGCTTTCAAGAAATCTTCCATTCTGTTGCAAAGGCAGAACCACAAAACAAAAACTAGAAGACCAAATAAAAAGTGCCAGGATTATTAATACAGACAAGAACATTTATCATTTCAGAGCAATTTAGGGCCAGGAAGGCAACGAAATCCCACTCTGAAATGAAAGCACAAGCATGGCCTTAGCAGAATATTCTACCCATTCACATTTGGAAGGTAATAAACTTGTTCATGTCTTAAGAGGTATATGGTCTGGAGTTGGGGGCACTGATGAGCTGGCAGGAGGATGTTCTCAGCACAGTGAGTGAGTCAACCTCCTGCAGCCCTGCAAGCTGAGTCCATGCCAATGACTGTGGCTTAGTGTGGCTCATGAGGGGATGCACAGAGCATTATCAGTATGGAGACACACGCTTCCAGCTCATGATGAGCTGAGTGCAGAGCAGGAGCAGTGACAATGGTAAGGCCTTGAAGACAGCTAACTCAAGAGGGTGAAATTCAAAGTCAATCCATTCCCATATCCCAGCTGCAGAAGTCTGAGTGGGTAAAGGACTGGGAAACTTGGTGAGAAACAAAGGACACTGGAAAGGGGGTTAAAAGGCTTAGATTCTGCTTCTGCTGCACACTCAAGTTCCTGGGAAATCCATTCATTTTACTGGATCTTTGTTTTGTCCTCTGCAATATAAGGTGATTGGAGCAGAAGGGTGGCTCTTTATACTTTTTTTTTAATGGTAGCCTTTCATTAATAAAATCTTACATAAAGCTATGGTATATAAAAGAGGCAGAAGCAATGCCATGCTGGTTGAAGTGGGCAGAGAAGTTTCCTGGTTGGCATTCCCTCGGCTTTCCCTCCACAGAGCCCCAGGGTGCTATATAATAGAGCCTGAGACTGAGACTGCCGGCCTCCACATCTCCAAGTTGCCTTCCAGCTCTGACACTGTGAGAAAAAAAAATGTTCTTTGTTTTCCCAAGGACATATAAATTCACTCTTTTTTTTTTTTTGATGTGAATAAAATGAAAGGAAGTGCAGACTAGGGCATGGCTATATGCCAGTTAGCTTCGTTTTGTTCTCTGGCGTCATGTGGGGAGTGTAAGAGCAAAGGGGAGTTCTGTACCCTAAAATGATCATCCTCACTCTTCCACTAAATAACTAAACAAACAAACAAAAAGAACATAAAGAAGACAACAATATAATTCCTGACTATCACTCTCTGCTTGCCCGTTCCCACCTCCATGAAAGACTCAGGTGAGCCCATGAGCTCCTCTTTCAACCCCATTCCTAAACCTGGGGAGAATTAGAGCAGGAGATTGAAGTTTGGTCTGGAGGAAAGAAGAAACAGAAAACTTTGGAGGAGGAGATGAGCCACTTCCAGGGGGGCAGGTGTGGGTGTTGACTTAGGAACATCAGCCTCTACATCCTTGGTGATTTCTTTCAGGGCCCTGGTGGTAGTTGACCTCCAACATCCTTTGCAGGGATATTAGAATAAAATTAATCCCTAAGATTATTTAGATTCCAGGTTGTTTGCTGCCACAAAGTGCATGATGTCCTGTAAATCACTAATTCTTGAAGGCCCATAAATAGGGATTCTTCATAGGAAGTATACTTTCATACTATCTACTTCACAGGAAGTATCCCTTTTGAAAAAAAAAGTTCCCAGTGCTATAAAAATGTAGATATGCTCTCTGGGATGCCCTCCCATTCCACCCCTCACCTCTGCTGCTTCTCACCTTCTTTTGATTACTCTTCTTCCTCTTGTTATCCAGAAATGGGGGTAGAGCAAAAGGACTGTCAGAATTTGTTTCCGGAAAAGAGGTAGTAAAAGAGAAGAAGAATAACCATTCTTTTGTTTTAAACATGCCCATGGCCGGGCGCGGTGGCTCATGCCTGTAATCCCAGCACTTTGGGAGGCTGAGGCGGGTGGATCACGAGGTCAGGAGATCAAGACTATCCTGGCTAACACGGTGAAACGCTGTCTCTACTAAAAATACAAAAAAGTAGCCGGGCGTGGTGGCAGGTGCCTGTAGTCCCAGCTACTCGGGAGGCTGAGGCAGGAGAATGGCATGAACCTGGGAGGCGGAGCTTGCAGTGAGCCGAGATCGCACCACTGCACTCCAGCCTGGGTGACAGAGCGGTACTCCATCTCAAAAACAAAAAACAAAAAAAAACACATGCCCATTGCCTCTCCACTCAAGCATTTCTCTCCAGTTGAAGTGAGTATTAGTGTCTTCTCTATGCCTTAGGAGCTACTGACAAAGAATTTTGTCTAGATATTTCTAAGCATTAGACAAAGTATAAAGCATGAATGTAACTTAGTTCAGAGAAGAGTCAGCATACTTAATAAAAACATGATGAAGCCAAGATAGGTTGTGTTTATTTAACTAAATTCCGAAAAGTGCATATAGCACTCCAGACTGAATCCAAATTAAGAGGAAAGAAATGTTGTCTTATCCAATACTGAGTTATTTGTTCAATCTGGGAAGCTCTGCAGAAGGCATTTATTACAATGAGGAAACTGTTGGAATAATCAGGCCGTAATCTATGAACAACTAACAAAGATTGGTTCTCATCTTAAGTCTAGGATACTAGCCATTTTTTTAAGTATAGACTCATAAAATTTCAGAAGGAAAGCACCCTTAGTTATATAGCAAAGTACATCAAAACCTAGTGGATTAAAATAACAATCATTAATGTAGCTGTGAATCTGCAATTTGGACAGACCTTGGTGGGGAAACCATGTCTCTGCTCCATGTGATATCAGCTCAAGCTGTTTATGTGGGGCTAGAAGATCCACTTCTAAGATGACTGTAATATTGTGATATAGCAAGAAATATACATTTGGACTCTGTCCCTGGTTCCTGGCACAAAGCTCCTAAAACCCTTGGAATTCCTTAAGTGATAAGAGTGAAAGGAGCATCTTTTGTGTACTCATAGATAAGCCCTTTTTTAACCTTAAATGAGTTTATGCTAATGATGTGATGCTTGGAGGATGGGGGCCATTTGCTAGAGAAAATGACCTTGTGATTAGAGGGTTGGAACTTTCATGCCCATCCCTTGATCTCCAAAGGGGAAAAAAGGGATACAGACTGAGTTCAGTCACCAATGACCAATAATTTGATCAATCATGTATACATAATGGAACCTTCATAAAACTTTCAATGATGGGATCCAGGTTGGTGAACACATGAAGGTACTGGGAAGGTGGCACACCTGGAAAGGTCACAAAAGCTCTCTACACCCCCACCCCATACTTTGCTTTATGCATCTTTTCCACTTAGCTGTTCTTTATAATAAACTGATAAACATAAGTAAGAGTGTCCTACAGTTTAATGAATGATTATAGCAAATTTTCAAACCTGAGGAGAGAGTTGCAGGAATGCCTGATTTATAGCCAATTCGTTAGAAGTACAGGTGACAACATGGGACTTGCAATTGATATGTAAAGTAGGGGCAGTCTTATGGGGCTGAGTCCTTACCTTGTGAGATCTGCACTAATTCTGGGTAGTTAATGTCAGAACTGACTTAAATTATAGGACAGTCAGTAGGCATTCACAGAGAATTAGAGAATTGCCTAATATGTAGGGGAAAACCCACACATATCTGAGGTCAGAAGTGAAATGTGTGTGCAAAAGAAAAACAGGTTTTTCTTTTAATGTCTCACATGGCTGGCAAGTTGATGCTGGCTGTTGGCTGGGAGCTCAGCTGGGCTGTAGGCTGGACATCTTTGTTTCTTTCCACTTAGGCTGATCTACATGTTGCGTAATTGACACAAATAATTTAGCTGGGTTCAAAAGTCAGAATCTCAAGAGATAAAATGTAGAAGCAGATGGTTTCATGACGCCTAGATCTAGAAACAGCTACAGCATCACATCACTGAATTCAGTCCCAGAAGTCAGATTCAAGGGAAGGGACACAGCCCCCACCTCTCAATGAAAGAAATATCAAAGGCTTTGGGGAACATATTTTTGAATTACCACACAAGAGATACAGAGATGTGGTGAGAGAGAGGGAAGGATTTTAGAAGAGGAGAAATAATGATCTGAAAGTAGCACTGAGGCGACATGAGGATACTCCACCTTCATACCTGGTGGTAGAAAACTTCACGGAATAAAATAGCCCCACTTGAGTGGGCTGCAGGGCAAGCTGTGTCCTCAGGGTGAACTACTTTCCTCTTAGAGCAAGAAGATGAAAGGAGTATTCAGAAAAGAATTTAAGAATATAAGGAATTTTGTTCTTCATGACCATACATTGCATAGGGCACAATGGAAGGGTTTTGAGAATTGGGAAAGGGCAGGAGAAAAAGGTAAATTAGATGATATGTGGAAACTATTGAGAATTGAACTACAGGAGATATGGATCTAGGAATCTGGTGTTTGTGTTGGTAAGTCCTAAACAGGAATAAAGAACATAATGAGATTAAGCCCATGGATTCCAAGCAAGTGTCAGTGAAAAGATTTATGATATATGAACACCCCACTTAATAAACATTATCCACTGGATAATGTCACACAGTATAAATAAACTAAAGATAAGCATGTGGAGACTAAAGATTACTATTCAAAATATATAAAGGACTCCCAGAAACCAATACAAAAAAGAAAAATTACTCAAAGGAAAAATTGGCAAAAAACGGAAGAGGCAAAATCAAAGCACAGAGAATGTCTCAATGGCTAGTAAAGGTAAGATGCTCAATTTTACCAGAAATCAGGAAAACACAAATCTAAACCACAACAAGATATTATCTTACTTCTATCAGATTTTGTGTGGGTGGGTGCAGAATCTAAAAGCCTAACAATATTAGGTATTTGTAAAAGTTTGAAGCAAAGAATAACTTCCATATATTACTGGTAGAAGTATAAATTGACACAATTTGTCAAAATGTTCTATGACTAATCAATTTCAATTCTAGGTATATTACACTAGAGAAATTGTTGCATACCTGCAAAAAGAACATATATACAAGAATGTTACTTGACAACATTGTTTATCATATTAAACATTACAAACTATCTAGAGGTCCATGAACAGAAGAATAGATAAGTATAATGTGGAAAAGCCATATGATGTAATTTTGTGTGACAATCTAAATGAATGAATGAGAGCTGTATTTATTAACTTGGACAAATATCACAAACAGTAACTTACAAAGCAAATTATGATACCATTAATGTTACTTTAAAATCACTCTATATATTTTTACAGATTTTGACTCTCCTACTTATCATGTGACCTTGGGCAACTCTGAGCTTTGGTTTCCTCATTAATAAAATGGGAATGACAATAAAACTTACCTTGTAGGGTAGTACAATTATACAAGTGAATACATAGAAAGTGCTTAGAATAGTGCTGGGCACACCATAAGCACTACATGTGTTAGTTATTATTACTATGAATGTTATTATTGTTGCTATGTAGAAAAAATTTCACAGAAATGATAAAACCCTATCTCATGATCGTGACTACAACTGGAGAGAGGTGCACGGAAGATTTCACCCTTATCTGTATTTTATTTATTTAACAAAAATATTTGAATCTACCCTGGTGAACCCCAGCAGGGGATACATGGGTATTGTACATACATGTACTCCTAACGGTCCAGTGTTGCAAAAGACAGAAGCCAACCCCAGGACCTGCCCTATTTTCTTAAGAAATGCCTTGAGATGACTTCATGTCCCCTTTCTTACTTTCAAGGAATTGGAGGAGCAGTTAGTTACATCACGTGTTTGACTAACCAGTGAATAAGTAAGAAGAGACCATTTTAGATGACAGTCTTCCAATTTAGTGGAAATTATAAAGTTGACCTAAAGCAGATAAAATGTAAGATTCATCATATTAATAATTGGGACTATAGGGGCATAAGTCTCCCATTTACTAAAGGAACATCCTAAACTCCCCTTCTGACCCTCATCCTCAGGAACAGATGTTGAACTCATGGTAGTCTGGGTAGCACTGTGCAGAAGAGAACATTGTGAGCTGGCAAATTGACACAGAGATGCTACCCAAAAATGGGGACATCTCTGAGGAAGCCTACAGCACTATTTCTATAATGAAAATTCGTTTGGCTAAGAGAATTGCAGCTCCTCATGGTTGGGATTGAAACATTTGCTTTTGGAAAGCCCATGATAGAAAAGGTGCACTTTTCTATGTTAGATTTGATCAAATACTAAGATTCGAACTTAGTCCCTCAGCTGCTGAGTCATTAACAGACATACTCCCCATTCTCCTTAGAGCTGTCTAGAGCCTGCCTCATTTGTAGAGGAGAGTCTTAGAAATGAAGAGCTCAAGGCCCTTAGGAGGACATAGGCTTGGGAGGCAGGGAGTTCCACAGAAACACATTCCTTTGGTTTTGCACTTGTGTGTAGGGCCCACTCTGTGTCCGGCTCACCCTTTGGTCCTGATCAGCTGACCAGCATCTGCCATTGGTCTATCCACACTGAAAGGATAAGCACTGTCCATAGACATAGGCTTGATTGTCAAGTGGGCCAGCCTTGTAAGAATTCTCAAGCCCTTTCCAAAGTTCCCACAGATAACCCACTGTTGTCACAACCTTAGGGTTGCTCCTGAACCAAGGTGGAGGAACAGAAAGTTACGCTACAACTTAGAGAGCTTCCTACACAGTTTCTCATTCCACCAGCTTCACTCTCCTGCAGGTAGCATGAATCATTTCCACTGCCTCCCACCTGACGGAGTGGAAGAGTCTCTGTCCATGCAGCTGTTACCCAAAGGTGTTCCTGCTTCACTTCAGTGAAGGAATCATTATGTTAACTCCAAGCTAACATGCGGACATGAGTTCTCTCTTCCGAATTTTCTCTTCTCCTGCAGGTCTCCCTGCCGGTCCTAATTTTCATCATTCCCCAAAGAACATCATAAAGCTAACCTTTATGTGGTAGACATTAATATTATTTCCATTTTAGAGATGGCGAATTAAGTCTTAGAGAGATTAAAATTCCAAAGTTACACAACATGTGGTAGAGTGAGTATTTAAAGTCAAGTCTGTTGGTCTAATTTCAAAACTTGCACCCTTAATGACTGTACTGCGTGGTCCTATGAAACATTTGCTAATTACTTCAAGGAGTGGGAATTACACAAAGTAGGAAGAGAGTGAAACACCTCATAAGTACATAATTAGTCACATTCCTTTTAATATCATCTGGAGAATCTACAGGAAATAAGTTATTATCAGTGGTATATGTCTTGTCAGAGAGAGGTAAATAAAAGCGACATGAATAATGTCAGGAGGAAAATAAAGCTGAGGCCTACTGTAATCCTCCAGATGGCGAAGATATTTTTGTATGTGTCATTTCCCAATCTTCTCAACAATGTGTTATTACCACTTGTTTTGCACTAACTGGCTGGATAACTGTCAGGATGGGCTTCTAAGCAATGACATTGAGAATTCTTGAATAGCTGAATAGTCTGATGGGGTGGGGAGGGAGGTTGGCAACAAGGATAACTAAGAGGAAAAAGCACAACAGTTATACAGAAAATGGGTTAGGAGACAGCGAATTGATGATGCCCAAGCGGGGTCTTGAAAAATGATTAAGAGCAAGATAAAAGGTGAAGAGTATTCTAGATTCATGAACAGTGTGGACAAAGAGATGAAAATGCCATGGTCTGAATGTTTGTTCCTTCAAAAGTCATATGCTGAATTCCTAATGCCCAGGATGATGGTATTAGGTGTTGGATGTTGAGAGGTGATTAGGTCATGAAGGTTGTATCCTCATAAATGGGATTAGTGCCTTATAAAAGATGCCCCAGAGAGCTTCCTTGCCTCTTTCACTATGTGAGGATACAGCTAGAAGGTGCCAACTGTGAACCAGGAAACGGGCCCTCACCAGACACTGAATTTGTTGGTGCCGTGAGTTTGGATTTCTGAGCCTGCAGAACTGTGAGAAATAAACTTCTGTTGTTTATAAGCTACCCACTCTATGGTATTTTCTTATAGCAGGCCAATGGAATAAGACAGAAAGCAAAAAACACCATGGGATTAAGAACAACTATACATAATTTGGTTTTCCTGCAGGCAGGAAATGAAAACATTGAGGTAGAAGAGATAGGCAGACTCTGGAAAATGGAGTGCATTTGGCACATGTGAAGGAGTTTGGGCTTTAGTCTGGGAATAGTGGGAAACCACCAAGTGGTCTTAGGCAGACAGGTGATATATCAAGTTTGCATTTTTAGTGGTAAGACATTTAGGTAGGAAACCAGTAAAGAATTGATTGCAACTGTCGGGGTGAGAGATGATGAGGGACAGACTCAAATCAATGACAATGAAATTGGAAGGGGAGAAAGAGACAAGAGATATTTGAAAGTTAGAATCAGAAAGATTTGGTGTCTGACAGGATTTAAGAAGTAAGAGAAAGATAATGGTTTGGGTCACCCTCCAGGGGTCCCCACATTGGCTACTTCAAGGACAGAGAAACATCTTTCCCCTTTGCCTCTCCTGAGGCAGCCCCAGGGCTAGCCCACTAAATCTCTGTTTCTATTCATGGCGGTTCTTTAGGAAACTTATCACTTTGCTTCCCCACGAGGCCTATGTGAGCATCCATTCTGGGATTGGGGTTATTTACACTTACCTACATGGAAGGATCCTCAGGGGTCCTTAGGCAAGTTGTTTTATGTTCTGCCCAGAGCTCTGTATGGAGCTCTGTATCTCAGGAGGCTGGGATAATTCCAATAAATTAGTGAAAACTTGCATGACACCTTTCCTTAGGGCAGGAAACTGCCTGCTACATATCTGCATAACCAAGAAGGGACACAAGGTGACCTTTTAACACTGCTAGCACAAAAAGTGACTACACTTTAAGAAGGAAAACAAAACAACTACATCAGCTACACCAGCCTCTAGGAAGCAGTTAAAACAATGGAAGTAGATCAGATCATCCAGGGAGCAATGTAGAATGAGAAAAATATCACGAGGATAGGTCCTCAGGAGACACCAACTTTTAGACAGAATCTTTTACTATAAAAATGCAGGGGCAGAGCATTTTAAGGGAATAGCAATGAACTGTCAAACGTATCAAAGTTCTGCTAAGACCGATGCACTTAACAAGAACTGCTTCAGGGGATTTTTTGGGGTAGAAGCCAGATTACAGCAAGTTGAGATTTTAATGGAAGGTAAAAGAAGTGTCTTAGAAGAAAATAAATCATGAGGCAAATAGAGGGGAGAAGTTGCTTATGAGCATGGTTATAAGATGATCAATGGAAAGGGCAGATTGAAAACAGAGAAAACAGAGGGATGATGATTGCTGGAGCTGAGTCCTGCTGGGGACAGGAGGAGCTGACATCCAAAGTGCAGAGCAGTGTGTTTGCCTTGAACCAGAGAAAGGACAATTCATTTTGCTCCACAAATAAAGAAAAGAAAGGGAGAATATAAATGTAGGTAATTATGTGGGTAGAGAGACAGGAAGTTCAGATATTTCATGCCTAATTAACCTTAAATTTCTCAGAGAAATAAGTAGCAAAAGCATCTTCTACAATGGGCTGAACAGAGATGGAGCTTTGAGATAGTGTTTGAGAATATCAGATTAGACCAGGCATGGTGGCTCACACCTGTAGTCCTAGCTACCTGGGAGGCTGAGGCAGGAGGATTGCTGCAGCCAAGGAGATCAAGGTTGCAGTGAAATATGATTGCACCACTGCACTTCAGTCTGGGTGAGAGAGTGAGATCTTGTCTCAAAAAGAAAAAAAAAATCAAATCAAGAACAAATAGTCAGTGTTTGGTATTAAATCTCCCACTAGTACTATTAACCCTAGTGGCTCCAATTTCCAGGATTGGGTGCTTATCTCCCCTGGTGCAGGAATAAAGGTAACCTAGAGCCTTAATCCAGAGTTGGCTAAGTAGGCGTGACAGCAGATGCATGAACACTTTGCATTACATTAAAGTTGACTGAATATGTACCATCAAAATAAATAATGTGGTGGCCCACCACTTGTATTATTTACTATACAGGTGCTCCATATATCAATAGTTTTGTTTGCATGTAGTTTTTTTCAGCATGGAAAAAGAACCAGGGGTTTCAGATTCTTTTTGTGGTAAAGAATGGAAGTATAGCTCTTTTGACAAGTTGGGCTTTGTTTTGACAAGCTGAGCTGAAATCAATCTCATGTATTTTATTTGTTAATATTTCCTCAGAATCTGAGGTTTTCTAGATTCATTGTTAAGATATTTAAGAGGGTAAATGACACTATTTTATGACCAATTCAAATAAAATGGATTATAATCAACTTAGTAAGTGTAACACATTGATTCAGTCTGTTCCCCCTTCCACCAAATTAAGAACTTCTATAAATATCAGCACAACTTTATGATATGGGAAAGTAAAACAAATTACACTTATGGAAAAAACAGCTCATTAGTAAAAAGGCTAAATTTGTTACTATTACTGGATAAACCTCTCTTCAGTTCTGCTATTGAGAACCAGTTGGATAAAAGAGAAGGAAGCAGAGTGGGAACTAAAACATTATGGAAACTGGTTCTTGACCTCAAGTAGTTTCGTGGAAATTTGGGGGAGGGGGTGGGGTGAGGGGGCAAATTCATTCCTCTCCACATGCTGCATAATGTCAGTAAACAAACACTTTTTTTTTTTTTTGAGACGGAGTCTCTCTGTGTCACCCAGGCTGGAGTACAGTGGCAAGATCTCAGATCTCAGCTCACTGCAACCTCTGCCTCTTAGGCTCAAGCAATTATCCTGCCTCAGCCTCCCAAGTAGCTGGGATTGCAGACGTGCTCCACCATGCCCAGCTAATTTTTTTTTGTATTTTTAGTAGAGACAGGGTTTCACCATGTTAGCCAGGCTGGTCTCGAACTCCTGACCTCAAGTGATCCACCTGCCTCAGCCTCCCAAAGTGTTGGGATTACAGGTATGAGCCACCACGCCCAGCCAACAAACACTTTTAATAAAATGCCTAGTTTGTGCTAAAATGTTGAGCAAAGGTTTGCTACAGATTCACAAATCTAGAATGAGAGAGCCATTTAAAGAGGAGTTGGCTTCTGAATAGAAGATTCCTTTGGTCAAATTAATTTCAAGCTAATTAATTTCTATTGAAGACGAATCAATTCAAATAAAACATTTCATTAAAGCACTAGCCTGGTTACATAATAAAATCGTACAAATAAAACAGTGAGTTTTCACCTTCCTCACGTGGCATTCAGAGGTATTGACCTGAATTTATATGTGAGGAACCTTAGTTAAATCCATTTTAGGCCATGGATAAGCCTTTTTTGCTGTAGGCCATAAATGCAGTAGTATTTATTTCCAGATGTTTCCATGTGAAAACAAAGTGGGAAAATATACAAAGAGGAGGTGTGAAGGTCTAGATTTTTATTTTAAACAAGTTCATCCTTGCTACTGAGTTTCATAAAGCTAATGTAAAACTCAGGATATCGTAAACACACACTGCTTCTAGCATACAGTGTTTGCAGCCATTTCTAGGTCAAAGACCAACTCATAAAAGAGGGGTGGAAGTCTCTAGGAAGTGAACCCACTTATTTTGGCCCTTTGCCCTTCAGAGGTATTAGAAGAGTGGTAAGACTCAGAGGAAGGAAAGGGAGATTGTGAGAATGGGGCTTGGTGACTTCTCTAGGCACTCATTATTTCCAGCCTGGATGGGGGCACAATCATCTTGATGGTCGGATGGAGAGCAGAAGGAAACAGCAGCACAGGGAAGTGCTGCCAGATGTCAGGTAGTAGGCAGAGGATTTGGGGAAGCAGTCCAGATGACATTAGTTTCTGTCCCTCATTTCACACACACATCTGTCTAGTTTGGACTAGATGTTAACTTGTCTGGTGACAGAGCTGAACCCAGAACCAGATATCTTGCAAGATCTTTTCTACCTCTGAGATTGCTGCCAGGGGAGACCTGAGTAGGAGCACACAGATCCACAGATCATCTGCTGGTCACTAGAATAAGCGGACCAAGGAGCATACTCGCAGATATGAGCAATCAGCTGAATGGAATTTGAGGAATATTGTAGAACTAAAATATAAAGTGTTCCCTGGGAAAATTACCTTGGCTCCTTCAGAGGAAAAACAATTGTTTAAATTCTTTACCATTTAGAATACCTAACAGAGTATGCGCCTAGATGTCAGGTTAGAGGAAATCAGTTTAAATGAAATTGAAATTAGGTCAGCCTTCTCTAAATGAAGTAGAAAATGGTAAAAGCTTTCATGAGGCTAGGGAACTGGGTTAGAAGTTAGTTTTCTGTCTTTCTGGGGTGAGGATGTCTCTGTGTTCCTCCCCTGGGATATAACCTGGCAGATCTAGGGAACACTAAGATAATGAAACACTGGGGCAAGCAGTACACATGTAAACCTCCTCTACTTCCTTGCCTTGTCTGCTACTTCCCTCAACGCGGCAGCATTTCCTCACTCCGCATCCTCCATGCAGCTCCACCTAAATTCCCATTTCACAGCCTTGACTCTCACTCTCTCCAGCTTTCCCTACTACAACATTCATTCAAACTACCCCTCCTAGGGCCACTTCCCTTGGGGTCTTTGGGGTATGACTTTTCAAGGAATGGGGAGGAACATTTCCTTGCTGAGAAAATACACCTAAACAAATGCTTCTTTATAGAAAAATAGATTCAGTTTTTAAAAATTCAATTAAAATATTCACACATGAAATGCCCACAGACCTTTCTTTCTTCAAGTTTACTGATTTACTTCTGCCTGACTCTCCTTTTACTGTAACGGTGTTGGCAGGTTTCCCTTGCCAAGTCACCAGACAGCTTGTACATACAAACATAGCTAACTTTTGCCTTTCAGTTTATGTAATCACCTGACAGATTGGAGAAATTGTTGCGGTAAAAACAAATCAAAGAGAATTTTATAATTTCTTTCTAGATGTCTGTGAATCCAAGCAGTCTCTGAAATACAGCCAGTAAAAACCTATTCCAAGTATCTTTTTTTCTTTTTCATTTTTTTTTAAATTATACTTTAAGTTCTGGGATACATGTGCTGAACACACAGGTTTGTTACATAGGTATACATGTGCCATGATGGTTTGCTACACCTATCAACCTGTCATCTAGGTTTTAAGGTCCACCTGCATTAGGTATTTGTCCTAATGCTCTCCCTCCCCTTGCCTCTCACCCTCCGACAGGCCCCAGTGTGTGATATTTCCCTCCCCGTGTCCCTGTGTTCTCATTGTTCAGCTCTGACTTATAAGTGAGAACATGTGGTGTTTGGTTTTCTGTTCCTGTATTAGTTTTCTGAGGATAATGGTTTCCAGCTTCATCCATGTCCCTGCAAAGTTCACGGACACATTTCTTTTTAAGGCTGCATAGTATTCCATGGTATATATGTGCCACATTTTCTTTATCCAGTCTATCATTGATGGCCATTTGGGTTGGTTCCATGACTTTGCTGTTGTAAATAGTGCTGCAATAAACATACGTGTGCATGCATCTTTACAGTAGAATGATTTATAATCCTTGCATATATACCCAGTCAAATGATATTTCTGGTTCTAGATCCTTGAGGAATTGCCACACTGTCTTCCACAATGGTTGAACTAATTTACGCTCCCACCAACAGTGTAAAAGTGTTCCTGTTTCTCTGCATCCTCGTCAGCATCTGTTGTTTCCTGACTTTTTAATGATCTCCATTCTAACTGGTGTGAGATGGTCTCTCATTGTGGTTTTGATTTGCATTTCTCTAATGACCAGTGATCATGAGCTTTTCTTCATATGTTTCTTGGCCACATAATGTCTTCTTTTTGAGAAGTGTCCGTTCATATCCTTTGCCCACTTTTTGATGGGGTTTTGTTTTCTTGCAAATTTGTTTCAGTTCTTTAAGTTTCTTGTAAGGTTTGGATATTAGACCTTTGTCAGATGGGTAGATTGTAAAAATTTTCTCCTATTCTGCAGGTTGCCTGTTCACTCTGATGATAGTTTATTTTGTTGTACAGAAGCTCTTTAGTTTAATTAGAACCCATTTGTCAATTTTGGCTTTTGTTGCAATTTCTTCTGGTGTTTTAGTCATGAGGTCTTTGCCCATGCCTATGTCCTGAATGGTATTGCCTAGGTTTTCTTCTAGGGTTTTTATAGTTTTAGGTTTTACATTTAAGTCTTTAATCCATCTTGAGTTAATTTTTGTATAAGGTGTAAGGAAGGAGTCCAGTTTCTGTTTTCTGCCTATGGCTAGCCAGTTTTCCCAGTACCATTTATTAAATAGGGAATCCTTTCCCCATTGCTTGTTTTTGTCAGGTTTGCTGAAGATCAGATGGTTGTAGGTGTGTGGTGTTATTTCTGAGGACTCTGTTCTGTTACATTGGTCTATATATCTGTTTTGGTACCAAGACCATGCTGTTTTGGTTACTGTAGCCTTGCAGTATAGTTTGAAGTCAGGTAGCATGATGCTTCCCTTTGTTCTTTTTGTTTAAAATTGTCTTGGCTATATGAGCTCTTTTTGATTCCATATGAAATTTAAAGTATTTTTTTCTAGTTCTGTGAGGAAAGTCAATGGAGACTTGACAGGAATAGCATTAAATCTATAAATTACTTTCGGCAGTGTGGCCATTTTCAGGATACTGATTCTTTCTATCCATGAGCATGGAATGCTTTTCCATTGTTTGTGTTCTCTCTTATTTCCTTGAGCAGTGGTTTGTAGTTCTCCTTGAAGAGAAGGACTTAGCTCTGAGAGAGTGTATTGTTTCCTATTACCTTTAGTAGATTAGTAGTTCCAAGAATTAGAGATGAGGCACCCAAAGTTCAAGAGACTCCTACTTATCCAAGTGGGAATGATAATAAAAGATGCTTGGAGGACCTTCAGCATCCATCTTGGGTGCATCATATCTAATTCTTGGAACTACTCACCCACTAAAGCTAATAGGAAAGGATACACTCTCTCAGAGTTAAGTCTTCCTAAGCATTGATTTCACAAAAGATGCATACCTCATATTATGAAATATCATGACTATGATTATGACTATAATATTATGATTATGAAGATTGTACACCTAAAACCAGTAAGATGATAAATTTTATGTTATGTGTATTTTATCACAATAAACAAAATTGAAAAATTTATGAAGATATACAGATTAAGCAGGGTATAACCAATATCAATTAAATGCATGGGGCTCTGGAAAGTTATGGTGTTTTGCACCCAGAAGGAAATCACTCTCCCTTTTACCAAAATAAATTGTAATTTTGGCTTTCCTCCCTTCAACAAATTTACAAGAAAAAAATCAAACAACCCCATTAAAAAGTGGGCAAAGAAAATGAACAGACACTTCTAAAGAGAAGACATACATGCGGCCAGCAAATATATGAAAAGAAGGTCAACATCACTGATCTTTAGAGAAATGCAAATCAAAACCACGATGAGATACCATCTCAAGCCAGTTAGAACGGCTGTTGTAAAAAGTCAAAAAACAACATGCTGGTGAGATCGTGGAGAAAAAAAGAACACTTTTACATGGTTGATGGGAGTGTAAATTAGTTCAACCATTGTGGAAGACAATGTGGGTATTCCTCAAAGACCTAGAGGCAGAAATACCATTTGACCCAGCAATCCCATTACTGGGTATATACCGAAAGGAATATAAATCATTCTATGATAAAGATATACGCATGCATATGTTCATTGCAGCACTATTCATGATAACAAAAACATGGAATCAACCTAAATACCCATCAATGACAGACTAGATTAAAAAAAAGTGTGGTACTTATATATCATGCAATACTATGCAGCCATAAAAAGGAACAGATCATGCACTTCACAGGGACATGAATGGAGCTGGAAGCCATTATCCTCAGCAAACTAACTCAGAAACAGAAAACCAAATACTGCATGTTCTCACTTATAAGTGGAAGCTGAATGATGAAAACACATGGACACATGGGGGGAAACAACACATATTGGGGCCTGTTGGAGGGTTGGGGTGGTTGGAGGGAGAGCATCAAGATTAGCTAATGGATGCTGTGCTTGATAGCTGGATGATGAGATGATCTGTGCAGCAAACCAAGATGGCACACGTTTACCTATATAACAAACCTGTTCATTCCACACATGTACCCCTGAACTTAAAAGTTAGAAATAAAAAGGAAAGAAAGAAAGAAAAACATTTATACAGGAAAAAAAATTGTGGCTTTCCTCTGCTCTCTAAAGGTTTTACTTCTCAAAACTTTTCTTTTTTTCTAATTTGTAATACTGAAGAAAATTAAAGAGCAAACCCTTTCTTAACCAGCTTTTTCATGTATCACAATTGAAGACCTCTGTGGGTATATGGAAGTAAAACAGTGACATTTGGATTATAACTATTAACACTATTAACATTACTGATGTGTAGAAATGTTCCCATAACTGTGGTGACTGGCATTTGGTAAATACTTGGCAAGGGCACTTTGAGTAAGTAGGAAATAACATAAGTAAAATAAGGGTATGTGGCTTTTTTCGTGGTGGTGACCTGTGGGACTCCCATAGGCATGAATCTACTCTTTTCCTTGCTGCTCTATTTGTCCTCCCTCCTTTCCGTCTTTAAAGTGTGTTTAATTAAAAACCACATTGTAAGCTTGTTTGGATCTCCATTTATTGTCTATTGTTAAATTTTCTTTACTTAGAGGAGAAAAAGGGGCTGAGTGGAAAAGTAATATCAGATATTATATTAACTATCATAGGAAGGCATGATTTAAGATATGTTGATTCAGGCACTTGTAGTCTTGCAAAAAGACAGAGTTAAAACTTGGCTTAGCAGTGGCCAGATGTGAACTTTGAAGTGACTCCCAAACATTGTGTGGGCTTCAGAATAAACAATGGGTTCAAATCCTGGCTCTAAATATGTGAGCTTTATGACCTTAGACAGGTTATTTAACTTATTTAAGCCTTAATTTCTTTATCTGTAAAACTGACTAATACAAATACTTGCCTCTTAAGGTTTTTATGAGTTTTACTACACACGTAAGCACACAAAATGGTACTTGGACAGAGTACATATTCAAACACTGCTAGCTATATACATTCTTTCCTCAATATTCTAGGAAATTCAAACAAAAGCCAAGATCTCCCCTATTTTCTTTAGATAATTGTTGCTATGTAGAGATGGATACAGAATATAGGAAAGGGGGAAACCATGCAAAGAAGTAAGAGACTGGAGAGAATGATATTATTCTCAGAATTCCCTTGTAGAAGCTTCATAGCAGAGAAGATTTAAAAATCATCCAAGTCTTCTGCATCAAGGTGAAGGACTTGGTTTGGACCAACTGTCCATCTTTTTGATGAAAGGAACCTCCATGGCAAACAGCATTCTCTGGAGGCCTGGAAAAATTGAGAATAGCACTGGCTACAAAACTTGCTTGAGAAGAGTAAAGCAGCACTTTGCTATGCAGAAGGCACCTCCCTCAAAGCTTTGCTAATAAATGTCATCTTCCCAATGCCTCCTTGACCACCATTCTTTGAATTGCAATTCTTACATCCTCCTTCCTATCTCCTCCTGCACTCTAAATCTCTCATTTTTGGCTGCATTCCCTTTCTCCATAGTACTTATACCTTCTAACATATTCTATGCTTTACTTCCTATGTGTTTATTACGTAAGGTAAGTCTCTCTTTGTTTGAAGTTAAGTTATACAAGGACAGAGGAATGCATCTGTTTCATTCACTGATGCTTTTTTTTTTTTTTTTTTTTTTCTTGAAACAGAGTCTCGCTCTGTCGCCCAGGCTGGAGTGCAGTGGCGCGATCTCGGCTCACTGCAAGCTCTGCCTCCCGGGTTCACGCCATTCTCCTCGCTCAGTCTCCCTAGTAGCTGGAACTACAGGCGACCGCCTCCACGCCCAGCTAACTTTTTGTATTTTTAGTAGAGACGGGGTTTCACCGTGTTAGCCAGAATGGTCTCGGTCTCCTGACCTTGTGATCCGCCCGTCTCGGCCTCCCAAAGTGCTGGGATTACAGGCGTGAGCTACGGCGCTTGGCCTCACTGATGTATTTGTAATGCCTAGAACTGTGTCTGGTACGTAGTAGGCACTCCTAAAAATTTGTTCAACAAATGAAGGAATGAATGGGTGAATGGTTTACTGAATGAATGGATACATTAAATGAATTGAACAAAAGAAAGTAGAATGGTTTGAAAAGGTCCTTCATTTGTTCTAATTGCTTGAACTACTTGTGTTTCCAAGGCCCATCCTGGCATAATAGCTCAGAGAGACACAGAAAGGAGAAAAGTTTTAAAACAAAATTTTCAACAAAAAAAGGAAATAAATAGAAGTTATGCTGTATAATGCTTTTAGTCTCATTTGAAAGCAGCTGTGTAGATTTAGGGCCCCAAGGAAAAGTCTTCCATCCCAGCCTTCACCCTCCCCAATTCCTGGAACAAGTGATATTAAAAAAAAAAAAAAAAAAAAAAAAACTGCAATGAACTTTTGGTTGCTGCCAGTACCTGAACGGCATTTGTGAGAATCTGTGGGAAGGAATCCTGAGTGTAAAATTTATCTCACATCTCTTCCTCTGGATGGAGATTGGCTTTATGTGGTGAAAAGCTTCGCACCTCATTGAAATGTATGTGTCTGCAGGATGCTTTCAGATTCTTAGAGTCCCGTCTTAGCATGTCATATTTGTTGACTATCCCTGTCAGCCTATCAGTGGGTTTCAACTGTAGTTTCATGTGTGGTAAGTGGCAATGAAGAAGCCCAGGGTAGTTCCATCCCAGAAAATGGGACCTACCCACCTCTGACCAGTGGAAAACACATGGCCAGGAAAAAGTCCCTTATAAGGTACATGGCTCTAAAGTAACCAATTAGCTGAACAACTAACCTTTCATCTCTCTAGCTAGATGACTAATAAATAAATCACTTATGACAGCTGGAATAGAGTTGGAGATGATAACAGTTTAGAGCTATATATATATATTAACATTATTTATTCAAGAGCCATAAACAAACTAGCCCCTAATTATCTCTGCAACCCTATTTCCTTCTAGTCCCTACCCCACAGCCAGCACATTCACCCAGCAATTTGTCTAGGCCTTTCACTGTTTCAGTCCATGCTTAGAATGTATTCTTTTCCTTTAAGCCTATTTTAACAATTCTTGAATCTTTCCTTATGACTCAGCTTACTTCCTCCCTCATCCATGGGTTCATTTTGAGTAACTCTAGTTTCTCTTAACTCACTCACCTCTGAATAACACTTATGCTCACATCTTATAACCTTAAACTCACTATTCTTGCCCTGCTCCAGATTATGTTAATGGGATGCTGGTGGGTTAGCACTGTGATATTGGTCAAGTCACTGTATTGCTCTCAATTTTTTTTTTCTTTTTTGTTTATCCTCCTTGACATCAATTTTCTCCATTCCAGTCCTATACTAGAACAATCATGTTGAAAAACTGAAAGTAATTGTGTCATTCCTTATCTTAAAAAGCTTCTAATTTCCCTCTGTTGCCTATGGGATAGAATCTAAACACTTTTAACATTGCATTCAAGTCCCTTCAAAATCTAATCCCAACCCACATTCTCACCCTGATAATTTATCCCTTATATTTTGCCCTTTGAAGTGTTGTTTTGTTCTCTGGAAACCATGGGCCTTTTTACCTGCAGTTCCCTTTCCTTATAATATCGTTTTCTGCAGTCTTTTCCTATCCATCCTTTAGAATTCTAATTCAAAAGTCACTTTCTCAATATTTCCACACCACTAGTCTAATATTTCTCTAATAACAGTTAATAAATACATGTCTCTCTAATCTCTAATAACACTGTGTACACCTGTCAGTTATTTACTGGGCATCTATTATGTTTCAGGGATTATTGCTGGATGCTGGAGACCCAAAGGCAAAAAAACTCAGAGAATTCAAGGAATTCTCAGTCTAGTGAGAAAAATGACAAGGAATGAATAATCACAATGCTATGAGAGAAACAATATTGGGCATATAGAGAGAGTTCTAGAGAAACATGAAGGGAGCAGCATGTCTCTTTTCAATGCCAAATGAGGAAGTTAGGAAAGTTTTCCTGGATGAAATGATCATTCTTTCCATGTCTGTATCCTAACTCAACTTTGAACTCATCAAAGGCAGGAACTATATTTTAGTTATTTTTCTGTCTCTTGTAATCTAGCAGTGTAACTTATGGTGCTAGATTACGAAAATTACTTCAGGTTTCTTTAGTTCAGCCTCCTTGATGTACATATTAAATATTTCATTCATTCATTCATTCATACCTGTGTTCCAGGTACACTGCTAGATTACAAGAGACAGAAAAATAACTAAAAGTTATTTAGTCCTAACTTTCAGTTTATAGGAAATATAGGTTTAGAGCAACAAGTTAAAACATCACCCCCACCCTGGGCTCCCCTACTACCCACCCCCCAACACACAGAATGTAGCCTGTGGGATTTTCTACAAAACAACTTACCTGGTCCTATCAAAAAGTCAATTGTCATAAAAACAAAACCAAATAAAACGTTGTGGGACTGGGGTCTGTCCTAAATCAAAAGAAATTAAATTCTAACCAAAAGGTGTTCTGGAGACAACTGGGGCAACTTGAATATTGATTAGATAGAAGACAATTACTAGGAAATCACTATTAATGTCTTAAGGGTGTTTGTGCTATTTGCTATTATGTGTATGTAAGAGAATATTTATTCTTACTTTTAGAAAACCCTAGCAGAATTAATTAGGATGAGGTGTCATAATGAAAATGGAGTTAAAAGAAAAAAGTTAATAAATAAAATTTGTTAAATAAATAAATAAAACAGAACAAAAAAACCAGACTGTTACCCAACCCACAGTTCCCATTAATCCATCAGGTTTAGAGTGCAATAACTCTAGCCAGTTCAAGCCTCTGAGAATCCTTCTGATAGTAAACAGAAATAGTAGTTTTGTAGTGATGACTAAATTAAGTTCTGTAGTTTCACAGAGATAAACTGTGAGGTCTAAATTACAAAGATACATACATCTCCAGTTCTGATTTATGGGAAAGGTAAATAGGTTTTGCAGAATACGATTGCTTAGGAGAAACTCTGTGGGCATGCGCAGATTTATACAAACAACTGAATTTTGAATATGTATGTTATAGAGTATTTTCTAATAAGTTTGTTAATAAAATTATGTGGAAGAGTGCTTATCCTAAAACTTAAAAATTCCTGAGAGTCCTAAAAAATTAGAAAGGCAAAATATGCCAGTCAACAATATTCTCTGAAAACAATTGCCTTGAAA
The DNA here is from genome assembly GCF_000001405.40 of Homo sapiens. Taxonomy (NCBI): domain Eukaryota; kingdom Metazoa; phylum Chordata; class Mammalia; order Primates; family Hominidae; genus Homo; species Homo sapiens. Next base: position 172,969,447 of record NC_000001.11, read on the forward strand.
AAGTTACAAAAATTTATTTAAATAATACCTAATTTATGCAACCAGAACCCAAGTGAAATTAAGTACACTTAAAGGAAATTAGTAGATCCTAAAATTTCTTTTCTATATCCTTTTTTTTCTATGTCTTTTTTTTTTTCTGGTGCCCTTTGGGAAGGCTAATTGTGCATGCTGGTAAAGATATTCATGATTCCTTAGCCTGAGAATGAAGAGTCTTGAATATGAACTTCCCATTTCTCCCTGTTGGATGCTAGAATATATTCCACTCTGGAATGCTCCTCCAGCATTCCAGATGGGTTTGCTAAAATGGGTGTTGAAACATCTGCTCCCACAGATAGCATCTAAGCTCACTGCTAAGTAAACATGTCTTCAAGAACTGAAGCTTTCTAGGCTACCCAGTTCAGTGAATGCTCCATCAAGCCAGGGAATGTGCCTTCCATTCAGAAAGAATCTGAGAAATCACTATGGAGGCTTGTCTTAGAGCAGAAATACCAAAAATGTGTCTTGCCTTTCTGTCTTGAGAAAGTAGAAGATCAACACATTCCTCTGGAACTGGAATGTTCAACCCAGAAAGCTAATTTCTTCCCATGCAAGCTAATTCTCCTTCCATTTTGAATTTACTATCAAAGTCAAGTGCTTGGGGTTCTGTATATATAGAAAAGTCAAATACACAAGTTTTCAGTTCTCAGAGATATTTTGTCTCTTATGGTTGTTTTGGGCCCCAAGTTTTGCAACTAGTTGACAAGTATAGTGGTTGCGCATTTCAAATTACTCATTTATCCTTGATCCATAGAATAGCAAACAGACTACATAGAGAGACTATGGGTCCAGCACATTTATGCCAATTTTTTGCACTGTTATTAACCTGGCCTGCCATTTGTCTCTGTCAGTTCCTTAATTTGAAATTTAAGAGCTGGGCAAACTTTCAAGACCTTCCCTGGTGCCCAGGGCAGGGCAAACAAAAACCCTAATTTCCAAATAGATTACTTTGATTACACAGTGGTTGAGTCAGAACAATGGGCACTATGAAGGCTCCTCAGCTTTGTGGTGATCAGAAAGGAAAAGATGAATAATTGTGATGAGGTCACCAAGGGTTTCTCCTCCAAAACAAAATGTCTATTAATTCTGTCTCTTCCCCAGGCCACTGCCAGATCCCAATGCACTACCATTGAGCAGCCCAGAGAGTTAGTCTTTATTCATTTTTCATAGCTTCCTTTAGTTCCCTTTCTCTATTTTCTGCTTTCCCAAGGATAGATTACATTTTCTTGTACTACTTTAAAATTACATATTCTATTTTTTCTTGTAGAATCAATACTTATGTGCCTATATCCCTATTGGTTTCTTAATGTATCAATTCTCTTATCTTGCTATTAAAAATACTATGTTTTGTCTCCATATTCATGTATTCATGTTGTCTAAGTTTTTCTTCTGGATCAAATATTTCCCTTTTTGTTTTTCTTTGGTTCTAGATTTTTTAAAAAAGAGAACAATAAAATTCACCAAGGTATTTGATTACCCTTATTTTCTCATCTCAAGCAACTCTTGGATATGTTTCTTTTAGTTAGAACTTCCTCTAAAACCATATTCAGTATAGTATCTCTATGAGGCAAACCTGAGGCTTTCTAAGCCTAAGAATTTTTTTTATCAAGCCCTCTTTTTAAATGAAAATGCTACTGGATATAAAATTTTAAGTCCAAAACTATTTTTCCTCAATATTTTGAAATAGAATTTTATTATCTTTTTGCATCTAGTATTGCTACTGATAAGTCTGCCCACTCCCACGGAGGGAACTTATGCTCTTCTCTTGGAACATGATATATCCAGGGCCCCCATCCCCTCAAACAAATTGGGCTGCGAGCACAACCCGTGTCACTAGCTTGTTCAGCCCAAGCTTTGCTCTCACACAAATCCCTCCACATACTTTACATGCCAATTTCGACTTTAGCTAGGTACTGTCTTAGGCTCTAGGAATGTGAAAGCTTTAACCTTGTCAGAACAAGCTCAGGTGAAAGAAACTGATGGGCCGAGCCTGCTGATATGATGCCAGAAAGCAGTGTATGGTTCACATCCAATCCACTGTGGCAAAGCTAGTGTGCACATGCTAATAGAGACAGTTGCAGCTAAGAGAAATATTTGGCTTCTAGTTCAGTTTTCTCCCTCAAGCAAATCTCAAGACTCAGGCAGGGTGATAAACAAAAAACACCAATACTTTCTGGAATGTCTTTTTTCCCTTCCAGTAAGACTATCTGGACCTTAAACAAGGGAATGCAGATGGTGTGACACAGGTCAATGCCTATGATAAACAACTTAAATAGTAAGAAGTCCTATAAATATAGCCAAACTGCTATTCATTCATTCATTCATTCCTCCATTCATCCATTTATCCATTCATTAAAATCCTCCTCAAGCTCTTGCTATATGTCAAGTCCTGTGCTGACTGGACACCGGGAATTAAAAGAGAGCTTACCTGTAGGGAGTTGACTGAATGGTGGGGGAAATAGAAGTAGTCAAGAGTCTCACAGATAAATGCAAGATTTTACTTAGGAGGAGTGCTCTGAAAGATAAAGTATTGTGCTCTTCAAACATAAAAGAGGAGTGTGACCTGGTTGGAGGTTGGGGGAGAAGGTCAGGGAAGGTCGCCTTGTGGAGGTGAGGACTGAACTGCGATTTGAAGGATGAGGAGGAATTAAATACACAAAGACAAAGGGAGAACAGTGTTCTAGGCAGAGGTTAAAGCATATGAAAAGAATTTGTGGCAGGAGAGGTGGTAAGGATTCAACGGGACACAGAGAAGGCCACTGTGGCCAAAGCACAGAACTCACCAGGGAGCACAGTAGGACACAAGGGTGGAGAAGTAGGTTGGGGCCAGAATGTGTGGGGCCTCCGAGGCCATGCTGGGGATTTTGGTCTTTAGCCTGTGGGCATGGGAAAGCCTGGAGGTTTTTCAAGCCTGGATATAAAGTCATATGACCAATGTTGCATGTGGAAATTTTTTTTGGCTTTAACATGGAGGATGTGTTACTGTGGGAAAGGACCACCAAGTACAGCAGCTGTGTAACATTTCCAGGAATTAGGAACATGTAATCATGTGTTTGCGTGGAATAAAGTTTTCTAGCATGTGCCAGTCTAGCCTACTTTGGAATATTATCAGCAGTCTGCCTATGTGCAGCAGCACAAAGAAAATTTCCTTTCTCTACTTAACATTTTTAAAATTTGCAAGCTTATAATTATGTTGATTTTTAGATCAATCTAATTGCAAGTAAAACTCTGAGTATGCCTTTTTAAAATATGTTGCATGTGGTTGATCATGTGAAAACTGATGGCATTGTTTCTGATGATTCCCTGATGTGGTGTTTCTCAACTTGTTAAAACATAAACTCCTGATTTTAGTGTGGGGCCCAATAATTTGCCTTTTAAGAAGTTCACAAGCGATAATGCCTAGCTATAAATAAATCTCAATATAAATAATTTTAAGATGTGTATTGCTTTTTTAAAAAATCTAAGTTTATCTTTAAAAGACCTAGTAGCTAACATAAATTCGCTTCTCAATCAAAACGTTTAATGAAAACCTACAATGCATGCTGCATATGAGCATCATTTTGATCTCTAAAAATATCACTTTTGTTCACATATGAGACACAAGTTGGTGTTGAAAGCCATATACCCTTTTAATCGTCTCCATCATCTCTCCATCCCATCTTCTAATAACAGAATGAATGCCTTAATATTAATTTTCCCAAAAAGTATTGTCATCTAGACTTTTTAAAGACTTGTGTCCTAGGAGGTGAACAGTATTAGCTTCAGTAACCTGGATGCTTATGAAACCTCAATTACATAATTTCCTACAGCACAGATTGCAATCCGCAGACAAGGGTTTCCCTGAATCTCCTCTCCAATTCCTGCCCCATCTTATTCTTACAAAACAAACAGCTTTTTCCCTCCTGTGCCAGCAGCTACCACAGACAGTTTCTATCCTTTTTAAATTTGTACCTGCTGAGGGAAGAGAAGGCTTCCCTTCCTACATAACTTTGGTGTGCTCAAGAGAGAAGGCAGGAGAAGTTTCCCTCTGGGCCAGCAACCTCCTTTTCCCAATTCATAAGCTCTCAGTCATACCGCTGTTGCCACGTCACACTGTTGAGGACTGTGCAAGAAAGGTTCACGTGGCTCAGGGTGCTTTCTTTGGCAAGGAAAGGTGGTAGCTCTGGAAGTTGGTTTGGCTTCAAGAGAGAGAGGGCTCGGTTTATGCTATGTCATTATTTCCAAATCAACATAAAAGGTAAGGCTCCTCACCAGGGCCAGCACATGTTGAGTGGTTTGGTTGGGTTATGACATTACTTGGAGCCATTCTTGGATATGTTATCTTTACACCAGCTTGCCTAAAAATATTTAAAAGATGCAATTCAAGCTAAGAAGATTTTTATATTTCTTTCATACATGGAGAAACCCCTAGATTGGAATAATCCAGGATTTGTGTTGGCACACCTCATGCCTTCTACCGTAAACATGCTTTCTCAACTCAGAAATGGTGCTTTTAAAAAATAAAATATCGGCGGGGCATGGTGGCTCACGCCTGTAATCCTAGCACTTTGGGAGGCCGAGACAGGTGGATCGCGGGTTCAGGAGATCCAGACCATCCTAGCTAACACGGTGAAACCCCGTCTCTACTAAAAATACAAAAAAAAAAAAAAAAAAAAATTAGCCAGGTGTAGTGGCAGGCGCCTGTAGTCCCAGCTACTCGGCAGGCTGAGGCAGGAGAATGGCGTGAACCGGGGAGGTGGAGCTTGCAGTGAGCGGAGATCGCGCCACTGCACTCCAGCCTGGGCGACAGAGCGAGACTCCGTCTCAAAAAACTAAATAAATAAATAAATAAATAAATAAAACATCAGGGAGGAGTTGGTTGGAATTTCGCATCTCCATGTGGAACACGTTTCAATATCTTTGATCTTTAAAGAAATCATGCCTTAAGTTTACCCTCTTTTTTGCTGTACTTTACCTATTGACTTCCATAATTGAAAAAGTCAACAAAAATAATTTATAGAAAAGTGATCAACACCCAAAAAGCCACATATCCAGACTCCATCCACAGGAAAGCAGCATGCTTCATTGACTATTATGGAAGGAGTTTGGACAGGATGATTTTTAAATCATCTCCCAGTCTTAACAGTCTATGTACTTAGAACTTAAACTTAGTGTTAAGGGGAAAAAAAATGAAAGAATTGTTCCCAGTCCCTGTTCCCAATTCTACTTCTAATTTTTTTTATTTTTATTTTTAAAATTCTTTTTATTTTTATTTTTAATTTTGTTTACTTTAAGTTCCAGGATGCATGTGTGGAATGTGCAGGTTTGTTACATAGGTATACATGTGCCATGGTGATTTGCTGAACCTATCAACCTGCCAACTAGGTTTTAAGCCCTGCATGCATTAGCTAATTGTCCTGATGCTCTCCCTCCCCTCACCACCCCTCCTGCCTACAGGCCCACATCCCTCCTGCCTACAGGCCCTGGTGTGTGTTGTTCCCCTCCCTGTGTCTATGTGTTCTCATTGTTCAACTCCCACTTATGAGTGAGAACATGTGGTGTTTGGTTTTCTGTTCCTGTGTTAGTTTGCTGAAGGTGATGGCTTCCAGCTTCATCTATGTACCTGCAAAGGACATGATCTCATTCCTTTTTATGGCTGCATAGTATTTCATAGTATATATATATATGTATGACTTGTACACAGTGACATGCACAGATCTTAAATATATAGCACTTTAGCACTACTCTGATCAAGATAAGAATAACACCAGTCCTTGACAGGCTCCCTTATGCCCCTTCTCAGTCTCTGTCTCCCCAAAGGTAATGTCTATTTTCTACTTTATCACCACAGATTAGTTTTGTCTATTTTTAAATTTTAAAATTTAAAATAACTTAAATATTTTTAAATATATTGATGGACTCATACAATATACACTCTTGTGTCTAGATTTTTTCATGCAGTATACTTCTGTGAGATCCATCCATGTTGTTTGAGTGTAGCAGTAGTTCATTCTTTTTCATTTCTACTTTATATTCCATTGTACAATTATATCACAGCATGTCTATCCTTTCTACCATGAATAAATATTCGGACTGTTTCTAATTTTTGGCTATTGTGAATAAGCTCTTAAGAACATTCTTGTACATGTTTTTAGTTTTCCCAGTTTTCTTTTCTTTTTTTTTTCTTTTTTTTGCACATAAGCACTCGTTTCTGCTGGGTGCATAGCCAGGAGTACAGTTGTAGAGCCACAGGGTCATATTTAGCTTTAGAAGATATTGTCAAACAGTTTCCCAAAGTGGTGTGACCACCAAAACCACCCTCCTCTTGTTTACCCCCTACCTCACTGGCCATTCTTTCTCAATTTTTTTTTGCCAATCCTTCGTAATAGCCCAGTGTTTTAACAAAGAAGTACCCTATTCAAATCCACATCTCCTTTTGGCCTCATCCTCCTTTTCCCTTTCCCTACCTTATTTTTCTTTATATCAATTATAACCATTTATAATAATGTATAATTCGCCAAGGTATTTACTGTCTTTAACCCTGTATATTTTAAGGGGTATAAGCTTCATGAGAACAGAACTTGTGCTACTTTTATTCCCTGATACATTCCCTGTACCCAGAACAGTCTCTGGCACATAGCAAGCACTCAATAAATATTTGATGAATAATTGAGTGATTAACTGAATGGAGGAAATGTTAGGGAAAAATGGTAAGAGGCAGTGGAGAGATATATTCTCCCCCAAAATCTTTAATGAATCGCTAGTATGGATGTAGCCCTGTTTGAACCTGGACATTCTGAACTTTATATGAATTGCATCATCAAAGTTTAAGTTCCAAAGGCAGGTGTCCTTGAGTTCCTGACTGGGACAGAGATGAGTGGAGAGGAATCAAATCCTGAAAAACATCTGGCTTTGTTTTTTGTGGCAAGTGTCAAGGTCCCTCAAAAAAAGTGCCCAAAATAACTTTATAATCACTTTAAACTGAAACGTAAACTAAAGAATTGTGCAGTTTGGCAGCCACTGACGTCACATCATTTCATCCAGTTCTAACCAGAAGCTTCCCAGGAACACAATAGCTGTTGAATCATTAGCCAGGGTGTGTAACTGGAGCCAGCTACCAATCTGGCCTAAACCCTGAGTTATACAATAAAAGTAGTTTGTAAGCTAGACTGAAATCTCTGTGGCCAGAACAAACAGTTAAACTGAAAATTATCACAAGGAAAGGCCAAAGTCAACAAGTTTGGTAGTGACTCAAAAAAAAAAAAAAAAAAAAAAAAAAAAAAAGCAAGGAGCTCTTGGCTTTGGCCCAGGGCAGACCAAGGAAACAGAGGATAGGTGAGAGATGCAGGCTCACATCAGGTCAAGGACAAGGTGGAGGGCACCCAGAATGTTTGATGGCATTCAGTATTCATTTTGCATTCTGTGTTCTTGGAAAGCCAGGGTGCAGCCTGGGCCTCCCAAAGGTATTAGCAGTGTCAGGCACCTGATGGCCTAATGCCACTTACAGAAGCAGATTTCTAAAATCTCACTGGAGATCTAAATCAGGAAGACCAAGAACAGAATGAAGTGATGGGGAAGGCTTTGTTGTTAGCGCTGGAGACTATTTTCAAAATAAGCTGAGTTTATCCAAGATTCTTGGCCATTGAGCAACTTTTTCAAAGGTAATCGAGGTTGGTTGTCCCAACCCTTCTTCTTCTTAAAGTACAAAAAGACATTTGGCCAATAAACCACTACACAAATATTTCTGTTCTTAGGTTTCTGACTATATTTTGTCTTATATGACATACTGCTTTTATGCTTCCTTCTAAATTTTAATTATGAGAAGAGTAGAGCCTATGATTTACCCATCTGTAAATCTTCCCCCAAACCACGACCTCCACCTAGTTCAGGGCTTTGAACATGATAGGAACTCAGTAAACATTGTTGAAATGAATGGAATATCTTTCAAATGTGTGAGGAATCATACTATGTTTAAGGCATATTGAAACTCTGCTATGGTATGATTTCTTCCTCGCAACCACCAGCACAATAGAACCAAACTGGTTTGTCCACACTTCCTGCCCAGGTAACTGGAGGTGAAACTTTTGCTCACCTTAAAATATTTGTCATATTGCCTTAATGTCTTTGCCCACAGAATTAATGGAAATACTTGGGTTTACTGATAATTGATAATTGGGCTTAAAAATATTTGTGTAGTAAACATAGCCAGACTATGTCCTATGTGCCCAAAACATCTCTCAGTGATTAAAAGTATTCTGTTTTGAAAATAAATAAGCATGATGATGCATGCTGGGGTTTGGTAATAATTTGCTACGTTTGGTTCAAATTAGTCAGTTCCTTTCAAAGTCATTGAAGAGTAAAATATGAACTGCCATGCAATGAGGCTGACCTGGAACTCTCACTTCCCCAAGTCATTTCTTGGCCATAGGTCGGTGGTGACCATTTCATGGCCTGTTTGAGGAGAAAGCACTGGAAAGAAGCTTTTTATTGTTGTTTTATTGTTGTCTTCTTCTCTGTTTTATGCCTTTTTCTGTGGTACAATTACCAACGTGTGTGATATCTAGTACTGTCTGTTTAAATATAGTCTCCCTTCTGCTTATAATGTTTTCTTCTTTATAGAGACATTTCTTTTAAAAGTGCTTACACCTATATTTCATCAGTGCTTACACCTATATTTGATAAGATGGGAGTGGAGGAGAAGGAGGAGTGCGTAGAAAGAAAGCTTGTAGTATTAAGAAAAACTATGAGTTTGTAGAATCTCACCTTGGCAGGAAATGGTTGAAGACACTAAAGACACTGATGTGGAATGAGTGAGCTTGCCCTGTTTTGGAATTTTAAAAACTGAAGCTTTCTTTCATATAGTTGCTGGATGTTTTCTTTTTCAGCTGTATGAAATAAATAGTACCACCTTTGTTAAACCCCAGTAATGAACATTGTGATGGTTAATTTTATGTGTCAATTTGACTAGGCTACAATACCTATATATTGAGTAAAACACCAGTCTAGATGTTGCTGTGAAGCTGTTTTTAGATGAGCTTAATATTTAAATCAGAGACTTTCAATAAAGCAGACTACCCCTCATAATGTGGGTGAACCTTTTCCAATCAGTTGAAGGCTTTGAGAGAAAAAGACTGAGGTCCTCCAAATAGGAAGAAATTCTGCCTCCAGGCTACCCTTGGACTCAAGTTACAACATTAAGTCTTCTCGCCAGCCTGCTGACTTACCCAGAATTTGGAATTGTTAGCCCCCACAATCACATGAGCCAATTCCTTAAAATGTCTCTCTCTCTCTCTCTCTCTGCTCTCTCTCTCTCCCGCCCCCCTTCTCTCTCTCTCTTTCTCTCTCACTACATACACACACACGTTTTATTTGTTGTTCTGTTTCTGTGGAGAATCCTGACTAATACAAATACATACCAAAACAAAGTTAGTATTGGACTTCTTGAGGCCAATAATACAGGTATTGTATGCAAGGTAAAAATTAAATAAACCCTAGGTTGCTGAGAGCCATTGCCTTAACTCTGAAAGGAAATGTTAGCCTATTGAGTATTATTTCCTGAAATGTCACTTAGACTGAGAAAGTTTCATCTGGAGCCCCTTCATTTCAGAGAAAGTTGCTCAGATTGCCTTATAGTTAGCTCTACCTTGACTAGAATATAATCTACAAAAAAGTTATTATACATTGATACCTACTATTCACCAGGTATTTTGCATACATTTATTCTTATTTTTATAACAACCCTGCAAGATAATATTGTTATACTCATTTTATAGATGAAGAAATTGCCCTAGTAAGTACTTTGCCCATTGATTTGCCTCAATCATATCAAATGTAAGTATATCAAATGTAAGTATAATGAACTGTGAATTAATCACTTAATCACCACTATTAATTGAAGACATGCTTATATGCACTGAGTATATACTCTACTGGATTATGAAGGATGTATATTTTAGAAAGATTTTCCAAAAGCATGGAAACTGTATGATCAACTCTCAATCCTTCAGAAAAATTAAGCATTACAGTAGTTATAGTTATTTTTCCAGCTGCTGCCTCATCAAAGACCTCCAGTCTCTTACAATCAGCTGCCTAGTTGACATCTCCACTTGATTATATGACACATTAAATCTCAGATTTAACTTGTCCCTGGTTTCCTTCCTTTCCTTATACACCACCTCCAATCAATCAGTCAGTCCTCCAAAGATGCCTGAGTCAGACTACAACTCATTATTTCTCCTGATAGAATTTTAACCCAAACCACCACTTCATTCAAGATTGCCCTAAAAGCCTCCTAACTTGTTATATTAGGTATAACAAGTAATCTAGAGGTGATTTAAAATACATGGGAGGATGTGTATAAGTTATATGCAAATATTATACTACTTTATATGAGGAACCTGAGCATGCACGGATTTTGATATCCACAGTGCAGGGACCCTGGAACCAACCCTTCATGGACATACAAAGAGATGATTGTGACATGTAATTATATACATTATATAACGTAGTATATATAATTATGCTATATTTTATGTATTATATAAATTGTATATATTCATGTGCTATTATAATATAATTATACTACAATATATTTGTTGTATATTGCAGAATTATATATAAAGATAATATTATTATATATATTTACTCTATAAGTCAATGATACTCCTCAGAATCACATTATTATCATAGGTCCACGCTGGCCCCTCTTTTAATTTCTTTTATTCATTCATTTCTTCTTACTTCTCTTCCTACTTCTTTCTCCAATCCCCCCTCCACAGAATAGGCAAGCATTCTAATGTGCTTAATATATATCCTTTTATATGTTTTTACAAAATATGTGAAACTTTTTATTGTCTGTTTTACAAAATATGTATTTCATGTGCATGAATTTTAAATTTATGCCAATAAAATTATTTACAGATTTCATTCCTGTTTCTTTTCCTTCTATTTAAAAAGTGAGACATAGGTTTCTAGCATCCACTCATGTTGCTCTAGGCATATGTACTCTGTCACTGTTTCTGCTGTATAGTTCTTCATGACAGGAATACTCCATTTTCAATCTCTTTCTTTCTCACTGAATGGACACCAAGATCATCTCTAATTTCCACCACCTAAAGCAACAGTATGATGAGCTTCCTTGAAAATGTGACCTCAGGATACTGTGTGAGAACTTCTTTTTGTTGATTATCCAGAAGTATAATCGCTGAGTCATAAAGTGTGGGGATGTTTACTAGGACTAAGGACGGCTAGACTGATCTCTGCAACAGTCTCTACTCTCCCAGGAAGATGCCACAACATTCCCATTATCATTTGGCAATGTCCAGCTTTCTCATTTTTTGCCAGTTTAACATGTGTAAAGTAATGTCTCATTATTGATTAATTTACATTTCTGTGACTACTAATGAGTTTGAGAGCAGTTTTTCATATGTTTGCTAGCCTTTTGGATTTTCTCTTTTGTAAACTACCCAATCATATCCTTAGCACACTTTTTTATTGGGGATTTCTGTCTTCTTGTTGTTGTTGATTTGCTCTTTTGTAAATTACCCAATCATGCCCTTAGCACATTTTTTTTTAATCGGGGATTTCTTTCTTCTTCTTCTTGTTGATTTGCAAGTATTTCTCATGCTAAATATTGGTCTTTCATGGTTTTAGATATTTAAACATCTCTCAGTATGTAACCTGTCTGTAAACTTTATCCATGACATGCTTCATCCAACAGAAAGACCTAATTATGATGTAATCAAGTTCATCAATTATTTTATTCATAATTTATTAATTTTAAGGGAAAATACTGTTTTTTTTTTTAAATTTACTTCTATTTTTTTTTATTATACTTTAAGTTTTAGGGTACATGTGCACATTGTGCAGGTTAGTTACATATGTATACATGTGCCATGCTGGTGCGCTGCACCCACTAACTTGTCATCTAGCATTAGGTATATCTCCCAATGCTATCCCTCCCCCCTCCCCCCACCCCACAACAGTCCCCAGAGTGTGATATTCCCCTTCCTGTGTCCATGTGATCTCACTGTTCAATTCCCACCTATGAGGGAGAATATGCGGTGTTTGGTTTTTTGTTCTTGCGATAGTTTACTGAAAATGATGGTTTCCAATTTCATCCATGTCCCTACAAAGGACATGAACTCATCATTTTTTATGGCTGCATAGTATTCCATGGTGTATATGTGCCACATTTTCTTAATCCAGTCTAACATTGTTGGACATTTGGGTTGGTTCCAAGTCTTTGCTATTGTGAATAATGCCGCAATAAACATACGTGTGCATGTGTCTTTATAGCAGCATGATTTATAGTCCTTTGGGTATATACCCAGTAATGGGATGGCTGGGTCAAATGGTATTTCTAGTTCTAGATCCCTGAGGAATCGCCACACTGACTTCCACAATGGTTGAACTAGTTTACAGTCCCACCAACAGTGTAAAAGTGTTCCTATTTCTCCACATCCTCTCCAGCACCTGTTGTTTCCTGACTTTTTAATGATTGCCATTCTAACTGGTGTGAGATGATATCTCATAGTGGTTTTGATTTGCATTTCTCTGATGGCCAGTAATGATGAGCATTTTTTCATGTATTTTTTGGCTGCATATATGTCTTCTTTTGAGAAGTGTCTGTTCATGTCCTTCGCCCACTTTTTGATGGGGTTGTTTGATTTTTTCTTGTAAATTTGTTGGAGTTCATTGTAGATTCTGGATATTAGCCCTTTGTCAGATGAGTAGGTTGCGAAAATTTTCTCCCATTTTGTAGGTTGCCTGTTCACTCTGATGGTAGTTTGTTTTGCTGTGCAGAAGCTCTTTAGTTTAATTAGATCCAATTTGTCAATTTTGGCTTTTGTTGCCATTGCTTTTGGTGTTTTGGACATGAAGTCCTTGCACGCCTATGTCCTGAATGGTAATGCCTAGGTTTTCTTCTAGGGTTTTTATGGTTTTAGGTCTAACGTTTAAATCTTTAATCCATCTTGAATTGATTTTTGTATAAGGTGTAAGGAAGGGATCCAGTTTCAGCTTTCTACATATGGCTATCCAGTTTTCCCAGCACCATTTATTAAATAGGGAATCCTTTCCCCATTTCTTGTTTTTCTCAGGTTTGTCAAAGATCAGATAGTTGTAGGTATGCGGCGTTATTTCTGAGAGCTCTGTTCTGTTCCATTGATCTATATCTCTGTTTTGGTACCAGTACCATTTTGTTTTGGTTACTGTAGCCTTGTAGTATAGTTTGAAGTCAGGTAGTGTGATGCCTCCAGCTTTGTTCTTTTGGCTTAGGATTGACATGGTGATGCGGGCTCTTTTTTGGTTCCATATGAACTTTAAAGTAGTTTTTTCCAATTCTGTGAAGAAAGGCATTGGTAGCTTGATGGGGATGGCATTGAATCTGTAAATTACCTTGGGCAGTATGGCCATTTTCACGATATTGATTCTTCCTACCCATGAGCATGGAATGTTCTTCCATTTGTTTGTATCCTCTTTTATTTCCTTGAGCAGTGGTTTGTAGTTCTCCTTGAAGAGGTACTTCACATCCCTTGTAAGTTGGATTCCTAGGTATTTTATTCTCTTTGAAGCAATTGTGAATGGGAGTTCACTCATGATTTGGCTCTCTGTTTGTCTGTTGTTGGTGTATAAGAATGCTTGTGATTTTTGTACATTGATTTTGTATCCTGAGACTTTGCTGAATTTGCTTATCAGCTTAAGGAGATTTTGGGCTGAGACGATGGGGTTTTCTAGATAAACAATCATGTTGTCTGCAAACAGGGACAATTTGACTTCCTCTTTTCCTAATTGAATACCCTTTATTTCCTTCTCCTGCCTGATTGCCCTGGCCAGAACTTCCAACACTATGTTGAATAGGAGCGGTGAGAGAGGGCATCCCTGTCTTGTGCCAGTTTTCAAAGGGAATGCTTCCAGTTTTTGCCCATTCAGTATGATATTGGCTGTGGGTTTGTCATAGATAGCTCTTATTATTTTGAAATACGTCCCATCAATACCTAATTTATTGAGAGTTTTTAGCATGAAGGGTTGTTGAATTTTGTCAAAGGCTTTTTCTGCATCTATTGAGATAATCATGTGGTTTTTGTCTTTGGCTCTGATTATATGCTGGATTACATTTATTGATTTGCGTATATTGAACCAGCCTTGCATCCCAGGGATGAAGCCCACTTGATCATGGTGGATAAGCTTTTTGATGTGCTGCTGGATTCGGTTTGCCAGTATTTTATTGAGGATTTTTGCATCAATGTTCATCAAGGATATTGGTCTAAAATTCTCTTTTTTGGTTGTGTCTCTGCCCGGCTTTGGTATCAGAATGATGCTGGCCTCATAAAATGAGTTAGGGAGGATTCCCTCTTTTTCTATTGATTGGAATAGTTTCAGAAGGAATGGTACCAGTTCCTCCTTGTACCTCTGGTAGAATTCGGCTGTGAATCCATCTGGTCCTGGACTCTTTTTGGTTGGTAAACTACTGATTATTGCCACAATTTCAGCTCCTGTTATTGGTCTATTCAGAGATTCAACTTCTTCCTGGTTTAGTCTTGGGAGAGTGTATGTGTCGAGGAATGTATCCATTTCTTCTAGATTTTCTAGTTTATTTGCGTAGAGGTTTTTGTAGTATTCTATGATGGTAGTTTGTATGTCTGTGGGATCAGTGGTGATATCCCCTTTATCATTTTTTATTGTGTCTATTTGATTCTTCTCTCTTTTTTTCTTTATTATTCTTGCTAGCAGTCTATCAATTTTGTTGATCCTTTCAAAAAACCAGCTCCTGGATTCATTGATTTTTTGAAGGGTTTTTTGTGTCTCTATTTCCTTCAGTTCTGCTCTGATTTTAGTTATTTCTTGCCTTCTGCTAGCTTTTGAATGTGTTTGCTCTTGCTTTTCTAGTTCTTTTAATTGTGATGTTAGGGTGTCAATTTTGGATCTTTCCTGCTTTCTCTTGTGGGCATTTAGTGCTATAAATTTCCCTCTACACACTGCTTTGAATGCGTCCCAGAGATTCTGGTATGTTGTGTCTTTGTTCTCGTTGGTTTCAAAGAACATCTTTATTTCTGCCTTCATTTCGTTATGTACCCAGTAGTCATTCAGGAGCAGGTTGTTCAGTTTCCATGTAGTTGAGCGGCTTTGAGTGAGATTCTTAATCCTGAGTTCTAGTTTGATTGCACTGTGGTCTGAGAGATAGTTTGTTATAATTTCTGTTCTTTTACATTTGCTGAGGAGAGCTTTACTTCCAACTATGTGGTCAATTTTGGAATAGGTGTGGTGTGGTGCTGAAAAAAATGTATATTCTGTTGATTTGGGGTGGAGAGTTCTGTAGATGTCTATTAGGTCCGCTTGGTGCAGAACTGAGTTCAATTCCTGGGTATCCTTGTTGACTTTCTGTCTCGTTGATCTGTCTAATGTTGACAGTGGGGTGTTAAAGTCTCCCATTATTAATGTGTGGGAGTCTAAGTCTCTTTGTAGGTCACTCAGGACTTGCTTTATGAATCTGGGTGCTCCTGTATTGGGTGCATATATATTTAGGATAGTTAGCTCCTCTTGTTGAATTGATCCCTTTACCATTATGTAATGTCCTTCTTTGTCTCTTTTGATCTTTGTTGGTTTAAAGTCTATTTTATCAGAGACTAGGATTGCAACCCCTGCCTTTTTTTGTTTTCCATTTGCTTGGTAGATCTTCCTCCATCCTTTTATTTTGAGCCTATGTGTGTCTCTGCACGTGAGATGGGTTTCCTGAATACAGCACACTGATGGGTCTTGACTCTTTATCCAACTTGCCAGTCTGTGTCTTTTAATTGGAGAATTTATTCCATTTACATTTAAAGTTAATATTATGTGTGAATTTGATCCTGTCATTATGATGTTAGCTGGTGATTTTGCTCGTTAGTTGATGCAGTTTCTTCCTTGTCTCGATGGTCTTTACATTTTGGCATGATTTTGCAGCGGCTGGTACCGGTTGTTCCTTTCCATGTTTAGCGCTTCCTTCAGGAGCTCTTTTAGGGCAGGCCTGGTGGTGACAAAATCTCTCAGCATTTGCTTGTCTGTAAAGTATTTTATTTCTCCTTCACTTATGAAGCTTAGTTTGGCTGGATATGAAATTCTGGGTTGAAAATTCTTTTCTTTAAGAATGTTGAATATTGGCCCCCACTCTCTTCTGGCTTGTAGGGTTTCTGCCGAGAGATCCGCTGTTAGTCTGATGGGCTTCCCTTTGAGGGTAACCCCACCTTTCTCTCTGGCTGCCCTTAACATTTTTTCCTTCATTTCAACTTTGGTGAATCTGACAATTATGTGTCTTGGAGTTGCTCTACTCGAGGAGTATCTTTGTGGCATTCTCTGTATTTCCTGAATCTGAATGTTGGCCTGCCTTGCTAGATTGGGGAAGTTCTCCTGGATAATATCCTGCAGAGTGTTTTCCAACTTGGTTCCATTCTCCCCATCACTTTCAGGTACACCAATCAGACGTAGATTTGGTCTTTTCACATAGTCCCATATTTCTTGGAGGCTTTGCTCATTTCTTTTTATTCTTTTTTCTCTAAACTTCCCTTCTCGCTTCATTTCATTCATTTCATCTTCCATTGCTGATACCCTTTCTTCCAGTTGATCGCATCAGCTCCTGAGGCTTCTGCATTCTTCACGTAGTTCTCGAGCCTTGGTTTTCAGCTCCATCAGCTCCTTTAAGCACTTCTCTGTATTGGTTATTCTAGTTATACATTCTTCTAAATTTTTTTCAAAGTTTTCAACTTCTTTGCCTTTGGTTTGAATGTCCTCCCGTAGCTCAGAGTAATTTGATCGTCTGAAACCTTCTTCTCTCAGCTCGTTCGTCAAAGTCATTCTCCATCCAGCTTTGTTCCGTTGCTGGTGAGGAACTGCGTTCCTTTGGAGGAGGAGAGGTGCTCTGTGTTTTAGAGTTTCCAGTCTTTCTGTTCTGTTTTTTCCCCGTCTGTGTGGTTTTATCTACTTTTGGTCTTTGATGATGGTGATGTACAGATGGGTTTTCGGTGTGGATGTCCTTTCTGTTTGTTAGTTTTCCTTCTAACAGACAGGACCCTCAGCTGCAGGTCTGTTGGAATACCCTGCCGTGTGAGGTGTCAGTGTGCCCCTGCTGGGGGGTGCCTCCCAGTTAGGCTGCTCGGGGGTCAGGGGTCAGGGACCCACTTGAGGAGGCAGTCTGCCCGTTCTCAGATCTCCAGCTGCGTGCTGGGAGAACCACTGCTCTCTTCAAAGCTGTCAGACAGGGACATTTAAGTCTGCAGAGGTTACTGCTGTCTTTTTGTTTGTCTGTGCCCTGCCCCCCAGAGGTGGAGCCTACAGAGGCAGGCAGGCCTCCTTGAGCTGTGGTGGGCTCCACCCAGTTCGAGCTTCCTGGCTGCTTTGTTTACCTAAGCAAGCCTGGGCAATGGCGGGCGCCCTTCCCCCAGCTTCGCTGCCGCCTTGCAGTTTGATCTCAGACTGCTGTGGTAGCAATCAGCGAGATTCCATGGGCGTAGGAACCTCCAAGCCAGGTGTGGGATATAGTCTCGTGGTGCGCTGTTTTTTAAGCCGGTCTGAAAAGTGCAATATTCAGGTGGGAGTGACCCGATTTTCCAGGTGCCTCCGTCACCCCTTTCTTTGACTCGGAAAGGGAACTCCCTGACCCCTTGCGCTTCCCAGGTGAGGCAATGCCTCGCCCTGCTTCGGCTCGCACCCGTTGTGCACACCCACTGGCCTGCACCCACTGTCTGGCACTCCCTAGTGAGATGAACCCGGTACCTCAGATGGAAATGCAGAAATCACCCGTCTTCTGCGTCACTCACGCTGGGAGCTGTAGACCGGAGCTGTTCCTATTCGGCCATCTTGGCTCCTCCTCTCTCAGGGAAAATACTGTTTAAGAATATTTTCCAATTCTGTGAAGAAAGTCATTGGTAGCTTGATGGGAATGGCATTGAATCTATAAATTACCTTGGGCAGTATGGCCATTTTCGCGATATTGATTCTTCCTACCCATGAGCATGGAATGTTCTTCCATTTGTTTGTATCCTCTTCAATTTCATTGAGCAGTGGTTTGTAGTTCTCCTTAAAGAGGTCCTTCACGTCCCTTGTAAGGTGGATTCCTAGGTATTTTATTCTCTTTGAAGCAATTGTGAATGGGAGTTCACTCATGATTTGGCTCTCTGTTTGTCTGTTATTGGTGTATAAGAATGCTTGTGATTTTTGTACATTGATTTTGTATCCTGAGACTTTGCTGAAGTTGCTTATCAGCTGAAGGAGATTTTGGGCTGAGACAATGGGGTTTTCTAGATATACAATCATGTTGTCTGCAAACAGGGACAATTTGACTTCCTCTTTTCCTAATTGAATACCCTTTATTTCCTTCTCCTGCCTAACTGCCCTGGCCAGAACTTCCAACACTATGTTGAATAGGAGTGGTGAGAGAGGGCATCCCTGTCTTGTGCCAGTTTTCAAAGGGAATGCTTCCAGTTTTTGCCCATTCAGTATGATATTGGCTGTGGGTTTGTCATAGATAGCTCTTATTATTTTGAGATATGTCCCATCAATACCTAATTTATTGAGAGTTTTTAGCATGAAGGGTTGTTGAATTTTGTCAAAGGCCTTTTCTGCATCTATTGAGATAATCATGTGGTTTTTGTCTTTGGTTCTGTTTATATGCTGGATTACATTTATTGATTTGCATATATTGAACCAGCCTTGCATCCCAGGGATGAAGCCCACTTGATCATGGTGGATAAGCTTTTTGATGTGCTGCTGGATTCGGTTTGCCAGCATTTTATTGAGGATTTTTGCATCAATGTTCATCAAGGATGACTTTCTTCACAGAATTGGAAAAAACTACTTTAAAGTTTATATGGAACCAAAAAACAGCCCGCATCACCAAGTCAATCCTAAGCCAAAAGAACAAAGCTGGAGGCATCATGCTACCTGACTTCAAACTATACTACAAGGCTACAGTAACCAACACAGCATGGTTCTGGTACCAAAACAGAGATATAGATCAATGGAACAGATCAGAGCCCTCAGAAATAACGCCATATATGTACAACTATCTGATCTTTGACAAACCTGAAAAAAACAAGCAATGGGGAAAGAATTCCCTATTTAATAAATGGTGCTGGGAAAACTGGCTAGCCATATGTAGAAAGCTGAAACTGGATCCCTTCCTTACACCTTATACAAAAATCAATTCAAGATGGATTAAAGACTTAAACGTTAGACCTAAAACCATAAAAACCCTAGTAGAAAACCTAGGCATTACCATTCAGGACATAGGCATGGGCAAGGACTTCATGACTAAAACACCAAAAGCAATGGCAACAAAAGCCAAAATTGACAAATGGAATCTAATTAAACTAAAGAGCTTCTGCACAGCAAAACAAACTACCATCAGAGTGAACAGGCAACCCACAAAATGGGAGAAAATTTTTGCAACCTTCTCATCTGACAAAGGGCTAATATCCAGAATCTACAATGAACTCCAACAAATTTACAAGAAAAAATCAAACAACCCCATCAAAAAGTGGGCGAAGGACATGAACAGACACTTCTCAAAAGAAGACATTTATGCAGCTAAAAAACACATGAAAAAATGCTCACCATCACTGGCCATCAGAGAAATGCAAATCAAAACCACTATGAGATATCATCTCACACCAGTTAGAATGGCAATCATTAAAAAGTCAGGAAACAACAGGTGCTGGAGAGGATGTGAAGAAATAGGAACACTTTTACACTGTTGGTGGGACTGTAAACTAGTTCAACCATTGTGGAAGTCAGTGTGGCGATTCCTCAGGGATCTAGAACTAGAAATACCATTTGACCCAGCCATCCCATTACTGGGTATATACCCAAAGGACTATAAATCATGCTGCTATAAAGACACATGCACACGTATGTTTATTGCAGCACTATTCACAATAGCAAAGACTTGGAACCAACCCAAATATCCAACAATGATAGACTGGATTAAGAAAATGTGGCACATATACACCATGGAATACTATGCAGCCATAAAAAATGATGAGTTCATGTCCTTTGTAGGGACATGGATGAAACTGGAAATCATCATTCTCAGTAAACTATCGCAAGAACAAAAAACCAAACACCGCATATTCTCACTCATAGGTGGGAATGGAACAATGAGAACACATGGACACAGGAAGGGGAACATCACACTCTGGGGACTGTTGTGGGGTGGGGGGAGGGTGGAGGGATAGCATTGGGAGATATACCTAATGCTAGATGATGAGTTAGTGGGTGCAGCGCACCAGCATGTCACATGTATACATATGTAACTAACCTGAAAATTGCGCACGTGTACCCTAAAACTTAAGGTATAATAATAAAAAAAAACAAACAAAAAAACAAAAACAAAAACAAAAAGAATATTTTCCTTCAATCTTAGGTAACAAGGGTATTCTTCTTCATTTTCTGGTATAAACTTTGTAGTTTTCATTTTAACATTTGGTTCTGAATTCATTCATAATATTCCTTTTGCATTTACTGTTAAAAGGGCTTTAGTTTTATTATTTGATGTGTTGCAAGCCAGTTTTCTTCACACCATTCACTAAATTATCTGTCCTTTCCTCGTTGGTTTGCAGGGCTGTCTTTGCTGTTTGTACATGGGTCTGTTTTCAGAGCTCTATGGTCTGGGAAATTACTTTTATTACTATGTTTAGTATTTCTTATAAATGGTAGGGCATTTCTTATGGCACTTAATTCTTAGGGCACTTCTGTCTATAGTCCTTTTTCTGAGATGTTAGAATAAGGTGATTTTAGTTTCTTCAAAGATTCATATTCAAGTTTTATTGGGTTTATATTGAATTTATAAATAAATGTGGAGTGAATTGGTATCTTTGTAATATTAAGTCCTCAAATCCAAGACTATAAAATGCGTCTAAATTTGTTCAGGTCATCTTCTAGAAAACTTGTATATTCTTTGGCATCTTAACTTCGGATAACTTTTTTGTTATTGAGAGAAATATCTTTTTAAATTTCATTTTTGTATTTGACTACTACTAAAGAAAAAATGTGCCCTTTAATTTTGTAAAGTAATCTTTAATCCAGCAAGCACATTGAACTCTTAATAGTTTTAAGTATTAACTCTTAATAGTCTTAATAGCCTGCACTTCTGTTGCTTTTTCTAGGTAGAAAATTATATCACTCGTGAAATGTTAGTTTTATCTCTTGTCTTCCAGTCCTTGAATTTCTTATTTCTTTTGCTTTCCTAGTGATATTTACCAGCATGTATAGTACTGTGTGAAGTAGTAGCGGTGTTAGAGGTCATCCTTCTCTTATTCTTAGTCTTTACTGGAATGCACTAAGGTTTTTTCATTAACCACAATAAAAAAAAAAACTCAGTGCATTTCATTAAAGACTAGGAATAGCCTGGTACATATTTCTGCTAAGCTCAGGAATTTCCTGGCTATTCTTTTTTTTTAATAATGACAAACTGTTGAAGCATCTTATTTGTTTTTGGAATCAACACTACAATAGGCTCATAAAATAAGTTGAGCACCACTACTCCTTTCCTATTATCAGGAACAACATATATAAGATAGAAGTTAAATGGAGAATCAGGGTTCCTTTCCAGTATGGGGAGTCTAGGCTCTCCGGAGAGGAAAGTACTCTACTTCATTTCCAGCCAGAAAAAAAAAAAGTGTGTCTTGTTCAAATCCAGCATTGGTTCTTGTCTGGTGTCTTCTACCTCAATAGTAGGGTGCCTGGTTTTTTTTCAACCATTGTTTCACATAAACCAGGAAGACTCATGCTAAAAGAAGCATCTGCTATTATAATTGTTCAAACCCAGTTTGAGTTTTTAAAGAGTTGAAACAGTAGGAAGGGATTCTAAAGCTATCTCTTGCTGAGGTCATTGTTTTTGCTTCTTTGTTGCCTATGAGCTTAATTACACTGAGGGCAAAGGGAAGAAGTAGAAGTGGGGCATGCAAAGAAAAGGAGTATGGTAAGTTATACCTAGTAAAATGCCTTTAGGGAAGTGAATGAGATGGTCATAATGGTTCCCTTGGCTTGACTGAACTTCAGACAGGCTTACTCCTAACTCTAGGCCCTGATCTCCATTTTCTTGGGCGATTTGCTTTAGAACTTGTAATTGTAAGTTCTTTCTCTGGCTGTAAGTTTTATAATAAACATTTATAGTTTACTTAGCTTGCCTCCCAAACCAACTTGAGATGGCATAGGGGAGGAGCTGGAGTTTGCCATTTTAATGGAGCATAGGGGTTTTTAGTGGAGCTTAGGTTTTAAAAATGGCAGGAGGCTTTTTAAAAGAGTTATATCTCAAACTTTGAAATGTAATCATCAAGGAAGATATTAGCACATTTCCCCTTCTGTGTCAGAAGGTAGGAGCCTAACTTCAGTGAATGCCTTGCTCCAAGTTGCAAAACTACTTCCTCGTCATAAAGATATGAGAACTGTATTTTTCTTTCAGATAAAGTCAATTAGCAAACACAATTGGTCTATGACTTCCCTCAACATCTTCCAATACTTTTCCTCTAGCTCACCACAGAACTTAAAAACCCTCTCACCCTTTGTTTCAACAGAGTGGAGCTCAGACTGAGTTCTGGTCTCTCTATCCTATTACAATAGCCTTGATAAAGTCTTTTCTTGACTGCTTAACTTTGTCCAGTGCAATTTTTGCTTTGATGGAAGCAAAAATAATTGAATAAATATGTTTGGATGAAAGTATTTGGGTTAAATGTTGTAAATTCCCCAGTGCCTCATTAAGAGCAGGAGGATATAGTTAATAGGGTCCCATGAAGGGCAAGGAACACTTGAATGATGTTAATGATTGAGATCCTAGTCTTAAGTCAGATTTTCCCTTTGCTTAACAGTCTAAACAACTAAACATGTTTATCCATTACATAGAATCCCTAAGCTCCACTAAAATGGCAAACTCCAACTCCTTCCCTATGCTATCCCAGTTTGGTCTGGAAGGCAAGCTGAGTAAAACTTTAGGATAGTAAATATGGCTATAGGTAATCAAATTAGCAGCCTTCAGCTTCTTTCTTATGGCATGTATTGGTTCTGAAAAGATGTTTCTGATGTGTCTCTCCTTTGCCACCACTTCACTGACCAAAAAAAAAAAAAAAAAAAAAAAAATCCTGTAAAAAAGATTGTATATGGAAAAGCATGTGCATTAAAAAGAAAAATGGAGGCATGTCCAGTCTTCCCTCTGCCTGGATTATTCTCAACCATCCCCCAGCTGCCCCACAACACAGTCACAAGCGGAATCTCTACCCATTTTTCCAAAGTTAATTCAAATTTTTTCCCTTATATTACATTATATAAAGCTTTTCTAGAAATTCTACACCAGACAAAGCTACTCTGTATCTCTACCTCCATCACAGCATTTACATTCTATATTGAAATTATTTCTTGGTATGTTTGCCTTCATGAAGCTAATTAAGACTTCATGAGTCTTAATTAGCTCTGTAGACTGATCATCTACCATAGTGTTTGGCATTCAACAGATGCTCAATTAACATTTTTGAGTGATAGATTGATTTCACACCTTTACTTTCAACCTTAAGAGCAATAAGGCTCGAGGCATGTTCTCAGGATTTCATAGTTGAACTTATATTACAAAAAGTTCCCTCCTATTGTCATCGCTTTGTCCAAGAGAAGGTACAGAATACAATTTAAAATTCTATCTGGAACTCTACCACTATACATTAGTATCCTCTATAGCACCATAGAAAACTGTTCCTGCTTAGCAGTTATTGGGAGGCTGAGAGTAATGAGTTCTGAGTGGCCCTCCAGTCACTAAAAAACAAAAATTCATATTAACAACCTTTGTTCATGAAAGTAGCATGTTTTGAGTTGTTTCACCATTAGTGAGATTGGTTTGACTTAATGGAGGGAATTTATAGAGCAATTGGCTGGAATAAGGCAGAAGTCAAAAGGCAAAGACATTTCACTTATTGGGTGATGTTCTCTTCCTCCATTGTTTCCCATAGATAAAACCAAGAACTAGATGGTTCAGGTGTATTTTAGCATGGCACTAATGAGGTCAAAATCAAAACTTGGGGCCCTTTAAAAGTTTTTGTTTGTTTCCTGACTGCTGCCAACCATTGTTCTATTAGAGATTGTCATTTCCATCAACTATTTGCTAAGTTAGCACCTACATAAGCCAGGTGCTTAATAACACAAATAGCTATATACCATGACCCTGCCCCTGTCAAAGCTGAGAAGTCTATGAGAAAGACTGAGGAATGCATAGAACATGCTACTCTCTGCTTTCAGAGATGGTCCTCCAGATTTCTTTTGACAATACCCAGGATCCAATTTTCCAGTATTGCCAGATTCCACTTTGTGATATTGAGGTTGCAGAAAGAATCCCACAGATCGTTAGGATTCCAGTAATTCTGAGGATAAAGCTCAACATTTAGATTCTTGAAGGCTAAGGAATGTCTTCCCATAGTCACACAATGAGTCAAAAACATACTTGGAATTTGAAGTCTCCTCCCTTGACTCTTCTTTCTACCAGTTCACGCTGCTGCTAACTGTGATCTTATATCATCAAAACTCTTCAGCTCTTCTAACAGGTGCATCCACACTAACAAATTTGGCCATAGTTTTTTTGTTGTTTTCTTTTCCTGTTTCCATCCCATTCTTTTTTCTCTTTTAATTTTAGGTAAAGCAGATTTGTATGTTGTCAGCCAAATTATGATAAATCCTCATAAAAAAGTCTATCTGATTCACAAGTTCAGCAAAAAAAAATCTAATAAATGTACTCACAACCTTACTATGGCAATATTCTCTAATATTCATGACTTACTGATATACATATTGTACTTAACACATTACAGAATACTTTCACAGATCTCACTTGAAAACCTCACATAGCCCTTTGTGGGGAAGGCCAAAGCAGCATTAATGCTCTGCATTTTTCAAGAGATTAAATGTATGTGAAGAGTTTCGTGACTGAAGATCTAAGATCACACAAGTTATATTTGGCAAATCCAAGTCCATCCAATTAATGCACTTCCCAGAACAACCTTCTTTAAATGGAATTTGAATTTATTAGGCAAAACTAAATTTGCTTATATATCACACAAAACCCCCCTCACTGTCCAGATAATAAAGTCCAAAATCCTTAACATAGTTTTAACATTCATGTAACTTTTATGGTCAGAGTAATGAAAATTTGATTCAGAGTGACTCCAGTAGAAACAAATCATGTGACTTGAATGTCCATGGATTAACCAAAAACTTCAGGCACAGGGATCAAGTAGTGTCACCAAGCCTTCACCTTTCCCTTTCTCTTGCTCTCTCTCACTCCATTCTTGAATTCTGCTTTCCTCTGTGTGTTTGCCTTATTTGGCCAAAAACTTTAGGCCAGGGAAGGTAACTACTTATAACAATTTATATAATTCGAGATTCCAAAGGAAGAAAGATCTGGTATCCCAAGGCTCCAACAGGCCTAGTTTGGGTTACATGCCTTAAACTAATCAGTATGACAAGGAGGCTATAACCCTAGGTGAGGCACCTATAACCCTAGGTGAGGCACCTTTAGTCATTACCTTCCCTATGAGATTGAACAAAGAAAAGGCTAACCAAGGTTACAAGGAGTTGGAATATGTGGTTTCCCAAAGAAAACCAGGGTTATATTATCCCTTGAAGGGGGAAGAGATACTGGTGAGACTAAAAAAAAAAAAAGTACACTACCCATGGCATATACATCTTACCCTGATTGTCTTGACTACTCTTAGTCTCTCCCATCAATACTCCTTCTCGCCATTCACCAGACTACGTATAATCTTTGGAATGTGCTTATCGTTTTCGGGCTTTTGCGCCTTTGCAAGCACTATTCTCTCTGTCTGAAATGTCTTGTTGACTAAGTTTTATTTCCTTTAAAAATCCAACTAAATATCTTTTTTGAGAGCCCTTTGCTGACCTGCATTTCATCTCCATCTTATTTTCTCCTTTGTGCCACTATATAATATTTAGTATTTACCTACTCTGTTTAGGCCAATAACCTGGGGTAGTACTATTGGATCCCTAAATTGTAGGACAGGTGCAAAGTAAGTATTCAACAAATTATTGCATTAATAAATAAATGTTGAGTGAATAAATAAATGAATTGGTGAGTTTTTCCAAGAATAATACATAAAGCTTATGATTTTTCCTGGATGTCAGGATCATTGCTCAACTTATCCCTTCATTCCTTCAACCTTCTCCTCAACACATCCACACAAAGGTACATATGTGCAACAGTTCTATTGTTATTAATAACAATAAATAAAACCATAAGCAGTTAAAGTAGTGATATGGTTTGGCTGTGTTCCCACCCAAATCTCATCTTGAATTGTAGCTCCCATAATTCCCACATGCTGTGGGAGGGACCTATTGGTGATAACTGAATCATTGGGATGGTTTCCCTCATACTGTTCTCATGGTAGTGAATAAGTCTCATGAGATCTGATGGTTTTATAAGGAGAAACCACTTCACTTGACCCTCATTCTCTCTCTTTTCTGTTGCCATGTAAGACATGCCTTTCACCTTCCACCATGATTTTGAGGCCTCCCCAGCCATGTGGAACTGTGAATCCATTAAACCTTTTTTTCTTTATAAATTACCCGGTCTCAGGTATTTCTTCATCAGCAGCATGAGAACAGACTAATACAGTAAATTGGTACCAGCAGAATGGGGCATTACTGAAAGGATACTTGAACATGTGGAAGCAACTTTGGAATTGGATAACAGGCAGAGGTTGGAATAGTTTGGAAGACTCAGAAGAAGACAGAACAATGTGGGAAAGTTTGGAACTTCCTAGAGACTCGTTGAATGGCTTTGACCAAAATGCTGATAATGATATAGACAATGAAATCCAGGCTGAGGTGGTCTCAGATGGAGATGAGCAACTCATTGGGAACTGGAGTAAAGGTGACTCTTGCTATGTTTTAGCAAAAAGACTGGCAGCATTTTGGCCCTGCCCTAGAGATTTGTGGAACTTTGAACTTGAGGGAGCTGACTTAGGATATCTGGTGGGAGAAATTTCTAAGCAGCAAAGCATTCAAGTGGTGACATGGGTGCTGTTAAAGCATTCAGTTTTAAATGGGAAACAGAGCATAAAAGTTTGAAAAATTTGCAGCCTGACTTTGCAATAGAAAAGAAAAACCCATTTTGTGAGAAGAAATTCAAGCTGGCTACAGATATTTGCATAAGTAACAAGGAGCCAAATGTTAATTGCCAAGACAATGGGGAAAATGTCTCCAGGACATGTCAGAGACCTTTGCAGCAGACCCTCCCATCATAGGCCCAGAGACCTAGAAGGAAAAGATGGTTTCCTGGGCCAGGACCAGCGCCCCCCTGGCCCCATACCTGCTGTGTGCAGCCTAGGAACTTGATGCCCTGCATCCCAGCTGCTCTAGCCATGGCTAAAATGGACAAAGGTACAGCTTGGGCTTCAGAGGGTGCAAGCCACAAGCCTTGGCAGCTTGCACGTGGTGTTGAGCCTGCCAGTGCACAGAAGTCAAGAATTGAGGTTTGGGAATTTCTGCCTAGATTTCAAAGGATGTATGGAAACACCTGGATGTCCAGGCAGAAGTTTGCTGCAGGGGTAGGGCCCTCATGGAGAACCTCTGCTAGAGCAGTGTGGAAGGGAAATGTGGGGTTGAAGCCCCCACACAGAGTCTCCACTGAGGCACTGCCTAGTGGAGCTGTGAGAAGACAGCCACTGTCCTCCAGATCCCAGAATGATAGATTCACTGGCAGATTGCACCATGCACCTGGAAAAGCCATAGACACAATGCCAGCCTGTGAAAACAGCCAGGAGCAGGGTCTGTACCCTACAAAGCCACAGGGGCAGAGCTGCCCAAGACCAAAGGAACCCACCTCTTGTATCAGCATGACCTGGATGTGAGAGATGGAGTCAAAGGAGTTCATGTTGGAGCTTTAAGATTTGACTGCCCTGCTGGATTTTGGACTTGCATGGGACCTGTAGCCCCTTTGTTTTGGCCAATTTCTCCCATTTGGAATGGCTGTACTTACCCAATGCCTGTACCCCTATTGTATCTAGGAAGTATCTAACTTGCTTTTGATTTTACAGGCTCATAGGTGGAAGGGACTTGCCTTGTCTCAGATGAGACTTTGGACCATGGACTTTTGAGTTAATGCTGAAATGAGTTAAGACTTTGGGGGACTGTTGAGAAGGCATGAATGGTTTTCGAAATGTGGGGGCATGAGATTTTGGAGGGGCCAGGGGCAGAATGATATGGTTTGGCTGTGTCCCCACCCAAATCTCATCTTGAATTATAGCTCCCATAATTTCCATGTGTTGTGGGAGGGAAAAAGTGGGTGATAATTGAATCATGGGGGTGGTTTCCATCATACTATTCTTGTGCTAGTGAATAAATCTCACAAGATCTGATGGTTTTATAAGAGGAAACCCCTTTTGCCTGACTGTTATTCTCTCTCTTGTCTGCTGCCATGTAAGATGTGCCTTTTGCCTTCCACCATGATTGTGAGGTCTCCTCTCACAATCTCCAGCTACGTGGAACTGTGAGTCCATTAAATCTTTTTCCTGTGTAAATTACTCAGTCTTAGTCATGTCTTTATCAGCAGTGTGAGAAAGGACTAATAAAAGTAGGGATGACATTCTACAAATCCTCTTTCATTTTCCAAGCATCCACATTATTAACAACAAGAGAATTTTTTCCATGTAGCCACAATCTCAACTTTGATACATTTCCCAAAATAAGTTAGAGTAGCCCTCATTCTCCTCATGTGAACTCTTACTTGGGTGGGTTTCTGCATATTTTTGATTCTTGAGGTAAGAGAGACTCTCATCACAAGAAATGATACTATGATGCTTTAACAATGCTAAACCCCTCATTTCCAGTCTTGGGTGGGTCCAGGAATTCCAGTAAGTTCAAAAGCGTGTTGTGAACTGTAAAGTGTAGAAAACATGCTCCATTCTTATGCAAGTTTCGCCAATATCCCTGTGAATGAAGCATACTTACCCCATGCAAATTATTATATATACCAAAGCTGACAAAGACAAAAATGTGATGTACCAGCCAAGGGGTGAACAGGGAGGTGCTGACAGCTTGTTTTGATATTCAGACTTCTCTCACTGAGAACCCTGAAGATCGTCCATGTTCATCCCTCTGTGTCTATGAGGAGGGCTTCTTTTCTTTAGCAATCTAATAAAATAGGAACTTCAACAGGATACCCATAAGCAAGCTGTGGCATGTACTTACAGCTAGCAGGTGGCTCTCTGACAGCTCCTCCTGTCATTACCCTCATGCTGGTTATCCTTGCATCTTCCCTGAGTCCTGAGTCTCCACTGCTCCACCCATTCTAATTGTCTAATGGTATAGATCACCACAGAGCCAATCAAGCAAGCATCTATAAGGCCCATTTATGGGCCCAGCACTACGTACCTTCTTCTCTGGATACGAAACAATTCTGTGACCTAGTCCCTTTTTGTGTACAGTTTAGAAAACAAAGTGAATACATCCAAAGCAATTAAAGAAGTGTAAGGTATCTCTATGATAATGCAAACTTTATGATGGGAGTCCTGAGGAAGAGTTCAAGGTAGAGTTTACTTATGTGATGGAAAGGACTTATGGAAAATAAATTCAGCTGAGCCTTGGAGGACTGGCAGATTTAGAGAGGAAGGAATAGAAGGGTATTCCAAACAGTAGGAACTTAAAACACAAAGACCAAAGTGTGCAGAGCAGGTATGTGGGGCTGAGGAAGGGCTGTTTCATCTTAAGATGAGAGCAGAAAATTTAGGAAATTAAATTGCCCTCCTGCCTCAATTCTAGCCATCACAATCCTTCATTGTATGTTGGAGTTCATCTGTGAATCCCAAAGACCTCCTGGGAAAGAGGCAACTGAGAGTATTCTTCAGGGAGCTGTGTGAAGCCAGAGGGAAACCAGAGTGAGCCAAATGCTGTGTTTTTCCTTCTCATTGTTAGTGAAAGCTGGCACAGAAAGCTCTTGTCTTTCCATACTTCCATCTCTCACTCCCGCCCCACGGCATCACCATTCATCATCAAGGAGAGCCATTCACAACAAGAAGGGCATAGGCAGACTGAGGGTGTGGCTAACTGGGAACAAAGGCTTAGGCTCTTAAACAGTCTTCCGCATTAAATGTGTGGTCTCTGTCTTACTGGCCTCAGGCCCCAATGGGAGCCTGCTTATTAGAGAAGCTTTTGCCAATTGCTTCTCTGCTTTAAGATAGTAAAACCAGCATTCAGCCTTTTTGGCTGTAATTTTAGTGTTCTTTCAACACTTCCTCCATGAAAGAGGCAGAGGAGATAATTCCCTTTCTCAATATTCCCTCTTCTTAGGAAAAAAACACACAGGGCTTTTTCTCCTCAACTACTAGAATGCTAATGTTTTCATGTAATAGTTTCATAATTTGAGGTGTTAGATTTAAGTATTTATCCATTTTCGTTTTATTTTTGTATAAGGTGAGAGATACGGATCAATTTTCATTCTTCTGCATATGAATACTCAATTTTCCCTGCACCATTTACTGAAGAGTCTGTCTTTTCTCCAATGTATGTTCTCCGCATTTTTGTTGAAAATAAGTTCACTATAGGTGTGTGGATTTGTTTCGGGCTTCTTTATACTGTTTCATTGGTCTATACATCTGGTTTTATGCCACTACCATGCAGTTTTGGTAACTATAGCTCTGTAGTATAATTTGAAGTCAGGTAATGTGATTCCTCCAGTTGTATTATTTTTGCTCAGGGTAGCTTTCACTATTATGGATCTTTTTTGATTCCATATAAATTTTAGGATTTTTTTCCATTTTATGAATAATGTCATTGGTATTTTGATAGGGATTGCAATGAATCTTTAGATTGTTTTGGGTAGTATGGACATTTTAACAATATTGATTATTTTCAATCCATGAATATGGAATACTTTTTCATGTTTTGGTGTCCCCTTCATTTCCTTTCATCAATGTTTTATAGTTTTCATTTTAGAGACGTTTTACTTCTTTGGCTAATTCCTAGGTATTTAATTTTATTTGTGACTACTGTAAATGAGATCACTTTTTAAATTTCTCTTTCAGAGTGTTCACTGTTGGCATATAGAAATACTACTGATTTTGGTATTTCACTTTTATATCCTGTAAATTTACTGAATTTATTAGTTCTAATAGTTTTTTGGCTGAGTCGAGGCTTTTCCAAATACAAGATCATATCATCTGTAAACAAAGGTAATTTGACTTATTCCTTTTCAATGTGGATGCCTTTTATTTCTTTCTCTTGTTTCATTGCTCTAGCTAAGACTTCCAGAACTATGTTGAATAACAATGGTGAAAGTTGTCAACCTTTCATGTTCCAGATCTAGAGGAAAGGCTTTCAGTTTTTCCCCATTTAGCATAATACTATCTATGGGTCTATAATATATAGCATTTATTATGTTTAGGTATGTTCCTTCTATCTCATTTTTTGAGGATTTTTATCATGAAGGGATGTTGAATTTTATCAAATGCTTTTTTCAGCATTAATTGAAATGATCATATGGTTTCTGTCCTTCATTCTGTAGATAAAATGTATCATATTGATTGATTTGCATATGTTGAACCATCCTTACATCCCTGGGATAAATTCCACTTGGTAATGATGAATGATCTTTTAATGTATTGTTGAATTCAGTTTGCTAGCATTTTGTTGTGGATTTTTGCATCGATATTTATCAGACATGTTGCCTTGTAGTTTTCTTTTTTTGATGTGTCTGTTTGGCTTTGGTATTAGGGTAATATTGGCCTCCTGGGATTAACTTGGAAGTATTCCCTCTTCCTCTATTTTTTGGAACAGTTTAAGGAGGATTGGTATTAATTCTTCTTTTAAATGTTTGTAAAATTCAGCAGTGAATCCATCAGGTCCTGGGCTTTTCTTTACTGGGAGATGTCTTATTATGGCCTTGATCTTGTTACTTGTTATTGGTCTGTTCAGGTTTTGGATTTCTTCATGATTGAATTTTAGTAGGTTATATGTGTATAGGAGTTTAACCATTTCTTCTAGATTTTCCAAATTTGCTTATAGTAGCCACTAATGATCCTTTGAATTTCTGTGTTTACAGTTGTTATGTCTCCTTTTACGTCTCTGATTTCATTTATTTGTGTCTTCTCTTTTTCTGAGTCTGACTAAAGATTTGCAAATTTTGTTTATCTTTTCAAGAAAACAACTTTTTGTTTTATTAATCTTTTGCATTGTTTTCTTCAATTAAATTCATTTATTTCTGCTCTGATTTTTATCATTTCTTTTCTTCTAGTAATATTTGGTTTGATTTGCTCTTGCTTTTCTAGTTCTTTAAGATACATTATTTGGTTGAAGATGTTCTTTTTTGATGCAGGCACTTATAGCTATGAACTTCCCTCTTAGTACTGCTTTAGCTGTATCCCATAGCTTTTGGTATGTTGTATTTCCATTATCATTTGCTTCAAGAAATCTATTAGGTCCATTTGTTCTATAGTGCAGATTGAATACAATTTTTGTTGTTATTGATTTTCTGTCTGGGAGATCTGTCCGATGCTGAAAGTAGAGTGTTGAAGTCTCCTGCTATTATTGTACTGGGGCCTATCTCTTTAGCTCTAATTTGATTTGGTTTTTATATCTGGATGCTCAAGTGTTGGGTTCAAATACATTTACATTCATTATATCCTCTTACTGAATTGACCCCTTTTTCATCATATAATGACCATCTCTGTCTCTTCTTATAGTTTTTTCTTTAAATCTATTTTGTCTAATATACACATGGCTACTCCTGCTATTCTTTGGTTTCCATTGGCATGGAATATATTTTTCTATCCCTTTACTTTCAGTCTATTTGTATCTTTATAACTGAAGTGTGTTTCTTATAGACAACAGATCATTGGGTCATTTTTAAAATTAATTCAGCCACTCTGTCTTTTGATTAGAGACTTAAATCCACTTAAATTTAATGTTATTATTGAGAATTAAGAACTTACTCCTGCCATTGTGCTATTTGTTTTTTCATTGTTTTGCAGTCTTCTCTTCCTTGTTTTATTCCTTCTTATCTGCTTTTTGGTGAAAGTGATTTTCTTTGGTGGTCTGCTTTAATTTCATGCTCTTTGTTTTTTGTGTAGCTGTTGTAGATTTTTTGATTTGAGGTTACCATGGGGCTTTCAAATAATATTTTATAGCTGATTATTTTAAACTGATGAAAACTTGACACTGATTGCATAAAAAACACACAAAATAACTCTTTAAAAACTGTATGCTTTTCTTTTTTTTTTTTTTTTTTTGAGATAGAGTCTTGCTCTGTCACCCAGGCTGGAGTCCAGCAATGCCATCTCGGCTCACTGCAGCCTCCATGATTCTCCTACCTTAGCCTCTCAAGTAGCTGGGATTACAGGCCTGGGCCACCATGTCCAACTAATTTTTGTATTTTCAGTAGAGACAGGGTTTCGCCATGTTGGCCAGGCTGGTCTCAAACTCCTGACCTCAAGTGATGCACCTGCCTTGGCCTCCCAAAGTGTTGAGATTACAGGTATGAGCCACTGCACTTGGTCCACAACTGTATACTTTGACTTTATTCCCTTGCTATTTAACTTTTAGTTCTCTTTATGTCTTATTGTACTGTCTATGTTTTGAAAAGTTGTCGTAGTTGTTATTTTTTATTGAGTCATCATTTAGTCTTTCTACTTAAGAGAAGTTTACACACCGTGAGTACTGTGTTATACTGTTCTGTATTTTTCTATGTGTTTACTATTATCAGCAAGTTGTATACCTTCAGATGATTTCTTCTTGCTCATTAAAGTCCTTTTCTTGGGCTGGGTGCAGTGGCTCACACCTAAAATCCCAGTACTTTGGGAGGCCAAGGCAGGCATATTGCCTGAGCTCAGGAGTTTTTGATCAGCCTGGGCAACATGATGAAATCCCATCTGTACTTGAGCCTGGGAGGTTGAGGCTGCTGTGAGTCATGATGGTGCCATTGCACTCCCCAGCCTGGTAACAGAGCAAGACGTCATCTGAAAAAAAAAAAAAAAAAAAAAAAAAAGGTCCTTTTATTTCAGAAGGAAGATCTCCCTTTAGCATTTCTTATAAGACAGAGTTGATGAAATCCCTCAGCTTTTGTTTGGCAAGGGTTTTATTTCTTCATGCTTAAAGGATATTTTCACCAGATATACTATTCTAGGGTAAAAGTTTTCTTTTTTTCCTTCAGCACTTCGTGCCACTCCCTCCTGGCCTTCTTTCCACTGAAAAGACTGCTGCCAGACATATTGGAGCGCCGTTCTATGTTGTTTCTTTTCTCTTGCTACTTTTAGTATCCTTTCTTTATCCTTGACCTTTCAGAGTTTGATTATTAAATGTCTTAAGGTAGTCTTCCTTGGGTTAAATCAGCTTGGTGTTCTACAACCTTCTTCTACTTGGATATTAATATACTTCTCTAGGTTTGAGAAGTTCTCTGATATTATCCCTTTAAATAAATTTTCTTACCCCTATGTGTTTCTCTAACTCTTCTTTAAGGCCAATAACTCTTTGATTTGCCATTTTTAAGCTATTTTCAAGATCTTGTAGGCAGGCTTCATCACTTTTTATTATTTTTTTCTTTTGTCCGTGACTATGTATTTTGAAATAGCCTATCTTCAAGCTCACTAATTCCTTCTTCTGCTTAATTTAATTCATTTGGTGAGGTCATGTTTTCCTAGTTGGTGTTAATGCTTGCAGATGTTCTTCAGTGTCTGGGCATTGAGGAGTTAGGTATTTATTATAGTCTTCACAGTCTGGGCTTATTTGTACCTATCGTTCTTGGGAAGGCTTTCTAGGTATTTGAAGGGACTTGAACCCCAAACTCAATAATGCTGTGCTTTTTCCAGACTCGTAGAGGTACCACCTTGGTTGTCTTGGATAAAATCTGGAATAATTATCTGGGTTACCAGGAGAGACCCTTGTTCTTTTCGCTTACTTTCTCCAAAACATATGAAGCCTCTCTCTCTGTGCTGAACCACCTGGAACTGGAGGTGTGATGAGGTAAGCACCCCTGTGGCCACCATCACTGGGACTGCATTGTGTCAGACCTGAAGACAACACAACACTGTCGCAAGGCCCTTCCCTTCAGTTCCCCCTAGTCCTGGGCATGTCCAGAGATGCTATCTAGAAGCCAGGAATTGGAGTCAAAAACCTTAGCAATTTACTTAATATTCTATTCTACTGCAGCTAAGTTGGCACTCATACCACAATACAAAGTCTTTCCTGCTCTTCCTTCCCTGTTCCACAGGCAGAGGAGCCTCTCCCTGTGGCTGCCACCAACACCAGTCCATGGTAGTGGGGGGAAGGTGGGGGAGTTTTCCTAGGCCACCACCAATGTTCTCTTAAAGCCCAAGGGCTCTCCCATCAGCTTATGGTGAGTGCTGCCAGGCCTAGGATTCACCTTTCAGGGCAGTGGGCTCCCTTCTGGCCCAGAGCAGGACCAGAAATGCTGTCCATAAACCTAGTCCTGCACTCAGGGACCCGAAGAGCCTGCTGTTGCTCTATCCTGCTGTGGCTAAACTGGTACCTAGGGCCCCAGAGCACTTCAGCTCACAATGGTGACGCTTGCCGAGAAACTCAATTCCAACCACTGGGATGGGCAATCCTCCTCTGGCTAGGGTTTGTCCAAATGCTCCTCCATGCATGGGTGCTGGCTTAGCCTAGCATGGCTTTATTATCTGCTGTGACAGGGCAATACTGAAGTCAATATAAAGTTCCCAATTTGCTGTGCTCTCCCTCCCCAAAATGCAGAGATTATCCATACCACACAGCTGCTGCTCGGGATGGGGGATGGGTGGCATTGGTGATTGAGGACCATCTCTCCTGCCCTCCTCAATGCCTCTTTCCACAATACAAAGTTAAAACGAGGTACTGTGATTGCTTCCTTGATTTTTGGTTCTTCTGACAGTGCTTTTCTGTGTGCAGATAGTTGTTATAGTCTGGTGTTCCAGCAGGGGGAACAAACAATGTAGGCTTTTATTTCAACATTTTGCTCTCTGCTCCATATGTTAATTTTGTGTCCTGCAACTTCACTGAATTCATTTATTAGTTCTAACAGTTTTTTGGAAGTCTTCAAGGTGTTCTTTTCTGAGATCATTTTGTCTGCAGAGACAATTTAATTTCTTTCTTTCTAATTTTGATGCCCTTCATTTCTTTCTCTTGCTAAACTGCTCTAGCTAGGACTTACATATGAAGTCAATGGACTACACTGACTAGAAGAGGTGAGAGTAGAGATCATTATCTTCTTCCTGATCTTAAAGGAAAAGCTTTCAACTTTTTACCAGTGACTGTAATGTTAGCTGTGAGTTTTTCATATATGGTTTTCATTGTGTTGTGGTACACTCCTTCTATACCTAATTTGTTAAGGGTTATTATTATTGAAAGATGTTGAATTTTGACAAATACTTTTTCTTCATCTATTGAAATGATCATATGTCTTTTGGCCTTCATAATGTTAATGTGGTATATAGCATTTATTGATTTCCATAAGTTGAAGTGTCCTTGCATCTCTGAGATAAATCCAACTTGATCATAGTATATGATTTTCTTAATGTGTTGTTGAATTAGGTTTGCTAATATTTTGTTGAGGATTTTTTACATCTATGTTCATCAGAAATACTGGTCTGTAATTTTCATTTCTTGTAGTGTAATTGCCTAGATTTCATATCAAGGTAATTCTGGCTTCATAAAATTAGTTTCAAAGTATTCCCTCCTCTTTGATTATCTTGGAAGAGTTTGAGGAGAATTTGTATTACCATTCTAAATGTTTGGTAGAATTCAGCAGTGAAACTTTCTGGTCCTGGGCTTTTCTATGATGGGAGTCTTTTTATTAATATTTCAATTTCCTCACTTGTGATTGTTCTGTTTAAATTTCCTATTTCTTTATTGTTCAGTCTTGGTAAATTCTATGTTTCTAGGAATTTATTTGTTTCCTCTAGGTTGTCCAGTATGTTGGTGTATGATTGTTTGTAGTAGTCTCTTTGATTTTTTGTGCTTCTGTGGTATCAGTTATAATGTCTCCTGATTTTATTTATGTCTTTCTGATTTTATGTCTTCTGATTTTATTTATGTCTTCTCTATTTTTTCTTAGTCTAAAGGTTTGTTGATTTTGTTAGTCTTTTCAAAAAACTTAGTTTCACTGATCTTTTGCATTGTTTTACTAGTCTCTGTTTTATTTATTTTTGTTCTGATGTTTATTGTTTCCTTTCTACTAGATTTGGGCTCAGATTTTTTTTTTTTTCTAATTCCTTGAGGTACAATGTTTGGCTGTTTATTTGAGATCTGTCTTCTTTTTTGATGTAGGCATTTATTGCTATAAACTTAACTCTTAAAACTGTTTTTGCTACATCTCATAAGTTTTGATATGTTGTGTTTCCATTTTCATTTGTTTCTAGATATCTTTTAATTGCCCTTTTAATTTCTTCTTGATCCATTGGTTGTTCATATTATTTAATTTCCATATATTTGTGAATGTTTCAAAATTCCTCTGTCATTGACTTCTAGTTTCATACCATGGTGGTTAAAAATATACTTGCTGTGATTTCAATGTCCTAAAAGTTATTACAACTTTTTTGCAGTTTAACATTATTATCCTGGAGAATATTGCATATGCATTTAAGAAGAATGTGTATTTTACTACTCTAAATGGAATGTTCTGTATGTGTTTGTTAGGCCCATTTGGTCTAGAGTGTAGAAGCCCAATGTTTCCTTATTGATTTTCTGCCTGGATGATCTATCTATTGTTGAAAGTAGGATATTGAAGTCCCCTACTATTATTGTATTGCATTTTATTGCAGTCTATATCTCCCTTCAGATCTATTAATATTTGCTTTATCTATTTAGGTATTCCTATGATGGGTGCATATATATACAACTGTTGTTCCTCTTGAAGGATTGACCTCTTTATCATTATATAATGACCTTCTTTGTCTCTTTTTACAGTTTTTGACTTAAAATCTATTTTATGTAAGTATTGCTACCCCTGCTTTTTAAATTTTCTATTTGCCTGGAATATCTTTTTCTATCTTTTCACTTCTAGCCTATATATATTTTTAAACATGAAGTGGGTCTCTTGTAGGCAGCATATAGTTGGTCTTGCTGCTGGTTTTCTTCTTTTAATCTGTTCAGCCACTCTGGTTTTTTATTAGAAAATTTAATACATTTACATTCAAGGTAATTATTGATAAGTGAGTCCTTACTATTGCCATTTTGTTCATTGTTTTCTTCTTGCTTTGTAGCTCCTTTGTTCTTTTTTTCCTCTTTTGCTGTCTTCCTTTGTTATTAGATGATTTTTCTCTAGTGGTATGCTTTGACTATTTTGCTATTGTGTATCTATTATGTTTTTGCCTTATGGTTATGAGGCTTAAATAAAATATCTTGTAGTTGTAACAGTCTCATTTAAGCTCATAGCAACTTTACTTCAATCACATTTAAAAACAATTTATATCTTGTTATACTGTTTATTCCTTAACAAATTATTACAGCTATCATTAATTTTAATAGCTTTGTCTTTTAATCTTTATACTAATGACATAAGTGATTTACGCACTTATACCTACTTACACCACCACTGCAGTATGAGAATAATCTGAATTTGGTTGTATACTTACTTTGATCCCTAAATTTTATATTTTCATATGTTTTATATTACTAAATAGCATGATTTCCTTTCAGTTTGAAGAATTTTCTTAGCATTTCTCATAAGGCATGTCTAGTGGTAATGAACTCTCACAGCTTTTGTTCTCTGGGAAAGTCCTTACCTCTGTTTCATTTCTAAAAGCCTTGCCTAGAATAGTACTCTTGGATGATGGGATTTTTTTTTTCAGTATTTTGACTATTTCATTCCACTCTCCCTTGGCCTGCAAGCTTTCTACTGAGGAATCCACAAATTTCCTTTTGGTGTTATCTTGTATGTGACTAGTTGCTTTTCTCTTGCTGCTTTGAAAATTATCTTTCACTTTTACTTTTGAGAGATTATAATGTGTCTCGGTAAAGATGTGTTTATATTTAATTTATTTGGGATTCAATGGGGTTTATGGATCTGGATGTTCCCTTTCCTCTACAGATTTGGGAAGTTTTCTGTCACTATTTTTAAAAGTAATCTTTCCTCCTCTTTCTGTTTCTGTGCTGTTCGTTCCTCTGACTGGTCATTCAAATGATCTACCTTCAGTCTCCTTGATTCTTTCTTCAGCTTTATCAAATCTGCTGTTGAAGTTCTCTATGGAATTTTTTATCTCAGTAATTATGTTATTTTGCGTCATGATTTATGTTT
Source organism: Homo sapiens (assembly GCF_000001405.40). Lineage (NCBI taxonomy): Eukaryota > Metazoa > Chordata > Mammalia > Primates > Hominidae > Homo > Homo sapiens. Next base: position 173,008,706 of record NC_000001.11, read on the forward strand.
GGTTGTTTTTATGGTTACTGTCTCTTTGTTGAACTCATTTTTTTCATGTACTATTTCTAATTTTGTTTAGTTATCTATCTTTATCCTCTTGTAGCTCACTGAGCTTTTCTAAGATGATTATTTTGAATTTTTTATCAGATAGTTGGTAAATCATTTCCTTCATGTCATTTACTGGCACTTTTTTTTGTTCCTTGGATAGTATCATGTTTCCCTGATTGTGTGTGATCTTTTTGGCCATGTGTTGATGTCTGCACAATTAAAGAAGTAGTCACTTATTTCAGTCTTTACAGACTCACTTTGGCAGGGGAAGCTCTTCATCAGTCAGTCTAACCAGAAATTCTAGGATGGCTTTCTAGTGGTCCATGGGTAAATTTGCTGCTAGAGTCCTCAGGAAGGCTGGCCTGGTGCCTTGGTCAGCAGGTTCAAGTTTCCATTTTTTTACAGCTTCCTCAGTTCTTCCCAGAGGTCAGTTATGTGGTGTTCAATTAATATTTGATTAAATGACGTTTTCATTTGTCATTTTTATGTCAACTATCAGTATGCTTCATAATAATTACTCTCAATCTAGACAGTAACTCTCCTCCAATTAACACAATATCTTGTAAGGATTGCATGCCTTAAATGAGGCTTACAATGGACATTGACAAGTGAGCTAATACAGCAAAATGATAAAGAGTTCAGTCCTAAAGTCAAACTACCTATGCTTGTAGCCTAACATTGCCGTTTACTTCTTGCATGAACTTGAGCAAGTTTCTTATCTTCTCTACATTTCAGTTGTCTTATTTGGCATAGATCTGTTAGGATTAAATAAATTGTTCCACATAAAGTACTTAGAAGAGCTCCTGGTACACTAAGTGCTAGTAAGTATTAGTTATACTTATTCTTCAGCTCCAGAAGATATGTTAGCAACCTGGAGTTCTTGGCATATTCATTCCCTGTTCCAAATACTGAGATTCCACTTTGAGTAGATATTTTTATCCTGCCTTAGAGCCTAGCAAAGGTACACACTATTCCCTCTAGCATAACCATATGTGGGTTCTGCTCTACTGTAGTGCTGGACCAGGAAGCAGTGAGTATGGGCCAGGGCTGCTGACTTGCATGAGTTCAAATGAATATTACTAAACCAGAACACGTTCCATGACTACATGACATCATTTTGTATTGTTTCCTCTTTCCTGGCTGCTTCCCTTTTAGTAAAACATTAGTACAAGCTAGAATACTGTAAAATAAGGAAATTTCCAGGGACTTAACCTAGTTTATTTGTTTCATTAGTATTATCCAATCAGACCAAAGCCCAGTATAAGTAATTTGAATTAGTAGTAGTACTTCAGAATGTGTTGTGATCAACAGAATTTGTGAAAACAGCTTGGCGATTAGCTTTTAGAAGTTGGTATCAAAAATTATCTTATTTCTATGTATAGTTCTGTGACTCTACTGTCACAGAGAACTATAGGCAAATTACTTCTTCTTGGATTTGGATTTTCTCAAATATAATTCTAAAAAATATTATTCATTTCTACTCTACTGTCAGAGATTATCTAAAAGCACACCAAGATTTCCCCCAAAACAACAGGTGAATACAAGGACATAAAAGCCCTTCCTGATTTTGTAACTTCTCAAATCTATCCTTTTGTGGTTCCATGACAAACTAATTAATAAAGAACTTAGATAACTTTCTGGAATCAAAAACAAGGAAAATTGAAAAAAAAACATACTATAGTATGAGGAAAGGCATTGTTTAATATGGATTTACTTTCAAGATAGAATAACTATCGGTAGAAATTATTATTTTATGGATAATTTCCTATGTCCTGAGTTAAGATTGCAAAAAGTGGCCAGGTGCAGTGTCTCATGCCTATAATCCTAGCTTTTTGGGAGGCTGAGGTAGGAGGATCACTTGTGGCCAGGAGTTCAAAACCAGCCTGAGCAACATAGTGAGACCCTGTCTCTACAAAAAAATTTAAAAATTAGCTGAGTGTGGTAGCCTATGCCTATAGTCCCAAGCTACTCAGGAGGCTGAGGTGGAAGAACCTCTTAAGTCTGGGAAGTTGAGGCTGCAGTGAGCCATGATTGCCCTGCTGCAATCCAACCTGAGTAACAGAGTGAGACTCTGTTCCCCTCCACAAAAAAAAAAAAAAAAAAAAAAAGCAAAAAGAAAATCTCAAATTTTCCTGAGAACCCTCACAAGGATGTCAGTGATTTTTATAACCTTCACTCAAATCTTCTTGTATCTTTGGTTAATCAGGATTAACACAAATTTGTCCAATCTCAGAAGTGCCTGAGAATTCTAATATGGATATTTCTGAAAGCATCATTTACCATAAAAAAGAGACTAAGTCTTGCTAGTGAGGGAAAATAATTATATCAAGTGATCTTGTTGCATGTCTGTTTTTATGCATACTTATATGCATGAATTTGGAAATAAATCATTTTGTGTACATTACCTCATTCAATCTTCACAAAAATGCCATGCAATAATTATGAGAGATATAATTATCCCAACTTTTGTGCATGAAAGGACAGAGGAAAAAGAGAAATCGATAGAGATGACAGAGAATGGATGATCACTCATTCATTTATGCATTCATTCAACAACCATTTGTAAGTAATTATATGTGCCACATTATAGAAAGATACAGCCATAAAAACATTCTTCTTAAAGCCTATAGCTTAATTGAGGTAACTTCCAGTTAAAAACATAAATGTTTTGATATAGATCTCTGTGTTCAAAGAGTATACAGCCCTACTTTAAAGGCTGGGGAATATCTCCCTGGGGAACTCACATTTCAGCTGAGACAAGGAATGAGTAGAGTTAGCCAAATGAAGGGAAAGTGGGATGGGTATCCTAGGAGAAGGAGCAGCATGTCCCAGGGACAGAGTTGAATAAGGACAAACAGCAATTATCAAGAAACCAAAGAATGTTAGCAAGAGGAGTATAAAGTACAAGGTAGAAGATGGCAAGAGATGAATCTAGAGAGTTAGACAAATGACCAAAACTATAAATGAGCTTGTAAGTCATTGTGAATAGCTTGGAATTTATTTTAAGGGCACTGGAAAGGCAACTAGAGCAGCATAAAAAACTAGAACAGTAAAACATTTTGAAGGTCACGGGCCAGGGAGAGTTTTAAGACTTTAAGAGTCAATCAAATTAATCCTTCAAAGAAGCCAAAAAATAAGAAAACTGAGAATACGTCATTTGAGACATCATGGATAACCTTAAAATTTCCATTTTGGTGGTAGAGGTGGAACACAAACCCATGAATAACTTAAAGATAAGGAAGTATAAGCAAAGGGGTATAGACTACGGTTTGAAAAGCCCACCTCACCTATTGCTGGAGTTGGTAGCAGGATCAAAGAAAAATTTTTCAAGATCGAAAAAATCTAAACATGTTTGAAGACACAGAAGAAGAACTGGCTATAAAGGCAGAAATTTAAAATATCACAAAGTCATCAAAGATTAAGAAAGTGGGATGCATAGGAAAAGATAGAACTAAATGCTGAGTTGAGCACGAAGGCTCAGAGAAAGATCTGTATGAATATTTTTAAAGCCCAAGTACCAAAGCTAATCCTGTTCAGTGTCTCCTCCCTGGCTGCTTAATCTATAATAACATTCCTGAAAAGCTTCATCCTTTTATCACTGGGTTTGTCTCTAGTGGGACATTTTCATGTTAGAGCCATGATTAGACTTTTAGTTCCCAAATTTATCATTCACAGGACAATATCTAGAGTTACAGTTACTTCTATGATGGACACTTTTATAAGAACAAAACAAATCTGGGCTACTTATCAACATTTCAAACTTATAAGCATTGTAATTCTCTTTTTCAGATGAGAAACTGAAGTTCAGAAACATGATCTTTGCTGCTTGCCACTGAGAATTTTTAATCAAGCCACTGTTCTATACTCTATCTAAAGTTAGATATTATAGTCCCAAAGTTGGAAAGATATGCCTGAAACTTCCTAAAATTAGTCAGTGTTCCAGAAGATGCAAGTGATATAAGTGAGTTGTTAAGTTACATATTCTTGGGCTATAAAAAGACAACTGCTATGGTCTGAATGTGTGCTCCAAAATTCATGTGTTAGAAACTCAGTTCCCAGTACAACAGTGTTGAGAGGTGGGGCCTTTTAGAGATGCACAGTTCATGAGGGTACTGCTCTCATGCATGGATCAATACCACTATAAAAAGGGCTTACAAGACTAGGCACAATGGCTCACATCTCTAATCCCAGCATTTTGGGAGGCCATGGCAGTAGGATCACTTGAGACCAGGAGTTCAAGACCAGCCTGGTCAACACAGCTAGCCCCATCTCTATTTTCTAAAAAGAAAAAAAAAAAAAGGACTTACAGGGGTGAGTGTACTCTCTTCTGCAAGTGAGGATGTAGCAAGAAGACCCACAACAGATGCCAGCACCTTAATCTTGGGTTTTCCAGATCCCAAGACTATGAGAAATAAATTTCCGTTCTTTATAAGGTACACAGTCTGTAATATTCTGTCACAGCAGCACAAATGAACTAAGACAGAAATTGGTACCAGGAGCATAAATGAACTAAGACAGCAATTATTTGCTACAACAAATACCTACAAACATGGAAACAGCTTTGGAACTGAGTAATGGGTGAAGGCTAGAACAGTTTTGAAATAAATACTGGAAAGAGCCTGTATCGTAAGTGGAGCATTAACAGCAATTCTTATGAGGGCTCAGAAGGAAAGAGTTGTAGGTAGAGTCTGAATCTTCTTAGAGATTGCCTAACTGGTCACAAGCAATGTTGGACAGTAAAAGTCATTCTCATAAAGTCTGAGAACAAAATCAGGAATATCTTATTGGAAACTAGGGAAAAGGTCATCTTTGCTATAAAGTGGCAAAAAACTTAACTGAATTATGTCTATGTCCTAGGACTTTATGGATGGCAGAACTTTAGAGCAATGAATACATGGCTATGTTCATCAAAGCCATGAAGACACAGTGGCCTGAAATCTTGGGGACCCAATTCCCACACCAGTGTGTCCAAGAGGTGAGACAGAGAGTCAAAGAAGACTATTCTCAGTCCTTAAGATTTAGTGTTGCTTACCCTGTTGAGTTTTGGACTTACCTGGGACAAGTTACCCCTTTCTTCTAGCTTATTTCTACCTCTTGGAAGGAGAATGTCTATTATATTCCTATTCTTCCGTTATATTTTGAAAACATAACTTGTTTGATTTCACACAGTCGTAGCTGGAGAGAAATTTGATACTGAAATAAGTTAAGACTTTGGGGGCTATTGGGATGGCATGACACTTGAGAAGGATATCAATTTGGGGAGCCAGGGGCAGAATGCTATGGTCTAAATGTGCCATCAAAAGCCAATGTGTTGGAAACTTAATTCCCAAGGCAACAATGTTGCAAAGTGGGGCCTTATGAGAAAGTGTTTAAGTCCTGAAGATTTTGCTCTTAGGAGTGAATTTGCTCTCTCTTGCCCTTCTGCCTTCTGCCATGTGAGGCTGCAGCAAGAAGGCTCATAGCAGGTATCAGAGTCTTGATCTAAGACTTCCTAGAACCCAGATTATGAGAAATACATTTCTGTTCTTTTTCAATTACCCTACATGTGGTATTCTGTTATAGCAACACATATGGACTAAGGCGGCAAATAAATATACTCTTCTGCATTCCTGTGAAAAGCAGAAGAGCTCATATGCAATAAATGGGTGTGGAAAGGTCTTCACAGCTTGAAAGTAGACAAGTCAAGATTTTTCCTTTCATCACTATGACAAGTAAAATTTTAAGTTCTCAGTCTATAATCTTACTCTAGATATTATCAATTTTCCTCCAAAAAGTAGAGACCTTTCACAAGTATTGGCATGGAAAGTAAGCCACTTAATTTTTCTTCCTCATACTACCAACCCAAGGAAAGAAACGTCACCAATGGGGCTTTTCTTAGACCCTTCAAGAGATTATGGATCCCATCCCAAAGTATTTCAAGACCTCCTGTATCTACAGGTGCATAGTCTTCCAGTTCTGCAATAGAAAAGTGAGGACAAAGCTATGTCCTATGCAGGCCATAGGCAAAGGATATTAGAAAGAAAACAGATCTATTTCCAGATGTTACAAAGCTGGAAAGCAAAATTTATTCAAGAAGACTCACTTAGTATTCTAAATACTATCAAAATATGCTAGCATTGAGCCAAGACCAATAGTGCAAAATTTAACTGGCACAAAGATAAATTCCCACATCTAAGATAAATAACATGATTGTATGTCAACAAAATAGAAAGGACCTCAGAAAATCTGGGTGTTTCAGTTGACCACAAGATTAAAATGAACTAGCATAGCTACTAACAACATCTAATTCCACTTTAGGCCTACAAAGAATATTGTTTTTGTTGATGAAACAAATGATCTCCCTATATCCTTTATAGATCTACCCCATTCTGAAGCATTTTATTCCAGTTTATGCCCAGCAGGGGCAGGGTAGCCATGATCACATTTATATAGCAATTTACAGTATGCAAGTGTTTGACACACTCTCTGATATTAATTTTGACCCCATAACTATCCTCTGAGATAAGTGTTATTACATCCATTTTTATAAGTGGCAATGTAAAAAGTGAGAGACATTAAGTGTCTTGACCAGGCAACATGGTTAGTAAGTGGCAGAGCTAGGTAATTAACTCTTAGATCTCCATTCTTTCATGTATACATAGAACCACTGAGATGTTCAACCTAGGGAGAGAAGACTTAGTGGCTCATATTAATACTTTTCAAACATTGGAAGGCCCATTAGATGAGAAAGGAATTAGAGTTACTCTGAATGAGGCAGTGGATAGATGTTAGGAGAACTGGCTATCAGCAAAGGCTGAATGATTGTCCTTAAAGGGGTAGAGAGCTGAAGAATGGGACTGTACAACAAAACCAATATAACTGAAGGGAGTCAGCAGACTAAAATGTATTCCCTAGTATATCTTAGCTTATTTTTAAAGCTCCAGAGAAAATTCCTGAACTAATTTCCCCTACTCTCATGTTTTCTATAAACCTCTCTCTATTTTTATTATGAAAGCAGAAGTGGAAAAATAAGAGGAAGGGTGCCTTAACAATGACTCTGGAAAAGGAACTATTGATAGTGCCATCTGCCTAAAGCTTTAGTATTGCATCAGCAGAGCCTTTGATGGAATGTACCGATGATTTCTACTTCATGTGAATGAAGACAGGAAATAAAGAGATGCCAGTGTTTTTCCAACATGATATTTGGATCTAATGATGCTATATCCTGCCACACTCAAAGCTCATCTAATCCTTCAAAATACTATATAAAATACCAAGTCAGTGTTTGTGCTCTCTACTCAGACCTAGTAATGGAGGATGTCAAGACATGGAAAAAGCACTGCATTAGCAGTCAGAAACTTTGCTTCTAATTACAGCTCTGCTAAGTACTTCCTGATTGGCCTTGAGTGATCTGGTACTAAGGTTTGCCTTGGACAATGTGTGTCTTGAGGCCTGCTATGTAACGGATAAAATGCATGTGCTTTAGCATCAGACAGACATGGTTTTAAGCAACTTCCTGCCACTCGGAAGATGTCTCACCTTGAGTACTTTTCTAAATTCCCTAACTTCAGCTTCTTCATGTTCTAAAGTTATAGAGATGAAAATGCATATGGAATTATCATGCAAATTACCAATAAAGAGAATCACTGGTCAGAATCCCTATATTTTGGAGAAGAAAAATTTTGAAAACCAGTCAGAATTCAATCAACTGCAGTTGGGAGAAAGACAGCGAGTAGCTTGAGAGAGATGAGAAACTATCAAAAAGAAGTTCCTGACATGGCAACAGTGTATCATCCAATGAGTAAGTAAAGAAGTGCATATAGGAGGAGAAATGTGGCACTGCAAATAGCTTTTCTGATGGGCTCAGAGCCAAAAGCATAGAAATAAAAGATGAGAGACAGGGCACATAATGAAGACAATTTTAAAGCAATGACATAAATCTCTCAGAATAGAGCCAGAAAGTCTGTAGCCCAGAATGAACTAAAGTGTGGTGGTGGTGAGAGGAGGGAGTCTGAAGTGAATAAAAAGACTGCTTTCTTTGTTTCATTGTTTCTGCTTGTCTGTTTAGAGAAGATTAACAAGAAAAAATAAGAGCCTGATTTCTTGGGAATAATAATGTCATGTTAATATTTATGTCAGAGAAACCTGAGTTTTTCAAGACCCCCTTTGCTTTTCTCCCATTTCTATTGGTAATATTTACTGGGTACCTCTATTATGATGAGAAGATATAATCTCTTCTGTCAAGAGGTTGGTAGTCCAGTAAGAAGATAGACATGCAGCCAGGTGCAGTGGCTCACACCTGTAATCCTAGCACTTTGGGAGGCTGAGGCGGGCGGATCACCTGAGGTAAGGAGTTAGAGACCAGCCTGGGCAACATGGTGAAACCCCGTCTCTAATAAAAATACAAAAATTAGCCTAGCGTGGTGGCAGGTGCCTGTAATCCCAGGTACTTGGGAGGCTGAGGCAGGAGAATCACTCGAACCTGGGAGGCAGAGGTTGCAGTGAGCCGAGATCGCACCATTGCACTCCAGCCTGGGGAATAAGAGCAAGACTTCATCTCAAAAAAAAAAAAAAAAAAAAAAAGATAGACATGCAAATAATGATAAAATATATAAGAAATATACTGAAATAATTATAGTAACAGAGGTGAATACAAAACCCAGGGGGAATAGAACTTTAAAAATATCCACATCTGCCTGGGGATCTATAGGAAGATTCACAGAAAGACTGAAACATCTGAGTCAATGAAATGCTGTGCAGACTAGAAAGGGCAATTCAGATAAGAGATATGAATATACTGGACTTCCTGTGATTTTTGAATGGGTTTAGCTCTATTTATCTTGGTAAATTATTTTATAATTCATGGCAAATTTTGGAGACAGTATAGAATTAGAAAAATTCCAGAAAACTAAAAATTGATAAATGTTATTTATATTTTCAACTTTACAGTGTAGAATACAATGAAAGAAAATGTTGTGGATTGGTTGAGAGAATACGCCCTGGACTTAGACTGCTGAGAAAAACTTCTGGCTTTATTCCTTACTGGTTTTGTGATTTTAATCAAGTTATTGAACATCCCTGTTCTTCAGCTTCTTCATCTATAAAATGGGATAATAAAAGGATATATTTCAAGAAGTCATGAGGATTACTTAGGAGAGTACGTGGCACACAGTAAGCTGTCAATAAATATGAGCTGTTTCACAACTCTAAACACTAGAGGCCAAAGTGTTTGGTCTCAGTAACAAAAATAATCCAAAATAGAACGTTTAAAAGATTCTTAACACAGAAAAGGAAGTGGTGATATTTTAGGATCAGAGTGGGTTCACTAATAACATGTTCTTTTAGGACCCCACACACTTCCTGTTTGGGCATCTGTGTTTGCTGACACACGAAAGAGATTTCATAGACCTAGCACATACGGATTTTATCAAACAATTTTGCCATCCTTATAAAAAAGATGGAGAAATGTGTACATAGAAGGCTGTGATAATATACACAGATAAGGAACTAAGCTAGTCACCAGAGAAACAAAATAAAAGTATGTTCCTATTCTCAAGAAGATTAGAGTACATTAGAAAAACAGATATTTACACAAATACTTAGTATAATAACAATATATATCCAGTACCGTAGTGGTACAAAGGAGAGCCGTCAATTCTGCTTTAGTGATTGTGGAAGGCAAAAAGGTACCAAGGAGGAAGATATGAACTAGTTTTGAAGGCTGGTTTCTTGTCCTCATTGAATGATTTTTAAAAAAACATCTTGTTATGTTATTAAAAGCATCAAAACTTCAAAATGCATTTGATTATTTTAGTGAAAATAATTTTATCCATTTGTCGATTTTAAAAAGCTACAATATTGAAGCATTTGTTTTAGTTATGATTCAGACCATTATTCTCAGAACCATACCTGTTGCTCGAGATCCATGTTTTCTTACTCCTGCTCCTCTGGCAGAGCTCTCCTCCTCTCCATTGCTTCTGCTCTGTAGACCATGATCCTCCTAGCCTATCTCCATAGCTTCTTAGGTGGTCTTGCTCTGTCTCTCCCACTCATCTTTCATCACACCACCAGAGTTACTTTCTTTGAAACAGGTCCGATCAAGCCATAAACTTCTAAAATAACTTAAAAGTTCCTGAATAGGAAAGCAGAGATTCCTTGGGCTAGCCTTCTAGCAGCTTGGGATTTGGCCTCCTGTTGCCCAGTGTTGGTTCCCATTTCATATCTCCACATGTCATCTTCACCAGGCCATGGGACTACATACACTCTCTGCCACCCTTCTGTGTTCTTGCTCATATTGCATCCTCACCTGCTACTCTTTTATCACACAAAGACTAAAATGCCTCCTCTTTCTCCCATTTAGCTAGAGTTTGTTATATTTCTTTACTATAGTCCTCTGCTTATCATCGCACTTGCTTCTTTCTTTACAGTATTGGATGAGCTAGTGGGAAAAGAACTGGGCAAGGATTTGAGCAATCCAGATTCCAATTCCTGCATTCCCTTAACCTCACTGTGTCTCAGCTTCCCCATTTGTAAATGAGAGATTAGGGATTAATTTTCTTTATTTAAAATATTTTCAACTCCATAGTTCTGATTTGAATCAGTCTGTCTATCCTAGCAGATGTAGCTTCTTGAGGAAGTCACAATATCTTAGAAATCTTCACATCATCTTTGGTGCCTACCTGTGCTTTGTACATAGAAAAACCTTAATAAATATATGTGCAGTGAAAAAAATTCATGAATGAATGAATAATTCCATATTTTCTTTATATAAAATACATCCAAATGTTTCATCATTATTTTTGTAGTTTAAGTAAAATATAACCTCCAATTCTGTATTTCTAGAGACAATATAATAAAAGGCAACTATTAATAGAACAAGTCATAGAGATTCAAGCTTTTCAACATTTATCTTTTCAAGCACCATGCAAACATACAAGATGCAAATTCATAGAGCGTGAAGAAACTAATTATATACTTGGTTGCTAGAAGGAACTCATTGAAGCTAAAAAAGAAACAAATTTAAGATAAACAGAGAAAAAGCTACCTAAAATAGCTAGTTGTAAACTGATAAAAATATTTTGAAAATCAGCATCTATCAAGCATTTTTTTTTTTTTTTTGAGACAGAGTCTCGCTCTGTTGCCCAGGCTGGAGTGCAGTGGTGTGATCTCGGCTCACTGCAAGCTCCGCCTCCTGGATTCATGCCATTCTCCTGCCTCAGCCTCCCAAGTAGCTGGGACTACAGGTGCCCGCCACCACGCCTGGCTAATTTTGTTTTTTTGTATTTTTAGTAGAGACGGGATTTCACCGTGTTAGCCAAGATGGTCTCAATTTCCTGACCTGGTGATCCACCTGCCTCGGCCTCCCAAAGTGCTGGGATTACAGGGGTGAGCCACCGCACCCGGCCCTATTGAGCTCTTTCTATGTGCCAAACACTGAACTAAGTTTTTTCTGTGTATTATTTTACTTTAATCCTTAAACTACTCTGTACAGTAGAATTAATTATCCTCCCTTGACACATAAGAACACCTATCCCCAGAGAAGGCACACAAATTGCTCAAGCTCACACAAAATATAAATAGCAGAGTCAAGATTTAAACAAGCCTGTCTACATCTAAGCCCATTCTCCTAACGACAGCACACAATTGCCTCCCCAGAGGTGATATAGCCTAGAAAATAACAGATTGTTTTAAATGTCTTAAAAAGACAAGTTATAGAATTAAAAATAGTTAAGTAGCTCATTTTATTGAAAGAAAAATGACCCATTTATACTAAATCAAGGAAAAAGGGTGGTTTGTTAAAAGGATTTACAAGGCCTGAAACAGGAACTGAAATTATGTCAGAAACTAAAGCAGCCCCGAGCGTTGACTGTTTTAAACTTTTTCTTTCGAAAAGCTACGTGGTCTCTTCCTCTCTCTCTCTCCTATTCATATGACAGCCCTTGCTTTCCCCTCACATCAGCTTTATTTTTCCAGCCTATCAACAATTCCATGGCATCATTTCACTTCTTCTTCACTGGAAAATGGTACGTTTTTTTCCTAAGTTCTAGATCAAATTACCAAGAAAAGTAATTAGATTTGTCCAGCTCATTTTGTTGCACAAGGACATGGATCACACTGTGTGTCTCCAGCACTCTGCTGGGAAGAGGATGCCCTGACCAAACATTAATACCTGGCTTTCCAGGCATATGCCTTTTTTCTCCCTTACCCCTGAGGTTACCTGCTCTCTACCACTCCACAATTCTTTTTTTTTTTCCTACAACCAAGTTTCTACAAAGAGTAGTGTAATTTTTTTGTCTCATCTTCCATTTCTCCTTATCTAGTAATTATACTTCCCATTTGTTCTTTAATCATTGATATCTGGATTATGCCCCCAGATGTCACAGAAAATGATCTTGTTTATGTTGTCAAAAATTATCTACCAGCAAAATCCAATTAGCAATGTTCAATCCTCTTAGTATTTGACTTCTTGGAGCCTCTAACATTGTTGACCACTCCTTTATTCTTAATCTCTCACTGTCTGTTTCTGTGGACCTATTATTTTCTTCCAGTTAATGTCATTTGTCCCTGGTTGCTCCTTTACAGGATTTCCTTCCTTTGCCTGTCTTCAAATGTTGGTGATCCCCACGTCTCAGTCATTTGCCCCATTTTCACTTTACCCACTCTCTATAGCGATTTTATCCTTGTCAGTGACTTCACCCAGAAGGCTGTTGACTTTTAAATATTCATCCCATCTCATGCAACTCCTCCTGAGTTCCAGCTGCATACTGGTAAAGCCCACTTGGATATTCTGCAAACATCTGAAACTATACCTTTATAAACCTAAACACATTATCTCATCCACACTAAATTTTCTCCAATTCCTCCTTGCATATTCCCCACCATAAAAACATCACCATCTTCCTCAATATGTCTAAGAAGGTTCTTCCTCTTCTTTATCCCTCACTTTCAATCAATCACTATACTGGTTAAGATTCTGATTACAATTAATAGAAACCAACTTAAGCTAAATGAGTGGAAAAAACGATCTGTCATAAAGGTACAATAATTCTTGCATAATCCAAGGACAAAAATGTACATGGGCCTTATGCATCAGAAACAGTTCAATGGAGTTTCTTCCTGTATGTATTAGTCAAGATTATCCAGAGAAACAGAATCAGTAGGAGATTAGATAGATAGATAGATAGATAGATAGATAGATAGATAGATAGATAGACAGATGATAGATAGATAGGGTAGAAATTGGCTTACAAAATTATGAAGGCTAAGAAGTTCTAATATGGAGGACCAGAAAAGCCAGTGGTATAATTCAGTCCAAGTCCAAAGACCTAAGAACCAGGGAGCTGATAGTATAACTCTTAGTCCAAGGCAAAGGGTCTAAGAACTGGGGTAAGGATAGTGGGTGCTGGTGTAAGTCCTGGAATCCAAAGGCAAGAACCAGGAGCTCTGATGTCTGAGGGCAAGAGAAGATGGATGTCCTAACTCAAGAAGAGAGAGAGCAAATTCATCCTTCCTCCTCCTTTTTGTTCTATTCAGGCCTTCAGGTGATTGCATGATGCCCACCTTCATTGGTAAGGGCAGATCTTTATCCAGTCTACTCATTCAAGTACTAATCTCTTCCAGAAACACCTTCAAAGACACACCCAGAAATGTTTTACCAGCTACCTGGGCATCCCTTTGTCCAGTCAAGTTGACACAAAATTAGCCATAACAAATTCATCCCTTGTCAACTTGGCATCCATAGGCATACCCTTACACCATATTTAATTTCTAAATAAAGACAATAATAAGGTCATAATTCCACCTAATACAATACAGCTATCCTATGTGCAACCAAAAATGCACTAATCCCTTCCCCAGAAGAGGAGGTCAAATCCTTAAGTAATGTTTACTCTTCTCCTGATAGCCCATAACTTAAATAGTATGATGTACAATTAACAATATTTAAATACTATGATCTAAAGTCAATACCTCTTATGTTACATAATAAAAAAATAAAAGAGGAAAGAAAACAGATATTTGTTTTCATACACACACAAGTGCACACACATACACAAACACACAGAGGTATTTATAACAAAATGAAGAGAAACTACTCATGACAATCACAGGAATTGCAGTCCTCAGTTCTATAACTAGTCACATGGTCATAGCTGGCATTTCTAACTACCCTTTTCCATTACCTATTCTATATTCCTTTTGCCTTCAGCAAGAACTTCAGCTGGTCATGGTTCTTTACCTGAAGGAGCGACCTAAATGTTTATTGCTAAAGGGTCTGGGCCATTCTGTAGTCTTGCCTCCATTGAGTTGTAGTTTTTACCTTAATCACAAGACATTATAATACTAAGAGATGCCCTGGGGGACTTTCTGTATTCCAGATATACTCTTTCTTACCTCCATTGTGTGTGTGTTTTTTTTTATTTTTATTCATTTACTTTTTATTTTTTTGAGATGGAGTCTTGCTTTGTCACCCAGGCTGGAGTGCAGTGGCATGATCTCTGCTCACTGCAAGTTCCGCCTCCCAGGTTCACACCATTCTCCTGCCTTAGCCTCCTGAGTAGCTGGGACTACAGGTGCTTGCCACCACGCCTGGCTAATTTTTTGTATTTTTAGTAGAGACAGGGTTTCACCGTGTTAGGCAGGATGGTCTTGATCTCCTGACCTTGTGATCTGCCTGCCTAGGCCTCCCAAAGTGCTGGGATTACAGGCTTGAGCCACTGCGCCCAGCTCTTACATCTATTGTGAAGTAGTAATTCATTTTTTTCTTCATAATCCAGATCAATCGCCTCACCCAACACTGTAACACTTCCTGGCCTATTGACTCAGAGCATGAGGAAACCAAAGTGACCAGGGGTGAGTCTTAAGTTCTTGTTTAATGGAATCATAATTGTGTCTCCTTGTGGGAGCATTTTTGCCTCTGGAACTAAGACTTTTAGGCTTTAATTTTGCTAGGGGACCACTAAGGGTAATGGTGAGTGATACCATTTCCATTTCCACCCTTTGATTCTTGGGCCCATGAAACCTGATTCAGAGCATATGCAGCTTTCTGGAGAACCTTGCTCCAGCCCTGCAAGATATTGCCGTCTAGTTGGCACTGTAACTGAGTCTTCAAACAGCCTTTCAAGATGGTGGGGAACATGGTAAGACCAGTGAATTCTATGAACATGGACCCATTGCCACATTTTATTGTCTGTGAAGTGAGTTTTTTTTTTATCAGAAACCATGCTGTGTGGATACCATGACAGTGGGCAAGGCATTCTGTTAATCCATGAACAGTGTTTTTGGCAGAAGTTGCATGCAGGGAAGGCAAATACATATCCAGAGTATGTGTCTCTTCCAGTAAGGAAAAAATGCTGTCCCCTCCATTAAGAAGCAGTCCAATGTAATCGACCTGCTACCAGGTAACTAGCTGATCAACTGAGGGGAACAGTGCTGTATCAGGGGCTTAGTGTTGGTCTCTGCTGCTGGCATGTCAGCCATTCAGTTGTGGCTGTAGCCAAATCAGCCTTAGTAACTGGAAGTCCATGTTGCTGAGTCCATGCATAACCTTCATCCCTGCCACCACAGCCACTTTGTTTCTAGCCCATTGGGTGATCACAAGGGTGGCTGAAGAAAGAGTTTGACTGGTATTTACAGAAAAGGTCATCCTATCCACTTGATTATTAAATTCCTCCTCTGTGGAGGTCACCCTTTGATGAGCATTCACAAGGGACAGAAATGATTCGTTGCCCATTTAGAGAGGTCTATCCACATACCCCTCCCCCCAGTTTCTTTGTCACCAATTTTCCAACCACATTTCTTTCAAGTCCCTGACTATCCAGCCAAACCATGGGCTACTTTCCATGAACAGGTATATAATCTCACATCTGGCCATTTCTACACCCAAGCAAAGTGAATAACCAGGTGGCAGAATTTTTCTTCACCACTGTCCTCCAGGGCAATGTCCTAGAGAGAGGCATGCAGCTGTCCGCTTTCAGGCAGTGCCTGCATATCATGTAGAACCATTTGTAAACCAGGACCTAGTCTTTGCTTTCCCAGTCAACTAAAACATCCTCACAGACACACACAGAGATAATGTTTTACCAGGCCACCTGGGAGTCCCTTAGTCCAGTCAAGCTGATACATCAAGTTAACTGTCACACCATATTTTATTTCTGCTCTTCTCTGCATATCACTTTTATCTTTATGTCCTACCCATACTGGCTTTAACTGCATCTCACTCCATTTACAGGGAGCAGATGAACTTTCCCATAGCTCCCAAATGTTTATCTTCTCCAGCCAAGAGACCATCTCAGAATAGTTAATCCTGGAAAAATCACCTCTAAGAGTAGGCTCACATGGCAAAAATGAGACTGCTGAGTCCCAGCTTTATAGATAAGCAAGTCCAATAAGGAAATCATTACAAGCTTAGGAGAAATCCCAATAGTTTCTATTGTTTCTATCATAATCATTAAATTCTGATAATTCTATGTCATACATTCTTTTTTTTTCTTTCCAACTGTATTATGCTGTTTTTACATTGCTATAAAGAAATATCTGAGACTGGATAATTTATAAAGGAAAGAGGTTTAATTGTCTCACAGTTCTGCTGGCTGTACAGGAAGCATAATGCTGGCATCTGCTTGGCTTCTAGGAAGGCCTCAGGAAACTTACAATCATGGTGAAGGAGAAGCAGGCACATCACATGGCTGGAGCAACAAGCAAGAAGCAGGGGAAGTGCCGCACACTGTTAAACAAGCAGACCTCTCAAGAACTCATTCACTATCACAAAAACAGCACCAAGAGGATGGTGCTAAATGATTCATGAGAAATCCCCCTCCGTGATCCAGTCACCTCCCACCAGGCCTCACCTCCATGAGATTTGGTGCAAACACAGATCGAAACCATATCAACAACTTTTAATTTAGGTTCATGGAGTACATGTGTAGGTTTGTTACATGGGTAAATTGCCTGTCACAGGGGTTTGGTGTACAGATAATTTTGTCATCCAGGCAGTCAACATAATACCCAGTAGATAGTTTTTCAATCCTCACCTTCCTCTTGCCCTACACCCTCAAGTAGGCCCCAGTGTGTATTATTCCCTTCTTTGTGTCTGTTGTACTCAATGTTTAATTTCACTTGTAAGTGAGAGCATGTAGTGCTTGATTTTCTGTTCCTGTATTAGTTAGCTAAGGATAATGTCCTCCAGCTGCATCCATGTTGCTGCAAAGAATATGATCTTGTTCTTTTTTATGGTTGTATAGTAGTCTATGGACGTGTGGCTGAACTAATTTATCTTTTCACCAACAGTGTATAAGTGTTCCGTTTTCTCCACAACCTTGCCACCACCTTTTCTTTTTTTTTTTTTTTTTTTTGACTTTTTAATAGTACCCATTCTGACTAGAGTGAGATGATATCTCATTGTGGTTTTGACTTGCATTTCCCTAATGATTAGTGATATTGAGCAATTTTTCATATACTTGTTGGCTGTGTGTATGTATTCTTTTGAGAAGTGTCTGTTTATATCCTTTGCCCATTTTTAAATGGGGTTGTTTGATTTGTTTAAGTTCCTCATAGATTCTGGATATTAGGCCTTTGTTAGATGCGTCGTTTGCAAATATTTTCTCCTATTCTGTAGATTATCTGGTTACACCGTTGATTATTTCTTTCCCTATGCAGAAACTCTTTCAATTAGGTCCAAATTGTCAAATTTGTTTTTTTGCAATTGCTTTTGGAGTCTTCCTCAGGAAGTCTTTGCCAGGGCCAATGTCCAGAATGGTGTATCCTAGGTTTTCTTCTAGAATTTTTTTAGTTTTAGGTTGTACATTTAAGTCTTCAATTCATTTTTAGTTGATTTTTGTATATGGTGAAAGGTACAGATCCAGTTCTATTCTTCTGCATATGGCTGGCCAGTTAGCCTAGCACCATTTATTGAATAGGGAGTCACTTCCGCATTGCTTTTCTTTGTTGGTTTTGTCAAAAATCAGATGGTTGTGGGGGTACAACTTTATTTCTGGGTTAACTAATGCATTCCATTGGTCTATATCTCTGTTTTTGTATCAATATCATGTTGTTTTAGTTACTGTAGCCATGTAGCATAGTTTGAAGTTGAGTAATGTGATATCTCCAGCTTTGTTCTTTTGGCATAGGGTTGTCTTGGCTATTTGAGCTCTTTTTTTGGTTTTAAATAAATGTTAGAATAATTTTTTCCTAATTCTATGAAAAATGTCATTGGTAATTTGATAGGAATAGCATTCAATCTATGACATGCTTTGGAAGTATGGCCATTTTAACAATATTGATTCTTCCTATCCGTGATCATGGAATGTGTTTCCATTTGTTTGTGTTTTTCCAATTTCTTTCAGCAGTATTTTGTAATTCTCATTACAGAGATCTTTCACCTCCCTGGTTAGTTTTATTCCTAGGTATTTTATTCTTTTTGTGGCTATTATGAATGAGATTGCATTCTTGATTTGGCTCTCAGCTTGAACATTGTTGATGTTTAGAAATGCTACTGATTTTTATACATTGATTTTGTATCCTGAAACTTTGCTGAAGTCGTTTATCAGATCTAGAAGTTTTTAGGCAGAGACTATGGGGCTTTTTAGATATGGAATCATGTTATATGTAAACAGAGATAGTTTGATTTATTTCTTCCAATTTGGATACATTTTATGTCTTTCTCTTGCCCAATTACTCGGGCTAGGATTTCCAGTACTAAGTTGAATAGGAGTGGTGAGAGTGAGCCTCCTTGTCTTGTTCCGTTTCCCAAGGGGAATTGATATGGTTTGGCTCTGTGTTCTCACCTAAGTCCCATCATGAATTGTAATCCCCATAATCTCTATGTGTCAAGGGCAGGACCAGGTGGAGGTAATTGGATCATGGGGGCAGTTTCCCCCATGCTGTTCTCATGATAGTGAATGAGTTCTCATAAGGTCTGATGGTTTTATAAGCATCTGGCATTTCCCCTGCTTGCCCTCACTCCATCCTGCTGCCCTATAAAGAAAGTGCCTGCTTCTCCTTTGTCTTCTGCTATGATTGTAAGTTCCCTGAGGCCTCCCAAGCCATGTAGAATTGTGAGTCAATTAAACCTCTTTCCTTTATAAATTACCCAGTCTTGGATATTTCTTCATAGCAGTGTGAGAAAGGACTAACACAGGAATGCTTTCAGCTTTTGCCAATTCAGTATGATGTTGGCTGTGGGTTTATCATAGATGGCTCTTATTATTTTGAGGTATGAACTTTTGATGCCTAGTTTGTTGAGTATTTTAAACATGGGATATTGAATTTTGTTGAAAGTCTTTCCTGTTTCTATTGAGATGATCATGTGGTTTTTGTTTTTAATTCTGTTTATAAGGTAAATCACATTTGTTGATTTGCATATGTTGAACCAATCTTGCATCCCAGGAATAAAGCCTGCTTGATCATGATGCATGAGCTTTTTGATGTGCTGCAGGATTCAGTTTGCTAGTCAAGAATTTTTGCATCTGTGTTTTTCAGGGATATTGGCCTGAAATTATGTTGTTGTTGTTGTGCTCTGCCAGGTTTTGATATTAGAATGATGCCAGCTTCATAGAATGTGTTAGGAAAAAGTCCCTCCTCAATTTTTTAGAATAATTTTAGTAGGATTGGTACCACCTCTTCTTTATATGTCTGGTAGAATTTGTCTATTTGTCTGTGAATCTGTCTGGTCCAGGGCTTTTTCTATTTGGTAGGTTTTTTGTTTGTTTGTTTGTTCCTAATTCCATTTTGGAGCTCATTATTTGTCTGTTCAGGGTCTCAATTTCTTCCTGGTTGAATCTTGAGAGGTTATGTGTTTCCAAGAATTTATCCATTTCTTCTAGGTTTTCCAGTTTGTATGCTTAGACATGTTCATAATGGTCTCTGAGGTTTTGGTGTCTCTGTGGGGTCAGTGGTAATGTTACCTTTGTAATTTCCTATTGTGTTTATTTTTATCTTTTCTCTTTTTTCCTTTATTCATTTAGCTAGTGGTCTATCAATCTGATTTATCTTTTCGAATAAGCAACTTTTGGTTTTGTTGATCTTTTGTATGGTTTTGTTTATCTTTTGTATGGTTTTGTTTTGTAAATATATATATATACATATATTTTGTGTGTGTGTGTGTATATATATATATATATATATATATATATATATATATATAGTCTTACTGGTAACTCTAACCAAGACCCAGGATCCTGTTATTTTTTTCATTCACTTCAATATTTGTTGAATGTCTTCAATATTCCAGGTACTATTATAGGTGTTGGTCATAGAGTATTGAATAAGCAAAATGCTTTTATCTTTGGACTTAACTCCTCTTGGGGAGGAGAGAGACAATAACAGATAGATGTTAAGAAAATATTTTTTAACTTGGGAAAAGATAAAGTTCAAAAATGTAAATATATGTTCAAATATTTAATAAAAATAGAAACAATGGCAGACACCATTTATTTCATGTCTACCTTGTATCTGAAACTTTACATATATTAGTTGGTATTTTTAAAATATTTTAAATGTATTCCTTGATTTAATAAATACTTATCAAGTTCCCATTTATCTATCAGGCACTGGATAAATACCAGTAAAGAAAATAACCAAAGAAATCGAGTTTCAGAAAGGGCAAGTAAATGGTCCAAGATCCAAATAAATAGTAAATGACAAAGCTGAGACTTGCAAACAAGTTTGCCTAACTACCAACGTAAAATCAGAGTAACAAATTATGAAGCTGTTGAAATAATTTTGGTGGCATGGACAAGAGTTACAGGAGAAAAGAGGTCATATTCTCTTTATGGGTAAAGACAAAATAATGTCCTAAGATTAGATAAGTGAAAGACAAAAGTCAAGAATGACTCCATGACTCAGAGGCTTTTGGCCTAAGCAATACAATTGAAATGAGGGGAGCTTTAAGAAAAGCTGGTATGGGAGAACATTGAGAGATCCATTTTGGACATGTTGAGTTTGAGGTGTCCATTATACCTCCATGTGAAATTGTTGTGTAGATATTTGGATCTATAAGTCTGAAGTAAATGAGAGCAACTTGGGCTAGAGATATATATTGGGAGTTATCATACAGGTAAATAAGGTGATGTTGATTGTAGCAAGGCTCAGATGCCTTAGAATGCCAATGTTCAAGTGGCAATGTTACCATTAGGTTATGAAAATTAAAGGGCATGACCATTATTTAGACATGCATAGAGGACAGAAAGCTACTTGCTCTTGTGATGAGAGATGGGTTATGGGAAATTTCATGGGCAGCACCAACTGTGAGATTTTGTTGCTTTTTTGTATTGTTTTGTTTATTTGTTTAGAAGCATTTACTCTTTTTAAATGGTTGAAAAATGTTCAGATGAGATTCAATGTTGCATTCATAAAGCAGTGACTCTTAAGCTGTAGTGTAAATAAGAATTACCCATGGGTCAGAGCTGGTTAGAAATTTTATTCCTAGGCCTCGCTCCTAGAAATGTTTATTCAAGTGACTGTAAATGAGACTGATGAATTACCTTTTTTTTTCCAAGCATCTTTGGTGAATCTAATACAACATCCACGAGCCTCACTTTGAAAAACTCTGCCATTTGGTGCCCCACTGGAACAAAGCTTCCAGAAGGAAGAACAGGCAGCAATCTTTGCTGTTCTGCAGCCTCTGCTGGTGATACCCAGGCAAACAGGGTCTGGAGTGGACCTTCAGCAAACTTTAGCAGACCTGCAGAAGAAGGTCCTGTTAGAAGGAAAACTAACAAAGGGAAAGGAATAGCATCAACATCAACAAAAATGACATCCACACAAAAATCCTATCCGAAGGTCACCAACATCAGAGACCAAAGGTAGATAAATCCACGAAGATGAGGAAAAACCAGTGCAAAAAGGCTGAAAATTCCAAAAACCAGACAGCCTCTTCTCCTCTAAAGGATCACAACTCCTCGCCAGCAAGGGAACAAAGCTGGACGGAGAATGAGTTCAATGAATTGACAGAAGTAGGCTTCAGAAGGTGGGTAATAACAAACTCCTACGTGCTAAAGGAGCATGTTCTAAACCAATGCAAGGAAGCTAAGAACCTTGAAAAAAGGTTAGATGAATTGCTAACTAGAATAACCAGTTTAGAGAAGAACATAAATGACCTAATGGAGCTGAAAAACACAGCACGAGAACTTTGTGAAGCATACACAAGTATCAGTAGCTGAATAGATCAAGCAAAAGAAAGGATATCAGAGATTGAAGATCAACTTAATGAAATAAAGGGAGAAGACAAGATTCAAGGAAAAAGAATAAAAAGGAATGAACAAAGCCTCCAAGAAATATGGGACTATGTGAAAAGACCAAATCTATGTTTCACTGGTGTACCTGAAAGTGACAGGGAGAATGCAATCCAGTTGGAAAACACTCTTCAGGATATTATCCAGGAGAACTTCCCCAACCTAGCAAGGCAGGCCAACATTCAAATACAGAAAACACAGAGAACACCACAAAGACACTCTTACAGAAGAGCAACCCCAAGACATGTAATCATCAGATTCACCAAGGTTGAAATGAAGGAAAAATTCTTAAGTGCAGCCAGAAAGAAAGGTCGGGTTACCCACAAAGGAAAGCTCATGAGACTAACAGCAGATCTCTCTGCAGAAATCCTACAAGACAGAAGAGAGTGGGGGCTAATATTCAACATTCTTAAAGTAAAGAATTTTCAGCCCAGAATTTCATATCCAGCCAAACTAAGCTTCATAAGTGAAGGAGAAATAAAATCCTTTACAGACAAGCAAATGCTGAGAGATTTTGTCACCACCAGGTTTGCCTTACAAGAGCTCCTGAAGGAAGCACTAAACAGGGAAAGGACCAACCGGTACCAGCCACTGCAAAAACATACCAAATTGTAAAGACCATCGACACCATAAAAAGACTGCATCAACTAATGGGCAAAATAACCAACTAGCATCATAATGACAGGATGAAATTCACATATAACAAAATTAACCTTAAATGTAAATGGGCTAAATGCCCCAATTAAAAGACACAGACTGATAAATTGGATAAAGAGTCAAGACCCATTGGTGTGCTATACTCAAGAGACCCATCTCACGTGCAAAGACACACATAGGCTCAAAATAAAGGGATGGAAGAATATTTACCAAGCAAATAGAAAGCAAAAAAAGAGCAGGGGTTGCAATCCTAGTCTCTGATAAAACAGACTTTAAACCAACAAAGATCAAAAAAGACAAAGAAGGGCATCACGTAATGGTAAATGGATCAATGCAACAAGAAGAGCTAACTATCCTAAATATATATGCACCCAATACAGGAGCACCCAGATTCATAAAGCAAGTCCTTAGAGGCCCACAAAGAGACTTAGACTCCCACACAATAATAGTGGGACACTTTAACACCCCACTGTCAATATTAGACAGATCAACGAGAGAGAAAATTAGCAAGGATGTTCAGGACTTCAACTCAGCTCTGGACCAAGTGGACCTAATTGACATCTACAGAACTCTGCACCAGAAATCAACAGACTATACATTCTTCTCAGCACCACATCGCACTTATTCTAAAATTGACCACATAATTGGAAGTAAAACACTCCTCAGCAAATGCAAAAGAATGGAAATCATAACAAACAGCCTCTCAGACCACAGTGCAATCAAATTAGAAGTCAGGATAAATAAACTCACTGAAAACCACACAACTACATGACAACTCAACCACCTACTCCTGAATGACTACTGGATAAATAACAAAATTAAGGCAGAAATAAGTTACTTCTTTCAAACCAATGACACAATGTTGTTGTGAAAGAACCAATGACTTTCTTTCAAAGACACCATGTACCAGGATTTCTGGGACATAGCTAAAGCAGTGTTTAGAGGGAAATTTATAGCAATAAATGCCCACAGGAGAAAGCAAGAAAGATCTAAAATCGGTATCCTAACATCACAATTAAAAGAACTAGTGAGGCAAGAGCAAACAAATTCAAAAGCTAGCAGAAGACAAGAAATAACTAAGATCAGAGTGGAACTGAAGCATATTGAGACATGAAAAACCCTTCAAAAAAATCAATGAATCCAGGAGCTGGTTTTTTGAAAAGATTAACAAAATACATAGACTACTAGCCAGACTAATAAAGAAAAAAGAGAGGGCTGGGTGCAGTGGCTCACACCTGTAATCCCAACACTTTGGGAGGCTGAGGAGGGCAGATCACGAGGTCAGGAGATCGAGACCATCCTGACTAACATGGTGAAACCCTGCCTCTACTAAAAAATACAAAAATTAGCCGGGTGTGGTGGCGGGTGCCTGTAGTCCCAGCTACTCAGGAGGCTGAGGTGGGAGAATGGCATGAACCTGGGAGGCAGAGCTTGGAGTGAACCAAGATCACACCAGCGCACTCCAGCCTGGGCAACAGACCGAGACTCTGTCTCAAAAAAAAAAAAAGAGAGAGAGAGAGAAGCATCAAATAGACACAATAAAAAATGATAAAGGGTGGATCACCATGATCCCACAGAAATACAAACTACCATCAGAGAATACTGTAAACACCTCTATGCAAATAAACTAGAAAATCTAGAAGAAATGGATAAATTCCTGAACACATACACCATCCCAAGACTAAACTAGGAAGAAGTTGAATCCCTGAATAGACCAATAACAAGTTCTGAAATTGAGGCAGTAATTAATAGCCTACCAACCCCAAAAACCTCAGGACCAGACAGATTCACAGCCTAATTCTACCAGAGGTACAAACAGGAGCTGGTAACATTCCTTCTGAAACTATTCCAAACAATAGAAAAAGAGGGACTCCTCCCTAACTCATTTTACGAGGACAGCATCATACTGATACCTAAACCTGCCAGAGACAATACAAAAAAAGAAAATTTCAGGCCAATATCCCTGATAAACATTGATGCAAAAATCCTCAATAAAATACTGGCAAACCAAATCCACTAGCACATCAAAAAGCTTATCCACCACAATCAAGTCGGCTTCATCCCTGGGATGCAAGGCTGCTTCAACATACACAAATCAATAAATGTAATCCATCACATAAACAGAACCAATGACAAAAACAACATGATTATCTCAATAGATGCAGAAAAGGCCTTTGATAAAATTCAACACCCCTTCATACTAAAAACTCTCAATAAACTAGCTATTGGCAGAACATATCTCAAAATAATAAGAGCTATTTATGACAAACCCATAGCCAATATCATACTGAATGGGCAAAAGCTGGAAGCATTCCTTTTGAAAACTGGCACAAGACAAGGATGCCCTCTCTCACCACTCCTATTCAACATAGTATTGGAAGTTCTGGCCAGGTCAATCAGGCAAGAGAAAGAAATAAAGTGTATTCAAATATGAAGAGAGGAAGTCAAATTATTGGTGTTTGTAGATGACAAGATTGTATATTTAGAAAACCCCATCATCTCAGCCCCAAGTCTCCTTAAGCTGATAAGCAACTTCAGCAAATTCTCAGGTTACAAAACCAATGTGCAAAAATCACAAGCATTCCTATACACCAATAACAGACAAACAGAGAGCCAAATCATGAATGAACTCCCATTCACAATTGCTACAAGAAGAATAAAATACCTAGAAATACAACTTACAAGGGATGTGAAGGACTTCTTCAAGGAGAACTACAAACCACTGTTCAATGAAATAAAGGAGGACACAAACAAATGGAAAAACATTCCATCCTCATGGACAGGAAGAATCAATATCATAGAAAAGACCAGAGAGCCCAAAGTAATTTATAGATTCAATGCTATCCCCATCAAGCTACCATTGACTTTCTTCACAGAATTAGAAAAAACTACTTTAAATTTCATATGGAACCAAAAAAGAGCCCGTATATGTCTTGGATATCCAAGACAATCCTAAGCAAAAAGAACAAAGCTGGAGTCCTCACACTACTTGACTTCAAAGTATATTACAAGGCTACAGTAACCAAAATATCATGGTCCTGGTACCAAAATAGACATGTAGAACAATGGAACAGAACAGAGGCCTCAGAAATAACACCACATATCTACAACCATTTGATCTTTGACAAACTTGACAAAAACAAGCAACGGGGAAAGGATTCCCTATTTAATAAATGATATTGGGAAAACTGGCTAGCCATATGCAGAAAACAGAAACTGGACCCCTTTCTTAGGCCTTATACAAAAATTAACTCAAGGTTGATTAAAGACTTAAATGTAAGACCTAAAACCATACAAACCCTAGAAGAAAACTTATGTAATATCATTCAGGACATAGGCATAGGCAAAGACTTCATGACTAAAACGCCAAAAGCAATTACAGCAAAAGCCAAAATTGACAAATGGGATCTAATTAAACCAAAGGGCTTCTGCACAGCAAAACAAACTGTCATTAGAGTGAACAGGCAGCCTACAAAATGGGAGAAAATTTTTGCCGTCTATCCATCTGACAAAGGGCTAATATCCAGAATCTACAAGGAACTTAAACAAATTTACAAGAAAAAAACAAACAACCCTATCCAAAAGTAAGCAAAGGATATGAACAGATACTTCTCAAAAGAAGATATTTATGCACCAACAAACATATGACATACTGGTCATTAGAGAAATGCAAATCAAAACCTCAATGAGATACCATCTCATGCCAGTTAGAATGGCGATCATTAAAAAGTCAGGAAACAATAGATGCTGGAGAGGATGTAGAGAAATAGGAACACTTTTACACTGTTGATGGGAGTGTAAATTAGTTTAACCATTGTTGAAGACAGTGTGGTGATTCCTCAAGGGTCTAGAACAAGAAATACCATTTGACCAAGCAATCCCTTTACTGGGTTCATACCCAAAAGATTATAAATTATTCTCCTATAAAGACACATTCACATGTATGTGTATTGCAGCACTATTTACAATAGCAAAGACTTGGAACCAACCCAAATACCCATCAGTGATAGGCTGGATAAAGAAAATGTGGCATATATACACCATGGAATACCATGCAGCCATAAAAAAGAATGACTTTCATGTCCTTTGCAGGGACATGGATGAAGCTGGAAACCATCATTCTCAGCAAGCTAACACAGGAAGAGAAAACCAAATACCCCATGTTCTCACTCATAAGTGGGAGTTGAACAATGAGAACACATGGACACAGGGAGGGGAACATCACACAACGGGGCCTGTCAGGGGATGGGGGGCTAGGGGAGGGATAGCATTAGGAGAAAAAAAAGAAAAACTCTGCCATTGATTATTAAATAAATGTTTTTGCCTAGGGTTATTGTAAAGGCAATTGCTTCTTGGTGCATCTATTTGGCAAGCTTAAAACAAATCGGATTCTATCCTGCTTTAGTGACACAAGGCAAGATAGTATATTAGCCACTTTCGCTTAGTGCAAGTGAGTTTATAAGTTTCCTTTCTTTAATTACATTAACAATGTTCCTGAGAACAGATTTTGTGGAGGAAGGTGAAGAATACTTGTGAACAGTAAGTGATGGGATGAGAGACAGTGAGGAAAGGGAGCCTGAGGGCTTTGCCCCCTGGACTCTGCCATACAAAATGCACAAGATAATGCTATTTATACATTAACATAAACACCCAGATACATTTTTGACTCATTTATTTGCAACAGTCAATCAAGGACTGTGAGCCAGGCACTGTGTCAGATGTGGGAATCTAGGTCATCAGAATCCTAGCCTGTTATCCAAGAGGTACAACCAAACTGCAGGGAGAGAAGACAAAAAGATTATCTGTATCTTCCATTCTAAGAAACTAAAACCAGCCAGTATACCTCAGTCTGAGACTGTGTGCTGTTAAGGCTCTACGTGAGAGGCATGCCACTCCTGTGGTGTCCTTGGATAACACCAAAGCTGGATGGAAATGATCACCTTGAACACTGAAATCTGAGATTCCCATTGTGATTATGCTATTGAAGAGATAGGGGAGTTGGTTTAATCTAACAGACCTTGTTCATTGAATTTTTGTTTTCCTATTGTCAGACACTTCCTAAGATCTTTAAGGCAGGTCAAATAAACCCTCTGATGTACTTGCTCAAACAACATAATTGGGTTCACCACTACTGCTATGTGTTGTGTCTTGGAGTGATAGCTCAAATAAACTGTTTTGAACTCCTTAAAGTTGTTTACTGCTATCACAAACCAGTAGATACAAATAAGATAAAGGAAGAGTCTGCATTTTGCTATCTTGCACGTTAAATCTGCTTAGAGCTCAGCACTAGGAAAAAGTGTCTTTTTCTACATAACCAGTGTGCTTTAAAAAATTAAATTAAATGATTTTATTTCCTTTATAAGGGAATAAAACTATTTCCTAGTGCTGAACTCTAAGCAGATTTAATATGCCCAAGATAGCAAAATGCATGCTTCCATTTATCTTTTTTTTTTTTTTTTTTTGTGACAGAGTCTCGCTGTTGGTCAGGCTGGAGTGCAGTGGCGCGATCTCGGCTCACTGCAACCTCCGCCTCTCGGGTTCAAGTGATTCTCCTGCCTTAGCCTCCTGAGTAGCTGGGACTACAGGCACATGCCACCATGCCCAGCTAATTTTTTTTATATTTACTAGAGATGGGGTTTCACCATGTTAGCCAAGATGGTCTCCATTTCCTGACCTCATGATCCACCCACCTCAGCCTCCCAAAGTTCTTCCATTTATCTTATTTGAATTTACTGGTTTGTGATAGCAGTAATCAACTTTAAGGAGTTCAAAACATTTAGTTGAGCTATCACTCCAAGACACAACACAGAGCATATTTTCTCTAATTTTTTATCTAATTTTTCTTGACTATCAAGAAATTAAAAGCAATGCTTTATGTTAATTAGTAATAATGTTCTTAAGTCTAACTTTTCTGAACAATTTTCCTCTCCCTCTACCTTTGATTTAGCCCTATTTTATTATTGATTCTGTGATGATGGTTTGGAGGTGTTTGTATTCCTGCATTTTATTACAAGCCCTTAATATTCCTTTTGGACATATAAGTAAAACTCAGTGTTAAAATCTGACTCTTGTTGACAGTTTCAACGCAGACACAATATGATTGGTACCTGGTTACCAAAGTGAGAGTAAGACAATTCCTCCTCCTGCAATATGCAGAATTTGTAAAGGGAAGTAAGTCCCCTCCCTCCACTCACTTGTAAACATTTCACCCAGATGAAAGATAAAATGAGGATCGGGTGCTGTGGCTCATGCCTGTAATCCCAACACTTTGGGAGATCAAGTTGGGTGGATCACTTGAGGCCAGGAATTCAAGACCAGCCTGACCAATATGATGAAACCCCATCTCAACTAAAAATACAAAAATTAGCCAGGCCTGGTGGTGGGAGCCTCTAGTCCCAGCTACTCGAGAGGCTGAGGCATGAGAATTGCTTGAACCTGGGAGGAAGAGGCTGCAGTGAGCCACTGCACTCCAGCATGGGCAACAGAGTGAGATTCTGTCAAAAAAAAAAAAAAGAGAGAGAGAGATAAAATAAGGCCAGAAGAGGGAGAAGGAGGTATTGATGACAACACTTAGAGCTGTGGCCATTCTGTGAGTCCTTACCCACTTTCTTTTGCAGGAAGAACTGGGAGCAATGAAACTTTCTAACCAGAAGCGTGGTAAGGAGACTTCAAGGGAATTTCTAAAGTAGCTTTGAAAAATATTTCTTGCTATTAGGAGATACAAAGAATGGGTGCCTGCCTCCATCTGATACAGCTAAAGCTGATACTGGACTAGTCTGACCCCACCCAGAAAATCTGTCTGGAAAAGAAAGGCCAACTGCTTGGTAGTGGAGGCAGGAGAATTTTGCTATATTGAGGTGGGCTCATACTCTCTTAGTTTGTAGGGGCAAGGCATGTGTACAAATTTCCTATGCATAGATGGGAGACTCATGGAAGAGTCATAATCAGTGGAGTGACTGTCGCAGAATTTCAAGTAAACCCTAGAATAGGCATGCATTCTTTTGGATCAGAGAGTAAATGTGTGCCAAAGCATCATTTGTAGCTTCTACCTGATGGAAATCTCTAAACTGTTAACTTTTCAGTCAATCAGATTTTGTCTTCTCCTTCTCTCTAATAAAAATATGTCCTCCCAAAGGAAATTGCCTAATTGGGGTGGAACACAAAGGCAGGAATTTCATTTTCAAGATGTACCGATACACTTCATCTAAGGAGTTTGTTGACTAGATTACATCCCTTTTCAATTAACTGCCATCTTCAGAAGCGGAAACTTAATCCATAGTCATATAGCATGCTCTTGTTTGATGGGGCAAAATGGAAGGCAAAAACAGTGTGAGAAGGGTTGACAATGGCTTTGATGGTGAATGTGGGCAGGGTGGAGAAAAGGAGGTAGGTAAAAGTCAGAAAGTGAAACTGTTGACTAACTCATCGGAAATGGGAACAGCTATGATGAAAAGTCAGTTGCATCCAGCTCTCACTTCTGCCTAACACTTGCCAAACAGTGTTTCATATGGGCAAAGATTGCTATGATGTACCTTTGTGTTCCCTGGATTACTAACTCTAGTCTGATGACCCACAGATAAATCAGCTGCAACCCAGTTATCAGCATGTTTTATTATAGATTTAAAATGCAGACTACTATGTGGAGAAACAGGAAAACAGTATACATTGAAAACAAAAGCTAAAATTATAACATCAGGAAAATGTAAAGGTCACCTGTTGGTAGTCATCCCTCTAGCTGCAGCTGTAGTAACCTCTGCTTGCCCTGAGAAATCACCAGTATGCCAAATTTTTACAATTTCATTTTCTCCCTTAGTCTGCTATGATTATCCCAGGAATGAAGCGGGGGCAGAGAGGAGTCATTAAGGAGAGTTTCACAGTGGTGTGCTGGTGAACTAGCTGTCCAAAAGGAAAATGTGTAGTGTTTGCCAATTTACATGGTATAAATACTCCCACCATAGCCAATTTCAAGAATGCCTATAGTTAATAACTAAAGTGCAACATTCCTGAAAATTTAATAATATGTGCTTATAAGCTAGCACCAGCCCACTCCAGCACACATTGCTTATAACACAACAAAGATCAAGAACACCAAGATTTTATAAGTATACATATATATACACACACACATATACACACACACACACACACACACACACATATGTATGACACACTTTAATTTCCTGAGAAGATATGCAAATGCAACAGAAACAAGCTCTCCAAGTCTTTGGCCCTGTAGCTACTCAGCAGATGTTTTTTTAAAAAGTCATACTAAGAAACAACTTGGCCTCAGGCTTAGCATGCTCCTGAGCAATTTTTGTTAAACAAAATACAAAAAAAACCTCTTTTAAATAGCTTTACATGTAATATTATTTAACATAATGCAGCTTTTCACAAATATCCATAAATATTTTAAATTTGTTTACAATGTAATATTATATACCTTTCAACAAGAACCTGCAAGTAGCTAATTTAAGAGTCCAAAAATTTTGAATTAGTGCTATTTATTATTTTAGAAGTTAGCACATTTGACTAAGATGGGCCCTGCAAAGTGAAGAGGGGAATTTGGTTGGGATAAGGCCTGAACAGCATCCTGGATCTCCCTGATTCAGGCAGGAAAAAAAAAAAAAGTGTGCTGGTAAAGGAAAGATCTGTTGTAGCTTCACTCTGCTCACCTTGGGCTAAAGGGGAATATGCTTCCTGAAAAGTGAATTCGCTAAGTTTTAGAGTCTTATAACACGATAGCAGAAATAACAATTCTAAAGCTGAGACAGTGCAATGCAGGGGACTACCCATTGCCTCTTGTAGTCACTTGTCCTATGAGTTGAGGAAAGTTGGCTATGCTATGCTATCACATTCTCATCACTAAAATTTTCCCCCAAATGCCTGCCCAATTAACTTCATAGAATTGCTAACTGTTTTACGAAAGCACTTTGCAAACTGTGGAAAGCTAGCTAAAAATACTAAATCATTACATGACATAATCCAGTAATGATAATACCATTCTGGGGTTAAACCTAATGATTACTAATGGTTACTCTTTCTTTACAATTAGCAATGTTTAGACACACACACCAACAGTAAGGTCTCACAAAGCTCTACGTGAGGGTTCGGAATGACTCCTTTGATAAGGCTTTTTAAAGCACCCTGCATCCTGAGGAAGATAAAACCAAGAGAAATTTCCAGATAGCGTACATTCCATTTTATGCCACTTGTACCTCTATTCCAATAGTTCTCAGATTGTTCTTTATCTTCTAACACCACCATATCTAAAGTAGGGTATGGTAGGCATATCTGTGGCCATCCTATCAGTCTACTTTTTATTGGGAGGGTCTCAGAAGATGGGAGTATGAGAAGAATGAATTACAGCAGCCCAAGAATATGAGAACAAAGCCAGGCTACTGCCCCAGATCCTTTTTGCATACCAGGTAAATCTTCCATGGGAATAGAACTCCATTTTTCCACTCATGAATTCAAGAATTAGATAAAGATTCTTTGAAAAGCACATGTCCTCTGTCATCCATATTTGTTTTATCATGGATTAATGAAGTATCTCTGCAGATCCAACCAAAAGTCTTTGGCTCTTCCCCTGAGTCTCTTTCAGATAGGCATGATAGATGAAAATTCACGTGCAGAGGAGTTCTGTTTGTGTTGATTTTTGTAGACAGACAAACTCTAGAAATTGAATATCTTCTCCCTCCAATCCACCCACTGGCACCTCTACATGTGCTGAAGGGAATGAGGAGATCAAATCAAGTCTCTAGGAGATGAATTGGGGATTTGCTAGTAAAATGATACCCCAGTATGTATTATTTTTTAGAACCTGATGCTCAGAGTTGAATATCAAGTCTATGGTGTCCCCAACATGCAATTCATAAGTCCCTCCTACATTTTGGATTTTAGATTTGTTTGTTAGAGTTTGTATCATGTCTTTGTTTTTATACAGCCGCACCTCAAAAGGAGCTACATCATTGTAGTTTGCATTGGGAGCCACTTGGCCATAAATTAAATATAAGCCATTCTGAAGTATCTCCAGCTTCCAGTCAGACACCTTATTCACGCAAGGAGGTTCAGAAGATGCCATTTGCCATTTTGAGGGTAATGGTCCTATAAGAAATATACAAGGATAAAAAAGATGAAAGCATAGTTATTTCATTATTTCATCCTTTTCCAGATTGTAGTTAATTATTTACCACATACATGTTGTTTCTTTACCTGATCTACACTAGTTCTCTTCAAGCAGAATTTTTCTATTTTAAGTACCTATCTACTCCTTGTTTTAGAGAAATTGCAAATCCAAAGAGTATTTCTTGCTTGGAGCAAGAATTCTAAGGAAAAGAATTTGGAATAGAAAAATGACTTAAGTGACTTCGCATCTCTTGTTGATTAATATTTGTGGGAAAAAGAAAGGAGAAGAAAAGACTAATGGAGAAAGAAATCACAAGCCAAAATTTTGAAAACCAGGGTTGGCAGTCCATGCCTTTCCAGGCATTTTCGGTGTAAATACCACTGGCTGTTTATCACTTTATCAGTGTGGCTTTCCTTAATTATGCTATATTAAAAAGTGTTCTCCTATCATTCCCTCATTTTACCTTGCTTGAGTTTTCTTCATAAAGTGTGTCAGTGTCTAGGATGTTATAAACTAAATTGTTCATTTGTTTATTGTCCATCTTGTATCACTTTGAATGTAAAATTTTTTAGGACAAATATATCTCTATTTTGTTCATTCTTGTATTTTCAGCACCTGAAAAAGTCCCTGGTACCTGGTAGATGTTCCATAAATATTTATTGATTGAATGATACTTCCATGTTCCTGAATTAGGTGCTTTGTGTCTAAATTATGGCTGTTCTCCTCAGTTTGTAGGTATATATCATTTAAGACCTACTTAGGATTCATTAAATAAATCCCCCAAAAATAGCTAATTGTAAATTTATGAGTTTATAAATAGAAATAACTTGACTATTTAAATATAAGGATCCCTAGTGCAATACTGTCCCAAATGGTAAAGAAAAGGTAAAGACCTAATCATTCATTTTCATTAGCACATATGAAACTTAGATGTTTGCCTAACATTACTTGGTTTTGCACAGCAGTGTGATCTCACAGCCCCGGGAGGTGCTTTTACCACCCAGAATGCTTATCTGTTCTGCAATTCTCCATAATTTTTGTCCTTTGTCCCATAATTAAAAAGAAAACTTGATGAGGAAACACCCTGGAAGAGGTAACATTTTTACTTCAATGCTCATTCATATGAATGACTAATATAAGACTCTGAAGGTAGATTCTGGAGGAGAATGAAAGAGCGATCACTAGAACAAAAGACAAAGCCACCCAGTATCGCCAATGAGCTCGGAGCCCAGTAAATTTCTTCTTCCTTGACATGTAATAGGCAATAGGCAGGTCACCAGGAAGAAGTGTCATTGGTTCTCCCATTTAATTCTGTGAAAGGGGGTCATTTAAAGACCACCTTAGCATCACTTGAGTTTCTCAACTTTTACCACATCAAGGCATAATTTCACACATGCCATGCATTCCATTCCACTTATGGGCAAAACAAAAACAAAACACAAAGAAAGAGACAGGCAAAAGGACATTTTCTAATTCCCACAAGCCAAGGAAACCTACTGGTTTAAACTATATAGGAACACAGGGGTTGCAGAGTTAACTCTAGAAATGGTCTGTTCTCAACTGAAAATGTATGTTTGGCCTGAAACCTATAAACAACTTTAAAAAAAATGTATTTATCTGAAATTTTCCATGTATTCTAAGAATCTAAGGCTCAGTGTAACTGTAAACTGGTGTGTTTTCTAAGCAAATATCAGGTGACCACAAGGGAAAATGACTCAGAAGCTAAGCTTAGAAGAGAAAATAGTAGAGGAAGTGGCCACTTTTCCAACTCTCATTGCTCTTCTATACATTTAGAAACAACAATGGCACTCTCTCACATACTCCATTGGACATTAGCAATATGTGAAACATGAGAAAGACTTTAAGGAAAGGTTGTAGAAATCTGAAACTTGTTGTGTTTATTAAAACACAGAATTAAAAGGAGATTCCCGGATCTCAGATTCATAGGCCAGTAAGAGAGATGCTCATTCCTGGCCAGAGATGCAGCCTTCAACATAAGCTTTATCAGGGCATGGGCTTCTTTTGCCTGGTTTACCTCTGAAAGCCTCAGCTCTTGGGCAACTGCCCAGTACATGATAAGTAATTATACATAGTAGCTCAGAAATGAATAAAAGAAAATACAGGTTTTCTTGAGATCACTGACACCTGCCTTCTTGCATCAAAAACTAAGAAAAGTAAAAGACATGCAAGATAGGTTACTCACCAAACTTAGCCATACAGGGCTCCTTAGCAGTCTGTTGGGGAAATAAAAGATGAATTGATTAGGATGATGACAGTGTCATTAATTTTTTTGATTGATTTATTTAGAGCTTTGAATTCCTGAAGCAAACTAGTGTTCTATAACCATAAAAAAAATCCTTCCCTTCACCATGTCTCAGCCCTCTCAGCCTCCCTTTAAAGTTGAGTGGCTCCATCCTTTACCTTTTATTACCTAGCTTCCCTTTTAGGTCTTTTAGACAAAGGTCAAGATCTCATTCCATTACCTAATCTATACCTACAGGACAACTATTTGATATCGGACCCCCCCCCCAACCTTGGGCTCTAAAAGTTTTTCAACAAAATAGCAGTTTCCACACCCCAGTGACTGCACAAGGTGATCTGTTGGCATGTGAAAGGAAAATAGTGAAGCTTCTATTTATGTTTATTTTATTTAAAACAGTAAATTAAGCCCTAGAAATATTTACAACTCAGATTGATGAAACCACCCATGTATAATATTCAGATAACTACATGTCATATACAGTATCTGAGATACCCTGAAAAACAGTTCCAAGTTTCAGACTACTGCAATGTACGGCAGTTCACATGCTACAAGATGCCATCAGTGTGTGGTTAATTTTACAAACACAAGTAGTTAATGCTAAATGCTCAAAAATACGTTGTAGTAAATTCAGGCATAACCACAAACATTTTTTGTATCACCCAAAGGTTATTGGTTTCCTAATGGCAAAGTGCTTAAAAGACTTTTTGAACTTAAACGTGTTGCACACTTTCCTTTTGTAGGATTTCTCTGGCTGCTATGCTAGGAACAAATTAAACAGAGGCAAGGGCAAATGTAGTGAGACTAGCTAAGAGATCATTACAGTCATTCATCTAGGCAAGAGAGCATGGTGTCTCTGACCAAGGTGCTAGCTCTGTAGATGGTGATACTTGGTTGGAAAATAGAGCCAACAGAAGTTCCTGACATGGATATGGGGTAGGGAATGAGAAGAAACAAAGATGACTCCAGTATTTTAGGCCTGCATAATTGGAAAGATAAAGTTGTTATTCACTAAAATGGATAAGATGTAAGAGGAATAAATGGGGAGGGGAACAATGATGAGTTTGGTTGTGGACATATTAGTTTGTGATGCTTATTATAAATCCAAGTAAGTGTGTCAAGCAGGCTGAAATTTAAGGAGCTCTGGTGATATACATTTAAGAGTCTTAAGCTCATAGTTGATGTTTTAAGCTGTGAGATTGTATGAGGCCATCATGTTAGTGGGTGTAGATGGAGAGGAACACTGGGGCGTTGTGATGTTTAGAGGTCGGAGAATGAGAAAGAACAAGCAAGGGACAATAGAAAGGAAAAGCTGAGTCTGAAAGGAAACTAGGAGAGTCTGATGTTTGGAAGCCAAGAAAAGAAAGTATTTCATGAAGGACGAGTGATCAGCTGGTGTCAAATGCTGTTGATAGATCAAGTAAGAAGAGTACAGTGAATTGACTGATAGATTGAGCAACATGGTAGTCACTGGAGTTCTTGACAAAATTAGTTTCTGTGATATGTGAAGAGGGCAGAAGCTTAGTTAAAATAAATTTAAGGGTAAATGGGACAAGAGAAGTTGGAGGAATTTTGCTGTAGGGAGAGCAGAAAAAAATGAGTGGAGTTTGGATGAGGATGAGAGATCAAAGAGGTTTTTTGTTGTTGTTGTTGTTGTTGTTGTTGTTACGTTTTAATGTGAGAGAAATGACAACACGTTTTTCTATTTCCATTTGATGGAAATGTTTCTGTAAAATGGATGAGGCATAATATGTAAGAGCGAGGAGAGAACTGTTGCAGCAATGTCCCTGAGTAGGCAAGAGAGGATAAGATTTAGTTCATAGATGGCTTGGATAGATGCATGGACAATTTATCCATAGTGACAAGACAGAATAACAGTATACCTGGACACAAATGCCAATGAGTTGTTGATATTGGAACTTCTTTCCTCCGTACTTCTATTTTCTCTTAAAATATGGAGGCAACGTTATCAGTGGAGAGTGAGAATGGGGAAGAGTTATTAGATGTTTGAAGAGAAGCTAAAGGTATGAAATCATCCAGTAGAGGAGAGTGAATGGACTGGGGAAACATGGGCTGTTTCCAGAGCAACAATGAAATCCACTTGAAGGCAGTGGCTGTGAATTTAAAGTAAGACCTTTCAAAAAATTTTATGTTTTTCTTCAGATATATTCAACAGTGAAAGAGACAGAGCAGTTGGATTTAATCAGCATTGGAGGTTTTCCATAGTCGAGCTTTTGTCATTAGAGTATAATGAAGATAGAGAGAAGCAAGTGAGTGAGTTTATGCGAGGGAGGTGTTAAAGCTATAGATCTTGGAATTTAGTTGTGGAAGGAAGGAAAGAGAGGCATCCATCATTGAATGATGGATTGAAAATTAAGTGGTATGACATGATAAGAATATCCAAAGATGTGTTCTTCCATTTTAATCTATATTTGTTTGTCGGGTAATTTTTCAGTCATGATGGTCAAAATCATGAAACAAGGTAAATTAACATATCAAACTTCAAATTGCTGTATCACATAGTGTTAAGCTCAGATTAAAAAATAAAATAAATGCATTCACCACGTTATTAAAATATTTTACTTATTTTAGTAATGTTTATGACATATTAATGATTATAGAAAATATAACATTTTGGTGAAAGCAAAATGGTTTTGCATTGTGAGAGTTACATTGAATATATTATTTGGCTCACCCTTATAAATATATATTTTGTGTATCTCTTTAGTGTACATATTATTAGTACTTGTATATAGTATAATAATTAGCATACAAATGTTGGGAATTATACTGATAATATGTTATTGAAAGGGAGGTGCAATTAAAAAGTCTGAAAGCCACTATTCTAGGAAATAAATTTTTTGATTCCCTACACTTGTTTTTTTTTGTTGTTGTTGTTGTTGTTGTTGTTTTTTGAGACAGGGTCTCATTCCGTTGCCCAGGCTGGAGTGCAGTGGTGTTATCTCAGTTCACTACAGCCTCATCCTCCTGGACTCAACCAATTCTCCCACGTCAGCCCCCTGAGTAGCTGGGACTACAGGTGCATGCCACCAAGCCCAGCTATTTTTTTTGTATTTTTTTGTAGAGACAGGGTTTTGCCATGTTGCCCAGGCTGGTCTCAAACTCTTGACCTCAAGCAATCTACCCGCCTCAGCCTCCCAAAGTGCTGGGATTATAGGCGTGAGCCACTGTGCCTGGCCTCTTGCAATTATTTCATCCTCATTTTGGTGTTTCCTGGAGGAGATGTTGAAATTCAATTTAGTTCAACCCATGATAGGGACGTGACAAAGACTCCCTTAACCCCAATTTCCTCATCTATAAAATGGGAGAAATAATAGCACCTAGCTTGTTGAAGTTGTTGGGGTTAAATGAGGTCGTTTTTAATAAGGGCTTTGCCTAGATATCCTGCCTGGACCTGTTCAATAAATATTAGCTGTTTGGGTGATGATGGTGATTGTAATGAAGAATTGAACTACAATTTAAGCATCCATATTTCCAACATTGTACAGCATTGTAAGCATGAGAAACAAATGTAATTTTTGGTCCTTGCTTCTCAAGAAGTTTATAATCTTTCTAGAAAGACATGATTACACACCCAAAGCAATTTGGTAACAATCTAAATATGAATGAGTGCCAAAATACGTGCCACAGATAGTATCTGCACCATCTACTAGCATGTATGAGATGTGCTCAGAGAAACCTAAGCTATAGACAACCTAAGTCCAAACTAATTTCCAGAGTCAGAAATTCCGTATAATATACTGCAGGCTGCTTTATGTCTATTTAGCGCTACAGAGACCATCACTGTGATACTCTCTAATTATTGCCACCACTAAAAATCCATCTAATTGCAAAATCATAAATTTGGCTCTGAGATATAGTGTTTGATTGAGAGAGTGATATAGGTAGGCAAAGACTATCCATATTGTTAAATGGTCTTGTTAAATTTTTGCCCATTATTATCTCATTAATAGTAATGGGGCAAATATTAATCACTCCCCTCTACTGGGAGCTACTTTATGTCAGATACTCTACTGTCTCATTAATCCTTAGCACAACTCTACAAAAATTAGGTTGCTCATTTTGCAGATGAGGAAATGAGGATGAGAGGGATTAAGTAACTAGCCTAAGGTCATGCAGCCAATAAAAGGCAAGAATGAGATCTACACCCAGCCTGTCTGGGTCAACACTCTCACCTCTACCACTCTGTGGGGTAAGTTTCTATTTATAATTCTGCTGATGTTTGGAAGTAGTAAATACCCACTTTTAAAGACACATATGGGTTCGTTATTTTTGCTTAGAAGGATCAGTTGCTTTTGTAACCTCTTCTTGATTTAAGGCTAGATTTACGTAGTTCGGCTCAAAATGGCCAAAACAATCATTCTCTCTCCAAACCAACCCTAATCAAATCATCAGTGAAAATAAAATCTGCTCTGCTTTTAAGTATAAGTACAACTTCCCCTTCTGAAAGTATCCTTCATTTTGCTGAAGTTCAGACTCTGCTGAACATTTGATTTCTTAGTGATAATTCCTGTGAGATTATTTTCACTGAGGGATTGACCAAACTCCTTGGACTCACAGCTATCCTTTTAGTTAAATATTTTCTCAAAGAAGAGAGAAAAAAAGAAAAAAATTGACCCAAGGAGCCAAGCTTCCCATCTAACACTTTTTAAAGTGTTACACTTTCTTTTAAGTGTACACTTTTTAAAGTAGTGTCTAGACAATCTGGAAAGTGGGACTTTGTATGTAAAAACTAGAGTGGAGACCAAAATAAAACTTCACGGTTCATGGGTATTGTGACAATGTGGAAGTGGCCACATCATAATGAATCACTATCTGCCAGCCTCTCAGACTTCTTTTCCAGAGATATTTATTTGTGGCCAATAGGGAAAGGGAAGTACAGGTAAGTGGAAAGTGAAATGCAGAAGCTAATATCATGTATGGTTGGCCAGGCCACTGGCTTTTCCCATAGAAACAAATCCTGCAAGTGTCCTGTCAGAACAATATTCTAAAAACATTTTATACTTCCCCAAATTTGAAACAAACTCTGGGTTATCTTTAGAGGTAGAACATTTCATTGAGAAACTGGATCTAGGAGAGAGAAACCAGAATCAGAGCTCAAACACATGGGATTAATCCAGTTTGATTCTGAAGAGAGGTGTCCCAGATGATCTGGCATTATTAGACTTTCTCTTTCCCTTTGCAAGAACTGCTGGGTGCCTTTGGGAAAGGCTTCTGTGTATTCATTCCTGAGTCATATGTAGGAACTGATGATGCTTATATTCAGTGTTCTTCAGGGTTATCTGGCTAATTAATCTTATAATTTTTAGAAGAAAGAAGCACTTCCA
Organism: Homo sapiens; assembly: GCF_000001405.40. Lineage (NCBI taxonomy): Eukaryota > Metazoa > Chordata > Mammalia > Primates > Hominidae > Homo > Homo sapiens. Next base: position 173,049,344 of record NC_000001.11, read on the forward strand.
AATTTAAGTTATTGCTATTCTCACCCTTCCTCTTCTTCAGAAATCTAGACACTAAGAATTTCTGACAATTCTTTCTTTCAACTTCACTGACCCAGAAAGTTCACACTTCTGCTTCATACATTTCTTGAGAGAGCAGGGTTGTAATTAGAAATGCCTCTGTTGCACATAAGCCTTGTATACAGTTATGGAATACAAATTAATGGGCTACTGTGGAAAAATTGGCCAAAGCTATACCTACTCTAAATTAATATCAATAGGGGACTGCTTCCTCCTGCATCTTTTCTCAATTACTTTTACTTATCTTAAGTGGTAGAACTATATCTTTGAAATCTTTGCTGGTCAGTTCCCTTAAGAAAAGTGTTTCTGCAGTCACATTTCAACTCTTTCTCAGATGGACATATGCCACTTTATTCTCCCCAAAACTTAGAGTCTTCAAATTTAGCCAGAAATAGGCTAAATCCTGAAATAAATAAAGCATTTCTTATTTTCTTTTTGATCAGTGCTACGTAGTTAACTGTGAGGAAAGATTTTTTAGTAAAGAACAAAACTAATCTCCATTCCCAGTGTACCATCCCATTCTCTAGGCCCACAGCTTGGCCTGCATCTCAATGGGAAATTCCTGACAAGCATCAGGGGCTTCCCAAATAGATATGGGCTTTCTCATTCCTCCATGAAGTCTTCCCTGATCAACTCAATCTAAAGTCATTGTTCCCTGCTTTTGAGTGACTTAGGCATTTATTCTTCATACTACCCTTAAATAAATTCTTGATCATGACATTTTATAGCTAGAAGAAACATCATAATAAATCCATTCCCCTACCACCAGTTTTTTTAGATAAAGAAGCTGCAAACTAGAGAGATTAAATGTCTTTATCAAATTTATACAGCTGGTTATTAGGAGACCCAGAACCAGAATCCAGATCTTCTTACACCTAGCTCAGGGCCACTTCCCTCCTCAAAGACACACAAACCACCTGTCATTTACTTAATCCTGTCTTTCACTATTTTTTTAAGTCTTTTCCATAAATAAGACTATAGCTTGCATCCCATTCCTTGATATTCATTCATATTTTTACCTTTTTTATTCCACCAAGAGCTATAGCAGAGGGAAGGAAAAATACTCCACAGGCCCCTGTCAATTGGCTTAACCAGTTCTCTCTATCTAACAGAGTTCTGCAGCTAACATTTAGCATTTTCTGATACCTTTTATCTCAAAACCTTTAGATAAACTTCAAACGCCATGTCATGACAATATTAGAATTGTATTTACATTATGTATACACATCTCTTCCTTCCAACTATTGCTAACAATACTGAGTGACAATGATAACAACTAGAAAAACAAATAAATAGAGGATTATAGCAAATAGTAACCTTAGGTACAATTGCCTCCTTACCTCTAATTGGAGAAAAATAAAGATTAGCCAACTGAAGGAGCAAAGAAATAGCAACATAACTATTGAGCAAAAGAGCCACAGCTTCCAGGATGATCTCTGAGCTCCTTGAGTTCTTGAATGGCTTAAAGGCATATTTTCCAAGTGGCTCAAACACATTTTTGGAGAAATGAGAGCTGTGGAAAACAAAAATTCACAAGTGATGGGTGAAGGATGCAATGTCATGTTTTGTAGCAATATGGTAATTAGTAGTGGGTGTGGAAGGCGGAGTTTTCCTTCTGTCACTGTGTTAGAAAATGATACTTATAACTTAAGTGCTGACTCTCATTTGGCACCAGATCAAATACAACAAAAGGAACGGAAGGCTGAAAGCCAACACAAACTCAGAACATAAAAAAAAAAGCACAAGGGAAGTTCAGAGGGGAAAAAAATTTCTTTCCTAAATCAAACGGCAGTACAGTGCACGTGTAGAGGAGGCTTGGGAGAATAAAGTGGTGTGCTCTCATCTAAGAAAGTATTCCAGATTATTTCTAGATAAGAAAATCACTTTTTATAAGAAAAAATAAAGTTTGAGATTAATCCCCCTACCATACTCCAGATATCATGTACATGAGCGGCAGAGTGTTAGGAAGTTGGAGAGGCTAGGATCTCTAGTTTGGAAAAAATAGAGTTTTAATCAAGTCATCATCTTGTTTACCTTAAATACCCACAATTTTTATTTGTCAATTATACTTCAGTAAACCTGGAAAAATAAAATCTATACTCACAAAAATGTTTCATCAATTTCTAGTGTATAGAATGCGTTCATTCTGAGTCTCTAGAAAATATCAAGTGTATTACAAGAATTTAATAAAAAATTGTAAATACAACAAGCTCAATTTTATATTTCATCATTTTTAAACTCTGATAATCTAGTTCTGGCATAAGAAGTTATTTTACAGAAGGATATTTTCCTGCATCCTGCCCTCAGCCAGAGCTTATACTCTATTCCAAAAAAAAAAAAAAAAAAACCTTGGGTTTTCTTCCTGGGCCCAAAAATATGGGTTTACTACAAAATTGAGGAAGTCTCCTGGTTCTATGGACCTCAGTCACACAGGCTTTTAAATCAGACAGACCTCAAGAGCAGAGGCTGGCACTGCCCAGTTCCTACCTGCTCTGTGGCCTTAGGCATGTTACTTGAGTTCTCTGAGCTTCAGTTTCCTTCACTGTAAAATGGAGAAAATTTTCACTTTATAATGCTTTTGTGGAGAATGAAATGAAGGTGAAAAGTTTATGCATTCCATAAATGTTAGATTATCTCTTCTCTACCCTCTTTAGCGATGTAGTGAAGTTTAATTCAATTATTAAATCCTAGAAAAGAATGAACATTCTTTATCTTTCCCACAAGATAAAATTCACCTAAAGTTTACTTAAACAAAAGGAAGTACAATGAAAGTATTTTGGAAAACCTATTTTTTAATCTAAGAGAGAATTGACGATTTATAAATTAGAAAAAAGTCCAGAGATTTAACATCCTCCTTTACAAAAAAAGGAAACTAAGGACAAGAGGGTGTGAGTAGTGTCTCAAATCACTGCTGGCTGGTTAATGATGGAGTGAAAACTCAAGCCCACAGATACTGCTTTGTAATCCAACCATTTTGTCTTAATATTGCACTATTTACAATATTATTAGCAATATTTCTCTCTGAACTGTCAAAATTTTAATTTGGGCCCTATTTTACCTTGTTCAATAAACTACTTCTTAAAAGACCAGTTACACAAAAATGATTTTTCAACACAACAAATGTTTTTGTGGCTCTGTACTTAGATGCTGCAATGCAGGGATAAAGAATAAACTTACTCTAGAAAAAGACTGATGCCTTGATCCCATAACCTTTGCACTTGCATCAGATCTGGAATTCATATACACAAGCACAGAACTTAAAATTGGAAGTTAAATTATGTCCTTCCTGTTTTTATGATCTGCCCCTTTTCCTGTCTGCTTTCCAAATTTTTGAGGGAATTTCCCTGGCTTGCTACCTTAGGTAAACATTTATTCACATGAGAAACTGTTTTAAATAAAATCCAGTTCCTCCTTCCGCCTTTAACCACTGTTAGGCCCTGGAATATCCTTATTAATTATTTAACCTTATGACAGTATCTTAAGAAAGATGACATACTTATTTCAAGAAGACTATATTCTAGGGCCTCTTTTCATGAAATAGGATTTAGAAATGAGGAAACTTCAAGTTAAGACAGGTAACAGTAGGCAAGACTTTCTGAAATTCTAGAGCAATGAGTCACAGTTGGCACGATTTTGGTGTAAGTTATCAGGATTACATGTTATATCTCAGGATTTGACAAGAGGTAAATGAGCACCAATTCAAGCTTCGGGTTTATGGTCCGTCCCTGGCTCAGATACTTGAGCATGAAGTTTCTGGGTTTTTTTTGTTTGTTTGTTTTTCAATTAAATCTGACAAGCAAATCCATGTCAAACATTTACTATCTGCCCACTACTGTGCTAGGAGATTTGGGGGATATTTTAAAAAGTAAGAGCTGCCCTGGCCAACATGGTGAAACCCCGTCTCTACTAAAATACAAAAAATTAGCCAGGCGTGGTGGCGCGCGCCTACGGTCCCAGCTACTCGGGAGGCTGATGCAAGGGAATCGCTTGAACCCAGGAGGTGGAGGTTGCAGTGAGCCGAGATTGCGCCACTGCACTCCAGTCCGGCGACAGAGTGAGACTCCGTCTCAAAAAAAAAAAAAAAAAAAGTAACAGCTGCCAATGAATTTGCCATCTAACCAAATTGAAACCTTATCCGCAGGGAGACAGACGCCCAAATTGATACTATACATAAGAAAGTGCCTGAGAAAACAGACCTTGATAAACTGAAACCGTTGAAATAGCGGGTTAGAAATAAACTGTTTAAGAAGAGAGAGGAGGGTACTCTTTCTTGAGGGTATGATAAAACTTTAGAAATAAATATTCAGAGGTATAAGCATCTGTAAATATTAGAAATTAAAATAAGAACTCAATATAAACAATGACAAAATCCTAAATTTTTAAATGAAGCTGGTATTTTTCATTCAAGAGCTGCAAAGTAAGAAATTTCAGGAAAAAAGGTCAAAGAAAACCTCTATTCTGTATTTTTAATATTGAAAAAAAGGTTCTAAGATATGTTTGATTAAGCAATTTGAACTGCATCCATGGCTGCTTTGAATTCAGAATTAATTATAGAACAACATGGTTTCAGTTCACTTACTGACTAAATTACCTTAAAATGCATTAGGCACTTACTGCTTCTTCTCTGCGTACAAATGATTACATCTGAACATCAAACAGCCCTGTATTCTCTGTATCTGTTAGAATGATGAACTGACATTCAGGAAGATTAATCATTTGCCCATAAAGGCAGAATAGGGATTGAATCCTCCTATGTTGGGCCCCAAAACTCATATTTTTTCTACCTCTTTATGCTGAAGTATGTCAGGTACACCCCATGTAGAGTCAACAGAGTAGAAGATATATTAAAGTCTGTAAGAGGGCATTAGGTGGACATCAGTTTCCTCCAAATCTGTTAGTACTCAGGTCTGCACTCCTCGCCACATTCCCCTAATACCACTGTTTATCATGACTTTATCCTTGAGATAGTGTATGGGTATAGCATAATCAATCAGAATTTTTCAATATGTCAGAACTCAGTGAGGAATAATACACAACTAATTTTGTCTACTCTGGGTGTCAGAGTATTACTGTCACGACAAATAGGGCTCATTTGACTTGAAGACACATAGATGGATATATGCAGTAAATCAATAATGGGAGAAAATAGACAGACATGATCTATAAATAGGGTTTTAAACTTGGAATTTTTTGAAAGAAACAACAGTATCTGTTAAAATTAATAAATGCCTACTCCATAAAGAGAATTACGTACAGTTCATTATACATAAGTAGATGTATGTGAAGGTATTACATGTCCATATTATATACATACATATACACATGTACATATTATAGGTACAATAAATTCTAAAAGATATACAAGGACTATATCAACCTTCAGATCATCCTGTCTATAGAACTAGTAACAATCCTAATCAGGTTGATCTAGGAAATAGATCAAATTCAAGTGGTGTTTTGATTTCACAACCTGGGGACCCTCCTCTATGCCCCCACATTGTGTTGCTTTGTGCTGTCTTTTTTTGGATTTCCACTTTTTTGGAACCTTTACCAAATTCTTTATTGTTTGGCTATGTTTTACTAGCTCAAGTACAACTTCAAGTAAAAAGTCTAATGGCCAATTTCCATTGAAGCCTTTCTGTGCTAGCCACCTGCCTTACAACTAATCATTTAGAATGGCTCTGTGATGTTATAGGTCCCTATCTCTCTAGCCTGAGCCCTCTATGTCAGTGGCATGTTGTTTTGTGTGTGTGTGTGTGTGTGTGTGTGTGTGTGTGTGTGTGTGTGTATGCCCTTTCTGGACTAATGAGCATTTTGTATTTTGGCCATAGGAGGAGTATCTTAAATACCTTTTGATGGGAAGAATGACTTGCTGCTTAGGATCTCAATGAAAACATTGGCCATTGTGCAATATGGCATAATACTTCCTATTTGAAACCATCAAACATCACCCTAGAATCTGTAATGAATGAGCATTGCTGTTAAATTACATCTTGCCCAATATTGCATCGATTGCCATAGAATTATGTATTTTACCTATCAATCTAGTTGAGTTAAAAGGGTCTTAAGACTCCTGAGATTAAGTATTCCCCCCAAATCTGAATTTTGGGGGGTGGCCCTGGAAGAGGGAATAGAAGAAAAATATTTTCCCTTTACTCTTCTATTTGGTTCCCCCTTTGACAAGGTCCTAAAATTTCCCCCTTCAAACTACTACATACCAGCTTCAGTGGAGAATAATCAGCACATCCACTGCTTTCAGCACCCAACTCTGACATGTGTTCATATGCTCTACAGTCTAAGACTCTTTCTCATCTGGTTTTCTATTTTTTACATGATCTTGTGCCATTCACATTGATCTTGTAGCCATTTGGTTAATACTAGATTTGTTGGTTTTGGAACCAGGAACCTAAATAAATAAAAGCTGATTTTTGCTTTTCTATATGAAATGATTCCTAAATACACAGGACATGTTATTTCTCTTGTTTATTTAAAAAATATTGAATGCCTTTTCTGTAGCAAGTACAATGTTAAAAGCTTGAATACTGATAGACAAGGGTCAGTCCCTATCTTAAAGTTTTTTATTTTTCATTTCATTTTGCTTTGTTTCTTTAGGTAGCTGGAGAAAGAGACAAATATACAAGAGCAGAACAGAGAGAAATGTAGTAATTGGGAGAGCACCAAATACCAAGGAGATAATGTCTACACTGAGATATAAGTTTGCAGAGAGGTTATTCAGATGGAAAAGCTTATATGTCATTCTCTTAAACCGATCAATTACTGTTCCTATTAATACACTTGCTGAATAGTATATGATATATATTTGATATGTATGTGTGTGTGTGTGTATGTATGTCAGGTATTTAATTTGGCAATGGAGAAATAAAGAGAAATAAGACAAGGTCTCTGATCTTAAGGAATCCATCATCTGGTCATTGCTATTTTCTTACATTTGAGCATTACAAAATTGCATGGAAAATATGTTTACAATCACAGATCTTCTTTGTAGGGCCTTATGTAACTTCCCTGGAGTTACCAGGTAATATAATTCAGGCAAGAATTGGCCAACCATCTAGAGTTATTCAGGCCAAGCTACTCATCTATCCAGTTTGGTGACTCTAGTTGTGAATGCGGTAGGATATTCCTCTATAATGAGGAAATTTTGAATGGTATGTCAATGGAAAAAATTGACTCATATGCAACATTATGGAATGCTGCTTGGTGGAATGGTGCCAATGGAACCCAATAGGCAGTTCTATTTACTAAATAAAGAACAAACATCCCAGAGGTGTTACATATGAAAATTATGCCAACATAAGGTCCAAATTATTTTAAGTCTTCATTCTCTCAACAAGCCTAGGGCAAATCTCTTTGGCTGAAAGTAAGAATATTCCCCTTCTCCACACGTACACGGCTTCTATATCTTATCCCATGAATTCCTAGATCCTGTCAGATATCAGCCTCTCTGACTGCAACACCACTGAGTGGCAATTTCAAGCATCAACTGTAAAGAAAAAAGAAGACAGAAAATGATAGAGTAATAACAAGGAAACAAATACATATTAAAGCCATGCTCTTTACCAGGTGCCACGTTTTAAAGTTTCAACTCATGCATTATTTTGTTTATTTAACCTTCACAATACCATTACACAGTAGGTCTTATTAGTTCCATTTTACACATGAGAAAATTGAGGTTAAGAAATGTTTAACAACTTACCCAAGGTCATACAACAAGTAACATTCAAATCCAGATCAGTTCAATTCCAAAATCTATTCTTTGCATTGTGTATTGCATTGTGTAATGAGTGTCTGAATTTGGCGTCAGAAGAGAAAAGATTTTAAAATGGGGAGTAATTAGCGCAGTTAAGGATCTTTATGTCACTTCTGAATATGACATCAACCAATATATTTTTTGAAGGAAAAGTTCTTACTAAATACACATATCTTTTTGAAAATAAGCTTTTATTTTTTTGCTCCATCTTCAATTCTATAATTCTTCCTCTTTTTCCTCTTTAATCTCAAAATAATTCAGGCTTCCAGATGGAGCCAGATTGTAAATCAAATTTTAAATTAGTGTTAAGATATTAAATGTGTGGAAAATAACAAAAATATGTCTTGCCACAAACATTTTCTCATGGCTCAATTTTCTTAGAAGTAAATGATGCCAACTGAGAAAAAAACCCGTTATAGTCCAATACTGTTTATATCACACCCATTTATTTAAAATCTTATCTTTCACATTAATTTAAGGATCATAGTAATATCTAATAGTAAAATTTGTGGACAAAAAGTGGGTAAGGGAGTATTAATTAAGAGAGAAATCTAGAGCCAAGTAGAATTATGGAAACCAAATGGAGGGGTTAATTGTGGTATTTTCATTGTAGAAGAAAATAAAGCTCTCAGAGAGTTCAAAAGGAGGAGGAATGAGACAAGAATTGTGGTAGGGATGACAGATGATTTCAACAACCATTAGGGTCACTATGGAAATGCTGAAGGCACTAAACTTGGTGTGAAGATTCTGTTGATTAAAACAGTATCACAGGAATGACAGCAACAACTAACACTAATTGAGCACTTTCTCTCAACGACATAGGAGTTGATCAGCCCCAAAGAAGGACTTGACCATGCTGATTTGAAGTCAACCAATGTACAAGACCACTTTAGGTTAAAAGCAGGAAATATGCAAATTCACCATCAATTGTATTTACCACAAATGCTTAAAGCATAGCATGTGGTTTTCCAGTGGATGGAGGGCCAATAAGAGTAAATAGCAGGGGTTTCTGAATTGAATGAGCTAAGGAAAGGAGAAGTGGGTTCTGACTCCATTATTTCCCTTTTCTGAATCCAGCCTGCCTGTCTGCCACAGTCTCACATAGTGGCTTGGAGCTAGTGGACATGAGGAGGCCAAACCTTCTCAGCTCCTATTGCCTCTCAATGTTTTGAAGTAGTGGAAAGAGCTCCAGGGCAGCACCTTGATGAGGTAGAAAGAGCCCAGCCAAGGGGTCAAGCATTCCAGAATCTAGGTCTGATTCTGTATACTTAGCTATGTATGACCTTGACCATGTCAAAAAAAATACTTGTTGATGTTAATTTATTTATCCGTTAAAATATATATATATGTATATGTACGTTGAAAACTCTAAAGCCCTATACAAATGTGGGACAGTTGTTATGCTTTTCTGTCTTTGCAATTGAACTTACCAGGCCACTTATTTCACCACTTATTTCATATTTGTTATAAATAGTTTCATGTGTGTTTTCCTATGAAATCCCTCCCCACCACACACACACACACACACACACGCACACACACACATATTATGAGATCAAAAATGAACTGTAAATCAGCCAAATTTCTTAAGTGTTTATTTAGCTGCTGTGTTCACTTATCTGAAGAAATTGACAGAGCACAGAACATTTTGGACATTTGTTGAGTCTAAAACATGAGTGTATAGATAGGATCCTTAGGATGTTCTTTTGTCATCTTGTAATCCTAAACTGTAAAAGCTGAAAAAGATTAACTAGTCCCTTCATTTTTCCAATAATGGAATTGTGGACACCGAGAAAAACTACTCAAGACTCTTGATGAAACAAACTAGTACTATTTTGCTAAGTAACTAAATAATTACTTAGAAATTATTGCAACAAAATCTCCCTAGTAAGTGATAAGGATAAACACATTCAAGGTTTACTGACATAAAAAATTTGAAGACTAGTTTTCCTCCAATTTTCAAATAACACATTGTTGTACTAGGTACTTGGGAAAATAGGGGGGAAATGTAGAAGATAAAGACTATACCGTCAAAAGTATGCAAACCATTAAGGGAAACAAAAATTGAATTCCTACAATAAGTATACTTCCTTTAAAATAACATTTTAACAGTATAACAGTAGGAATTTTGGAAAATCTAGGAAAGTATAGTAAATCATTAAAATCATAATTATGTATGATTTTAATGTCCCTCTTTGTAAGATATAATCAAAGATATAACCAACTAGCTATAACCACTATTAGCATGCAGATTTAATTAATTTTTTATTTTTCTATATCTATAAAACAAATAAGAATTATAGTCTAAACACAGCAATGTAAATACAGAGAAGGATTTACTTTTTCAATAATTGTTGCCAAACTTCACTTTTTTTTAAATTTACCCCAAACCCTATACACCCTATCAGTGTGAACTTGCAGCAATTGAGGAAAAGGTGGTATGGATATGACCTACTTTCCCTTTTTCTCACATTCTCTGTGCCTTAGTCACCAGCTCAACATCAATGGCAGAGAGGGCACATGCGGGGGTGGGAAAAGAAGACTGCTCAGGCCAGTGAAGACCATCAACGGAGATTGGAGTGACTTTACTGGGCCATGATCTTTTTGGGTTACCATTAAGTGATCTTGGGTGTGTATTCATTTTATATTGCTGCCATAACAAATTGCCAGAAATGTAATGATCTTGAAACAGCACCCATCTCACAGTTCTGTAGGCCTAAAGTCTGGTGGACTCAACTGCATATTCTACTTAGGGTTGCACAAGGCTGAAATCAACATGTTGACCAGCCTGGCCTCTTATCCGAAGGCTCTTGAGGAGAATTGGTTTCTAGGCTCCTTCAAGTAGTTGGGAGAATTCTGGTCTCCATCTTCAAACCAACAATACCAGGTCAAGTCCTTCTCATGATTTGAATCTCTGTGACTTGTGGTATCTCTCTAACTTCAGCCATGAAGTTATCTGCTTTTATCCCCCTTGTGATTACATTGGGCCCATCAGATAATCCAGGATAATTTCCCAATTTTAATTTCCCATAATCTTATTACATCTGCAAAGTCTCTTTGGCCACATAAGGTAATATAGCCAGATGTTCCAGAAATTAAGGTGTGGACATCTTTGAGTTGTCCTTTTGCATACTAGGATGCCAGCCACCCCTCTGATACCTTCTGATGCCAGGGATTGCTTGAGACAGCACTGCTGCATCGTCCCTCCACTCCCAGTGGATTTCCAGGGTTCCCTCAATGCAGGTTCATCTTTCCCCCAGACAGTCTTTTGGGATAGGTGGTCTGTTGCCAATTCCATGATGTGGCCTAGACACCTGTTAAGTCGATATTGTTCCGCCTCGCTCCATGGAGATACAAGGGTACAGTGGGCAATGAAGAGGAACCATCCCCTCTCTGACACACCACATTGAACAACTCCACAAGAAGGCTTTTCCTCAGAGATGCTCTTCTAATATGTTCCCTTGCTTCCATGACCCCTTCTTCCCCACTCTAGCCATTTTTATCAATATAGGAAAGGGAGGTTGCTAGAATATTTGATGGAATGTCCCTCTTTGTAAGACATAACAGGCAGCTTTTTCACATACAAGTTTAACTTAGAACATAACATCCACTTGTGTATCCTTGGCTGTAAGCTGTCTCTGTAGTAATCCCTGCACCAGTCATCAAAGAGTAAGACATTGAAGAAGAAAAACGTGTGTAGACTTTTTTGACATACAAATTTAAAATCATACTTTTCATATAGTTCCATAACCTACTTTTTACACAGTATGACATAACTGGCACTGTGTTTAAGTAATATATAAAATGATGTTTAATAGATGCATGGTATCCACATTGAATGTATATAGTAATACATTGTTGTTGGAAAATTTTTCAAGAATGTTTTAATATTCAGGAAAATAAATAGTAATATATAATCAAGTGTTTTCACATGGACATGTCTTCCTCTCCTTTGGTGCCAAATGGGTAAAAAGAAGGCAATAGATCAGGTGGGCTTTAAACTCTGAAAACATTATTAGGGATTATAGCCTATCCTCAAGCTTATTTCCTGAGCTCAAAACTGGGCAAAACAGGAATTCAACTGTGAGATGAGAGTTTGGTTAGAATACATGTCTAAGCTCTAACTAGTGTTCCTTCTGAAACACCCTGAGTCTTTTCAGAGAGGAGATGGGACTGCCTGAAGGTGATTATCAGGAGGCCCAGTACTGTTTTGCTGCTGAAAAAGTCTGACGATTACAAGTTGCAGTTCTTCCACTTTGTATTTGAGAAGCATTCTCAGTATGTTTCTTTCTTGGTTTCTTACTTAAAGGAAGTTCTTACCCCAAATTAGGTTAATAAGGATCTTGCCTTATGGCAAGAATCTGCTTTCTATTATGAAAGTGCCAATATCTGAGAGACAAACCATCCTTTAGACTTTCTCTTTCTTAATCTTGTGCTGGCCAGTTGTTGTCATACTCTAAACTTCATCCACATACTACCTCCTAGAGAAACCACCTCCTGGCCTTTTCATCTTAGTTAAATGCCTCTTCCATGTGTTCCCAGATCCCACTGTATTTATCCGTATGACAGCACTGGTATTACCACAATATAATCATCTGCATACCATCTTCTCTATTTGGGTGTAGGCCTCTAAAGGCAAGGAGTTGTTAAAATCTCCTAACACCTGAAACCCACCTAAGGCCTGGATCATAGAGGAGGCACAATAAACATTGAATGAGTGGATGGATGGATGGATGGATGGATGGATGGATGGATGGATGGTTGGATGGTTTTACTAACATTATATCACCACGGAGCAGCGATCAGACTAGATTCAGCTTTCAAGACTTAAATTTATAAGTACTATGTTTATACCACTCTACCTTGACTAATCATCTATAACCAGAGCCAAGTTTATGTTGAATGTTTTGTTTCACATTGAACTCCATGGTGGTTTTATTTACTGAACATCACAACACTGATAACAACATTTTATATTGTATAGCTAAAGTCTGGTAGTCTCTTATGTTTGACTGTAATGGTCCACTCTTTCTCTCCTGTAAGATTCTGACTCCTGAGAGCTATGAAATAACACCAAGGAAAGGAAGCAAAGCAATGTTTGTACTCATTGTATCACCTAAAGCTTGTCATACAAACAGCATGACTCACACTGGTCTTGTCCATACTGAAGGCCCAGGAGCACCCTGTCTGTGGTTTTTAATTACCAGGACCTTACTATACACCCTGTAGGCACTGAGTGATTACTCTGTATAACTGTTTCCTGATGTATATCAAACCACGCTGTAATGTAAAGCCTGCCACAAAACCACACTCATGTTAAAGAAGTAAATACAGCAAGTACATTCTTATCAATAGGGATGACAGTAATAAGCCCATCTAAAATGAACTGAGCAGCTGACATACCTCCCAAACAACTCTTGAGTTTGTTGTCTGGCATACCTCCCAAACAACTCTTGAGTTTGTTGTCTGGCATACCTCCCAAACAACTCTTGAGTTTGTTGTCAGCTTATAATTGTGGTATTGGTTACTCCTTCTTTTCACCTACCACAGTGCATTGTACCTATCTCTTTAATAGTATCTATGACTGTGTAAGCCTCTGAGGGGATGGGACTATGTTTACCTCTGCACACACAGTGCCTGACATAGTATGGTTGTCCAAGAAATATTTATGAGAAGAGTGAGTAAGTAAGTGAAATAATATATTGATCCTCTTTGAGTCAAATATTACATATAATTTTAATTATTTTTCTGAGTAGAAATGAACTTTGCCCATCATCTTTCACACATTCTATCTTATATTCTTTTATGGTGAAAAGCATGCATTGATGGGGCTACAGGATAGGATTGCGGGATAAGTGCAGTCTCTGGTTTTGGATTAGAACAAAATTAACTGGCTTACTGTCATCACACCCAGGATATTGGCCCCCTGAGGAGCATTTTTTCACTTGTTTCTTTTAATTCTGACTGATCAGTTATGTAAAGATATTTATCCATTTGGATTTAGATTTAAAATGTAGAAATATGATACTATCAAAGGAGAAATCTGTAATGCCCCTAGGATACACGATGGGATGCAAAGGGAAGTTTGGAAAATCAAAGTAGTTAAATAGAATTCATATTAAGAAGAGAAATCTGGCCTTTGATTTCTTAGCCACAAAAGCATCACTTGAAAGAGTAGAAATAAACAAGAGATGACACAGAATCAGAAGACACATATGTTGTAAATTGGGGAAAAGCAAATCAGAAGCCAACATTTTTTTTTGCTGGAATTGATTTGAAAAACAGTTTTCTGTACAGCTCTACAAATAGTATTTCATAAATCCTGAGTGCTTTATCCTTTTTCTAAACAGTCTTGTGTTTGACATCATGTTTCAGTTTTTTGAGACACTTAGTGGTTATGCAGCTTCACTATTCAGGTAGACTCTTCCCATAGCTACATAACATGTTGCTTCCACCCTCAGCATTCTACAGTTCCAAATCCAGTTGGCTGATATAAGTCATCATCTTATTTGATATCTTTGTAGATTTTAACACTACTTACCAAAAATTTCTTGAGACTGCTTCTTATCTTGGTTTCTAGGATATGATTCTCTTTTGGTTCTCTCCCTTCTTTTTGCCTTATCATTAGGCATCTTTATGGAGTCCTTTCCCATTTTCCTTTAATGGTAGAATTCACTGGTGTTCAATCTTAATTGTCTTTTCAGATTAAAAGCTATCTCTGGAGAAGATGATGTCAGCAAGATGGCAGAATAGAAAAATCCAGGTCCTGGTTCCACCACAGAAACATGAAGTAAACAACAAAGGAATGGCTTAATAGCCTTGTGAGAGCTCTAGAAACCAGTCAAGAGACTGCAGCAACCAAGAAAATGTCCAACCAAGCAAAAGCCACACTCAAAATGGTAGAAAATTTCATGGCATTTTTCTTAGCCTTTGCCCTAGTCTCTCTCTCATCATAGTGCAGTGGGGTTAAGAGGAAGCCACCCAATTCCTGCCTCTTCCCTTGAAACAGGATGAAAAAAAAAAAGCGGGACATGTTTACAGTGTCTGTCTGGAGGCTGCCGGCAGGACTGGTTTCTCTCTTTCCTGGCTTGGAACTCAGGCAAGAATGTAGTCATAGTTTGGATATTGAAAGCCACTGAAAGCGGTAGCAACAACCTCAGCCTGTGAGAGATGCAAGCAGATGAAAATGCACAGGTGACTGGGGACAAGAAATAATGAGCAGAGAAATACAGTAAAATATCTAAGACTTTGAGAAGAAGGATGAGACTCTTAGAGAAATTAAGGCATGTTAAATAAAGCTCTGTATATAGGAGAATTGGAGGGAAAGCACGTGCACAAATACAGAGAACATGAATGCTCAGAAAAGGTCTGAGAAGACCTTCAGCCTTCATGCTAGGCTGATTGGTGAAGGTCTTTTTCTGCACAAAGCCAATCTGCAAAGACAGGAAGAGGTGACTATTTTTTCAAATGCCCAATTGAACAAAAGATCCAGACATACAAAGAAACAAGGAAACATGCTCAAAAGAACAAAACAAGCCTCTAGGAATGTACCCTAAAGAAACACAGACTTCAGAAAAATTAGACAAAGACTTTAAAACAATTGTCTTAAATATGCTCAAAGACCTAGAGAAAAGGACAGAGAACTAAAAGAAATCAGAACATATTGTAGGAACAAAATGAAAATATCAAAAAAGAGGAATTACCAAAAAAAAAAAAAAACCAAACAGATTTCTAGATCTAAGAAATAAATACAAGAACTGAATGTAAAAATTCACTAGAGGGAATCAACAGAGGAAGATAATTTATAAAGATGAAGACAGGTAATTTGAAATCATCAACTCTGAGTAACAAAAAGAAAAAAGAATAAAAGTTAAATGAGCCTAACGGACTTATGGGACACCATCAACTGCATGAATTATGGGAGTCCTAGAAAAAGAAAAAAAGAGAAAAGAAAGAGTGCTCATTTGAAGACATGATGGCTGAACACTTCCCAAATTTGAGAAAAGACATGGATGTACAAATTCAAGAAGCTCAGCAAACACCAAATAGGATTAAACTAAACACAACACAGCAAGACACACTGTATTCAAACTACTGAAAGTCAAAGACATAAAGAATTTTGAAAATCTCAAGAAAAATAATTACTCTTTACAAATGAGAAATCTTCAATAAGATTGTCAGCAGGCTTCTCAATAGAAGACTTTCAGGCCAGAAGACAGTAGGTTATATTTAAAGTGTTGACAGAAAAAAAAAAACTGTAAAGAAGATTCAGTGCTATTCCTATCAAGCTAACAATGACGTTTTTCACAAAACTAGAAAAAGACTATTTTAAAATTCATAAGGCACCAACAAAGAGCCTGAATAGCCAACACAATGCTAAGCAAAAATAGCAGAGCCAAAAGTATCACATTACCTGACTTCAAACTATACTACAAGGCTACAGTAACCAAAGTACCATGGTACTGGTACAAAAACAGAGCAGAAACATAGACCAATGGAACAGAATAGAGAGCCCAGAAATAAGGCCACATACCTACGACCATCTGATCTTCAACAAAGCTAACAAAAACCAGCAATGGGGAAAGGACTTCCTATTCAATAAATGGTGCTGGAATAACTGGCTAGCCATATGCAGAAGATTGAAACTGGACCTCTTCCTTACTCTACATACAAAAATCAACTCAAGATGGATTAAAGATTTAAATGGAAAACCCAAAACTATAAAAAGCAACCTAGGCAATATCATCCTGAACATAGGAACTGGCGAAGATTTCATAACAAAGACACCAAAAGCCATCACAACAAAAGCAAAAATTGACAAATGTGATCTAGTTAAACTAAAGAGCTTCTGCACAGCGAAAGAAACTATCAACATAGTCAACAGACAACCTACAGAATGGGAAAAAAACATTTGCAAACTATGCATCTGACAAAGGCCTGATATCAAGCATCTACAAGCAGCTTAAATAAATTTACAAGAAAAAAATAACAACTCCATTAAAAAGTGGGCAAAGGATACGAACAGACACTTTTCTAAAGAAGACATAGATGCAGCCAACCAGCATATGAAAAAAAACCTCAATATCACTGATCATTAGAGAAATGCAAATCAAAACCACAATAGATACCATCTCACACCGGTCAGAATGGCTGTTATTAAAAAGTCAAAAAATAACAGATGCTGGAGAGAGTGCAGAGAAAAGGGAACACTTATACACTGTTGGTGGGGTGTAAGTTAGTTCAACCATTGTGGAAAGCAGTGTGGTGATTCCTCAAAGAGCTAAAAGCAGAACTACCACTCAACCCAGCAATACCATTACTGAGTATATACCCAGAGGAATATAAATCATTTTCCCATAAAGACGCATGCATGTGAATGTTAATTGCAGCACTGTTCACAATAGCAAAGACATGGAATCAACCTAAAAGCCCACCAGTGCCAAGTTGGATAAAAAATAATGTGGTATATCTACACCATGGAATACTATGCAGACATAAAAAGAATGAGATCATATCTTTTGCAGGAACATGGATGAAGCTGGAAGCCATTATCCTTAGCAAACTAATGCAAGAACAGAAAACCAAATACCGCATGTACTCACTAATAAACAGGAGCTAAATGATGAGAATTCATGAGCACAAAGAAAAAAACAGGTACTGGGGCCTCCTTGAGGTTGGAGGATGAGAGGAGGGAGAGGATCAGAAAAAATAACTATTTGATACTAGGCTTAGTACCCGAGTGACAAAGTAAACTGTACAACAAACCCCCATAACACAAGATGTGTTTCCTATATAACAAATCTGCACATGTACCCCAACCCTAAAAGAAAAGTTACAAAAAATGCTTTTATAATAAAGAGAGCATCTCAGAGAAAAAAAACACCTGTAAAAACAGAATTTTATGTGTCCTTTAACATTAAGGGAGATATATAAATATATTAAATTATCACATGCACCCCAAAACTGTGTACATTTATTACATATTGATAATAAAGGAATAATGAGAGAGAAATTAAGACTTCCCAGATTTTATAAAAAGCCAAGAGAATTCATTACCACTAGACCTTCCCTACAAAAGATGCTAAAGGGAGACCTTCAAGTTGAAATGAAAGGATGCTAGGCAGTAACTCAAAGCCATGTGAAAATATAAAATTTTCTGGTAAATGTAAACATATGGGCAGATATAAAAACTTATAATGTTGGTTTTTAACTCCACTTTTAATGATTAATAAAATCAAAAACACAGAAGCACAAAAATAATTATAAATTTATGCTAATGAGTACACGAAATGTAAAGATGTAATTTGTGTCATGAATAACATAAAATAGAGGAGGATGGAACTGTAAAGAACCAGAGTTTTGTACATAAGCAAAGTTAAGTCATTATCAGTTTTAAACAGATCGTTCTAACTTTGGGATGTTTCATGTAATCCCCGTTAAACACAAAGAAGATATCTATAGCATATATGCAAAGAGAATTGAGAAGAGAACCAAAATGTCACTGAAACTGGGCCCCAAAGAGTTAAAGAAACCAATAACGATCAAAAATGTTTGAATTTGCATCTGGACACGTGCGAAGAAAAACCAACTTGCTAAAAGGCTAAACTCCCTTCACTAATAAGATAACACAACCAACAAAAATCAATGAAAACCAATATAGCTGGCTAAAATTTACACAAAATGAGCTTACCAATGTCACAGTCTAAATTTCCACCACATATTTTATACTAACTCCACCTAAATTTACACATGAAATCCATAAAAAGACATTAAAAAACTATACATGCCAAAAGATTTTCCAGACCTTACCTTTCCTTCCACCAATCACCTGCTAATCTCAAAATCCACCCCCTAAAACTTTTCTAATAAAATTACTGTCTTAAAGGCAACATGGAGAGACAAATTTAAACTAGACTTCTGTCTCCTTCAAAGTCAACTAATAATAAAAAACTTTTTTTCCCCCAAAAATCCAGTGTCATAATATTAACTTCTAACACATCAGGCAACAAGCCCCAGTAGCATCACCACAAAAAAAACAAAAACAAAAACAAAATGAACAACAAAAAAAACCCAACTAAACACAAAAGAAGGCAGTAAGGGAGGAAACAAGGGGCAAAAAAAGTTATAAGATATACAGAAAACAACGAAATATCAATAGTAAGTTCTTTTTTATCAGTAATTACTAAGTAAATGGGCTAAACGCTCTGATCAAAACACATATATTGGCAGAATGGGTAATGTAACAAGATCCAAGTATGTACTGTATACAAGAGACTCAGTGTAACTCTATAGGACACACATATGTTAAAAGTGAAAAAATGGAAAAATATATTCTAAGCAAATAGTTAAGAAGAACAAAGGTGGTTATACTAAAATTAGACAAAACAGACTTTAAGCTAAAAACTGTTCAATAAACAAAGAAGGGCATTGTATAATGATAGGAGGGTTAATTTACCAAAAATATAACATTTATAAATAAATATGCATCATACATCAGAGCTCCTAAATATATAAGGCAAACAATGACAGAATTGAAGGGAGAAATGCATAGCTGAACAATAATAGTAGAAAACTTCAATACTCCATTTTTAATCATTGACATAATAACTGGAGAGAAGATTAATAAGAAAATAGAGGATTTGAGCAACACTATACACTGCTCGAACCTAACAGACACATACAGAGCATTCTACCCAACAATAGCAGAATATACATTTTTCTTAAATGCACATGGAACATTACCCAGGATAGGTCAAATGTTAGGCCACAAAACAAGGCTTAAGAAACTTTTTTTTTTTTTAGGTTTCTCATAGTTTTATTGATAGAAGGCACCTGACCTAGTAACCTAAACTTTTAACATTTTCCTATTCTGAATCCATTTATGATGAGGGAGTGAGCCATAGCATTACAACCTGAAAATTCTGGATCAAGGGAATTTTTTCTTTTTTTTTTTTATACTTTAAGTTTTAGGGTACATGTTCACAACATGTAGGTTAGTTACATATGTATACATGTACCATCTTGGTGTGCTGAAACCAGTAACTGATCATTTAACATTAGGTATATCTCCTAATGCTATCCCTCCACCGTCCCCCACACCACAACAGGCCCCAGTGTGTGATGTTCCCCTTCCTGTGTCCATGTGTTCTCATTGCTCAATTCCCACCTATGAGTGAGAACATGCAGTCTTTGGTTTTTTTGTCCTTGTGATAGTTTGCTGAGAATGGTGGTTTCCAGCTTCATCAAGTCCCTACAAAGGACATGAACTCATCATTTTTTATGGCTGCATAGTATTCCATGGTGTATATGTGCCACATTTTCTTAATCCAGTCTATCATTGTTGGACATTTGGGTTGGTTCCAAGTCTTTGCTATTGCAAATAATGCCGCAATAAACATACGTGTGCATGTGTCTTTATAGCAGCATGATTTATAGTCCTTTGAATATATACCCAGTTATCAGATTGCTGGGTCAAATCGTATTTCTAGTTCAAGATCCCTGAGGAATCGCCACAACGACTTCCACAATGGTTGAACTAGATTACAGTCCCACCAACAGTATAAAAGTGTTCCTATTTCTCCACATCCTCTCCAGCACCTGTTATTTCCTGACTTTTTAATGATCGCCATTCTAACTGGTGTGAGATGGTATCTCATTCTGGTTTTGATTTGCATTTCTCTGATGGCCAGTGATGATGAGCATTTTTTCATGTGTTTTTTGGCTGCATAAATGTCTTCTTTTGAGAAGTGTCTGTTCATATCCTTTGCCCACTTTTTGATGGGGTTGTTTGTTTTTTTCTTGTAAATTTGTTTGACTTCATTGTAGATTCTCGATATTAGCCCTTTGTCAGATGAGTAGATTGCAAAAATTTTCTCCCATTCTGTAGGTTGCCTGTTCACTCTGATGGTAGTTTCTTTTGCTGTGCAGAAGCTATTTAGTTTAATTAGATCTCATTTGTCAATTTTGGCTTTTGTTGCCATTGCTTTTGGTGTTTTAGGCATGAAGTCCTTGCCCATGCCTATGTCCTTAATGGTATTGCCTAGGTTTTCTTCTAGGGTTTTTATGGTTTTAGGTCTAACATTTAAGTCTTTAATCCATCTTGAAATAATTTTTGTATAAGGTGTAAGGAAGGGATCCAGTTTCAGCTTTCTACATATGGCTAGCCAGTTTTCCCAGCACCGTTTATTAAATAGGGAATCCTTTCCCCATTTCTTATTTTTGTCAGGTTTGTCAAAGATCAGATGGTTGTAGATATGCGGCATTATTTCTGAGGGCTCTGTTCTTTTCCATTGGTCTTTATGTCTGTTTTGGTACCAGTACCATGCTGTTTTGCTTACTGTAGCCTTGTAGTATACATTGAAGTCAGATAGCGTGATGCCTCCAGCTTTGTTCTTTTGGCTTAGGATTGACTTGGCAATGCGGGCTCTTTTTGGTTCCATATGAAATTTAAAGTAGTTTTTTCCAATTCTGTGAAGAAAGTCATTGGTAGCTTGATGGGGATGGTGAATCTATAAATTACCTTGGGCAGTATGGCCATTTTCACGATATTGATTCTTCCTACCCATGAGCATGGAATGTTCTTCCATCTGTTTGTATCCTCTTTTATTTCATTCAGCAGTGGTTCAGTGGTTTGTAGTTCTCCTTGAAGAGGTCCTTCACGTCCCTTGTAAGTTGGATTCCTAGGTATTTTATTCTCTTTGAAGCAATTGTGAATGGGAGTTCACTCATGATTTGGCTCTCTGTTTGTCTGTTATTGGTGTATAAGAATGCTTGTGATTTTTGCACATTGATTTTGTATCCTGAGACTTTGCTGAAGTTGCCTATCAGCTTAAGGAGATTTTGGCCTGAGATGATGGGGTTTTCTAGATATACAATCATGTCATCTGCAAACAGGGACAATTTGACTTCCTCTTTTCCTAATTGAATACCCTTTATTTCCTTCTCCTGCCTGATTGCCCTCGCCAGAACTTTCAACACTATATTGAATAGGAGTGGTGAGAGAGGGCATCCCTGTCTTGTGCCAGTTTTCAAAGGGAATGCTTCCAGTTTTTGCCCATTCAGTATGATATTGGCCATGGGTTTGTCATAGATAGCTCTTACTATTTTGAGATACGTCCCATCAATACCTAATTTATTGAGAGTTTTTAGCATGAAGCGTTGTTGAATTTTGTCAAAGGCCTTGAGATAATCATATGGTTTTTGTCATTGGTTCTGTTTATATGCTGGATTACATTTATTGATTTGTGTATGTTGAACCAGCCTTGCATCCCAGGGATGAAGCCCACTTGCTCATGGTGGATAAACTTCTTGATGTGCTGCTGGATTCAGTTTGCCAGTATTTTATTGAGGATTTTTGCATCAATGTTCATCAGGGATACTGGTCTAAAATTCTCCCTTTTTGTTGTGTCTCTGCCAGGCTTTGGTATCAGGATGATGCTGGCCTCATAAAATGAGTTAGGGAGGATTCCCTCTTTTTCTATTGATTGCAATAGTATCAGAAGGAATGGTACCAGCTCATCCTTGTACCTCTGGTAGAATTCAGCTGTGAATCCATCTGGTCCTGGACTTTTTTTGGTTGGTAAGCAATTAATTATTGCCTCAATTTCAGAGCCTGTTATTGGTCTATTCAGAGATTCAACTTCTTCCTGGTTTAGTCTTGGGAGGGTGTGTGTGTCGAGGAATTTATCCATTTCTTCTAGATTTTCTAGTTTATTTGCATAGAGCTGTTGATAGTATTCTCTGATGGTAGTTTGTATTTCTGTGGGATTGGTGGTGATAACCCCTTTATCATTTTTTATTGCGTCTATTTGATTCTTCTCTCTTTTCTTCTTTATTAGTCTTGCTAGCGGTCTATCAATTTTGTTGATGTTTTCAAAAAACCAGCTCCTGGATTCATTGATTTTTTGAAGGGTTTTTTATGTCTCTATTTCCTTCAGTTCTGCTCTGATCTTAGTTATTTCTTGCCTTCTGCTAGCTTTTGGATGTGTTTGCTCTTGCTTCTCTAGTTCTTTCAATTGTCATGTTAGGGTGTCAATTTTAGATCTTTCCTGCTTTCTCTTGTGGGCATGTAGTGCTATAAATTTCCCTCTACACACTGCTTTGAATGTGTCCCAGAAATTCTGGTATGTTGTGTCTTTGTTCTCTTTGGTTTCAAAGAACATCTTTATTTCTGCCTTCATTTCGTTACGTACCCAGTAGTCATTCAGGAGCAGGTTGTTCAGTTTCCATGTAGTTGAGTGGTTTTGAGTGAGTTTCTTAAACCTGAGTTCTCGTTTGATTGCACTGTGGTCTGAGAGACAGTTTGTTATAATTTCTGTTCCTTTACATTTGCTGAGGAGTGCTTTACTTCCAGCTATGTGGTCAATTTTAGAATAAGTGCAGTGTGGTGCTGAGAAGAATGTATATTCTGTTGATTTGGGGTGGAGAGTTCTGTAGATGTCTATTAGGTCTGCTTGGTGCAGAGCTGAGTTCAATTCCTGAATATCCTTGTTAACTTTCTGTCTCGTTGATCTGTCTAATGTTGACAGTGGGGTGTTAAAGTCTCCCATTATTAATGTGTGGGAGTCTAAGTCTCTTTGTAGGTCTCTAAGGACTTGCTTTATGAATCTGGGTGCTCCTGTATTGGGTGCATATATATTTAGGATAGTTAACTCTTCCTGTTGAATTGATCCCTTGACCATTATGTAGTGGCCTTCTTTGTCTCTTTTGACCTTTGTTGGTGTAAAGTCTGTTTTATCAGAGACTGGGAATGCAACCCCTGCCTTTTTTTGTTTTCCATTTGCTTGGTAGATCTTCCTCCATCCCTTTATTTTGAGCCTATGTGTGTCTCTGCACGTGAGATGGGTTTCCTGAATACAGCACACTGATGGGTCTTGACTCTTTATCCAATTTGCCAGTCTGTGTCTTTTAATTGGAGCATTTAGCCCATTTACATTTAAGGTTAATATTGTTATGTGTGAATTTGATCCTGTCATTATGATGTTCGCTGGTTATTTTGCTCATTAGTTGATGCAGTTTCTTCCTAGCTTTGGTGGTCTTTACAATTTGGCATGTTTTTGCAGTGTCTGGTACCGGTTGTTCCTTTCCATGTTTAGTGCTTCCTTCAGGAGCTCTTGTAGGGCAGGCCTGGTGGTGACAAAAATCTCTCAGCACTTGCTTGTCTGTAAAGGATTTTATTTCTCCTTCACTTATGAAGCTTATTTTGGCTGGATATGAAATTCTGGGTTGAAAATTCTTTTCTTTAAGAATGTTGAATATTGGCCCCCACTCTCTTCTGGCTTGTAGAGTTTCTGCCAAGAGATCTGCCGTTAGTCTGATGGGCTTCCCTTTGTGGGTAACCCGACCTTTCTCTCTGGCTACCCTTAACATTTTTTCCTTCATTTCAACTTTGGTGAATCTGACAATTATGTGTCTTGGAGTTGCTCTCCTCGAGGAGTATCTTTGTGGCGTTCTCTGTATTTCCTGAATCTTGGCTCCACCCCCGACTTAATAAATTTTAAAAGTTTGGAAAGCTGAAAGATTGACAAATATATGGAAATTACACAACACACTCTAAAGCAATGGATCAAAGAAAAAATCAAAAGGGAAATAGCCAAAACAATATTGAGATAAAGAATGAAGCTGAAAGCATTACACAAGTTAATTTCAAATTATATTACAAAGCTATAGTAATAAAAACAGTATGATACTCGCATAAAAAGAGGTATATAAGCCAATGGAAAAGAATAGAGAAATCAATTAATCAATAGGAATTCACACATTTACAGTCAATTTTTCTTTAACAGGGTGAAGCCAAGATGGCCAAATGGAACAGCTCCAGTCTACAGCTCCCAGCTTGAGCGACACAGAAGATGGGTGATTTCTGCATTTTCAACTGAGGTACCGGGTTCATCTCACTGGGGAGTGTCGGAAAGTGGGTGCAGGAGAGTGGGTGCAGTGCACCAAGCCTGAGCTGAAACAGGGCAAGGCATCGCCTCACCCGGGAAGCACAAGAGGTCAGGGAATTCTCTTTCCTAGTCAAAGAAAGGGGTGAGAGACGGCACCTGGAAAATCAGGTCATTCCCACCCTAATACTGTGCTTTTCCAATGGTCTTAGCAAATGGCACACCAGGAGATTATATCCTGCGCATGGCTCAGAGGGCCCTATGCCCACGGAGCCTCGCTTCTTGCTAGCACAGCAGTCTGAGATCAAACTGCAAGGTGGCAGCGAGGCTAGGGGAGGGGTGCCCACCATTGCCAAGGCTCAAGTAGGTAAACAAAGTGGCAGGGAAGCTTGAACTAGGTGGAGCCCACCACAGCTCAAGGAGGCCTGCCTGCATTTGTAGACTCCACCTCTGGGGGCAGGGCACAGCCAAACGAAAGGCAGCAGAATCCGCTGCAGACTTAAATGTCCCTGTCTGACAGCCTTGAAGAGAGTAGTGGTTCTCCCAGCAGGCAGCTGGACATCTGAGAACAGACTGACTGCCTCCTCAAGTGGGTCCCTGTCCCCTGAGTAGCCTAACTGGGAGGCACCCCCCAGTAGGGGCAGACTGAAACCTCACACGGCCGGGTATTCCTCTGAGACAAAACTTCCAGAGGAATGATCAGGCAGCAGCATCTGCTGTTCACCAATATCCGCTGTTCTGCAGCCTCCGCTGCTGATACCCAGGCAAACAGCATCTGGAGTGGACCTCCAGCAAACTCCAACAGACCTGAAACTGAGGGTCCTGACTGTTAGAAGAAAAACTAACAAACAGAAAGGATATCCACACCTAAACCCCATCTGTACATCACCATCATCAAAGACCAAAGGGAGATAAAACCACAAAGATGGGGAAAAAACAGAGCAGAAAAACTGGAAACTCTAAAAATCAGAGTGCCTCTCCTCCTCCAAAGGAACGCAGCTCCTCAAGAGCAATGGAACAAAGCTGGACGGAGAATGACTTTGACGAGTTGAGAGAAGAAGGCTTCAGACGATCAAACTACTCTGAGCTAAAGGAGGAAGTTCAAACCCATGGCAAAGAAGATAAAAACCTTGAAAAAAAATTAGATGAATGGCTAGCTAGAATAATCAATGCAGAGAAGTCCTTAAAGGACCTGATGGAGCTGAAAACCAAGGCACGAGAACTATGTGATGAATGCACGAGCCTCAGTAGCCGATTCGATCAACTGGAAGATGGGGTATCAGTAATGGAAGATGAAATGAATGAAATGAAGTCAGAAGGGAAGTTTAGAGAAAAAAGAATAAAAAGAAATGAGCAAAGCCTCCAAGAAATATGGGACTACGTGAAAAAACCAAATCTATGTCTGATTGGTGTACCTGAAAGTGATAGGAAGAACGGAACCAAGTTGGAAAACACTCTGCAAGATATTATTCAGGAGAACTTCCCCAATCTATCAGGGCAGGCCAACATTCACATTCAGGAAATACAGAGAACGCCACAAAGATACTCCTCGAGGAGAGCAACTCCAAGACACATAATTGTCAGATTCACCAAAGTTGAAATGAAGGAAAAAATGTTAAGGGCAGCCAGAGAGAAAGGTCGGGTTACCCACAAAGGGAAGCCCATCAGACTAATGGCAGATCTCTCGGCAGAAACTCTACAAGCCAGAAGAGAGTGGGGGCCAATATTCAACATTCTTAAAGAAAAGAATTTTCAACCCAGAATTTCATATCCAGCCAAAATAAGCTTCATAAGTGAAGGAGAAATAAAATACTTTACAGACAAGCAAATGCTGAGAGATTTTGTCACCACCAGGCCTGCCTTAAAAGAGCTCCTGAAGGAAGCACTAAACATGGAAAGGAACAACCAGTACCAGACACTGCAAAAACATGCCAAATTGTAAAGACCATCAATGCTAGGAAGAAACTGCATCAACTAATGAGCAAAATAACCAGCGAACATCATAATGACAGGATCAAATTCACACATAACAATATTAACCTTAAATGTAAATGGGCTAAATGCTCCAGTTAAAAGACACAGACTGGCAAATTGGATAAAGAGTCAAGACCCATCAGTGTGCTGTATTCAGGAAACCCATCTCACGTGCAGAGACACACATAGGCTCAAAATAAAGGGATGGAGGAAGATCTACCAAGCAAATGGAAAACAAAAAAAGGCAGGGGTTGCATTCCTAGTCTCTGATAAAACAGACTTTACACCAACAAAGATCAAAAGAGACAAAGAAGGCCACTACATAATGGTCAAGGGATCAATTCAACAGGAAGAGTTAACTATCCTAAATATATATGCACCCAATACAGGAGCACCCAGATTCATAAAGCAAGTCATGGATGAAGCTGGAAACCATCATTCTCAGTAAACTATCACAAGGGCAAAACACCAAACACCGCATGTTCTCACTCATAGGTGGGAATTGGACAACGAGAACACATGGACACAGGAAGGGGACTGTCACATACTGGGGCCTGTTGTGGGGTCCGGGGAGGGGGGAGTGGGGAGTGATAGCATTAGGAGATATACCTAATGTTAAATGACGAGTTACTGCGTTCAGCACACCAACATGGCACATGTATACATATGTAACTAACCTACATGTTGTGCACATGTACCCTAAAACTTAAAGTATAATTTAAAAAAAAGAAAAAAAATTTTTATTTAACAAAGGTCCTGTTGGGGGGAACAGTCATTTCAATAATGATATTGGAAAAAACAGCATATTCGCAAGTAGAAGAATGAAACTGGACACTTATGTCACACCATATTAAAAACCTCAAAGTGGATTAAAGATGTAAACATGAGACCTAAATCTGTAAAACTAGTAAAATAAAATGTAAAGCTCAATGGAACAATATGGCTGACTAGACGCAGCCAAGAGGATCATCTCCCATTGAGGGACTGTGATATCAGGAAGACTAGCACACCCTGAGGAGATCTTTGGAGGGGAGGCATTGGTAGTGAGTAGACAGAGAATAAAGACACTGGGCTGAAAGATGAGAAAGCTGAGAACCCCATACGGGATTGCCAAGCATAGGGACTCATTCTGGTCCCCAGCAACTCCTAGAAAGTGATAAGTTGAACAGACAAGGAGTGGCCCATTCTCGCCAAAGATTTCTGGAATCCTATCAGATGGAGAAACCATGATTCCCATGGACATGAGCTGACAAAGATACCTGCTTTGAAAGGTGGCAGGGACTGCTGCTGGCATGAATGCACCCATTCTCCTATCCTTCCTTCACCATCATTGTCCTTGGAACATTGGTGGGTATAGATCCTGCCAGCCCTGAACCCCCACCCGCACCCCAATGCTACATCAACATTGCCACTAAAGTGAAACTAGGCACATTAAACAGCAGACCTGCCCCCCGTCCTAACACCACCACTGGCATACTTCCACCACTGCTGTTGAAAACACACACACTGAGGCCAGCACCCTGGAGGTCGAGACCAGCCTGGCCAACATGGAGAAACCCCATCTCTACTAAAAATACAAAAATTAGCCAGGCATGGTTGCCACCTAATAATCCCAGCTACTTGGACGGCTGAGGCATGAGGATCACTTGAACCTGGGAGGTGGAGGTCGCAGTGAGCTGAGTTGGTGCCACTACACTCCAGCCTGAATGACAGAGCAAGACTCTATTTCAAAAAATAAAAATAAAATAAATAAAAAGTTTAAAAAAAGATACTGGTGAGGTTGTGGAGAAAAGAGAACATTTATACACTGTTTTTGGGATTGTAAATTAGTTCAATCATTGTGAAAAGCAGTGTGGCAATTTCTCAAAGAGCTAAAAGCAAAACTACCATTCAATCCAGCAATCCCATTCTTGGATATATACCCAGAGGTATGTAAATCATTCTGCCATAAAGACATATATACACGTTTGTTCATTGCAGCACTATTCACAATAGCAAGACATGGAATCAATGAAATGCCCATCAGTGCCAAATTGGGTAAAGAAAATGTGGTACATATACACCATGGAATACTATGCACACATAATAAAAAATGAAATCATGTCTATTGCAGGAATATGGATGGAGCTGGAGGCCATTATCCTTAGCAAATTAACACAGGAACAGAAAAATAGATACCACATGTTCTCACTTATAAGCAGGAGCTAAAAAATGAGAACACATGGACATAAAGGAGGGAAAAAACAGACACAGGGGCCAACATGAGGGTGGATAATAGGAGTGGGGAGATGATCAGAACAAAATAACTATTGGGTACTAGGTTTAGTACCTAAGTGATGAAATAATCTGTACAATAAAGCCCTGTGACATGAGTCTACCTGTATAGCAAACCTACACATGTACCTCTGATCCTAAAAGTTTAAAAAAAAATAAAAATAAAAATAAAGGATTGACAAAGCAGACTTTTTGTAGCAATAAGATACTCAACTCCAAACTATCTCTAGTATAGCACCACAGATAGCAGATGACAGATAGCAGATCCTGAAGGAAATCAAAGTATTTTACCCCAAAATAGATTTATTTGACATATTTTGAAATGGCCCTGCAAAGCCATATCTTGTGGGGAAAATTTGCATTCTATAAAGAATCTCCTTCCCTTACTCAGTCTTTTACAGAAAGTCTGACACCTTTTAAGGGCCAATAAGAGACATTTACCAGCAAACCTTAACTATTTCAACCAGTTGCCAATCAGAAAGTCTCTGAATTTACCTATGGCCTGGAAGCCTTGCTTTAAGATGTCCCATCTTTCCAGGCCAAACCAATGTCTACCTACCACTTATTGATATACGTATTTGCCTGTAACTTCTGTCCCCCTAAAATGTATAAAATCAAGCTGTAACTCAACCACCTTGGGCACATGTTCTTGGAACCTTCTGAGGCTCCATGAGCAATGGGCTTCATATTGGTTCAGAATAAACCTGTTCAAATTTAAAATCCAAAATAAAATAAAATGGCGTATTGGGTTAAATAATGTGGAGTAAAACAATGAAAAATAAAATTTAAAATTCTAAAAAAAAGAAAAAAGGAAGGTGTCAGGGGCAGGACCCCAGACTATGTGGAGCTCAGATGGTTTCATGTGGAAACATCTACAGTAGAGCATGGCCAGGGATGCTCATTCCCCAAAGCTTGCCATGCTCCTCTAGATGTTAGACTTAGGGTGGCTGCCAGACCTGGACAGAGCCAGATAGTCTTCCCTGTGGGTCAATCCAATCTGAGCACTCCATTGTCTACTGGCCTCTTCTAGGGCCCCAGCCTGGTCATGCCTGCTTGTGCACATCCTAGGATGCACAACGAGCGTCCTTCCAGGGACCCTTATCATACCTCTCTCACCAGCAGTCTGCACCTGACTGTTGGTGAGCTCCAGCAAACCAACCCCTGCCAATGCACACCAGTTCTTCCATGGCCTCCCCACACCATGGCACTCATACCACTTGGCCATTACACACTCACCCACAGCCCCATTTGACCAGTTTTCCAGTGTGTGCATACATAACAATCTCACCGTACCTCCCCTGATGGCATGCATCAGCAGCTAGAAAGAAGGGGCAGGTCACCTACAAAGGGAGCCCCCTCAGACAAACAGTGGACCTTTATTAGAAGCACTTCAAGCCAGAAGATATTGAGGTCCTGTATTCTGCATGCTTAAAGGAAAAGAATTCTCAACCAAGAATTTCATAACCGGCCAAACTAAGCTTTATAAGTGATGGAGAAATAACATCCTTTTCAGACAATCAAATACTAAGGGAATTGATTACCACCAGACTGGACTTATAAGGGATCTCAAAGGGAATGCTAAATAAGAAAAGTAAAGATCATTATTGGCCCCTACGAAAACATACTTAAGTACGTAGTCCAGTGATACTATAAAGCAATCACACAATCAAGTCTGCATAACAACCAGCTAACAACATGAATACAGGATCAAATCTGCACATATAAACACTAACCTTGAATGTAAAAGAGCTAATTTCCCCAATTAAAAGTCACAGAGTGGCAAGCTGGATAAAGAAGCAAGAACCAACTGTATGCTATCTTGAAGAGACGTGTGTCACATGCATGACACCCATGAGCTCAAAGTAAAGGGATGGATAAAAATCTACCAAGCAAATGAAAAACAGAAAAAAGCAAGGTTGCAATCCTAATTTCAGATGAAACAGACTTTAAACCAACAAAGAGCAAAAAGACAAAGAAGGGCATTACACAATGGTAAAGGGTTCAATTCAACAAGAAGACCTAAATATCCTAAATATATATGTATCCAATGCAGGAGCACCCAGATTTATAAAACAAATTCTTAGAGAAGTATGAAGAGACTTAGATAACCACACAATAATCGTAGGAGAATTTAACACCCCACTGACAGTATTAGACATATCATTGAGGCAGGAAACTAACAAAGATATTGGGGACTGAACTCAATGCTTGACCAAATGGACCTAACAGACATCTACAGAACTCTCCACTGCAAGACAACAGAATATCCATTCTTCTCATCTACAAATGGCACATACTCTAAAATCAACCACATGATCAGTCATAAAACAATTCTCAGCAAATTAGGAAAAAACTGAAATTACACCAATCACACTCTCAGACCACACTATAAAAACAGAAATCAATCTAAAAACGTTGCTCAAAACTATACAGTTACATGGAAAACAACCTGCTCCTGAATGACTTTTCAGTAAACAATGAAATTAAGGCAGAAATCAAGAAATGCTTTGAAACTAATGAGAACAAAGACACAACATACCAGAATATCTGGGACACAGCTAAAGCAGTGTTAAAAGGAAAGTTTATAGCACTAAACACCCACATCAAAAAGTTTGAAATATCTCAAAATAGCAACCTACTATTACACCTAGAGGAATTAGAAAAACAAGAGTAAATTGATCCCAAAGCTAGCAGAAGATAATAACCAAAATCAGAGCCAAACTAATGCAATGGAGATGCAAAAAGACCATAAGAAAGATTAATAAATCCATGAGTTGGTTTTTTGAAAGAATAAATAAGATTGATAGACTGCTAGCTAGACTGATAAAAAAAGAGAGAGATCCAAATAAACACAATCAGAAATGACAAAGGGGACATTACCACTGACCCCTTAGAAATACAAAAAAAATCCTCAGAGACCATTATTAACACCTCTATGTGCACAAACTAGAAAACCTAGAAGAAATGAATGAATTTTTGGAAATATACAACCTCAACATCATACCAACTGGACAAAAGCTGAAAGCATTCCCCTTGAAAACTGGCCCAAGACAAGGATGCTCTCTCTCACCACTCCAATTCAACATTGTACTAGAAGTCACAACCAGAGCAATCAGGCAAAAAAAAAAAAAAAAGAAGAAGAAAGAAGGAAAGAAAGAAAGAAAGAGAGAGAGGGAAGGAAGGAAGGAAAGAAGAAAGAAAAAAAAAGAAAGAAGGAAGA
Source organism: Homo sapiens (assembly GCF_000001405.40). Classification (NCBI taxonomy): domain Eukaryota; kingdom Metazoa; phylum Chordata; class Mammalia; order Primates; family Hominidae; genus Homo; species Homo sapiens. Next base: position 173,081,520 of record NC_000001.11, read on the forward strand.
AAGAAAGAGCATCCAAATAGGAAGAAAGGAAGCCAAAATGTCTGTTTGCAGATGATATAATTCTGTATCTAGAAAACTCCATAGTCTCTGCCCCAAAGCTCCTAGATCTGATTTAAAAAAAAATAAAAACTTCAGCAAAGTTTCAGGACACAAAATCAGTGTACAAAAATCAATAGCATTTCTATACACCAACAACATCCAAACTGAGAGACGGCAACTTCATTCCCAATAGACACAAAAAAATAAAATACATAGGAACACAGCTAACCAGAGAGGTGAAAGATCTCCACGACAATCATTACAAAACGCTGCTGAAAGAAATCAAAGATGTAACAAATAAATGGAAAACATTCCATGTTGATAGCTAGGAAGAATAAATATTGTTAAAATGGCCATACGGCCCAAAGCAATTTACAGATTCGATTCTATTCCTATCAAACTACCAATTACATTCTTCACATAACTAGAAAAAACTATTTAAAAAATTGTAAGGTATGGGCTGGGTGCAGTGGCTCACGCCTGTAATCCCAGCACTTTGGGAGGCCGAGGCAGGTGGATCATGAGGTCAGCAGTTCAAGACCAACCTGACCAACATGGTGAAACCCTGTCTCTACTAAAAATACAAAAAAAATAATAATAATTAGCTGGGCATGGTGGCGGGCGCCTGTAATCCCAGCGACTTGGGAGGCTGAGGCAGGAGAATCACTTGAAACCAGAAGGCGGAGGTTGCAGTGAGCCGAGATTGCGCCACTGCACTTTAGCCCGGGCAAGAAGAGCAAAACTCCGTCTCAAAAAAAAAAAAAAAAATTGTAAGGTACCAACAAAGAGTCTGAATAGCCAAAGCAATACTATACAAAAAGAACAAAGCTGGAGAAATTACATTATCCAACTTCAAACTTTACTACAGAGCTACAGTAACAAAAACAGACACACAGACCTACGGAACAGAATACAGAGTCTTTGTTTGACAAAGTTGACAATAACAAAGAATGAGGAAAGGACCTCCTGTTCAATTAATGGTGCTGGGAAAGCTGGTTAGCCAAGTGCAGAAGATTGAAACTGGATGCCTTCCTTACACATACACAAAAATCAACTCAAGATGCATTAAAGACATAAATGCAAAACCTAAAACTATAAAATGCTGCAAGAAAACCTAGAAAATAAGTTTCTGGACATTGGCCCTGGCAAAGAGTTCATAATGAAGACCCCGAAGACAATTGCAACAGAAACAATAATTGAGAATGGGACCTAATTAAACTAAAGAGCTTCTGCACTGCAAAAGAAACTATCAACAGACTAAATAGTCTACAGAATGGGAGAATATATTTGCAAATTATGGATCTGACAAAGGTCTAATATCCAGAATCTATACGGAACTTAATCAAATTATCAAGCAAAATACAAACAATCTCATTAAAAAGTGAGCAAAGGACATAAACAGACACATTTCAAAAGAAGACATACACATGGCCAACAAGCATATGAAAAAATACTCAACATCATTAATCACTAGAGAAATGCAAGTAAAAACCACAATGAGATATTATCTTATGCTGATCAGAATGGCTGTTATTAAAAAGACAAAAAGTAACAGATGCTGGCAAAGTTGCAGAGAAAAAGGAACGCTAATACACTGTTGGTGGGAATGTAAATTAATTCAGCCAGTATGCAAACTATTTGGCAATTTCTCAAAAAACTTAAAACAGAGGTACTATTCAACCCAGTAATCCCATTATTTGGTATATACCAAAATAAATAGAAATTGTTTTACCATAAAGACACATGCACATGTACATTTATTGCGGCACTATTCACAATAGCAAAGATATGGAATCAACCTAAATGCCCATCAATGGTAGACTGGATAAAGGAAATGTAGTGTATATATGCACCATGGAATACTATGTAGCCATAAAAAAGAATGAGATTGTGTTCTTTCCAGTGACATGGATGGACCTGGAAGCCGTTAGCCTAACTGAACTAATGCAGGAATAGAAAATCAAATACCACATGTTCTCACTTATAAATGGGAGATAAACATAGAGTATACATGGATACAGAAAAGGGAATAGACAGTGGGGCCTACTTCAGGGTAGAGAGTAGGAGGAGGGTAAGGATTGAAAAACTACCTATTGGGTACTATGCTTATTACCTGGGTGACTAAATAATCTGCAAGTTAAACCCCTGTGACATACAACTTACCTATATAATAAACTTGCATGTGTACCCCTGAACCTAAAATAAAAGTTTAAAGAAAAAGAAAATATAGGGGAAAAGTTTGTTGACATTCTTCTGGGTGCTGACTTTTTAGTATGACCCCAAAAGCATAGGCCACAAAAGCAAAAATAGACAAACTGAATAACATCAATTAAACTATAAAGTTTCTGCACAGCAAAAGAAACAATCAACAGAGCAAGGAGACAATCTATGGGATGGGAGAAAATATTTGTAATCCTTATGTCTCATAAGAGCATAATATCCAAAGTACACAAGGAACTCAAACAACTCAGCGATGAAAAAAACCAATAACCTGGAAAAGAAAAAATGGGCAAAGAACCTGAATAAACATTTCTTTTTCTTTCTTTCTTTCTTTTTTTTTTTTTTTTTTTTGAGATGGAGTTTTGCTCTTGTTGCCCAGGTGGGAATGCAACAGCTCGATCTCAGCTCACCGCAACCTCCACCTCCCGGGTTCAAGCGATTCTCCTGCCACAGCCTCACGAGTAGCTGGTATTAAAGGCACCCGCCACCATGCCCAGCTAATTTTTGAATTTTTAGTAGAGACAGGGTTTCACTGTGTTGGCCAGGCTAGTCTCGAACTCCTGACTGCGTGATCGACCATCTCAGCCTTCCAAAGTGCTGGGATTACAAGCGTGAGCCACCGTGTCTGGCCAACATTTCTTAAAAGATGTACAAATGGCCAAGAAATGTATGAAGAAATACTCTACATCACTAATCATCAGAAAAATGCACATTAAAACCACAGTGAGATATCATCTCACATGTGTTAGAAGAGCTATTTATCAAAAAGAAAAAATAATAAATATTGGTGAGGACATGCAGAAAAGAAAATCCTTGTACATTGTTGGCGGAGATATAAATTGGTATTGCCATTATGGAAAACAGTAAGGAGGTTCTTCAAAAAAGTAAAAATAAGATTCATATGGCCCAGCAATTCTGTTACTGGGTATATATTCAAAGAAAATGAAATCAGTATCTCGAAGAGGCATGTTTACTCCCATGTTCATTGTAGCATTACTGATAATGGTCAAGATATAGAATTAACTTAAGTGTCCATTGATGGATAAGCGGATGAAGAAAATATGGCATACACATATATATGCAATAAAATATTATACAGCCTTGAGAAAGAAGGAAATCCAGTCATTTGTGACAATATGATTGAACCTGGAGGACATTACATTAAGTGAAATTAACTTAGTACAGAAGGACACACACTGGATGATCTCTCACTTATATCAAAAAATGCAGATTAATAGGGGAGAGTAGAATGGTGGTTCAGGGGCTGGGTGTGATCAAAGGGTACATAGTTTCAGTTATGCAAGATGTAAGTTCTGGAGATATAATGTAAAGTTTGATTACTATGATTAATAATACTGTAATATATTACAATATCTGTGTACCTGACAGTATTATGGTTAGACTTAGGATTTTTTGACTTTATGATGATGTGAAAGCAATATTGATTCAGCATATTCCCTTACTTATGATAGGGTTGCATAACCCCATCGTAAGTCAAAAAGCATCTGTACTTGAAATTTGCTAAAAGGGTAGATCTTAAATTTTCTCACCACACATTAAAAAATGATAATGATGTAAGGTGATGAATATGTTAATTAGCTTGATTATGGTAATCATTGCACAATGTATATGTATATCAAAACATCACATTGTACACCTTAAATATACATAATTTTTATTTGTCAATTATACCTCAATAAAGCTAAAAATATAAATAAAATAAAAACAGTATGGTAATGGCATAAAGGTCAATGTAAAGACCAGTGAAACACAATGCAGGCAGAGCCCAGAAATAAATCCTCACATATTTGAATGGTCTGTGACAAGATTGCCAAAGCTACACAATGGTGTTAGGAAAACCAGACATCCATATGCAAGAGAATGAATTTAGACTCTTACTTTACATCATATACAAAATTTAACTTAAAACAAATGAAAGACCTAAATATAGAAGCTAAAACCATCAAACGCTTAAGAGAAAACAAAGGGCAAAACTTCATGATATTTGATTTAGAATTGATTTCTTGGATATGACACTAAAAGCACAGGCAACAAAAGAAAAATAGACAAATTCGACTTGTGCATCAAAGAATAATATCAACAGAATAAAAAGGCAACCAATAAAATGGGAGAAAAATTTGCAAATCATACACTTGATAAGAAATTAGTATCCAGAGTGTATAGAAAACTCCTAAAATTCAACAATGAAAAAGCAACCAACTCAAAAATAATCAAAAGACTTGAATAGACATTTCTCCAAAGAAGATATATGAATGGTTAAAAAGTACATGAAAAGATGCTCAATTTCACTAATTATTATGGAAGCACAAATAACCAGGAAATAACTTCTCAGAACCATTAAGATAGCTACTACCAAAAATAATAAAAAAACAATACAAATGCTGACAAAGTTGTGAAGCAATTAGAACCCTTGTGCACTGTTGGCAGGAGAATGGAGGGTTATTGTTTCATACATATTATCTCAGTCAATTTGTGCTGCTATAACAAAACACCACAGACCAAGTAATTTATATACAACAGAATGTATTTCTCACAATTCTGAAGACTGGAAAGTACAAGATCAAGTCGCTAGCAGGTTCAACATCTGGTGAGGACTGCTCTCCACTTCCAAGATGGCACCTTGTTGCTGCATTCTCCAGAATGCACAAACACTGTGTCCTCACAAGCAAGAAGGGAGAGAAGGACAAAAAGAGTCTGAATTTACTCCCTCATGCCTTTTTTAAGGGTGATAATCCTATCCATGGGGGTGGAGTCCTCATGACCTAATCACCTCCTAAATGCCCCACATCTTAATACTGCTGCATTGAGTGTCAACTTTCAACACAAATTTTGGAGGGTACACAAATATTCAAACCACAGAAGGTGGAGTTCTCATTTTGCAAGATGAAAGGGTTCTGGAGATGGATGGTGGTGATAGTTGCACAACAAATATGGATATACTTAATGACACTGAACTGTACACTTAAAGATGGTTAATATGGCAATCTTTATGTTGTGTATTTCATCATGATTTTTTAAAATTAAGAAAAAAACCTTAATGTCTTTGGATGATTTCTCCCTTTCTGTGGCTTCAAACTTCATTTCCCATTTCAGAATTTTCCATTTCAGAATACCTCTCCTCTAACTTGCTAATCTGTGATTCCAAATTTCCTGCTGAACTCCAAATTCTTTGTCTCAAGGCTCTTTAAACTTAAGCTCTTCAAATTATGAATTATTTTATTTACCAGCTTACTTCTGTATTCCAGCACATGACCATTGGCTATACCAACCACCAAATTACTCTACTTGAGACCTTTAAATCTACTTTAATTCTTCTCTCTCCTTCAGCCCTCGGATCCTATCAGTTTCCAAATCTTGCACGTTTACCTTGTACAACTTACCCCCCTCCTTCATCCCCCATCATATTGCCTTAGTTGAAGCTTTTGTTTTATCTTTACTGGCTTATTGTAGCAGCCTCTTCACTGGTCCATTTATCACCATTTCTCCTATTCCACAAGTAATATATTCCTGAAAAGCTAATGATACTGCTCACTTCTTAAAAATTTCTGTTGGCTTCCCATGGTCTAGAGGACTGAGTTTGAGCTCCTTCATGAAGATCTTCCTACAACCAACTGTTTTTATAGCCTCCTTCCTGCCACTGGTCTACAGGTCACTGAGCATCTCTCCATTTCCCTCAAATGTTCTGTACACTGAGGACTTCAAGTTCTTCTCTCTGCATAGGAATCTTCTCCCTTCTCCATCTAGAAAGCATCAATTCCCTGTTTAAGCCCAGATAAAATTTCTCCTTACCCTTGAAGCCTTCCCTGATGTTCCTGTGAAAATTTAGACACTTTCTACTCTACAATTCTGTTTCTGTCACTATTCCAGCATATAAAGGCTGCTGGCAATTGTATGCATGTGCATCTCTCCCATGATACTGTGAGCATCTGGAAAGCAGCACTATGTTTTAATGAACTTTGTATTAGCAGACGTCATTATAGCACCTAACACACAATAGGTGCTGAGAAGATATTGATTGAGAGCATAAGGAGAAGGAGAAAAGTCCTTTATAGATATAAGAGGTTATGTCAGCATAAAAGACATAGATGACTTTTTAAATACTATCTGCAGTTCATGTTTGGCATCAGCAAAGATTCAGTTATACAACACAAGCAGTAAATGGTGAGCTTCTGAAGGGCAGGAATTGGATTCTAGTCCTGTGTGTACCACTGTTGCCTGGGATAATGTTTGGCACATTTCAGGCATTCAATCAGTGTGGAAGAATGGAAGAAAAGTGAAAGAAGAAGGGATGTGGGGAGGGAAAAAACTCATCTCTAGATTCTATATCCTACCCAGCTTAACTGATTCAGATGCTTAGTTATCATGGAATTTAAGTGCTTAAAAGGGAGAGTCCGCACATTCTCCTTGTGAACTGTGCCAGCCTTTTTATTCAAAGATATATTGCCAAGAAAGTCTTCCTGTTAGCTAATCCATACCCCTTCCACTGTATATGTAACCCTATTCTACCTTTTCCTCTTTAAGGCAGCTAAATACTTTTTCTAATATGCTTTCCCACTATGTGCAAGGTACTGTGCTAGCACAGACATTGTGCTAGGCCATGTATATGGGTTAGCTCTAATCCTCACAACAATTCTGTTAAGTGAGTACTAAATTGATTCTTCAGATGGAAAAATTGACTGGTCCAAACTTCCATAGCCAGCAAGTGATAGAGTCCAAATTCAACCTGTCTCCAAAGTCTATGTTCCTCCTTCATAACAACCTGCCAGCACACCTGCCCATGATGTCTTCACTATTAACCGACTATGTGACAGGGTCTCGCTTTGTCATCCAGGCTGGAGTGCAGTGACACAATCACAGCTCACTGCACCCTCAACCTCCCAGGCTCAAGTGATTCCCCTGCCTCAGCCTCACAAGTAGCTGAGTCTACAAACATGAGCCACCACACCTGCCTAATTTTTTTTTTCACTCCGTCTCATTCTGTCGCCCAGGCTGAAGTGCAGTGGTGTGAACTCAGCTCACTGCAACCTCCGCCTCTTGGGTTCCAGTGATTCTCCTGCCTCAGCCTCCTGAGTAGCAGGGATTACAGGCACATACCACCATGCCCGGTTAATTTTTGTATTTTGTATTTTTAGTAGAGATGAGGTTTCACCATGTTGGCCAGGCTGTTCTCAAACTCCTGACCTCAAGTGATCCACCTGCCTCAGCCTCCCAAAGCTCTGGGATTACACGTGTGAGCCAGCACTCCCAGCCTTAATTTTTTGTTTAGAGACAAGTTGTCCCTATATTGCCCAGGCTGGTCTCAAACTCCTGGGCTCAGGAAATCCTCCCACCTTGGCCTCCCAAAGTGCTGGGATTACAGTCCTATACATTTTCTTTAGTTATTTAACAAATTCTTTTAACTTTTATTTTAGGTTTGAAGGTACATGTGAAGGTTTGCTATATAGGTATATTTGTGTCATCAGTGTTTGTCGTGCAAATTATTTAGGTATTAAGCCTAGTACCCAATAGTTATTTTATTCTGCTTCTCTTCCTCCTCCCACCCTCCTCCCTCAAGTAGACCCCAGTGTCTGTTGTTCCCTTCTTTGGGTTCATGAGGTCTCATCATTTAGCTCCCACTTAGAAGTGAGAACATTCAGAATATGATTTTCTGTTCCTGCATTAGTTTGCTAAGGATAATAACCTCTAGCTCTATGCATGTCCCTGCAAAGGACATGATCTTATTCTTTTTCATAGCTGCATGGTATTTCATGGTGTATATATACCATATATATATACCACATTTTCTTTATCCAGTCTACCATTGATGGGCATTTAGGTTAATTCCATATCTTTGCTATTGTGAATCATGGTGCAGTGAACATTCACGTGCATGTATCTTTATGACAGAATGCTTTATATTCCTCTGGGCGTATACTCAGTAATGGAATTGCTGAGTGGAATGGTAGTTCTTCTTTTAGCTCTTTGAGAAATCACCATACTGCTTTCCACAATGGTGGAACTAATTTACACTCCCACCAACAGTGTATAAGTGTTGCCTTTTCCCTGCAAACTCACCAGCATCTGTTAGTTTTTGACATTTTAATAGTAGCCCTTCTGACTTGTATGAGATGGTATCTCATTGTGGTTTCAATTTGCATTTATCTAATGATCAGTGATATTAAACTTTTCATCATATGCTTGTTGGCCACATGTATGTTTTCTTTAAAAAGTGTCTGTCCATGTCCTTTGCCCACTTTTTAATAGGATTGTTTGTTTTTCTCTTATAAATTTGTTAATTTCTCTATAGATGCTGGATATTAGACCATTTTCAGACACATAGTTTACAAATATTTTCTCTCATTCTGTTGGTTACCTGTTGACTATGTTGATAATTTCTTTCACTGTACAGAAAGAAGCTCTTTAATTTAATTAGATCCCATTTGTCAATTTTTGCTTTTGTTGTGATTGTTTTTGGTGTCTTTGTCATGAAATCTTTGCCTGTTCCTATGTCTAGGATATTATTACCTAGGTGATCTTCCAGTGTTTTTATAGTTTTGGGTTATCCACTTAAGTCTTTAATCCAACTTGAGTTAATTTTTGTATATGGGGTAAGAAAGGGGTCCAGTTTCAATCTTTTGTATATGGCTAGCCAGTTATCCCAGTGCCATTTATTGAATAGGGAATATTTTCCCCATTGCCTGTCAAAGATCCGATGGTCATAGGTATGTGCCCTTATTTCTTGGCTCTCTATTCTGTTCCACTGGTCTATGTGTCTGTTTTTGTACCACTACCATGCTGTTTTTGTTACTGTAGCGCTGTAGTACAGTTTGAAGTCAGTTAAATTGATGTCTCCAGCTTTGTTCTTTTTGCTTAGGATTACCTTGGCTATTCAGGCTCTTTCTTGACTCCATATGAATTATTTTGCTGGACTTGCAGTAAACGGTAGGTCCCATACAAATTTTAAATAGTTTTTTCTAGTTCTGTGAAGAACGTAATTGGTAATTTGACAGGAATAGCATTGAATCTGTGACTTGCTTTGGGCAGTATAATCATTCTAATGGTATTGATTCTTCCTATCCATGAGCATGGAATGCTTTTCCATTTGTTTGTGTCTTCTCTGATTTCTTTGAGCCGTGCTTTGTAAAAATCCTCAACAAAATACTTGCAAACTGGTTCCAGCTGCACATCAAATGCTAATCCACCATAATCAAGTAGGTGTCATCCCTTGGATACAAGGTTGGTTAACATACACAAATCAATAAATGTGATTCATCCCATAAATCAAACTAAAGGCAAAAGCCACATGATTATCTCAGTAGATGCAGAAAAGCCTTTCACTAAAATTCAACAACTCTTCATGTTAAAAATTCTCAATAAACTAGGTATTGAAGGAACATATCTCAAAATATTATGAACCATGTACGTCAAACCCATATCCAACATCATACTAAATGGGCAAAACCTGGAAGCATTCATTCCACTTGAAAACCAGCACAAGACAAGGATGCCCTCTCTCCCACTCCTATTCAACATAATATTGGAAGTGTTAGCCAGAACAATCAGGCAAGATAAAGAAATAAAGAGCATTTGAATAGGAAGAGTGGAAGTCAAACTATCCCTGTTTGCAGATGACGTGATTCTATATCTAGAAAACCCCATAGTCTCAGCCTTAAAGTTAACAGCAGCTTCTTCTGCTGATAACTGCAGCAAAGTTTCAGGATACAAAATGGATGTATAAAAATCACTAGCATTTTTATACAGCAACAACAAGCAAGTCGAGAGCCAAATCACGGAGGCAATCCCATTCACAATTGCCACAAGAAGAATAAAATACCTAGGAATACAGCTAACCAGGTCAGTGAAAGAGCTCCACAATGAGAATTACAAAACACTGCTTAGTTATTTAAAAAAAATTATTTTAAGGGAACCCATTACATGACAGGCACTGTTCTAAGTGCTTTGCAAGTATTAAATCATTGAACCCTCATAACAATCTTATAAGGTATGTTCACTACCGTTCACATCTTATAGATTAAAAGACTGAGGCACAGAGAGCTTATGCACTCATTTTACAGGTGAAAAAACTGGGACACAAAGTAGTTTTCCCAACATCAAACCACTAGCTAGCAGCAAAGCAGAATTTAAATCCCAGTAGTCAGGACTCAGCCTGTTTTTTTAACTTCTAAACTAAACTACCTCAATTTGTAGTTTCATTTATTTTAAAAAACAATGTACTGGTGAACCAAATAATTCTTGCTATTTACTAGTCAATAGATTGATAATAAAATAGAGATTATAACTTAGGGATAATTTTCCTGCTTGCTTTGAATCTCATATCTTCTTTAAGAGAATTGATTCCATGGCCAAAGACAATCTTGATTTTCCCAATACCCATTATGAAAATGATTTTTATAATTATAATGTGAAGTCAGGTGAGAGAGTGTAGAAGAAACCATATAGTTTTGTATTTATTCTAAAAGAAAAATTCATAAAAACATGCCAAGGTTTTTAAATGACAACATTGAGATATGAAGAGGATTTAGTTTTCCTACACTAACACCAATCAATCGACTCCAGCCACTAACTCCACAGTGGCTTTCTGGGAGCACTATGTTAAGCAGGTTTCTAAAACCATGTTTTGCTACAAATGATTACAAAGAAAGTTCAATTTTCAAATTATGTAGGAGATTGTAAACAGCTGTCTGGCTTCCCTCAGACTTTCTTCCTCCTCTGTACAAAAGGCCTTTCATACAGCTGGAGAGATATCCTTTCTCTTTCCAGTCAGCACCCCACCATGAACAGATTTAAACTCAGCAAAGCATCTAAGAATAAAATTCAAGGTGGTCCATCTTAAAGAAAGTAGCCCAACATAGCTTGAGTTCCTACTGGGGGCCACGGCATAGGCTTTCATTTATTTCACGCAAATACCTTAATGAAATGACAGTGAGTTTATCCATTTTGCGCAAAAGGAGATTGGGATACATAGAGATCAAGTGTCTTGCCAAGTTCACAGAAATGCCAAAATGTAGAGCTGAGATTTGAACCCTGTTCTGACCTATGAACAAAGGCCATGCTATTTCTGGTACAGAAGCCACTATGATACCATACAGTACAGAGGGGCATTAACAGGTGAAGGACCAACTAGCATATGGTATTTGAGCAATATATTTGGCTCTAAATTCCCTGGCAGACATGGAAAAAGAGAAGCAAACATGATAGGTGATAAAGTGTTTATTTTCTAATTTCATAAAAAGGCACAAATAGTACTTCCAGGAATTATGTATATCTGTGAGTGACATGAAAATAGTATCTGATAGTATCTTCTATTATGGTTTTATGTAAGACTTAAAAATCAAATGTACCAAATGATCCTATATAAAGGCAGAAGAATAATCTATAGAAATGTCAGATGAAAGCCATTTCTGTAAAAGATGATAATAACAGGGCCTGGCCAATTTAATTCTTGGGGTAAAAATGAAAGAATGCACACTTTAATACAAGCCAGAAAGTTGGAAGACCTCTCCTGTGACAACAAATTGTTGTAGGTCATTTCTCACTCACCATAGGCAGTATCTGATGAGTGAGTGAGAAATGTAAAAGAGGGAGAATTTTTATTCATCCTCTTGCCATCTGAAAGACAATAAGGAAAAGCATATATTGATAATGTAGCCTAGTAGTCATTTCTAACTTTTATTCAGTGCTGGATTTCTCAGCAAACATCAAAAGTGAATCAGCTACATTCCTTTGAGGCTAGGCTTCGAGCTAATTCAATATTTTATTACAGCTACTACCTCTAGAGAACCCAACTAGTTGAGGTCTATTTCCTCTTAGTGGAGGCATAAGTATGGCTGCCAAAGCCACAGATTTTCTAATTGGCTTTAAGTGTTTTTCTATGATCAAAATTAGCTCAAATGGAAAAAAGCAACTAAAAAAAGAAGTAAAGGCAATTTCCAAGCACTCACAAGCCTGAGCAGATAAATTTCACACCAATTACAGGAAGTGAAATTGTTTTTATTCCTGTTTTTAACTACAAGAAGTATTTTTCCAAAATTTTTTCTTTCTCTGAGTGACTGATAAGGTACCCAATTTCCAGAATTGTGACCAGACTTGTTAAAGTAAGCTGATTCAGGGTGCTGCTGAGTCCAAATGGGAACTGCTCTATGAACCACAAAGTCAAGCCTTCATGAATCATTAGTACTAGCTCTAGCAAATATGTGACACCAGCCACTCTGCAATACATAATCTAAGATATCTACCCTCTATCACACCCACAAGAGCCCCATTTCCCATATTTATTAACTGAAAATAAATTATTTAAGTTTAGTTGCTTTAGAGAATAAGAGGTTCACCCAGGAAACCACTGTAAGCAGTAGGCAGTAAAATAGAAAGTTAGGAGAAAAGTCACCCTTTTCTAAAACATATGGTGTTTGCCATGTAATGAGATAGCATGCCAACAGACTAACTGCTGCCATACATATCTGTACAAATAACTCAGCTACAGATTTTCTAAAGTTTTCAAAGAAAATGACCAGTCATTCTTTGTAAAGGAAAACAATGTGCTCTCAGAAGAGCATGGACTTCAAATACTTGGGAGCAGAGGAAGAATGTGTTCTGACAACCAAGAATTACTTATTGAGCACCAATTTTAAACTCAACAGTGGCACAAGAAGTTTATAATCAAATTAGGGAAACATAACTCAGAGAAGCACCATTTCCAGAACATGTCTCTGAGCTTTGGCATGACCTACTACTCTTTCCTTCTTTAAACACTCTTTGGTTTCTCTGTCCTACTTTCCACTTCTCTGTTCCATCCTCTTTAGTCTTTACAGTCAGCTCCTCTTTCCTTATTCATTCCTAAACGATTGGTATTCATGGATATTTGGTCCATGTTCTTTTTCTCTTCTCGTGTGGCCACTCCTGATGTACATATATCCGACTTTCTACTGATCATCATTATTTGGAAATTTGATTACTCAGCATGTCCAAAATGGAATTCATTAGATACCCATTTAAACTAATTTCTTCTTTTGGATTCCTTATCCTAGTGAATCCATCACTCCACCCGCTAATCAATTCAGTACCCCTCTCTTTATGCCTCTTTCTGCCTCACTGCCTCTTCTCTCATCATTTAAATCTTGAATAACTCTTGAATCCATCCATTTTTCTCTGGTCCCACTATCATTACTCAAGTTGCAACATCAGTAATCTCTACTCTTGCTTCCTCCAATTCATTCTCTACCATTATTTTTCTGAAGGAAGGAGAGGAGGGAAAAGAGAGAGCGATGAAGAGAAGGGAGGAAGAAAGAAACTGATTACAATAGTCCCCCCATGAAACTCTTTTTATGGATTTTCACTGCCTTCGGATAAATTCTGATTCCTTAGTCTGGCTGCAAAGACTTTTCCTCATATCTTGCCATTCTCTTTATCTATCTTTAAAAGAGTCTTTTCCCACTTTGCAAAAAGTGTATTTGGGAAGAGCAACAGACCAAACAACTGTCAGCATGCTGGGCTAAGTGCTCACAGAGAAATTTGAGATAATAATGTCAAATATTCAGTTGATACATATACTGAGCTTCCCTGAAGTCTCCTCTCATTAACTCCCAAACTTTCAATAAAACTCTGCTGCAAATATATTTTGTAAACAGTCCTGGGACAGAGTTGTGTGGGGGAGATGGCAAGGAACAAAACAAATAGTATTTCATGCCAAAAATAATATGAACATAGAAAAAAGACAGGCATAACCAGAATCAGGTTCAGAGTAGGAAAGTTTGCTGCAGTACTGAATGACCAAGGGAATATAGATTTGTCCACTTCCCCTCACTCCCAAAGACTTTTTGATCATGGGAACCATAGCCGACTTCCTACGGCTCCTGGGATAGGGACTGAGCCAGTCCAATCAATTATCAAGCAAAAGGTCAATGACGAGAGCTGCAGAACTTGGAGCATTTGAATTCTGTCAGTACTCATCTCACATGCCACTGTTTCCTATTTATAAGCAAGTATAAGGCATGATTAAGTCTGTGGTCATGTGGGTTCCAGAGTCATACTGCTGGTATTCAAACTTGGCCTCTGCCATTTACTGCTCGTGTGGCAGGACAACTCGGCACTTAACTTCTATGTGCCTTAACTTTGTCATCATTTAAACTGGGCAAAATAATAGCACTTGTCTTAATCGGGTTAATGTGAGGACTATAGTATACATGTCATATGCTTTGAACAGTGACTGGAACTGTTGATTGTTGATGACTGTCCTGTTTACTGAGATATCCTTAATGCCTAGGACATAGTAGATGCTCTGTAAGTATGGGTTGAGTTCATTAAGGAGAGAGTAAATTGTGTATCATTTCTTCTGCCTAATCCATTCTTTCATCTCTTTTCCCTACCTAAGAAAATTCTTCCCCATCTTTTGTTTTGTTTTGGGCCACAGGTACATCATCCTTAGTCCATGAAAAGCCCTATTTCTCTCTCTTTTTTTTAAATTTCAATCCCCCATTTCTATCTCCTTTATCCCCACAAGGACTCACTGTAACATGTCTAATATATGTCCATGTCCATGTCTGTGTCTGTGTGTGTGCGCCCAGGCATGCGCATATGTGTATATCCTTCAAAAATACAGATCTAAATTTTATATTTATATATTAATATTTTTACTGTAATGTATAAATATATTACAAGTATGACAAATATACACATATTTGAAAAATATGGTATTGATTTGGATATTTATGTATTTTAATTTTATTTACATAAACTCCCCCTGAATTAATCTCTTGTCTATACCCAGGGGAAAGCACACAATACCTCCCAGATGGGCAAATTTATAAGACTATGGCAGAATGTTAAATTTGCAATTACGAAGGCAAGAAGAGGTTTTCTGCAAAGGTTTTCAGAAGACATAAAGTGTGTAGCCACTGTGCCAGCCAGTGGGGGTATAAGGAATGGAAGCATGCTTAACCAAGGGACCTGAGGTTCTAAAGAATGTGTGGATTTACACTTAGACACAAAATGTTTAGCTGGAACTATTAAACATTGCTCTATTCAGTGCTGGCAAAGGGGAGCTAAATTAATTGCACAAAGGGCAATGGTTGCTAAAAAAAACAAAAGTCATTTTCCTAGGCATTGCACTGAAACCCAAAAAGTCTCAGACCAGATCTACTGTGAGTGGTAGGTTCCCAGCAGAAAAATAACTGGGAAGCGCCCCCTACCCCATTATTATTGCCTAGAGTTTTGTGGGCTCAAAATTATTTCAATTGCACAAAATCTATTTGGAATAGGGTCAGCTTGGACAGATTGCTTCTTCATTTTCGACTCCTGTGGTACAAAGACTTTCAGGCCCTACTCTACTACTTCCTCTCTTTGTTTCTCAGGAAGAACTTTAGGAGTCTACAGGCCCATTTATTCCTCAAGTAGAACTTTTTGCCAACCACACTTACCTCTTTGGAATGTTTACATCAGCTCATAAAGATGCTGCTGTGGGTGTTCCTTTATGGGCTGGTATTCATTTATATCCCACATCCAGGGCTGGATTATCATCATTTTCAAATCTGGCTCTATTAATTTTACTAGTTTCTCTTTAGAGAATGATATGCCACCAATTTGGGATTTATAAAATATTGCATTTGGATTCAACATTTGAAGGTAGAAATCAATGGTATCATGGGCTTCTGGCCTTTTAGAAAAAAAATAACAAACTCCCTGGGAGATTTATTTTTAAAAAATCACAGGCTGGGCGCGATGGCTCACGCCTGTAATCCCAGCACTTTGGGAGGCCGAGGCAGGAGGATCACAAGGTCAGGAGATCTAGACCATCCTGGCTAACACGGTGAAACCCCGTCTCTACTAAAAATACAAAAAATTAGCCAGGCGTAGAGGCGGGCGCCTGTAGTCCCAGCTACTCGGGAGGCTGAGGTAGGAGAATGGCGTGAACCCGGGAGGCGGAGCTTGCAGTGAGCCGAGATTGCGCCACTGTACTCCAGCCTGGGCGACAGAGCGAGACTCCGTCTCAAAAAAAAAAAAAAAACAAAAAAACAAAAAACAAAACAAAACAAAAAAAATCACAGACAAAGGATAGAGGTTTATGCTTAAAATTGAAATGTTGATTACATGGGTGACAAAATTTTCTATACACTGAACTCCCATGACTACAATTTACCCATGTAACAAATCTTCACATGTACCCCTTGAACCAAAATAAAAGGTTGGAAAGAAAAAACATTGAAATATGTGGCCTTAAATATTTTCAAATATGCTGATATGACTGGGAATCCCTGAAAAGAAATATGACTAACAGATAGGCCTGGGAAGAATATGGTTCCAGAGCATTGCTGTGCCTCAGTGAGAGGCATTTTAGAACTGGGTTTCCTACACTAAGGAGAATCATGAAGAGAGAAATACAAGTTATTTGAGAGTGGAGGGGAACAGGGAAGAGGCTTCTAGCAGGCCCAGGAAGAGAGTCAGGAAAGAAGAGAAAACAAGATTTCTAATGGCAGGGCCAAACCAGCTGTGTCATGGGAGTTTGTGCTTGTGACTTAACATCTTTGGGTGTAACTTGGCCATGTTATCCTGTCATGCTATTGAGAATTTGCAAAACTGTATTTCTTGGAATATGGTAAAAGAAAAAGGCTATTGCTGAAAAAAAAAATGGAGGAGGATCATGACTTAAAGAGAAACTGCCTCCTTTTATTTAACCCTCAGGTAGTACTTGTGGAACAGCAACCAAAAGCAGAGATAGGAAAGGAGACCTACTGATTTTAGTCCCTCTAGATTCAGTAGCATGTGCAGGAAGAGGTCCTATTGTTCCCTAGGCTGGGAGAAAGGACAAAAACGCTGTGGAACAAGAAGACAGGGCAAGGAAGAAAAATCCTGCTTGTTCCCATTTTTTCTTTCGAAGGCACAAATACTCTGAAGGGCAGGAGGAAGAGGCAAGAGCTGAAATTTCTCTTTCTTTCATTCCTTTCTTTCCTCTCTCTATTCTTTCTTTCCTCTCTTTAGTTTCCAAAGTAGCTGGGACTACAAGTGCACACCACCAAGCCCAGCAATTTTTTTTTTTTTTTTTTTTTTTTGTACAGATAAGATCTCCCTCCATTGCCCAGGATGGTCTCAATCTCCTGGGCTCAAGTGATCCTCCCACATCAGACTCCAAAAGTACTGGGATTACAGCCATGAGCCACCATGCCTGACCCTGAAATTTCTTTATTAGTAAAGAAATAACTTTGTTCAGGTTGAGAATTTTACTTGCAACTTGGTGCTTTCTTAGTAAAGGAGCAATCTTTGGACCATCGAATGCACCACAACACATATTTATTGTCACTCTTGCATGTGCTAGGTGCTGAGGATACAACAGAGAATATCAGGGGCCCCATCTTCTTAAAAATCTACAGTCTAATGGGGATTCTCTGCTTGAAGAAAGTTGCCAAGTGAAGCTTCCTGGTTTCGTCTCTCTTGGAGTGCTCTACAATGGAACAGGCTCTTGAGACCTCTTTCTCCAAGGAACTCTGATCTGGCTGCTGGGCTTGCTGCATTCCAATCCCAGGGGAAATAGTTAATGATATACATAGTTTGTCAGTCAAGGCTATTTTTCTTTTTGGTAATGCCACTGATCGGTGCAATGCTGTTGGCTGATAGTGTCCAGAAGCAAGTTATAAATCAACTCAAATGGGGTTGTGGCCTGACCTTGTGAAAATGGTTCTTCTTCTATCCAGTGACCTTTTGATTGCTTTGTAATTATCATTATTATTCTTATCATTTTTTATAAGTGGAAAGGAAATCCCTCAACACTACACAGGTAACTTTATCTTATTGAGTGATTCATGCTTTGAGAGAAACTTAAATTCACAGAAGCTAAAATAAGGAATCTGAAGGATTACCAAAGAAGTCCCTGGGTGTGAGAGTGAGTATGACAAAAGCTTGCTCTCCCTGGGCTTTTCTTGTGTTTATTTTATTTTTATTAAGATTTTTTTTTTTTTTTTTTTTTTTTTTTTTTGTGAGACAGAGTTTCACTCTTGTTGCCCAGGTTGGAGAGCAATGGTGCAATCTTGGCTCACCACAAACTCCGCCTCCCGGGTTCCAGTGATTCTCCTGCCTCAGCCTCCTGAGTAGCTGGAATTACAGGCATGCACCACCACGCCAGGTTAATTTTGTATTTTTAGTAGAGATGGGGTTTCTCCATGTTGGTCAGGCTGGTCTCGAACTCCTGACTTCAGGTGACCCACCCGCCTCAGCCTCCTAAAATGCTAGGATTACAGTCGTGAGCCACCACGCCCGGCCCCTCCTGTGTTTATTTTCTTGGAGTCTCCAGAACTCTGAATTAGGCCAAGGAGCAGTTATCTTTTCACTTTCAAGATGGCTATGTTCTCTATAGCACCCTGAGGGCACCATCCTTTTTCCATCATGAGCTCACCAACGTCTTTCCAGACCCAGCTTAACTACAGACCCCATGAAGCCTCCCCACACCTTCTGTCACAACCAGTCATTGCCATACCAACTGTTCACACCATTACAATGCCATTTGTAGTCCTGAATTGGAGTTGTTTATGCACAAAGCTTTCTGACTAAACTGTGAGTGCTTCCAGAAAAAGAGCCTTGTCTCATTCCCTTTTGAGAAATTTCCCTCCTCTGCCCTATGGAATATAACAGAAGTTTGATCTATTTTGTGGAATAAATAAATGAATGAATAGTATTTTACTTAGATGATAGTACTTTACAACTTTATTTACTATAACGATAAACATTTGGATGGTATTTTAAGAGCTAACAGAGTATAGTCAGGTACATTATTATGTTTAGTTCTTGAAATCTTACAGGGTAAAGCCAGTGTAATTAGCACCCCTTTTTTTTATACATGCCAACATTTAGATGAACAAGTTCTGGAAATGGATAATGGGGATGTAACAGTTGCACAATATTTTGAATTGCTTAATGCCACTGAATTGTACATTTAAAATTGATTAAATGACAAGTTTCAGGTTATGTATATTTTACCACAAAATAAATAAATAAAAAGGCCAAGAGAATCCAGTCTTTATCTCTAAGAAGCAGGAAGTGAGGGCCTGATTAAAAGTGAGGGTGGGAAAGAAAATGCAAGAGAATGGCAGCCTTAGAGGCAAGCTGACTAGGAGGAGGCTGTTGGAACAAGAGAAGACTGTTCTTCAGCCATGACAGAGAGACAGGGGTGAGAAGAAGGAAGTCATGGGCCAGTTGATTGGGAGAAAGGAACAGGGCCTTATTAGAGAAAAGAGTGTGGGAGTAAAGAGGGGTTTTAAATTAGAGATTGATGAGAAAATCATGACCTTTAAGGATAATTTGTTTATTTTAAAATTTTCTCTGACATTAATTTTATCTTGCCCAACCTATTGTTGTGCCTGACCTCCTAGTAGTTTGCTAATACATTTTAAAGAGGGGATTTGTAATTACTTTATAATTCCCCATTAGTTAAAAGTGGGAATTTACAATTCCTTCCATCCAGATATCTCATATGGTAACTAAATTTAGTACTTTGGTCCCTGTTTCTTTATAGTACCCTAACTAATTGTATTTGGCTTTTGTCAATGAATTCATAATTATAAAGATCCAAAAACGTGTCACCTAAAATATGTTTTGACTGCTTCTCTCCTGTGCTTTCTTTCCCATCTTCACTTTTAATCAGGCCATCATATCCTGTTTTTAATGATAAGGGCTAAATTCCCATTGTCTTTTGAGCAACACCAATGACTAGAAATACAGTTTGTATATGATTCGGGATACTTGCTTATGCTGCTTTCTCCGTCTTTTAGCATTCCCATTAAGGGACTGATATAGATAAATGTAGACCCATATTTCACAAAGCATATTATGCAGAATGGTAATGACTATTTCTTGAAATTGTTGTTTTGTCATCATATAAGTTGTGAAATAGTTAAAACAGATTTCTTTGTGCAACATTCAAACTTAAGTTCCATCACGTCAAGAATTTTGTCTATCTTGTTTTCTACTGTGTCTCCAAGGCCCAGAATAGTGCCTTACACTTAGGAGGCACTGAATAAATATTTGTTGAGTGAATGAAACTTTTAAGAGCCTTTAATAGTCTCATGTTCCTTAAGAATTTCCAAGGGAAAAAAAAATCCTGTACAGAGCTTCCTAAACAGTTTTGACTATGGAACTCCTTTTTTGTGTTTTTTTTCCCACCCAAAACATTTAGCAAAACTGATGTTCCTTGGCACACATTGAGGGGGAAATGCTGTTTAAAGACTTCCTAAATAGTTTGAGCTTCTTGTTTAATTCTTATAAAATACTGTGAGGAAAAGAAAATTAAAAATTACATGAGACATTAGCAGTGTTTGTCTTTCTGTCCAAATAAAATGACATGTGTAAAACTCTTTGACATGTGTGAAATATCACTTATAACCCATATGATTTAGCTTAATAGTTTAAAATTAGTGCTTAGAAATGTAGAGATCTGAATAAATAGATATTAGCCAGGGGACACACTACATGCTAGCACATTATCGATTCTCCAAAAGCAGCTAGTTAGCAGAGCCAGTGATAAGCACTGTTTAGGGAACCTAATATGCTATGCATTCTACCCACTAACCTTTCACATTTTCTATGGTATTCCTCCCTCCTCTTTTTAACAACTTTATTGATATATAATTCAAATACCATAAAATTCACTCATTTAAAGTATATAGTTCAGTAGTTTTCAGAATGGTATAACCATCACCAAAATTTCAATTTGGAACATTTTCATCCCACCAAGCAGAAACTCCATACCCATTGGCAATCACTCCCCTTCCCTGCAGCCCCTGGAAATCACTAATGTACTTTCTGTCACTGTGGATTTGCCTATTCTGGACATTTTAGATAAATGGCATCATATACTATATGGCCTTTTATGGTTGGTTTCTTTCACTTAGCATGTATTCAGGTTCATCCTTGAATTACAACACTTATCAAACTTTTTTATGGATGAATTATATTACATTTTATGAACATACCTCTGTCAAAAGGAAAAATCTTAAACTAATTAAATTCAACAGCATTTATTTGAGCAATTATAACCAAAACAGAACAAAGCAAAACAAAACAGAAACAATTCGAGAATATGGCAGTCCTCTGGTAGAGCAGACTCAGAGAACTCCAACCAGTAATATGATCTGACAGCATGTATAGGAAACAGAAATGTGGTACATACACACTTTAATTGGTTATGGAGTCTTCTGCAATTAACTAAAGCTCAGCTACTGTACTTAAACTCATATTGGTTTGTTCTCTTAGGCTTAGTGTGGGAGTTCAGTTCAAGTCCACGGCCTCCTACAAAATTATATTTAACACCATGTTTGTTTATTTATTCATCAGTTGATGGACACTTGAGAGAGAGAGGTGGCAGGGTTTTGGAAGAGGCATATCTGACAGTTTGACATTTTCAGTCACCTTCTGGGATCCTGGACAAGCCCCCAGTTGAAATGGGAAAAGTTCCCTTATCCGCCTCACAGGGTGTGCAACAGGGGGAGTGGCTCACTTCTTTGGTTCCTCACTGCTCAAACCCCTAAGGGGAGGATGCAGACAGGTGGGTTGTGGGGCTCCAACCCAACAGCAGTGTCTAGGGGTGAATATTTAAAGCTGAAGCTCCAGAGGGCATGTGTTACAGTGTGCTCTTTTAGTTTTGCCATCTATAGGTGGCTTGTGTTATCAGCTCAATTAGACCATATACCCTATCACAAGGACAGAGGGCTTTCTGTATCGGGGTTCTTGCCTTGGTGTACTGGAAGAATTGGGTTACATGTGGGTTTGGAGAATGAGTGCAAGGTTTTTTATTGAGTGGTGATAGCTCTCAGCAAGCTGGATGGGGAAGTCAGAAGGGGGATGGCATGGGAAGGTGGTGATTTTCCCCTAGACTTGGGCCACCCAGCAGCCAGGCTGTCCTCCAACCACCCCGCCAAACTCCACATCATTCCACTGGTCAATGGCCTGCCAATGTCTGCCAGTGCCTGTTGGTGTGCTCTTCCGCCAGTGTGTTCCTCTCAAGGTCCAGCTCCATGTGTGCACTTCTGCTGGTGCATTCCTCTTGATGTCCAGCTGCTTGTGCCTGTGCTTGCCTGTGTCTCAGAGTTTTTATAGGCACAGGATGGGGGGTATGGCGGGCCAGGGTGGTCTTGGAAAATGCAACACTTGGGCATAAAAACAGGAGTGCCTGTCCTCACCTAGGTCCATGGGCACAGGCCCGAGTGCGGAGCCCTCACCAGGGACCCGCCCTTCTCTACCCACCACTTCCCTGCCCCACTTCCATATCAATAGGGATTGCAATGAATCTATAGATCAATATGGGAGTATTGCTGTCCTAACGATATCAACTATTCCAATGCGTGAATATAGGATGTCTTTCCATTTATCTAAATCTTTAATTTTTTAAATAATATTTTATAGTTTTTAAAGTATAAGGCTTGTACTTCTTTTGTTAAATGTATTCCTAAGTATTTTATTCTTTTAGATGCTAGTATAAATAAAATTGTTTTCTTAATTTCATTTTTAGATTGCTGATTACTAATATAAAGAAATGCATATGATTTTCATATATTGATATTATATTCTGCAACCTTGCTGAACTCATTTATTCTGTTAGGCTTCTAATAGGCTATTCTAATAGGATTTCTAGTTCTAATGTATTGTTTAGGATTTTCTATGTACAAGATCATGGCATCTTTCAGTAGAGATAGTTGTACTTCTTTTCAAATCTGATTGCTTTTAATTTACTTTTTTGGCTTAAATGCCCTGGTTAGGTCTCTAACATAATGTTGCATAGAATTGGTGAGAAAGCCTTTTATCTGATCTTAGGGGGAATGTCTTTAACATTAAGTATGAATTTAACTGTGGGATTTTAGTAGATGCCTTTTATCAAGTTGAGGAACTTTCCTTCCACTCCTAATATGTTGAGTGCTTTTATATTAAAAGAGTGCTGGATTTTCTCAAATGTTTTTCTGTCTCAGTTGAAATAATCACCTGGGTTTTTGTTCTTTATTAATGTGTATTACATGTGTTGACTTTCATATGTTGAAATGACTGCATTTCTGGGATAAATCCCTGTTGGTCATGTTGTATAATCCTTCTTACATGTCACTAGATTCATTTTTGCTAGTAATTTGTGAAGATTTTTACATTTACATTCATAAGGCATATTGGCCTATAGTTTTAAGATGCCTTTGTCTGATTATGTAATGGTAGTACTAGCTTTATAGAATAAATTGAGAAGCGTTTCCTTGCCTTCACTTTTTTGATAGTGTTATTTTTTAGAATAGTTTGTGAAGGATTGGTAGTAATTTTTTTTATGTTTGGTAGAATTCACCAGTGAAACCTGAACTTGGTCTTTTATTAAAAGTTTTAAAATTACTAATTCAACCTATTTATTTGTTATAGGCATATTCAGATTTTCTATTTCTGCTTGAGTCTATTTTGGCAGTTTGTGTCCTTCTAGGAGTTTGTCCATTTTACCTAAGTTATAAAACGTGTTGTTATACAGTTTTTTATAGTTTCCCCTTTCAATCCTTCTATAAGTTTCACTAGTGAGTTTTCTCACCTCTTTATTCCTCAGAGTAGTTCAGTCACTTAAATCGTCTTTCTTTTTTTCTTGGTCAGTGTAGCTAAAAGTTTGCTAATTTTGTTTATTTTTTTTCAAATAACCAACTTTTGGCTTCTTTGATTGTCTGTGCTGTTTTTCTATTCTTTATCTTGTCTCTTTCTCCTCTGATATTTATTATTCCTTAATTCTGCCTCTTTGAAGTTTAGTTTTTTTCTTCTTTTCCTAGTTTCTTAAAGTGGAAAACCTGATTATTGACTTAAGATTTTTCTTCTTTTTAAATATAGGCATTTACAGCTATATATCTCCCTGTAAAAACTGCTACAACCATTTTCTGTAAGTTCAGTGTGTTGCGTTTTCATTTTCATTCATCTTAATGCATTTTCTAATTTCCCTTAGGATTTCTTCAACACATTGATTATTTGAGTATATTTAATTTCTGTATATCTGTGGATTTCCTAAATTTTCTTCTAATTATTGATCTCTAATGTAATTTTAGATCAGAGAAAGTAATTTGTATGATTTCAATACACTGAAATTTACTAAAGCTTGTTTTATGGCCTGTCTAATATGCGCTCTATCATGGCAAAGTTTTATGTGGTTTTGAGAAAAATGTATATTTAACCCTTTACTTTGTTGAGGTGAAATATTTTATAGATGTCAGCTAGGCCTAGTTGATTGCAGTTTAAGTCTTCCAATTCTTTCTTGACCTTTTGGGATTGAAAAGTCCGCAACTATTATTGTTTAATTTTCTATTTTTCCCTTCAACTCTACGAATTTTTGCTTATTTCATTTTGGGACTCTGTTTTCAGGTACATACATATTTATAATTAATATGTATTTCTGGTGGATTAACCATTTCATTTATTTTTTTAAATGTCCTTCATTTTATTTAGTAATAGTTTTTATTTTAAAAATCTTATTTGTCTGATACTAGTATAGCCATCCCAGCTATCTTTTGGTTACTGTTTTTTGGTATATCATTTCTATCTTTTTACTTTCAACCTAATCATATCTTTGAATCCAAAGCATGTTTTTTAGACAGCCTATAATTAGATGTTTTCTTATATATTTTGCCAACTTATACTTTTGATTGGAGTGTTTACATTTACTGTCACTACTGGTAAGTAGTATTTATGTCTGCTATTTTGCTGTTTATTTTTCGTATGTTATGTCTTTTTGTTCCTCTGTTTCTCTGTTACTACCTTCTTTTGTGTTAAATACATATTTTCTATTGTACCTTTTGATTCTTTTATTGTTTCTGTTACTATGTGTTTAAAGTTACTTTAATAGTGGTTGCCCTGGGGACTAAAATTACCATTTTCACTTAAAAAATCTAGTTCAAATTAATACTAACTTTATTTTGACAGTATACAAAATCTTTGCTCCAAAATACCTGTTCCCTCCACCTCTTCTTTGTGCTATTATTTGCATGCAAATTATATATTTATACTTTACAAATATATCAACTCAATTTTATGTGTACTGCTTATGGAGTTGCCTTTTAAGTCAGAAGAAAGGAATTAGAAACAAAAATGTTTTATATTTAATCTATGTACTTACCTTTTCCAGTGCCCTTTGTTTCTTCATGTAAAACTTTAGTTATCATCTAATGTCCTTGCATTTTAGCCTATAGCACCTCCTTTAGTATGTCTTTGGACAGCTCTGCTATTAACAGTTATCTCAGGGTTTTGTGTTGATTGTTGTTATTTTTTAAATCTGGGAATGTCATTTCCCCTCATTTGTGAAGAATAGTTTTTCTGGATATAGAATTCTTGTTTGTTAGTTTTTTTTCCTTCAGCATTTTGAATATGTTACCCACTGCCTTATGACTTCCTTCATTTCTGATAAGAAGCCTTTGTATGTGATGAGTGACTTCTCTTGCTGCTTTCAAGATTCTCTCTTGGTCTTTGTCCTTTTAGAGTTTGATTATGATGTATCTTGGTGTGGATCTCTTTCAGTTTATCTTACTTACAGTTCACTGAGATTCTTGGATATGTAAATTGATGCTTTCATCAAATATGGGAAGTTTTGGCCATTATTTCTTCAAGTATCCTTTCTACTGTTTTCTCTTTTCTCTTCTGGAACTCTCATTTTGTCTATGTTCATATACTTAATTGTATCCACAGGTCCCTGAGATGTTATTAGTTTTTCTTCATTCTTTTTTCTTTCTGTTGCTAGAACAGGATAATTTCGACTAATCTGTCTTCAAGTTCACCAGTTCTTCTGCAAGCTCAGATCTGCTTTTAAGCTCCTCTAGTGAATTTTTAAATTTCAATTATTACACTTTTCAACTCCAAAATGTCTACTGGGCTTTTAAAAGTGATTTCTATCTCCTTATTGATATTCTCTAATTGATGAGACATTATTATCATAATTTCTTTTAACTTTCTAGTTATTTGAACATATTTATAATCGATAATTTAAAGTCTTTGTCTTTAAATTATCAGTTACCCCTTGGGGACCAGTATCAGTTACCCCTTAAGGACATTTAACTCTTAGCTACCTTTTTCTTATGTATGTGTCATATTTTCATTATTCTCTTTATGTCTTATAATTTTTGCTGAATCTGGATATTTTAGTTAATATAGTGTAACAACCATACTATCAGATCATCCATCACCACCCCCAAAGTTTGTTGTTGTTGCTATTTTCTTTCTTTTCTTTTTTCTTTTTTTGTTATTGTTGTTTTCACTGCTTGTTAGGCAAGCAGCAAAGAGGAAACTAATTCTGAACTAATTCGACAGTATCTGTGGTTACTGAGTTATCTTCTAGGTTTTGTTTTAAGTTATTGTGTGACCAAAACACTGGGGGTTTGGTCTATGTCCTGCATCTCACCACACAGAAAGCCAACCACCACAACAACAAATATCACCAAGGAAGAAGGATTTAATCAGGTGCTGCAGCTGAGATGTGAGCTCAGTCTCAAATCTGTCTCCCTAACTGACTAAAAAAAAGGGTTTATATAGCAGGGAAGAAATGTAACA
Organism: Homo sapiens; assembly: GCF_000001405.40. Taxonomy (NCBI): domain Eukaryota; kingdom Metazoa; phylum Chordata; class Mammalia; order Primates; family Hominidae; genus Homo; species Homo sapiens. The sequence goes on from NC_000001.11 coordinate 173,108,313, forward strand.
ATGTGTAAAAAAACAGAAACTAGGGAGGGGAAAGGAAGCAATCATGATGAATGAGGGGTCCTGCATCTGGTGCAGTGACCTGGTGAGTTTCAGTTCTTTCATACTTTTTTAAAGGCCTGAAGGCATTTTCCTGAGAAAGGAACTCAGATAAAACAAATTTAAATTTCAAGCTTTAAGACCAGAAGGGTCAATTTCTATGTTTATCAAAAAGAACAGTCTATGAGACTATAGGGTTGGTTTCATTTGTTTTAATTTTAAGCCTATATGCCCTAGGGATTATCCTTGGGACAGTATACTTTATTAGCCAGCCAATGATCTGCCGAAGGTTTCTTTAAATGCTTTGCTTATATGTTTTCCACCCTTTGCCAAAGGGCTCTGTATATGAAGGCATTCCTTCAAACTTCAGGCAATTTGCAAAACAGCCTTAGATTTTACCTCCTGCTTGTGGAGGACCTCAATGTCAGCTGGGCATGAAAGGGAGTGACTGGAGCCTTCTCCTTTCTCAGGTGCAACCATGCACACAGACACAAAGACACAGACACACAGACATACACACACACACACATACACACACACTGTTTTCTAGTTCTTCAGAAATATGTCAGAGTTCTTTGAAGCTCCCTATGTTTGTGTAGATCTCCAGGATGTTCCTTCAAATTTTTGGCCATGCTGTTGTTTTTCTCTACTGAAATCACAGATTTAGCACAGCAGTGGTGGTGTTACCAGAGAATTACTATTGTTTTAGGCAACACCTTGGGAATAGAGCCTTTTTGTTGTTGTTATTGAGCTAAGCTCTGAGTCAAATCAAATAACACCAGTGCCCTGGGAATAGAAATTTTCCCAGTAGCTGCTAATTCAGATAAAATATTTATTTTATTCTATTAATGGGACTTTTAATTGAGTTCCAGAAGTAGTCAGTCATCTCTACTGTGAGACTGCTGTCTTTTTACAACTACCACACCACTGGGCTGCAGAGGTGGGTTATGAGAGAGGGATCACCCCAAGTTAAAATGACAGACTCTTTTTTTGTTTGTTTTTTGGAACAGAGTTTCACTCTTGTCACCCAGGCTGGAGTGCAATGGCACGATCTCAGCTCACTGCAACCTCTGCCTCCCGGGTTCAAGCCATTCTCCTGCCTCAGCCTTCCAAGTAGCTGGGATTACAGGTGCCCACCACCACGCTCAGCTAATTTTTGTATTTTAAGTAGAGAAGGGATTTCATCATGTTGGCCAGGCTGGTCTCAAACTCCTGACCTCAGGTGATCCACCTGCCTCAGCCTCCCAAAGTGCTGAGATTACAGGCATGAGCCACTGCGCCTGGCTGACATAGACTTCTAACTAAATTACCTGTTAATTACAGGTAGTTTCTCTTGAATTGACAATTTTCAGTTTTTTCTGTAGTTTGGTTATTTTCTAGAGTTCTGAAATAGAGGATTTTAGTTGTTTTGCATGTATTTTCTATGTTTTTGTAAGATTATAGGTCCATTGAAGGCCTTGTTCTTCCATATCAGAACACTTCTGTCTTTTGAATTTTGCTTTTTGCCATGGTAGTACTCTTGTGATTGAGTGATATGTGGGGTCATTAAACTAGGTTATTATCTCTGACCTTTATCAAGAGCAGCCTGACCAATTAATATTTTAGAGTTTCTTCTCAAATTATTTTTTGTCCCATGATATGAAAATAATACTCCTTCCCTACTAAGGAGGAAGAAGGAGGATATGATGTAATGGAAGTCTATGCTGAGAAAGAAGAAATAGAACAGTTGCCCCTTCTATCCTAATATATTATAGGAAATAAAAGAGAGTTGACTAAATGCTATGGAGAGATTTTTTATGTCTTTATTTCCCCGACTCAAGATGAACCCCAACGGGAAGGGACCAAGTGAAAACACCCAGATGCCAAGTCTGTAGATCCTGAGGGAGGGTGCTCAGAAAGATGATCCTAAAGCATCTTTACTTATTTCCCTAAGTTGTGTATGGTACTCAACCATGTGAGTAGATACTGAGGTATTGATAGGAGCAGGAGACTTGCTAAGACCTAGAGTCTGAATAAAGTGGTTGTCATATGTAAACCATCAGGCAAATGCCCTGACTTTAGATTACAGTCATGGCCACTTGCATGTCCTCTAAAAGGCCAAATGAAACCAGCTGCACCTTGATCGTCAATAGTCCAGGGAACATATTTGACTGGCTGCCCTGTAGAAGAGCCCAGAGGAGACTAATGAGATTCCAGAGAATGCTACATGATTTCCATTCATTTGTCTTCTCTGTTGACATGAGATTAGACTTGAAAAAGAGCAAGGGTCGTAGTCAAGAGGAGAAATGGGGAGAGGAAATCCGAAATTCCGAGAATTTACCCAAAAGAGACGGAGTCATTCAAAATATACTATTCAAACTGAAAACTTGTGATGCAGGAAGTAGGAAGCTAACAGTCTCTGCCCTTCCCATCCAAGGAGGTGTGGAGGAATTTTAAGAAAGATTAGACATACCACAGAAAATAAAGAAAGCAGCTAATTTTCTTTGTAGATCTAAGTGCAATGTGAGTCAATTTGTGACTGAGAGGCATTCTCTTCTCTTTTTCCTAGTCAGATGGAAATAAACTACTCTCCCTTCTAGTTGAGCATGGGTTTATGCTCTCTCCAGCTATTCTCTTGTGCACTTCCGTCATTCCCCTTTTCCTCTCTTGTACACCCAGCAGACACACCGGGGCCACAACTCCACCTGGTAGAAGCAAATTTCTGTTTGTTCTCACCACTGGGAATTTCCACGCAAAGCTTTATGATCAAGTTTTATTAAGATAGGCCTTCCATGAGGACTTCAACGCTTCTGTTTCCACCACCTTGATTACCCCCCACCTATTTCCTTTCTCCACCTGAGTGACTTCTACCTGTCCTTAATGAATCAACTTGAACTTGTCTTTTATTCCTCTGAGACAGAGGCCAGTCCTATGGGCTCTCAAGGCCCCTTACCCATGTCTGGCTTCCTCCCTCTAGCCATATTGCATGTGTTCACACACTTCTGTTTCCCTCACTGGACTGTGAGCTCCTAGATGCCTATTCCGTGTTTCATTTGCTTTTTCTCAGCACCTAATTAATATCTGGCAAACAGAAGATACTTATTTTGGTACTTGGTGTTTAAAACTTTTGTTCTGTCTCATATTTTACTACTTTGTCTGTATTTTTTATTCATTCAGAAACATATTGAGTACCTACTATAGGTCTGACATAAAATAAAACTCAATCCTTTAAGTTGAGGAGATTATAATTCTATAAAGCAGATAAATACACCTAATGGAAATACAATGTGTTTAGTACTTTGAGAAAAAATTATTGTGGAAGTAGAACAGACAAAGTCCTAACTTTTATGAAGGATCAAGTCAGCTTCATAGAGAGGATACATTTTATTTGAATCTCCAAAAATGAGCCATGTTCTACAAGAAAAGTATGGGTGGTGTGGGGAATCATTGAACAGTATATGAAAAGCAAGGAAACAGAATTCACGTTTATATGTTTAAGAATTATTCAATCCAAGAGTTGAAAGGATAAGTATAGATTGACTCAACACTTTAGCTGTATGTACTAGCTGGAACCTAGGAGAGTTTGAGTTACAACCTCATGTCCTAGGCCTAAGCTTTCATTGCCAACTTAATATCTAGGTAAAACTACAGACTTAATTATTATTTTTAGACTGCCAGTGTCTTTCATTTACTCATGCCATCATAGAGTAGAAAAGGATTTTCCATTGTCATCTCTTCCGGTTTCCCTGATAATGTGGAATCTTTCCTAGAATATCCATGTAAGGAGGTCATCCTGTAGTCTGGCCCATGTTCTTGCAGTGGTTCCTTTCAAGTAAAATGCTGAAGGAGGACATTTACTGCTTGGTCCCAAAAGCCTTCTACAATCATAAACAGTGGTGTTGAAACAAATGAAGATTGTGTCTGAAGCATATCTGGATTTCCTAACACTGCTTTGGTTTGAGGAAGTGAGTAACAGGAGAGAGGGGAGAGAAGGAAATAGTTATTTTTGTGTGTGTGAAACTCTTGAATATTCAGGTGCATGACATCAGAACAATGTCCTGCTTCTCTATTTCTCTCTCTCTCTCCACCTCTGTGTGCATGTGCATGTATGTGTGTGTCTGTCTATCTATTTGCATAAACTATATTCTACTGTTTCTCTTTCACTGGTTAAGTAAATTTCTGCCTCTTCTGTGCTTTGATGTAACTGTCATTCACTCATTCATTAATTACTAATTCAATAAATATTCACTGAGCACCTCTAATGAAATCTTAACTATAAAAGTAAAGAATAGACTATAGCAACACAGAGTATAGACATCAAAAAATATTATCTAAATATATATATATTTTTTTGAGACAAGAGTCTCACTCTGTCACCAAGGCTGGAGTGCAGTCACACAATCTCAGCTCACTACAACCTCTGCCACCCAGATTCAAGAGATTCCCCTGCCTCAGCCTCCCAAGTAGCTGGAATTACAGGCTCCTGCTACTGCACCCAGCTAATTTTTGTAGTTTTAGTAGAGACAGGGTTTCACCATCTTGGCCAGGCTGGTCTTGAACTCCTGACCTCGTGATCCACCCGCCCTGGCCTCCCAAAGTGCTGGAATTACAGGCATGAGCCACTGCACCCGCCCCTTTATCTGAAGATATATACAGTGAAAGCAAAATAATGTAAGTAAGACAAGAAGGATATCATTAATATACATTTATTTAAAAATTTTTTTTTCAGATGCCAAATGAAAGTTAAAGAACCCAAGTGTTTCCAAGATGAGAGAGGGGAGCCTCCCGAGGGCTGTATGAAGTCAAAGGAAAGATTATGGAGGTAAGGTGAGGTGGGGGAATGTGTCCTGACCTGAGAACTGATTAACAGGGGTGGTGAATATTTACTTTTGGCAGTAAGAGAAGGAGATGTAATTTGTAAAGGGCAGACAGAGGCCTTCCAAAGAGCCAACAATGTTCTAATTTTTGAATGAGGTGTTAGTCACATGAGTATTCTTTTTATGATATCTCAGTAGGCTATTCATTTGTTTTATTACATTTTCTGTATGTGTTAAGTTTCACCATAAAGTTGTTTTGAAAAGAGATTAATATGTGAGTAGACTCTATTCATTAAAAATGCAGGGTTCGCTAAGCCTCCATTATGATACTGGGAAGTCACAGATGAGTAAGACATAGTCATGGCTCTCAGGAAGCTCCCATTCTTCACATCAGAAGGAGGGGGGCGGTGACTGGAGATGAGCTCAGAAAGGTAGTTGGAGACAGGGTCATGAACACTGAGTATGCAATGCTAAGGTACTACAACATTTTCCAGTATATAACAGTGAGCCACTGATGGGTTTTGAGCAGATTGTTGACATGAGATTTTCATTTTGGAATGACAACTTTGGTTATTACATAAAATGTGGGCTGAGGAAATTAGATAAAACTTGGAGTACAACACCTGATAAAGTATTATGTTGTTTTCACTTTCTGAAATATGTGTTTTCCTTCCCCAACGAGTTTTAAGTTACTGGACAGTTGTGTCACAATCTTATGTTTTCCAGAAGTGTACACAATTCTTGTCATAGAAACACAATACATAAAATTTAGTTGCTTTGATCCTTTTTGTTAGAATAAGAGTAATATAATAGAAGGATTAGTGGAATGAATTAATGGGCTGATGAATTATCTTAATGTCATAGCCTCATAAAACCTGCTGAGTTGTGCCCAATCTTATCAACATTATGAAGTCAGCTCCTTAATTTGTATTTGATTCTGAATGCATTCGTCCCATCTTCATCTTCAATCTCCTTCACCATACCAGGAAAATTTAAAGAGCTATTTGTAGCAAATAAGCCCTCAATCTGCATATATCGCCATAAAAAATATAATTGCAAGTTTAAGGCAGGGGGGTGGGGACAGCTCTAGAATTTGTCTCTGGGAGCTTGATTACAAGGTTGCAATCAAGAGTCACTGCCCAGAACATGGCTTTGAGAAAACATTGATGGGAAAGAAGGAAGACAAGAGCCAAGGACCAGAAATCATGTTATTGGAGTCAACAGTTCCTGAACTTGATAATGCTTGCATCATATCTATAGGGAAATATGAGAATATGAGCTATTTTTAGAATTTTATTTTCCATGCTCTGACAAGAACTCTTCCCTTTTTATTTTTCCTAAGGGTGTTTTTTTCTATTTCTTTTGAGTCAACAGTTTTGAGTGGAAAATGCACTAGAGCAGTAAAGGAGGAAGGAAACACCAGAGAACCTCAGTGGTGAGAACAAGAGTTCCAGTTTTTACAGGAATTTCACGTGGCTGTGTACATGTATGTGCATGTATTTCCAAGGTTGGCGTGGAGAAAAGAGAGGGGGTAGTGCAGAGGACTTTGGCTTTCTCTGCTAATTTTCAACACTTCCTGGATAGAGAAAAACTTCAGGAAGGACCTAAGAAAACATGACAGGTTAAGTGCAAGTTAGAGACCAATTTGAAAAGCTATATAAGACCCCCTTGCTTTAAAACAGTGAGAAAATAAAGGTCAGCCAGTGATCAGGTTTGAAGGTATTTTATATCCACCTCCAACAGTGAATTTTATGATGGAAATTCCACTGGAAGTTTATCCAGAAAAAAGAAAAGCAGATTCTATGAGGAAAAAGAAAATATTTCTAAGCACTTTTACTCCTCACATTCTCAGGTCCAGTTATAGAAAAATAAATGGAGACCCACGTACCATATTTTAAATATTTTAAAGTTATAAATCAAGCTAAGAGGCTGTTAAATGAAATGTTTTCTCATATTACGTTGATTACAATAGTTTAGAAGAAAGTGATGAGCCATAAACACTTGCACATGGGCAAACCAACCTGCCCATCCAGGCTCTGTCTGTATCCCTGCAAGGAGAAACCCTGTGGCCATCCTTTGGGCCTAGAGGCAGGTCTTCTTTCAGGAACACAGGCCTGGGGAAGAGGCCCATGAAGGCCCTGGAAAAGGGACTGGAACTATTTGGACAAGGAGTTCTGTATACCTGGAGAGAGGTCTCCAAGTGGGAGATCCCAGGCTCTGGATAGGCATGTCCCTTAGCCTCCCATACTCCTTACTCATGAGTTTCTGTCTATCTGTCTATCTATCATCTATCTATCTATCTATCTATCTATCTATTTATCTCTCCTTAGGTTAATTTAGTCTAAACCATCTTTTCTGAGACTGGGCCTAGACTTACCTGGTGTATGTAATGCCACATTGTACTCACTTCATAAATGACAGCATGTACTGGTTGCTGAACTACAAGTTTAAAAAAGCACTTAGCTTCATTGGATAGTGAATTAATAAGGAATTTCTGAGGCTTCTCTGAGACCTAGATTAGTGAATAATGTATAATGCGTTCTATTTTTTCTCCTCTCACCCTTTTCAAGTAATACTATTAGTCAAGATAGAATAGACTGTGCTTCAAAAACAAAATGTCCATAACTTAACATTAGAAAAACTTAAGTATCACTCATACAAATTCCACTGCAGGTGTTGCAAACTCTTCAGGACCACTATTCTCCATTCTGGGATTCAACAATCTAGGTTGTTTCCTTCTCTGCCATCTCAGTAGGAAGCCTCCATATTTGCTGAGGCAAAGGAAGGGAAGGAGAAAGAGTCACACACTGGCAATTAAATGCTGTAGACCAGAAGGTAACATTTGTCATTTCTGTGGCTGCCATAACAGATTATCACAAATTTGGTGGCTTGAAGTAACAGGAATTTATTCTCTCACCATGCTAGATATTGGAAATCTGAAACCAAGGGATCAGCAGGCACATGCACTGCTGTAGGAAGAAGAATATTTTCTCTGAAGGCTGTAGGAAAGAATTTTTTCTTGCCTTTCTCTATCTTCCCGTGGCTCTTGGCAATCCTTGGTGATCCCTTGGCTTATGCATGCACCACTCCAATCTCTACCTCCATCTTCATATTATTCTCTTCTCTGGCTCTGTGTATCTTTTCTTCTTCTTATAAGGACACCAGTCATTGGACTTAGGGTTTATCTGAGTCTTAACTGATTATATCTTCAAAGACCCCATTGCCAAATAATGTTGCATTCTAAGGTTCTGGCTGGATGTGAATTTTAGGGGGATACCATTCAACTCACTATACACACCCAGTGTCCAGAGCTAATCACATAGCCCTGCCTAATGTTAAGAAGACTGGGTAATACAGGTAAGTACATGGGATATTTGGTGCTATAAATGGAATGCTCGTGTTCCCCTAAAATGTTTATGTTGAAGCCCTAATCCCCTACATGGTGGTATTCAGGAGTAAGGCTTTTGGGAGGTAATTTGGGTTAGATGGGGTCATGTTGTTGCCATGATGGGATTAGTGTCCTTATAAAAGGAGAGAGAAGTTTTTTTCCCTCATGTGAGGGCATAGTGAGAAGGCAGCCATCTGCAAGCTGGGAAGAGTCCTCACCAGGAACTAAATGTGCCAGTACCTTGATCTTGGACTTCCCATTTCCAGAACTGTGAGAAATAAATGTCCGTTATTTAAGCCAGACAGTCTCTGGTATTTTGTTCTAGCAGCCCAACCTGACCATGGCAGTGAGTCTTACTATTTCTGCCACAGATATAAGTTTCAATTTTCACCTAAGAAGAAAAAAGAACATCTTAATTTTTACCCCTTTTTCTTTATAGCAAAAAAATGTCATAGCATAATATAATCTTAGAGCTGGAAATAATTTGAGAGATTTCTTAGGCTATGAAATGAGGATTAATTTCTTTTTTTTTCTCTTTGGGTATGCAGCCCCAAAATGAGTATCTTCTTGTTGGGGAAGCCACTAACCCAATTCCAGGCAATGATTTCTATTTTAACAGCCCTGGAAAGTGTTCCTAACAGTAAGTGAAATCTACCTTTCTATGATTCCCATATGTTAATTCTGCATTCTAGAGGCAGATAAGGCCCTCTCTCTGCCACATGACATCTCTACTCATATTCAGAGCTGGCCCTCATGCCAAAGTTCTCTCTTCTCAGGGTAAGCATTCCTAGTTCCTCAATCAAATCTCTTGTGACCGGGTATCACATCTCTTCACTATTACAATTATCTTCTGGATGAACTCCAGCTTGTCAGTGTCACTTCTAAAGTTTTCTCAGAGGTGAAAATAGTGCATAGTCTGGGGAGCACTGAGCAGACTATTTTGCTTCCTTTATCAGGAAATCATACTGGTCTCAAATATTGTTGATTTAAACTCTTAGCTATTAAACTTTTAGCTATTGTTTACATGTGCCCTTACAAAGCCCCAGAGTATCTATCCAGTGAATCTGCTTTTCTTTCATTTGGGTTTGTTTTTGGTCCTAAATCTATAAATTTACATTATCACTGTCATTTAACTTGCTAATGCTGTCCATAACTTTAGAATTTAGAGACATTTTTAGATCCTGATTCTGTTATCCAATGTACCCCATGGGGGTTACACCTTTGAGTCAGGTTCAGGTTTGATCAGCTTCTCCAAGTCTTTGTTGCTTATTATTACATTAGAACCTAAGTCAAAGTTTTTGTTACTTGTATATTCAATGGAATTTTTGTTTTCTGGGCCCCAAACTCTTTTGAATGCTCAATAACAGAACCCTTTTTCCAAATAAATAATATGTGAAACCACGATATGTAAAACAGACAAAAGGGGAATTAGGATGGGTGACTCCAGATTTGGCCAAATCAGCTTCCTCCTCCCACTGAGAACTAATCTTAATACATCTCTTTGAAACCCTACAGCTCCTTGGGAACACAGTGTGAAATGTGTACCTATTATACAAGGTGTTTCACAGACTGATATCTTGAAGCATTTTGCTCATAAGCGAGGTGCAGAGGCCACAGAGGTGAGTATTATGTGGTTGGCCCTCCTATCAGAAACAGTATGGCATAGTTAGTGGTCAAGAGCAAAGCATCCAGACCCAGATTACCTGAGTATGAACTCTAGTTCCACTCCTAGTAAGATGTGTAATCTTGTACAGGCTACATAACTTCCCTGTGCCCCAGTTTCCTAAAATGAGGTCCAGGAAAGAAAAAAATATCTTTTCTTCCCATTGGAGGTTTATGGCTGAGGCTCGTATGAAAGTCAGATTAACAAGAGAAAAGCATGCAAATTTATTTAATATGTTTTATGTGACACAGGAGACTTCAGAAATGAAGACTCAAAAAAAAAAAAACAAGGAAATCTGTGCATTTTTATGCTTAGTCTGATAAAGAAGTGGATAGTCCTAGAGAAGTATGCCTGAACAAAGCGGGTAGGATCTAACAGTAATAAACTGGGGAAAACAGCAAGTTCTGTTTGTTCAGATTCTTCTCATGTCTCCTGTGTCTTCAGAGATAAGGACGTTCCTTGACCTCAGATATAAGGAGGGCACCTCTGTAATGAACATTGTATGACCTGCTTCAGGGAAAAGGGAGAGGGGAAGGTGAGAGAAACCTTCCTGCTTCTGCTGTTTTCTCAAATGCCAAGGTGCCATATTTTGAGGAAGTATGCCCTGCACCTCATCAGAGCACAACAGTACCAATTTAATGAGGCTAATAATAGTACCAACTTCATCAAGATGCTATGAAGACTAAATGAGTTAATACATGTGAAATATTTAGATCCATGCTAACACATAGTAAGAACTACGTAAATGCTGGCTTTCATTATTAGAGCTTTGTTGCTCTGATTTACCGTGTGACCATGGCAATACTCACAAAGCTTCTTAAAATATATGATGTTGTTTTCCACTAGATTAGATGCTTCCACATTGGTCTGAACTACCATTTGAAATGCTCGATCAAAATTTTGGTAAGAAAAAATGTCAGAGACTGTGAATAACTGAGTGAACAAATATTTTTTAAGTGAACTAACAGATGAAATCTATTGAAATTGTAGAACAACTTTCCCTGTAGAGGTGTATCTAACACAATTCAGCTATTATTACTGGCTCTCCTTTGGCCTCCAAGAAGGGAATAAGTAATGGGCCTTGTCCTCATAGGCTGACTTTTCTTTCTTTCTTTTTCTTTCTTTCTTTCTTTCTTTTTCTCTCTTTATCTCTTTCTTTTTCTTCTTTCTTTCCTTCTTTCTTTCTCTCTTTCTTTTTTAATATATGCTCTTGCTCTGTCACTCAGGCTAGAGTGCAGTGGTAAGATCATAACTCACTGCAACCTCAAATTCCTGGGCTTAAGCAGTCCTCCTGCCTCCACATCCCAAGTAGCTAGGACTACTGATGCATATCACCACACCCAGCTAATTTTTTAAAAACTATTTTGTAGCAATAGGGTTTCATTATGTTGTACAGGTTGGTCTCAAACACCTGGCCTTAAGCAATTCTCCACCCTCGGCCTCCCAAAGTGCTGGGGTTACAGGCATGAGCCACTGTGTCAGGCAAGGCTGAAATGTTTTTATCTTTCCCAATGTACACATGTATCTGAGCCACGCATATAATTTTGTTCAAGCAATAACCACCAATACATATAACAGATGCTTCATATGCTTTCTAGATTTTTCTCTATAGTTGCATCGTGGAATTATCCTTTTTCCCTCAGGATAATTATGTATTTATTCATGAAATATATATCTTTTTGGGCTATGTACCTTACAAAATGTTCTTTCAGGACCTTTAGGGTCAGATGTTTCTATTGTATAATCTAAACACTGCTTAACAAAATGCACCAATTCTGCTTGACTTTGGAGAACTAACCTGCAGATCTGTACCCTTGAAGAGGCTGCACAGGCATTGGCCTACCTGGTAGTACATAAGCCCTTCATCTCTTACCCCTCAAAAATCCAACATCCCTGAAGGCCAATGTCCTATATAGCCTTCAAATGCAAATATTCCTGAGAGTGGTAATTGTTGAGATAAATTCACACAAATATAACACTTGTCCTGAGAAGGACTTGAGAGAGAGTGCTCCTGGGGCACAGCAGAGCCTGGAAAGAGAAGGGTCAGAGAAGCCTGAGCACCCAAAACAAACTGCTTTATAGCTTAACCTAGAGTGAGCATGCTTTCTCCAATGCAGCCTCAGATTTCTTACTTGACCAGCAGAGTAAAACTGCAAGAAACATAGGAGAAGCAGTTGTTCTTAGTAAGGGTGAAGAAGGCTCATGAAAAGAGCTGAACAAACTGGGCGCAGGCGCCCAAGATACATGCTAAATTGTGATCAGAGATCTGTCACTCACCAACAGGTCCACACACAAAATTTGTGAAGCCATGGTAAGAGTACAAAGGGAGGCCCTCATACTATACATATAAATACATGAATGTTACAATCGAGTACCAAACTGTTAAATAAAACATATCCTCCCCTCTTACTTGGAGATATGGCTTCATAATAATCTGGAGGGCCCACTCCCACCTCATCCCATCTCTGATGAATACCACTATTCTTCAGCCTCTCTGAAGCATAGGGATGCACATACCACAACTGTGGTTTACCCTCTGAAGGATGAACCCAGGGGAGAGATCCAAGCAAGCCCTAGAAGCAGTAAGTTTAGGAGTCCACCAGCTCCAGATAGGCATAACCGTCTGGCCTGCCAACTCCTCACCAGGGAAGAATGCAGCCGAGGAAAGAATGGCATGGTGCCTAGGGCTGGCCACATTGGTCCTGGGGCCATGAGTAGGGCCCACGGACTGCCAGCAGTACCTACACATGCACGTTGCCCCCAGAAACAACCTGCTTGCCCCCAGAAGCAGACCTCATCAGGCTTCTGGACTCTATTGTTTACTCCAAGAAGAAGAATCTAATGAGATGTTGCCTTGAGAGCCACTATGACTCAGTCTCCAAGGCCTCCTCACATCCTGAAGACTAGCCCAGTGGGGATAGGAAACCGGGAGCTAAAAAGCTTCGCCAATTTGGACGAGCTTCTGAGGCAGCAGCTCTCAGCCTAGATCACATCCTAGATGTGAGAGAACTCCAGGGCTGGAATTCTCTGAAGCTTTATCCTCGGGCAAGCAGTTACATCGGGAACATTTAATAATGAGTGCTGAGGCCACACGCGGTGGCTCACGCCTGTAATCCCAGCACTTTGAGAGGCCGAAGCGGGCAGATCACGAGGTCAGGAGACCGAGAACATCCTAGCTAACAGGATGAAACCCCGTCTCTACTAAAAACACAAAAAAAAATTAGCCGGGCATGGTTGCGGGCGCCTGTACTCCCAGCTACTCGGGAGGCTGAGGCGGGACAAGGGCGTGAACACGGGAGGCGGAGCTTGCAGTGAGCAGAGGTGGCGCCACTACACTCCAGCCTGGTCAACAGAGCGAGACTCCGTCTCAAAAAATAAATAAATAAATAAATAAATAAATAAATAAATAAATAAATAGTGCTGAAGATGAAAGAAAAATTTTCCGTCTGTCATCCATAAAAAAACAAATTTTGATCAGCCATGCTAGGTTAAATATTGAATTATCTTTCTATTTTCTATGGAGAATATTACAATGTATTGCCATAGGAAGAGCCAACCAAAGAATATGCTGCCATAAATGTACAAATAATTATGATAGAGGAGTGATAGACAGACACTGTTTCAATTTTATCTTTAAAAGATACCCAGGAAGAAAAAAAATACAAACCACAACAGTTGTTGGCCAACCCACTCCCACAGTTTCTGTATAACAATTATTAATACTTTGTGAGCATTTACTGTGTTCCAAGTATTATTCTACTTGCTTTATATAGATTATCACATGTAATCCTCATTATCCCCATTTCAGAGATGGGGCGTGGAGTAGTTAAATAATGTTCCAGAAGGCATCCATCTAGTACTTGTTGGAGCCAGGATTTGAGCCCATACATCTGTTTCTCCAGAACCCACACTCTTAACTCCACTGAGACTATCTATCTTCTTGGATCCCCATTAGGCATGAAAATAAAAAGCTGTATCCTAGTCCCAACTACTAGTCATACAATCTTGGGCTACTATATTTAAACTCTCTGTTATTGTTTATAAAGTAGGAACAACAATAATAACTCCCTCATAGGGCTGTTCTAAGGACTAAAGGAAAGCTACAAAAGTGCCTAGTGTAATGATAGTGTAATGCTAGATATTATATAAGTATAGGTCCCTCTCTTTCCTCTTTTCTTCTTTTTTTTTATTATTTGGCTACTTGGCTACTTGAGCTGCTTTCTTTTCACTATTTGAACATGCAATTCACAGTAATAATATTGGTTTCCCTTTTGGCATATTTACTAATTAAATATTTCCATCTTCCTATCTTAGAACTTCCATTTCTACTGTAATCACCAGGTTGCTCATTTTGTTTGTTTTTGTAAAGCACCATAAATCTTTCCTTTTAGGAAAAGGCAGGATGTAACTTACAAATTATGTAAATGAAAGTACAAGGTTCTGTGGGCCATCATAACTCTGTCATCACTCCTGGAAATGGTCTTGCAAAGCACATGTCTGTCAAGTCAGCAGTTCTGTTTTGACGCAGAAGGACATTTATTTCATCTGGACAGCCTTCTACTTTCTCTAACTACAAACTTCCAAATTTTGTGGGTGGGTCAGAAATATGCTGTGTGAAGTAAATGTGCTGGCCCAGATCTGGAGGATCGATTTCCTCCCTTGAAGAGAACAAGCCATTTTATTCCTTGCTTAAAGTGGCCAAGAGAAAGACCCTTCTACAGGGACCAAAAAAAAAAATCAACTACTCTTTACAATCAGGCAGGTCGAGTGAACCAGAACTCAGATTTCCTGCTCTGCAGCTGTGTCTCCATTCATTGAGCAAATGCGGGAGCTTCTTCCTCTTACCACTGGGCAAGAATGCAATTTTTTTTCCTAACAGAAAGAAAATCCCCTCTGACAGTTCCACCCACTAGAGATTACTCTGGTGCTGGCCCAAGCTATTTGCATCATAGCTGCACCCTCCAGGCCCCAGTTGCATCACAGAGAAGCGGAAGCCCCGGAGGGATACTATCTCTGCCAGTTTCTCTAGGTTGCAATTAATTTTAAAAGTGAAACCAACCATATGCTTCCTTTACTTAGCACATTCCTGGGACACTGCAGCTACTTGCTGGATAAGCCAAGCAAAGGAAGCAAAAAAGCCTTGGGCTCAGAAGGCGTAGACAGCTTCCTCCTTTTGGCATTCAGGGAGCCCAGTTCCACTCTCAAACCTTTGTTAATCTGCCTTTAATTCCCCGAACTGCCTGTTCTCTAGTGGTCCGATGAGCTCCCAGCTCCTTAATACCCAAATAAGGAGATCAGGGCTGGTTCCTGCTTCAGCAGAGACTGAGAGGCCTAGAGTAAATGGACTCGGAATTAAGTACTCAGGTGACCTCCGGACTTTGAACCTGACATGTCCCTGCTGGGGAAGGGTTGTCAAGGCACTGAAAGACTACACTCATTCTGAGTCTATAAACTGAGCATCTGTGACTACGGGCAATGTTTAGAATTGTCAGAGGCTGGCTCTTGGCCTCTCTCTCCACCACTTCCTTCTCAGAAACTCAGAGCACCCTAAGAACTTTTGCTGCTTCTTGGTCCCCAGGATTCCTACGCCCTCACTCATTTCCCTGCCTCCCCCAGATATCATTCCGTTAAGCAATTCCTTGTTAACAAACAATTGCTGGCTTTGCATTTCTCTTTCCTCCAAAATCGCCGAGGCCTCTACTTACTGCTAAAAAAGAGGACTCTGTATAATTTTTAAATGAAGAGTGTTGTTTTTACCTAAATCAATCTGGCCTGGTATATGACAACAACAACAAAAGAACTCAAGGATAGAGCCAAAAAACTCGCCAACCAAGCAAGTAATTATGCTGAACCCCCTTGGGCACTCTCTAATTAGATGTTCTGGGCCCTCCCGATTCTTAGTTCTTTAATACCTGTTTTTCTCCTTCTCTTATTCGGACCTTGTGTCTTCCATTTAGTTTTTCAATTCATACAAAACCGCATCCAGGCCATCACTAATCATTCCATACGACAAATGCTCCTTCTAACAACCCCACAATATCGCCCCTTACCACAAAATCTTCTTCAGCTTAATATCTCCCACTCTAGGTTCCCACGCCGCCCCTAATCCTGCTCGAAGCAGCCCTGAGAAATATTGCCCATTATCTCTCCATACAACCCCCGAAAAATTTTCACTGCCCCAACTCTTCAATACTATTTTATGTTATTTTTCTTATTGATATAAAAAGACAGGAATGTCAGGCCTCTGGGCCCAAGCTAAGCCAACATATCCCCTGTGACCTGCAAGTATACATCCAGATGGCCTGAAACAAGTGAAGAATCACAAAAGTGAAAATGGCAGGTTACTGCCTTAACTGATGACATTCCACCATTGGGATTTGTTCCTGCACCACCTTAACTGAGAGATTAACCTTGTGAAATTCCTTCTGGCTCAGAAGCTCCCCAACTGAGCACCTTGTGACTCCCACCCCTGCCCGCAAGAGAAAAACCCCCTTTGACTGTAATTTTCCACTACCCGCCAAAATCCTATAAAACGACCCCACCCCATCTCCCTTCACTGACTCTCTTTTCGGACTCAGCCCGCCTGCACCCAGGTGAAATAAACAGGCTTGTTGCTCACACAAAGCCTGATTGGTGGTCTGTTCACACGGACGCATGTGACAATCCTGACTTCTTTTATTCTGCTGATGCTGCACCCCTTGACACTTACAACACTCCGGTGCCTTACATATTGTGAATTAAATAGAATTTAAGGTATTCGACAGTCTATTATCTCATTTTCCTGTACTGCCCTAATTCCTCCCTCATTTTCCAATATGCTTTCTTCTACATAATGAGATCTCAACCTGGATGCCCTCCTTGGGAAGATCACAAACATTGTTGACTCCATGCTGCATTGCCAACCCTGACCCCCGTGACAGCCACGCTCTTCCCCTTACTCTGCCCTTAACATCCATATCATTCTGACCCTACAGGACCTCAACCACTACCCACTCCCCTTCATCTACATTACCTCAAATTCAGCCTATCCTTCAAGAACATTACCTTGAAGGCCCATGTTACCATCCATATCTTATATCAAATGACATCAACCCTGTCTACTCTGACAGCCAATGATTTTTTTTCTTCCGGCTGATGGAAGAGCCTCTACCAGAAGATTTACTTTATTATGACAGAATAATATACCATAATATACCAAACCACCTGCAGATACCTACCTTCTGACCAGACTCCAACATTAACTAACTGTGTGAGATAGAGCAAGCCTTATTTTCCTAGGTATAAAATAAAAGGGTCTAAATGAAACAACCTCACAAATCAAGCATCTCTATGGGCCACCTGAACTAAATCTTTAATCCCTCCTTTCTTTACTTCAATATTTTTAAATAATACCTTTTACCTTTCAATAATAATAATAGATGTTAACATTTCAATACCTTTTAAATAGTACCTTTTACTTCAATACCTTTTAAAAGAATTGGGAAAAATTTGTAGCAAACTTACTAACAGAAATGAAAAAGTAGTCCCGACAGAGAGGATGATGTCCCAAAGGAAATGTTGCAGTCAAAAAAAAAACTTCACATGAAGAGAACTCTCAGAGATATTTCACAACATGGAAAGCACACAGGATAAGATGTTGGAAACAGATACAAACTTAAAAAGGAGTATGACAATTCACTGTTGACCAAAAAAAAAAAATCAAACTCTGTAAAATATTTAAAAAGGTTTATTCTGAGCCAAATATGAGCGACCAAGTCCTGTGACACAGCCCCAGGAGGTCCTGAGAACCAAGGTGGTTGTGTTACAGTTTGGTTTTATAAAATTTAAGGTGATAGAAGTTAAAGGCAGAAATCAACCAATACATGGATGGTGTACATTGGTTCTGTCTGAAAAGGTGGAACAACTCAAAGGGCTGGCAGGGAGCGGGCAGTGGGGGCACACTCCAGGTCATACATAGAGTTGAAGATTTTCTGATTGGCAACTGGCTGAAAGAGTTGTTATTATCTAAAGACCTAGAATCAATAGAAAAGAATGTCTGGGTTAAAATAAGATGTTTTGCAGACCAAGGTTTTATCATGCAGATGAAACCTCCAGTAAATGTCCAGTAAATGTCTCTAATCAGACTTAAAAAGGTGCCAGACTCTTAATTAATATCTCCTGGATCAGGAAAAGACCTGGAAAAGGAAAGGGGATTCTCTACAAAATGTAGATTTTCCCCACAAGAGACAGCTTTCCAGGGCCATTTCAAAATATGTCAAAGAAATATATTTTGGGATAAAATACTTTCATTTATTTTAGGTCCTGCTGTTATGTGATGCTATACTAGAATCAGGTAGGAATTTGGTGTCTTATTGCTACAAAGAGTCTGTTTTGTCAGTCTTAAGATGTGTTGTAATACGAATGCAGTCAGCTGTGCCTGAATTGCAAAGGGAGGAGAGTACAATGAGAAATGTCTGACTCCCCCTTCCCATCATGGCCAGAACTAGTTTCTGAGGTTTACTTTGGTTGATTTCCCTTCTAGAGGAGGAATCCATTCAGTCGGTTGGATGTGCTTAAGATTTTATATATGGTTCACATCACCAAGACAAGGAAAAGATGTTCACTGTTTTATAAGAGGGCAAATACTGTTCAAGCTACACTTGATAAGTTTTCTACTTCTCAGTGTTTTAAATTCTGAATGTTCTAGTGTTTAAGTTGCAGTATACTAAGTATTAGTTTTATACATTTATAACCGAGAGTAAGAGAGTTTTTAATGTTTTGACCAAAATTTTTAGCGGTCATGTTAACAATTGTGATTCTTCCCATTGATTATTGAGATTGCACATTTTTCGCTTGCACAGTTATTTTTATGACGCCACACTACTGAGCAAAGTGAGAGCTGTTTATATTGATTTGCATATTTATAAGTTGACATTTCAATTTTTCATCACAAATTTAAATAGTTGCTATATAGGTAAAGGGAAAGTTTCCCGTTCAACCTCAGAAAGTTCGCTAAAAAATCAACTCATAAAAGGCAGATTAATAGGAGAAAAAGCATACAAATTTATTTGATCATAGCTTTGCATGACGCAGGAGCCTTCAGAATGAAGTCCCAACTTCCTAATGCAGAAGCTTATATACCATCTTGAGGTTACAGAAAGAATAGAGGCATGGATCCTGGCAAACTAGGTATGGGACAGGGAGAAGAGGAATTCTGTTGAAGAACAATAAGTAATTACTAGGCAGAATTCAGTGGACTTGCAGAACATACAATGGTCTAGGACAAAGTCTATTAGGCCTGCAGAGCAGGCAATGGTTTGTGACAAAAGTCTGTACAGGTTTTTTAACAGACGTTAGTCTTCCTTCCTGCGATATGCATTGAGGACTGAACTTTGACCTTTTGTCTTTTGCCCAAATTCCTATCTAAGGGACCTTCGGAATCACACCCTAGAAACCATAGATTCTGGTTTGCTATTAACCTGGTATAATGTGGATTCCTTTCCAACCCGACTTTAGTATAGCATCACACGACAGAGAGCAGACCCTCTGTATCTTAACTCAAGCATTTCTTTCTACCGACTTCAAGTGTTTATACAACAGTTTAACTCTCTCAGTTGTCATCTTGAGAATCCCTAAAACCCATCTATGATTTGTAAGCCCCAGTTTCAAGACGTCTGCCTGTTCAGGCCGGACCAATGTCCTGCCTGTTCAGGCCAAATTTTGTATGTATTGATTTATTATTTTACTTGCAATTTCTGTCTCTCTGAAATGTGTAAAACCAAACAGTAGCCCAACCACCTCGGGTGCGCTTTCTCAGGCCCTCTTGAGATTGTGCAACTA
Source organism: Homo sapiens (assembly GCF_000001405.40). Taxonomy (NCBI): domain Eukaryota; kingdom Metazoa; phylum Chordata; class Mammalia; order Primates; family Hominidae; genus Homo; species Homo sapiens. The sequence continues at coordinate 173,128,015 of NC_000001.11, forward strand.
TGGGCCGTGGTCATTCATATTGGCTTATAATTAACCTCTGTAAATATACATTGGCAGAATTTGTGTTTCTCATCATCGGGGTTCAGTTAATGAAAACTCATGGAAGAGACCAAAGGTTTTTGTTTTCTTCTCTTGTAGGTCCAGACTTTAGGTAGATAAGGAAATTTAGAGAGCAACTTCATCCTATGCTTTGGGAGAAATGGGGGAAGGTGGGGGCCTCAGAGAGACTATGAGGCTCAAAGTCCAGTTCAAAGCAGCATATTTTGGAGTATCTGTTTCCAGGCTCTAACACTACTAAAGATGTAATTTCCAGCAAATTTCTCCTTGAAGTTGTGCAAAATATGCAAGTGAACATTGACTGGTGCCTAAATAAAGGAGGCTTTGTACATATCGGTATTTTAAATCTTCCCCACAACACACACACACACACATCCACCATAACCACCCCACACTTCTCTCTTTGGAGTTCCTTCTTATGTAAAGTGGGAGAAAGATTTTCTTTTCCTAAGCAAAGTTTGAAAAGGACAACCCAGCATATTCTCAGGGAGAGTTTTATGGAAATTGAGGGTCTGGAACTTGTTTTCCCTAAAACTACTTGTGGCCACATACACCTTAATTTTGGTGCACCTGCAGGGTAAGTAGTGCCCCAGTTTAAAGACCCTGGCTATTAATATCCTATGACGCTGATCTAGAGCCCAGTTCCTTTCCTCTACCCTCACCCTCTCTTTCTATGGCTTTGGTTTTATTGAACTAGTGGCACCTTTCTCAGCTGCAGTTCATGGAGCTATTAATATGTCATGGGCTTTCTGGCTTGGTTTGCTGGCTTTGTACTGTACTCAGCCAGTGCCTACAGAGGGTAAGCTGCGCCAGGTTCTTGTGAATGAAAAGAAAGGAATCATCACAAGGCACACCCCATTGCATCTTTTCCCAAGCAGCTTCCTGCGTACTGACTTGTACTAACAATGAAAGGGAAATTTCTTAGGTGTAATTTTCCACACCCCAAGTTCAAACAGCACAAGCTTGCTCAACCTGAAGCCCACAAGGAATGTTTTACAGATAATCAGTATGTTCTAACTTAATTCCTCACATCTCTTAAGAAGGATCACTTACATCTCTTAAGGAGTCAGCCAAGTCAACACGATATAATAAAACCCAATTGGAACTGTGGACCCAGTGCTGCCAGGACTCTCTTTCAGTCTCTTTTGTTTTTATATATTTTTCTGCATATGGGCCTCATCCTCTCTCGTTAGTGAGTAGTTTTCTTTATTATTATTATTATTATTGTTATTATTTTACTTTAAGTTCTGGGATACGTGTGCAGAACATGCAGGTTTGTTACACAGGTACACACCTGCCATGGTGGTTTGCTGCACGCATCAACTTCTCATCTACATTAGATATTTCTCCTAATGCCATCCCTCCCCTGACAGGCCCCAGTGTGTGATGTTCCCCTTCCTGTGTCCATGTGTTCTCATTGTTCAGCTCCCACTTATGAGTGAGAACATGCGGTGTTTGGTTTTCTGTTCCTATGTTAGTTTGCTGAGAATGATGGTTTCCAGCTTCATCCATGTCCCTGCAAAGGACATAAACTCATACTTTTTTGTGTGTCTGCATAGTATTCCATGGTGTATATATGCCACATTTTCTTTATCCAGTCTATCATTGATGGGCATTTAGGTTGGTTCCAAGTTTTCGCTATTCTGAACAGTGCTGCAATAAACATACATGTGCATGTGTGTTTATAGTAGAATGATTTATAATCTTTGGGTATACACCCAGTAATGGGATTGCTGGGTCAAATGGTATTTCTGGTTCTAGATCCTTGAGGAATCACCACATTGTCTTCCACAATGGTTGAACTAATTTACATTCACACCAACAGTGTAAAAGCCTTCCTATTTCTCCACATCCTCTCCAGCATCTGTTGTTTCCTGACTTTTTAATGATCGCCATTCTAACTGGCATGAGATGGTATCTCATCGTGGTTTTGATTTGCATTTCTTTAATGACCAGTGATGATGAGCTTTTTCTCATATATGTGTTGGCCACATAAATGTCTTCTCTTGAGAAGTGTCTGTTCATTTCCTTTGCCCACTTTTTGATGGGGTTGTTTTTTTCTTGTAAATTTGTTTAAAAGTTCCTTGCAGATTCTGGATATTAGTCCTTTGTCGGATGGATAGATTGCAAAAATTTTCTCCCATTCTGTAGGTTGTCTCTTCACTCCGATGATCGTTTCTTCTGCTGTGCAGAAGCTCTTTAGTTTAATTAGATCCACTTTGTCATTGGCTTTTGTTGCCATTGCTGTTGGTGTTTTAGTCATGAACTCTTTGCCCATGCCTATGTCCTGAATAGCATTGCCTAGGTTTTCTTCTAGGGTTTTTATGGTTTTAGGTCTTACATTTAAGTCTTTAATCCACCTTGAGTTAATTTTTGTATAAGGTGTAAGGAAGGGGTCCAGTTTTCTGCATGTGGCTAGCCAGTTTTCCCAATACCATTTATTAAATGGGGAATCCTTTCCCCATTGCTTGTTTTTCTCAGGTTTGTCAAAGATCAGATAGCTGTAGATGTGTGGTGTTATTTCTGAGGCCTCTGTTCTGTTCCATTGGTCTATATATCTGTTTTGGTACCAGTACCATGCTGTTTTTGTTACTGTAGCCTTGTAGTATACTTTGAAGTCAGGTAGTGTGATGCCTCCAGCTTTGTTCTTTTTGCTTAGGGTTGTCTTGGTGATATGGGCTCTTGTTTGGTTCCATATGAAATTTAAAGTAGCTTTTTCTAATTCTGTGAAGAAAGTCAATGGTAGCTTCATGGGGATAGCATTGAAACTATAAATTACTTTGGGCAGTATGGCCATTTTCACGATATTGATTCTTCCTATCCATGAGCATGGAATGTTTTTCCATTTGTTTGTTTCCTCTCTTATTGCCTTGAGCAGTGGTTTGTAGCTCTCCTTGAAGAGGCCCTTCACATTCCTTGTAAGTTGTATTCCTAGGTATTTTATTGTCTGTAGCAATTGTGAATGGAAGTTCACTCATGATTTGGCTCTCTGTTTGTCTATTTTTGGTGTATAGGAATGCTTGTGACTTTTGTACATTGATTTTGTATCCTGAGATCTTGCTGAAGTTGCTTATCAGCTTAAGGAGATTTTGGGTTGAGATGATGGGGTTTTCTAAATATACAATCATGCCATTTGCAAACAAAGACAATTTGACTTCCCCTCTTCATATTTGAATACCCTTTATTTCTTTCTCTTGCCTGATTGCCCTGGCCAGAACTTCTAATACTATGCGAATGGGAGTGGTAAGAGAGGGCATCCTTGTCTTGTGTCAGTTTTCAAAGGGAATGCTTCTAGCTTTTGCCCTTTCAGTATGATATTGGCTGTGGGTTTGTCATAAATAGCTCTTATTATTTTGAGATACATTCCATCAATACCTAGTTTATTGAGAGTTTTTATCATGAAGGGGTGTTGAATTTTATCAAACGCCTTTTCTGCATCTATTGAGAATCATGTGGTTTTTGTCATTGGTTCTGTTTATGTGATGGATTATGTTTATTGATTTGCATATATTGAACCAGACTTGCATCCCAGGGATGAAGCTGACTTGATTGTGGTGGATAAGGTTTTCGATGTGCTGCTGGATTCAGTTTGCCAGTATTTTATTCAGGATTTTTGCATCGATGTCATCAGGAATATTGACCTGAAATTTTCTTTCTTTTTTTTTTTTTTTTTTTTTGTATCTCTGTCAGGTTTTGATATCAGGCTGATGCTAGCCTCATAAAATGAGTTATGGAGGAGTCCCTCTTTATCTACTGTTTGCAATAGTTTCAGAAGGAATGGTACCAGGTCCTCTTTGTATCTCTGGTAGAATTCGGCTGTGAATCTGTCTGGTCCTGGGCTTTTTTTGTTGGTAGGCTATTAATTACTGCCCCAATTTCATACCACCACTGGGGTATGAAAAAAAACTTTTGCAGCTAGCTCGCTGTCTGCCCAAATGGCCGCCTAGTTTTGTGCCTGAAACCCAGGGCCCTAGTAGTGTAGGCACCTGAGGGATTCTCCTGGTCTGCGGGTTGCGAAGACCATGGGAAAAGCGTAGTATCTGGGCTGGAATGCGTTGTTCCTCACAGCACAGTCCCTCATGGCTTCCCTTGGCTAGGGGAGGGAGTTCCCCAACCCCTTGCACTTCCCAGGTGAGGTGACATCCCACCCTGCTTCAGCTTGCCCTCCATGGGCTTCACCCACTGTCTAACCAGTCCCAATGAGATGAGCTGGGTATCTCAGTTGGAAATGCAGAAATCACCCACCTTCTTCATTGATCTCACTGAGAGCTGCAGTCCAGAGCTATTCCTATTCAACCATCTTTCATGGTGAATTAGCTGAATAGTTTTCCATATGTTTGGGTAAACATATAGAAAACTCTTGAATTTGACCTCCTACAACTTCTACCATATAAACCAAAATTAAAATTCTAAGCCTTTCAACTGACTGATGGATCCTCCTCTTGGCCAAGGGCATTCCAAAGTAAACCTGATAATCTATTTCTGGGTTCTGGCCATGATGGAAATGATGTGGTGGGGTGGGGGCAGGACAGACACGCCTTACTGTACTCTTCTCCCTTTGGAATTCAGGCACAATGAACCAGCATTAACATTAAAACAGAGATCTTAAGCCTGACAAAACAGACTCTGTAGCAATAAGACACCAAATTCCTACCTGACTCTATATAGCATCATATGACAGACAGCAAGCCATGATAGAAATGGAAGTATTTTACCCCAAAATACATTTCTTTGACATATTTTGAAATGGCCCTATAAAACTGTTTCTTGTGGAGAAAATCTACATTCTGTAGAGAATCCCCTTCCCTTTCTAGGTCTTTACCCTGATCCAGAAGAGCTTAATTAAGAGTCACACTTTGTTAGGTCTGATTAGAGATATTTACTGTCTATTCTCTCTGAAGCCTGCTACCTGGAGGTTTCATGTGCTTAGTAAAACCTCAGTTTGCACAACGTCCTATTTTAACACAGACATTCCTTTCTATTGATTCCAGATTTTTAGATAATAACTCCTCCAATCGATTGCCAATCAGAAAATCTTTGAATCCACCAAACCAATTATACATCTTACATGTATTAGTTCATGTCTTATGCCTTCCTAAAATGTATAAAACCAAGCTGTAGCCCAACCATCTTGGGCACATGTTTTCATGATCTTCTGGAGCTATGTCATGGTCGCCATGTATACCTCAGAATAAAACTTCAAAGACTCTTTCATTGACTCTCCATTGACAACCACAAGAGTTGGACTTCTCTCTCTCATTATCTCTCTCTCTCGCTCGCTCTTCTTCCCCCTCAAGCCCAAAAGTCCTTGAGCATAGAATTCATTGATTAAAGGATTAAAGTGTGGGAGACCAAGGCAATGACCAGAGATTTGGAACAATGCAATATGTTCATAGAAAACCAAAATACTTTGATGGAGTGGAGAAAAATCCAGTCGTTAAGACCATCAGTGATCTTATATAACATATTTGGGTTTTGCTTTGAAGGCAATGAAGGTGTCATTGAAGGATTTTAAGCAGAGTAGTGGCAAGATCAAAATTCATTTTAATGCATGCACTGTAGCCTGGAGAGAGGACTTGGAGGGGATTGAGTTCATATGGCCATGCATCAGTGCCAGTGACCTGCAATATTTCACTTGCCCCCTGCTATCTGTGAGACAATGCATGTGAGGGGTATAGGTAACAGGGAGTAGCCTTCATTTCTTTCCCTTGAGTGAGGAAAAAAAATTACTTTTAATCGCACATTTGTAAACTGCTGCCAGAGTGTCTCTATTTGGGCTACCTCTATTGGAAACTGTCTTGTACTTCTTTCCTAATTTGACCTCTCAAGGAGTCAAGTCTTGTTGTCTGGCCTTGTCTAATTGCTACGGGACAGTTTTCTTGTTGCTTTCTTCTCAGACATATTAGTTATTGTTTCTGATTAATAGTTCATGCCTGGCAACCCTCAGGAAAAGTCTCCAAATCATCCATGTCACTGATAGGGTTAGAAGCTGCTATACATAAACCCTCTTTTGTTCCCTGTCATTGAGAACTGACATTTCATTATCTATGTGTTACTTTCCCTCTTAATGAGCAATAAGCTTTGTTTGACATGAGCGGCAGATGAATTTGCCTAAGAAAATTTGCTTTAACAGAAGACTGTCCAAAGACATTCTTGCTGGACCTGAGAGTTAGCTACATGCTAGCAAGCATGAATCATCCTTAGACGTCTATGAAAACCATAAAGACAGTGTGTAAACGTCACAGTCCATAGGCTACAGGCTTTTGTTCTTTAATAAACTGCCATTGCTAAAGGGGGAAAAAACTAAGCGTACCATACACTTTACCTCAGAACCATTTTTATTATTTATGTAACTCAGTGGAGTCCAGCTGAAAGGTTGAAAACAACCTAATATTTTGGGTAAATTACCTCCCTTAAAACAAAGCCCCTTTGTTAGTGAGTCAATGAAAAAAACAAAGTAATGCTGAATCGAATCTTCAGAGGACAAAAACCAAGAGAAAGTAGGAACTCAGGACAGGCAACATTTGAGTGGATAATGGCACATTTTCTAGAATTGATAAAAGACATCAATTCTCAGATTCAGGAAGCCCCAAACAAACAAGGTAAATGAAAGGAAACCTGCATCTAAACACATTGTGCTGAATATGGCCATAAGCACTTAACATCTGTTTCCAAACTTCTTCTGTGTTTTGGGTCTTGTTTTGTTGTTAATGTAGAATGCTACAGGCTCCATGTGCCAGATGTTCTCAGCCCAGGTCCTGGATGTGGCTTCGGTTCTGCCTGTGCTCTCTTGTGAGACTTGGAAGCTAGAAGTGAGGTAAGGCCATCTTCCTGCTGCAGTTTTTTCCAGCCAGTAAGGTCCGGAGACATGAATGTTTCAAGGAAGTGGCACAGCCGGACTCTGATCCAGTACTTGACAGCCACTGGCATGCAGGACTACAGGCATGTGAGGCAGGTTTTGGCGGCTAGACAGCATTCTCCTGTTTAGTCACCCACCCTGTGGAGTGTCCTGACTTCTAAAGCATAATTACAGTGGTGGTCCTGCATGTAGTAGTGATGACAGCCCTTGACACTCCTCCTGTGTTAAATCTCACCTGCTCTCAGTGTTGTCTCTTTCTCGTCACTCATAACCTGAGGATGATCATGTAGGCCTCCCATGACCCAGACCTTCAAACCAACTAGAGAAGGAATGGAAAAGATACATACAGAAAGTCATCTCTCCTTAATGCATTTGGCTCACTCTGAGGGGCAGCTGCCCACTCCTTCTCTGTCTCTGTCTCTGTCTCAGGTGGAGTTCCCTATTCTGGGTGCCTGGCTTAAAAACGTTCATGTTCGGCAAGAAATTCAGCAAGAAAGCCCTGCAGTGCTGAGCCCAGGGTAATAAGACTTCCACCACCGAACCCTCTGATAAATTTCCTCTGTCTTTATTCAGGGAACCCTTGTAAATAATCAGTCTCTTCTACATTGTTTTTCTTCCTTTTCATTTTAGTTTCTTCTTTGATGAGATTCACAGTCTTGCAAGTGTAATTATAGTTCTTGGAATTGCTAATTCCACCTTAATATTTTTTTCCTTAACAATTTATCTTTTTTGGCTTTTGTTTTATTTAATTTCTGATAATATTCTTAGGACTTTGAATAGATGTGCTTTCTCTTACTAAATAAGTGAAATGCTTTATCTTATTATTATTTTTAATATTAATAGTAAAAGCAATGAAGACTGAATTGACTTCTGAGCATCTCTGTGACCTCACCCCAAAAGTTTTCTTTATTATGAGTTCTCATTTTTGTTATTTTCTCCAAATATGTTATTTGCTGATTGGCTTACATGTTATTTCAGTGGTTATACTGGAGAGTTTTAAACATTTTCCATATGATTTAGTTGTGATTTATTTAAATTCTTGCATCAATAATAGTTAGAACAATAAATCATTACTTACAATAATCTTTCATTTAATTGCACTGTGACCAAGCAACATAATCTGAAGAATTTCTTATGTTGTTAGTTTATTCAGATTTTATGTCTCGTTTTTATGTACATTTTATAACTATCAGAAAGAAAATAAATCCTATGTTTTGGGGGTATATACATCTATAAACTGCTACAATTTCTACTTTTTAAAAAGTACTGTGTATTGAGCACATACTCATGACAACTGTTGTGCTTGGTGCCTTACATATGTGTTCCCAAATATTCGATAGTAACACTATCAACCTCAACATATTTGATAGTAAATATTAACACTGTTTTACAGATGATGAAACCAAGGCTCAGATTTTTCTTTAATGTTTCAAATGTTGTAAACTGCTTGTGATATCTAAAATATCTCACCCTGACTATATTTCTGTTTTTTCTTAATTTTTGATAATTTTTCCTATGTATTTTGTTTATATATTTATCTGTGCCTAGAGATTCCATATGTTTGTCTTTAATGTTAATTATGCCTTTTACCAACATAAAGTTACTTTCTTTATTCTATTTGTTGAGCTTCACTTTAAAACTTTGGCACTGAAATGATGACTCTAAGTGGAGGGGATTAAAAGGAAAGGAAGGAATTTGCAGGTATAATCCTCAGTAATTTCTATTTATTCCATTTATTTTAAGTCATTCCATTTATTGTAAGGTCTCTTGCAGATGCTCTAGACTTGGGGCCAGTAGATTATGAGCTTTACTGTTGACTTATTCAGGATTTTAAAAAAGTAATCCTGGTCTCTACCTATCTTGCAGGCATGTTGTAAGGAGATAATGAAATAACAAGTATTCCTTTTGATTATTTTAAAGACCTATGTAAATTGAGCACAGAATTATTTCTTCACAAGGTTTCCCTCTCGCCTCTCCCTCGATGAAGCCTCTGACCTTACTAGGATTAATATAACTGTTAAGTCTCCTGATTCCTGACCTCAGAATCCTGAGACACTGATCCAAGGAAAATAATTCTATCCATTAAGGAATTTCTAGTACTTTTGTATTCCCTGAGAGAATGCTAAAGAAGCAAAAGTCTTGTCAATATTCACTGATGTTCTCAGTCAAAAACTTACATAGATACTTGAAGCCAAACAAAATATGTAGATGTCTGAAGCTGTGAGTCTCCCAGATATCACTTAAGGTATATCCTCAAGACAAGATGTCACAATCTAAAACTGCTGTGCAGCAAACTGAAAGGAAACTCCCTCCTCAATGAGCCAAATTCCTAGCATAGTCTCTCTCAATTTCAGAATTTCCCATATTTTTCTGTCAATCTCATTCATCCAGGCATTTCCCATTGGGTTAATATGGTTTATTTTCCCTTAAAAATATTATTACTCATTCTTAAGAATCTTCTCTTCTGGCTAAATCATTCTAGCAGGTGATTTATGCGACTGTTTTTCCCTGACACACGCCATTCTGCAACTATTTTGTTTGCAATTACAAATCTGCTTATGCAGGCAGCAAACACTATGTTTTATTCATTTCTGTATCCCCAATGACTAGCTTACTACCCTTGCATATGGGTTTGCTGAATTCAGTTTATTGGATTTTCAAAGCACTTTATTTTTAACAAAACATATACCTGTCTTTTATTTCTATATCAGGATGTTAGAAAGGGATGTCTGCCATCTCATCTCACACATAGGAGGGTTTTTTACTTCTGTGGACTGCTGAGAGAGCTTAATATATGACCACTATAGTTGAAAGACATAGGGCTTTGGTTTGAGGTCTGATGAGAATCTTGATACAAAATGTGGGCTAATGGTTCCAGTGGCTGAAACAGGGCATGTGCTGTTATATTGAGATGGAACAATACTACTACAGTTTGTCAGGGTGAGGGATGGTGATGGGAACCATGTGTAAAAAAGAGCCTTGGGGGCTTATCCTATATGGCCACCTAAGGAGGCAGAAGAACCCCAGCAGCAAAAACCTGGAGATGAATATTACATTACCAGGAGCTACAGGAGGCATAAGTGACCATCTACATTAGAGAAGTGTCTGCTAAGGACAAGGAAACTGAAGCCTGAGAGGCCTGATCATAGCTTCCAAAGACCCAGAAAAGAGCTTCTTGGAAGATTCTGCTTTAAACATCTGCCGTGTTTAAATTGACTTTGTTCACTCAATTCAACTGATGCTTTTTCTATCCCTTTTATACTCCCTAGTCAGCAAGTCCCGGGGTAAGAAAGAAGATCAGAATAAGAAGCAACCAATCACATCCCTCCTTCCCACTAGAGGCTTCCAGGCTGAAACAGGCTGATACAGGGAGAGGAGGAGAAGATGCACGACTAAGTCACATTTTGAGATCTGTTTAATAATAATTCTAATTTCTTGTTCTCACTTATTTGTGAGATATAAAAATCAAACAATTGAACTCATGGAGATAGAGAGTAGAAGGATGGTTACCAGAGGCTGGGAAGGGTAGTGGGGGTTTGAGGGAAAGTTGGAGATGGCTAATGGATACAAAAAAATAGAAAGAATAAATAAGACCTAGTATTTGACAGCACAACAAGGTGACTATAGTCAGTAATAATTTAATTGTACATTTTAACATAACTAAAAGAGTCTAATTGGATTGCTTGTAACACAAAGGATAAATGCTTGAGGGCATGGATACCCCATTTTACATGATGTGATTATTACTCATCGCATGCCTGAATCAGAACATCTCATGCACCCCATAAATATATACATCTACTATATACCCACAAAATTGAAATAAATAATTTTAAAAAATAATAATAATTATAGTTACTGACTTCACACTGTGCTTATTATTTTAAATGTCCTAAATAGAAAAGCCTTGGAATTCACTGGAGTTTCCATCTGGGAGTAGGGAAAGATGATCTCCTCTGAATCAACAATAACAAGGTGGAGGGAGATAATTAACTTGTGCTCTCCTTTATATCATGACTTATACATGATTGATCCCTCTACTACAGGATACACTCAATGACCAGTGAGGGATGAGGGGCAGGTGTAAAGCCAAGACCTACAAAGGTTATCTAGAGCCCATAGAATGTCAGCTAGGTATCTGTTGCAAAAAATAGAACCTACTCTGGCTAGTTTAAGCAGAAAAAAAATATATTATGGGATATTCAGTAGCTCAGCGGGCTGGAGAAATAAGCTTATGACTGAGTTTCCAAAAACTATTCCCAGAAGAAACTCACCCTATAACAGTGCTTCCACCATGGACCCATAAACCAATCCACTGGCATCTTCACCCAGTCTGTTTTCTCACATGACTCACTCCAAAACTGCAGGTCCAGTTGGTGGACTCTAGATCACATGCCAGCACCATTCTAACAAACAAAGGGAACAATCATAATAGGGGAACAATCAAAATATAGAGTACATTTACAAGATGTTGGACAGCCAAAAATGACAGAAGTCCTCACCTCAACGTGTATAGTATCTAGTGTGCCCTGCACACTCGCTTTTCTTTCTTGTTTTTTATTTTTAACTTTTATTTTAGGTTTGGGGGCACATGCGAAGGTTTGTTACACAGGTAAACTCATGTCACAGGGGTTTGTTTAGATAATTTCATCACCCAGGTATTAAGCCCAGTACTCAATAGTTATCTTTTCTGCTCCTCTCCCTCCTCCCACTCTCCACCCTCAAGTAAACCCCAGTGTCTGTTCTTTCTTTCTTTGTGTTCATAATTCCTTTTTTTTTTTTTGAGTGGAGGGGCATCTACAGTAATTTTATTGTAACAGAGAAACCAGACTGCAATAAGCCTACATGATTAGAGCAAATGATGATTCCTTCCAGCGGGTGAAGCCTGAATCCTGCTGGCAGCACATAAAGCCTAGAATATCCTCTTTCTTGGCACCACCCTGCGCCACTGGACTCACAGTGTGAGATGAGTGACTGCACAACCACATTCAACAAAGGGAGGAGGTCCAACTGGGCAGAGCCAACATCCCAACTGGAGAAGATTACACAATCATTCAAGAGGATGCTGAGATAAAGTACAGTTACCTACTCTCCATGATTCTTTGCTGAGAAAGGTGAGGGCTTGACATCAGCAGAAAATTATGTTCTTGGGCCAGGCACAGTGGCTCACGCCTGTAATCCCAGTGCTTTGGGAGGCCGAGGCGGGTGGATCACGAGGTCAGGAGATCAAGACCAGCCTGGCTAACATGGTGAAACCCCGTCTCTACTAAAAATACAAAAAATTAGCTGGGCATGGTGGCGGGTGCCTGTAGCCCCAGCTATTCGGGAGGCTGAGGCAGGAGAATGGTGTGAACCTGGGAGGCAGAGCTTGCAGTGAGCCAGAACTTGCAGTGAGCCGAGATCGTGCCACTGCACTCCAACCTGGGCAACAGAGAGAGATTCCATCTTAAAAGGAAAAGAAAAGAAAATTATATTCTTTATTCTTAAATAAATCCCGATAGGATGGGGTTGATTGTCAGTCAAGCAGTAGAACGGGATGAAAATCTACATTAGTTAAAAATCTTTGTGCGGTAAGGAAAAGAACAGCAATGACAAGGGAGAAAAGAGAGCCTCCTCTTTTTCTTAAATAAGACAGGAAACCACATTATTTTCCTTGCTGTAGTGGCAGCAGATTCACTGGTTTTTATAAAACATAATTTCTGCAACGCGTTCTGTTGATAAGGTTGCTCCATGATGGGAGGACAGTCACGAGGCCAACTGTTCATGACAGAACTAGGTCTTCTCTCAGTGCCTCTAATGTGTGCTATTTCTCATGAGGAACCTGACACTTCAGTTAAAGCTTCTGAAATATTGCAATGGCATAATTGGCAGGTTTTTTGGTGTGATGACTTTCTTGCCCATGTAAACTCTTCGAGAAAAGTTGGAGATAAAAGGACAGGGGAGAGTTTGGTTTAGAGCCACAATGTTCCAGATGCCAGCCACGAATGCCTCTGCCCTGTGTCACTACATGTTCTTTTCTGAGAAACATTCAATCACTGAGTGTTACACACTATGGTTGAAAGAAATGATCCACTCACCACCATCCACCCTCTCTCATCCTCTGTGTGAATATCCCAATAACAGAGGCTGAAGACAGAAAGTTTGTCCCTGTTTCTTCACACCAGGGACATTACTTGGTGACCTGGTGAATGGCATGGGCAAGGTAGCCCATGTTGCTGGAGGTTATCCCTGCCACAGAGATGCGGCCGTCCTTTGCCATGTAGATGGAGAACTCCTTGGTCAGCCACCCCACCTGTTCAGGCTTTAGCTCTGTGAAACAAGACATGCCAATTTGGTCAGTGATGTGTTGCCAGTTGTGAGTGGAACCCTTCTTCTTGAGGTTGAAGACCAGCTGAGTCCGCATGCTAATGATGCAGTCGGCCATGCCTTTCACTTCTTACAACCATTGTTTTCACAAACCTGGGGTGTTTGGAATGGTAGAAGCAATCTGGGCCCCATTGAGGGGAGAGTTGGAATACATGGGACTAATCAAGATCTTCAACTGTGACTCTACCCTTTTGGCTTCATCTGCATCTTTGCAGACCACAGTGAAGGCTCCTACATGCTCACCATATAAGCCCATGTTCTTGGCATATGATTGGCAGAGACAAACATTAATGCCCTGTTCGATGAAGTGGTGCAGAGCCCAGGCATCCTTATCACCATCACCACTGGCAAAGCCTTGGTAGGCCATGTCAAAGAGCGCAAAGAGATTCCTTTTCTTCACAACTGTTGCTATTTCCTTCCACTATTCTGGGCGTGGGTGCAGGCATGCAGGAGAAGAACACTTTGCTCTAGTATGTTTTAAAAGTCATCCACAGCGCCCGTGAAGTCAAAACTGCAAATCTTGGGGTCATAATACCGATAACATTGTAGCTGCATGCCAGCGTCCCTGAAGATGGGTGTGTGATTTACCCAGCTTGGTTTCGGTAGAAAGACATCTCAGCTGAACTTAAAATATCTTTAGAGAAAACTGGCTCCGATCCTTAAGGCCCCAGTTCCAGAAATGGTCTGCACAGTGACAAACTGGCCACTTTTCAAGACTTTGCTGTTTTCACCCAGGGTTGGTTCTACAGATGCCTTGCAAAATTCAGCCAGTCCCCCAACTGGCAGGGATTCCTTGTCCACATTTTTTGCAGCAATCTGGGCCTCTGCCTTGAGCACGCTAGGCAGCATGTACGGCTTCCCATTATCATCCCAACTCCCAGATTCATCTTTTTGCTATTGATGTCCCTCTTAAAGGCTTCAGTGACTCCCAGGATGGGATCTGGAGGTCCCATTTCCACATGGGTCCACCAGGAGCTGGCTCTGGCAGAGGCTGCAGCAGCAAGGCCTGGGTGGAAGGCTGCGGTAATCCCGGAGAGGAGTGCAGCAGGGCCATGGTGGATGGTAGGAGGGCAGTGTGTTAATAATTTCTTATCGTTTCGCTCCCACTTATAAGTGAGAACATATGGTATTTGGCTTTCTGTTCCTATATTAGTGTGCTAAGAATAATAGCCTCCAGTTCCATCCATGTCCCGGCAAAAGACATAACCTCATTCTTTATAGTGGCTGCATAGTATTTCATGGTGTATTTGTACCACATTTTCTTTATCTGTCATTGGTGGGCATTTAGGTTAATTCCATGTCTTTGCTATTGTGAGTAGTGCTGCAAATGAACATTTGTGACATGTATCTTTAAGGTAGAATGATTTGTATTCCTCTGGGAATATAACCAGTAATGAGGTTGCTGGATTGAATGGTAGTTCTGCTTTCAGCTCTTTGAGGAATCACCATACTTATTTCAGCAATGAACTAATTTACACTCCCTCCGACAGTGTATAAGTGTTCCCTTTTCTCCAAAATCTCACCAGCATCTGTTGTTTTTTGACTTTTTAATAATAGACATTCTGACTACTGTGAGATGGTATCTCATTGTGGTTTTGATTTGCATTCCTTTAATGATCAGTGATATTGAACTTTTCTTCATATGCTTGTTGGCCACGTGTATGTCTTCTTTAGATAAGTGTCTGTTCATATCCTTTGCCCACTTTTTAATGCGGTGGTTTGTTTTTCTCTTGCAAAGTTGTTTAAGTTCCCTATAGATGCCGGATATAAGATCTTTGTCAGATGCATAGTTTGCAAATATTTTCTCCCATTCTGTAGGTTGTCTGTTGACTCTGTTGATAGTTTCTTTCATAGTGCAGAAGCTCTTAAGTTTAATTAGATCCCACTTATCAGTTTTTGCTTCTGTTGCAATTGCTTTTTGTGTCTTTGTCATGAAATCTTTGCCCATTCTTATGTCCAGGATGGTATTGCCTAGGTTGTCTTTTAGGGTTTTTATAGCTTTAGGTTTTCCATTTAAGTCTTTAATCCATCTTGAGTTGATTTTTGTATATGGGGTAAGGAAGGGGTCAGGTTTCAATATTCTGCATATGGTTAGGCAGTTATCCCAGCACCATATATTGAATAGTGAGTCTTTTTTCCATTGCTTGTTTTAATCAGCTTTGTCAAAGATCAGATGGTTGTAGCTGTGTGGCCTTATTTCTGAGTTCTGTATTCTGTTCCATTGGCCTATGTGTCTGTCTTTGTACATGTATCATTCTGTTTCAGTTACTGTAGCACTGTAGTATAGTTTGAAGTTGGGTAACATGATGGCTCCAGCTTTGAACTTTTTGCTTAAGATTGCCTTGGCTATTTGGGCTCTTTATTGATTCTATATAAATTTTAAAATATATTTTTCTAGTTCTTTGAAGAATGTCATTGGTAGCTTGATAGGAATAGCACTGAATCTGTAAATCCCTTTAGATAGTACCGTTTTAACGATATTGATTCTTCCTATCCATGAGCAGGGGATGATTTTTACTTTTTTGTGTCTTCTCTGATTTGAGCAGGATCTTGTAAGTCTCATTGTAAAGATCTTTAACCTCCATGGTTAGCTGTATTCCTAGGTATTTTATTCTTTTGTGGCAATTGTGAGTGGGATTGCCTTTCTGATTTGACTCTCTGTTTGGCTGTTTTTTGTGTAGAGGAATGCTAGTGATCTTTGTACATTGATTTTGTATCCTGAAACTTTGTTGAAGTCATTTATCAGCTGAAGGAGCTTTTGGGCCAAGACTATAGGGTTTTCTAAATATAGAATCATGTCATCTGCAAACAGGAATAGTTTGTCTTCTTCTCTTCCTATTTGGATGCCCTTCATTTCTTTCTCTTGCCTGATTGCTCTGGCTAGGACTTCTGATACTATGTTGAATTGAAGTAGTGAAAGGGAATCCTTGTCTTGCACCAGTTTTTAAGAAGAATGCTTCCACCTTTCGTCCATTGATTATAATGCTGGCTGTGGGTTTGTCATAGATGGTTTTATTATTTTGAGGTATGTTCCTTCAGTACCTAGTTTATTGAGAGTTTTTAACATGAAGGGATGTTGAATTTTATAGAAAGCCCTTTCTGTGTTTGTTGAGATAATCATGTGGTTTTTGTCTTTAGTTTTGTTGATGTGATGACTCACATTTATTGATTTGCATATGCTGAACCAACCTTGCATCCTGGGGATGAAGTGTACCTGATCATGATGGATTAACTTTTTGATTCAGTTTGCCAATATTTTGTTGAGGATTTTTGCATCAATGTTCATTAAGGATATTGGCCTGAAGTTTTATTTTTTTTGTTGTTGTGTCTCTGCCAGGTTTTGATATCAAGATGATGCTGGCCTCATAGAATTAGTTGGAAGGAGTCCCTTTTTCTCAATTTTTTTGGAATAGTTTCTATAGGAATGGTACCAGCTCTTATTTTAACATCTGGTAGAATCTAGGTTTTCTAGTTTGTGTGCATAGAGGTGTTCATAGTATTT
The DNA here is from genome assembly GCF_000001405.40 of Homo sapiens. NCBI lineage: Eukaryota > Metazoa > Chordata > Mammalia > Primates > Hominidae > Homo > Homo sapiens. The sequence continues at coordinate 173,144,799 of NC_000001.11, forward strand.
TCTGATGGTTGTTTTTATTTCTATGGGGTCAGTGGTAACATTCCCTTCATTATTTCTAATTGTATTTAATTGGATCTTCTCTCTTCTTCTTTATTAATCTAACTAGCAGCCTATCTTATTTGTTTTTTCAAAAAACCAACCCCTGCATTCCTGGATCTTTTTAATGATTTTTAATGTCTCATTTTCCTTCAGTTCAGCTCTGATTTATGTATGTTTTGTCTTCTGCTAGCTTTGGGGTTTATTTGTCCTTGCTTCTCTAATTCTTTCAGTTGTGATGTTAGGTTATTAGTTTTAGATCTTCCTAACTTTTTGATGTGGGCATTTAGTGCTATAAATGTCCCTCTTAACACTGCCATAGCTGTGTCCCAGAGATTCTGGTAAGTTGTATCTTTGTTCTAATTATTTTCAAAGAATTTCTTGATTTCTGCCTTTTAACTTCATATTTACCCAAAAAGTCATTAGGAGAATGTTGTTGAATTTCCATAGAATTGCATGGTTTTGAGTGATGTTTCTTAGTCTTTACTTCTATTTTTATTGTGCTGTGGTCCAAGAGTGTGTTTGGTATAATTGTTGTTCTTTTGCATTTGTTGAGCATTGTTTTATTCCAATTGTGTGGTTGATTTTAGAGTATGTGCCATGTAGTGATAAGAAGAATGTGTATTCTGCTGTTTTGGGGTAGAAAGCTCTGTAAAGGTCTATCAGATCCATTTGGTCCAATGTTGAGTTCAGGTCCTAAATATCTTTGTTAATTTTCTGTCTTGATGATCAGTCTAATACTGTCAGTGGAGTGCTGAAGTCTCCCATTAATATTGTGTGAGAATCTATCTCTCTTTATAGGTCTCTAACAACTTGCTTTATGAATCTGGGTGCTCCTGTGTTGGGTACATATATTATATTTAGGACAGTTAGGTCTTCTTGTTGAATTGAACACTTTACCATTGTGTAATGCCCTTCTTTGTCTTTTTCAGTCTTTATTAGTTTGAAATCTGTTTTGTCCGAAATGAAGATTGCAACTCTGCTTTTTCCTGTTCTCCATTTGCTTGGTAGATTTTCCTCCATCCTTTTATCTTGAGCCTATGCATATCCTTACATGTGAGATGGATCTCTTGAAGACAGCATACCATTGGGTCTTGCTTCTTTATCCACCTTACCACTCTGTGCTTTTTAAGTGGGGCATGTAGCCCATTTACATTCAAGGTTAGTATTGATATGTGTGAATTTGATCCTGTCATTGTGCAGTTAGCTGGTTACTATGTTGGCTTGTTTGTGTGGTTGCTATATAGTGACACTGGTCTGTGTATTTAAGTGTGTTTTTGTGTTAGCTGGTAGCTGTCTTTTCTTTCTATATTTAGTGCTCCTTTCAAGATCTCTTGTAAGGCAGGTCTTGGCTTTCTGACAGCCAAGTTTCCATCAGTTGATATGGGATATTTGTTGCACAACAATTTGTAAAAGATTTGGCTAACTTTGGCTGAATTTGCTACAACTCCAAAAAGAATCCAGATACACCATGAATTTTACTTACATTCATTCTATTCTGACATTGGCCAGGAAGATAGGAGTAGGTGATAGGAGGAGGGAACTCACATTTCTCTCACATTTGCTTATCTGAAGAGGATCTTATTTCTCCTTCACTTAGGAAGCTTAGTTTGGCTGGATAAAAAATTCTTGATTGAAGATTTTTTTCTTTATGATTGTTGAATATAAGCCCTCAATCTCTTCTGGCTTTTAGGGTTTCAACTGAGAGGTCCAGGGTTAACCTAATGGGGTTCCCTTTTTAAGTGACCTGCCTTTTCCCTCTGTCTTTAACATTCTTTCTTTCTTTCTTTCAATTCAACTTTGGAAAATACTGTGATTTTATGCCTTAGGGATAATCTTCTTGTGTAGAATCTTTCAGGAGTTCTCTGTATTTCCTGAATTTAATCTTTAGCAAGGTTGGGGAAGTTTTCATGGATGATATCCTAAATTGTGTTTTCCAAGTTTTTTGCTTTCTCCTGCTTCCTTTCAGGGATGCCAGTGATTCATAGATGTGACCTCTTTACATAATACCATACTTCTCAGAGGTTTTGTTCATTCCTTCTTTTTCTTTTCTCTTTATTGTTGTCTGACTGTCTTATTTCAGAGAATCAGTCTTCTAGTTCTGAGATTCTTTCCTCAGCTTGGTTTATTCTGCTGTTAATACCTGTGGTTGCATCGTGAAATTCTTGTATTGTGTCATTCAGCTCGGTCCGACCCATTAGTTTCTTTTTTATACTGGATACTTCATCCTTCAGCTCCTGTATGGCTTTGTTGTGATTTTTATTTTCCTTGGATTGGGTTTTGCTATCCCCCTGAATCTCAATAATCTTTGTTCCTATCCATATTCTGAATTCTATTTTTGTCATTCCAGCCAGTTCAGCCTGGTTAAGAACTCTTGTTGAAGAACTGGTGTGGTTGTTTGGAGGACATATGACATTCTGGCCATTTGAGTTACCAGGGTTCTTGCTTTGGTTCTTTCTCATCTCTGCATGTGGATGTTCATTTAACTGCAGTTTACATTGAGTACAGTCAAGAGACTTCTTTTCTGGATGTCTTCACCAGATGGAGTCTTTGTGTAGGGTCTTTGTTTGAAGCTGACTTCTTGTCTCTGGTTTCAGAGGGGGTTATGTTAATGAGGGACTTTTGGTGTTGAAGCTTTGGGGTGTGATTCAACATGTGGCACTTAGGCTTATTGGTCAGTTGGTAGATTCTTGCTCGGTCCTGTGGCTCTTCTATGGTTCCTCACAGTTTCAGCCATGTTCTCTCTCAATGCTCTGAAAGTGTGGATTCCTCTCCCCCTTGAGTGCTGGCTATAGATTGCAACTTGGCACTCCTAGGCTGCCCACTGCAGCTCTGGTACAATCTCAGTGGTTACGTTCCTTCCACAGCTTGGAGGTAGCAGAGGAAGGGACCTCAGTAGTGGTTGTGCCAAAGGGTCTTTTGCTTGTCTCCTGGAGGCTCCAACCCAGAGAGATGCAGGTCAGCAATCAGATAGTGCAATCACCCTAGAATGGAAGGCCTGTGCTATGGGCTCAAACCAGGGGTTCCCTGTCTGGTGAGGAGCAGTGGGGTTGTGTGGGACCCGTGGGAGAAGGACTGGTCTTTTTTTGGGTTGATTGCAACTTGTTGGAGGTGTGGATAAGACACTTAGGGTCTTTGTTCCTTCATTAGTCCAAGGGGAACAAGGACTGTGGCAGACTCAGTGACAGAGAGGTTTTCAGTTGCCCCTGGAAGCTCTGTCCAGGGAGTTGCCGAATTACTACTGACTCAATAGCTCTGGTGGTTGGTGGCTGGAGGTCCAGACCTAGAGTACCTTCCCAGTGAGGAGATATGGGAATGGACATCCATCTAACAGTCTGGCCACTTTTCCGTAAGGCTGCTGGGGTACACTTAGGGGTCCACTCCAGTCCCTAGTTACCTCAGGTTTTCCAGTACCCAAAGGTATCACCAGCGAAGTCTGCAAAACAGCAAAGATGGCAGTCTGACTCTCCCTCTGGGATTTTCACCCCAGGGAGTTATGAACCTGATGCCGGCCTGAATGCACCTGGGGTAGGTGACTGAAGACCCTGGTTGGGAGGTCCAACCTAGTGAGGAGGAATGGAATCAGGGGCCTGCTTTAAAAAGCAGTCTGGACACATTTTTGTAGAGTGGCTGTGCTGTGCTGTGGGTCCACTTCAGCCCCCGATCACCTCAGATACTCCAAAGCCTGAAGGCAGGATTGGTTAAGTCATCAAACAGCAAAGATGGTGGGCTGCCCCTTCCTCTGGGAGATCTGTCCCAGGGAGGTTGCAAACCTCTGTTGGCCAGAGAACCCCACTAGGGGTGGCTAGAGATCCTGGTTGGGAGGTACTGCCCAGTGAAGAGGAATGGAATCAGGAACCCACTTAAAAAAGCAGTCTGACCACATTTTGCAGAGCAGTTGGAGGACTGCCTCCACCTCTCTTGAGAACTATGTTGGGGCACTGCCTCCACCTCTGGTCGGCTTGGACTCTCCAAAGCCTGAAGGCTGGAGTGGCTAAGTCAGTCTGGGAGTGCTGTTCCAGGGAGATTTCAAATTTCTGTCAGTTGGAGAACAACGGTTGGGGTGGCTGGAGGCCACCCAGTTGGTTGGGAGGTCCCACCCAGTGAGGAAGAATGGGATCAGGGACCTGATCTAAAAAGCAGTCTGGCCTGGCTTCTCTTTCTGATCATTACTCTTTAGAGTGTTTCTTGCCTTTTTCCAAAGTTTGACGAGGAAAGTCTGAGTCTGTATCTTTTCTTAACTATATGCCTGTTCAGAATTCACAAAGCCTTCAAGTTGCAAGTCTGACTGCCTAGCATTTTCACTGTTTCTGCTACTCAGCCAGAAGTCTTAAAGGTCAGTGATGGCTTACCACATTCATGAAACCTTTTCAGGGAGCTCCAACTCATGATGACTTATTTTTTAAATACTGTAGCCATTCATGTACGTACCATTCATTTACACTTGTAACATCTTGCACTATATTGTTATTTGTGATATTATGTGTAAAGGCAGCTAAAATAGAGTGAAGAAAACTCCATCAGGGTTATTTCTCACAGGCATTTATATATATATATAAATATATATATAATATATCTGTGTGTATGTGTATATATATATATATATATATATACACACACATATATATATGCACCTCTCATGCTTGCTACTTGATAAATGTTCACTAAATGTTTGTATAATTATCACATTTAGAAGTTTGAGGCCAGGCGCAGTGGCTCACGCCTGTAATCCCAGCACTTTGAGAGGCCGAGGCGGGCAGATCACGAGGTCAGGAGATCAAGACCATCCTGGCTAACACGGTGAAACCCCGTCTCTACTAAAAATACAGAAAATTAGCCAGGCATGGTGGTGGGTGCCTGTATTCCCAACTACTCGGGAGGCTGAGGCAGAAGAGTGGCGTGAACCTAGGAGGCGGAGCTTTCAGTGAGCCGAGATCGCGCCACTGCACTCCAGCCTGGGCGACAGAGCAAGACTCCGTCTCCAAAAAAAAAAAAAAAAAAAAAAAGTTTGAATATCACTGGATAGTAAGCATCTGAAAAACAATCTGAAGTCATGTGATCAAAGTTTTGCCACTTTCTTGGCATGTACCCACCCCTACCTAGTGCTTTATTAGAAGCCTGCCCACAGAATATACTCAACTCAGTGCTGGATTGACACCCCCATATCTCAGTATCTCAGCCCACTCTGACGTCATTTCTGGAAGCACTACTGGCTTTCAAGCTTTCACAATTCTCTGAAGGATTCTGCAACACCACAGCGTGAGTAATGAGGACATGTCATAAGTACTATGTACAACTTGTAATGAAGGTTGTAGATCAATGTCAGTGGCTCTTGTGGAGTCTCTGGGGTTTAGATAAACCCTCACAAACACCTGGATCTGGACTAGCATCAAATGGCCCCCTCCTCTGAAAGTCAGTCCCCACTTCCACATATAAGTGTCTTCTACAATAGTGTTTCCTAACCAGAGGAAATAATTCTTCTGTGTGTTGGCTTTAGTGCCTCTTTTTCATGGTGTGGGTTTTATGTGTTTTCTTGTCTTTTTATTGAGGCACCTAGCTTGGGGCCTGCCTATTCTGGTTTCCTCACCTGCCCCTGGTCATCACGGGAAAGGAGTGGGACATGTGGCTAGACCTCAACTTTTCCTTTCTTCTTCTGGCCCCGACACCCATGGCCACTGCTTCCCACTGCTTAGCACAGCAGCCTAGTTACTCCAAGAAGAGCAACTCACTTCATCCCCCGATGAAGGCTCCAGGGTGCCCTCCCACTTCTTGTACCTGTGGATGTTAGGTTTGGAAGCCTCCCACCCACTCCTACCTCCACAGTGATTTTCTCTTGTTTGTGATTTGGTTCATAATTTGGAGGCTTGATTACTCTGTAGATTGGCTCTAGTAAGCTTTTTATCCTTCCAATATATCTCAAAATTTCACATCCACTAATATAGTAACCATCTCAGTTCATTAGGCTAGTGTTTGTTACAAATCAGTAGTTCCCCGATCCTAAGTTTTCATAACACTTTATAATTTACAAAACTATTTTGATTCTATCATTTAATTCTTACCACAACTTTGTCACAAAATTTTATAAATGAGGACAGTATGATTCATAGAAGTATAGTGACTTTCACAAAGTCACATGGCCATAAATGAAGAGGATGAGGAGATCTGTGTACTTTATACCATCAGAGGTAGGTCACAGGATACTCAGCTTTCCCGCACCTCCCAAATGCCCTCTACCCATTGGAACAACTATCCTGCCTACAGAACTTACATTCAAACTCAGTGAATCCTACAACCATGTTGACTGGAACTCCTAATTTAAGCCCATCTCCATGATTACATTTTCATTCATTTTTAAGAACTCCCCCACCCTAGTACTTTCATTTTTAATACTTTAGTTACAAAGAAATCATCTTTTTCTTACTAATGTCAATCAGTTTCAGCATCTACCTAGAACACTGGGCTAACAAGATTTCTGAAGCTAAATTCAGCATAGTAGCAGAGAATGTCAAAATCAATTAGTAATCTGCCACTATAGGAAAGGGGATGGTGATGGCCTCTGAGACATTTAAATCTATTCTTTCACCACTCACACTGCCGCCATATCTCCTCCCCAACACCTCTGTTTTCTGACAGCCAAGTTTCCATCAGTTGATATGGGACTATTTGTTGCAAAACAATTGTTAAAAGATTTGGCTGACTTTGGCTGAATTTGCTACAACTCCAAAAAGAATCGAGATACACCATGAATTTTATTTTCATTTCATTCTATTCTGATATTGGTCAGGCAGATAGGAGTAGGTGACTGTTGATAAAAGTCCATCAATATGTATATCTTCAGTAATTTTTAAACAGACACAAGTAAAATTTTATATATAAGTTCCAGAAATGCAGCTTCTCTGGTCCTTAGTCCCAAGTCTCCTTTTCAGAATTATAGAAGTCCGTCTGAGTGACTTACAAGAAGAAAATTTAGGAAGTAATCTGTCCTTTATTCAGGGATAGAACACAATGTCAGGAAAATTAAGAGCTAATTTTTCCAACTCTTGAAACTTAGCTACTTTATTTATCAGTCTTTGAGGGTGGGCATTTTATTCCTTAGCCAAATCACAAAAATTAATGGAAGATAACTGGGTGAGGTGATGCCTATGTTAATTATCTTGATTGTGGCACTCATTTCACAAAACATCATGATGTATACCTTGAATACATACAATTATTATTTGTCAATTATAACTCCATAAAACTGGGGAGACATTCTAGTTAAAAGAGTGATAGAAAACTTATTCTAAATAAGCCAAGCAAATGTTCACCCAGGAAAACAAAATTGAATATATTTCTGTGTATATATACTTATTATATGTATACACATATAGAAAGAATATATATGTATGTGTGTATACATATATATGTATATGTATATATACATATGTATATATATGTGTGTGTGTGTGTATATATATATACACACACAGCTCCTAAAATGAGGCACTTGAAACTAGACAGACATTAGGGAAAATGTTAAAGCTATTTTGAATTTTTGTGTTTTGTAGTTTGAATGTTATAATTGACAAAATATAAGATAGCATTCTTCTAAGTTGCACCACATTTTCTTATACTACCAATAAATAAATTATATTGCTAATTTTAACAAAAAAGAATTAATGGAAATCCCAGGTCCTCAGCTTTTAGTAACAATTTTTGATGTTACCTGCCTTAGACTCACAAAATCAAGTAAATTATGAATAGTATAATTGAATCTTGGCCAACAAATACTTCAAGCCAAGTTTCGGCCTCTCCCTGGGCATAGACCCTAAGACAAGCTAACTTTTGGCAAATCATTTCTTCAGAAAAGGAACAAAGAACATGAAAGTGTGAGTAACAATAAAAACTGAGGAGAGAAAAGTCAAGCTTGCACAAATTGTTGATGATATCATTATAGCATCTGACACATGGCAACACACTCCTCCAGGCTCATTACTCAACCATAAAAGAGCCCAATTGACTCCTTGGGATCTGCTTATTTAAATTAGAGATGGTGTTTGCTCTGAAGAAATACTCATCCTTAATTGAATTTTCCTCTAAGCCATGGTTTGTGGGAGGTGGTGAGGAGGAGGAGAAACAGCGAGGAGTGCATATTGACAAAGGCTCCCAGACAAAAGTGGAAGGCTGCTATCTTCATTTGTTTCTGTGGAACTGGAGGCTGTGTCATGCAATATCAGGAGAACTAAAAGGACCACCTAGTTCTTTCACAGGAGTTATGCTCTGCCTATTTTTGTAGGTAAAATAGCCCAATTAGAAGCAGATAATTAAGATAAATACATCATTTTCACTTTGGTGTGAATTTATCCATCCATCCATTTATCCATCCATCCATCCATCCATGCATCCATTCATTCTCCAGTCATCACACATGTACAGACTGGCTGTAAGGTGCCAGGATTCCTGCCAAATATTAGGGATAAAACTGTAGACAGAAGACAGCCCCTGCCCTCATTGAATCTAAGACCTAGTGAATGAAACATACAAGTGATTTAGCAATTAAAATTGATACCAGGCAAAACACAAAGTTCAGGATGTTTTATGGGAATACATAGAATAAGTATCCAGTCTCAGAGTTAAAAGGAAGCTGTCCTAGAATAAGTGATCACTGAATCTAGAAAAAAGAGCAGACATTATAAAAGGAAGGAAAGAAAATATTTCAAGCAGAGAGAACAGTGCAACAAGTTTAGAAAACTGAATGTAGTTTATTCTGCTTGAGATGTACAGCATTAAGGGTAGAGGGCAAAAATAGGTAGGCTTTGTAGAAGGTGAGGCTCAAGAGACAGGGAGCAACCAGGTCATAAATCTATGAGCAAAACTTAGAAATGTTGTGTCACTGTGTCACTGTGAGAAATGGAAATCACCAAAAGAATTATGGCTGAATAGGAACAGCTCTGGTCTACAGCTCCCAGCATGAGCAACGCATAAGATGGGTGATTTCTGCATTTCCATCTGAGGTACCGGGTTCATCTCACTAGGGAGTGCCAGATAGTGGGTGCAGGACAGTGGGTGCAGCGCACTGGGTGCGAGCCAAAGCAGGGAGAGGCATTGCCTCACTCGGGAAGCACAAGGGGTCAGGGAGTTCCCTTTCCTAGTCAAAGAAAGGGGTGACAGACGGCACCTGGAAATTTGGGTCACTCCCACCCTAATACTGAGCTTTTCCAACAGGCTTGAAAAACGGCACACCAGGAGATTATATCCCGCACATGGATTGGAGGGTCCTACGCCCACGGAGTCTCGCTGTTAGCTAGCACAGCAGTCTGAGATCAAACTGCAAGGCGGCAGCGAGGCTGGGGGAGGAGCGCCTGCCATTGCCCAGGCTTGATTAGGTAAACAAAGCAGCCAGGAAGTTCAAACTGGGTGGAGCCCACCACAGCTCAAGGAGGCCTGCCTGCCTCTGTAGGCTCCACTTCTGGGGTCAGGGCACAGACAAACAAAAGCAGTAACCTCTGCAGACTTAAATGTCCCTGTCTGACAGCTTTGAAGAGAGTAGTGGTTCTCCCAGCACTCAGCTGGAGATCTGAGAACAGGCAGACTGCCTCCTCAAGTGGGTCCCTGACCCCCGAGCAGCCTAACTGAGAGGCACACCCCAGTAGGGGCAGACTGACACTTCACATGGCAGGGTACTCCTCTGAGACAAAACTTCCAGAGGAACGATCAGGCAGCAGCATTTGTGGATCACCAATATCCGCTGTTCTACAGCCACCAATGTTCTGCAGCCACCGCTGCTGATACCCAGGCAAACAGGGTCTGGAGTGGACCTCTAGCAAACTCCAACAGACCTGCAGCTGAGGGTCCTGTCTGTTAGGAAAACTAACAAACAGAAAGGACATCCACACCAAAAACCCATCTGTACATTACCATCATCAAAGACCAAAAGTAGATAAAACCACAAAGATGGGGAAAAAACAGAGCAGAAAAACTGGAAACTCTAAAAAGCAGAGCGCCTCTCCTCCTCCAAAGGAGTGCAGCTCCTCACCAGCAACGGAACAAAGCTGGATGGAGAATGACTTTGACGAGTTGAGAGAAGAAGGCTTCAGACGATCAAATTACTCCGAGCTACAGGAGGAAATTCAAACCAATGGCAAAGAAGTTAAAAACTTTGAAAAAAAATTAGACGAATGGATACCTAGAATAACAAATCCAGAGAAGTCCTTAAAGGAGCTGATGGAGCTGAAAGCCGAGGCTCGAGAACTACGTGAAGAATGCAGAAGCCTCAGGAGCCGATGCCATCAACTGGAAGAAAGGGTATCAGTGATGGAAGACGAAATGAATGAAATGAAGTGAGAAGGGAAGTTTAGAGAAAAAAGAATAAAAAGAAATGAACAAACCCTCCAAGAAATATGGGACTATGTGAAAAGACCAAATCTACGTCTGATTGGTGTATCTGAAAGTGACCGGGAGAATGGAACCAAGTTGGAAAACACTCTGCAGGATACTGTCCAGAACTTCCCCAATCTAGCAAGGCAGGCCAACATTCACATTCAGGAAATACAGAGAATGCCACAAAGATACTCCTCGAGAAGAGCAACTCCAAGACACATAATTGTCAGATTCACCAAAGTTGAAATGAAGGAAAAAATGTTAAGGGCAACCAGAGAGAAAAGTCTGATTACCCACAAAGGGAAGCCCATCAGACTAACAGCGGATCTCTCGGCAGAAACTCTACAAGCCAGAAGAGAGTGGGGGCCAATATTCGACATTCTTAAAGAAAAGAATTTTCAACCCAGAATTTCATATCCAGCCAAACTAAGCTTCATAAGTAAAGGAGAAATAAAATACGTTACACACAAACAAATGCTGAGAGATTTTGTCACCACCAGGCCTGCCTTAAAAGAGCTCCTGAAGGAAGCACTAAACATGGAAAGGAACAACCGGTACCAGCCACTGCAAAAACATGCCAAAATGTAAAGACCACCAAGGCTAGGAAGAAACTGCATCAACTAATGAGCAAAATAACCAGCGAACATCATAATGACGGGATCAAATCCACACATAACAATATTAACTTTAATTGTAAATGGGCTAAATGCTCCAATTAAAAGACACAGACTGGCAAATTGGATAAAGAGTCAAGACCCATCAGTGTGCTGTATTCAGGAAACCCATCTCACATGCAGAGACACACATAGGCTCAAAATAAAGGGATGGAGGAAGATCTACCAAGCAAATGGAAAACAAAAAAAGGCAGGGGTTGCAATCCTAGTCTCTGATAAAACAGACTTTAAACCAACAAAGATCAAAAGAGACAAAGAAGGCCATTACATAATGCTCAAGGGATCAATTCAACAAGAAGAGCTAACTATCCTAAATATATATGCACCCAATACAGGAGCACCCAGATTCATAAAGCAAGTCCTTAGTGACCTACAAAGAGACTTAGACTCCCACACAATAATAATGAGAGATTTTAACACCCCACTGTCAACATTAGACAGATCAACGAGACAGAAAGTTAACAAGGATATCCAGGAATTGAACCCAGCTCTGCACCAAGCAGACCTAATAGACATCTACAGAACTCACCACTCCAAATCAACGGAATACACATTTTTTTCAGCACACCGCACCTATTCCAAAATTGACCACATAGTTGGAAGTAAAGCACTCCTCAGCAAAATGTAAAAGAACAGAAATTATAACAAACTGTCTCTCAGACCACGGTGCAATCAAACTAGACCTCAGGATTAAGAAACTCACTCAAAACTGCTCAACTACATGGCAACTGAACAACCTGCTCCTGAATGACTACTGGGTACATAACGAAATGAAGGCAGAAATAAAGATGTTCTTTGAAACCAACGAGAACAAAGACACAACATACCAGAATCTCTGGGACACATTCAAAGCAGTGTGTAGAGGGAAATTTATAGCACTAAATGCCCACAAAAGAAAGCAGGAAAGATCCAGAATTGACACCCTAACATAACAATTAAAAGAACTAGAAAAGCAAGATAAAAGAACTAGAAAAGCAAGAGCAAACACATTCAAAAGCTAGCAGAAGGCAAGAAATAACTAAAATCAGAGCAGAACTGAAGGAAATAGAGACATAAAAAACCCTTCAAAAAATTAATGAATCCAGGAGCTGGCTTTTTGAAAAGATCAACAAAATTGATAGACCACTAGCAAGACTAATAAAGAAGAAAAGAGAGAAGAATCAAATAGACACAATAAAAAATGATACACGGAATATCACCACCGATCCCACAGAAATATAAACTACCAGCAGAGAATACTACAAACACCTCTATGCAAATAAACTAGAAAATCTAGAGGAAATGGATAAATTCCTCAACACATACACCCTCCCAAGACTAAACCAGGAAGAAGTTGAATCTCTGAATAGACCAATAACAGGCTTTGAAATTGTGGCAATAATCAATATCTTATCAACCAGAAAAAGTCCAGGACCAGATGGATTCACAGCCGAATTCTACCAGAGGTACAAGGAGGAGCTGGTACCATTCCTTCTGAAACTATTCCAATCAATAGAAAAAGAGGGATTCCTCCCTAACTCATTTTATGAGGCCGGCATCATCCTGATACCAAAGCCAGGCAGAGACCCAACAAAAAAAGAGAATTTTAGACCAATATCTCTGATGAACATCGATGCAAAAATCCTCAATAAAATACTGGCAAACCAAGTCCAGCAGCACATCAAAAATCTTAACCATCATGATCAAGTGGGCTTCATCCTTGGGATGCAAGGCTGGTTCAACATAAACAAATCAATAAATGTAATCCAGCATATAAACAGAACCAAAGACAAAAACCACATGATTATCTCAATAGATGCAGAAAAGGCCTTTGACAAAATTCAACAATGCTTCATGCTAAAAACTCTCAATAAATTAGGTATTGATGGGATGTATCTCAAAATAATAAGAGCTATTTATGATAAACCCACAGCCAATATCATACTGAATGGGCAAAAACTGGAAGCATTGCCTTTGAAAACTGACACAAGACAGGGATGCCCTCTCTCACCACTCCTATTCAACATAGTTTTGGAAGTTCTGGCCAGGGCAATTAGGCAGGAGAAGGAAATAAAGGGTATTCAATTAGGAAAAGAGGAAGTCAAATTGTCCCTGTTTGCAGATGACATAATTGTATATCTAGAAAACCCCATTGTCTCAGCCCAAAATCTCCTTAAGCTGATAAGCAACTTCAGCAAAGTCTCAGGATACAAAATCAATGTACAAAAATCACAAGCATTATTATACACCAATAACAGACAAACAGAGAGCCAAATCATGAGTGAACTACCATTCACAATTGCTTCAAAGAGAATAAAATACCTAGGAATCCAACTTACAAGGGATGTGAAAGGCCTCTTCAAGGAGAACTACAAACCACTGCTCAAGGAAATAAAAGAGGATACAAACAAATGGAAGAACATTCCATGCTCATGAGTAGGAAGAATCAATATCGTGAAAATGGCCATACTGCCCAAGGTAATTTATAGATTCAATATCATCCCCATCAAGCTACCAATGACTTTCTTCACAGAATTGGGAAAAACTACTTTAAAGTTCATATGGAACCAAAAAAGAGCCCGCATCGCCAAGTTAATCCTAAGCCAAAAGAACAAAGCTGGAGGCATCATGCTACCTGACTTCAAATTATACTACAAGGCTACAGTAACCAAAACAGCATGGTACTGGTACCAAAACAGAGATATAGATCAATGGAACAGAACAGAGCCCTCAGAAATAATGCCACATATCTACAACCATCTGATCTTTGACAAACCTGAGAAAAACAAGCAATGGGGAAAGGATTCCCTATTTAAGAAATGGTGCTGGGAAAACTAGGAGCCATATGTAGAAAGCTGAAACTGGATCCCTTCCTTACACCTTATACAAAAATTAATTCAAGATGGATTAAAGACTTAAATGTTAGACCTAAAACCATAAAAACCCTAGAAGAAAACCTACGCAATACCATTCAGGACATAGGCATGGGCAAGGACTTCATGTCTAAAACACCAAAAGCAATGGCAACAAAAGCCAAAATTGACAAATGGGATCTAATTAAACTAAAGAGCTTCTGCACAGCAAAAGAAACTACCATCAGAGTGAACAGGCAACCTACAGAATGGGAGAAAATTTTCGCAGGCTACTCATCTGACAAAGGGCTAATATCCAGAATCTACAAAGAACCCAAACAAATTTACAAGAAAAAAACAAACAGCCCCATCAAAAAGTGGGCAAAGGACATGAACAGACACTTCTCAAAAGAAGACATTTATGCAGCCAAAAAACACATGAAAAAATGCTCATCATCACTGGCCATCAGAGAAATGCAAATCAAAACCACAATGAGATACCATCTCACACCAGTTAGAATGGTGATCATTAAAAAGTCAGGAAACAACAGGTGTGGAGAGGATGTGGAGAAATAGGAACACTTTTACACTGTTGGTGGGACTGTAAACTAGTTCAACCATTGTGGAAGTCAGTGTGGTGATTCCTCAGGGATCTTGAACTAGAAATACCATTTCACCCAGCCATCCCATTACTGGGTATATACCCAAAGTATTATAAATCATGCTGCTATAAAGACACATGCACACGTATGTTTATTGCGGCACTATTCACAATAGCAAAGACTTGGAACCAACCCAAATGTCCAACAACGACAGACTGGATTAAGAAAATGTGGCACATATACACCATGGAATACTATGCAGCCGTAAAAAATGATGAGTTCATGTCCTTTGTAGGGACATGGATGAAACTGGAAACCATCATTCTCAGCAAAGTATCGCAAGGACAAAAAACCAAACACCGCATGTTCTCACTCATAGGTGGGAATTGAACAATGAGAACACATGGACACAGGAAGGGGAACATCACACTCTGGGGACTGTTGTGGGGTGGGGGGAGTGGGGAGGGATAGCATTAGTAGATATACCTAACGCTGAATGACGAGTTAATGGGTGCAGCACACCAACATGGCACATGTATATATATGTAACAAACCTGCACATTGTGCACATGTACCCTAAAACTTAAAATATGATAATAATAAAATTTAAAAAAAACACCTCAGTCATCCCACTTTTATATGGCTTTGACTTCTATTAAATGCTATTAATAAAAAAAATAATTATTTAAATAAGATAGATTATTTTTCTCTCATGTAAAATTTTGGGGCCAAGGAAAAACTTCCCCTTCACCCTCTTAAAGTTCACTGAAAATTACTGACAAGGGGCAGCTTAATGCGATAAAAAGCATACAAATTTATTAACATGTACTTGGAAGCCTTCAGAATGAAGACACACTCCCCACTCTTTAGATCATACCTTATTGGTCCAATTATATTTCTACACAGCTTCTATCTGGATCCTTCCTGGCCTCTCTGAGCATGCATTTCTTCCTTCTGGGTATCGGTAGAGACTTCTCTGGAACAGGGGTCTTATGACCTACAGTCAAACAAGGTAGATCAGATAATTTATTTATGGCCAGTTTTTACAAAGAAATGTGGAGTCAAAGTGAGAGTAATAATTTTAGGTTTTATGACTGGCTTTGGGAAAAGAGGGTTCTAGTTTCCATGACCCCACCTTGGGGAAAAGGGGATTCTAGTGTCTCTGGTTATCCTCAGGGGAGAACGAGACTGAGAAGAGGCAGGAGAATGTAAGAAAAACTTTTGCTTCTGAGGCTGTTTCCGAGGCCTTCATTTTGTGGTATTTTCCAAGTTTTCTGAGTCCCAACAAAAACAAGACCAGGAGTAGGCAGTCCAAATTACCTCCATGATGAAAGAAACATCAAAGATCCCAACTTATTCTAGCTTTCAGCTCTGCCATCTTTAGTGCAGGAGTTCTTGCCATAAGACCATTTCAAGCTCTTAAGATGGCCACTTCAGCTTTAGGCACTATTTCTGCTAAGCAGGGAGATGGAATAATAGAAAAAGAATAGCAGGTTACAGTGCCCCTGAGTGAGACTCTTTTTACAGAGCTCTTATAGATGCCACTCTCTACTTATATCTACTTATACTTTGACTTATATCGCCTTGGCCAGAATATAGAACATCTCCTTGGCCAGAATAACCATTCCAACTGCAAGGGATGCTAGTAGCTGAGCACAATTGCTCTCTCTAACAAAATCAGGCTTCTGTTAGTAAGGATGAAAGAAAAAAGATATTAAGGGCAACTAATAGTCTTTGCTATGCCACACCATGTTAACCTTGTTCAGAAATCAATGGGTTATCATCTAAGTGTTTCAAGCTAAGAAGTGACATGGTCAAATGTGCATTTTCAAAAGCACCTGATGGATGTAGGACAGATAGAGGATTGGAGAGGACATGACTGGTGACAAGGGGAGCTGTTAGGAGGACGTCAAATAAGTCTAGGCAATAAGTGATAGTGGCCAACAAGTGTGATTTGATGAAGATTGAAGGTGAGATCCAGAGGAAACCAGGAGTGTAAAGGAATAAACAGTAGAATCCTGTTGGCATCAAAGATGAATATTACCCACCTTACCATTGTATCTGATATGGCTCATTCCCATCTCAGTCCCATTCTTCTAGGCAAAGCAAATCAACATTGAATTTAACTCAGCTTCTCGGATGTCACTCAGCAATTGGGTTTATCAGGGTGCTCGTCCTATGATTTTTTAATGTTACAAATTTATTCTTATTAGACTTGCACATCTATATATAAAATATCATGCATATTCAGAAGTAGAATTTCCCAAATCCCATTGTTTTTATGAAATATTTAATGCAGGCAAAATAATACATACTGTATATGTGTATATTATGGAACATAATAATGAAACTAACACTCATTATCCACTACCCAACCTAAGAATCAGAGTATTAGCAACACTTCCTTATCACCCCAAGAGAGTCAAAATACCCACACTTTTCTGATATCTATCACCACGCCTTTTATAGACACATAGATAAAGAAAAGTGACAGGAATACGAGACCTTGATGGTCTCATATTTTTCCCAGCCATGACTTACCCTAAAACCTTAACAATAAAAACTAATATATAGTATTTACCAGGTAGATGTCCGGAACCTTCTAAATGCTTTATATATGATCATGCATCACTTAAAGATGGGTGTACATTCTGAGAAATGTGTCTTCAGGCAATTTCCTGTGTAGGGAACTTACCATGAATAGAGCTGGCAGGACTGGAAGTTGTTCTTGATGAGTCAGTGAGTGAGTGGTGAGTGAATGTGAAGGCCTAGGATATTATTGTACACTCCTGTAGACTTCTTAAACACTGTATATTAGGTTACACTAAGTTTATTTAAAAATGTTTCTTTCTTATACAATAAATTAACTTTAGCTTACTATAACTTTTTTACTTGATAAGCATTTTAATTTCTTTACCTTTTTTCTTTTTTAATAACACCTTAAAACACAAACATATTGCACAGCTATACAAAATATTTTCTCTCCTTATATTCTTGTTCTATAGGCTTTTTTCTATTTTTAAAATTTCTGATTTTTGTTTTTTACTTTTTAAACTTTTTAAAAGTTAAAAACTAAGACACACACATTAGCCTAGGCCTTCACAGGGTCAGGATCATCAATATCACTTGTCTTCCACCTCCACATCTTGCTCCACTGGAAGGTCTTCAGGGGCAATAGCACACATGGAGCTGTCATCTCCTGTGATAACAATGCCTTCTAAAATACCTCCTGAAGGCCCTGCCTGAGGCTGTTTTACAGTTAACTTTTTTTTAATAAGTAGAAGGAGTATAGTTTAATAATGATAAAAATAAATACTATAATAAACACATAAACCAGTAACATAGTAGTTTATTATCATTATCACATATTACATGCTGTACATAATTGTATATACTGTACTTTTTATACCACTGGCAGCAACCTAGGTTGGTTTGTACCAGCATCACCTCAATCAGGTGAGTAATGTGTTATACTACAATGTTACAATGGCTATGACTTCACTTGGCAACAGAAATTTTTCAGCTCCTTTATAATCTTATGGACCACTGTTGTACATGCAGTCTGTCATTGACCAAACATTATGCAGTGCATAACTATAGGTGAAATAATTTAATCCACTGAGTGATTCTTTGAAGTGAATACTATTATCCTCACCCCTGTTTAACCGATGAACATTCTGAGTCTTAGAGTGGTTTAGTATCTTGTCCAAAGTATCTTGCACAGCTAGTGAGTGGTAGAACTAAGATTTAAACACAGGTCATATGGCTCCAGAATCTGTTCCTAGTCACTATTATATATTATTGCCCTTAGAACTGTGATGATGATGGTGATGTTAGTGGTAACTCTCCCCCTAAATATGGCTATTTCTCTAGTAGAATATTAGATTCAGGAGAAATATTAGAGATTATACTGACATATTTACCTATTCCATAGATTCAGAACTTTTTGAAAACAAGAATTAGGATGACAAACTATAAATCTAAGGCCAAGGGTTGTGAGATGTGTGGCAGACTTTATTCTGGAACCCAAGGGTCTTGCCTGAAGTACATAGTTCATTTCTAGTACACCACACTGGCTAGGTCTGAAGGGAAACCTAAACTGCTGACTTGCAAATAAAACATATGCAGTAAATTGCACCAGACAAGTCAGCGGCAAAGTTTTCATTTCTCTTTTTGATCATTGCTGTATGGAGATCTAGAGAACCATATGTTTGTAAAAACTTCAACAAGTCATTTTAAATATTTTGAGTAGAGAAGTAGAGTCCCAGATCCCTTTCAGATTATATTGAATCAGGTTATAGGTACAGCGTAGGCTTCATGAGAATTGGTTGTTATCATCATAACCATTATGCTATGACTTTAGAGTAGGGACAGGCCATAGGAAAATAATTGACTTAAAGATTGCACTTCTATTTGGATGTAAAGCTTTGTTTCAATGATTTCATTAAACATTTAGACTTCAGAAGAGCAATGTTTATAATGCTGCCATATTTCCTGACTTAACCTGTACAATGGTATTAGAAAGCATAAAAAAGAAGACACTCAGTTACAGAAAAACATAATATTATAATAATATTAAACATAATAACAGGTCTTATCATTGATGCAATGCTTACATTTGACTAGTTGTATTTTCATTACAAATACAAAAATAATTATCCTTCATTTGTAGGCATCAATCTCAACAAAGATAGGAGTCAGACTAACAGTTTTATGAGTTTTAAGTCCTGTCTAAAGTGCAGCATGTGAAGAAAAGAAAAAGGCAGATTTATGGTCTGATTTCTTGATGCTCTGAGATTATAAACTTGGCTCTGTGAGCGGTTCTATATATATCCAATTTCATATTCTTACCAACTATACTAGTTAACCAATTCTAGCTACTATAAAATAAAAATTCTAAGATCTCAGTGACTTAAAATATTGGAAATTTCTTGCTTATATAGACCAAACAGGTGTTTCTGATTGGCAAGAAAAGAGGAGAAAGGTGTCTATTCCATGCAGTTGGTTAAAGCATTTGCCTCTAGGCAAATGAAGGCTTCCGTTGCCCTAGAGGTCAACATACAGCCAGTAGAGAGGACATACAGGGCAACAGGTGGGTGGGCCTTGACTAACACTGTATTAGTTAGAAGTCTGTCAAATATCCATTCCTAACTGCAAGGAAGGCTGGGAGTTCCAGAAAAAAGAAGAGACAACTCTGGTTATTAGCTAGTAGTCTCTGCTATTGTAAACCTTAGTTTTCTCATCTGCAAAAGTAGTAAGTCCATCTTTTAAATTAATCATTCTTAAGTCTGTAGAATGCTCTTTTTCCTTCCATTTTTCTAACTTTATTAAGGTGTAATTGACAAATATAAATTTCATACATTCAAGGCATACAACATGTTTTGATATACATATACATTTTGAAATTGTGGCAGGCCATGTCTCACTAATACAGGCCCCCATAACAACTGTTTCGGTACTGACCAAGTGGTTAAGTTAAATATTAAAAGCCAGAAAAAGCCCGTGCCCTCATGCAAAGGCTGGAATGTAACAAAAGCCCGCCAAGAAGTTTGCCTAGACCTTTCCTGGGCCTTAACGCATGACAAAATAACGAAGGAATTCTTAACAGGACCCATTTAGGATTAAACAAGCTTTATTATGTGTGTGAAGAAACTCCCCAGGCCTCCACAAACAAGTTAATTGGAGGTCTGAAGGAACGCCCCAAATCTCCGTGATTTAGCAGGAGACAAGGGCAATCACCCCAGCACCTGGACTCATTTAGATTGAGTAAATGTACTGAGGCTCCAGAGGAAGGTCTTCAGGACTCAGACCTTAGTTATAGATTAAAAGAAGCTAATCACTTATGTCTTTAGGTGAATGGACACTTACACGTAGATATATAGCTTAGAAGGTATATAAGCGCTGGAAAACTCTGTAATTTTGAGTTGGTCTGGTGATCATTTCCAGGCCTTCTCCCTGTAACCTGTTACAGAAATAAAAACTCTCTTCCTCCCCAGTACATCTGTGTCTCATTATTGGGCCATGAGAAATAGCAGCCCAACTCTCAGTTTGGTCCAGGAACAAAATGATTTCCACAATCAAGCTAATTAACTTACGTGCTGCCTCACCTTTCTGTGGTGAGAATTCTTAATATATACTCTCTTAGCAAATTTCAAGTACACAATACATTAACTCCAGTCACCATGCTGTGCATTAGGTCTCTGAAAATTATTCATCTTATAACTGCAAGTACGTACTCTTTAACCAACATCTCCCCTTTTATCCCAACCCACCCTGTCTGATCCCTGGTACCCCTCCTATTCTCTGTTTCTGTGAGTTTGATATTTTTAAATTCCACATATAAGTGAGATCATGTAGTATTTGATTTGTTTATGTCTGGCTTATTCTGCTTAACATAACGTCATCTGGTTTCAACTATGTTGTCACAGATGGAAGGATTTTCTTCTTTTTTAAGGCTGAATAATATTCAATTTTGTATATATACCACAATTTCTTTGTGCATTCATCTATCAACAGACATTGAGGTTGTTTCCATGTTTCAGCTATTGTGAATAATACTTCAATGACCATGGGAGGGCAGATATCTCTTCAAGATAGTGATTTTATTTCCTTTGGGTATATACTCAGTAATGAAATTGCTGAATCATGTGGTAGTTTTGTTTTTAATTACTTGAGGAAACTTCATACTGTCTTCCGTAATGGCTGTGCCCATTTAAATTCCCACCAACAATGTATAAGCCATCTCCTTTCTTCACATCCTTGCCAATACTTGATATCTTTTAACTGTATAGCAGCCACCCTAACAGGTGTGAGGTGACATCTCATTGTAGTTTTGATTTACATTTCCTTGATGATTACTGATGTCAAACACTTTTTTATAGAACAGTTAGCTATTTGTATTTATTCCTTAGGAAAATATTTATTCAGGTCCTTTCCCCATTTTTAATTGGGTTATTTGATTTTTTACTATTGAGTTGTATGAGGTCTTTATATATTTTGGATATTACCTCCTTATCAGATATATGATTTACAAATATTTTCCATTCCTAGGGTTGCTTTTTAATTTTATTGATTTTTTTCTTTCCTGTGCAGAAACTTTTCAATTTAATATAGTACCGCTTGTTTATTTTCACTTTTCTTGCCTGTGCTTTTGATGTCATATACAAAAAAATATCGATATGAAAATCTGTAATCCATTTTGAGTCTATTATTGTAAGAACTCAGTTTCCTCTTTTTGCATATGGATATCCAGTTTTCCCAACACCATTTATTGAAGAGATTATTTTTCCTCATTATATATTCTAGGCATACTTTGACAATGAGCCTCTGTCAAAGATTAGTTGACCATATATGTGTGGATTTATTTCTGGGCTTTCTATTCTGTTTCATTGGTTTATGTGTTCATTTTTATGCCAGTACTATATTGTTTTGAGTACTAGAGGTGTGTAATATAATTTTAAATTGAAAAAGAGTGATGCCTCCAGCTTTGTTCTTGTTGCTCCAGATTGCTTTAGCTATTTGGGGTCTTTTGTCATTCCATATTAATTTTAGGATTATTTTTTATATTTCTGTGAAAATTCCATTGGAATTTTGGTAGGGATTGCATTGAATCTCTAGAGAACTTGGAGTAGCATAGATATTTTGACAATATTGATTCCTCAGATCCAATAAACATGGGATATCTTTATGTCTTCTTCAGTTTCTTTCATCAATGCTTTTTTTTTTTTTTTTTTTTTTGAGACGGAGTCTAGCTCTGTGTCCCAGGCTAGAGTGCAGTGGCGTGATCTCGGCTTACTGCAACCTCCACCTCCTGGGTTCAAGCAATTCTCCCGCCTCAACCTCCTGCGTAGCTGGGATTACAGGCACCTGCCACCACACCTAGCTAATTTTTATATTTTTAGTAGAGATGAGGATTCCTGAGTATTTTTTGATGCTATTATAAATGGGATATTTTTCTTAATTCTTTTTCTGATAGTTTCTCCTTGGTGTAGAGAAACACAACTCATTTTTGCATGTTGGTTTTATATCCTACAACTTTACTAAATTCATTTATTAGTTCTAATAGTTTTTGGGTGAAGTTTTTAGGGTTTTTTATATGTAAGATTATGTCTTCTCCAAGCAGAGACAATTACTTTCCAGTTTGAATTCCTTTTCTTTCTTTTTTTCTTTTGCCTATTTGCTCTAACTAAAACTTCTAGTACTACGTTGAATACAAATGGTGAAAGTGGGCATACTTGTCTGGCTCTTGTCCTTAGAGAAAAATCTTTCAACTTTTCATTGTTCAGTATAATGTTAGCTGTGAGCTTGTCATACGTGATCTTTATTATGTTAAGCTACATTCTTTGTATACCTCATTTGTTGAGTGTTTTTATCATGAAAGGATGTTGAATTTTGTCAAGTGCTTTTTCTCCATCTGCTAAGATGATTATATGGTTTTTGACCTTCATTCTGTTAATGTGGTATATCATATTTTTAAATTGTGTCTGTTGAACCATCCTTGAATCTCTGGGATAAATCCCACTTGATCATTGTGTATGATCTTTTTAATGTGCTGTTGAATTCAGTGAGCTAGTATTTTATTGAGGATTTTTGCATCTATGTTCATTAGGGCTATTAGCTTGTAATTTTCTTTTCTTGTAGTCTTTGTGTGGCTTTGGTATCAGGGTGATGCTGGCTTCATAAAATGAGTTTGAAAGTGTTCTCTCTTCTTCAATTTTCTTGACGAGCTTGAGAAACATTGGTATTAGTTCTTTAAATGTTTCATAGAATTTAGCATTGATGCCATCTCATCTTGGACTTTTCTTTGACAGAGGACTTTTTTATCACTGATTCAATATCCTTACTCATTATTCTGTTCAGATTTTCTATTTCACTATAATTCTGTCTTTGTAGGCTGTATGTTTCTAGGAATTTATTCATTTCTTCCAGGCTATCCAATTTGTTGGGGTATAATTGTTCATAGAAATCTCTTATAATCCTTTGTATTTTTGTGTTATAAGTTGTGATGCCTCCCCTTTCATTTCTGATTTCATTTATTTTAGACTTTTCTCATTTTTTCTTAGTCTAGCTAGCCAAATATTTGTCAATTTTATCTTTTTGAAAAAAAACTCAGTTTTTAAATTTTATATTGTTTTTCTAGCCTCTAGTTCATTTATTTCTGCTCTGATCTTTGTTATTTTCTTTCTTATAGTAATTTGGGGCTTAGTTTCTTCTTTATCTACTTCCTTGAGATATAAGATTATATTATTCATTTGAGAGCTTTCTTCTTTTTTAAGGTGGGCATTTATTGCTATAAACTTTCCTCTTAGAAGTATTTTTGCTGTATTTATAAGTTTTTAGAGATTGTATTTCCATTTTTATTGGTCACTAGACTTTTTTTACTTTACTTTTGATTTTTTTCTATGACCCATTGGTTTCACATATGTATATTGTTTAATTTCCACATATTGGTAAATTTTCCAGTTTTCCTCCTGTTATTGATTTCTAGTTTTATAACATTACAACCAAAAAATGTACTTGCTATGATTTCAGACATCTTAAAGTTGTTGAGAATTGTTTCATAGCACAGGCAACAAAAACAAAAATAGAAAAATGAGACATATATTACACTAAAAAAACTACTGCACAGCAAAGGAAACCATCAACAGAGTGAAGAAACAACCTGTTGAATGGGAGAAAATATTTTCAAACTATTCATCCAACAAGGAACTAATACTCAGAATATAAAAGGAACTCAAACAACTCAAAAATAAAATAAACAAATAAACCCATTAAAAAGTGGTCAAAGGAAATGAATAGACATGTCTCAAAGGAAGACATACTTGCAAGTATCTGGCTGACAGATATTTGAAAAAATGCTCAACACCACTAATCATCAGAGAAATGCAAATCAAAACCACAATAAGATATCACCTTACCCAGTTAGAATGGCTATTAACAAAAAGACAAAAAATTACATATGCTGATGAGGGAGCAGAGAAAAGGAAGCTCTAATACATTGTTGGTGGGAATATGAATTAGTACGACTACTACGGAAAAAGTATAGAGATTTCTCAAAAAAAAATAGAACTACCATATGATCCAGCAACCCCTCTACCATATATTTATTCAAAGGAAAGGAAATCAGTATATCAAAGGTATACCTGCATCCCATGTTTACTGCAGCACTCTTCCCAGGAGCAAAGATATAGAATCAACCTTAGTGTCCAACAACAGATGAATGGATAAAGAAAATGTAGTATATATACACAATGGAATATTATTTGGCCATAAAAAATTAAATTATATTAGTTGCAGTATCATGAATGGAACTGAACATCATTATGTTAGGTGAAATAAGTCAGGCACAGAAAGACAAATATCACGTGTTCTCAATCATGTGGAAGCTAAAAAAGTTGATCTCATGGAGCTAGAGATTAGAATGATAGATACCAGAGGCTGGCAAAAGTGTGACAGTGGGGATGAAGAGAGGTTGGTTAATGGGTACAAACACACAGTTAGATAGATGAAATAAGTTCTACTGTTTGAAATCAGTGTGGAGTGGCTATAGTTAACAATATATTATATATTTCAAAATAGCTTGAAGACTTAAAATGTTCCCAATACATTAAAATGAGAAATACTTGAGGTGATCAATACCCAAAATACCATGACTTGATCATTATACATTCTATGCATGTAACAAAATATCACATGTACTCCATAATATACAACTATTGTCTATCAATTTTAAAAAGACTTGTTTTGTAGACCTGCATATGACTTATCTTAGAAAATGTTATGTGTGCTCCTGACAAGAATATGTATTCTAGTTCTGTTGGATAGAGTTTTTTGTATGTCTGTTAGGTCTGTTTTGTTTAAAGTATAGTCCAAATCCAATGTCTTTTGACTGGTGAATTTAATCCATTTCAGTCAAGGTAGTTATTGATAGATAAGGACTCACTATTACCATTTTTTCATTGTTTTCCAGCTATATTATAGATCCCTTTTTTCCTTTTTTCCTCTCTGTCTTCTTTTATGATTTGATGATTTTCTGTAGTGGTGTGCTTTGATTTCTTTCTCTTTATCTTTTGTGTAGCTATAATAGGTTTTCACTTTATGGTTACCATGAGGCTTACATATAACATCCATCTTATAGTTACAACAGTCTATTTTAAGCTTATAACTTCAATTGCATTAAAAAAAATCTTTACACTTTTTATTTTACCCCCACCATATTTTGTTTGATGTCACAATTTACATCTTTTTATATTATATATCCATTAAAAAAATTATTGTAGCTATAGATATTTTTAATAGTTTCATCTTTTTTTATACTAGAGATACAGGTAATTTATACACCACCATTATAGTATTAGAGTATTCTGAATTTGACTATGCACTTTTACCAGTGAGTTTTATACTTTCATATGTTTGCATATTACTGAGTAGCATCCTTGTGTTTCAGCTTGAAGAACTCTCTAGCATATCTAGTGGTTATGTACTCCCTCAGATTTTGTTTGTCTGGGAAAACTTTTATCACTCCTTGATTTTTGAAGAACAGATTTCTGAGCTGAGTATTCTTCATTAGCAGTTTTATTCTTTCAGCACTTTGAAAATGTCATTCCACTCTTTTCTAGGCTGCAAAGTTTCTTCTGAGAAAGCCACTTATAGCTTTTGGGGTGTTTCTTTTTATGGGAGGAACTTCTATATGCTTGCTACTTTCAAGATTTTTTATCTTTGGGTTTTGAGAGTTTGATTATATTATGCCTCAGTGAAGTCTTCTTTGGATTGAACCTAATTGCAGATCTTTGAGTTTCATGTATCTGGATGCTCATTTTCCCCCCAGATTTGGGAAGTTTTCTGTTGTTATATCTTTAAATAAACTTTCTGCCCCTTTCTCTGTCTGCTCCTTCTATAAAATACAATCATGCAAATGTTAGCTTTCTCGATGGTATCTCATAAATCCCCTAGGTTTTCTTCATTCCTTTCCACTCTTTTTTCCTTCTCAATATGTATTTTTAAATGCCTTGTCTTAGAGATCGCACATTCTTTCTTTTACTTGATCAAGTCTGCTGTTGATCCTCTCTATTATATTTTTCATTTCATTCCTTGTATTTTTCACCTCCAGAATTTCTGTTTGGTTTTTAAAAAATTATTTATAACTCTCTATTGGTCTTCTCATTTAGTTCATGTATTGTTTTCCTGAGTTTTGTTGTCTATCTGTGTTTACTTGTAGCTCCCAGAGCCTCATTAAAACAATTATTTGGAATTCTTTGTCAAGTACTTTATACATCTCTGTTTCTTTGAAAATGGTTTCTGGAAAATTGCTGTGTACCTTGGGGACTGACTTTTTTTTTAATGTTTCTTGTTACCTTGCATTAACGTCTGTGCATTTGATAGAGCAGTCACCTCTTCTAGACTTCACAGACTGTTTTCAATAGAGAAAGACCTTCATCTACAGGTGTGTGAAAATGCACTGGCTGGATGAAATGGGGGGATTCTGGCTGTGATGAGTACACAGTGATGTAGTCTCCAAGCAGCTCTGTCAGCTGAGGTTGACATTGGTGAAGAATACAGGGGTCCTCTGTGGCCATGGCTGTGGGTGTCTACACTGGTGACTAGGACTGCTAAAATTCTCCTGATTTATATTTCTTTCACTGAAAAAGTCAAGGCTGAGGGGATCCCTCTTAGCACCAAGTCCAATGGTTGGGTGCATTTGTGGTGATGCGTCACTGGTGTCTGATGCATGGCACCCATGGAGTGACCATGAAGCTAGGGTCTGGAGCACAATATTGCATGGAAGGACCATGGCTTTGGGGTCAGAGGCAGCAGCGGCATCAGTGCCTGGGGTGCAGGAGCTCTTGCTGCTGTATCGGTAATGATGTGTGAGGTGCAGGCATTCATGAAGTAGCTGTGGAGCCTGGGTCTGGTGTACAGGCATGTGTAGGGTTACCACTGCTCCAGGGAGCAGGTTGCTGACATGACTGCTGCAGTGGTAGCTCCAGTATTAGAGTGGCCACAGACCCTGGGTCTGAAACATAAGTATGCTTGGAACAGTGGCTCCACTGACCAGGGTGCAGGCTAGCTCATTGTGATGGTGGTTCTGGTGTCTGGGGTGCAAGCATGGTTAATGCAGCCATAAATCTGGGGCAGGGAGTTCACAGGAAATCAGAGAAAGGGTTGCCTCAGTCCCAGAGCTGCACAACAGTGGCTTCTTTTAGGGGTGACATAGCATTATCTCCCTCTCCAGGGAGTTCACAGTGTTGATTGCTATTAGTTACCTCAATGGCAAAAGCTTCCAGTGCCCTCTGCAGAGCATGCCACTGGGGACCACAGTGGAACCCACTGTGTAACTGTGACTCAAGCTGATATCCCCTGCTCTATGTTCCTGTTTCTAGTCATCTCTACACATCTCAGGTATGCTGATATCCCCAACAATCATTATGTGTTATTATTATCTATTTTTTGCACCACTGTGTTGCTGCACGTTCTTAATTAGACCCTTGAGCCCTCTCAAAACTATTTTCCTTTGTGGATTGATGTATTAGTCCATTCTCATGTTGCTATAAAGAACTGCCCAAGACTGGGTAATTTATAAAGGAAAGAGATTTAATTGACTCACAGTTCTGCAGGGCTGGGAAGGCCTCAGGAAATTTACAATCATGACGGCAGGGGAAGCAAACATGTCCTTCTTCACAAGGCAGCAGCAAGAAGTGCAGAGTGAAGGAGGAAAAATCCCCTATAAAACCATCAGATCTCATGACTACTCCCTCACTATCATGAGAACAGCTTGGGGGAACTACCCCCATGATCTAATCACCTCCCATGAGGTCTCTCCCCAACATGTAGGGATTATAATTTGTATTACAATTCAAGATGAGATTTGGGTGAGGACACAGAGCCAGACTATATCATTCTACCCCTGGTCCCTCCCAAATCTCCTGTTTCTCACATTTCAAAACACAATTATGCCTTCCCAACAGTTCCCCAAAGTCTTAACTCATTTCAGCATTCATCCAAAGGTCAAAATCCATAGTCTCGTCTGAGACAAGGCAAGTCCCTTTTGCCAACGAACCTGTAAAATCAAAAGAAAGTTAGTTACTTCCAAGATATAATGGGAGTACAGGCACTGGATAAATGCACCCATTCCAAATGGGAGAAATTGACCAAAACAAAGGGGCTACAGTCTCCTTGTAATAGGGCAAATTATTAATTATTAATAGGGCAAACAACAAAGGTTGTCCATGAGGGCTCCACCCCTGCAGCAAACTTCTGCCTGAACATCCAAGCATTTCCATACATCCTCTGAAATCTAGGCAGAGGTACCCAAACCTTAATTCTTGACTTCTGTACACTCGCAGGCCCAACACCATATGTAAGCTGCCAAGGCTTGGGGCTTGCACCGTCTGAAGCAAGGGCGTGAGCTGTACATTGGCCCTGTTTGGCCATGGCTGGAGTTGAAGCAGCTGGGACACAGGGCACCATGTCCCGAGGTTGCATAGAGCAGGGGGGCCCTGGGCTGTGCCCAGAAAACCATCCTTCCTTTCCAGGCCTCAGAGCCTGTGATGGGAGGGGCTGCCACGAAGGTCTCCGACATGCCCTGGAGACATTTTCTCCATTGTCTTGGTGATTAATACTTGGTTCCTCATTACTTAAGCAAATTCCTGCAGCCAGCTTGAATTTCTCCCCAGAAAATGGGTTTTCCTTTCTGTCACATTGTCCGGCTGCAAATTTTTCAAACTTTTATGCTCTGCTTCCTCTTGAATGCTTTGCAGCTTAGAAATTTCCTCTGCCAGATACTCTAAATCACCTCTCTCAAGTTCAAAGTTCCACAGATCTCTAGAGCAAGGCCAAAATGCTGCCAGTCTCTTTGCATAGCAAGAGTGACCTTTACTCCAGGTCCCAATGAGTTCCTCATCTCCATCTGAGACCACCTCAGTCGGGACTTTATTTTCCATATCACTATCCGCATTTTGATCAAAGCCATTCAACAAGTCTCTAGGAAATTCCAAACTTTTCCACATTTTCCTGTCTTCTGAGCCCTCCAAACTGTTCCAACCTCTACCTGTTACCCAGTTCCAAAGTAACTTCCACATTTTCATGTATCTTTACAGTAGCACCCCACTCTCTGTGGTACCAGTTTACTGTATTAGTCCATTCTCATGCTGCTATAAAGAACTGCCCGAGACTAGGTAATTTATAGAGGAAAGAGGTTTAACTGGCTCACAGTTCTGCAGGGCTGGGGAGGCATTGGGAAACTTACAATGGTGGCAGGGGAAGCAAACGTGTCCTTCTTCACATGGCAGCAGCAAGAAGTGCAGAATGAAGGGGGAAAAGTTCTTTATGAAACCTCAGATCTCATGAGAACTCACTCAGTATCAGAACAGCATGGGAGAACCACCCCCATGATCTAATCACTTCCCACGAGATCCCACCCCAGACTACAAGATGAGATTTGGGTGGGGACACAGAGCCAAACCATATCAATTGCTGTCTCATTGTTTTCTGTGGGGGAATGAAAGCTGGTATCTCATACACTGCCATATGGCCAATGTCACTTCTATAGAATTTTCAATAATGAAACAAAAAGCTACAGGGCTAGCACCTCATACAGATTATACAGTCTGTCCCACTTGGTAATAATGTAAAAAATACCACTTATCTTAATCATCTATCTTGTAAACCTACAGACTTTCATCTTTCTTTACTCCTTTTAGAGTCTCTTACGTCTTTGTTTTCTGTGAAGTAAGATCCTATCGGGCAGGGACTGTGGTTTCTACAAGTGGTAATTAAAAATTATTAAATACCTTGAAAATGTCATAATCTGTGACCCGTGGTTGGTGTTTTGTTTAATCCTCAAAACAATCCTATGAGATAATTTGTATGATGGCAGAGCAGGGAAGGCAGTGATCAGTAGACCTACAATTAAGTAAAACCAGAGGATACAGCTGATAAGTGGTGGTAAAATCTCAACTTGAACACAAGCCTCCATTGATTCTAAATCTTGAGTGCTTTAGACCAACCATATTATTCTAGTGTCTTTCTATTTCTCTCAGATTCCCCAGAACACCTAACACAGTGGCAGGTACTTTATAAAAGAATTTTTAACAAATATTTGTTTAAATAAATTAATTTTGTTATAGGCCCTCAAATTTAATAAATCTCTAGTGTAAATCTACATTCTTGAAAGGCTCTTATATTATCCATTCCTTGATTTTTTTCTCTATGCCTACTTTATTTTTGCTTTCTCCTCACTTGTACTCCCTCATTCCTTCCCTGATGCTATCAGGCCCCCTGAAAAGGAAGCTTTTGTTTAGAAAGTTATAGCACAACTTGTGCTGCCACTTAGCCACTTGAGAATTTCTGGCAGAAGTCTTATGAAGAGCATGACTTACTGTAATTTGAGAGGCTCTTGTTTTATTTAACATTATGGGAAAAACAATCATCAGGTCAGACCAGCACTTCTTATGTAATGGGGATTTAGGCTCAACTGTCTACATGTCTAGACTAAGCTTGGGACCCTATTTTTCCCCAGGCTCCTTAGCTAGGTTTATTCCTCTTCCAGAAAGACTTTTGTTGGCGCATACATGAGTTCCATTTTCAATTGACACTAAACTAACAGAGCAGTCTACCAAGACAGGAGGAAGTCATGGTTTTTTGTTTTTTTGTGTTTTTTTTCCTAATCTAAGACCAGCTGGCTGATGCTTCCTCTCACAAATGTCTTGTGTTTGTAAGTACATGGCTGGGGCGTAGACTCAAAATGAATGCTACAGCTTCCTTATATCCTATACAAAGTATCTTGTTCTGTGTATCAAAAAGTTGTGGACAGGTAATTAGTAGTGGTGTAATTGCTTTTTTTGTGGGTACATAATTATAATTTATGAAGCTTGCCTAACAAATCATATCCGTAAAAACTAACTACCTTCAGAAAACAGTAAAAATATGGGCCCTTCGATAATTATTTCCATGCTACCAGTATGGACAAAAAAAAATTAACCAAGGGAAGAACCTGAACTTACAGAAGGAATATTTCACTATTTAATGAGGAGATATTATTAATGAGGATACTCTATCCCTCAGATGTTGTGTCACTTTGGGAAAGAAAAAATATGGACTCTGAAATCAAAACCGCAGTGAGAGATCATCTCACACGAGTCAGAATGGCTAGTATTAAAAAGTAAAATAATAACAGATGTTGGCAAGGTTGTGGAGAAAAGAGAATGCTTATACGCTGCTGGAGGGAATGTAAATTAGTTCAGTCACTATGGAAATCATAAGTTTGGTGAGTTCTCAAAGTTCTGAAAACAGAACTATCATTCAACCCAGCAAAACTATTATTGGGTATATACACAAAGAAATATAAATCATTGTACCATAAAGACACATAGATACATATGTTCATCACAGCACTATTCACAATAGCAAAGACATGGAATCAACCTAAATGCCCATCAACAGTAAACTGGATTAAAAAATGTGATTCATATATACCATGGACTACTACACAGCCATAAAAAGAACTAGATAATGTCCTTTGCAGCAACACGGATGGAACTGGAGATCATTATCCTAAGCAAACTAATCCAGGAAAAGAAAGCCAAATACCACATGTTATCACTTATAAGTGGGAGCTAAACAACAAAAACATGTGGACACAGAGAGGGGAACAATAGACACTGGGGCCTACTTGAGGGTGGAGGATGGGGGTTAGGAGAGGATAAAAAACTACCTATCGAGTACTGTGCTTATTACTTGGGTGATGAAATAACTTGTGCACCAAACACCCATGACACACAGATTACCTATGTAACAAACCCACACATGTAGCCCTGAACCTAAAATAAAAGTTTTAAAAATGGTTGAAAAGGTAAATTTTATGCTTGCATATTTTACCACTGAATTTTTAGACTAGAAAATATTATAATTTTACCTTAAAGAAAGAAAATGTGGTATATATACACAATGGAATACTATTTGGCTGTAAAAAAGAACAAGATCATGTCCTCTGCAGCAACATGGATGGAGCTGGAAGCCATTATACTAAGCAAACTAATGCAGGAACAGAAAGCAAAATGCCTCATGTTCTTACTCATAAGTGGGACCTAAACATTGAGTACAAATGGACACAAAGAAGGAAACAACAGACACCGGGGCCTACTTGAGGGTAGAGTGTGCGAGGAGGCTGAGGATGGAAAAGCTACCTATCGGGTTCTTACATGGGTGACGAAAAAATCTGTATACCAAACTTCCATGACACACAATTTACCTATATAACAAACCTGTGTGTGTACCCCTGAACCTAAAATAAATTTTTTTTAAAATAAAAAATGCAGATTCTATATGGGAATTTTGTTAGCAATTGCAGTTTTCAGTCTCTGTCCCTGCTAAGTTTCTTCAAGGTAAATCATTTAGTCATTCACAAACAAATATTTACTGGCCAACTTTATGGGCATAGCACTTTGTTAAGTAGAGAAACTTGTTATTATGGAACTTAAAAAAACAACTTGCATCAAATCACTATAATGCAAAATAGAAAGTAATAAGTGCCATTAAAGAATTATATGTTACAGGAATTCAAAAAAAGTAAAAGATATATTCTTCCTAGTGACATTAAAGAAGTTCTCATGGAGGAGCATGTTTGAGCTGAGCCTTGAATGATGGTTACACATCTACTTTTCATATTATAAATAACACAGTTTCAGAATAGAAAAACTAGCCACCATTAATATCATTAGTAAGAACAGTTTAAAACACATTTTAATACCCTCTCCTTATTATCCTACCTATTTTTTAGACTTATACCCACATTACCAGAGGATATACCCATTATATATCATAATCTTTTCCTTTTAAGCCTTATTTTTGTAAAAATCACATGTTTCATAGTCACCACAAGTCCCGAAGTCAATGTCTCTTTAGTTACTTTAGCTGTCTGGAGCTCTTTTTCTAATAGATCCTTTAGGAAGGGCTCATAGGAACAACATTCCCTGAATTCTTAAAAGTTGAATATCAGGTCAGGCGCGGTGGCTCACCCCTGTAATCCCAGCACTTTGGGAGGCCGAGGCAGGCGGATCACGAGGTTAGGAGATCCAGGCTGTCCTGGCTAAACGATGAAACCCTGTTTCTATTAAAAATACAAAAAATTAGCCAGGCGTGGTAGCTGGCGCCTGTAGTCCCAGCTACTGGGGAGGCTGAGGCAGGAGAATGGCGGGAACCCGGGAAGCAGAGCTTTCAGGGAGCTGAGATGGCGCCACTGCACTCCAGCCTGGGCGACAGAGACAGACTCCGTCTCAAAATAAAAAAATTTAAAAATTAAAAAAATAAGTTGAATATCAGTTTTGCTGGATATAAAATTCTTGGCTTCTATTTTCTTTTCTCATGTATTTAAAATATGTTATTCTGTTTCCTTCTGGCTTAAAATATTTCCGGTAGGTTGAATAATGACCCCCAAAAATATGTATGCTCTAATGCCTGAAGCCTGTGAATGTTACCTCCTGGCAAAACAGACTTTGCAGACACCATTAAGTTAAAGATCTTGAGATGAGGAGATTATCCTGAATTTTCCAGGGGGTTCCTAAATGTAACCATTTTTTATAAGAGAGAGACAGTGGCAGACTTGACTGTAGAAAGGAAAGAAAGCAATGTAACTATTGAAGCAATGGGAGAAAATGTGATATGATACAGGACTATTAACCAAAGAGTGAGAAATGCCTCTAGAATCTGGAACTAGCAAGGAGATGAGTTCTCCCGAGAGTCTCAAAAAGGAACCAGCTCTGCTAACAACATGCTTTTAGCCCCTCCAAGACTCATTTCAGACTTCTGGCCTTCAGAACTCTCAGAGAATAAATTTTGTTGTTTTAAGCCACTTCGTTCGTGGTAATTTTTTACAGCAGATATAGAAAACTAATAGAGTGTTAGTCTCAAAGAGTCTGATGATAATATTTTTGCCCAGATGCAAACAGAACTGGAGAAGCTGAAGCTCCACAGCAACACGATGAGCCAGAAGATCAGGAGCAATGGGCATGAGTTGCACAGCACCTGGCACTGTACTCCAAACTTTAGAGTAGAAAAATGGCTGTCCCTTCACTTTCACCTTCTAAATCTCATGCGAACTTTGCCTTGTTGCTACACAGGAAGAGGAATTCTGGGGACTATACTTCTAGCTTGGCTAACTTGTGTTAGTACAAACCCACCACATTTCACCCCTTGTCGACTTGACATCTATACACACCCCTTTAATCATACCTAACATCCAAATAAAGACAATAGTAAAATGATGCTTCTACCCAATGATGCTGATATCCGTTGTATAATCAAAAACATGTTAGCTCTCTCCTGCAAATAAGATACAAGTTTTTTTATCCATCTTTGGATGATGTTCATTCTTCTTCTAGTTGAGTCATACTCCCTCTTTGATATTCTCTAACTTAAGTGATAAGATATAAAATGAATTACCATTAACACTGTTAAATTAGAATGAAGAGGAATGGGAGAGTGGAAGGAAAGCACTGGCTAATACATAGACAAATATATTCATACCAAAATAAGAAAGAAGCTAATAACCATTCGCCTTCATTTCTAAAATTGGTCATATAGTCTTGGATGGTATTTTTAACTTCCTTTTACCACTCTTTACCCCCAGCCATTGACCCTTGCCAACAGTTCACAGAGCTGGTTTCTTCCAATTTTCAGACCTTAACTTAAATGTCATCTCCCCAGAGAGACCTTGCCTCTTTCCAATTTCAAGTAGACCATCCCATTTTTTTCTCATAGCATTCTGATTTTTTCTTTCAAATTATACGTGTTCACTGTTTCTTATTTCTTCATGCCTCTCAAAATAACAATACTTTTGAATGAATGAACAAATTAATTCCTTCCTTTCTTTACCACCCATATGTACCAATCCCAAAGTGCTATTAGTTTTTTATTCCTGATATATTTCAGATCCATTCATTTCTTTCCAGTCGTCAGCACTCAGCTTCTTATCTGATATCCTGGCTCCTAGCTTCTCTTCAATCCAATTCATACCACTCACTATATTCAACGCTTGGTGAGAAGAAATGATTTCATATTTGTCTTTACATTTCTAGTACCTAGCACTGTAGACACACAATACATACAGTAGAAATTCAATCGGTATCTGTGGATGAATGGATAAAGTATCATTAATTATATAAGTAATGTATTATAAAATCTACTGCTCTGTCTCAGGTCTCCTTATGTTACAAATTGACACCCTAGAAATGAAAATTCATAGATAAAATTATTTTAGACTTTCAAATGTCTGCCTTTTCAAAAACTACTATTTATTTGACCACTAATAAAATGAGATTTAACCATGCATGCAATGAGAATTGTTTATTACTTACCTAGAAGAAGTGTGTTTGCGTCAGTGTTCAAGAGTTTAAAATAGTATGAACATGATTAAAGGGATAGAAATAGTATTAATTTAAATAATTAAAATAATTTGGTATATTTTATCAATGCTACTTACTGATGCAACAGTATTTTGAAGTGCATCTAGGTAATGCATGTGTGTTAGGGATACGATGAACAATAGACATGATAGCAACAAGTATTTGGGAGAGCAAAAGAGATCAAGCTCAGCTAATTTTTACTTCTCTCAAGGAAACAGATGATTACTAAGTACCTAGCACAATGCCTGGCATAGCATATAGT
This sequence comes from Homo sapiens, assembly GCF_000001405.40. Classification (NCBI taxonomy): domain Eukaryota; kingdom Metazoa; phylum Chordata; class Mammalia; order Primates; family Hominidae; genus Homo; species Homo sapiens. The sequence goes on from NC_000001.11 coordinate 173,180,961, forward strand.
AGAAGCAGAAAAAATTTATTTCAAACTGGCTGAGTGTTGATGGTTTTATAATAGTAAGTGAGATTTTCATAAATTTAAAAGGCCATGTTGCCTTAAGGAATGATCATAGGATTATAGAATGTTATACCTTGAAACTGATTATAAGGGGAGAATACAGATTGTCATATCCTAAAAATTACTTAAAGGGTGTATGTCCTTGTTAATAAATAGTTCATCCTAAATGACAATAGAGCACTGGACTGAAATGACCTTTAGAGATTACCTTCTGCTAATATTTCTACAACTTTGGGTCTTCCTGTTAATTACTTTTGTATTTTGTTGTTATTGTTCTTTGTTTTTAACCTCAAGCCTCAAATACCAAAGAAGGCCAAGATCGTATAAATCAGGAGAAAAATCAGGTCTTATGTCCACAGCAATAAAGAGCTGTATTTTCTCAGCATTGGCAGGACTCCAGGGAAATCCAAATGCTAAAAGTCTGTGTTTCCGCTCCTAACATCCCTCTGTTCCCTCAGTAGATAAGCCACAAGGATATGATCAAAGTCAATCAGTTCCATTGACCAAAATTTGATCAAAGCCCATTTTAAAATCATGCCCCATGAGACCATGGCACCAGATTTCTCAAGGGCTCTGGCATAATGGTAGGATACTCTGAGCGCTCAATCTCCTCTTCCTAAGGCAGTTCCCTCCCTGAATGCTACTCCAGTTGTTCCCCAGGCCCTTAGTCGGAACTAGAGGGCCTTACATTCCATGACTCAGGGCCATCTGACCAGCTTTAGGGGATGGAGGGAAGGTAAGGCATTAAAAGTGTTCATGTGCCAATTCTGCTAGGTAATATTGACATTTACATTTTAACAACATCTTTCCGTGCTTTGATCCCGTGGAGTGAATGAGTGGCTACAACAGCTACAATGGCTAGTTACAAGGTATGCTGCTAAGGAAGGCTCCAAACCATCCACATACTCCGTAAGGAAGGCTGCTGCAGGAATAAAATTCCAAAGGGCTGCCAAAAAATATATTTAAGTAATAAAAAATACATGTATAGAGTGGTTGAAATCCGCAGGGACTACTTCTTGGTGCTCCTAACATTCCATTTGATATTTTAAAATGCTACTGAAAACCACCCCAGTATGGTCTTTATTAAACATTCACTTCTGAACTTAATAAGCTCTGTGCATACCTTTTGCAAAAAGTATTATAAACTTGGTTCTTATGTTCTTACAACATTTCTTTTTCTTATTCTCTTCTAGTAAAAGTAATTCAAAGCTTTTGTTCAACTGATAGAAAAAATAAGGTATTTTTATGAATTGGGCCAAAAGGGAAAACGGAAAAATGTTTATGCATTTACCCAACATCATGAACCAGGAGGAGGGACTTGCCAAAGAGGATAGAATGTTCTATTTTGAGCATACTAAGTAGAAGAGCCCATTACATCCATACAGAGCTGCCCAGAAGCAGAGTAGCAGTGGTTGAAAGTGTGGTCTTGGGTGTTAACTACCCTTGATCTTGAATCTAAGCCCCACCACTTAGTAGCTGCATGCGTTTAGACAAGTTCACCTCTCAGAGTCTCAAGTTTTCAGACGTAAAATAGGAATTATACCACTTACCTCAAAGAATTGTTGAGACAATGGAAATAACAATTTATATAAATGGCTAATACGATGCCTGGCACAGGGAAAGAACTCACTAAATGGTATTTTATTACTAATAACACAAGTGATTACAACAAATGAGGCACTGGAGTAGAAGACATCTGGGCTGAAAAACGGTCTTAGGTATTGCTGATGTGGGAGCATTGATTGAAGGCACAAGAATCAATGAGATTGGCAAGGGTATAGAGCAGAGACCACAACTCAAATGCCTGAGGGACTTCAGCAGTGAGTTTGTGTAAGTGCATTTGCACATTGTGTGGGTGAGGAGAACTCTTGGGAAATGGAGTTCATGGAGTCTCCTTAAAGAGGGAAGCTGCCACTCTGTTTGGGAAGGTTGCTGCCATGCCAAAATTGGGCCCAGCATCACCAGATCTCCTGTTTCTGTTTTTGGTTTTGTTTTCAAAAAAGATCAGAAATTTCCCGATATTTAAATATCAGCTACTAAATTCAACTTAATAAACAGATGAAACACAGACATAGGCTAGACTGCGGCTCATTGGCTGCCAGATTGCAGTTTCTGCTGTAGAGAAAGAATAGGGCTGAGAGTAGAGTCCTGAAGTACACCAGCATTAAAGGGGTGGCAGAGAAAGAGGAGGGGTGATGAAGACTAAGAAAGGCAGAGAACAGAAAGAGAAGTCCAGAAAAGGGTGAGGTCAAAAAAGCTGGGGAACAGAAGTGTTTTAAGGAGGACAACGTCATCAGCACCATCAAAAGTAGCACAGGGATCACTGTGGCCAGACTATGCTACACAAACCCATTAATAGTTGTGACCTTTTATTGAGACAGCAGATGTAATTACCACTTAGGAGAGGGGACATAAGAAATCATCCAGGGTTAGAAATAAGGTTCTGAGGAAAGGAAAAACAGTACATGGTAGAACTCTATTTAAATCAGTCTCTCTTGAACCATGAAGAGGGACTCTAAGGACCTCCAGTGAGCATCTTTTCAAAAGCAAAGATGGGCTTTGCCACCTCAACCATCCCTCAGATGTGTCTTTGATGGCTAAAACTGGAGGCAAGTAGGAAACTGGAAAGCTTGCCCCGTCCTCCCCTCTTCAGAGGATGAGCTACTCAGAACATGGAGAAGACAAGGATAAATGAACACTCCAACACTCTCACCAGTAGTGAATTCTGAGATCTTTTATTTGTTTCCATGTAAATAGCAATATTACTATTAACTATATTATTAATATCAATATTAATACTCTCTGAGAGCCAGGAAAGCACTAAATACAAAATTATGACTTAAAATAGGGGACCTGCCCAGTATACTTAAGAACAAATTATGATTTGGATCGGGATTGGAATCCCTTAAGCATTCTCTAAATAGAAAATATCTAACTAACAATTGATAACTGCTCTTGAAGGACTCACAAAGATGGCTGAGGAAGATGTAAGCTTGTCCAGAAAAAAATACATTCAACATAGTAAAGGAGAAGGTTACACTCCTTGACTCATAGCAACAAGAACATAGACATTTAATATGTGCATTCACAGATAACACTGTAAGCATAAGATTCTAAACTGTTAGATATTTAACATTCCTCTCATTTAACAGAAAGAAAAGCAAGACCCAGAAATGGGAAATGACTTTCCCAAGGTTACATGGCTAGTTAGTGGCTAAGTCAAATTTAAAATTCTGATCTCCTGACTTTTCATTCAATTCTTTTCCCACAAAACTCTGCCATGTATATCGAAGGGTTAATTCTCCCTGTGAAGGACATGACTTACAGGGACTGAGACACACACACATATTTTTGATGGAAGGAAGGTGGAGTGAGGCTGGTGCATAGCAGAAATATCCCTGTGTGGTTGCAGAGGCCAACATGGGAAGAGCAGGCCAGGTGCACCCAAAGCGAGTGAGCACCTAAGAGAGGGGACCATGACATCAAAGACAAACAACACACACAACATATACTTAGGCCTGCATGTGCACTGCACATCTGTGAGAAATATAGATAAAAATTCCAAACTTAAAA